>NC_000001.11:2746290-5246290 GCF_000001405.40 Homo sapiens | reverse complement strand
AGAAAGGAAGGAAGGAAGGGAGAGAGGGAGGGGAAAGGAGGGAAGGAGGGAAGGAAGGAAGGAAGGGAGGAAGAGGAAGGAAGGGAGGGAGGGAGGAAGAGGAAGGAAGGGAGGGAGGGAGGAAGAGGAAGGAAGGGAGGGAGGGAGGAAGAGGAAGGAAGGAAGAGGAAGGATGGAAGGAAGGAAGGAGGGAGGGAGAAAAGAAGGAAGGAGGAAAGGAAGGAAGGGAGGAAGGGAGGAAAGGAGGGAGGGAGGGAGGGAGATGGGAAAGGACAGAGCAAGGAGTTGGATGGGAACGTTCTACAGGCCCAGAGGGGACAGAGAAGCAGTCTTGGCCTATGTAATCTGAGAATGCTCAGTGGCTTCTCAGAGAACTCAGATTCCAGGCTCAGGCAAATTTGAACCCGAGTGCATTGTTTCTGGAATAGAAACAGCACTGACAAAACCTTGAAAAAAAGATGAGTTTTAAGGCATTCTCTTTCTTACCTTTGAGGACTTTCTTGCTCCCCCATCTTCAGTGTCTTCTTGCTCCCAGGTTGTCCTACCTCACTTGACCAATGTGTTTTCTTGTTTAGGTGGCCATCAGCTACTTATCTCGTCATATGATTGACCTGACTTATTTTCTTTCCAGCATGGAGGAGCCCCTGAATCCACTCCCAGGTCCATCTGCCTCCCAGGGCTGCACATCCCTGTGTCTCCTCACCAAGATTTCTTGCTCTCAGGGTGGGCGGGGGCTCTCCTGGGTGCAGAGCGGTGGGCACCCTGCTGGCACAGCCCCCTCCACATCCCACTCCCTCCTCACTCATTTTATTTCTGTCCGTTTCATTTTGTTAGCATTTATCAAGTCAGAGCATGGGTAGTCTTGGTCTACATACTCTCAACTCTCCAGCGATCACCCTCTTTCTTGTTCTTGGGGGATCCCCTGGCTTCCCAGCTTCTTTTAATCAGTTGCTTTTATGGGTCTACAGGGAAATGACCATCAATTCAGAAATTCAGGGCATCGAAAGGAAAAAGCCAACTTCAAGGGAAAGGCCTTCCCCCTGCCTTCGCCCAGTCTGCCCAGGGAGGCCGTACCAATCAGCCTGACCCTGATCACAGTGAACAGAGGGAGGCGTGGGAGATGGCTTCCTGGGGGATGGCTGTCAAGGATGACTGGCAGGTGCCGATTCCCCCAGGGTCTGATTCTCTGTTTAGTGGAAGGAGCAGGGCATAGGGAGATCAGAGGTTCCTGGCTTCCAGCCTCAGCCCAGAGGTTTCTGCGGGACCTTCCCTCACTTCTGTCTTCTCTGCCCTTCCTTTGCATGTCTGCAAAGTCGGGGTATTGGGTCGCCCTGTAACATGCCTTCTGCTCTGGATTAAACCCTTTATTTCTCTACTCTTGAGCTGCGGAAGTAGCAGTGTCCTAAGGCCCAACTTCACAGCCAGCACAGCTGAGGATGCAGAGAGCAACTCCTCTCCTCCGGCTTTCCTGGAAGCCAGGTGAGGTTGGCCAGGCCCCGCCCACATCCCAGATCTGAACGATTATCAGACACCTGCAATCTCCCCACAGGACCACCACCTTGTCTGCTTCTGGGAATTTTGTGTTGCATATAGGTTTTCATCACCATTAAATAACTGCAATAGAGTATGAGTCAAATTCTGTGTTCTTCGACGAACATTGATTCAGATGGACTGAAACCCTATCCATCAACCCTGAAGTTTGTGCACAGAGCTGAAGATGGAGGGGCTTATGTATGCCAAGTTTTTCACCTTGACCCCTACCCATGCACACACACCCCCACCAAAACCCCCATCAGTGCTAAGAGGCTGGTGGCACCAGGAGGAAACCACGGTGGGAAGAGGCGCAGGACGGACCTCCAGAGGACAAGATCAGAGATGGAGAACTCCATGTGGGTAGCAAAGATGTCTCTATGGAACACAGATGTTTCGGGGTGGCGAGAGGCTCTGGGGAGGTGAGAGGGTCTGGGGTTGTGAGAGGCTCTGGGGTGGTGAGAGGGTGGCTACCTCACGGAAATCCTGGCTTCTGGCCTCGTGGAAGCCTCTTCACCACATTCTTCATGAGTCAGCAACAGGAAATGGGGGATGGGAAACCTGCTCCCCTTGCCCACCCTATCAGGAAACTGTGTTTCCTCCGATAGTGGGGTGGGGGGCTAGGGCTATGCCATGAGAAATCGGAATGATGGGGCCGTCCACTAGGGTGAGAACCATTGCTTGCCAACTTACCTAGGTGAGCGTGCAAGGGCCAGCACATTCCCAGAGGACTGCGTATCTCACGTATATACCCTGAGGCAGAGCCAGACCTGTGCATCAGGGGCTCGAGTCCACCTGGAGGAGGAACAGCCCCAGCTGCTGCAGGTGATCAAGATGAGAAGGCCTGTCCATGAAGATGACTCTGGGCAGGAATTCACTCTAGGGTGCTTAAGGCATAGGAAACATCAGAGTTCAGGATTTTCAAAATCAGAAACAACCTCACTTCATCCTTTCCTCCAGGGTTTGAAGGAAATAATCCCAGACACTTCTGAGCATTTATCCAAGAGCAGACCCTAGACCAGCAGATTCGGCTCCCCCATCTCCCATCCTAATCCCTCCCAGACTTTCAAGTTGTGGTGTCCAAGCTCCCAATTCCCTACCACCATTCAAGACTCTGGGGTGGTAGATGTAATTCATCACCCTCCACCCACTCAGCCTTTGAGAGCACAGGTGTCATAGGCTACCTTCCCACCCACGGGAGCCCCACCACTCCCCACCCACATGCCTCTAGGACAGTTCAACTGTAGACTTTCAGAGCTTTCTAGGACAAAGGCACATGGACTTTCCCTGGGCATGATTCCTGGACCACCACCCCAAGGCCTGGCTGTTCCCTGGAAGGAAACAGCTCTTCTTTGGTGATAAAGTGGCCAGTTAGTCTTGCAAACACAGGGATCTTCCATGCCCATCTTTTATGCTGCATGTTCTCCTGAGCTGCATAAAGAGAGGTAGCTCCTGGGGCCTTCCTGGAGGTTGTGCCTTTTGAGGGGAATTTGTAGAGCACCTGGGAAGTGCAATTGGTGGGGAAGTAGAGGAAAAAGATGCTGGATTTCAGGGCCAGGCATCTAGACAACATGACTAGAGAGCAACAGCGGGCAGGGACTGGGAATGGAGCTCATGACAGAGCAGGGCACCTTTCGAGGGCTGGTGACCAGGCCAGGGGCAACGGCAGAAAGGCACCAGGAAGGGATCTGTGGAGAAGACAGTCTCAGTGCAGTTCTCAGAGAGGTCCTCAGAGAGCAGCTTCAAATCTCCTGGGGCCTCCATGGAGCCTCGGCCCACCCAGGCCTACAGAAGTGAAATCTGCATCTTAGCAAGCTCCCTGCAAGGTTCTGTGCCGAGTAAAGCTGGGGGAGCAGGTTCTAGGGTCTCATGTGGATCCATAGCAGTGGGGAGACAAGCCAAAGTGTCAGTCCTAGATGAAACCCCCACCTGCAATGGATTTGGGCTTAAATAAGAGCTCCGTGAGGCTGGGTGTGGTGGCTCACGCCTGTAATCCCAGCACTTTGGAAGGCCGAGGTGGGTGGATCATGAGGTCAGGAGATGGAGACCATCCTGGCTAACACGGTAAAACCCGTCTCTAGTAAAAATACAAAAAATTAGCTGGGCGTGGTGGCGGATACCTGTAGTCCCAGCTACTCGGGAGGTTGAGGCAGGAGGATGGCATGAACCCAGGAGGTGGAGGTTGCAGTGGGCCAAGATCACACCACTGCACTACAGCCTGGGTGACAGAGTGATACTCCGTCTCAAAAAAAAAAAAAAAAAAGAAATGGTCCTTGAAGGCAGGGCCCTTACTCCAGATCCTGGTATGTAATAGGTGCTAGATCAATATTGTGATCAGAGAAAAAAAATCTGTTGGATGAGATGAAGACAGCAGTTTGCCCAAGGCCTCCAAAGTGGACTTCGTTTTGAGAGGGACTATATCTATGAAGCAGTGGGCTTTCAGAGTGTACAAAAATGGCAGCTAAAGTTCCTCGTGGATAAAGAAGTGAGAGCGGAGCCTGCAGTCGGTTATGAATGGAAACACATCGACACACTCACATCCAGCTCTTAGACAAGTCCCCAGTGCCCAAGCCCAGCTCTTATCTTCCTGAACCCCCAGACCCCCCTCCTCCCTGCTCAGGACTCACTGAAGGCTGGGTCTTTCTCCATTCGGAAAGAACCATAGTAGTTTCCTGGGAAGGGAAGAACCGATGGAGTCCAAGTTCTCCTTGGCTGCCCTTCTGCCTCTCACCCCTCCTGAAACCTAGGAACTGGACAAAAAGAAGGAGAGGGTCCTGAGGTTTGCAAGTATCTGCTGGGGAAGCCAATGTGAGTGACAAGCAGCCTGTCTAGGACCACTTGGTTCGGACATTTCCCAAGCCTTGGAAAACCAATGAAAATGGCAGCAGAGACCAGATGAGGCTGCCTTTGAAAGGAAAGCGTGTGGCAGCTCTTTGAAACCTGGGCAATAACTTCAGATTGCAAGGCAAATAAGGCACAATGAGTGACAAAGGCAATCGCTAAATAAATAGTCCTTAAACCCAGAATGATGAATTGCCATATAGAAGCATAATCCCGAAAATTACATCCCAGGTAGAGAGAGAAATGTACACATCCAGGCAGACAGGGAGGGGGCCCGAAGCTGCAGGGTGGGCTGGAAAACCTCAGCCAAGAGCAATGTCCATCCAGGGAGGGCAGCTGGCCCAGGGAGCCCTGCCCTTAGCTGCAGGCAGCTGGAGTTGCTGGGCCTGCAGTGGGTGGGAGTGGGAGAAGGCAGTGCAGGAGGAAGAGAGAAAGCAAGCCCCAACTTCAGCATTATGGTAGGAGCTGAGCACAGGGCTGCCCAAGTAAGGGCCCCAACTAGTAGCAACAGGAGTCAAAAACTGCTGCAGGAACAGCAGAAAGCACATCAGAGGGTGGCCCAGCAGGTAGAGGGTTGGGTCTGTGTTGGTGACGAAACTCCACAGTGTGCAGGGATCACTGTCCTCCTGCCCCTCCTTCTCCATAGGACAGATTCTTTCCAGAGACCTCAGTATACACTATTAGGTTGCCAAGCTCTGACCACCACGATTAGGTTGCCAAGCTCTGACCACGGGATGCAATATGAATGAATCAAGGCCCATGGCCCAGGGAAAGGGCCTAGAGGCTGTTTCTGTCCTAGCGGCTGATTCTTAGACAGCACTTGCTTCGTGCTGGGCATGGCTCTTTGGACTCTGCTTATGTTCACTAATTTCATCCTCACAGTAACCCCATCGGGCTGATGCTATTTCCAGTCCCATTTAACAGAAGAGCTGAGAGCTGGAGGTGGTGATGATGATCACTGGTTTTCTCAAGGCCTGTCCCCGGGTTGGCCTTGCTTGGTGGTGCACGTCAGCTTTTCTTCCCTGCCTCCCCCACCCCACTCTTGGCTCCTCTCCACACCCCTGCCACCAGGTCTCCTGACCACATATGCCCTCTGGCTTGTACATGCTTGCTCTTGTGGCCTCTGTACTCCACTGACCTGGGGTGTCATTTTTGGAAAGTTGCCACTGACACACGTCAGTCACTTTGACTAACTGGCACCTCTCACATCCTGGATGCATAGCATTCAGAAGATAACAGTGTGGCTTCCAGCAATACTACCTGGGACTCTCAGTCTTTTCCAGGCTCTGTGGGGTAGGGGATGCTGCAGTTTCATTGGATAAACCAGAAAAACTCAAAACTCAGCCAGGAACCAGGCCACCTAGCATGATCTATACAGGAGCTAAGATCAAGGGACTCCAAGATTCTAAGGTAAGGCAGCATCTACACTGGTCCACAGATAAGGTGAAAAGAAAAGAGCAGCCCAGCAGCAGAGGAAACAAAGGAGGGGGAGCCCCAGGCAGAGCTGATGGAGTTGGCAGGGCATCCACTGTTGCTGGGCTTGGCTATGCCTTCTACAGTCTTTCCCAACAGGCTCAGCTTCCTACCTGCACTCTGGGCTCTGATCTAGTTCCTCAAGCGTTCCCACAGGTATGGGCAATTGCAGAACATGGCGGCCACCAAGGATCCCCATGAACACTGCTTCTGCTGAGACCTGGAATCTATCTCCCTTCCCTTGGACGTTACCACTGGAATGTGCTGGAAGGGGCAGCATGTGATTTTCAGGGCTGAGCCTTTGGAAGATTTCCAGCTTCTGATTTAGCCTCCTGGGATGCCAGCCAGCACATAAAGAGTTGTCATTGTTCTGCTGGAGTGGCCATGTGGAGGTGCCTTAGCTGGTAGACACACAAGTGAGGTCATGTGGCGTGCCCCAGCCCTGGCCACGCTCTTGGCTGAAGGTGGACACTTGAGTCACCCACTCTGATACAAATGGGGACACAGGAGCACCCAGCTGAGCCCAATCAATCAACAGAACCGTGAAAAACAATGAAGGGCTATTGTTTTAAATCTCTGTGCTTCGGGCTGGTTTGTTACACAGCAGTAGGCGAGAGAAGCACCTGGGTGGGGAGGCTGCTGGCCAAAAAAAAAAAAAAAAAAAAAAATGTAGGGAAAAGAACATTGAAGGAGGGAGGAGTGTGATTTGAGATCAAAATTCCTCTGCGCTGCATACAGATAATAGAGAGCTGATTACATATAGGGATTTCTCTCAGAGAGAAAAGTATTAAGTTCCCCCTCTTTTCTCCATCCGCTAACAACTTCAATATTGAGTTGTATGAGAGTTACATAAGCCCTTTTGTATAGAACAGAAATAGCCCTCATGCGAAGTGGCCAATTGAGTTATTTATGGTATTTTAACAGCTAGTTTGCATAGCTCTGCAGTTGATCCAGCTGATTATTCCTCAATCAGCTGCTAACACAGGCACGGAAAAAATAAAATAAAATCAACGGCTGTGCAGCCGATCAGTAACCACAAATAGATGCGGTCAGGCTGAACCCAAAGTGGATCCCCACATGACAGCCCATGCCTGGGCAAGACCAGAGGTCGACCCTTGGGTGTCCGCGTGCGGTCTTTCCTCCATGATCACCCATGTTGGTTTTCCAGCTATTCTTGCTGATATTTCTATGGACAAAGAAAGGCTCATGAACAAAAATAGTTGGGGTTTTATCTTTTCCAATTTATTCAAAAGACAAATAAATGGGTGCTATTTTTTCTCCTTGCTCCTGATTTTGGACCTCAGGTGCACACAGCTGGGCAATTACATGCTTCAGCTCCCAGCACACTGCCATTATTGTCCCTTGCAAGTTACCTCTCTTGTTTTATTTTACCTCAGTTTAGTATTTTCCTCTTATCACTCTCCCTCAGTCCCATGTGCACGCCTGCAGGCACCGGCTCTAATGGATTTTATGTCTGTCTGCGGATATGTGAGTGTCTGAAAACACACAGTGCTCTTGTTTTCACTCGCCCTGCAGAGTCCGCGTTGGACTAATCCCTACTCTCCCGCTGCTCCACATCTGTCCCCGGGGAACTGAGCACAGTGGGAGGAAAACACAGATCCCTATTGCTAGTCTTTCTGTATGTGGGCAGCCAACATCCTGAAAGGGTCTTTGGTGGGGCCAGGGCCTCCCACTATGAATCCCTTCCGTCCACTCCCCGACTTTCCCAAAAGACCTTGACACACCTTCTCCTCTGGCTTTAAACCTCGAAGCCCTCCTCCAAAATGCTCCCTCCCTGATAATGAGCTCCTTCCAACTTCATGGAGAAACCGGAAACCCTTGAAATGAAATCCGTTCTGTACCCACCCTCACGTTTACTACGTCAGAGCCTCTGTCTTCTCTCCCGTTAAGATTCATCTGTTCTTGTCTCCCCAAAGCTAATCCCTGCACCTGTGCCAACTCCTTCCCCCTCCCACACGCTCAAGGGCACCATCCAACAATTGCCACATTTTCTCTCGCTCCTGGGTCATTCCGTGAGTATAAAAACATGCAGTCATAGCCCTCATCATTTGTCAGAAAATGTCTTTATTTCACATATACATGAAAGCACCCTGTGTTTGTGAATGACAATATTAGGGTGAGAACAATCTAAAAATATTATCCCACTCTTTTCTGGCTTCCATTTTTTTCTGTTATAAAACCTACAATTGACATGATTAGCGTTTTTTGTTTTGTTTTGTTTCTATTTTGTTTTTCTGATAATCAGTTTCCTTCTCCCTAGTCAATTTTAGGATTTTCATGTTCTTTGTTTTCGATATAAAGCCTTTAGTTGTGGATTTCATTTCATTTCCTGCTGCTTCAGATTCACAGTATTCTTTGAGTCTGGGAACTAAGTTTTTAAATTTGCTCTGTAAAAATTTCAGTCATCATCACTTTGCGTAGTCATTTTCTCCATCTTCAAATCATTTATTTTATTTTAAGCACATATGATTTATATTTCATACATGATAATTCAAATGCATGAGGCCTTTGTGTGGCTCATTATTGTGAATGTTGTTTCTGCTGATTCTAATGCACAGTAGCCAGTTCCTTCATGTGTTTTGCAATTTTCAATTGTGAACTTAGGTTTGATTGATCCTATCTTGTGGGAATCTTTAGGAATCTGTGTTGAGTTGCATTCCTCTAGAGAGGATTTGTGTTTACTTTTGCCTTGTACCTGGAAGCACTAAAACCCAGGACCTCATCCAGTGTTCTCCTCAACAAAAAAATTACATAGCACTTTATACATGTCACACACAGTAAAAGTTGCATTCTCCTTTTAAAGATGAAGAATGCAGAAAAAGGCAGTTATGCACCTTGACCAAAGTCACTCACATTGTTTATGACAGGGCAGCCACAAACATGCTGTCAGTCACTCTGCTATGATATAGCTCATCTATGATACTTGCTCATCTCTGCAGCAAGTACAAATTCAAACCCTAAGTCCAGAGCCATGAGGGCCAGGCAGGGATCACATATTCTCAGGCAAAGCTGATAATGCAGCTTTCCTTCTGGCCCCCAACTTGCCACAGGTAGATTTTTTTCCCATAGCCACCCCTGTCTTTGAGAAGGTAGAACTGAGAGGGACTAACCTTATATAGAAGGGCTCAGCTTCAAACTTTCGTCTCTAAGAGGCCAAGGTCTTGCTTAATGCCCCATGCATTTGTTAAAACCAACAAGCCTGCATCCCCGGTGTTGGTGAATGTCCCAAGGGCAGCTATTACTCCACCCTCACCTACCACTCTAATTTTACCTGCTGTTTCTTTTCCTGACTCCCAAGTTTCCTTTAATTCTTGTGAGCTCAGCTTTTCATTTAGTCATGTTTGTTGTAATTTATTCAACATTGCTAGGTCTTTTTTAGTGAAAGAGCTTTTAAGGATTTCTAGACTGCTCTATTGCCAGAAACACAAAGTTTTCTTTTTCTCTATTTTACTTTTAAATGTTTGCTCTTCATCCACTAAGATCTGAGGGTCCCAGGCTTTGATTGGTGAGTACTAACTCTTGAGGGTCTCTATGGCAAAGGTTCTGAAGCCTTGCTTGTATTCTACCTACATTTAAATGACAGCTTGCTTGAATGTCCAATTCTGGGGTTGAAATTCTTTCCTTCCACTTTTGACCATCGTATTTCTCAACAGCGACACTAAGACACATAAGTTATATTTTTAATCTTATTCTTTTATCTTTGCATGGCATCTGCTTTTTCTCTTTGAAAGTTTTTAGAATCTTCTCTTTCCTTTGATGATCTTAAGTCTAATTCTAATGTGTCTAGGTAAAGTTTAGGTTTTTTTTCTATATTTTAATCTTTCGAGCTGGGCCCTCTGTGAGCCCTTTCCAGCTGAGAACAACTTTTTTTCTAAGTCTGTGAACTTCTTGGTCTTTTCTTATTTTTCAACAATTCTTCTTTCTGTTTACCTTTCTCTGTCCCTGTGGGACTCCTATTACGTGGATGTCTAGAGGTTGTTCTGCCTCATCCAGGTTTCCAGCTCATTCTTCTCTCTTTAACCCTTCCTTGTGCCTTCTGAGTGAGCTTCTCATTCCACCTTCAACCTCCTCCTTGTCTCTCTGGTATTCTGACATCCCAACCATCTCCTGGGTTCACTATTTAAAATACTATCATTTTAGACTACTTTTTCTCTGATTCCTTTTCATGTATACTTGGACTTGCTTCATGTTTTTAATATCCACGCTACCAATCTGAGGACATTTATAAAAAATTTTATTTTAAGCTTGTTTTCTGCCTAATCCATTGATTTTGCTTTGTCTAGTACAAGCTGTCTTTTATGAAACAGCATGCATGCCTCTCAAATATCCCCCCACCTTTCCTTTAGAACTCTCAGCTGCTTTTGCTGATAGGTGCATCCTCCCGATGGGGTAAAGTCCTTGTCCTCAGCTTGGGCTCCTCCAAGTAGAAGGGGTGGTTTTTCTTTCCCAGTGGTGGCAGAGGGTGCTTCAGAGTTGAGACCCTCTCATGTTGCAGTCTGGGCTCAATCAGCCCCACCAGCCCTTCTGTCTTGCTCCCCAAGTCTCATCATCAATGTCTCAGTGCCTCTGCCCAGACACAGTTTCACTTTGAGAATTGCCTCTGGATTTGTCATTGGTCACCTGAGAAAGTGGAAAGAGGGTGAGCAGGGAACAGGAAGTTCTCGGAAGCCCATTCACAGGACTGCTGGCCCCTCTCCCAGTTGGGCTCCAGCATTGCTCTGTGCTCACCTTTTTGTTTCGCTGGAAGGTGAGCTGGGGTGGAGAGGGGCCTGCTGATTTCACCACTGTGCTGCAAACAGCATGTCAGGAGCTGAGTTGCAGATGTCTGGGACTCTGATAAAGCAGCGGAAATTGTTGGCAGCCGCTTATCTTCCCGGCATTGTGGATGCACATCAGGATTACATGGATGATGCAGGAATTGGGACATGGTTTCTGACAAGTGTGAAGAAATGGGATGGATGTCACTTAAATCAGGAGAAAAGTTGCAACACTCAGCTCAAAGATGTCAAGCGGATTTGAGCCTGTGTGGGGCTGTGATGAGCCAGCAGTCACTGTGTACCCTGGTGCTTCTCGAACTTTATTATCAAGCAGATCACTGAGGGATCTTGTCAAAGTGCTGCTTGGACTCAGTAGATAGAGGCGAGTTTCTGCATTTCCCACAAGCTCCTATGTGATGCCCATGATGCTGGTCAGTGTCTGTGGACCACACTTTGAGCAGCAAGATTCTAGAACTGTGTGTTAAGATGGATGACGAGGCCTGAATGGGACCCAGCTGGAAGACTACCAGGATCACACGGTAACATCTGCCATAGTGGGAGGTCGAGGAAGTGGCGGAGTGCAGCAATTTTCATATATGAGCTCGTCATTCAGTATTTTTTCACACTTAAATATTATTTCAAAATCCCCTTTTGAGTCTGTAAGCTCTCTCCTGGCTTTAGACCATCTTCCATCCATGTCATAATGCAGTCTTTGTTCATTTATTGCTAATCCATTCATTAATAAAAAATAATTTATTTATTAATAATTTTAGTAATGCAATTCATCTTTATTTATTTCGTTCTCTGACAAACATTTTTTGAGTGCCTACTCTATGTGAGGCATTGTTCTAATGCAAAGAACACAGCTGAAAACAAAACAGACAGTCCCTGTCCCTACCTTTATAGCCTGAAAAAGACAACTGATGAGTGGTTCCATACGTGAATGACTGAATGCACACACACATATATACACATACATAAGAGGCACATAGAAAACACATAGGAAGCACATGGGTTAAAAGAGAAATTACTATGTAAAGTTGTAGGAGGGGACGGAGTGCTGGGGGGAGAGGAACAACTAGGGGAAGCCTGGCTGTGTTAAGTCCATATGGAAGCAGAGACTCGGGCAGAGGGAAGAGCGGCACCAGGGCTTTGGTGCAGGGCCCTGGGCATATTCCAGCCATAACAGGGGGCCCATGTGACTGGCGCCAAGTGAAAAATGGGAAAAGTAGCCAGAAAGGAAGTCAGAGTGGCAGTGGGGGCAGATGATGGGGAGCCTTGATGCAGTGAAAGGACTTTGGCTTTTATTCTGAGAAACAGAAACAGCAGTGGACTCTTGTGATGCCACTCATGTTTTCCATTGGTCACCCGTGAATAGTCTGAAGGTGGAGGGAAACAAAGGTAGAAACGGGAAGGCCAATTAGGCACTTAATGCTGGGACAGGATAATGATGGCTCCTAGGGGGTGACCACAGCAAGCGTGGGAGAAGTGGTGGGATTTTGTGTATTATGCCCGTAGAGCCTACAGTATATCCTGATAAATTAGATGTGGGGTGTGAAAGGAGAAGTGTCAAGGATGACTTCCAAAGGAATTAGAAGACTTGTGTTTCTGTTTACTGAGATGTTGGTTTAAGATTTAGGTGTCTGATAAACATGCATGTGGAGAGGTTCATGCTGTAATCTGTAATTCAGAGTCACCAACATATGGAAGGTATTTAGAACCATGGGACTGGGTGAGTTCACCTAGGAGAGAGTGCATCTCCAGAAGAGAAGAGGCTGTAGATGTGGAGAGGTGTGACACTGCTCCCCTTCCATCATAAGGGTCATGACTGGCACTTCTATAAAAAAAGACAGGTTAACAAAAGAAAAACTTAACAAATGTATTTAATCAAGTATTGCGTGACATGGCAGCCTTCAGAAATGAGAACCTAAAGACTCAGGGAAAACTCTGTATTTATACTTAGGTTCAGTGAAGAATGGATAGTGTATCAATCCATTCTCATGCTGCTATGAAGAAATAACTGAGACTGGGTAATTTATAAAGAAAAGAGGTTTAATTGACTCACAGTTCCACATGGCTGAGGAGGCCTCAGGAAACTTACAATCATGGCAGAAAATACCTCTTCACAGGACGGCAGGAGAGAGTGAGTGCCAGCAGGGGAAATGCCAGACACCTATCAAACCATCAGATCTCATAAGAATTCACTCATCACGAGAACAGCATGGTGGAAACCACCCCCATGATTCAATTACCTCCCACCCTCCCAAGGCATGTGGGGATTATGGGATTACAATTGTAGATGAGATTTGAATGGGGGCACAAAGCCAAACCATATCAGATAGCCATGTAGAAATGTGTTTGGACGAAAGGGTAGAATCTTGTGGTAACAGACTGAGGGACGAACCCCGGCAAGACTTGCCTGTTCACGTTCTTCATGGCCTCTCTGTGTACTAGTCCTTCCTCTGGGTATGGGGCAGGACCTCTCTGGAATGAGTCTTCAAGGGAGAAAGGAGAGAGTGACCTTTCTAGGTTTTATGGCTTGCTTGGGAAGAAAGTGATTTTAGTTTCTATGACCCACCTTTGGAAGAAGAAAGTCTGGTTTCTGTGACTTGTTTGGTAGAAAGAGAGAAATGGGAGACAGAAAGATGGGAGAAAGTCAGAAAGACCTTGCTTCTGAGGTCTTTTCAATATTCTTCAGTTCAAAGTACTCAGCATGCTAAGGTGCCATACTTTGGGGTATAGTGTTCTGAGCCACAGTGAGATACAGGAGAGAGTTCTGCAATGTCTATAGATACTACGGACAGAATGGAGACAAAAGAAAATCAGTCAAACATAAATGTGTTTTAGTAACTTGATGTATTTCCTTCTATAATCCTAGAAGGCCAATCCTTTTGGTCTAGGTTTTTGTAATGTCTAATAGTGCTGGGATGCAGTATCATGCCTTTGCTTATAGGTGGTGCCATTTAACAAATATGAAATATTCAATAGGCATATAATTGTGGGTTAAAGCTTAAGTTTCTGTAACATAAGTGAAGACTCTGTTTCAGTGGCTTTGTAAATTTTCTATTCTGTACATTGAATTTACTTAAAATAATACACACAATTAATTAAAAACTGGTCAAATTCATGTTAAAATCCTTAATATACATGTATGAATATGCACAAAACAGAAAAAGCACTAATATTTGTTTTCCCATAACAAATATTCTAAATGTGAAATTAAACTTCACTACATATTGGGTTTTGGATCAAAATTTAAGATGACTTCTTTGCTCTATTTCCAACTCTGTTCTTTGCCATTTCTCTGTAATTGGCATCTCAGATTCCTTTTTGCAAGGTGCAAATCTGTGTGAAAATCCCCCCATCTTTTACTTCTGAAAGCCAAATTTTGAAAGGATGATATATAAGTGACTTGGCAGGGGCAAGCTAGAGTAGTTACAACTTGAATGCTAAAATTCTACTCATTAACAAGTTGTTAAATAATTAATAGGTTTGTGTTTAATTGCTTCTGTGTATATAATCTTGCTTTTTTCTGAAAACCATCATTAATTTTCAGTTAGTTCCACTTGAAGTAACAAGGCCTAATGCTTCCAGTTGGAAAAAATGAATATTTATGAACACTTGCTCTGTCTGAAGCTGGAGGAAAAATAAGATTATTCAGTTTCTTAATGTTTAAAAAGGAGTTGGGGGAGAGAAACTTGTTCATTTTAGTCTCTGACAATATGTTTATTTGGCAAGTTTGGGTCTCTGACCCCAGCTAATTTCTCCAGAGAGCTTGTTAGGCTTTATTTTAAGTGGAAATTCTGTCCTCAGAAATTCCAGTCATCTAAAGACTATACTTAAGACGATGTTACACTCTCATGTGAGCAGAGCTGTGCAAGTGCTGGTTCTGGCATGGGCATCAGTTGGACAACATCTGTCACTTGGGCACAAGTGGAAGATTTCTAAGACCAGCTTAGGAGTGTGACAGCATACACAAGAGCCCACTGTCTCTGCAGTGCCACTGGGCTCTGCAGCTCTAAGTGGCAAACACCATCCTGCAATACAGTTCCCGAGCAGGCTTCTCCCTCTTCCTTCTGCTTCCTATGGTTGGAAGAAATGGTTGGGATTAGAATGGATATCTATCAGGAGTCACAACAGAAAACAGTCCCTTTGCAGGGGGGCTTTTAAAAGATGTCAGATTATGGGCAGCTTTATTTTTTTCTTTTTAGCTCTTGCATTTTCCAAATTATTTATCATTATTAGGTAACATGATAATATAGAAAAACTCACTCACTGTGGCTCTTAAGAAAAAGACACTCAGAAAACACACTGTCTGAAGTTAGTTAGAAATGAGGTTTGCTTGCCTGTTTCATTGACATTTTTTTTTTTTTTGTGGCTGGAAGGAAAGCCAGATCATTCCATATGTATATACCTAAACAGTGCATTGCTTAGTTTTGCCTGGTTTTGATTATTACAAAAACGGTAACTTATTGAATGCGGTCTTCTGGGACTTGTCTTCTTCACGCAACGTTGTGTTTCTGAGATTCATCCGTGTTGTTGTATGTCTCTTGTAATTCATTTCTTTTTAATGGTACATCATAGGGACTTGTCTCATAATATTCTGCTTCTGAGAATGACCCGTGTTGTTGTGTACCTGTAGTTCATTCGTGTTTAGTGGTGCACAATATTCAATTTGTGTGAATGTACAATTTTTCTGATTCATTCTTCTGGTTTTTTTTTTTTTTTTTGAGACAGGGTTTTGTTCTGTTCCCCAGGTGTGATCACAGCTCACTGCAGCCTTGAACTCCTGAGCTCAAGCAATCCTCCTACCTCAGCCTCCTGAGTATCTATGACCACAAGCATGTGCTGCTATGCTTGACTAATTTTTAAATGTGTTTTGTAGAGACAGGGTCTCCCTATGTTGCCCAGGCTGGTCTTGAACTCCTGGGCTCAAGCTATCCTCCTGCCTCAGCCTCTTGAATTAGTCTCCTGTTGATGAATATCTGGGTTGCTCCCGTTCTGAGCTGTGCTGGCCCTGGGAGCATCTGTGCAAGAATTTAAGGCATTTATCTGGGAGTTTATCACTAAGTTCTCACATCTTAACAACTTTACAAGATAATGAAAAATTGTTTCTAAAGTAGCTGTACATACCTATACCACCACTGTCTCATCAGTTTATTAGTTGCTGCCGATCCCATGGGGATATAATGGTCTATCATTGTATCTTAATTTGCATTTGCTTGATTTCTAATGAGGTCTGTTATCTCACTTGTCTATGGAATATGTATTTCCACTTCTGGGTAGTGGCAGTTCACATCCATTACACATTTTACTATTGGTTCATTTCTTTTTTGCTTACTGATTTAAAGGACCTCTGTATGTTTTCTAAATAGTAAATCCTCTTTTCATTTTTAGTTATATGTATCGAAAATATCTTCTTCCCTTTTTTAGTTGTCTGTATAGTGTGTTTTGCAAAATACAAGTTTTGATTGCAATGCAGCCAAAATTTTTTTTTAAATGTTTAATTTTTTGGTTCTGTTTATGAGCTCCTTCCCTATTTCAAGCTCAGAAAGATATCTGTCTATATTTTCTTTTAAACATTTTTGAGTTTTGCTTTTTTACTTGTAGTTTCAAATTTATTTGAAATTAATGTTGTATTTAATGGAAGGTGGATAGCCTATTTCACTTTTTAAAAATATGGATAACCAACTGTGCCAGTACTATTTATCAAAAAGTCCCTCTTTACCCATCACTCGGTACAGTCACCTCTTTCTTTTAGTGTGTGTCTAATTCTGGGCTCTGTTTACTTTATATTTGGCCAATTTATCAACTTCTATGGCAATACGACATTGTCTTACTGTTGTTTTATGGTAAGCATTGAGATCTGGTACTGACAGTGTTTCATTCTATTCTTCATCTTTACTGTTTTTCTTGGTCTTTTGCATGTCTACATAAATTTTTAAATCAATTTGTCAAGATCCATAGAATCCCTATTAGAAGTTGGTTCAGAAATACATGGCATCAATAGATCAATTTAGGGAGGACCTTCAGCTTTTCGATGTTGAGTTTTCCTACTATGAACGTGGACATATTGCTTTCCCAAATAAGAAGATATTAGGAAATAAGAGTAGAAAATAGCAAACACTTCTAAACAAGATTTGAAAAAGATGTATTCTTTCGATGGGCTGGAGAGCAAAATGAAAGTGGTTCAAAACTGAGTTACTGATTTGGAAGATAAAATGAGGCAATCTCCTATCACACAAGAACAATAGTATAGAGAGAAAGAAAGAGAAAAATTAAGAGACAAGGATGAGAGATCCAAAAAATAAAATAACTACTTAATAACGGGTGATCCAGAAAGTGATTTAAAAAAACGAGCAGAAAAATTTTTTTTTCTTTGAAATGAAGTCTTGCCCTGTCACCCAGGCTGGAGTGCAGTGGCAAGATCCTCAGCTCACTGCAACCTCTGCCTCTGGTGCAAGCAATTCTCTTACCTCATCTTCCCGAGTAGTTGGTACTACAGGCTCCTGCCACGATGCCAGGATAATTTTTGTATTTTTTAGTAGAGATGGGGTTTTGTCATGTTACCCAGCTTGGTCTCCAACTCCTGAGCTCAATTGATCCAATCACCTTGGCCTCCCAAAGTGCTGGGATTACAGGCGTGAGCCAGGGCACCCAGCTGAAAAAATGATTTAAAAAAAAAATAGGAAAAAAAAAAAAGATCTTAAGGAAGACCTGAGTCTAAAGGAACTATTGAACACTAGGAAAATAATGTAAAAGTACAGTTTAATTTTTAATGTACATCTTAAACATATATTTTAAATGAACATTTAACAGACAATTTTGAACACTGTTTTAAACA
The DNA here is from genome assembly GCF_000001405.40 of Homo sapiens. Lineage (NCBI taxonomy): Eukaryota > Metazoa > Chordata > Mammalia > Primates > Hominidae > Homo > Homo sapiens. The sequence goes on along the minus strand of NC_000001.11, from coordinate 5,228,824 downwards.
TACATTTTAAATGTTAGCCCTAAATACAGCTAAAGTTTCTGAAATCGAAATTTAAAAAAAACTCAATCCTAAAACTGTATTAAAACTGTATTGAGAAAAGGCAGGCTAGTCTCAAAACAGCAAAAATTAGGCTGACGTCAGTTTTATAATTTTCAACATGAAATTCTAAAAGATAATAAGGGCATTATCTCCAAAGTTGTGAGGGAAAAGGAATTGGACTTAGAATTGCATATGAAGCCAAACCTTCAAGAAAGGGGACAGCATAATCTCCCAAACAGGCAGTTTTAAAGAAAATTATACCTCCTGTTAAATGTTTCTAAATGAAAAATCCTTGAGCTTATATGCCACAAAGCAAAAGTTGTAGCCCAGGAAAAAGCCGCCTGTGACACAAGGGAAAATGTCAGGCAAAGAAAGGAGCAAAATGCAGTTCCAGGCAAAACCTTCAATATACTGTTGTTGCTATTGAATACACTTGTTATACAAGGATTAGAAGGAGACATAATATGAACAAAAATCTAAACAGTTTAAAATTAAAATTTGGAAAAGCTGAAAGCCTGGATCACTAGCCTAGGGAATGTAGAAAGTCTTGTCTTCATGGTAAAGAGGTCATATTATCTGAATAATGTGTGGAGAGTTACGGGGAGAGAAAAAGCATATACATTTGGCAAAAATTGTAAAGGCAATTATTAGTTTACTCGAATTAAACTATAGGTATTTCAAACTTCTGGAAGGAAAAAAATAAAAGAAATGACATTTATACAGTACATTTCAAGAGGGAGAAAAAAGAGAGCTAAAAGCACCAAGATAATACAAATGAAAGAAAATACCATTTCAACGATTGTGACAGAGTAAAAATTTAGATCAAAATAGAGCAAAAACAGGCCAGGCGCAGTGGCTCACGCCTGTAATCCCATCACTGTGGGAGGCCGAAGCACGTGGATCATGAGTTCACGAGTTGGAGACCAGCCTGGCCAACGTGGTGAAATTCCGTCTCTACTAAAACTACAAAAATTAGCCGGGTGTAGTGGGAACACGCCTGTAATCCCAGCTACTTGGGAGGCTGAGGCAGGAGAATCGCTTGAACCCACGAGGTGGAGGTTGCAGTAAGCCGAGGACGGGCCATTGCACTGGGCAACACAGCAAGACTCCATCTTAAAATAAAATAAAATAAAATAAAATAAAATAAAATAAAATAAAATAAAGAAAATGCTAAAAGTTGACTTAAAGACATATATCTGAACTGAAATAAAACAACAAAAAGGAAATGGCTATTTTAAGAAAATAATAGTAACTGAAATAATTGAAATATTTCTGTCATTATGAATAGAGATTGAAGAACAACTAAACGAGCATGGGCTCAAATCAGCTGCCACATCACGGACCCTGTACAGCCTTGGTCGACTGCTTTGCCTGAATTTTTCCGTTTTAATATTCACAAGAAACCCATGTACTGTGTGAGTTTACAGTCATTTTACAGATGAGGAAATTGAGATTCAGAGAAGATAAGCAATTTGCCAAGGAATCATGAAGCCAGGACGTGGCAGAGCTGGGAACAGGAGTTGAAATTTATGGAGACAGCCTCTTGGGTGTCATGTAAAAAGTCATGCCAGCTGGGGCGGATGTTTTCTCTCTATCTGGTCATCCTGTTCCAGAGAGAAAATCAGAATTGTCAACCTGCAACCAGAGCCCCGACACAAACGCTTTCCAGCTCTCCCTTCCGTCCATGTCTCCTCTTGTACGGCCACTACTCTGAAATTGGAGTCTTTTTCTGGTCCTAAAGGAGATGGCGCCATGACTATCTGACTCGTCCAGAGAAAAAGATACCTGTTTTCAATTTCATGGACTATAAAGGTGTCTAACCTGTGTCAGAATGAACTTCCATAGGAGAAAAGCTGGTTGCATAAAAGGAGAATCTTTATGTCCAGTGACATCTAGATCTCCTGCCCAGAGTCATCTAGAAAACTGTCATGAATACCTATTAGCATTTCAAGGTCCACCTGGCCAGGGTATTATTGTCCCTTGTCCAGGCTTCTGTCCATTGTAAACCCAGCTGGGCTTACTTCTGTGCATCTGTGCCGCTGACCCAGGCCCACTGTGCAGTGGGACACCATCCTCCGTGGTCTGCCAGCTCCCTACCTCCCCTCAGCCCTAGAGGAAAGCGGCGGGGGGGGAGGAGGGAGGCGGTGGCAGGTATCAAACCATGCCTGTTCCATTTAATCCGCAGACAGGTAGATAAAGGATAAAACCTAATGAGCCATTGTTTGCAAAGGCTTGGAGGCTCCTGGTGGGGTTCCAGCCAAAGCATTGTAGTTATTTTAAGATGATACAAATTACTGATCCTGTGATAGAGAAAGAATGTGCCCTGGGCCCAGTGCTTCCCAGGGACACCTGCATCGGCTCGGCTTGCCTCCTCTTATCCTGCAGAACCCTTCTTTCCAGCTAATATTTCCAGAGAGGCGAGCCTGGCTCCTGTGAATATCTATTCAAAGGCCTCTCGGGTGCTGCAAGGCCCAAGCAGAGAGTGGTCCAGCCCCTACGGAAAGGCACTAAAGGTCCCAGGACGTGGCTTCAACTGACCTGCCCAGTGCGGCTCAGGCCTCGTCTCCACCCACCACTTCCTGTCCTGTCTTTTCTTCCTCCCGACCTTGGTTTGTAATTTTTCTCTGCCAGCACTGCCTTCACCAGCTCCTCATCTTTGCTCCTTTGAAAATCCTAACCAGATGATTGGGAAGATTACAAAGAGTTAGAATTAGAATCAATAGGATTAAGAATTAGAATTGAAGGCCAGGATTCGGGCTCAGCAGTTGCTAATTGTGTGATCTTGGATCCTCTAGCTCCCATCACAATCACCACTGTCGTTCTCTCGTCTTCATTACAATAGCAACAGCAGCAGCAATAACAACAGCAAGAAGAAGAATAATAAAGGTAATGCAGCAATGCTAGTAAGATAAACACCCTTTATCCATTGTTTACGCTGTGCCTAAGGAGCTTATCGTGGAGCTTTCATGTCCACACTGGGAGTTAAGCATCGCTATCATGTTTTACAAAGGAGTTAAATGTGAACCTTGAAGTTCAAGGACAGCCCCACAGCGTATAATTCCATTTAAGTGAAATATCCAGAATTGGCAAACCCATACAGATAGTGTATCAGTCGTGTTCCTTTGGAGAAACAGAACCACAGAACCAGTGGGAAGTGTGTGTGTGCATGTGTGTGTTTGTCTGTGTGTGTGGAGACAGAGAGAGAGAGATTGATTATGGGAACTGGCTCACATGATCGTGAATATTATGGAGACTTGGAAGTCTCACAATCGGCTGTCTGAAAGCTGGAGATCCAGAAAAGCTGGAGGTGTAGATGAGTCTGAGGCCAAAGGCCTGAGAACCAAGGGACGGGGAGAGGGTAGAGGAGCTGGTTTAAGTCATGGAGTGCAAAGCTCCAAGAACCAGGAGCTCTAATGTGAAACGGCAGAGAAGATGGATGTCCCAGTTCAAGGAAAGAGAGAGAGGGAGAGAGAGGGAGAGAGAGGAAGAGAGAGGGAGAGAGAGGGAGAGAGAGGGAGAGAGAGGGAGAGAGAGGGAGAGAGAGGGAGAGAGGGAGAATTTGCCTTTCCTTCTATCTGGGTTCTCAGTGGATTGGATGCTGCCCACCTTCACTGGTGAGGGCAGATTTTTACTCATCCACTGACTAGATGCTAATCTCATCTGGAAACACACTCCCAGACACACCCAGAAATAATGTTCTACCAGCTATCTGGACATCCCTAAGCTCAGTCAAATTGATGCATAAAATTTGCCATCACAGGCGGAAAGCAGGTGAATGGTTTCCAGGGCCTGGGTGGTGGGAGTGATGGGAACTGACTGCCCGTGGGTACAGGGTCTGCTATTGGGATGGTGAGAATGTTCTGGAACTTGATAGTGGTGATGGTTGCACAACATACTGAATGCATTAAATGCCACTGAATCACATATTTTAAAATAATTACAACGGTGAATTTCATGTTATGTGTATTTTACCACAATTTTTTAAAAGTTCAAGGAACTTACGCGAGTCTGAGTCCAAGGTGTATGACTTTCATCATCCTGCCCCCTTTGCTTTCCTCACATGGCTTTCCTGCCCCTTCCCAGCTGTGGAATGTGGAGAATATAATACTTTGCAGATACTCTATAATTTGTAGAGCCCAGTGCAAAAGAAAATATAGGTTCCTTAAAAAAAATCTTTTTAAGGCCAGGCGCAGTGGGTTACGGCTGTAATCCCAGCACTTTGGGAGGCCGAGGCAAGAGGATCATGAGGTCAAGAGATCGAGACATTCCTGGCCAACGTGGTGAAACCCCATCTCTACTAAAAATACAAAAACCAGCTAGGCATGGTGGCGCGTGCCTGTAGTCCCAGCTACTCGGGAGGCTGAGGCAGGAGAATGGCTTGAACCCGGGAGGGCAGAGGTTCCCACTGGTGCATTATCTGATAAACATCTGTGAGTAAGTCCAACGATGAGATCATGGGCTTTGGAATGCCCCAGCTCTGTTTCTGACCAGCTGTGTGATGCTGAGAGACTGTAACTTCTCTGATCCTAATATTAACCTTCTTAAAGGTCGTTGGAAGATTAAATGAGAGCCGATACTGATCTCAGATGACGTAGCCTGGCAGGCAGCGTTGCTTCTGGAACTCCTGTGCATTAACCAGTGCATTAACTGGTACACTTATAGGGATCATTAATAAAGTGGGTTTAATAATAATACCGATAACCTGAATAGTAATAATAACACCATGCTGGGCACAGAGCAAGCATTTCCTAAATAAATGTTACCTAACTGTTGAGGCATGATGGATAATTATCCCAGATGAATCTGACTTATTAAAATAGAATCTTGCAGTGAATTGTTAGGAGATCCACATATCCTCAGGGTACTCCCATTTACAGTCAAGTGGGAACGTTTAGAAAAGCCCGTATGGGGGTATGAGTTTGCCTGTTTGTCCTGACAGCAAGGGGCAGACTGTACTAAAAAGATCATCCCTTGTCTGCTCCACTCACTGTTCCTGATGCTTAAAGAGCCACATTTTGTGCTGTAGAAATTGGTTGAAATCCCTGTTGATTGGGCCAAGATCATGCATGGATAGGTCCGTGCTGGGTGCCTGGCCTGCACTAAGTCAGTGAATAAGTATTGGCTCTTCGAAGAGTCATATCAAGTGTTAAAATAGGGAAACATCCAGCTTCACTGAATGGCACCGAATTGAAGCTCACAGCGCCTGGCAGCCATGGCTGTCCCATCAGTTCTTTTTCACTCCCGCTTCTCCGGTTGGCATTCCATTCTTATCTGGGCTGCCTTTGTCTAGAAGGTCCAGCTTTGCAGGGTTGGCCCTCTCACCAGAGGCTTCCTTTGTCTGCTTGTCAGGGCTATGCTGTGCCTCCCTCCCTCCCTCCCTGTGTCCTGCCAGTCACTCTCCCCATCTGAACCCACCCAAGCCCTGGTGCCTGCATGTCCCTGACTCCTCCTCTCTGGGGCTGTCTGTGTCCATCTGTTTCTAGTCCAGCTCTTTTGTTGGTTTCTCTCCTGAGACACTTCCTATCACCCAGCATGTTCTTTTCCTTCCCATTAGTTGATGCATTTCCATAAAAAGTCCCTGGACCCTTCCTCTGCCACAGCCGTGGATCCTTCTCATCTTTCTGTCCTCTGAGCCTCATGTCCCTAGAGGCTCTGTCTGCCTCCTGTCTTTCTGCAACAGCAGGTTTTTCTCCACACTCTTTGACACCATTGTCAGCCTTGGCATCTCCCTATAGCTCCAGAAACACCTAGAGTACTCCCTCCAGCTCCACCGTGGCCAAGGGGGCTCCCCTGCCCTGTCAACCCTCCACCTTGCAGTGGGAAATGCAGTGCCCGGGGCAGGGCTCCCCTTTGGTTGTCTCTACATTGCCTGCTCCAGCTCCCAGAGGGGTGAAGGGAGGGACTTATCTCAATGTGGTTTATAGCATCCCCCATTCACAGGCTCTCTGGCCCTATCTCGCTGGCATCACCATGGCACCCTGGAAATGGTGCTTGTTAATGCTGGGCTCATGCACCCACCTTGAGCACCCTTGGACTAACAGGTGCCCTTTAATTTGGGGAAAGCAGAAAGCTGACTTAGACTGTGCTTTCTCAGTGCAGAGCCAGATGGCTGCTTTCTCGAGAATTTGAATCCACTACTGAGCATCTCATAGTGATGTGATATTTTGTCATTTTCAATTAAAGAACCATGAAGACAGGGGCAGTGGCTCACGTCTGTAATCCCAGTACTTTGGGAGGCCGAAGCAGGTGGATCACTCGAGCTCAGGAGTTCAAGAGCAGCCCGGGCAACATTGCAAAACCCCATCTCTACAAAAAATTAGCTGGTCATGGTGGTGCACGCCTGCTGTCCCAGCTACTCAGAAGGTTGAGGTGGGAGGGAAGTCAAGGCTGTAGTGAGCCAGCAGAGATGGTGTCACTGCATTTCAGCCTGGGCAACAGAGTAAGACTCTGTCTCAAAAAGAGAGAGAGAGAGAGAAGGAAGAAAGGAAGGAAGGAAAGAAGGAAGGGAGAAAGAGAGAAAGAAAGAAACCATGAGAATAAGTAAGTTATTCCTAGGAACCAAGACCTATAAGAGCCCATAAACACCACTGGCAATTATGTGGCCAGTGCATTAACTGGTACACTTATAGGGAGCATTAATAAAGTGGGTTTAATAATAACACCGATAACCTGAATAGTAATAATAACACCATGCTGGGCACAGAGCAAGCATTTCCTAAATAAATGTTACCTAACTGTTGAGGCATGATGGATAATTATCCCAGATGAATCTGACTTATTAAAATAGAATCTTGCAGTGAATTGTTAGGAGACAGAACGCTTTCTCCATTCTTGGGGAACGTTTGGCGAGAATGGTTTTGAGTGGGCAGGCATTGCATAATGGTGTTTTTTTGATGCTCATTAAGATTTGCTTAGTGTTGTTGCCAGGTCCTCTGAGTGGGCTTAGGAAAGGTGAGAAGGCGTCTGTAGGATATTTAAAATCTGGTGTTTGGGGCTTGGGGCAAGTGCTCCTGGCAGATTTGAAATATCGAAGGATAAGACAAAGCAATTGGGCCAGAGACCCTGCAGGACAGAATTCAAAGGTTGCAGCCACAAGTTAATGAATCATGTCTCTCCATCAAATGTCCCCCGTTGTGTGTCAATAAAAATTTCAGAGTGTTAGCCAAGATGTCTCAGATATATTTTTTATTTAAGCTCCCCTAGGGCCCCATTGGAGCTTTCGTGCCAGCTGGTAAAGCAGTGTGAGAACTGAGGTCCTGGTCGCCAAGACTGTCAGCACTTGATGCATATCAGATAATTCTGTTCTCTTAACAACCCTGCGACATGGAGAGGGTTATGACCCCCATCCCATAGATGAAGAAACTGAGACCTACAGAAGTCATACAACTTGTCCAAAGCTCCACAGTCAGTAAGTTACAGAGCCAAGGTTGGTGCCCAGGTCCGTCCTTTCCTACGCCTGTGGTGTTGACTCCCACCCTCAAAGACGCCTGATGGTTGATTCAGAAAATGAAATGGCTTAGTCAACCAGAATCTGACCTTCTGAATCCAATTGTTGGAAGTGGACTCCAAGGGTTAGCCAGAGTTAACGTTACACTTCCTGGAACACCCTCTTGGAGTATTTCACTTGTGCCAAGTAAGTGGCTGCAAAGAGCTCATTGCAATTTGTTTCTCACTGTGACTTCGCACCTGCACCCAGGGGTCCAGAAATAGCACGGTTCAATCCTGATCGCAGTTTTGCAGACACTCTTGCTACACTCAACAGATGTCTTTCGATTCTGCAATATTTCCAACTGTCAGAGCTGAAAGAGCAATAAATAATAATGTTCTCACATTTACATAGCAATTGAACACACTGCATAGTAGAATGACTTTTCTTTTCACTTCAATATTTTGCACTGCCTTCTGAATTCTTGGGACGTTTGCATATCATTCCCAGGATGCTCGTGGAAAGCAAATATTTAGACTACATGGACATTATTCAGTTTTAGAACATATTTTTTTTCAGGAAAATAAGTGTTATTTAAAGCAGATGGTGCTACTGTCTCTGATGCACAGCTCGTAAGCCTCCTGAATTTATTTTTACACTCTTTGTATGGTACTATCTTTAAAACATCCCCTTATGGCAACCACAGATGTGTATGAGGTATTGACCATTTTTTTCGTCCTACTGAAGGTTTGTACAGAAGTAAGCTAATCCCAAACAAACCTCAATGTGGGTTATCCTTCACTAAAAGAAAAAAATCTGCAGCTCTCAGGCTGTGACAATGACACTGAAAGGGCTACCTCAATCCTTTGCTGTAACCAGACTTGCATAAAGTGACAAAGTGCTCAAAAGGAGCAGGCATTGGTTCACATCTGGAAAAACTTCTTGTTATCCTGATATTTTTGATAGAACGTGGGCTGTAATTTATGAGGGTTCTGTCATTTCAGACTTTGTCAGCATTAACTTAAGGGAAGGATTCCAGCGAGAGGCACAGGATCTGCGGTGCTGTGAGTGAATTTCAGAATCCATGAGCTTTGTCCAATTTGGTCAAAATTTGTGCATTGGGAGGAGAAATGCGGGGGTGGAGGCAACATGAAGAATGGGAGCCTGAGCATTGGAAGGTGGTATGGAGCTCACTCCCCGAGTCGATATCCTTCGGTAAGCGCAGGGTAAGCAAGATTGGGACCGAATAGCAAAGAGTTGCATTTAATTTAATTTAGCTTCCCTGATTATTGAAAAATGGTTACAGGAAGATTAAGCTTTAAGAGTAATGGCATTAGCAAATAGCAAAGGGATGTGGCAATCCATCAGTCTGCAGAGTCCTGGGTACTGCCACTCCACTTCCCTTAACTTTATTATTAATAATCATGAATAATCATAGCCAGGTTTTCAGAGCAGCTTTCATTGCAGAAATCCAAGCCACCGTCCCCATATTAACCTGTTCATTCGTGTGCCTTTGCAATTCCGATGTTCACAGTAATTGAGTGACAGAGGCGAGTCATGAGGAGCATGGTTCACAGGTGAACGAGCTTTCCCACCTCCAGCTCTGTGGAGATGCTGCCCCGGTGGATGCCAGGCTGCGGTGCTCTGTGCAGGGTGCCCACGGCAGGGGAAGGGCTGGAGGCTCCAGCTTTCAGCACTGCTATGTCCCTTCCCCAGTTTCAGCTGGTTTGACCATTGAAGGAGGTGAGGGATAGAGGGAGATCAGGGGTTACATTAGATAAGGTATGAAATGATGGCGTTTAGAAGGTGATCAATAACGATGAATTCTGCCTTCTATATGCAAGATGGGCAGCCTAGTCCTGCCCCTGATTACGTGGGTATCCTGAAGATCAAATGAGGACCAGCAGAGATTTATCAAGCAGACGCTGACTCACTCTCGGAGAGATAATTGGTATCACGGTGGAGCCAAATGTATGTGGCCAGGGTCCAGCCCTCAATACCCACATCCAGGTGAGTAAGGAAATAAAAAAATGGTTAAACTCTGTGTGGAAACGGAGAGAGTATAAAAAGCTATATGTATCCAAAGAAAATAAGAAAGAAAGCCACTCTGGGCTTATGAATGCATTCATTCATCCACTTATCCATTGTATTAGTCTGTTCTCACATTGCTTTAATAAAGACAGACCTGAGAGTGGGTAATTTATGGAGGAAAGAGGTTTAATTGACTCAAAGCTCTACATTGCTGGGGAGGCTTCACAATCATGGTGGAAGGCAAAGGAGGAGCAAAGTCATGTCTCGTATGGGGGCAGGCAAGAGAATTTGTGCAGGGGAACTCCCCTTTATAAAACCATCGGATCTCATGAGACTTACTCATTGTCATGAGAATGCATGGGAAAGACTTGCCCTCAGGATTCAATTACCTCTGAGATTCCTCCAATGACACATGGGAATTATGGGAACTACAAACTTGAGATGAGATTTGGGTGGGGACACAGCAAAACCATATCATCTATTCATTCATTTGTTCATGCAAGACATTTAATTGAGCATGTACTATGTGATAGATGTTATTCTAGGTGATAGGATTAGGAGTGAACAAAGCAGCTCCGTTGTGTTGCTCACCTTCCAGAAGGGAGACAGCAGCTAGAAGCATAACTAGTTTGTAGATTGCCAGGTCCTGTGGCCACCTGAGAAAACACCTCCCAATGTAGGGAGCAGGGCTGACCAGATCCCCACTGCTGTCCTTTAAAATCCATGCCTACGTCTGCACCCAGGTCAAGGACTCAGTGCAGCAGGAGTCTTTTCACAGCCGGCCTTGGCTCAAGGACTCGCCCTGCAGCTTGGTCAAAACTACCCGAGACCTCCTGGCAGCCTCGGCTTTCACCCAACCTTGCCCCTGCTCTTCTTCATGGGCATCAGAGCTGCATGCAGGTTTGATCTTCTCCCCATCTTTTTGGGTTCCCTCCCAATTTATTTCACAGACATTTTCCCTAATAAAATCCTGTGAAAATCCTGCATGTTTAACTTCATCCTGGTGTCTGCTTCTGGGAGATCCCTGACTAATGCAGATGTTTTGTAGAAAAATAAAGCAGAGAAAAGGGGAAGAGAGGGATGGTGGTGGGGGGCCTCAGGAGGCTAGCCACTTGGATATTTAAGGCAAGAGAGTTCTTAGCAGAGGTAGGTTCAAAGATGGTGCTCCTGAGAGAGGGTTGTAGCTGGCAGGAATGTGGTGGGGGAGGAGTCAGGTGTGGCTGGAGCACAGACAACAAGGGGAAGAGGGTCAGGGATAGGGATCCACAGGCCACCAGGGACCAGACCTGTGAAGGCTTTTAGACCATGGCAAAGAGTTTGGCTCCCATTTGGATGAGGCAAAAGGCATAGTGCTGGAGTGCAAGCATGGTCTTAGTGATGTCCTGCAAGGCTCCCTCCAGCTGCTGGCTGAGAATAAGCTGTGTGTGAGGGAAGAGAAGGTGTAAGCAGGGAGACAAGAAGACTAGGGAGTTTCTACCCTAAGGATTTAGAGAGAAGGTAGAGGTGGCTTGGAGCAGATTGGTGTCCCTGAAGAGGTTAGAGGGGTCAGGTAAGAGATGAATTTGGCAAGTGGACTCAATTGCCCCTCCTGATGGACTGGTTGGGGAGTGTATGGGGAAAGTTTCTGGTCTACCTGAGTTAGCAGCAGCTCTATTAATTAGCGTGGGGAAGACCAGGGAGAAGCAGACTTTGGAGGGACCCAAAGGCTGTTTGAGAGGCCTCTTAGGCATCTACAGAGAGATGTCAGAAGGAGAGGGACGTGCAAATCCAGGTCTCGGGGCGATGGTGGGGCTGGAGATATAAAGAAGACGTGGTCTTTTGAGCTGGGTAAATCTCCCTAGGGTGGAGACTCAGGAGAGCCTCTGTGGAGAGCAGAGCAGGGCACAGGTAGAGGCAGGTGTAGCCTGGAGAACACTGTGGACTGAAGAGAAGTGCTCCTGCCAGGAAACGTGGAGCCTGATGATGGACAGCCTGGAAGACAGGCTTTGGAGCTTGTGATGCCTCATCTTGGTTCAGCATCAACTTGGCTGGGCCATGGGGTGCCCAGATACTTGGTTAGACATGATTTCTGAATGTGTCTGTGAGGGTGTCTTTGGATGAGATTAACATTTGAATTGGTAGAGTGAGAAGAGCAGATGGCCCTCCCCAGTGTGGGAGAGTATCAGCCCATCCAATGAAGGCCTGAATAGAATAAAAGGCAGAGTAAGAAAGAATTCTGTCTGTCTTCAAGCTGGGACATAGATCTTTTGCCTTCAGACTCAGACTTGGACTGGAGTTCATGCCATTGGCTCTATAGTTTGTCAATTGCAAATCTCTTTACACACACAGACACACAGACACATATATACATTAACATATGTGTATATATATACACACACATACACACACATATATACCCACATGTGCATATACACACATACACATGTGTATATACATATACATATGTATATATATCTTTACTCATACATACACACCTATACACACATGTGCATATACATATACATATACATGTGTGTATATATGCACACATACACACGTGTATAGACATATACATATGTATATATCTTTACACACACATATCTTTACACACACAAGTGTGTGTGTGTGTGTATATATATGTATATGTGTGTGTATTCTATTGATTCGGTTTCTCTGGAGAACCAGACTAATACCCAGCTGGCTGATGTTCGCTAGGTATTACAAAGCCACTAAAATTGTATAGCAGGAAAATCCTACTCTCTGTTTCTATAAGTTAGAATATTTTAGATACCTCAGATAAGTGAAATCATGCAGTATTTGTCCTTCTGTGACTGGCTTATTTCACTTCGTGTAATATCCTTTCATTTTGCCCATGATGATGCATATGGCAGAATTTTCTTCTTTTTTCAGAGTTAATAATTTTTCATTGTATGTGTATAGCACATTTTCTTTACCCATCCATCTGTCAATGGACATTAGATTATTTTCATATCTTGGCTACTGTGAATAATGCTTCTATGAATGTGGGAATGTATATATCTCTTCACCATTTTGATTTCAATTCTTTCAGGTATATACCTGGAAGTGGGATCGTTGGATCATAAGGTAATTCTTTTTAAATTTTTTGAAGAGCTGCTGGCCTGTTTTCTACAGCCAATGCACCATTTTACATTCCTGTCAACACTTTACCCAGTTTTCCAATATCTCTGCATTCTCATCAACACTTGTTATCTTTTCTTTATAACAACCATCCCAACAGGTGCGAGCTGATATTTCATTGTGGTTTTGTATTAATCCTAAGTAAATTATAAATATCCAGAAGAAAGACTTTAAATGACACTGAAACCAAGAATACATAAATCTAAGTGTATCATTTGATGACTTTCCACAAATGCGTAAAGCTGTGTAACGCAAATATCATCATCCAAGAACATTCTTTCATGCCTCTTTCCAGTCAGTCCTGCCTTTCTCCTACTATAACCCTTTCTGTAATTTAAAAGATTCCTTTTTTACCTATTGTTTTGCTTGTCCTAGAACACACAGTGAAAAGATACAATATGTGCTCTTTTGCGTAAGGTTTCTTTCATTGAGCTTACTTTTTCTTTTTTTTTTTTTGAGATTCATTCATGTTGTACTGTGTATCAGCAGTTTATTCTTTTTAAATTTTTGCATAGTATTCTATTGTAGGGATATACTAAAGTTTATTTAGCTGTTTTGCTGGTGATGGAGCCCTGGGCTACTCCCAATTTTTGACCCTTGTGAATGAATTGCTATGAATAATTACACACAAATCTTTTGTGGACATATGCTTGCATTTCTCACACAAATGAACCCAAGTGTGGAATGTTCTGTGTTTTTTAACTTTTATGAGAAAATGCCAGACTATTCTGCCCTTTTGTCAGCAAGGTACAACATCACATTGTGGTTTTGATTTACATTTCCTTGATCACTAGCGATGTTGAGCATTTTTTCGTATGTTTGTTGGCCATTTGTTTATCTTCTGTTGATAATTTTCTATTCATGTCCTTAGCCCATTTTTTGATGGGATCTTCTGTTTTTTTCTTGGTAATTTGTTTGAGTTCATTGTAGATTCTGGATATTAGTCCTTTGTCAGATATATAGATTGTGAAGATTTTCTCCCACTCTGTGGGTTGTCTGTTCATGCTGCTGACTGTTCCTTTTGTTGTGCAAAAGCTCTTTAGTTTAATTAAGTTCCAGCTTACCCCGGCAATAATTGCCATAACAAAAAAAAAATAAAAATAAATAGATGTTGGCATGGATGCAGTGAAAAGGGAACACTTCTACACCACTGGTGGGAACCACTATGGAAAACAGCCTGGAGATTCCTTAAAGAGCTGAAAGTAGAACTACCATTTGATCCAGCAATCCCACTACTGAGTATCTACCCAGAGGAAAAGAAGTCATTATATGAAAAAGATATTAGCATACTCATGCTTATAGCAGCACAATTCCCAGTTGCAAAAATGTAGAACCAATCCAAATGTCCATCAATCAGAGTGCATAAAAAAGTGGTATACATATATATATATGGTGTATATATATATATATATATATATAATGTGTGTGTATATATATATAATGTGTGTATATATATATAATGTGTATATATATGTGTATATATATATAATGTGTATATATATATGTGTATATATATATAATGTGTATATATATAATGTGTATATATATAATGTGTATATATATATAATGTGTATATATATAATGTGTATATATATATAATGTATATATATATAATGTGTATATATATATAATGTGTATATATATATAATGTGTATATATATATATATATAATGTGTATATATATATATATATATATATATATAATGTGTATATATATATATGATGGAATACTACTCAGCCATACAAAGGAATGAGTTAACGGTATTCACAGCAACCTTGATAGGACTGAAGACTATTATTCTAAGTGAAGTAACTCAGAAATGGAAAGTCAAACATCGTATGTTCTCACTCATAAGTGGGAGCTAAGCTATGAGGATGCAAAGGCATAAGAATGACACAGTGGACTTTGGGGACTCAGGGGGTAAGGGTGGGAAGGGGGTGAGGGATAAAAGACTACAAATTGGGTTCAGTATAGAGTACTCAGGTGATGGGTACACAAAAATCTCACAAATCACCACTAAAGAACTTGCTGAGGTAACCAAACACCACCTGTTCCCCAAAAACCTATGGAAATAAAAAATTTTAAAAAATAAGGTATGACAATAATGTATGAGAGTTCTAGTTGCTCCTTATCCTTATCAACATTTTATATCATTAGTTAAGCTCAGCCATTCTGGTGGCTGTAGAGTTCTATCACATGGTGATTTTCATTTACATTGGTATGATATTATTGATATCGATATGATAGCTAACGATGTTGAGCACTTTTCCATCTGCTTATTGATTATTCATTTACCTTCATGTATGACATGTTTGTTCAAAGGCTTGTCTCTTCTAAATTCATTTTTTTTTTAAGTGTTGAACTTCTACCACTACTGTAGGGGTTATCAGTTGTATAATGCCATTTTTCTTTTCCTATGGCTTATTCATTTTATTCATTGATTCTTTTTATGAGCAGAAATTTGAACTATTGATGCAGTCAAAATTATCTTTTTTTAAAGTTATTGCTTTCCATGTCCTTTCTAAGAAAATGTTGCCCATCCCTAAATCACAAAATATTTTTTCACAATTTTTTTCTAGAAGCTTTATAGTATTAAGTTTTATATTTGGGCCTATTGCCCATTTCAAATTAAATTTTGTGTAATGTATGAAGTAGAGATCAAAATTCATATTTCATAGTATGACTATCTGGATATTTTAGAACCTTTTATCAAATAGATATTGTTTCCCCATTGAATTACCTTGACATTTTTTATGAATATTAATTGGCCATATATTTGTAGGTCTAGTTCTATATTTTGTTCAACAAATCTGTATGTCTATTCTTATGTCAATACCAAACTAACTTGGAATCAGGTATTCTAAATATTTTCATTTTATTCTTTGTCTTCAACATTGTTTTGGCTATTCTAGTTCCTTTACATTTTCATAAAAATTTTAGATTCAGCTCATCAAGTCTTACATAAATGCCTGCCGGAATTTAGATTGTGATTAAGTTGGAGCTATAGGGAAATTTTGAGAGAATTAATCTTAACAATGTCAAGTCTCCAGTCCCATGGATATCTCCATTTATTGGATCTTCTTTTATTTTTCTAGCTCTGTTTAATGGTGTTCAGTGCAGAGTTCTTGCACATATTTTATTAAATTTATTCTCAACTATTTTATAATTAATTAAGCTATCATAAATGGAATTAAGTTTTTAATTAAATTTATAATGGTTCATTGCTGGTTTATAAAACCACAGTTGGCTTGTGTGTGTTGAGGTCATCTCCCATGACATAGCTAAATTTACTTTTTGATTATGGTAGTTGTGTGTAGATTTCTTAGAATTTCCTGTTAAAGGAGCCATGCCACTTGTGAACTGAGATAGTTGTTCTTTTTTCTTCCAAATCTTTATGCATTTGTTTTTCCTGACTCATTACAATGGCTGAAATACCTACTAATTTAGAATACAAATAATGTCAGTAAACAACTTAGGCTTGTTTGTATCTTAGGAGGGAAGAAGCTCGTAACATAGCATTTAGTACAGGGTCATAGTTTTTGTTTTTGTTTTAAATCAGACTGAGAAATCTTAACATCCTAATTTGGCAAGTTTTAACATTAATTGGTGCTCAATTTTATCAAATGATTTTTGTTAATTTATTTAAACAGACATTTGATTTTACCTTTAATTGTATTAACATGATGTATCCTGTTAATTTATTTTCAAATATTAAATCAACCTTGACTTCTTAGTATAACCCAACATAATGCATTATCTTTTTAATATATTGCTTTTATTTACTTATTTATTTATTTACTTATTTTATTTTATTTATTTATTTAAAAGTTTGCTGTGAATTTTTGCAGCTATGTTCAAGGGAGCTGTTGAGCTGTAGTTCTCTTTGTCTTACTATATTATTTCTTCCTTCCTTCCTTCCTTCCTTTCTTCCTTCCTTCCTTCCTCCCTCCTTCCCTCCCCATGGTTCCCTCCTTCCCTCCCCATAGTTTCCTCCTTCCCTCCCCATAGTTTCCTCCTTCCCTCCCCATAGTTTCCTCCCTCCCTCCCCATAGTTTCATTTCCTTCCTTCCTTCCTTTTTTCCTTCCTTCCATTCCTTCTTTCTTTCTGTCCTCTCTCTCTTTCTTTTGTATACATTTTGTATATTTTAGTACCTTAGTTTGCTAGTCTCAGCAAACATTGAGCTAAAATATCCCCCAAAACAAATCAGAAGATATTCCCTTCTTTTATATTTTCTGAAAGAGTTTATGGAGGATTGGTATTATTTCTTCCCTCAAGTTTTGATAGAATTCACCAGTAAAACTAATTGGGACTAAAGCTTTATCTGTCAGAAGATTATCAAAAATCAAATCAGTTTGTTTCATAAATACTGGGCTATTTGGATTTTCTGTTTCATCTTGTATCAGTTTTGATAAGTTGTATTTTTCCAGAAATGTGTCCATTTCATCTAAGTTGTTAAACTTATCAGCAAACAATTCTTCTTAATAATCTCTTGCTATTCCTGTAATGCCTATAGGATCTGCAATAATATAACCTCCTGTAATCCTGATACTGTTAATCTGTGTTATAGCTCTGTTTTTTTCTTGATTACCTAGCTATACAGTTATCTATTTTTTAAATTTTCAAAACCCAAACATTTGGTTTTATTGTTTTTTCATTCCATTGATTTTTTCTCTTATATTTCTTCTTTTTTTCTCTGTTTATTTTGCTTTTTATAGACCATTTTTACATTGAATCTTATACCACTGATTTTAGACTTTTTTTCTCCTCTAATATAAATACTTAAAGCTATTTATTTCCTTATATTACTACTTTAGCAGCATCCCACAAATTTTGGCACAGCATATTATCATTATTACTCAGTTTTCTTCTCACTGTGATGGGCAGAAAGTTCAATCTCTTTTCAGTCCCTTTAGACGTAGCTGGCTGCTTGGAGTCTGCACTGCACATGTATAGTTCAGGGGTCATCCAGTGATTTAGGCAGCATTTATATGCAGAATATTTTGCTCCTTCTGTGTGGTGCTCTTCCTTCTGGACTCCTCCCTACTTTCATCTTTCAGCTGATGATATTGTCCCAGATTCTTCCCCTGGCTTTTCAAGCCTGTTGGATGTTGGTTTCTTTCTGTGTTTTATCCACCTTGTATTCTGGATGAGGTCCTGACTGTGGGTAAAAAGAAACTTACACAGTGGTATTCCTTTACTTCAGATGTTAAGCCCTTTCAGTTTCTATATGTTTGTGGTGATTGCTGGTGTCTTCTGAAGGGTATAGCTGCCATCTATGGAAGGGTCTGTCTGGTAGTCTGTCTGATAAGAACTGCTTTGCTATTGCTGGAAGAATAACATTGGTGGGTTTATTTTTAATGACTTTTAAAAGCATAGATTTAGTAAAGCAGAGGAAAATCTGGTTGAAGAAAGTTAAAGAATAAATAATTGGCTGGGCGTGGTGGCTCACGCCTATAATCCCAGCACTTTGGGAGGCCAAGGCGGGTGGATCACGAGGTCAGGAGATCGAGACCATCCTGGCTAACCCAGTGAAACCCCATCTCTACTAAAAATACAAAAAATTAGCCGGGTGTGGTGGCGGGCGCCTGTAGTCCCAGCTACTTGGGAGGCTGAGACAGGAGAATGGCGTGAACCCAGGAGGTGGAGCTTGCAGTGAGCCGAGATTGCACCACTGCACTGCAGCCTGGGTGACAGAGCGAGACTCCATCAAAAAAAAAAAAAAAAAAAAAGAATAAATAATCAGTAAGGAAGTGAAGAGTTCAAGTGTAAGGACGTTTTTAGGAAAAGAAAGAGGGGAAATACTTCAAGACTGCATGTCCTGTGTAGACAAGTTTAAGCTTTATCTTGTCCACCAATGCATTTTAGGGCTTAATCCCATATATCTGGCCCATGTTAGGTGATTTATTAGTGTTTGTTGTATGAATTTGAACACGCTGTGCATCTATTATTTCCAAATCCTATAGTTGACATATATTTCGCACAAAATATTGACATATATTTAGCACAATATTCAATAGTTGACATATATGTGCTCTGTGCATCTATTATTTCCAAATCTTATATTTGACTTTTGCTGATAAGTTTAATTAGTCACTGTCCTAATTAGAATTCAAGTTTGGCTGCGTACAACAGGAACACAAAATAACAGTGACTTAAACAAGAGGAACGTTTATTTCTCTTTCGCATAAATGTCCAAGTTGATATAATGGCGCTCTTCTGCAAAGTCATCTGGGTGCTGATGATTTTTTTCTTATCAACACTCTTCCATGCCTTCCATGTTTTACTATATTTTAAGGAAAGAGCACAGGTGTTATACATGGATCACGTCTTCTTATACTTATTGGGAATAATTTAGTCACATGGTCACATAAAGCTGTGAAGGAGGCTGAGAAATATAGCCTTCTCTCTGGATAGCTACTTAACCAGTGGAAAAACCTATTACAATGGAAGAAGTTGAGAATAGAGATTGGGGGACAAGTTCCATAATGATAACAAAAAATCAGTAAAACAACTGTACTAGGGTTTTCACATTTTATTTCATTATTTATTTGGGAGTTTTACTCTTTTTAGAAATTGCTCTAGGGCTGCAATACATATCCTTCAGTTACCACCATCTACTCATTGTGTCACTTCATTTTTCACAAATGTAAGAACTTTACAAAATTATAATTCTATTTGACCATCTGATTGTGCTATTGTTATAATAGATCTTACTTCTATGTGTGTTAAAAACTACACTTCATTACTATTTTTTGATAATAATTTTCCTTTTAATAACACTAGTAAAAAAATAATCTGTATTTAAAAATATATTTAGTCACATATTTATTATTATGTGTGCTCTGTATTTCTTTCTGTGGATACATGCTTCCATCTGGTACAATTTCCCTTTGGCTTGAATAATGTTCTTTAGTATTTCTTATGGGCAGTTCAAATGCTACACATTCTCTCAAGTTTTTAAAAAAATTTCACTCTCATTTTTGAAAGACTTTCATTGGGTATAGAATTTTGCATTGAAAATTTCTTTTTCTGCTTTAAAGTTGCAATTCCATTGTTTTCTGGCCTTCATTCTTTCTGACGAGAAGTCAGCCATCATTCATGTTAGTCCCCTATATTTAATATGCTGGTTTTATTTAGCTGCTTTTAAGATGTTTTTCTTTTGCTTTAGTGTTCAACAGTTTTGCCATGATGTCCTTAGGCGTGTTTGTCTGTGTATTTATCCTACTTAGGATTTGCCATTCTTTGGGGATTTGTCAGTTAATATTTTTCACCAAATTTGTAAAAAATGTGATCATTATGCCTTCTTCTAAGGTTTTATCTGTCCCGCTCTCTTTCTCTCCTTTCCTTCTTGGATTCCACTTACATGAACATTAGACCACTTTAAATAATACAAGGTTGCTGGAGCGCTGGTCATATTTTTTAAACTCATTTTTCCCATTCTTCAGATTAGGTTAATTCTCTCTTTTTAAAAAGTTTCCCCACTCTTTCTTCTTGCATTTCTAATCTTCTCTTAAGCCTCTCAACTTTTTTTTAATGTTAGATGTTTTAGTTTTCTCTTCCAGAATACCCATTGGTTCTTTTTAATTACAGATTGTCCTTGACTTACAATGGTTTGACTTACAATTTTTTGACTTTACAATCACACAAAAGTGATCTGCAGTCAGTAGAAACCATACTTTGAGTATACATACAACCATTCTGTTTTTCACTTTTAGTACAATATTCAATAAATTTCATAAGACATTCAATGTTTTTTGTTAAATGATTTGCCTAACGATAGAATAATGTAGGTGTTTTGATCACGTTTAAGGCAGGGTAGGCTAAGCTATGATGGTTGGTACATTAGGTGTATTAAATGTGTTTCACTTACAATATTTTCAACTTACAATGATTTTAGCAGGATGTAACTCCATTGTAAGTTTATTAACATCTGTATTTTCATTTTCTAGTGAGATTCCCTATCCATTTACTCTTTAAGAATATATTTTAAATAAGTCTTTCAGCATCTTCACATAGCTGCTTTGAATCTTTGTCTCCTCATTCTATCATTCATGTCATCTAGGGAATATTTCTATTGAGTGGTTCTTGTTGATCACGGATAACATTTTTCTGGTTTTACATATGCTTAGTAATTTTTTAGATGTTGGACATTGTGTATGATCCATTGTAGGAAATCTGTATTGTGTTGTCTTCTAAAGAAGATTGAGCCTTGTTTTATGAAATTGTTAATTTATATGCTATTGTCCTTAACTCTGTCTAGGCTTGGTTTTCAGTTTTACTGAGGGAAAAGGGATCTGAGGTAGCTCTTACTTCGAGTCGCAGCCCTCACTCCTAATCCATACCTTTTCTGGCTTCTTAACTGAAAGTCCAGATGGTTAATGAGACCTCTTTGAAGCACCGCGAGACTTCTAGTATTGTTCTTCTCTAAACCCCATGGAGTTCAGCCACTCTCTGCTAGGATTTGAGAAGTTGTTCCCTGTGTGAATACAGCCCAGCCATTGGCCAACTGACCAACCTTTGTTCCATGGGGAACCCTGCACAGGCTTCTGTTCCCCTGTTGCAGCTCCTTTTCCCCTGTATTTGTCATCACAAATTCAAGCTGCTTCAGCACCACCAAATTCAAATATCCACCTCTTTAGCTCAGTGGGACCTCTGTGCACTGTCTTGTCCTCAGGAAGAGAAGTGGGGTAAATTTAAGGATCTCTTCATATGTTTTCCTCCCTCAGGGGTTTCAATCTTTGCTATCTTCCATTGCCTGAAAACATTTGCCTTATATATTCTGTCCAGATTTATAGATGTTTAGAGAAAGAAGGAAAGTTCAATACTGTTTGCTTTTCCAGAAGCAAGTATCCTAGGGCTTCTTCTTCACTTCATGAAGAACATCCTTAAAGCAGCACAGTCAGGCTCTCTTCCTTCTGGTGGTCCATACTGAATCCAGTCCAACCAAACATTTACTCATGGAGTGAAGATGCATTGTGTAAGACTGCAGGCTTTATCCATGGAAATTACTGTCATTCTCCTTCTTACTTTTCTTTTCCACTTTCCCTATGACATTATATGCCATTTCAAAGGAATTCCCCAGAATAAGGTCTCCTCTTGACAAGAGAAGAACACAGATGTTCCAAACGCTGGCTCCCATCTTCCTTACCACCCTTATTTCCAATATTCTCTCTTGAGGAATAGATATTAAACTCATTTGCTCACCACCCTGACTTGTCTTCACAGTTCTAATTGTAGAATGATACAGCCTTCCTTGATTGCCCTAGACCAAAGCAATCATTCTCCACTCTGACCTCTTGTCATTACTGTCTGAACAATTCACTTGGCAATTAATCATGTCTTGCCTTAGGTTATCTCTTCTCTTGTTGTCTAGAAATGATATTTGAATCTCTTATTATATAATTTCCCACAGAACTGTCTTGCCTCCCCTTCTACACTGTAAGCTTCTTGCTGGCAGGGTCTATGCCCCGCCTACCATAGTATGTTGCACGTAAAGAAGCATATATTCTGTGGTCGTTTGATCATGGTCACATGGCTGCTAGAAAGAATGTTAGCTCAGTCTGGGATACAGGCAATTATACTTGCAGAAGAGTTAAATCAGATGTGAATGCATTTATTTTATCAGACCTAGCCCATGTCTTGTCCTAAATTATTTGTCCTTCTGTATTAAGGAAAAACGCTTGCTAACTGCCCACAATGTTGAGCCTTAGGTTTAGACTAAGGAACTGCCGTAATTTCTGGAACCTCATCCCAGTGCACTAGAGAGAACCACAAATTAACTGAGCTTGCCCTGGTCCCTTTTCTACTTTATATTTTTGGGTTTGTGGTTCACACATAAGGTTCAAAGAGGGTAGTAAAGAGCTGATTCTCCGTCTTAGCCTTATCTGTCAGGAACCCCAGAATGGAGACACCAATGTTGGTGCTGAGTTTAAAAGGTGATATGGGGCATGGGGAAGGGGCGGGGGAAGAAGAGAGTCTGTTTCCAAATGATCTGGGCAGGGGTAGAGGCTTCCTGGGGAAAAATATCTAAGCATTAGTTTGCTGAAAGTGTCAGTAGTTAATGGGAAAAGTTTGTCTCAAATCATATTCCTTTGCTTTTAGCCATTGATTCCAGTATGACTATCTTAAGACAGCTAGTGGTAAGTGTGTGTAAGTCTCACAGATGTTCCCTACATTCTTGAAGTTTTTGCCCAGCTGATCAAGAAATATTATTTTTGAATATTTAATGATGTTATACAAATGTAGAGGAGGTTACTAGAATACGAGTACTGACAGGTGGCCCTGTCCCATTCCCTGCAGCTCCAAAACCCCCATTCTGAGCTGCAGGGGTATTGGTCCTTGTAGTGGGAGAGAAGATGAATCTCCTTATATCCTAACAGGTAGTTGGGTTTCCTACAACACTTTTACAACCAATCATATTCTCTTTCTGTATCTCATTCTCTCCCTTCCTCTCTTTCCTTTCCCTTTTCTTCTCATTCCCTTTCCCTCTCATTATCTCTCAGCTGGAATGCCTTCATCTTTTAGGCCACTGGCAGTATCTTAGGCCATGTGAACGTTTAGTCTAGCTGACAAGAAGCCTGGTGGAAGTCAGAGCCAAGACTAGGTCAGCATTTGACAAGATCAGGACTCTGGGACAATGTTCTCTGTTAACTTCTGAACTTTCAAAATGGTAGCCCGGTTCCAAGCATCACAACTTCCTGCAACTGTGTTCAAGTCATGACAAAAAAAGCCAGGAGAAAAGGAGCAAAGAGACCTTCATCTCTTAAGCTTTTCTCCTTTATTGAGAGGGAGACTGATATAGTTTGGCTGTGTCCCCACCCAAATCTCATTTTGAATTGTAGCTCCCATAATCCCCATGTGTCATGAGAGGGACCCAGTGGGAGGTAATTGAATCACAGGGGCAGGTTTTCCCATGCCATTCTCATGACAGTGAATAAGTCTCATGAGATCTGATGGTTTTATAAAGGGAAGTTCCCCTGCACAAGGTCTCTTGCCTGTCGCCATGTGAGACATGACTTTGTCCTTCCTTCAACTTCTGCCATGATTGTGAGGCTTCCCCAGACATACTGAACTCTGAGTAAATTAAACCTCTTTCCTTTATAAATTACCCAGTCGTGGGTATGTCTTTATTAGAAGCGTGAGAATACAGAGACCTTTCCCTGTATCCTCAAGTAGATCTCCACTAACATCATTGAACACAATGGGAAAAGAGGAATTGGAATGCCTTGATTGGCTTAGAGCAAGCATGATGAATCCTTAGGCCTGGGGAGAGGGCCTGTGTACCTTTCATAAGTACATAAATATCTGTGCTCAAAGCTGAAAAATTTGGAATTACATTATCAAAGAAAGATGGAGAATGACTCTTAAGGAAGAATCTAATGTGTATATCTGTTTCCCTCCTACCCCAGGAAAGGCGGATCACCAAATTTAACACAGAGACAACACCCCTACTTGGTTTTCATTGGTTTTCTTGTAGTAGGCTGTTGTATGGAAGAGAACATGCAGTTTTGAATGAGAAGTCTTAGGTTCAAATTCTGGCTTTGCTATTGGTTAATTGTAAGATCTTGAGCAGGTTATTTAACCCACCCCAGCCTCAGCTTCGCAGCATGGAGAGTAGAGGTAATGGTGATGTTAAGGAGGATTCAGATAAGTGTGGCTACCATCTCTTAGGTACTCATGTGCATGCTGGGCACTGTGGTAGGCAGACTTCTAAGATGCTACCAAGATTTCCATCTCTTGCCACAGACACCCTGTATATTCCCTTCTCTTTGAGTGGGAGAGGGACTTGTGAATATGATGGATGCCACTTCTAAGTGATGGCCAGTGGCAAAAGTAGAAATACTCAATTAATGTTCCTAATCAGTTGAGTTAACCAAAAGGGTGTTTTCCTTGGGTGGGCCTGACCCAATCAGTGGAGCCTTTTCAAAGAAGGTCCAGGACTTTTTCCAAGTCAGAGGCTGTAAACAGAAGAGACTTCTTTCTGTTGCTGGCTTTGGAGAACAAAGCTGCCATGAATTCTATAGTCCTAAAGAAATTATTTCTGCCAAGCACCTGAGAGAGCTTGAAAGTGGATCCTCCCCAAGTGGAGCCACTGATGAGAATGCAGTCAGCTGGCACCTTGATTTTAGCTTTGCAAAATCCTGAGCAGAGAACCCAGCCATACTATGCCAAATTTCTGAACTACAGAAACCATAAGATATTAAATAAGTGTTGTTTTAAGCCTCTAAATTTGTGACAATTTGTCACACACACACTGCAGTAGGAAACTAAATGATATGGTTTGAATCTGTGTCCCTGCACAAATCTTATGTTGAATTGTAATCCCCAGTGTTGGAGGTGGGGCCTGGTGGGAAGTGACTGGATCATGGGGGCAGATTTCCCCATTGGTGCAGCTCTTGCGATAGTGAGTGAGTTAACATGAAATCTGGTTGTTTAAAAGTGTGCGGCGCCTCCCTTCCCACCCTCTTCCTCCTGCTCCTGCCATGAAGGACATGCTTGCTTCCCCTTCCCCTTCTGCCATGATTGTAAGTTTCCTGAGGCCTCCTCAGCCAAGCCATGCTTCCTGTACAGCCTGCAGAACTGTGAGCCAATTAAGCCTCTTTTCTTTATAAATTAACTAGTTTCAGGCATCTCTCTCTCTCTCTCTTTTTTTTTTTTTTTTGAGACAGAGTTTTGCTCTGTCACCCAGGCTGGAGTGCAGTGGCATGATCTTGGCTCCCTGCAACCTTAGCCTCCCAGGTCCAAGCAACTCTCATGCCTCAGCCTCCCGAGTAGCTGGAATTACAGACATGCACAACCAAGCCTGGCTAATTATTTGTATTTTAGTGGAGATGGGGTTTCACCATGTTGCCCAGGCTGATCTCAAACTCCTGAGCTCAGGCAATCTGCTCGCCTCAGCCTCCTGAAGTTCTAGGATTACAGGTGTGAGCCACGGTGCCAAGCCCAGGTATTTCTTTATAACAGTACAAGAACTGACTCATATACTAACACTGATAAAGTTCTAAACCCTTTATAGACCTTACCCACCCAATGCACACCACATCCTGGTAGGGTTGGGGCTATTGTCTCTCAGGGCTTTTGTAAGCAACAAAAGACAAATCATGTGATGTCCATTTTATAGTTTGCAGATTATTCAGGCGCCTTTCTTTCTCTTTCTCTTGTTGCCCGCTTTCAGGTATGTCTGCTTCCTAGATCCTCTAACTTAGAGGAGGCCAGTTTGAGGAAAACAGATGAAACTCCTGACTGTTACTTGCATTTCTAGCTGACCACACTGGTAAACAGCATGGCTGGAGATGAATAGGTGGCTTCCGCCTTTATGTTGCAAGCTCCTTAAGGACTAAGTGACATATTAAGCCTGGCACACAGTAGGTGTTCAGTCATCATGCACCGAATTGCATTAAGGGAAGTAAACTCAAAAGGCAGATTGAAAATAGAACCTTTAAAGTGTTTGAAGTTTTCCCTTAGCTCGTGTTATGCTGAGCGCCAATTACAGCATATAATTGGGTTTAGATGGGGTTCTACCCAGCATGGGCGTTTAGATTTGTCATTCTCTCTCTGGGATGGCAAGGAGAGAATTTTCATGTTCAATGAGCTTCTTATTGACCCACACAGTGTGGAATCTCTTATAATAAATCATACATCTCATCTCATGCCACTGCAGCTGACATTCCCTGGGATTATGAGTGTATAAACCAGGAGATGCTTGTGGTTGGCACAAGCAAGTTCCGGAGCACCAGCTACTTGCTGTTTCTTTTGCATATCCACCTTCAGGTGGAATTTGGAGTGGACGCAGGGGCACACGGGCCTCACTCTTTCATTCTGCATTGAAGAGCAGTTCACCCAACCTCCTAATCATTAAAGACCTGATAGTGTATTATTTATAGGTGGGCAAAGAGCAAAGCTCTTTTTTGAGGGAGAAACAAACAAAATTAAGCCAAGCTAGGGAGGCTGGAGCCAGACGTGCTGTCCCCATAGAGCTCAGGAAATTAACCCAGCATGGAGGTGATGTCTTCCCAAGCGGTGTGTACACAAGTGTTTGGAGCCATGTGGCCAGGAAAAAGTCTGCCTCTTGCTGACTTTGAAATAGCGAGAAATCACTCTTTTTCTCTGGATATATGTTTGCACTGTAAACTGTGAACTGTCCCTTTCTGAGGTCCAAGCTAGCGGATTTAAAGGTGAGTCATCAGATCAGCTTATTTTGTTGCCCTAATGCCTCCTTTGTGTTTAAACTGAGTAGGTCTGGTTAACTGGACTCAGCTGAACAGGTGGGGAAAGCACTTTTGCAGAGACATCATCTGTGATCTGTTCATTCTATAAGTATTCAGAGCAGCTCTACATATTCTTTGTGATATGTTTTTAATTTCCCCATTGAAGCTCTGCTGTGACATATTCACCTTGGTGCCTCTCTCGTTACTGAGAACCACCTTCCTCAAGCAACATCCTTGTCCTCCAAGGTGAACTGCAACAGAATGCAGGTTGGGTTTTGTGCAGTTTTCCCCATTTATTATTATTTTAAATTCGGATTTATTTTTTCTAATTCTGCAAATTTTAAAACATTTTTTAAATGTTTAATACAAACTTGCTGGAAGTATTCTTGCTTGGGAATCATATTGTTATTTATGACATTTCTGGAAACAAGAGGGTGGCATTAGATTGAGCTGCAGCTGAAGGAAGTAAATAGCTTTTGAAGGTAATGCATTTTATTCCCACCCAGAGGACCCCCATAGGCCCTGGCCTGCAACAGCCCAGAATACAGCAATATTGCCCAATTGCAGTGTAACCGGCCTATCAAGCCAGCGGCCTTCAAGAGCCATGATTTGCAATTCCAGGAGAAAACTCTGAAATCAGTGGATAGAAAATGAGAGGCCCTCTGAGAAATTAACCAAGTCTTTGACTGTGTGGGGAGGGTCAGTGCCTTCCTGCAGCATGAACTGACATAGCACATCCATGGTGCAGGCTCTCCCTTGCTCTCTCAAGCCCAGGCCACCAGGGCTCCTTCTCTGCAGGTGGCTCATGTGGTGCAGGGTGGGCCCCCATGGGCAGCACTGGAATCTCTGTGTAGAAAGGCAGCAACTGGCCCATCAAGGGCTCCCTTCCTCTGCCATGGGCCATGAGGTGATGATGGCAGGAACCAAGATCAAGTATCCCAAAAGTAATCTGTGCTTCTCACAGCAACTAAGAAATGCAATGTAACTTTTCATTCCAAGACTGTAAGATTGATTAACTCTGAGTGGCAAGCATAGACAGCAGCATGGATAAAATCACCTTGACAAGATTTTAAGGGGGCATGGGATGTTGAATGGATGAGTTTCCCTGAAACTTTAGGTCTCTTGTGTATCCCATCCCCCATGCCCTAAACTAACTGGGAATATGGGTCTTGGAACAGTTCTTCTTGTGTTGGTTCATTCATTTTTCCTTGTTCAAAGCTGCCCTATTCTCTTTGAAAAGATATTTTATAAACATTGTGGTTCTAGGATTCTAGACTTAGCCAAACAAAAACAATTTCTCCTCCCCAAACACTCCAGCTCATAAATATGCATTAGGTGCCTATCATTTACAGCCTGGTATATGGCACATGGGCAGGGATGAGTGAGGAGGGCAGCAGGTGATGAAGGGAAAATGGGGTGGAAACCCTGAGTGCAGCAAGCGTAAGACCCAGCCCTTCCTCATGGGATGCGAGCCCTAAGGAGGCTAGAAATATCTTGACTCCAATGAGTGAATCAGAGGCATTAGCCCTGACTCTGTGTCCCCATGATCAGAAAAGTGCTATCAATGGCAGTGAGGCTAAGGTGGTGTGGGCGCCACAGGTTGGGGAGGTCAGGAGCAGATTCACAAATAAGATGAAACTTTAGGTCTTGAACAAAGGGTGGAATTCAGAGAAAGGAGGAAGGACACACCAGCCGTGGAACAATGGACACAATACCATGGGGAAAACAGCCTTGAACTCAGACGGGAATGACCAAGGATCAACAATACCAGCATTCATTCCTGCTCTCTGTGATGTCAATGTGCCATTTGATTTTCATGGGGCACTCATTGTAGGCTAAAAATGACTGGAGGATGTGAGGCCCCCCCAAGCCTGCTGTTTGTCTGAACAGGGATACTGCAGGGAGATTAGAAGCATCCTCAGCTTGTGAGTCTGCATTTGCCCCCTGTCTTCCCACAACCTCTCCTCTTTGCTTTCATCTGCACAATGCCATGGAGACACCCTCTCTACTTTTTGCATCACCCTGACTTCCCTCCCTCTGAGATTGGCCAACGGGAAGTACTTGCAGGAGGTCAAAGACCGGGAGGTCTCTACTCAGCACAGTTAAGGAAGTGGCTGTGACATCTAGCAGGTGACCCGTTTTTCAGAATTCCTGCTCTCATGGGACTCCAGTAGCACAAGCCTAGGGATGGTAAAGCCTTTCCACACTTGCCTGGGTACCTTACTATCTCTTGTTGGCTCCTTTAACTTCATCTATCTCCTGTCTTTTGTTTCCTGCTAGAATCTGACTGATACACCTTCCTTTCCCACTTACTTGAACATCTGCATCAGGTAAGTATTTTTCAGTGAAAGTGACAAATCCACTTCAAAGTGTCTTAATCATTGAAGGGAATGGATTGGTTCATAAAACTAAAAAGCTCAGGGGTATCTAGCTTCAGGCACAGTGGTATCCAGGTGCTCTGTGTCTCTTGGCCCTCCTTTTCTCTGTGTTCACACGAGCTCTTCCCTTGTCAGAGGCCAGAGAGTGATCATGAATTCCAGGCTGGCGGTTCCACCAGCTGAGTAACCACAGTGGAAAAACAACCTCTCCTTCCAACAGATTCCCTGCAGAAGCTGTGCTAGTTGATAATCACTCTTGATTGGCAAGACCTGACTCACATGTCTACTTCCGGATTGGGGATGAGGAAGATGGGTGGGTGGAAGGTGCACAATGGGCAGACCTTCCTCCGCCGCAGAAACTGGGAATGGGGAGTGTGTATTTTCCCAGTGGAAAATTAGGAGGAAGAGAATGCTGGACAAGTGAAAATAAAAGATGTTTGTCCTGAGCTTGAACCTGGTTTATGGAACGCTCTCAACTCAGTGGAAATTTGTTCCTCAATCTCTTTCACTAACCATGCTATGTTAAGCCCTCCTTTCCTGTTACTTAAGAATGTCTCGGTTGCTGCTGGTCATTCAAATTAGTCCAGTCCTGTTTAAAGTTCTAATTTTGTAAATGTTTCAACACTCTTCTTGACCCTGTGTGGCCCAGACCCTCAGCTAAAGAACTTGGATATGGTTGTGTGTGTGCCCATGGGGTGAAGAGGGGGCGAGGAAAGAGTAGGTCACTCCTGTTCCCTCCACCCTTTTGTAGTTTCTAACAGGGATGTCCAAGGGAAAGAATACAGGCATGGGTTCTTAGTTTCTGTTTCTGGCTGGGCTAGTAATGCCCCCTTTTCATCCCTCTTTTCTGCTTATCACTAGAGACGGAAACTAAAAAACCACAGCTTCAGGCTACTAAAAGCCTCAAAAAAAAAAAAAAAAAGCAAGACAGAACAACAGTAACAATAACAACAAAATAAGGTGGATTGGACAAGCTTGGTAACACCTCTGGTGTCGGGGATTGAAGAGGGAAAACAACGGTCAAATTATGCAAGGAGCAGCTCTTGGTAATGGTGAGCTGTCCTTTGTCCTGAAGTGGCTCAGTTGAGTTATGGCCTCTGCTGATGAATGTCTCTGTGCAGAGGCTGAGTGTGGTTTTATCGGGGTGTGATGTTCCTTCTTACTGCAGGAGCCTCCATCACTGAGGATGGCTCAGAGGGATGCAGGTCTCCACATCCCACCCTTCTCCACCTGCAGCATCTTCACGGCATCTCCGTAACTCCTGCATCCTCCTCTAACCTCCGTAATTCTTCATATGAAACCAAGGGAATCCCAGAAGATTTCTCTGTGAACTCTGAGAGTTGTGGAGGATCAGGGTAAGGTGGGAGTTTCTCCATCTTCCTTCCCAGACCCAGTACATGCCATTTTCACATTGTCCTGCTGGAGCTGGTATTTCAGCAAGTTCTTTGGCATCAGGTATAAAATAGGCATAGATCTGTGTTCAGATTTCCCCTCCCAAATTCAAGAGATTCATGTCATTCTCTCACAAGGACCCTCTTATTATTGTGTCCCAGCATTAGAGTGGGTCTGCAAGCCTTGCTGGAAATGAATGCTCAGTAAATCGGTGACCACAGAATTGATTGGCCAAACCTGGACACTTACGAGAGTGAGAGGGGATGCTACTAGAAATGACTCTGAGACAATGGGTGAATCTGCCCCAAGTGAGCCAAGATGTGCAGCCATCCTATCTGTAAGTGATTCTTCTAGATCCCTGAATTAGTCCATTTTGCATTGCTCTAAAGGAATACCTAAGGCTGGGAAACTTATAAAGAAAAAATGTTTATTTGGCTCACAGTTCTGCAGGTTGTACATGAAATATGGCACCAGCATCTGCATCTGGTGAGAGCCTCAGGAAGCTTCCAATTATGATGGAAGGGGAAGGGGAGTTGGCGCATCAGGTGGTGAAAGGAGGAGCAAGAGAGAGATGGAAGGAAGGTGCATACTATGTAAGCAACCAGCTCTCTTGTGAACCATTAGGGTGAGAACTCACTCATTACCATGACAATAGCACCAAGCCATTCATGAGGGATTCGCCCCCATGACCCAAACACCTCCCCCAGGCCCTACATCCAACATTGGGGATCACGATTCAACATAAGAATTGGAGGGTACAAATATCCAAACCATATAAGTACCATCCCCCCTCCCCCACCAAATACACACTCTCTAGGTGATTTGGGATAGAGAAGAGTGAAGCTCCCCTCCATCAGAAAGAAGGAAATGACCTCTTACCATAACCCCATGTTTTTCTTCCACAATCCCCAATCTGCCAATCCTGATGCTTCTCACTCTCTTCCTGTCTCAGGTTCTGTGCAGGCTTGGGAGGAGGGTTTGGCAGGGCAGCTCATGGGAGATGTTCCAGCTGCCTCAGGACGCTCAGATGATGTGTGCTTACGGCTTCCCAGGAGTTCTCTTTAGATGTGTTTGAGTCTGAAAAGAACATCGTGTTCTCCTCAGATGTGCTCACAGTTCTGCAGGTTGTGCAAGAGGTATGGAACCAGCACCTGCTTCTGGTGAGGGCCTGGAAGCTTTCTTCAGTTTTGGGGACTTAGCAACAATTATGAGGCCATAGGAACAATCTACCTAGCCTAGTCTCTCCATTGCAAGCAACAGGAAAAAGCCTTTGGTTAATTTAAATAGCAAATAAATTTATCCAAGGACACTGATGACCCGCCAAATATCTGGGAAAGCCAGAGAGCCAGGTTTGTGAGCTACGCAACAAAATGACACCCCAGAATTGGTCGTGCTCCGCCGATACTTCAACCCTGCTCCATGGCTGTGCTGTTAGAACCCCTGCCACTGAGACTGCTTCACTTGCAGTGTGGCAGCTGCTGCCCACCCTTGCTAGGCAAAATTTTCCACTTCCCCGTGTCTTTTCACCATCGTGTGCCAAAGCAATACCTGCAGAGTGTACATCTGGCTGCCGGAGCCTGAGTCATGTGCTTCACTCCTAGAGGCAGAAGAGGAGGGAAAGCAAGTCCTGGGCCATCTGGAATTTTCTGTCTCTAGAGTAGGTGGCTAGCTCTGCCTTCCTAGGTGGGCATTTCTACAATGCTAGGGAGGGGGTTCAGGTGTGGTGTGCTCAAGGTATGCAGTGTCCAGTGCACCCAGGGTGGCCGGCTGAATGACGGTCCTTTAGGATGTCAGGTCCTAATCCCTGGAACTGCAAATATGTGACCTGATATGGCCAAGGGGACTTTGCAGATGTGATTAAGTTGAGATGGGGAGATGGTCCCGGAGGATCCAAGTGGGCCCTGACATCATTACAAGGGTACTTGTAAGAAAGAAGCAGAGAGACATATGACAACAGAGATGAAGCAGGAATGGCTATGACAGAAGCAAGAGGTGGGAGTGATGTCAGGAGGGGCCACAAACCCAGGGATTCTGGTGGTTTCCAGAGGCTGGAAAGAGCCAGGACATGGATTCTTCCCGGAACCTCCAGAGGAACCCATACATTTCCCAGATGTAGCTCCGTAAGTCTTATTTTGGATGTCTGGCCTCAAGGTCTGTAAGATGATGTATTTATGTTGTTTTAAGTCACCAAGTTTGTGGTAACTTGTTACAGCAGCATCAGAAAAATGGTACACCCGGCCGGGTGTGGTGGCTCATGCCTGTAATCTCAGCACTTTGGGAGGCCGAGGTGGGTGGATCACTTGAGGTCAGGAGTTTGAAACCAGCCTGGCCAACACGGCAAAACCCCGTCTCTACTAAAAAACACAAAAATTAGCCAGGCATGGTGGAACGTACCTGTAATCGCAGCTACTCAGGAAGCTGGGGCACGAGAATTACTTGAACCCATGAGGCAGAGGTTGCAGTGAGCAGAGATCGCACCACTGCACTCCAGCCTGGGTGACAGAGTGAGACTCCATCTCAAAAAAAAAAGAAAGAAAAAAGAAAAAAAAAGAAACATGATACACCCAGTAAACACCTGTGGACTGAACGAGGAAAAGAGAATCTTTTCTAC
Source organism: Homo sapiens (assembly GCF_000001405.40). Classification (NCBI taxonomy): domain Eukaryota; kingdom Metazoa; phylum Chordata; class Mammalia; order Primates; family Hominidae; genus Homo; species Homo sapiens. Next base: position 5,195,600 of record NC_000001.11, on the reverse strand, counting down.
CTCCTTTGCAGGAATTGAGTAGATGAGAAGAGTGGGGTCTGGGAGGAGGAGCTGCTCTGCCATGAAGGCAGCAGGGGGCTTTCAGCTGCTCCTGCTGGAGAGAGAGAATCATCCCCAAAGCACCGGCTCTCGTGCTGTGTGGCCTTGGAGTTTAACCAGTAAGGGAGAAAGACGTTCGCAAATCTCCCTTACACCAGGCAAACAAGGAGAGCTGTTTGGAGGCACAAGCCAATTGCAGGCCCATGATTGAAAACAACTCATGCTTAAGGGCTTAGGGCGTCTGGAGGAAAAGAAAATGTTCAGGGAGAAATTGTTGAGGACATAGCTCTTATATCAGCTGGAAAATTCATCACACACCGTGCCTGTGCTATTGGCATTGACTTGCACCTGTCTCTGAATCTCCTCTGGGGAGGAAAAGTTCCTCTGCAGTTGGAATTCTCTTATGTGGTGGAGCAGGGGGGATTCAAAAGTTTGCACATTCCCTGAGCCACCTTTAGGTTTAGTAAATGGGGCTTTCTGCCCCCCTTCTCTCCCCCATGTGCTCCCCAGCTTGTGGTGGTATGGGAAGAACAGTGGGGTTAATAGTTTGTTCTAAATTGTGGGGTGTCTGTGGGGGGAGTCACGTTGGGGCAGCATGAATAGCTCAATTGTCAGCTTCACGTGGGCTGATCTCAGGAAGACTCGCTTCTAGTCTTCTGTCATGAATTCACTTGGAATTCCAAACTCTTACCCATTTACGCCTAGTGTTCCATTATTGGAATGCTACGCATGTAGGAGTTATTTATATCCTACTGCTCAAGGTCATTGCCAAGGCCTGATTGCAAAAATTCAAAAAATTGAAAAATTCCTACTCTTTCTAGAATATTACTTCTTTGGAAGGCATCTTTTAAAATGATGGTTCCATTTGGTGAACCATGCATTTGAAGGAGATGACCAAGGCCAGGTGGGGGAGATGAGAAGAGAAGCTTCCTCTCCAGCCAGCCAGGCTCCTGGACACTGTCTGTGTCTTCCCCACCCAGCTGCCTTCATCCTGTTATAGGGTCACTTAGCACCATGTGGTTATTTACTTTACAACATGTATCTTGGTTTTAAAGAAGTAGTTACCTGCACTGCACTCAATGTCTGTCCACTCTATTGCAACAGGGGCTTCACAGGGCAGGCCCACAGCTGCCTTGTCCATAGCTGTATGCCCTTCCCATGCCATCTCCCTCCCACAGTGCCCTGTTCGGTCTCTCATATGTACGTTTCCCAGCTCCTTTATCTATTTGTTTGTTCATTGTCTGCTCATTCTGCCATTGGAATCCTAACTCCCTGGGAACTCAGTCAACTCCTGCCTGTTTTGTTCACTGAATAGACAGGAAGTTAGGGAATCTCTTTTGCCTTTAGATTTCTATGTGAAGAGAAACCTGACAGGATGATACCCTGGCCTTTGCCCCTCAGTTCCATATTGGGTGACTTCTTGGTGGTTGAGTTTGGGTAGGAACTGGCCTCACAGCTGCTCCTCGAGGTCAGCCTGCCTGTCCAATCTCGCTGTAAGGGCTCTGTCCTGAAACTGAAAGCTTGAGCCTGCCTAATTCTGTGTTCTGTGTTATAAAACCCATATTGCCACATACCTCTAGTCCAGCCTTTATCAGCAAGGATGCTGATGTTTCCATCTCCATCTGTCCAGATTCTGTTTCTATAGCTCTGTGGTTCCAATCTTGGTCAGAGAACAAAGGGGTCATTTATGGGACTCATTGATCCTCTATGCACAGCTCCCTCTCCAAGGCCTACAACAGTGACTGGCACATTGTAGATACTCAGTTGACTTTTTACTGTTTAAATGAATGGATGGATAGATGAATGAATTCAGTGCTTATGATAATGATTCACAAATAGTAAGCCTTACAAATATTTGTTGAAATACTTCATTAAATTAAGCAGATACCTATGGAGTCCTGTACGGTATTTTTAAAAAATGTCCTGGATTCTCTGTTTGTAATTAACACAAATCTCAAGATGAATTGCCAAATCTGAAGGGAGTGATTTAGGTTGGGAGTTATTTGTGTTTATTATTTCAGCACATGTCATCACCAGTTGAAATTTCAATACTACAAGCCTGCAAGCCAACATGATTCTTAAATTTACTAAGGACTCATGTTAATCAGAATTCCCAGCTGAAGTTACCTGGGAAAAGCAGAAAATTAATTTTGTTTTTTTCTCCCTCTACAGCTTTGCTCCTGCACTCATTTTTCTTTCTCTACTTGGCTTTGCAGTTGATGAAAACATAACTTTGACTCTGTGTTTTTGTTTGTTTGTCTGTTTGTTTTTAAGACAAAGTCTTGCTCTATTGCCCAGGCTTGAGTGCAGTGGCACGATCTCAGCTCACTGCAACCTCCACCTCCCAGGATCAAGTGATTCTCCTGCTTCAGCCTGCAGAGTAGCTGGAATTACAGGTGTATGCCACCACACCTGGCTAATTTTTGTATTTTTAATAGAGACAGCATTTTGCCATGTTGGCCAGGCTGGTCTGGAATTCCTGGCCTCAAGTGATCTGCCCACCTCGGTCTCCCAAAGTGCTGGGATTACAGGCGTGAGCAAAGGCGCCCAGCCAGAAGTTTGACTCTTGAAAGAAAGAATTTTCTATTCTGGTTTTTGAATGCTATCACCATGCTTGACTTTAATTTTCTAAATGATCCAGGTCTGACAGGGATTTGGAATTGATTATGTTGGTGAATAAATCAATCTGAACTTAATTATTTTAAATCCAAAATATAGCATGTGTGAGTGTGCATGTGTGTGGTGTGTGTGCAAGTGCATGCACATCCAATGTTCTCTTGATTTAACCCATTTATGCCTGAGGTTGCAATTTTTTGAATGTTTGCAATAAGACCTTGGTGATGACCTTGAGCCATAGAATATAAATAACTTCCAAATGCTTAACATTGCAATAATGGAACACAAGGCATAAATGGGTAACAGTTTGGAATTCCAAGTGAGTTCATGGCAGAACATCACTGTGGTGCTTCCTTCTATGTCCCTGTCTCAGTAAGTGTACTTCCTGATTGATAGATAGGTCTTGGTGGTGCTATTTGAGAGGACAGCCTCCTTTATTAGAAAGGATACTGATGTCCGCACAACTAATAGGAAGTTATGAATCATTTCCTTGAAGAACACTCTTTAGAATTTCAGGAAATGAGTGTTTGGGAAAATGAAATTTAAGATGTTAAAGCAGATTTTTTTAAATGTAATTGGAGATGTCCCAAATAATAAGAGGCACGAAGCTTATCAAACGTGCTGGAGTCTTTCAGATCAACCATAGCTGCAGTTCCAGTTTTCATCAAGAAAATGTAAGCAAGACAAACTTCACTTGTCTGTTTGCTTTCTGGTGTGCATACATGCCAAGAAGTACTTCAACTGTATTCTCTCATTCCCTGATATTTTGGGGGATGTGGCACCAAAAACTCAGCCACTCGTCTAGAGCAATAGGTTAAGTCTGCCAAGATTTCAGTTAATACATAGCATCCAGGAAACAGCCTTTGTAGATTGACCAGAACTGGAAGAACAGTGGGCCATGCACAGGCCGGGCATCCCTCCATCCAGAACTGGGACCAGAGAGCGTGTGCTTTTTCTGTCGTCTTTATTGTCCAACATTTGGAGGGACTCTCAGCTGCTTTGTTTTGCTTTACGTTTTGTTCTAGAGAAAGAAGGCAGGAGAGTAGGAGGTGGTCCTCCAAGGGGTTGATGATATTTGGAGAGTGGTGTGTGTGTCACTGAGAAAAGATTCCTGGAAATCCCCTCATAGAAGACTTAGAAACCTAATTGACTTAATTACAGGATGGAAGGAAGGGAATTACCACGCACATGCCAAGAGGGACCCAGATGTTACTTTGAATCATTTTGCCTCCTGGTAAACTCTTTTCAAGTAGGAAAAAGGAAAGGCTTGAAGCTTAAACAAAAGCAGCTCAGCTGGAAACAGATATGCTCCCTGACACTATGGCAACGTGAGCGCACAGCCACAAAGGGGTGCAGCCCTGCTCTCCTATGTCCCTGGTAAGCTTGCTTTCAAGGTCAAGTTGACGACGCACAACATCTTGCATCCTGCGTATTCACAATGAGTGACAGGGAGCTGTGGGCCAGCAGGACAGGCACAGAAGTGGATCTCCATGAGGAATCCAAAGAGGATTAACGAATTTTCACAGTTCTGGATTTCACTTTTACTGAAAACAAATATTTGTAAGTGCTGGGGATATATTTTAGAATAAAGTATGTAGATATAGATTCATATACATATCATATATATATTTGTACATACATATTTTTTCCAAACATCTGACCGTGACTTTATAGAAATGTTGAAAAGAATAGGAAAAAGGCAAATATGTTATTTGAATAGATACAAGTGGACATTTTTCATCATTCTGGTGACTTGAAAGCTCCACCCCTCTCACCTTGACCTGTTCCAATAGGACATCATTCCCCTATTTTACTTTTCATGTGTCAAAACCAGACCACCATAGTGATGAAACATTTCTCACAGGCCACCATGGAGGTGATGAGATTTGAACCTGGAACACCTGAGAGGTTAGTTTTTCATTCAGTCTCCAGGGTCATACCATTTCCAACAGACATTGTCTTCTGAACAAGACTAGCCTGCCTGGCTAATTAAAAAATGCATTTGCCAGCCGGGCTTATGCCTATAATCCCAGCACTCTGGGAGGCCAAGGCAGGTGGATCAGTTGAGGTCAGGGGTCTGAAACCAGGCTGGCCAACGTAACGAAACCTCACCTCTACTAAAAATACAAAAATTATTCAGGTGTGGTGGCAGATGCCTATAATCCCAGCTACTCAGGAGGCTGAGACATGAGAATTGCTTGAACCCAGGGGTGGAGGTTTCAGTGAGCCGAGATCATGCCATTGCACTATAGCCTGGGTGACAGAGTAAGATTTTCAAAAAAAAAAAAAAAAAAAAGACAAAACAAAACAAAAAACCCAAAAAACAAACAAAGAAAATACATTTGTCTACCATTTAATCTAATGCACCTATTACAGGGCAGAAGGTGAAATGTCTTTGGTACTGTGGCCACACCATCTTCCCACAGCATCCCTAAAGGTGCAGGTGTCCACGCACCTGCACAGAGGTGGGTCTCTTCTGAATGGAAGCAGCATGCCTGCTGTGAGCTCTGGCTTTTGGCTTGGGTCCTTTGCCAACGTGTCTTCAGGATTAAGAGTCGTATCTTGCTTGTCTTTGATTTCCCAGCGTCCAGGTCAGTGCTTCCCTTGATGACCAGTGAAGAAGCCAAAAGAAGGTTCTAGGCTAATATTCAATAATTGGCTCCTGAAAATACAACTTTTGTTGTGCCTATTTCGTTAGCCCTTGGGAGCTTTGTAAATGTTGAATACCAGGAAAGATATAAGATAAGATACAGGTAAGTTGAAAGAGATAAGACAGAGTCTTTATCTGGGACACCATGGAAGCAGTCTTATTTGAAATATTCTCTGCTCTGTTGCATTCTATACAAAGAAAGAGGGATAGGGAATAAGAGTTTCTCTCAACACATCTTTGGGCAACTAATAGAACTAAGGACCTCTGTGGTGCTGAAGAATGCATGGCCTGGTCTCTGCCTGCAGCAGCCTTGGTCCCACAGTGGAGATGGGTGCCCACTCAACACAAGGGAGATGGGTGCCCACTCAACACAGGGAAGTTCAAGTGGGCTGCTTGCTCAGAAATGCACAGAGGAACTGAGCCACTTGCTCTGTGGATCTAGAGCACCTTCTGGAGGAGATGGATTTTTAGCTGAGCCTTAAGTGGGGTGTCATTTGGGCATTTGGGAGAATTCAAGAAGGGAATTCTGGATGGAGAGAGCTGTGGGATGCAAGGAATCGATTCAGGGAATCACTAAGTAAGGCACGGGAACAGTAAGAAGAAAGCAACGGTGGTTGGATAGAAAAAGCAGGAAGTTTAACCCACTCTCCTAATATGCTCAGATATTCTCAACCACTCAGAGCTGGCACCATGCCAATGGCTGGAGATGCCAAGGCCGATAAGTGGACTTGGTCTCTCCCCAATGATGCTATGATGCTTACTGTCTAATTGGAGAGTTGGACAATAAGCAAATAGGCACACAATTAAATGAACAATTGTAAATTCTGAAAGGACTCTAAATAAAAAGAAAAACAGCATAGCAGTTAAAGGCATAGCAGAAGCAACCCCACAGATAGAGCAACCCTAAGAAGATGACGCAGAGAAGCCAGGAGTAGCATGAGAATGAGTGCAAGAAGCCAATCTTGTGAACACGATGAAGAGAGGAGCTGCTGTGGGGTGGGAAAGAAGTGTGGACATTCATGGAATTGGTGAGTCCAGGGCCACAAATCACATTAGGCAAAAGGAAGTGTGGCTAAACAGAGAGAAAGGAGTCAACCATGACCTTGTAGGTCATGGGGAAAAGTTGGAATTTTATCTGAAGTGCAATGGGGTGTCACTGCAAAATTGAAGGAGAAGAATAAATAATTTTTTTCATTAAAATGTTCACATGGGCTGCTGGGCAGAATATAGATCAGAAAGCAAATATGGAAGCAGAGGGAATGCTGAGGAAGCATTTTCAGGATTCTGAGTGAGCGAGGGAGATGGCTTGATCTAAGGTGGCGGTCATAGGCAAAGTGATGTGGATGAGAGCATTTCGTGAGGTAGAATTGACCAGATTGCTGGAGGGTTGGGTTGTGAATGCTCTGGGAGGGAGAAGGTGAGTTTCAGGATGACTCTGGGCTGTTGGCTTGAGAATTTGGCATATGATTATGTCACTTCAATGGGGAATATAGAGTGTCAGAGCAGTGGGTGAAAGGAAGGGCAAAGATCAACATCTCGGTCTTGAGTGTGACCTACCTGCGAGGTAGCAGGTTGTGACATATGTCTGGAGCTATTCAGGAAAGAGAGCTTTTTGTCAGAAATAAAAACATGAATTTAATTGCAAGGATACTTTTTAAGGCCATGGAATGAGATCATTGAGGAGGGATATATAGTTAAAAAGAAAGGGGTACATCTTGAGAAGCCTAGTGCTTAGAAATCAGAGCTGGAGAAGCTATGGCAATGCTACAGAAGGAGGAATAAGAGTAGTAAGAAGAAAAATCCAAGAAGATGGCATTTGCACTCAAGAAAGAATGGATAGAGGAAAAGGGAATGGGCACTGTGCTTTTGGTAACTATTAAGAGTCTTTTGGGAGAGATTCTGGGGCAGAATCCAAAAGAGAAGGTCTTAAGGAGAAACCACATGATGAAAGGTTGGAGAAAGAGTTTATAGACAACTCTCTTTACCAATTGGTGTGAAGGAAGCTGAGAGGGATATAAGATGAATATCCTTCTCCTCCTCCTCCTCTTCCTCCTCCTCCTCTTTCTCTTCCTACTTCTCTAGAAGGGTCTTAATAGAGTATATTTTGTGGAGAAATGACCACATAGAGAGAGATTGTTGTCAGCATAGAGAAGAGACACCCTAATAAGTGAAGTCCTTCCAAGGTGGAGGGACACTTTTTACTTTGTAATAACAGGGTAGAAGGAGACATGGAAGATCTAAATGTGGCCAAGAAAGATGCAGGAGTTCTGTCTGGAGGCTTCTGTGAGTTGAGGCTATCAGATGCTTGACAGTGTGGTTGAAGAAGAGAAGCAAGGTGAGGAAATATTTGTGTCAGAGGCTGAGTGAGTGATTGAGCTCACTGAGAACCAACCCAAGGCTCCAGCCAAGGTTTCCTACCATGAATGTAAAGCAAACCAGCAGCAAATGTCTGCATTTTAGGTATAGTCATGCATGAGAGTGATGGTTGATTTAATCATTCAGAGTAGGATTCTGTCCCAATTGTCAAAGAAGGAAGGGAAAGGATGCCAAAACTATCTGCAAGGAGAGCTTCTAATGAAGCAGCATGAAATCCAAGCTAGGATAGAGTGAGAGAGGGTAAGACCAATACGAGTTGGAGACCTTTGAAGAATAAAGGACTCTTAGTAGAAAGACCTTGAACAAGAGAGTTGGAAGTCCTGGTTGGAGAGAGGCCTTGAAGGCGCCTAGATTGGCTGGCCCTTCTATACTCTTGATCAACCCCTTGAGGACATGCCCAAATAAACATGCAACTTAAGCAAACATGGTGTGCTTGCTGTGGAAATGCAGTGGAAGGGCAAGTCATCCATCCCCATCCCCCATTTCCAAGAAAACTACTTTGAGACTGTTCTGTACTTTCATTGATCTGATGACCTCAGAGCCACAGAAATCTCTATCTCTGATCTTCATCAGCAACTACCCAGGAGTTTTCTATTGAATTCATCTACAGGCTCCAATATCCTACGGTTTCTCCCAACACCTGGGAAATTAACAGCAACCAAGATGCATTCTCAGCACTGGCTCAGATGGCCAACTCCTGTGGTCTCCATTAGAGTTATTTAACCAGCACAGCAGTTCAAATCTCAAATCATCTTTATTGCTGCTGCAGATTTTACCAACTGCCTGAGAATGATCTTACCTCCACATGATTAGTGAATGAGGGATGGTTCTTTCCTTCTTCAACATATTCCCTAGAGGAATTTTGAGGCCACAGAGAGGAAAAAATTCCAGAAAGTATGGCATTCTCAGCTACAGTGGAGTAGCCTCATAAAGATCAACCTGTAATAGTAAAAACATGATCTATAAAGGCAATAGGCATAGGAGAGAGAACGGTGGAAGTTACTGAAGAGAGATAAAACTGGCTTCATGATGAGAACAGGAGGTTCTATCAGTGCTTTTAATTGTTTAGTGAGTGTCACTGGTCCTTTCATCACAGAGTCAACGTGTTGGCTGTTCATCTTCATCCCATATCAGAGTGGTCTAGATGAGGTTGTTTTGGTTAAACTGGTGTTTCATGCCAGCAATGGGCAGTTGGCGCAGTGGCCTCACTGTCTAGTTAGAGAGAAATGTGCTATTTGCAGAACTGGATTCTGGCTGAATAAGGGCCAACAGTTTCATTCTGAATTAAAGAGAAAGTAGATTATTAGGGACAGATTTTCTACTGTAGAATCTCACAGACATTTGAGCCAAATTCCCGTAAAGTCAAATGTAATAAGCAGTAGTTTCCACCTAGTCTGGAATTGTTGGAACCAAGATTGTGGTGTGTTGGCTCCATTTTTTGAGACACTACATTCTGAACTTGGATAAAACCTTCAGTTCCAGGGAGGAAATTCGCTTTGTGAAATGAGTTGAGTTTCTCTAAAGGGACTGATTGTTCTGATATCAGCTAGCATGTTTCGGGAAGCACAAACGCTCTCGTGCTGCCGTGACTGGGTCACCTCCCTCAGCTGCTTAAGGCGCTGTTGATTTCTCTTTGCCTACGTTCCCTAGCCAAGGACTGTGTCCTGCTGCAAGAAGTCCCTGCCTTTTATCCCAGACTGATTTTTCCCATTTTCCTACACACAACCAGGCTCCAGGCCAAATGCACTTATTCCTTTTCCTCAAATCCAGTCTTCCATTTTCCAAAACCTCTTTTCTTACGAAAATATCTGTACTCATAGCAAACACCTTCAATAAGTGAAAGTCTCTTCTGATCTCAAGTATGTTCACTTATTCATTCATGTGATGAATATTTATTTGGCATCTTCCATGGGCCAGGCACTTGGCTTGGATGAACTCTCCAGAATGCCCACAGCACTTTACACAATATTTAAAATACCCTATGTGTTTAACAAACATCTGCTGAATAAATGGATGATTGCATAGCTGGATTTTACTCTGCTCACCCACTCCTACTTGGTTCTAAGCTCCTTAAGGACACAGTGTTTGTATGTTACCTCTACCTCCCTTGTGAATACACTAAAGAATGGATACTGGCGAAAAACCAAGCAGAGAAACCTGACGTCAATTAAGTCTGTGAAAATCCATCAGTCGAATTAGCCATCATGATTTCCTAAAATGAAAACAATCAGAGAGGCCAGATTAACAATTAGTGGCTAGCACATGGCTCATTCTTGCTCAGTAATTCACTGTTTGTGACAAACAGCCAACGATCCCAATATTTTCTCTTCTCATCATTCATTACCTGACTTGATTAGGAGCAACTATTTCAAGGTTGATAGCTTTTTAATATTCTGGTCCAGCCTCTTGTATGAGAGACTGCAAATGGGGTAAATTGGAATATTTCACACAAAGCTGAATTAGACTTCAGTTCTGCCATTTTCATTTTGTAGTTGCTGTCTACATATGGTACGACCTGTCAGTGCAGTGTCTGTGCACCCATTTCCATGATAAATCCTTGTCAAATTAGCTCCATCTGGTGTGTTGTGAGGACAGCAAGTTTAAGAACTGAAAGAGTTGCTAACTATTGGGAGGATGATGAAATACCCCAGAATCATGGGGATGAAGGTCAGGAAGAAGGGGCTGAAAGCCATCCACTTTCTTTCTTTTTTTTTTTTTTCCGAGATGGAGTCTCACTCTGTTGCCTAGGCTGGAGTGCAGTGGCGCAATCTCAGCTCACTGCAACTTCCACCTCCCGGATTCAAGTGATTCTCCTGCCTCAGCCTCCTGAGTAGTTGGGATAATAGGCACCCGCCACCACACCTGGCTAATTTTTGTACTTTTAGTAGAGATGGGGTTTCAACATGTTGGCCAGGCTGGTCTCGAACTCCTGACCTCATGATCCACCCACCTCAGCCTCCCAAGGTGCTGGGATTACAGGCATGAGCCACTGCACCTGGCCAAGCCATCCACTTTCATGGGAGACTGAGGAATGAGAACATGTCTTGCACGTGACTGAGGCCAGTGCCTGCCATGAAGCAGATACTTGAGTACTAGGCATTTGTTTAAACAGTAAATGACCCTATGTATTCGCTCAGCCTGCAGCCGAGGTTTCCCTTAAGCCTTTTCTAATAGAGGGTGCCCCACTGAGCAACAGAGATTGTTTGGAAAACAAGGACGGTGTTTTATTTTGACACTGCCCCAGAAAAGTACCTAGCTCACTACAAGTGCTTGATATATTTTTGTTGAATAAAGAAATCAATAAATATATCCTTTAGGAAGGCAGCAACAAATTATCCCTATAATAAGGCTCAAAGAAGTGAATGTTCTATTGTTAAAATGACAAGGGCTTCTATATTTCCATTAACCAAATGTAATTGTCTTGAGCGTCTTGAGAGAACAGAACAGTGTGTAGCTAAAGTTTATTCTAATATAAAGGTGCTTCTGTCTGCATAAGAAGGTATCCAGGGGGATTTGAGATGTATCAGGTGCTCTGAAGCATTGCTCAGACACCATGTAATTGAATATTACATTTCATCTTCCTCTAAGTCAGAGATCAACTCTGCTTTGGATACTGGGGAATTTAGTATGTGGAACTCCAAAATTGCTGACCTCTAGGGTCTATGAAGGACACAACAGCAGCCCTGGTTTCCTCTATGATGGACAGCATATGTGTATCTTTCCCTAAAAATGTCCATGTCTTTCAGGGAGTTTGTTTTCTGTATCATCTAAACAGGACACATTTTTTTTTTTTTAAATCTTATAAGGGACAGCCTACCTCTTTGGTTTCATTTGACTCAAGTGATAACTCAAAGCTTTAGAAACCAAGATCTAAAAGAGCCCAATCAAGCTTCATGGAAATCAAAAAGACTGGAGCTCATGGAGTGGAGGCTGAGAACCTCCAGGAAAGGCAGCTTTCTAAGCAAGGTCTCCTTTCACATTGGAAGTGAGCTCCCAGAAAACAAAACAAAACAAAACAAAAACCATTAATTGTCAAGTAGGCCACGCTGGCTGTGTTTAAGAAACATTTAGGGAACATTTAAGGAATAATGAGAGTATCCGTCAGTCACATAGGGCTTGGAATAATGCCTCCTTCCACCAGATAGACTGGAAAACCTCAAAATTCAAAAGGAACTGGGAAAGTCCCGCAGAAGGATCTTTCTGCAGTAATGGAAGAAAAAAAGGAGCTCTTGACTAAATGCTGCTGTCATCTGGTCTAATAAATCTTAAAAGCAAGACTGGAAAGGTTTAAACTTTTTCTGACTAAATATCCATCACCCAAGAATAAAACTTATATTGTCTGAAGTCCAATCATGAATTACCAGGCATGAAAAGAGCAGAAAACATGACACATGAGGAAAAAAGACTCACATCAAATCTCTAGAAATGAAAATTACAATGTCTAAGTTAAAAAAATTCACTGGCTGGGATAAATGGCCAAGTAGACACTGTAGAAGAAAAAATGAGTGAACACTGTAGAAGAAAAAATGAGTGAACTTAAAGTCAGTAATAAAAATGACTCAAATTAAATGCACTGGAAAAAGATAAAAGAACATCAGTGAGCTGTAACATATGTAAAGTGGCCTCGCATATGTATAATTGGAAGTTCTGAAAGAGAGGAGAAAGAGCGAAGGACAGAAAAGAAAAATATTTGAAGAAATGATGGTCAAAGTGTTTTCACACTTGATAAAAATTCTAAACCCACAGATTCATAAAGCTCAACAAAATAATAAAAATGTGAAACACAAGAAACATTTGATTATATTAATTTTTTATACAAAAATTAATTCAAGATGGATTAAAGACTTAAACATTAGACCTAAAACCATAAAAACCCTAGAAAAGAACCTAGGCATTACCATTCAGGACATAGGCATGGGCAAGGAGTTCATGTCTAAAACACCAAAATCAATGGCAACAAAAGCCAAAATTGACAAATGGGATCTAATTAAACTAAAGAGCTTCTGCACAGCAAAAGAAACTACCATCAGAGTGAACAGGCAACCTACAAAATAGGAGAAAATTTTTGCAACCTACTCGTATCTGACAAAGGGCTAATATCCAGAATCTACAATGAACTCAAACAAATTTACAAGAAAAAAACAAACAACCCCATCAAAAAGTGGGCAAAGGATATGAACAGACACTTCTCAAAAGAAGACATTTATGCAGCCAAAAGACACATGAACAAATGCTCATCATCACTGGCCATCAGAGAAATGCAAATCAAAACCACAATGAGATACCATCTCACACCAGTTAGAATGGCAATCATTAAAATGTCAGGAAACAACAGGTGCTGGAGAGGATGTGGAGAAATAGGAACACTTTTACACTGTTGGTGGGACTGTAAACTAGTTCAACCATTGTGGAAGTCAGTGTGGCGATTCCTCAGGGATCTAGAACTAGAAATACCATTTGACCCAGCCATCCCATTACTGGGTATATACCCAAAGGACTATAAATCATGCTGCTATAAAGACACATGCACACGTATGTTTATTGCGGCACTACTCACAATAGCAAAGACTTGGAACCAACCCAAATGTCCAACAATGATAGACAGGATTAAGAAAATGTGGCACATATACACCATGGAACACTATGCAGCCATAAAAAATGATGAGTTCATGTCCTTTGTAGGGACATGAATGAAATTGAAAATCATCATTCTCAGTAAACTATTGCAAGAACAAAAAACCAAACACCGCATGTTCTCACTCATAGATGGGAATTGAACAATGAGAACACATGGACACTGGAAGGGGAACATCACACTCTGGGGATTATTCTGGGGTGGGGGGTAGGGGGGAGGGATAGCATTAGGAGATATACCTAATGCTAAATGATGAGTTAATGGGTGCAGCACACCAGCATGGCCCATGTGTACATATGTAACTAACCTGCATATTGTGCACATGTACCCTAAAACTTAAAGTATAATAATAATAATAAAAAAAGGAGTTATGAAAAATTCAGACATTGCTGTTTAGTGATGACAGTAAAAAAAAAAAAAAAGGAAACATTTGTTAACTGAAGAAACAAAATTAAGGCATATCATAATCACGTTGTCCAGAAACAATGATAAAGAAAACATGGAAAGGTAGGCAGAGGAAAAAAAGACAGACGTACTGAGGAACAAAGTTAAGGATGACAACAGATTTGTAGTTCAACACAATGCAAGCAAGAAGATGGTGGGCCAACATTTTTAAAAGTTGAAGAAAAAAATTTTCAACTGAGAATTACATAGCCAGTGAAAAATATATTTACAAAATGAAGGCAAAATAAAGACTTTTTAACATTGTCAGAAGCTTAAAGAATTCATCACCAGTAGACTCACACTAAAAACCAAAATAAAAGAAAAAGAATAAAACAATAAAAGGAGTCCTTTTGGCAGAAGGAAACTAACACCAGATGGAAATAAAGATTTACATGAAGGATGAAAAGTGCAAGAAGTGGTAACTACATGAGTATATATATACTTTTTATTATTTAAACTCCTTTTCAAGAAAACTATTTAAAAAATAATAACAATGTATTTGGGAGTTCATAACATATAAAAACAAAATGGGTAACAATAGGCCAGGAGGAGAGAAAAGAAAATATACCATTTTAAGTTTTGTATACCCCGTATTTTATACCATGAAATGGTATACTAACACTTGAAGATATACTGTTGAAGATGTACGCTATAACTCCAAAAGTGACCACTAAAAAAAAAAAAAAAAAAAGTTAAAGCTAAAAAGACAGCAAAGGAGATAAAACAGAGTAATTCAAAATAAGGCAGAAAAAGAAGAAAAGGGGAATAAATAACAAATAGCAGGTAGCACAAATAGAAAACAAATAACAAGATGATAGGCTCAAATCTAGGCATATCAATAATTGTATTAAAAGTAGATGGCTCAAACACTCAAATTAAAAGGCATAGATTTTCAGTGTTAAAGACTAAATGTTCGTGCCCTCCCTCCCCCAATTTATATGTCACAATCCTATCCCTAAATGTGATGGTGCTAGCAGTTGGGATCTTTAACAAGTAAGTTAGGTCATAAGGATAGAGCCTTCATAAATGGAATTAATTCTCTTATTAAAGGGACCCCAGAGAGCTCTCTCATTCTCTTTTTGCTTTATGAGGATACAATGAAAAGTTGGCAGGCTGCAACATGGAAGAGAGGCCTCACCAGAACCCTACCATGCTGGCTTCCTGCTAGATCTGTGAGAAATAAATTTTGGTGATTTATAAGCCGCCCAGTCTATAGTACTTTGTTATGGCAGCTTGAACTAAGACAATCAAATTAGATTTTAAAAAAGACTCAACAATATGCTGCATACAAGAGACCCACTTTAAATATAAAGACATGTATAGGTTAAAAATTAAAGGATAGAAATAGATGTACCATGCTAACACTAATCAAAAGAAAGCTACCATACAATAAAATACAACTTAGCAACAAAAAGAAATAAACTATGGATATGTATAAAAACATGGGTGAATCTCAGAATAATGATGCTGAGAGAAAACAGACACTTCCCTTCCCCCAAAAAGAAAATAGTACGTGCTGTAAAATTTCATTTATGTAAAAGTCTATAAAACACGAACTAATACAGTAACAGAAAACAGATCTGTTGGTTGTCTGGAGATGAGGGATACGGAAGCGAGGGATTACAAAGGGTCATGATTAGATTTTGGGGCATGATAATTATTCTCTTAATTATAAAAGTGGTTTTACTGGCAGATTCATGTGCCACAACATATCAAATTGTACACCTTAAATGTGTGCAGCTTATTGTATGTCAACTATACCTGAATTTAAATATTTAAATTAAAGTCATTAAAATAGTAATGATTCCCCCTATTCTCGCAGATTCTGATTTAATTTGTCTAGGGCGTGTTATGGAAAAAAAAAGGTGTCCTCCCCAAATTTATAGGTTGAATCCTTAACCCCCCAACGTGCCTATATTAGGAGATGAGGCCTCTAAGATGGTTATGAAGATTAAATGAGGTCTTATGCGTGGGGTCCTAATCCAATAGGACTGGTATCCTTAGAAGAAGAGGAAGACACACCCGGGATGTGCTCACACAGAGAAAGGCTGTGGAAGGGCACAGGGAGGAGGTGGCCATCTGCAAGCCAAGGTGAGAGGCTTCACCCAAAACCAACGCTGCAGACACCTTGATTTTGGGCTTCTGCCTCCAGAACTGTGAGAAAATAAATTCCTGTTGTTTAAGCTGCTCAGTCTGTGGTATCTGTTATGTCAGCCCTAGGGGACTCACTGGAGAGGGGGTTGTTTAGTGTCCTCAGGTCACCAGGGGATAGCATAGCGGGGGATTCTAGGTTGTGGTATGTTTCAAAAGCTCTCCAGGAAGTTCTCACGAGCAGCCAGGACTCTGACACACAGCATCAGGCCAGTGTTGAGTCTGGCCCTGTTAAATGCAAGTTCTAACATCAAGACTTTCTCAACCATCCTCAGCAGTTCCACTTTTCTTTCTGCAGCCACTTCTGTACTACGTCTAAGTAGAATCGTTTTGCACAACAGTAAGTCAAACAAGATTTTGTCAAAATAGTGCTTTATCTCCATTCAACTCAACCAATATTAGTGCATACTGTGCCACGAAGGGAGATGGGCATGGCAGATCCTAAAAGTTATAATAAGGCTCGGCTAGATAAGAAGTATAGCTTCCTCCATTGAAAGTCTATACCCTCTCACAATATCTTAACTGAGCATGATATTTTCAGCAAGTCAAATCTCTCTTGATATGGCTGTATTATAACAAGTTCCTGGGTGTTCTATTTATTTATATTTTTACATTTACAAAAAAATCAGCAAGCAACTTACATAAGAACCACTGAATTATTTTGAAAACATCCAAGCTTCCAAAATGACTGCAAAGGATTTGAGTTGCAGAATTTCAAAGCAGGTTCAGCCTGAGCCTTCAAGCCAAGAGTAATAATTAGTGCATGCACCATAAAACTGGGTTTTAATTAAATATGCCTTTGAATAAGAAAGAAGTTTTATGAAGTGTAATGCATATATAAATCTTTCAAAATGGCATTGACAACATACAGGGAAACGTCCAATATGCTTGAGAAATTTAAAAATGTAACTCATTTTAAAGTGAACCGAACAAAGAAGAGTACTCATTTCCTGAGACATATCCTGACTTTATT
This sequence comes from Homo sapiens, assembly GCF_000001405.40. NCBI lineage: Eukaryota > Metazoa > Chordata > Mammalia > Primates > Hominidae > Homo > Homo sapiens. The sequence continues at coordinate 5,178,716 of NC_000001.11, read as the reverse complement.
CTTTTTTTTCTCTTTTTGAGATACAGTCTCACCCTGTCACCCAGGCTGGAGTTCAATGGTGTGATCTCAGCTCACTGCAACCTCTTCCTCCCAGGTTCAAGTGATTCACCTGCCTCAGCCTCCCGAGTAGCTGGGATTAAAGGCACCTGCCACCATGCCCAGCTAATTTTTGTATTTTTAGTACAGACGTGGTTTCCCCATATTGGCCAGGCTGGTCTTGAACTCCTGACCTCATAATCTGCTCACCTCAGCCTCCCAAAGTGCTGGGATTACAGGCGTGAGCCACCGAGCCTGGCCTATTCTATGTATTCTTAAATATTCAGAACATATTCCTGGAAGATTCTCGGAAGGCGACCCTGTGTCTTGTATGTTGTCTATGCCATTTCACCTCCAGCACATTGTCCAACACGCAGTAGGCACGTGGCAAACAGCCGCATGAATGAGCTTTGAGAAAATGTGCTTGTTTTAACCAGCCAAGTACTTACTTGAACGGTCAGATGGAGAAAAGTTAGCAGTTGTCACTTTAATATTTCAGGCAGAAAAAGCACCATTTATCATCTAGGTACAATGCTCTGTTACATTATTACCTATGAAGATGGTTCTAAATGAATGTTTAATGACAGGACATGATGTCTCTGCAGATTTAGGAACTGTAAATTGAACTGGCCATCTCATCAAGAACATCTGTCTGCTTCCATATGTGTCTCTCACAAATGGAGAGAGGTGATCTTTCCCCGGGTCCCTGCAGATGTGAGGTTCCATTTGGTGGCTCCTGAAAGTACTGTTCCGAATCCTAATGGCAACCAAGCATTTAAGCTTTGCAGAATGTGCCAGCTTGATCTCCTTATGGCTCCAAATTGACAGGCCAGATAGCTGACATCTTTGTTGATGAAAGGTAGAGAAACGGAGGTAGCGTGGTTTTTGCAGCCAGCAAGATACCCACTCTTGTGCACAGAGGCAGTGGAAAGCAACATCCCCTGGTGACCTGAGGACACTAAACAAGCCCCTCTTCAATGTTTCAGCCCCACCAGCCAGCTCACATTTTCTTAAGGCAAAAACCCAAAGATAAAAAGGAAGTTGGAACCCAAGACACCTACCACTCAAGCAACAGCAAGTGAATGTGTTTTAAAATTCAAAATTCATTTCTTAATGCACTTCCTACTCGGCAAATCACTTCTGGCTCATTCATACTGCACACAATGTAATACAAAAAACATCTATTTGATATGACAATGTCTGTGATGTACTGTCTCATTCTATGAATAAACAGTAGCTTGCGGCAAAGATAAGGCACTGCTTACACACTAATAGGGATTGGAATTACGGTGAAATTCTAAATGGACAGTACTTATGGTAATTAGTTAAAAACCACTGACAGAAACAAAGTCCTCCACCAGAATAACATCATTTAGATTTCAGCCTTCATTAAGACGGAAGCTACTGATTCTTTGGGAAAATGGTCTTTATAATTTCTTATCTTCCAAACAAGGGGAGCGTCTGCAGCTGGTGCAGCATCTGGATCTTGGGTGCTCCTCTCATGGGGCTCCCCTGCCCCCAGTTATACCTGCTGGATGGAGACATTCTCTTGGGATCAGGGAAGTGGCCTGCACCCACCGTCATCCTCTTCTGTACTATGATGTCAATCTCCAGACTTTTCTTTGGACCCCTTTTCAGTGCATTCACAAAGCAGCCACAGTGGTCTTAACAGTTCATCTCAGTCTCACTGTACTTTGAATACAATCCAAACACCTTCCCCTGGCCAAAGGACATGCAGGACCCATCCCCAGATGTATCTTTCCTGTGTGTCTCCTACCGTTCTCTTCCTCATCCTTGACTGCCTCCATGACACCAGCCTTCTCTCTGATCCTAAAGCTTAGCATCCTGAACACACTTTTCACTTCCTCTCCCTGGAATGTTCTGCTCCCTGGTCTTTTCATAGCCTGTCTTCATGGGGATTCAGTACCCCCATTGTATCCCTGTCACTCAATCTCAAGGATCCTGTATCGCAAGTAATGTCATTCTTTACAAAGGCAGCTCGGTCTTCAATGCCTAGCACAATATTTGGCCAAGGAAATGCTCTCAATTCGTAGGGTTGAATAAATTACAAAGAGATGCATTATATTTAAAGTCCCATTGGCATGAGAAGTACCCCATGGTGCAGATATCCTAAATACACACCAACATGCTCCAAGATAAGTGATCTCAGGTAGGGCATTATAACTTTACAGTTCAACCACCATTTTCATCTACAGTTAGAGGAGGTGATAAGATTAGGAAGAAAAGTAAATAAAACCAAAGTTCTGGCTGGGTTTTTTTTCATCAACAAGAATGAAAACAGAACACCAGGAAACTGTGCTTCTGGTAGAAGGTATTACAGAACTGGGGACTGTATTGAGAGACGGATCTTTGTAAAGACATCCGGAGGCCAGCCACTTCAAGATGAACATGATACAATATTCCTTTTCCTTCAATAAACATGCTCCCCAGAGACCTCAGCCAAGGAGCAGCTTGGCAGGTGTTGTCTTGAAACAGTCAAGAGAGAAAGCTCTTTGTATGAGGATTATGCTCACCCCCATCAGAAAAATGCAAAAGTTGCAGTGATTTGATTCAAATCAGAGTTCCTATGAGAGATGAGAAATACAATGCCTCCTGATGAACATCTGCCTGATGTCCAGGCAAGACTTGAGTTTAGGGCCTGTTCTTTTTTCTGTAGCATTTACATACTTGTGACTTGGGTACTAAAATTGAGGCTCCAAAAACCCTGCTTCCCTGACGACCTTCCTATGTGTGTGTGTTGGGAGTGGGGGTGGTATACAACTCAAGTTTTAATCATTAGCTCCATTCAGGTTGGAATGTGGCAGTTTTAGCTCTAGCAAAATATATAACAAATAGGCTGGGCACGGTGGCTCACGCCTGTAATCCTAGAACTTTGGGAGGCTGAGGCGGGTGGATCACGAGGTCAGGAGATAGAGACCATCCTGGCTAACATGGTGAAACCCCGCCTCTACTAAAAATACGAAAGTATTTTGTATTTTTAGTCCCAGCTACTCAGGAGGCTGAGGCAGGAGAATGGTGTGAACCTGGGAGGCAGAGCTTGCAGTGAGTCGAGATGGCACAACTGCACTCCAGCCCGGGCGACAGAGGAGAGTCTGTCTCAAAAAAAAAAAAAAAAAAAAAAAAAAGAAAGAAAGAAAAGAAAAGAAGAGAAAAGAAAAACATATAACAAAAAAAAAAAAAAAGATAGAGAAGTTGAATTAATATTCTGCAAATAAGCCATCATTTTAAATGAATGATTTCTAAGAAATCAATTCAGATTATGCAAATACCTCAATAAATAAATGGACAGAGAAGAAAATATACAGTTCATAAAAGCAAACTCAAATAGCCAAACACATGTAAAGACACTATCTTCGTCCACTTGGGCTGCCATAACAAAATGCCATAGCCTGGGTGGCTTGCAAAAAACAAAAATTTATTTCTCACAGTTCTAGGGGCTGGGAAGTCCAAGATCAAGGTCCTGGCAGATTCAGTGTCTGGTAATGGCCTGCTTTCTGGTTCATAGACTGTACGTTTCCATGGCATCCTCACATAGGGGTGAGGGAACTTTCTGGGTTCTCTTTTATAAGGGCACTAATCCCATACTTGAGGGCGTTTTGCTTATGATCCACTCACCCCAAAAAGGCCCCACTTCTTAATACCATCACCTTGGGGGTTAGGATTTCAACACAGAAATTTTGGCAGGATGTAAACACAGACCATAGCAGATATTTAACCTCATTTGCATTCAGAAAATACTGAAATAACATACTGTGCCAATTAGATTGGCCGAAAATGAAAGAGAAGCAGTTCTGCAGTGCCAGGTATTGATAATGAAGAACCCATTTTGAAGATCTGTTTTACAATCATGTGGGAAGCAGCAATTCCACCTCTCAAGGTAAACTCTAAGGAAGAACTTGCACCTGTGGCCCCCAAAGTTAGAGCAGAATTGTTGTAAGACTAGATGACTGGAAGTCATCTCCATGTCCACCAACATGAAAATAGATACATAAATAGTCATGTGTTCACACAGTGGCGTGGTATATGTGGTTTTCATGAATGATCCAGATGAAGGTGTGCAACATGGGTAACTTGGAAACAATTCTCAGCAAAAGAGAAACAGCATACACTCATGGATCAAAAAAATGGAGCACAATGGAAAGTTTCAAAGAAGAATTAGAAATCATGATTAATCTCACATCCTAGAAATAATTACATTAACCTTTTAGTACCATTTCTTTCCATTTTTATATGTATATATGCACTTCAAATTTATTTTTACAAAATGAGGTTCACAAGGCACTATACATAGATTGATATCCTTTCTCAGAAATGAATTCATATCACATAGCTTTCCCTATGTTATTAATATTCTGCAGAGGCAGCCTTTTCAATAGCTGCTTGAGAGACTCCACTTTCAGAAGTTTTCATGTCTCAATTGAACTGTGTCTGCACCGAGAGTGATTTTCCACATTGGGGCAGTGGTCACTGTGAGTTCATAGATAAGAAAGAGTTGAATTAATTCCCTAAATCCCCACTTGCTTCTAGAAAAGATTAGAAGTGAATTAAAAGAGTAAAAAGTAGCATAGGAATGTGATGAAAATCTGTGTGAATGATTTGGGGGCAGGGAAAAAGAAGGAAGAAAGTTAATTGTCTCTAAAAAGTCCTTAAGCTGGGACATGCTCTAACAATGGATCATAAAGGCTTAGTCCAAATTCCCTGGCAGGCAGAAAAGAAAAAATAAGAGCACCCGAGGAAGCATGTAGCTTTCAGCATCTCACACAAAAAAAGCCCAATGCCGCTTCTAAGAGGAATTTGCCTTGTGGGCCTCACATAGGTGACTTTAACGGTACAAGGAGTCATATCTCCAATCATAGTTTTGCAAACCATACATATATGATTGTTTCTTATATTGCCATTGAAAATTCTTAAGTGAGGATCATTGACACCTTGAGGCCAAGGACAAATGATACCTTGTCGTTGATTTGGGACAATCAGGACCTGAAGCAGAAGTGTGCAGCTTTATCAGAGGCTGTGTTCACAGAAGTCAGCAGCTGCAGGGTGAGTTATTGGCTTTGAACTACCCTGGCAGAGGGTTTGGGTGGGAGCCGGATAGGATCCAGCTTCGGAACAGAATATCTGCAGAGAGCTTGAAGTACTGTGGTGTCACTGGTCTCACTCTTGGCCTGTCGTGACAGCCTACATACCCAACCTCAAGCTTCCTCAAGAGAAACCTTACCTGGTCCTAATCCTGTTTCTCTGTCTGCAAAGTAGAAGTGACTGTAACCTCTGGGTCCCATGGAACATCGACCCTGCAGCTCATGAGCCAGGATTGCCTTCGTCATCGTGTGCCTTAGTTTTTCACACATCCATCATCTCCTCGAAGAGCAGAGAGCATCTCGCTGAATTCCTGATCCCAATTAAGTAATTAGTAAACATTAGTGGGATGGAAGAAAGTAATGTGTTTAGCAGATTGGGGGCATGAAGGGGAACTGTTGATGTAAGGGAGGGGAAGTTAGAGGCTGACCTAGTGTCTTGTCCTGATAAACAACTGGCTTGAGTCTGGCAAGAGTGTGTGGTGCCTGAGACTTTATAAGGAGCATCTCTAGATCAATTGGATGAGATGATTCAGGCCCTGGGACTTTTGAGGTTGGAATGATCCAGCATCTGTCTCCATCATGAAAGAATCTTTGCAGGATTCCAATGCCTCACTGGATATTGAGCTTGATTCCATCACAAGAGTCGTGCCAGTGAATACCCAAGCACGAGAATGGGTTAACTTGTGCAGTGGATTCTCCAGATGTTGGTGGGGATGATGGAGCTCCTGTCCCTGCTGTTCTTTGGGAAAGTCATTGTGCAAATCCTGACTTGTCTTGAAGCCCTCTGGAGAGGAACCACAGAGCTACCGTGGTGGAATTGAGGGTATGCTCATCCTCAAATTTGCTTTGGTAGAAAGGTTTCTACACAGTTCATTTCATGTTTCAGTTCATTTCAGTTCAGTTCATTTCAAGTTTATTGGTGTAAGTTAGAAAGGAGGGGGCCGAAAACACCTCCCAGTCTGGAGCCACAGGGGATGAACTTCGCTTTTCTTCCTCTTATCCCCCTTCTCCCACCCCTCCGTGTTGCTGTGAATCTTGTGATCTACATTAAGGGCCTGGAATCCATAGTGAAATTTTATAGCTTAGCTCTTAACTGGTTCCTGTCTATAAAATTAAAGACTGACAATAGATTAATAAGTGCCATAAAATGTCTTAAATTCCTAACCACTCGCTCAATTAGGTGGAAAAAACATAACAATGTCTAATAATGGATTGCCTGGGTTTCGTGCAGAGCATTAGATTTAAAGACTGTGGTTTATGGAGGGGAAAGCTGGGGAAAGCTTAAAGGAGAGGTAGAGGATGATTCCTTTTTGGTGAGTAACAACAGTTACAGCCCTCTTATCACCCTGGCCTGAGTCACCATCAGCCTGCTGATGAGTCTGCCCTCTTCCCTCTCAGTCCCTCCTGCAGTCCTGTCTAAATCTCATACCTAGATGGACCCTTAGTGAGATCACAGCCAGCAGGGCTGTCTGCTCAGAATACTCTAACAGCACCACGTGCAGCACAGTTAGAGCCAAAGTCTTCAACACAGCTGCACCTGTTACCTATCAAGCTCCAGGATGTGCTCTGCCCCCTTAATTATTAGACCCTACAGGAGCTGCTCCTTCCCTTCCTTGTTAGACCCTATATGATTTAGTCCTCCCTACCTATCAGACTCTGCAGGATTTGGCCCCAGTTACTGTTAAACCTGTAGGATGTGCTCCCTCCACTACGTATCAGACCCCGTAGGATTCTGCCCTCCATTACCCGGCAGACAAATCAATGTGACTTGTTCCCACCACCTCTCTGACCTCATCTATTCTCATTCATGCCTCATTTTCTCTGCTCAACTACCTTGGCCTCTTTGCAGCTTCTCCAGAACTGCAGGTGGCTTCTACCTCAGGGCCTTTGCACTGCTGCTCCTCTGCCTACAACGCTGTTTCCCCCAGATAGCCTCCTCCTCATCTGCTCACTTTCTCCAGGTGGAGACAGCAAGGTCCTTCTTGGCGAAGTGTTCCCACCTACCCCATTCAAAATGTCAGCAGCCCCAATCCTACCTATCTTCTTTACCTTTTCTCCCTAAAACTTACCTCTAACATCCTGCACACTCTGTGCATTTGTCTTGTCATTGCTTCATCCCTAGAAGGGAAGCTCTGCAAGGGCAAGGACCACATTGTCTGTTCTTTTCATGATTGAATGCCCCTCATCCCCAGCAGTGGCTGGCACAGAAGTGACCCTCCATGACTACTTATGGATAATTGCTCTGGGGCTGTCAGCATTTCCCAGTGGTTCCTCTATCCCACCAGCTTACTGAAATATTGGCAGTTGTTACCAGTAAACACCCAAAGTCCTGGGTGTAGATATGTTGGAGAAGTTTTGAAATAAATATTTTCTCTTCTCAGGACACCTCTGTGCTCTGTGAATGCCAATAGGGAGAAGCCACATGCACTTCTACCAGGTCTGCAGGTGCCCACTGAGCATCTCATGGCCGAATGCTTTCAGGAGCATGCTTTGGGGCACGTGGAGTGATGGCTAAGTCTGTCCTGACACCCTCTTTCAGTGGAGGGGGTAAATACTGCTGTGGAGCTTCATGCTGTCATTTCAGCCTTATCTTGGACCCCTCCTGCATGGTGCATTGTCCTGAGGGTGCTGGACTTGGCCCAATGGAAGGTATGTGCCATTACAAAGGCACACAACAGATTCAGCAGTGGAAATCTTGGGGCCTCCAGCAGTGCACAAACTCCAAATGAAAAAGCCAGTGATGCTCCCCCAATGCTCAGTGAGGCTCTCAGAAGTTCAAGTTGGGTGCATGCAGCCCTCTTCCTAAATCTCACCCTGACTGGCAGTCCCAGAGCCTTCAGTGGTCATCGGTGCCATTCTCCCTTTCCATAAGCTACAGTTTAGAAACCGCTGCATCGCCTTCCTCTGAGTTCTGTAAGAGGCTCCCCTGCTAGTTTTCCCCAGGTTTCTCTTCCTTTCTGCATGGGGCAATCAATGACCCAAGCAGGGGCAGCTGGACAGGTGGTGCCCCTCTGTGTCTTAGGTCACAGCCTTTCTCTGAGAGGACGGGATTTGCTGAGGGTCCTCTAGCAGTGAATGGTAGCGTCAGGAGTGGGGCCAGGGTGCCCTAAATGGACAGAGATGGCCCCTCTGCTGGATGCTCAAGCTGTCCTGCTGGATGCTGCCTCTCCTTACTGGACATGCTTCAGGGACAATTTCATGGCAGTGAGGCAGTGGACAGATTCACTTTAAGAGCAGATTTCTCCCTCTTCAAAAAAAAAAAATGTAATTTACTTCCCAGCTAAAGCCCCTGGCTTATTCTTTGTTCCCTTGTTTTAATCTCCTGACTCAGATACTCCCTTTCTCCCAAATGCAACATTCAGGATCCTTTCCTTCCATTTTCTCACAAGCCAGTGGAGGGAAGAATAGACCTCTGAGACGCCATCTCCTTCAGGTAGCACTGCTGAGACAGACTGGCTCTAAGGTGACCCCCAGGACCCCCACCTGCTATTTATTGATCACTCCCTATGCAATCTCCCTGCTTTAGTGTGGATGAAACCTGGGACTTGCTCTTAACTAACAGAATGCCACAGCTGTAACAGAATGAGCATAATTGCTTATACCTGATCATGTTATATAATATTGAATGCCTTGCCAGGTGCCTCACGCCCCTGCTGGCTCGGAGGAAGCACGTGACCATGTTGAGAGAAATTTCCTGTCAACAGTCAGAAAGAAACTGAGGCCCTCAGTCAGGCAGCCTGCAGAGAACAGAATTCCAACAACAATCACAGGAGCTTAGAGGCAGATCCTTCCCTAGTCCAGCATCAGATGAGAACTCAGCCCTCCCTTGACACTGGAACTACAGCCTTGCAGAGGGCCTAGCTAAGAGTCTGTATTCCTGGATGACAGAAGCCATGAGATCATAGATGTGTACTGTTTGAAGCCATTGAGTTTGTGATCTTATTGATATGAAGGAATAGGTAATTAATCCATCTGCAATTCATATGAGCTTCCCTTTGGTGTTTTCACTTACATGGTTTTACTTAAACTTCTCAGCCAATTCTGTCTTTTGACTTTACAGCCCTTTGACCTCAGCACTCCAGTCTCACTTGAGAGAAGACTTCTGCTACTACTCTCGTACATGCTCAGGGCCCAAGATGGTTTGAGTTCAGGTTGGGGGCTTAAATCAAGTTATCTGCTTAGGACGGTATGAGAGGTCCCCTGAATTGATTGGGTGGTTGGTGCCCAGAAAAGCCTAAACAATATGGGGCCCAAGTTCCTTCTATTCATTGTGGGGTTCCAGCTGTCCAATCCTGAACTTGGATGCTGCCATTGAAGATGAGGCATTCAACGTACTCCGGGGTCTGAGTGCTGGAATCCTGGAAAGTAGTTAGCTGATGAATAAAGCATGTTCCTTTGTTATATGGTTCAAAAAGCTTTCTCAATCATGGGATTATTTGGTCACAGGACTAGGCAAATTTTCAACCAGCTTTCAAATACAAAGTCAGGAGTGAAAGTCACGTTGCTGACACTGTCACCTGCCAAGTGCTAGATTAAGTGTTTTGTGCACATTTAATTTAGCCTGAGATAGACTAAGAAAAGCAATGCAGGCATTTATGTGCCATCATACAGGCAGAAAAGGCAAGTGCTCACCAATGTTGCCATTAGTATGAGAGGCTGGTCACTGTCCTGGTGGTTTTACAGGACTTATATCATTTAAATCTAACAAGGACATGAGGTAGGATCAACTGCTTTATTATTATTATATATTTTTTAAGAGAATGAAACAGGGGCTTAGAAGTTGAGTCATTTGCCTGAGTTCATTGGAATTGGCATTCAAACCCAGGCTGGCTTCTAAGTCCCATATTCTTAAACATCTCACTATGCTAACTTTTTAGCATGTGTTAGGCTAGAAATCACAGTCAAATCAGTATGACTCCAAGTTGTAGATTTTTTTTTTTTTTTTTGGGATGGAGTTTCGCTCTTGTTGCCCAGGCCTGGAGACTGCAATGGTGTAATCTTGGCTCACCGCATCTTCTGCCTCCTGGGTTCAAGTTGTTCTCCTGCCTCAGACTCCTGATTAGCTGGGATTACAGTCATGTGCCACTGTGCCTGGCTAATTTTGTACTTTTAGTAGAAACAGGGTTTCTCCATGTTGGTCAGGCTAGTCTCGAACTTCCAACCTCAGGTGATCTGCCCGCCTTGGCCTCCCAAAGTGTTGGGATTACAGGCATGAGCCATCATACCCTGCTCAAATTCTAGATATTTTACCCTAAAGTATGCTGCTTCCAACTGGAGAAGCCAAGAAAAAAGCAATGTACCAGGATGCCCTTGAAGCCAGTATTTGCCCCCCAGCTGGAATTTCCTTTAGTCACTTTTATGTGTATATAACTTGGGGAATTTCCATCATTTCCCCCTTTTTGTGGTTGTATTCATTCTTAAAATCAAGAGGTGGTATAGAATCAGTGATACATAAGCTATAAACTCCCTTGGTTCCATGACTTACTATCTGACCAGTTCTTTCAAGCTGGTACCAATGGTCACCTCATTGGTTATGAAGCTTCAACCCATGTTGCTAGTTGTAGTACATTGGACAGAAGGCCGGAGGGAGACCACTCATCATTCTGAATGCCATGAAGCGCTGTCAGCTACATGGAAATTAACTACTGGATCAAATGATGGAAAGTCACGTCTTTTGCCTTAGGATTTCTCTTGAGGGAGGGCGATTTGTCATTTATGGGTCTGGCTGAGTTATATTGTTTCCTATTAAGATAAGTCTAAATGAATCTTTAATGACAGAACACTGTATCTGTACAGATTTAGAAGCTGCAAATTAAACTGGCCATCTCCATCTGGAACATCAGTTTCCTTTCCAGAGCTATCTATTACCTGCAGAGCGAGTGAGCTGATGAGGGTCCCTGCAGATGTGCCGGCACAGCTGGAGGAGCAGCGCCCCTGAATGTTAATTGTGCGGGTGCTGTATGTCTGAGGGAGGTTCCTGGGACCCCCGGGAAGACATGACCTCGACGTCAGGGTTTCAGGTATTCCTCTGCAGCACCCAGGTCATCTAGACCAAGATGCCATCAACTCTGGCCTGGATGCTGACCTTGACCTTCTAATGGACATCCTTAATTCTCACTCTTGCCTTCTCCTTCTATTGCTTCAGAGCAGCCAGGACATGCTTTTCAATGGTGTGTATCATCCCATTTGTTTAAAATCTGCTTAGACATCCTACGATTCTCAGAACAAAGGCCATGTTCTTGGACATGGCCTCCAAAGAAGTCTTGCTTTTGATGACCCCACACACCTTTCTTCTTGAGGCCCTTTTGGCTACCCTTAGGGCTTCTAGGACCACACTGTCCTTGCTACTGGGGTTGCAGGAGGACCATGAACCCTGTCCTCCCTGTTTGAAACACTCTTTCCTTCTGCCTACCACTCTCATCTCCCCTCCCTCGGACATCCGCTCTCTGTCCCTCTGCCTCTGCAGATACATCTCTTCGCCGGGACACCACCCTTGACATCCTTGTGAAAGGAAACTATCTTGGGCCCCCAATATCACTAAGCTAAACGGAAAAGTCAAGCTGGGAACTGCTTAGGGCAAACCTGCTTCCCATTCTGTTCAAAGTCATCCCTCTGCTAGCTGAGATAGATGCAGATCTGATTGCCTCTTTTGGAAAGGCTAATCAGAAACTCAAAAGAATGCAACCGTGTGTCTCTCACCTACCTGTGACCTGGAAGCCCCCTCCCCACTTTGAGTTGTCCTGCCTTTCCAGACCAAACCAATGTTCATTTTGCATATGTTGATGGATGCCTCATGTCTCCTTAAAATGTATAAAACCAAGCTGTGCTCTGACCAGCCTGGGCACAGGTCGTCAGGACCTCGTGAGATTATGTCATGGGCACGTGTCCTCGACCTCAGCAAAATAAGCTTTCTAAATTAACCAAGACCTGTCTCAAATTTTCAGGGTTCACATTCTGAACAGGTGAGGTCCCTGCCTCTCATGATCACAAGCACTGTGTTCTTTTTGAACTAGCACTTACCCCAGTGTGGATTATGTGTGTGGTTCCTATTCAGTCATGGGGTCTCTTCCATGTAAGATCCATGGGTGCTGTCACTGGATCTGTTCTGTGTGCATCTGCAGCCCTGGCCCCAGCACAGCGCCCGGCCCTCAGCAAGCCTGGGGAAAAATCCTGTCACAGAACACCAGTGCAGGAAAAGCTACAGTGTCTTCTAGCAAGATAAATATTAATTTGCATGTATTTTTTCAGCTTTCTTTAATCACTCTTCTTTCGTAGATGTGTATACTTAAATTTGAACAAAAGCAAAACAAAACCAAAACAAGCCTGCAAACACCAAGCTGAAGATAAAAAGAAGAATATTATGTGGCTGAAGGAGCTACAGATGTGGATCCTGGCATCGTGATCGACCAGCTGTGTGTCCTTGGGCAAGCCAATTCACACTCTGGTCCTTATTTCCTCATAAGTTAACAACAATTACAGTGCCTTCTCTGCCTACCCACAGGGGTGTTTTTCGGACCACATGAGAAGCTGCGCAGTTGCTCTGAAAGTACCAAGAGCTCTGCAGCTGTGCGGCGGAATCAGTACATTCATTAATAATACACCATCCTGTTCTTTGTTCATGGCTCGCTGATGCTAGACCTGAATACAATGTCCACGTTGTTCAGGAAATCAGGAAGTGGTGTACCATGTACCTCTAACACTTCATGTAATCGCAGGTTGGTAGCAAAGATCTGGCTGAACAATTGGATTTCAGGATGACAGTAAATAGAATGTGTATTACACTCTGCCAGATGTAACATGGCACTTAGCTTTGGAACGTGGGAGGAGAAAGTGCTCATAGAATTACATTTCCTGAACAAGGATGGCACTAGAATTGCAGGAAGGATTCATGAATCCTGGTTTCATTTAAGATTTTAATCTATGGAGGTGACCGAGTGATGACACAGAGTCCAATGCCATTGAAAGAAGATGTATTACTTACAAGTCCTGGGAGAAGAGGACATATCACAACACCTAGGCCATGTGGGGAAGCACCAGAGCTGGTCAGAAACAAGGGGAAAGCCTAGGCCAGGGCTTTTACTGGGGCCTTCTCAGGAAAGGTGAGACAGGGCACAGTCTGGGATTGGCTAGTTCGAGTAATTCCAGCAGGCTTTGGGCTGTAGAGGAGTGATCTCTAGTTGCCTCATACGTGGCCCTGGGATAATTTAGGGCGAGGGAAATATTGGCTTGGGGTGTGAGAGTTAGGCAAAGTGGGTGGCTGGGGTATAGGCTTGAGATTTGTTGGTTTAATAGAGTTAGGGTTAGGGTTAGGGTTACGGTTTTTTATGTCTCTAAGAATTGGCTAGCTTTGGTAGGGGTAGTCTTTTCCAGCCAGCAAAGTTTTTAAGATGTCAAAACATCATAAGATACAGAAAAACAACAACAACCTGTGATTAATGTAGACTTTTGTTGACAAAACTAAGACAAAGGAGAAGGAGGTGGCCACCATCCTCTTTCTGAAAACTTCTCACCCCTTGTACCACACTCTGGGAGGGCTCCAATGTTTCTTTCAGTGGTGGAATTCATGGGGGGTGGAGACAGGTGGAGGGAGACCCCTGGATGCAGGTGGTTGTTGCATCCTTTACCTGCCAGAGCCAAACACACAGGGTGGTGTCCTCGACATGCTGCTGAATCTCCTGCAGTCACCGTTCCATTCCAGCTTGGACTTACGATTCTCCCTATCCCCCGCCAGCCCCGAGTGGTCTTGCCTCTGCCCATAGCTTCACCACCCCTGCTCCTGTGGAGTAGTCAGATTGTCTAAGTTCTCTTTCCAGTGAGGGGTGATCCTGGGGCATCTGGCAGCCCTGAACCCACCCTGGGACACATGGCAGGTGGATGGATGGTTGTGTCCCCAGCACATTCATGGTCAAGGACACCCCTCCAAAGCAGTATGAGGAAATAGAGCATTCCAGCCATTTGCAGATGCCACACATTTTACAAGCATGCACAACTTGGGGATATGTTTTTGATAACATAGGCTGCAGCTTCTGTGCAGTTCCTGGGGACCTTCCTCTAACTTCAACCTGCTATGTCCCTATCTATAAAGACAGAGCAGGGACCATGCAGCCTGTTGACAACCAGATCTCCTCTCCTCCCTGCCTCTCGGAAGCCTCCAGCCCTGACATGTGTGGGGGCAGGGCGTCTGACTCATTCTGCCCATCAGAGTGTGAGTAGAAGTGAGGTCAGACACTGCCAGGCTCAATTTGTAAAATGTGTGATTCTCTCTCTCCTCGTGGTCCACTGGCTGGATGCGAAGGATCTCAAGGATGACTCTGAGGTCCCAGCAGAAACACGAGATGAAATGAGAGGAGAGTGATTTCCTGACTTACCACTTGAAAGGTTGTCTTGAACACACAATAGTTTCCAGGATGTGAGCAAAATGCAAAGCCCCTGTGGTAAACAGCCACTGAGACCTGGGGGCTGTTTGTCAAAGCAGCTAGCGTCAGTCACTCTAACTAATACAAAAGCATGAGTGCCAATGAGTGAGTGTAATGTGAGAGCTGGTGCTAACCTTGAATCTGCTCTAACTTAAAAACAAAAACAAAAAACAAAAAACAACTTTTCCTGTGTTAGTTTGCTGAGAATAATGGCTTCCAGCTTCATCCATGGGGGCAGGTGGAGGGGGAGCATCAGGATAAATACTGAATGCATGTGGGGCTTAATACCTCGGTGATGGATTAACAGGTGTAACAAACCATCGACACATGTTTACCTATGCAACAAACCTGCACATCCTACACATGTATCCTTAAAATAAAATTAAAGATTAAAAAAACTTTATTGATGCCTAATTTACATTCAGCAACATGCACCCATTTTTATGGGTCCAGTTGGGTGATTCCGATGGGTGCATTTACTTACCTGTGTATCCACCCACAAAATCAGGATATAGAGCATGTCCGTCATCCCAAAATGTTCTCTTGTAAAAAAAAAAAAAGTTCCCTTGTGCAAATCAAACTTCACAGAGTGAATCATTCACCACATTTTATTTTTAAATTTCCATTAATAACGAGCTACTTTTATGGAATTGCCCAACTTGTCATACATGGTGGCTGAGCTGTGTTTAGCAGAAGTGGGAACTCGGGGAACGTGACCAGAAGTGCCCCGTCCATGGCCTCATGAACAGCAGGGGGCCTGCCTGAGGGAGGAATGAACAGATCTCTGCTTCTGTAGTGGTCTCATGTGGTCATGCTAAGGGATGACTGAGGGAGAATGGAAAAAAAAAAGTCACTGGGAAACAGAGGCAGTATGAGTGGAACGGAGCCGGCACTCCAGCACAGGGCGGGGTGTCAAGACATGCAGCTGACAGCAGCGAGATGAGGGTTAAGGGGGCACGGGGGACAGGAATGAATTTCAGCTTCTTGTTGAGGTGGTTGGAGGCTGGAGGGGCAGCAAAGTTCCAGGCTCACTATCGTCCATGCGGTGACTTTGGGACATCCAGGTGGATGAACCACTCTGACTGGTAATTCACCCTGGAACACCCTAGAAATAGGATGTTCTGGCTGGGCATGGTGGCTCATGCCTGTAATCCCAGCACTTTGGGAGGCCGAGGAGGGTGGATCACCTGAGGTCAGGAGTTCGAGACCAGCCTGACTAACATGGTGAAATCCTGTCTCTACTAAAAATACAAAATTAGCCAGGCGTGGTGGCAGGCTCCTGTAATCTCAGCTACTCTGGAGGCTGAGGCAGGAGAATCGCTTGAACCTGGGAGGCAGAGGTTGCGGTGAGCCAAGATTGCACCGTTGCTCTCCAGCCTGGACAACAGAGTGAGACTCCATCTTAAAAAAAAAAAAAAAGAAAAAAAGTAGGGTATTCTGACTCAGGAGGGGGTTAAGTGGGAGACACAGACTTAGGGGTTGCCTGGGTGTTTGTGTTGATGTAAAATCTAAGACAAAATCAGAACCTGCAGAGTGAAAGAAGGGCGGAGGTTGGGGTCCTGAGAACGTCAGCTCTTTAGAGGAAGAAAACTCCACCAAGGAATCTGAGAAGAGATGGTCCAGGGTTGGGAGAACCTGAAGACCTCATCTTGCTGGATGCCTTCTGCTGAGCCTCCCACTCATCCACTCTGCTGTGTGCCTGGGGAGGTTGCCCCGCATTTATGGTTCTTGCCTTTCCCGCTGGGTTTGGCCAACAGAGCACACTTGCAGGAAACAGGGGAAAGAGAGAGGCTGGGGAATTTATCCCACCGGCTCCCTCCTGGCGCTCCTGGAGGCTGGCAGAGACCCCTGAATGAGAATCTCAGCTCCCCGCTAGGCACCTTCTCCATTCTTCTGTCTGTATCTCCGGGTTCTAGAAACTGCTCTCTCCTCTGTCTTTTCAGGGCCAGACGCTGGCTGCTGAATCCCAGTAATTCTCCAAACACTGCCCATTTCTCTGTCAATAGTCTCTTTCCCAAGTCCTTTTCAAATACGCAATTTGAATGTACCATCTGTTTTCCAGTCAGATAACGATACAACTACCTGTCATTGGTTTAAAAAGTAAGTTATGTTTTATATATTCCAAAGAGTTTCCCCAGGAATCCAATCTCGATTTGTGCCCAAGGTGCAGAGGGCACCAACAGAGAGCTCTTTGCTGTCTGAAAGCCCCCCTGCTCCTCCAGCAAATGGCCCCTATCATGCGGTACAGCATTTCCCAGGATGAAGTCACCTCCAAATGCGATGTCTCCCCAGCCGGAAGGGTAGGGTGAAGCTGTCCCCGTGGATATGCCTGCAGGTAACAAGCACGTGTCAGAGGATGGGAGGGACTCTGCTTCCTTCTCATATCAAACATCATAATTGTTTGATGTCCAATTATGTTATAGGGACTCTCCCTGCAAAAAGAAAAAAGTAGCTTTGTGAAACCTTCTCCAGGATACTCACCTTTCTCTGCCTCTTGCTAATGCAGAGCCTGGGCTTGGCTTCCCTCTTCCCCTGCAAGGGCAGGGCAGGGAAGGGAGTGTGGCTGGTGCTCCTCCTCCCTGCAGCCCCTCCCAGTGGCCAGCAGGACCGGCCTCATGTGCTCCCCCAGGGGATCTCCCAGGGAAGGGTGTCACCTGCCTGCAAACTGGTGGCGCTGACTTCAGCTGTGCTTTCTGTAAGTACCGACTTTGTTTTAATATTATATTATCTACCTTTATTTTTTCTTTAATTTAATGCAGCGGTTGCATTCCTGTACTAACATCCATTGATTAGGGTAACAAACAAATGTGAAGACACTTCCAGAAGCACACTGACTCATCCTTCCATTCATTGTGTTTCTGTTGGGACGAGTAGAGGGAGAAAAAGACACACACACACACACACACACATCCACACAAAATCCCAAAAATGATAGGCAATGAAAAGCAAGAGTCATATTTTGAGTTACTCTTTAAATAGCTATTGCCAAAAAAAAAAAAAAAAAAATCAAATGATCCCAAGAAGAGAAATGCCTGCCAAATGCCAGAGGGCAAGATAATAATCTGGCCAATGGACTTGGCCAAAGGGATTCAGAGTCAGAGAGGCAGGCGGAATGATATGATGACGGTAAATTCATGTTAAATCACTACTAATGGATTCAGATTGTGTTCGAGAAGACTCTCATTTTAGGTTAAATTCAAAAGCCCATTTAAAAAATATTCGTTGATACCATAAACTCAGAACTGTGGTTCTCAAATTCAAAAAGCGTTCTCATACACTTCTGCAAATGTGTATATCATCCAGATTATATCCAGCGGTAGTCTTGCATGCCATTTTACCTCTTAATGTGACATGAGAGCAATGGGCAATTTCCACATCAAAATTCACAGGGCAGAGAAGTACCCACTCTCCTATGAAGAAGCACAAAAAGGGCATTAGTAAGTCAGGAGCATCACAAACATCACGAAATGCGCGGCATTGCAACACACCGAGGCATCGCCACGGTTTGCATAATCCCATCTGCCTGCCTCTTTCCTCTCCTCTCTGCGTCGTAGTTACGAGATTTACATTGACAACTGACGTTCTCCTAAAATTGTGTATGTTTGAACGGCCCGAGCCTGTACTCGGGACCCAGGATGATTTCACTGCAGTAGGATGTCTTGTGAGCACACCAGCTTCATCTACCTCTGAAAACCCATCCGGAGCAAGGGAAGCTTCTACCACATTAATTCAGTTCCTGCAGGGGAGGTCTTTTAGAGGGATGACTACTTTTGTGTACGCAGATAACATTCATCAGAGTTGATAAAATATCATCACCAATGATGGTCACAAGTGTGTGTTAGTATGTGTGTATGTGTATGTGTTAGTGTGTATGTGTATGTGTTAGTGTGTGCATGTGTTAGTATGTGTATGTGTTAGTGTGTGTATGTGTTAGTGTGTGTGTGTATGTGTTAGTATGTGTGTATGTGTTTGTGTGTATGTGTATGTGTTAGTATGAGTGCATGTGATGGTTAATATTGAGTGTCAACTTGACTGGATTGAAGGATGCAAAGTATTGTTTCTGGGTGTGTCTGTGAGGGTGTTGCCAAAGGAGATTAATATTCAAGTCAGTGGACTGGGGGAGGCTGACCTACACTCAGTCTGGGTGGGCACCATCTAATCAGCTGCCAGCATGGCTAGAATAAAGCAGGCAGAAGAAAGTGGGATGAGCAGACTTCCTGAGTCTTTTTTTTTTTTTTGAGATGGAGTCTCGCTCTGTTGCCCAGGCTGGAGTGCAGTGGCGCGATCTCGGCTCACTACAAGCTCCGCCTCCCGGGTTCACGCCATTCTCCTGCCTCAGCCTCCTGAGTAGCTGGGATTACAGGCACCCGCCACCACGCCCAGCTAATTTTTTTGTATTTTTAGTAGAGACGGGGTTTCACCGTGTTAGCCAGGATGGTCTCGATCTCCTGACCTCGTGATCTGCCCGCCTCAGCCTCCCAAAGTGCTGGGATTACAGGCGTGAGCCACTGCGCCCAGCCCCAACTTACTGAGTCTTTGAGACCCTTCATCTTTCTCCTGTGCTGGATGCTTCCTGCCCTCAAACACTGGACTTCAAGCAAGTTCCTCAGCTTCTGGACTCTAGAACTTACACCCGTGGTTTGTTAGGGGCTCTTGGGCCTTTGGCTACAGACTGAAGGCTGCACTGTCAGCTTCCCTGCTTTTGAGGTTTTGGGACTCAGACTGAGCCACCACTAGCTTCCTTGCTCCTCAATTTGCAGATTGCCTATTGTGGGACTTCACCTTGTAATTGTGTGAGTTAATTCTCCTTAATAAACTCCCCTTTCCATATACATCTATCCTATTAGTTCTGTCCCTCTAGAGAACCCTGACTAATATAGCGTACACCAGTGACTGTGTTTATAATTTAATATGTGTGTGTGTGTGTGTGTGTGTGTGTGTGTGTGTGTGTGTTTATGTGTGTATGTTATGGACTGAATGGCCATGTCCACCCTCCCAAATTCATATGTTGAAGACTTAACTCCTGATGTGATGGAGGTAGGCTTCTAGGAAGCCATTAGATTTAGATAAGGCCATGAGGGCAGGGCCTTTGTGATAGGATTAGTGTTCCTGTAAGAAGAGACTTGCTGGCTATGCTTTCTCTCCCTCTCTCTGCCACGTGTGGACATAGTGGGGAGGTGGCCATCTGTAAACCAGGAAGAGAACTCTCATTAGGAACTTACTCAATGTGCTGGCACCTTGACCTCATACTCCCCAGCCTTCAGAACTGTGAGAAATAAATTTCTGTTGTTTACATCACCCCAATCTGTGGTATTTTGTTGTGGAAGCCTGAGCTAAGACTATGTGTGTGTGCGTGCGTGTGTGTGTGTGTGTGTGTGTGTGTGTATGTATGCATTTTACTGTTAATCTGAAGAGCTGTTCCTTGCAATTGCTGGGTCTATGGAATAGTCACCTCACCACACACCTCACTGAACTAAAATCAGAAGGAGTTACCACTTATCCTCGTGGATTTCAGAACCCAGTGTCAGATTAGAGCATCCAAGTAGAGTCAGAGAGAGAAGCCTGCATTTGGGGAGCAAATACAGAGCCCCGTTCAGGGAGCTGGGGGGGATGCCCTATTTTTAGTTTATCTGAGGTCATTAGGGTGGGCCCTCATCCAAAATGACTGGGGTCCTTCTAAATAGGGTAAGTTAAGACACAGACACAGCCATGCACAGAGGGAAGACCATGTGGGGATCCAGAAGGAAGATAGCTGTCTGCAAGCCAAGGAGAGAGGTCTCAGAAGGATCCAAACCTGCCAACACCTTGAGCTTGGACTTCCAGCCTCCAGAACTGTGGGCAAATACATTTCTGTTGTTGAAGCCACTCAGTTTATGTCATCACAACACAAGCAAACTAATGCAAAGGCATGCTCAGGGGCAGTCACCCTGCTGGGCAGCAGGGCCCCCATGATGCACAAGACAATCCCTAGCATTAAGTGTCCAGGAGGGGAGTGGTGACGGAGGTAGAGGGGCCCAGAGAGAACAATGAGGAAGGGAACTTGGGGAGGCCAGCGTGACTTTACTTTCTGTGCCACTGCTTCCTGGTGGTCCTGGAGGATGGAAATTTGTAAAATGCACAGCCATGCTAAAGAACTGGCTCATCCAGGGGAGGAAAGTGGATGAAGGAATTCCAGAGAGCAGGAGGGACTGAAGGGCTCTGGCCCTACAAAGGGTCTCCATGAAACAGGAGGAGAGAGCCTCCTACCCTAGCACTCTCTCGCTCCTGCCTGACTCTAGCTGGGCATCTACAGCCTCCCTTTCCTCTCTAGATCCCTCCAGGCCACTGGCTGCCACCTGCTCTCATGTTTAGTTTGCCTGCCGTGAACACCTTCAGGCAACTTCCTGGATAACTGCCTGCCCGTGGTGAGTCCCTGAAGCCTTCAGCTGCAGTGGGTCCCACCTGCTTCCTGGCCACAGTCAACAGGACCAGCGGACAGCCTCTTGCAGCAGCTGAGGCAGGAATACCCCCTCCTGGGGGAATTTTGAATCAACAATGGGAGCCTTTGCTTCTGCGTGGCCGACCCGCCCTGTACCCCGCACCGCCTGAGTCTGGGAGGCACAGGAGACTCATAGCTCCTCTGAGATAAGGTAGGCAGCGGATGTGCCCTGGGAACAAAACAGGAGTGTGGTGGGTGGGGGTATTGGGGGTAGGGGACGGAGTGCTGATCTCTGAAGCTCCTCCCTGAAGCCCCCATGTGACTGCCCTGGCTTCTGGAAGACGCCCCTGTGGCTTTTTCATCAACATCTGCCCTGGTTCTTCAGTGCTCCTTGCTGTCACTCTTCCCGCTAGCTTTCACAGGCTTTGATTACTCACAGTCCTAAGTTCCAGTTAATTCTGGCCACACATCAACATTCTTTTATTTTTTTGTGTACAGAATAAAGGGGCAAATATGCCTTATTGCAGGACTGATTTCTGATTCCTTCACTGATGGAGATGCTTCCTGACCTGCCACCTAAGCCATCCCTGTAGTTCCGCGGCTCCTACCTCGACCTCCCCTCGTTCATCACAGAGCCCCACCTGGGTGGTTCAACCTGGTCCTGTGACTTGTTATTGGGGTGGCTGGAGTTCAGCTTGTAGTGAGAATTCAGCTGCTGGACTGACTGGAGGGGAAGCCATATGGTGCCAGCCACGCCGCATGCATCTATATGCTGAGCGAATTTGTCTTCCAACACAAACATGGCTCCCTCGAGATTTCATTCCTCCAGAGAGAGACTGCCAGCCAGTCAGCCCCAACCACTCCACTCCCGTTTCTAAGCAGAACAGGTTTCTTTAGCTTCAGCCCATTCAAACTATTTATTCTGCTCAAAAAGCTGTTGTCCCCTCTGGGCCTCTGGAGCAGATTGTTTCCCACTTCATCTGCACACACCTAAATTGATGCTTGCAGCCCTCCCAGCCTTCCTCCTCGTCCCTGCTCCCTCTTTCCCTCCCTCCTTCTCTCCTCACTCTCTCTTTGTTTCTTTCCTACATATCTAACATAATATAAAACAGAAACGAATATGCAAAAGGCACTTTCTGTTTTAATCAGGTTTGGGGGAAAATATGTCTAACATGCCACTTTCCCCAGTTGATAAAATGTTTGACATTTACCAGGGCTGCAGAGAATCTTGTCTAACAACTCCATTTTTAAATGCCACTCCACATCCTCCATCTCTGAGTTTTAAAAAGCACTTGTCCTACAAAGTGTTATCATTACTAAAAATATTAAGCAGAATCTTCATTCATTTGGAGTTGCCGTGTAATTGTGCTGGAATACAAATCATCACTTCAGAAGGCAGGCAAGTTAGATCTCTCCTCCTGGCATGAGGTAGAGGGAGGAAGAAATGGATTACGGACAGAGGACCTGGTCCCAAGGGTGACAGTGTTTTTGTGCATGGGGTTCTTGTGCAACTTCTGGGCATTGCCTGGAAGCTTGTAGCAGATAATATGTGCGACCAGGCCCCAGTAGGCAGTGGGAAGAGCTTGGGTCATCAGGGGTTGGCATCTCTTCTTGGCCACACCAGGGCCACCTGCTGGTGGGACCTCTTGCTACATCTGTGCAGTGATGGCCACTCTTCACTTTTTCACCTTGAGGACTCAACATTTTTCCTCAGCTGTTTGAAATAGGCCTAGGGAGTGTCAGCTAAAGGCTGAGTAAACTCAACCTGAACAATTTGAATGTAGAAAGAAGCCCTTGTGGTGTAGCCATTGTTCACATGCCCTCTAATTTTATCCCCAGTGCTCGGCTCGGTGCTACTGCTTGAATGATGGTGGCCCCTCCAAAATTCGTGTTGAAACATATCTTCAGTGCAACTGTATTAAGAGGTGAGGCCTTTGGAAGGTGATTACGTCATGAAGGCTCCACCCTCATGAATGGGATTAGCACCCTTATAACAGGGATCAAGGTTGAAGGGAGTTCCCTTCTGCCCTTCCATTCCTTCCTCTGGAGGATGCAGCAACCAGGCACCGTCATGGAAGTAGAGAGAAACCCTCACCAGAAACTGATGCTGCTAGCACATTGATCTTGGACTTCCCAGCCTCCAGAACCACGAGAAATAAATGTCTAGTATTTCTAAACTACTGAGTCTTGGGTAATTTTTTCTAGCAGCAGGAACAGACTAAGACACTGAATATAATTAGCTATTGTTCTTAACACACTCCCAAAACTCAAGAACATAAACAATTCTTCTCCCCGAATGCTTGCTGTTGCCTCCCCTAAAGCTACTTTTGTTTGAATGGGCTCTGCTTTCTGGAAATCCTGACATCAACTAGGTGGTATTAAGGAAAGAGTCAAACTAGAATTGAACTAAGGTTTTAATAACTCCAGAGCCTTGCCACCTCTTTTGTTTAAGGACACCTCTTTTGTTTAAGGGGTCCCTTTTTCAATCTTTCCAATAAAGAAGGATTGGAAGAGCTAATGCATTGGAGGACCCCCATGTATTTCCAATAAAGAAGGATTGGAGGAGCTAACTGCATTAAAAGGACTAGGGTTGGATTACTCTGTCCTACAGGTAATAGGCAGCCACTGTTTTTTTTTCAGTAAGGAGAGGCTTCAAAGTGGTATTCACAGAAAAGGAATTGATATAGTGACACTAGATGGAGAGTAAAATAATGCTATTTCAGGGTGTATTAATCTGTTCTCACACTGCTAAAAAGAACTGCCTGAGATTGGGTAATTTATAAAGAAACGAGGTGGCCAGGCACCATGGCTCATGTCTGTAATCCCAGCACTTTGGGAGGCTGAAGCGGGTGGATCGCGAGATCAGGAGATGGAGACCATCCTGGCTAACACAGTGAAACCCGGTCTCTACTAAAAATACAAAAAATTAGCTGGGCGTGGTGGCGGGTGCCTGTAGTCCTAGGTACTCAGGAGGCTGAGGCAGAAGAATGGTGTGAACCTGGGAGGTGGAACTTGCAGTGAGCCGAGATCGTGCCACTGCACTCCAGCCTGGGTGACAGAGCGAGACTCTCTCTCAAAAAAAAAAGAAAAGAGGTTTAATTAACTCACAGTTCTGCATGGCTGGAGAGGCCTCAGGAAACTTACAGTCATGGCAGAAGGGGGAGCAAACACGTCCTATTTCACATGGCAGGAGGAGAGAGAAATGAAAAGCAAAGGGGGGAAGCCCCTTATAAAACCATCGAATCTCATGAGAACTCACTCACTATCATGAGAACAGCATAGAGGAACCATCCCCTTAAGTTAATTATCTCCACCTGGTCCCACCCTTGACACATGGGGATCATTACAATTCAAGGTGAGATTTGGGTGGGAACACAGAGCCATACCATATCATTTAATTCTGCCCCGGCCTCTCCCAAATTTCCTGTTCTCACATTTCACAACCATGCCTTTCCAATAGTCCCCCAAAGTCTTAACTCATTCCAGCATTAGCCCCAAACTCCAAGTCCAAAGTCTCATCTGAGACAAGGTAAGTCCCTTTCATCTATGAGCCTCTAAAATTAAAAGCAAGTTAGTTACTTCCTGGATCCAACAGGGATACAGGCATTAGGTAAATACATCCATTCCAAATGGGAGAAATTGACCAAAACAAAGGGGCTATAGGCCCTACACAAGTCTGAAATCCAATAGGACAGTCATTAAACCTTAAAATTCCAAAATGATCTCCTTTGACTCCATGTCTCACATCCTGGGCATGCTGATGTAAGAGGTGGGCTCTCATAGCCTTGGGCAGCTCTGCCTCTGGCTTTGCAGGGTACACCCCCCTCCTGGCTGCTTTCATGGGCTGGAGTTCACTGTCTGCAGCTTTTCTAGGCAAACAGTGAATCTACCATTCTGGGTTCTGGAAGATGGTGACCCTCTTCTCACAGCTCCACTAGGCAGTGCCCCAGTGGGAACTCTGTGTGGGGGCTCTGATCCCACATTTCCCTTCCACACTGCCCTAGCAAAGCTTCTCCATGAGGGTTCCACCCCTGTAGCAAACTTCTGCCTGGATATCCAGGTGTTTTCATACATCATCTGAAATTGAGGTAGAGGTTCCCAAACCTCAACTCTTGACATCTTTGCACCTACAGGCTCAACACCATGTGGAAGCTGCCAAGGCTTGGGATTTGCACCCCCTGAAGCAATGGCCTAAGCTGTACCTTGGTCCCTTTTAGCCATGGCTGGAGCTGAAGCAGCTGAGGCACCACAGGGTACCATGTCCAAAGACTGCACAGAGCAGGGGGGCTTTGGGCCTGGCCCACAAAACCATTTTTTTCCTCCTAGGCCTCTGGGCTTGTAATGGGAGGGGCTGTTGTGAAGGTCTCTGACATGACCTGGAGACATTTTCCCTATTGTCTTTGTGCTTAACAGTTGGCTCTTCATTACTTATGCAAATTTCTGCAGCAGGCTTGAATTTCTCCCCAGAAAATGGGTTTTTCTTTTCTATTGCATTGTCAGGCTGCAAATTTTCCAAACTTTAACACTCTGCTTCCTCTTGAAGGCTTTGACACTTAGAAATTTATTCTGCCAGAGACCCTAAATTATCTCTGTCAAGTTCAGAGTTTCACAGATCTCTAGGACAGGGGCAAAATTCTGCCAGTCTCTTTGCTAAAGCATAGCAAGAATCACCTTTATTCCAGTTCCCAACAAGTCCTCATCTCCATCTGAGACAACCTCGGCCTGGACTTTATTGTCCAAATCACTGTCAGCATTTTGGTCAAAGGCATTCAACAGTGTCTAGGAAGTTCCAAACTTTCCCCATTTTCCTGTCTTCTTCTGAGCCCTCCAAACTGTTCCAACCTCTGCCTGTTACCCAGTGCCAAAGTCACTTCCACATTTTCAAATATCTTTATAGCAGCATCCCACTCTCTGTGGTAACAATTTACTGTATTAGTCTATTCTCATGCTGCTATAAAGAACTGCCTAAGACTGCGTAATTTATAAAGGAAACAGGCTCAATTGACACACAGTTCCACATGGCTGTAGAGGCCTTAGGAAACTTATAATCATGGCAGAAGAGAAGCAAACAGGTCCAACATGGTGGCAGGAGAGAGAAGTGCAGAGTGAAGGAGGGGAAAGCCCCTTATAAAATCATCAGATCTTGGGAGAACTCACTCACTGTCATGAGAAGAGCCTGGGGGAACTGCCTCCATGATTCGGTTATCTCTACCTGGTCCCGCACTTGACACATGGGGATTATTACAATTCAAGGTGATATTTGGGTGGGAACACAGAGCCAAACCATAACACAGGGGATGGTCCTAAGCCAGGAAAACTTGAATTACAGGGCTGGGGATGGGAAGAGAGACCTAAGAGAAGGTGTAGACAGTGGGAACATGAAGGATGAAGCTTGGGCTTGAGTTATGGGTTGGCCAGAAGGCAGAACTCCACAAGGATACCTGGGCTTTCCATCAGTGTATGGGCAACAGCAGAAATGCGGATGCCAATGTGTGTGAGAAGAAGCCCCTAGCTGGTAGGTTTGGGCTTGTTTAAGTGATATTGCACTTGAGGTGACAGGAATGTCCTTGAAGCTTTGCCTTCTGGCTGAAAGGGATGCAGCAGCACCACCTCATCCTTCTCTTTAGAAAGGGATTATCAGGCCCAATAAATAGAGCAAATAAATCCTCTTCATTACTCTGTGCAAAGATGTAGGAATGTGGTAGGGGTGGGAGGATGTGTGTGTGTGTGTATGCGCACACACGTACACACACACACCTGCATACGCTCAGGCTACCCAGGATCTAAATATTTCTTCAGACTAAGTTGAGATTCTCAGCTCAGATTCTATTCTATGAACTTGTCTCATGAAAATGTTGATTACACATATAGATTTTGCATTGGGAGAGCACTGCGTTTGTGTGTGTGTGAGCATGTGTGAGTGTGTGTGTGTGTGAGATGGAGACGAGGTATATAAAGAATGATGTAAGGAAACATGCCTTTGTGGGAAAACAGATGGTCTTGAAGAAGAGAACTGAAATGCAGGAAGCCATCCTGGCTGCAGCTGCCTCCCCAGCGAGCGCCTCTGAAGACTCTCAAGCAGATTCCGCCTGATTGCGCTCACTCCAGCCGTTCTTACCCAGATGAAATAAGCATGGAACAGACTCTTCTGCCTAATGAGAATTTAAGTTCTCAACTTTGTCAGAGATGTGAGCCTGCAGACTCGGTGTGAGGTACGTTTCTAAGAGTGCATCTGTAATAGGAGGGGTCCCAGTTCAGGCTCCGCCATCCCCTCCAGAATCTCCCAGCACAGGACCCCAGCAAAGGCAAAGCTCATGATGTGGGTGATGGCATCATAGCAATGAGAGTCCTCGGGCTCAGAGCCCATCTGGCCTCACTGAGTCCAAGAATGTCTATTGAGTATCTCCCGAGTGCAGGAGGTAGATGCCAAGGGATGCACATCCAGAAAGGAAAAAGACTTTCTGCTTAAGTAGACCCATGGGACAGCACCGAATTTGCAGGCTTGGGCTTGAACTCATTGTCTGGTTTGAGCCCCAGTTCTGCCATTACTGAGCTATGCGACCTTGAGCAAATTACTTAACCCTACTAAGCCTGCATGTTCACCTCTGCAAAATGAGAATAACAATCATGCCTGTCTCTTGTGGCTCTTGTAGGAACTCAGCAAGTGATGTGTAGAGGGCACACAGTCCTATGCTGGACACATAGTGAAAGCTCAGTTAACATTAGCCATGAATGTAAGGAGCACTCAGATATCCTGAATCATGGCAATGCTTGCAGAGCGTGGGTACCTAATGTGTGCTGAAATGACTTTTGAGAGGCATTCCTAGGCAATTTCAAAGTACTTTTCCACATCTTTGTTCCAAGTTGTCTTATTTTTATGTCTTTCCTACTAGTTCAAACCTCCTGAGATTATTTTGAGAAAGAGGCTTGTACATTTCAAACAATACTGATGTCCTCCACATTTACAGTATAAATATTGAGGGTGCTCAGAGAGAGGATGAGGAGAGTGGTGAGTGGGCAACAGAAATGAAGGAGGTAGCTGGGGGCCTGGACAGGCACCTGCTCTGAGCGGAGCCATGCCGGCATCTCTGGCTTATTGAGTAAAGCAATTTCTTCCTGTTTCTGCAGGATTGTCTCCTCCCAACCCCTACCTCTTTAGTTTCCCTTGGTATCTTTGGCCTTTCAGGTCCTCTCATGGTCTTCTTGCTCCCTTGGTGCAGGAAAGAAAGACTGCTGTGTGGTTTTGGGGTTTGGTTTTCTCCTGCTCAGGGGCCTCTGCAGGAACTGGCTGTTTGGCGGGACCTTGTCTTTTGCAGAAACACATGTCCAGTAGCCTCAGCCAAATTCCCTCTGGCTGAACCAGGATCACAAAGAGTAATGATGGCCGCCAGCATTTACAAAGCAGCCCTGTGTGCTGCAAGCTGCTTGGCCATGTCATTACATTTATCCCTTCCAATAACTAGGTACTGCAGAGTGTTCTTATCCATGTTGGAATGAAGGAACTGACACAGAATGAGGAGTCACTTGATCAGGCTGCACAGCAAGGACATGGTGAGGCCAGGCCCAGAAAGGCCCTTCTCTCTGTCCAGCCTCCCTTGGAGACTGCAGTCTCTCAATGGGGCCCCTCCTAGCTGTTCTCATGAGCCAGCAAGACTGAGAAAGGACTTCTAGAAGCATCAGACTGCAGAGCTCAAAGAGAAAGGACTTATTTAATTTTACATAAAATGAAGAAGCAAGAGAAAACAAAAAACCCCTAATCTCTTGGGGGATGAGAAACAGTGATGGCCATCCCTGGGCTACTTGTGACTCTTTGGATCCATAGTCCCATTTCAAACCCACCTAGATGTATCAAACTTTCGTGAAATGTGCCCTTTGAAAATAATAGTGCTTTTTTCAATAGGTCTCAAACTTGAGCAGATGATTTCACCTCCCCTCTGGGCTCCCAGTCATAGGTCTTGACTCTGGTATCCCCCTTCATCTTTGTGATCCTGTAAAACTACTCAGACCTTCCTTTATACTGCCAGTGTTTCAAGGTCAACGTGAAATCCTCATTAAATTGTAGGTTTATCCTTCTGAATTGGGCTTCTAGCAATCACATGGATAGTATGTTCCTTGGGTGTGACTTGACCTGCAGGAGACTAACTAATAAGAATTATTGAGCATCTGCTATGGGCCAACCATTGTACAACTGGTGCCGTGGTGTGCCATTATGACCTAATTCAGGCACTAGTGGGCTGCACCTCTTGTTTGCTAACTCTTCCAATGCAAGGACAGAAGTTTATTGGTATCATGTGCACCAGTCACTTGATTGTATAAAGAAACCATGGCATTCAAGTAAAGTCAAGTGGCTGGCATAACTTTCTAGTCCACAGACTTGCACACATCTTACCAAAGGAGCTTTAGAATGAAGCATTCACTTGTTCTTGCATCCTGGCATGTTTTTATGACAATGGTATATTCTCTTGCTTTCCAACCTTTCTGAATATATGGACTATACATTTCTTTTAAATGTTTATTTTTAAATGATTTTAGACTTACACAAAAGCTGCAAAGTTAGTAAGACGCATTCTCATACACCTTTCACCAGATACCTACTCCTAACGTAATCTTAATCCTTATGTAATCTTACATAACCATAGTACAAAAACCTAAACCAAGAAATTAACTACTAGCAGCTCCGCTAGTAGCCCAGTAGCCCTGATTTGTCCACTAATATCCTTTTTCAACTCTAGGATCCCATATTGCATATGTTTGTGAAGGAGCAAGTATAATGGGTCCCATGTGATGACACCCATGTGGTTCCCATCAATTGACTGAGATCTCTGTATATGGATTTGTGAACACCTGCCTAAGTGGCCTCTCGTTAGGTGTTCTGATCCCAGAGTTTTAAATGGAGAGGTTCAGTTTAGCAGCTGAGAAAGATAACTCAATTTTAGAGGTCTTGGACTCCTGAAACTTGCCAGAAGACATTCTCCCCTTCAAAACATTTTTCTGCTTAGTCTTTGACACATCTGTTATTTTCCAAAACAAATAACCTTGAGACTTCTGTCCTGCTTTCTTGATGGTGAAACATGACAGTGGTCTTTTATAATATATCAATAAGTGGTAGTTTCCCCACATAAATACAGCCTTCAGTCCTTAGTGACCAAATCTTACTTTGTCAGAGGAGCACTTATGTTCTTTTGCAAGAAAGGCACTGGGGGAGTAATAATGGCTATGCTGACAGCAATGTCCCTTAAATTATTTTAAAGAATGAAAAAGAAAATATAGAGAGATGCATTTTTTTCCTTAAACAAAATGAATTATTCTTTGAAAGTTAGTCAATCTCTTGGGGACACAGTGTGGAAAATTAGATTTTAATGGCTTTGAAATTGAGGTTCCATAGGTCAATAATACTGGATACTTGAAGTAAAATGACAAATCTATTAGAAGAAAATCAAACATTTTGTTGCTCATCAGAAAGGCAGTCAGAGGACAGCAGGCATTATCTTGGAACTCTTCTTTCATACAGAAGGCATCAGAAAAGTACCCTTCCTGGCTTGTTGTTTTGAAATCCTTGGGAGGGGATCATTCTTGGATTTCTTAGACTCTCCTCGAGTCAGGGAATGGTTCCTGATTTCTGGCCTGCATTGCAAAATTTGGCTGAAGGCAGTTTGGCAAGATGGGTATTTCATATGCATTTAATCTTCACACTGCACAGAATGTACTTTGTTATTTCTCAGCTTACTTTCCACAATCAATCCTGCTTTGCCTTTGTTTGGTGGAGTTATCTAAATTTGATGCACATAGTGTTTATGCTTCTGGTGGGTTATGAGGTTGGCAAAGTTGCCATAGGCAAAAGCCAAGTCTAATTTTTGTCTCACTTTCATGACTCAGGATCTGATTTTTAAAAAATGTTTCACAGAAATTAACACACAAACAATACATGAATGCATCAATGTTTTAATTAAATCATGCATGTCTTGATCCTTTCAACAATATAAACTCTGCCTGTACAAAGTGCCTAATGCTGTTCTCGGTGATGGGGCCATACGTGTGGACCTCGCACCTTAGAACCAATGGTCTAGTAGGCAACAGGCCAGCATGAATAAAAATGCACACAACAAGCTGTTTAATTCCTACAGGGATACAGGCAACCAGGAAAGTGTGATATGCAGTAAAAGCATCAAATCAGCTGAAGATGACTAGGAGATAGCTGGGGAAGAGGAAAAGCTTTCAGGAAACAAAGGTGCAAAGGATGTTCAGACAGAATCACTATCCAACACCTTGTCTCCTGCAATTCTGACAACAACCCTCAGAAGAATATGGTATTATCTTATTTTCTAGATGAGCAGATAAAGAGTGGAGAGATGAATTGGTTGGTCCCAAGTTGCACAGCTAGTTGGGGGCAAGGTAGGCAGCTTTCCCCATCCATCTAGGTGTTCTCCTAGGCAGAAATTGATTTGAGAAGAAGCTTTCATCACTCTCAGTCTGGTAGGAATAAGAAAGAAGAGGATAAAGTGTGTTCCCCAGACGCGAGAATGCAGAATGTCTTAGGCAATCGGAGAAAGGGGCAAATTTTGAAAGAGGACCCAGGGTATGGGGTTCAGGGAGCTCTCAATCCAGAAGGGGTGTTCTCTTGCTTTGCTTGAGGATTTTGTCAGCAGCAGGGGCCCATGTGACATTTTTGTTGATAATTTTGATGGAGGCAATGGAGCTTTTTTGATTACTTTTTTGTATGTCAGAAGGCTGTGACAGGCAAGGGGTGAGTTGATCAATTCAGTGGCAGAGTCAAAATCCCCAAACTTCTTCACTGGACCATGTGCCCATAAGGCAGGTGGGTCCCCAGCTCGCTGCTCCCTGCTCCCTGCTTAATCATTGGTGCCTGGAAGAATGCCCCTTGGCCTGATGTCTGTTGAATGAATAAGTGAACAAATGAATGAGTGAATGAATGAATGAGTGAATACATGAATGAATCTCTGCTAGGTGGAACGAATAAAAAAAATGAAATGTTTGAGTGTTGTCAGTAAATCCCTGCCTTAGTTCCCAACACTAACACGTGTGATTATAATCTGGAAGACTTCAGTTTATGGGATTCTGGCGTGAAGAAGCGCTCTCCCAAATAAAGTAGAAATGATTCTCCAGCGCTGCTCTGCTCGGGACCGCTGTTTTCCAGAATAAACAAGAGTTCTGTCAAAAGAGAAACACAGACAGCTCTCTCTCTCCTCTCCCCTCTATCTCTTTCCCTCTCTCTTTACTTTCCCATTCCCACCTCTTTCTCGCTCTCTCACACACACAGCATTTCCACAATTTGGTAAGTTTGAGAAGCTGGTGGCAGCTTCTTCCAGGTACTTGTGGTGGACAAGGTGGATGTGGCAGATGTCGGCTTCTCCCTGTAAGGCACTTCATGGAGTCTTTAGGGTCAGCTCTTGCTTGGGTGCTCAGAATCCATGGGGATGACCTTAGTGTGGCCAGGGACCAACCCTGGAGGATGCTACCCTGATGCCTCCTGAGAGACCATCTGTGCAAGGGGCTCCTTCACCCTACCAGCTCCCGGCCTCGGCGTCAGTCCATCCCTGACTTCTGACTCCCTTGCCTTAGTGAGGGAGGGCCATCCTTGCAGGAGACTCTGCTCACGCTGTCAGTTCTTCTCTCAGCCCTGGGGGAGCCTGACCTCCTCTCTCTGTTGCCACACTCTATTATTTTCATTTCCTTTAAGCTTCTGTTGACAATAATCTGAGGCAGACCCAGAGCCGCCCTGGATTTCAGTCTCCCTGTCTCCAGAACATGCCTCCCGCTCCCACTGCATTCCCCTTCCTGTACCTTAGCCCCAGGCTGCCAAATCTGTCTGCTAAAGATCTTCCACTTTAGCAGCATGAGCTTCCTGGGGCTGCTAGAAGAAATTTCTACAAACTGCGTGGCTCACAACAACAGAAATTTTTTCTCTCACAGTTTTGGGGGACACAATTCCAAAATCAAGATATTGGTGGGGCTGCAGTCCCTCCAAAGCCTCTAGGGGAGGTTCCCGGCCTCTTCTAGCTTCAGGTGTCTTCTGGGCTTCCTTAGCTTGTGGCTGTATTGCTCCAGTCTGTGCCTCCATCTTCATGTGGTCTCCTCATCTGTATGTGTGAAATCTCCCTCATCTGTCTTTTATAGGAACACTTGTGATTGCATTTAGCGCTTACCCAAATAATCCAGTATAATCTCTCCATCTCACAACCCTTAAGCTGCACAGACCCCACATCTGCAAAGACCCTTTTTCTACATAAGGTAACATTGGTTCCAGCAATCCCATTACTAGGTATATACCCAAAGGAAAATAGGTCATTATACCAAAAGACACATGAACTTGTATGTTCATCACTGAGCTATTCACAGTAGCAAAGACATGAAATCAACCCAGGTGCCTATCAAAGATGAACTGGATGAAGAAAGTGTGGGACATACGCGCCATGGAATACTATACAGCCACAAAAAAATAATGAAAACATGTCCTTCACAGCAACATGGATGCAGCTGGAGACCATTATCCTAAGTAAATTTATGCAGGAAGAGCAACCCAAATACCATATGTTCTCACTTGTAAGTGAGAGCTAAACACTGAGCACAGATGGACATCAACATGGGGACAGACCCTGCAGTCTACTTGGAGGGGGGCTGGAAAACTACCTGTTGCACACTATGCTTAGTACCTGGGTGTAATATACCCACATAACAAACCTGTACATGTACCCCCTGTTTCAAAAATAAAAGTTGAATTTTAAAAAAAACACTGACAAGTAGGAATTAGAACCTGAAACCTTGGGGGGCCATTGTTCAGCCCAAGCACTGACTAGTTGGAGGGAACACCGCCCAAGCCTTCATCCCCTACCTGGCATCCGCTGCCCCTCCTGGCTGCTCTCTTGGTCTGGAATGCCCTTCCTCACCTCTACTTGTAAATACTTTACCTGATTTTAAATCCAACTGGGATGCCCCATGCAATGCCCAGATTCGAGTTACCCCAAACTCAAATGCTTTCTATCTTTGGAACTCTTAGGAGCAGCAGCCCGTCTTGCCTGCACTTTAGAGTCACCTATTGGGATGGGGTGTTTGGAAGTAACACCCAGAGCCCCCCTCCAGACCAATTGAACTGGGCATCCTGAGTGGCGAAAGGGAGGAACAGGAGGAGCCCGGAGCCCCCAAGGCCAAGTAGCCTGGGATTGTCCTCGTGCAAGGCGAAGCCAGGGGAAGATGCTAAGGTGACTCAATTTATGTTTGGAAGACTAGAAATAAAAACAACATTTATGCCGTGTGGAAACTGATGTTTAGGGAAGGAAATGAGGTGATGAAGGAGGAGGAAAGGAGAGGCATCTCCATGCCAGCCTGGAGGGACAGAGCCTCAGATGCGTGCTGTCTAGACGGAGTGAAGACCTAGATTCCTGTCTACAGGATTAAGGATCAAACTGCTGCCCTGTTCATCTGTGTGCAGCAAAGCTCAGCCCCTGTCAGCCTGGTGTTGGTGTTTGATACGTGCTGGGATCAGTGGGCATAGCTTGAATTCTGCAAATGATCCAAATGTTTTCTTTTTTTTTTTTTAATTTTAATAGATCTCCCCACCAGATAAAATTACAGAATATGAAAGATGGGAGAGTCCAGGGTTTTCCCATTTCTTTAACCCATACCACCTATTTGGTTAAATCTAAAAAAAAAAAAAAAAGCGAGGTCCTGCCTCACTTTTTTTGATGCTGTTTGAAAATAAATTTTTAAATGGGCTGCTAAAAGTACATCTCATTAATGAAAACACTGACTTAACTTATTTTTTCCAGAAGTTTCCTTTTGTTGGAAAACTGTTGCAGTGTTGGAGGCTGCTTATATGCATCAACTTCTTAAAACAACACAGACCTTCCCAATCTCGCCCTCCCCCCAGCAGATTCTAATAATGGGTTAGTTCCTGTCCTCACTGCTACATGCCCCTTCCCAAGCCCCTTAAATCGAGTCTGAATACCTCAGTTAGGAAATTCCTCAGACAACAGGAGGGTTTGTTGCAGACCCCACAACCTCTGGGAGGTGGGTTTAGGATTTGAGCCACTCTGTCCCCTCTTGGAGGCCACCGCTGTCCCTCCACGCCTTCTGCCTGCCTCTCAAAGACTGAATCTCCTTTTAAATCTGCAAATCACCTTTTTGCAAACTGTTAGACAGTGCTAAGCAATGGAGCCCCGGCGTACATTTAATTTGCAGGTGCTATTTTCCTAGACTGAGGACGTTAACCTGGGAGCCCTGAATCAGATTCGAGAAGAGATGCTTATTGTGAATGAATTATCCTAATGGGCAGTTCAAGAAAGAAAGCCAGGGGCTGCTGTGCCTTCCCTGGAGGTGTATAAACACTCCGGAGGAGGTGGCAGTCAGAGAGGAGTTTCCCCTGACCTCCCTCCTCCTGCTTCTCTTACTAATTAAAACACAGCTAATGCCAATTAAAATACCACCAAGAGCTATTATTGATTTTTTGTTTATACACAGACCTGGGATAATGCAGGGAAATGAGCTGGAAACGCTGTGTGTACTCACTTGGCAATTCTTTGACTGGAACCTGGGCTTCGCGCTTCACTGAGAGCCGCTGCGCCCGGAAAGAGGCTGGCATTGTGCTGTGGGGTGCAACCTGTTGCCAGGACTCAGTGGAGAAAGGGCCACCCGGTACTCAAATGTGGCTTTGACTCGCAGGCCAACTGGCTCTCCCGACCTGCAGGTAGGCAGCCGCTGCAGCTAGTGGAAATGCAGGCTTTGGAAGTCACAGCTTCTGGGCAGCTCAGATGTGAAATGCAGAACCGGTTGCCCTGCATCTGGGCGACTGCCACCCAGGACTAAGCAAGAGGGAACCAAGAAGGTGCCCAGTGACTGTGCGAGCCTCTCAACACAGCCCCCTCCCTCAGTCTTCACTTCTCTGAGTGTCTTCTTGGAAGCCGGGTAGAATTTGTCACTCTCCAAATGATGGAGCGTATCCCAGCTCCCCAAATTCCTGGGTTCCCTCAGATGAGCTTCTTTCCTCTTCTTTTTGAGCACAGAGAGCATTGGAGATTCTGCTCTTGTTAAAAGGCAGCAGAGGGAGGGGCACAAGCAAAGATGTGAACTCTGCAAGGAAGCTAGACCTGAGGCCCCAAACTTCTGCCACCTCATCTTGAAAACAGGGAAATGAGAGTTACTACAATGATGAACGTCACAGTCACGATAAGTCAGAACACTCTGTTCAGCACCTGGTACAGAGGCATACTCAAAAATGTAAGTTAATGTCATTTTTCTCCTACAGCCAGGTGTCTTCCTCTGGGAGGACCAGACATCATATAATGCAGGCACATAAAGAATGCAGTTACTCTGTGTCTGGCAACCTTGGCTGCACGTTAGAATCACCCGGGGTGGTTTTAAAACTCGCAACCCCCAGACCAAACCCAGACCATACCCAACTAATGAAATCAGAGATGTCAATGTGCTGCCCAAATTCAGGACTGATTTAACCAAAGCCCTCTCTCTCACCACCATCCAATGAAGCTAACAATTTCTGGCGGGCATTGAGGGAGCATTGTTATAGACTGAGTGTTTATGTCACCCCAAAATTCGTATGTTGAATCCCTAACCCTCAAAGTAATTGTACTTGGAGGTAGGGCCTTTGGGAGGCAATTAAGTTTAGATGTCAGGGGAGTAGGGCCCCATGATGGGCTCAGTGATTTATAAAGAAGACTTTTTCTCTATTATATGACGGCACAGCAAGAAGGCAGCCATCTGCAAGCCAGGAAGGTTTGCCATAAGAGCTGAATCAGCGAGCACCTTGATCTTGGTGTTCAGCTTCCAGAGCTGTGAGAAATCAACACCTGCTGCATAAGCTCCTTGATCGATGGTATTTTGCTATGTATGGCAGCCCAAGCAGACTAAGAGAAAGTCTTAGTTATGGTGAAAGTCACCAGGCCCCTAGCATTTTGTGTAAGAATCTTTATGAAGAAGCAGTTAGATCTGTGTGTGCCTCTGAATGTTCTGCCATGCCCACCACATCGCCCATCATGCAGATGTGCCATACATAGCCATGTAAATGGTCCCTCAGAGCCCAGCATGTGACCGGGGCCCAGGCACAGCCCATGGAGAGCATCGCTGATGCCCCCACGAAGACTCCACTGCCTGTCTGAGCTGCCCGCAAAGGCGAGTAGAAAGCAGAAAATGGTTTGTGCATCAAAACAGAAAAACCAACACCATTTGTGTGAATTCTACTTTTAGGAAATGTGATTTTAAAAATAAGCCTTTTCAATAGGGTCACATGCAATAAACAGTCTTCACTCATTGCAAATCTACCATGGGCAAGGCATGCAAGGACTGGAGGAGATAAAAGGCACAGGATTACCCAAGGACACTCATAAACACTTCCTGCTAATATCTTCTCTAGGCTGGACAGAGTTATTTCAGACTGGTAAGAAATGGTTTGTGTGGTTGAATAAATGTTCATAGCCCATGGTGGAAAAGGCAACAGGCAAAGATATGGAAAATGGTTCACACCCAACTCTTCCACAAATCCCTGTGACCTTCAGCGAGTCACCACCTTTTATCTGGAAGCTCTGTTGTGGGCAAGGAGATTCAGCTGGAAATTGGAACAAGCACCACCCAGACTCACTGGGAGGGTCACATAGTCTTTGATGAGTCAATGTCAATACTGATTGCAAACTCATGAGAATTCCATGATTGTATATAGAAGGATTTCTATTTTACAAGGAAAAAAAATCTCCTTTCAATTTAAAAAAATAGCTAAAGTCCAGGACCACAAAGAGATTTCATCAGGTGTTACCTGATGGTGACTGCTTGCACCAGGGAGGACCCTGAGCTCTAATCCTTGATCTGTGGGAAACAGAGCTGTGATCAACTCGTGATGCCTGTCATGGGCAAGGGGCCAGGAAATACGAATCCAGATGAGGACGATTTGCCACACTGACCCTGGGATCTGGTGAGCTGAATTTTTGCAAAGAAAAAAAACCCCTTTTCCTATATTTTGGCTTACCTGAAAACCAAGCCCTGACCATCTGGTGAGAGGTCTTCACTATAAATTCAAACAAACTCAGTCTAATAAGCCTGCCATCTTCTGGAACGTTCAAT
Organism: Homo sapiens; assembly: GCF_000001405.40. Taxonomy (NCBI): domain Eukaryota; kingdom Metazoa; phylum Chordata; class Mammalia; order Primates; family Hominidae; genus Homo; species Homo sapiens. The sequence continues at coordinate 5,140,665 of NC_000001.11, read as the reverse complement.
CTACAAACTCAGTCTAATAAGCCTGCCATCTTCTGGAACACTCAATCTGCATATCCATGAATACAGAGTGGTGCTCACAAGGTCAGTGGGGCGTTCGGTCCTCTGCAGGGGCACCACGAGGAAGGCTGGGTGTGAGATGAGGATGTGAAAGTTGGTAGGGAAAACAGGAGACAATACAGAATTATTCCTAACTGTGGCCTGAAGTACCACTGCAACGAAGACACAGGCCAATTAGTGTGCGGGCTGCAGGTGTTAGAATGATTTATTTGGCTTAAAAAAACAAAACAAAACATATACTCCTGTGCACGTTCCAATCTGCTTACTCACATTCATCTTCTAGTAGCAGGAAGCACTTCAGCACTAAAGATTAAGCTGACTTTTTAATAACCAAGGTGAATCAACATCCTCTGATCCTTCCTAATTTTATACCGAGGCGATTAGCAAGTATTGGTAGTTTAAATATTTATAGAAACATAGAGGGGTGCTAATGGCTGAATCAGCTTCAAATGGCAGATGATGACAACATGTTGCATGAACAGATTCTGCTAGACACTTAATAGAAGAAAATACTTTGGCAGGGACTTGGCAATTGAATACACAAAGTGAAACTCAAGTGAGCCAGCTTGGCTCCTATTGGAGAGACGTGGGTTGGCAAGGGAGTGAGGGTCTTGCCCTATGGTTGCCCAGCTATGGATGTCCTTGAAGCCCATCAAGAAAGGATAGGATCAAGGAGAGAGGTGCTTCCTGCCATCTGACTATAAAAATAATGACTGCTCTTACTGGACCCTCAACAAGCACTGCTACTCTGTATCAGCATTCACTGGGATTTCTTAAATGGCACTTCATGTTGAGCAGTCTTCAACCCCTTTTGCAAGTGATAAAAGTCAAAGTTGACTGCCCAAGTTCAAGGTCACACAGCCAATGGGTGTCAGACTGGAGTGTGCCCTGATTCTAGAATTATATCTCCATGTTGCTCCCCACTGGCCTCTGTATCCCTCAGAGGATATGAGTAAACAAGCTCCCAAGTGGTGTTTGCTTCAAGTTCCCCAGCAATGTCAAAGCTGAGCCCATCTTCTTCCAGAGAAACTCTGGGACTCAATCACCTCCACTCCACACCCACGCTTATTCCCAGAGAGCATTTCCTGTGTGGAGCCCATTTGTTTAGCTCATCTTCTCCTAGAACACTTGGAACAGCTGTCTAACATTAGTGTCAGTGGCAGAGGCCCTTTCTTCCAAAGAAATTCATGCAGACACTTGATGTCAGGATGAGGGAGCTGATGTTCTGGGGTCCTGCTGACAACCCTCACCCACTGCCCTTTCACACCCACCCAGCTGGTGCTGAGCCATCAAGGACAACGCCCATCCAGGAACCAAAACCACCAACCAAGGACTGCAACTCTGAAGTCATCAGTCTCTCCCAATGCACCTGTGTTACTAGGTCATTTATGTTTTATTTAAGCTAAGTAACTTTTTCTAACAAAACAAACTACTTTGAGAGAGAAATCACATTTTAATTGTAAATGGAATTAAGTAAAATAAACTATAAAATAATTACAAAATGAAAAGCGTTATCAAATTCTAGGCGCTTTTTTACTGCCTGCTGAAGACTGTAAACATAACGCTGCTCTCTCTATTCAAATGGGAGGTTGGCAGGACATGAAGATTGTCCAACCAAACCAGCGCCCAACTCTATGTCCTCCTTGATATAATCAGCAGGGTTGAAAGTAAAGGAAATGATTTCCTCATGGCATGATGCTATGTTCCTCCATACCCTGAGTGCTCCCCAATGCCCCCTGAAGTTCATTTACCATCTCTTAAACACCACCCTGGGTGGAGTCCCAGGTTTGGGGAGACTATCCAAGGAAACTGTTGGTACTGGGAATATTTGGGAATAAGGGAGAAACCACGAGTCTCTCACATTCAGTGTACAATCTGGGTATCAGTAGTCCTATCTATGTAGGGGCTAAAATGGTGAAGGGTTGTCTACCCCTCCTATTCTGCTCAGACTCATGTGAGAGTGTTCCTCTTACTGCCACCTGTATCTCATGAGAATGGATTCAAATAGGGCTCTGGGTGATGGGAGACACACTTTTGTAGGTCATAGGACCTCAGGGTTTTAAAGCCATTCACTTTGGCATCCATATAATGCTTGAATTCCTCTCCTAGGTACACTGTTCATGACAGAAGGTCTCTAGGATATGCAACAGGGGCAAAAATCCTCATCCCAGGCAAATCCAGGGGCCTCACCAGCACAGAGCTCCAACCACTCACCTGAGCATCAAGGGACAAGAAGCCAACACAGAATGCCCATTGTGGGTTTAGAGAAGGAAGGGCAGCTTCTAAGAGGTCCAGACCGTGGCATCCACAGCAGGCATGATGATACATGCTGACCCTGCCCTTGACCTAATTCAACATCCAATTGTGCCTATATCCAAGAAAAACAAATGGAGATATTTTGCTACCTGTCAGCCTCATTGATTTCACTGTGAACACTCATTAAAATGGTTTCTTTGTACTGAGCTGTGTTGGCTGTGTTACCCTAATTAAACAGTGGAGAAGAATCAGCGGATAATTTGCTGTGGGCTAGTTGAAGGCATCTCTATCATCCATTTCACTCCTGCTGAGTTTGAACGTACCATTTGCTTTTGGACATCATCCGTGTACTCTCCCGGGAGAGTTGTACATTTCCTTGTTGCTCTTGATTTCCACCACGTGAGTTGAGGATCTAATCATACTATTATTACCCCAGCTAAAACTATGTCCACTGCAAAAATATTGCCTATGAGCGCTAGGGACAGAGATGAAGAAAAAGCAAATGTTTTAAATAAACGTGGTTCTGTGAGCTCATCTCTTTTTATAAGAGCTTGCCATTGGCAAAACAATAACTGCAGAACTTTATTAAATGTTTATTGTAGGTCAGGCACTCTACCAATGTTTGTAGAAATAATCTCATTTAATCCCAATAAAGTGGGTGCCATTATTGCCCCCATTTTATAGGTAAGGAAATAGACATGGAATGTGAGGTGTTGCCTAAGGACCCCCAGAGTTAGTGCCTGAGAGACCTGGAAACACCACTCAGATTCCACCATGCCGTCACATGAGCAGGGATTTTACCAAGTAAGACACACCTGATGGTACATTCACATTCTTTCATTCATTTAGCCGGCGTGTGAGTGCCTGTTTGCTCCAGGCTCTCTGTTAAGTGCTGAGAATTAAAGGATTAGCACAGGAGGTGCCTGTCTTCATAGTTGAGAGGTGCCTGTCTTCATAGTTGAGAGGTGCCTGTCTTCATAGTTGTGCTATACATGGTTCTGCCATACTTCACAGTATGAGCCTGAGAAAGGATCATAGTTAGGCTCCACATGTATGCATCAGGAAGTGTATGCTTTGAACAAGAGAGTGGGAGAAAGACACAGAAAATGGGCAAGATCTGAGCTGAGTCTCAAAAATGTGCACGTGAATGAGCAACCTCAGTGAGGGAGTGAGGGAGTGGTGGAGTGAGGGAGTGGGGGAGTGGGGGAGTGGGGGAGTGGGGGAGTGGGGGAGTGGGGGAGTGAGGGAGTGGGGGAGTGGGGGAGCGGGGAAGTGGGGGAGTGGGGGAGCGGGGGAGTGGGGGAGTGGGGGAGTGGGGAAGTAGGGGAGTGAGTGCAAGAGTGTGCATGGGTGCATGGGGTTCTTGCTCAGGCGGGCTGATCTTCAATGACACAGGTCTAATGTCATTGACCCTGACCTTCTGCCTCTTCCTACTGCCCAGAATTCTCCTTTGGGACCTTGGGGAGGAGAGATCAATGCTTTTACATACCGAATTATGCCAGCCATACACATTTTATTAACTTATGGAAATGTCAGATTGCTTTAACTATTATACTGAACTTCTGTCCTCCAATAAATGGCTTAATTTCCTTCCAAGGATAAAACACTCTGGTGTTTTCGGCTGACCAATTCAGTTCAGGGCGCTCTAATGTTCTGTCTACTCAGAGGACACATACTTCACCACGATGACTCTGGGGTAATGACACCCAAGGCCCATTTCTAATGACCGTCATGGTCCTGGCAAAATACATTCCATATATTAAGGGCTGATGCCTCTTGCAGAGCTGGGCGCATCCTCTGGGGGAATGAGTGGCCTTTTCTCTGGAGCTTTCATCTGCGTGTGATTCCAGAAGAAATATCTCCAAGTATAATGTCAGGGTCCAGAACAGCCCTGAAAGGTGGGGGAAATGGTCCCGGTCCTCACAGATCTGTCTACAGACTCCACCAGGCTGCTAGCAATCTAAGCAAACCCACCTGGGAGCAGGTGATCCGTGTTAACCTCGGAGCTAAGAAAGCCACAAGGGAGCCTCCAAACCTCAGTTTCTACCCATAATTTGGAAATCATTTATCAAGGAGGCCCCCTTTCCAAATTGAATGGGAACTAGGCCCTGTAAAAATCTGGATCTGGCCCTGGGGAGATGAATGTCACATGGGCGTGGAGAACTGTGTGTGGTGCTGGAGCTTCGGGTTCGAGGAATGAGTCTAGTCATTCTGTTCCTCATGCAGTCTGTGCTGTCCCTGGGACTCCAAGCTTCTAGGAAAGAGGACAGCAGGCCTACTCGTGACATTGTAGGCAATATTCACACCTTGTCGCACAATCGATAAGGAGGAAGCTGGCGGCTCTCCATCAACCTGTGCAAGAGTCATCTGGAAACCTTTGAGAATCCCCACACATGTGCCATCACAGACCACGTAAATCAGAATGCCTTGGCATGGAGGTAGCAGTGTGCATTGTGCAGCCATGAGGGTCTCATCCTCCTAAGGTACTGGGATCTCCTGGAAAGTTTAAACAATGCAGATGCCTAGGCCATATCCCTGCCCACATCAATGCAGAAATCTAGACCTGTGTCCAGATGGCTCCAAACACAGACTTTGCAGGCCCTCAGGTGATTCTGGTAAGTATCCGAATTGTAAATTATTGCCAGAAGCAAGCTAATGTGAGCTGAGGGTGGTGAAGGGGAAGTGGGGCCCTCCCTGAGTGCAGAGGTTGGTCTTGAAGAGAAGGATGGGTTGAGCTGATGGAGGAAAAGGGAGGTTCTTTCTTGTCATAGCCAAGGGCTGCTCAAATTAATATAACAAAGAGGATAAAGGTTAATTGGATGAAACTCAGGATTTTGCAGAAAAACAAACCATTCTTCATCAAAATGCTGTGACAACTCTCCAGGCAATAGAGGAATGCCATAAACACCACCCCCAACAGAAGAAGATGCAGGAGGTGAATAATGAGGAGGGTGGGGAAACAGGGACGAATGAGGGTGAGTCTCATTCAAGCCACATTTTAACAACTGCATGTAGATGTAGATGTTGTTGTGTACCTTTCCATCTGAATCACATTCAGCCAATCCGGATCCTTTTGTCATGTCCTTGAATCGGAAGCCCCAAGAAGAAGGGGCTGTGGTGCTCTCGGCTGTACAGGCAGGAACTCACCCAGGGAGCAAATCATTAATTTTATGTTCAGTCTCTCAGTGAATTACTGGTAGATCCCACTTCAGCCAGGTTTTCTTGCCTTGATCTTTAGAATTTGGTGAAATCATAGGTCAGTAAATGGTGGACATCTTTTCCAAGTCTACTCAAGGCAGTAGATAAAGACGGAGAAAGGATTTCTTTCTCGAGGAGTTGAAGAGTTAATTCTTGTCGGTGTTACCTCATCTCTGCTGTTTTATTATTATTATTTTTTTCTTGTAAGACAAGTTGAACACAAAAAACAAGAAAGATACGGCCGGGCATGGTGGCTCATGCCTGTAATCCCAGCACTTTGGGAGTTCGAGGCAGGAGGATCACTTGAGCTCAGGAGATTGAGACCAGCCTGGCTAACATGGTGGAACCCCATGTTTACTAAAGATACAAAAATTAGTTAGGCATGGTGATGCATGCCTGCAATCCCAGCTACTTGGGAGGCTGAGGCAGGAGAATGGCTTGAACCCGGGAGGCGGAGCCTGTAGTGAACTGAGATCACGCCACTGCATTCCTGCCTGGGTGACAGAGTGAGACTCTGTCTCTAAAAATAAAAACAAACAAAACAACAACAACAACAACAAAAAGAACGGTTGTCAAAAACATTTCTCGATTGAGAATGTTTCAAGGACAGGAATAGTTCTTTGCCACTGAGGGTGGGGACAGAGATGGGGAGGGTGAAGTTTTTACAGATTAACAGGTGAATTAATCATGTACTGAAATAAAAAAGAAACATACGCAAGAAATCTTGATCAAGTCCACCAGTGGGATTTCTCTCCACCCTCACCCTGCCACCTCCTAGAGGAAGTCTAGAAACTTTAAGAGTAATATGCCTTTGAGGGTAATAAATAAATCAGGGGTACTGATAAAATAATGGATGAGAAATCATTTACCATCTTGTGATAAGTCCCATCTTGGTTTGATAAAGAGCTGGCAAAAGCTGCCATTGTTTTAGAAAATTAAGAGTGAACCTGCTCGTTAGCTGGGCTATTTAAGCCGTTCATATTAAGATTATGACTTCCCAGACTTAGGCAGCATGTGTTCTCTCCAGCTCATTTTTTTCTGATCCTTATCTTGTTTTGATAAGGAGATTCTGAATGTGACTTATGGTGCGGGGACAATGATAGGGAATGATTTTCTCAAGCACTGGTAAATGAATATGGCCTATGAGAAAAATGCTCTGGGCTCCGTTTACTCAAGGAGATCAATCTCTTTCTGTGCACATCTTTCTTCTCTGTTATGTCAAAACAGAACTCACTTTCTCATCTCATTTTCTTAAAGTTTGCCACCTACTCCTAACCTCCCTGGCTAGAAGGGAAGGAGAAATAGACTTTCAGTCTTCAGTGAAACTCGTTCCAACCCTCTTTATTATTTTGGAGAGGAAACACAGATTTGTCTGGGGCGTGAGGTATCCTGTAACCATGTGTCCCTCAGACCTAGGGGATGGATGTTGAGTGGAGCCTCTGGCCTCTGTGGAAGTGTCTCTGTGGGTCCCAGAGGAGCAAAAATTCTCATAGCTTTAGGAGTCTATCTGGAGCCCCTTGCAACCACACTACCACACCTACGGATTAAGCCTAAATGCTGAATATTCTGTAGACACCCAGGCCAACACAGACTCAGGGAAGAGTGCTGTCCTGCTAACAGCCCTCATCTTTCACTAATCAATCAAATACTGGTTAATGTCACCAACCCCCTTTGAACCTATGCAGTGAATCAGCCTGCTCTTCTTCTTTGGAAATGAGAGTGAGGTCTACTGGGGCCATTTTGCAAGAGTGGAAGTGAGCACCCGAGGTGTCCCTTATCAATAGAATCGTCTCCTCCTGCAATAGCAAAGACAGATGAACTACTGGGTTCATTATCACGAAATGCATTTTTACATCCAAGGAAGCTAAAGGACATGCTGGTGAAGTGACCTGTCTGAAGCCCTGATGCTAATCAAGAAGAATTAGAATGTGGTACCCAGTTCAGATGAGCTCCAATACACCTGCCTTCACACAAGCTGCCCCGCTGTGGTCCAGTGGGAAATGAGCATCCTCCTCAGTGACTGACAAATCTTCAAGCTCTGATGGTCCTAGAAAATCATTTTCATCCAACCCCAAGTGGTGTATCTTTTTCAACAAAACGGTTTGGACACAGATTTGCTAGGGCCAGCCATGTGGATTCCCTCTTGCTGAAGGATCAGTTCCTGGCCAGTCCCTTCAATGTCAGGATATGGAACTTAGTGTTTCGGAAGCTGTTCTGGAGATACCCACCTGGGCCCCAGGCACCCGCATCCTCTGTGAACATGCCTGTGGGCCCCACACGGATGAAACCACAGTCATGAGCTCTTCCCTGGGTCCTTTCAGCAGCCTCTGGGGAACAGATGGAGAAGACTTGAGGGCTCTTACTGTCTGGCTTCATTCACATGGAGTCTGGAACTGAGGGCTGCTTCCTACGTAGCCAATTTCCAGGACTTTCTGCCTGAAATATATATATATATACCATCCTCTCTATAAAAATTACTCACCTGGGGCTTTTGATGTTTTCAGAGAGATCGTCTGTGTTACCTGCTCATTCTTCTAGTTCCTTACAGCTTGTCCATGGATAAAGTTAGACTATTAGAAAACATTTTTCTTCTAGACTATAAACACATTTATAATTTGTGAGAAATGTAGGCATGACAAAATACTACCTCCTCAACTTCCATGGAAGGGAAATATAAGAAAACGCCTATGAAAAATATTTTTATTTCTTGCCTACAGCACTACTCAGACATTACCTGTTAGGTTAACCTATGTCTCCTATATCAGGATTTGTGTGTATTCCTTCTGGAAGGTGGCTCCAGGTTTCTCTCTGGCAGCATTTTTATGCATACCTTGATCAAACAACTTCTAAGAAATATAAAAATCTTCCCTTTAGCCTTCACTGCCAAAAACTTAGCCCTAAAATTAGTGCTCAATTTTAGAAGTAATTTCATTCTAGATGCCTGGTATAGACAAATCTGCTTTCTAACTTATAAAATCATAAATAAAAACATTTACTTCTTTTTATTTAAAAAAATGGATGCTTATGATAGAATATTTGCAGATACAGAAAAATAGAATGAAAGGAAAAAATAAAACTACTAGCATCACAGCCAAAGCCCACCATGGAGAAGAAAAATAACAAAGACATGTAATAGAACTCCACTAGTTCCCTTGCTTTAAGATTATTATTTTTAAATTATAAGCTATTCAATTAGTCAGCTTGGGCTGCCATAACAAAATACCATTGACTGGGCAGTTGAAACAACAGAAATTTCTTTCTCACAATTCTCAAGGTTGGAAGTCCAAGATCAGTGTGCCAGCATGGTCAGGTTCTGGTAAGAGCTCTCTTTCTGGCTTGTAGACACTGTCTTCTTGCTGTGTCCTCACAAGGTGGAGAGAGAGAGGCGGAGGGAGGGAAGGAGAGGGAAGGAGAGAGAGGGAGAGAGAGAGAGAGAGAGAAAATGAGAACAAGCTCTCTGAGTCTCTTCTGTTTTTATTTTGTTTTGAGATGGGGTCTCTTTCTGTCACCCAGGCTGGAATGCAGAGTTCAAGTGATTCTCCTGCCTCAGCCTCCCCGAGTAGCTGGGACTACAGGCACGCATAACCACAGCCAGCTAATTTTTGTATTTTTAGTAGAGACGGGCATTCGCCATGTTGGCAAGGCTAGTTTTGAACTCCTGACTACAGGTGATCTGCCGGCCTTGGCCTCCCAAAGTGCTGGGATTACAGGCATAAGCGACTCCCCCTGGCCTCTGAGTCTCTTCTTATAAGGACACTAATCCCATCATGAGGCCCCCACTCTTATGGCCTCATCTAAACCTAATTATCTCCCCACCTCCAAATGCGATCACATTAGGAGTTGAGGTTTCAACATATGAATTTTGTGGGGACACAGACATTCAGTCTGTAATAGCCATCCTAAACAAAGCCAGGGAGTTGAAGTTGCCTGTTTTTCAATACATTTATCGCACATATTTACCCTAAACAACCCTTATCAAGTAGGAAGCAGGTGGGAGGAGAATGCATGGGGACCCGTGGGCGTGATCTTAGGTGGCTGCCCGCACATAGGGCTGTATCCTCAGCATGAGTAACTCATGTGTCCAGAGGGTTCACATCCGTTCTTCCTCCATCGTTTCCGCAAACAGAGCCCAGTCGGCTCAGAGCACTGTTCCAAGTGACTGACGCCAAGTGCATGGGGCGGGGCGGAAGCCACGGGGTTGGAGAGAGGGCAGGAGAGGGGGAGCACGGAGGTGCGCAGGTGGGGTCTGTCCCTGATAGATGAAGGCTGCAGAGAAGGAGTCATTCTGCCAGGGGGCCTCCTGCTTCCTGCTCCTGTCCTCTGAATCCTCGGAATTAGTTGGGCTTTAGAGACCTAGAGCCTTATGCTTAGTGTGGCACTGTGTAACTGATTCAGTTATTTCATCTGAACCCAGGGAAATAGCTGGGAACCAGGGAGACCCATGCAAAACCCCAGTCACTTGCCACCACCCCCTCAACAATCACCTCCCCATCCTCCTCTCCCATATTCCCCAACAACCACCTCCTGACTCTCATAGCCAGCCTCCCACTCCTGTAATAACTATCTCCCTAAACTTATACCCTCATCTCCCCATTCCCCTCCAACGACCACCTCCCCCATCAGAGCCCCCACCCTCCCACCCCCTCAACAACCACCTCCCCACACTTCTCCCTCATTTCTCCCAACAACCACTTCCCCACTCCCTCAACTTCCCCACTCTTAGAGCCCCCACCCTCCCATCCCCTCAACAACCACCTCCCCTTCCTCGTGTCTCCACCCTCCCACCTCACCATCACACTAGTTCCTGGCACAGAACATACACCTAATGAGCATGTGAAGTAATGTATGAGAGCTCTCCCTTCTAGCATCAACTCTTCAAGCCCAAGCCCCCTACCCACATGCTCTTATCTCTTTGTTTCCTTCTCTTAATTGATTGAAGGAAGAGACTGTTTCCTGGGCTAAAGTTAATCCCTCTGCACATTCTCTGCCTTTTATTTCTCTCTCATTACACCTTCTCAAGGATTTTAATCCCTAATTAGCCTAACTCTTATGTGTTTTTAACCAAGCAACTTCTTATCAGCATTTTAAAATGAGGTGAGAATGCTTAATCTTATATAGAATTCCTTTGTTTCTACATTTTTCTCCAGCTTCTACCGTGTCTGCCATTTGTCATCACTTGTGTTCTAAGGGTTGCCTTCACTCTGGCTTCTCAGCCTCCCAAGCACAGCTGAACCCTCTGAGAGCTGGCTGTTTCTCTTGTCTCCCCTCTGACACTGCACTTGCCAGAACACTGATAGAGCAGAAACTGGTGCTCAATCCTCAGCCTTGCTGAACTTGGCACTTGAACTTGCTCCTATTCAAAACAGCATCTTCCCCTCACTGCTGGGCCAATGCTCCTTGGATACTTGGATAGAGAATTCCATTTGCTCTCATGGCTTTGATTTCCATTTATATTATTGAATATATTATTATTATTTATATTATAATACATTATATTATTTATATTATTCCATTTACATTATTTCCATTTCCATTATTATTCCATTTCATTGTTCCGTCTGGGTCCGTATTTTTTACCTGGAGTAACAGATGTATATATCTCTATAAGTCAGGGTGGGCTATGCTAGTCTACAGTAACAACAACACAGATCAATCAATCAATCAGTCAATCACGGTGAGTTAACCCAATAAAGATTTATAACATATATACAAAATGATGCAAGCCCTGGAGCCTTTTTGTTCTTTATTATTTTCATTTATTATTATTATTGTTATTATTTTTTTTTTTTGAGATGGAGTCTCTCTCTGTTACCCAGGCTGGAGTGTGTTGGCACAATCTTGGCTCACTGCAACCTCCACCTCCCAGGTTCAAGCAATTTTCCTGCCTCAGCCTCCCAAGCAGCTGGAATTCAGGTGTGCACCACCACATCCAGCTAATTTTTGTATTTTTAGCCGGGTTTTGCCATATTGGCCAGGTTGGTCTTGAGTCCCTGGCCTCAAGTGATCCACTTCCAAAGTGCTGGGATTACAGGCATGAGCCACTGAACGCTTGGCCCCTGCAGCCTTTTACATTGTGTAGCTACACTAACTGTAACAATGGTTTTCAAATTTGTCACAGCTGCAGAAGATAGGACTGGATGATCAAGCAAGATATTTCAAGGGTCAAGGCAGAAAGTGGCTATTATGAACTGAATTGTAGAAAGGGGCCTGCTCCATGCCAAGGCGCCCTGAAGTTAGTTGCCCTGGGACTGAGTAATTGCGGATATTCCCGATGACACAGGTGCACCAGTCAGCTTTCATCCATTACGTCCTGGTAACAAACAACCCCTAAATCTCAATGGCTTATGAACATAATAGGCTACTTCTCACTCACATTACATGACTGCTTGGTGGGTTGACTTCAGCTTTTCTCCATGTCCTTTCCTATCCAAGCTGAAGCAGCTTCCCTGATCTAGACTTCACTTCTCAGTAAGAAGAGGAAGGGCAGAGAATCCAGGAGTTTCTACCTGGCTGTGGTTTACATCATTTCCTCTCACGTTTCATTGGCTAAAGCAAGTCACATGGTCAAGCCCAGCAGCAATAGAGGGGAAATATTCTCATTTCATCTCATACAAAGGGGGTTAGAGGAGGACCCGAGCAGTAGACCTAGTACACAGGGGTAGAAGAAAGTATTTTGAATAAATACTCCAAGCTACAAAACCACTGCATATATATTTTCAAAAGCTTGAATTCTGAAAAATTATGAGGGGAAAAATAAATGCACAAGCAAACAAAAGCAAAACGTATCTGATGGGCACAATTGCAGCCAGGGTGAATAATTCAAAACCAGACCATCCAGCCTGGGCACAGTGGCTCACGCCTGTAATCCCAGCACTTTGGGAGGCTGAGGTGGGCAGATCACCTGAGGTCAGGAGTTCGAGACCAGCCTGGTCAACATGGTGAAACCTCATCTCTACTAAAAATACAAAAATTAGCCAGGCATCATGGTGGACACCTGTAATTCCAGTTACTTGGGGGGCTGATGCAGGAGAATCACTTTAACTCAGGAGATGGAGGTTGCAGTGAGCCAAGACTGTACCACTGTACTCCAGCCTGGGTGACAGATTGAGACTCTGTCTCAAAAATAATAATATAAAAAATAAAAAATTAAAAAACCACAGACCATCCAGAAAACCAAAAACCCAAAAACCTAAATATCACTTACATCACTGAAATGATATTTTAAATTACTCTTAAATAAATAAATATTCCAGCAAATATCTGTAACTTCAGCAAAGATGGTGAGAGTCACCTGATGGGTGGAGTTAAAAGGACGAGGCAGCTGAGTTCCAACAGCAAGGGCCAAGGAAAAGGACCTCAAGGGCACTGCTGTAGAAGCAGGTGCTGGCCTTGCACAGAAGACGCAAAGCCAGAGGTGCTGGCTGTGGCTGGTGGTGCCTCTTTCTTCAGCATAGATGGGGATGCATCTTGAAATAAGCACTTCCAAGCAGGCAGGGCCCATGGCCAACCAGACCACAGGAGGGAATAGGTGTGAATAGTCTTCATCGACCATCCTGTATTTTGCATGGGGGGCTGCACTCAGCAGGTAGGTATAATTGCACTCATTTGTTACCATTGCAATTTGGTTGTGCAAATTTGATAGGGTGAGGAAAGTTGCATCCGAACCAAAGTCCCTTCAGTAGGGTCCTCACATCATCCCCCCTATTTAGCAATTCTCTATACTTATATTGACAAATGCAGAAACAGGTAATCTTTCCAAACAGAATACCAGTCTCATTGGTGGTTCCCTAAGACAGGAAAAACATGGCACATTGCCTGGGAACCTGGAAAACTAGGCACCATTTGGCAGGTGGGACACGAACAACATGTGGAAGATGACATTGCTGCTAGGGGCTGATTTGTGTCGGTAGCTTGTCTGTTAAGCAGATCAGTATTGTTCTATAAAGGTAATGACTTGCCTTTACTGAGCACTTAACTTGTTACCTGGCATAGCTGCAACCACACGCAACAGCCTCAGGAAGTAGAGTTCAGTATTTTCCCCATATTCTATAGGAGGACACTGAGGCAAAGAAAATACCTTTGAATTTTAATTACCTCTCAAGAAATTAATAACAAAAGAATGTGTCACTGCCCAATGGGTTCACCCTGCCAGCTGCCTAGACAGAGCTGATTTATCAAGATGCAGGAATTGCAATAGAGAAAGAGTAATTCACCCCGAGCCCGCTGTGCAGCAGACCAAGTGCAGCAGACCAAGTTTTATTATTACTCAAATTGGTCTCCCTGAGCATTTGGGGATCAGAGTTTTAAGGACAACTTAGTGGTCAGGGGAAAGCTAGTGAGCCAGGAGTGCTGACTGGTCAGAGATGAAATGGTTGGGGAGAAGCTAGTGAGCCAGGAGTGCTGATTGGTGAGAGATGAAATCCTGTGTCCTGATAGGGAGTCGAAGTTGCCTTCTTGTGCCGAGTCAGTTCCTGGGTGGGGCCACAAGATCAGATGAGCCAGTTTATCAATTTGGGTGGTGCCAGCTGATCCATCAAGTGCAGAGTCTGCAAAACATCTCAACCACGGACCTTAGGAGCAGTTTAGGGAGGGGTCAGAATCTTGTACCCTCCAGCTGCATGACTCCTAAACCATAGTTTCTAATCTTGTGGCTAATTTCTTAGTCCTACAAAGGCAGTTTAGTCCCCAGGCAAGAAGGAGGTTTGTTTTGGGAGAGGGCTATCATCTTTGTTTTAAACTATAAACTAAGTTCCTCCCAAAGTTAGTTCAGCCTACACCCAAGAATGAACAAGGACAGCTTGGAGGTTAGAAACAAGATGGAGTCAGTTAGGTCTGATCTCTTTCAGTGTCTCCATCATAAGTTTACAAAGGTGGTTTCAAATGTACATATTTAAATATAGGATATCTCTGTATTTCATTTAGGATGTATGGTAGGTGGAACAGTGAGAGTTCCCCTGGAAGACGTGCACATCCTAATCCCCAAATCTGTGAATCTGTGGCCTTACATGGTAAAGGGAACTTTATAGATGGGATTATGATTATGGACCTTGAGCCAGGGAGAGATGATCCTGGATTATTTGAGCAGGACTCATCTAATCACAGGAGTCTGTAAAAGAAGAGGTTTTTCTCTGAGTTGGAAGAAGAGGCAATCAGAAGAGATTCAGCAAAACAGGAGGCCCTAAAGAGTCCAAATGTGAGCAGGCTCTGAGAGGTGGGCCTGCTGTGCTAGGACTGTAGAGAGGCCCCTGAGAGGGGATGGTGGCCACAGCCTGCAGCCCATGAGGAAGTGGAACCCTCAGTCCCACAACAGCACAGAGCTGAATTCCGTCAACCATCTGAATGATCCTTTCCAAACATTTAGATGGAAACTCGGTCTAGCTGACACCTTTATTTTAGCCTCTGAGAACCAGAGTAGAGAAACCAGCTGAGCTGACCTGGACTTCTCCAGGGCTGGGAGATAATACATATACATTGTTTTAAGCCACTAAGTTTTTGATTATTTGTTACAACTGCAAAAGGAAAATCATCCCATATCATTGAGAAAGCTTGGAGGAGTAACGTTGGACCTCTGGGTACTTCCCAACTCCTGGTTTCCCTCAGTCCCTCTTTCACTTCTGCCCAGAAAAGGAAAGATTTCTGGGTAGGCAAGTTTAGGAGAAGTGAGGCATACTCATTTCAGCCTGTTCCTTTCTGCTTACTCTGCGATCTTTCTGACCACAGAGAACATCCGTTCTCATACCACGTTATAACAGGAGCCTGCCTCCAGGGGTCCTACGGTTGTCCACTATGCCAGTGGATTAATTCAGAACTCCGGAAAACAGGAGATATTTACTAGCTCTCTAAAATCCCAACCCATCAATCAGATCCTATCATTTCTATTTACTTTGTGCACCCTTCAAACCCCGCATGATAGCTTTTAGGGCCCTTCAGGATCTGGTGCTGCATGAGTTTCTAGCCTAGCACTACCCAATAAAAATGGAATGCACACTGCAAATATAGTTTTAAATTTCCCAGTAGACACATTGAAAAAATTAAAAACAAGCAGATGACATTAATTTTAATAATATAGTATATTTAACCTAATATATCTGAAATATCATTTCAACATATTATCAATACAAAAATTGTTAGAGATATTTTTCTTGCAGTCTTTGAAATCCAGGGTGTATAGCTGGATTTATAGTAGATTTAGAGTATAAATCTATAAATTATGGATCTATCTATAATTATAAATTATAGATTATCTACAAATGTCTAGTGTATACTATAAATCCAGTGATTTATAGCTGGATTTGAAGTCCTGTGTATATAGCTGAATAGTGACACCTCGTCTCAACCTGGACCCGTTTCGTCTCAAATGCCCAATAGCCACAGGGGACTAGAGGCTACCATATTGAAGAAACCAGATCCAGCTTTATTTTTGCCATTCCTGCCTTCATATTCTTTCATTTTCCTCCTTGTCTGTACTCTCCCCTGACTCTTGTTTCCCTGGTTTGAAACACTCTGCACCTTCCCCCTGTTTCCGCACACTTCCTACCAATGATTTTTACTCTAGCTTCCTCTAGACTGTCTTCCTTGACTCCTCAAATTAGTTACTTGTCTCTGGGTTTCTAGAGCATCCTGTGATTCCATTCTTCTGGGATTTGCCACACGTTGCTGTAATGAGAGATTCCACTCCCATTTGGCATACAGAAGACAGTGAAATAAGTTCTTTTTTTTTTTTTTTTTTTTTTTTGAGACAGGTCTTGCTGTGTGCCCTGGCTAGAGTCTAGAGTGCAGTGGTGCAATCTTGGCTCACTGCAACCTCCATCTCCTGGTTCAAGTGATTCTCGTGCCTCAGCCTCCCGAGTAGCTGGGACTACAGGCATGCATCACCACACCCAGCCAATTTTTGTATTATTTTGGTTGAGATGGGGTTTTACCATGTTGGCCAGGCTGGTCTTGAACTCCTGGCATCAAATGACCCACCCACCTTGGCCTCCCAAAGTGCTGGGATTGCAGGCCTGAGCCACCGTGCCTGGCCGAAATAAGTTTGTTTCTGATGAAACCACAAGAAATCACCAAAACGAAGCTTTTCTTTTAAGCCACTGAAGAAAGAAGTACAGAAGGAAATTTTTGAGAACTAAACTCCAGAGGGCTAAATCTTCCCTAGGTGAACAGAAGAGCAAATGGTCAAACCAAGGTCAGGTAAAACAGAGCTAAAAGCCTGCTAAGAACGGCGGACTTGCCCATGGGCGGGAAAGCAGCTGAATGCAGTCACACCTGTGGCTGGTTTGTCGGATTTGAACTCGGTGACACCCCATATATTAGGATAATCTTTTCTCCTTAGTTATACTCTTCTGTGAAATTTTTGCCGAGAAAGTAACAGCTGTGCCCGAGCAGAAAAGAAACCTCACGCTTTTGCATTGTGGTGTCACCGTTTTGAAGACTAGCAGCATTGTTGTGTGATGATCTTGCTGTTCCCAGATCCAGCCACCTCATGCTCTGTTCATCCCCCAGACTAGCAACTTCCAGGTCCAGCAGACCCAAGATCTTACCGTTTTGAGATCTAATCGTGTCACAGTATTTGGTTATAGGGACCTTATGGAAAGAGGGAGACATCTGAATTCACTTAGAATAACCAAAACTTTGATAAATGCCCCAATTCAACTTCTGTGAATACCACTCTCCACCCACTTGTATGGCTGAAATTAACACAATGGCCAATTCCAAAAACTGTCATAGATTGCTAGCGGGACTAAAATGATACTCTTCAGCAAACCTCCATGACATGTTTATCTATGTAAAGAACCTTCACATGTACCCCCAGTTCTAAAATAAAAATAAAAAATAAAAAAATTAAAATTAAAATGGTACTCTCATTTTGGAAAACCATTTGGCACTTTCTCATGTGGTTAGGTCTACCCTAAGACCCAACAATTTTATGCCTGGGTATTGATAAAGAGAAATAAAAACCTATGTCCACAAATGGACTCTACGAGTGTCCATAGCAGCTTTATTCTTTATAGCCAAGAACTGGAAATAATTTCAATGTCCATTAGCAGGAGAATGGATTAAAAAAAATGTAATATATTCACACAATGGAATACGACTGAGCAATAAAAATGAAGAAACTGCTGATACATGTAACTAGGGGAATCTCAAACACATGGTTTTGCACAAAAGAAACCCAATACGAAACACACATACTTTTATTCACATGAAGTTCTAGAGTGGGAAAGCTAAGCTATGGTGAGAATGATGAGATCAAGTGGTTGTCTGAGGAGGGGAAGGGATTGACTGAAAGGGGCATGATTTTGCATTTTAGAAACATGTAAATATTTTCTTTCTGAAGTGAAGTCACGAGTACAGGGGTGTATGCATCCGTCAAAACTCTTCAAACTGTGCACTTAAATAGGTGCATTTATTGGTACATTACTCTTACTTCAATAAAGTGATTTTTTAAACACCATTTATAACCACTGGCTCAGGGTTTCTCTATACTATTGATGTTTTGTTTCAGATAATTCCTTGTCAGTGTGGGGGCTGCCCTGTAGGATTGTAGGCCACATTGTAGGATGGTTAGTAGCATCTCTGATCTCTACCCATTAAATGCCACTAAGCACCCTGCCAAGTCCTGTCAACGGACAATAAGGCATGTCTCCATACACTCCGAGATGTCCTAGCAGGGGAGGAGAAAAACACCTTTCCTTCACCCTCTTAGGTTCAGTGAAACTTAAACTGACAAAAGGCAGATTAAGAGAAGGGGAAAGATTTTATTTACACATGCAAAGCACACATAGAGAACTCAGTGATGAGTAACTCAAGGGGTGGTTAGAATCTGGGGTTTATTTACCATCTTAATACATGAAGTGGGAGGGAAAAGGCACTTACAGGGGAGAAAAATGGCTTTTTGGAAAGATAAATGGGTTTTCAGGAGAACAAAGACTAGATAAAGTTTGTGATAATGTTTGTCTATTCAGGTGTGAGCGGTCTTTCTGCCTCCTTTGGGGACATAAAACGACCCTGGAGAGAGATTTGGGGTAGTTTTTATTCCCGTTCTACCTTCTGGAAGTAGATTTGACTTAAAGAGAAATTTATGGCAGCCTCACTTCCCAAAGATAGTTGCTTTGGGTCAGAAAACTAAAGTTCTGAGGGCTTTTTTTTTCCTGCATCTGTTGAATCTCAAGTGTCTTCAGCTTAAAATAACCTTTATGACAAAGTGGCATATTTTAGGGTGTGTTTTCTGATCCCCATCATTGTCTCCAGGGCAAAATTGCCCCCATAGCTGGAAACTGCTGTACTAATTCAACTTTCTTTGCTTAGCTGATTCTTTCCTTCCTTCATTCATTCAACAAAGACTGGCTGAGTTCCACCCTGTGTTGGGCATTGTTGTGAGCATCTGGGACACAACAGGGAGCAACAGACAAATGTCCCTGCTCCTTGGAGCTTCCATTCCAATTGGCCAAGGGAGACACATTTTAAAAAAGTGTCTAGGTAGAAGGGACAAAATATAAAGTGGGGCTGGGTGAAGGGGAAAGGAGGGCCAGGGTAGGACGTGGATTGTCATTTTTAAGGCCTCATTGAGAAGAACAACTAAGCAGAGGTGTAAAGGAGGTGAGGGCATCAGCCATGCTGTTACCTATTGGAAGAGTGGCCAAGAAGAGGGGCCAAGGGGACAGTCTACACAGACACTCTAGGGCTGGCCTATGTCTCCTACGCTGAAGGAAGCTTGATGTGGAGCCCAGAGCACCTGAAGCCAACCAAGGAAGGAAGAAAGAAATAAGAAACGAGGTCAGAGGACAAGGTAGGACACGATCACCAGGTCCCTGCAGGTCTTGATGGGGATGGTGATTGCTCCTTGTCTACTTACCAGGTAAGGGCAAGATGGTAGCATTGGGGTGGTGAGAAGTGGTCAAATTCTGGATATATTTTGAATATAGAGCCAATAGGTTTTGCTGATAGACTGAGTTTGTTCCCTAACTCTGCCTGAGGGCAGAGATGGTGTCTTTCTTGCTCATCTTGCTGTGTGCCTACCACAATTTCTGGTCCACAGAATAACATTTAATAAAAAATGGACAAAAGGGGGGATAGATAGGTGGATATATGGGTGGATGATACATGAATGGATAGATGGGAAGAATGTGTGGGTAGGAGGATGGATGGATGGATGGATGAATTAATGATTGGATGGGTGAGTGGGTGTGTAAGTAGGTGAGTGGATGGAGGAATGAATGGATAGTTTGATGGATGAATACATGAATGGGTGGATGGGATGAATGTCTGGGTGGTTGGATGGATGGATGGATGAATGAATGGATAGCTGGATACTTTGATGGATGAATACATGGATGGGTGGATAGGATGAATGCGTGGGTGGGTGGATGGATGAATGAATGGATGGGTGGGTGGTTGTGGAGATGGGTGAGTGGATGGATGGATGAATGAAAGGATGAGTGGGTGGGTGTGAAAGTGGATAGGTGGATAGACAGATGGATGGGTGAATAAGTGGATAGGTAGGTGGGTGTGGAGGTGGGTAGGAGTGGGTGGATGGATGGGTGAATGGACATTAAGTGCTCTGATTTGTTATAATCATCAGATATTTTACATATGAAGGTCCTTGACCACTGACAGGCACTTTTTAGTTATTTAACAAATGAATGAAAACTTTTAACCTTTTTTTTTTTTTTTTTTTTGTGAGATGGAATCTAGCTCTATTGCCCAGGCTGGAGTGCAGTGGCACAATCTCGGCTCAACCTCCACCTTCCGTGTTCAAGTGATTCCCCTGCCTGGGACTACAGGTGCCTACCACCACGCCCAACTAATTTTTGTATTTTTAGTAGAGAAGGGGTTTCACTGTGTTGGCCAGGCTGGTCTTGAATTCCTGACCTCATGATCCTCCTGCCTTGGCCTCCCAAAGTGCTGGGATTACAAGCGTGAGACACCGTACCCTGCTCATTTTGTTTTTTAAATAAAGATGCTACTGAATTTCACTCATGAAAGAAGGATGGAGAGGGACATCAGTCATTTTGTTTACAAAGGGGAGCCACTCCCCTCTGTGCCTGCAAAGAGCTTTCATTCCCAGCAGAACACACAGGGGGCAGAGAAGGGCTGAGAGCCTTCCCCTTGCCAATCAGCCATGCAGCCAATGCACAGTTGCTAACTTCAGCCTCAGTGCGAGTCCCTCGTGCCAGGTCATCAGCCAGGCAGTGGAAATATCACCGTCAGGCCCAGGCTTCCTGCAAGTCCTGCTCCAGCAGTTATGAATAAGAGCATCAGGGCTCATTTTGGCTCATAAAGGGAGCACAGTGAAAGAAAAAACCACTACTGCCTATGAAATCTAACAGATACAAGGTACAATTCTGGAGTAACATGTTGCTACAGTTAAGCCTGCTTTGAGTAGAAATGCTCACACCATGGGCTCAAAAGAATCAGGGCAGAGTTTGCCCTGCAACTCTCCCTGCAGCCACAAGGATGCGGATCACAGCCGTGAGCCACAGCCATGGCTCCACGTCTCTGCCGGAGCGGCCTGGACAGACACACAACTTGGGAACACAATGACTTGTCTCAAACGTGGTAACTGTTATCTTGTACCCAAGGTCCTGACTTAAAGTTGTTTCTATTGATTAATGTTCTCTCTTCACTGCATGTCAAGATGACACCAGTGATTCATTCATTCGTAGATAAAACATTTTTGTGTTTCAGTGGAAAACTGCACTGCCTATCCCATGTCCTCTGAGCTATCAGATTGCAGCCTTGCCCATTATCTCCCAGCTATTCTGAAACTCTTTGTGAATTGTAGGTAAGTGATAGATATGTAAATACTGTCCTAGCTGGTAGTGGTTTAAATTGACTTCCTCCTACTTTGAAAGAAACAATTTTGTCTCCATTTGCAATTCATCTCAACTCTCCTTTACTAGACATAGATTTGTGCTGTTTTGACCTTTGCTGTGAAATGGTTCTGACATCTGCCTGCTTCCCTCATCTTATAAGCATAAAATACATCCTCTAGCAAGTGTTTATATTTATATCTGTCTGCTAGTCATGGTTTTACCTTTTTCTAAGAATTTCCTTTTAACGCATTCAACAAATATTTGTTAAACAGCAGTTATGCACTGATATGGTTTCGCTGTGTCCCCACCCAAATCTTATCCCGCCCATAATTCCCATGTGTTGTGGGAGGGACCTGATGGGAGATAATTGAATCACAGGGGCAGTTTCCCCCATACTGTTCTCGTGGTGGTCAATCCGTTTCACCAGATCTGATGGTTTTATAAGTGAAACCTTTCATGCGTGTCCGTGTGAAGAGACCACCAAACAGGCTTTGTGTGAGCAACATGGCTGTTTATTTCACCTGGGTGCCGGCGGGCTGAGTCCGAAAAGAGAGTCAGTGAAGGGAGATAAGGGTGGGGCCGTTTTATAGGATTTGGGTAGGTAAAGGAAAATTACAGTCAAGGGGGTTTGTTCTCTGGCGGGCAGGAGTGGGGGTCGCAAGGTGCTCAGTGGGGGTGTTTTTGAGCCAGGATGAGCCAGGAAAAGGACTTTCACAAGGTAATATCATCAGTTAAGGCAAGGACCGGCCATTTACACTTCTTTTGTGGTGGAATGTCATCAGTTAAGGCGGGGCAGGGCGTATTCACTTCTTTTGTGATTCTTCAGTTACTTCAGGCTGTCTGGGCGTATACCTGCAAGTCACAGGGGATGTGATGGCTTATCTTGGGCTCAGAGGCCTGACATTCCTGCCTTCTTATATTAATAAGAAAAATAAAACAAAATAGTGTCGAAGCGTTGGGGCAGCGAAAATTTTTGGGGGGTGGTATGGAGAGAGAATGGGCGATGTTTCTCAGGGCTGCTTCAAGCGGGATTGGGGCGGTGTGGGAACCTAGAGTGGGAGAGATTAAGCTGAAGGGAGGTCTTGTGGTAAGGGGTGATATTGTGGGGATGTTAGAAGAAACATTTGTCGTATAGAATGATTGGTGATGGCCTGGATACGGTTTTGTATGAATTGAAAAACTAAATGGAATAACAGAAGGAGAAAAACAGGTATAAAAGTTCTAAGAATTGGGACGACTCAGGATATCTGATTAGAGAGTTCTTAAGGAGATTCGGCATAGTCCTGCCAGCAAAGATTATTTATTTACTTCAAGAGTTAAGAGTGGCAGTTTGGGGATAGCACCAGGTGATATCAGCTGTGATGGCTTGGAAAAACAGTGTAAACCGGCAGTGTAAACAAGAGCAGGGCATGTATGAGTAGTTGAGAACGGTGAATAGGAGTATGACTAGACAGAAGATAGTAGGGATGACAAGTTTTTTTGTTTTTTTTTTGGGGGGGGCACAGTCTAAGTTGGTCTGGTGTCTGGAATGAGACTGGGGCCTAATAAAAAGGAGCGTCTATACAGGAGCTTAAATGGACTGTACCGTGTAGCATTCCGAGGACAGGCCTGAATTCTGAGAAGGGAAAGTGGTAAAAATATTGTCCAGTCCTTTTTAAGTTGGTGGCTGAGCTTGGTGAGGTGTGTTTTTAAAAGATCTTTAGTCCATTCTACCTTTCTTGAAGACGGAGGACCATAAGGGATATAAAGGTTTCACTGAATACTAAGAGCCTGAAAAACTGCTTGGCTGTTTTGACTAATAAAGGCCCTTCTGTTATCAGACTGTATTGAGGTGGGAAGGCTAAACTGAGGAATTATGTCTGACAGAAGGGAAGAAATGACTGCGGTGGCCTTCTCAGACCCTGTAGGAAAGGACTGTACTTATTCAGTGAAAGTGTCTATTTAGACTAAGAGGTATTTTAGTTTCCTGACTCAGGCATGTTGAATAAAGCTAATTTGCTAGTCCTGGGTGGGGGCAAATCCTTGAGCTTGACGTGTAGGGAAGGGAGGGGGCCTGAATAATCCCTGAGGAGTAGTAGAATAGCAGATGGAACACTGAGAAGTTATTTCCTTGAGGATAGATTTACACGATGGAAAGGAAATGAGAGGTTCTGAGAGGCGGGCTAGTGGCTTGTACTATAGCATAGCCTGCCTTTGCTGGTGTGTGGTGATTAGGCCTGGTGGAACTGCCATCAATAAATCAAGCGTGATCAGGGTGAGGAACAGGAAAGAAGGAAATTTGGGGAAATGGGGTGAATGTCAGGTGGATCAGAGAGATACAGTCATGGGGGTCAGGTGTGGTATCAGGAATAATGTGGGAGGCCGGATTGAAGTCCGGGCCAGGAACAATGGTAATTGTGGGAGACTCAACAAAGAGTGAGTGTAGCTGAAGGAGCCGGAAAGCAGAAAGTATATGCATCAGGTATGAGGAAGAAAATAGATTTCAGAAGTTAAGAGAACTGTAGAGAGTGAGTTGAGCACAGTTTGTGATTTTGAGGGCCTCTAAAAGTATTAAAGCAGTGGCAGCCGCTGCACGCAGACATGAGGGCTAGGCTAAAACAGTAAGGTCAAGTCGTTTGCACAGAAAGGCTACAGGGTGCGGTCCTGGCTCTTGTGTAAGAATTCTGACTGCACTAACTATGCCTAGGAAGGAAAGGAGTTGTTGTTTTGTAAGGGATTGAGGTTTGGGAGATTTATCGGACACAATCAGCAGGGAAAGCACACGTATGTTTTTATGAGAACTATGCCGAGATAGGTAACAGATGAGGATGAAATTTGGGCTTGACTGAAGTAATGGGGGCTGTCTGTGAAGGCTTGCGGCAGTATAGCCCAGGTAATTTGCTGAGCCTAATGGGTGTCAGGGTCAGTCTAAGTGAAAGCAAAGAGAGGCTGGGACGAGGGGTGCAGGGGAATAGTGAAAAAAGCATCTTTAAGATCAAGCATGGAATAGTGAGTTGTGGAGGAAGGGATTGAGGACAAGAGTGTACGGGTTGGGCACCACAGGGTGGATAGGCAAAACAATTTGGTTGATAAGGCACAGATCCTGAACTAACTTGTAAGGCTTGTCTGGTTTTAGGACAGGTAAAATGGGGGAATTGTAAGGAGAGTTTATAGCATTTAAAAGGCCATGCTGTAGCAGGTGAGTGATAACAGGCTTTAATCTTTTTAAAGCGTGCTGCGGGATGGGATATTGGCATTGAGTGGGGTAAGGGTGATTAGGTGTTAATGAGATGGTAAGGGGTGCATGATCAGTCGCCAAGGAGGGAGTAGAGGTATCTTATACTTGTGGGTTAAGGTGGGGGGATACAAGAGGAGGACGCAAAGGAGGCTTTGGATTGGGAAGAAGGGCGGCAATGAGATATAGCTGTAGTCCAGGAATAGTCAGGGAAGCAGATAATTTAGTTAAAGTGTCTCAGCCTAATAAGGGAACTGGGCAGGTGGGGATAACTAAAAAGGAGTGCTTAAAAGAGTAGTGTCTAAGTTGGCACCAGAGTTGGGGAGTTTTAAGAGGTTTAGAAGCCTGGCCGTCAATACCCACAACAGTTATGGAGGCAAGGGAAACAGGCCCTTGAAAAGAAGGTAATGTGGAGTGGGTAGCCTCCGTATTGATTAAGAAGGGGACGGGCTTACCTTCCACTGTGAGAGTTACCCGAAGCTCGGCGTCCGTGATGGTCTAGGGGGCTTCCGAGGCGATTGGGCAGTGTCAGTCTTCAGCTGCTAAGCCGAGAAGATCTGGGAAGGAGTCAGTCAGAGAGCCTTGGGCCAGAGTTCCAGGGGCTCTGGGAGTGGCTGCCAGGTGAGTTGAACAGTCCGATTTTCAGTGGGGTCCCACACAGATGGGACGCGGCTTAGGGGGAATCCCGGGCAGCGGGCATTCCTTGGCCCAGTGGCCAGATTTCCGGCACGTGTAGCAAGCTCCTGGGGGAGGAGGTTCTGGAGGAATGCCTGGCCGCTGCGGTTCAGGCGTTTGGAAGTTCTTGTGTGCTGGAGATGGGGCTGGGGTTTGTCTCACAGTGGAGGCAAGGAGTTGCAAGTTTTTTCTATTATTGTACACCTTGAATGAAGGCGAGGTTAATTAAATCCTGTTGTGGGGTTTGAGGGCTGGAATTTAATTTTTGGAGTTTTATTTAATGTCGGGAGCAGATTGGTTAATAAAATGTATTTTGAGAATAAGGCGGCCTTTTGACCTTTTAGGGTCTAGGGCTGTAAAGCGTGTCAGGGTTGCTGCCAAAGGAGCCATGAACTGGGCTGGGTTTTTATATTTGATGAAAAAGAGCCTAAAGGCTTCTGATTTGGGATAAAGAAAAGGGAGCATTAACCTTGACTATGCCTTTGGCTCCAGCCACCTTTTTAAGGGTAAATTGCTGGGCAGGTGGGGGAGGGCTAGTCACGGAATGAAACTGTAAGCCGGACCAGGGGTGAGGAGGGGAGGCGACAAAAAGATTACAGGGTGGAGGAGCAGAGGCTGAGGAAGAATTGGGACCTAGCTCTGCCTGGCGAGGAGCAGCCTGGGGAGGAAGGGAGAGGTCAGAGGGGTCTGTAGAAAAGGAAGATTAGAAAGACTCAGCGACGCTTGGGGTTGGTACTGAGGGGACAGGCGGGAGGGAAAGAAGGAAGATTTGGGATGAGTTGCACTGGGCACAGAGACTAGGAAAGGACTGATGTGTAAAAGAATGCCTGGACGTCAGGCACCTCAGACCGTTTGCCTATTTTGCGACAAGAATTATTTAGATTTTGCAGGATGGAAAAATTCAAAGTGCCGTTTTGTGGCTATTTGGAACTACTGTTGTGTATTGGGGTCAAGCAGCATTGCAGAAGACTTTTGCTGTGAAATGGTTCTGACATCTGCCTGCTTCCCTCATCTTATAAGCATAAAATACATCCTCTAGCAAGTGTTTATATTTATATCTGTCTGCTAGTCATGGTTTTACCTTTTTCTAAGAATTTCCTTTTAACACATTCAACAAATATTTGTTAAACAGCAGTTATGCACTGATATGGTTTGGCTGTGTCCCCACCCAAATCTTACCCCTCCAATAATTCCCATGTGTTGTGGGAGGGACCTGATGGGAGATAATCGAATCACAGGGGCAGTTTCCCCCATACTGTTCTCATGGTGGTCAATCCGTTTCACCAGATCTGATGGTTTTATAACCATCAGATTGGCTCTCATTCTCTCTCTTGCCTGCTGCCGTGTGAGATATGCCTTTCACTTTCTGCCATGTGGCCTCCCCAGCCATGTGGGGCTGGGAGTCCATTAAACCTCTTTTTATTTATAAATTACCTTGTCTGTCTTTGGTATGTCTTTCTCAGCAGCATGACAACAGAATAACACATGCACCAAGGATAGTGGTAGGTCCTGGGGCTGCAAAGGTGAATGACACAGTCCCTGTTCATAAGGCCATGGCATTTCCCCACCATAATAGGAAAAGGCTGAGGGAGTACAGCAAATGCCTTCACTAATGCCTGTAGCTCACCTACCTCTAAGCTGACTTTGTAAGATCTGAGGCCAGACCAGTCAATATCAGCCTAATGTCCTGACTTGATGTCCCCAATGATGGATACAAGTCATATTTTATGTGGCTGTGGTCATCTGGACTATACGTAATTATGTACACTGCTTTTTAAAAAGGTATGTTTTATAATTAAGGAAAACTACATGCTCACTGCAGGAACTTTGGGAAATCCAGAGGAGCATGAAAAAAGAAAATCTCCATAATTCTCATAAATACCGAGAAAAACCCCCAACACCCTCACTTCCTCCCCTGACCACCAAGCAGATGCCTCTACCTCCTCCAGCCTCCTATCTCTTTTCCTTCCTCTCCCTCTGCCTCTCAGTAAGGATGATCTGAACCGCATTTCCACTCCTTGCCTCCCACCCACTGTCAGCCCACACCAATCCGCTCCATTACTCACCTAGGAGAGAGACCTCCTGCTGAAGCTGTCAGTGACCTCCTTTGCCTTAAGTCCAGTGGACACTTGTCTCCTCAAGGCTTTCATCCAATGCAACCCTGTTGAGGTTGAGCACTGTCTTTTTTGAAGAACACCGTTTTGCCCTGGCTCTTCCACTCTTCCATCTTTTTTGGATTTCCTTCATATTTTCAGTCTCTCGTTGCCACTCTCATGCAGTGTAAACCAAAAATAAAATTCTAAGGCCCCTCTGCAGCCATCTGAATGGACCCCTCTTCTTGGCCAAGGGCACTCCAGAGTCAACCTGAAAAACTAGTTCAGGCCATGATGGGAAGGGAAGCTGGGCATACCTCATTATACCCTCCTTCATTTTGGAATTACTGATAGAATAGCCTCTTTCAGTCTGATAGGAAACAGTTACAATCTATTCTCTCTGAAGCCTGCTGCCTGGAGGCTTCATCTGCATGATAAAGCCTTCGTCTCCACAACCCCTTCTTGTGATCCAGACATTCCTTTCTATTGATAATAATTCATCCAACCAATCATCAATCAGAAAATCCTTGAATCCACCTGCGACCTGGGAGCTCCCACTTCCAGTTGTCCTGCCTTTCCACACTGGACCGATGCACATCTTCTGTGTGTTGATGGATGCCTTATGTCTCCCTACAATGTAAAAGCCAAGCGTGGCTCCACCGCCTTGGACACACTCAGGATCTACCGAGGGCTGTGTCATGGGCCACTGGTCACTCATATTGGGCTCAGAATGAATCTTTTCAAATATTTTGTGGAGTTTGACTTTTTTTTTGACAGCTCATTCTTCTACCCAGTCACTCAATGTGGTGGCTCCTTAAGGCCTCATTTAGCCCTTTCCTTCCTCTCCCTCCCTCTCCCTCTGCCTCTCCCTCTGCCTCTCCCTCTGCCTCTCCCTCTGCCTCTCCCTCTTCCTCTCCCTCTTCTTCTCCCTCTTCTCCCTCTGCCTCTCCCCCTTCCTCTCCCTCTGCCTCTCCCCCTTCCTCTCCCTCTTCCTCTCCCTCTGCCTCTCCCTCTGTGTCACCCTCTTCCTCTCCCTCTTCCTCTTCCTCTGCCTCTCCCTCCCATTTTCCTCCTGACTTTGCTATGACCATTGCTTCAGCAGCCACACATTCTCCAAAGACCCCAACAATGTCTCCAGCCCATTCCTTTTGTATCTCAGATCCACACACCCAATAACAACTTGTGTTTGTTGGGGTCTTTTTCCTGCCAAGCATGTTTCTAGGCACTTCCTTTGTATTATTTCATTTTATCCTCCTGACTACCCTAAGGTTGGCATTATTACTGATAAAAGTGTTATACAAATAAAGACACCCACCGATGCACAAAGACATAATGTAACTTGTTTAATGTGACAGAACTAATGAGTGGTAAAGTCAGGATTTAAAAGCAGGCAATCTGACTCTTATGCCTACAATACTATGCTGAGATACCAGCTGACTGTCCCAAATATTCACCCATATACCTCAAAAACACCTCTTCCTTAATCTAGACCTTATCCCATGCTTTATAAATCAGTGAGTGACATCATCATCCATCTAGTGAGTGACATCATCCATCCAGTGAGTGGCATCACCATCCATCCAGTGACTGACATCATCCATCCAGTGAGTGACGTCATCATCCACCCAGTGAGTGATATCATCACCCACCCAGGGAACATCACTGGCTCCCATTTAGCAAATGGCACTGTCATCTTCCCAGGGAGTGGAAGTGCTATTCCTCCAGCAAACAGCATCGTCATAACCCAGTGAATGACATGGTCCTTCACCCATCTTGGGGATGGACCTGCAAATCTTAACTTGTAGACTCCTCATTTCCTCACACCGGTTGATAAACACACATCTGCATGATAAAGCTCTTGTCTCCACATGTAGTGGAGATGACTGCTAAAATACCTCTTGAAGCCCTTATGGAAGTGTGACCCTTTCTTTCAGAGGATTGTTTCAGTTTAAAAGTAAACAGTGATTTGTCTGGTTATTTGGCTAATGTCTGAACATGGGTGCTAGACCATAAGCCACATGAGATGAGAGTTTGAACTTCTTCTTGATCTCCAGCCACAAGCTCTAGGTGCTCAATCAATATCTGTTGGAAGAATTAACTCACGGAGTTTCTCAGTCTTTTATGGTGATAGTTAATGTAAGTAAAGGATACTGTGTAGCCTGATTTTAAGTGTAGATAACGCCTTTGCAGTAGACAGAGATAGACAGAGTGAATGTTATCAAACCCAACTGGGGTCTGCTAGCCCAGGGGAAGAAAACCAAACAGGGACACTGGAATCACAGCGAGAGAAAGCCAAAGGGAGGCATTTATTGCAGGGCACCAAACGGAGCACTGGGCAGCTCATGTTTAAGACCTGAACTCCCTAAGGGTTTACAGGTAAGGATTTTAAAGGTGGGGAGGCAGAGGTTACAGGCAAAGTCATAAATCAATACATGGAAGCTATATATTGGTTTGACCTAAAAAGGCGGGACATCTCAAATCTTGAATTGGAGGAGGACAGGTCATCGGTGGATCCAGAGATTTTCTGATCTGCAATTGGTGGAGGAGGTAAAATGTTGCCTGAAAATTTGGGATCAGCCGACAACAATGTTAGCTCAAGCTCATGGGTGTGGCCTCCACCTTCTGCGGGTGCAGCCACACAGGAAGAAACTGAGACCACAGAACCCCAGTCAGCGTTCAGTCCTTGGTTCCCCCTTATCTGAGGTCTATGGGCTAGCGAATCCATTTAGTGGGAGTCTGAGTTTCTGAAAAACAACTCAGAGACCGATGTGAAGGTTGTTTCTTTCGTTTCTATAGAGAACCAAAAATTCTCTTGACTTCCTTGGCTATTGTTTTAAGCTACTCTTAGCTCCTCACTTATCAACTTGCTCATTTACTTCTGAAGGTTAGCCAGGTGCCTAGAATGTCCCTGGAAGGAATTCAAGATTTTCCTTTATTTCCATGCTTGGGTGGGTCCACAGACCCCAACAAAAGGTCCCTGCTCCATCTCATGAACAGCAGCTTTAGTGTCAGATGTATAATTGTATCATTATCAGTCTCAAGAAAATTCAGTGGCTCTGGCCCTTTAACATGAGATTTAAATTTGCAGAATATGATTTCTAAAGTTCCACGGGGATAAAAATAGCTATTGTGTTTCTTCCTGTTTCTCCAGTTTTTAGAAGGAAAAAAATATTATTCATTTTATAGAGTGCCCAAATATTATAACTCACTGGCTTAAAACTGTGTTTGCATGTTTTGTTAATTGGCAGAGTCCTATTTCCAACTAATTTCTGTGTGAAACCATAAGTGAGATATTTTATCAGTTTAAATATTTTAAAAATTAAAATTAGTCATATTTAGGGATAAATTCAACCACCGAGAAAGATGAGGACATTCTAATAAATATCGAAATTACAATCAGGGATTTTATCTCCGTGGGGCTGCCGTGTCCATCTCGGCATCTCAGTGATTTCGGTCTGTGGGTTTTTTGTTGCACAGTGCGGAGACTATCTGGATGTCTCACCTAATTACTTGTTGCCTTGGTGAAACTCCATTGTGGCCGAGTCGTGCTGGGCAGATGCCTGTTTGTTCTTGCCATTATCTCAGCTTGAACACAAGCTGATTTACAGTTTTTCCGCATCCTCATTCCACCAACCCACCCCTTTCCAAATGAACTATCCCCCAAAGCATGGGCAGGTTGTCCATATTTTACTGAAGCCTTCTTGAAGAAATAAGGAAGTGGATTCACGCTGCAAACCACACAGTAGGAACGTCTTTAAGAAACTTAATGTCCTTTGTTTACTCTTTGCACCTGATTCTCTCATCTAATGATGTCAATGGTCACATATCTCTTTGTCCTATATTTTTTATTTATTTTTTGTCATGTTGGCCAATTCAGCTAATATGATTACAATATTCCGTGCTACATACTGAATGCCCAAATCTCATACTTGGTATTAACTTTAATCGTTCTGTTCCCACTAATTCTTGAGATATTAAATTTATTATATAAATTTTAACTTCTTCTTTGAAATTTATTAAATTTACTACATAAATAATAATATAAATTTGTTATTTTATTAAAAATCAACACCATAAAGCCACCAGCTACATTGCAGTAATAAACATTTACTGTGTTTTGCTCTGCTTAAAAAACAAAACAGAAAAACTCACATAGACATCCCTGCTCACTCAACAGCCCTCTGTGCCTGCAGACCACCCCTCATTCTCTTTCTTGTCTCTCCCTTGCCAGGGTTTCTCCAGCCTTTTAGTCTGAGCGTTTCTCTCTTTCTGTCCTTTCCCCCAGCTTTCTCTCTCCCTCTGGCTCTCTCTCTCTCCCCACTCTCTTTAGTGCAGAAATAATTCAGCTCCTTAGATTCTCTGCCTTTGCATCCCACGCTCTGTCTAATACTAAAGGCCACCACTAGAACATGACTATTTACCCTGAGCAAACATGAAATCCAGTTGAAGAGTCACCTGCCCTCCAAGGCAAGGAGCATTGCAAATAACACATTTATATAGATTTCCGCAACAGATCTGTTGGCTGCTTGAAAAGCAGAGTCATCAGACGTCTTTTTGTTTCAAAGTTTAATCTATGAATGTTATCTATTCTCCTACTCCTTCCGGAGAATATAAAAGTCAAAAAAAGAGCCTGTAAGATTTACAGTAAGTGTCAGAAACACCTATAATGGTATACAATCCGGATACCTGATATTTCCCAAGTGATAGCTGTTGACAAAGTTTGTTTGCTTGGCCAAAATTTAGCCAGGCACATCACCGTACCTCCTTTTAAAATCCAGTTTTAGAAAAGAGCCTTGCTAAGTTAGTTTAGCCAGAATTCCCCACCCTCAATATCTGATTACCCTCAATTGATACCTCATCCTCCACCATCCCCCACGTGATGTCTGACCACCCTGGCCTGCCTTCAGCAAAAATCCTGTTAGGTTGGTTGAGTCAGAATTCCCCTTACCCCAGAACTGAGCCCAATCTGTCTCCTCTACTGCAAAACCCCATTGCAGTGGTCCCCGCACCAACACAATGGTCCTGAGTAAAGTCTTCCCTACTGTGCTTTAACGAGTGTTAACGAATACTTTTTTCTTTGACACGCTACAGGGTCATACATGGATCTAACCAAGCATAAATTCTCTATTGACCATAATACTGTGTACAGAAGTTAACCAGTTTCTACAGTGTTGTGAGAAAGTACATTAAAATGCCCAAATTATAAGTGGATACTTGCAAGGTGCAAACTGCTCAGTCAGTGATATACCTAGAAGTTTAAATGAATGAGGGTTGGGGGAGCAGATCAACTCTCAGCTTACCCAAGTTCATTACCCAAGATAATCTACTGGGAGTGTCTTCAATAAGTTCAATCTTAGTATTGAATACATCTCAATACACACTTTGTTTTTATAATGTTTCAGACTTCAGAATTTCATTTGTAGCACCTCAGAGGTGCTTGTATGCCACCCTGGCATCCCGTAGAATACAGTTGAAGAATAAAAAAAAAGGGATAATTTAAGCCACTGTTCAGCAAATACAGGACTAGAACGAGAATAGGTGTTTCATATATTCACCTTTTAAATGTCATCAATTTTTGGAAAATGGCTCATCTGACTTGTGATATAAAATATATTTTATAAAATAGACATTTTCAGGCAGTGTAGAAATAGATGAAGAATCACTTAGCTAGCACTTGTGAAAATATAATCGAACTTTGCTTTTTGAGTTTGGTGTCAAGAAAACAAAGTTCTTTAAAGTCACTCTTTCTTGGGTTCACTACTGGGATTAATCTGGCAGGTCTGATAGAATGAATTATATGTGACTCATGTATTTCCTGAGCATTTATAACTCTCACAATTTCTTTTAATTACCTTCATGCATGTAAGACAGATTTGTTAGGCACAGAATTTGAGTATACAACATTTACCTTCAAAACCCTATGGACATTGCACACTAAGAAAAGACAATAATTAACTTGATTTTTTTCCTTCTTCTGTTGTCCCTCCCTGGACTCCCTCCGCCTGCCCACTGGGCTGCAATATCTACGACCTTCTCCCTCCTCATTTTCACCTTGGTGACTTCTTTCTCTGTATTTTAGGAGATTGACTCATTTTTTCTTCACATCATTTGTTTAATTTTCCAAATGTCATTTTTGCTCTTTATTCCCTCCAGAGCTGATTTTGATTGTACCATTTGACAAGATTTTATAAATTGCGAAATGTAGTATGGCTACAAAAAAAGTGGATGAAATATGAATGGATGATTAAAAGTGCTAATGAAGTGCTAATGTAACATGAATATTAATTTACCCACCAGTGAAGCCAAGAAATAGCTCATAGTCATGAATGACTCTGCCCCTTGAAATGTGTTCTTTCTGGTCTCAATCCTCTGTTTACACCTCCCTTTTATAACCATACCCCAAATTTTCTGTTTACCTTTCCCTTGGTTTGATGTATATATACATATGTATTACTTAGTTATTCCTGTATTTATTTTTGTCAGTTTTGAAACTGTATGTATACAAGTAGACTAATACTCTGTGTATGCTTCTATGAATTTATTCTTTTACTTTGCATAAAGACTTGTCCATATTGATGCACATGGCTGTAGTTTATCATTCTTACTATTACACACTCAATGGTAGGTGGCAAGTGCCTGTAGTTCCAGCTACTTCATTTAACAACTGGCTCTCTAGGTAACCAAAGCTCTGATTTGTACTGTTTACCCATTTCCATGGTGTAAATACCTCCAGCACAGCTGATTTCAAGCCACAATATAAAGCCACTTTAAGCAGAGTTGGGAAGAGAGGTACACAATTGGCTCTTGCAAGACAGGATGAACTGGCTCAAGCTATCACTCTACATGAGTATTTCACTGTGACAATCTACAACTTATTTATCCATTCTGCAGTTGATGGAGGGCTGGGTTGTTCTTAATTTTGCTGCTATTATAAACAATGTTATTAAAAACAGGTTTGGCTATGCTTCCAGTGCATAGGTACAAGTTTCTTCACGATCTAAACTTGTCAGAGGCTATGAGCATGTTCAATTTATGGGTATATAAATTTATATAAAATATAAACTAGGTAGTTTATATTTTGGATGCTGTTGCAAATATCTTTTTAAACCTAAATTTCTGATAGAAATTTAGAAATGCAATAGAATTTGCCTATAGATTTTATATCTAGAAATTTTTACTAATTTCTTCTGGTAATTTAGGTATTTAATCTGTGCATTCCTTCAATTTTCAATTTCAGCCTTCTTTGTCAATACTGTCATAAAGAGTCTGGCTCTATTTTTGATGCTTGCTCCCAGATTTAACAGTACCTCTCTGACTTCCTCTTCTACCCTATGTCTGAGATCCGAGCAAGCTGATAAAAAGACAATGGCCTTTCCAGGGCCAATGGTGCAGATCAACAATTCTGTCTCCTTTCCCACATTCTGTGGTCTCTCACAGTTAGGCACAGCCCTGTGACAAGTTTCAGCCAATGGCTGTGAGTGGAAATAAGTTGTGTCAGTTAACCAAAGAATAGAGGAACCAGCACTCCACTTCCAGCTATATTTCCCTTGCTGCTGGGATCCATTATGGATGATGTATCCACTGTCAGCGCCAGTCCCTGAGTGACTGGGGTGGTGAAGGACACCTTCCACTTTCTCACTGGTCATGTTGTGTGAGGCAGAAATAAACCTGTGAGGTTTAAGTACCAATTTCATTCAGGCTTAATAAATACACATTTATATAAGTCTTGACATAAGGCTAGGTTTATTATTTATTCTTTAAGAGTACCTTCACTATCTGGAGACATTTTTACTTCCTTGTAAATTTAACATTCATCTTTCTATGTTCCATAAAAAACCTTGGAAGAGTTTTGAATAGAGTTTAATTTGGGCAAAACTGAGAGGTGGTTATTCAATCTGTAAAAAATATCTTTTATTAAAATTCTATAATTTTTCTCTCTGAAAAAATTTTATAATTTTGTTAGGTTTATTTCTAGGTAGTTTATATTTTGGATGCTGTTGCAAATATCTTTTTGAATCTAAATTTCTGATAGAAATTTAGAAATACAATAGAATTTGCCTATAGATTTTATATCTAGAAATTTTTACTAATTTCTTCTGGTAATTTGGGTATTTAATCTGTGCATTGCTTCAATTTTCAATTTCAGCCTTCTTTGTCAATACTGTCATAAAGAGTCTGGCTCTATTTTTGATGTTTGCTCCCAGATTTAACAGTACCTCTCTGACTTCCTCTTCTACCCTATGTCTGAGATCCAAGCAAGCTGATAAAAAGCCCTGGGTGCTCTATCCTTTGTCACCAGCTGTGAAGTTCAAGCCACTAGGCCCCCAGCCCCACCTATATCAATGTTCAGATTAGTTTTATCACATAACTACAATAAAAACCCCAGGTCAAGGCAGGGCGCAGTGGCTAATGCCTGTAATCCCAGCATTTTGGGAGGCTGAGGCGGGAGAATTACTTGAGCCCAGGAGTTTGAGACCAGCCTGGGCAACATAGTGAGAGCTGGTCTCTACAAAAAACACATTAGCCAGGTGTGGTGGTGCGTGCCTGTAGTCCCAGTTACTTGAGAGGCCAAAGTGGGAGGATCATTTGAGCCCAGGGAGTTGAGGCTACAGTGAGCTGTGATCATACCACTGCATTCTAGCAAGGGCAACAGTGTGAGACCCTGTCTCAAAAATAAATAAATAAACAAGCCCAGGCTCTGCTCTCCCCAGAAAGCCTCGATAAGTGAGGAATAAGCCTCCCATACCCTATGTGTACAGGCATGGTGCTATCCATCCCCATTGTGAATCTCAACCACATTTTCAATAGGGAGCTCATGGCCTCTCTGCAGGGTAACTACAACACAGCAACATTTTTGTTTCTTTCATTCCAATTTTTATGTCTTTATTTTTCGTGCCTTATTGAACTGACCAAACTTCTTACTTATAAAGTTAGAAATACAAGTGGAACAGTGAACATCATGATCTATTTCTTCACCATTAAGAATAAAATTTGCTATAATATTTTTTTAAGTTACTCTCTACCAAATTAAAGAAGTTCCTGGATTTTCTAAGTTTGGTATGAACTTTTGTCATGACTTGATGTTAGAAGTTATCAAAAAGTTTTTTTCTGCGTCTGGTGGAATAATCATATGATTGTTTTTAGTCTATGAATGTGGTAAAACGCCTTAGGTAATTTCTCAATACTGAATCCACCTTGCATTTCTGAGATAAGTCCAAGTTGTTTGTGGTTTATTGTAATTTTAAATCATGCTGGATTAAGTTTATTAATATTTTGTTTAGGATTTAAAAAAAAAAGATGGGGCTGTAACCTTCTTTATACTGTTTGATACAGATGTTGCAATTATGGTCGTGCTAGTCTCCTCAAATAAATTTGCAGGCATTTTATCTTTTTCCAAAGTTTGATATATTTTAAACTTGGAATTATTGCTTCTTAAATATTTGCTGTGGGATTTTTCATTTTTCATTTGTTTACAATTTTAAACGTATTGGAATGTGTGTGTGTGTGTGTGTGTTTTTTGAGATGGAGTCTCACTATGCTGCCCAGGTTGGAATGCAGTGGCACAATCTTGGCTCACTGCAAACTCCACCTCACAGGTTCAAGTGATTCGCCTGCCACAGCCTCCTGAGAAGCTGGGATTACAGGTGCCCAGCACCACACCCAGCTAATTTTTGTATTTTTAGTAGAGACAGGGTTTCACCATGTTGGCCAGGCTGCTCTTGAGCTCCTGACCTCAGGTGACCTGTCTGCCTTGGCCTCCCAAAGTGCTGGCATTACAAGTGTGAGCCACTGCACGCAGCCTGCAATGAATATATTCATACTATTTTCTTATTAGTTTTCATATCATAATTTTATCCTTAATATTTTTTATTTGTACTTTTTCCATCTCCTACATGAACCTTGCCAAAAATGACCAGTTCTATTAGACATATTTAAAAACCAACTGTATTAGTCTGTTCTCACATTGTTATAAAGAACTACCTGAGACTGGAAAGTTTATAAAGAAAAGAGGTTTAATTGACTCAAAGTTCCACAGGCTGTACAGGAGGCATGGCTTGGGAAGCCTCAGGAAACTTACAATCATGGCAGAAGGTGAAGGGGAAGCAAGCACATCTTCACACAGCGACAGGAGAGACAGCATGAAGGGGGAGGGGCTACACACTTTCAAACAACCAGATCTTGTGAGAACTCTATCATGAGACAGCACTAGGGAGATGATGCTAGACCATTAGAAACCACCCTCATGATCCAATCACCTTTCATCAGGCCCCACCTCCAACACTCAGAATCACAATTCAACATGAGATTTGGGTGGGGACAGAAAGCCAAACCATATCACTGGCATTTTCAGCTTTGTTGAGTTCCCATATGCTTATTTTCTAATTTTTAATTTCTTATTTCATATTTTAATATCTTACATAAGCTTATTTTATATTTATTCTATTATTCTTTCTCTGCTTTCCTAAGATAAATTATTTTCTAATTAATTTTCAGACTTTCTTCTATTCTAATATCATTCTTTATGGCTTTATATAGATGGACCTAGCATGTTTTGATATGAAGTATTTTTATTATATATCTAGTCCACATCTATTCTAATTTCTATTATGGCTTATTCTATCATTAACAAGTTATTTATTAGTGCATTTCTTGATTTCTAGACATATAAAATTTTCATAGTTATTTTTAAAAATTGATTTCTAGGCTAGGTGCTGTGGCTCATGCCTGTAATCCTGGCATTTTGGGAGGCTGAAGCAGGTGGATCACCTGAGGTCAGGAGTTCGAGGCCAGCCTGACCAACATGGCGAAACCCCGTCTCTACTAGTAATACAAAAAAATTAGCTGGGTGTGGTGGCACGTGCCTGTAATCCCAGCTACTCAGGAGGCTGATGCAGGATAATCGCTTGAACCCGGGAGGTGGTATATTAATCCTTTGTTGTTTATGGAGATTTAGTTTACAATTTATGTGTTTGCAAAGACTATGTTTTCTCTTGATTGCAGAATTCTATATGTCTCTTAGGTCAGATTTTAAAGATCAGCTTATTCAAATAGGCTACATATGAACTACTTTTTAGTCAGAGTATTCTATCAATTCCCAAAAAAGTGTTAAAAGTCTCCCAGTATGATTTTGTATTTGTGTGTTTCTCTTTTAATTGTTTTTTCCAAATTTTGCTTATGTATTATGACCTATGGTATTAGGCACATATAGTACCTATGGTATTAGGTACATATAATTGCCCCCCTTATCCATGGAGGATCCATCTCAAGACCCCAGAGGGTGCCCAAAACTGTGGGCAGTTCCAAATCTTATATACACAATACATTTTTCTATACATATATTCTGTATTAGTCCATTTTCATACTGCTATAAAGAAATACCCAAGACTGGGTAATTTATAAAGAAAAAGAGGTTTAATGGACTCACAGTCCCACATGGCTGGGGAGGGCTCACAATCATGGTGGAAGGCAAAGGAGCAAAGCCGTGTCTGACATGGTGGCAGGCAAGAGAGCTTGTGAAGGGGATGTGCCCTTTATAAGTCTCTCATGAGACTTACTGGCTATCACCAGAACAGCATGGGAAAAACCCGCCCCCATGATTCAATTACCTCCCACCAGCTCTGTCCATGACACATGGGGATTATGGGAGCTACGATTCAAGATGAGATTTGGGTGGGGACACAGTCAAACCATATTACATACATACAATAAAGTTTAATTTATAAATTAGACACAGTAAAAGATTAAGGACAATAACAAATAATAAATAGAGCATGTATAACAATATACTGTAGTAAAAGTTAAGTGAATGTGCTCTCTCTCTCTCAAAATACCTTATTGTACTGCACTCACCTTTCTTCTTGTGCTGATGTGAGATACCTCTGTGATGAGATAAAATGAGGTGAATGATGTAGGCATTGTGATGTTGTGTTAGGCTACAGTTGACTTTCTGATGCTCAGTCAGAAGAAGGATCATCTGCCCTGGGTGATTCTGGGTCCTTGGGCCATGAGGATATTGATGGTTGGATGTCAGGAGCAGATGATGTTGATGATTAATGGGGATTAATGTATACAGTGTGGATATCTCTTCCCATGTTACTCATCTATTCCTAATCACCTGAGGCACTGTTCCATGTCATTGTCACCTTGGAACCCAAGTTAACAGGGCAGGTTCTCTCTGGCCATCATGGTGGCTCTATGATATAGATGACATAGCGGTCACATGCTCACTCCTAAGGCTTTCAATCAAAAGCGGTGCATATCACTCTGCCCACCTCCCATTAGCCAGAGGAGGTCAAATGACCATGCCTTAGTAAAACATAATGGAGAGGTAAAATCCTATGGCAAGAAAAGACAGAACATTTGTGAACTATAATCAAAATCTATTTTTCATATTTGTGTACTAATTCTCAAGTGAGAAGAATTTTTACTGGGCTTCATATTCACACGCAAACATGTTGCATTGCTTTCGATCCCATTATTTCTCAACCTAAGTGTAATTTGGAATTCATCCTAAGAAGTACAGATGGAAGGGGAGAAAATGAACATAGATTATAGTCAAATTCTCAGTGTCATTCTTGTAAAGTAGCTCTTCTATGCTGAGATGAAATTTTCTCTTGTCCCTGTTACCTGCAGTCAACACCTGCCAGGATATAGGATCCATTCCCAAAGCGACCCCTGCCTACAGTCTTACCTAATTTCTGTCCTCTCAGTTCTTGCTAGAGAGGGTAGAAATACCTCTATGCCTGACAAAAGAAGCTCCCCCACAGTAAGGGGATGGCTGTCCAATTTTCTAGCTGATAAAGCAGAAGGCATTTATGTAAAAGTTGCCAGTCACTTTCAAATAATAAGACTTGTTTATTAATTTTTAGTGACCCTGCAAAGTTGATTTACTATATTTACTATTTTTTCCAACCCATTATCATTAGCTTTGGAAGTAGAGAAACTTGCCCCCAGATTCTAGAAAATGTTGATAATCAAATCCAGTTCTTGGTGGTAGCATGAATTTTCTTCCTGCTTAGTGCCGTCCAAACTCTTGGTGAGAAGCTTTTTGCCAGATGTCGTTTTAAACCAGAAGCCACTGCAAGCCTGGAAAAATCAGCTTCCTTGGGGTGTTTGAGATGTAATCGAAAGGACTATTTCCAGAAGCACTTCCATGTGTAAAACAGCATATGGCCGGTGCTTCAGCCTGCCTGGAGGGTGTTGGTGTCAGCATGAACTCCCATGCCCACAGTGGAGGTTGTATACCCAGTGAGAGGGACTTCAATATCAATGTGTTGAGGTGATTATGATGATAGTGGTGTGTCATAATGGTGATGATGATGTAACCAACAAGGTTCTTCCATATTGATGTTTCTCTATGTTGCTGCACCTAGGGTTCAATAATTACTTGCAAGACAATGTCAGATGAGTCCTCTCAATGCAGTTACTTTAATTAAATGGAACTTCTGATATTTTGGTTTTCCTCCCTGTTTGAACCACTGCTGGAACTAATGGCTACTAATTACACGCAGTGTTTACAAGAGACACCTAGAGGCCCTGACAGGTGGCAGTGGAGAGCCCTTTAGTTGAAGGACAAGAGGAACAGGTTGAGCTGAACCCAGGAACAGGCTCATTGGCTGCAACCTGAGCCTCCCATCTTGCAAATATTTATGTGGATAGCTGAGGTATCAGGATGAAGCAATCGTTGGCACTTCCCTTCCCATTTTAAAGATGACAAACAAATAGCTCTTCTGACAGCTGGGAGCTTGAAGAACCATATAGAAAACAAACAGTCAGGCTTTGAGGACTGGAGAGTTTTCAAAAGGAAAGCAAAAAGGCCCAAAAGGAGATTAGAATGAGAAGAGAGAGAAGCACAATGCTTCAAGGAAGGTTAAGATCTTCAGCCCCGGCATGTTGAAATACTGATGGATAATTGTAATTAGCTTTCAGAATTTTTAATTATAGAAGTGGTATAAAAAATCACCCGACCCAGCTTCACTAATGAGAGTCCTTGTGCTGAGACACACAGGGAGGCTTTTGTTAGGTGCCTTTGAAAATGTGGCTGTTAATTAGGTGTCTTGCAGAGGCAGGATTGCAGCAGAAGAGGCAACATTTATACACTGAAATTCGACTCATCAAAAGAGGCAGCCAATACCATTAAAAGGACTCAAAGGAAAAGCCAGACATTGGTGGGCTTTGGTT
Organism: Homo sapiens; assembly: GCF_000001405.40. Taxonomy (NCBI): domain Eukaryota; kingdom Metazoa; phylum Chordata; class Mammalia; order Primates; family Hominidae; genus Homo; species Homo sapiens. The sequence goes on along the minus strand of NC_000001.11, from coordinate 5,099,179 downwards.
TTGACTATCAGATTGTGCAGAGTCACTCGTCTCAAAAGTGACAAAGCCATAGTGCACACCCCAGTCTTTCTGACCCCGAAGCTCCTGCTGTTTCTAATACACTGAACTGTTTTGCACAAACAGGCAAGCAACACGTATCGGCCATCTGGTCAGAATGCTCTCTCCAGCACTTTTCTTGTGAATCAGCTGCTTGGGTGTTGTGTAAAAAATGGAACATTCTACAGATTGTCTGTCTTCTAAAACACAGAAATAACAGGAATCTCATTGATTGAATGCCACAGAATCTGGAAATCATTGGTCCTCTCTTGGAAGTCTTTTTACTTTTATCTAGGTCCTAATTTTCCTATACTTTATCATTGATTTTTTTCATATAATATGCCAGCTAAATGGGATATCTTTTTTTTTCTTTTTTTGAGACGGAGTCTCACTCTGTCACCCAGGCTGGAGTGCAGTGGTGCGATCTCGGCTCACTGCAAGCTCTGCCTCCCGGGTTCACGCCACTCTCCTGCCTCAGCCTCCTGAGTAGCTGGGACTACAGGTGCCCACCACCACGCCTGGTTAATTTTTTTGTATTTTTAGTGGAGATGGAGTTTCACCGTGTTAGCCAGGATGGTCTTGATCTTCTGTCCTCGTGATCCACCCGCCTCGGCCTCCCAAAGTGCTGGGATTACAGGCGTGAGCCACCGCGCCCAGCCTAAATGGGACATCTTTTAACACTCCTTCCAGAGGTATTTAGTGAAGGAAAGAGGTATTTATTGAAGGATCAAAGACCTCCCGTCAGCCCCCTATATCTATGCTTTTTTCTTTCTGTCTTAAAAGAAACCTATATATTAGCTCGGCAGGGGCACACTGTTTCCAGCCTGTGCGGCAGCTAGGTGTGACCATGTGACCAAGTCCTGACCAATGGTGAGTAAGCGGCAATATGGATGCCAATTCTAGCTTGTGCCATAAAAATAAGGGGAACACCCTCCCATGTTGTCCCTTTTCCCTAACCCCACTAGCTGGAATGTGGGTGGGTCATGGGTCAATTTCCAGCAGCCATCCTGAATCACGAGAAGCTGAACGGCTGAAATCACAGAGGTCACTGGAGGGTGGAGCACCCCAGAAAGGGTAGGAGGCTCCACACTTATCTGGAAAGGGTGGAAAGGATGATGGAATGAGACAGAAAGAGCCTGCACCCTTGATAATAGTGGGACCACCCCTGGGCTGCAATTAGAACTTGAGAAAAATGTGCTGTCTTATTTAAGCACACTGATATGGTTTGGGTCTGTGTACTCACCCAAACCTCATGTCAGATTGTAATCTCCAGTGATAGAGAAGGGGCCTCGTGGGAGGTGACTGGATCATGGGGGTGGATTTCCCCTTGCTCTTCTCGTGATAGTGAGTGAGTTCTCACAAGATCTGGTTGTTTAAAAGTGTGCAGGACCTCCTCCTTCACTCTCTTTTCCTCCTTCTCCGGCCACATGAAACGTGCCTCCTTCCCCTTCACCTTCCGCCATGATTGCAAGTTTCCGGAGGCCTCCCCAGTCATGTTTCCTCTACAGCCTGTGGAACTCTCAATTAAACCTCTTTTCTTTTTTCTTTTTTTTTGAGACATAGTTTCGCTCTTGTTACCCAGGCTGGAGTGCAACGGCGCAGTCTCGGCCCACTGCAAATTCCGCCTCCCAGGTTCATGTGATTCTCCTGCCTCAGCCTCTTGAGTAGCTGGGATTGCAGGTGTCCGCCACACCTAGCTAATTTTTTTTGTATTTTTTTTTTTTTTTTTTTTTAGTAGAGATGGGGTTTCACCGTGTTAGCCAGGCTGGTCTCAAACCCCTGATCTCAGGTGATTTGCCTGCCTCAGCCGCCCAAAGTGCTGAGATTACAGGCACGAATCACTATGCCTGCCCTAAACCTCTTTTATTTGTGAATTACCCAGTCTCAGGTAGTTCTTTATAGCAATGTGAGAACAGACTAATACACCACTCTTATTTTGGGTCTTTTTGTAACAGCAGCCAAGGCTGCATCCTAACTATTAAAGGTTGGCTTATCAGTAATGCCACTGTACCTATTAACCTTGAAGACAAAGTCCATTTTATTAAGGCTGCCTTACATTTATCAAATAAGGTTTGTCCTTGAGTCCTAAGAATAACTATATTAAGAATAGGGAAAAAACAAAGTGCTTCTTCTATTCTCTACTCTCACACACCGTTCTACACAATGCTTCTAACACTAGATGTGTGGAGAGTTTTCTCTACACACCAAGCAAGCAATTCTCAAGCAGACATCTGCTGGGTGCTCCATAATTCAATTCTGACACTATCTCCCTGGAGATAGTGTCAGGTCTCATAGGTCAAGGGCTCAATTTTATAAGGTTGCCCCCACTCGAAATGCCAATCACAGGCAGTATAAAAAGTTGTCACCTATACTTCTGAGTGACTGGCTATAAACTGGGGTTCCCATAACCCCCTCCTCAGGTTTGATTAATTTGCTAGAGCAGCTCACATAACTCAGGGCAATGCTTTACTTACTTTTATCCATTTATCATAAAGGATAAGACATAGGATGCAGATGAACAAGCAGAGTGATGCACCAGGCGTGGTATAGGGAGCGGCATGGGGTATCAATGCACTTTCTGGGGCGCTTCACCCTCCAAGGACCTTCATGGGTTCAGCTACTCAGAACCTCACCTGAATCCTTTCCTTTTGGGTTTTTATGGAGGTTTCATAATGTAGGGTAGGCATGATTGATTACATTGTTGGCCACTGATGATCAGCTTGACCTTCAGCCTCTCTCCTCTCTCAGGAGCTTGGGGGAGGATTGAGACTGAAAGTTCCAAGTCTCTAAGCACATGATTGGTTCCCCTGACACGCAGCCCCACATCGTGAGGCTATCTCAGGGCTCACTATGTTCTCTTTATGTTTAATGCATTTGTGTCAGATTTAAGACAGTGTTCTCTATCCCAAGTTAATGAATATTTCCTAACATTATTTTCCAGAGTTTTATTATTTTACCTTTCACATTCAGATCTATAATCCACCTGAAAGTAATTTTTATGGCATGATATGTGGATTACATTTTACTTATTTTTTTCCAAATACAAATCGAAGTGTTCAGTTGCTTCCTCACACTTCCTCCCACCAATATCTCATCTCCTCTTTTCTCTCCCAAGATAACCATTTTTCCCATTTCTTTCTTTCTTTCTTTTTTTTTTTTTTTTTTGAGATGGAGTCTCGCTCTGTCGCCCAGGCTGGAGTGCAGTGGCGTGATCTCGGCTCACTGCAAGCTCCGCCTCCCAGGTTCACGCCATTCTCCTGCCTCAGCCTTCCGAGTAGCATTTTTCCCATTTCTAACACCTTAGTGCAGCTTTTCAGTTTTGAACTTTATATAAATGAAACCGTGAAGTATATTTTCCTTTGTGTTTAGCCTCCCTCATTCAACATCATGTTTGTAAGATCCGTTCATGTGTTGGATGAAGTTTGGATTGTTCATTGTCTTCGCTATAGAGTATTTCATTCTCTAATTATTCTAATTTAATTGTCCATTCTAACACCAATACTCTTTTGGATTGCTTCCCTTTAGAGGCTCTTATAAATAGTACTTCTGTGAACATTCATGTAGATGTCTTGTGCTAAGCTTGTGAATGTATTTCTGTACTGTGTATATCTAAAAGAGAAATTGTTAGAATATCACATACATATGACTTAAATAGGTAATGTTAAACAGTTTTCTAAAGTGGCTATACTAGTTTACACCTCCACCTGTAGTGTATGAGAATTTGAGTTGGTATTGTCAGAAATTTTAATTTTAGTTATTCTGGCAGGTGTGAAGTAGTGTCACATTATGGTTTTAATCTTCATTTCTCTGATGTCTTGTGAAGTCAAACACCTTTTCCAATGTTTCCAACCCTTGGATTTTTTCTTAATGACATATCTATGCAAGTATTTTGCACCTTTTTATTTCGGTTGCCTGGCTTTATTTTTATATTAATATTAAAGGGTCCTTTATATTGTCTGTGGCTTGTTTCACTCTCTTTACAATATTTTTGGATGAACAAAACTTCTTAATTTTAATATAGTTCATTTTCATTCATTCTCTTTATGTTTAATGCATTTGTGTCAGATTTAAGACGGTGTTCTTATTCCAAGTTAATGAATATTTCCTAACTTTATTTTCCAGAGTTTTATTATTTTACCTTTCACATTTAGACCTATAATCCAACTGAATGGAATTTTTTTATGGCATGATATGTGGATTACATTTTACTTATTTTTTTCCAAATACAAATCCATTTGACTCAACACAATTTGTTGAAAAAAATTATTTTCTGCCACTGTTCTGCAATGCTACCTTTTTTCATAAATTAAGTGTCCATACATGCATAATCTCTTCCTGCATTCCACTCTGCTTCACTGGTCTTGGGCCAGTTCCACACTGTCTTAATCATGGTAACTTTATAAGTCTTTGTATATAGTAAAGCAATGTCCCTACCTTGGCCTTCTTCAAAAGTGTCTTGGCTCTTTCTATCCTTTCTTCTTCTTTGAGTTACTGAAAAAGTTGTTCCACAGTTTCTCAAGGTGATTATACATTTCTGAATTTTTTATAGTTCTATTTATTTTGCTTTGAAGCTTATTCATAAGTGATAGAATTTTGTAAGCTTCACACTTTCATTAAAAATTGATGCTTTTCTCATAATAAAATGTCTTTGTATCTCTAACAATGTCTTTTGACTTTAAATTTACTTTTCTTTTATTAATATAGCTACCCAAGTTTTCTTTTGTTAATCTTGCCTGGTTAATTTTTATACTTTTACTTTCAAACTTTCTGTAGTCATACTTTATTGATTTCATATTTTATCAGTAAAGTATGAAAATCATACTTTATTGATCATATTGTACTGATGTATTATTCTCTAAGTAGCACGTTGCTATTTATGTAGTCCATTTACGTTTAATGTAAAACAGATAATTAGGTTTTAAATTAATCATATTATTAGCTCTTTTCTATTGTTCCAGCTAGCTATGTTTCTTTGTCTGCCCTTTTTCATCTTCCTTTGGATTTGTTAAGATTTTTTTAAATTTCTTTCTTCCCTCCCCCGTTTTGCTAAGTTGTTACAAATATCTTACTGTTCTTTAACTGGTTAATTAAAGAATATAATCTGCATCCTTGTCTTATCAAAGTTTAATTATTAGTTTGTACTTTTATCTCTTCTTGGACAATGCAAAACTCTAATAATACTTTAACTTCATTAGTTCTTCTCCTGAATTATATGCTATTATCTCTGTGCATTTTAATTATATATATACACATGTATCTTCATCTTAGTGTTTCCTTTGATTAAGGCCTTTATCAGGCCTTAATCAAAATTTTATGATTTTTATTTGCATAAAATTTCTTCATTCTTGAAAATATTCTCACTCCTCATAGAATCTTAGGTTTACACTTTTTTGTCAGCACATTGGATGAATGTGTCATTGCATTGTCTTCTATGATAGTTTCTTCTGTGATATTAGCTGTCAGTCTAATTTTGACTGCTTTAAATGTAATGTGTTTCCTTTTTTCTAGCTTGTTTTTAGAGGGTTTTTTTGTTCTTTGTTTTTTGATTCCAGTAGCTTTATCCTGATACACCTATGTGTCATTTCATTTTTATTTATTCTGCTGTTACTTTTATTTATTTTTAGGGCTTCATGGATTTATGGCTTGATGTCTTTCATTAGTCCTATGACATTCTCAGAAGATCTTTCCAAATATTGCTTCTAATCCATGCTGCCCCTTTTCTTGCTCTGGGGCTCCAGTTTCAGATAATTATAAGTGCTTTTTTATATCCCTTAGCCTCTGTTTTGTGTTTTCATTCCTTTTGTCACTCTTCACATTTCATTCTGGATATTTTCTTCTGACCAATTTTCCAAAACTCTGGTTCTCTGGATATTTTCTTCTGACCAATTTTCCAAAGCTCTGGTTCTCTTTTCAGTTGTGTTTAATCGATTTCTGACATCATCCATTGAGTTTTTAATATTGATCATTGTATTTTTAAGTTTCCATTTGATTCTTTCTTATGGTTTTCATTTCTTTGTCAAAAATGCTCAATCTTGCTGTTTTATTTCTTGAACTAATAATTACAGTTATAGGTCAGTATCTGGTACTTCCTTTCCAGGTTCCCTTATGGGTCTATTTCTTATATCTGTTGTTTCTCTTGGTTTTTATTTTAATGTTGTCCAGGTTTTTTCTCAACTCAGTTTTTATTATTACTATTAAGAGTTAAGAATTGTGCCCCAAAACTTTGTAGACATAATTTGTGGCCTTAGATGATGCTAATTTCCTCCACAAAGATATACACTATTTCTGGTAAGCAGTTTGGGACACTAGTAATTAAGGTTTAACACAATCCAATTTTAGAGTCTGAACATGATGAAAAGCAAGGCTTAGTCCCTGAGAGAGATAACTTACTTACAACCCAGCCTTACTGCTATTAATAGCCTATAGTCCTACAGGGTCTCAATACCAAGGAGATGGATTTCCAAGGGCTCCCCAGAGTGGAGCCTGTGTTATAATAAGAAGAAATATATTTGTGTGTTTTTGTTCTGTTTTTGTTTTTTTTGTCCCTGGTTCCTAGCACAGAGTTTTTAAACCCTTGGAATTTCCTGAGTGATAAAAATGTCTTGTTCCTCATGATGAACTCCTTTGGATTACCTGAGTTTATGCTAATGAGGTGACTTATGCTATGACCCCTAGATAGCCTCAGCATGGGGCTGGTTAGTAGAAAGAGCATGTAATTAGAGGGGTAAAACTTTCAGCCCCACCCATCACCTTCTGGGAAGGAAGAGGGTACTGGAGACTAAGCTCTATAAAAACTCTTGAACAAGGAGATTTTGGTAAGCTTCTGGGTTGGTGCTTGGGGGTGTCATGCCCAGAGAAAGCATGAAAGCTTCATACATATACCCTCTCCATACCATACCTTGCCCTCTGCATTGCCTCCATCTAAAGTGTTCCTGAGTTGTATCCTTTACCATAAGCCAGTAAATGTAAATAAATGGTTTCCCTGATTTCTGCAAGCTATTCTAGCAAATTATTAAACCTTAAGAAGGAGTCATGGGAGTCACCCATTTTGTAGCTGGTTGATCAGTAGTAGGAGAGGTCTGGACTTGCAATTGACATCTGAAGTGGGGAGGTAGTTTTATGGGACTGAGCACTTAACTCATGGTATGTGAGGCTAACTCTAAGTAGATAATTTCAGAAATGAATTAAATTGTCAGACACCTAGCTGATATCAGAGAATCTGCTGGAGAGGGAAAAAACCCCACACATGTGATATCAGAAGTGTTGTATGAGTGTAGAGAAACTGATTTTTCAGAGCTGTCAACTGTGATTTTTGCTTCTCCATTCCCTTGTGACTCTAAACAATGCTGTTCAGCTTCTTAATGTCTCAACTACCTCTTCCAAATGGGCAGACACCACTTGTGAAAAAGGAATTCTAAATGCCAAGCTTACTTCTATGGGTTTCTTTCCTTCTCTAAATTTTATTCTCCATAATTCCTCACTGTATTGTTAGTTCAAACTCTTCTGTTAATATTTTCCCAGATTTTCTATTTTTAGCAAGAAAAATTGACTCCAGTTTCCAGTTCCATCATTACAAAAAGAGAAAATCCCTGTTTAGCTCACTTTAAGCCAGCCTTGACCAACCATACATTATCACAAACATACCTTTTCCATGGAAATTTTGTTAAGGTATTGTAGAATGCAGTTTTGGAAAAAGTTTATGTAACTTATCTAGCATTTGGAGTAAAATTTTCCTATGGCATTTGGGAATTAAAAATGATTCAAAATATTATATTAACCATTTTTCTTTCTGAGAAAACACTGAACATTATGAACATTATTTTTTCTTAATAAGCTAAGGTCATTAGTGTTTGCATACTGCTGTTCATATTGTAATACTTACATACATTCCTATCTATATTTTTGTTGTCATCGAGTTATATTTTATTCACTATGCATATGCTGAGAAAATACTGAGAGTTATTTCTTTTATTCAATGGACCAAGGTCATGATTATTAGCATCAGTTATTACAGCTTTAAAACAGGGCTGCATTCAAGGGCCACTGTGGCTTCTTCATCTGCAGCATTTATTCAGCACTTTATATGTGTGAGACACTATCCTGAGGAATCTGTTCTTACTCATGTAATCCCTACAATGGCCCAATGAAACAAGTGCTGTTATTATTCCTGATTTTCAGATAAAAGGTGGAGACTACAAAGAGGTTTAGTAACACACCAGGTTGCACCCCTCACAAAGGAGGGCAGATGCCCACCTCTCATCACAGGCCCATGCTGGGGCCATGCACACAGATTACCTGGAATGACTGGCCCACAGAACCCATCATTGGATCACAGGCCCATGCTGGGGCCATGCGCACAGATTACCTGGAATGACTGGCCCACAGACTCCATCACTTGGGGGTGTTTGATGGTTAGTTTTCATTTCTCATCTCTCTCTATTTTTGTTGGGTGTCTATCATTGAATTTCTAAAAGTTAAGTACTCACACAATATGTCTGCATTTGTCCCACACACAGAGAGAGACAAAGTGAGAAGGCGAGTTAAATACGTTTTGATGAAGATAGGTAGGTACCCTCCTTTGATTAAAATACAGAGTTTTAGTGACTAAACATCTGCTTTAGTTGCTTATAGGGCTTTGCTTTGTTTTTGTTTTGCTTACTTCCTCATTTTTTTAAGTTTAACAATTGTTATGTTGATTGCATAAAAAAACAGAAGATTAGAGTTTTTGTTCCTTTTTTCTTCGTTTACCACATCTGCATACATATTATACTACGTCTCTTCATTTTGAAAGAAGAATCCCTACAGCAAAAACTTTTGATCTGAAAAGACAGGTTTATGAACACAGTCCAGTTAAATAGCAACCCTGCCTTTAGCACTGCTCATAGCAACCACCTGCCTGCCTTGAGATCTTTTTGGTTTCCAAGACCTGGCAGTTTGAGTCTGCGGTGGAAGGAAATAGGAGAGCATCATTCCAGGCATTATGGATTGGTGTTTATAATGGAGCGTGAGTTGCAGGCAGATACCACACCAAGTTCAAGGGGAATGCAGAAAAGCCAAGGAAGACATTTGTCCTGGTGCCCTAGAGAAACCCTCAAGCCACGGACACAGGAGGGCACATGTTCACTGAATCTTTGCTTACAAGAGTAAACCAGGAAACAGCTCACACACCAGGAAAGGATATGAGGAAATAAATCACAGTATACAAACACAATGAGATTTTTCACATCATTTAGAATATGTTAGTTAATAATAATTCGTAATGAGTAAGATTGTCATGTATCAGAATAGGCAAATGTTTTAAACAAAATGTTGAATTTAAAAATATAGCTTCAGCATAAAAAATATATATAAATATGATATATGTGTAGTTTACATGTATGGTATATGCAGTTGACTGTTAAACAATGTGAGGGTTAGGGGTGTCAATCCCCTGTGCAATTGAAAATCCATGTATAACTTTTTTGTTGTTAAATTGAGACAGGATGTCTCTGTCATCCAGGCTGGAGTGCAGTGGCATGATAATGGCTCACTGTAGCCTCCATCTCTAGGACTGAAGTGATCTTCCCACCTCCAGCCTCCCAAGTAGCTGGGACCACAGATGTGCACCACCATTGTAGAGAAGAAGTCTCCCTATGTTGCTCAGGCTGGTCTTGAACTTCTGGGCTCAAGCGATACTCTAGTCTTGGCCTCCCAAAGTGTTGGGATTACAGGCGTGAGCCACCATGCCTAGCCAAAAATCCATGTATAACTTCTTCTGACTCCCCCAGAACTTAGCTACTAATAGCCTACTGTTTACTGGAAGCCTTACTGATAACATAAACAGTCAATTAACACATATAGCATACATGTATATAACACATGTACCATACATAATACATGTAGCACATTTATGCTACATGTATTCTATACTGTATTCTTACAATAAAGTCAGCTAGAGAAAAAACATTAAGAACACACCGGGGACTGTTGTGGGGTGGGGGGAGGGGGAGGGATAGCATTAGGAGATATACCTAATGCTAAATGACGAGTTAATGGGTGCAGCACACCAACATGGCACATGTATACATATGTAACAAACCTGCACGTTGTGCACATGTACCCTAAAACTTAAAGTATAATAATAATAAAATAAATAAATAAATAAAAAAATTAAGAAAATCATAAGAGAGAGAAAACATATTTACTATTCATTAACTGGAAGTGGACCATTATAAAGGTTTTCATTCTCATTGTCTTCATGTTGAGTAGGCTGAGGAAGAGGAGGAAGAAGAGGAGTTGGTCTCACTGCCTCAGAGGCAGCAGGGGGACCCATGTAGTTCAAACCCCTATTGTTCAAGGGTCAACTATATATATATTGTATATGTCATATATAATATATATATCATATATATCATATATTATGATGATGACAGCATCTTGTTTCTAATTTTAGATTTGGGGAGTACATGTGCAGCTCTGTTACAAGGGTATATTGCATGATGCTAAGCATTGGGCTTCTATTGAAAACCTGTCACCCATATAATGAACATAGCACCACCCAATAGGTAGTTTTTCAGCCCTTTCCCTCTTCCCTTTTTTGGAGTTCCCGGTGTCTATAGTTTCTATTTTTATGTCCATGTGTGTCCCATTGTTTAGCTCTACTTACAAGTGACAACATGTAGTATTTAGTTTTCTGTTTCTGTGTTAATTCACTTAGGATAATAGCCTCCAGCTGCATCCATGTTGCTGAAAATGACATGACTTTTATCTTTTTTTTTTTTTTTTTTTTAGACAGAGCTTCACTCTTGTTGCCCAGGCTGCAGTACAATGGTGCGATCTCAGTTCACCACAACCTCCGCCTCCCGGGTTCAAGTGATTCTCCTGCTTCAGCCTCCTGAGTAGCTGGGATTACAGGCATGCGCCACCACACCTGGCTAATTTTGTATTTTTAGTAGAGATGGGGTTTCTGCACATTGTTCAGGCTGGTCTCGAACTCCCAACCTCAGGCGATCCACCCGCCTTGGTCTCCCAAAGTGCTGGAATTGCAGGTGTCAGCCACCATGGCTGGCTGACTTTGTTCTTTTTTATGGCTGTGTAGTATTCCATGGTGTATATGTACCACATTTTCTTTATTTAATCTGCTGTTGATGGGCACCTGGGTTGATTCCATGTCTTTGCTATTGTGAATTATGCTGTGATGAACTTACAATTGCAGGTGACTTTTTGGTAGAATGATTTGTTTTCCTTTGGGTATATACCCAGAAATGGGATTGTTGGGTTGAATGGTAACTCTATTTTTTTGTTGCTTGAGAAATCTCTAAACTGCTTTCCACAGTGGCTGAACTGATTAGGCATTCCCACCAACAGTATGTTAGCATTCCCTTTTCTCTGCAACCTTGACAACATCTGCTATTTTGTGACTTTTTAATAAAAGCCACTCTGACAGGTGTGAGACGGTATCTCATGGTTTTGATTTGCATCTCTCTGACGATTAGTGATGTTGAGCATTTCTTCATATGTTTGTTGGCCACTTGTATATCTTCTTTTGAGAAGTGTCTGTTCATGTCCTTTGCCCACTTTTTAATGGGGTTGTTTTCTTCTTATGGATTTAAGTTCCTCATGGATTCTGGATATTTGTTCTTCATTGGATGCATAATTTGCAAATATTTTCTCCCATGCCATTGTCTGTTTACTCTGTTGACAGTTTCTTTTGTTGTGTGGAAACTCTTTAGTTTAATTAGGTCCCACTTGTCATTTTTGTTTTTGTTTCATTTATTTTTAAGGACTGAGTCATAAATTCTTTGCCTAGGCCAATGGATGACAACATTTTTCTATGGCTAAAACATACTAAACTGGGCCATATGTATGGATACAGGAATTTATAGTACAAGTATAAAACCATTGATGAGAAGGATCCAAACCTACTCTAATATAGTGGTCATATTTGGAAATAGGCTCAGGCAAGGGTCTCAAGGGAGCTTCAGGCTTGGGGTGGACACAGAGATGCATCACCCAGGCTCCATTCTGGGAGGGCTTTGCTGCCGAGCAGCAGGAAGTGTGTTGGCAGACAGGCCCCGGCTGAAGCTCCTTCAGCGGCAGGCCCAGCAGCCAAACTGCCCTGCTCCAGGTCTCATCTTCCCAGGGCAGCCACACCCAGGGACTGAGCAAGGCAGGGGGACAGAGGCCACTCGCTGCTGGGCGACTTGCTCCAGGGCTCCTGGTCAGTACTCCGTTGAGCTGCCTGGTGGTTCCCTTTCCCCCTCTGCTCAGTTCTGCTCTCTCTCTCATCCCTTCCTTTGGGATCTAGTATCCCAAACTCAGTCTCAGTGACTGCTCTCTGAAAACCCCACCTGCAACAAACTGTATTGGCACTGTTACATTTCTTTAAAACCATTGTTCTAAATATAAACAGTAAATACAGCCATGCAAGTGTGTTCTGTCCTTAGGGAGCTGAAACACACAGACTTGTTTATTTGATCACATCTACATTCACTAGGGAGAAGATCACTAGAGGTTTACATATTTACAGATTTTGAGTTTTATTTTCCTTTTATTAACATAAATACAGTTTTGCTCATTGAAGTTCTTATTTCAGAGCCTGACTTTCTCATCGAAACCATGGCTGCTTGGACCCAGGCTCTCCCCATGAGGTAATAAATGTGCAAGCACTTTGCAGGGAAAATAAGTGCCTGACACCTGACATAAACACGTTTGTTTCCTTTTTATTCTCATCATCATCACCATCATCGTCATCAAAACTACCTAAAAACACAATGATGGAGCAGTGGAGTGAAAATGACAAGGTGTGTGTGTGTGTGTGTGTGTCTGTATGTGTGTGTTGCCATAGTTTCCGGATAGCCTATTAGTCTATGTTAGTCTATTCGTCGGCTTGGGCTGCCCATAACAAAACACCACAGTCTGGGTGACTTAACCCATTTCCCATTTAGGGAAAAAAAAAAAAATTGCAGCTTGCTGCCAGTGCAGTATTCTTGGGGCAAATGGGAAATGGGTTAACAACAGAAATTTATTGTCTCCGTTTTAGAGGCTGGAAGTCTCAGATCCAGGTGCCAGCTGAGAGGTGAGGGCTCTGTTGCTGGCTTACAGACAGCCACCTTCTTGCTGCATGCTCATGTGACCTCTTCTTTTTGTACCTACAGAGAGTGCCCAAGCTCCAGCATCTCTTCTTCTAAGGACACTAATTCCACTGGATTAATTCCACCCTTATGAACTCATTTAACGTTAATGACCTTTTATAGGCTGCATCTCCAAACATAGTCACATGGGGGTTAGAGTTTAAACACACGACTTTGGGAGGGACACAAATGGTGAATACAGAGAGGACTGAGTTTGATTCCCTAAGAAGCAGAATCTAAAGTCTTGAGTTGTTGAAGGTGAAAGCACTGACACTAGAGGAAAGGACAGGATGCGAGGGAGAATGCAGGAGGAGAAGCCTGCTAAATCTTTAGCATAAAAAACACAGTCAGGAAGCTAGAATTCAGAGGGAGACCCATCCATGCCAACCTCCATGATGTCAGGTGTAGCCTTTTGCTTAGTCAGAGAACTTGCCCCTACAGAAGGCTTAACTCCTGCACACGCACCACACAGTAGTAACAAGCCCCCAACACCTCACAGCAAAAATCATCAGTGAAGACAAAGGCAACAAGAAATGCAAGAGCAGAGTCATTTTTGGAGAATGATCTTGTCCAGGTCCAATGAGAGAGGGAGTTGGGACATGCCAGTAGAAACCAGAACTGTTATTCTCACTCATCTGCTGAGATCCAAGGGTCTCATTTCTTTTAGGGTTTTCCTGAAGGCATCCATTTTCAGCCTCATAATTTTTAGGCTCTGTCACAGCAGTTTATGAGAGTAATTATGTTTATCCTTTATTTGGCTAAAACTAATGAACCAATGATAAACAACTCAGCATTTTCTTCTCTGTTGAATAATGAATATTAATTAACCTGTCAAAAAAGGACTGGCACTCATTACCAAATATAGCATTGACTCATTTGCATGCCAAGGCATGGAAAGGCTGCCACGGGTTTTGAAAGGTAAGTGTGTTCAGATGCTGTCAGAGCACTTGCATTGCCTATGGAACCAGTTTGTGGTCTCAGCCACAGGAGCTACGAGGCACCGAGTTTTGGCCCCAAACACCTGACTGGAATTTGAATCTTCTGTTGGCATCATAGCCGCTCATCAAACTTCTCAGTGGTTGATTTGAAAATGTCTGTGCTTGGAAAATGTGCCACCAGCAAGCACCAGGAACTCGGCCAAGGGCAACTGCAGTGCCATCTTTGGTGACATATGGTGGTATCTGCATTTTGATAGAGCCAACATATGGATTCTAGGCTTCTCCTCTTGGGAGGAAGGATGGTGTGGTGAAGAAGGAGCTGTTGATCCATGAATTGGGCATCTGCATAAACACAGTGTATTTGGCCTGGGCATTGAGTTGGCTTTATTCTGAGCATTCTTCAGGTGGCATTTGGAAAGGCTGTATCTCCCATTAGATAAGCAATGGGCGGTTTGACCTGGCCAAAAGGGAGCAATAAAATAAGGATAAGTGTCATGTTGTTTTTGTATTTTTATAAGACTTCAGGAAACACTTTTTAAAATACAAAACAGAACTGACTTGCAGGAAATAGTAGGAAATTCAATGATTTCATATTATGAGGCAGAATTTTTAAAAATAAAAATTAATCTTGAGTGAATGGGAATGTGAAAGGAAGAGAATAAAATACTAAATTTTTTTGGCCAGACATTCCTCGACTAATGGCTCATTCCTGTAATCCCAGCACTTTGGGAGGCTTAGGTGGAAGGATTGCTTAAGGCCAGGTGTTCAAGTCTAGCCTGGGTAACATAGTGAGACCCCCATTTCTAAAAAAATTTTAAAAATTATCTGGGCATGGTGGTGCATGCCTGTAGTCCCAGCCACTTGGGAGACTGAGGTAGGAGGATTGCTTGAGTCTAGGAGTTTGAGGCTGCAGTGAGCTATGATCTTGACACTGCACTCCAGCAGGACAACAGAGCAAGACCCTGTCAAAAAAATATTAACTTTTCTGGGATCATGAGGAAGGACTCCCTCACTTTATCCCTTAACTCAGCCATAGTTTCAAGGGACCATGTGGAATCAGGAAGGTCAACTGGGCATGTCCTGACTTGCCCTTTAGGACCTGGGCTGGTCTCTGCCCCTTCACTCAGAATGCTGACACATAGGACACTCAACTGAGAATCAACTGCTCAGGGCCAATTTTTTTTTTTTAATTACCAAAGAGAAAACCAAAGTTATAAAGCATTTATGACTCAGACTGACATTGCCCCTCATTTATCTACTCCCAGGCCTGAACAGTGCTCTTTCTACTCTATCAGCTTAGCTATGCCTTGAAATTGAAGAATAGAGACGAGAGCAAGGGGTAGGAGAGAGAGAAGAAGAGAAAGAGACAGAGAGCGCGCACGAGAGAGAGAGAGAGAGAGAGAGAGAGAGAGAGAGAGAACAATACCGGGAATGAAACAGTGGTGTCATTTTTGTGCATGGTAAGGTAGTGTGGGGTTTAGAGGGAACATAGTCCACACCAACATTCTCACTTCTGACACCAATTGCAAATTCAGGAGGTTTCCAAAACCATTCTCAATTTCAATAATTTTTTAGGACTTGCAGAACTCAGTGAAAGGTGCTGTTATAGTTTATCATGAGAAACTGCTGCATATTACAATCAGCCAAGGGAAGAGGCACCTGGGCAGAGTCTGGCAGGTTCAAAATATAGTTTCCAGATGATATAGTTTGGCTCTGTGTTCCCACCCAAATCTCATCTTGAAGTGTAATAATCCCCGTGAGTCTCAGGAGGCACCTGGTGGGAGGAAATTGAATCTTGGAGGTGGGTTTTTCCTGTGTTGTTCTCATGATAGTGAACGAGTCTCACGAAATCTGATGGTTTTCTGAAGGGGAGTTCCCCTGGACACGCTCTCTCTTGCCTGCCATCATGGAAGACGTTCTCACGAAATCTGATGGTTTTATAAAGGGGAGCTCCCCTACACACGCTCTCTCTTGCCTGCCATCATGTAAGACGTTCTCATGAAATCTGATGGTTTTATAAAGGGGAGGTCCCCTGCACATACTCTCTCCTGCCTGCCATCATGTAGGACATGCCTTTCCTCTTCCTTTGTCTTCTGCCATGATTGTGAGGCCTCCCCAACCATGTGGAACTGTGAGTCCATTAAACTTCTTTCCTTTATAAGTTACTCAGTCTCGGGTATGTCTTTATTAGCAGTGTGAGAACAGATGAATACACAAGGTGTCTCCTCCCTATAGAGCCCTGGACAGTGCTAACTCCTCCAAGCCATGACATGTGACAATGCACCTGGACTATTTTCCACAGGGAAGCTCACCTGTGCCTTGGTGTCAGGAGTCCACCCTCATTGTGGCTTCATGAACAGCTGCCCACATGGCTGACCTTTAGCCTCCAGCCCTCTAGAAGAGGAGTATATACTGCATGCCCCAAAGCCCTCATCACAAAGCACATTGCTAAGCTGCGCAGTGGCCAAGGCCCCAGGTAAATAGACACATCCTTATCAGAAGGGAAATGCCAAGGGCCTACACAGCATGTCTCAGCAGCTGGGGACAAAAACCAGAACTTTCTTCGGGCAAGGTTAAGTCATTTACTGTACAGGCAGTGACAATTAGCCCAATAATTTTGGGCGGGGTTTATTGAGGAATGAACTAAGATGAGGCAGAAAAGTTCTGCAAGTCCTTCTAAAAAATTATCGAAATTGAGAATGGTTTTGGAAACCTACTGAATTTGCAATTGGTGTCAGAAGTGAGAACGTTGGTGTGGACCGTGTTTCCTCTAAACCCCACACTACTTTACCATGCACAAGTGACCAAGTTATGAAGGGCCTTGAGTGCCGTGCTGGGGACTCAAGACTTTATCCTGAGAACAGCAGCAAATGGGCCCTTAAGGTGTTCAAGCAGGATCCAATATTGGTGTTAGGAAGCCAATGACCACAGGATGGAGGAGGATGGATGGGAGGCAGGGCAGGGGCAGACAAGGTGAGAAACCAAAAGCAAAGAAGGCAAGGCAACGAGCCTCCACCTCGAAAACAACCAAACTTACCCTCCAAAGGATGAGGACTTTGTCTCTGAAATCAAAACTCAGTCTCAGAATTGATTTTTTTGAAAAGTCTATTTTTTTCTTGATTTACTTATTGTCCACAGGATTGAAAATGTAAGAAAAAAAGTTGAACTTTAGAATTTAACTTTCGACATCTCTTTATTAGCAAGGCATGCTAGTAAGCAGACTGGGCTTTCAGTGTGATGCCGTGTGGAACGTGGAGGAGTCACAGGCATGTGGGTTGTGATGTCCTCAACACAGAGTGGTGTGGGGATGCAGGAAGGATGTTCCGTAAAGGGCCAGTGTGCATAGGAGATGTGAGGGGGGAGTGTGGTTCTCCCCAGCTGAACCTGGAGGAGGGACAAACATCCCTTCTCTGTTCCATGAGCACTTCTCATGAGAGAAGCTCTAGGTCATCTGGGTTTTCCTAGATAATGAGGACCTCATTTTCTTTCCACTCAGGACACTTTATGAAGACCGCTATGTCCCTCTGAATTTCTATTAAGAAATCCATTTATTTACAGGAATCTTCTAAGAGCACTTTCTGTTAACCATACGAATGGTGTAGGTGAGGAAAAATAATATTCTCCACTTCATGAGTTCTTAGCTGAGACTCCCGGGAAGAATAAAACAGATTATCAAGAGGAAAATGGACAGAAGTTGAATTGCATGTACAAGTATATGTTCTGTACACATGAGAAATAACCCAGAGAGTTGAGTAAATCTCTAGGGTAGATCTCAAAATGGTAGTTTAAACTTCAGGCTTAAATACCATTCTTCTCTGAAACAAAGAAAGAAGGATGTGAGAAAAGACCTGTTAAAGAGACATAGCCAAAGCCTGGTGCTTTCACATGCACCTGCAGTCCCAGCTTACTTTTTCTTTAGTCGGCTCTCCTTTTTATTAAGCAATTTTATTTTTTAAGATAACTTCAATTTATCTTTAAATAGTTCTAAATCTAAAAAAGGCACCAAGATGTGAAGCCTCACTCCCCATGTCCTGTCACCCAGTTTCTCTTCCCAGAGGCAGCCACTGTTTCTACACACACTCACACACACACACTCTCTCTCTCTCTCTCTCTCCCCTTTTTCTTTTTACTTTTTTTTTTTTTCTGAGACGCAGTCTCCCTCTGTCGCCCAGGCTGGAGCGCAGTGGCACGATCTCGGCTCACTGCAACCTCCACCGCCGGGTTCAAGTGATTCTCCTGCCTCAGCCAGGATTACAGGCACGCACCACCATGCCCGGCTAGTTTTTGTATTTTTAGTAGAGACGGGGTTTCTCCATGTTGACCAGGCTGGTCTCGAACTCCTGACCTCAGGCGCTCTGCCCGCCTCGGCCTCCCAAAGTGCTGGGATTACAGGCGTAAGCCACGGCACCAGGCCCCCTTTTTCATTTTTTAAAATCATACAACAGTAGCATATGCTACACATTTTGCCCCTGACTTTTGTTTCCATTTTATTATATATCTTGTTGTTTCCCTCGTAGTTCATTTAGGAAGCATTCTTGCCCCTCCGTATAGCTGCATAACATTCCACTTCATGGATAGCCCAGTATTCACTTGATCAATCCCCTTTTGTTGGATATATAGGTTGCTTGCTGAGGGATCTCGTAAGTATGTTGCAGCCCTTGAGTCCACTGGTAAAAATCTTAGATGGGACTCCATTCATCTTATGGGATACATTGTAACATTACTGTGAATGGAAATCCAGTATCCTTTTGGGTGATTCAAAGGTTACTGTAATAACAGTCAATACAAAGGAAACAATGTTAATGAATTCTCCATAGATGCTTTAGCCTGTCCCAGGTGAAGCTTGTTGAGGCTGCTCTAGCGTGTTAAAGGCATAGTACCTCCCACTGGGGACTTTCTTGGAGAGACTCAGTATGTCAAATCATCACGGAGGGTGACAAATGTGAGTGTGGGAAACAGCCTGGTTCAAACGAGCATGTTCAGCTCAACCACCACCTGGCTGTGTGTGTCCAAACAAAACAGGTGTCTTGCCTGATTTGTGTCTCGGTTTCCTCACTAGTTAAATGGGGATTATGGAACTGGGTGTGGTGGCTCATGTCTATAATCCCAGTGACTCAAGAGCCTGAGGCAGGAGGATCACTTGAGCCCAGGAATTTGAGGCCAGCCTGGCCAATGTAGTGAGACCCCACCTCTGTTTAAAAAAAAAAAGAGAGAAAAGAAAAAGAAAAGAAAAGAAAAGAAAAAGGCAGGAAAAGGACCTTAAACAAAGCTAAGCCTTGTTATATAGATTTAAGTCGATGCCTTCTTCATTGATGAAGGCTCTTTAGTGATATGGGGGTCAACCTAGCAATTCTCTCCCTGGTGCAGAGAGGGAGACACCCTTCCAAAAGGAGATTTATTTTACAGATGTAAATCTCTCTTGCAAAAGGGTAGCTTTTTAGTCATATTTGTTTTGGGGGTGGCATGTTTTGTTCTCCAGCAATAGCATTGCATTACCAATAGTTTGAAGGCAGGTCATTGGGCTCGATATTTTTATTTCTGTTCTGTATTTCTTCATCCTTGGGGAGCCACAAAATATGTTAATGGGTAATGGAAGAAGGGTAGAGAAGGCATCCATAAAACACAAACCACACTTGAAATCCTGATGATTTGGACTGGAATATTCTGATCTGCCCCTGAGGTGAGTCCTTTGCAGGAATCCGGTGCTTTTGGATGCAGAATGTGCCATGGAAGAACTCCAGAGACACCTGGAAGACAACACTGTACATACTCTCGTTCAAAAAGCATCCACAAAAACTCCCTTATCTGCAAGGCAGGCAGCAAATCTCTAGGAGACAGGAGGAAAAGAGTCAAGGAGCCAGAGGATACCAGCTCGCTGAGCAAGCAAAGCCTTGGCAGAATCACTGAGAGGGAACCTGTACTTACATTAACACTTCTGTTATAATTCAGTGACGTTACAAGAAGCAACAAGAAATGACTGATTAAGACTCATTGGAAAGAGGTTCTAGTGCAACTTCCCAGAGTACAAACAAAGCTGAGTGATCCATAAGACACATCTCTGTCCCCCAAAGACAGACAGAGACTCCACAGGAGGGGTGTCTCCAGGGACCTCGCCCCCCAGAGAGGTAGAGACAATGGGCAATAGTGAGTTGGATGCAGAGTGGAGACACCCACAGGGTCATTGCCATCTCTCTGTGGCATGGGGATTCATTACACGTATCGCTACAGAATGGAAAATGTGCCATTGGGGGAAGCTTGGATTGATTATTTAAATGAAGGCTCATAAGATAGGTTAAAGAAGACAGTATTCTAAAAATAAATAAGCCAAATTATCCTTCATCTTCAATTTATTTAGCCACTAATAGTTTTTTAAAAAAGGTTCTCAGAAGGAAGGATAATTAGCATTTCAGGAGACTGTTGTGGTCACTGTTGCTAGAGGGCAGGTTTGGCTGATGCCGTCCAGGCTCTGATCACAGACTTGCTTTTGGCTGGTGCAGGTTGGTCTGTGTGACTAGAGTGCCATCCATCCCAGGACCACCGTTTTCCAGGTTTATGACTCATTTTTTTCCACACCAGTGATGATACCAATTGCCCAGGGAAAGGGTTTTCTAGACAAATATGGCTGCCTTTTCAAATCACCAAAATGCATCATACATATTTATTAAAATTCTTTCTTCATACCCACCCTTTTTTTGGGAGATTCTCACATAAGCTTCCTTGGCTGCCATAACAAAAAACACCACAGTTAGAGTGGCTTAAACAACAGAAATTTATTCTCTCTGAGTTCCAGAGGCAGAAGTCCAACATCAAGGCATTGGCAGCAGGTTGAATCTGTCCGTGCCTCTCCCCAGCTGCTAGTGGTGGCCGGCGATCTTTGCTTTCTTTAGCTTGTTGGAACATCACCTTGATATCTGCTTGTGTGTTTCCATGGCTGTCTTCTCCCTATGTCTTTTTGCATCATCTTTCCTCCGTGCACATCTGTCTCTGTGTTCAAAGTTCCCTTTTATAAAGACACCAGTTATGGTGGATAAAGGCCCTCATTTTGACTTGATTCTATCTGTAAAGATCCTGTTTCCAAATAAAATCACATTCCAAGGTGCTGCATTTTTGTCTTTTCTTGAGGGACATAATTCAACCCATAATAGCCTTGCATTTGATTTCTGTAATGTTTGACTTCTTTCATGTTATCAGAGAAAGAAACTGAATTCCTGATGACCAAATGAAGCGCTGAAAGACCCACGTGGAAACTGCAGACCCTTCATGAATGCTGTTGGGTGGGTGGCCACCAGATTTTATTTGTCTGTTTCCTCTATGGCTGTTTGTAGCCCCCACCCATCCAGCTGCATAGCATTGTTCATAGGGCAGAGCATTAGCTAGAAAGGGTAGAGAGAGCTGCAGAAAAGGAAGAGTCTCATCTGCCAGCTTGGCTGGCATTGTCTTTTTTTTTTTCCCCCCTGTTGTAGGATTAGGAGAGTGAGGGTTCCATACCATGTTCTGCCATATTGTCAAGGAAATTACAGATTTTGCATATAGCAGCACAGAACCATCCAAAGTCAATAATGATAATTACAGCGCCTTCAAACTTGATTTCCCTGGCACTAAATGGACTGTGACTGGTGCATTTCTGGAAAACATCGCCCCACATCTTACTTGGTGGCACTTACATACATACAATGATGTTTTGTCCCGATTGAGTACAGCAAACTGGGTTCAGTGGAGTGAGCACTCGGCAGCTAAAGGTGCTGTTGTGGCTTTGGAGGGAGAGATGACTTGGGAAGAATAAATACAGGTAGAGATGGAAAGAAAAAAAGACCCCTAGGAAATGAAGTGCCCTGGCAAAGGTTGGTGGAGCTGGCAGTGAACCTGGAGGAAGTACAGAGGCCCAGAAAGGAGTAAAGGTCTATCTTCCTGCCCAGTGTCTGCCTCAGGTGCGCTCTTCTGACTTCTGAACTTCACAGTGCAGAGTTTAGAACAGCATCAAAGAGCACTGGCTTTACGATCAGGCAGACCTGGATATAGAGCCCAGATCAGACACTTCCCAGCTGTGTGACTTTATATAAATGTTTCATTTTCCCACTTACTCTAATGGAAATGTTCAGACTTGTCTCAGAGAATTGGGATTAAAAGTAATAAAAATGGGGACATAGGAAAAATGTACAGCATATGGGAGGATAAAGTGGTTCCTTTTATAACCTGCTGCTTAGATGACAGGGTGGTCTGTGCTGGTGAATAAGGAAAGCTTGTGAACTAGAAGCTGGGCACAAGAATCTTTGGACCACTCCAAAGACTATGGGAATCTAAAAGATGTTAACTATGATATTGTGACCTGGTAGGGAGGTCTCTGTTTTGAGATTCTAGAGCTGTTTAGAACAACAGCAGCAACATAAGCATGACAAATAACACTTATTTAGTCCTCCCACAAGGGTTACAAATAAATCTACTGCATTCTTCAACCTGGTTTGGGGGTCACGGGGGGCGGGAGGAGGGCGGCTATTTTGGTCTCAGGTCAACTTCCCCCGTAAGTATGTTATTCTTTTGTATATACCAGATTTCAGAGTAAATCAAGGTACTGTTAAAGAACAAAATTATTCAATGATACTTGTTAAAACACAATAAGAAAGACTTTGTTCAGGATGATCATGAAAGGTACAAAGACTACTGCAATGCAGTCTTGCCGTGGGAGAGAGATTGGACTCAACTCTGAACACAGCCCATGCCAGAGGGAATTTATAGCCGAAGAGCAGAGTAGGAGTCAGTGGATGGAAAATGACTAGGAGGAAACATCAGGGGTAGGGGGACTCTGGCTAAACCCAATTAACAGGATTCTTGCTGAAGACAAGCCAGGTGATCAGATGTCACCTGGGGGGGTGGAGGATGAGGAAACTGATCAGATATCAAGGGCGGGGGTCTACGCTAAACTGACTTAGAAAGGTTTTTTTAAATCTATCTGTCTGTCTGTCTATCTATCTATCTATCTATCTATCTATCTATCTATCTATCGAGAGAGCTAAAACTGGATATATATCTCTATATACAGAGATAGATGTATCTATAATATATAGAGATATATATAGATATTTCTATTTATATAGAGCTATATATAGATATATCTATAGATAGACTTCCTTTTAACTGGTGCAGGTTGGTCTGTGTGACTAGAGTGCCATCCATCCCAGGACAACCGTTTTCCAGGTTTATGACTCATTTTTCTTTGGTTATACATAGATATACATATAATCTATATATTTTATATAGATTATATTTACATATTATATATAATTTATTATATATAATATATAAATATATTAAATATAAATTTATATATTAAATATAAATTATATATAATGCATTATATATAATTATATATAATGCATTATATATAATTTATATTTAATGCATTATATATAAATTATATATAATGCATTATATATAAATTATATGGCATACATTATATATAAATAATATAATATAATTTATATATTATGTATTATATATAATTTATATATTAATATAATATAATTTAATTATATATAATATAATATCAGTATCATAGTAATATTACATATAGTATATATTATATATTATATACTATAATATAGTTTAATTATATATAATATAATAATATAGTAATATATAGTATATAATATTATATATAATATGTATTATAGTATATAATATTATATATTACATTATATATATATACATATATAGCTAAAACTGGATTTTATTAGGAAGTGCACAGATAGGCTGAAGGCTCAGGAGCCTGACTAAAGTTTGGTTAAGCAAAGAGTCAGTCCTGATTCTTGTTCAAAGGAAGAAGACACATCCTTTTTTTCTCTGAACAGTGTAAGTCCACTTTCTTGTTCAGTTGCCATTTGTTCATTAATGACCGGCTGAATCATCCACTGGCACTCGGCAGCTGAGGAGATCTCCTGCATGGTAGGAGACATAGGACTTCAATGAAGGGAGTTTAGTTTCTAAGAAAATAGACACAAAACCAAAGACTAATAGCTGGAACAAATTATAAACTTGGTTTCTGAGTCCAGAGGGCAGCCAGTCAAGAAGATTTCTAGATGCTGGGTTTTAAGCATCTTCAGTTGAAGTGAGGACAGGCAGTGGCAATCTGAAAGATTTTCCTGGTGTGCGGTTTGGATGTGAGGAAGATTGTCCGTACATTAGCTCTGGTGGTGGTTTCTCTGAAGTTTACATCCACATGTCCAACTTCAACTGGCAGAGCTTCAGGGTAAAAAGCAGTTTAATTTTAGTGATTCGAAGCCAGAAGGTTGAAAGAAAATTGGAGATACTAGCTTGGAGAATCATAGTCAGATATTGAAAGAAATTAGAACATAGAATCCAGTTCAGAATGAAGATAGATAATAAAACCTCAAAGAAAACAAACAGAGCTAGAACCTAATATTGAGTGAACTATAGTTTTCTTCTAGAACATACTTTTTTTTCTCTGTAGAGTCACCCAGTTTCTATCAAAGATAATCAAAGTAAGACTAATCGGTTTGCAAAATAAGTTTGGTCTCATTAAACTTGGCCTGAATATTTATGTAAGTGCAGCAAGATTAGTGACTGACCATATAGACTCTTTTTCAGTTTGCTTTTCTGGAACTTTTAATAAGAAATAAAAGTTTAATCTGAGTCTTTTCTTGCAAAAACAAGAAAAGACTTTTAAGACTAAGAAGCAATATCAAGAACTTACTATCAGGCTGCAACCGTAACACGGATTTGAGTGAATTCCTTTCTTCATAAGGTCCTCAAAATTTCCCAGGATTACTAGGCCTTCCAAGAATTAACATGTTTTAATCACCTGTAAGTCTGAGAACTCTCAGACCAGTTTTTCCAAAGGGGGCTTTATTGGCTCTATAAAGCCAATCTCAGTTTTTAAAATCTATCTGATAATATCTGAAAATATGATATTCTAGTCATAGCCTTGGTAATACAGCAAGTGTTTCCAATTATGTCCTGTTATAAGGACAACTGATTCTTACTGAATTTGTAGTTATTTGCACAACTATATTATTATAAAAATAAAAATATTTACGAATAGTTTTCAAAGTCTGGAGGGATCACCAGGGAAAATGTGCTTCAATTTTTGTTCACAAAAGTAAACATTACCAAGTTGCTGTAAACTAGAGATAGCTTAAAAATGTTTCCTAAAATCTAGAAAACAAAACATTTTAAAAGTTGGCAATATTTAAATAAAAAAATCATTTAAAAATTACCCTTATGAGTTCATTCAGTCTCACATGATTAATTTTTTTTTTTTTTTTTTTTGAGACGGAGTCTCGCTCTGTCACCCAGGCTGGAGTGCAGTGGCGTGATCTCGGCTCACTGCAACCTCTGCCTCCTGGGTTCAAACAATTCTCCTGCCTCAGCCTCCTGAGTAGCTGGGATTACAGGTGCCCGCCACCACACCCAGCTAATTTTTGTATTTTTAGTAGAGACGGGGTTTCACCATGTTGGTCAGGCTGGTCTCGAACCCCTGACCTCGTGATCCACCTGCCTTGGCTTCCCAAAGTGCTCGGATTACAGGCGTGAGCCACCGTGACCGGCCCTCATGTGATTAATTCTTATTCTGCTTGATCTTAGGATAGCAGTTTCATGAAGTCGTCAGTTTAATTAGAGTTCTGAAAATTCTTTATCCAGTCCAAAAGTATTATCTTAAAGTTGTTAGAAATCTGTAATCCAGAGTACTTGCAAAAGTCTTTTTTAATGAATCTCCTCAATGAGAAAGCAATTTTGAACTATTGCTAACTGCAAACACTTCTAGAGAAAAAGTAAAGTAAAATAATATCTGTCTATGAATGACAGAAACTTAAAACTACCATAGTTTAAAGTCTGATGAGAGCTCGTATAATAATCATGCAACTGATCAGGAAATTTGATTATTTCTGTGGCAAACAACATTTTAATATAATATCAAGATTTTGACCAATAACATATCAGAGTTCTAGAATATAAAATGTTTAACAATTGTATATAATTTCTGGGACATGTATTTACAACATATCCATAAAATTTTAAGTCAATGAAGGATTACACAATTTCTTATTTAACAATGATTCCCATAGAATTTAGAAATCAAATTAACCTTATTAGTTTAATACCTTTATTTGGAAGTTAAGAGTCGCATTCTTCGAGCTCTCCAGGGACTCACCTGGAAATCTCGAAGTTAAAGGTCAAAAAGACGCAATATAAAATTTTATTTTGGAAATGTATCAAAAGCTCAAAAGGGTTTAAACAATTGAATTTATTTTGGTTATATATTTAATCAAAGTGACAATAAAAGATTCCAAAAGCAAATACAGAAAGTTACACAGTTGTGATTTAAACCATGAGCTGTTTTAGTTTTGAGAAGACTCAGTTTTCTTACATAATTGAAGACCTAATAAAATACATCAAATTCAAGAAATTTTCTTGATAAAACACAAAATCTTTGCTTCCTAGGCCAATTACTTAAAAGAAAAAAAAAAAAAACCTGGATATTCTCACCCACATACTTCAAGAAAACTTTGTCATTTTAACAGAGAAGACCAGATTCTACTTTTGTATCAATCCACTATTAAAACTAATTTTTATTAAAATAGTATAAATACATTTATGCAATCTCAATCAGCTTTGATGACACAAGATTTTCACAACATTTTCACAGACTCTCTCTTTTTTTCAACTTTTACAACTGACGTGTTTCAGGCAATTATGCAATTCACTTTTATTGTGCAGTCTGCTCTCAGGTGCGATTGACGGTTTTATGGCCTCAAACATCTATCACAGGCAACACAAACCTATGTGACCAGCAAGGCCTGGCCAAAACAAACAAACAAAAACAAACAAACAAACAAACAAACAAACCCAGTATGCTGACAATTCTCAAGACATTTGTATTTTTATCTTACCAACGATTTTTAAACTGGCTTTTATTTATCAGAGATTATCCCTGATCACATTAACTTAAAAAACAGTTGGGCTGATTTCTGTTTTTCTGAAAGTGAGTTTGGTAATACCATCAGAGATAAAAAAAATATGTATGCATAACATACAAACAAACATACATACGTGCACAAATAAATACACATACAGATAGATCCAACCAGATCTTACAGCTTTTAATTTAAAAAATTTTAGCCATGAAACAGTAAAACAGAAAAATATAAACTCACTGGTTTATCTCCACTTTATATAGTTATCCAAATTGTGTTTTTTTTGCAAATGAGACAAGTTGAGGTTACCTACTGAGTAAGGGCTGAAGCTTTTTACCAGTATTTGTGAATGTCTTTCAGATTTTTTATTTTTCAAGTTTCCAAATAGTTCTTTTTTTATTTCTCTCTTTTCAGCCTTCAGCTTGCTTTTAAGGGAACTCTGAGTCCCCTGAGGTGCTGAAATGTGAGGATAGGAGGCTTAAAATTCAAATGGCCGAGGGGCTGAAGCAGGGAGGGAAGGGGTCCAGAGTTAGCAGAGTGTAGAGCCAACAGGGTTTCAAGTAGATGATACAACTGATAAAGAAATTTGATTATTCAAGTGATGGAGAAGTTCCCATGGGAAAAGCAGGATTCAGTAGAGAGAACGCGGAGTGTAGAGAGAATAAAGAGGCCCCACAGAGCCAGGAAGGAGGACCACCAGCCCATGAGGCACCTTTCAAAAGAAGCCTGGGACTCTAATCCAGCATCAGAGAGTTACACCCATGGCTTAAGAAGAAAAATCTGTCCTCACCAGCTTCAATAGATGTTTGTCTGGAAAAATGTTTCAGGAGTCAGACTCACCAATGGATCTCTCATCAGTTAACCAGGAAAGATGATAAAGGCCTTGAAGGCCTGAACCTGGGGTCCTGAGTAAGAGCCCCAGGTGTGGAATAATAAATCTGATTCTATCCTACTTATGGCACTATAACTGGTAAAGAAAAAATTATTCAGTGCTACTTGTTAAAGCCTGATAAGGAAGACTTTATATTCAGGACCATTGCAATAGATGTAGGGACCACTATGATGGAGTCTTGCAGTGCAGGGAGAGAGTGGGCTACACTCCTAATGCAGCTTGGGTAAGTGGGGATTCATAGCCAAGGAGCAGGATGGGGTCCATAGACAGAAAATTATTTATGCCTGTAATCCCAGCACTTTGGGAGGCCGAGGCAGGTGGATCACCTGAGGTCAGGAGTTGAAGACAAGCCTGGCCAACATGGTGAAACCCTGTCTCTAATAAAAATACAAAAATTAGCTGTGCATGGTGGCACATGCCTGTAGTCCCAGCTACTTGGGAGGCTGAGGCAGAAGAATTGCTTGAACCTGGGAGGCGGAGGTTGCAGTGAGCTGAGATTGTACCGTTGCACTCCAGCCTGGGTGACAGAGTGAGACTCTGTCTCAAAAATAAAAATAAGTAAAAGAAGAAAAAAGAAAATTATTAAAAAGAAACATCAGGGGTGAGGCAGATTCTGGCTAAATCCACCTAACAGGATTCTCTCTGAAGGCAGGCCAGGGTGATCAGCTACAACCTGGGGATGGTGGAGTATTAGGAGTCTGATCAGGTATCGAGGATGGTCAGGATGAGGGTGGTGGTTCTTGGCTAAACTGATTTAGCAGAGTTCTTTGCCAAAACTGGGTTTTCCAAGGAAGTGCACAGATGGGCCTAGGAGAAGGTTCAGGAGCTTGACTACATTTTGCCTAAGCAGGGAATCTTTGTCAGTACCTGGAAGTGAAGGCTCAAAATTAATTGGCATCTTTGTATATAGAGAGACATGGCTGTATGCTTTGAATGTGCATAGCTAATGTCCTGTCATTGTAAATTAGGACACAAATTGCTTCAGGAATATTGATGGGCCATGAATTCTGGAATTGCCAGAGAGAACTGGAATCACTTCATGAATGGGATCGTGACGGGAAAGGCATAGGCTTACATTTCCATTTCCCTCACATCTTTAGGCAAGTGTGACTGAAACATTTTCTTGGCATTTATGTTTAATATATACACTGACTCCCAGCATTTGACTCCCAGCATTTGACTCCAAAAATTTGGAAGCCCTCCTCCCTTAAAAATAATGTATACACTTGTGCATTTATGCCCACCCTGACCTATCAAGATATTGATCTTTGAATTCCTACTGTTCATGTATAATTTTTAAAAAGTTGAGACATGAGCCTTATACCAAAATAAAATAAACACATATTAAGGATTTTATTTGATTCTTTAATTATAGAGGAAATTAAGATGACGATAAAGCTGACTTGAATAGCACCGAAGGAGCAGGAATTTTACTGGCCAACAAAAAAGTTAAAAACAAAACCAGTTAATGTGCTATAGGACAATAAAACCATTACCTTTGGGGTTAGAGATACACAACAGAAATCTACAAGTTAAGATGTAGCTTCCCTGTAAGTGAGCAAAGTCAATCACAAATATTCCCCTAGAAACCAGCACTATTCAATAGAATTTTCTGTGGTGCTGGAAGTGTTCTTTGTCTGTGTTGTGTAATGTGGTAGTTACTTGTTCAATAACTTTATGTGTCACTTGAAATGTGGCCTAGTGTGACTTGGAAAGTGGATTTTAATTATATGAATTTAATTAATTGTTAATTAATTAATTAATTAATTAATTAAAACTTGATTTTAAATAGCCACATGTGTCTGGTAGCTATACTATTGGACAGAAGAGCATGATAAAATGTCATTGGGAGAACGTGCTAAGCAATACTCCAAGATGACATTGAAAAGGTGTGCTGCTCTTCTTTGTGCCTTATTTCCAAGTTTTACTTGTGTTAAATAAAACATTTAAAAGGCCATGTTTTAGACTAAGCTCCTGCATGAGGCCCCAACAGATCTGACTAAATCAAAATGGAGTCACCCACGCTAAAGTTCCAAGTCGCCAAGCTGAAACTAAAATGTCGTCTGACCTTCCAAGAAATTGGGAAAAAGAGATGACAGCCAATTTCCAAACAAGCCAGTTTCAATCTTCAATCAGCATGAAAATGAAATTCCCTTTGTTTTAATTCTTATAACAAAAGGTAGCCTGAAGTCACTTGATGTGAACTGATCCGTCATTTCTCTATTGTTCTGTCTCCCTGTCCCTGCTTTACAGAGAAAGTAACTTTGAAATGACCAATCTGCTTTTTGTTCTTCCTTTCTGCTTTCTTCATCCCTTTCTGTCTGTAAAACAAACACCCTCTGCTCAGCTCATCTGAACACTTATTCAATTTTATGGAATAACATATTACCTGATTCTAGAATTGCAATAAAGCCAGTTGAGATCTTTAAACTAAATTTGTTGTAATTTTGTCCTTTGATGCTTGATATCATCTATACGGTTTGGCTGTATCCCCACCCAAATCTCATCTTGAATTGTAGCTCCCATAATTCCCATGTGTCATGGGAGAGACCCAGTGGGAGGTAATTGAATCATGGGGGGCAGGTCTTTTCCATGCTGTTCTCATGATAGTGAATAAGTCTCACGAGATCTGATGGTTTTATAAAGGGGAGTTCCCCTGCACATGCTCTGTCTTGCATGCCACCCACGTAAGACATGACTTTGCTCCTCTTTCACCTCCTGCCATGATTGTGAGGCCTCCCCAACCATGCTGACCTGTGAGTCAATTAAACCTCTTTCCTTTATCAATTACCTAGTCTCAGGTATGTCTTTATTAGCAGCATGAGAACAGACTAAACACATTATCTTTGTAAGATATAATTATTTTGGTTTGTTTTTGGCTTAATGGCTGTTGTTTCTCCCCAGCCAAATTTGTGTGACCAGTGCCTGTGGAACTATTTAGCCTTTTACACCTGGACAACCAATTGAGAGCATGTTTTGCATAGAGAAATCAAACAGACAACAGCTAGGATGTAGAACAGATCTAAGTTAGTGCAGTGTTTTTTCTATTGTTTAAAAGTTCTTCCCAGTGTTTATCTTTCTCCTTCTTCCTCCAGGTAAAGGATAATTTCCTTACTAGAAACGATTATCACATCAAAGTGGCAATTGACAGCCTGACATACAATATATTGTATTTGTATTTTATTAACTTCAATGGTCTTTGATGTTGAGGAGCTCTCAGTAAAGGCAGTTGAATAAACAAGCTAATTGACTGAGCATATTGATCCACATTGGCAGTTCTGTTTTTAATTGCCAGGTTTTGATGGGCATCTTCAATATATCTGTTCTGGGTAGTACATGAAACTCAATTGTAGATCAATTGGCAGGGGTTTGTGGGCCTGCCTAAACAGAGAAACGTGAAGTTCAACAACAACAACAAAAAGTGAGATGCTTAATTCTGATTTTGAATGAACAGAGAGCATCCTTTCCTGAGAAGAATTAAATGTTTTTGCTTTTGTGACTCATCAAATCCAAGTTCTTATGTTGGAGTCTGTCCACAGGTAGGTTTGAATTGGACAACTGGGCTTATTGCCAGTTCTTGATTCTACATATCTGTGTTTCTGACAGTATGTTAACATTCCTTTTAGGTTGGAATGGTCAATATATTTTTTCCTTTCTTTGGGTAGAGTTAAAAGCAATTGATGAAGCACCTGCCATGTGTCAGATTCTGTTCAAGGCTTTGGAGATACACTGGTGAGAAAACCAGGAAAAGTTCTTGCCCTAAGACAGTCTGGATTCATGAATAGGTCCTGAGAGTGACTGTGAAACATGACACCTATGTCAACATGCCAAAGGCATTTGTCTTCATGCATATGAACATTCCATGGTGTTTCTAGAGCTAATCGGGGAAGACTAAAGACCTTGTGACTTTTTATTCTCTGGTCCTTGGGTGGGCCTAATTATTTCCATCTTTTAGTCCCCTCAACCATATTCAGTTCATCAAGAAGCCAAGGGTACCTGTTAGTGTATCATTTATCACACACTAAAGAAGTATCCATAATGAGACTGCTGAATGCATTTTCTGACAAAATTTACTGGAAAGTAGCAATGAGAAATTATACAGAGAGAGCTATTAGAGCTTATGAAAGATTAAGCATCTTACCTGCCCCATTCTGCCAGCCCATGATTCCAGGTGATAAATTTACCTCTGCTGGAGGATGTCATGGCTATCATTAACATCTTCAATGTAGATTGGACCATTTTCAAGAGCCACCTCAGCTACAAAAAACAAATACCCTGAGTAGTCAGTTCCAGGCATGGACCAGCCTGGCGTAGGTGACCAGAATACGCCACTCGCAAAATATTCCACCTTGGCATAGCATTTTTCTGAGCTGAAGACAATTGAGAAGAAGCAGACAAACTCTCTGCCCTCCCGCTATTTGCCTAAAAGCAGGACATAAATATATAAAGATGTCTGCTACTTCCCCCTATCAGTATGAACAAAGATCAACCACTGAATACTTTAGACCCTGTATTAGTCCATTTTCACACTGCTGATAAAGACATACCCAAGACTGGGAAGAAAAAGAGGTTTAATTGGACTCTACAGTTCCACATGGCTGGGGAAGATTTCACAATCATGGCCGAGGGCTAAAGGCAATTCTTACATGGTGGCAGAAAGAAAGAATGAGGAAGAAGCAAAAGCAGAAACCCCTGATAAATCCATCAGATCTCGTGAAACTTATTCACTATCACGAGAATAGCACAGGAAAGACCAGCCCCCATGATTCAATTACCTCCCCCTGGGTCCCTCCCACAACCGTGGGAATCCTGGGAGATACAACTCAAGTTGAGATTTTGGTGGGGACACAGCCAAACCATTTCAGACCCTCGTCAACCTGGAGGCAGCACCAGAGGATTCTACCTAACAAGCTTTATTAACCAGGCTTTATCTACCCTCTATTTGCCTTCCACATTTTGCCACCCCCTAGGCACCCAAAGTCCTATTCCTGGGTCTCATCACTTCTCTAAAAATGTCTTATTCTTGGCCAAGGATGTTATTTAATACAGTGTTAAGCCATTTCTTTGAGAATGACTCATTCCCTGGGTATCTCCCATGTATATATGAATTATATGTGTTAATAAACTTCTGTTTGATTTTCTCTTGCTAATCTGTCTTTTGTTACAGAGGCCCAGCCAATGAACCTAAGATTGGTGGAAGGAAAAAATTACTTTTTCCCTCCCTACACTGAGAAAGTCCTTTCCTGTGGGAGATGGATAGCCATGTTGAAAGTGTTGAAGTGTGGAAAATAATAACACAGGGTCATGAAACAGTGAAACTAGCTAAATCCTCATAATTCTTTTGGTCTTGAGGGAGGAAAGTGTCCATTGCAATTGTTCGTTGACTCATAAAATAATTTCAAAATATTTGACACTCCATGTAACCAGCACTCAATCATAAACCAGAATGTTGGTAGCATCTTGAAGCTCCTCATTCTTCCCTCCATCACTAACACTCCCCCATCTACCCACAGGTAAGTACTGTCTTAACTTCTAACATCACAAATTAATTTCACCCTTATTTTTAACTTTGTATAAATGGAATCATGCAATATGTACTCTTTTGTGCCTGGCTGCTTTCACTAAACCTATTGTTTGTAAGACATTTCCATATTCTGTGTTGCTGAAGTTTATTTATTCTTACTGAGAATATACCAAAATTATTTTACTGCTGATGGGCCTCTGAGGAAATTTTCTGTTTAAGGTAATTGCAAACAATGCTACTGTCTTCTGTTTTTCTCTTCCGGGGGAATATAGGTACTTATCTATTTTAGGTATGTGACTAGGCATGGAATTGTTGCAAAGCAGGGTACATAAGTCAATTCTCACTATTCACAGAGTCTACATCTCGAAGTCACCACAAACGCTGAATTAGCAAACACAGAGCATTTGCTCTTAGGGAAGTTACAGGGTTAGGTTCCTGTGAGCCTCTTTTCAAAACGTTTTCATCAACAGATCAATACATAACCCTGTTTTGTGTGCTTCTATTTAAAGACATCTTATTTAATATATACTCTTGATTCATTAACATTGAACCCACCACCAACAGTGCTGTAATCCATACCTGAACAAAGCTTCTCTAACACACATATTTTCTTTGGGAGACACACCACAGCTCTCTTATGCTTCAAACCCCTAGACAGCACGTCACTACTGTGCTTGGGAGCATGTTAAACACCAAAATCATTCACCAGGAGCACCCAAAAGTAAAAAACGATGACACCAAGTAGACCATAAAAAAGATACTTGTTTACAAAATGAGAGTTGAAACAAAAAGGCAGAGAGTCACCTTGTTTGACCTAAGCTGGGAAGATGCATATCAGGTGACTCAAATTCTTTGCTGCTCTGTGCATATCCATGAATGCAAGTGAAAGTATTGAGTTTTGGAATTACAAAGAAATTTTAGTGAGTTGACAATTTGCAAATAAGAAATTCGTGAATGATGAAGATCAGCTTTATGCTCAGTTTTTGTAGATCCTGAGAGAGTTTCTTAAAATGGTTATACAAATGTAGTTTTTGAGAAGTGCATGGGTAAAAATAATATATTATTTTAATTTGCATTTTACTAAGGACTATTCTAATTAAGTCAGTATGTGAGAGATCTGGTTGTGCCATACTGATACTTGGTTATTTTTTGCCTTTTTCTTTTTAGCCAGTGTGGTGGGTGGAGTTGGCTGCCCAATAGAATAAGTTTGTTTGTTTGTTTTATTCTGACATCCAAATTCTCTTTTTGATTGTAATTCTATGTATATTGTATTTTTACTGTATCTCTTTCATTGTTTCATTTCTTTGAAGATGGTGAAATTCATGGTAGTTTGAAGACTAGAGATGATTCAACAAATGGCATCACTTAGTGCTGTTAAAATTCCTCCCTGAGGCACATCCTCTTCCCCCAAGGTGGGATAGGGCCATTAGGAAATGAATCTTCCTAGTGATGTGGAGCTAACCTCCTAAATATAAAAGAAGCCAAAGCCTTTTGAGTGTATCTACAAGGCTTTCATCAAAAGATGTTGATGAAAAGGGGGAAAATGAGAAAGGGAAAATAGCTCAGAGCATTCTGAGATATGTAAAGTGTGCAAAATTTATCAGGCCCACAGACACCTGAGGATGGAACTTCAGTCATGGCCCCTGCACCCCTGTCTGGGGCAATTGTTTAAAGGCATTTTGTTTCTCAGTAGCTGCCTCATACATTATATTCATGTTCCTGGAATTTGTTATACAAAGAGCAATATATAGCCAATCAATAGCTCATGTTATTTAAATGCAAATTCTTGGTAACGAACTTAGGAACTTCCTCTTCTTTTTCCTTAAAAACTCACTTGTAAGTGCTGCTAATGAGACTGTATATTCAGGGCAACTTGAATCTATGCTCCCAGGTGTCCATCCTCAAGCTTTGGGCTCAAATAAACTCTATACTTAATCATATTTTCTGAATCTTGTTATTTAAGATGTATCTAAAAGGTTCATTGTTTTGCCTTAGACAGTTAGGTCTCTTATGCATCATACAAATTTTTGAACATGGTGTGAGGTTGGGATTAAAACCCATTTTATACCACATAATGTCAACCAAAGCTAGCATTATCTACAAAAAGACTACAGTTTCTGACCAGACATGGTGGCTCACGCCTGTAATCCCAGCACTTTGGGAGGCTAAAGCGGGCAGATCATGAGGACAGGAGATCGAGACCATCCTGACCAACATGGTGAAACCCCTTCTCTACTAAAAATACAAAAATTAGCTGGGCTATCTACAAAAAGACTACAGTTTCTGGCTGGGCACAGTGGCTCATGCCTGTAATCCCAGCTACTTGGGAGGCTGAAGCAGGAGAATCGCTTGAACCAGAGTTGGAGGTTGCAGTGAGCAGAGATCATGCCACTGCACTCCAGTCTGGTGACAGCGTGAGACTCTGTCTCAAAAAAAAAAAAAAAAAAAAAAAAAAGATTACAGTTTCTTTACTTCAATCCCTTGTTCATTAAATACATTGAATTAAATCTCTTTCCACAAAGAATATTCCAGTCATAATTGACTTCACTGGTGAATGCTTCCAAATGTTTAAGGAAAAAAAATAACACTACTCTTATACAAACTCTTCCAAACAGTAGAAAATGAGGAAATACTTCTTATTCTTTTTATGAGGCCAGCATGACTTTGATAGAAGATCTGGCAAGAACAGTATATGAAAGGAAAATACAGACTTATTCCTCATGAACATGGATGGAAAATTTCTAAATAAGACCAGATTGAGTTTAGAAATGTATAAAAAAGGAAAATCACTCATTGGGTTTTATTTCATGGATTTAAAATTTTAAAGAATTGATCACTAAAATGTATATTATGTACAGAAATATGGGAAAATTTATATCTTCATTTCAATAAATGCAGAAAAATAAAATTAAACACCCATTTATGGGGAAAAAAAGCTCTCAACTGACTACAAACAGAATAAAACTTCTTTATCTGGTAAAAGCTATTTCCTGCAAACATTAAACTTAGTAGTGAAATAGTGAAAGATTTCCCCTAATGTAAGAAATGAAACAAACAGGCACACTTCACTAGACATTGTAGGAGAAAATGCTAAAGTCTGTGAATATAATTGTAGATTTATTTAATTCATCTTTCAGTTATTTAAGTTTTTGCTCCAGTGTTTTGAAGCTTTGTTGTTAGGTACATGCATATTCAAGATTGTTATATTTTCTTAGTAAATTGCCCTTTTTTATAATTATATTATGCCTGTATTTATTTCTGGTACTATTTATTCTTCTAATGTCTATTTTGTCTGATATTAATAAAGCCACTCCAGCTTTCTTTTGTTTATTGACTGCATGGTACATCATTTTCTATTTTTTTCTTTTTTTAAAAAAATTATTTTAAACTTTATAAAGATATAATTCACACCATAAAATTTACCTGTTTAAAGTCTACAATTCAGTGGGTTATCGCATATTCACAGAGTTGTGCATCTACCACCATATTCGAATGTAGAACATTTTAATCAACATAGAAGTAAACCCTGTACCCACATCAGACAATCCTTATCTCTCTCATCTTCCCCACCCATGCTTCCTTCACCTCCAGCCACAGGTAATCCCTCATCTTCCTGTCTCTGTAGATTTGCCTTCTCTGGACACTTTATATAAATGAAATCATACAGTATGTGACTCTTGGTGACTGGCTTCTTCCACTTACCATAATGTAATGTTTTCAATGTTGATCTGTATTGTTGCATGTATCAGTTCTTCATTTTGTTTAATTTCTGAATAATAGTCCATTGTGTGGATATATTTAATTTATTCATTAATCTGTTGATGAACATTTGGGTGTTTCCACTTTTTAGCTATCATAAATAATGCTGCTATAAACTTTTGCATTTCCCTGTGGACATACACTTTCATCTATATTAGGTATGCATTTAGGATTGGAATTCCTGGGTTATATGGTAGCTACATGTTTAAGTTTTTAAGGAACAACCAGACCTTCTTCCAATGTGGCTATACCATTTTACATTCCCACTAGCATTGTATGGTTATTTAGATTTCTTTGTGTCTTCACCAACATATATTAACTGACTCCTTGATTCTAGCCATTCTAGAGGGTAAGAAAAAGTATCTCGTCATGGTTTTGATTATATTTCCCTGGTAACTATTGATGCCAAGTATCTTTTCATGTGCTTATTGGCTGTTTATATATCTTCTTTGTAGACATGTCTTTTTAGACTCTATTTTAAAAATTAGACTCTTTGTCTTTTAATTATTGAGTTGTATAAATTCTTTGTATATTCTAGATATGAGTATCAGTCAAAGAAAAAATTGCAAGTCTGGACATTAGTAAGACAGGCAATTCTCAGAAGGGATGTTCTTTGTTGCAGTGATTGTTTTAGCTCAGGAATAAGTCAAGATCCAGGGGCTTTGGGAAAGAAGAGAAGCCTAATTAAATTTTAGTCCAGTCAAGTTAGTGAGCATTATATCCAGATTGCTCAGTGTGGACAAACAAGTCAAGTAATAATTTATGAGAAAAAGAACGGGAATCTTGAAGGTCTGTGTCTGGCTTCATTATAGGTAAAGAAGGAGGTTATCTTTGAGTCTTATCTAAATCATATGGGAAAGGGTAATTCTTTGCAATAAGCTATTTCATGGAACACAAAAAGGTGGGGGTATTTCCTAATCACTCTGTTAGGAGCACAAGGCTCATTTCAAATTCAACATTTTCATCTCTTATCAGATATCAGATTCTTAAATTTTTTTCCCACTCTATGGGTTGATTTTCTCTTCATGGATGGTGTTCTTAAAAGGGTTCTTAACTTGGACAAAGTGCATTTTATCTATTTTTCTTTTGTTTCTTTTGCATTTGTTGACATATGTAAGAAATCATTGCCTAATCTATGGTCATGAAGATTTACATCTGTTTTCTTCTAAGAGTTTATAATCTTAGCTTTACATTAGGGCTTTGATTTATTTTGAGTTAACTTTTGTATATGGTGTGAAGTAGGGGTACAGCTGCATTCTTTTGCATGTGAGTATCCTGTTGTTCCAGCATAATTTGTGGAAAAGTCTACCTTCCATTGATTTGTTTTGGCATCCTTTAAAAAATCAATTGGCTGAATATGAGAAGTTTAATTTTTGAACTCTCCATTCGGTCCCATTGATCTATATGTCTATTGTTATGCCAGTACCATATTGTCTTGATTACTATACCTTTGTTGTAAGTTTTGGAATCTGGAAGCATGAGTCCTCTAATGCTGTTCTATCTTTTTCAAGATATTCTGGCTATTTTGGGTCTCTTGAATTTTCATATAAATTTTAGGATTAACTTATATTCCCACAAAAAGTCAGCTGAAATTTTGACATGGCTTGCATTAAATCTGTAAATCAATTTGGGGACTGTTATTGTCTTAACAATATTAAACTTTTTAATACATGAACAAGGGATGTTTTTGTGTTTATTTAGATCTTTAATTTCTTTCAACAATGTTTTTAAGTTTTAAAAGCATAAGTTTTACATTTCATTTCATAAATCTATTCTAAAGCATTTTATCCCCTTTCATGCTACTGCAAATGAAATTGTTTCATTAATTTATTTTTTGATATATTAATTGCTACTGCATATAATTAATTTTTGCATATTGATTTTCTTATACCCTGTAGCTTTTTGAATTGATTTATTAATTGATACAGTTTGGTTATGTCCCCACCCAAATCTCATCTTGAATTGTAGCTCCCATAATTCCCACATGTCATGAGAGGGACCCATTAGGAGGTAATTGAATCATGAGGGCATGTCTTTCCCGTGCTGTTTTTGTGGCAGTGAATAAGTCTCAGGAGATCTGATGGTTTTATAAAGGGGAGTTCCCCTGCACAAGCTCCTTTGCCTGCCACCATGTAAGATGTGACTTTGCTCCTCCTTTGCCTTCCCCATGAGTGTGAGGCTTCCCCAGCCATGTGGACCTGTGAGTCAATTAAACCTCTTTCCTTTATAAATTACCCAGTCTCAGGTATATCTTTATTAGCAGTGTGAGAACAGACTAATAAATTAATTCTAATAAATTTTCAGTGTATATTTCAGGATGTTTTTCTATACAAAGTTCATGTTTTCTCTTTCTTTCTTTCCATTCTGGGTGCCTTTTGTGCTTTTTCTTCACTAATTGCCCTGGATACCCAATACAGTATGAATATAAATGTCAGCAGTGAACATCCTTGCCTTGTCCTTGATCTTATGGAAAAACATTCAGTCTTTCATTATTAAGTATGTTGCTAATGCAAATATTTTTTGTAGGTGCTCTTTATCACATTTAGGAAGTTCCTTTCTATTCCTAGTTCATTGAGGGTTTTTGTTCACTTGCTTCTTTTTTAATTATAAAGGGGTGTTGAATTTTGTTCAATAATTTTCTGTGCCTATTGAGTTCATGTAGTTTACATACTTAAGTCTATTGAAATGATGTATTACATAAATTTTTAAATGTTAAACCAATCTTTCTTTACCATGTTAATTTTCACTTACTTGTAAATTTCCAATATTCTTGCTGTTATCAATTCCTAATTATATCCTATTGTGATTAGAGAACATACCTGGTTTGGTTTCCAACCTTTTAAATATACTGATGCTTATTTTATGGCCAAGTGTATGGTCTATTCCATAGACTCTTTCATGTACTCTTCAGAAAAATGTGTATTTTGATGTTATTGGGTGGAGTGTTTGTAATGTCATTAGGTCTGCTGGGTATACCATGTTGTTCAAGTCTTCTGTTTTTTTGTTGATCTTCTAGTTATTCCATTCATTATTGAAAGTGGAGTATTGAAGTCTTCAGCTGTTTTCATTGAATTGTTTATTTTCCCTTAAATTCATTTACAAAAATTTTTTTTATTTTATTTTAGAGATGAGGTCTCACTGTGTTGCCCAGGCTGGTCTCAGACTCCTGGGCTCAAGTGATCCTCTTGCTTGAGCCTCCCAAAGTGTTCAGATTACAGGAATGAACCACCATGCCTGGCTTTTCTCTCTTAAATTCTGTCAGTACTTTATGCATTTTGTGGCTCAGTTGCCAGGACAATATATGTTTATAATTGTTATATTTTCCTGAAGGATTTATCATTTTAACATTGTAGAATGTCCCTCTATATATCTAGAACA
The DNA here is from genome assembly GCF_000001405.40 of Homo sapiens. Lineage (NCBI taxonomy): Eukaryota > Metazoa > Chordata > Mammalia > Primates > Hominidae > Homo > Homo sapiens. The sequence goes on along the minus strand of NC_000001.11, from coordinate 5,058,611 downwards.
GTTTTCTTATTTTAATGTCTATTTTTCTGATGTTAGTATAGCCACTCCAGCTTTCTTATCATTGCTGTATGCATATATGTATATCATTTTCCATATTTTTTCTTTTACTCTATCTGTATCTTTGATGTATACATGTCTTATTTAGGCAACATATAGTTGGATCTTTATTTTAATTCAGCCTGAAAGCTCTGAATTTTGATTGCATAGTTCTATTCATTTAAATTTAACGTCATTATTGGTGTAGTTGAATGTATGTTTGCCATTGTACTTTTATTTTCTGCTTCATATCTTTTTGTTGATCTATTCCTCATTTAGTGTGTTTTTGCATTAAGTGAATTTTTCTTTTTTATTTTAGGGACAGAGTCTTATTTTCTAGCACAGAATTTTACTTCCTTTAATAATGTTTTCTCTGTGTTTTTTTGAGAGTTTTTTGTGGCTACTCTGTGGGTTACCATATACATTTTAACTTTTACTAACTTAATTCCAGTGAGATAAACAGTTTTTACTTTCATATAACTCTAATCTTTCTTTCCTTTTTTGTGCTATTATTTCTACGTTTGTTGCAAACCTTGTAATACATTGTTATAATTATTACTTTATATGATTGTATGCCTACTAACAGAAGCCGAGTAAAGGACAGCAAGCATATATTTGTAGAGTTTGTTATATTAGCCTTCTAATTTATTATTTCTAGTTCTTTTCACTTTCCGTAGATGAACTTTACCCTCTGGTACTACTTTCTTACTCCAGTACAAAGTTTTTCCCACCTATATCCTTTGTGCAGTTATTGTCAAATATATTACATTTCTATATTTTGTAGGTCTAACAATACAATTATATACATATAGTCTTATACAATTGCTTTTAAATTAGTTAAGAGATGGAATGTTAATTTATACCTTTTTTGTAATTACATAAGAACATAGACTATTGTTTTTTTTCTTAAATTCTGGTATATTTGAATTACTGTCTGCAGTTATATGCTTTCAACCTAGAAAATTTCCCTTAATGTTTACAAGAAACACTATAGTGGGACTGCTAACAACAAATTCTTGTTTTGTTTGTTTAAAAATCTTGGAGTGTCTTAATTTCTTTCATTTTTGAAGGATAGTTTTGCTGGATATAGAATTTTTGGTTGAATGGTTGTTTTTCTTTCAATATTTTTAATATCTCATGCCAACACCTGTGGCCTCCATGGTTTCTGATGAGAAATGATGAGTTGTTAATCTAGTTAAGAATAACTTGTGTGTGATGAGTTGTTTCTGTCTTGACAGTTTCTAGATTCTCCCTTTATCTTTGCCTTTTGATAGTTTAAGTACAATGTGTTTCAGCATAGACCTCTTTGTATTTATCTTACTTGGAATTTGTTGAGCTTCTTAAATGTGTATTCTAATTTTTAAAAAATCATATCTGACAAGTTTCTTTCTATGATTTATTTAAATATTCTTTCTGCATCTTTATCTTCTCTACTTGTGGAACTCTCATTATGTATAGTTAGTACACTTGATGGAGTCCCCCATTTTTCTGAGGCTCTGTTTTTCTTTATTTTTTCTTTCTATTCCTCAGACTGGATAATCTCAATTGACTCATTTTTAAGTTCACTGATTCTTTCTTCTCTTTGCTCAGACCTGATACTTAGACCCTCTAATGGATTTTTAAATTTCAGTTATTGTAATTCTCAACTGTTTTTCTGTAATTTGTATCTTTTTAATGTGCTTTATTTGGTGAAACATATTTCTCGTATTTTCCTTTAGTTTTTATTGAAATTTTTTTGAATTGTAATTAGGGGTACAGTGGTTTTGATTACATGGATGAATTGTATAGTGAGAAAATCTGAGATTTTCTTGCACCCATCACTTGAGTAGTGTACATTGTGCCCAATATGTAGTTTTTCATTCTTCACCTTCCTTTCACCCTCCCCCACTTCTGAGTTTCCAGTGTCCATTATACCACTCTTTGTGCCTTTTGGTACTCATAGCTTTGCTCCCACTAATAAGTGAGAACATACTATATTTGTTTTTCCATTTCAGAGTTACTTTACTTAGCATAATGACCTTCAGTTCCATCCAAGTTGCTGCAAAATACATTATTTCATTCTTTTTCATGGCTGAGTAATATTCCATGGTGTATAAGTACCACATTTTCTTTATCCATTCATTGACTAATGGGCACTTAGGTTGATTTCATATCTTTGCAATGTTGAATTGTGCTACAATAAACATTTGTGTGCAGGTGTCTTTTTGATATAATGACTTCTTTTCCTTTGAGAGATACCCAGTAGTAGAATTGCGGGATAAAATGGTAGATCTACTTTCACTAAATAGTTCTTTGAGAAATCTCTATACTGTTTTCAATAGACGTTGTACTAATTTACCATCCCACCAGCAGTATATAAGCATTCCCTTCTCACCACATCCATGCCAACATCTATTGTTTTTGACTTCTTAGTAATGGCCATTCTGGCTGCGGTCAGGTGATAGCTCATTGTGGTTTTAATTTACATTTACCTGATGATTAGCGATGTTGAGCACTTTTTCATATGTTTATTGGCCATTTGTACATCTTCTTTTGAGAAATGTCTATTCACGTCACTGGTCCACTTTTAAATGAGATTATTTGGTTTTTTTCTTGCTTATTTGCTTGAGTTTCTCATAGATTCTGGATATAAGTGTTTTGTCAGATGCATAGAGGAAGTATCTGTTCACTCTGATGATTATTTATTTTGCTGTGCAGAAGTTTTTAGATTTAATTAGATCTCATTTATTTATTAATTTTTGTTGCATTTCCTTTTGGGGTTTTAGTCATAAAATTTTTGTCTATGTCAATGTACAGGGGAGTCTTACCTAGGTTTTCTTCTAGAATTTTTATGGTTTCAGGGCTTAGATTTAAGTCTTTAATTCATCCTGAGTTAAGTTTTGTATATGGTGAGAGACAAGGATCTAGTTTCACTCTTCTACATGTGGTTATCCAATTCTCCCAGCACCATTTATTAAATAAGATGTCCTTTCCCCCAATTTATGTTTTTGCATGCTTTGTCAAGGATCACTTACTTGGTTGTTAGTATTTGCCTGCATTTCTAGGTTCTCTATTCTGTTCCATTTGTCTATCTATTTACTTTTATACTATTACCATGCTGTTTTGGTTACTATAAACTTGTACTGTAATTTGAAGTCAGGTAATGTGATGCCCCCAGATTTGCTCTTTTTGCTTAGGATTGTTTTGACTGTTCAGGCTGTTTTTTGGTTCCATATTTACTTTGCAATTTCTTTTCTACTTCTGTGAAAAATGATGTTGATATTTTGATAGGAATTGCATTGAATCTGTAGGTTGCTTTGGACAGTATAGTCAGTTTCGCGATATGGATTCTTCCAATCTATGAGCATGGGATGTATTTCCATTAGCTTGTACCTTCTGATTGCTTTCAGCCATGCTTTGTAGTTCTCTTTGTAGAAATCGTTCACTTCCTTGGATATTTTATTTTATTTTTTGTAGCTGTTGTAAAAGGAATTGAGTTCTTGATTTGATTCTCAGCTTGATTGTTGTTGGTGTATAGCAGTGCTACTGTCTTGTTTACATTGATTTTGTAACCTGAGACTTTACAGAATTCATTTTTCAGATCTAGGGGTCTTTTGGAGGGGTCTTCTAGAGTTTTCGAGGTTAAGATCATCAGCAAACAGAGATAGTTTGTCTTCCTCTTTTCCAGTTTGGATGCCCTTTATTTCTTTCTCTTGCTTAATTGTTCTGTCTAGGACTTCTCTCTAGTTCCTTATATATGCTTTCCTTTAGCTTTTTTAGCATATTTTAAATAACTGATATAAGTATTTTTCTAGTAAGTTTTATGTCTGGACTTCCTCAGGGACAGCTGTTATTAATTACTTGCTTTTTTCCTTATGTATGGACCGTACTTTTAAAAAATTTCTTTTTATGCCTTGTGATTTTTTTTGTTGTTAAAGATTGGACATTTTGAGTATTATCATGTAACAGCTCTATAAATCAGTTTTTCTTTCTTCCCAGGATCATACTGCTTCTTGGTGTAGTAGTCGTTTGTTTAGTGACTTTTTTGAACCAATTGTGTAAAGTCTGTATTTTTTGTCATGTGTGTTCACTGTAGTTTATGTTCCATTAGCTTAATGATCAGCTACTCATTGAACAGAAATATCATATATGCCTGAAAGAAAAAAAAATCCTGAGTCTTTGCAAATGGACTCTGTGTATTGGGGGCATGTCTGGGTGATTTACAATCCTGATTTAGCTTTCACTTCTGGCTTCTGCAGAGCCTGAAGTTCAGGCATAGAATAGGTGAAAAGCCAATGTATTCTCAGGGCTTTTCTGAGTATGTACCCAGCCCTGGGCATGTGGGTGGACTCCTAGGCTTTTAGGATATGTTATAGATTTTCAATGTCTTTATTCTTCCCAAAGAATCCTATTCTTTAGCCTTTCCTCTCAAGCTTTTGGTGAGTTTGTTTTTCATCCCAGTGATTATCCATTGCCCCAGGGAGCAGCAGCAAATACATTTGCCTCTGTTTTCAACAGAGGTTCTGTTGTTAGCTGCTTCAGACCTGGGAGAATGTCAGGTAAGCTGAGATAAAGACAACCCCTTTGAGCCAGTTCTCCAGGGTGCTACTAGACAGGTTAAGTAACCAACCACAGTTCTTTGTGAATGAGACCTATTCTGCTTCCTCTGGTACTTGTGTCTGTGCTGGGACTGTAAACTTTTTTCTTCGGGGTTGTTGCCAAACTGAGGAGCAGGATGTAGGACCGGGGAAATTAAAAGACCACAAAGGTTGCTATTCTTACTGAGATTCCGGTGTTTTTTCTTGATTAAACATTTTGCCCTGCTTGTTACAGGCTCTTGGTTTGTTTCAGAGATCTAAACATTTGCTTCTGACAGTTTTTACCAGCTTTTTTTATTGCCTTTTTGGAGCAGTTTCCTATTCTGCCATTTTCTCTGATATCTCATAACCAAATTTTGATTGCATTAATTTCTCTATTTTATATATTCCCCTACTTTATTGATATCAGCTATTATCTTTACTATTCTCTTTCTTCTGTCTTTTTGGATTTGATTTAATTTTCTTGTTTTATATTCTTCAGATAAAATTTTAGATCTTTGACTTTTCAACCTTTCTTCTTTTCTAATAAATGTATTTAAGATTAGAAATTCCCCTTTAAGTAGTATTCCAGGAATCTTGGTTTATTGTATCATTCATTATCTATTAACTAATACAGTTTTAGGGATAAAAAGGGAGAACTAATAAAATAATAGATTAATTCTAAATAACACAAGAAAGGAGAAGCAAGAAATATAAAACAACTGAGTCAAGTTCAAAGTAAATGATAAAATGGCAGACATAAACCAGCCTTATCAGTCATTACATAATAAGTAAATGGACTCAGTTCTTCAAGTATGTGAAGGTTAAGATAGTCAGACTGGAAAAGGAACTATGGGATGCTTATAAGAAAGAGCTACAACACTGCAAACAGTAACCAAAGGAAAGTTGATGTAGTTATTTTCATGCACGTCCGTGTGAAGAGACCACCAAACAGGCTTTGTGTGAGCAATAAAGCTTTTAATCACCTGGGTGCAGGTGGACTGAGTCCAAAAAGAGAGTCAGGGAAGGGAGATAAGGGTGGGGCCATTTTATAGGATTTGGGTAGGTAAAGGAAAATTACAGTCAAAGGGGGTTTGTTGTCTGGTGGGCAGGAGTGGGGTTCGCAAGATGCTCAGTGGGGGTGCTTTTTGAGCCAGAATGAGCCAGGAAAAGGACTTTCACAAGGTAATGTCATTAGTTAAGGCAAGGACCGGCCATTTACACTTCTTTTGTGGTGGAATGTCATCAGTTAAGGTGGAGCAGGGCGTATTCACTTCTTTTGTGATTCTTCAGTTACTTCAGGCCATCTGGGCGTATATGTGCAGGTCACAGGGGATGCGATGGCTTGGCTTGGGCTCAGAGGCCTGACATTCCTGCCTTCTTATATTAATAAGAAAAATAAAACAAAATAGTGTTGAAGTGTTGGGGCGGCGAAAATTTTTGGGGGGTGGTATGGAGAGAGAGAATGGGCGATGTTTCTCAGGGCTGCTTCAAGCGGGATTAGGGGCTGCGTGGGAACCTAGAGTGGGAGAGATTAAGCTGAAGGGAGGTCTTGTGGTAAGGAGTGATATTGTGGGGATGTTAGAAGAAACATTTGTGGTATAGAATGATTGGTGATGACCTGGATACAGTTTTGGATGAATTGAGAAACTAAACGGAAGATACAAGGTCCGAATAAAAGAAGGAGAAAAATGGGTATTAAAGGACTAAGAATTGGGAGGATCCAGGACATCCAATCAGAGTGCCCAAGGGGGTTCAGCGTAATTACTTGCTTGGTTGGCAAGTTTTTGGGCTCTATCCTTCAGTTTTTTTATGTTGTCATACACCAGGCCAGATTGATTTAGGTAAAAACAACGCTCCTCATTTAAGAATATGCAGAGTCCTCCTTTTTCAGCAGTGAGTAAGTCAAGGCCTCGGGGGTTTTGGAAGACAACTGCAGCTGAAGAGTCAACATGGGCCTGGAGGACTGATAAAGTTTGTGATATGTCTGTGATGCTAGCAGAGAAGTCATTAGACAGGCTACGAAAGGTCGTGACAGAGGTTGAAATGCCTGCTATTCCAGTACCGAGAGCAATAGTGGAGGCAGAAAGTCCTAAACCGACCAGCAAGAGAATTAGTGGAATAGCTTTTTTTTTGTCGTGTCGGTGTCATGAGGGGAACAGGGAGCTCTTCGGTCCCATTTGCAAATTGAATTTTGGGGGTAAGGAAGACTAGTGTACATGTGCCTGTCCAATTAGCAGGTATACACATGTAGGTAGAGGATCCACAGAGGAAGAAGAGACCTTGGTATGAGGCAAAACAGGAGATGTAAAGTAAAAAGATGAGAAGGAGTGCTGAAAGGGGTGTCTTGTACCCAGACTCCTAGGGATCCAGCTAGGGCGGCAGGTGTCAGAGGTTGTAATGGGGACTGATGGGGTAACTGCATAGAAGGGGAGGTTCGATTTTCATGGTATATGAGAAAACCTTGAGTATGTACAAGCAACCTTTCACTGTTATTTTCGGGGATGGGTATAAGTAAACAAGAAGAGGGCCTGGGAGGAAAGTCTGATGAGCAAGGGGAAGGTAGCCAAGGATGGAGTGAAATACAGGGCAAGTGTCTTCCTAAGCAATAATTACTGCTAATGTTTTTAAGTTTGTCAGTATTGATGGAGGGCTTGTCTGTAATATGGAGCTGGAAGGCTCCAATTGTTTCAGTGATGTGTGTAGTTGGACTTCAGAGATGAAGAGTAAAGGAACATTGAGAAGGTGAAAGATTACCTAGGGGAATTCCAGTGGGTCTTTGCCGAGAGATACATAAAGGAGCGGCCACTGGAATAGTAGTTTGTGTTGTGAGAGGTCCAAATATGGGGGGAGTAGAGTTAATATAAGGAGAAAGGTTTTTTAAATAAGTGCAAAGGAGGGCAGCAGCTTGCTGATGTGAAATGTCTGGGGAAGTCTTGCTGGACCTGTCTAGAAAGTAAATGAGTTCTTCAGGAGGGTGAAGGTGAGGGCTGTTAAAGGAAGTTCGGAGGTGTAGGGAGATGGGAGATGTTGCCCAGTCTGTCTGTAAGGCGGGGACATCTGTGTAGGCACTGGAAGAAAGGGAAATGCAAAGCCAGCAGTTGTTCACTAAGGAGGGATTAGAATCGGCTAGGAGAGAATGGGTAAGGTTGATAGTGTGGTGGAGATAGCTGGGGCGAGGTAGAGGGTGACATAAGAATGGGAATGAGAATAAGAGTGAGTATAAAAGTAAAGAATAGAACTTCATCAGGGTGGAAGTATTGGAGGGTGCCTTGCCAGCAAAGATCATCTATCCACTCTAAGAGGGAGTTAAGAGTGGCAGTTTGGGGATAGCACCAAGAGATATAAACCGGCAGTGTAAACAAGAGTAGGGCATTTATAAGTAGTTGAGAATGAAGAATAGGAGTATGACCAGACAGAAGATAGTAGGGATGACTAGTTTTTGGGGCTCGGCCTAAGTGGTGGGGGTGACTTCGTAAAGCCTTGTTGCAAAAAGTAGGGTAAGGATGAACAGACCTAATAGAATGAAGGGATATATTAGACTCATAAGGGTTATTACTGTTGTTCAGAAATGCTAGTGAGTTTAAGGGAAGTAGGGGAGAGTACTTGCGACTTCCAGGAGGAATAGGAGGGATTAGGCTGGCTGTCCAATGGGCACAGCTTTATTCTGGAATGGTGAACCCAGTGGGGAGGATCCTGCAGGCGGACGGCAGTCAGGGTACTATAGATGACTAAGTAGGGTCTGGTCCATCGAGGTTGTAGAGTTTGAGGGGTCAGATTCTTAACAAGAACTGATCGTCCAGCTAGGGTGTCTTCATATGGCTGGAGATCTGGAGTAGGCAAGAGAAGATTAGCAGCCTGGTGAATTTCCTATCTAGCCTGTTGGAGGACTGGAAGATAGTTGCCTAGAGGGCTGGTGTCTGGGATGAGGTTGGGGCCAAGCAAGAAAGTGTGTCCATATAAGAGTTCAAATGGACTGTACCCTGTAGCATCTCGAGGACAGGCTCTGATTCTGAGAAGAGCAAGAGTTAAAAGTACTGTCCAATCCTTTTTAAGTTGGAGGCTGAGCTTGGTGAGGTGTGTCTTTAAAAGACCATTAGTCCGTTCTACCTTTCCTGAAGATTGAGGACGGTAAATGATATGAAGGTTCCACTGAATACCAAGAGCCTGAGAAACTGCTTGGGTGATTTGGCTAGTAAAGGCCGGTCCGTTATCAGACTGTGTAGAGGCGGGAAGGCCAAACCGAGGGATTATGTCTGACAGAAGGGAAGAAATGACCGCAGTGGCCTTCTCAGACCCTGTGGGGAAGGCCTCTACCCATCCAGTGAAAGCGTCTACCCAGACTAAGAGATATTTTAGTTTTCTGACTCGAGGCATGTGAGTAAAGTCAATTTGCCAGTCCTGGGCAGGGGCAAATCCCCTAGCTTGATGTGTAGGAAAGGGAGGAGACCTGAACAATCCCTGATGGGTAGTAGAATAGCAGATGGAACACTGAGAAGTGATCTCCTTGAGGATAGATTTCCATGATGGAAAGGAAATGAGAGGTTCTAAGAGACAGGCTAGCGGCTTGTAAACTACATGGAAGAGGTTATGAAATTATGATAGAATAGAATGGGCCTGTGAGGCTGGAAGAAGACATTTTCCTTGGTCTAAGAACCATTTGCCTTGTGTGGGAAGAGATTGATAGGTGGAAGTTTCAGTGGGGGAGTAGGTGGGAGTGACCGAAGTGAAGGAGAAAAACTGGCCGTGAGGGACAGAAGTTGGAGAGCTAGCTGCTTGGCTAGCCACCTTATCAGCATAAGCATTGCCTAGAGCAATGGGATCTGATGCCTTTTGATGTCCCTTGCAGTGAATGACCCCAGCTTCTTTTGGAAGTAAAGTGGCCTTGAGCAGAGTTTTTATTAAAGAGGCATTAATGATGGAGGACCCTTGTGTAGTGAGGAAACCTCTTTCAGCCCATATGACTGCATGGTGGTGCCGAATATGAAAGGCATATTTAGAATCAGTAAGATATTGACGCGTAGTCCTTTTGCAAGAGTGAGGGCTTGAGTTAAGGCAACTAGTTTGGCTTGCTGAGAGGTAGTGGAGGGAGGCAGAGTGGTAGCCTCAACGATAGATGTGGAAGATATTATAGCATAGCCTGCCTTTGCTGGTGAGTGGCGATTAGGCCTGGTGGAACTGCCATCAATAAACCAAGTGTGATCAGGGTGAGAAATGGGGAAGAAGGAAATGTGGGGAAATGGGGAGAGCATCAGGTGGATCAGAGAGATGCAGTCATGAGGGTCAGGTGTGGTATCCGGAATAATGTGGGAGGCCGGATTGAAGTCCGGGCCAGAAACAATGGTAATTGTGGGAGACTCAACAAAGAGTGAGTACAGCTGAAGGAGCCGGGGAGCAGAAAGTATATGTGTCAGGTGTGAGGAAGAAAATAGATTTTGGAAATTATGAGAGCTGTAGAGAGTGAGTTGAGCATAGTCTGTGATTTTGAGGACCTCTAAAAGTATTAATGCAGCAGCAGCCACTGCACGCAGACATGATGGCTAGGCTAAAACAGTAAGGTCAAGTTGTTTGGACGGAAAGGCTACAGAGTGTGGTCCTAGCTCTTGTGTAAGAATTCTGACCACGCTAACCATGCATAGGAAGGAAAGGAGTTATTTTGTAGAAGGTGCTGGGGTTTGAGAGATCAGTCAGATACGATTGGCAGGGAGAGCACATGTGTTTTTATGAGAATTATGCCGAGATAGGTAACAGATGAGGAAGAAATTTGGGCTTGATTGAAGTAATGGGGGCTGTCTGTGAAGCTTTGCAGCAGTACAGCCCAGGTAATTTGCTGAGCTTGATGGGTGTCAGTGTCAGTCCAAGTGAAAGTGAAGAGAGGCTGGGATTAAGTGTGCAAAGGAATAGTAAAGAAAGCATGTTTGAGATCTAGAACAGAATAATCGGTTATAGAGGCAGGTATTGAGGACAGGAGAGTATATGGGTTTGGCACCATGGGGTGGATAGGCAAAACAATTTGGTTGATAAGGCACAGATCCTGAACAAACTTGTAAGGCTTGTCTGGTTTTAGGACAGGTAAAATGGGGGAATTGTAAGGAGAGTTTTTAGGCTTTAAAAGGCCATGCTGTAGCAGGTGAGTGATAACAGGCTTTAATCTTTTTAAAGCGTGCTGCGGGATGGGATATTGGCGTTGAGTGGGGTAAGGGTGATTAGGTGTTAATGAGATGGTAAGGGGTGCATGATCAGTCGCCAAGGAGGGAGTAGAGGTATCTTATACTTGTGGGTTAAGGTGGGGGGATACAAGAGGAGGACACAAAGGAGGCTTTGGATTGGGAAGAAGGGCAGCAATGAGATATAGCTGTAATCCAGGAATAGTCAGGGAAGCAGATAATTTAGTTAAAGTGTCTCAGCCTAATAAGGGAGCTGGGCAGGTGGGGATAACTAAAAAGGAGTGCTTAAAGGAGTATTGTCTAAGTTGGCACCAGAGTTGGGGAGTTTTAAGAGGTTTAGAAGCCTGGCCGTCAATACCCACAACAGTTATGGAGGCAAGGGAAACAGGCCCTTGAAAAGAAGGTAATGTGGAGTGGGTAGCCTCCGTATTGATTAAGAAGGGGAGGGGCTTACCTTCCACTGTGAGAGTTACTGGAAGCTCGGCGTCCGTGATGGTCTAGGGGGCTTCCGAGGTGATTGGGCAGTGTCAGTCTTCAGCCGCTAAGCCGAGAAGATCTGGGAAGGAGTCAGTCAGAGAGCCCTGGGCCAGAGTTCCAGGGGCTCTGGGAGTGGCTGCCAGGTGAGTTGAACAGTCCGATTTTCAGTGGGGTCCCACACAGATGGGATGCGGCTTAGGAGGAATCCCGGGCTGCGGGCATTCCTTGGCCCAGTGGCCAGATTTCCGGCACGTGTAGCAAGCTCCTGGGGGAGGAGGTTCTGGAGGAACACCTGGCCGCTGCGGTTCAGGCGTTTGGAAGTTCTTGTGTGCTGGAGATGTGGCTGGGGTTTGTCTCACAGTGGAGGCAAGGAATTGCAACTTTTTTCTATTATTGTACACCTTGAAGGCGAGGTTAATTAAATCCTGTTGTGGGGTTTGAGGGCCGGAATTTAATTTTTGGAGTTTTATTTAATGTCGGGAGCAGATTGGTTAATAAAATGTATATTGAGAATAAGACAGCCTTTTGACCTTTTAGGGTCTAGGGCTGTAAAGCGTCTCAGGGTTGCTGCCAAAGGAGCCATGAACTGGGCTGGATTTTTATATTTGATGAAAAAGAGCCTAAACACTTCTGATTTGGGATAAAGAAAAAGGAACATTAACCTTGACTATGCCTTTGGCTCCAGCCACCTTTTTAAGAGTAAATTGCTGGGCAGGAGGGGGAGGGCTAGTCACAGAACGAAACTGTAAGCCGGACCAGGTGTCAGGAGGGGAGGTGATAAAAGGATTATAGGGTGGAGGAGCGGAGGCTGAGGAAGAATTGGGACCTAGCTCTGCCGGTCGAGGAGCAGCCTGGGGAGGAAGGGAGAGGTCAGATGGGTCTGTAGAAAAGGAAGATTAGAAAGACTCAGCGACGCTTGGGGTTGGTACTGAGGGGACAGGCGGGAGGGAAAGAAGGAAGATTTGGGATGAGTTGCACTGGGCACAGAGACTAGGAAGGGACTGATGTGTAAAAGAATGCCTGGACGTCAGGCACCTCAGACCATTTGCCTATTTTATGACAATAATTATTTAGATTTTGCAGGATGGAAAAATTCAAAGTGCCATTTTGTGGCTATTTGGAACTACTGTTGAGTTTGTATTGGGGTCAAGCGGCATTGCAGAAGAAAAGGCATTTAGGTTTTAGGTCAGGTGTGAGTTGAAGAGGTTTTAAGTTTTTGAGAACACAGGCTAAGGGAGAAGAAGGAGGAATGGCAGGTGGAAGCTTACCCACAGTGAAGGAGGAAGCCCAGAGAAAAGAGTAGAGACACAGAGAAGGGGTGGAGGGTTCTTGCCCTCCAGAAAAGCAGAGAAGGGGTTGGGGCACGGAAGTAAGGGATTGGGGCACAGAGATAAGAGGTCAGGGTGTGGAAATAAGGGATTGGGGCACAGAGATAAGAGGTTGGGGTGTGGAAATAAGCGACTGGGGGGTTCTTGCCCCCTAGGAAAGCGGGACTTGCCACTAAGGGTGAAGGAGAAGGGGTTGAGGGGTACTTGCCCCTGTCCCAGAAAAGCAGAGAAGGGGTAGCGACAAGGAGAGAAGGAGTTGGGGTACTTGCCCTTTCTCCAGAAAAGCAGAGAAAGGGTAGAGACAAGGAGAGAAGGGGTTGAGGGGTACTTGCCTTTTCCCCAGAAAAGCGGGACTTGCCGCTAAGGGTGAAGGACCAAGGCAGGCATCCCTGCGTGGTCTGACACCCTTGAAATGTGAGTGTATAATCAGAGAGGCGTCCCTGCAATGATTAAACACCAAGGGAAGGCTGCCTTCCCAGTCCATGACCGGCGCCGGAGTTTTGGGTCCATGGATAAAACGTGTCTCCTTTGTCTCTACCAGAAAATGAAAGGAATTGAAATTAAGAGAAGGGAGAGATTGAAGTGTGGCACCAAGATTGAAAGGAGAAAGAGGTTGAGGGATAGTGAGGGAGGTTGGAGAAGAGAATAAAAAGAGGCTGCTTACCGGATTTAAACTTGGTGAGATGTTTCTTGGGCTGGTCGGTCTGAGGACCTGAGGTCGTAGGTGGATCTTTGTCACGGAGCAAAGAACGGGAGGACAGGGGATTGATCTCCCAAGGGAGGTCCCCCGATCCGAGTCATGGCACCAAATTTCATGCACGTCCGTGTGAAGAGACACCAAACAGGCTTTGAGCAATAAAGCTTTTAATCACCTGGATGCAGGTGGGCTGAGTCTGAAAAGAGAGCGAAGGGAGATAAGGGTGGGGCCGTTTTATAGGATTTGGGTAGGTAAAGGAAAATTACAGTCAAAGGGGGTTTGCTGTCTGGCGGGCAGGAGTAGGGGTCGCAAGGTGCTCAGTGGGGGTGATTTTTGAGCCAGGATGAGCCAGGAAAAGGACTTTCACAAGGTAATGTCATCAGTTAAGGCAAGGACCGGCCATTTACACTTCTTTTGTGGTGGAATGTCATCAGTTAAGGTGGGGCAGGGCTTATTCACTTCTTTTGTGATTCTTCAGTTACTTCAGGCCATCTGGGCGTATAGGTGCAGGTCACAGGGGATGCGATGGCTTGTCTTGGGCTCAGAGGCCTGGCAGTTACACTAACAATGTACAAAATAAACTGTAAGGCAACAAGCATCAGTAGAACTAGAGACATTCCACAAGTGTGTTAACTGACCAGAAGGATATTAGTACATATGTATGTACCCCCCAAAAACCAAAATACATAAATCAGTAATTGCCAGAGCTTAAAGAAAGAAAAGCAATGCATAACCAATGCGGAAGACTTTAATAAACTCCATAACTAATAAAACAAGAAGATAATAAAAATAAGTATATAGACATGGACAAGACACCTAGTAAAAGACCTAACGGATGTAAACAAAACATTGCATCCAACAGCAACAAAGGCTCATTTCTTCTTCAAGTGTGTAGAATCATTTACTGAGATTGACTATACATTGGACCATAAACAAGATTCAACAAATTTCACAGGATTAAAGTTATTCAGAGTAGGCTTTCTGACCACAGTGGAATTCAGCTAGGAATCAGTAGAAAATCCCCTACTGTTCAAAAATTAAACAATTCACCTCTAAATAATCCATGTGTCAAGAGGAAGTCACACTTGCAACTACAATGTATTTTGAACTGAATAATAAAATATGCCACAAGTGGACCTCTGTAGCATCTAGCAACCAGGGCTTAACCCTTGCCCAGAAGCTGGTCTTAAGGAGCCTGCTCCAGCATTAAGGTCTTGTGTGTTCTGATTATTTCAAGTTCGCCCTTTGCCACATGTTAACAATCTAGATTACATCCTCTGCCCCACTGCCTTGTTGGAGCCATGACTTTAAATCTTCCACACAACCAGCATACTGCTTTTAGCCCAGTGTGCATGCAGTAAGATTCTTTTTGCTACAACATCCTATTAACCATTTCTGGTTATTCTTGGCAGTAATGTCTTTGCAAAGTGGAAAACATTCTTTAATTCTAAGCAAGGACAAAAGTGTTCAAAGCTTTATAAGGCTTTAGTCACCCAAGGAACTAATTCATGTGATTATTCATCTTTTTCTGCCCTTGTAAATCAGCACCTCAGAGATATTCAGACACTCTTGACTTCCAAAGGACAAGCTTCTTGCAAATGAACAATTTCAATTGCTATATCCGTAGTCCCACTCAACATACCCTCAAGCAGCATACTTAACATGAAAGTCTGTTTAATTGCCAGTAAATAGTAGAGTACTCTTTTAAAACAATGTGTCAAACAAAATTAATTGAAATAATCTTAATGTGTTTCATGTGGTAATAACCACTTATGTAAGATTAACACCATAGAAAGAAAAGACAAGGAGAGAGGTAGTGGCGTGTTTCTGTAATGGTAGGCTTTGCAGTAAATCCTTCTGTTGTTTCCCTGGCTGGTCATTTTGGTTTCCTTTGTAAGTTTTTCAGCTACATGAAATAAGGAATTATTACCTTATAAATAGTTGGTGAAACTGAGTAATTGGTAGTGAATTTATTATCTTAGTGCTTTGAATTAAGTGTGTGAAACGAGAATTCAAAAGCTGGAGCATAAGACAACACTTCAGAGGAAGATGCTTTGCGCAGGAACTTCTTTGGGAAGAAAACTAAAGATTCATTCATTCATTCATCCAACAATTTAATATCCTATTAAATCAGTGGCAATGCCTGAAGTTAATGGTTTTATCTGACTATACCCCAAAGTCATCTGAACCTAGAATTTGTGTCTAAGGAAACAATACAATGAAGAAAATAACTCTATAACCTAAAGCACCTGTTTTGTACCAGGCACTCTCTTGCATTCTCTCTTGTGTCTCTTTTGATGACTCTGAGACAGGTAGTATCCATTCCATTTTAAGGACTGGGAAGCCCACACTCAGAGATGTGAACTGGCTGCATTACTAGTTAACATTCGGTGGGAATTCCCACCATGCTGCTGGGCTCCGGGGCCTTATTCTTTCCCTGCACCACAATTGCAGCAAGCACAGACCCCATAGGTTTAAGGTGGATCAGAAAGAAGAGAATGTTTGGATCGTATCAGGGTTTGCTTTAATCAGGCATGATGAGATGACAGATGTGGAGACAACTGCCTTTGAAAGTGCAGTTTACACTTTATAGTTTCCAAGAGGGAGGCCACACCACACAGGGCCACACGGGGACCACCAGGCTGGTCAGAAGGCAGAAGGAGCCAGCAGGGAGCAGGGCTCAGAGACTTCACTGTGATTCCCACAGGAAAGAATGGGCAAGGCAGGGCAGGAAAGTTTAAGATTCTAGTACTGAGCTTATCAGGGTGGTCTCTAATTGTCTGATACCTGGCCGACATGGTCTGGTTGTGTCCCCACCCAAATCTCATCTCGAATTGTAGCTTCCATAATTCCCATGTGTTGTGGGAGGGACCTGGTGGAAGATAATTGAATCATGAAGGCTGCTTCCCCAGGGCCGTTCTCATGGTAGTGAAGATGTCTCATGAGATCTGATGTTTTTTTAAGGGGTTTCCCCTTTCATTTGATTCTCATTCTCTCTTGCCTGCCACCATGTAAGAGGTCCATTTGCTCTTCCTTCATCTTCTACCATGACTGTGAGGCCTCCGCAGCCATGAGGAACTGTGAGTCAATTAAACCTCTTTCCTTTCTAAATTACCCAGTCTCGGGTATGTCTTTATTAGCAGTGTGAGAACAGACTAGTACACTGACCCTGGGGTAATTTAGGGCAGGGGAAGTGTTGGCGGGGTGCATGGAAATTACATAAAGAATGGGGTTGGGCATGTGGGATTTGGAGTGGGTGGTTTACATAGGAAAGGAACACTCACAGATCAGTTATTTTCTGTCTCTAGGAATTCGCCCTGGGAAGGGTAGTCACTCCAGGATTAGCGAATACCTAAGGTGGTAAAAGCAACACAAAACACAGAAAATTTATAAAAACATAGATGATAGAGAGAAATCTATATTTGGATGGTAATGAAATCAGGACTTTCCATCTAAAGTTCTTTTTCAGAAGCAACCACAGAGGGCCTGGAGATGGAGCACAACCCTGCTGTTCTTCTGCTCCAGCTGTGGACACTCTGGCAAGTGGAGGAAATCTAGCATGCGCATTTGCACGGCAGACAGCAGGCATGCTCCAGGCACCTTGGAAGAAGAATCAGTGACGACCTTAGGTTGGGTTTCCCAGACCCTGAACCAAGGTTTTCAGTGTAGGCAGTTTATTTGGGAGGTGATCCTAGAAGTGAGAAAGTAGGGAAAGTGGGAGGGGGAATAGAAAAAGTCCAATCTAAGATGCACTAAAGACAGGGCTATGCTTGTGGGCATATGAGGTTCAATCCTACAGGAGACTCTCAGAGGAACCATTGCAGCATGGCCTAGAATTGTCCCCCACCAGAAGATGAGGAGGCTGGACATTCTGTCACTAGCTCCCAGCCACCACTCTTTGGGAGCTGTCCCAGGAAAGGAAGAAGTGGTCATTAATGCCTCTACTTCTGGGCCATAATTGCATTCAGGTGGGCAAGCTCTTAAAGTGTAGAGGAAGAACAGGAGAGGTGCAGGCATTTGAGGGGAGAATCACAGCTATCACAACTCAGGTGGGCTGAGGGCATGGAGGGGGAAGGTATCAAGAGGGTTCACTATAGGAACAGAATAATGAAACAGATGGTCTCTTTTTGAAGAAGATGGATACATTTATTTCATTCTCATCCATCCAGGTCATAAAGTGTATGGAAAGCAATAGTTATGACTACCGGCTTTCCTGTTTAGTCTCAGGACCAAAAAATTGATGTGCTTCTCCTGAGCATTTCATCTGCTTATAGTTCTGTGTACACTATGAATTGTGTAATTCTTAGTGTTCCTTCCTTGTGTCAGCTAAAAAAACAGAAGCTTAGAACCAAAATTTATGCCTTACCTCCACCAAGTGTAGAGACAGTTTAGAAATTACTGTTTTTATTTCAAGATCTCTTTATAATCTTACTCTCACTGTTGTCTTTTTATTCTGAATTTAAATCTATGATTTGTTGCTCTACTTTATATATCTTTACAAGATGTCCTGACTCTTGAACAAAATTCTTGTGCTAGGGAGAAATCTTGGTTGCAAGGGTCAGACACCTAACTCAGAGTACATTAAACAACAACAACAAAGAATATTTTGGCTGTATTATATAACTGGGAAAATGGGGAAAATGTCTTGCTCCAGGCATAGTTGGATCCAGAAATTCAAATAACATCTTTAATATTTTCTTTCTCTTATCTCTCTCTCTTTTTCCCTTGCTTCCTCTCCCTTTATTACTTTTCAATTATCTCTCTCACCTCTTTCAGCTTTCCTCTGTGTTGGCTTTACTCTCAGTAGGATTATCCCATTTAGTATTAGTCTGTTCTCAAGCTGCTAATAAAGATATACCTGAGACTGGATAATTTATAAAGGAAAGAGGTTTAATGGACTCACAGTTCCACATGGCTGGGGATGCCTCACAATCATGGTGGAAGATGAAGGAAGAGCAAAGGGATGTCTTACATGGTGGCAGGCAAGAGAGAATGAGAATCCAGTGAAAGAGGAAACCCCTTATAAAACCATCAGATCTCGTGAGACTTCTTCACTACCACAGGAAGAGTATGGGGGAAACCACCCCGAGGATTCAATGATCTCCCACCAGGTCCCTCCCACAACACGTGGGAATTATGGAAGCTATAATTCAAGATGAGATTTGGGTGGGGAGAGAGCCAAACCATATCAGTGGCGTAGAATGACCACTGGCTGCTCTAGGTTCAGATCAAAGTTACAACTGATGAACCCAGAACTGTAACAAAAACAAAGGAAGTCACCTCTTTCTTGGTAGCTTGAGCAAGTTTCCTTGATGGGATCTGTTGAGTTCTGCTTAAGTTAACTTTGCACCTCTGTGATGGGGTCTTTACTACTGGAGACACTTGCGATGGGTACCCCATCAGAAGGAGAAGAAGGGGAGAGGGAAAAAGTGCTGCATAGACACAAATGAGCTGCCTCAGTTTACAGCCATAAGAAATACATGGTTTGATAGGCAGACGTGGTAGCCAGGGGGTGAAGGAGAGAAGTGGGAGAGAAACGTGTGTCCTGCGTTGACTAGTTACATTTGCTCCACGTTGTGCTGAGCATTTCCCATGGGGTATGTCATTTAATCCTCAAAAGAACCCTATGAGACAAAGTCAATTCCTATTCACAGTTTTAAAATGGGAAAAATGAGGCACAGCTAAGAAGTGATGAGGATAGGATTCAAAGACTCGTAGGTTGGCTCTAAAACCAGGACTGTTAGCCACCACAGAAGAGCTGGTTTGGGCAGCAGAAGAAATAGAAAGGCCATTTATTCAGAATGCTATTGAGTGAGTGAAGGTGGGATAGAGAACCAGCCTACTTTTGAACATGGTAAGTTTGAAATGCCTTAGACGCATACATGCAGAGTCAGGGGTGGACACTTAAATACATGTGCATGGAGTAATAAGGAGAGATTTTGGCCACAGATAGAACTTTGGAAGCAGTGAAGTCATGGGCAGGTATCAGCTCTCCTGGACAGAGGAGTCCGTGTGAGAGAGAACAACAGACTCAAGCCTTCAGTACCTTTAACATTGCATGGCCAATTAGAGGAGACATAAAAGAATTTTCCAGGAAAAGAAAAAAGATAGAGTATTGATTAACGGAAGTACAGGGAAGAGTGTTTCAGAAAGAAGGCAGAGTTTTTAGTGTCAAGTGAATACTGCTTTGATAAGATAAAAATTGAAAAAGGTCCCTTGGCATGAGGGCATGGTTACCATAACAAAATTTTTTCACTGACTGAAGGGAGGCAAACCAGATCAGAGTGAGTCTGGAGTAGGTGGATGTGTGGGTGCGAATAAAAGGACTTAGTGAGTATACACGGCCTCTTCAAAAGATTTGAAAAATCAAAACAGAAGGGTGCCAAGGAAGATGTGGGGGATGGGAAAGAGGATTTAACATGTTAGAAATTTATGGGTTCAATTTGAATACAAAGTGTCAGTATTAACTCATCTTCTGTTTTTTTTCCTTAAACACATATTTTCCAGCTCTGTTCACTGAAAAAGTCTAGGAGCAATGATGCCCCAATAGCAAAAGACATCCTGCTGTCCAGAGCATGGGTGTTAAATACTGTTTGCCCCCAAAGGGAATCAGAGATTCTTACAGAAAGGGGCGTTTTCAGGACTGGAGTGGGAACATTTAATATGATTCTAGGACTTCTTGTGCCTGAAGGCAAGAAAACATTAAAAGACCAATGGGTCATGTCAAAAAAACATGGGACACAAAAGAAGGGCGTCCTTCTGACTAGCAATAGGACAATTTAGGGCACTGGGGAGGCTGTTAATGAAATAATGGGCTAATGAATCTGCAAAAAGGGAGAGAAGTAAGGAAAGAGATGTCTGATAAGTGGGGAGGAGGTGGGGATGGTGATATGGCTTGGTTCTGTGTCCCCACCCAAATCTCATCTCCATTTGTAATCCCCAGGTGTCGAGTGAGAGTCGCGGTGGGAGGTGATTGGGTCATGGGGGAAGTTTCCCCATGCTGTTCCTGTGATAGTGAGTGAGTTCTCATGAGAGCTGATGGTTTTAAGAAGTGTTTGGTGGTTCCCACTTTGCACCTCTTTCCCTCCTGTTGCCACCTAAGACTTGTCTTGCTTCCCCTTCCCCTTCTGCCACGATTGTAAGTTTCCTGAGGCCTCCCCAGCCATGCAGAACTGTAAGTCAATTAAACCTCTTTCCTTTATAAATTACCCTGTCTCGGGTGGTATCTTTTTAGCAGTGTGAGAATGACTAATACAGATGGTAAGTAGATAGGAGATTCTGATGAAGTCTTGAGACATGTGGAGGGAGAAGATTTGAGTGCAGGAGATGGGAGGAGGAGGAGGGTTTGATGATAATGGGGACTGAAGAAATAGTCATTGGGGCAACTTAGCATAATGACAGCAAGGCATAAAGTGATGGCAAGGAGGACAAGAAGTCAAGAAATGTTGGACAATATAAGGAAGGTGTCTTAGTTTCCTCAAGCTTCCATGACACTTTCATGGACTGGGTGACTTAAACAATAGACAATTTCATCACAGTTCTGAAGGCCAGAAGTCCAAGATCGAGGTGCTATCAGGGTTGCATTTTGGTGAGGGCTTTCTTCCTGGCTTGCGGATGGCTGCATTCTCATTTTGTCTTCAATGTGGGCTTTCCTCTGTGCGTGCATGGAGAGACAGAGAGAGAGAGAGAGAGAGAGAGAGAGATTGAGATCCACTCTTTTCCTCTTCTTTCAAGGACACCATTCCTATTAGATTAGGGTTCTACTCTTATGACCTCACTTAAACTTCCTTACCTCCAAATACAGTCATATTGGAGGTTAGGGCTTTAACATATGAATTTTGGGGAACACAGTTTAGTCCACAATAGAAGAAAAAGGATCCAAAGTCCAGTCTGTTGGATGGGTCTCTCTATGAAGGATAAAGTCAGAAAATTGGCTAGGAGGCAGATTTGGGTCAGTCAGAATGAGTGAACAGGACCTGAGAGGCAGAGAGCAGTTGAGCAAAATAGTATGGACTCAGGGGACCAGAAATTGTCCCAAGAAGGCAGATTGGTCTGACATCTGTAATGGGGGTTGAGGAAGAGGCCAAGTCCACTCTGATCCTGAGACTCCTAGCATGCATGCCAGAAGTGTTCTGCCATTCCTGTTCTGTGTTTGGTTACATGGCATATGTTAAAAGAATAGAAGTAACAAATTCACATCTCCCTGGTCAATGTGATTTGGAATCCTGCCTTTAAAGGGAGCTTTTTAAGTTTGTTGGTGTGAGGTTAAGGATGAGACATGGAGGTGGAGAACCTCCTTTTCCTCATATGCACCACCCATACTTTCATGTTCCTTAATTGTTATTCTCTCCTGAGTGCTGGTGATATTTAGAAGTCTGGGCCATGTTTTCTGCAGCAATTATGTGAATTTAGCTAAATGGCCTCCCTGTTTACAAATGCTGGTCCAAGAAGAAAGGTGTCAGGAGGCATCTCTTAATTATGCTGCCATGGCAAACTTCTGGGAGTTGGAATGGACAATTTGGCCTCCTGGCTTTTTTTCTGACTCGGGGGCTTTCTTTAAATATACAGGAGGTATGCAAGCATTTCCTGTGCCTGTGAAGTATTTCCAGGCATTAATTATTTTCATTATTAGCTTCTCTCCATTGCAATCACTCATTGAACTAATTTCTTTGAAGTATGAAGATGAAATTTCAAATTGGGCGTTCAAGTCCTTTTAATTGCACTTGAAGTGAGAATTAGCTGTGGGGTCTGTATCTGGAAGCATGAGGGTCTTCTGCCACACAAGATAAATCAAAACTAAGGCAGCTCTGAGCCTTTTCCAATAACACAGCGTGGAAAAGAGAAAGGGAGAGAAAAAAAATGACAAATCAACACAATTAAATCTGAAATTGCTGGCTTCCAAAATGAATTCATTCTTGTGAGTCAACATTGTTTTGATTTTTAGATTAGGTTTGTTTTTCAAACCCATGTTTTCTCCGAACTGATTATTTTTGGTATTTTGTACACATTTGTGAATTTCGAACAGAATGTTAATATCCCTGACCTATTTCCTGCCTCTGTCTGTATTGTGGGAGCAGACGCGTCAGTGTCTGGGATCACAATACAGACCTCAGTTTCCAAAGGTCTCACTGTTCTCCAAGATCTAAAACTGCACTACCAAAATTTAATGGGCAGAGCCAAAGAAGGAAGCCCAGTTTATGTTTAAGGATCATACCGCCCAGAGGGGATGAATGGCAGGAATATTCACACACAATGGGCTCCTGGGCTGTTATAACGGCAGGAAGAAAATGAGGACAAGTGTTAGAGATATTGAAAGGAGGGCTGACATCCAGCCTCAGCCAGAGGCCTTAGTTCAGTCTTTGTTGTAAAAGGGTCCTTGGAATTGGGTCTTAAAGGGTGCATAGGGGTTATGTGAGAGCCAGGAGGATCTTCCAATGCCTGGCTCGGATTGTGCTGGGTCTCTGTAAGCCTGAGACTAAAACTTAGAGGTTCTATGAGATCTCTCACCTTCTACTTTCCTAAAGCTTTTTGTCCATCTCATGTAAAGCGTTTTATCTTTCCCAGTATGTGGGTTGCAGCCTAGGAAGTGATTTATGGAGCTCCTCTGCACTGTCCAATATGACTGTCTCTGCAGATGCACGAGGCCCATCCCTTGAATACCATGGTTAATAATCAGAAAATGCCAAGTGAATTTTTATTTGCCAAGTGGGCTTTGTGAAGAAAATGGAGTCAGTTTTCAGTTCATTTTAGCTTAATTACAACTCATGTAGGAGGAAGAGGGTGAAAGAAGATACTAGAAAATTGATGGCTTCCTTGATAGAAAAAGACTCATGAGCTCAGAAAAGCGTACCTCTCCCTAGTTTCATCAAATGTTAGAAGTTGTCGAACACTGCTGCACATTTTCTCCCTCTGCCTAGTCATGGGCTAATGCATGGTGTTCATGTGTGTTCTACAATACTATACTGAGGTAGGTAAAATGCTGTCTTCTCCTGCTGAGATGGCTGCCTGCCTTTCCCCTTTCCCTGCTTCTACTCCTAGCATGTTGGAAAGACGTAATACAATAAAAAATAATTTGGTCTTTGTTTTATATTTCTGGCATAGGTTTTCTAACACCCTGGGAATTTTCTGAGTGATAAGAGTATCTTTTGTTAATCATAGAAAGCCCCTTTTGCTCAATTTCAGTTAATGCTGATGAGATAACTCATAGTGGGCCCCTAGATAGCTTCAGGATGGGAGTTGGTTGCCAGAAAAAACAAAACATGTGATTAGAGGGTTAGAACTTTCAACGCTCCCACCCCCTGACTCCTGGAAATGGTAGAGTGGCTGGAAATTGAGTTCAGTGACCCATGGCTTGTGACTTAATCAGTCATATCTACATAATGAACCCTCTATAAAACCCTCTAAATGGCAAGATTCTTTTTGGTGAACACATCAAGGTGCTGGGAGGTGGCATGAAAGCTGGAGAAGCCATGGAAGCTCCACCCCACCCACCATATTTTGCCCTGTGTGCCAGTTCTGGGAGGTGGCAAGGTGCTGTAGAAGGCATGGAAGCTCCACCCCATCCACGGTATCTTGCTCTGTGTGTCTTTTCCACTTGGCTGGCCCTGAGTTGCATCCTTTACAATAAAACTGTAAGTATAGCAGTTTCCTGAATTCTGAGATGTGCTGCAAATTATCAGACCCAAGGGGGGGGGGGTGGTGGTGACCTTGAATTTGTAGTCATCCAGGCAGTTTTGCAGTGAACCTGGGGACTCAGCAGTTGGAATTGGCATCTGAAGTGGTGGCAGCCTAGTGGGACTGAGCCCTACCAACTCTGGGTAGTTAGAGTCAGACTGGAATTGAGTTGCAGTTCAGCTAGTTAGTGTCAGAGAAAAAAAAAACACAAAGACCATACATATTAGGGGCAAAGAGAAGGTGGCTAGCTTAAAAAGGTAATAAGCCGATGATTCTACCCCAGCTGTTAGTCAGAAATATCCCTGTTTGGAGGTGTCTTTATTTTTCACAATCAGATCAAGACTTGGACATAGTAGTCCTTTGTGTATTTTTTTTTTTTTTTTGAGAAAGAGATTAAAACACCTCATGCCAAAGGACAGCAGTGAATGCTTCTAGTTTACAATCTAGAATTTGGAGACATTCAAATAGACCCATGCTCAAATAGCCAATGGATCAGTCAGAATATTAACTTCTGAGTGAAAATTAGTGAAAGGAAGGAAGTGAACTGGTTTTAAGATCCTCAGAGAAGTACTGATGAATGATATGGTTTGACTGTGTCCTCACCCAAATCTCATCCTGAATTTTAGTTCCCATAATCTTCACATGTTGTGGGAGGGACCTGGTGTTCTCATGATAGTGAGTGAGTTCTCATGAGAGCCGATGGTTTTATAAGCACCTGACATGTCCTCTCCTGGCACTCATTCTTTCTCTCTCCTGCTGCTCTGTGAAGAGGTGACTTCCACCATGATTGAAAGGTTTTTGAGACCTCCCCAGCCATGCATAACTGTAAGTCAATTAAACCTCTTTTGTTTATAAATTACCCAGTCCCAGGTATTTCTTCACAGCAGCTGGAGAACAGACTAATGCACTAAGAATATAGTTACTCCAATTGATGCTAAAAATACTCTGGTAACATAATAGATAATGTCACAGAGTAGGAAGACATGCTAGGGTTTGAGTGAATTACCCAATGCCTTTGGTTGCATTTGCTCTACTGCTTCTGAAATGTGCACTTGCAATGCTATTAAAGAGTCTTTGAGAAAGAGTTTCTCATTGTTGCTAACATATTTCTTTCTCTCTGCTCACTAAGGAGAGATTTCTATTTCCTTTGTGGGTCAGTTCACAAACCTGAAAAACTAATAAGCTCAGAGCAGAACTCCAGTGAAGAACTGTTTACTTTTTGCTCCTAGGCCATATGAGCTGGTTTTATTAACACAGCCCTCGTAATTTCTACATCTGCAAAAGCTTTGTACCTTAATGTGCAGAAAAGATCAGACCCAGCACACAGCTTGCCATGCTCCATAAAAAATTTAATGGAAAATAAAATGCAGTGTTCAGAAGATCAATACTGTTATTCTCTTTCAGCAAACTGTGAATTATTGTTTTCATAAAATAATAATAATGCCAGCATATTGATGTTGAATGGAGGCTAGGTCTGTTGTCTAACATAAATTCATATTTAATCTTTTAATGCCTTCCTGCATAAACCCCCATGCCTAGATCCTGAGCATCTGTCACTCTCTAAAGACAATGTAAACCAATGATAATTTTGCTGCCATGTTCTTTGTTATTTCAGTAGAACCATTGAGCCAGATACCCACATTTTTCAGAATGGGCAGAAGTTGAAGATGTATTCTGGCCATCCAACAGCCCCCGAAGATGTTCTAGAGATGCATTTTCTAAGAAGTATCAGGGAACTGGGGGTGACTTGGCTAATGGTCCCAGTGGTCTCTTTTAACCCCAACATCTAAGATTCTAGGGTCCTGCCCTAAGACATGGCCATTTCTTGGAAAGAGCATGGCAGTCACTCATTCTGATGCTGATCACACCATGTGGTAGACAAATCACCTTTCGGAGGCCCAAATCTTTGTATAGGAATGTTCTTTTTTTTTTTCCAGGCTCATTCTCCATTCTGACCAAAGCTTCCCTTCAGGTCACCTGGATGGATTCACATTCAATGTCAGGACTTGGCTCATTGTGAATAAGCCTTCTTATCCAATTTGTTCAGTTTGCTTGTGTCTTCAGGCTGATGATCAAAAACACTGACTCTGAAAACTGTTAGCTGCTGCCAGTCTGAAAACCTGTTATGTTTCAACAGATTGAAACCCTGGTTTCGGTGTCGTAAAAGACGGCGGTCCCCTGCTGCCCTTCCCCCACTCCAACGCTAATCCACCTGCAGAGGGCCATCCCCGGAGCTTCTGGGCTGGCAGATATATGGGTCATGGAGGGAACAATCAAGATGTTTTTGGGGTGGGCTTCCTGGCTGCCAGATCCTGTGCAAGCCATAGTTTCTTCTGGGATGGTGGGAGCCTGGTGCAGTGGGCCTGGGACAAGGACTGAAGCTCCAGATTCTCTGGAGAAAGTGAAAGCTCCTGCCAGGTGCATTGTCTCAGGAGGCCTGTTGGCTTCCCAGATTCCCAAAGGTCTGGTGTACAGGTAAGCAGAGGGAAGAGGGGCTGCTGCCCCAGAAACTCCAACCTTGCAGCTCAAGAAGGCTGGGAGGAGAGAGGTCCTATCTCTGTGCCTGATTCCCAGACAGGAACTGCTGCCTTGCCACCTGTTGCCCATTGGAGCAGAGGCTGCTGAACCCCACCACTTGAAGTACCCTTGGGCCCAATGAGCCTGGAGTTGCCAAAGGAAAATAATAATGCACCCCAAAGGACCTGCACCTAGCATGAAGAAGAAACAACACTGCAGACTGGGGAGCTCTAGAAAGCCTAGGTGCTGGAGAGCAAGTTGAATAAAGCTGTGAAGAACAATTACAGAGATTCAATTACACCATAAGTGGACTTTCTGTTAAACAACAAATTAACAAAATGAGATTATTTTTACTAGAACTTGGTGTAGATGAACTGAAGGTTAGAATAAGTTGACATTAAGACCCAAGTTACTGGCCTAGAACAAGAATTGACAAATTATAGCTCATAGGCCAAATCTGGCTCACCAGCTGTTTTATAAATAAAGTTTTATTGGAACACAGACAAGCCCATTCACTTATGTAGTGTATATTTCTGCTTTTGCATTATAACATCAGAGTTCAGTAGTTGAGACAGGCCATATGACTCACAAAGTCTAAAACATTTACTATCTGGCTATTTGCAGAAAAAATTTCCTGACTTGTGTCTAGGGTATAAAAGGAATTTTTCGAATCCCAAACAAAAAGCCGTGGTTAAAAATATTAAGGAGAAAAATGAGTGATATGTCTCCAAAACCCTGATATAAGATTATTAGGAGTTCTAGGAAAAGGACAAAGAATAGATTTTAAAAAATTAAATAAATCATATAAATCAATTTCCCTGTAGAAGGTAAGCTTTACAAAGAAGGGTCTTTGGGCCATAGTTCTGTCTTTATCACCTGGGACAATAACTGGCAAAAAAGAGGTGCTTAGTAAACATTTGTTGTGCTGGATTTCCTCTATTCCTCCTCCAGATACACGATCCACTTTTGATCAACCCATTTTCTTCCCCAGGAGGCTGACCTGGAGGAACTGAATATATAAGCTCTTTTGGTCTCCTGCTTGCCTGTCGTATTCTGCCAATAGAGGTGGGGGTGTGGCGGCGCTGGGAGAAGGCAAGGGGGAGGGACAAACAGAGCAAGGGAAGAAAATTGAAATTAGGGCATCTATAATTCCAACCTGGTTGCTACAGAACATGTGTATCCCTCTGCCAAAGTCCACAGTTCTGCCAAGGCACCCCCTCTATACAACTCTCTCCAGGTTCCTGTAACTCCCTCCCTTTTCCCCACCAGGTCTAGGTGGTAATAGCTCCCAGCACTTACCAGCTTCAAGGCTCCCATTATCCTGTGTGCTTTTCTTATCCCACTGCAACTATGTAGGTAGTCCGTTATTAAAATCTCTCCAATCACTAATTTGAGTACATCATCCATTCCCTGATGAGATAGATCGATCTATCTATCTATTCATCCATCCATCCATTCATCCATCTGTCCATTCATCCATCCATCATTCCATTGCTATCCATTCGTCTATCTATCATCTATCCATCCATCCATCCATCTATTATCTATCTAGCTAGCTAGCTAGCTATCTCTATCTGTCTGTCTTTTTACATCTGGCTTATTCACTTAGAGTAGTATCTTCGAGGTTTACCCATGTTTAGTATGTGTCAGAATTTCCTTCTTTTTAAAGACACTGAATAATATTTCATTGTACAAATATACAATATTGTTTGTCTTTTGATAAACAATTGGATTATTTCTATCTATTGTGAATTATGCTATAAGAATATGGGTAAACAAATATCTGTTTGAGTTGCTTTCAATTCTTTTGAGGATATGCTTAGGAATGAAGTTGCTAGATGTGACCGATTTTATTTATTAAATGAATGATTGTGATAAAGAAAAGATAGGAATATCAACTTTTATAGGCTAACAAGTTCCAAGCAGGATTAATGAAAAATAATATTGACATTGTGAAATTCTTGAATTCCAAGGATGAGAAAAAAAGACATGTTTTTAATAGGAAAGCACAATATATTTGATAAAGAAAAATGAGATTTGGCTTCTTGCTCTGGTGGACAAGCTTCAATTGGACCAAACTTCCAATAGAGAACTAAAAAGCTGAATAAATTAAATTACCTCTATTTAGAGGCAATAAAGAGTTTCCAAGGGAGCCAGGACTTCAGGGATAAAAATAATGGCAAGGCCAGAAATGTAGAGAGAAGGAGCCCAGTAATGTCATTATTTTTCATTGACATCTTTGCCAATTTGTAAGCAGTATCCCAGAGGATGAGAAGGATAACAGAAAGCAGCAACTAAAAGGATAAGAAGCTGATGAGATCTTTTGACAGTCTCATAACGCGGTGGAGATAAAAGTAAAATTTCAAGACATGACAAGAAAAAGGCGTAGTGGAACCTTTCAAGTTTTTCAGTTAGGATCCCTGAAGGCTACACAGTGAAAGTAAGAAAGAACCAGAAATTGACTAGTGCTGACAATACTAAAACCCAGTTCTGAATGAGCTCAATCACTAATTGGTTTAAAGTGAAAAACCCTTGCTCAGACTGCCTGCTAAAAGCAAAAGTAAATTCTCTCCAGAGGAAGATGACATCATTCAGAATATCAAATTATCACTCAAGCTTTTCTCATGCACTATGCATAAAAATTGACAGGCACACGGGGGAACATAACCAAATGTCCAAGATCCAAGAGAAAAAAAACAGACAATATAAATAGTTTTATAGTTGACTAAGATACTAAAATTATCATATACAGACTTAAAAATGAATAATGTGGTCTGAAATACAGATGGCAAGATGGCGAATTTCAGAAGAGAACTGTGTGCAGTGCAGTTTTCTGTTTGGCTACCACTTAAAATGTGTTTAAATTTTGACAAATTATATATATTATGGTGATCTCTATCACACATTGTGATTTCTTCTATCACAAAGTCAGCCTAAGAGTGTTAACTTCTCATAGTCAGCTCATATGGTGAGATCTGTTTTGAGAGGACAGCCTTGCCAGTCCCATGCAATGCAACCATTGGCAAGCCAAGATGTTTTCACTTCTACAAAAACCCCTAGAATTACATCTTTTCCCTTTAGTTACCTAACTAGTTGCCCCAAGTAGAGGCACCACAATTAAACATGCATAAAAGAAAGGAGAGAAAAAGAAGAATTAGATTGGCACCAGACGTCTCTTTTGCTGCTCTGAAAACTAAAAGAGTGTGGAATAACATAAACAGATGACGGAAGGAAAAGAACTACCACACAGGAAACCAGACAAGCTTCACCTGATGGGAGAAAACAAATCTCCAATATGCTAGGACACAGAGACTCCATCTGGGGGAGAGTTCAGAAATGAGCAGAATAGGCACTTTGACACTGGAAATATGAGGGAGAAACTTTGGGGAACTATACACTTATATATCTGTGTATATGTTTGTCCATTTAGAGGTATTGAAGAGTTACCAAGGAAGCCAGGACTTCAGGGGCAAAAATAATGGCAAAGACAGAAATGTAGAGATAAGGAATCCAATATTGCCATCATTTTTCATTAAGATCTTTGCCAATTTGTAAGCAGCAGCCCAGAGGATGAGAAGGTTTACAGAAAGTAGCAATTGAAATGATGAGAAGCTAAAGGGACTCTTTGAGAAACTAAAAGGATAATTTGCACACCGTCACCTTCCCTCATCTCTTGGTTAAATGAAGTCAGAAGGCCAGCTCAGATTCAATGGAAGAGAGATACATATTTACTCATATTTAAACATGATATAAGCTTTGAAAATACACACCGACACAGTCAAATATATATGTATAACAATAAAATGACTGGAAATGTATAAAAAAGTAATATAACTGCCAAATACAAATTCTTGAGAAGACATACTGGCCAACTGGAATGGAGCTGCCTTGGTGTAGGAAGTAGGCAAGATAGGGACAGAGAAGGCAGAAATCAACATGCTCAGTTCACAGCTGACTAGTCAAATGGGGTCATACCTATTTTGGTTGGGGAAAAGAGTTTGTACCATTTTTATACAATAATGAAGAAATAGTTGTTAGGTTATGGGTATAACAGATGGAAAAATACTTTGGCATCATTTTTGCCCCTGAAATTTGAAGCTTCATAATTACAGCTTCAAACAATTGATTCTTCCTCATGATTCACTGGTGTTGACTGGGGTCACTCATGTGGGGCATCTGATGGGGACTGGGCTTGGGGTTGGGCTCAGCTAAGACATAAGGACTCCTGGATCTCTCCCTCTTCTCTCATCCTTAAAGAGCACAGTCTGAGTGTCTGTGCACAGAGGCAGGCACTAAAATGGCAAGAATGTAAATCTCAAGGACTCCTAAATCCTCAGCTCTAGGATTTGCACAATATCACCTCCCCTAATTTCTTGGTTAAATGAAGTCACAAAGTCAATGGGATGAAGACACTGACTCTACCTCTTGATGTGAAGAACAGTTATAACCTACTATGAATGGACGTGGAGCCATGCTCATAGCCCACTGCAAATAGATGTGGACACATGCTCATAGCCCACTGCAAATCGTCATGGACACATGATCATCGCCCAATGTGAATGGCTATAGACACATGGTCATAGCCCAGTGTGAATAGATGTGGACATATGCTCATAGCCCACTGCAAACGTTCATGGACACATGGTCATAGCCCACTGTGAATGAATGTGAACACATGGTCATAGCCCATTGTGAGTGGACGTGGATACATTGTCATAGCCCACTCTGAATAGTTGTGGACCCATGGTCATAGCTCACTGTGAATGGTCATGGACACATGATGATAACCCACCATGAATGGATGTGGACACCTAGTCATAGCCCACTGTGAATGGACACAGACACACGCTCTTAGCCCACGGCAAATGTGCATGGACGCATAGTAACAGTCCGCTGCAAATGGTCCTGGACACTTGGAGGTGAGGTTCATTGGGGGATTTTATTATAATAATCCATTGCCACTTCCAAATAGTTCAAGGGAAAAGAGAAATCAATAGTAATTTGATCTCACCAGAAAAATAAATAGGAAAAAATAGTGACGAAATAACAAAGTAAAAGAAATAACATAAGGCAAGATGGGAGGAGTAAAACCAAGTGTAATAGTTTTTCTGCTGAATGTGACAAAGATAAAACTCCAATAGAAAAGCCCAGTCCAATCTTACCAACATAAGTTATATAGAAATATAAATAATAAACAATATTATAAAATAGAAATATAAATAAAATATTCGGCAGATGTCCTTTTATTTTAATAATTCTTCATTGTATTTTATTTTTAAATAACTTAAAAGTGGTTTGCTTTATCAATGCAAGTTTGACTGAACCTATTAACATAATCTTTCTATCAGAAAATAAAGGAGGAAAACACATGTGATGATAATAATGATGCTGAAAAGGCAATCAATAAAATGTAGATACCATTAATGATAAAACCCTATGTAAAATAGCACTAAACGAATACTACTTAAATATGATAAAAATTATTTACCAAAGCTCAACAAAAATATTATTCTAAATTACAAAACTCTACAGCTGTTTTAATTAAAACAGGTAATGAAGTGATTCCCACGACCACAATTATTATTCAACATTATTTTGGTATTGTAGAGAAGGCACTGATATAAGAAAATGAGATGATCCGTATAAACATTGGGAAAGAAGAGATAAAACTATGTTTTGTTTTGTTTCTTTGCTGATATGATTGTATAATTAGAAAATCCAAGATAGTCAAATAAT
Organism: Homo sapiens; assembly: GCF_000001405.40. Lineage (NCBI taxonomy): Eukaryota > Metazoa > Chordata > Mammalia > Primates > Hominidae > Homo > Homo sapiens. The sequence goes on along the minus strand of NC_000001.11, from coordinate 5,026,423 downwards.
CATACTACGATAACTAAGAAAGAAATTAGATAGAGTGGATGGCAAAAAGAGGAACATACAAAACCTAATAGCTTTTTTCTATTTTAGCAACAAGTGTCTGAAACAATTGACAAAGAAGAGATAGGACTTGTAAGAAGAAGAGATGGACATACAGAGGGATAGACTATGGCTGTGATGGTTGGTTGGTTTGGGGGGTTATTTTGGGAATTAGAAAAATAACCTTCAAGTTCATGTGGAACAATTAGTACTAGGAATAGTGAAGAACAGTTTGCAAAAGAAAAATGGCAAGAAGAATCTCCTCTTGTTTAATATCAAAATAGACGGCAAGCCACTCATCCAATAGGTTCTGGGGGAGGCACCGAATAGAAAATCCAGACCCCGAGCTCAGAGTGGGGAACGTTCTACATCCCTGGGAATGGGATAAATAGATACTGGGACAATTGGCCATCTTTCTGAAAGAAAACACATGAAATGTGAACTGTGCATAAAAATAACTAAAATATAAAACACCTAGAAGAAAGAATTTCTTAAGGAGAAAATTCAGAAGCTCTAAGATGAAATACATTTGATCCAATCAAAAGAAAAGTATCTGATGGCAAGAAATTAAAAGCAAACACAGAGAGATCCCCAAAATATTTGCAATGCATACAGCAGGCAAATGATGAACAATTGTAATATAAAAATCACTGAAAAACAAGTAAAAGAAGAACACCCAACTGAAATGGCCCAAGTATATCAGCAGGTAACCCACAGAAGAGCAAATCCGAGTGACTGATAAATGAGAGAAGACACCCATTAGCAGCCAGGGAAAGGTACTTTGAAGTTAAAGTGAGATATCTCTCTACAACAATCAGACCATGAAAAGGAAAGCTTTAGCACCTGCTCCTGACAAGATACTCCAGAGAGAGTACAGTTTCAAGATTTTGGTGGAAATGTAAAATTTTACAGTCATTTGGGAAGCATTTCACAACATCAATTAAAATTAAAAAGACATATTCCATCCTATCACATAAAAGACAAATGCAAGTACCTATGGTTATATATACAAGGCTAGTTTCTACAGCTGTATTCCAAGTGGCCAAAACCCAAATAAGACTCCCAAGAAAGAAAACACCAAATGCAAAAGTGTACAATTACACAAATAAAATAGGAAATTTTATGCAGAGATTTAAAAATGAGTGAGCTAGTTATACAAAGATCTCATTTTAGAAAACAATGACAAAAATATTGGTGTGCATGAGAATATTGGTATATTTGTATATATTAATAACTATATGGTAATAGTAAAAAATGTCAGAGGGTAGGGAGTCATTTGCAGGCTACCTCACCTCTGTGGTTTCTTTTCTCACCTTTAAAATGGGGATAATAATTGTATTTACCTCCTAACCTTGTGGTGAGCATTAAATGAATTTAATCTATGTAAATAAATTAGAACAGTCTTGATAGATAGCAAGCACAATTTTCTGTCATTGTAATTATTTATAAGACAAGGAATAACTACTAATTTTTATTTATTTACATTTTATCTCTGTACCTAATATAATTCCTTAGTAATAGTAGTGTTGTTTTATTTTCTGGAGTCTTTTGGGTTATCTAAGTATACAGTCATAACATGAAGGGGAAAATAATTTTATTTCCTCCTTATCCTGCTTAAAATTATTTTATCTCATTATATTCTCGAAATTTTATTTATTTATTTATTTATTTATTTATTTATTTTTGAGACGGAGTCTTGCTCTGTCGCCCAGGCTGGAGTGCAGTGGCATGATCTTGGCTCACTGCAACCTCCACCTTCCGGGTTCAAGTGATTCTCCTGCCTCAGTCTCCTAAGTAGCTGGGATTACAGGCACGTGCCACTATGCCCGGCTAATTTTTGTATTTTTAGTAGAGACGGGGTTTCACCAAGTTGGCCAGGCTGGCCTCGAACTCCTGATCTCAAGTGATCTGCCCGCCTTGGCCTCCCAAAGTGCTGGGATTACAGATATGAGCCACTGTGCCCGGCCTTGAAACTTTAAAAGTATGGTGGATGATAACGTTGACAGCAAGTCTCCTGTCTGATTCCTGATTATAATGGATAGTCTTTCAGTTATCTACCCTTCAGAATGATGCTTGATCCTTGTTTTGCATAAATAATATTTATCTTATTAACAGTTTCTTCTATTTATGTTTTAGTTATAATTTTTATTATGAATGATTGCTAAGCTTTGTCAAATGTTTTCTTAGCATATTTTCACATCTTCTTTCCTTTCATGTGTTGAGTTAAAATTATGGTGGTGAATTTCCAAAAAAATTAACCATGTTTCAATTTTGGGATAAACTGTTCTTGGTTATAGAGTTTTATTTTCCCCCTATACTTCTAGATATGAATTTGGTAATATATTGTTTAGAAGTGTCACATCTACATTGATCAATGAGGCTGGTCTATAAATGTCTTTCTTTTTTTTTTTTTTTTAAAGACAGGATCTTGCTCTGTCTCCCAGGCTGGAGCACAGTGGCACAGTCATGGCTCACTGCTGCCTTGATCTCCTGGCCTCAGGTGGTTCTCCCACTTCAGCCTCTTGAGTAGCTGGAACCATAGGCTAATTTTTTTTTTTTTTTTTTTTGCAGAGACAGTGTTTTTCCATGTTGTCCAGGCTGGTCTCAAACTCCTGGGCTCAAGCCATCCACCGCCTCAGCCTCCCAAAGTGCTGGGATTACAGGTGTGAGCCACTATACCTGGCCAAGTGTTCTTCTTTGTATTACATTCAGTACCTGGTTTCAGAGTTCAAATGAGCCATCTGGTGGAGCGATGCACTTTCTGAAATGCACAAGGAAGGCTGCCTGGTGAGGGGCAGGTGGGGCTGAGATCCTTCATGGCCACTACAGTGTGCACTGAGGTGAAAGAGGGTCAGGACGATGTCTCCATCTGTGTATAGGGAAGAGTACTTCTTTTCCAAGCATCATTGGAAGGGCTGCCTCCTCCCAGAGGGACACACCTTTCAATTTGCATAAAGGCACCACAGGGGTTGGAGGTAGCCCAGATGTTCTATTTTTATTTTATTTTATTTATTTATTTTTGAGACAGGGTCTCACTCTGTCACCCAGGCTGGAGTGCAGTGGTGTCATCTCAGCTCACTGCAACCTCCGCCCAAGCCAGATGTTCTAACATGATAATTTCCCACATTTCTGCATGCCTTTAAAAGCTTAAGTTATCTTGGAATTATCATACATATTAGATAGAACTTAACTGTGAACTTATCTAGTCATGGTTCTTTTACAAATAGTACTTCTTTGATCATCTTTCTGATCTTTCCTTTCTCAATTGGTCCATTCAAGTTGTCTTCTACTTCTGGGGCCAGTCTTGGTGTCATTTATATTTTTTAAAGAAATTTTTTCTGGTAGAAATGAAAGCACCATTAGCTAAAGCTATGAACCACATTTTTTGTTTGTTTGCTTTTCCAGCAGCTTTGTTTTAGGAGAAGAAATCTTAAAACCAAGGAGATGCTTGGCAATAGAGAAGTGAATCCTAGTGTGAAATATTGAGGTGTAGAATACCAGGCAGACTTTAAAAAGAATCCATTGAATTAGATGAATTTTTGTGATGTATTGTGATATGTAAAAAGCAAGATTTGGAAAAATGCACATCCTGTGATCTTAACTTGCAAATAAATAGTGATCAAGAAACTCCTCCGAAGCACAGGCTCCGGAGCTGCAGTGTCCTTGTGGGTGTGACTCTTACTAACTCTGACTTCAGTGAAATTCCTAACTTCTCTGTACCCTCAGTTCTTCTCGTGTAGAAATGAGAATAATATCGGCAGCTACATTAAGGTGTTATGTGAGGATTAAAAAGGCATCTACTTAGAATAGTGCCAGGCATAGAAAATACTCTGTAAGAGTTAGCTATGACTTTGTGTGTGTGTGTGTGTGTGTGTGTGTGTGTGTGTGTTTGCATAAACGCACACGTATGACCTCATTGTGGAGTCCTAATAAAGCAAAAGGAGTCAGGCTGGCCAGATCAGGGGAAAGCAAAAAGAGAAAGCAGATAAGCTCTAAGTCAGCCTTTCTTCATGGTCCAGGACACATAGCCCTCCTGCGCTAATAACTCATAACCTTCCTGCGCCTGGCTATCACCAGACCCTCAGCTGATAGAAAAATGCAGGTTACCTCACTGCAACTTAGGTGTTACCAGTACTGCATAAAGCCGTCTTCAGCACACAGCACAAACACCATCCTATAAAATCCTTTGTCTCTTCGCAGTCAGCTCCTCTCTTGCTGACTTGCCCGTTGCTTTCTTGCAATGTATTTTCCTACTTTCTCTAATAAATCTGCCTTTCTTTACATACAACTATCTTGGTAGATTCTTTTAACTGCCCGTGCAGCACCAGCCCCAGATAGTCACACCTGTGACACTCATGAGCATAGAAAAAGGCATGAACTGGTGCACTTCAAGTTACAGATATCAGTTATCTGTTCAGAAGGGTGATTGGTATGGAGAAAAACTTTAAAAGAAAAAAAAACTTGGCCAAGCACAGTGGCTCACGCCTGTAATCCCAGCATTTTGGGAGTCTGAGGTGGGTGGATCACTTGAGGTCAGGAGTATGAGACCAGCCTAGCCAACATGGTGAAACCCTGTCTCTACTAAAAATGCAAAAATTAGCTGGGCATGATGGCACACACCTGTAGTCCCAACTACTCAGGAAGCTGAGAAATGAGAATCACTTGAGCCTGGGAAGTGGAGGTTGCAGTGAGCTGAGACTGTGCCACTGCGCTCCAGCCTGGGAGACAGAGCAAGACTGTGTCTCAAGAAAAAAAATAAAAAAAAAGAAAGAAAAAAGAAAGAAAGAAAAAAACACAAAACTTCAGATTAAAAACAATGGGGAAGATAAGACACTATTTATTTAAAAATATATATAATACGTGGACATATATATTTGTATGTAGAAATGGATGAAATAATTGTAAATATGCATATTAGAAACACAGAATTTTTTTAAAAATCTTTAAAATGAAATGATTCAGAGAGATCACATAAAGAAAGCTCTTTCATTTTATTTAAAAAGAGGAAAGAGAAGAAGGGATTAATTTCTGCCAGGAGAATGAGCATCCCCAAGGCAAGATTCCAGAAGACCCCATAGCCATATCTCCTTGACTGAAAGAAAAATTAAGAACATGTCTTCCTATTATTAAAAAAAATTTTGGAGGAGGGAGAGGTGAGCTGTTCAGAAACAGAAGGTTGGAGGAAGCCTGAGTTTCTGCAAGGTCGGCTGATTGCTGTGCCTTCCCCTTCCAAGCCTGTCTGCTCAGGGAAGCATGGTCGCTCAGCAGCCACGGCAACAGTGTTTGTGTCTAGTGTCCACTCCCTGGGCCAGGTCCTGTAGACAGTGACTCCATACCAGGCCCCTCATGAGTTCATTAGAATGCCTCTGCTCATTTCCATCATGCCCCGGTGGAGACCCCATCACGATATTGCTATTTACAGGTGAGAAGATGGGGGCTCAGTCAGGGTACATGACTGGTGCAAAGCCTCCCAGGTAGGATACTCTTTATTCAACATTCAAATCCACATTGCCTGACTCGCGATTCCTCTGCCTTCAGCAGCTGGGGACCCTCAGGTAGAGCACATCCCGTGAGTATGAAACCATGCAGAAGTAAAACAAGACTCTTACAAGATGTGTCTTCAGCTCCTTGTGTGGGCTTAGTCCCAGCTGATCTGCGGGAAGTGAAAGTTTCCAAACCACGGGTTACTTACTTACTGAGATTATCTTTAGCATGTTAAGAAGTGGGGGAATAAAGCAGGGGCTAGATTAGGACCAGGGAAAGCGAAATTTTGTGAAACTCATGGTGTTTCATTAATAAATACTTGGGAGGTGTTTGTTCAGAAAATCCTCCCTAATAATGCAAAATAAAGGCAAAAGATGCCCCTGATTGGAATCAATTTTTTGAAAAGATTTTGTGGACCACAACTTCATCTTGCAAAATTTCCCTGAACAAGCAGTTCTTTGCTGTGGGGTAAAATGCCTAAACAAAGCTGTTCCTCAGTAGTCTCCAAACACCTCGCTTTATCTTACATAAGGGTAATTTCAGTTTGGAGTTGACAGTATTATGAAACTGGAACAAATCCCAGGGACCCAGAAATGAAAACACTTAAAAGTTTGTGACATCCGTTTTTATTAAAAGTTGACAGCTTTTATCGAATAATATTTATCGCAACCCCCTTTTCCAGCTCAGAGGGGAGTTGGGATCAAGAGGAGTCATCACTTACTGGCTTAAATTATAAAAGAGCCAGGAGCATATCCACATCTTGAAATAACAATCAGGGCCAGAAGAATTTCAAACCCTGCAAAACATGTCTTTGTGCTGGCATTCCATCCTGACAATCAGCATATGCGTGCTTTGAGGCACAGGTTTGTTTGATTGTTTGTTTTTTGTTTTTTTTTACCCCAGACACAGAGTTAAGACTATGGTGTAGATTACATACAACATCGATAATGTATCTTATCTATATATTTATATTGATATATATGACAGCCTTATCTCTTTTTTCATTTTCCAATCCTTTATGTTAGCCTCCAAAAAGGCATTGAAGGGGTTTTAAAAATGTTAACAAAATGCAGAGTGCCTTCTTTGGTGTTTTAATCTGGTTGAATCCTGTTTCTTGGTTATCCTTAAGTGTTTCTTGCCAGATCTATTTTTTGACAGGACCTGCTATGATATGAATGCTTACGTCCCCCCAAAATTCACATGTCAAATTCTAATTTCCAAGGTACTAGGAGGTAGGGCCTTTGGGAGGTGACGAGGTCATGGGGTGGAGCCTTTATGAATGGGATTAGCATCCTTAGAAAAGAGGTCTGAGGGAGCATGTTCGCCCCCTCCACAAAGTGAGGAAGTGAGGATGTAGCTAGAAGGTGCCCTCTATGAAGAATGGACCCTCATCAGACACTTTATCGGTCAGCCCCCTGATCTTGGACTTTCCAGTCCCCAAAATGATGAGTAATAAATTTCTATTGTGTATAAGCCACTCAGGATATGTTATTTTATTATAGTAGTTCCAACAGACAAATGCAAGCCCATCTCCCCTTCCCTTTGAAAATCAGAGTAGCAGTGGCTGTGTTCCTCCCCAGGATTCTCCAAGACACCAGGAGCAAACAGGTCACTCCTTTGTGTTCCCATGTGCATTAATCCGTTCTCACACCGCTATGAGGAAATACCTGAGACTGGGTAATTTATAAAGGAAAGAGGTTTAATTGGCACACAGTTCCTCATGGCTGGGGAGGCCTCAGGAAACTTACAATCATGGCAGAAAGCAAAGGCGAAACAGGCACCTTCCTTACAGGGCGGCAGGACGGAGTGAGTGAGTGAGTGCCAGCAGGAGAAATGCCAGACACTTATATTATATTAATAAAACCATCAGATCTCATAAGACTCACTCACTATCACGATAACAGCATGGGGGAAACCACCCCTAAGATTTGATTATCTCCGCCTGGTCCTGCCCTTGACACACGGGGATTACAATTCAGGATGAGATTTTTCTTGGGGATACAGCCAAACCATATCACCAGGGTATGGGGACGACCACCTCACTGCCCACAGGAGGCAAGTGGGGCCATTTCCTTTCAGGTGTTCTGATCTGTTTTATTTTATTCTCATTTGACTCTACATGTGGTTATATATATATTTTAGATGGAGTTTCCCTCTTGTTGCCCAAGCTGGAGTGCAATGGTGTGATCTCGGCTCATTGCAACCTCCAACTCCCGGGTTCAAGTGATTCTCCTGCCTCAGCCTCCTGAGTAGCTGAGATTACAGGCATGTGCCACCACGCCTGGCTAATTTTTTGTATTTTTAGTAGAAACAGGGTTTCACCATGTTAGCCAGGCTGGTCTTGAACTCCTGACTCACGGTGGCTCATGCCTGTAATCCCAGCACTTTGGGAGGCTGATAACTTTATTGCATTTTTCTAATTCCTGGCTCCTTGGTTTTATGACCAAGATTATAAATGAATTCACATATTCATAATTTAGAAAGAAAGACGAGAAAGACACAGTTTCTGTGTTGAAAGAGACTGTAGAGATTTCAACTAATGGCAGTCATTTTTAATTGTGAATATCACATGCACAAAAGACTGTATACAACATACATGACAAGTAAAGAATATTGAAAGAAATTCCTGCATGCCAAAGTAAGATGGTCCCCAGGCCATGGGTGTCCTCAAGTATGTCTCTTTCTTATTAACTTCCTCTTCCCCTACCACCACCCCCTAGATAAACTGCTTCCCAGGCTTTTATTCATCCATTAATTTCTTTAGAGGATTACTAAATATCCATGTGTCCATAAGCAATATGTGTGTAGTTTTGCACGTTTTGAACCAATTATCGTTCCACCAGGTAAGGTGCTCATGTTGAGCCAAACCACCGTCATCTCTCTCCTGGTTAATCACAATAAATTTCCACGGTTTCTCATCTTCTGCCCATGCCCTCTCTTTTGCTGAAAACCCTCCCATCATGGAGTCAAAGCCACGTTTCTTGCTGGTGCAGCTCTCTAAGATCTGTCCTCCTCCTCCATCCTCTAAGTGTCCAGGTCTTCATCTCCAGACTTCAGCTTCTGCTTCTTTCTGCCTCACTCACTCTGCATCTACCTGCTGGCCCTTGGTGTTGTCACAGCATTCCCTGCATGCTTCCACCCCAGGGCCTTCACACTCGCACCTCCCTGACAGGCACATATTCCACTCTCTCCCCTTTGCACGTCTTGGTGCCGTGTTGCCTTCTCCATGAGGACTTCGGGACTGAAGTTTAAGTGTTGCCCTTTCCTGTCTGCCTTCCTCCCTTGTGCCTACAGAACACGTATCCTCATTAGACTACCTATTTAGTTATGTCTGTGTTATTCCCATGAGAATGTAAGCTCTATAAGGGCAAAGAGTATGTATGTGTCTACTGTGTTCACTACGACATCCTCAGTGCTTAGAAGAGTGCCTAGCACACAGTAGGCCCTCAATAAATGAATATTTTTCAAGAATGGACTGTATGTATCCTTCTGTAAATTACCTTCTTTTTTGTTTCAGCATAAATCATGCCTGCTAATTTGTGTATCTGCAATTCTTCCATTTCCCCAGCTGTTTAATATTCCACAGTGTAAATACAACACACTTCTGTATCCTTTCTCTTGGAATTGCTTATTTGTAGTGTTCTCATTTGTTGCTAAAAGCAAAAACGTTACACAAAATATGTTCATACATGTCTCCCAGTGAACAGGTGCAAAAGTTTCCAGAACATTCCTCCCTGAGTCTATTTTGGTTTATGCTCCTGCTGAAGTTCATTGTCCAGCAGATCTCATATGCCTCCATCTTCTCTATGACTTATGTGGTCTTTACCTTTGCCTGGGTTGCGGTAGAAACACTGAAACACAGCTGGGCTCACTGGCTCATGCTTGTAATCCCAGCACTTTGAGAAGCTGAGATGGGCGGATCACTTGAACTCAGAAGTTCAAGATTAGCCTGGGCAACATGGCAAAACCACATCTCTACAAAAACTACAAAAATTAGCCACATGTGGTGGCACACCTGTAGTCCCAGGTATTCGTGAGGCTGAGGTGGGAAGATCACTTGAGGCCGGGAGGTCGAGGCTGCAGTGAGCCAAGACTGTGCCACTGCACCGCACACAGGGTGACAGAACAAGACCTTGTCTAAAAACAAACAAACAAACAAACAAACGTTAAGAAACACTGACCGCTACCCTTTGACAGCAAGTGAACGCCTTTCTCCTGAAAATTTCTGAGCTAGCCTTGAAAACAGAGTCGTCCCCTGGGATTGCCTGAATGGGATTTGGATCAGTTTTCTTCCAGTGTCCGCTCCATTTTGATCCCTCCCAGCATGCACTCCGGCATTGAAAGAAGGATGGCAGTTTCCAAGGCTCTCAGACTCCTTGAGTTGATTCCTCCAAGCTGCACAGTGCCTCTGAGCCCTCTCTGGCAAAATTGTTTGTTATGGAAACAACTACAAGACATTTTGCAATTATCATAACCCCTGGCTTCTTCAATCGTCTCCATCAATTCCGCTCACTGAGTTTGCCTCTTTGGGGAGTGATTCCTTCTCTTTGTTCAAGCTCTCTCCCTCCCTGTTTGTTCTAACAAAACACTTTCCTCCTACTTCTCTTATAGCCTCATCATTGCAGTTTATGACGGAAAGAGCAAGTCTGATTCACAACCAAAAACCCACGGAGAAAAGTTTCGAGCCTTGGGCTTCCAGGAGACATGTGCGTTCCTTCTGAGGAATGATGCTGTGCTCTGCAGATCCAACATTTTAGCTATAATTCAGGGACAGCTGTCAGATTTATTGACTGGTTCAAGAGACAAACTTAGGAAACCATTTTCTGCTCCAAATCCTCTTACACTTTGGAAAGTGGCACCCTATTTTATACATGCGTATGAGAGCCTCACAACTTTCAAAAATGGAAAAAGGAAGTTATCGAGGTGTCTCAGATGTCTTTGTTGATGCATTTGATACTGACTTGACTTCTGGAAACAAGAGATGCCTGAACAATACTGGCCTAAATAACAATTCATTTTTTCCTCTCCCACTTGGTGCTGGGTGAAAAGTGGGGAACCCAAACCTCCCTTCTGTTGCTGGGCATCTCTCCAGTTGTCACTCAGATGCTGTGGTCCTCCAGGGCTGCTCAAGCCACCATTTTAGATGCTTCCATTTCAGCTGGAAGAAAGAAAGAAAAGACCAGAGAGCTGTGCTTCCTTGAAAACATGCTTGGAATCTGAGCCCATGTCATGCACACTTGGCCCTTTTTGGCCACAAGGGAAGCTGGAGACCTAAACTCTAAGTGAACACCTGCTACTGTGGCAGAGGGGAGTGGGATGAAGACTTTCCACCTCTGTAGAGAATATAGTGTCTCTGTATTTCCATGGTTTCCTCTTATTTCGGCTCTGCACTCTTCTTATAGTTGGTGAAGGAGGCAGAATAGCCCAAAGGTCTGTAGACTCTGTAGGGAGAGACACGCATTCACATCCTAGCTCTGCTTCTCCCCAGCCACACACTTAGGGGCAAACGCTCTAATCTCTACCTCTCAGTTGCCTCCTCTGTAAAATGGAACAAATGAATCTGCACCACAGTAATGTTGTTTGTGTCAGTGTATCTGACACATGCTAAGTGCTTAATAGCTGCAGCTTCTTAATTTTATTAAGAACATTGGAAGAGGCTGTTCTTGCATTGCTATAAAGAAATACCTGATATTGAGTAATTTACAAAGAAAAAAGCTTTAATTGGATCATAGTTCTGCAGGCTGTACAGGAAGCATGATGCTAGCATCTGCTTGGCTTCTGGGGAAGTCTCAGGAAAATTATAATCATGGCAGAAAGGGAAGCAGGCATGTCTTATGTGGCCAAAGCAGGAGCCAGAGAGAGAGGGGGGAGGTGCCACACACTTTCAAATGAACAGATCTCACGAGAACTCACTCACTATTGCAACGACAGTACCAAGCGGGGATGGTGAGAAACCGTTCATGAGAAATCCACCCCCATGATCCAATCACTTCCCACCAGGCTTTACCTCCAACACTGGGGATTACAATTCTACATGAGACTTGGCGGGGACACAGATCCAAACCATATCAAACATTCTCATCTGAGCATAGCGTGACAAATCACTGGTCTGCCTTCTGCATGGGGAAACAGTGTCCCTGTGGGTTCATTACTTGAGCTAAGATACAGTGTCTTGTTTTCCTGGTCTTCAGCCTATGCCAGCCCCAGGAAATCTGAGTGCTGAAATCTGTCTCTTTCTTAATCATATCTGAGGAAATATCCGTAAAATTGTATTTGTCCTTGAAAATCTCTTATCTGATGTTATGAAATAGAGATTCAAAATGTCCTTTTGATCAGAAATGCTTTTCTACTCAGTTTTCATCCCCTTGGCTCTGGCCCTATGTGGGAATTAAATCTCAAACATAGCATCTTACCAGGAGAGGAAACCACACCTCTCACCCAGGACAAGACAGCGTGCCTCACTCTCCTGGACTAGCCCCAGGAGTTACAATCAGAACTGATTCGTAATTTTCAGTTTGGGTCAAACTGAGATTTGTACTTTGTCTCAATACTGGCTGTGTGTCCCTGGGCACATTATTTTACTCCCTGGGCCTCAGTTTCCTCATCTCTAAAACAGGAACCATAATGCAATGCTCACCTTGCAAGGGTGTAAACAGACTTTAGAGGGAGTGGGATGGAGCACAGAGAACAGGACAGGGACACAGCAAGTGCTTGGGAGGTGTTGACAAATTAACTGGAAGCCCTTAGAAGCCTGGTATTCGAGAGCTGGTGGAATGGTCACCTTGACTCTGCAAATGGCAGAAGGGGAGGCAGAGGCAGCTCCTTTTGGCCCAGTGGGGTGGCAGGAGAAATGTGGGGCTCCTCAAGTGACTCATGCCACCCAGGACCAGGCTGGCTCCCCTTTCCTCCTGTGATGCCAGCCTAGAGCCAAGGTTTTTCAGGGGCCCGTGGCTCCCCTTTCTCCACCCACACTCAGTATTAAGTTCCATGGAGGCTGGGGATGAAGAATGCTGGCCCTGAACTCAAGTCTTCTAGGCTTCTGTCTGTCTCAGATGGCTGGGATATCCTGGCCTTGAACCCTGGACCACTGCCCGCTTCGTTTCTGATGATGTGAGTCCCTGGTTCCTGAAGGCCCTTCCTTTCCCAGATCCCTGGGCTTTGTGTGAGTTCTGAGCTCTCCTACCTGGGACTGGAAGCCTGAGTAACATCTCTGGAAACAGTGGTTGGCCATCCTGGGGGTGGTGGATAGGCAGATAGCCAACACATAGTGGGCGTTTCTCCTTCTCGTTAGCTCATCTTTGCTATTCTTGGGTGAAATTTATGGAAGGAAGGTGTTAGCAAAAAAGAGTATTCCAGGTAAAGGTGGCTTAATGAAGCCAGGCTTGTTGCTTGCACACAATTTTACTTCACACTCAGCAAAATCCAAGATTCCAGAGTGATGTGCCACGGCATGGTTCAGAGCACCAACTCTGGAGTAGAGACGGCCTGGTTTCTCTCCATTCATGTGACAGCCTTGAACCAATGACTCAGCAACCTGTCCATGAGTTTCCTTACCTGCAAAACTGGGGATAACAGTAACGCCTCACGGAAATTTTTGAGGATTAAATGAGATAATATTTGAACACATTTAGAACATTTTCTGGCAATAGAAAATAATGTTAAATGATATCTGCTATTATTACAATGAACAAATCTTCAGTACTTCAGTCATTTCCTTCATGTTGTAAATGCCTTACTTTGCTAGGGTTCCTTTAACAAAGTACCAGAGAAATTCATAGTTTCATGGTTCTGAAGCCCAGAAATCCCAGATCAAAATGCTGGCAGAGCTGGTTCCTTCTGAGGGATGTGAGGGAGAATCGGCTTCTTGCCTTCCTTTTGGGCTTGAATGTAGCCTTCTTCTCACTGTGTCCTCACGTGGTCATGCCTCTGCGTTTGTCTGTGCCCTAGTCTCCTCTTCTTAGAAGGACACCGATTGGGTCCACACTAATAACCTCATTTAAACTTGATTACCTCTACAAAGACCCTGTCTCCAAATACAGCCACAGTCTGAGGTCCTTGGGGTTAGGACTTCAGCAGATGGATGTTGGCTGGGGCTGAGGGTGAGGTGGGAGGAGAGAAAGGTTTAGTCCCTAAGATCAAGCTTCTGGAATTTTGATTTTCTTAACAGATGTATTTGGATGGCACTTTTCCCCCTCCTAGAAACCATTATGTATATTTTTTCTTAATTTTTTAGAAAAAGAATGAAAAAAAAATCCAAGAGATCCCCCCCTTCCTTATGCAAATACAATTTGCTTTTCAGATGTGAATAAAATGATAGAAAATGGAATCTGCACCATTAGAGATAAAAATGGTAATGAGTTTTAATAGTTCATTTTGGTTTTCAGTATCGAAATGAACTTGGAGAGAATGCTGCTATAGCTCAAAGTCATCAGCTCTCCAGTCACGCAGCAGACAGCTGTAGAACTTCAAAAAAAATAAGCTGAGCACCCTTTAACATAAATTGTTAGCTATGATGCCGAGCAGAACACCAACATTATGTGGCAGCTAACAGGGCTTAAATGAGCTTAAATTGGTTATTGGTTATTGATTTAAAGCACAAGCATATAGATTAAAATACAGCCTCTGAGAATCCATTTTAAAAATTCAGATTATTTATCACTGGAATAGCGAAGTCTAAAATGACAAGGAGAGGGTTGGTAAGTTACAAGGGAGCTGTTAACAGTATTCAAGTTTTGAAAAGGTAATTGTCTGTCCTGGCTGCTAGGGGAAGCTCGCTGGGGACAAGAGGCTGGAGTTGGAATCGAAGATGCCAGGATAGGCCTGGAAGAGCCCCCTTCCCCAGGGTTTATGTTCAATGAATCAGTGCAGACATATCTCATACGGTGGAGGTAACATCCAGGCATATTGAGCTGTACATTGAATTTATTTGCACAAATTTGTACTTTCTCATTGATTTTCATTATGAAATCGAGTATGTGTTTCTCCAAGGAAGAAAAATGGCTCAAGAAGTAACATCATTATAGTCATAAGTGTGGTAAATCTTTGAAAACACAGCATAAATAGTGATTCTGAGCAATACTTCTAACAGAAATTAAGTTATAAAGGTACAAAATCTTCACCAACTACCCACTGGCCACTGGGTTGAAACAGATTCCTCCCCCTGGCATTTGGGTAGCATCCCTAAATCTAACAGTCCCCACCCATGCCCAATCCCAACCTGCCGCATTCCTAGCTCTTCCCTGAAAACCTCTCACACATGCCCCTTCCCAGGGCCTTGTCCTCTGGCCTCCACTTTCCCTCCCCACCTTCTAGGTCCTCTTGCTTTCTGCAAGGCCATGCAAGGAGCCTGCCCAAAGCTCACTGCCTCCTTCTTAGCCCTTCTCAGCCTCAGAGTGATTCCAGTCACTCAGCTCAGTCTTAGCTCCAGGGGACTACCAGTTTTTTTTGTTTGTTTGTTTGTTTGTTTTTGTTTTTTTTTTTTTTTTTTTTTTGCAAAGAAAAGCACTGTGGATCACTCTACAGGTGTGCCTCAACATGAAAGAATTGGAGCTGGTATTTGTAGAGTCAACTGGGTTTTTCTTATGTTTGTGTGCAGAGCTCTTTGGAAGAAACAGGCCTTGGCTTCCATCAATCATCCCTCCCTGGGGCATGGAGCAAGATAACTGTCGTGCTCTGGGTATGCAGACCGTGTTTCCCAGTGGAAGCTTCTGGGTTGTTGACAGTGAACAGAACCGATGGAGGGTGTGGGAGAAGGGAAGTCTCCAGTTGTGAAATGGCAGCAAGGGCTCAGGAACCGCGTTTAAACAGGGCCGGTGCACAGAGGGCAGAGAGGTCTGATTGCTGAAGTTCACGGTCGAGGGTCTGGGGGACCCTGTGGAAGTGGCGCATGTGGAATCGGAAGCTGTGAACATGAGAAGGGAAATATCTGCATGTTGGTTTCCTTCAAAAGAGGCACCCGTTGGAGCAGAAAACCCAGTGATGGTGTCAACACACAGGGAGTCGGGCGTGGAGGAGAGGGCTGGTGGGAGGGGCTGTGCTCCCAGGGGAAGGACAGTGACAGCCAACAGGAGTGAGGCTGGCAGGGGTGGTGAGAGGAGTGGAGAGATCCACTCAGGGCTCATTTTGTTTCACTGAATTTTATTTTGCTGAACTCTTTCCCCTACTGTGTCCTTAGAGAAGGAGAAGGGATTTGTGGACACGGTGTGGGTGCAGCCCCTGGGCTCTTTAGGAGGCAGTTTCCTGTGATGAAAGAGTAATTCAGAGAGGCACTAGGGTCTCCCACACCTTGCTGTGTGGATGGTTGAAACTTGTTAGAGTGGTTAGAGTGAGATCTGGTCTCACCCAGGAATGAGTAGAACCAATCCTGTCTTCAATGCTGCCGTGCTGGTCTGCAAAGGCCTGAAACAAGCTGATGGTAAAGACAGTTTCCCGCCCTCAGTTCCCATCCACTCTACAGCCCCCTCTTGCCATCTCCTCCTTCTCTTATGCTTTTCTTGAGCACAGACAAGGACAGTCTCCGTGGTGCTCCTCAAAGATGCCCTGGGGACAGACTTGCCTGCCAGCTCCGGAATGCCTTTCCCTCACCCCTGCTTCTACTCCAGTGGCTCACCTCCTTGGTACAGCTTTTGCTAAATGAAGATACTCACCTTCTTTGTAGTCCTTCTGCCCACTGTACTAAAATGAAGCACTTAAAATGCACCTTCCAGAATCACAGCCTCAGGCAACATTTACTGTCTGCAATCATTAGAGGCTCAATAGGTGTTGCAGCTCCCCTGTCTAAATGTAGGTACTTTGAGGGCAGAAGCCATTTCAGCACCATATGTACCGCAACTCTGGCTCTCAGAATACTCACCTAGTACACACACAGTGGACCCTTTAATTGTGTGGGTTCCAGACAGAGCCTTTCCCCGAATTGACCAAGACTATATTCTCTAAGCACTTGTCCAAGAAGAGCCAGGAAGGGAGTTCAGCAGGAGGTGCCCTTTGGGAGATCAAGGAAACACAGTGCTCCAGGGACTGGCCAGAGGGCAGCTCCAGCAACCACAGCACTGCCAGCCCGGCCTGCTCACCTCCCTCACAAGTGCAACCAGGGAGGGTGACAGCCCTCGAGGTGCCATTCCCCAGTCTGAGGAGGGTTGGGATGGGAGGCCAGGAGTGGCTGGAGCTCAGCAATCATCCAAAGAGTGACTACAGTGCAGAGCATTGTAGCCAAGGACACAGAATGTGGCAGAGACCTGGGTCACTGGGGGTGGAGGTGCCCCTCTGAACCTTTCCTGGCTCTTCCAAGCAGCTCTGAGCACAAATACTGTAAGAACAAGCTAGCTAGGAAAACGTGGGTGGGACCAGGGAATCACAGCCGCTTCTCAAGTGAGAAAGGAAGCTCGGCTTGTGTTGATCTCAGCAGGCAATGTGTGGGCTCCTGGAAGTACATTGTTTAAAAGTTTGGTACTGAGGGGCTGTACGTCAGCAAGGGGCATCTTCAGAAGCTGACTTGGGTGATGCTGCACTCAGGCAGTTTCCCCAGCTCCATGACAACCATCAGTGAGTAGCACTGCCTTCCCAGGGGTCCCAGAGGAAGCCTGCAACAACTCACCAAGCAGAAAAGCAGAAGCTGCTCCCTCTCTCCTCCTAGGACTTGGAGGAGAAGAGAAGGTCAACTCTAATAAAAGGAAGGGCAGCTGTGTAAGCATTGCTGGTGGGTCCAGCATATGGTGGATCTTTAATAAAGTTAAAGGCTTGTGTGTATATGTACATATATGTGTGTATTTGACTGTCTATCCATCCACACACACCCATACACCCACTCATATATTCATCCATCTATCTGTACACCTACACTAACAGACACACACACCTCCACAAACACACATACAAATGCACATGTCCTTTCATCCATCCATCCATCTATCCATCCATCCATCCTTTCACCTAGACAGACAGACACACACACACACACACACATGCACTCACGTGTCCATCCATTCATTTATTCATCTAATCATGTAGACTCACACACATATTCATATACACCCATCTCTGTATGCATTCATCCAGATACACACATACACACACACTCGCATGTCCATCCATTGACTTAGAAAGAGAGATGGACAGACACACACACACACACACACACACACACACACGCTAACATATCCATCTGGGCATCCATCCATCCACTTAGACAGACAGACAGACACACACACACCCATGCGCACATACACTAACATATCCATCTGAGCATCCATCCATCCACTTACACAGACAGACACACACACTCACATGCCAATTTATCCATCCCTCCACTCACCCATTCATCTATCCATACATCAATGCATCCATCTACCTAAACTGACAGGCAGAAACACACACTCACATATCCATCCATACATACATCTGTTCATCCACCCATCTACCTAGACAGACAGACACAAATACTCACATTCCTTGCATTTATCCATCTGACTACCTAGACAGACAGACAGACACAGACACACACACACACACACACTCACATATCCATCTGTCCATTCATTCATCTATCCATCTATCCATCCATCCACCCATTCATCCATCCGCCCATTTCTCCATCCATCTACCTAGGCAGACAGACAGACAGACAGACAGACACACACACACACACACACACACACACACACACACACACACACAGCCTTTTTTTAACTAAAATCTTCCAGCTAGACTGATGGAATCCCTCTGGGCACCTTGGTCATCCATGTGGACTCTCTGCTCTGAATGGGAAAGTGACTCTGATTAAGACCTCGGAGGCTTTTCTGCAGAGGATTGATGATCTGTGCCTGGTTCAGAGTGAGATGCTAAGGTCCCTGCTCACTGGCCCACTGTGATCTCGCCATCCTGGATGTGGTTTAATTGCTCAATAAGGAATAGGACCTTTTTTTGTGTCAGCTCACACAGAGAGAAGCGAGGACGTGCAGTTGTGTGAATATTGTGGGGATTTCGTGGAGTCATGCTGCAATTGCTATTCCTTTCTTCTCAAGCAGAACAGGAAGTCCTGAGTTGACGATATGATTTTTACATGTTGAAATGAGCTGGCTGCAAAGCTCAGTAAGGGAAGGGGTGGGATTTGAAATACATCTGTTAGCAGCAGTCCTACTGTGAGCAATGAAATCCCTGACAAAGGAAACAGTAGCTTAATCATGGTGGGTATTAATATTCCCAACTTTGATGTTCCCCAATATGTAAAACAACACAAAGTGCTTTTGGAACCGATTGGAAACTACTGGAGCCTACTAATGCATGCCAGCTCCTGGAGAGCCCTGAAATTGAAGTCAATTTGCCTTAATAAAGCTGTTTAACATTAATTTAAGGTGGGCTTAGGCCAGGTTTAAGAAAATTAAGAAAAATGTAGTGAATGGGCACAACTGAGCATCCTCCTGGGTTATGAATGAGCAGTGGCCGACTGCCTCTATTCCTGACAATCCTTAGACAATCTGGGCTCCATAGGAAGCAACATCCCACCAAATCCTGTTCCCAAAATTCTGAATCCTCAGTCTATTTTGATCCAAGTTTAATCTCTTTATGCTACTGTTATAGAAATCACTGTTATTAAAATGTTGTTTTATAAGATTTAGTTGATGATGACAAAACCCTGAATTTTTGGAAAATGTTTCTGACAGGAAGTGATATTTTAATAAATTAGAACAATGGTTGTCACTGGTGTTAAGTTGGGGAGGGGAAGGAGGTGGTAGAAGGAGGTGGGGTTGCATCTGGCTTTTCTTAGTCCAACCAACTGTTTCTACAAGTGAGACAACAATGACCTTGCCAGACAGCTTGCCTCCCAAATTAAGTTTTTGAAAGTCGTCAGGATTCAGAAACTGCTCTGCTAAATTCTCTGAAGCAGAAAGGATTTGTTGACAAAAATTCCTCCATTCCCCGTTTTTGTTCTTATATCCAATCTCACTACTAAAAGCAAACTAAATCTTTAGAAGGAATACAAGGGTCAGCTTGAGTGTACCCTGGTGAAGCATGCTCTCACTTGGTCAGGCAAATGTTCTAGATTAAGAGCCCCCATCCCCCAGGCCACGAGCTGGTCCGTGGCCTGCTAGGAACCAGGCCGCATGGCAGGAGGTAGGTGGCATCTTAACTGTGAGTGAGTGAAGCTTCCTCTGTATTGACAGCCACTCCCCATCACCCGCATCACCACCTGAGCTCCACCTCCTGTCAGATCAGTGGCAGCATCAGATTCTCATAGGAGTGTGAGCCCTGTTGTGAACTGCGCACGTAAGGGATCTAGGTTGCACGCTTCTTATGAGAATCTAATGCCTGATGATCTGTCACTGTCTCCCATCACCCCCAGTGGGACTGTATAGTTGCAGGAAAACAAGCTCAGGGCTCCCACAGATTCTACATTAGGGTGAGCTGTATAATTATTTCATTATGTATTACAATGTAATAATAATAGAAATAAAGTGTACAATAAATGTAATATGCTTGAATCATCCTGAAACCATCCCCCTCCCCTGGTCCGTGGAAAAATTGTCTTCCATGAAACCAGTCCTTGGTGCCGAAAAGGTGGGGGACCACTTGGGTAGACCACAACTAACTAGTTCCCCTGGTGATCCAAAGTGATTTTAAGAGTAGAAATGCTTTTTAAGGGGAAAAAGTGATGATTAATTCATTCATTTGTGCTGTTTTATAACATAGAACCTTCCTTTTGCCCCCCAACGAACAACAATTTTAGCTCTTTGTTGAGTTCTACTACGTGCTGGGCACTGTGCTAGACCTTCAAGAGCTCATTAAATTATGCATCCTCCTAATAGTCTGACATGGGTGGTGTGATTATCCTATTTTGTAAATGAAGACAATGATTTTGGAGAGGGCATGTAGCATGGCTGATGGCAGATAGCTGGCAGGCCACGGAGCAGGAATTTGCATCTACAGAAAGGTTCCATTCAGCGGCACTGTCTTCCTCATCCCCATTCCCATTGCCGTAGACATCCCCATTGTCATTTTGTTGTTTTACTTAGAGACCTAACATGGGCAGAATCACTTCCTGCAAACTACGCATTTGCCAGGGTAAAACATTAGTCATACCAGCATAATGGTCTGACGTGGTATGTGCTCAGAACTTCCGAAACAAGTTGAGAGAAAAACAGGAGCTAGGGAAGAAAGTCTGTTTATTTAAAGAGACAGTTTGAACTCCTGATCTGGGAAGGTTTAACTTGGGGTTCAGTGAAGACAGAAATAATTGAGGTAAAGATGCCTTTTACCAATGCACATCTTAAAGGATGTTTCCTGTGCTCTAAGGCACAATAACAAAGTTAAAGTGGCCTCAGGACCTGTTCATCTATTCTGTTCATTCCTTCAGTCAACCTTTATTGACCAGACAAGGCGCTATGCCCTTGAGATCTGATGGTCAATGACAAAGTAGCCACCTTGTGGGGTTTACATGCTTATGGGGGTGGCAGACACAAACAAACAAACACGTAAACATATGTCCTGTCAGTTCTATGGAGAAACATAGGAGAGTTGCAAGGTACCAGACTGGAGTGCGTGCGGCTCTTGTGTAGAATGAGGTCAGAGAAGTCTCTGCTGAGAATTGGAGGTGTGAGCAGAGACCGGGGCAAGAGAAGAAGTTCGTCCTGGGATGTCTGTGAGGCTTGCATTACACTCAGTGGGAGCAGCCAGTACAAAGTCCCTGAGGCCTACAATGATTTTGTGTGGAAGGGAAGTGGGAAGAAGGTGAGTGAGGAGTGGGAAGAAGGTGAGTGAGGTTTGAGAAGGGTGAGCCGTGGAAGGATTGTAATTATTGGGGTAAAAAAATGGCCAGTTCCCTTTCATACAGGGATATATGGACCAAAGTGAGGGCTTTGAACTGAACTCCAATTGAAATAGGAACCACAGGAGTGCTTTGAGTTAAAGGTAATCCTTAAAAAGAATAACTCACTCTGTCTAAATTGTTGACAAGAGACTCCAGGAAGACAAGCATAGAGACCTAATTGGATTAGGAGGCTCTAGGCCCAGAAGAAGCATGGCAGTGCTGGCTTGGCCTGCATGGAGCAATGAAGCAGATGGTGAGATGTGTTTGGGGTCTGAATATAATTTCACAGTGGAGTCAGCAGGGTGTACTGATGGATTGACTGTAAGGTATAAGAGAGAGGAGTCAAAGATGGTTTTCACTGAAAAATCCAGAAAGATGATGATACAGTTTGGCTGCGTCTCCACCCAGATCTCATCTTGAATTGTAGCTCCCATAATTCCCACATGTTGTGGGAGGGACCTGGTGGGAGATAATTGAATCCTGAGGGCCATTTCCCCCATACTATTCTCATGGTAGTGAAGAAGTCCCACGAGATCTGATGGTTTTATAAGGGGTTTCCCCTTTTGCTTTGCTCATTATCTCTTGCCTGCTGCCATGTAAGACATGCCTTTTGCCTTCCACCATGATTGTGAGGCCTCTCCAGCCACATGGAACCGTGAGTCCATTAAACCTCTTTTTCTTTATAAATTACTCAGTCTAGGTATGTCTTTATCAGCAGCATGAAAACAGACTAGTACAGATGGTGCTGCCATCAGACAAGATGGGGAGGACTTTGGCAGAGGCAGATAATCAGGACTGAGTTATGAACATGTGAGTTCAATCTCATTTGTAGATCTTCTTATGGAGAGACCCACTAGGCATTGTATATGTGAATCTGGGATTTTGGAGTTTGGCCTAAGCTGGTGTTTAAATTTGGGAGTTGTGGGAGAATTTAAAGTCAAAGTGTGGAAGGTCAACAGAAGTGCCAGCAGCCTCTGAGGTAGCCCCTGTGATCCCATCTTCTGATGTGCGTGGCCTGGTAGAATTCACTACCGCCTGAGGGTGGGTGGAAGCTGTGACCTGCCTTTAACTAACAGAATATGGCAAAGGTGATGGAATGCACATGATTATATTACCTTGTGTTTTTACAATTTTTACACAGTGAGTCTGCAGTGTCTTAAGAAGACTATCCCTTGGTGGATTTGAAGAAGCAAGCTGCCTTGTTGTTTGAGCTCTCATTTGGAGAGGGCTGCAGGTTGAGGAGCTGACAGCCAGCAGAAATGGGGGCCATCCCTCAGACAGCCATCAGGGAGCTGCATGCTGCCAACACCATGAGAGCTTGGCAGTGAATCCTCCCCCAGTCAAGCCTCAGATGAGACCACAGTCCCAGCTGACCTCTTGGTTTCAGCCTCCAAACTCCCAACTCAGAAAAACTGAAATAAAAGTAAAGGCATTGTCAAAAGTTACTACGTTGTAGTAATTTATTATGCTGCAATAGAAAACAAATTTAAGAGAGAAAAGAAGGAGCCACGGAGTGGATTTAAGAGCAGAGACTGGGTCCAGGCATGGTGACTCATGCCTGTAATCCCAGCAGTTTGGGAGTCTGAGGCAGGAGGATCACTTGAGGCCAGGAGTTCAAGACCAGCCTGGACAACATAGTGAGGCCCCATGTCTACAAAAAATAAAAACAAAGTAGCTGGGCATAGTGGCATGCACCTGTAGCCCCAGCTACTCTGGAGGCTGAGGTGGGAGGATCACTTGAACCCAGGAGTTCGAGGCTGCAGTGAGCTATAATTGCACCATTGCATTCCAGTCTGGGCAACAGAGCAAGACTTCATCTCAAAAACAAACAAACAAACAAACAAAAGCAGTGGCTGGGAACTTTCTTTCGAAGGGACACTTGGGCCAGGCAGTTTCACTAGGCCAGGTTCTGTGAGGAGACCTGTTGGTGGCTCAGCCTGCAACCTCAGAGGATTGGTCAGAGAACCCCATGAGCCCTTCCTGTGTCACTTTGGATCTGCTCCAGTTGAATACCATAAACCAGGAGGTGAAGGCCTACTGGCCGGATGCCTGAAAGCCAACCTCTCCCTTAGGGCTGCACATTGCATGCTGCAGCAGAGTTGCTCTAAATAGAAAATGGAACATATGGATCAGGAGATAATGTTTCCTTATGAATAAGAGAGCCTGCTGGGCTCCACTCCCCTTCAGATCAAAGGGCGCCCTTCCTCCCTTTTCTATTCACCATCCTGCCTCTCACATTTGAAGCTGGAAGTCAAATCTTTGCCTCCAGTCAGTGTTCTCTGTGGTGATTTACAATGAGATTTTTATTGTAATCTCAGAGTTTTTCATATTTGCCTTCCAAGTTGTAAAGGGCAGAAGCTTGCAGGCATCAATGTTGACTGCCCAAGCAAGTGGCTTCTGGCTTCTCTACTGGATTTCCAAAATGGCTGCTCTATTACCATGCCAACTCATTTTGTTGTTCCCTGGGGCTGCATCTTTTCTCACTGATATAATATTTATAAACAACAGAAGAAGAGGCAATGCTCTTTCTAACTGCATACCATTGGCAGAGCCTCTTCATTCATTCAACCAGCACTTGCTAAGCACCTGCTATAGACCAAACACAGTTTTTGACTCTGAGGTGCAAAGGAAAGTAAGCCTTGGTCCCTCCATGGGCACTGGCTTCATCTTCCAAAGAATGGCTTTCCAGACAGTTTCAATTCCCAAAGAACTCACCCCAAAGAGGCAACACCAGGTTCTTTGCTTTTCTTCCCCCGATCTCTCATGAGCACCCTGTCTCCATCAGCAAATAGGCAAGGAAATGAAGAGAGAACTCCAGTCAGACTAGTCCTTTTCACTACTTGACCAAAGAAGGCTGAGGTGGAAGGATCACTTGACCCCAGGAGTTAGAGCCTGCAGTGAGCTGACTGCACCACTGCACTCCAGCCTATATAATAGATTCAAACGATCTATTGTTTAAATCAATAGATTGGCTGGAAACAGGGTAGATGTGGTAAGATAATGGGATGATGGCAGCAAACGCACCATTGTTCCACCATGTAGTGAATGCAGGATGAGGAGATGCTGTCTTTTTCTAGTAGGAAGATGACTTTGCTGGATTTGGTAACCTCCATAAAGGGTATTCATGCAACTGTGGAATTAATGGATAATAAAATTAGACCCTGGATTTGATTGCATTTATAGAAATTGAAAAATGATTATTGTTTGCAAGACAGCCTATATGTCTTCTAAAGGGCTCTAGCTCTGCCAACTTTAACACAGAGAGAAGTCAGAAACGTGAGCAGAACTCTTTGTGCAGGGAGTCTCACTGGGTGCAAGAGAAAGCCATTTGTTTTTTACTGGGTTGCTGGGGGTGGTGGGTGGGGGTCAAAATTTTGTTTAAAAAGTCTGGTTCAACATCTATTGATCCAGTATCCACCGTGGTCCAGGCGCTGTCCTAGGTGCTGAAGATAAACCTGTGACTACAACCCACCCAGTCCCTTCTCTCTTACGGCTTACAGTCCAGTGAGAGGTATTTGCACTGATCTCTGCTTAAAATGAGATTCAAGAATAGCCTTAGTTGCTGCTTCTCCATTTTTCTGGGCATTCACGAATCCTTTGGTTTAGTTTTGCATTTTGTCAAACTTGAATCTTTGCTTCCACAGTAGATGGGAGTTAGGGACCTGGAGGCTAAGAGACCTACTTTGCTTGTCAAGAGGACATCTTTGTTTCCTTTATGTTTAAAGCATGAGTCACTTTTCAAAGATATGAGCAGATCTTTAGTGTGCAGATGTGCAAGAATCCTGGAAGTCATGTCCTCTGCCTTAAAACTCAATTTAAACAGTCCCATTTGTCTTGCAAAACACAATCCTGCACCAGTCTGTGTACGTGTCTGGTGAACAACCAGCTGGAGACTCAGCATCTCAGAGATCTATCTATTTTTACATAGTTAAAAAATGCATAGGGATGATGTTCCTAAACAAAGCATGTTAAGTGTTTTGGACACACTTTAAATGAGATTATTATAGACGGAGAAACTGTTCCTGCCTTAATTAGAAAAAATCTTGGCGCTCATACTGGGAAGCTAATTGGCACCATCAGAGCATTGAATGATTCCTAATTTTGCTACTTAGAGGCACACCTGGTGACTCGCCTGTCAGTGGTACCCAAAGACTCGGGCAACGAAGATATAAAAAGTAACAGCTGCGGTGATGCAAAAGCTTCCGACGCACACAGTGCTAAGAACATGCTCATGGGCTTAATCCTCCAGCTTGAACTTTGCCTGCAGCCTTGATAGGTGACACAGAAAGCTACAGGCAGACGAGCAGAGGGCAGAGTGACGCACCCAAATAGAGGCAGCACCACCTTTATTCGTGCCAAGGAAGTGTGCCCTGACCTGGGATGGAATCAAGGATGGAATTATGAGGGCAGGAGCCACCTGAAACCCTTTCATGCCTTTTCACACAAAGGTAGTAAGACAAGAGGAGCAGAGGTCATGACGTGTGGGGAAATGAGACAATCCAGCCACTGTGACTCTCAAGGAAGAGAGGAAAGAAATAGGCGGGGCGGGGCGGGGGGGTCTCTATCCTTTGACCAGGTAATTAGCAAATTGTAAAAGACACAAAGTCCTCCCAAGGGGTCATCTGGATGCAGAGTCATGTGATCCCCCATCAGAGAGTTTGACCCAGGGGTGTGGGTTGGCACCAAGGGTGAGGGGAGGAGGGCATCGTCATCACCCCATAAAGAGGAGACTCTGATGCAGCCAGCATCTGCCACCCTGTTTCCCCATTCCACTTGGTGATGTTCTAGGGTCTTTAGGATGAAGACTAGACTCGAAAGTAAGCAGTCCATGCTAGGAGGGAGCCACACAACCTTTCAAAACTCACTGTCAATTAAACGGAATTAATTTTGTGAGTCCCACCTGACACTCCAGCAGGATGGGTACAACACGGCCAATCTGTCGAAACAGAATATTCTCGCCCAAAATGATGAATATAAAGAAGAAATGGCTTTTGCTTTGGGCCTAATGGGAGCTTTCTATTTCTGAGGAATACAAAACAAACAAAAACAATGACAACTCACACACATGCACGTGCGCGCGCACACACACAGACACCAAAGATTAACCGTTCTCTTCCTTATTAAAAGCTCTAATTGCTTCTCCACCCCTGTCTTACCTTATAGTTTGGGGAAAAATACCCCTCTAACAACGCTCCCACCTCCCCGACAAAAGCGTTGCAAGTTCCTTATCTGAAAACAGATGTTTGAGAGCTGGCTTTTCTCCCAGGAGAGTGTCTGTGGATGAATTTGTTTCTCTGAATGAAGCCTTTGAGTAATTGGCACATTATGTAACTACACATCAGTCTATCACTAATAAGGAAAGTTCTTGAAGCTGAAACTAGCTGAATAGCAGGATGATGCCTTACCTACCTTCTCTTCCACGGGGCTTTTCACAACATGTTGAAAAGAAAGGTTTATTGCCATTGAGCTGAAGACTTCAAAAACATTTTGCCAAAGTAGGGCACAGGTGACTTAACCAGGTCAAATGACTTTTTAAAAGGGTATACTTAAGTACTAGTCCTCTTAGTAAATATCCCTTCAGACTTCAAAAGGCGTAAAAAGATTCAGAAGGAAATTGATTGAGCTCAGTTGGGAAGTGGAGGTGGGGTGCTTGCCCTAACTTAGACTGTAGTGACCCAGATCAATGGAAACACTAAGGAACAGCTGTATATTTGGGTTAAAGAGAGTTTTCTTAATTTTTGGATTGCTTGACTTTTTAAAAAATATTCCTTTTTTTGAAAACCCTAAGAGACTGTCTTGACCAGAGACTAAGATGTAAGTGGTAGTAATTCATTTGTGATTCTGGGGAAAGGGAGATTGGAACAGGGAGGAAAGACGGGGAAGTAGGGAGAGCCAAGACAAGGGCACCTTGTAGACGTCCCCCCACCCCACCACCACTACTGGGAACAGCTAGTTGCTAGATTTAGTAGATAAAAATACAGGATGCCCAGTTAACTTTGAATTTTGGATAAACAACAAATACAATTTTTAGTATAAGTATATTTCATGCAATGTTTTGGATATATTTATAAAGTAAAACATTTGTTATTTTTCTTATAATTAAATTTATCTGGGTAACCTGTATTTTATCTGGCAATCCTAACCAGGTAGAACCTTCTGAGAAGCCTCATGAGGTATCTCTTAGAACCCCCTGCTCAGAGTTGAAGGAGGAAGTATTCAACAACCTCTTCTCCATTAGTCACAAATAGCACGTGGGGTGTTAACTTGTGATAGGTCCCTTATGACATGAGGTCACAGGACAGGTTTGCAGAGGGATCCCCCATCCCAGTGGGCTTCAGTGAACGCTGGGGATGGAAGTTCGAGGTGTTCTGTGGGCCTGAAGTCAGGTGCTGTCAGGTTGTACCTGCATAAAGCTGGTCAAAGACTCAATGATCCTCACCACAGTGGCAGGAAGAAGAGTGAATCAAGAGGTATCCAAGAGGTATCTTATCTGAAACACGCAGGTTCCTAAAAAGGATGAAGCACAGGCATAAGTCTGAATGTACTGATGTATTGATTCTCTTAACAAGTATTGATCACAGACCTACTGATATGGTTTAGCTGTGTCCCCTCACCACCCAAATCTCATCCTGAATTGTAGTTCCTATAATTCTCACATGTTGTGGGAGGGACCCGGTAGGGGGTGATTGAATCATGGGGGCAGTTTCCCCCATATTGTTCTCATGGTGGTGAATAAGTCTCACGAGATCTGATGTTTTTATAAGGGGTTTCCCCTTTTGCTGGGCTCTCATTATCTCTTGCCTGCCACCATGTAAGATGTCCCTTGCTCTTCTGCCATGATTGTGAGGCCTCCCCAGCCATATGGAACTGGGAGTCCATTAAACCTCTTTCCTTTATAAATTACGCAGTCTTGGGTATGTCTTTATCAGCAGCATGAAAACACACTAATACATGGACTATGTGCAGATCGGCAAACATACCCAGCCCTGTTGTCCTGAAGCTTCCACTCCAGGTGATTGTGTATCTTGGGAGATACCTGTGACCAAACTGGCAGGTAGGTTGTGGAGCAGCAGAGACTTCAGCCTTGTTGCTTACAGCTGCTTTCTCTGTCTCTACTAAAAAGAATAGGACCTGGTATGCAGCAGTTGCTTGTGGGCCCTTGTAGTTCTAGAATCCTCATTATGAATACATAGTCTAGTGTGTTACACACTGTGAGATTTCAGAAAGTGGAGAGGATTTGTGAGCCATGAAGCAGGAAAGTGTGGCAAATTTGAGGGTGGAAGGGGCAGAAGGTCAACAGGCCAGGAACCCTGGCAGCCATAGGAAGAAGAGGGTTGCAGGGGTGGCAGGTGATAGGGACAAGGTCACAGGGGGTCCTCCACCATGATAAGAATGCTGATCTTCTTTCCAGGGGAAGTAGGAAGCCCATAAGAAATCTTGCACAATGGAGAATAATCATTGGATCTGAGTTTTTGAATTAAGCATTTTTTATCTTGAAACAATTAAAGGTTCATATGTAGATGTAAGAATTAGTACAGCCTGGCACGATGGTTCACGCCTGTAATGCTAGTACTTTGGGAGGCCAAGGTGGGCAGATCACCTGAGGTCAGGAGTTCAAGACCAGCCTGCCCAACATGATGAAAACCTGTCTCTACTAAAAATACAGAAAATTAGCTGGGCATGGTGGTGGGCACCTGTAATTTCAGCTACTCTGGAGGCTGAGGCAGGAGAATCACTTGAACCTGGGAGGTGGAGGTTGCAGCAAGCCGAGATCACACCACTGCACTCCAGGCTGGGTGACAGAGCGAGAATCTGTCTCACAAAAAAAGTAAAATAAAATTTTAAAGAAAGAATTAATACAAAGACATCCCATGTTTTCACCAGCTGTAACATACAGCAAGATTACAGCACCATATTATAACTACGATATTGGCATCGATATCGTCAAAATATGAAGCATTTCCATCACCACAAGGATCCTTCATTGTTCCCCTTCACAACCTACCCACTTCCTTCCGGTCCCCAACTCCTCCTCAACCCCTGGCAAGCATGACTCTGTTCTCCATTTCTATAATGTTGTAATTTCAGGAATGTTATATGAGTGGAATTATAGAGTAAGTAACCTTTGCGCACTGGCTTTCTCCATCAGCACAATTCTTTGGAGATTCAACCAGGTTGCGGAGTATTTCAAGAGTCTGCTCAGACTTTTGCTGAGTGGCATTCCTTGGTGTGAACACACCGCAGTTTGTTTAACCACTCACCTGCTGAAGGACATCTGAGCTGGTTCCAGTTTGGAGCTATTGGGAAGAAAGTTGCAACAAACATTTGCGTGTTGGTTTTTGTGTGACAGTGGTCATTTCTCTAGGATCAAGGCCGAGAAGTGCAATTGGTGGATTGGATGGCAGTTTATTTATTTATTTATTTTATTTTTATTTTTTTCAAGAAAATGCATGGGCTGGGCATGGTGGCTCACACCTGTAATCCCAGCACGTTGGGAGGCTGAGGCGGGCAGATCACCTGAAGTCAGGAGTTCAAAACCAGCCTTGACCAACATGGTGAAACCCTGTCTCTACTAAAAATGCAAAAATTAGCTAGGCATTGTAGCATCTGCCTGTAATCCCAGCTACTTGGGAGGCTGAGGCCAGAGAATTGCTTGAACCCGGGAGGCAGAGGTTTCAGTGAGCTGAGATCACGTCACTGCACTCCAGCCTGGGCAACAAGAGCGAAACTCCATTTAAAAAAAAAAGAAGAAGAAAAGAAAGAAAGAAAGAAAGAAGGAAAGAAAGAAAGAGAGAAGGAAAGAAAGAGAGAGAGAGAAAGAAAGAAAGAAAAGAAAGAAAGAAAGAAAGAAAGAAAGAAAGAAAGAAAGAAAGAAAGAAAAAAAAAAAGAAAATGCATGAATTTTGCAGAAAAATCCCAAACCGTTTTCCAGATTGGGTGTATCATTTTAAATTCTGACCAGCAGTGTGAGAGCATCCTCACCAGCATTTGGTATTGTCACTGTTTTTTCTTGTAGCCATTCTGATAGGCATGCAATGTTACTTCATTGTGATTTTAATTTGCATTCCTCCAGAAGTTAATGATGTTGAACATGTGTTGACAGTTGTTTATTTTCTTTGGTGAAATGTCCCTTTATGTCATTAACTCACTTTCTAATTGGATTGTTTTTTTTTTCCTATTGTTGAATTTGGAAAGTTTTGTTTATATATTCTAGATAATAATCCTTTGTCAGATATGTGGTTTGCAGATATTTTCTGCCAGTCTATAGCTTGCATTTTTATCCTCTTAACAGGCTCTTGTCTTCACAGGGCAAAAGATTTTAAGTTTGATGAAGCCAAATTTATGTTTCCATTTATAGATCATGCTTTTGGTGCCAAGTCTAGGAAATCTTTGTCTACCTTAGATCCAGAAGATTTTTTCCATTGTTTTTTCTAAAAGTTTTCTAGTTTTATATTTTATATTTAGTTCCATAGTCCATTTTTGGTGAATTTTTGTATAAGGGGTGAGCCTTAGTTTGAGGTTTATTTTATTGAATATGAACACTCACTCACTCCAGCACTGTATCAGTTTGCCAGGGCTGCTGTACAAAGCATCAAAAACTAGGTGCCTTAAACAACAGGAATTTAGTAGCTCACAGCTCTGAAGACCAGAAGTCCAAGTTCAAGGTCAGCAGGGTTGGTTCCTTCTGAGACTGGAGGAGTCTGTTCCATGCTTCTCTCTTATCTTCTGGTGGTTTGGTGGCAATACTTCTCATTCCTTGTCGTGTACATGCATCATTCCAACCTCTTTCTTGACTTTTACATGGAGTTCTTCCTGTCTTTCCTTCATATTTCCTTGGTTTATGCCTGTCTCTGTCCAAATTTTCCCTTCTTGTAAGAACATCAGTCATATTGGATTAGGGTCCATGCTAATGACCTTATTTTAACTTAATTACCTCTGTAAGTATCCTCTTTCCAAATAAGGTCTCATTTGGGGTACCAGGGGCTAGAACTTCAACATATCTTTTTTGGAAGGCACCATTCAATCCACAACAAGCACCATTGGTTGAAAAGTCTATCTTTCTTCCATTGACTTACTTTTGCACCTTAGTCAAAAATCAATTGAGAATATTTGTGTAAATCTATTTTTGGGTTCTCTGTTCTGTTCCATTATCTATAAGCCTGTCCATCTGCCAAGATCATCCATTCTAGATTACCATAGCTATATAATGTCTCTAAATTGGATAGATCTTCTTTTTCAAAATTGTTTTTTAGTGATTCTAGGTCCTTTATAACATTTAGAATAATCTCATCTATATCTACAAAAATATTTGCTGATACTTTGATACAATTTGTGCTAAAACTGTATCTCAATTAAGGGAAAATTAACATATTTACTATGTGAGTTTTTAAATCTATGAATACTGTATGTCTTTCCATATATTTAGAGCTTCCATTTCTGTCTTCAAGATTTTGTCATTTTCAGCATACAAATCTTGTACATGTTTTGTAAGAGTTACACCTACATATTTTATTTTAAGTGATTATGAATCATATTGCATTTTAAATTTTGGTGTCCTATGTTCATTGTGGACATATAAAAATACAATTGATGTTTATATGTTTATCTAATATCTTGCAACCTTGCTGAACTTATTAGTTCTCTTGTAGATTCTTTGGGATTTTCTTATGCCACCTGCAAACAGGGACAGTTTTTCCTTTTCAATCTTTGTGTCTTCAATTTTCTTTATGTGTCTTATTTACCTGGCTAGAACTTTCATTACTATATTGAAAAAGAGATCAGACATCCTTTCTTATTCTCATTCTAAGGAAGAAAGTATCCAGTTTCTTACCACTAAGTCTCATGTTTGTTATAGGTTTTTTTGTAGATCTTTTTTGTCAAGTTGAGGATGTTCCCATGTCATTTTTCTAAGAATTTATATTATGAATGGGTGTTGGATTTTGTAAAAACATTTTCTGCATTGATTGATATAACCATGCAATTTTTCTTCTTTAACCTGTGAATGGGATAGGTTACATTGGTTAATTTTCAAATATTGGGCCATCCTTTCATTCTTGGAATAAGCCCCATTTGATCATAATTTATTTTTTGTGTTGCTGAATTCTATTTATCAATAGTTTGTTAAGGTTTTTTTAACCTATATTCATAAGCGATATTAGGTTATAGTTGTTGTTGGATTTTTTGTTATTGTCTTTTTCTGGGTTTCAATAACAATATAACCCTCACTTCATAAAATGAGTTGAAAAGTGTTCCCTTCTCTTCTATTTTCTGAAAGACATAGGGTGAAATAATGTTCATTTTTAAACATTTGGTAAAACTCTCCACGTGAAGAATCTAGATGGATCTCCATTTTTAATAGATCACTTTTGCTGCTGGGTGAAGAATGAGTTGTAGGAATGGGTTTCTAGAAAATATGGTGGAACAATTTGAAGTGTGGAATCCTGCTTCAGATGTGAAGAAATATTGAATCAACTACAACATATCAACAATAGATAATGGAACAAAAAGATAAGACATGAAGGAGGAAAAGCAGACTGTTGGTGGAGATCAGAAAGTATGAAAGGGGATTAGGTAGATTTTTAAAGTGACCAAAGATAAATTCTAGAAGAGAAAATTATGAGGGGAAAATTTTGATTTAATAATAGATTGAAGAAGATTGAAGAAGAAGCTAGATAGAGCTGAAGAGAATATTAAGGAAGTGAAAGAACCAAGGAAATCAGCCTAAATGTTGTACACAGAGATAAAGAGATGGAAACTTGAAGAGATAATAAAGACTAATAATGAAGACTGACATTTTAAAAGAATTCTGAGAAAGAGATAATGCAAAATTCCAAACGCTGAAGGCACGAACTATAAAAATAAATCTAAATCGAGAAACCGTGTAATAAAATGCAGAACATTCCAAAGGAGAGAAGGCATTTAAAATATTTCTAGAAAGAAAAGCATCTCTGATGGAAGAACAATGAGAATGAGAGCACAGTACATGTCTTAAGACCTTGAAGAGGCATCTCAAAGGGCTGGGGGGAAGTAAACATTGACCTAGAATTCTATACTGGACTCCGTTATGACTCAAGGTTGAAAGCTAAATAAAAACACCCACGCATGTATTTCAGATATATAAAAACCTAGAGATTTTATATTCACAGGCCCTTTCTAAAATAACCTCAGGGGAAGTTCTTTTTATAAAATAAACTATGTAAATGTGTATAAATATCAAGTGTTGGCAAAGGTGAAAGACGAGAACTCGTGTACAGCAGGTAGGTATGTGACTCGATACATCATGTTTCAGAGGGCATTTGGCATTGGTTAGTAAGGCTGAGGTTAACGCTAAAACCCAGAAATCCTGCTGTTTATAACCTAGACCAGAAACTCTTGTTCTTATATCCCAGCTAATGTACATGAAGGTGTCCTCTGCAGCATCGTCAGAACAAGGGAAACAGTGAAATTACCAGCGTTCATCAACTGAGAAATGTATAAATAAATTATGGTATAATCCGATTAAAAATGCTATTCAGCCATTAGATAATTGATTTTGTTTTCTGTGAATCAGCCTATATAGTGTTTAAAAAATGAGGTTCAGTTGAAAAAAGGTGTAACAGAATTACATGTCTAGAACTGTCACACTTATGCAAACAAAAATTCACACATAACAATACTAACAAGGTTTCGTGGTTAACATTCCATTTGTGTGCACCCATGCGTTTGTGTGTATGTAGTAAATAAATAAAAACTTTGACAGAAAGATGCGTGCAGATAATTTAATAATCGTTAATTCTGGAGTGCTCTTCCTATGAAGAAGAAGGAAGAATGTGATGTTGCAGAAGGGCTCAAAGGGAATTTTAAAACATACATATTATTTCTTTCATATTTTAAACAATCTGCATTGAAATAACCAATGATATTTTATAAAGATGTTGAGTACAAAGAGGTTTGTTACATTTCTGTGTGTATTTTTCTATACTTTGAATTTTAAAAGATGGCAGAATGGATGGAGCAAGTGGGCACAGAGACACCAGCGAGAGACTCTGGCCGGGACATCAGTGGCTGGAACCTAGATGGAGGGGTGTGGGCTGGGGAGGAGGCTATGGATCAGATGGAAGCACAAAGACCCAAGAATAGCTATGGCTGCTGTTTCAGGCATCTTTTGCTGGGTGATGAAATACCCCAAACAATGACAACTCTTTTTCACTCTGTGAGTTTTCCTGCTTGGCCTCACTGCTGCATTTGGAGGGGCTGAGCTGGATTTGGCTGCCATGGCTGAGATGACCTTGCCACTCTCCACATGTGGTCTTTCCAGCCAGATTTCTTCACACTGTGGCCACCTCCAAACAGCATTCAAGATGATAAGTGCAGACACACTCTGTATTACATTTGCTGGTATTCCATTGGCCAAAATAAATCACAGTGTGAGAGGAAAATACACAAGTGAATACTGGTGTGATTCACTGGGGGCTGCGACTCCAACAATCTACCACCATAATACTAAAATAATTAAGGTAGTGTTGTGTTGACATAGACATAGAGAGAGAGCAACATATAAAAACCAATAACCTCAGGGGAGGATCAAACAGATAAAGCAATTGAAGAACAAGGTAGAATAATTTGTCATACTATAAATCGAGAATTATTATAAAGAGTAAGAAAGGATTTTTTTAACAAGGTGCCAAAAGCACTAACTATAAAATGAAGGATCAATACATTTGATTACATTAAAGTTATGAAGGCTTACCAAAAGACACCTCAGAGTGAGTGGAAAGACAGGTCACGTAGTGGAGGAAGAGATCAAATATAATCAATAGAAGACCAATGTGCAGATGACAGGAAGAACATTTATTAATCACCATGGAGGAGATGAGAA
The DNA here is from genome assembly GCF_000001405.40 of Homo sapiens. Lineage (NCBI taxonomy): Eukaryota > Metazoa > Chordata > Mammalia > Primates > Hominidae > Homo > Homo sapiens. The sequence continues at coordinate 4,991,243 of NC_000001.11, read as the reverse complement.
ACCCAACAGAATTAGTGCCCTCGAAGTCGCTAAATATAATACGCAGGCATGCCCAGGAAGATGAAATGCAATTGGTCAATACACATAAATAAAGGTACTCAACCTCATTACTAATTGGGAAAATACAAATTAACACCACAATGAAATATCAATATGTACACATCAGAGTGGTAAAAGCTTAAAGATCTGGCAATAGGAGGGGTTGAGGCATACCCATTTCGTGTTGGAGGAGAGCCTGTGTTTTATACAGAGGACAAGAACAGGGAATTTTCAGAACTGCAAGCTACAGATAGACTACCAAACGTCTATGAGCTGTATTTATGGATTACATAAATTGTGGGACACTTGAAATGGAAATAAGTAAGTTGCAGCTATACACGTCACCACAGATGAATCTCGGAAGTATGTGATAAGCCAAAGAAGTATGTCACAAAGAACACAGGCAGCCTAATTCCTTTTATATAAAGATCAATAGCAGGCACAGCCCCAGCTCTGTTGTTCAGGGATACATGCGTAGGTGGCAAGGCAATAAATAAAAGCAAGACAATTGTTATCAAAAAGAGGTCAGGACAGAGAAGATCTGTAAGGAGAAGGGATGGGGGATGTATTGGGAAGAAGCGTGAAACAGTCACAGACTCTCTCTAAGACTCTGGCCAAGGTTTACTTCTTGATCTGGGCAATGATTATAAAATTATTCTTAAAAAGAAAATAGTAAAAAGTATAGCTTGGAGGGGACGAGAGTGAGTGAAGGGCATTAGGGAAGAGGCACTGGCACAAAGTTCAGTGGCTTTCAGGGTGGAGGCACTGGAGCCAGAAAAAGCTCTGTGAGTAGGATGGATGTCCAGAGATATAACTGGGAAGATTAGTGAGGTATTGGGAGTGCTAGATGAAGACGAGGAGAGTTGGCAAGAGTGAGTCCTAGATTTCTGGCTTATTTACTCGGTGCATGGTAGGCCATTTATCCAAATATATAAGACTGGCTGTGCCTTGAAAAACTGAAGGGTTATAACTTTTTGACATTGTGGTGTTTTGAAGACATCCAACCAAGCAGGCCATGAGCCGTATGGTTTAGGAGCTCAGAGAGGACATGGGAGCTGGAGATACAGGTTCCAGAGGTGTCTGTGTGCAGTGTTGACTGAAGCCATGAGTGTGAATGTAGGTGGCTAAGGGAGGAGAGAGAGAGAGAGAGAGACAGAAGGCCTGAGATTCTTCATCTGAATAAGAGAGTGCACAGCAGGGGGCATGGCAGCCCAAAGCCAAGGGAGGGCACCAGTTCAAGAAGAAGGCGATGGCTCAACATGGTAAATACAGAAAGGTGAGGTATGAGGACGTCCAAGAGATGTGCTTTGGATTTAAGTCAAGAAGGTCATTGGCAGCTTCAACTGACATAGCCTAGAGGACACGGAGGGGTGGAAGTCAGATTCGAGGGGGTGGAGGGAGTAAGCAGTTGCCAAGCGTATCCAGTGGTGTAGGGGAGGGAAAATATCTTTTCTTCACTCATTGCAAAATTCATGACTGAGGCCCCTATAACAAAAGATAAGAATAAACTATGCAAGTTTATTTAATAAAAGGTTTATGTGACCATGGAAACTCCCGTAAGGAAACGAAGACCAAAAGAAATGGGTATACCATTGTGTTTTAAGCTTGAATGAAGAAGCAGGTCTTTGTGAAGTGTGACTAAAGGGGGTATGATTAATGGTGATGAGCTGGAGATGCTTAGCCAGGCCTGTTTGTCCAGATTCTTCTATGTGTCCCTGTGTTTCCAGAGATAAGACTGTTCTTTTCCTTCTGGGAAGCAAGGGTACCTCTCACATGAGGATCTTACGACCTGCATCAGGGGAAGTTCAGGAAAATCCTTCCTAGGTTTTATGATCTGCTTCAGGGGAGAAAGGCAGAGGGGAAGAGGAGAATGACCTTGTGTTTCTGCCATTTTCTCAAATGCCAAGGTGCATATCTGGGGGTAGCATGTCTTGAATCCCATCAATAGCAAAGGCAGGCATGCAGTAGGATCAGGAACTGGCTTCCCTTGGGGGCATCATCCCCAGAACACCATGATGCCTGCTTTATCTGCTCCTGCAGCTTCAGTACCTGGGAGAGAAGTCTTGGCATATCCTGGGTTCTTAATGAAGTCTGTGGAGTGAATGAATGTGGAGTAAGCATCTCAGTCTACGACACCATCAAACTTCCATTCCATGCAGCTGCCTTGGAAATATTTACACCTGAGCAGAGATGCATGCTTGTGGAACATTCACTCATTACAGGTACATTGTTTGAAGAAGTCCTGTAATCATGAAATGCATTCAAAGCAAGCTGAAAACTAATTGCATTATGTCGTGTTGGTAATGGGGAGGTAGCATCAAGGATCTCTCTTACCTGCAATGTTGGACACACGAGAGAGTCTCCGAACAGCTGTCACTGAAGGAAGGGAAGCGACAGTCAGGGGGGCCAGATATGAGCTTCGCATGCATCCTTTTACCTGAGTCTCATGACTACCTGAGGGCTAGCAGGTGGGTCCCCAGCTGCCAAGGGAGCCTCAGGTTCAGGGCCCCACAGCAGGTGCACAGCAAAGGTGGGATGTGGGGCCACAACTGCTTGAGTTCAAAGCCCTTCCAGCACCATTCATACTCTTGAAGTGTATGTTCACGACGTGCAAAGATTGTGGATCGTTTTTCGGAGACAACGGCAGACTGAAAACCTCCCAAGTGGTTTCTGTTACCTTGTATGCATTTAGGGGACATACTTTTCTCCAGATAGCTTTGTCTCCATTAACTTCTTGAGCTGCTTCAGAATATCAAGAGTGAGTCCCCCACGGCTCCCAGTGATAGGCCCAGCTTAACAGAGAGTGAGAAATACTTTCTCCAACTACATCAAATCAGGTCCCTGCCTCTTCCTGAAAGTGTTTCTTGATGGTCACCCACATTTCTGTAATACAGGTTCCCTGGATCCTCTATTGCTTAGAGTGTTATGTACCTGCTGTGGGGCCCTAAGCGTGAGGCTAGTGTTGCAGCTCGGGATCCACTGCTCGCCCCCAGGTAGCTGTGAGGATCAGATGAGAAGATACATGTGAAGTGCAAATCTGGACCTCGTGACTGTCGCTTCCCTTCCTTCACTGACACTTGGGAGACTCCCAGGTGTCCAACCCGGCAGGTACGAGAGATCTGTCATGCTATCTCTTGCTCTGCTATTTCAGGTGACCCTGACAATCAGGGTTAGGAGGGAGGGTGTCTGGCAGGGTAGTATGTCTTAGAGCTTCCAACCCCACACTGGGTTTACAGTAGTTTTTAAATAGTGAAAGTACAGATCCAAAGTGATTTACATGTGTTATTTTCACACACACACACACACACACACACACACACATGCACACACACACACAGAATGTCTTTGAGAGAGATTCTCTTATGAAGCCCATTTTACAGATGAAGAAACTGAGGCCCACAGAACTGAGGCCTACATCACACCACAGCTTTTAGACGGAGGCACCAGGATTCAAACCTCAGTGTCTGAAATGAAGACAACTTCCCTTAAAAGTCATCCTCATCTGACTTGCACCCATTGCCCTCAGCGCTTCCAGATCTTTTAGAGGAAGGGAAGGCTGGAAGGCAAGTAGGAAAGAGATCAAGAGTCTTTCAAGCTTATTGCCAAATAGTTGTCTCTGGTTCAGTCAGTCCCGGAATGTTCTGTTTCCCTTTGCCATCCTTCTCGGCTGGAGCTTTTTCTCCAAAATGAATGCAGAGGAAGAAGCTCATTAAGAGAACTAAGTATATTTGTTCCTCCGCTTGATACCGCGGAGGCTAGAGATTTGAATCTGGGAGGACTGGGGGGACGCAGGCGAGAAAACAAAAGAAATAGCAACTTGAAAGGGCACGGATTAGCCCAGTGGCTGTTCTATTTTTTCACCCATGGCTTGCACACAGAAGGTTTTCTGTATTGCCATCTCCTGCTTTTTTATATTATTTTTATTTCTCATCAATTACAGAGGCCCATTTGCGGGATACTACAGTGGAGGAGAGACTATGTTGTGAATGCTTCTATAGGCAAAGTGTGCATCTTAAACATGGAAATGACAGCCGTTGCTGAGAGTGAAGTGGTTGACTTTGGCGGTGAAGAGTCGTTCTTGACGAGGATTCTCAGCATCTAGGGATGTCTGCATCCAGTAAAAAAAATGAGATGGCCCAGACTGGGTAAGGGATGCTATTTCCAGTTTGATTTTTATTTTTTAACTCCAAATTCTATAGAGTGGAACACGGATTTAGTCTCAGAACTAATTCCTGGAATGTCTGCCCGAGTTTCGGGTGGTTAGATATGACACAATACCAGAAGAGAGCATTAAAGCAGGTGGCACAGCCGTGTGTCTGTGGGGGATGGGGAGGGAGTTTTCTGTAATTTTCAAAGCTTTGATTTATTGCTATGTTCAAGAATTAATTATAGCCTGAGGTCCCTGAAATGAAGGAGGTAAAACAAAACGAAACAAAAAAAACAACATGACAATTCCACATCTGGTAGAAGACACAGCTGCATCTATTTAGGAAAGCTGCCCCATTCCTGGTTCCCTGAACTCAAGCAAATGGTCCTACCTTCCAGGCTGTCTCCTGGGGCCAGAGAACCGTCAACACTTGGAACATCATTAGCATCCTTCTTCTTGTGGGTCCTAGGGAGAGAATCACATTCTCAGTACAGCAGGCATCTGTGGCTACAGTTTTAAAATGAAGATATACAACCGGTGGTCTGTGGTCCCTGCTCAAGGTAACCTCTGCTGACTCATTATGTGCCTGATAAGATCTCTTGTCGAGGCCATGAAAAATGGCCTTGTACTGAGATGCAAGCCGGGCTGAGCGAAGGAAGGGGAGGAGGGAAATCATGGTTTTAGAAGTGAGACAATGAGTTGTTTTTGCCTCTTTAGAATCCATGGCTGTCTCTAGGCATCAGCCCTGAGTGCTACCATCTTCCCGGGCAGCAAAAGTTAGGAGAGGGAGGCCAGGCGTGGTGGCTCAAACCTGTAATCCCAGCACTTCGGGAGGCCAAGGCGGGTGGATCACCTGAGATCGGGAGTTCGAGAAGAGACTGACCAACGTGGAGAAACCCCGTCTCTACTAAAAATACAAAATTAGCCAGGCATGGTGGCACATGCCTGTAATCCCAGCTACTTGGGAGGCTGAGGCAGGAGAATCACTTGAACCCGGGAGGTGGAGGTTGCGGTGAGCTGAGATCATGCCATTGCACTCCAGCCTGGGCAACAAGAGTGAAACTACATCTCAAAGAAAAAAAAAGTTAGGAGAGGGAGACTAGGACTGTCTGTTAATAAATGGTCTCCCTAACTTGCAGCTGACTCAGAGACAACTGACATAGCCTCCCGTCGGGTTTGTGACCAAGCCCCTGTCCAGGTTCTATGTAACAGCTGCATCATGGATATCCATTCAGCCTTCTTCTTCAGCACAGTATCCTAAGATAACATTCAGGAAACACGGGGATTTTTAACACATTGAGGTATTGTTTTTTTCAAGCATATAGGATTCACGCAACATATTTTTTTAATGTCTATTAAGTATTCAGCAGGAAAAGTGGCACAAAGCAATGTCAGAGTTGCCTCTGCCATCAAACAGCTTTCAATCAGTTGGAGAACAGAGGATGTGGGGGTGGATGGTGGGGTGGGGGAGACTCTGAGAGCCACAGGAAGACCATGGAAGGGATTTGTGAGACCAGAAGGAACCAAAGTGAGCTTTATGGATCTCAGCCAGACCAGTGTGTGGGCAGAGGGTGGCTACTTGGAGAAAGAGGTATTTCAGGGCAGGCCCAGTTCCTTGGGTGTCTGTGCTATAAACCTGGTATTGCCTGGGCAGGAAAAGAACCTCAGTTCTGGAGGTTGGGATCTACAAGGGAATCATAGGAAATCGAGGTGGGCAGGTAGGATGGTGAGGGATGCAACCGGCTGTGACCCATTGGCTGGAAGGACACAGCAGACTCAGCTCCCCCCGGACTGGGGCTCCACATCTATAAAATCATTTTCTAAGTTCCTCCAATCGTGTGTTCCTGCAGAGCACTAAAAACAGGATGAAGAATAGCATCTGGTGCCACAGATGAGATGCCAGCTTTGGAGCCATCCGGGTGGGTCCGTGGTGGGGGCAAGTGGGAGCTCTACATCAGGAGGGCGGTGCCAGCCTTGCGTCTGCCTCGGCCCCACACAGTGACCTCACTGGACCCCACAGTCCGTCCTCCCCGCCCGTTCATCCATCTTTGGGCTAATTCGCTACCTTCATGGCCAGTCCTTCTCCTCGCCCGTACGCACTCTCCTCCTCCGGGCTGCCCCGTTCTCCCCTCCCCAGCCCCTGGGGACGCACACATGGCAAGGCCTTGTCAGGAGGCTCGGTGAAATGAGACAGAACTCACAGATGCAGCTTGGGCGAGGGCATCCCAGGGCCTCCAGAAAACGCAAGGCAGAGAGACAGACTTTGCAGTCCAATTTCTAAAGTCATTTGAAATGTCCATAATTATGCTGCATGTATATTTGGGAGTTGAGGGAATGGGAGAGGCTGAGAATCAAGAATGAATGGGGAACTGCCAGTGGGCACAGACCATCCACTAGGGAAGTGGGAAACTGAGTCATGTCTGGATCCCAGCCCTGTCAGCACCTGTGTGACCAGCCCAAGATGGTGATGGACACCCTCTGGTGCCTTTCCTCCTCAGTAAGGCAGCTGCAGTGGGCTGGGGGAGAAGGAATGTCCTGGGTGGTGACGCAGAGTCCCTCTCCTTGTGGAGCTGAGTGAAACAGTGGGGTCTTGGGATCTCATTCTCATGAGACTCCATGCTTCTCAGGAGAAAGGACAGAAGAGGACCTGAGGGAGCCTGTTTTGTTGCTAGAATATTGTGTACTCTGGCAAAGAACAACACCCGGAGAAAATCAACTTATGGCCCAGTGACTGCAGCGTGTGCCCCTCAGAGGAGGCTATTCCGGTTCATTGAGCCAAGTTGAGAATAGCTCTAAAGCATGGCCCAATGACCTTCTCTTTTCCCCCACAAGCTTATAAGTTACTCTGCACACTGGCCAGAATCACTCATTGACCAAGCTTTTGTCAGGTTCCTCTTTGGTAGGCTTAATCCTTGACCTGCTGAGCCCATCTCTAGCAAGAATCCTGCTAAGCCAATTTAGCAAGAGTCCCCCACTTCCCCTCCTTCGAGCTCCTCTTAGTAATTTTCCATCCAGTGACTCCCTCACCGTGTGCAATGGCTATAAATCCCTTCCTAGCAGGCCCTGTTGTATCCAAGTAGAGTTCAGTCTCTCTCCTCTACTGTAATGGTCTTGACCCCTATTACAGTAGCATTGAAAAAAATCTTCCTTGCCTGTTTACCTCCATCCATTGCAAGTTTTCCTTGACAGCATCCATGACCAATAATTTCAACATGGGGAGGCAGGAGCCAACAATGGGTTTTAAAAAGCCATAAAACCAAGTGCATGAGGAAATGGGATATTATTCCTTGCACAGTGGCTGGCAGGTGGTAGCAACAACAGACAGTTCTCACTCCAAGTGTATCCATCTCCCATTCAACACTGTCGTCTCAAGGGAACCTGGAGGGTGAGTGAGTTCCTTTGTTACTGCTATTTTCTCCCCATATACAGGCAAGCAAAACACAGCAAAGCTACTGGTACTCTCTCAGCCTCCAAAAAGATTCTAACTCTGTGAAGATCCTAAAGGAGAGATAAAGATAAGCCTAAAAATTAGAAAATGTAATTCCACAACGAAGCCATTTGTAATTGTTTCATGGAAGTATTTGCTTAATTTGAACTATTAAACATAAGCATTATCTGATTATTTTCTAATGATATGTCTTTATACCTGTCATCCTACACAGTAATTAGCTATGACACGTTTAAAACCCTAAGAATATTTTGAAACTTGAAGCACCAGAAGGGAAATTGACAAGAGTCAATGTGTAAAATGAACAGGAATGCTGGCCAGAGAACACCCACCACAGCAGTGTAAAACACTGGATGTCTGCATCTTTTTGTGGCCAAAGATATGAGGCCCAGTAACACTGGAAAGCAACTACTTTTTATATCTAACTGTTGTGTATTTACCTAATACAGAATAATTCTAAAAATCTGTGTAGGGCAAGGTAAATGCTCTGAAATAATCTTGTATTAGTTTCTCTTTCTGAACTTTTCTGCGTCCTACCAGCATTTATTTCTTGCAGAGTACGTAGCACCATTCGTATGATTCAGCAACCTGAAAGGGAAATGTGTTCAGGCAACAGGTCTCTATCTAGAAAACCAAGGGTTTGGCTTAGCCCATTGCCCAAACAATTTTCTTTCTAGGCTTTTAGCTTTATGTCATTTCTCTTTACAAATACATGTTTGTATAGGAGGCAATTACAATCTTTTCTAAGTAGTTTGTGCAAGGAAAATGAATTAGTGCTTTTTTATCTCAGTGTAAATAAAATGAGCTGTAATAACCCCCAATTAGCACATTAAAATAAGTTGAAGATTTGTTTTTATCATTTCATTGTACAGAAAAAAGGCAGCAATGAGAACCTTATATTAGTGACAAAAACAGTACCAGTTGTTTGCCTTGAAGAGCAGAGAAAATGTAATTTAAAACTCTCTGCGAATCTTTGATAATTAATTTCACACCAAATGAGCCATTAGAACGTCTATAAAACATCTGATAGCTAAAAAAAAAGCCAAACCAATGATTTTCCCCCTAAACAAGAATGTCAACAATAAAAATTTAATATGCATAAAGAAATTAGGAGAGGAACAAAGCCAAGTGGAAAGTTTTGTCTTGCTTCCTTTCTTTCAAAGTTGGTGATTTAAAGAGTGAACTTGAACTTTGTCAAGTGAAGGGAATAGTCAGGACATTTTCGATGATAAAACCCACCAAAATGTAAGTGAATTATCGGAAAAATCAGTGGGTGTATTGTCTGGTGGTTTCTGTGCTTGTGTGCTTGTATGTGTGTATGATGTGCATGTTGATATGGTTTGACTGTGTCCCCACCCAAATCTCATCTTGAATTGTAGCTCCCATAATTCCTGTGTGTCATGGGAAAGATCTGGTGGGAAGTAATTGAATCATGGGGGCAGGTCTTTCCCCAGCTGTTCTCATGATAGGCAGTAAGCCTCAAGAGATCTGATGGTTTTATAAAGGGCAGTTCCCATGCACACACTCTCTTGCCTGCCGCCATGTTAGATGTGCCTTTGCTTCTCTTTTGCCTTCCGCTGGGATTGTGAGGCCTCCCCAGACATGTGGAACTGTGAGTCCATTAAACCCCTTTCCTTTATAAATAACCCAGTCTCAGGTATGTCTTTATTAGTGGCACGAGAACAGACTAATACACATATCTATCCATGCATGAAGGGTATGTGACTGCTTGTGTGGTGCTGATGTGTGATGGCACACGTGTGTAAGTGTGTGTGTGGGGGGTGTTCTGTCTGTAGTGTATTGTTAGGAAGTAGAAATAAGAAGCAGCAAAGTGTAAGTCAGAGATTTCTTTGGGTACATATCCACATGAATGAGTAAGGAATCAAAAGCAGGCAACTTGGCTGTGCCTATAGTCAATGTATTAGATGACTATATTAAGCTTAGATTATAGACACCATTTAAACCATCATTGGGTAAATTTACCCACTATAGGAAATTGTTGGTCCTAAACTATAGATCAGGCAGAGTAAACACTCCACGCTACTTACACACATGGTTTAATGTTGAACTTTTTGTTCTTCTACAAAAACTGAGACAAACTGAAATGACTTCTTAGGTTTGCTGAGAACAGCAACAATAAAGAAACCTCTGCAAAATTTGTCCAGTGGCATTTTCTTGTATAGCTATAGTCATTGGTGCAATTTCGGGTCTTGGGGTCTCACTCTTGGGCCATGTTCATATTTGGTGGATGAACCAGCAGGTGCTCGCCCCATCCGAGCTGTCTACTCACTTGCCCGAGTCCAAGCAAAAGTCCCAGGGGTTCTGGGAGGTGCTGTGATTGCTCTGGTGGAGTATGGTTGTTTCTGATAGCACTGTTCTTGCAAAGCTCTTCACTTCAGGATGCAATTGATTTTAAAGGCAAATGGCTGAGGCGTGGGAGAAAGAGCATAGGATTTGAAATGAGAAGAAGTTTATGCAAAGCTCCTTTCTGCCACTTCCTGGCTGCACATTCGAGGATGGAAGTCTCACTTTGTTGTTTCACATCAATGAGGGTTCCTTGGATGAAAGCCTTAGAAACTGACCAGCTGATTAAAGCTCTTCTGCAAAGACAGGTCATTGGAATCACAGGGGATAGAGGAATTGAAGTGGAAGTCTTAGAATAAACAGGAAATGGGAAAAGGAGGAAGAACAAACCCAGGGAACAGGAGGAAGAGCATGTAGTATTTTCACGGCGCCTCTTCCTGGGGTAATTCGTGGCTTTTTTTGTCGTTTTGTTTTGTTTTGTCTTATGCCAGTCAAAGATGAGAATTTCAGGAGGGAGAGACTGTTGGTCTTAGCTGAGCCCCCCATCCCTGCCTTACCCAAGGGAAACTGAGCCTCTTGAGTGACAGCTTGGCAAGATGTGTATATTAAGGGAGTAGCATTCTCCCCAAGGAAAACCCAGGTGCTGGTACCAAAAAGAGGGATTGGCATTCACTGCATCCACCCAGCTGCCCCTCCTCAGGGAGCTGGCACTGTCTTCTGGGTCAGTCCAATCTGTGGTCAGCTCCCAGGACTGACCTTCCTTGACCCATCAGCATCGTGTGTCCTGGCTCATCTTATCTGGCTCACTGGCTACTTCTTTCAATCCTAGGATAAAGGGGATCTATTCAGGTTCAGCCACACCTCCCCACCTTCCTGCCACCCCGAGATGGGCCCTCTAGACCATCCAAATGGGTCCCGCGCAGCTTCCCACTCCGCTCCCACCTCTGCCTCCTCCTAGTTTAATTCCAATACGGAGAGTAGATTGGGTGCCTCCACTGCTCCAAACCCTACATTTGATTCCTGAACAGTATAGAATAAAAACTCAAGGACTCACAATGGTCCATAGGACCCCACCCCACTCTTCTGACCTCCCTCCTATCTGCCTCCACCTATGCCTATGGTCTCTTTTTTCCCATTCCTGCCCCAGCCTTTCTGCCAAGGAGCCTCGATCTGCGGTGTTCTTCCCCCGATGGCCCTGCCTGCTTGGCACCCCTTGCCTTCCGCACCCTGCCCAGGGTCATGTTCCCCTTGAGGCCTTTCCTGAGTCCCACCACTTTGTTTCTTTCTACATTCACGACCACTGTCTAGTGCATTTTATTATTGTACCCATGTACTTTGCTGTCACCTCTCTCCCCATTTAGAAGTTACCTCCCTCTGGGCGTGAGGGAGCTTTGCATCGTTTTGTCTGTTTCATTCCCTGCTCTGTCCCCAAAGCCTAGAATAATAACCAGCACATGGCTAAAGGCCAGGAAACACCTATTGAACTAATGAACAAACTTGTTGAGGAAATTAATAATAGATCACAGACTAACTTAGCACAGTCTCAGGCCTAGGGTAAGCACTCAATATACGTTGGTTTATTCATCAGCTTACTAATTTAGTAAATAGAAGGAAGAGGCAGTTGGTGATTTTCATCTGCTTTACTTTATCCAAATAAATTCTGAGAGGAAATGTTTTTATGATGGACTAGTACTAAAATCTCCCCACATGTTTCATGTGGGGTCAGCCCATTCTGCCCAGTGGAGATGGGACAGCAAGATCCAGTTTGAAGCATTTGCTATCAATGGCATTGAAGTATCACTGAAGGATCTCCAGAGCCCAGCAGCCAAGAAGGAATGCAAAGAGCCCACAAACAGAGGTTACTCCTCAAAGCCACTGCCCCTTTTGAAGACAAAAAGTGGGGGATGTCACAGTGCTACAGCCGAAGACCAGGACAGCCTGAGAGAAGCACAGAGTGGTTAGTAACAAGAGGAGAGCCAGGACTTTGCTTATAAGCTTGCGCTACACCCCATCAGGATTTCCCCGGGAGCTTTTTCCTGTGCTGGGGAATAACATGAACGTGCCCATCAGTGCAAAGGGTGCAGTGAGGGCAGGAAGTTACCGTCACCTCATTAGGTTAACGAGACACAAACCTCCAGCCCCTGTGCAGTGAGATACTGGTGACCGCCCTCTGACGTCTCTCCATCCTGCCTCCCCAGGCTGTTCGGATGGGTGGGGTTCAGATTCATGCTGTTTAGGGCAGGGCAAGCACCCTGCAAGCACAGAAGGCTCTGTTTCTCTGCTACTAGAGAAACCCACACCCAGTATCTTTGCACACTGCTGTCTCTTGTTTGGGTGCCGCCAAGTGGAGGCCACGGAGACTCAGTAGCAAGATCACGTGCTCCCGGCATCTGGTCAAGCCATCAACAATATGGTGCTGTTTAACACGAGGTCGCTGCGGTGCCCCATCAACACAGTGGGACCTCGTTAAATGTCATCTTATTTTAGAACTGGAGAGGATGTAGGCACCACGGAGTTCAAGGCCCTCATTCAGAAGCAGGACATCTGAGGCCCAACTCGCCCCAGTGGCCCTGCCTGGGGCACAGAGTGTCTCACCCAGCTTGCTATGTACTGTTCCTTGGCTGACCCTGATGGTGACTGTAACTTCCTGCCCTCACTGCACCCTTTGCACTGATGGGCACATTTGTATTATTCCCCAGCACAGGAAAAAGCTCCCGGGGAAGTCTTGATGGGGTGCATTGCAAGCTTATATGCAAAGTCCTGGCTCTCCTCCTGTTATTAACCACTCCCTGCTTCTCCCAGGACCTCTTGGTCTTCAGCTGTGGTGCTGTGACATTCCCCGCTTTTTGTCTTCAAAAGGGGCAGTGGCTTTGAAGAGTAACCTCTGTTTGTGGGCTTTTTGCATGAAACCTAACCCCACTGGCACCCAGAAAAGCAGCAGAAATACTGACCCAGGGAGTCAGTTTGTGCACCTCCATTCCTGCCTCTGTTGAATGGTAGTAGCCTTGGTCTCACAGGGGCACTTTCAGTAGAAAAGAGAAAGGGCATCTTTTCACCCACAGGCATTGACGAGGCCCCTGTCCTTCTAAACGTATCATGTGGAGATGATTCTGGGGCCAAAACCACTGGTAGGAATCCCAACTTCACTGCTTTCTTGTGCTGGTCAGATGATTTAACCTCCGGAATAACAAGACCCACTTTTGTTGAGCCCACTGTAGGTCCTCCCAAGTCCTCACTGCTTTCTTTCTGTGTCCTGACCGAGTAGCCCAGATTGCCTTGACTGCTCTGTGACCCGGCCAGCTGCAGGCTTTCTCCTACAGGCTTGAACCCAAGCTGAACTCTGGAACATTCCCAGGCACTGATAAAGTCGTTCAGGTTGTTGCTTGCAGCAGTCAGTGAGAGACCACGTTGCTAAACATGTAGAAACCAGTCCGACCTTGAGCCAAGTTCCCTAAACCCTCAAACGCCAGACCGTGACCTCATCATGGACATACGTGGGCAAAACATCCCTTTCCTTGCTTTCTGTCACGGGGCTTCAGCCGCTGTATGTAAATTCCCCCGGTAAATGCTTTACAGCAAGGACCCCAGCAATTGTTTCTTCTCCCTCTGGAATTCCAGCCAGCCCCATCTCAGAACAGTTTGGGGCTGTCTCTTGCAGGAACTCCCCTGCTGTCAATTTTGGAGTGACTCTCGCCATGGGTTTGGCCAGACAGAGCACCCTTGCAAGGCATGGGTTACCTCACTGAACGCTCACAGCAACCCCAGGGCATGGATAATCCCAGCAGGGTATCCCCATTTTACAGGCAAAGGAGAGGAGGCTCATCAGAAAGGTCTCACAGCCAGGAACTTGTGGAAGCAGCTGCCTCCCTGGTCTGCCTGCTCTGCCCACTGGGTTCTAAAGCCTTGCAGATTCATGAGGACTCAGTAACATGGGGTAGGAAGAGTGTGCACTGCCCAGGGAGTGCTGAAGGTGCAAGGAGATAATACACTTGGGATTCACTGGAGCCCCACACCCCACAGCTCAGAACAAGGCCGCTGGAATTGCCGATTCCTGTGGTGTGGGAGGGGGCCCTGGCTCCAGTCGGACACTGCCCCCAGGTTTAGTTAGTCTGTGTCTAAGAGAAGAAGAGGTCAATACATTGGGAAGGAAATGTCGGGAGGGCCCCACTCCAGGCCCCACCCCTTGGGCCTTTCATCTCCGATTCCATCCTCACCTCCGTCTATCTCTCGTGCCGCCCCACGTGCGTCTTCCTCCTGGGTGGAAACGCGGCAGCTGGGGTGACTTGCAGAGGCTCTCGCTTGCGTTCCTGGGCTCCTCCTGGGATAGGGAGAAGGGTCTTCAGGCTGGAAATTAGAATAAGGAGACGTTCTCCCTTGAATTTAATTGCATCTCTGTCAGTAATTCAGCAACCATCATTTGCACACACATTTCTGAAAGGCTTTTCAAGGAATTTCAAACCCGCCATTTAAAATTCTCATTATGGTAGGAAATGGTCCCTTTGGGGCCCAACAGTTTTCTCTTTGGTCTCACGGTCCCTGGAGGTACGGATTTCAATTTAGAGTTTTCCACGTGGAAACTGAAGGAGCTAAGGCTCGCACATGACTCCCCCACCCCCTACCCCCGCCCTGAGCAAACACACTCGTTTCCAAGTCAGATGAGCAGCGAGAGAAAACATTCATCAAACTTCAGTAGTGTAATGGGTCTTCGCTGCTGGAATTAAATGCAACAGGTAGATAGGATTATGTTTAATGCGTATTTACTGGTCGATCTCTCAATTTGCTGAAGAACGTTAGTAACAATTGGTAACAAACGTTCCGTTGATTTATATGAGTGCATACAAACCCGGAAGAGCCCCACATCTCCCCCGAACCATGCCTGCATCTCTTGGGAGACTCTCACTTTCAAATAATCTTGTTAGATATTGTTAGAAACTGATAGATTTGCATACCGCGAATGTTAAAATTCAGAAAATACTCAACCGCCAATTACAGCCACCACGTCTTTCCCTAATTAATCAGTCAGGAAAGAGCAGCTCCAGGTGCTTTTCCTGAGCTGAGCATCCGCCAAAGCCTTTGTCTTTATTAATCTTGATGACCCACCAGTCAGCATAGGCAGGTCCCTCCGAGATGACGGAAAAGCGGGAACACCTCGGGGACTCACACCTGTGCCAAGTGATGAATCCTCCCGACACCTGATTAGATGATTCCCAGTTCTGTCTACTTCTGGACATGATAAACATCAGAGACTGCTCAGGGACAAAGCTAGCACCCCTGAGGCTCTGGATGGTGCAATTCCTAATCCAGTGAATTTCGTTCTATGCCTCCTTCAGGAGGTGCTCCTCATGAGCACCTGTCCCATGCCCTGCCCTGCAGACTAAGGGACAGTGGAAAGCTGTGGAGCAGAGCCCCCTCTGTGAATTGAATGAGCGTCCCTCAATGAACAAGCCTGCTCATGTGGAACACAGGGACAGTGGTGCCTGTCAAGCTCAGAATGGGTGGGGCAAACTTGGTGAGAGGGAAACCTAGAAGAAAGAGCAAACAAATTGTCCCGTACCCAAGCGCTCTAAGAAATGAAGCTGGTAAAACAGCACAGCTCAGAAGGGGCAAAGAGAGTGTTTGTAGACTTCAGTGCTCTGGAGAACGTTGAACATTCTCATGTCTAAAAGCGGGGTGAAATTTATGCTCAAGGCCACGAGGGACAGGTGTTCCCAGCACAGACTGCTATATATTCATGAAGCTGATTTCCACATGCGCCCAGGAGGGCTCCAGGACTCCAGCCCTGGCTCACAGCTGTCCACTGCCTCCCTAGGTCAGCCACCAGCAAGAGCAAGGCCTTGTAACTAAAGGGCCCTCTGGGCCTCCTCCCAGTCTACAAGCCTGGTGCATCGCTCCAAGCCCCTACTTTGAGGTGCCTCTTTTGACTTCCTTTTGCAGGTAGAGACTCTCTCTAGGGGCAGTTCCACATTCCAGCCAGGTCTGATGCTTGGAACTCTGGTCCAGGCTTAATTTGTCTGTTTTTGGAAGAGGAGTGTTGAGCAGATGGACTAATTGGTCACTGCTTCCCAGAGACCCGGATAATAAATGAGCTGTCCCCCTCAGCTAAGCATTCGGCTGGCAGGCCCGGCAACCCATTCTCAGCTCCCACCAGCACCACAATGAGTGATTCCAGCCCCGGAGTGCGCCGGTTTGGAGAGTTTCAAGTTCATTAAGAGTTTAAATAAATCCATTCATTTCGGTTTACCTTAAAGAGTTTTCTGTAATCACCTTCATTACATGTTTAAATAGGGTTAGGGAGGGTAGTAATTAGAAAAAAATTTGCTTCAGCAGGGGGCACTTTGCAGCTCTACACAAATATGTTACCTTGTCACAGTCCCTATGATCTGGAACCAACTCAGGCCCAAGCCTCAGCCCCTGTGTAAATCACAGCCCACGAGGCGCAGCTCCAGGGAGCTCCGGACGGAAGGGCGTCTGTAGAAAGAGAGCGTTTCTGCTTTGGCTTCCCGGGTCTTTTTTTTTTTTTTTTTTTTTTTTGAGACGGAGTCTTGCTCTGTCACCCAGGCTGGAGTGCAGTGGCGAGATCTTGGCTCACTGCAAGCTCCGCCTCCCAGGTTCACGCCAGTCTCCTTCCTCAGCCTCCCGAGTAGCTGGAACTACAGGTGCCCGCCACCACACCCAGCTAATTTTTTGTATTTTTAGTAAAGACGGGTTTCACCATGTTAGCCAGGATGGTCTCCATCTCCTGACCTCGTGATCCGCCCGCCTCAGCCTCCCAAAGTGCTGGGATTAAAGGCGTGAGCCACCGCGCCCGGATGCCGGGTCATGTGTTTTTAAAGGGAGCTTCACTTTCCACACTGGTCCCAAAAATCCCAATATCTTTGTCTAGTATCATCTCTGTGTTTACTGCATCCCAAGCCCACTCCATACCCATAAAGCTTTGGAATTCGGCTCAAAAGCTTCAGTTAGGATTTCCGATGATGGATGAAGACGCGAGATAATTGCTCCATACTTGGCCTATCCCCGGGAAGACACAGTCAATAATAGTATAATGTGGTTAGTTTAGACATTTCATTAAATAGAATATCATCAATGGAATCCAGGGTAAAGCATGTTTCTGCAATATCATAATGGATAAGGCTTGGTTTTAAATGTACTGCAATAAAAACCTACATGTCATGAATTTTGCTGTGGAAACAGACTCTTATTAGTTTAGGCTTCCTAGGCATTGAATAATTTGTGTCATAAACTAGTTTCTAATAAAATCTGCAAATAAAATTTCAAATGGGGAATGCCTGTTGGGCACAGTGGAAATTTCCTGAGCTTCTTGCTTTGGGGGGTTTAACTTTTGGTTTCCCCAGGAATGCCTTGAGATTCTTTGATTTCCTTTCAACTAGAAAGGAAAAAGCCTCGGAGGTGACCACAGGAAGCTCCCTGGGATGCAGGTCCCTGGGCCACAAGATCTCAGCTTGGTGGCGGGGTCAGCACCCTGTGGAGCAGGGGTCCTCTGGATCACACCTGGCTCCTGCTGATGGTTAATGCCTGCCCATCATTTTCTGACACTGCCAAGGTGTGAGTCCACCTGCTCTAGTTTACTAACCCTTGGTGTGTGCATTGGCGCCTGGCACCTCAGGACTAAGCCAGGCTGTCTGTCCATGAGCCTGGTTTTGTGCCTTTTCGGGGGGGAGACCTCACCAGATTCCCAGCTGCCTTAGGCGCTTGCTCTATGCCAGTATTGTCACCTGGGCGCACCTCTGGGCCTACCTTCGGGAAAGGCTCCACCTGTGTGTCTTGGGAGTTCTCCCAGGCAGCCCCACCAATGAGCCTTTCCCTGTGCAGAGTCCCTTCTGGTAAGTCTCAGTGAGGGAAAGGGGGGCTGTGATCACTGCGGTCCAGAATCGTCCCGTTGAAATGGAGATAAGTGGCCACGAAGTGCGGGCACTGGCTCCTATTGCTGCTGATCACTGTCACTGCATTATTTTATCATAAAGGAAAGTGTGACTCGAAAGGCCTGGGGGTGGGGAGGCCAGGGATGAGAAGAAGAAGGCTGGCACCCCACTAGGGAAGAGTTTGATGGGGGATTCTCATCTGGGCACCACACAGTTTATAGGAACCCAGGGCGGACTTGCCTGGATCCCGAATGGGCTGTGGGGACTCTGGGGACAGGTCAAGAGCACACAACTGTCCTGGAGAAGGACACAGAGGGTAAGAAGCAGCATGGGGCCTGGGTCAAGCCTGTGCTGGGGCTGGGAGGAGTTCCCCAGAGGAGGGAGGGATGCCACAGCCTCGCACCGACCACTGCTCCGAGTTTAACTTTCCTTACACACCTTCTCCTTCTGGTGAGACCCACGGGGATACAGCCAGAGGCTCCAGGCGAGGCGGGTGGGCCTGGGGTGGGTGCTCTGTGACGGTCACATGCACATGGAGGACAAGATGAACAATAATCTTGCATCGGTTTGGTTTGTTTGTTTGTTAGTGAGACAGGGTCTCACTCTGTCACCTAGGCTGGGTGCAGTGGCACGATTACAGCTGACTGCAGCCTGCCTTAAACTCCTGGGCCCAAGTGATCCTCCCACCTCAGCCTCTTGAGTATCCGGGACTACAGGAGCATGTCACCATGCACAGCTAATTTTTTGTTTTTTGTAGAGAAAGGGTCTCACTATGTTGCCCAGGCTAGTCTTGAACTCCTAGGCTCAAGGGCTCCTCCCACCTCAGCCTGCCAAAGCACTGGGAGAACAGATGTGAGCCTCCACACCCAGCCTGGTTTGGAATGTTTTTAAAAGATTTTGAAAATCTGTTATTTTCACCTTTTGCACACTCCCGCCCCACCACCCTTCCCTGAATTTTGATTAAAATTCATGCCTCAGCATCGCTGCTCTGGTCAGGTAAAAGATGGGAGGCTGTGCCAAAGAGAACGACGGCTTGCCCAAGACTGGCAATTCCCATGATTTAGGGTGATTACGGCTCAGCTGTAATGAATGCATATTAAGCCTTCCTTCAGAGCCTACAGAACTTTTGATTCATAAACAAATTACTCCGAGCCTATAATGCAGGAGAAAGAAATAGCAGCTAATTTAACCAGTGAATCAATGGTAAGACAGAACAATATAGATCATGGAATTTGAAGTACTGTATAATGGAGAAAATGAAAGTAATAACAAGAAGCAGAAAGACTCATAAGGGCAGCCCAGGCCCACAGGCCCCAGCACTGGACTCCAGGCCCTGGGCTGCAGTAAGACATCCGTGAATTCGGTCCTGCAATGAATCCTGACTTTGTTCTGGAAGGTGTTAACAGAAAGACAAGCTGTGCTTAGTGTGGCCTCCACACCAATAGGATGCCTTCCCATTGAACAAGAAACCTAGCCAGCCCTAAGCAGGAGAGGCTCAGTTCATGCCTGCTGCCCCAGGGAGGCACGGAGGTGTCCCAGAAGAAGCATGCACTGTGGCATCAGCCAGATGGATGTGTGGATCCAGGCTCCCTTGCTGTCACTGTGGGACCATGGACAAATAACCGGACCCTCTGAGCCTCAGTTTCCCTCCCTGGAGAATGGAGATAATACCTACAAAATCAAGTACATCATGGCTTATAAATTTGAGGCAGCTCAACACAGTGTTAAGAGCAAAGTCTGTGGACCACCTGGACAGCCTTAGGCAAGTAGCAAAGACCTCACTTTGCCTCAGTGCCCCAGCTGCAAAATGGGTTGATGTGAAGGTTAAATACTAGGTAATACCAGTCGAGGCTAAGCGCGGTGCACAGTGAGCCCACACAAATGCTCCTGTTTCCTCATAAACGTGCCCTAAGGATCTAAATGTGATGCTCTAGGTGCCCAGTTTGGTTCCAGACTTGCTCATATAGAGCCCAGCATAGAGGCTACCTTTTTCTTCCCCACAAGTCCAGGATCCTGGATCGCAACTCCGGGTGGGGGGACGTGAACCCCCACGTGAATAGCCTTTTCTTGGGGCAATTCTCATTCTCCCATTTTAGATGTTCCCGGGCTATTACTTTAAGGAACTCTTTGAATCTATGCTTGTGTCCATGGTTCTGGGGGAAAGTTTGAAGTAGTGTTTCCCAGAACGCATCCCATAGTGCAGGAGTCCCCTGAGGTGACGTGCAGGGGGGAAGGAAGGGCTCCCTCCCCAGCGGTGCTCCCCAGTGTCCCTCCAATGCTCACATGGCCCCACTGGAGACATGCTACTTTGCTTGAAGCCATTTATCTCTCCTTGAAAGATGAGCAAGAATTTCACCCCATCTCCTCCCCTCTGCAGAATTGTATGCTAAAATTTCTTTTGTGTATGCCTGTATTTCTTCTTTCCAGCACTGTGCCACCACCTAATTTCACTGCTTTGAGCCTGAACTGTACCTCAGCCTGCTTGGCTTGGACAGCCTGTGTCTTCTGACTCAGAACCTGTCTCATCCTGGCTTGACTCATCAAGCTTCTTCTCATCTCAGAAGAGGGGGGACAACAACAAAACAGAGCTCACTTCTGGCAATAATATGCAAATGCTCGCACACCAAAAATAGTTTACACAATTCAAGAGGGCACACAAAAATGTTCCATCACATTTGCTCAACCTCTAAATCAAAATTTTATGATGCCAAGGAGTTTGCTCAGTCACCAGTCTGGTGATTT
Organism: Homo sapiens; assembly: GCF_000001405.40. Lineage (NCBI taxonomy): Eukaryota > Metazoa > Chordata > Mammalia > Primates > Hominidae > Homo > Homo sapiens. The sequence goes on along the minus strand of NC_000001.11, from coordinate 4,970,680 downwards.
TTATGGGATTCGTTTTTCTGAAGGGAAAGAGGGAGGTGAAATAGGAGTCATTAGCCAGGCCGTTTCAGAGGATAAACACACAGACCCAAAATAGGAAATGCAAATAGTTTAAAGGCAGTGACACCAATTTGAAGCAATCAAGTAGACAATAATACAGCATAGCCACTCTTTCTCAATGTCAACCATGTCAGGAGGGCCTACAGAAGGGGGGGGCAGGCCTGCTGGGACTCCCTGCCAGGACCCTGGGTTTTATGGGGTTGCACAGTTGTAGTTTCTGGAGGAGGTCCCTGTAGGAGCCTGGAGAACAATAACTCCTGAGATGCAGGAGGAAGCCTTGGGGATGTTCCTCTCCAACAAGGAAAGCAAAGGGAACCATGAAGGTATCTGTGAAAGAACTGTGGGTGATGCATGTTGCCAAACGTCTCATCTTGTGTTGGTTCTGGACACCCCACACGCTCTGTCATGGGGCCTTTGAGTTCCTGGGCAATTGGAACACAACCTCAAGCCCTGCCAGGGAGGGAGACTCCAGTACTCCTCAGCCCCAGACACCATGCAGGCAGGCATCTAAGGTGGGTGCATTGATGGCACCCAGGTCAGGCTCAATGGTAGATCTGACCAAAGATCTGCAGAACTAGACAGTCAGCAGGTGTCCGAAGGGGTGGCATGGCCTCCAGTATCTGGATTTGTGTCTGATCCTGTGGGTTTCTCATCTACATGAGTGCATGGGTGACACTGGGAAGTTCCTTGAGCCCTAGAGTAGCAGCATCAGAAAACGCATCAGTGGGCCATCCCAGCAGCCTTCTTGTTGGAAAACACTGGCTCTAGCTGTCTGGTCGGCTAGGAGCTGTGGCCCCATCTTCAAGCATGACCCCTCTAGGAAGTCTCCCTGGACCCCCAACCCCAGCTTGGGGAGACCCCATCCTCTTGCCTCTCCTCTTGCCTCCAGGCCTTTGCAGAAGCTCTTGGACCTTCTGATCCGCTGGTTCCCCAGCCTCCCCATGACCTCCCTGAAGACAAGCATGGTGGCTGCCATCAGCAAATTTCTCCTAAGCTCTGAGCCAGGCTGATGCTTGAGTGGGAACTTGGTTGAATGAATGATGAAATGAATAAAAGGATGAATACATTAACTTGAAGCCCTTAGATGAAAGGTTTTCTCAGTAAAGGTCCTCTGCACTAGGACTGGTAACGTCAACTGTGTACTCAATACTTTCCATGTAGTTAACAAGAGGCATCCCCATTGAGCCTGCTGTGTAACCTGAGCTTCTCAAACTCCTCACAGGATCTGTATTAATTAATTGCTATGCACCCACTTAGGGGTGGGACTTACCATTATCCCCACTGTAGATCCCTGAGGACCTGGGCTCAGAGAGGCTATGCCTGGTCACAAATGGAAATTGAGTCCTCCTAATTCTGATTACTGCACTCTGCCTTCCCTGCCCTCCCCTCCCCTCCCTTCTCCTCCCCTCCCTTCCCCTCCCCTCCCTCCCCTCCCTTCCCCTCCCCTCCCTTCCCCTCCACTCCCTTTCCATTCCCTTCCCTTCCCAGGAGGAGAGTCTGGGCAAGCCCTGCCTTCTGAAGCTCAAATGCTTTGCAGGAGAAAAGAAGGAAAGTGACTCCAGTTGAAGATGAGGGGCTCAGGGGTTGAGCAACCCTCACTCAAGTAAAGGGAGAGAAGCAAGAAGCCCAACAGGAAGTCAGCTTACACCCAACAGGACAGTTCCTGCTAAGACCCGGCTTCCTCCTCATGGCCATCCATTCATTCATTCACTCACTCATTCTTTCATGTAACAATTATGAGCTCTGTGTTAGTCAAGGTTCTCCAGAGAAAGAGAATCAACAGGATTTACATGCCTATGGAGAGACTTACTGTAATGGGCTCATGTGATTATCGTGGCTGATGAGGAAGGAAAATAAAACTTGGGACCCCAAAATCACTAAGTCAAGGGGAAGTCAAACTGGGAACTTCAGCAGGCAAACCCACCTCCCAATCTATTCCTGAATAAGATGGCTATGAAGATAAAAAAGATACACACCTCCCTCACAATCTGCCCATGTATCAATCCATTCTCCTACTGCTATGAAGAAATACCTGAGACTGGGTAATTTATAATTTATTGGACTCACAGTTCCACATGGCTGGGGATGCCTCGCAATCACGGCAAAGGCAGAAGAGCAAAGGCACACCTTACATGGTGGCAGGCAAGAGAGCATGTGCAGGGGAGCTGTCCTTTGTAAAAACCATCAGATCTCATGAGACTTATTCACTATCATGAGAAAAGCATGGGAAAAACTTGCCCCCATGATTCAATTACCTCCCACCAGGTACCTCCCATGATACATGCGGATTACGGGAGCTACAATTAAAGATTAGATTTGGGTGGGGACACAGTCAAACCATAACAGCCCACAAGGAAATTCCTAGTGGACAAAGGACAGACAGAACTCAAAGTCATCCCTCTGCTCACCTGTGACAGACATGTATCTGATTGTTTCCTCTGCCCTATTGTTTCACTGAGCCAGACTAAGGCCTACATGACTATTTGTCTAACCCCCACTCACATGGAAATTGTGTCTTCAGTGAAAGGCTGATCAGAGACTCAAAAGAATGCAACTGTTCATCTCTCATCTACCTACAACCTGGAAATGCTCTCCCCACTTTGAGTTGTCCAGCCCTTCCGGACCAAACCAATGGACATCTTACAGGTATTGACTGATGTCTCATGTCTCCCTAAAATGTATAAAGCCAGCTGTGCCCCGACCACCTTGGACACATGTCATCAGGACCTTGTATGGTTGTGTCACAGGTGTGTCTTTAACCTCAGCAAAATAAACTTTTGAAATTGATTGAAATCTGTCTCAGATACTTTTGGCTTAACACTGTCAAGGCCCAAATCTGCAGGGTGGGCAGGCAGGCTGGAGGCTGGGGAAGAAGCCCAAGCTGCAGGAAAAGTCCAAAAGTGCCTGTGGCTTCATTGCCCCTGCTTGGAGGCCAGTCTTTTCCTTGTAGGGTCTTCACCTGATTGGGTGAAGCCCACCTGCATCATGAAGGGCCACCTGTTTCCCCGAAATCTGCTGATGTCAATGTTAATCTCATCCACAAACGCCTTTGTGAAAACATCCAGAATAATGCTTGACCACATATCCGGGCACCGTGGCCCAGCTAAGCTGACACGCTAAATGAACCATCACAAGCTCCTGTTCTAAAGGCTTGGGATGTTGTCACAAACAAACGGAACTTACTTGGCAGCATTGAAGATAAATGATGAACAATAAGCAGTTTCATATGTCGGGCAGTGATGGCTGCCATGGAGAAGAGGCATAGCAAGGTGAGATGGTACCTGCAGTGTGTGAGTGGGAAGGGGTCATCGTAAACGGGGTAGTCAGAGTCAGCTTCCTGGAAAAGGCTGGTGTGAGCAGAGAGTGCAGGGGCCAACCAAGTGAGCCAGGAGGCATTCAGGAAAGGACTTTCAGGGTAAGGGGACAACCATGGGGGGTGCCTGGAGGAGCAGCAGAGGCCGGGGTGGGGGCAGCTGGAGCAGAGGGAGCAGGGGAGAGCAGTGGGAATGGAGGTTGGGGAAGTCAGTGAGACCAGCTCCAGGATGGTTGGAAGCCTTCTCAGTGTGAGAATTACGGTGATTACAATGATGTGGTTATTACATTAGACATAGCATGGACTCAAGAGTCGGATGAATTCCAGCTCAGTCCCCAGCTTCTCCACGTCCTAGCTGCGTGGACATCAGCCCATCAGTGAGTGTCTTTCTGCCTGGGTTTCCTTACCTGCAAAATCAGATGCTTATAGTACCCACCTTGGAGGGTGGCCGTGAGAAGAAACACAGTTGCCCAGCTGCAATGTCACAAGCCCAGTGGGTGAAGGTGCTTTCATCTTTGCTCCTTTGATCTTCCTCTAAGGGACTTTGGGTGTCTTCCAACATTCAGTTGGAACTGTGTTTAAACAATACATTTTAAACCCCAAGTGTCCTTCCCTACTTGCCATGCCATGATGTATCGGGAACTACTAATGCTGGGTGCACGCGTGCTTCGGCAGATCTTATAGTCATCCTTCTTCTGCCTGTGCCTGCACTTGAACTGTATGTCCACCATCACTGGTCACTGATTAGGAAAGGTGCAGCTGCACAGCCAAGATGGTGCATGTGTGCTCAGTCACACAGAATTGTAAATATTCTCCAACCCACCGTGGGATGCTGCCTGCAGCCACCCTCCTACCCTGTACAGGGGAGCTGGAAGGCAAGATCCAGAAGTCCAGGGAGCACAGCTGCCAAGAACAGCAACAACGACCTTAAGGCAGGTGCAAGGGTGGTGATCCACCGTAGATCGTCTAGAACTTCCTGTCAATTTGGGTGCTTCTGACTTGACTTTTAAAAAATTTTAATTTCTGTTGCCTATTATTTTTAGTGGCTCAATTTTAAAACCCATATCTCCTGCTCTTCTTCTTTAAAGTTTCTGGGTCAGTCTAAATGAAGAGTATCTTGAGGACAAGACGCTAAAAAAAGTTATCATTGGCAACTTATCTACATGAATCAAAATTTTCACATTTTTTCTGCCACCAAAATATTGGAAACTATGATTAGTATAAGTGTGCTTTTTTTTCATGTACAACTCTCAGTTTCAATTTTGGTTCTCCTCATTCTCCTTTTTAGCTAGTTTTGCTTTAAGATAATTAAATGTAATAACTTTAGACTTGTAAAATAAACGTCTACTGATATAATACCAGCTTACTCTGTTGTCTCCGTGTGAGATTTCCTCCAGGCTCTGCTGGGTGAAAAGCAGTTTGACACGCACATTGCTTGTGCTTTCCTGACAGGCAGCTCTTTTGTTCCTCCAATTCCCAGTTATCCTTTTCTTAAAGAGGTACTTCTTGTTTGTTTGTTTTTCTTTGACTTGAAGGAAGTGGAATTCCTGTATTAGCAATGAAAATGAGAAAGAATCCCAGGGCAGCCAGAGCTGTCTTTGAGTTTGTGGCACTTAGACTGTTTCCCCTGGCTAGTTCCTCCCTCTGTGCCTGAGCTGAGGGAGTCTGGAATCACAGAAATTAGGGTGTGCAGGCAGAAGGTTACAGTCATTCTCGAAGATTAGAAAACCCAGACTCAGCAATGGGGGCACTCACCTGGGCAGCATAGGTAGGTGTAATAGCTACAGGGCTGGGCCCCTCGCTGTCCACTGTGGTCACTGGTTGATTGACTGGGCCTCTGGGGCACAATCAAAGGGGTGTCCAGATGACAAAAGACAGGGAGCAAATTCCCTTCCTGTTGACTCATCCAAACTGCAGAGGTGATCAGCAGAGAAATGTGGGTTGGTGATAAAAGGAAGAAAAGAATCAATAATAATAAATGATAGTGATGATTATCTGTATTGGTCTTGACAACGAAAATGGCCCCTATCACTTCCCTAGTGCTTGTTATATTCCAGGTGATGTGACCAGCCAGGCAGTGCTCACCCTCCATCCCCAACCCACCCAAGTGCCCCGCGCCCGCTTCTCGGATGAGAAGGGGGTTGCTGGGGGAGGGGTCTGAGACCTCACAGCCTCCAAGGTCCCAGGCTGGTCCCCGGCGTGAGGAGGGAAACTGCAGATGTGGATTTGACCAATTGAATCCTGACCTCCCAGAGCTCAGGAAAATGCTCTCTGGAGGAGGACTCTGTGTGACAATGCCCATCTCCCGGTATCTCTTGGTGCCTCGAGGAAACTGTTTGCTCTTCTGTGAACAGAATCCAGGCCAAGGAAGTAAAGGGAGAACGGCAGCCCCTCCTGAGGCTGTGATTAAGGACTTCATGGAGAGAAACACATCGCTCCTGGGACACCAGCCCTGAGGAAGCACCAGCTCTGGGACCTGCAGGGCTCCACTTGACCTCTTCTGCTTAATTCCAGGGTGACCTTCAGAGAGTGGACTCCAAGCAGGAGCTCACAGCAAGAGCTCCAAGCACCGCTAATGGTTCACCCCCTGGAAACCGTCTCTGTTTAGACCTGGGCTTCTAATAAATTAATTTTAAGATGGCAGTACAAGTTTGAAGAGGGCACCTTAGAAGGCATTTGCAGCCATGAAGGTTGACTCCGTGGTACATGTAACATTACGTGAGCTGGAGGACAGCCTGACTCCTCTTTACCTTTCAGCTGGATAATAGGAGCTAACATTCATCTTTCCAAGTAAGAGGACCAAGTGTGCTCCCAATGGTAGGAATTCCACAGACAGCAGCAGTGTGCAGCCCACGGCGTGAATTCAGGTGTCCAATATCACCTTCAGAAGCATGTGAGTGAAGGGATGGACATGAATGTGAGAGAGAGAGAGAGAGAAAGAGAGAGAAAGAAAGAGAAAGAGACAGACAGAGAGAGAAGAGGGAGCGAGAGAGAGAGATTGAGATTCACCCCTGTTATGGAAAATGTCTAGAATAGAGTTTCCCAATGCCTTATTTTTGTCTGACATTTCAAAAAGATTAGTGTGTGGGTGTCAGGTATTAATATTGATCTTCATTCATTCCTTTGGGTAAACAGCTGCTTGAACACAGCACCACTTGATTTCTTTAATTTAGAAATAGAAGGAGAAGGAAATTGCCTTTCTTTTTGTTTTGACTTGATAGCTGGAAGGGTCCTGGCTTAAGCGGGTGAGTCCATGGCAGCTGAAGCTGTCCTGAAGACATATTCATGAGTCCAACTGGCAACCCTCTTCTCTGCGATGGCTCCATGATGTTCGTCTCAGTTTCTTCAGAGGTAAAACGAATAGCCTGGGAGATGGCTCAGGTTCATAGCTCCAGCCAGAGGGTATCTTCTGCAAAACAGCCCCCAGCTGACAGGACCCCAGAAAATGTGCTGCTACATTCCAGCTTTGTGGGTGTCCCTGGCCATGGTATAGGGCAAATAATCTCTCCAGCTGCCCTCTGGGTCCTCTAGGAAGGGACATGGCTTCTCCCAAATCCTCCAGTGAGGATGGGAACAGTCCCCTGGGTAGGATGGGGCGAATCCATCTATCTGGGTAGGATAGCTGCTTCCCAGGCCTGGATGTGCTGTCAGAGGTGCAGTGAGGACTCTGGGGGAGCAGCTGGTGTCCTCCTTGTAAGCCCCATGGCCTGGGTAGGTGGTCATGAAGACCTTGCAGTAAGACTGGGGAGCAGGGGGAAGTTGTCTCCCTGCTTAACTGCTGGCGTTCACCGCATGTTCACTCCAGTAATGATTCATTTATTTGGCCTGTGTGATTGAAAATGACTGCGGCTCCGGCAGGGTGAGTCACACCGACGGGTGGTGATTAACATGAAGGGATTGGTGATGAAAGCTCATGGTCAACCTGGGTTTCTGGGAAGGATGGCACATCGTTTAGGCTTGGTGACAGGCTGTTCCCAGGGGTAGAAGCATGGACTTCCCAGGGCTCCCCCTCTAATCGCTTTCCAGAATGGTTTTGCTTTAATTGGTTGCCCCTGGTGGTCTTGGGGACCATAGGCCACGTCATGTCAGTACCAAGGATCTCCTAATTTTCAAGGAGACTCAAGGCAGCAACTTTCTCTCTAACTGACTTCTTCCAGCCAAGCGGCAACTAATTAACTCGGCAGTGCCCTCTCAGCCCTGCCTGTATCCAGAGGTGCATGCCTTTCCCTGCTGCGGTGGGGTTTTATTTGTTTGTTCATGTGTTCGGCCAGAGCACCTCCCTGGCAGATCTCCGGGCTGGGATGGGCAGCAGGGTTAGTCCCATCCTCCCAGCGGTCAAGTGCCAGCACCATCTCCAGCACCTTATCCTCGTCATAAGAGTTTTCCTTGGCAGATGGGAAGACGGACAGATGAACCTCAAAGTGCCACGTTCTCATGCTCATTGGAAAGTCTAGCAGGCAATGGCCTGGGGCTCCTTCTGCTTTGATGAGTCCTGGGTAGGTCTTGCTCATATTCTGGAACCAGAGAGACCTGCAAAGCATTTGTCTATAGCATCAAGGGTTCAAGTGTTTCTCTTGATCTAAAGTCAGAGGAAGAACAAAACACTACTCTGCAAGTAACTCCAAATAACGTTGAAACTGTTTGCTCCTCACAATCAATATCTGACCTCAGGAAGAATTATCCTGAAGCACTTTCTAGATTCTACCCAGAAGCTGCCAGAAAGGATGGTGGAGACGCCATACATGTGTGTATCGGGACCACACACACCTGCAGGAATGACCTCTGCCCAGGCAGCAGCGTCCAGGGCTGTGGGGAGGCAGCACCAGCTGAGCTCCTCTCAGGCAACCTTCGGGGCACCCTCACAGCATCCGCTCAACATACTCAGATCGTCAGCATCTGGCAGGTAAATGTGAGGCTGAGAGCAGGATTTGAACCCAGGCAATAGGACTCTATCTTTATGTGACTGTGCTCTGGGCAGCTTTGAATTCAATTCAAATTGAATTGGGCTCTGGGCAGCTTCAATTCAAGCTTTGAATTGAAGTCACCCCCTGAAGACATTTCATGAATATATGTTGCCTGCAGGCTCTCTCCTGGCCTCTGACTCTGTCCCTAGGATGCAGTCATCCTGCAGCACACTCAGGCCAGGTTTCTCCAGACTCAGGCTGCTTCCCAGGTTCAAGGCCTGGCTGAATGGTGTGACCTTGGCCAAGTTTCTTATCTCCTTGTGCCTCATTTTTGTTTTTTCTTTTTTTTCTTTTTGAGACAGAGTCTCGCTCTGTCTCCAGGCTGGAGTGCAGTGGTGTGATCTTGGCTCATTACAACCTCTGCCTCCCGCATTCAAGTGATTCTCCTGCCTTAGCCTCCCAAGTAGCTGGGACTACAGGCGTGTACCACCACACCCGGCTAATTTTTATATTTTTTAGTAGAGATGGGGTTTCACCATGTTGGCCAGGATGGCCTCGATCTCCTAACCTCGTGATCTACCTGACTCGGCTTCCCAAAGTGCTGGGATTACAGGCGTGAGCCACCTCACCCAGCCTCTTTTTCTTATATGTGAGTGGGGGCAACTCTGGTACCTGTCCCTTGGGGCTTTGGGGCACACCTGGTGGGTGATGTGGGCATGAAGCATGGAACTCATGTCTGCAGAGCCTGAGTGTCTGTCAGCACAAGCTCCCTGACATTATTCTACGCTGCTTGGAGCCTTGCAGGTGCCTCCCTGGGACAAAACATTGCTATTGTTTTCTTTAACAAGCACAACAATGTTATTTCTACACCAGCAATTTCTTTCCTGGTCTGTTGTCCTGGCTCATGCTCCTTGTCCTGGCTCCCTGGCTTTTGTCTGAATATGTCTTAGCAAAAATGTCTTGCTTTCAGTGGAACTTTGTCCCTCTCAAATGCTCAAAGCATTTACGTAACAAATGTCCCTGAGCTGACACCCTTCATGAGTCAACGTGCTGGATGGCATGATGTCAGGGGAATGTCAGGCACGGGCTCCGGACCCGGGAGGGATCTGGTGCATGTATGGTCCTTTCACTTCATGGAGCCCTGTCCCCTTTGGGGGTCCAGGCAGGTATGCACCTGGCCACGACAGCATACAGAGGAGACTTGGACATGTGAAAATGGAGAGTGGACGTCAACATGAAATTAAACAAGATCAAGAGTAAAAGGTGAGGAAGAGAAAGAGAAGCCCTCAGGAGCTCTTGGCTGCTGGAGAGGGAAGCACAACACAGGCTGGGTGTCGGAGAAGCGTTGGAAGCCGCAGCCGGCCTGGAGATGAGGGCAGGATGTGGATGAGCTGTGCCCATGGTGAAAGGGGGGACAGGCTGGAGGGGAAAGAGCATTTGCAGAAGGCAGAGGCAGGAGCCACTGTGGCTGGGTAGAGAGCAGCCAGGAAGGGGCAGAGAAGCCCCCTCTTAATGAGAGGCCCTTACGGTTTCTGACACAGAGCACTTCCGCGGAAATGGTTTTAGGAAAAGGCACCTGATAGCGTGGGGTGAGAGGGTCTGGAGATGGGAGACGCCTGGCAGGGTCCTCTGGGAAGACAAGAAAGCATGTGTCTCACTCTGTTGTCATCTCCTCATTTGCATTGTCCCTCAAGAACTCCTGTGGATGGAGTCTGGAGACAGAGCTTCCGGCTGAGGCCTCACAGCCCAGACAACCTCTGACTGTCCAGCAGCTGCAAAACGATGGCGCCCACCATGGGCACAGAGGAGCCAGGAGACAAACGCGGCCTCCTGAGTTCCCAGGGAAGAGGCAAGAGGGGGTAGTTGTGCGGGAGGCAGGAGCAGTTGGAACTGGGAGGTATCCCTTTGGAGGGCGTGGGCTGGAGGTTTGAGATAATCACTTTTCACACAGGAGGGATAGGCTGGACCCCAGGCGTGGCTCGCAGGGGGCTGTGTGGGGCCTGGCTTCCAGTTCCTGTCCACCCCAGGCTGGTGGGAGGTGATCTTTGGGTGATTAGAGGACTGGATGCCCTTTTGCTCTGGCCTGGGTTTCCATCCTTCTGAAATAAATTGTTTGCTTTACAGTGGAAGACATACCCTGTTCCTTTATTTTTCTAAAGCAAATCCAATCCACTCTGAGCCTCCAGTAGGCAAGAAGTCTGAGATCATCACACCATGGGCTCCTTCATCCCTGCCCTGAGTGGGATGTGGGCCCTGGTGCTTCCTGCTGCCAGGATCTGGGGTGGCCTGGACTTTTGTCCTTCTCTTTTATGGGACCAGCAGCCCAGGGTGAGCCTCCACTGAACTTCCTCCTGCCACTGTATCCCCCTCTGTCTCTCTCTCTCTCTCTATCTCCCCCCTCTTCCCTCTCCACCTCCTTCCCTTCCCTTCTCCCCTCCCCTCCCCTCCCTTCCTCTGTCCTCCCCTCCCCTCTCCTCCCCTCCTCTTCCCTTCTCTTCTCTTCCCCCTTCCCTTCCCTCCCCTTCCCCCTCCCCTTCTGTCTGTCTCTCTTCCTCCCTCTCTCTGTCTTGCTGTTTCTCTATGAGGGCTGCTGCAAAGTCCACTCAGTGAAGTCCGCTCCACAGATCTCAGGCCAGAGACACCCCTCCATACACATACAGAGGGCCCAAGGCAGCCTCTCCACGTGTTAGACAGAATAACAGCCACTAAAGTTGCCCACACTCTAATCCCAGAAACCTGTATATATGCTGTTACGTGGCAATAGGGAGTTTGCAGACAGAATTAAGGCTATGAACTTTAAAATATGGACATCATCCTGGTTTATCTGCTAGGCCCATGGTGATCCTGTAGGTCCTTGGAAAGGACGCCTGCAATGGACTGAATGGTGCCCTGTGATGCAGGAAGGAAAAGGCCGGAGACAGTTGATATGACAGTCCCTGTCGTGCTCCACTGGCCTGTCCTTGCCCAGGGGTGACGAGCACTGAGACCCCTTCCCGGGAGTGGAGAGGAGATCTCAGCAAGTGGTTGCCTCAGAGCAGTGGGCACAGGCACCTAGAATGTTAGAGAGAAAGGGCACCAGGGTGGGCTGGATGGCGGCCCCCAGGAGATCTGTCCACATCCTAATCCCAGAAGCTGAGAACATGACTTCACTTGGGAAAATGGTAATGCTATTAAATTAAGGATCTTGAGATGATATCATCCTGATTATCTGGGTGTGATCCCTAAATCCAATGGCACACAGAGAAGATACACGTAAAAAAGAGAAAGCCATGTGAGGACGGAGGCGAAGATTTGAGCGGTGCAGCCACAAGCCATGGAATGCCTGGGGCCACCAGAGGCCGGAGGAGGCCGGAAGGACCCTCACCAGCACCTTCCAAGGGAGTATGGCTCTGCCAAGACCTTCACCTTGTGTTTCTGGCCTCCAGAGCTGCACGGAAAACGAATTTCTCTGGTTTAAAGCAACCCAGCTTGTGGTAATTTGTTATAGGAGCCCCAGGAGACTGATAGAGGCACAAACATGTGGCATCAGATTCCCTGGGACAGCTTTGAAATGAATATTCTTGGCCCACTGTTAAATTAGTAAAGTAAGGATTCATAATTTCATATATTTATTTGTAGAGTTGAGGTCTCACCTTGTTGCCCAGGCTGAAGTGCAGTAGCATAATCATGGCTCATTGCAGCCTTGAACTCCTGGGCTCCAGTGATCCTCCCACCTCAGCCTTCCTAGTAGCTAGGACTACAGATACGCACCACCATGCCTGGCTAATTTTTTTGTTTGTTTTGTTTTATTTGTAGAGGTGGGGTCTAGCTGTGTTGGCCAGGCTGGTCTGGAACTCCTGGCCTCAAGTGATCCTCCCCGCTCGACCTCCCAAAGTGCTGGGATTACAGACGTGAACCACTGTGACTGGCCTAGGACTCATACTTTTTAAAAGCTCCCCAGAGGATTCTTATATAGCCATTTCATGGGTCTGTGTTTGAGAAACATTTTCTAGTTTAATTTGCTTATTTTGCAGACAGGAAAACAGAATCTCACCCCGACCCCCAGCCCATTAGGAGAGGAGGGCTCTGGCCTCAGGCCTATCAATAACTCCTAGCTGGGGGCTCATTGGTGAGTGGTCAAGAAATTGCCCAACAGCGTGGTTTCGAGGGGGCCAGCCTCACCTCTCCTGGTCTTGAGATTTTAGCTGTCCTGAGAAAGCGAAGGCTTTTGACAAGATGACCCCCCTCCCCTATTTTCCTTGCTTTTCCTTGCAATTTTCCCACAAGGAAGTTCCTGGGGGCCGCTCTTGTACCTTTGGAGCTGTGACCGGCTAAGTGTGAATATGGGACTGTGGGTGGACTTTGAGACGCCCTGTAGAGGGAGCTTGTGGTGGAGCAAGACAGGGTCCGGAGAGGAACGCAGATCAGAAACCGTTTCCACACTGGGTCCATCCACTGCTGAAGCTGGAGCCAACCTATGCCTTAGAGGTTCCGATTCCATGGGGCAGCAGAGTTCTTCTTTGTGCTCAGGCTCACTCAACTTCTGCCTTCCCTTAATTTATGTGATCTTCCTTAGCTGGGATTCAGCCTGAAAGATCCATGATGCAACTGTATTTCCAGAGAGATCTGGGGAGGACAGAGAGCATCATCCACTCCACCTTCTTCGTTAGAATAACGTAATAGGCTCACAAAATCCTCAGAACAGCAAGGAGAGACTCATGCAACTCGAATGTCTCCACCTTGGCCCTGCTCTCCCTAAGGCAGAAGAAGGACCTCAGATCCCTGGATGGGATCGGCCATGGAGCCCTGAGAAGCTGTGTTACTGTTGGTGCTATGAGTCCTCTGTCAATATTACTAATATCATTTAGTTAAATTAAATCTACTCTTCAACTATTTTGTAAGAAATCAATACTGGCATGTGCATCTCTCTTTGTCCCATCTTATTCTTTTTTGTTTGGTTGCATTTTAATGGTTCTGTATATTCAGAAAGGAAATAAAAAATGAAAGCTGCCAGGATTAATTTGTCATGGATCAATTTTCTTGTATTGGGGACAATCATGAATATATCAGAGCCCAGCTGCTCTCATGCTCTGAGGTTGTCATAATGGACTTCCATCGATATGACTTTCGAGGGTAAAATGCACCCCCTGTGACCTTCGTAGAGTCTCTCCTGTCATCCTGTCTGTGCTGAAGACAGTAAATGGTTGGGATTAGCTATTTTATGTTATGACATGCATTCTTTAATCTGAAATGTGTTTGTACCCCTGCAAACCCTGCTGCATAATGAAAATCACTTTTCCACAGTGATCAACAGCAGTCTTTAGCAGACCGTCACAATGCTGGGAACAGGGGAGGTGTGTGCAAATGACCACCATCCTACCTGCACTCTTGGATTGGGGCAGGGGTGGGAAGGAAAACCCAGCAGTTCCCAATGTGGAGAGGGATGGGCTAAGGATATGCAGCAGGAGATTTGAGGGTACAAAGCGGGGGACTCCCACCCCCGCTTTGAGGGGGGAGGTTCAGGGAAGTTTTGCCAGAGGCCTATGGGCCAGTTACGGAGGACTTTTACATCTCTCAGTGGAGAAGAGAGAAAGATTGCTGGTGGCTGGACATGGTGGGAATCTTGAAATTACAGTGGACTCTGTGGTTCTACAGACCTGGGTGCAAATCCCAACTCCACAGCTAAACAGAATCTCATCCCAGCACTCAGCTTATTAAGAAATGAGGGCCCTGGCTCCAGCTCTAACATGAATTCCTAACTTGGGGCTCATTGGTGAGTGGCCAGTGAATGGCCCAACAATGTGGTTTAGGGGAGGCCAGCCTTGCCTTCCTCTGTCCCATCTCTTCTCACTTCTTCTGGATAGGCTTAAAGCTGGGCCCAGGGGTCTTGGTCTTGGGGACCCCTATATCCTTGCCTTCAAGGCAGATGACTCTTACTGATATTCCCACATTTTCCACTCCTTTCCCTTTACCCAAGCCTGCCACCATTTGGGGGAACCCCAAATGAGTAACAACTTCTGCCTTGCTTCATTTTACATGATTCTCCTTAGCTGAGATTCAGCCTGAAAGGTCCGTGATGCCCAATATTTCTAGGGAGTTTTGAGAAAAGAGAGCATCATCAGCTCCACTTTATCCATTAGAATAATGCAATAGTCCCACAAAATCTTAAGAACAGCAAGGCAGCCTCATGCAACTCAAATGTCTACATTTTGGCCCTGCTCTCCCTTAAGGCAGAAGAAAACCCTCAGACCCCTGGACAGGATCAGCCATGGAGCCCCGAGAAGCCACGTCACTGTTAGTGCTATGATTACTATGCTCTGATCCCCAATTTTCTCATCTGAAAATGGAGACTATAGTGGGACCCTCTCGGCAGAGTTGTAGTGAGGCTCAAGTGAAACAATTCATCTGATGCTCATAGTCCACTGCCTGGTGTATGTATGGTGGGCTCGCAATGTATGTCAGCCTCTTCTATCCTGGTTTCCACCAAGAATGTCACCACCATCACCATTGCCTTCATTGTCCACAGACCCTCGTTTCTCCAAATAACTTAGCAACCCTTAGCATCCCTGCCCTCTGTTGGGTTAGGGAGAAGGTTCCCTCATGGGAACCCCATGCATGAGGTCCCCAAGCCCTAGGACCCCCTCCGGCAACTAGTGGCCAAAGGGTGTCTCATGGCTTCCCTGGATTTACCTTGGGCCCAGGTATCAGCTGAAACTCATTCTGGGGATCTGAGCATCTTATGTGGAGACCTGTGGGCTCATCTGGTTCAGCTAAGCATATAGTCAGCTGAGTGGTCAAGATAAATCACCCAATGTTCCTACCCACCCCTCGATCAGGCTGTTTTCTGATAAATCACAGTGCTGAGATTCCTTTCATTTCCAATTTCAAAACAAGCTTTGAAAGGTGTGCCAGGTGAGGCACCATTCTTCCTCCACATTTATCCTATTTGGTGGTTTTCTTAACATTTTTTATTGCAAGGAAATCCAAGACTGAGTGAGGAACAGTCCTGTCCAGACTAAATTTTACCCACAGCTCTCTTCTTGGCTTAAAACATTTTTTGCTTCACTCCACTCTGCCCTGTCCTGCCAGTGCAGCTGGCTCTGCCTTTATTTCCCTCAAGAAAAGCCAGAAAATGCTCAAAGATAAAACCCATTTATCCAAGACCTGGCTAGTTACATGGACTAAATCAGGTCTGCCATGCCATGCATAACACGTGCCTCCTTTTCCCAGATGAGGCTTCCTCCAGAGTGTCATTTACATACATGTGAAAGAGAAAGGGCCCCTGGGCTTCCTCTACTACAAGACCAAGTTTTGTAAATGTTATATGGATGCTTGAGAAGAAAGTGTTCACTTGACTTTTTGGGTAAAACCTTCGATGCATACTTGATAATATCACAATTGCCAATGATGTTATTAAATTATTCTGCACTTTTGGAAATTTAGCTTGTTTTATCCACAATTTAGAAAGGGTAGAGAAATCTAACAGAATGGTGGATTTATCCATTTCTCTCTATAATTTTATAAGGCATTGCTTTAAGTACTTTGAGGCAATTTTTTATGTGAATACAAATTGAAATTATTCTATCTTCCTAGGAAATTGCATAACATCGTAATGTAATGACCCTATTTTTGTTAATGTTTATTTTTATCATAAGCTATTTTTGTCTGGTATTAATGTAGCTCCCCTGCATTCTGTTGGTTGTTAATTACATAGTCTAATTTTACCAACCTTTTATATCCAAGTGTGTGTCCTAGTTTTCTAGATGGATTTCTTATAAACAGCATAAGGTTGAGTTTATTTTTTTAAAAAATAAATTGAATCTCACAATCTATGTCTTAAATTGGCAAATTTAGTCCATTTACATTTATTGTCCATACAGATATATTGCATTTGTTTGTTTCCAACATCCTACTTTTTCCTATTTATTCACTTTTACTATACCTTTTCCTTTCTTATTCTTCCTTTTTTTTTTTTTTAAATGAAGTGGGTTTATTTATTTTCTAGCTGTGCAACTTTAGGCAAATCACCCAAGCTCTTAGTATCTTCAACTATGAAAGTAAAGATAATAGTATCAACCTATACAAGAGAACACTGTGAGGATAAAAAGAGTTACTATGTGTAAAGTTTTAGAACAGCACCTGACATATCATAAGCATGGTGTTTGTGCTTGTAGTAGCTTATTCCTTTTTTCCTTCTTCTGGCTTTATACCGTATTTCTACTCTTTTACTATTTTTATTGGTAGTTCACCATGAATTCTTAATGAGGTCTAAGGCAACACCACAACCCCCTTGTAACTAATGCAAGAATCTTGAAATCATGACTCTTCTTACTTTGGTATTACTATCCAAGATTTTAGGTTTTCTTTTTAAAAACTCCCATGAATTAGAAACATTTTTATTATTTTATGCAAATGTTTTGTATTAAACTAATTGAGCACCAATTCTGTGCCTGGCATAGTTCTGGATTCTGGAGGTGCAGAAAATGTTTAGATTTACCCATTTCTTTGTTCGTCATCTCTGCCAGCATCTCACATCTCCCATTTCTCTTCTCTTTGCTGTACATCCTTAATTACTTAATATAAATTACTAACTTTTAGGTTAGGTGGGAGGGTAGCAAATTCACTGCACTTTATTTATCTAATATGTTTTGTTCTTGTTTCTGAAAGATAAGTTTGCTGCATTCATAATTCTAGTCTAACATTTATTTTCTCTCAGGAGTTTGAAGGTCTTATTCCACTTTCTTCCAGCTTCCATTTTGGTTTTTGAGATATTTTCTGCCAAACTAGTTTTCATCTCTTTGTAGGTGGCCCTTCTTTCCACATATTCCTTATAGATTGCTCCTTTCTCAATTGTGTTTGGCAATTTTACTACAATGTGATAAAGGGGTAAATTTCTTTTTATTTATTCTACAAAGGATATAGTATAATTCCTACATCTGTGGATTTGTATCTTTTATCAATTCAGTAAAATTCTTGGTCATACCTCTTAAAATACTATCTCTCCTCTTTTTCATTTTTTTATTTCTTCTTCTGGTACTCAAAATAGATTCATGGTAAAATATCTCACTCAATCATCCAGGTATTTGAGCTTTCTTACTTAAAAAAAATGCCACGATCTATTCTGGATTATTGCTTGAGATCTGTCTTCCAGTTCATTAATCCTTTCCTTAGCTGTGTCCAGTCTGCTTTTTAACATAGCTACTAAATTTTTCACTTCAATAATTATACTTTTTATTTCAAAAATGATTATTTGCTCAAATCTACCTCTTGCTGCTTCATCATTTTGTAATTTTATTTTCTTCTTCTTTAAACATTTCTCACACCATTATTTTGTATTCTTATTGTGATTATTCTAATGCCAAGTTTCTTGAAAGAGTAAATGAGAACACACTGTTTCTGCTGACTCTCACTCATGGTGGCTTGCTCTAGCCATTGTTGATGATGGGTTTATAGAGTTTGACCTTAATTGTAGGTGCCTAAATGGGGAATAGTGTCTCAAAAAAGAATTTCCATTCACTTCCACCATGAGCCTGGGGAAGCCACACTCCTGAGGTGACTCCAGCCCCCAGTACCAGGATTCACCTGGGAGTTTTAGGATTAACCTTTCTCCTTGTTGCTAAACTAGAATCTCTACCTGCAAGGAAGTTTTACAGCTCATGTGGTTCATAGCTCAGGAGTTTTTTTTTTTGCTTTCCCTTTTGAAGGCCTTTACAAATTTTCCATGCAAGCCCAACGAGGCAATAACAATTATATTTTGTGCAAGAACCAATTGTTTTATAGCAGAAAGTCTCCCCAGGGTATCTCTCCATTTCTCATTATCATCATCCTCGATTGAACATTAAACGGAAATGTAATCATGGGTATGATGTCACTGATAAGAAAAAAGTAATGAATCACATTCCAGGTGATTCCAGATGAAGCTTTGCTCTGTTTCTCTCTGCTCATGATTTCCATCTCATTACCTACTGTACATTATTATGGTTTAAAACTGATCCTATGAGGTTGTAAGATTCACTAGAATGTAAACAGTATAAGGCGATACATTTTCTCAATTTATTCAGTAATGTTCCCCCATCACATGCAATAGCATCTGGCACGTAGTAGGCACTCATTAAATATCTGTTGCCAACCAAATGGATACTAGATTGACTTTTCCAGGCCCATTAAGTAGTAAACTGAGAATTCACATATGCCATCCCCCATCCCTACCCCCCACACCACATGCACAGAGAAAATGCTAGCATTTTGGAAAACCAAAGGTAAATTTAATACTTTCTTGACACTCAGGGCATGTCTTATTGAACCATGTCTTTCTTTAGGCTGTGCATACCCACCGAAGACAAGCCACATTTTTATTGCGTGGCATGACTCTGCCTGGGCCCGTCTCGCTGGAAACACTTTCGGCAAAGTATTGGTTAATTCATTCTGTTTTTCAAGACTCTAGTCTGAGGCAGTGGTTCTCATACCTGCGTGTGTATCAGAATCACCTAGTGGATTTAAGACACAAATTGCTAGCCTCACCCCCAGAGTTTTCAATTCAGTATGTCTGGCGTGGGGTCCGAGAGTTTGCATGGCTAACAAGCTCCTTGACGCTGCTGGCCAGAGACGACACTTTGAGAGACTGTGATCTGCAGCTTTCTCATGCAGCGATCCGCTTGGCTCATTTCATTCTTCTCTCCTTAGGAGGCATCTTTGATTTGAAGCTGAGAACTGAGTGTGATGACAAGAGGCAAACCAACACATGCTGCATTTTCCTGTACCTTTTTCATGGGCATGTTAACTTTATACTTTAAAAATCCAGTTAAGCACGCATCTATACCCCCAGCACCAGGCCTTCCCAGACCACTCTAAAGCCTCCCTCCCTGGTTTGGGGGTCACTGAAAATTAACTTAAAAGCAAAGTGCCAAAGCAAGCAATGGAGATGCAAGTTTGATGGGTACAAATTGCAAGTTCTCACATGCAAATGCGTAATAATTAGTTGTTTCAGCAGCACATCTTTCATCCCATCCCTTCTGGAAGGATGACACCTCCTGCCTCATTTTATTGGGAAGATTGATGGCATTATGCCTGGGTATGACAAAGGCCTTCGGTGCCCCTTTTCATCCCCTCCTCGTCCCTGAACACAACTGCCAGTAACAAATGCAGTGTAAAGGATGGGGGTGTCAATGTAATTAGTTCTTCAGAAGCAAGATTGCTGGTGATTTATAGAAGGGTGTCCATGTGTCCCTTTGTTCCTGACCTAAAGTCAATAGCAAAATGAGAAAGTCCAGTAGAGATTCATGAACAAACCAATTTGGTTGTTTTATAGACAGAGCATAACATACCAATATAATATTATTAACATCCAAAAAGTGGATATTACAAAAAAAAACCCTTCCCTCATTTTTCTCTGACAGCTGAGACGTTAGCATGCTGCTCTGAAGTGCCATCTCTCTTCTCCCCCTTTTCCCTGTGCCTCCTTTTCTTCCTTTCCCAAATTGAAGACCCAGCTGTTTAGAAGGTGCTTCCCCTTTGGGCACAATCAGGGTATGAAGATGTTGCCCATGAACCATTGAATTCCTTGAGGCCAGAACCCACTTACGTCCTCTATCCCTGTACCGCTGTTGGGGACCACATCATCCATTTCATCTAGTTGAAGTGAAAAAGGTTCGAACATGCAGCAGATTGAATCCAGGCTGAAGCCACCAAGGGGAATGTGAGTAAGAACAGGCTCCTTGTTCCTCCATCCTCCCCCTGCAGCCCCTCTCGCCCTGGGTTTATAGTCAGGGATGTTTGAGGCTGTCATAGCTGGGTTGAAAGCACATGTGAGTACTGCAGTGATTGATGAGAGAAAAGAGAAGCAAAAGAAAATGATACTTTTGTTTACTTGTTATTTTATTTTATTTTATTTTATTTTTCTATGATCTGGGGTGCATGTATAGGATGTGCAGGTTTGCTACATAGGTAAACATGTGCCATGGTGGTTTTCTGCACCTATCAACCCATCACCTAGGTTTTAAGCCCAGCATGCATTAGCTATTTTCCTAATGCTCTCCCCAACCCCACCCTCTCCTGACAGGCCCCAGTATGTGTTGTTCCCCTCCCTGTGTCCATGTGTTCTTATAGTTCAGCTCCCACTTATAAACGAGAACATGCAGTGTCTGTTTTTTTTTTTTGTTCCTGCATTAGTTTGCCGAGGATAATGGCTTCCCACTTCATCCATGTCCCTGTGAAGGACATGATCTCATTTCTTTTTATGGCTACATAGTATTTCATGGTGTATACTTACCACATTTTCTTACCCAGTCTATCATTGATGGGCATTTGGGTTGATTCTGTGTCTTTGCTATTGTGAATAATGGTTCAATGAACATACACATGCATGTACCGTTGGTGAGAATGTAAATTAACTCAACCATTGTGGAAAACAGTGTGGCAATTCCTCAAAGATTTAGAACCAGGAATACCATTTGACCCAGTAATCTCATGACTGGGTATATACTCTAAGGAAAGAAAATGAAACTTTTTAAACTGAAAAAGCAGATATTGGAGAGTGTGGTTTAGGTGTGTGGCAAAAATAAGCTTCCTAATTCTCTGCCACCAGGTGAAACTCACCCACCTCTTCCTGGGTCATTCCAGGCATGGAAGAGCAGGGTCACAGAAAGAACAAGGTGAGGACAGAACTAAGCTATATTTACAGGGCCCTTCCCTGTTGCCAAGCTCAGCCAGGAGTCTTATGGGGAGGGAAAGGGAGCTCAAGGGGGCTAGAGTAATTAGTGTCTCTTCCCATGGAAATGGGAAGCTGGAAGGAGGTTCCACTTTGCCTCCTCATGAAAGAGGTTCCTTCCTAGGCCACATCTGATGGGGACTCAAGAAACCATGAGGAAGAGGGCCCAGCTTGAGAGTGGTCACAGGGTTGCATGCCAAGTGATAATTGGAGGGGAAGGGGGAGGTTGTAGGCTTTCTGCTTAAATTCTGAGCTATGTCCAGCCCAGTAACGCACATCTCAGAGACCCACTGGGGTATGGCCCCTTTTACCAAGAGGTCTGGGGTTGGGTGTTGGGCAGAGATGTTGCACAGCATCTCACAAAGGAGGCACATCATCCCACCTTTCTCTTGCATTGGAAAAAGAAGGACTCAAGGCGAGGCCTGGTGTCTTAAAGACTTTTTCTAGGTGGTATCTGAGTCTCTCAGAATGGGGAATGTGGCTGTCAGTCTGCGCAAGTGGCAGCCTCTGTCGGCAGGGAGGGAAGCTTTGGTCTGGTCCCTTGGTCCAAACTGGCACCCAACCCCTGAGGCTCCTGCTGCCAGAACCAGCCAAAATGCTCCCCTCAGATGCCTGTCCTCAGCCCTGTCCTCTTGTTGCCCCTTAGTCCATCCCATTCACTTTCCTCCCAAATGAAAGTAAAAGTCCCATTTGCCATGGCCCAGTGTCCAGTGGGTCTCTGAAATAAAGAGCCAGTTTTTAGGGCCACGTTCAGGGGCCTCAAAGGGATAACCTCTAACAGGATTGGAAACATTCAATGGAAATAAGAACTTCTAAGACATAGACAGTGATGTGAAGAAAAGGGATTATGCATTGAAGAAAAGAGACATCAAGAGGGACAGTCTCAATCCTTGGGCAATGATCTAAGAAGCAGAGTGGCATGCCCTGAGGCTTTTCATGATTAGCTGCTGCCGCCAAGAACAGTCCAGATCTTTCTCCTTTTGGAGCAATTCCTTCTAAGCCACCCCTTGCTTTCTAGCATCCTCCTGTTCTCCTCTCTCTAAATTCAGTGGTGGGATTGGAAGTCACCTGTCTCCAGCAGCTCCTTCAAGCATCGCCTGTGGGATGTTCAGTGATCGGGGAGCAGAACTCAGGTTCCCCCAGCATTTTATGATGGGGACGCTGACATCCCACACGATGTCCCAGGAATTCACACTCTGATAAAGAGATTTTGAAATGAAAGGAAGGAGATTATGTCAAGAAAAAGAGGCCGCTTGTTCGTTGCCCAACAGCTACCAAAATCCACACTTCTTCTTACTTATCTCTTCTTTGTCACAACTGCATTGTGTTGTCCCAATTCATCATTTCCATCCCACCCAGACTATGGCTCTCAGAGGAGGAAAATTCACAGTCCTGTAAACGGCAGCGTTTATGCAGATCACATGATGGATTTATGTCTTTAATTAAGGAGGTGATTCTGGTAACGCATCGGTTAAACAGCAGAGCAGATGTAGCATTGTGTGTATTATAGTTTGCTTATTATATTTTTCTCTTTAATTACAGCTCCGAGGGCAACAGTTAAGCAAATACTTTTAGTGGATTCAGACAACTGCCGTGGCTGTGATTTAGGAATCCTGCCATTGGTCCTTGTCGCTGGGGTGTCCCCACACTATCCTTGGGCCTTGCCTTGCTTGTGGGCAAATAGACTCACACAATCCAATTTCAACCAGACTGCACGCAAGAGAGTTATGGGCAATTTCTAAAACAAAAAAAAAGCCCTGCATCTCCATATATAAGTACAATTGCATTCCCAGTAGTTAACTTTATAGTAATAGTGGAAAAGCAGTTTCTTTTATAAGTTTCTTTTTGATCCATAATAACTCACTCTGAGAATAGCTTTGAGGCCAAAATTATTTGCTGTTGGTCTTGGCCAGAAAACAAACTCTTCTTCTTTCCTTTTTAAAACCTTTTAGAACTTAATCCATTTGGCCATCTGGGGAATAATGAAAAGCTACAAGAGAAAAGCAAAACATAGCGGTCATGATTCTGGTTAGTGATCACATAATTTAAAAGCCGGTCGAAACTACAGCAGCCAGCAGTGAAGGTGTCAATCATACCGCACACACGGAAGGAACCAGGGGTCCAATCTGGCGAGAAAGTGAGAAAGTTACAGACCTTTTCTTGAGGACTTGAATTTGCTTTTCTGAAATTGAACCAGGGTACATAATAAAAATCTGATCTTACCCTGGCTGGCCGAGTTCTCATCACTTGGCTAAATTAATTTCTCACTGAAATCAACATGTTTTTCTTGTCTCACAAGAGGGAAAAACACCGATTTTCTTTCAACTGATGACAAGGTTACCAATCTAGAAGTGATAAAAACTTCCTCGGCTGGCTGTGTGGCTGAGGTCCACACCTTTGCTCCATTCTGACCTAGCCTCTCCTTTGATTCCATTTCATGCAGCTAATGATTCCATGGAGCTAATCATGGGCTAATCTAACTTAGCCCATATTGTTGGAGCCATTTTCTAGGCACAAAAAGGGCCAAGAAGCTCCTGCAAGATTTGAGTGCTTCATAAAAGCTACCGTGAGATTACACTCCCCGGGTTTCCCCTGTTGAAATTGGAAATGAAGACTGAGTCTAGGATCAGTCTTCTGTTCCGAACTGAGCAGAAGATCTACCCAAGAGCCTCAGAGCCACCTACATGATGGTAGGAGTCATGAGCTTCAAAGTATGACTTGTTTCAAAGTTAAGAGCCATCACACCCCACCCTCCCAATGGCAGATGAGTTCAGGGAGACTGATCCTAGCTTACTTGTCCCCTGGGAGAGCGGTTTCCATATTAGCAAAGGATGTACCCCAAAGTGTGCCACACACATTCTCCATCTGCAACGCATAACTGAAATCACTGCAGACACTCACCCTTAGCTCTGAGAAGTTACACCCAGGCACTCTACCATGTGCACATGCACATACACATAGCACACACATGCATGCACACACACCTCTACACACACACACAAGTACATGTGCACACACACAGCACACACATGTACAAATACGTATGCACACACATGCACACATGCCTCTACACACACACAAGTACATGTGCACACACATAGCACACACATACAAATATGTATACGCACACACATGCACACATGCCTCTACACACAAGTACATGTGCACACACGTACAAATATGTATGCACACACATGCACACACACCTCTACACACAAGTACATGTGCACACACATACCACACACATACAAATATGTATGCACACACACGCGCATATGCCTCTACACACAAGTACATGTGCACACACACAGCACACACATGTACAAATATGTATGTGCACACACCTCTACACACACAAGTACATGTGCACACACATAGCACACACATGCACAAATATGTATGCACATACACATGCATGCACATACACATGCACACATACCTCTACACACACACAGGTACATGTACACATACACATAGCACAAGCATAAATAAATGTGTGTGCACACCAGCAGCATGCACACATACATGCATGCACACAAGCCCTCACTCCCATGCACACACATAGGCTCACACATGCACTTACCTGCTGCTGACATTCTTAGGACTCTGACTTCAGAGTCCTTGCTTGTTCAGTTCCTCCACGGCCCAAAATTTTGACCTTGTGGTTCTTCGTTGTTCAAAATTAACTTCCATGGCTCCATTTCCCATAGATCTTGGAAAAGTTGTTTGTCACAGACCTATGCCTATGATGTCTAATATGACCCTTCCAGCCCCATCATGCATAAAGAATAAGCTGGAACTATTTCCCAGTGGGCTGCCTTTGCAAGAATTGATGCCCGGGTCCCTGTGGTGGCCGGTGATAACCATCTTCAACTTGACAGTCTATTTCACAGAACAAAGCAAGGAGGCCTGGCCCAAGCCTGCAGTTTATAAGTGTCAGATCTCTGACATTCCCTTGTCTCTGGCTTACCTTTGAGAAGCAGCCCGGCTGGGTGAAGGAAACACAAGGCCGGAACCTGGAGACGAGACTCGAGTTCAATACATATCATCATCCAAGTCCAGCAACCTCAGTGACTTTACCAGAACTGGACATTGTTTGCTTAGCATGCCATGAAGGTGGGAATTGGCAGAGGAGGGTAGGAGGGAGGCATGTTTTTATCTATCTGTATCTTGTTTAATCTATTCTTAAACATTTAGCATTTTTTCAAACTTCATGTAGTTCAAAATTACCACTGTAAATGGTTCCCGGAGATCAAAGTGAGTGTGCATAGGACCCAGGAAGGGCAGAGACCACATCTTAATGAGTTTTGTTTGATCAAAAGTGACCTTAAATGTATGTTGAGAGGGAGAAGCCAGGATGGAAACGATGTTGGTTCAGAATTCACTTTTGTTACCTGACCACCATTTTAAATATCTTTAAGCACTCTCTAGCTCCACAAACCTACATGCAAGAGGGGAAGAGGGTGACAGAGATTTCGCTGAAGTCCACGTGCATTAGTGTGCACCGGCCTTGTGATATTCCCATGCTGGGGGTTCATCTGTCAGAACCCATCTGTGAGCCGGCCTTGAGGGGAACGGGGCCTCTGTGGTTTTCTACCATCTGTCATGCCTCCCTTCATGGCTCTGGGAGGGACTTCCTTGAGCCGAGATCCGGCTCTGCACTGAGAGTTCTCAGAGGCTGCCAGGCTGACCAGCCTCCAGAAACACGCACAAGTCCATGCTTGGCAACAATGATTGGTGATCTCACTGAGCCAGTGGATACGCCTTGCCAGGGGCTCACACTAAAGCAAGAAATCCATCCTTTCATGGGACACTTGTGGTAATTAAAAAACAGAGCTGTCTCCAAGAAAAATGATTGGCAGGTTAAAGAGTGAGCAGTAAGCTGCAACAAGATAATTCTTCCACTGAATGAGCCACATCAATTGCTATTTAACACCAAGTACACAGAAGTACAACTTGTAAACCAAGCGAAGCTCTGAGCCACAGAGACCTCTTTGGTGCCAGCCAAGAAATCCAAAAAATTTCCCTCAAATTCCTAATTAGCTACAACTTTGACCATGCCGGTACTTAAGATGCTAAGAACAAAGACTTTTTTTTTGTCTGATAATTTATAAATTAACAGTTGCTGAATATCAAGAACAATTGATGTACCACCAAAACCTAAGTTTCTTAAAGCACAAAGATTCAGGCCAGGTGTAGTGGCTTATGCCTATAATCCCAGCACTTTGGGAGGCCAATGTGGGAAGCTAGCTTGAGGCCAGGAATTCAAGACCAGCCTGGGCAACACAGTGAGACCTAGTGTCTACCACAAAAAGCATGAAAATTAGCTGGGCATGGTGGCATGCACCCACAGTCCTAGCTACTCAGGAGGCTGAGGTGGGAAGATCGCTTGAGCCCAGGAGTTCCAAGCTGCAGTGAGCTATACTCTCGCCACTGATCCCCAGCCTCGGTGACAGAGCAAGACCATCTCTAAAAAGAAAGCAAAAGCAAAAAGCAAAACAAAACAGAAACCCAAAGATTTCCCACGCGGTGATCTACCAGGAATGTCTGAGGGTAAGGCTGAGACTTTGCTCTTGAAGGTGATGATGGCTGAATTGAAATAGCCCTGCATTCTTTATCATCTAGATTAATAAATCATGCTGTTGAAAAACACAGTAGGTGGGAAGGAACCATCTTAATAGATTCCTTGAGTGTGATGGGGATTGCATTCAGCTGCTGGACAAGAGAAAATTGTTGCTGGTTGTAGAATTGCCAGTCAAGTATGCTGGCTGTCTTCCTACACTGAGCCAAGTGACACAGAACGTAAAATGGAGATTGGTCACATTTGTGTCTCTTGTGCCTGGAGAGGGAATAGATAGATAGATTGGTAGATAAGAGATGGCAGGTAGCTCTCTGAGAGACACTTATTTTATATACATATCAGATCTATCTCTATCTATCTATCTATCTATCTATCTATCTATCTATCTATCTATCTATCATCTATCTATCTATCTATCCACCTTGTTGATTTTGTTTTTCTGAAGGACTCTGACTTAATAGTCCCCAAAAGCCATCTGCCTAGCACTCTCTGAGATCTGTTTTTCTTGGGGTTCCTTCCACCAGCCTGTAGACAAACTTCACCTGGTCTTGGTGAAGTCACCCTGGCTAAGAGATGACTCTGCATTCTGAACAGAGCTCTGATAACATGCATGAGGCTCTGAAGGAAGCACCCTCCCCTGAAACACAACATCTATATTCTGAAGTCATTCTTCAGACCCATTCATTACTGCTCCTCCCTCAGTTTCTCAGGGACCCACAGAAATCAGCAGCCAGCGGGAGACCCTGCTGGTGCACATGTGGGTCTGATTCTACAGCATGCAAGATTTCCCACTTAGATTTTGGTGGAATCAGTATTTCCTTCAACCAAAAGCTCAGGGTCTTTTTTTTTTTTTTTTTTTGCTATGGATACTACTAATGCTGTTGTGCTTAATAACAACAACAATAATTATAATGTCTACATAAAAACAAATACTACGATTTAACATTCATGAGTGACAGAGCAGGAGCATCGCCGTTTTGGACAAACACCACCATTTTAAATTTTCCTTGATGATTCAAAAAAAAAAAAAAAACAAAAAAAACCTGCCTAAGTCCAGACCCAAAACATCAGCCTAATGGCTAATGTCAGCATAATCAGAAACATTCCAACCCTAAAATAAACCCCCTCCAAACAGAAACATGCCAACCCCAAAATAGCCTCCCCTCTGACCAGAGACATTCCAACCCCACAATTAACTTTCCCTTACATAAAAACATTCTGAACCTACAATAAAGTCCCTCATTCCTAAACCCTTAAATATCCTTAGTCTGTAAGAGAAAATGTTCCTAACTGAAATTGGCCAGAAGCCCCTCTTAGGTTTATTCTCCAACATATACCTGTCTTTAACTGTTAAAGCCACTTTTCGTGTTTCTTTCGTCTTTCTTTAACTCTTACAATGAGGATTACTATCTTGTTCTGGAGTTAACTTGAACCCAAATCCTCAGAGACAGTTTTTACTCTGTCCAAAAAGCCCTCCACTAGGAACAAAGGCAGTAAGCTTCCTGTGCTCCTGCAAGTGCTCCGCTTGTCATAGGTCTGTGCTGTGGCTGCACATCTCCCCTTCTCCATCTGCCGTATGTTTGCATTTTCCATTTGCCGAGTGTTTTGGCCACTTGGTCAGATGGAAGGCTCTGTCCAAACAGTTCATTTGGATATGTCAATTGTCCAAGCTGAAGACTTTTAGGCTCTGAGATAGAGACATGGAATTTAGGATAAATGAAGTAAATTAAACATCTGACTTGGCAACATGTTGCTGAAACAGGTCCAGTCACAAATTAAAGCTCAGCTGAGTCTTCGTTTCCTGTGCAGGAGGAGTAAGAACACAACACATGAGGCAATTGGGCCACCATGAGATGGGGAAGGGGTTCCAGGGCAGAGACAGGTCTGGGTGCTTGGGGCAGATTGAGCTTGGTGACCTCTTGGGGAGGGGCTACTGTGTGAGTGTCCAGGGGGCAGTCGCCTGTGGTGCAGGGTAGAAAGGCAGCAGGAGGCAAAGTTCAAACATCCAGAGAGGTCTTTGCTCATCCACATTTAAGCTGACTGAACTCGGGTGAGTTACTTTGGAGCCGGGTGAAAAGGTTACCTCTGGCTCAGGCTCACGCTCAGGGATCTTGGGCAAGTCATTTAATCACTGGGATGCTCTGACCACTCTTACGGCAATTGGGGCAAATCATTCCTATGTCAAGGATTGTTGGAAGAAGTCAATGGGTATTTGGAAGGTGTCTTGCTTGGTAGCCGGGACATAAGAGACATGCAGTAAGTGAAGGTGGCCGCTCAATGCTTCAGATGTAAGTCATCAGTCTACCTTGCAGGGGTGAGGCTGCACGTTAGCAGGTTTTGTGGTTGCTTCCATATTTATTCTGCCCCCGTTTCCTGGAGTCTTCTCCTCTTTTGTAAGGCAGCAGGTTGGGAGCCCAACACAGAGCACTGCCGGGATCGTACCATGGACTCCTCAATGGTGTGGTCCATGTCTCCTTCAGATTATGTCCCTAGTACTGTCCCATGACTGAGCATAAACAGGTGCATGTATTATACCTGCCTGGTCAATAAATATGGTGCTCAAGGGATGCTGATGAAGGATAAGGCCAGGGGTGGGGCGGGCTGCGGGGTGCAGAAATCACTCAGAGCAGGGGCTGTGGAGCATGTCTTGGAGGTAGCAGAGCTACCCTGAAGACCAGAAGACAGGGGCATGAGTCCTTGGAATCAAGCTGCATGCACCTGTTGCTGTTGGGAGCCATGATGGACTCCCCAGGGAAATGCTCATGCTGGAGTTGACGATGACATGAGCTTTGGAGCCAGACCCACCCAAGCCTGAATCCAGGCTGCATCACTTTCTAGTTCCATCACCTGTGAAAGGGGTATATCCTAACCCTGTGTGGTCTACATGGACCGGGCACTGTGGGGGCTGGGGACCATGCAATGGTGCTGACAGTGAGAGCCCATGCAAGTCTGTTTGGGATCTAACTTCTTATGATTATCCATGGATTTGCCCTTGGAAGAATGGTCAATTTGATAAAGACGACTTTCAGGTGCCACTTTCCAAGGCCGTCTTCTCCTGCTGCCCTCTTCTGAGTGGATAAAATCACTCACCCGAAAGCACTGGGGTCTTCACAGATAACCCCTTCAAGGAGTTCTTATGGTTGAGAGAGAACACCTGTCTGAAAGCCAGAGGGCTGATGGTGGAATTCTAGGCACCAGTAGGAGAGTGATATCGAGAGTGATATGAGAATCTTTTCAATCAGACCCTGGGGCCCCTCCAGTCCTCCCCAAGAAAGAAATTGTACAGAAGGGAGGACTGCAAGGCCTCTGTGCAGAGTGAGGTGGGGCATGGCTCTCTCAAGTCTACTTAAAAGAAACGCGAGGACCGGGAGTGAACTCTGAGGGTCAAGTGTGGGGATTTCTGCTATGTGGACATGTAATGTGTCTCCCAGGGCACAGTACCCGCTGGGCAGAAAACAGCATCCTCTGCTTGGGCAGCGTCTACCTGTTTCCCCACTGGCCCCCTTTCTCCTGGCTTTGGGTACTTAAGGCTGGGGACAGCCTGGTCATATCTAAGCAATTCTCTCCATGTCAAACATCGGCAGAGAGATGCCAGGTAGCCGGCTGGCTTGTTACCTGCACTGCAGATTAGCTAATATTAAAGTGCTGGGTTGCTACACATTACCTGCACGGAGGTAATGAAAGTCCGTCTCGGAGCATGAGGTAGAGATAAATGTGAGGAATTTAGTATGGGATGGGAGAGAGACAGGACAGAGTCATAAATATTCTACTAATGTGATCTACAGCCACTTCCTAGCCAAATCCCAGGCTGCACTGGGCCTCTCACACACCAGAATTGCAAAGTTTCTCCTCCTAAAACCCAATTTGTATTCCATCTCTC
Organism: Homo sapiens; assembly: GCF_000001405.40. Classification (NCBI taxonomy): domain Eukaryota; kingdom Metazoa; phylum Chordata; class Mammalia; order Primates; family Hominidae; genus Homo; species Homo sapiens. The sequence continues at coordinate 4,940,260 of NC_000001.11, read as the reverse complement.
TCTTGCCCTTTCTTTCCTTTAGACCTTAATTTTATCAGTGATTGCTTTGTAAAGGAGGGATCATCACCAGTTTACCGAGAAGTCGTGCAATTCCTAATTGCCTTTCCAGAGATTTCTTTCTTTGGGGTCTGCAGCAAACTTTTATCCTGGTGTCTTCATCATCCCCTCCCAGCTGCCTTTCTCCTCTTCACCTTCAACCACAGTTAGCACCCATTCCTACCCCATCTGGGCACGATGTCCACCCTCCTTGCTGGCAACCATGAGGTCTTTCCTCCTTGCTCAACCTCATTTCCTACTTCTGGCCACACTGGCTTTCCAGGTCTCACTTCCACTGACCATCCTGTGATCTTGACAAGTGCAGCATCCTCTGACCTGGGACCTTAGCACATGATGTTGCCTCTTTCTGGAAGGTTCCCCCACATCATTCCATGAACAGCTTCTGCTTGTCTTTTGGAGAGGACACTGACATCTATGGGAAGACAGTGACATTCATGGGAGACTACTGATGTCATACAAAGGACACTGGTGCTCACAAAAGGACACTGACATCATATGAAGGACAGGGGCATCGTATGGAGGATATTGATGTCATACAGAGGACACTGACATCATATGGAGGATATTGACATCATACGGAGGATATTGACATCATACGGAGGATATTGACATCATATGGAGGACATTGACATCATATGGAGGACACTGACATCATTTGGAGGATATTGATATCCTCCAAATATCAATATCAATATCAATACAGAGGATATTGATATCATATGGAGGATATTGATGTCATATGGAGGACACTGACATCATATGGAGGACACTGACATCATATGGAGAACATTAACATCCATGGGAGGACACTGACCTCCAGGGAGGACGCTGACATCCAGATGAGGACACTGACATCCATGAAAGTACACTGATGTCCAGGGGAGGACACTGATGTCATGCGGACTCTGTTCTACGGGATGGGACATGAAACGCAGGTTGTGGCTGCAGTTTGGCAGTGGCTGGGAGGTTCTCTGCAGAGTGGCCTGGATTGGAGCAAGTGGAGGAGGGAGGGCGTGGCATTGACATCACAGGGTCAGAGAGAGGGTGGTGATCGGGCCTGAGGTGGCAATTCCAGTCAGGGAGAGAGGATAAGAGCTGTTCAGGAGGGTGAAACTAGGGTTAGTGATTGGAGAGGTAAGGAAAGGGGAAGGCTCAGGAGGACACCCAGGAATCTGTCCTGGGACATTGGGGTGCTGGTGCCTTTCACTGCTGCTCAGAGACCTTGTGTTTGCAAGCCCACTGCACACACACTGCCCGCTGAAGGCTGCCTTGTCCCACTCCCTGGAGGCTCTGAATCCAGCCCATACTTCCTACCCTGAATTCCAGTGTAACTCAGGGCTAAAGTGCCTCTTTTGCCAGAATGTGCCTAGTTGAAGTGGCAGTGAAGCCAGCTTCCTCTGGAGGAGGACTGAGAAGGGGTGACCTGCGGGACTGGCGAGTGGGTAGAAGGTCCCCAGCAGATACGGATGGCATCCTCATTTGAACAGGACAGCTCCCCAAGGATGCCAGCAGAAATTAGGGATACATCAGGTTCTGATACGGGGTGGCTAAGGACTCAGATTTGGGAGTCAGGGTGGTCTGGATTCAAATCCTATTTCACTACTACTAGTGTGGCTTTGAACAGTCACTTAACCTCCTCAGCAATAAAACGACAAAATGTTAATTATTATATTAAAAGGGAGGGAGGAAAAGAGGGAGAGAGGGAAAGAAGGAAGGGGAGGAGGAAAAGAGGGAGGAAAGGAAAATAATCATGAAGACCTGAGCCTGCACCCACACATCCCCAGCCAAGATGCTGCACACTGCTGATCTGCCGGCCCCAAGTTCTCTGATAGTCCTAAAACTAGCCTTTGCTTTTTTTTGACTTCTCTCTCTTTTCTGTGGTCACCGTTTCCGGAACAGTCCGTTTCAGGGACTGATGTGAGCTGCTAAGCTGTATTCTGGGATTCCCTGTTTGCTCGTTTAGCCATGAGAAAGTGCCCTGGTGGAAGTGGCACCTTCCAGGACGGTTTGCTGAATTCTCCACACTGGACAGGCCTCCAGTCTCTGGGCTGAACCCTTTTCCTAGGGAGCTTTTCTCTTACAAGAATAAGATGCAGGCCAGGCATGGTGGCTCTGCCTCACCCTGGAGGCAGAGGTTGCGGTGAGCTGAGATCGCATCACGCCATTGCACTCCAGCCTGGCCAACAAGAGCGAAACTCCATCTCAAAAATCAAAAAACAAAAAAAACAACAGGATGCGGCCTAGCCTTCCTTATTTGTAACAGCTAAACTTGCTGGCATTTTTTTAGTGTGTGTATGTTTTTAACAGGCAACAGCTCTGCTTTTTTTGAAAGAAATGTTCTTTATGTAAATCTAATAAATGAGCAAATCAGCGTCTCCCATAAAGCATGCACAGTTTGATTCAAAACAAGACTCAATTGCTGTACCTTTTGGGTTTGATGGAAATGTGGTTGGAAGGGAAGTGAAAAGGCAGCCAATGCTTTTGAAAGGAGTAAGTTCTCCTGTGCTCTCCCTCCCTCCCTCCCTCCTTCCTTCCCTCTGCTGTTCATTTCCATAATGAGTTGATCCAAGCTTACCTTTAAATATCATCAGAAAGAGAATTCCTTGTTCCCTTTCTGTCCTTAGCTGACCACACTGCTAGATGTGTCCAAAGAGTGCACCACTTCCTAGCTGAGCTGGAAGAAATTTGCTGGCGAGGAACTCTGATTCCTGTGCACGGGGCTGTGCATAATTAATGCATCAACTTTGCGATAGCATTGGGCTTTGGAAGGAGGCTACACACAAGACATTACTCAGATTTATTGTTATTAATACAGTAGAATCCACATAATCACCACTCCCTTAATAAACAGCATGTCTGCTTAACTGGGCCAGGGACCAGGGGACATTCCATGAGCTTCATACCAGCTCGTTTTAATGAGTCTACAATCTTTCTCTAGGCATGGCCAGCTCCCGCCTCTTCTGCCCCATACCTCTGGAGTAGCTCAAAACCTTGATTGCATTGGCCTCTTAGGTCTGCCTGAGTGCCTGGAAACAAAGGTTAGAAATAATAATATTGAGAACAGCTAGAAACATGGGTGGCTCTGTGCAGGGTGCTTTTGTGAACATGGCCTCATGGCATCTGCACAGCAGCCTCTAGGGCTGGGACAAGCAAAATCCCCATGTTGTATGTGACCCACAGAAGCCTGGGAAGGAATTAGGCACCTTGCTCAAGGTCCTGCAGCTGGAGCTTTTCCAGGGGGCCTGCCCATTGTACAGCTGTGTTTCCCCCAGGCAGCTGTGCCAGCACCATTAGGATTCCAAGCACCGTCCTCCCCACAGCCTTTCCAGAGAGGGGGAATGCAGGGCAGAGCGCAGAGCCTTTCTCCACGTTGTGCATCAACCTAGTAAAGGGCGTGGCGGGTGTAATGAATGGGCTGTCAAGTATTGGGTGCAAGTTTTATTTTTTAAGGCAAATGCAAAACAGATAAAGTATCCCTTATTCTACTCCCACTTCCCAACAGAAACACCTCTAGCCTGAGGGTAGAAATCAATGTTCAAAGCCCTTAGCCATTTTTTTTTTAATATAAGAGCTGTGTTTAATACATAACAGAGTAGCTGTTCAACAGCCCATTGCTGGAGAAGCGAAGCAGCAATGGGACCGTGTTACAGCACTGACATCATAGTTAAAAGAAAAAATAAGTGTGTAGTGAGAGTCCTGGAAACAGGTATGCTATTCAGAGACTACAGACTAGAAGTCAAGACGCTGCTGACCACCAGCCTGGTTATCTGAAAGCAGGGTCCATTCCTTCCCTGCTGCATTGATTTCTGAGTGTTAGACGCCTTGGTAACACCAGAGGCATCCTTCGAATCAGTTCAGTGATGTCAATGACGCACACACCTGTAAGTTGCCTATTACGTGCTGCATACTGAGATGCTAGACAGGCACTAAAAATGAACAGAACGGGGGCCCGAATGGCTTCGAGCTGCTGTCCAGTGCCAGCCAAGTGCAACTATAACAAACAGTTCTATTGCAAGAGCAGCAATAGCAAATCCAGATTGCACCCAATGCAGCACCAGTTCAGCTTCACCTCTGTCCATAGGGCAATTGGAATTAGCCTCTGGAAAGAACCCAGCTGGGCATGTCCTGGTTTGGAGGGCAGGCATGCAGCATGGTGTGTGTGCAGGCACTGTTCCCCGCTAGCTGGCAGTAGCAGGAAGGCAGAATGGCCCCTCTGTTCTCTCCAGCAGCACACTTTCCCAGTCGCCCACTGCTTAACACGATTAGCAGTCAGGGACCAGGCCCTTCCCTGGCTTCAGCAGTGTCTGCAAGAATCTCAGCTCCTCCTCCAAGTCAGCAATGTGAAGCTCATAACTCCAAACTGGGAGGAAGGTTCTGCCCTCCTCTCTACCTCCCGGGGCCCAGTTCTGGCCTGCTGAGTGACTCTGGACACAGCTGTGTGTGCCAGTATCCTCCCGTCTGAGCTCCATGCCCAGATCTGCTGAGGGAGGCTCCACACCTAGGCAAGTCTCTCCACCACTCCAGTTCCAGCTGCCTCCCTATAAAATGGGAGTAACTCCTCCTGCAGGCCTCTAGGCAGTGTCAGAAGATTAAATGATAGAGGTGAAGAGTTAGTTTGAAATTAGTATCTTCCCTTCCGTGGCACTGCATGACTGTGCCGGGGGCTGCTGGTGTGGCCTTGGGACTGTCTTCCTGGCTGGCAGGTGTTTTTCCTTCCATTTCATCAGGCATCAGGATTTGAGAAATGGACCCTTCCACTTTCCTTCCTTGTCAGCCTCATTTCTACTTGAAGAGTGGCAACAGCTACCTCTGCCTCCACCTCTGCAAGACTTTGCTGAGGGTCTATTCCACATGCAGCCTGGAGACAGGAGACCTGCTTCTTCTTAGAACACCATCCATCATCCCCACATCACCAGGGACTTTGAACTTCAGTCCCCCAAAAGCATCAGCCCACCCACCTCCTCCTTCATTATGCATCCTTGGGACACATTGAACAAGGGGTCATGGTGCCTGCCTGTGTTCTGCTGTACAGCGGGTGGTGAGGGCACACAAGGACAGAGTGACCTGTCCCTGAGAAGCTGTGAGCTCACTGCCCTGCTGCTCCCCCAGAGCAAAGCCGTTGTCAGCCAAAGAGTGGCTCCCACACTGCCTTGACCCATTTCTTCCTCTGGCCCTTCTCCATGCCAAGCCCGGAGAGTCAGGGAGGCACCACAGACCAAGTGTGAGGGGATTGCAGAACAGCGAAGGGCATCCCCCACTTAGAAAGGATCACTCTCTCACCCGCATGGCTGTAATCATAATTTTTTAAAAGTCAGAAAATAACCAGTGTTGGTAAAGATGTGGAGCAACTGGAATCCTCCTCCACTGCTGATGGGAAAGTAAAATGGTGCAGCTGCTTTGAAAACAGTTTGCAGTTCTTCAAAAGGTCCAGCATAGAATGGCCATAGGAATCTGCAGTTCCACTCCCAAGGTGCAGACCCTAGAGGCATGAACATGTATCTCCACAAAAAAAACTTGATACAAATGTTCACAGCAGTACTATTCACAAGAGCCAAGAAGTGGAAATACTGCGGATGTCCATCTGTGGATTCACAGATACACACGATGACATGGTCCAGACACATAATGGAAGGTGGCCCAGCCAGAGAAGGAGTGAAGCAGGGATGCACGCTGCCACAGGGAGGAACCTTGCAGAGGTGATGCTGAGATCTCGTATGATTCCCTTTGTACCAAGGCCCGGAATAGGCAAATCTATAGAGATAAGAAGACTAGTGATTGCCAGGGCCTGGGGAAAAGGGTTAGGGAAAGTCACTGATAAAGGATTTAGGGTTTTCTTTTCGGGGTGATGGAAATGTTCTGGAATTTGATTGTGATGATGGTGGCACAATCTGGTTGCGAATGTGCTACAGACCACTGAACTGTGCACTTTTTCTTTTCTTTTTCCTTTTTTTTCTTTTTTTTTTTTTGAGATGGAGTCTCACTCTATCACCCAGGCTGGAGTGCAGTGGCGTGATCCTGGCTTACTGCAACCTCTGCCTCCCAGGTTCAAGAGATTCTTCTGCCTCAGCCTCCTGAGTAGCTGGGATTACAGGAGCCCGACACCACGCCCAGCTAATTTTTTGTATTTTTTAGTAGAGACAGGGTTTCACCATGTTGGCCAGGCTGGTCTCAAACTCTTGACCTCGTGATTCGCCCACCTTGGCCTCCCAAAGTGCTGGGATTACAGGTTTGTTTGTTTGTTTGTTTGTTTTTTGAGATGGAGTCTCGCTCTGTCTCCAGGCTGGAGTGCAGTGGCATGATCTTGGCTCACTCTAACCCCTGCCTCCCAGGTTCAAGTGATTCTCCTGCCTCAGCCTCCCAAATAGCTAGGACTACAGGCGCCCTCCATCACACCTAGCCACCACACCCGGCATATATATATTTGTATTTTTAGTAGAGACGAGGTATCACCAAGTTGGCCAGGCTGGTCTCGGACTCCTGACTTCAGGTGATCTGCCCGCCTCAGCCTCTCAAAGTGCTGGGATTACAGGCATGAGCCACCAGGCCCAGCCTGAATTGGGCACTTTTAAATGGTTAAAATGGTGAATTGTATGTTTTGTGAATTTCAGTTGAAAAAAGGGAATGTTAACTCTTTGACTCTTAAGAGTTTCTTAATGTTAACTCTTAAGAAATTTCCTAAGGCTAAACACAAAGGCTGTCTGCATTCTCCTTGCTAGCTGCAGGCTCCCTGTGGACTAACTTTCCCATAGGAAATGCTTGCGCTCCCGAGCTTAACACACCTTTGAGCAGAGTAAGAGCCTCAAGGCTGTTTGTGGAGTGATGTGGCTGCACAAAGGCCCTACTGGGTGCATAGCACCCTGAGACATGAGGTGGGTGGGGCTCACTCAGGGAGGCAAAGCTTGGGGACTTTGGGGAAACACTGTCTAATGGTAAAGATGAGTTTTCTAATGCAGTCTTAGCTAACAGAGCAAGATCAAAGCCTAGTGCAGCTGTCAATGACTCCCAGGCTCACTCCCAAGGCTGGGGCTGTAGTAGGGACACGGCAGGAACTCAGTTGAGTCGACATGGCTGTCTACTTGTGCTAGATTAATCTATCCTTTCTCTCCTTGCAAATAATCCCTCCCAGGAGAGAATGGATTCACTCTCAGACCTGCAGGTGTTGATCCTGCCCTTGAGAAACACGGGGAAGGTTCAAAGCTGGGAGGCACTGGGTGGATCCACACACACAGACCCAATCTTGGGCCTGAGGATAGTTAATTAGTTTTCTCTTCCTTCTATGTGGACTGAGAGGAAGGCTGGCTGGAGTCCACGTTGAATGCCATCCACCACATTCCTGTATATATCCGGCCTAATTTAATTTTGAAATTACAATGGGAAAAGTGTGAAAATACCAATTGCCTGGCATAATTTAGAAAGCCTATTATCTGTGAGTCGCCTGCCAATGAAGAGGACTCTGGCTGTGAAGCGTCCGCATCATTTGGCTCCAAACGACAGTAAATTCTTTAAGTTCCCCACCTGTCTTGGACATGGCAATTAAAGGAAGGAATATGCCCACAAACGGGTATGGGGCAGCAATTTACCCGGGCCCCCAGGAGACTAATCCTTTGTTGGAGAAAAGTTAGTTCAGAATTAGAAGCCAGGGTGCTGGATTCCTCCAGTCTCCGGGAGATGCCTGCCTATCACCGCTTCCCGTGGGCACGTTTCCAAACAACCACAGTTTGGGAAGAGTAAGAAAATAATGTGAGGCTGGAATGAGATGACATCCCGGAGTCATTATTTTCTCCTTCTAGAATGTATTGCAAATGAGTTGTTAGGCTTCGGGAAGCTTAAATGTTGCACCATCAACTTTCAGCATAAAGTATTAGGGTAAAATGGTTTATCTCCTCTGATCACACTCTTTGAGGGTTGTAATTCTCCTGGTGCCAATTAGAATTGAACGAATCAACCTGGGTGAGACACCAACTGACCTCAAACTCCCCCCGAATCTCCAGTCAAGTCCCATTCCAAGCTTTTCATGATGGTTCATGAAGTCCAATTAAAAAATGTTTTTATCTGTGCAATGGCAGGATTTGATTAGAACTACCTTCCCATATCAAAAATATATATATATATATATATATATATATATAAGCAGATACAAGACTGCCCATGAAATTCTAAGTATTCTCAGAAATCATATCCAGCCACTAAAATGCAATGTGATGCAAATTAATTTACTGAACAGATATATTCCAATAACGTTGGCTATAAACTGAGCATCTGTATTTAAAAATCATATTTTCCCACTCACCTATGTAATGAAAATCAGAATATATTTCCTGGAGGGAAAATAATGCCTCTCCTAGGCCTGGCTGGTGAGTATTCTCTCACTCACCCACCTCTCCATCAGCATCCCTGTACCTGGGGCATCCATGCCTGTGTGGCTCCTTCTGTGTGCCCAGTCAGTCAGTCCCCAGCTATGACAGGGCCTGTCCCGTACCAGGCGCTGTTCCAGGTGCTGGTGACATCACTGTGGGAACCCGAGACAGGCAAGGTGGTGGAGTCCAGGCCGCATCCAGTCCTCATGAGTCATGGCCAGGAACTAGCTTTGTGATGAGCAAAAGCTGCTGGAAAAACACAATTTCATTTACATTTTAAAAGGTCACCTGTCTTCTCCCCACTGGGTTGAAAATTGGGGCAGTAAACAACTCTCTGGCCACTGATATTCCACACATTTCCTGGACACGGAGTGGCTCCTCAGGCACAGAGAACCCCGTATTTCCAAGATCCCTGCCTTTTCAGAGTGTCTCCCCATCTCCTGCTATGTGGGCCTTCACAGTGAAGCCCCAGAGGAAATGCATCCGGCTGTGGCTTCCACAAAACCATTCCTTCTCCCCTGGGACCCCTGCAGCAATTTGAGCTTCTGGCTACACAAGCTTTTCCTTTCAGTTTGATAATTTGAATACTGTGTTTTTGTGCTACACAGAACACTTGAAGTTAACAGATAAAATCCAACACAATGAATGAGGTGTCTCAACCGGGACAAAGAGACTCACCCTGTGATAGTTCACTTTATGTGTCAACTTGGTGGTGCTGAGGGATGCCCAGGTGGCTGGGGAAGCGTGATTCCTGGGTGTGCCTGTGAGGGTTTCTGAAAGAGATTAGCCTTTGAATCCGTGGACTGAGGAAGGAAGGTCTGCCTTCACCCACATGGGAGGGCATCACTCCATCCCGTGAGGTCCCTGATAGGACAAAAAAGCAGAGGAAGGGAGGATTTATCCCATCTCTTCTGAAGGTGGACGTCCGTCTTCTCCTGTCCTTGGACATCCATGCGCCTGGTTGTCTGGCTTTGGGACTCAGACCTGAACCTATACATCAGCCACCTGGTCCTCAGCCCTTCAAAGTCAGACTGAATGACATCCCCAGCTCTCCTGGGTCTCCAGCTTGCAGGCAGCAGTTTGTGGGACTTCTTGGCTTCCATAATCATGTAAGTCATTTACTGTTCCCATAACAAATCTTCTCATATATAAATATAGGTATATATCCTATTGATCCTGTTTCTCTGGAGAACCTTGACTCAAACACTATTATTTTTTATTAAAAAAAAAATCCTGGGTAGGCATGGTGGCTCATGCCTGTAATCCCAGCACTTTGGGAAGCCAAGGCGGGCGGATCACCTGACGTCAAGAGTTCAAGACCAGACTGACCAACATGGTGAAACCCCATCTCTACTAAAAATACAAAATTAGCCTGGCGTGGTGGCCCATGCCTGTAATCTCAGCTACTCGGGAGGCTGAGGCAGGAGAATTGCTTGAACCCAGGAGGCAGAGGTTGCAGTGAGCCGAGATGGTGTCACTGCACTTCAGCCTGGGCAACAAGAGCAAAACTCCCTCTCAAAAAAAAAAAAAAAAAATTCCAATCAAAGAATTATTTGTCCAGTAGCTCTTTGTTTGAAGGCAGGGGCACAGGGAAAACATTCCTTCTGCAGACCGGATTTGACGTCTCACTGCTTTACCGTGGAAGACGCCTTCAGTCAATGGGAAGAACTTGGAGATGGAAAACACTTATTCTAAAGCAGCAGGCAGGGCCACAAGGCAGGTGACTTCCTGAAAAATCACTTGTCCTCAACTGTGAAGTTTGCACATCATCACCGTGTCCACCTCACCGAGGTCTTGTGAAAGCTGAATCCAAAAAGCATGTGGAGAACCCAGCACCTCTGCAGCTGCCAACCCTCAGGAGGTCACCACTGCCACGTGCTCCCGTACCTTCTGCTGGATGGAGTCAGCACATGGGGATGGCATGTTCAGAGGTCAGATCTAGGATCTGTGCCCAGTTCCACACCCTGTTCAGGTAAAGTTTTTGTAAACAGGAATGATGTTGAGCCCCGAGCCAGTCTCCTCTGTCCTGGAAAGAGGTCTGTTTGGGCAGAATTGTGTCCCTGCAACATTCATGTTTACATTCTAGCCCCCTAGCGCTCAGAATGTGACTTTATCTGGAGATATGGAGTCATTAAAGAGGTAATGAAGTGAAAATGAGGTCATCAAGGTGGGCCCTAATTTGATCTGACTGATGTCCTCCTGAGAAGAGGCGATTAGGACACAGACACATACAGATGGACGACCACGTGAGGACACAGGGAGAAGATGGCATCTGTGAGTCAAAGAGAGAGGTCTCAGGAGGACCTGAGGCTGCCGGCCTCCAGAGCTGTGAGAAAATAAATTTCTATTGTTGAAGGTCCCAAGTCTGTGGGACTTGCCATGCGGGAGCTGGGAAGCTAAAACCGAGCCCATTTCCATCACGTGTGCCAACAGCGTGCCTGACTCCTCTTTTTGCCCCAATTTCCCAGCCCCACTTTCTTCTGTGAATGGTTTCGGTAACATTGCAGGGGGATGAGGTGGAGGGGCTCCTGGAGCTGACCTGGAGTGACTGTGCCAAGCCTAGTTGAAGTTGCTTCTCATCTGACCTCTCACACATGCACGGCTTTTGTCTCATTGTGTTGAAACAGTCATGCTGGTTTAGCTCAGTTTTCTGAACAGGAAAAAAGTTTTCAAATGACTCCTGAGCAGCGTAATTTCATCTGCTGAGAAGTAAAGTTAAAAGTAAATTGCAGAAAATTAATATTGATTCAAATTAAGCCATTTATCTCTTTATGCATTTCAACTCCACATCAAATACAATCATTGCTTAAGCTACTCTACAGCAAATCAAATTACAAGTTAAATTGCATCTTGTGGTGACTTTCCTTTTCTGGGAAAGAAACACAGACACACCAAAGCTTAGAGCTGAACCAACAGTGACTTTCCAGCCGAATGGAAACAAAGGTGTTGAGAAGCTTGCTTGCTCTGTCTACAATGACGAACCTTGCAAAGTGGCTTGGTTATTTCTCCTTAAGACAAAATGCTTTCCTGAATTTCCCTGAGGATGGCTCCCCTGGTTCTGGGAGGCTCCAGGAGCTGTGTGCGTGATTTCCAGACACAGGCATGAGGAGGCTGAGTGTATACCAGCCACAAATGTGCCTCTAAGGTGGGGTAAGTCACTGCTTTGTGCTAGCAGTGAGAGCCTCCTTCTCCTGGTTTGTGCGCTGGTTCCAATTCACTGTTCTATCCCTCTTTGCAAGCAGAGGCTAAAAAAAGGAAAGCAGCTCTGTGGAGGATGCTGGAGCTCTGGGGCCAGAGCCGCAGCAGTGAGGTAAGTCACAAAGGTGCTGCCTTAGGTGCTTGCTCGCCTGAATGCACACACGCATGAACACTCACGTGCACACACCTGCAAGCCTGACCTCTGCTGTTGTGAGAGCCGGTATGATGCTAATCATAATCAATATCATTATGATTGTGCAATCATAATCAATAGCAATATGATTATGCAGTGATGTTGGCCAGTGCCAGATTGTCCCTGCCGCCCAAAGCCCAGCCAAGAGCTGATGTCACCACCCCTTCCTAGCTGAAAAGCAAGTGGGCCAGCAGGCACATCACCTGCTAAGGTGGTGGTGAATAAATGGTAGGAGCAGGCTTGAGGCATGGCTCCCCAGTTATGCAGAATAAAATCTTGACCCTCCCAAAGAAACTGTAGGAATCCCTGGAGTTGTGTCCTCAGATCCGTTTGTCACCTTCTCAGAACCTAAGCCCAAGAACTCCCTTTCCTGGCTGCTGTGGGAGGAAGCCCTGAACCACAGGGCGTGTAGCAAAGGCAAGAAGAGTGAAGCTGGGAGGCTCTGAGATTCTTCAGAGACCCAGTGAGGGGAACCCATCTCCACCGAGATGGAAAGTGCATCAGATCTCCATCCAGGTAAGGATCCTTTGTTTAAAGGTGTAGTAGCCCTTTACTTTTCATAGGATGGATGTTTGAGGTTATTACTTTTGCCACCCACACATTCTGGATGGACAGAAAAAAAAAAGCCAAGATTTCCATCCCAGCCTTTGGCCACCAGGACCAAATGGATGGAAGCATGGTCTGACCCTTGGGTGGAAGATGGAACTTTCCTGGATAGAGGTTGAAAGGTGCTACACCAGTTCTTTGCCCCTCTGCTCTTTTGGGGGACTGAAGCACCACAGTTATGGGGTGTTTCCCTTTGGGACCACCTTCCTCTTTTCTTTTTTTTTTTTAGCTCTTCTTTTTAAAATCAAATTTTACTGAGAGCAGTGAGAGAAAAATTCATCAAAAATCAAATGCGAATGACTTGGTCAAATTTATTTCTCTCCAGTGAGAGACACAAGGAGAGAAGTTCTGGAGGCAGAAAGTTCTGGAAGGTAGTAGCAGGTTCAGCGAACAGAGGTGGAGGCAATGGAGATAAAGCTCAATGGTTGACAGAAACCATGGACTGGGAGCCATAAAGAAATGTCCTTGTCCTTCCAGATCGCTAAAACATTCTGAAGACTCTTTGGTGTTTGACAACTTGGCCTTTACTTTGCCAACATAGACAACAATCAGCAGGGTAGCAGGTACAGGATGAAGAAGCAGAGCCCTCCTCCTTCCTTTTTGTGTCTCCTTTGGAAGAGCCCTGCATTTCTTTCCTGGGGCTGCCAAACCAAAGCAACACAGACAGGGGCTTAAACAAAAGAAACGTATGTTCTCATGGTTATGGAGACTGAAAGTCAGAGATCCAGGTGTGGGCACACTGGTTCTCACTGAGGCCTCTCATTGGCTTACAGATGCCGTCTCCTCCCCGTGTCCTCACATTATCATCCCTCTGCATGGGTCTGTGTTCTAATCTCCTCTTATGAGGAAATCAGTCAGATTGGATTAGGGCCTGACCATATGAACTCATTTAACCTTAATTCCTTCTTCACAGACCCTATCTCCAAACACAGTCATATTCTGAGATCCTGGGGGTTAAGACTTCAACATATGGATTTTGGGAGACTCAAATGAGCCCACCACAGGCCCTTTCTATGGAATTCCTTCAATAGAGATGACTTAATTCATTGCCTGACAATCTGCCCAGTAATGACTACATAGAATATAGCTCAACTTTTGACCACTTGACATAACCATGAGGAATTTCTGGCAGAATTCTTGGCTGAATGGCCATGAATTGACTTCAACAGAACCCATGCTACCCACTTCCCTTCCATCTGTGACAACATTGCTGGACTCAGATTAAAAAAAAAAAAAAAAAGCAATCTGGATCAAAAAAAATAGGATGTGAAAACCTTAGGGATCATCTAACCCTAGGCTACTCAGCAGGTTTCATTTCCACACACACCAAATGTGTTCCACCTGCTTAGAAAGATGTGAGAATGAGTATCATGATTGATTAGCCATGTCTGTCATGGACACAGGATAGGAATAGTGGCTCATGTGTCATAGAACTCTCACCCCTGACTTAACCCAAATCTCCTACAGAAGCTAACAGCCAGTGTGGGGAAAAAAGACCAACACAGTCATTTGGCAATTTACAGACCTAGTTAAATCTTGAGTTTTTTGAATCCAAGCTCTTAACTTGCTACTTAATGTTTCCTCTGTTATGTTCATACATTAGTTCTTGATAATCAAAACATAAAAACCAAGGTCGTTCATTATATGTTCTTGAAAAGATAAGTAAATTGTTTGAAGAATTCTGGGATCGTTTTGCCGACCACACAGGAATTAAAGTCTCTACAGTAGTAGAGTAGTCTAGACAGTGGTGTCACAAGGATGAGCAAGACACCTGAGCCCACTCTTTAAGACCCATGATAGCAACAGAATATGCTGTCATAGAGCTAAATGCAACCTATCTTTCTGTGGGTTTGTGGGTCAGAGAGACAGTGAAATATTAGGGCTGTATCTTAAAGGATGAGCAGAAATTCTCTGGGACAAAGAAGAGACAGAAGAAGACTTCCAAGAATGGTGATCACAAAGCACTGAGCCAGGTGGGAAAGCAGGGGCTTGTCTGGGAACAGAGGTGGCAGCACAGGGCAGCTGGGGGCAGAAAAGGGTCTTGGTGGACAGAGCCCCTGGTTGCACTGGGCTTTCCTCTGCTTCTGCAGCCATTCTTTAAGCTATGCCCTTCTTCCCTCAACTAGAAAGCTAGGTTTCCGCCAAAGGCCAGTCTGCCTCTCAGAATAGTGGCTCACGTGTCTAGTTATGCATGGGGTAACCAGAAGAGAAATACTTCTGCAGTATTCTCCTTTAGGCTGAGGGTCCCCAAGACCACCTTTGGGTTCAGTGATTCACTGGAAGGACTCACAGAATTTTAAAGTCATTATACTAAAAATGGATGAGATCATGTTCTTTGCAGTAACGTGGATGGAGCTGGAGGCCATTATCCTTAGCAAACTAATGCAGGAACAGAAAACCAAATACTGCATGTTCTCATTTGTAAGTGGCAGCTAATTGATGAGAGCACATGGGCACATAGAGGGGAACAACAGACACTGGGGCCTGCTTGAGGGTCGGGGGAGAGAAAGGATCAGGAAAAATAACCATTGGGTACTAGGCTTAGTGCCTGGATGATAAAATAATCTGTACAACAAAGCCCCATGACACAAGTTTACCTAAATAAAAAACCTGCACATGTACCCCTGAACCTAAAATGAAGCCATGATCCTAATGGTTATGGTTTATTACAGTGAAAGAGTACAGGTTCAAGTCAGTAAAGAGAAAATGTGCATAAGGCAGGGTCTAGAGGAAACCAGCCATGGGCTCCTAATTGTTCTCTCATAGTGGAGTCGCAAGATAGTGCTTAATTCTCCCAGTAATGATGTGTGACAGCAAATAGGAAGTGTGGCCAATCAGGGCAGCTCACCTGAGTCTTGGCATGCAGGGTTTTACTTGGGGGCTGGTCACGTAGGCATGCAGCACCCACTTGCCTGACCTTAGTTACTCAGTCTCCAGCTCCCCCGGGTCAAGCTGATACCATGTGGCCCAAGGCACCATCATGAATCACATTTTTAGTGTGATGATGAACTCTATGTGTCAACTGGATTGGACCATGAGGTGCCCAGATAGAACATCATTGCTGGGTGTGTCTGCAACAGTATTTCTGAAAGAGATGGGCATTTGAATTGTTGGATTCGATAAAGCAAACGGCCCTCCCCAACATGGGTGGTCATTATCTAACCCCAAAGGAGGAAGGAGGAATTTATCTGGCCTCCCTTTTTGTCCTGAGTACTTGAGCTGGGACATCTCATCTTATCTTTGCTTGTCCTTGGTCTGGGATTTCCACCATCAGCTGCCCTGTTTCTCAGGCCTTTGGACTCAGACTAAAATGTATTGCTGACTTTCCTGGGTCTCCAGCTTATAAACAGCAGATAGTGGGACTTCTTAGCCTTCATAATCCCTTGAGCCATAATGAGCTTTCTTTTGTACATGTATGTATCTATCTTACTGGTTCTGTTTCTTGAGAGATCCCTGACTTACAATTAGCATAGGCTATCTGATTGGCCCAAGGCTGAGTTAAACAAAGACACTCTTGCCAGGCAAAATATCCTAAGGACTCAGAAATTATCTTCAAGAGCTTCTTGAGGGATGTCCTTTCTTTGGAACGTGGAGAAACTGACGACCCAAGTCTGCTGAGCTCTGCTTCACTGCATATGACCATCCCCTTGCATGGACAGTTGCTCATTTTCCTTCTTCTCCCACCTCCAAGCAACCCCCTGCCAGGAGCATTTGCCCACCTCAACACTTCCTTAAAGTACCCATTCCCAGAAGTTACTCCTATCCTCCTCCCACCTTGACCCTATTATTTCACCCAAGCTCCATCCCACTCTCTTCCAAATCCAAGCTTCTCATCTCAGAGAAGAAATTGACCTCTTTAATTCCCAAAGTCTTGTAATGGTGTGCTTGATGGGAGCCTGGATGCCCTTCTGGTGAGGGGATGCTAATCCAAAGGTTTCTGTGATGGTGTGATTTTTGTCGGCACAGCAAAGAGGATAATTTAAAATAATTCTGGACTGTGGAAGAACCATTTCTAGTTCCATCAATCACCTCCTCATCCTTGGAAAACATTCCAAGCTCCTCAGTGTGGCAGGCACAGTTTCCCAAAACCAGCGACCCCAGAGTCTTTGTGAACTTGTTTTCAACTCAGCTCAGTCATTAATCCTTCCAGAAACCCTCCCTGATGCGTGTTCAAGGCTCTGGCCTCAGTTGGTCCTGAGCTGACTCACATCTCAGCACTTTACTCAAAGTATTCTTCATCCATGCCCATGTGTGTGACCAGGCCTCACACAGTCATGTCCCAGTAAGAGCATGCCGTAAAGCCTTGTGGTTGCCATGAATGGTTACTTCTTCTGGATAAGAATGAAATAATGAAGGGCCTGCTAATATTATTAAGTCATTTAGTTAGAGATGCATATGTAGAATTAATGCATTAGCTGGAATCCTTATTCATAGTTTAGAGTTCATGAAGCAGGCTTATCCAGGTGCTACAGAAGGCATCTCAGGGTGAAGACTTTCCTTGGGAATCAAACTGCTTCCTCTCTGGCTAGTCGAGTCATGGAGCTGTTGCAATTCCCCTTTGATTCTATTATTAGAAATCTTGCATGAAGACACAAGTTCTATTTGGATAACATGAAGATGGCTGTTTTCTTCATCCTCCTATAAGGGAATATTATAATTTCTGCTCACTGCTGCTTTTTAAAGCTACCTTTACGAGATTTTCGTGATAGCATGTGATGTGGTTTGGCTGTGTCCCTCAAATCTCATCTTGAATTGTAGTTCCCATAATCCCCACTTGTTGTGGGAGGGACTCAGTGGGAGGTAATCTAATCATGGGGCAGTTACCCTCATGCTGCTGTTCTCATGATAGTGAGTTCGCCTGAGATCTGATGGTTTTATGGGGGCTTTTTCCCCTTTTGCTTGGCACTTCTTCTTCCTGACATCATGCGGAGAAGGATATGTTTGCTTCCCCCTCCACAGTGATTGTAAGTTTCCTGAGGCCTTCCCAGCCATACAGAACTGTGAGTTGACTAAACCTCTTTCTTTTATAAATTACCCAGTCTCATGCAGTCCTTTATAGCAGCATAAAAACAGAATAATACAGCATGTGACACTTGAAACTGTGAGGCTATATACCAGGAATAATTACAGATAACACTCATGATTGTGGGTGGAATTTTGTTTTTAACGGGGCGAGTAGCTGTTTGACAGTTTGGATTTGTTTGTTTATAAGTTATACATTTTATAATAAGTTGTTGGCTGTGGCTATTAAGGATAGTTTTTTTCTGTTGTGTTTTGGAGATGGGTAATAAAGTTTGAATAGAGTTTATGTTGTTTTTGTTTGATGGCTGTAAAAGATGGGTATATATTGTTATTATTTTGAATTTAATTTTAATTATTTAGGTAATATTTTTGTAGTTGTTTAATAACTTTATTATTTAGTATAGTTTGGTTTTGAATTGTAGCTTATTGGCTTATTTTTAGTAACTGGTTAACTGTAACGTTAACTGGAGGATTAGAGTTTTGATTAAGATGAATGTGTTTCTGGATAGTATTAACTTATTAAGTTTTGAATTGTAAATATTGGGATTTAGATAAGACTGACTTTGTTAAAATTTTTTAGTTATAGGGCATTAAATGTTTATTTTTTGTTAGGGCTTTTAATGTGGAACAGATAAAAGGAGAGTTGGTGCTGTAGTGTTTTACTGATTTTTTGAAATTTTTGAGGAATTTAAAAGAAAAACTTTTAAAAGCAGCACTAGAGTAGCTTGCCGCCCACAATGATAATAGGTTATATTCCTCTGCCTCTTTCTTTTTTGTGTCAACTGATTCCATTGAACACCCTCTGGGAGCACCCAAGACCAGCATTGACTGAGATCATGTCTTAGCACTTTGTGATTCAAAATAAAGACATCATGAGAGTCCCAGGTATATGAGAGTCTTCATGAGGGCCTGGATACTGGGCAACATGCTTAGTAATGAGGAAGAATCTTCTGGTGATTTTTCTCTGTGTGTGGCCCCCTCCCCTCTAGCCTGGGAGAACTGGTGCACAGAGACTTTGTGTGACCTCTGCAGATAGTGCCTGGCATCTGCTGGGTGAAGGGTTAATTATTTAATTAATTTATTGTTGCAATTAATAAATTAATAGCATGAATCATAACCTACACCAGACACTGAGGTAGTCAGGAGGGGTTTGAGATATGTGAGTGTGGATGGTTTAGCTTATTCCTAAGTGGTTTTGACCAGCTGGATGCAGGTTTCTGCATTCACCTACATTCACTCACATTTTCTGCATTTAAAAAAATTTCTCCAGAAAGAATCACGCATAAACAAACTCAAAACTCAGAAAGGCAATGTGATCTTTCTGGAACCCAATGCCCAGTGCAATAAGGTAATGGTGAAAGCATGGAGTCCCCAGGCCACTGTCTCCTGCTGTCTGCCTGGCTAGACCTTTTTCCCCACCTGGGACACCTGTGTGACCTCCACCCACACCTCTAAAGCCAGGCGGAAAGCAAGTAGACAAACATCCCAAACTTTCTGGGGCAGAGCTCAGGGGCACAAGAACCACCCTCCATGTCTGCCCTCCTCCAAATTAGATACAATGGAAATGCACCAGAGACGCAGGCCCCAAGAATTCACCCAGGTGGCAGAAATGATGCTGTTGCTCATGGAAACCAGAGCTGGTGCAGCCCATCCTCCCCCGAGACCCACACAGTTGACTAATGACTTTTGGAAGATGGATGCTAGAAAATGCAGCCCAATACCAAAATGCTTCATCTTAATAATGCCTCTCCTGCAAACTGCATTCCTAAAATGCTTTCCCGTGTTGCAATAATAGGGTTACAGAGAAGCAGGGGGCACGCCTGAGTGGACAATTAGAGCAAGCTGGGGAAGGGGCTGGGGGTTATGAGGAGCTGCCTGGATGCTGAGAGAAGAGGGAGCACACCACCCTGGGTGGGGTTAGTTCCTGAAAGGCTTTCATCCCATTGATCTGAGGGATGAGGCAGTGGGTGAGGGGCAGGTGGGAGCCAGGATTAGGAGAGCTGAGAAGAAAGGAAATTGGTCACTTCTCAGAAAAAGGAAAAAGCCAAATATATTGCCTGCCTATACTGGGTCTCTGTGCTGGGTATGCCACCTACCTTGGCATTTTTTTCTTCAAGCAACTAAAAGGGATTGGATGGTCACAGAGCAGTTATATCTCCAGCCAATGCCATTCTGCCATCATCTGTTCAAGCCCCCAGATCACACATAAACCAAGCAAATGGATCTGGCTGCAGCTGCTGCCACCTCCAGCCCCTGCCCGTCCACCATTGTCCTGGAGCAGAACAAGCCCATTGGTTTCCTGTGGCTTCTGTAACAGAGAACTCCAATTTGGTTGGCTGCAAACAACACACACTAATCCTCTTACACTTCTGGAGGTCTTAAGTCCAAAATCCGTCTCACCAGATCAAAAAATAAGATGTCAATGGAGCCATGGTCCCTCTGGAACTTCCAGGGAAAAATTCACTTCCCTGCCTTTTCCAGATTGCAGTGCTGCATTCCTGGGCTAATGGCCTGATATGGTTTGGCTGTGTCCCCACCCAAGTCTCATCTTGAATTGTAGCTCCCACCATTCCCATGTGTCATGGGAGGAACCCAGCGGGAGGTGATTGAATTATGGAGATAGGTCTTTCCTGCACTGTTCTCAATGACAGTGAATGAGTCTTATGAGATCTGATGGTTTTAAAAATGGGAGTTTCCCTGCACAAACTCTCTTTGCTGCTGCCATCCATGTAAGATGTGACTTGCTCCTTCTTGCCTTCCACCATGATTTTGAGGCCTCCCCAACCATGTGGAACTATAAGCCCAGTAAACCACTCTCTTTTGTAAGTTGCCCAGTCTTGAGTATGTCTTTATCAACAGCGTTAGGACAGACTATACAGTAAATTGGTACCAGTAGAGTGGGGTATTGCTGAAAAGATACCTGAAAATGTGGAAGTGACTTTGGAACGCAGTAACAGGCAGAGGTTGGAACAGTTTGGAGACCTCGGAAGAAGACAGGAAAATGTGAGAAACTTTGGAACTTCCTAGAGACTTGTTGAATGGCTTTGACCAAAATGCTGATAGTGATATGAACAATAAGGTCAAGGCTGAGGTGGTCTCAGATACAGGTGAGGAACTTCTTGGGAGCAAAGGTGACTCTTGTTATGTTTTAACAAAGAAACTGGTGGCATTTTGCCCCTACCCCAGAGATTTGTGGAACTTTGAACTTGAGAGAGAGATGATTTAGGGTATCAGGTGGAAGAAATTTCTAAGCAGCAAAGCATTCAAGATATGACTTGGGTGCTGTTAGAAGCATTCAGTTTTAAAAGGAAAATAGAGCACAAAAGTTTGGAAATTTGCAGCCTGACAATGTGAAACAAAAGAAAATCCCATTTTCTAAGGATAAATTCAACCCAGCTGCAGGAATTTGCATAAGTAACAAGAAGCCAAATGTGAATCCCCAAGACAATGGAGAAAATATCTCCAGGGCATGTCAGAGGTCTTCATGGAAGCCCCTCTCATCACAGACCCAGAGGCTTAGGAGGAAAAAGTGGTTTTGTGGGCTCAGCCCAAGGTCCCCGTGCTGTGTGCAGCCTAGGGACTTGGTGCCCTGCGTCCCAGCTGCTCCAGCCATGGCTGAAGCAGGTCAATGTAGAGCTCAGGCTGTGGCTTCAGAGGGTGCAAGACCCAAGCTTTGGAGGCTTCCATGTGGTGTTGAGCCTGTGAGTGCACAGAAGAATCGGGGTTTGGGAACCTCCACTTAGATTTCAGAAGACGTATGAAAATACCTGGATGCCCAGGTAAAAGTTTGCTGCAGAGTCAGGGCCCTCATGGAGAACCTCTGCTAGGGCAGTGTGGGAGGGAAATGTGAGGTCAGAGGCCCCGCACAGAGTCCCTACTGGGGCACCACCCAGTGGAGCTGTGAGAAGAGGGCCACTGTCCTCCAGACTCCAGAATGGTAGATCCACTGATGGCTTGCGTCGTGTGCCTGGAAAAGCCACAGACACTCAATGCCAGCCCATGAAAGCAGCCGGGAAGGAGGCTGTACCCTACAAGGCCACAGGGGCAGAGCTGTCCAAGACCATGGGAACCCACCCCTTGCCTCAGTGTGACCTGGTTGTGAGATATGGAGTCAGAGGAGATCATTGTAGAGCTTTAAGATTTGACTGTGTGGCTGGATTTTGGACTTGCATGGGGCCTGTAGCTCTTTTGTTTTGGCCAATTTCTCCCATTTGTAATGGCTGTATTTACCCAATGCCTGTACCCCCATTCTATCTAGGAAGTGACTAACTTGCTTATTTTTTGTTTTACAGGCACATAGGCAGAAGGGACTTGCCTTTTCTCAGATGAGATGTTGGACTGTAGGCTTTTGGGTTAATGCTGAGATGAGTTAAGACTTCATGATTGGTTTTGAAATGTGAGGACATGAGATTTTGGAGGGGCCAGGGTTGGAATGTTATGGTTTGGCTGTGTCCCCACCCAAATCTCATCTTGAATTGTAACTGCCACAATTCCCACATGTCATGGGAGGAACCTGGTGGGAGGTGATGGAATTATGGGGGTGGGTCTGTCCTGCACTGTTCTCATGATAGTGAATGAGTCTCATGAGATCTGATGGTTTTGAAAACAGGAGTTTCCCTGCACAAGCTCTCTCTTTGCCTGCCACCATCTACATAAGATGTGACTTGCTCCTCCTTGCCTTCTGTGATGATTGTGAGGCCCCCCCAGCCTTGTGAAACTGTAAGTCCAATAAACCTCTTTCTTTTGTAAATTGCCCAGTCTTGGGTATGTCTTTATCAGCAGCATGAAAATCAGCTAAACACAGCCTCTTCTTCCATCTGCAAAGCCAGTACAACATCTGGCTTCAGTCCTTAGATTACCCCCTTCAGTAGCCAAATCTGCCTCTGCTTTCTTCCTGTAAGTGCCCTCTGATCATATTTCTAGCCAACCCAGATAATCTAGGATAACCTCATCATCCCAGGATCCTTAATCACACCTACAAAATTCCTTTTGCCCTCTAAGATAACACTCACACATACTGAGAAGTCGTATGTTGATATGTTCTGGGGGACATTACTCAGCCCACCACGAGCAACCCAAAACTCTGTCACAAACCATTTCTCTCCATCCTCCAGAGAGATCCTACTCATTCTCTTCCCAGTCTTTCTGGATTATCATCTGCATATCTTCATGGGCTTAAAATTTTTTTTTGAGGGGAGTTGTTTAAAATGACCACAATGATTTCTGATTTTGCCTGTTAACTGCTCCTGTATCAAAGAATTATAAAAGCACAGAGTCAGATCTGCTATAAGACAACACATACCTTCCTAGAAGTCATTTCCCTGTGCAAAGCTGCACAATAAAACCACAGGGCTTGTGAGGGCACTCAAAAACCTGGATAGTAACACATATTATGAAAGAGAAGAACATAATCAGTATGGCAGCCCCCTGTTCTCCATAGTAAATGGCTATGGAATGCAGACAACACAGTAAATATGGCACTGTACTGTGGGAAAACCCTGGAATTGGCTTGTGGATGCCAGCGTCCAAAGGGCTGGAACTCAGGAGTCATCATGAGGGGTGGAAGGAGGGTGATCAGGGCAGATGGAGAGTTCTAACCCCAGATGTCACCAGCATGGCTCATAACCTACACCAGGCACTGAGGTAGTCAGGAGGGGTGTGAGAGATGTAAGTGGGGAAGGTTTCGTGGATTCCTAAGTGGCTCTGATCGGCTGGGTGCAGGTTTTTGCATTCACCTACATACACTCACATTTTCTGCATCTTTAAAAAATTTCTTCAGACATAATCACACATAAACAAACTCAAAATTTAGAATTGCATCACGCTTACATTTTCCCTAATCTATCAACCACATTGGAAAAAATTTGAGTTTGCAAAACCAGCTGTTAAAGCAGAACCAGCTGTGGAATGGGCAGGAGGGGATGACAGAGTTCATTCCTCCACCACCAGGTGGGAATACATGTGAACTGAATTCTCCTGTAAAACAAGCCACTGGAAATGGGGCAGCTGGCGGGGAGCCAGCTCTGTGTGAGCTTGGGCGTCAGTGGGAGGTGCACACATGCGCATGCATACACAGGCACACACATCACACACACGTGCACACAGAGAGGTGTCCTGAACCGCCATTGTTCCTCTCCCAATTATGTCTCCCACGGCCCTTAATGGCACTGTTATTTATTCTGTCTGCTTATAAGCTTTCCTCCATTCCCTTGACATGCCCTAGAGGGACCTTTCAGGATAATATGAGCCCGTCCAAAGAACTCAAGTGGTAAAAACTGCAGATGGAGTCAGAAATATGGCCAACGAGGAGTGGGGCTTGGCCCAGATACGGAGGCTAGGGTGATTAGAATGACCAATGTGTCGGGCACGAAATAGTAGCTCCTGACATCAATGGAGCGTCGAGAATAAGGCCCCTTATATCAAAGCAGGAAATGGGCAATTTTATGCCAACTGGGAGCAGTGCATCTTGAGGTAATGGTGAGTATAATTCATGTCATTTGCACTGGCCCAAACCTACTTGCAAAGAGAATTTCACCCTGAGCTCAGGTTTCCTGAGCTTCTAGGCTTTAAAGCCAGACCTTTAAAAATATATATTTAAAAGAATGCTAAAATATTTGCCTTGCTCTAAGGGAGATTAAGTGCCAGTGAAAATGGCCAGATTGATGGTCCCTGAAGACAGAAGTTGCCCTCCTTATGTCCAGATGAATCAGCCTGGGATCTGTGCCTGGTCCACACACACACACACACACACACACACACACACACACACGAACACACAAATAAACACTGATACATGCATGCACACACATACACTCACACATATATGCAAACAGACATACACTCACACATGCACACACATACACAAATACACAAACACACTCACATATGTAAAAACACACACACACATCACCTCTTTCTTGTTCTCACTCTTCCAATTTTTGGATTGTTCACATCTGCTCACCTGGGCAGGTGCCCACAGTGACTCCAGTGTGCAGAAGCAAGACACCATTGGATCAAGAGCCATCTCTGAGTGTCCTGCGAGAGCCTCGGGGGTCAGAGCACGTCCAGCACCCAGCCCTCCAGCCTGGGGGAGAACTCGCTCCTGAAATAAAAGTGGTGAGGCTGTCTCCCAGGGGAAAAATGAAGAACTAGGACTCAGCAAAGTGGTTTAAGAAAGAAGACACTCAAAGATCTATGTTCCATTAGAATGTTTTAAAATAATACATGTTTTTCCAAGTTGCCCCAGTTTTCTACAATGAACACAGGCTGCAAATGTGTTTCTTTAATATAAAAACATACAAGCAAATGTTTTAATATAACCTTAAACCCCATCACACAGAAATAACCACTGTTAGCCATTTGGTGTATTTTGTTTCACTCAATTTTCTAATATATACAGCCATGCATAACTCACATATATTCACACACAAATACAAACACCCATCCTTCCATTTATACCATCAATAATTTCGTAGTCAGCATTTTTCACTTAATAGCATGTCATATACATCTTCCCCTATGGCAGAGACACACTAAAATATAAATTTACATCTAGAATTTTTCATTTTAGATTGCAGCCATTTTCCCATTGGTTAGTTTTTAAACCACAATTTAAATGACTGCCTAATATCCCACAGTGTGGACAGTCCCTAGGTTTTTAAACTTCTCGTCTTCTGCTGAAAATATAAGTGACTAAGAGTCGCTTTATTCTGAAGAATGTTCCCCTGACATTTCATCTGTGTAAGATTTTGCACAGGTATGATTTTTGCTTTAGGATAAATTGTCAGCAGCAGTTTGCCAGACAGGAAAGCGTTTTGCTCAATTGTCTTCTCCAAAGGTTTCACTAATTTGCACTTCCACCAGCAAAGCACGCAGCAGTGATACTTCATCCCAGCCTTACAGCACTGAATATTATTTTCCCTTTTTGTTTTTTTGGCCAATTAAACAAGTGAAAACTAGATACTGCTTTTTGATTATATTGCTGGAGACTTCTAAGCAGTGGCAGAACTTCATGAAAGCCACCATGCCTCTTGTTGTTTGTTTGTTTGTTTTGGGTGTGTAGCCCCTGTCCTTCCTCTCCTCTGCCAATAGCAGGAGTGACCAGCTGTGTCCTGTGTTCTTAGGCGGCGCTGAGCATTTGTGAGCATCCAATGCTCCCTGGGTCACCGGGAACGTCATCCCATCTCAGTCCCACCAAGGTCTTTGGGCACCACTCCCTGCTCCCGGCTTTGGGTCTGCCCCCGGCTGAGTCTCTCTTGCCTCCTTGGTTCTCTTCTCCCCAGCCCAGGCAGCAGCCTGCTTACCCAGGTGCCCACATCAGTGCCAGCCCTCTCAGCAGCCCTCTCCATCTGCCGCTCTATTTAAACCCAAGTCTGATTGCACTTATGACCTGATGGATCTGGCAACGTTGCCTTTTCTCTCAGGACAAAGATGAATTTCCTTCCTGTGGCCTGCTCACCAGGTCCTGCCCACCAGGTGCCCTCTCCCTCCTTCCTCACCTTTGACCTGAGTGTCCTCCAGCAGGGGCAGCTCTGGGCTCACTCCCCCATTGGGTCCCCAGAGCTTACACAATGCCTGGGAGGTGCTTGATGGCTGTGCACAACTTGAGTATTAATAAATGAAACAATGATTTCGTGATCCTGAAAACACAGCTACAATGTCCACAGCTACTAAGAATGAAAGCCTTTTGTTACGGACTAAATTGAGACCCCCCCAAAAAAAAGATACATTGTAGTCTTAACCCCCAGTACCTCAAAATGTGACCTTTTGGAAGTAGGGTCATTGCAGATGTAACTGGTTAAAATGAGATCCTATGGGAGCAGGGTGGGTCCCAATCCAATATGACTAATGTCCTTATAAAAAGAGAAAACACAGACCCACAGGGAAGAGAGCACATGAGGACAGAGGCAGAGACTGGGGTGACGCATCTACAAGCCAAGGAAAGCCGGACTGTCAGCAGGCAGGAGGAGCTGCAGGGAGGCCCGGAATGGATCACAGCCTCTGGAGGGAACCAGCCCTGCCCACACCTTGCACTCATACCTCTACCCTCCAGACTGTGACAGAGTAACTTCCTGTTGTTTTAAGCCACTCAGCCTGTGGTCCTTTCTCACAGCAGCTCCAGGAAGCTCCCGCACCATTGTCACCCCTTAAAAGCAGGAGTGACTCTCTGATGTGCTGAATGCAGTGTCCTGAGCAGGGGTGCCCACAGTAAATGGGGCAGGTGGGTCTGTCTCTGGGGCCCACGCAGGCAGAAGACAGAAATAAAAACTAACCCGGTCACCAGGGGATGGGCCGACCCAGAGAGACCAGTGTCCCCTGGCTGGGGGCCCAGGGTGGGGAAGGTTCTGGATTCCTTCCACAATGCCAGAGGGTCTGCCTGCCGTTCCCACCTGTGAGACGAGAGCATCTCGCTCCCTCTAACATCTCCAGGCTGGCCTTGGTTGGGCTGCTGGCTCCAAGGTGAATGGAGAAGGCTTATTGCTGTGTCTCCCAGAAGATGCTTCCCAGAGCGAAGCACAGGCGAGTGTTATCTGTGCCTCATGCATATGTATTTACGGACGTTAAAAGAGGCCCATTGCAGAAATGCGTATTTAGCAGCTTCCTACAATGTGTTTTATTGCCCACGTAGGGCCTTTTGTAATATCCTCTGGAAATTCATATTAAAGGAGATTTCAAACCTAAATGACTGACCTGGCAAGCCCTTATGGTCCCTGTCTGCAAGGAGGTTTTATTTAATAACAAAGTGTCTTATTTAAAGTTGTGCCTGTGGATGAGACTGCCGGCGGAGGTGCCAACGTTTCCAGAATGCAATATTATATGTGTTATTGCCTGAATCAACCACGGTGCTCTATCAGACCAATTTCCCTGTTATGTTCTGGGTGCTTAAAAACCCTTAGAAGATTCTCGTGTACTTTTTAGCAAAAGCATGTCTCAGAATTTTGGCTGTTTTGAAAAACTGAAAAGGCTGTGTAAATCACATCCAAAAGCAGCCCCTCAAGAGTGAAGTAGAAAACATGTCCCTTTAGGTAGAAAGACCTTAGCTTAGCATGAGACTGACCACCTGTGCCCATGGGCACCCAGGAGCTGGTGGTGAGGCCAGCAGAGACACGAGAACAGATAGAGGTGGCATGTCCACTTTGGAGTGGTCTCCCCAAACATCTCTTTGGGAGTATGCAGGACAGGGGAGGTCTGTGGATTTGCATCTCATCTTGCAATAAAAATGGCTCAGCGGCAGGGCAGGGTGGTTCACGCCTGTAATCCCAGCACTTTGGGAGGCAGAAGTGGGCAGATTGTCTGAGCTCAGGAGTTCGAGACCAGCCTGGGCAACATGGCGAAACCTCATTTCTACTAAAATACAAAAAATTAGCTGGGCTTGGTGGTGCACGCATGTAGTCCCAGCTACTTGGGAGGCTGAGGTAGGAGAATTGCTGGGAACTGGGAGGTGGAGGCTGCAGTGGGCCAAGATCACACCACTGCACTCCAGCCTGGGCGACAGAGCGAGACTCCATCTCAAAAAAAGAAAAAAAGAAAAGGCTTAGCATGGTGGTTATCTAATGTTCCTATTAGGGAAACAAGGAAAAGAACTACCAGAGACAGCAGCTCTCCAGGGCTTGACTCTGGCTGTGAACTCCACTGCTTGCCTGTCAACACACTTAATAATGGCCATCCCTGAAACCTTCAAGTTTTCCTTTAAAGTCTAAAAGTTATACATGTGTCAGAAGGGCAGAGAAGAAAGGGGATGAAAGGAAGAGTAGTGGGAAGTCAAAAAGAATTTCTAAATCATTTTATAATACCCTATCCATGAAACCCGGGTACTATGGACTCAGTGTGTCCCCTCAAGACTCATATGTTGAAGCCCTGACCCCACATGTGGCTGTATTTGAAGTAATAAAGTGACTATGGTTAAATGTGTTCATAAAGATGGAGCCTTGATTTAATGGGATTAGTGTCCTTCTAAGGAGAGACACCTCCCCTCCCCTGGTCCCTGCCCACACACCAAGGAAAGGCCATGTGAAGACAGAGTGAGATGGTAGCTGGTCATCTGCAAGCCAAGAGGAGGGCCCTCTCCTGGGACTGAATCACTCAGCCCCTTGATCTTGGACTTCCCAGCCTCTAGAACTGTGAGAAATGAACGTCTGTTGTTGAAGCCCGCAGTCTATGGTGATGGCAGATAGTGGCCTGAGCCAAATGAACGCAGCAAAGCAAGCCCACAGCGCCCTGGTGCCTGCCTCCCTGGGCCCTGCTTGAATGCCAGCCAACACAGCAGCCCCTGTGGCCAACCTTGAGCTCAGGGACCACATCTGCCAGGACCCTGCAACACGCAGAAGGCTTCAGCAGAGACGAACGGTGGGAAGGGATGTTATGGGTCCAGCCTAGCTTAGCGTATGCAAGTGTCTCAGATCTCCTTTCATCTGTTCACATTTTCTCCCTGCCTGGTTAATACAAGAGGGAGCTCGCCTCCAGTAAATGCCCTTTCGTCCCCTGGAAGGAGAGTTTATTTAAGCCCAGTGAGACAAAAAGTCAACAAGGAAGAAAACAGAACAGAAAGGGCATGAGGGCCAAAAGGCCTTTCACGTTTTACAGCTCACGTAATTATGCAGGAAAGTGACACCCCCCGTCTCGGGCCTCCATCAGTCCTGAATAGTTAATAATATCTCTGACCTACCCTCTGTGCTCCTTCAGCTGTGGCTTAAAAATGCAAAATATGTTCAATAAGAGTGACCTCCTTGACCTACTCGCTAGAGAAAAGTGAGGACAAAGTGATAGTAACAGCGATGGCCTTGTCTTTACTTGTTCTAACCCCAGATCTTTGATCCTTTGCATGCTCAGGGTTCTTTGATGAGAATCCTCAAGATGATGGGGGCTGAAATCCACCGGGGCCTTCCAGCCTCTCACCCACAGGACAGAGCCTGCCAGGCAGGTGTGATCCACAGCTCGACCTGCATGGGGACAACAGTTGGCATCTATAAGGCCATCTGAATACTGTGTTGGGGACACAGTATTCATGACATACTGACACAGTGCTGGGGACAGCTAACCATCTGAGCAAAGACTCCATGGATAATTTGAAAGATATCTGGTCTTTGTATCTGGTTCCTGACCCAGAGCTTCAAAAACCCTTAGAATATCCTAATGATAGGAGTATCTTTGTTATGCTAATGAGGTGAATCATGGCGGGCTCCTAGATAGCTCCAGGAGGGGGCTGGTCACCAGAAAGATCACGCATGTGACCTGCGGTGGGGAAGGGTTGAGATTGAATTCAATCCCTTGTCCCAAGATTAATCATGCCTACACAGAGAAATCCCAGTTGAGCCTCTGGACACTGAGGCTTCGTGGAGCTTCCTGCCTCCACATTTCTGTACTAGGTGGGTGACACACCAGGATTCCACAGAGAGAGGGTCCGGAAACTCAGAGCTCCCTCCCAGACCTCACCTATGACTCTTCATTTTGCTGACCCTCTGTGTATCCTTTATAGTAAAACTGCAGTACAGAGCTTTCCTGGATTCTGTGAGTCTTTTTAGTAGATTTTCAAACCTGGGGAAGGGTCTCAGAAGTCTCTGAATTTATGTCAGTCGGTCAGGGATGCTGGTAGCCTGGAGACTCCACTCGGAGCTGGCATGTAACTGGGGCAGTCTGTGGAGGACCGAGTGCTTGACCTGGGGAGTCTGACACTAACCCTGGGTGGTTGGCATCAGAATTGCATGGCAGTGCACCCAGCTGGGGTGGAAATAGAACAGACTGCAAGAATGAAGGAAGACATAGCTGCGGACATAAAACCAGCCGAGGGCCTTTGCTTATCTCAGGGGCTGCGGCCATTCCACGTGGAGATTTGCATTCTGCAGAGAAGAGTGCCTCTCTGCCATTTGGTAAGCATCGTGGGTCATCGTGTTTCCCTATTGTCTGAGCTGTGTTGCTGAAAAGCAACAGCAAAGTCCTCAAACCACCAACACCAAGACCCTGGAGAACCAATGTGGCCACCCAAGGCAGCTGCCAGGACAAAGAGAGACGGTCTCTGTGTTGGCAGCCAGTGGCTCTCATGGAGCTGCACAGGTTTTTTCGTCTTTGGGGTTCAGAGTCTTGGTGACATTTACTCCTGTGGATTTGGGGAATCGAGGCAATGAGTACTTGCCTGAGGATTTCATACAGAATTTTAAAGAACAAAATCCATACACACGGTGCACAAGAGAGGGTCGGAAGACACTTAGAGCCGGGTCTCACCCCTTGGACGCCAAATCAGGGAATGCCAGGGGGTCTTACTCCTAACAGTCACTTCATGGACGCATAGGATGGTGGTGAAGATTTTGACTTTCGGAGTCAACTTTGAATCCAAGCTTTGCCCCTCATTCGCTCAGTAAACTTGGGTACCCTTCCTTTTTTTTTTTTTTTTTTTTTTTGAGACAAAGTCACTCTCTGTTGCCCAGGCTGGAGTGCAGTGGTGCAGTCTCTGCTCGCTACAATCTCTGCCTCCCAGGTTCAAGAGATTCTCTTGCTTCAGCCTCCCGAGTAGCTGGGATTACAGGTGCCCACCACCATGCCCAGCTAATTTTTGTATTTTTAGTAGAGACAGGGTTTCACCATGTCAATCAGGCTGGTCTCGAACTTCTGACCTCGTGATCCACCCACCTTGGCCTCCCGAAGTGCTGGGATTACAGGTGTGAGCCACCACGCCCCGCCATTAAACTTGGGCACCCTTCTTAACCTCTGTGAGCCTCGGTGTCTGCGTCATTGTAAGGAGGTGAGAAATAAGATGTCCTAGTGTATCTGTTGTTTCAAGGACTGAGTGAGATGATATGGGACACTCTTTAGAGCCTGGCCTGACATAGAGTAAGCGCTCATTAAGGATGTTACTTATTCTGTGTTTGTGTTTAAATTGGGAAGGCCAGATGGCCACCTAACTTTGAATCTCAGTGTTCAGCGACAGAAATTTTGACTGAAATATATGGAACCCACCAGGACAGAATAGAGTGCACCGAGGAAATGGCCCGGCCGATTCCCGCACGATTTCCTATTGCCAGCAGGAGACACCCAGGGCATCCATCAAGTTTATTCCCGTTCTGAATTTGCATGGGCACTCCCCACCGTGGCACCAGCCATTCGAGCTATACACATTATTTATGGGTCCAATAAAGGCCAACAGAATTGGAGGTTGCTGCAACAGGGGCAGACTTAACCAGCTTCTCCTGGAGGCTCCCTGCTCCCCCTCCTTTTCCGGGACCACGGGTCAGTTGGCTTCCTCTGCTGACTTCGTCCTGCAGGCTGCAGACTTTATTTCTTCCCTGCTAGGCCCGCTACCTGAGGATTCTCTGAAACATGGTGCAGGGTGTCTGGTGAACGCATTCTGGCTGATGTTTTCATACTCGTGGGGAGGGAACCTCTAATTCTTTACTATGCCAATAAATCCTGTGTCAGATTTATCTTCCACCAGGCCAACATTAATTTTAAAATCCTCCATGAATCATAAATCCGTCATACATCAAGAAAAGCAGTGCCAGGAAATTTTAAAAAGCCCTCATTAACAAAAGCCGAATTAGTCCTTTGAGGACCCTTCTCAATGGCCAAACAGACCATTTAAAGTCTGATCACTGTCATAATAGGACACTCTGTGGCACTGGGTCAGCGTACTGAATCTAAATTGGCTGGTGCTGGGCTAGTAATCACCATCTGGGGCATGTGGGGTGACTTGGAGGCTCAGAGTATTAATGCAAGACGATGAGTTTGGAAGCTTGTGTGAGCTAGTGGGCAAGAAGGAGCCTGGATAAAACAGTGACTGGTGCCTGGACCGGCTCCCCACGCAAGACCCTGCAAGCTTCCATCTCAGAGATAGGAGCCAAGCCCTGCACTAGTACCCGTGTTAGAGAACATCTACCTCTAGGATGTGGCAGCCCCATGGAATGCACATCCCTGAGAGCGCGCCAGAAAAAAAATCCCACAAAACACTCCTCTCCAGGGACTCAGAAGAAAGACGCATGCTGTGGCCCAAAGAGAAACTTGGTCTTCGGGATTTTCTCCAGAGAGCATACCACCCTCTCTGAAGGTTTTCCATGATGGTAGATCGTCACGTTGGTTTTACGGAAGTCGTCCAAGCCATCCAGGCCAATTTCAGGGAGGGAAGTGACAGGTCCCCTTGAGGGAGATGGCACCTGGCTTACTTGTGGGATTTGTAAGTGGATTCAAATTGCAGCTTCCAAATGGAGAGGACCAGCAACCTGCTCTGGGATGGTGGGATTGTTAGAACGGATTTATGATCTTTTCTGAGAGTACATCCCCTCAAGTTCAGCAAATTAGCTTGTGTTGATTTGGGAAGGGAGTTTTGTTTCAGCTTACAAAGGTATAGGAAGTCCAGTTCTCTCTATTGTATTTCAAAACAAATAAATGTTATAATAATCTTTTAGCTAATGCATTCATATAAATGGAGAGAACTAAGCCACACATAGGTATGGTCTGCAAGTTTGTGTTACCCCCAAAATGCATATATTGACGTTCTAAACCTGGAGGTGATGAGATTGGAGGTGGGGCTTTTGAGGAGCGATTAGGTCATAGGGGTGGAGTCTTCATGAATGGGATTAGCATCCTTGTAAAAGAGACCTGAGAGACCTCCCTCATCCCTTCCACCATGTGAGCACAGAGAGAGAAGATGCAGTCCATGAACCAGGAAGTAGGCCCTCAGCAGACATCAGGTCTCCTGGCACCTTGATCTTAGACTCTCCAGTCTTCTGCACTGAGAAAGATATATTTATGTGGTTTATAAGCCACCCAGTTTATGGTATTTTGTTATAGCAGCCCGAACAGACATAATCATAAAACCCTGATAAAATCTTTTTTCTTTCTTTTTTTTTTTTTTTTTTGAGATGGAGTCTTGCTCTGCTGCAGGCTGGAGTGCAGTGGCACAATCTCGGCTCACTGCAACCTCCGCCTCCTGGGTTCAAGTGATTCTCTTGCCTCAGCCTCCTGAGTAGCTGGGACTACAGCCATGCACCGCCACGCCCAGCCAATTTTTGTATTTTTAGTAGAAACAGTGTTTCACCATGTTGGCCAGGATGGTCTCAATCTCTTCACCTTGTGATCCGCCTGCTTTGGCCTCCCAAAGTACTGGGATTACAGGCATGAGTCACCGTGCCTGGCCAAATAATTATTAACATTTGGGAGAAGCCATAAAAATTAATATAAAAATTATATGTGGTTATGATAGAGATAAAAGTTATCTGTGGTTATGATAGCATTTGGGAATATCCATATACACATACTTGTACATGTAAAGATCATGCACACATTGGCAAACGTACATGCACATGTATATCTCCCAAATACTATCATAACCACATAAAATTTGTATCCACCTTTACAAAACGTAATATAAAATAAATATCCATCCATGCTAACAAATATTCATTTTGAAACATGGATTCTTAACCTGGAGATGCCTCTGTGAGTGCCCATGGTGATACAGATGCACAACATGTGTGTTCCGTACACTTGTGTATTCTATGGGAGAAGCGATTTCCAGCTATTATTAGAGGATAAAAGATCCTTGTTGTTGAGACTTCTGGCCAATGTAGCTAATGGATGCTGATATGCTTTGGCTGTGTCCCCATCCAAATCTCATCTTAAATTGTAGTTCATAATCCCCACATGTCATAGGAGAGAGCTGATGGGAAGTAATTGAATCACAGGGGGCAGTCACCCTTATGTTGTTCTCATGATAGTGAGTGAGTTCTCATGAGATCTGATGATTCTGTATGGGGCTTTTCCCCCTTTTGCTCAGCACTTCTCCTTCCTGCTGCCATGTGAAGATGTATTTGCTTCCCCTTCTGCCATGATTGTAAGTTTCCTGAGGCCTCCCCAGTCCTGCGGAACCACGAATCAATTAAACCTCTTTCCTTAATAATTACCCAGTCTCAGGCAGTTCTTTATAGCAGCATGAGAGTAGGCTAATACAGATGTGATGTGGAAAGCTGTTTACTCACAGTTTAAATAAAAGGAAGAAATGGCTGAATATCAGTAAGGGTCAAAAAGACAAAAGGAAAATCCACAGGTCAGAAAGGAAGAAGGTGCTCAAAGGAAGCAAGGAGAGGAGGGAGCTGATGCCTCACTCAGTCGTGGGCCCTGGACCTAAGGACAAAGGGTTCAACATCCCCAGAAGAGCTGTGGAGCCCTTGTGTTGTGGGTGTGAGAGGGGCTACCCACAGAAAGCCTGCAGCCTATATGGTCAGGAGTATAAACTGTGGATGGGAATAGTTTCTCCGGTGAGACATGAGAACCCTGAACACGGTCATGTGGGATATGACAGCACAGTTACACTTGGCTCTGGGGCAGGCACCCCAGGCTAAGAAATTAATAGAACTTTCTGTCTGGAATTGTGCAAGCAAGGTTTTTTGTCTTTTGGTTTTTAGTTTTTTTGCTTGTTTGTTTGTTGTTGTTGTTGTTTTGCCTCATATAACCAAAGACCCAGGCGGGCAGCCACGGTGGGCATGGTGACCTCTGCATGGGAGGATGAAAAAGGCCCTGTGCAGGGACAAAACCTCACTCACCATGGGCTGGATGGAGGTCACCTAGCCAGTGCTAGCTGCACAGGGGTCTGGGAAGGACCATTTTTACCTGAGTTGATTGCCACCCAATCAAAACCAGGCTTCTGCTAGTGATGATAACAGCAGGGATGGATGCAGGAGAAACCATAGAAACATCCTTCTTGGAAAGGAACAGGGAAGCCAAACCCAGCAGGTACAATGACAGTAAGATTAGCTCTGCAGGAGCCAGAGGTCAAGAGAGGGGTGAGGGAGATTTTAAAATAATTAATTTAAAATTTCCAGGGACCACAGAAGGAGCAGAGGACCCAAGAGAGTGTACAAAAAATATTAGCTGGCAGGTTTGTCACAGGCTAAATGGTACTTGCAGAAACTGATACTCGTAGAAAGGACTCAGTCGACAGATTTAGTGAGTAGGAAGATGAGAGGAGATGGCCAAGAAGCAGCCTGGAGAGACAGTCACAAAACTGCCAGGAGACAAGGAGGGAGAATGAATGCTTCCACGTATATCTAAAAGGCATTCCAGAAGGAGAGACACAAACTATGGAGAGGAAGCTTGTGAGGAAAAAAAATGGCTGCCAATTTTTCCAAAGTGAAGAGAGTACTCAGACTGAAGAAACTCAAAAAATCCCACATAAAATCAATAAAACAAATGCACATATGGGCACTTTATAGTAAAACGCTTGAACCTCATAGCATGAAAGAAAATCCTAAAACCCTCAGAACTGCACGAAGGGGAAATCTTAAACTCTACTCAAAGAAAGCGATTAAGAAAATAGAAGAGAAAAATCATAAGACAGAAAGTAGTCATCTCACTAGTATAAAATGACAGAATTCAAGAGAATAATTGTAAATAATGAAGAAACAACCTTTCTTAATTGAAATGCTATGTTCAATTAAACTACCTTCAGATAATTTTAGATGCAGACTGAGTTTACTATTGACTGTTCAGTAATCCTCTTTGAAAGAAATATTAAAGGATACATTTCAACAAGTAGGAAATTAAACCCCAAAGAAAGATATAGGAACCAAGAAAACCTATGTAAATAAAGTTGTGAACACATCAGTGACTCTAAATAAACAATGATGTCCCCCCCACCCACTGACAGGAGAGCATTAGGACAAATACCTAATGCATGCGGGGCTTAAAACCTAGATGACGGGTTGATAGGTGCAGCAAACCATCATGACGCACGTATACCTATGTAACAAACCTGCACATTCTGCACGTGCATCACAGAACTTAAAGTAAAATAAATAAATACATTTTGTTAAAAAATGATGTCTAAATATATATATATTTTTTAAATACTGGGGTATTTAAAAACAAAGTGATACTGAAATACTAGTCAACAAAAAGGTGAGACTGGGAATGGGGAAAGCTTGAATTGCATCTTCTAACTTCCAGTGAGGTAGAAATTGCTTGATATTGTTGTTTGATATTGTTAGGCTTACTAATAAACATGTTAAAATTTAAAATAAGTAACCACTAAACACAAAATAAAAAGAAGTAGAAGAGTAAGTAGAGACCAAAACTAGTGGAGACCAAAAAGAAAAATAGAAAACCCTATATCATCTAGGAAATTTTAAGAGAAATGAAGAAGAAAGAAAATTCCCATTCAAAATTATTTTAATGGCTATAGAGTCATTCATAAAATGTGTGTTAAATAGGTTTTAATTATGTGTGTGTGTGTGTTTAATGAATCACCTATTGTTAACAATTTGTTCCAAATGTGGCCCACTCTCACCCCTTGAAGTGATTCTAAGTTTGGAGAATGTTAGAAGCAATTATTTGTGGTCTGAGGCAATGAGGTGCCATCCTTGACTAATTTCCTGTCACCATTCTCTAGAAACCACAGTGGCCCACCCAATTTGCCACCCTAACCTAGGCCAGGGCCACCCTGACTTCTACATTACCTCCTGTGGCTTGGTTCCTTGATGGGGGTATTGACTCAGCCTCAGATGTTATGAACAAATGAAGGAATGCTTGGTTTTATTGAGTGTCTCTCAAGTGCCAGCACTGTTCACATGTTCCCCCTTTTAAACATCACAGCTAATCCGCCAGTAGGAGTGCATCCCCATTTTAAAGATAAGAAAACTGAAATTCAAAAGGACTTAAATTGTGCAAGATTACTTATCATATGATTTGGCTGTGTCCCCAATCAAATCTCATCTTGAATTTTAACTCCCACAATTCTCACATGTCATGGGAGGAACACTTGGGAGGTGATTGAATTATGGGGGCGGGTCTTTCCTGCACTGTTCTCATGATATTGAGTGAGTTTCACAAGATCTGATGGTTTTAAAAACAGGAGTTTCCCTGCACAAGCTCTCTTTGCCTGCACCATTCATGTAAGATGTGACTCGCTTCTTCTTACCTTCTGCCATGATTGTGAGGCCTCTCCAGCCATGTGGAACTATAACTCCATTAAATCTCTTTTTATTTCCAGTCTCAAGTATGTCTTTACGAGCAGCATGAACATGGACTAATACAGCAAATTGATACCAGTAGAGTGGGGCATTGCTGAAAAGATACCCAAAAATGTGGAAATGACTTTGGAACTGGGTAACAGGCAAAGGTTGGAACAATTTGGAGGGCTCAGAAGATGACAGGAAAATGTGGGAAAGTTTGGAACTCCCTAAAGATTTGTTGAATGGCTTTGACCAAAATGCTGATAATGATGTGGACAATGAAATCCAGGCTGAGGTGGTCTCAGGTGGAGATAAGGAACTTGTTGGGAACTGGAACAATGGTGTCTCTTGTTATGTTTTAGCAAAGATATTGGTGCCATTTTGCCCCTGCGCTAGCAATTTGGGGAACTTTGAACTTGAGGGAGATGACTTAGGGTATCTGGTGGAAGAAATTTCTAAGCAGAAGAGCATTCAAAAGGTGACTTGGGTGCTGTTAAAGGCATTCAGTTTTAAAAGGGAAACAGAGCATAAAAGTTTGAAAAGTTGCAGCCTCCTAGTGCAATAGAAAAGAAATTCACATTTTCAGAGGATAAATTCAAGCCAGCTGCAGAAATTTGCATACGTAACAAGGAGCAGAATGTTAATCACCAAGACAATGAGGAAAATGTCTCCAGGGCATGTCAGAGACCATTGTGGCAGCCCCTTCCATCACAGACCCAGAGGGCTAGGAGGAAAAAATATTTTGTGGGCCAGGCCCAGCGTCCCTCTGCTGTGTGCAGTTTAGGGACTTAGTGTCCTGCATCCCAGCTGCTTCAGCCATGACTAAAAAGGGCCAAGGTACAGCTTGGGCCATGACTTCAGAGGGTGCAAGCCCAAAGCCTTGGCAGCTTCTATGTGATGTTGAGCCTGTATGTGCACAGAAGTCAAGAATTGAGGTTCAGAGACCTCTGCCTAGATTTCAGAGGATGTATGGAAATGCCTGGATTTCCAGGCAGATGTTTGCTACAGGAGCAAGGCTCTCTTGGAGAACCTCTGCTAGGGCAGAGGGAACTGTGGGGTTGGAGCCCCCACACAGAGTCCCTACTGGGGCACTCCCTAGTGGAGCTGTGGGAAGAAGGCCACCATCTTCCAGACCCCAGAATGGTAGATCCATTGACAGCTTGCACTGTGTGCCTGGAAAAGCCACAGACACTCAACACCAGCCT
The DNA here is from genome assembly GCF_000001405.40 of Homo sapiens. Classification (NCBI taxonomy): domain Eukaryota; kingdom Metazoa; phylum Chordata; class Mammalia; order Primates; family Hominidae; genus Homo; species Homo sapiens. Next base: position 4,901,688 of record NC_000001.11, on the reverse strand, counting down.
GTGAAAGCAGCCGGGAGGGAGGTTGTACTCCGCAGAGCAACAGAGGTGGAGCTACCCAAGGCTGTGGGAAACCACCTCTTGCATTAGTGTGACCCAGATGGGAGACATGGAGTCAAAGGGGATTATTTTGGAGCTTTAAGATTTGACTGCCCCGCTGGATTTCGTACTTGCATGGGAGCCTGTAGCTTCTTTGTTTTGGCCAATTTCTCCCATTTGTAATGGCTGTATTTACCCAATGCCTGTACCCCCATTCTATCTAGGAAGTAACTAACTTGCTTTTGATTTTACAGGCTCATAGGTGGAAGGGACTTGCCTTGTCTGAGAGGAGACATTGGACTGTGGACTTTTGAGTTAATGCTGAAATGAGTTAAGACTTTGGGGGACTGTTCAGAAGGCATGATTGGTTTTGACATGTGAGGACATGAGATTTTGGAGGGGCAGGGGTGGAATGATACATTTTGGCTGTGTCCTTACCCAAATCTAATCTTGAATTATAACTCCCACAATTACCACACGTCATGGGAAGAACCCAGTGGAAGGTGATTGAATTATGGTGGTGGGTCTTTCCTGTGCTGTTCTCATGATAGTGAATTAGTCTCACAAGATCTGATGGTTTTAAAAATGGGAGTTTCCCTGCACAAGCTCTCTCTCTTTGCCTGCTGCTATCCATGTAAGATGTGACATGCTCCTCCTTGCCTTCCACTGTGACTGTGAGGCCTCCCCAGCCATGTAGAACTGTAAGTCCATTAAACTTCTTTATCTTCCCAGTATCAGCAAGACTGTCTTTATCAGCAGCGTGGAAATGGACTAATACAACATAGTTAGCAAGTATTGTACTATGTGGCAGGATTACTCTCAGGCCTTTGGACTCCTGTTCTGTTTCTTTTCATTACACCACAGTTAATTCAGGATGTGAAATCCGGGTTGGCTGTTCTCTGCAAAGGGACAATGGTGTCTGTTAAGATACCACTGCAGGGAAACCCAAAGTTGATGGCATGAGCAGGACTTGGTAGTGAAGGGAATTCACCCAGATTTCCACAATGCCTCAGCTCCCACTCTTTGGGAAATAACTGTCAGAGGCAGGCAGCATTGACCAAGAAAGTTCCCCTGGATGCTGAGGGATACAGGAGGAATGGTATGGAACTAAGAGCTGCACAAGTAATAGTGCATCTGCCGGGAACGTGGGCCCAGTCTATGTGAGACGGGGGTAGGGGGAGCCTGGGAGCAAACAGCCCCCAGGCCTGCAGAGGCATTAAGAACTGGTGTTCGCAAAGTGCAAGCTTGCAGAGCGAGATTGCTGTTGTGGCTGCTGTGAAGGAAGGGGTTCATTCCTTGGTAACATGCCACCTTCTACAGGAGGAGAGTCAGACCAGAGCTCAGTGACCAAGCCTGACCATGACATTTGGCATCTGCAGCCTTTGGGCGATCAGGGGATGGCCCTTGGACCTTCCAAAGTGAGGCCTGTCTGTCACATAAGTGTCTCCTCTGCACCCCTGCTCCTGTCTTTATCCTTTCTAAGGGGTCTTCATTTCAGACTGAAAAGAAATTCCATGAGAGGGAGCAGCTGTAGCTTTTGTGGTTGGAGGAGGGATTGTCTCCCAAGCTTCCTAGGACCCTGCCTCATCTCCAGCCCCTTCCCCATTCCCCAGCTCATCAGCCACCCATGCCCCACAGCCAGGCCATTGGCTCAGCCTGGAGGCTCACAATCCTTCCTGCCAGTGTCTCCTGGGCACCTGAGGACTAGGAGCCTGAGACCCGTCTTCTGAGCTACCACCGGGCCAGCCCTGCCTCTCCCTGTCCATGCAGGATCCATGCATTTTACTCCCATTCCTTAAGCACCAGCCATCTGCCAGGCCCTGTTGATGGTCTCAGGGAATCTTGAAACAAAACTGCTGGAAACCTCTGCCCTCTTGGAGCTTACAAACCAGTATGGGGAGAGAGACAGTGAACAGTCCACACAAATGAGAGGGTCTTACATGGGGGTGCGGGTAGGGGGTGATACCTGGGAGGCAGAGTGAGGAGGGTGAGTGGCTGGGATGCTGGGGCCGGGGCTGCCTTATCTGTTCCTGAGTGGTTGCTCTCCACTGAATTGTGTCCCCCTTGAATTCAAATGCTGAAGCTCCAAACCCCAAATGTGACTGTATTTGGAAATAGAGTCTTCTGAGAGTCAATTGGGGTCATTAGTGTGGATTCTAATCCAATCCAACTGGTGAAATGAGGACACAGACACACACACAGGAATGATCATGGGAGGATGCAGGGAGAGGAAAGCATCTACAAGCTAAGAAGGGAGGGCTCAGAAGAAACTGACTCTGCCTACACCTTGGTCTTGGACTTCCAGCCTGAAGAACCACGAGATAATCAATTCCAGCTGTTGAAGGCACTTAGTCTGTGGTGCTTTATTCTAGCAACCCAAGCCAACTAATGCAATGACTGGTCTTTGAGAAGAGAGCATCCAGTGAAAGACCGGACAAAGGGGAGGGAGCTGCCTGGTGGCCATCTGTGGGGCGGGACATGTGACCTCTTCCGAGTAGGGTGGAGGACACCAGTGTGGCCAGAGTGGGAGTGCTGGAGGAACAGCAGAAGAGGCCAGGTTGGGAACTGTTCTGTGTTTTGAGAACTTCTGGGCAGCTATAGAATAACGACCATACTGGTTTTATGTGCATTTTCTCTCCTGCAGGAGTCCCTGAGTGTCTTGAGGATGGAAACAGGGCCTCATTCATCCTTACATGCCCAGAACCATTCATGGGCCCACAGAAGGCCAAGAGAAGGAGTGAGGGGGTGGACAGATAGAATTGCCCCTCTGTAATGCACACCTGCAGGATGGGCTGGAAGTCCCTAGGCCATGCTAACCACCTGGGCTCCAGGACCAGCTCACCTCAGCTTTTCCATGAGCTGGGAGCTGGTAGGGTCCCTGGAGAGACAGCTCTCAATGGATGAATTGAAACATAGGCCCTTTCAGGTATTCCCCCTCTTCCCAAGACCCCACAAGCAGAGAGCAAATGGCACCACTCCCCTTACAGGGCATTCTCTGTGTGTGTTCCTACAGTGTGGGCCTGGGACAAACTGCAGCCCAGAGACCTCAACTCACAACCCCCACAACCCCCTGGAGAGTTCCACTCTTTGGTTTATATTTCAATGCCGTAAAAATCTTTCTTTGCAGAATTATTGCAAACACACAAATAGTTAAACATATCTGGAACCATAACTCAGATCCACATTTAACTCTGCCTAATAGATGTTGAGACACACAGGGGGCAAGGTGGGAGGGGGACATAAAATATCATATTTCTCCTCTGCCTGTGTTATAAACCATTTGAGAAATGATAAAAAAAAGTAATGGATTAAAAAATGATGTTGAGATCAAGACAGAGTTGATGTTGTAGAATGTCACTTCCACCTGCAGGGAGCAGCTTCACGTGCTCAGCCTCATGGAGCAACCGGGGCTGTGCAGACCCAGGAAATCTGTGACACAGGGGAGCAGATCAGAGCAAAGTGCGTGCTCTCAAGAGGAAGAAGAGGGGGAGAAGAAGGGTCTGCCCTCTTGTCCCAGCTTCTCCTTCGCAACGCATAGCTCGGGTATTGCATACCTCTCTAGGGGAGAAGAGAGTGAGGTGGGGAGAGTGGCCTGGATGTTACTGTCATGAAAGGAAAATCAGGAGAGAAGGGAACCCTGTCCCTCTCCCATCCAAAACTAATGTAACTACTTTGAGTTACTGTATTAGTCTGTTCCCACACTGCTATAAAGAGACTACCTGAGACTCGGTAATTTATAAAGCAAAAGAGGTGTAATTGACTCACAGTTCCGGATGGCTGGGGAGGCCTCAGGAAACTTACAGTCATGGTGGAAAGCAAAGAGGAAGCAAGGACAGTTTTCACAAGATGGCAGGAGAGAGAAGCCCAGAGGAAACTGCCATTTATAAAACAATCAGCTCTTGTGAGAATGCACTCACTATTATGAGAACAGCATGGGAGAAACTGTCCCCATGGTCCAATCACCTCCACCAGGTCCCTCCCTTAACACCTGGGGATTACAATTCAAGATGAGACTTGGGTGGGGACACAGAGCCAAGCCATAGCAGTCACTTTGCTTCACTTCACTCAGCCAAGAAACAGCCATTTGGGGTTTTAGGGCAGCTCCATTTCCTCTGTGTCTCTGCAGTCAACTGTTCCAGCCAAGCACGTGCTCCCAGAAGATGTCCACAGGGCAGAATCACTGGAGATCCTGGGCATCCCCTGCATTCTGCTCCTGCATGACTTTTGGTGATGGGACAGAAGCCTACACTTAGGCAATGTCCTGAGTCACCAGAGACCGAGGAAGTGGATGGACACAGAGACCATTTCTCCATGAAGGTGGCAGCTCGCCCTGTGGCCATGGCGTGGCCTGGAGGGAAGACAGTGCTGAGCACAGCCTGTGTCCTCACTGTGTGTTTAGTGTGTGGACAAGTGTGCCTCTTCCCGCCTCTCCCTCCTGCTTCTGTGAAGCCAGCACAGAGTCCTCCTCCTGTGCCTGCTTGGCTGGGTGTCACAGACATGGGGAACGTCAGGGTGGCAGAGGCCTTTGAAAGCCATCCAAGGCGAGGAACCGAAAGCACAAAGTGTCATTATTGCTGTCACTGCCGATAGTCCTTCCCGGGGATGGCAGGGGTCCTGGATGGCGAACAGAACGCAGAGGTGCGATTAGCTAAATTTAGCGCAGGACACAAAAGTCTGAAGCTTTGAGCTTCGTCTCGCTTTGACAAATGATGAGCTAGGAACCGCTGCCCATCTTTTGATTTCATTCCCTTGGTGGCCTGAGGAGTTGGGAGAGAATTACTTTCAGATGAGGATCGTCCATGTTTGCATAGCACACGTTTCCATGAGGCTGCAAAAGCATGCTTTATTACATTTTCCTTTGAAATATAATGCTGCCATTTAAAGGCAAGAACATTTGCCATGCCTTAAAAATGCCATGTGAGTTAAGGCCAGAGCAGAAAGCCCTTGCGGCATGAAATCCAGGTGGGAGCCACCAGCGTCCTCCCCATTCCTGGACCCAGAACCTATGGTTTACAAAACCTGCAGAGACCAGAAGACATGTGATATATTAGTCAGCTTAGGCTCCCGTAACAAAATACTGCAGACTGGGTCATTTAAACAGCAGAAACACATTGTCTCCCAGCTCTGGAGGGTGGAAGTCTGAGATCAAGGTGTCTGCAGGGGTGGTTCTCTCTGAGGCATCTCTCTTGGGCTGGTAGATTTTCTCCCTGGGTCTTCACATCTTCCTATCTCATGTCTACATCTAAGACTCCTCTTTTTTTTTTTTTTTTTTGAGATGGAGTCTTGCTCTGTCACCTAGGCTGGAGTACAGTGGCATGATTTCTGCTCACTGCAACATTTGCCTCCCCGGTTCAAGCAATTCTCTGCCTCAGCCTCCCAAGTAGCTGGGATTGCAGACACCCGCCGCCACTCCTGGCTAAGTTTTGTATTTTTAGTAGAGTCTGGGTTTCACCATCTTGGCCAGGCTGTTCTTGAACTCCTGACCTCATGATCCACCCACCTCGGCCTCTCAAAGTGCTGGGATTACAGGTGTAAGCCACTGTGCCTGGCCTTAAGACTCCTCTTTTTATAAGGATACCAGTCCTATTGGATTAGGGCCCACGCTAACAGCCTCGTTCTAACTTAACCACCTCTTTAAAGGCACTGTCTTCAAACACAGCCACATTTTTAGGTACCGGAGGTAGGACTTGAATATGTGAATTTGGTTGGGGAGTGGAAGGTGTGCGATTCAGCCCTAACACCTGGTGTTCTGTGGGGCAGAGCAGAAACAGAAAACATGAATCTGTCACTGGCCAGCAGCGCTGAGACAGCTTCTCCCCAGCTCCTGGGGACTGCAAAGTCCCCTGTTCCGTTCTGAGTGCCGTGCTCTCCGGTTTGTCTGTTTTTTTATCTGCCGCTTGCTCAGCATGGTGGCCATTGGCAGGTTCTTCCTGAGGTGGAGGAATGGCCTGTGGTCCCAGATGTGCAGGATTATTGTGAGCCAAGGCTCTGGGCGGGGGGCCTGCTTGCAGACACAGACTCCACATCCATGTCCCTAATCTGGGCATAGGTGGAGATATGTTTGAAACCAGGAAAAGGAATGGAGTTGGGAACAGGAAATCCATCTACCAACAAAGCTCATTCAAGAACAAAGGCAATTAAGTGGTAGGTCATTAACAGCGGAAAACAGCCTTTCTTTTAAAAAGAAATCAGCCAGTGAAATGAGTTTGCCTTCTTCCTCACTTACTGAGACATTCAAAGCAAGGTGGCTTAGCGATGTTACGTCCACCCAAGCATCTGTCATTGTGGCCGATGTGGGTGGGAGTGTGTGTGTGTGTGTGTGTGTCTGCGCACGCCTGTGCTGTCTTCCTAGAGAGACTTCGCTAGCACCCACCTCCTCAGCACATTCAATTCTGACAGCCTGCAGACCTGCTACCTCCTGCAGAAAAAGTACTGAGGTGGGAGAAATTCGGAGAAGAGACACGTAAAAACATAATAACAATAACACTGTTTGATGAATGTTCTCCCATCAAACCTCCAGAGCATAGCCTGGCAGCGTGAAGAAGGCAATTGTCGGAAAAAGTCTACCACTTATCCTCTCTAACCTATAGGCCCCATTTAGCCAATTAATCTTACTTATAAAAGGACAAGCAAACAATTTAAGTTTATGTGGTTTCAGTTTTGGTCATTTTTCTGCTGTTAACAGACAGGGTCATTCTTCCTGATAATTAAGACTCTTATAGTCAATAAGACCCCACTATTAAATTTAACTAACATTGATGGCCAAAACTCTGGTTGCCATCTCTACCCCCCACTGCTGGGCTTTCCCTCTCTCTGTGAATAGTTCAAGTGCAGCTTTCTGCACCTCCAGCCTCACTAAACACCACGTCCTTATAAATCACAGGCTCCGGCTTTTGCTAGCTGCTGGAGGAGGAAGCGGGTATGCAGAGTGCTGCTGGTCATGACTGGGAAGTGAGACATAGCAGCCAGGTGTTTTAGTTTAACCCAGAACTGTTTACAAGCGAAACAAAACAAAATCCTTTGGATTCTGCTTCTTAATCTCACTATTCCAGATGGCTCCTCTTGTTTCCCAAATCCAGCTTCACAGCACTGTGTACCCCACTCACTGCCACCACCTCCACAGTAAGCCCTTGAATGCCCCCTTTTGTGCCCATCACACAAGGAGTCTTTCTTTCCTCCCTTCTTCCTCCTTTCCTTTTTCCCACATATTTTCTCTAAGGTACTTGGAGCATCAAAGATGGATCAGAAGTACACCTAACCTCACTGATGCTACACTTGAGTAGGGGTGACAGGAATTCTAACAGGAGACACGGACAACATAAAAAGTCAAGGGCTTTAGAGTTGGGTAGGTTTGGGTCTATGCCTGAGTGCCTGACTGTGAGATATTTTTTTTTTTTTGACAGAGTCTTGCTCTGTCTCCCAGTCTGGAGTACAGTGGTGCGATCTCAGCTCACTGCAACCTCTACCTCCTGGGTTCAAGCAATTCTCCTGCCTCAGCCTCCCAAGTAGCTGAAACTACAGGTGCACACCACCATGCCAGGCTAATTTTTGTATTTTTAGGAGAGACGGGGTTTCACTGTGTTGGCCAGGCTGGTCTCGAACTCCTGACCTCAAGTGATCTGCCCACCTTGGCCTCCCAAAGTGCTGGATTACAGGTGCAAGCCACTGCTCCCGGCCTGACTGTGAAATCTTGAAAAATAAATGCCTACTTTTATTGTGGTAAAATGTATATAACATATAATGTACCATATTGACCATTTTTAAGTTGACCATTTCATGGCATTGGGTGCATTCACATTGCTGTGCAACCATCACCACTATCCATTCCCAGAAATTTTTTGTCTCCCTAAACTGAAACATTGTATCCAATAAACACTAACTCCCATTCTCTCTCTCCCTAAGGGCACTCAGCATCTTACTGTCTGTATGAATTTGATGACTCTAGGTCCTTCATATGAGCAGAATCATATGGTGTTTGTTCTTTTGTGATTGACTCATTTCACATGCCAAAATGTCCCTGAGATTCATCCATATCATAGCATGTGCCAGAATTTCTTTTTATTTTTAAGGCTAAATAACATTCCATTGTATTGTTGTAGTTCAACCCAGAACTGATATTCCACAATTCCTTTATCCATTCATTCATTGATGGGGAGGTGGGGAGTGGGTGGTAACCTTTTGATGCGTATTCAGGTAAATGCTTTTGAAATGCACTTTCCCCTCCCGTGAGAAGTAAATTAAAATTTTATCTAGATGGCTGGTAAATTGTATTACTTTTTTTAAATTTAAATTTATTTTTATTTTATTTATGTATTTTTTTCAGATGGAGTCTCACTCTGTTGCCCAGGCTGGAGTGTAATGGCACGATCTCCGCTCACTGCAAGCTCTGACTCCTGGGTTCACGCCATTCTCCTGTCTCAGCCTCCCAAGTAGCTGGGACTAGAGGCACCCACCAATTTTTGTATTTTTTGTATTTTTTAGTAGAGACAGGGTTTCACTGTGTTAGCCAGGATGGTCTCGATCTCCTGACCTCGTGATCCACCCACCTCAGCCTCCCAAAGTGCTCAGATTACAGGCGTGAGCCACCGTGCCCGGCAGCCGTAAATTGTATTAATATGTAGTAGGTGCTCTGTAATGAGTAGCTGCCATGATCTTGTCATACTGTCATTGTGTCCAGAGAAATCGCTCAGCAGAGATAAATCAGAGAAACTTGTATGGTACAGGAGGCACTTGAACTGTGCACAGCAGAAAAGGTATGTGTGAGATATGTGGATGAGCACTGGCCGTCACTGTAGGGAAAGACATCAGGGTGAGAAGAGTGCAGAAGGGTGTGTGAGTGAGTACAGGAGACAGGGAATCATCCCATGTGGTTGGGACACAGGGATGACAAGTCAACTGTTGGAGTGCTGTGGTGGAGTTCTGAGTGTCAGGTTGGAGCACCTGGGCTGGTTCTAATTGGGTAAGGAATATAAGTTGTGCAGTTACTCAGGTGGTCTCATGGTATGGGATGTGACCAGATCCATTTGGGACATGATGATGTTAATAATAACTGGGAAAGAGTGGAAGAAAGAATATTACTTAGGTAATGACTTAGGGGTGAAGACTCAAGAGTAGTAGAATGGAAGGGAGACTGTATTAGTCAGCTATTACTGAGTAACAAGCACTCACAAAATCCAAAGGTATACAACAATGAGCACTGGTTCCTCTCACATTTCTAAGTCAGCTAGGCTGAGCTCTGGGGTCATTTCCTTGGCCTTGACTCTTAGCTGTACTGGGATCCAGTCCACCTTGTGTGTGTTCATCCTGGGGCACAGACTGTGGGGGCAGCAGTTATCTACGGAAAGCTCTTCTCACTGCAGTGGCAAATGCAAGCATGAAGACCTCTCAAGGCCGGGGCTCAGAAGGGGCACAAGTCATTTTTGCCTATGTTCCCATGGCCAAAGAGAGTCACATGACAAACCCAAAGACAAGGAATATTATCCTCTGCTTTTACTATTAGGTTGGTGCAAAAGTAGTTGTGGTTTTTGGTATTACTTTAAATGCTAAAACCCACAATTACTTTTGCACCAACCTAATAGAAGAAATGGCAAAGCCAAAAGGCACAAGAGGCAGAGAGGTAAAGAATTGGGCCAATAGTTTAGGCTACAGAAAGTGCACTAAAATAATGTGCTCTCTACAAATCAATGGCGTCTTCTGCATTTTACACATTATTCTTAAGAGAAAGTAGTAGCTAGAAACCCTGATTAGCCCTGCCAGGGAAGCACAGAGCATGTATTCTCTGGTATCTTCATTTTGCTCAGCTTAATACCTGTGAGAATCATCTAGGTTGCATGTATGAGTAGTTCATTCCTGTCAGTGTTGAGTAGTATTCTTTTGCATAAACTTGTAACTTGTCCATTCTCTTGTAGGTGGGCATTTGGATTTTTTCCGGTTTGAGAATCTTATGAATTAGGCTACTGTGAACATTTATATACAGGTTGCAATTTTTAAACACATATTTTCATTTCCCTTAGATACATACCAGAAGGGGAACTGCTGAATCATAGGGTAGGTGTATATTAGTTTTAGGAGACCCTAAGAGTTTTCCCAAGTGCTTGTACCATTTTACCTTCTCAGCAGCCAACATAGCTGAGTTCTGGGTGATCCAGTTTCTTGCCAACATTTAGTATTTCTGGGTTTTAAAAGCTAATTTTGTATGTGTCCTTATGGTTTTAATACTTCATTGTGGCTTTAATTTGAATCTTTTATGACTAATGACATTGTGCCTCTACATGTCCCTATGTGCCATTTGTCAATCTTCTGTGAACTCTCTATTCAAGTTTCCTCCATTTCTGTTTTCTCTTGCTAGGATTTGAACATGTCCCCCAAAGTTCATGTGTTGGAAGCTTAATCCTCAATGCAGCAGTATTGAGAGGTGGGACTTTTAAGGGATGATTAGGTCATCAGGGCTCTATGACCCATGAATGGATTAAGGTCACGATCACAGAAGTGAGTTTGTTATCACAGAAATGGTTTGGATTTGTTAGAAAAGTGAATGAATCCCCCTCTTCCTCTCTCTTGCACATGCTCTCTAATTATGTGATGCCTTCTGCCATATAATGACACAGCAAGAAGGCCCTCAGCAGATGAAGCCCCTCAATCTTGGACTTCACAGCCTTCAGAACCATGAGCCAAATAAACCTCTGTTGTTTATAAACTGTCTTTTTTTATGGTTGTGTGTCTTTCTATTCTTGAAATGTAGGACAACTCCCATTTTTCACTCTTTACCCATCAATTCTGAGGTCATCATCTAAGAAAACTGGACATTAGGGCCTCAACAACTTCAGTGAAGCAGCCGGTTTTCCAGGGGGAGGGGAGGACAGTATCACAGAACTTAGGGACCCCAAGAGAAAATCTTCCCATTGTTGAGCTGGCAATATTAATCAGAGGAAAAATCTATTTTCCTAGATGGGAAGGTAAATTATTAGGGTTTGTTAGTAGAAATAGAATGTATGTAGTCACTTGATTTAGGGGAATAGACTCAGGCCCCCATGATCTTATAGAGGAATAAACAGTTAAGGAGGGTAAACCCATGGTAACATGTAAGTGAGGCAAATCAAACAGATCATAAATTTATTTAAACAGCCTCAAGGACCTCGTAATCCTGAGACAGAAACTACTCCCAGTTGCCCTAACAGTTAAAGACTCATGGTACGGTGACAACACTGTAATAAGGATAAAATGCACACAAATAAAATAGAGAGAATGGTGGAAATTGTCGGGGTCACAGGTGGTCTCGTTAGCTCCCCTTTGCAGGGGAGAGTCAGGGAGGGTTCATGCTATGGAGGGCGGGTTCAAGAAGTAAGTACAATGGGGAATGTCAAATATGGGATGGAGTCACCTGAAGTAGGTGAATGCTTTGCTCAGAGCCAGTTATCCCAAGGAGAGAAGACTTCCAAGGAAAGGACAGCACATCCCAAAGTCCTGAGGCAGGAAGAAACTAGGTATTTGGGGGTATAAAAGGAAAAGTGTGCTGGAAGCTGATGTGTGAAGCAAGAGTGTTGTGGGGAGAGAAAGGAGGTCATCAGCACCTTCTGATCTCAAAGCCTCTGTCTCATAGACTTGAGAAGGGTGTAATGGAACCCACTTCATGGAGGTGTTTAATGTTTTAAGTAAGATCATTGCTATAGAAACAGCCAGCACAAGATGTAGGCAAAGAGTAGGTGATCAATAAGTATTTGTTGAATAAAATAGATGAATTACAGCTTATTGCAAAGTGTGACTATAGTAGAACCCATGTCAATAGGAAGCAGAAATATTTGAGAGACCACGTTACCCTAGCAGTTTTGGGGCTCAAAAGGCCCCATGGACTGGCCCTGCTGGGGATCTCAGAGACCCCCATAGACTAACCTCTTGATTTCTGACACAGAGACCGGTGCTACCTGGACGATCTAGCACTGTGCATTGATTTTTTTTCTTTCTTTCTTTTTTTACCCACTATAATCATACTTTGGATTCATAGGACAACATTTGCATTCTGAGATGAAACCTCTACAAAGCATCAATCTTTATTATGCCTTGTTGACAGATCCACCCAAGACTCATTTACCACATTTTTGATTTTTAAGCCAGGTAATGGGGTGCGAAGATGGATAACTTGTGATCTGTGGCTTCCCTTCAGGCACACTCGAAAAATTGTAAAATATTACAATGCTTAAACACATTCTCTAGACATTTTAAAGTATGCTGTGGAATGTCTGCACAGTCTTGCCATTCAATTCGACTATGACTGGGAACTCACACTCCTGCCTACCCTCACCCTGATTATGAGATCCCTGAAAGCCTTGGAGATGAGCACCAGAATTGTCAGGGAAGGTAAAGAGCCCCAGCTTTCACATCTTCTCACCTATAAACACTCTCCAGTTGGAAAAGTCCTTGTAGATACCTAAGTCCAATCTCTGCCATGCACTTCAAGTTAGCAGTGGCCTTTTCCAGCATCAGTGTACTATTGGTTGCTTCCAAGGAAAAGCACTCAGGGATAACAAGGAAGTGGAGACAAGTCTACAGCAGTGTGGTAATAAGTGTTTTGTAACCAGCTCTCTGGGGGGGATAGGGACTTATTTGTAGTGTTTACTTGATTACCTTGTGTGAATACTCCCACAATGGCTAATTCCAAGCTACTGGCATAACATCACTCAACACAGAGTTGGAAAGAGATGCTTGTCAGGGGTTCTCACCAGCTAATGTGAGCTGGTCTTAGCCACCCTGGGAGCATTCTGTTTCTCAAGGTGAAGTGTTTGGGGAGACTCTCCACCTCCTACTTGTCCCTGAGGTAGGATTTGTTTCTTTATTGGATATCCCCTGTGAGTATAACATTACCTAGGTGCCTCCAGGAAACTCACATTGTAACAGAAGACATGGGGAGGTAGAGACAGCATTACATCACAGCTGGAAGAGGATTTTGCATGTTCCACTGTAGGAATGAGAGTGGGGCTCCTTGGACTCTCCAAATTGTGTCTTCTTAGACCCTCACCCTTCACACCTGATATAGTTTGGCTGTGTCCCCACCGAAATCTCATCTTCAATTGTAGCTCCCATAATTCCTTCATGTTATGGGAGGGACCCAGTGTGAGATAATTGAATCTTGAAGGTGGTTTCCCCCACACTGTTCTGATGGTAGTGGATAAGTCTCATGAGATCTGATGGCTTTATAAAGGGAAGCCTCTTTTGCTTGGCTCTCACTTTTGTTTGCCACCATGTAAAACATGCCTTTCACCTTCCACCATGATTGTGAGGCCTCCCCAGCCACATGGAACTGTGAGTCCATTAAACCTCTTTTTTTTTTTTTCTTTTGCAAATTGCCCAGTATCCAGTGTGTCTTTATCAGCAGGTTGAAAATGGACTAATACAACACCTATGGAAGAAAAGCAAAATAGGTGAATGGGAGAGGAGCGCCCCCTGTGAACACTGAGCTGCCCCACCACAGTGATGGAGAGGTGCCTGGAAGCCACAAAAAAGAGACATTCATGGCCCTCTGCTTCTCAAGGTCCAAGGTGATGAGGTGGAAATGAGAAGCCAGCTACCAGCTAAAACAACCACTTATATAGCCCCCATTCCATTGTCTTTCTATTCTTTAAGATGAGTTTTTTCCCCTTTGTCAGCCCTCCTCAGTTCTATCTACTGACTGTCCTTCCTGATGTTTGTCTTCTGAGTTCTTTAACCAATCAGATCCCATGGAGATAATCAGATTTATCTGATTATTATAAAGAGAATTATTTCCGTGGATCCAAGCAAAACACAGAGACTTTGTTTACTCCATGCCTACCAGGCTACAAGTGAGCAATCTCCATTGCTTTAAAGAGGCACTTATTTTTCTGCTCCATTTCTCTTCATAAAGGGCTTATAAACACTGTGGAAAAGAGTTAAAAGAAGAATTTTTAAAACATCACACTATCTGACTAACCATCTTTAGTATTTGGTGCATTTCCTTCCAGTCTTTCTTCTGTGCTCTTTCACACAGTTTTGGCAACACTGCCTATACTGTTTAGGATCCTGCTTCTCACTCTACCCCATAGGATTCCCATTTTTCAAGTCATTACATCATCTTCACATTCATCATTCTTTCATTTATTTTTCTATTCCATTTTTTCCTGCAATCAAAATTACCCATGCACACAGTTACAGAGTCAATTAATTCTATAAGATTTATTACTCATAAAGGTGTTCATGATATTCTCTGATGTTTATTTGTATTTATGTGGGGTCAGTGGTAATATTTCCTTTGTCTTTTCTGATTGTGTTTATTTGAATCTTCTCTCTTTTCTTCTTTATTAGTCTAGTTAACAGTCTATATATTTTACTGATTTTTTTCAAGAAACCAACTCCTGAATTCATTGATCTTTTGATCAACGTGTCTCAATCTCCTTCAGGTCACCTCTGATTTTGGTTATTTCTTGTCTTCTGCTAGCTTTGAGGCTGTTTTGCTCTGGGTTCTTTTGTTCTTTTAGTTGTGAATACATGTGACCAACAAGTACAGGAAAAAAAAAAGCTCAACATCACTGATCATTAGAGAAACGCAAACCAAAACTACCGTAAGATACCATCTCACACCAGTCAGAATGGCTATTACTAAAAAGTCAAAAAATAACAGATGCTGGAAAGGTTGCAGAGAAAACAGAACACTTATACACTGTTGGTGGGAGTGGAATTAGTTCAATCATTGTGGAAAACTGTGTAACAATTCCTCAAAGACCTAAAAACAGAACTACCATTCAACCCAGCAACCCCATTACTGGGTATACATCTAAAGGAATATAAATCATTCTATCATAAAGACCCATGCATGCCAATGTTCATGACAGCCCTATTCACAATAGCAAAGACATGGAATCAACCTCAATGCCCATCAATGGTAGATAGGGTAAAGAAAATGTGGCATATGTACCCCATGGAATACTACGCAGCCGTTAAAAAAATTGAGATCGTGTTCTTTACAGGAACACAAATAGAGCTGGAAGCCATTATCCTTAGCAAACTAATGTAGAAACAAAAAAAACGAATACTGTGTGTTCTTACTTATAAGTGGGAGCTAAATGATGAGAACACATGGACACATAGAGGGGAACAACACACTCTGGGGTCTATCGGAGGGTGGAGGGTGGGAGGAGGGAGAGGATCAGGAAAAATAACTAATGGGTACTAGGCTTAATACCTGGGTGACAAAATAATCTGTACAACAAACCCCCATGACACAAGTCTACCTATGTAACTAACCTGCAGATGTACCCCTGAACTTAAAAATTAAAAAAAGATAACCCCTTAAAAATATTTGTTATGAACCTCAATAATCCCTGATCAATTTTTTGCTGATTTTTCAATCCCAGAGGTTACTGCTTTCTAATTTTTAGCTGTTTCTTTTGGTATTTACCTTCGTGTTTATGAATAACATTTCTTTTATTTTTCATCGGTATTTCTTTTTTTTTTTATTATTTTACTTTAAGTTTTGGGATACATATGCAGGATGTGCAGGTTTCTTACATTTCTTACTAGCACAAAGCCCAAAGAATTTTATTAGAACATAAAACACTCTAAAGTAGGTAGAAAAATATGCCCTTTTGCATTGGAATAGAAGCTCACACTTGGCATTGCTTCAATATTCAATTATTTCAGGTTGACATTCTTAGCGTTATTTGCTTGGCTTGGAGGAGGTATGTCCTCTTCAGTGCAGGCCTCTTTGGTTACTGCTATTTCATATGGAGCTCTGGCACTTAGGCTTCATCAGACTCAGTCAATGCTGGTTGATAAGGTTGCCCATTTGCCCCTCTCTTCACAAAACTACTTCTACTCCATCCAGGACTAAAGAGAATAAATTAGAAAACCACTTCCTAAGTCCTTTTCTTTCCAAATTAAGGGTAAAAAGAGAATTATCAGAATTTGGTTGACACATTTCCTTTCCCTAGAACTAATTTTGTGAAGTTGGAGCCAGCAAAGCTGAAGTTTCCTTTCTTTCCAGAGCTACATACATATTTCTAAATTTTATACCATAAATCATTGCATTTCTACCTGTTGATGTTTCCACTTCAGTTACTTCTTCTTCTTTTTTTTTTTTGAGACAGAGTCTCACTCTATCGCCCAGGCTGGAGTGCAATGGTGCGAACTCATTTCACTGCAACCTCTGCCTTCCAGGTTCAAGTGATTCTCCTGCCTCAGCCTCCTAAGTAGCTGGGATTACAGGTGCATGCAACCATGTTCGTCTATTTTTTGTATTTGTAGTAGAGACAGGGTTTCACCATGTCAGGCTGGTCTCGAACTCCTGACCTCGTGATCCGCCTGCCTTGGCCTCCCAAAGTGTTGGGATTACAGGCTTGAGCCACCCCACCCAGTCTCAGTTGCTATTTATTAACTTACCACTAAGAACAAGAAAGGTTTAGTGCTCTTTCATCCTTTGCACCCCTACATATGTGAGCTCCCACTCCTCCATCATCCCACCATGGTAATATAGCTACATTGCCATGCTGCTGAAATGGATATTCAGTGTTTATGTTATCATGACCAACCCAAAGTGAATGGTGATATATGGGAATTCAATTCACTGGATGCTATGAGATCATTTTTCTTTTCCTAAACAACTACTGTTGTTTTTTTCTCAATGGTGTTCATTGTCATGGATGTCATTTTTGGCTTGTTTTGTCTCATTTTCTATATTCCATATTCCATTTCCATATTCTTGTAGAAATTGTCTCTTGCAAGAATCTCTTCTCCATTCATTCGAACACATCCAGTGAATTTCATCTTCTTGGAGACATCACTCTCTGTCTTTCAGCCTACTCCAATCTGGACTGTTATACTCTATGGTGTACAACTGTCGTCCTGGAACCACCTTCCCCATCACCGTAGGGATCCACTTTTCTTGTTGTCCTCCCTATTTCCTGATGACATGCCTTCCTCTCTCTGTTTGACTTCCTCATGTTAATGGAGCACCTTCTTCAGCAGGTTTCAGACAAAAGGTGCATGGATCTACTGTGTCTAAAATTGTTGTTAGTCCACCACCACACTTGACTGACCATTTGGTGAGCATAGCCTGCTAGTTTCACAACTTTTGCCTCATAATTTGAAGGCATTATAATACTCCATTTCCTCCTTGTTTCCAGTATTGCTCTAAAGAAGTCAGGTGTCATCTAATCTGTTTTTTTTTTTTTTAGTTCTAGAGTTAATTTCTTCTCCTCCCCACAACTCTCCTTTCTCTCTCAGCTTTTAGGATCTCTGCTTTGCTCCCAGTGTGTGACAGTCCATGATGCTATGATTTTATGACTTGGTAGGGATTATTATTTCATTGTGTCAGATGTTCAAAAGACCCTTTCAATTTGGAAACCTGTGACAATAAGGTCTGGGGAAAAAAACTTGAATTATTTCTTTAATTTTATGAAGCCCTTTTACTGAGAGGAAGTCTAGCATAGTGGTTAAGAACTTGGACATGGGAATCAGACTGCCTGGTTCAGATCCTAGCTCTGTCATTTACCAGCTGAGTAATCTTGGGTAGTCAGTCTCCTCACCTCTCTGTCTTAGTATCTTTGTGCTTGGTGTCCTCATTTGTAAAATAGGACAAAAATAGTGCCTACTTCAAGATTTGTTATGAGGATTTAATGAGTTAGTATATGGGCAGTGCTTGGAACAATGAGCACATAGAATTACAACATATCACCAGGTATTTCTGCTATTCTTTAGTGATATATTCCCATTCACTGTGTTTGCTCTTTCTTTATCTAACTTTTTTCTTTTTGGGTAATCTAATTTTCTTATATTTTGCATATCACTTTGTCATTTTGTTACTTTCTTGGAAGTTTCTTCAGCTTATCTTAGAAACTTTCTATTGAATCTTGAATTTTTGCCCTTATCTTTTTAATGTTAAAGAACTACTTTGTTTTCTAAATGTTCCTTTTTAACAACACCTTCTTCTTGTTTCATGGATGTGATATTTTCTCTTACAACCCAAGGGTATTATTGGCATTTTTCTTGTTTGTTAGGCTTTGGTTTTCATCTCTCTACATAACAGTTTCCTCCCTGGGGTTCAGTTTGCTTGTTTGGTATCTGTCCATGTTACAAACCTTCCTCAAATATTTTGGAGATCCTTGAAAGTCTGCTCATATTTAATATATGAAACTTTAAGGCTGGTTGGAAACTCTAAGTGGGTAGTAGCACTCGTCAACTTTGGTCTTGTGGTAGGATGATCTGCCTGGGATGTCACTGGGGAGGCTCTGCTGTCAGTATCTTTAGGTCTTTTCATTTGGGCTAGTCAGATTTTCCAGAAAACAATCTTCCAATCTCCTGTCTGGAAGGGAGACGTCTGAGGATTCTGAGAGCCAACTGGGGGAAACCTCCATTTAATCATCGTGTTTTCAATTTGATCATTGCTCTAATCCTCACATCTTCAGTGACTCTGTTTTAGCCTCTACAGAGAATAAACCTAGTCTCCTGCCAAGGTCGGGGAAGTTGTTCTTCCACACACAGAATTTTGAAGACAAGTCAGGTGAGGGATTGGTCCATCTACTTCCCACACCAACCTCCAATCATCCTCCTGTTTTTACTGTACCTCCACATTTGCTTCCAGAATGTAAGGGGCCCCCAAGTTCTAAGCCCTTGGGAGATTCTGCAGGGCTGGTCAGTCTGCCATGTTTTCTGTACTGCTGATTGGACTCTGCTTTCTTGGGTCAGCTGAGTCTGTAAACACTTGTCCTGCTTCTCAGCATCCAAAATAATGTTATTGTCTCCTCTCCTGTTCTCACTGATCTTGAAATATTATATGTTGTTTAAAATTTTTTTTCATTTACTCTCCTTTTTAGTAGGGTTCAGGTGGGGACTGGAGATAAATATGTTTGCATTCATTTTGAGATGAATAACTTAAAATCCTAGGTATCATCTTAAAATGACAGCATATTTCACTGAGTGCCTTGTAAGTTATTTGGTTAATTTTCAGCAAACTGCTGATCATTTTAGTGTCAAAAATTTCTTGTGGGTGTGTATTTAGGCCCCTCCATAGCCCTGGAGTAAATGAGGAGGACCCGCAGGGCACTAGAATGAGGTGGTTGGGGCTGGAGGTCTTGCATTCAGAGTCTATCTCCATCACTACTGGCTGCATCACCTCAGGCTGAGTATATGAACTCCTTCTCCTTTGGTGCCTCCACCCAGAAGAGGAGGATGGAGATCATACTATACCTGTCCGGTAGGGTCATTGTGAGTTGTGTACAGCAATGAGTCCACAGTACTTAGATTTGGCCCTGATGTCTGATAAAAGCTAACTGTTCTTTTTTAAAGGCTTTACAAAATCTGTGATAAATAGTGCCCCTCACCAAAAAAAAAAAATCAGTTTCTATAGCCACTAGCAATGAGTAAGACATCATTTCACTAGCTGGTTGCTGGAAAGTGTGTAGTCATTTCTAACTTGATATGCAAACACACACACACATTACACACACACTATGTCTCATTGTTTCATCTGAATTTCTAAGTGTTACAGTTGTTGGACATTCTCCCATTCATTTGCTTCCTAGTCATATTTTTACATTTGTGAATTGCCTGCTTGTGTCTTTTGCCCATTTAGATATTAGGGCCCTCATGTTTTGCCCATTGTTTGGTAAGACACAGCCAATGTTTCCCAAGGAAAACTATAGAACAGGAAAGAGTTCATTGGCTGTCGGCCCCCTGCTCTTTCTGGAAGCACCTTTTCATCTGAGAAACCTAAACATCCAGATGGCCAGTGTGGATGGAGAAGAGCTGTGTCCACGAGCTGGGTTGTGGAGGCCCATTCTGAGGGCACTGTCAATCTTTAGCGGCGTAGGGAATAGTACACGGGCTCTTGCTTCCAACATAGCTGGGAAGGCTTTCAGGCATCCGGGAACAGGGCGAGAACTTCCTGATTTCCATAATCGGGCCCCTGCCAAAATGATAAACCTCTTTCCATCCAGCAAATCTTGAGCAGATTTTCTCGGTGAGATCCCAGGCGCTCTGCTGCCCAATGGCTCAGAGCTGTCCTTGTAGATGGGAGACTCACAGTAGCAGAGAAGCCGAATTGACATTCTTGGGGAGAACTGTCTTTCTTTTTGACAACTGTTGCAGCGAAGTGAAGGCAGCAGCCCTTCTCTTTTGCTTGGGGGAATAAGAGGGAAACACAGCCTCTGACAATTAATGCCAGTTGATTTTTCAAACTGGAAGGCAGAGGTCCAGCAGAAAGGCTGAAATGCCACCGACAACGAATCTCATCCCGCTGATACCGAGTAATGGCTTTGCGGCAACTGTTCACCCAGACAGGAAAAGACACATGAGAGAATAAGAAAGGGGGTGGTTTACGTTGCCCTCCCTGTGCCATCTATGGGGAAGGAAGGCTGATATTCCTTTTTATTCTGCTTTCCATGTATTTTCTTAAGTGCAAGTTGCTGCTCAGTCATGGATAATTAGCAGATGACAGATATTTTGTTACTTAATGAACATCTGGGGAAACATTTCCCAGTGGCATTCTTTTGGAAACTAGTAAGGAGATGATCCCACAAAAATAAAATTCTATGGTATCCTGCGTACCACACCCCACTCCCTGCACACACTCATGTATTAAAGACTAGCAGAATCTCAAAGTTCAAGGGATGTGGTTTAGTCCGGAGTTTAACAAAAGGATGGGATTCTGTACGCTTCCCTCTGCGTTGTAGGAGACTTGCCCTCTCATTTCACAAGGTCAAAAGGAGGAGAAACCTGCTGGGCTATGAGATTTTCAAGCCAGCACAAGGCCTGGGATCTTGAGAGTCTTGGTTCTGGGTTCTTTCTAGTGCTAATTAACCTTTCCGGACCTCAGCTTCCTGGACAGGCTATAAAACAACAGAGCCATCACTCAGCACCTCCCAGGGCCAGTGCCTGTGAAGGAGGTGAGCTCAGCCAGCGATCACTCCCAGTGGGTGCTCAGGAGTCATTAGCTGCAAAATGAACCAAGCCCCGCAGGCAGCTGATGCAGAGTAAGCGTTCGGAAGCATAACCGTCCAGATTTCTTTCTACTGCTTTAATTATTTCTAAAATAATTAATTAAGCTTTGACCAATTCCGGGCAACAATCAAGAATCCCAAATTAGTCCTCACCAGGCCCTGATTTCTGTGCTTTGTGTATATTAATTCAGTAACTCCTCACTGCCCCATAAGATAAGGTTATTATTGTCCCCCTGTTGAAGATGGGATCCCGGAGGCACAAAGAAATTAAGGCACGTGCCTACAGTCACTTGGCTGAGTCAGTTGAGCCAGGACATGAACCCGAGTCACCCAGCTCTGAGCATGTGCTGATGCCACTCAGGCTGGGTGCTGTTGCCACAGCTCATGGAACAAGAAGCTTAGTACCACTTCTTGAGAAACAGTGACAGCCAATGCCCACTGCAGAACAGATCTCACTTCTGTGCCTTTGAAGATGCCAATAAAATGACTTATTAGAATAAATAACTGATAAGGGGAAAGACACTCAGTGCATGTTTCCAAAAAACAAAATAAAAGGAACAAGAAAAGCGTGGCTAATCCATTTATCCATTTGCCCTAGGAGCAAGCATCTCAGCTGCCAAGCTCCATGATGGTGCATAATGAACCTGGCCCCCGGCTGGCAGGAGTAGGACTTGCCCGAAACTCCAGCATGAGGCACAGAAACCCCAGGCTCACCCAGTGGCCCACATCCAATTTCTGGTTTCTTTGCTTAGGCCCCCTCTCCCCTGAGACACTTGAAGGGGCAGCATCTGTCTAATCTGTCTCCTCTTTGCCATTGAGAGCTCTCTACTGACTTGCACTAGTGTCTCCAAAAAGCCCGCAGGAAGGTCTCTACCTGGCAGGATGCACCTGGTTCTTCCATATTCCTCCTCTGGGCCAGATACCCTCAGAGTGGAATTAGGAAAAGGGCCTCGCTGTTCTCTTCCCTCCCCACGGTGCTTCCTGGAGGCTCTCAGGCCAACCTGAGAAAGAGTCTCCAACAGCCCAAGTGCATTCATCTCACCAAGATCCTCCTGTTCCAGCACTAGGAGGCCACGCTCTGCACAGGAATATGCCTCCGCGGAGAAAGGAGGTCAATGACCCAATGCCTGTCCTGAAAGGGAGCACCTCAGAACTCCTTAGGGAGGGACATAGGGACAAACAAGGGAAACTTTAAATCATCTCACGCCTGAAGGAAAGAAAGAAATGCCTTCTGTTGCTGGGGAACATAACAAAACAAAACCAACCAGAACAGAAAGGAGCTCATTAGTTTCCTGTTGCCCCGAGAGTACCGGGTGGCTCTCAGGGCTGAGCCACGGGAGATGATTTGGGGTTCTTGGCCCAAATCTGAGTCCCACAGCGGTTCTTGCACATCCATTAATTGGAGGGTGGTGCTGTTGTGTCTGCCCTGCTCCAGACCCTCCGTGGCCTGGCCACAGTGAGTCACATTTATAAATGAAAACTCCTCATTGAGCCATCATTACCGAGCCCTTCAAAGGCATCTTTCCAACTCATCTGTTAGAGTCTGGCTTCTGAAACTGTAGATGAAAGTGAGGAGCTCTGGTGTCTTTGGCCTCAGGGTCCTCAGGGCGATGATTAAGGTAGAAGCACTCTCTTCTACGTCCTTGCTGAATTTCCGTCCTCTCTCCCTGGGCTGACACGACCCCCACCAAGTCCCCACCTGAAATCTCCGCACTTGTGTGGTTTCCATCCTCCATCAGCTGCTGGGAGAGTTGTTGATGCCTCCTTAGTTATGAAACGGGCTTTTGAGGATGGCTCCTGTATTAGTGTTTTCCAGAGGGACAGAACTAATAGGATAGATGTACATATGAAGGGGAGTTTATTAGGAGAATTGACTCACATGATTCCAAGATGAGGTCCCACAATAGGCCATCTGCAAGCCAAGCAGCAAGGAAGCCAGTCTGAGTCCCCAAACATCAAAAGTAGGGGAGCCAGCAGTGCAGCCTTCAGTCTGTGGTGGAAGGTCCAAGAGTCCAAAAGCTGAAGAACTTGGAGTCTGATGTTTGAGGGCAGGAAGCATCCAGCATGGGAGAAAGATGGAGGCTGGAAGACTAAGACAGTCTAGTCTTTCCATCTTCTTCTACCTGCTTTTTATTCTGGCTGTGCTAACAGCTGATTAGATGGTGCCCACCCAGATTGAGAGTGGATTTGCCTTTCCCAGTCCACTGACTCAAATGTTAATCTCCTTTGGCAACACCCTCACAGACACACCCAGAAACAATACTTTGCATCCTTCAACCCAATCAAGTTGACACTCAATATTAACCATCAGTCGCTTATGTCTGCATCCCCGTCATGTGTGGGTCCTGTTCTGGATTCTGGACTGTGGGTTCTCCCCAACTTCTGGTACCTGGCTTGGGAAGCTGCCTTCATCTCAGCTCCTGGAGGACCCCTCTTCACTCCACACCTGTGTCCAGGGGCCACCTGAGTCTTTTGTGCTGCTTGAAGGCCATTCACTCTTGCAGCTCTGGGCATTCCTTTTATGTTGATGTGTGTTTACTCAAAAGAGAGGCATTGGTACTTATGGTCTCTATTTTCTGTTCATTTTCTCACAGGCCAAACTCCCAGGCTGAGCAGAGAGAGAAGTCCCAATTTCTTGCAGACCAGGGCTTGGTCTGTGACTTGTCTTCTGAAAGTTCCCAAAGTCCTCTCAGTTTGGAGACCTCCGGGCCTCTTGGAGCCGAGGTTCTCTACTGAAAATTCACTGGAGTAGAGCTGGGTTTAGCCTGGGGTACTTGTAGAAGAGTCAGAAGAATGCCATTGTAGCTGTAGGAGGGTGTATGCACCTCCTGACTGAACGAGGTCAGGTTCATGCTCCTTCCATGATACTGACTTAGTCAGCTGGTTTGCCACAGCTCTTCGTATTAGTCTGTTCTCATGCTGCTAAAAAAGACACACCTGAGACTGGGTAATTTGTAAAGGGAAGAGGTTTAATTGACTCACAGTTCCACATGGCTGGGGAGACCTCACAATCATGGTGGAAAAGCAAGAGACGTCTTACATGGTGCCAGGCAAGAGAGAGCTTGTGCAGGGGAACTTCCATTTATAAAACCATCAGATCTCATGAGATGTATTCACTATGACAAGAACAGCACGGGAAAGACCTACTCCCATGAGTCAATTACCTCCCACTGGTTATCTCCCATGACATGTAGGAACTGTGGGAGTTACAATTCAAGATGATATTTTGGTGGAGACACAGCAAACTGTATCATTCATATACCCAACTAATTCACACTGGACATCTATCTGTTCTGCATTTCCTGAGAGGGTTCCAGATGCTGAAAGAAATGACCCCATAATGTCCTTTAGAGCAAATTGTCCCTTAGGTTTGAGCCCCACACCCCACCTGCAGAAGGCTTAATTGGTTTCTTGTTCTGTAGAAATCTGTGGGTGTGGCTGTGTCCAGTGTATTGGTGAGGGAATAAGTGGTCTCTCCATGCTTGCCAACATTGGAAATAGATGTTTCCCCTTTGGCCTCATTGATTCAGTTGACCCTATCACCAAGGAAAATGGCCCACTACCTGCAGCACGGAGAAGGTAAACAGTCCTGGCTGTGATAAAGTGGGGGGTCTCTATCCTGAATGGTCACCTCCTGTCCTTCAATTTGTCACTCAGACTTTCAGTTATTTTATCCCTCTCTTATATCCCTTGCGATTTTTCTAAGACTGCAGCTTCTTATGGCATAACAAGCTCCTCCTGCCTCTGCTGACTAAGACCACTGCCAGCAATACCCTCAGGATGTCCCCTGGGTCATTTAGTGAAGAGTGAGAGAACCACAACCAACTGAGACAGGGGCCTTTGGAACAGGTGCATGGAAAGCCTACACTCCTGCCTTGCAGAACCACAACCCCAGGCTCTCAGAGGCTCTTTGGAAGTGCCCAGCTAGGGACGTGGATCTCTCTACTATCTCATCAACAGAAATCCCATCAGGCAGGCTTCCCAGGTTAGCACCCTTGGACTCAGGCAGCCACAGTATTTGCTGAAAAAGAAGCTTCAAGGGACTCCTCCTGAGCCAGTCACTTGGGAAAGCAGGGGACTCTTGACTTTGACTTCACCATCAACACATCTCAGCTCACCAGATCCTATTGGATGAATTGAACAACTTACCTTTTCTCTACAAAAGGTGAGGAATTTTCTCTCATGTTGAAAACCACCATTGAGCTGCCTCCTTGGTGGGATGAGAGGTGGAGAGGGACAAGAATCCAGACAAGGCCTTAGCCCTTCATTTACCCCATGACAGTACAACTCTGTAGCTACATTCTACATGTCCCAATGACAGGGGATACATCAGCCCAGCACTCAATAAAAATACATCAAACAAAAGAATGAGTGAATGAATGAAGGATGCTCTCTGTCCCTACTCAATGGCTGACTCACTGACTGTATGGACTAAAAGTATGTGGCCCCACAAAATTCATATGTTGAGATCCCAACCCCCAATGAGATGGTGTTAGGAGGTGGGGCCTTTGGGAGGTGATTAGGTCGTGAGGGTGGAACCTTTAAGAATGGGATTTGCGCTTGCTGTGGTTTGTTTGTTTTCACCACATCTCATGTTGAAATTTGATTCCCAGCAAACTGGCTAGCTGTATGTAGAAAGCTGAAACTGGATCCCTTCCTTACACCTTATACAAAAATTAATTCAAGATGGATTAAAGACTTAAATGTTAGACCTAAAACCATAAAAACCCTAGAAGAAAACCTAGGCAATACCATTCAGGACATAGGCATGGGCAAGGACTTCATGTCTAAAACACCAAAAGCAATGGCAACAAAAGCCAAAATAGACAAATGGGATCCAATTAAACTAAAGAGCTTCTGCACAGCAAAAGAAACTACCATCAGAGAGAACAGGCAACCTACAGAATGGGAGAAAATTTTTGCAAACTACTCATCTGACAAAAGGCTAATATCCAGAATCTACAATGAACTCAAACAAATTTATAAGAAAAAAAACAAACAATCCCATCAAAAAGTAGGCAAAGGATATGAACAGACACTTCTCACAAGAAGACATTTATGCAGCCAACAGACACGTGAAAAAATGCTCATCATCACTGGTCTTCAGAGAAATGCTAATCAAAACCACAATGAGATACCATCTCACACCAGTTAGAATGGCGATCATTAAAAGTCAGGAAACAACAGATTCTGGAGAGGATGTGGAGAAATAGGAACACTTTTACACTGTCGGTGGGAGTGTAAATTAGTTCAACCATTGTGAAAGACAGTGTGGTGATTCCTCAAGGATCTAGAGCTAGAATTACCATTTAACCCAGCAATCCCATTACTGAGTATATACCCAAAGGACTACAAATCATGCTACTATAAAGACATGCACACATACGTTTATTGCAGCACTATTCACAATAACAAAGACTTGGAACCAACCCAAATGCCCATCAATGATAGACTGGATAAAGAAAATGTGGCACATATACACCATGGAATAGTATGCAGCCATAGAAAAGGATGAGTTCCTGTCCTTTGCAGGGACATGGATGAAGCTGGAAACCATCATTCTCAGCAAACTATCACAAAGACAGAAAACCAAACACTGTATGTTCTCACTCATAGGTGTGAATTGAACAATGAGATCACTTGGACACAGGGCAGGAAACATCACACACTGGGGCCTGTTGTGGGGTGGGGGTCTGGGGGAGGGATAGCATTGGGAAAAATACCTAATGTAAATGATGAGTTGATGAGTGCAGCAAACCAACATGGCACATGTATACCTATGTATCAAACCTGCACATTGTGCATGTGTACCCTAGAACTTAAAGTATAATAAAAAAAAAAAGAGAAAGAAATTTGATTCCCAACATGATGGTATTGGGAGCTGGGGTCTAGGGGGAGGTGTCTGGGTCATGGGGTTGGATACCCTGTGAATAGATTATTGCTCTCTCGGGAGTGAATGAGTTCTTGCTCTATTGGTTCCCATGAGAGCTGGTTGTTAAGAAGAGCCTAGCACCTCCCCTCTGTCTTGCACCACGTGGTCTCTGCACCCACCAGCTCCTGTTCACCCTCTCCATGGGTGGAATAGCCTGAGGTCTTCACCAGAAGCAGACACCCAATCATGAACATTGCAACCATCAGAATCCGAGAAAAATAAACTTTTTTATTATTTATAAATTACCCAGTCTTAGGTATTTCTTTATAGCAACACAAAACAGACTAGGACAGGACCCCTATAAAAAAGACCCCAGAGAGCTCTCTTGTTGTTTTTCCACCGTGGGAGGATACAATGAGACGCTGGTTGTCTGCAACAAGGAAGTGGGCATCTCCAGCACCCAGCCATGCCAACACCCTGATCTCAGACTTCCAGCCTCCAAAACGGAGAAATACGTGTCTTATTGATAAGCCACCCAGTCAGTGGAGCTTTGTTATAGCAGCTCAAATAAACAAAGACACTCATCCACCTTGCACCCACCTCATCCAACCAGTAAGCATAAGCCAGATGTCTCTAGGGGGAGCCTCTGGGCTGGGCTCTGGAGACTGTGAATTAATTTTAGCTCAGCCTAATTACTGATCAGTCATGTAACGAGAGTGGGATCAATGCCATCAACAACCAACTCTAGCAGATGTGCAGACGTGGTTCTGGGTAGCACAATCAAGGAGAAGTTGGAATGAAGGGACTGAGTAACAGCCAGAATACTCCATCGTAAATAAGAGGGGTGTACGTAGGGACCCTTCAGTATCAAGGCATGGTGGAGGCATCCAGAACCCATGTCTAGAAGGACCAGGTTTAATCTTGGCTCCACCTCTTTGCGGTTCCGAAGCTCAAAGTAAATTACTGAGCCACTGAAAACCCAGGACGATATTGGTTGCGTGTGGCCAAGGATCCAGTGACACAAGGTCATGGACAGTGTCTTATTGGAAGGTGTTGGCTGTGACCCCCGACTCCTTCGACTCTGGCTTCGTCCATGCACCCAGCAGGGCTGCATTTTGAGGTGAAGACTGAAAGTTCTACCCACAGCTTCAGCTTGGAAAAATCACCCTGTGCACGGCAGGTGGCATTGGCTCTGGAGCTGGCTTAAATTGCTGGTGGGAGGGTGGGCCATGGCTGTGAAGTGCTGGAAGACAGAAGAGGCACCAAATTGGGTGAGATTTAATCTGTGAATGCGGGCCTTCTGGAGGGCTCCTGGGGCTGGGCTGGCGAGCTCTGGGGACAAGCCCTGCAGAGCAGGTGCCTCTTATTGTCTCCCGGCAGAGATCCTGGCGGGAAAATGATGAAGGATGTGGCCTACCCTGGGTCTTGCTACCTTTTTGAGGTACTTTGGGGGTGAGTTTAGTAGTGATTAAAGATCCAAACCAAACCCACATGTCAAGGGATTTGTGAATTTCCTACCTGAAGACTGAACACTGCAGGGCATGTGAATGTTGTCGCCTTTCCAGCATGGAGAGAGCCCAGGGCTGCGTCAACCCAGGGAGCCTGAAGGATGGCATCGGGGGCCCTAGGCAGGCTCAGGCGGGCACTCACTGGCATCTTAAATCTTCTGCAAAATGGAGTCAACAAAATCATAACCCAGGGACATTTCTGAGAAATTGTTCTCTAGAATTAGCTGCAATATGGCACTAATAAAGAGAATAGTCTATAAAACATTATCAGTTCTAATTGATAATTGGATTTTTTGTGTTGCCATAAGCAAGGCTAAAAGCTTTAGATATTGTATTTAAATTTCTACTTTAAAAAATCTGAGGAAGCCCAGCCAAGCTCTTCTATTAGAGAGAAAGTTGGGGGGTGGGGAGGAAGAGGGAAGAAGAGAGAGAAAGAGAAAGAGAGAGAACTATTTGCATAAAATATGCTAGAGATAAAACTGGGAAGCTGGGT
Source organism: Homo sapiens (assembly GCF_000001405.40). Lineage (NCBI taxonomy): Eukaryota > Metazoa > Chordata > Mammalia > Primates > Hominidae > Homo > Homo sapiens. The sequence goes on along the minus strand of NC_000001.11, from coordinate 4,872,837 downwards.
AGACAGGAGAGGACCTAGGCTTTGGTAATCCAGAGTGCTTAAAAATTATTTTGACTTCAATTTACTATTCTTAATCACTTTGCCAGCTTTAGCTGACACTGTTACCTAAACGTGGGACAAGCCGGGTTTCAGCTCTGCAGGGTTAACTCTAGGCAGCGTCCTTGGGTTTAGAAAGGGTCAGGCTCCACAAGGAGCCTTTGGCTGGAGGATGCCATCTTGAGCCTCTGTGCAGAGAGGGCGGGGTGACAGCACTGTTTGAAGGCCTGCTGGTTTTGCAGGCCTCGGTAGAGAACTCTTTAAAGGGAGGGTCTCCATCCCAGAACCCAGTTCCAGAAGGGTCCCTAAGAGCATCCAGCTCAATACTGTCATTTGTGGGCTGGAAATGAAAGGCTGAGCCCAGGGGGTCTCCAGAGACTGCAGATGGGGGTACAGGTGTGAATTCTCAGTTCTAAGAGGGAAGGTGCGAGCAGCAGCTGGTCAGGCATTAAATGGAACATAGTGCACCCAAATATTCTTAGCACTGAAAAATTCTACTCTGAAAGATTCGTTCTTTGGGTTTAAACATTGGCCTTTGCTTCAAACTTGTAAACGATGCAGAAATCATGGTATTGTCAGAACCCATTGGAGCTGATAATGACACATAAAACTTCAGCAGCCCCGCCTAAGTGTCAGGGGTGGGGCTAGGGTAAAGGGACTCTTATCCTCTAAAGGAGAGAAGGTCACCCAGACAGCCCCTGAGCCTATACCTCGACTCCCATCTTCTTCCTTCACAAGCTGGATTCTCCATTACTGAGGAGAGAAGCTAGCAGGCCAGGGAAGGGGTCTGTTTCTCCATCAGGTGTTCTCTGGGAAACTGAAAGAGGAGGTAGGAGGCGATGGGCCTGGGGACACAGCAGGCGAGGTGCTGGGGGAACCCACTCCAGGTCCTCTGACCTGAACCACAGATTCTGGCTCTGCAGCCTAAGGAGATGCCCAGCATGGACAAGCCGTGTCTCCAAAGCCCAGATTTCTCTGCCTGGCTGCAGAAGGGACTAGAATGAGCAGGTGTGAGCAAAGCCCTTGGCATGTAGGGACTGACCAGTGAACCGAGGATCGTGGATCAGCATCTTTGCATTGTTGCCAATGCATAAGAGACCCCTAACCTCAAAGCACTGAGTGAGAGAGGAGGTTACAAAAGAGGAGTGTGTGTGGGGTATGCATGTGTGTGTATGGCAGGTTGTGCAGTGTGTGTGTATATGGTGTGTAGTGTGTGTGCATGTGTGTGTACAGGGGATTGTGTGGTGTGTGTGTGGGTATGTGTGTATATGGGAGGTTGTGTGTGGTATGTGTGTGTGGTGTGTGTGTGTGCACGTGCATGTGATATGTGTGTGTGTTGGGGCAGAAGGAGGTACAAGAAACAAGCCCTGGTCTCAGTCTGGTTGAAGACTGTTCCTCTGTGTGTCTGTGGCACCCACAGCCTTGGGTCTGAAGTTTTGAAGCATCTCCCAGGCTTAGGGCCATGCTGTGTGGCAAAGGGCCTCTCAGGAAGGAGCTGACCTCCCATTCTTGAGGTGGCCTGGGTTCTGCCCCACATCTGCCCTGACCCCCCAGAGGAGCTGGCAGTGCCAGCGAGGGGTGTACCACCGTTCCCCTCTATTCTAACAGAATAGTGCATTCCTTACATTTGCCCAATTGCTACAAATCAGTGTATAATCACTTCTGTTTACATTTCCAATTATGGAGGAAGCGAATTTTACCTACTAAACAATTCATCAGTTGAAATTCCCCTAGAGAAATATTACTGACTTTCTGGCTGTTGCCTCAGAATAGAGACCTGGGGCCAGTGGCTTGGAAGATGAGAGGCACTCACCGTCGCGCCTGGGGGCAGCTCCTTGCAGCTCACCTCCACCAGTCAGCAGCTGGGAGAATGTGGCCTGTAGGAACACTTGCCTGTTTTCTTGGCTATATTGCCATTAGGATCAAAAGAGCTCATCTACAGGAACGAGCATGGCCACCGCAAGCAACTGTACATCAATACGGTGTCCTATTGAATCCTAAAGCCCAGAGCTGAACGTCCCCAAGCATGATTGCTCAACGCCTTCCTCACCCCAGGCCACGATGGTTCCATGGTCCCTGCCGCTCCCAGCCACATTTCTGCCAGCCTGGCCGATGCCCAGGGTGAGGCATCAACACTGTTGGTAAAGGCACCGATGGCCCTCTCCAGCCCTCACGTGGAATGTACCTTAGCGGTGGTCTGACCTGAGCCACTTCCTGCAGCTGCAGGGCTGGGGGACGTTTGCTGCAGACTGGGTACTTAAAACAACAGAAACTTATTGTCTCCCAGTTCTGGAGGTTAGAAGTCTAAGATCAAGGGTTGCTTTCTTCTGGGGCAGTGAAGGAAAACCTGCCCCACACCACTCTGCTGGTGGTTGCTGGCAATCATTGGCAGTTCTGGGCTTATAGATGCATCACCTCGATTTCTGCCTTTATCTCTATCTGGCCTTCTCCCTGCACCTGTGCCCCTCAGCCTGCATCTCCCCTTTTTATAAGGACACCAGTCCAACTGATTAGGGGCCCACCCTGCTCCAGTATGTCCTCATTTTTGACTTAACTAATTCCAACCGCAAGGATCATATTTCCGAGTAAGGTCACATTCTAAGTTACTGGTGGGTAGGACTTCAACATAAGATATTTGAGAGGGAACAACTCAACTGTAGCATAACCCACCTCTCCTGTGATATGTTCACGATAGAGGAGCCTCGAGTGGATGTGAGTTAGAGACCAATCATGACGCCTCAGCAGATGGTGGACTGTGCCCCAGGCCAAGTCTCTCGCACCTCACTGGGCCTCAGTTTCCTCATCTATAAACGGGAAGTGGGACCCACTCCAGAGAGTCATTCTGTGGATGGAATGCGGCCACGTGACTTTGCTGTGGGATCTGCTTGCTGGGGTCCAGGCAGATTCTGCCTTCAGCAGGGCACCTGCAGCTCCTGCACCATCAGGCCCGCTGTGTCCCTGTGCCAATGCCCCTACACCCCACTGCAGGAGATCTGCCTCCACCTCCACCTCTGCTGCCTGACTCCTATTTCGTGTCTGCTTCTTGGGCCCCAGGGTTGCACCATCTCAGCTCCCTCTGTCCTCTGTAGTCTGCCCACCCCACTGAGAAGGACCCAGACATTACAGGGTGGACTCGAGTGGCCAGTGCTACTGGGCTTGCTTCTGGAAGGCTCGTGAGGCTGCTTCCTCACCAGGGCCCATCCAGGGTCCTAAAGGCACAAACAGTGTGACTCAGCACAGGGGTTCATGTGCACCGGGAGCCGCTAAATTCTTCCCCTGTTTGTGCCATCATCCCTGGCTGATTTTCCAGCCTCGGCCTTAATGTGTCCACTTCCCTCTTTGCTAGCCTCTTCTTGTACTGGCGATGATAAACTTCGGTAACGTAACACCCAGAGCTCCACCAGGCCCAGGTATTTCTTCTCTGCCTCCTTGGAAGCCTTGGAGAGCTCAGGACCTGGCTGAGCCCCAGGGAACCCAAATTCCATGCCTCTCTCTTTCTGAGCTCTGCAAAATGTCCCCTTGGCACCTGGAATCCGGATCCACTGCCAGGATCACCCGAGTGGTCTTAGAAGGCAGACACCCCCTGAGAGGGCAGCTTATGGTTATTTCAGGGGGGCTTCCCACGCTTTTCATTTATTTGAGACAGCCCCCATGGGATTGTCCCTGAGCATGTGCGACAGGACTGATGGCCTCCATGCTGGGCCCTTGGCAGTTGTGTTCATGTCACACTAATGAGGAGAAGTGAAGCTTGTGCAGTGAGCACACCGCTAATGGGTGTCCACAGCAGCCTGTTCAAAATGAACTGACTCTCCTTTTCTCATTCTATTTACTGAAAAAAAGTTCCCTTTAAAAAATTAAGAGTTGAAGGGAATTTGTCAAAAGGACATTACCTGCAGACATTTCTACCAGGTTGCCTCTTGGAGTGCTTGTGCATAATTAATTAGAAGGCACAGCTCTTACAGTCCCTACATAAAAGTTAAAACCCATTTTACCGTGTTCTATATTTTCTGCTCAGCATCACTGTCAGGCAAGTTTCAAGGGAGACAGGTATTTGCATACGGTGCCAAGCTGAAGTTTCCATAGCAACAGGCTTCCTTGGAGAGCTCTACAAATGGGCTCCATCCTCACTTTCAGGTTCCACCCAAAACACTGGGTGAGAGCTGTGTGTGAGGGAGGACTGGCACCTCCAACACCTACAACCACTGCAACTACTCACCCCATGCCTGTTTACTTATGAAAACAGACCTGATGAGTTGAGATACTGACCAAAAAAAAAGTGGTTTGTAGTCACAGCTTCAGACTAAACAAGCAAAAAGAAGGCAGAGGAGGAGATAGAGGAGGACAAACATGAGGAAGAAGAGGAGGAGAAGGAGTAGGGAGATGAGGAGGAGGAAGAGGACCAGGAGAGGGGAAAATGAAGAGGAGGCAGGGAAGGAAGAGAAGAGAGAGGAGGAGGAGAAGGGAGAAGAAGAGGAGAAGAAAAAGGAGGAGAAGGAGGAGGAGACAGCTCCTTTGACCTTTTTGCCAAGGAGACAATGGCCTTTTCTTCCCAAAGACCCAGGCTCCTCTGAAACCAGGGCTGCCATTCTATGAAGGAGGACAGCGTGTAGGGCTGGCATGAGCTGTTTTCAAGGGGGAAGCACATCAGGGTTGCACTATCCTGGAAGGAAGGAACTGGAGTCTGCAGTTAGAAAAGAGAAAAGTGGCCCAAACTTTGCAATTGGGAAGTGCCAGGGACAGGGCCCTAACCACAGGTGTTTGTAGAGGCTAAGATTTTGAACATGAGTCCCTAGGTGCCTCTGCAAGTTGCCTGGTGGCTAACTTTGGACAGAGGAGATTACTCGCAATGGGGATATGAGCTTGGGCAGGGAGTCTCAGAGGCTTCTATCTGTCATGGATGGAGACCTTGCCCTGAGGACTCCTAGAGCCTCTGGTTCTAGGAGACACAGGAGAGCAAAAGGAGGATACAGAGAAATGAGACTTCTCTTCAATCATATGGAAAAAGGGCTAGAAATAAATGCATTTTAGAGATGCCATGTTTTAAATTGCACCTCATGTGCCATGGAGCTATTCCTGCCTGTTGTGTAGGGCAATTCATTAAGCAAAGCTGAGCACAGATGTAGTTGCTGGGAAAATTATGCATGTAAGAAGTTAAGGGAAAAGAATGTTTCCCATATGCACAGTTCTTACAATTTATAAAACATATCCACACACTTTATGCCTTCGAAACTTGTCAGCGATCTTAAAACTAAGAGGCTGCCTAAAAGGGGGAGTGTACCCCCATTTAACCTGTGGTAAAACGGAGACCAAGAGAGGCAGAATGACTTGTCCAAAACTTCATGGGTAATGATTGGGATCATCAGTGCTAACTCCTATCAGCCTCAACAGAATAATTCAGAATTGGTTCAAAATACAAAGATCATTTGGAAGTCTTATTTAAAAAAAAAGATTAAAAACAGGTGACAGGATTCTTGGGCTCAAATCCTAGCTCTGCTGTGAGCTTCTTGCATGACTGCACCTGTGCTTCATCATCAATAAAGTGGGGATAAAACTGGGGTCTCCCGGGGAGAGGTTCCAAGATGGTCGAATAGGAGCAGCTCCAGTCTACAGCTCCCAGTGTAAGTGACGCAGAAGATGGGTGATTTCTGCATTTCCAACTGAAGTACTGGGTTCATCTCACTGGGGCTTGTCGGACAGTGGGTGAAGGACAGTGGCTGCAGCACACGGAGTGTGAGCCGAAGCAGGGTGGAGTATCACCTCACCCAGGAAGTGCAAGGGGTCAGGAAATTCCCTTCCCTAGCCAAGGGAAGCCATGAAAGAGGGCACCTGGAAAATCGTGTCTCTCCCACCCTAATACTGTGCTTTTCCAATGGTCTTAGCAAACGGCACACCAGGAGATTATATCCCATGCATGGCTCGGAGGGTCCCACGCCCATGGAGCCTTGCTCACTGCTAGCACAGCAGTCTGAGATCCAACTGCAAGGTGGCAGCAAGGCTGGGGGAGGAGCGCCCACCATTGCTGAGGCTTGAGTAGGTAAACAGAGTGGCCGGGAAGCTTGAACTGGGTGGAGCCCACCACAGCTCAAGAGGGCCTGCCTGCCTCTGTAGACTCCACCTCTAGGGGCAGGGCATAGTTGAACAAAAGGCAGCAGAAACTTCTGCAGACTTAAAAGTCCCTGTGTGACAGCTTTGAAGAGAGTAGTGGTTCTCCCAGCATGGAGTTTGAGATCTGAGAACGGACAGACTGCCTCCTTAAGTGGGTCCCTGACCCCCGAGTAGCCTATCTGGGAGGCACCTCCCAGTAGGGGCCGACTGACACCTCATACGGCCAGGAGCCCCTCTGAGATGAAGCTTCCAGAGGAACGATCAGACAGCACCATTTGCCGTTCTGCAATATTTGCTGTTCTGCAGCCTCCGCTGGTGATACCCAGGCAAACAGAGTCTGGAGTGCACCTCCAGCAAACTCCAACAGACTTGCAGCTGAGGGCCCTGTTGGAAGGAAAACTAACGAACAGAAACGACATCCACACCAAAACCCCATCTGTATGTCACCATCATCGAAGACCAAAGGTAGATAAAACCACAAAGATGGGGGAGAAACCAGAGCAGAAAAGCTGAAAATTCTAAAAATCAGAGCTCCTCTTCTCCTCCAAAAGAATGCAGCTCCTTGCCAGCAACGGAACAAAGTTGGACAGAGAATGACTGACAAGTTGAGAGAAGAAGGCTTCAGATGATCGGTAATAACAAACTTCTCTGAGCTAAAGGAGGATGTTCGAACCCATCGCAAAGAAGCTAAAAACCTTGAAAAAAGATTAGATGAATGGCTAACTAGAATAAACAATGTACAGAAGACCTTAAATTACCTGATGGAGCTGAAAACCATGGCACGAGAACTACGTGATGCATGCACAAGCTTCGGTAGCTGATTCAATCAACTAGAAGAAAGGGTATCAGCGATTGAAGATGAAATGAATGAAATGAAGCAAGAAGAGAAGTTTAGAGAAAAAAGAGTAAAAAGAAATGAACAAAGCCTCCAAGAAATATGGGACTATGTGAAAAGACCAAATCTACGTCTGATTGGTGGACCTGAAAGTGATGAGGAGAATGGAACCAAGTTGGAAAACACTCTTCAGGATATTATCCAGGAGGACTTCCCCAACCCAGAAAGGCAGGCCAACATTCGAATTCAGGAAATACAGAGAATGCCACAAAGATACTCCTCGAGAAGAGCAACTCCAAGACAAATAATTGTCAGATTCACCAAAGTTGAAATGAAGGAAAAAAATGTTAAAGGCAGCCAGAGAGAAAGGTCAGGTTACCCACAAAGGGAAGCCCATCAGACTAACAGCGGATCTCTTGGCAGAAACTCCACAAGCCGCAGGAGAGGGGGGACCAATATTCAACATTCTTAAAGAAAAGAATTTTTAACCCAGAATTTCACATCCAGCCAAACTAAGCTTCATAAGTGAAGGAGAAATAAAATACTTTACAGACAAGCAAATGCTGAGGGATTTTGTCACCACCAGGAGTGCCTTACAAGAGCTCCTGAAGGAAGCACTAAACATGGAAAGGAACAACTGGTACCAGCCACTGCAAAAACATGCCAAATTGTAAAGACCATCGATGCTAGGAAGAAACTGCATCAACTAACGAGCAAAATAACCAGCTAACATCATAATGACAGGATCAAATTCACACATAACAATATTAACCTTAAATGTAAATGGGCTAAATGTTCCAATAAAAAAGACACTGACTGGCAAATTGGATAAAGAGTCAAGACCCATCAGTGTGCTGTCTTCAGGAGACCCATCTCACGTGCAGAGACACACATAGGCTCAAAATAAAGGGATGGAGGAAGATCTACTAAGCAAATGGAAAACAAAAAAAAAGCAGGGGTTGCAATCCTAGTCTCTGATAAACAGACTTTAAACCAACAAAGATGAAAAGAGACAAAGAAGGCCATTACATAATGGTAAAGGGATCAATTCAACAAGAAGAGCTAACTATCCTAAATATATATGCACCCAATACAGGAGCACCCAGATTCACAAAGCAAGTCCTTAGAGACCTAAAAAGAGACTTCGACTCCCGCACAATAATAATGGGAGATTTTAACACCCCACTGTCAACATTAGACACATCAACAAGACAGAAAGTTAACAAGGATATCCAGGAATTGAACTCAGCTCTGCACCAAGCAGACCTAATAGACATCTACAGAACTCTCCACCCCAAATCAACAGATTATACATTCTTCTCAGCACCACATCACACTTATTCCAAAATTGACCACATAGTTGCAAGTAAAGCACTCCTCAGCAAATGTAAAAGAACATAAATTATAACAAACTGTCTCTTAGGCCACAGTGCAATCAAACTAGAACTCCGGATTAAGAAACCCACTCAAGGCCAGGCATGGTGGCTCACCCCTGTAATCCCAGCACTTTGGGAGGCCAAGATGGGCGGATCACGAGGTCAGGAGATCGAGACCATCCTGGCTAACATGGTGAAACCCCGTCTCTACTAAAAATACAAAAAATTAGCTGGGCACGGTGGTGGGTGCCTGTAGTCCCAGCTACTCGGGAAGCTGAGGAAGGAGAATGGTGTGAACCCCGGAGGTGGAGCTTGCAGTGAGCCGAGATAAGCGCCACTGCACTCCGGCCTGGGCGAAACAGCGAGACTCCATCTCAAAAAAAAAAAAAAAAAAAAAAAGAAACCCACTCAAAACCATTCAACTACATGGAAACTGAACAACCTGCTCCTGAATGACTACTGGGTACATAACGAAATGAAGGCAGAAATAAAGATGTTCTTTGAAACCAATGAGAACAAAAACACAACATACCAGAATCTCTGGGACACATTTAAAGCAGTATGTGGGGGGAAATTTATAGCACTAAATGCCCACAAGAGAAAGCAGAAAAGATCTAAAATTGACACCCTAACATCACAATTAAAAGAACTAGAGAAGCAAGAGCAAACACATTCAAAAGCTAGCAGAAAGCAAGAAATAACTAAGATCAGAGCAGAACTGAAGGAGATAGAGACACAAAAAACCCTTCAAAAAATCAATGAATCCAGGAGCTGTTTGTTTGAAAAGATCAACAAAATTGATAGACCACTAGCAAGACTAATACAGAAGAAAAGAGAGAAGAATCAAATAGATGCAATAAAAGATGATAAAGGGGATATCACCACTGATCCCACAGAAATATAAACTGCCATCAGAGAATAATATAAACACCTCTATGCAAATAAACTAGAAAATCTAGAAGAAATGGATAAATTCCTGGACACATACACCCTCCCAAGACTAAACCAGGAAGAAGTTGAATCCCTGAACAGACCAATAACAGGCTCTGAAATTGGGGCAATAATTAATAGCCTACCAACCAAAAAAAGTCCAGGACCAGACAGATTCACAGCCAGATTCTACCAGATGTACAACGAGGAGCTGGTACCATTCCTTCCGAAACTGTTCTAATCAATAGAAAAAGAGGGAATTCTCCCTGATTCATTTTTTGAGGCAAGCATCATCCTGATACCAAAGTCTGGCAGAGACACAACAAAAAAAAGATAATTTTAGACCAATATCCCTGATGAACGTCGATGCAAAAATCCTCAATAAAATACTGGCAAACCAAATCCGGCAGCACATCCAAAAGCTTATCCACCACGATCAAGTGGGCTTCATCACTGGGATGCAAGGCTGGTTCAACATACGCAAATCAATAAACGTAATCCATCATATGAACAGAACTAAAGACAAAAACCACATGATTATCCCAATAGATGCAGAAAAGTCCTTCAATAAAATTCAACAGCCCTCCATGCTAAAAACTCAATAAATTAGGTATTGATGGGATGTATCTCAAAATAATAAGAGCTATTTATGACAAATCCACAGCCAATATCATACTGAATGGGCAAAAACTGGAAGCATTACCTTTGAAAACTGGCACAAGACAGGGATGCCCTCTCTCACCACTCCTATTCAACATAGTGCTGAAAGTTTTGGCCAGGGCAATCAGGCAGGAGAAAGAAATAAAGGGTATTCAATTAGGAAAACAGGAAGTCAAATTGTCCCTGTTTGCAGATGACATGATTGTATATTTACAAAACCCCATAGTCTCAGCCCAAAACCTCCTTAAGCTGATAAGCAACTTCAGCAAAGTCTCAGGATACAAAATCAATGTGCAAAAATCACAAGCCTTCCTATACACCAATAACAGACAAACAGAGAGCCAAATCATGTGTGAACTCCCATTCACAATTGCTTCAAAGAGAATAAAATACCTAGGAATCCAACTTACAAGGAATGTGAAGGATCTTTTCAAGGAGAACTGTAAACCACTGCTCAAGGAAATAAAAGAGGATACAAACAAATGGAAGAACATTCCATGCTCATGGATAGGATGAATCAGTATCATGAAAATGGCCATACTGCCCAAGGTAATTTATAGATTCAATGCCATCCCCATCAAGCTACCAATGAGTTTCTTCACAGAATTGGAAAAAACTACTTTAAAGTTCATATGGAATCAAAAAAGAGCCTGCATTGACAAGACAATCCTAAGCCAAAAGAACATAGCTGGAGGCATCACGCCACCTGACTTCAAACTGTACTACAAGGCTACAGACACCAAAACAGCATGGTATTGGTACCAAAACAGAGATACAGACCAATGGAACAGAACAGAGCCCTCAGAAATAATGCCGCATATCTACAACCATCTGATCTTTGACAAACCTGAGAAAAACAAGCAATGGGGAAAGGATTCCCTATTTAATAAATGGTGCTGGGAAAACTGGCTAGCCATATGTAGAAAGCTGAAACTGGATCTGTTCCTTACACCTTATACAAAAATTAATTAAAGATGGATTAAAGACTTATATGTTAGACCTAAAACCATAAAAACCCTAGAAGAAAACTTAGGCAATACCATTCAGGACATAGGCATGGGCAAGGACTTCATGTCTGAAACACCAAAAGCAATGGCAACAAAAGCCAAAATTGACAAATGGGATCTAATTAAACTAAAGAGCTTATGCACAGCAAAAGAAACTACCTTCAGAGTGAACAGGCAACCTACAAAATGGGAGAAAATTTTCACGACCTACTCATCTGACAAAGGGCTAATATCCAGAATCTACAATGAACTCAAACAAATTTACAAGAAAAAAACAAACAACCCCATCAAAAAGTGGGCAAAGGATATGAACAGACACTTCTCAAAAGAAGACATTTATGCAGCCAAAAAACACATGAAAAAATGCTCATCATCACTGGTCATCAGAGAAATGCTAATCAAAACCACAATGAGATACCATCTCACACCAGTGAGAATGGCGATCATTAAAAAGTCAGGAAACAACAGGTGCTGGAGAGGATGTGGAGAAATAGGAACACTTTTACACTGTTGGTCAGACTGTAAACTAGTTCAACCATGGTGGAAGTCAGTGTGGCGATTCCTCAAGGATGTAGAACTAGAAATACCATTTGATCCAGCCATCCCATTACTGGGTATATACCCAAAGGATTATAAATCATGCTGCTATAAAGACACATGCACACGTATGTTTATTGCGGCACTATTCACAATAGCAGACTTGGAACCAACCCAAATGTCCAACAACGATAGACTGGATTAAGAAAATGTGGCACATATACACCATGGAATACTATGCAGCCATAAAAAATGATGAGTTCATGTCCTTTGTAAGGACATGGATGAAACTGGAAACCATCATTCTCAGCAAACTATCGCAAGGACAAAAAACCAAACACCGCATGTTCTCACTCATAGGTGGGAATTGAACAATGAGAACACATGGACACAGGAAGGGGAACATCACACTCCGGGGACCATTGTGGGGTGGGGGGAGGGGGGAGGGATAGCATTTGGAGATATACCTAATGCTAAATGATGAGTTAATGGGTGCAGCACACCAACATGGCACATGTATACATATGTAACAAACCTGCACGTTGTGCACATGTACCCTAAAGCTTAAAGTATAATAATAATAAAATAAATAAATTTTAAAAAAGAAACTAGCATCAGAGTGAATAGGCAACCTACAGAATGGGAGAAAATTTTTGCCATCTACCCATCTGACAAAAGGCTAATATCCAGAATCTACAAAGAACTCAAACAAATGTACAAGAAAAAATCAAACAACCCCATCAAAATGTGGGCAAGGGATATGAACAGACACTTCTCAAAAGAAGACATCTATGCAGCCGACAGACACATGAAAAAATGCTCATCATCTCTGGCCATCAGAAAAATGCAAATCAAAACCACAATGGGATACCATCTCACACCAATTAGAATGGCGATCATTAAATGTCAGGAAACAACAGGTGCTGGAGAGGATGTGGAGAAATAGGAACACTTTTACACTGTTGGTGGGACTCTAAACTAGTTCAACCATTATGGAAGACAGTGTGGCGATTCCTCAAGGATCTAGAACTAGAAATACCATTTGACCCAGCCATACCATTACTGGGTATATACCCAAATGACTATAAATCATGCTGCTATAAAGACACATGCACACGTATGTTTATTGTGGCACTATTCACAATAGCAAAGACTTGGAACCACCCCAAATGTCCAACAACGATAGACTGGATTAAGAAAATGTGGCACATATACACTATGGAATACTATGCAGCCATAAAAAAGGATGAATTCTTGTCCTTTGTAGGAACATGGATGAAGCTGGAAACCATCATTCTCAGCAAACTATCACAAGGACAGAAAACCAAACACTGCATGTTCTAACTCATAGGTGGGAATTGAACAATGAGAACACTTGGACACAGGATGGGGAACATCACACACTGGGGCCTGTTGTGGGGTGGGGGACGGGGGAGAGATAGCATTAGGAGATATACCTAATGTAAAATGATGAGTTAATGGGTGCAGCACACCAACATGGCACATGTATACATATCTAATAAACCTGCACATTATGCACATGTACCCTAAAACCTAAAGTATAATAATAAAATAAGAAAAAAAAAAACTAGGGTCTCCCTTTGTATTAGTCTGTTCTCACACTACTAATACAGACATACTGGAGACTGGGTAATTTATTTAAAAGAAGAAGTTTAATGAACTCACAGTTCCTCATGGCTTGAGAAGCCTCATAATCATGGCAAAAGGTGAAGGAGGAACAAAGGTACATCTTACATGGCAGCAGGCAAGAGGAAATGTGAGGGGAACTGCCCTTTATGAAACCATCAGATATCATGAGACCTATTCACTATCATGAGAACAGCATGGGAAAAACCAGCCCCATGATTCAATTACCTTCCACCAGGTCCCTCCTATGACATGGTAGATTATGGGAGTAAAATTCAAGATGAGATTTGGGTGTAGACCCAGCCAAATCATGTGATTCCACACCTGGCTCCTCCTCAATCTCATGTCTTCACATTTCAAAACCAATCATGCCTTCCCAACAGTCCCCCAAAGTCTTAACTCATTTCAGCATTAACTCAAAAGTCCACAGTCCAAAGTCTCATCTGAGACAAGGCAAGTCCTTTCTGCCTATGAGCCTGTGAAATCAAAAGCAAGTTAGTTACTTCCTAGATACAATGGGGGTACAGGCATTGGGTAAATACATCCATTCCAAATGGGAGAAATTGGCCAAACTGAAGGGGCTGCAGGCCCCATACAAGTCCAAAATTCAGTAGGGAAGTCAAATCTTAAATCTCCAAAATGATCTCCTTTTACCACATGTCTTGGATCTGGGTCACACTGATGCAAGAGGTGGGCTCCCACAGCCTTGAGCAGCTCTGCTCTTGTGGCTTTGCAGGGTACAGCCTCCCTGCAGGCTGCTTTCACAGGCTGGCATTGAGTGTCTGTGGCTTTTCCAGGCACACAGTGCAACCTGTCAGTGGATCTACCATTCTGGGGCCTGGAGGATGGCAGTCCTCTTCTCACAGCTCCACTAGGCAGTGTCCCAGTGGGGACTCTGTTTGGGGGCTCCAACCCCACATTTGCTTTCCACACTGCCCTAGTAGAGGTTCTTCATGAGAGTCCCACCCCTGCAGCAAACTGGACATCCAGGCATTTCCATACATCTTCTGAAATCTAGGCAGAGGTTCCCAAACCTCAATTCTTGACTTCCATGCACCTGCAGACTCAACACCATGTGGAAGCTGCCAAGGCTTGGGGCTTGCACCCTCTGAAGCCACAGTCCGAGCTGTACCTTGTCCCCTTTTAGCTATGGCTGGAGTGGCTGGGACGCAGGGCACCAAGTTCCTAGGCTGCATTCAGCAAGGTCATCCTGGGCTTGGCCCACAAACCATTTTTTCCTTCTAGGCCTCCAGGTCTGTGATGGGAGGGGCTGCCACAGAGGTATCTGACATACCCTGGAGACACTTTCCCCATTGTCCTGGCAATTAACATTTGGCTTCTCATTACTTATGCAAATTTCTGCAGCTGGCTTGAATTTCTCCCCAGAAAATGGGTTTTTCTTTTCTACTGCATTGCCTGGCTGCAAATTTGTGAAGTTTTTATGCTCTGCTTTCTCTTGAACATTTTGCTGCTTAGAAATTTCTGCCACCAGTTACCCTAAATCATCTCTCTCAAGTTCAAAGTTCCATAGGTCTCTAGGGCAAGGACAAAATGCCACCAGTCTCTTTGCATAGCAAGAGTGACTTTTACTCCAGTTCCCAACAAGTTTCTCATCACCGTCTGAGACCACTTCAGCCTGGACTTTATCATTCATACCACTATCAGCATTTTGATCAAAGCCATTCAACAAGTCTTCAGGAAGTTTTGAACTTTCCCACATCTCTCTGTCTTCTGAGCCCTCCAAGTCTCTAGGAAGTTCTAAACTTTCCCACATCTTCCTGTTTTCTTCTGAGCCCTCCAAACAGTTCCAACCTCTGCCTGTTACCCAGTTCCAAAGTTGCTTCCACATTTTTGGGTATCTTTACAGCAGCATCCTACTACCTGGTACCAATTTATTGTATTAGTCTGTCCTCATGCTGCTAATAAAGACATACCAGAGACTGGGTAATTTATAAAGAAAGAGAGGTTTAATGGACTCACAGTTCCACATGGCTGGGGAGGCCTTACAATCATGGTGGAAGGCAAAGGAGAAGCAAAACTATGTTTAACATGGTGGCAGGCAAGAGAGCATGTACAGGGGAACTCCCATTTATTAAACCATCAGATCTCACGAGACTTATTCACTCTCATGAGAACAGATGGGAAAAACCCACCCTTATGATTCAATTACTTCCCACAGGGTCTCTCCCATGACACATGGAGATTATGGGAGCTACAATTCAAGATGAGATTTGGGTGGGACACAGCCAAACCATATCATCCTTCTAGAGTTATATGGCAGTTTGGTAATTCAGCCTGCAGGACGGTTCTCCAGTTGGCTGTGGACTGAACCAGTTGTCCTCCTTTACTCACTTGTAGTTCTCAAGAATAACCATAGAACATGCTGAGAATATAATACCTTGAGCTAAGGATGAACTGGCTGGAATAGCCTGGGCTCTGTTGTTGTTCCTTGTAGAACAGAATGTCCTACAATGCTTTAGCCCACAAGTCATGTTTCACCCAGGATATAAAACGGAGGGTAGGTTGTGTTCCAGAGTCCCTCCGCTATAGAGGAATTAAGGAGAAAAGGTCCATGCACTCTGAACACCTTACCTGAGTCTTGGAGGACTGGCTCACCATGAACCCTAGGCTTCTGTTGTTCCTTGCTGTAAGTAACATGCTTCACGTGTCTTGTGTGTGGGTGTTCTGCCTCACTAGACTCAGACATGTGATAGAAATTGTTCCAGCTCATGATACAGTGGATAAGGTGTTCAGAGTTCTCCCCTGGGATTGATACCAGTGCAGTGTGAACCTGCTTCACACAGCCATGCAGGGTGGAGCACAGCATTAGTACATGCATGAGCTAGTGCATAAGCTAGTCCATGAGTTATTGAAAGAGTGTTAAGGGTATGTTTGTGGCTGACTGGTGTTTAACACATACATGGTACACCCAATAATTTGAAGAGTTGACAGAAATTCTTCCCCCAAATTATTTTCCCATATTTAACTTCTCAGCACTCCTACTATGCTCTCAAACCTGGTAAGAATTCTCACATTCACTTCCTGTGATGGACACCTCCATGTGTCAACATGGCTAAGCTGATGTACCCAGTGACTCAACCAGACACTAACCTACACGCTTCAGTGAAAGTATTTGGCAGATGTGGTCGGCATCTGCAAGCAGTTGGCTTTCAGAGAGGGAGCTTATCCTTAATAGTCTGGGTGAGCCTTATCCAATCAGTTAAAAGGCTTTAAGAGCAAAACGGAGGTTTCCCCAAGGAAGAAGAAACTCTACCTGGGGATTGCAGTGTCAGCTCCTGCAGGAGAGTTTCCTGCCTGCCCTCCCGCTTTCCCACTGGACAGCTTCCCCAATCATGTAAGCCAATTCCTTGCAGTAAATCTCTTAATATATGTGTATCTATAGATCTATGTCTCTATATCCACATGTCTCTATGTCCATATTCATATTCATCTCTCTATATATAGTTATATAGATACAGAGATAGAGATCTATCCATAAATATCCCTGTATAGATAGATAGATAGATTCAAATATATATATGGTTATAGAGATAGATACCCCTCTATTCTATTTCCCTGTACAGAGAGATCTTAGAGATCTCTCTCTTTCTCCTTCTCCTGCTCTCTTTTCATAAACACACACACACATATTTCCTTAGTCTGTTTTGTGCTGCTATAACACAATACCACAGACTGAGTAATTTATAGTGAACAGAAATGCATTTGGCTCATAATTCTGGAGGCTGTGAAGTTCAAAATTGAGCAGCCTCATCTGGTGAGGGCCTTCTCACTGCATCATCCCATGGTGGAAGGCAGAAGGAGAAAAGAGCCCATGCGAGAGACAGCAAGAGATCAAACTGGCAGCCTCAGATCCTTTTTAAATCAGCATTAATCTATTCATGAGAGCAAAGCCCTCATGGCCTAATCACTTCTCAAATGTGCCACCTGTCAACACTGTTGCATTGGGGATTAAGTTCCCAACACAGGCTTGCTGGGGGGCACATTTAAATTATAGAGTGTATAGATACAGATATAAAGATATATGAATATAGAGATGGGTATAGATCTATAAATATAGGTATCTGTATACACATGGATATAGGTTTAGAGATTAGGTATAGATGTAGATATATCTATATCCATATCAATATATCTATCATATGCATAGAGATAGAGATTTATTTATCTATGTGTCTATTAAGGTTGATACAGAAGTAATTGTAGTTTTTCCATTACTTTCATTTTTTTTTTTTTTTTTTGAGATGCAGTTTTGCCCTTGTCGCCCAGGCTGGAGTGCAATGGCACGATCTTGGCTCACTGCAACCTCCGCCTCCTGAGTTCCAGCGATTCTCCTGCCTCAGCCCCCTGAGTAGCTGGGATTACAGGCATGCGCCACCATGCCTGGCTAATTTTGTATTTTTAGTAGAGATGGGGTTTCTCCGTGTTGGTCAGGCTGGTCTTAAACTCCAGACCTCAAGCGATCCACACACCGTGGCCTCCCAAAGTGCTAGGATTACAGGCGTGAGCCACGGCGCCTGGCCGGATTTTCCATTACTTTCAATGAAAAACAAAACAAAACAAAACAAAAGTAGTTTTGCACCAACCTAACATATCCATGTTCATATCTCTACATCTGTATCATATAAATATGGATATACATGTAGAGATATAGGTATAGATATAGATATAGAGATATAGATACAGATGTAGATATACATCTCCTAGTGGTTCTCTTTCTCTAGTAGAACCCTAAGTGATACATTTCTCAAATGAGCAAACATCGCCAATAAGCTGTCCCCAAGGCAGAAAGTTAAGAGGGAAGTGGGACCCCTTCGGATCCTCAAGATTCATCACGGTCATACCCTGGAGATACTTTTCTCTTGCTGATGGTGAAAAAGTGTCTTGGATAAAAAAAACTCTTAGACTTCTGTGAGTTAGCAACTGAGCATTGCACACGCAGGCAATACTGGAAGTTGAGGCCTGTGTTTATCTCAGTCTTCCCATTGCTGATCAGGCAGCCCCCACGACAAACCCCCCTGAGCCTAAGAGGAGAGGTCAGCCTTCTCTCAGATGCCTGGCTTAGATACTGTGTCTAGGCCGTTTCGTCAGAACCATGCTCTGTCTCCTGCATTGTACCACGGGGTGGCAGGCACTTCACATGTGTTTATAAACACGCATTAATCAGGGGCACAGGGATTCCTAATTGTCATCACTCTCTGTGAAACCCCACAATAAGCACAGTTTCCCTGTATATTATTTTACATCTAAAAGGCCTTGTTAAGGCTCTATGTTTCTCGGTAACATACACAGCCAGGAAAGAATAAAAATACATGGCGGTTGCTATGAACTCTAATCTCTCAGTGCATTGTCCTGCAAAATATGTAATAACAAGAAGACAGGTGAGTGTCTCCGGATACCTAGGCAGTGAATGAAATATCAAGGATGATAATGCCTCGTTGATTAACAATTACATAATTTACTCCAACGCGGCACCATACTGAAGCTCTTCATCAGCACTTTCTGTGTGTACCGTTGGCTCTGATTAGGCATCTGGCTTGATGTAGGCTGTGGCTTCCTTATTCTTTTCCACTAGACTCCTCAGGGAGGTGTTTGCTCCCATAATGTTTTATGTGGCTGGTTTAATGAGCTGTGAATTTATGCCAGCATTGCATAACTCCATCAGTTGGTTCACCAGGAAACAAATACATATTCAGGCCCTGCTTCTAAAGCACAGGTATGTTCAGTATATTTTCAAAATGTTGGAGTGAGGTTCTGGGGTGGAACTTTTTTAATGAAAATATAAAGATTGGAAAATAGAGCATCTGTCAGGAAAAGCAAACTTGGGGAAACATGATTGCAACCTGGTCTTCTACGTGTTTGATTGTACCTGGAAGAGACAATTCGTTGTGCATTAATCATCAAGCAGCAGTTGAATGTAATATTGATGATGGAGATAAAACATCATGGAACGCTGTAGTTTTTAGAGATCTTTCACTTGCATTATGTAATTTTATCCTCAAATCTGCCATAGGTTAAAAAAAAGGAGAAGAGAAAGAGGAAGAGCAGTGTATTAGGCCGTTCTCACATTGCTGTAAAGAAATACCTGAGACTGGGTAATTGATAAAGAAAAGAAGTTTAATTGGCTCGTGGTTCTGCAGGCTGCACAGGAAGCATAGCAGCTTCTGGGGAGCCCTCAGGAAACTTAAAATCATGGAAGAAGGCAAAGGGAAAGCAGGCTCATCTTACATGGCTGGAGAAAGAAGAGTGAGGAGGTGCTACACATTTTTAAACAGTCAGATCTTGCGAGAACTCTATCACGAGACAGCAGTATGAGGATGGTGTTAAACCATTAGAAACTGCCTCCCTGATCCAATCACCTACCACAAGGCCCCACCTCCAACACTGGGGATAACAATTCCACATGAGATTTGGGTGGGGACACAGATCCAAGCCATGCCAAGCAGGAGCAGGGGGAGGAGGATAAAGGAGGAGGAGGAAGGCAAGCTTGGTACAGCTGCCAGCTGTGTAGTACTTTGCAGTTTTACTGAGAGCACTTATTTGCCTCGGTTAGACTAACAGCCCTGAGAGGTGATTTTGACTTCTTCCCTGTTTTATGACTGAGGAAACTGAAGCCTGGAGAGTTTAACCAGCTTACCAAAACCCCACAGATATTTTGAGACTAGGCTTAAAAGCAGCCAAGAGATAGACCCTCCATGCTGAGCAGAGCAAGGGCTTGCCCACGGGAGTGGCACAAATGGATCAAGAACAACAGAGAACTGCTTATGGATCAATGGGTAGGTTTGTCTAATGTGGCAAGGTGACTCAGGGCCATGTATCAAACTGGTGGCTGTTAGGCACACCTAGGACCAGGATGTCAAAGTAGCAAAATTGGTGAACCTGGGAAAGGATTATGTGTATGACTTCTTTTGCAACCCGGTCTAATGTGGGAGGTTTTATTAGCATTCCTTTCCTCGGTGAGGATAGATTTTTAAAGTTAATTTGAAAAGTAAAGTCAAGACAGAGAGCAACCTGCTCATTTACTACGGTTACAGAACTGAAAGGAGGGAAGACGCATTCCCTGGGAGTGCTTCAGTTTCCAGGAAGACAAAGGCTCTGGGTCATGCTTAATGGAAGAATGAATGAATGAAAAAATGAATGGACAGATCAAGATTATTCCTAATTTAACTTTAGAACGATGATGAAATCCTGCATATTAACAATGTACGAAGGCCTGCTGTTCACTGGCCACTTGCACACACCACCTCATTCAGTCCTTACATCAGTTCAGCGAGGCAGGGATTATTTTCCTCTTTCACAGACGAGGAAACTGAGGTTCAGCGATGTCATGAGACTTCCCTCCAAGAATTCCTAATTTTAAGGATAAGAGCCTGTGCCCCCACTCTCAGCCTCACCTCCTTCCTTCCATCCTGACTTCCCACATTGTCAAGGAGGTGAAGCCCTGTGAGTCATACCATGCCCTGCTCCGGGTGCCCACAGAAGCCACGTCGGTCAAAGCAGGGGGCTAGCTGTCAGCTTCACATTGGGGAAATTGTTTCCCCTTCTAGCTTCATCATTTTGAACTGGTGTGGTGGCTCTCATTCTGAATAGATGGAAGCCTGCTTCTCATCGATGGAAACAGGCCGAGCGCTGTTGATACTCTTGATCTTGAAGAGTTTGGAGCATAAAGCTGTGTTTGTGGCTTGGCAATGCAATGCAATGCAATGTTGAGAGTGCCCTTCAAGCACCCCTTGGACAGTTCTTACACATGGATGAGTCTGCAACTTCAACTAGCGTGAGAGCCAGAGGAAGCAAACCAACCATGCCGCTGAGATCAGCAGAATTCCAGGGTGGAGGGAGCTGGCGCTCACTGCAGCATGCACAGCTCCAGCACAGCTGAGGAGCAGAAGGAGAAGTGAGATGCCCCTCCTCATGTCATAAGGTGTCCCACCCACTTTATAACATGGGATCGTCTCCCCTGGGGATGATGTAAATTTAGTGTGAAGGTCTGTGCTTCCTCTTCTCTGCCTGGGTGGTCTGCCCAGGCACAGAATCTCAGATTATTGCCCAAGCAATCAGTTCAGATCATTCCTCTGGCCCTGTGACTGACTCAGGGTGGGGGTATGATGACGGCAGCAAACATTCACCAAGTTCTTGCCATGTGCCATCCGCACTGCCCTGTGCTCTTGGTCTGCATAAGCCTATCTGAGTTTTATACTTTCCCTAAGCAGCAGGTACCAGCCCTCTTTATAGATAAAGCTCAGAGAGGGTTGCTAAGTTTCCCCAGGTCACAGGGCTGGGCTGCAAACCAGGAAATTACTTAGAGCTTGAGCTCTTGACTACCACACTTCAGTGTGTACCCCCCGGTCAGTTGAACTAGTAAAGGCAGTACTCTGGGGTCCACAGAAAAGATTCTCATGTGCTTCCTGCTCATCTTAATTGAAAGACTGTGAGGCTGGAGATGGCTCACCACCTGTCACCATGATGGGAGAGTTAGAGCTCCCTGGCTAGAGCATATGGAGGGAAAGCAGAGCTTGTCAATGAAAATTCTGAGAGCTTTGTTTTAATTCTTGGTTTTAATTCTGCCTTAAGCTGAATACATCCCAAGATTTTTGCTTGTATAAGCCAATAAATTCCCATTTTTGCTCAAGACAGTTTGTGTCAAGCTTTATCACTTTCAATAGAAAGAATCACAACTGATTAAATATGCTCTCATTTTTCACAACTTAGAGTGTGAAATCTAAAGTTGACATTTCTTTTTTTATCACTACAGAAGCTGAAAACAAAGAAAAGCTATGTTTAGCATCTCAAGGCTACCTCTACAACTACAGAGTCAGATTGTGCTGCCCTGACTCCAACTCTTGGATTTGTGCTATGCCTTTGCCTCTGTTGTCAGCTTTGGGTCACCCCAACTCACAACATGCAGGAAGTGGGTGGCTATTCCACATGCTCTCATCCCCAGTTCAAATCTGTGGCTTCCTTTATCACTGCACAATCAAATTTGGAGGAAAATTTACTTGAATACATTTTAAACTTTCAGAAATTGATGTCATCAGGAGCCTGAAATGAGAAAGGAGGTGGGACAGGTGAGAAATAGGTAGCAAAAATAAATGTCAAGCTGTGTTCTTTACAGACAGTGGGCACTATGCTTGAAGGCTAGACTTTTCAACTGTAAGTGAGAGAAAATGAGATGATGGTGATGAGGAATCTCTACTGGCAGGAGACCAAGAAGGCCAAGTGCTGCTTGTTCTTCAACCATTACTGCTTGTTTATGCTCTTAACAGCATGATACTGTCTCTGAGCTGTTTCACCCACAGCTGATTAATGTGTTTCAGAATTTTCCCCTAACTATCAACACTGGTGAGTTGATTAGCGCATTAAAAAATTTTTCTCTCTTTTCTCAGCAACCACTAAATTACATTTGTCTCAATTCATTGATTTAAATTATAGATGGTTGCCCTCCAACATGTCTCAATTTCACAAGGAAAAATAATTTGAAAAGTTATTTATCTTAATGTCGATTAAGACTAGCTAATTAGACATAACGTTAGTGGTTTGGACTTACTGAATTATAGTCACTTGAGTCCTGTGATGATGTTCATGAATCTGGAAGAAATTTGGGGAATAAGAAATAATACCAGATAGGACATTTGGATCCAAGCAGACCCTACTTCCCACCCAGGTTCATCGGTTTGTGAGGGCATCACTTTCCTCCTCTCCTTCTGCTACTGAAGTTGTTACATTCTTACTATGGGGTAGTATTAACAGTGGCAACAACAATAGCAATGCTAATCAAAATAAATAGTAACCATAGCCTGTGATATTACGCCGGGCAAGATTCTGAGCACTTTCTACATCATATCACATTTAATCCTTACAACAGACCTTTCCTTCTTATTGTGGAGGAGACTGAGGCACAAGAAGATGCTATCACTCAGCCCAAATCCCACCACAAAGCCAGGATCCAAACCTGCATTTGTTTTCTCACATCAGTGCTATGGGCTTCTCCCCTGTTGGGAAGGGTTGGCATACAAGGCCACCAGGCCACAAATGTGGAATCTGATTCTGCTACCACTGGGCAAGTCACTTAAACTTGAGTGTAGATCAAGGGCAAGAATGTCCAGCTCATGACGCCATTATGAACACTGGGGAACTAATATGTTTGGAAGAATCTGGTGTAGGGAAAGCACTCAAGATTTGTGAATATGAATATGAATGAGATGGGAGATTATAATTAGGTCACATTAGATGGCAAAGGTGAAGGAAAGTGCAGTGCAATTGTAGCTTGGCAATTCCTTTCCTCGGTGAGGATAGATTTTAAAAGTTAATTTGAAAAGTAAAGTCAAGACAGAGAGCAACCTGCTCATTTACTATGGTTACAGAAGGTCTCTAGTCACTCGGCTTTAGTTAATCAAAAGGGAGATTATTCTGGGTGCGTCTGGGAGATAGATAGATAAATGGACAGTGGATGGATGGATGGATGGATGAATGGACAGATGGATGCACAGGTGGGGAGAGAGAAAGAGCGCATGCACGAGAGAAAGATATATGAATAGATATAGAGTTGGGGCTCAGAAACTGATACACGAAAATATGGTGCTTTGACATGCCGGACTAAAGAAGCAGTCTCAATGTCTCTCTAACCTTCTCCTCAGCTTCCTGTATCTCAATCCTCTTTGTTTCCCAAAGCACAGGAGGAAGCTGTTCCCTAAGGTTCCCTTATCTGCCTGAAGTCTAGACCTGCCAAAGAAGAACACAATCCCCTCTTGTTCCTTCCTTGAGTTTTCATTAACTTAACTCATATCACAAGAAGAAAGAATGAAGTCTGTCAGTGCACCTGGACAGAGGTTTGTCCCAAATCATTGTTCCCTATTTTGGTCCCATTCAGAATTCCAAAGAGAATCATTTACCAGCCACTGTCTGCTCTGTGGGCCCAACAGACTTTGTCCCAGGTCATTGTATGTACTCCAAGTGCAGTCATTTCCTCTCGAAATCATTTACTACCCTCAAATTGCCACGTTTCTCCCATCTCCCCTCTCCCTGTGAAGAAGAATACATGAACACCTGCATCCCACTGGGTGATTGGCAGACTGATCATTTTCATGCTAATCCCCCATGCTAAGGACATTAAAATAAATTTTGTATGCCTTTTATCCTATTAAGCTGCCTTTTTTTTTCGGTCTCTTTTCAGCAGACCTTCTGAGGACAAGGGGAAAGTTTTCCTTTGGCCCCTACGGTTATGGTTCTGTGAGCAGGATAACCAAAACCACTGTGCTCTTCTGAAAGCCACAGTCAAGGAACCCCGGGACCTGACAAGCCAGCAAAGAGTGAGAAATTCTTACCAGAGTCCTGCTCTCTCCCTTTAGAATCCAGTCAAGCAGATGGTAAAAATCACTCTCTTTTTCCTATCCAAACTTAAGATTAATAGGAGAAAAGCATTTGTATGAGTAGGACTTTGGTTTACCGACCCTGATGTATTTTTTGGTATAAATAAATACTCATATCATATGATTCCTTTTTCCCCCAGAAATGGTCCGGGTTTCTTTTGCTTCTGTCTTTCTGTGCTGCTTGTCCCTCGTGTCTTGTTTTATGTCCACGAGACCTTGATCTGTGACCAAGAGGAAGCACTGTTTCTTGGTCTTCACCATCCAGAGGGCATGATTCATGATTTTCAGGCAACATCTGGTGGCCAGATTAAAAGGACGGGGATCCCCGAGACACATACGATATTAAGCAGCACTCGGTTCTGAGTGTGCCGAGTTCTCAGGGGAATTTGTCTTATTAAGGAGTCCCAGCTGTAAGTAACTTTTGTTGCCACAACTCTTGTTATCTGGTTAGTCTTGGGAAAGTCCAATCCCAAGAGGGCTTGCCTGGTGTCATGGACTGATGAACCTGTGTCTAGCAACCCCCACAAATCTGTGGAATGCTGGAGGCACCACACACACAAACACCATCATTACCCATCCATGGCAACAAAAGTTCTTTTGCTTTCTCTACTCCTGAGAATGAAGTTTTGGGGGAGATCAGAGGGCTTTGCATCTTCTGAACCCAATTAAAAAATGCCACTTACATCCATGGTATTCTAAACCTGGAAAGCTACCTCTGGGACTTTCCATGAGAAAGGCTTATTGGCTTGAGTCATGTGTGGAATAAATAAATTGTCTATAAGTAAAAGAAAATTTTTTGTACAACTGTTGATTTAAATGGCTACCTTACTGGTACCTATGAAAAGACACAAAAGAAACATAGCCTTACAAACTCCATTGGCAAGATTTTTTAAAAGGCGGAAATCAGATGTAAAATCATTTGTACATGCAGACTGCCTGCTTTGGATTCCCTGCAGAATTTGCAAAAGGCCACTCCAAGCTGTGGTCTAATGGCTAGGATTTTGCGTTTCATCATCCTGGCCCCTGCAGGGATTTCTGACCAGGGAATCTGTCCCTTGGACATATAAATCCTTTAACTCCTTTAATGAGAAAAATGGAACATTTATAAGAACTAGTTTGAATTATTTGTTTGGAATTTATATTTGTGTGACTCTTGACTTTTTGGAGTACCTATTTGTTATTGATGCTTTTCTCTCCATGAACAGCTATTGTTTTCCTGGTTGCTTAGTCTATTTTTTTTTTCTTCCAGCTGTCTTTGAGGCCGGCTTTGGATCTTGTGAGGACTGTTTCTTTGCACCTCCTTGGCCATGTGTTGTGTGTACTTAGTTAAGTCATAAAAGGTGTATCTTTGGTTTAGTTCTGAGTCACTGGTAGACACATTTTTCTTTAAGTTTTGTTGTTGTTGTTTTGATTTGTCTTTTAAGCCAGGAATATTTGCTATTTTTCCTGGCTAAAATCTAATAATAAGAAATGTAAAAGGATTTTTTTTTAAAGACCTCTATGATCAAAAGTCAGCTTAGTTAAAGGCTGATATTCAGACTATTTTTTGTCTCTCTGTTCTTTTTTCCATTCTATTTCTCCCATGGGAACTTCTTAGCTGACTAGGCCTACTTTTTTTCAAACTCCTGCTAACTAAAACTTCATTGGCCTTTCGGGGAAGCTTAAAATCTTCCCAAATTGGCTCCTCTAAAACATGTTCTTAATGAGTATACAAGGACACAGGGAGGGGAACATCATACGCCAGGGCCTGTCAGGTGTGGGGGGCTAGGGGAGGGATAACATTAGGAGAAATGCCTAATGTAGGTGACAGGTTGATGGGTGCAGCAAACCACCATGGCACATGTATACCTGTGTAACAAAACTGCATGTTCTGCACATGTAACCCAGAACTTAAAGTATAATAATAATGATGATAATAAAAATGTTCTTCCATGTACTTCCACCTCCCCTTCCTTTTGCTACCTGCAATACCACTTGAAAGGGTCTAGAAAGGGCTTCTGGCAACCCTGAGGCTTCATGAGGTACAGAAAAAAGGCACCACTGACTCCTTTCATTGGGAGTGGGGTTTCCATCTTCCTCACCAAGCCTCAAGAGTCTTGGGCTGGTTCCTCTTGGATGCAAAGTTCTGGTGTCCTTTACATTAAACCCCCTGTTATTTTTCACTTTGGGATACATACATGTGTGCTGTATGTCATGTCTACATGTATGTATATGCCTGTACATGCATTTGTATATATTCTACATGGTACCAAGTTGACTTATAAATAAATGAGTTCTCATAAATTAAGCAAATTAACCCAAATGCTTTTCAAGTTCACAAGACCTTAGTAATGTTTGGTAAATAAAGCTAGCTTTAAAATTGTTGATAAAATAAAATGTCTTCAACATTTAACTCATACATTTTTTTCTAGGTCTGCTGGTGAGACAAATTTACACTGTCTCTGCTAGGTGTTTTAAAGTCATAAAAGTGTTGTTTCTATGATATTGTTGATACTTGCTTGAGCTTGTCTTTGGTTCTGAGCCTCTGAAATCTAGGCTGTAGACAGATGGTCATGGTGAGGCCTAGGGACATAGGCATGGATATGTTATTAATATGTGTTCCACAGTGCCTGGGCCACCAGCTACAGGGCAGGGCCAAGCTCAATATGGCCCCATCCTCCCTGGACCGGCGTTGCCTCCTGACCATGCTGGAGGGGTCAGATCCTCCAGACATCCTTCTCACAGCTCTGTCCTCTCTCCTGGGCTCTGAGTCTTCTGTGTAAATCCAGGACTCAGATGGGCCCTTTCTTTCGTGACCATTCTGGGTACCATGTGGGTACTTGGGACCCAGGACAGTTGGGGGACACATAAAGGAGCGTACTTGTGTTCAGTATCTCAGTGGCCTTGGTTAAGATGAGGCTGGCCAATGCAGCTGTTGTCCAGTTTTGCTTTTTTAAAAGAAAAAAATGGCTAACATTGTTTTCAATGAACAATTCAAATGTAATTGTTAAAGACAAGTAAAGTAGGTAAATGTAAGGGAGACAAATATTTATAAATGAGCTTGTCATCATTTCAAAAATGTTTCAATAATTTGAAATCTTAAAGACATGTTATGTCAAATTAGGTAACAGATCATCATAAAATATCTCAGTGATTTCTAAGTAAGTAATCAAAATATCAATTATTAAGCATAGGTTTAAGTTTACACACTTTGACATCCTATTGTTCTGTGATATAGAAAAGCTAAATACATCTAGATCTGTTAATGAACATAAAACAATTGAGGAAACATAACTTTCTAAAGATTATGAAATAATTTTGATCTACAAAATTAAGAGGTTACTGACAGGTTTTTTTTAGAATAAATGAATGGAGGAAAAGATGATATAGATAAGACAAAATGGATACAGAAAGTTGGGGAAATAATGAGAAAAAATTGATAAAAAGTTATAAAAGGTTTATGAAAATCTTGTGTGGTCAAAGCTGACTGAGATTGAAAGGATTTGTTTATAAGATTTTATTAAAAACAGTTCTGATTTTAAAAGTATATTAATACAAAGGTAGAATCTTGTTTCAAGACTTTTTGTAATATTACTAAGAGATAGTAAAAAACTTGGTTCACCTTTTTAGTAAATTACAAATTTAAAAAAAAAGAAAAAAAGAGAGAGAGAGAAACAGATTCTATGTGCTCCATGCAATCATTATTGGGTCATTTGATTATTTGGAAAATGGAATCTCATCTCTATCAAAGAGTAAAGGTTTTTGCTTTTTGAATATTCAAATTATCATTTGGCTAAATGAATGACTATTATTTTGCAGTAACCTGTGATCCTATTTTAATCAAGTGTTTTAAACCTTTGACATATTTGACAGGCTTCCCTAAATCAAAATTTTAAATCTAAAATTAATCTTTTAAATCTCAAACTAACTCAGGGATGTTCCAAAGAGCCCTTGAAGCATCCAAAAGAGTGATAGTAAACAAACTTATCTCATATGTTAAATTATACAGGAAACATCATAAGAAATAATGTGTAATCTTTTTCTGAGTTATATTATTAATATATTTTTATGAATACGTTATTAATATGAGTGTCTAAATTGTATGAGATTTTTAAAAATCTGTTAAGTCTCAGTATATGTTGGCAGTCATAATTATGTTTAATTGTTTTAGGCCACACAAAAATGAGCAAATTTCTTTGCCAGTTGTGCCTTTCACCATGGCCATTTTAATTCTTGTTCACAGGTAATTGCTTTCTGCTAATTCTTTTCTTCCTCAAAGTTCTTTGCAAATTATGAAATGTCGTGGCTTCAAGGAGGTTCACAAAAAAAGACTACAACAAGTACTCCAAAATACAGGTTTCTGACAACTTTGACATCAGAAATTTGAACTGGGTAAGAATTTTGTAAACTTCAATTAAAAAAGAAATAGGCTCATGAAATTACTAACATTATATCAAGCAGAATAAGAATTAATTACATGGTGTTGAACTGATGGAGGACTAAAGTAATTTCTATGACTTTTTTTGTTTGAAATATTGAAAAAGATTCTTTTTATGTTTTGTTTTCTGGAGTCAAGAAAATGTTTTAAGGCAATTTAGAGCTTTATGACAATTTGGTAAAGTATACTTTTGTAAGCAAAATTGAAGCATTTACCTTTCTCTCTACCTGTTCCCTCCAAAATCTGAAAGCTATTCATTAGTATTCTAATTTTATGGTAATATAGTTATTTGCATAAATTTGATAAATATCTGTTTTCTTTTGTAACAGGACAAAATTGGAGACACTGATTATTTTAGCAAGCCTCTGAATAGAATGTCATGTTTTCAGATATAACCAGACAGCTTTAAGGAACTGAAGCTGAGACTATAAAACTGGTAGAGATCCTTGGAAAAACTAGCCTGATACTTCAAATAATGGTTCACATGGATGCCTTGTGGAGTAAAGAATGCCACTTTTTGACAGACCCAGAAACCTCAAGATATTTGGAGAACTTGAAAAGAGAGGAGTTCACCCAGTATGTATGAGTATTGCAGACAAAATCACAGGGCAAGTCAAATTTTTTGCCTGGCTTCCTTGCTTCTGGAGACTTTTAAAGTCCAGTCGAAGATTTCTTATGAAACGTTCCAGTAAAGCCAACTTAAAAGGAGCCTGTATGATAAATACATTCTTGCTGCACTTTATGCAAGTAATGAGGCCAAGTTAATGCAACAAAATTTATTCTATGAACAAATTAGTTTTATCATAAATATCTTTGGTAACAATGGATCACCAAAGAGAGAGAAAAACTGTTTCAGAAATAAAAACAACAATAGTATACTGGTTATTAGATTCTAGCCCTGCCCATTGTTTTTGAGGTTTCTCTTTTTTTAATTATCTGGGCTGATTTTTAGTTCCCTCCAATATCTGGCTGTGACTCTCCAGACAAATATTTTTAATTTTTCTCTCACCTTTCTGACTTGAAATCACTAAAAATTAAAAATGCCTTTTTCCTAAGGCCCTAGGAGCTATAGCCCATCAACTCGGCTTTGAAGAAAAATCACTGCAGCAGTTTATATTTGGACAAACTTTACACACATACTGCAATCCAGGAAAATCCATCAGATAGCCACTGGGCTTCTCAGCTCAATGCCCTTCAGACTCTAGAAGAAACTAGTTTATAGACTACTGTAGACATTAATCGTTGTTTTTCTTCTGTTTCCATAGAAATGCCTTTTGCTAAAAATCTGTTTGCCGGCATCATATATAAAGGCCTAGCTTTGAGAACCCATCTACTACATCATCTCCTGAAATGCAACCTGATTTTTTAGTTGGACTGGCCTATTCTGAGAAACAACAGACTGTTTTAATGAGAGCCTTGCCACTCTTGTACTAACTTGATTTTTCTCTCCACAGTCCCCAACTCAGCTTTCAGTGTGTGAGGTTTCTAGGGGAGTTTCAGACAGGGGAATACTGGGGTTCAGAAATGAGTACCCCAAAATATGGTGTTTTGACATGCTAGACTAAAGAAGCAGTTTAAGGTCTCTCTAATCTTCTCTTCCTCCTTGTCTCTTGATCCTCTTTTTTTCCCGAAAGCACAGGAGGAAGCTGTTCTCTGAAGTTCCTTTATCTGCCTAAAGGCCAGATCTGCCTAAGAACATAATTTTCCCTGACTTTTCATGAACTTGACTCATATTGCAGGAAGAAAGACTGATGTCTGTCGACATACCTAGACAAATTTTTGTAGCAAACCATTGTGTTCTATTTTGGTTTCATTCAGAATTTCAAAGAGAATCATTTATCAGCCATTGTCTGCTCTGCGGGCCCAACAGACTGTCCCAGGCCATCATAAGTTCTCCAAGTTAATTCATTTCCCCCTAAACATCATTTATTGTCCCTCAAATTGAGACACTTCCCCATCTCCCCTTTGCCTATAAAGAAGGGCATATAAACACTTGTACCCCACTGGGTTAGTAAGTAATCATTTTCATGCTATTCCCCTATGCCACACATGTTAAAATACATTTTGTATGCATTTTCTCTTATTAATCTGCCTTTTGTCAGTTGGCTTTGAGTGAAACATCAAAGGGCTAAGGGGAGGTTTTCCTTTGGTCCCTGCAATAGATACAGATAGGTTGATTATGCAGGTGCAGATATTTTAATCTTAGCTCGTAACTCAT
Organism: Homo sapiens; assembly: GCF_000001405.40. NCBI lineage: Eukaryota > Metazoa > Chordata > Mammalia > Primates > Hominidae > Homo > Homo sapiens. The sequence continues at coordinate 4,841,685 of NC_000001.11, read as the reverse complement.
CCATTGAGGGGTGCGTTATATTTTATATTAGCTTTCGGTTGCTGCGTAACAAATTATCACAAACTTAGTGGCTTAACACAACACAAATTTATCATCTCACCATTTCTGTGGGTTGGGAGTCTAAACATCAGGTAGGTGGGGCCTCTGCCTGTAGTCTCACTAGGAGGAAATCCAGGTGACAGCAGAGGCTGCAGTCTCACCTAAGGCTCAGGGTCCTCTTCCATGCTCACTAGCAGGTAGAATTCCATTCCTGGTGCATGTATGACTGACTGAGGCCCTCAGCTCCTAGGAGCTGGCTGTTGTTCCCTGCTAAGTAGCCCTTTCCACATCATGACAGTGAACTTCCTTCCCAGACAGCAAGAGAACATCTGCTACTTTGTGTCTCTTTTAAGAGTTCACCAGATGACATCAAGAGCAGACTCCCTTTGATTAACTCAAGATCAATTAGTTTGAACCTCAACTACACCTACAAAATTTCTTGACTTTTGCCATATGGTGTCATCTAATCACAGGAGTGACATCCCATCATATTCATAAATTTTGTCACATTCAAGGGGAGATGTACAGGCCATGTACACAAGGGGTGGCAATTGTGGAGGTCATGTTAGAATTTTGCCTACCACCCATTAGGAAAAAAAATCAATTTCAGTTCTACACCTTTGATGATTTCCATCTCTGATAGTTTCTGGTATGGTTTGGCTGTGTCCCCATCCAAATATCATCTTGAATTGTAGCTCCCATAATTCCCACGTGTAGTGGGAGGGACAGAGTGGGGGATAATTGAATCATGGGGGCAGTTTCCCCTATATTGTTCTCATGGTAGTGAATGAGTCTCATGAGATCCAATGGTTTTATAAGGGGTTTCCCCTTTTTACTTGGCTCGCATTCTCTCTTGTCTGCCATCACGTAAGACATGCCTCTCACCTTCTGCCAGGATTGTGAGGCCTCCCCAGCCACGTGGAACTGTGAGTCCATTAAACCTCTTTTTCTTTGTAACTTACCCAGTCTCAGGTATATCTTTATCAGCAGCATGAAAATGGGCTAATACAGTAAATTGGTACTGATAGAGTGGAGAGCTCTTGTAAAGATACCCAAAAATGTGGAAGCAACTTTGGAACTTGGTAATAGGCAGAGGTTGGAACAATTTGGAGCACTCAGAAGAAGATAGGACAATGTGGGAAAGTTTGGAACCTCCTAGAGACTTGTTGAATGGCTTTGACCAAAATGCTGATAATTATAAGGACAATGAAATCCAGGCTGAGGTGGTCTCAGATAGAGATGAGGAACGTGTTGGGAACTGGAGTAAAGGTGACTCTTGCTAAGTTTTAGCAAAGAGACTGGTGGCATTTTGCCCCTGCCCTAGAGACTTGTGGAACTTTGAACTTGAGGGAGATGATTTAGGGTATCTGGCAGAAGTTTCTAAGCAGGAAAGCATTCGAGAGGTGACTTGAGTGCTGTTAAAGGCATTCAGTTTTAAAAGAGAAACACAGCATAACAGTTCAAAAAATTTCCAGCCTGATTATGCAATAGGAAAAAAAAATATTTTCTAAGGAGAAATTCAAGCTAGGTGCAGAAATTTGCATAAGTAACAAGGAGCCAAATGTTAATCCCCAAGACAATGGGGAAAATGTCTCTAGGGCATGACAGAGACCTTTATGGTAGCCCCTCCCATCACAGGCCCACAGATGTAGGAGGAAAAATTGGTTTCGTGCCTGGGCCCAGGTCCCCTCTGCTGTGTGCAGCCTAGAGACTTAGTGCCCTGCATCCCAGTCACTGCAGCCATGGCTAAAAGGGTCCAAGTTACAGCTTGGGCTGTGGCTTCAGAGGGTGCAAGCACCAAGCTTTGGCAGCTTCCATGTTGTGTTGAGCCTATAGGTACACAGAAGTCAAGAACTGAGGTTAGGGAGCCTCTGTGTAGATTTCAGAAGATGTATGGAAATGCCTGGATGTCCAGGCAGAAGTTTGCTGCAGGGGAGAGTCCCTCATGAAGAATCTCTTCTAGGGCAGTGCAGAAGGGAAATGTGGTGTTGGGTCCCGAACATAGAGTCCTCACTGAGGCACTGCCTAGTGGAACTATGAGAAGAGGGCCACTGTCCTTCAGATTTCAGAATGGTAGATCCATCAACAGCTTGCACCGTGTGCCTAGAAAAACCACAGACACTCAACACCTGCCCTTGAAAGCATCCAGGAGGGAGGCTATACCCTGCAAAGCCATGAGGGTGGAGCTGCCCATGACATGGGAACCCACCTTTTGCAGCAGCATGACCTGGATGTGAGACATGGAATCAAAGGATATCATTTTGGAGCTTTAAGATTTGACTGCCCCATTGACTGTCCCATTGGATTTCAGACTTGCATGGGGCCTGTAGCCCCTTTGTTTTGGCCAACTTCTCTCATTTGGAATGGCACCGTGGACTTTTGAGTTATTGCTGAAATGAATTAAGACTTTGGAAGACTGTTGGGAAGGCATGATTTGTTTTGAAATGTGAGGACGTAAGATTTGGGAGAGGCCAGGGTCAGAATGATATGGTTTGGCTGTGTCCCTGCCCAAATCTCATCTTGAATTTTAGCTCCCATAATTCCCACATGTAGTGGGAGTGACCCAGTGGGAGATAATTGAATCACAGGGGCAGTTTCCCTCATACTGTTCTCATGGTAGTGAATAAGTCTCACAAGATCTGATGATTTTATAAGGGATTTCCCTTTCGCTTGGTGCTTATTCTCTTTTGTCATGGTGTAAGATGTGCCTTTCACCTTCTGCTATGATTATGAGGTCTCCCCAGCCACTTGGAACTGTGAGCCCATTAAACCTCTTTTTCTTTGTAAATTACCCAGTCTTGGGTATATCTTTATCAGCAGCATGAAAACGAACTAATACAGTTTCCAGTGCCATTTGGTTAAGAACTTGAAACTTTCATGCTCATCTATTAAAATGAAATAAATATCTGCCCTCCCTGCACAGTTCATTTGGGGGTGCTTTGCATTGTGGGCAGTAAAAATCCCAGCTCAGGTAATATAACAATAAGAATAATCTGGAAGTAAATGATTTTCAATTATGGTTTGGTCAAGGAACCAGCTCTACTTCTCTGTGATTCTGTTTTTTTATTGTTCCCTCTCCATGCAAAGGCTGACTTATCTTATGGTGGGCAGGTGACTGCAAAAGTGTGTGTGTGCATCAGCTGTCTTCAGTGTAGGCAGATGCTTCTCTTTCTCAAAACATCAAGCCACAGAATACCTCATCAATGAATCAGTCCAGTGAACCAATACCTCCAATGAACCAGTCCCTGGGGCCACGGAGACTCTGTGTGAAGATTAGCCTCTGGCTGGGTTTTTGTCTGTCTCTGAGCTCATCTCTATGGCAAAGTGAGCAGGATCAGAGCCCACTCCCAACCCTGAGTTGAGAGTGGAATCAACTCCACCCAAACTGAGGCTACCACAAATTAGGGAGAGTGCAGTGGCTGCTTGGAAGTTCCCCCTCACCACCACCCCCAACCCAGGTCCCTATGGTGCCCACCATGCTGTTGCTGAACTATAAACTCATTCAGTCTTATGGTACTTACCAAGCTGCCAGACAGTAGGCTGAATGCAGAGGTGGAAAGGGCAGACACGGCCCCACCTACCTGCTGCGCACACCATGCTGGGGAGAAAAATACAGCTGAAAAATGCCAACAGGAAAGCATGAGCTTGTGCAGACATGCACCACAGGAAGCCTGTCTCGGAACTGTCACACACTCCGCAGATATGGAGACAGTGGGTGGGTGGTACCGCAGAGGAATGTGGGAGTGTGGTGCATAGCTGGCCCACCCTCCCTGCTGGGCCAGCCGTGCACTCGCCCCCTCCTGTTTAAAGCACACGTTGGCTGGCCAGGCACAGTGGCTCATGCCTGTAATCCCAGGCAGATCACTTGAGCCCAGGAGTCCAAGACCAGCCTGGGCAACATGGTGGATAAAACCACATCTCTACGAAAAGCATAAAAATTTAGGAGGGTGTGGTAGTGCATGCGGGTAGTCCCAGCTACCTGGGAGGCTGACGTAGGAAGATTGCTTGAGCCCAGGAGTCCAAGGCTGCAGTGAGCTGTGATTGCATTACTGTACTCCAGTCCGCAAAAGAGGAAGACCCTGTCTCAAAAAAAAAAAAGTACACGTTGACTATCTATGTCATGTAACAAATGGCTACAGCCCTAGCACAGGCTCGACACACCATCTGTTTATCTCCTGGGTTCTCTAGGTCAGGAGTCTGGCATGGCTTGTCTGCATTCTCCCCTTAGGGCCTCACAGGGCTGCAGTTGAGGTGTTGGTTGTGCTGCATTCCTTTCTGGATCCTGGGATCCTCTTCCAAGTCCATGTCATTGTGGACACAGTTCAGTTCCTTGCAGTGTGGGCCTGAGGCTCCGGCTTCCTTGATGGCTGGCAGCTGGGACACTCTCAGCTCCTAGAGGCATCTGCTGTTCCTTGCCATGTGGCACTCACAACAGTGCAGTTTGTTCTGTCAAGGCCAAGAGGAGGGGGTCTCTGCAGCTTTGGATCTCTCAGTCTTCTTCTGTCTCTGTTCCTTAGAATCTTTTCAAAGGGCTCACCTAATGAGGCCTGGCCCACCTGCAAAACTTAAGGGGTGGGGATATACAGGGCATGCAGGCCAGGGCCTGGGAATCTCAAAGGCCATCTTCCAATTCCTCCTGTCAGAAAGCTCCACCCCCCATGCAAAGAAAAGCTTCTTGAGTGAATGGAGGCTTACAATTAACTATTTCTTTTTAAAAGTGCTATATTCTGAAGGCCACTGAGTAGGTAGTGATGAAATGGCCGACATTTGGAGCCAGAATGATTGCAGGAGGGCATGCTGCTCCCACCACAGTGGCCTCAGCTGCTGACTCCAGCAGATGACAGCTTGCACAATCCTCTTGGATAGATGTGCAAGGTCAGTTCTATGCACACTCCACGCCCCCAAGCTTTGCTCCTTCTGCAAGATTCACAAAGAACTTCCTCATCAGGAAGTGCCCAGGGTGCCCCTGCCATCCTCCCACCCCATGTTCCTTGGAGGAGGCTCAGCTTGTCCTGCAGTTTGGCTGCCTGTTTAAAGAGACAGAGCCTGGTGATAAGGCAGCTCTGCAGACCCTCCGTGCTCCCTGAAAATCCTGCTGAGGTCAGGAGCTGCCTCTGCCTGTGGAATCAATGTCCAACCTGCTGCTGTCCCACAGAAGCTTAAGTTTAGGAGACAATCAGCTGACGAATTTGAAAAGACTAATAAACCCCACTCAAAACTTCCTGGCTAACTGATATTTTTTCTCCTCTGCAGCTTGTGGAGAGGATTCCTAACTTGTGGGAGGGAGAGGGAGTGTGGAGAGGGGATTAAAGGCATCCTTTTCCTCCCTTCATTAAAAATGACACCTCTCGTTTATTTTGAAGATAATGGGAGCTGTCTTGAGGTTTCCTGTCCTGGCACCTCGAGATTTTTCTCTGTTGTTAAGAACTTGCAAAATATGCAAATCTCCTGCATAGAATAAGGCACCCATTTTGTTTTAATTGGTTCGTTCTGGTGAAGACTGATTTTGTCCAAAGTAGCTGGTTTTCTTGAGCTCTGGGTCTGTTTTCATTCTTCTGCCTTAAGTGAGATTCTACCATGTTTTTAACCTGTGCTTGGGGAGATTGCAGGTGAGAAAGGCGTAGTGCAACAAATCACTTCGGCATCAGCCCTTTCTCAACACGGCCACTTAACGTGGGGCTCACCTCAGTCCCAGGTGAGCAGCTCCGTGAGTCCCAGTGGGGAGGATGATGCCTCATTTCAGACACTCATGGTGTCTTGGACTCAGCTGTTTCAGACTTGGTTGAACTAAGGCACACTGTCCCCTGAGCACAGGTAGGCTGCCCACTTTCAAAGAGGTCTCCAGAGGAAATTGCTGAAACCACAACATGCCTGTGTGCACACTTGCACACGTGTGTACCTACACAAGCGGCAATGCATGGACATGTGTAATACATGTATACACTTGTATACACTTGTACTAAGAAAATATCTTTATTATTTCCTTTCTCCTTTATCATGTGACTTAAGATTTATTGACTTCACATCAGCATTTAAGTATTGTTAATTTTATGTAATAGTATTTGGGTTGGGGATTGGTGCATTTCTGGTTGTACGAAGGATGGTTGTATTATGTTAGGCATAATTATGACCTTATTATTGTCTTTATTTGAAGATGATGTATGAACTCAAGAATGTGTATGGGTTCAAGTTGACAAGGGGTGGACTTGTGATGGTTAATACTGACTGTCAACTTGATTGGATTGAAAGATGCAAAGTATGGATCCTGGGTGTGCCTGTGAGGGTGTTGCCAAAGGAGATTAACATTCAAGTCGGTGGGCTGGAAAAGGCAGACCCACCCTCAGTCTGGGTGGGCACCATCTAATCACCTGCCAGCAAGGCTGGAATATAAGCAGGCAGAAAAATGTGAAAAGAGAGGCCAGTCTAGCCTCCCAGCCTACATCTTTCTCCTGTGCTGGGTGCTTCCTGCCCTTGAACATCGGACTCCAAGTTCTTCAGTTTTGGGGACTCGGACTGGCTTTCCTTGCTCCTCAGCCTGCAGACGGCCTATTGTGGGACCTTGTGATCATGTGAGTAAATACTTAATAAACTCCTCATATATATATATATATATAGAGAGAGAGAGAGAGAGAGAGAGAGAGTGAATGGAGGCTTACAATTAACTATTTTAACTCTATGTACATATATATATATATATATTCCATTAGTTCTGTACCTCTAGAGAACCCTGACTAATACAGTTCCCCATTCGTTAAAGGTCCATTGCAGGTTGGTAGGGTCCTGAGCTAACTGTCATCCCTCAGGGAGGGAATCTGCCAAGGCTCCCTCTTGGAAATGGGGAACATGCTCCCACTGTCATAGAAACAGGCAGAAGGGAGTGTGGTGAATCACATACTGAATTTGGAGGCTCCTATCTAGAATTCACACACATATCTCTGCCCACATTGCACTACTCAAAGCAAGTGCTATGGCCATCCCCAACTTGAATGGGCCAAGAAGGTAGGATCTGGGTGATCCCACCATATGCCCAGAAGGAGAACCAGAAATATCTGGTGACCAGCACCAGTATCTGCCACACCTCTGTATTGGCTTGCTCAGGCTGCCGTGACAAAGCAGCCCAGGCTGGAGGGCTTAAACAACAGAAATATGTTGTCCCACAGTTGTCCGACCATTCCAGGGGGCTGAGAGCCCAAGATCAAGGTGTGGGCAGAGTTAAGCCCTTCCTTCTGAGGGCTGTTCAGGCCTCTCATCTACCTTCTGCTGGCTGCTGACAACCTTTGGTGTTCCTTCACTTGTAGAAGCATCACTCAGTATCTGTCCTCATCATCACATGGCTTTCTGTGTGTATGCCTGCATGCATGTCTCTGTGTCCAAATTTCCCCTTTTTATAAGACTACCAGTCATATGGGATTAGGGCCCATCCTAGGACCTCATCTTATCTTGATTATCTCTGTAAAGACCCTATTTCCAATCAAAGTTATATTTACAGGTACTAGGAATTAAGATGTTTATATATCTTTGGGGGACACAATTCAACCCATGACATCTTCCACCTCCAAAGCGCTCCACTGGTATCAGCCATACCTTGCCCTCAATCTTGGGAATAGAGAGATAAAAACCACATTTAATGCTGATGTTCAGAGCCTAAGGAAACACATATATGTGATGAAAGGCGATAAGAATATAACTAAATATTTATCTATGATCTCTGATAATCCAAATCTTTTGATCTGTGACTGATGTGGTTTGGCCGTGTCCCCACCACAATCTCACCTTGAATGCTAATAATCACCATGTGTCAAGAGTGGGGCCAGGTGGAGATAATTGAATCATGGGGGCCAGTTTTTCTCATGCTGTTCTCATGGTTGTGGATAGGTCTCATGAGATCTGATGGTCTTATAAAAGGCAGTTCCCCTGCACAAGCTCTTCTTGTCTGCTGCCATGTAAGACATGCCTTTGCTCCTCCTTCACCTTCCACCATGATTGTGAGGCCTCCCCAGCCATTTGGAGCTGTGAGTCAATTAAACCTCTTTATTTTATAAATTACCCAGTCTTAAGTATATCTTTGTTAGCAGCATGAGAACAGACTAATACAGTGACCCACTGAGGCAGATAGCAGATTCTTTGCTAAGGGTACACCTCTTGGTCAGAGATGTTGCCCGTATCATGGACAAGAAGCCTGGGGCTGCACAGCTGCTGTGGCCTGAATGTCTGTGTCACCCCACAGTTTCTGTGTTGAAATTCTAACCCTCAAGGTGATGGTATTAGGAGGCGGGACCTTTGGGAGGTGACCATGTTATGAGGGTGGAGCCCTAAGGAACAGGATTAGTGCCCCTATAAAAGAGGCCCTTTGGCTGGGTGCAGTGGCTCATGCCTTGAATTTTAGCAATTTGGGAGGCCAAGATGGGTGGATCACCTAAGGTCAGGAGTTTGAGACCAGCCTGGCCAGCATGGCAAAACCCCATCTCTACTAAAAAATACAAAAATTAGCTGGGTGTGGTAATGCCTGCCTGTAATCCCAGCTACTCAGGAGGCTGAGGCAGGAGAATTGCTTGAACCTGGGAGGTGGAGGTTGCAGTGAGCTGAGATCACACCACTGTACTCCAGCTTGGGTCACAGAGTAAGACTGTCTCAAAAAATCAAATCAAATCAAAATAAAAGAGGCCCCAAAGAGTACCCTCACGCCTTCCACCATGTGAGGACATTGTGACAGGACAGCTGTCTGTGAACCCAGAAATGGGCCCTCACCAGACACTGAATCTGCTGGTTTTCTAATCTTGGACTTTCCAGTCTCAGAACTGTGAGGAATAAATATCTGTTATTTATAAGCCACCAGTCCATGGTCTTCTGTTGTAGCTGCCCACATGGCCTGAGATGCAGCTTTTGGACTGGGGAGATATCATTGAAATGTTTCTTTGTTCTTTAAGATTCCAGGAAAAAAAATATACCCAGCTTGCATGCAGTGTGTGTATGTTGCAACGGTGTATTATAGGACATACATCTATGTGGGGACAAAGGGCTGCATCATCACTCCAGTACCAGTGCCTCTTAGGCTGGGCCACAGGGCCTCGTGGAGAACTAAAGAACAACTCTGCATCTCTCCAGGCATCCAGCTGGAGTCAACGTCTTTCTTGGTTCACCTACTCACAACATTCAAATAAATATTTATTGAGAACCTACCAGGCACTGTTCTAGGTGCTGGGGAAATATTTTAACATTTCCCCATTAAAAGTAATGACAAAACCGAATTTACTTCTGCACCAACCTAGTAGCAGTGAACACAACAGACATACATTATTCCTGTCCTCATGAGCTTAACAAGAAGTGAGATGTGGGGTATGTTCTGGAGTACCTGGCTGTGTCCTGCGGATTCTACTGATTCGAGGGAAGGTGTGGATTCACTTTGAGTAGGTTAGCACCTCCACCAACACCAGCACCCTCACCTTCCAGGTGCACCTCTGGCAGACATTAACAGACAATTGCAGCATGGCAGACACTAGCGGACGACTGCAGCTCTCTCTCGACTTCATGATTGCTGACATGGGAACAACTCAGGCAACCCTCCCTTCCATTTGCTTTTCACCCTACAGCCACCCTAGAGTTATGGCTGTTATAGAGCACAGCCATCACTCTGGATGCAAGGATTGCTAATATGCCAGGCAGAGCTCTGAAAGCATTGCCTTGCCAGCTCATCCAATCCTCTCTACAGCTTCATGAGGCATAATTTTCTCTGTTTTCCAAGTGGAGAAATTGAGGCCACCTGAGTTGCAAACTCAGTAGCAAGAAGGGATGTGCAGCCTGGATCTAGAGACTGTGCTCTTAACAACCAAGGCAGATCCAGGCCCTGGGGCTTGGCTGGATGACTGGGTGCTGGCCACTCTTCCTCCATAGCACAGCTTGGGAGAGCCACGTCGGGTTCTGCAGAAAATCCGACTCCCAATGTCTCAGGAGAGCAGGCAGTTGGAGACACGTCCCCTCGGGAAATCTCTCAATTTTCCGAGCTCTCACATTTCCTTATCCATAAACTATGGATAAAAATACCTACCCCTTGGGATTCTTAAGAGAGTAAGAATAAAATCAAGCCCAGAGAGGCTTGCCATGAGTAGGACAGGTGACAAGTGACAAGAACATCCTTTTCCCTGGTGATGGCTTCACGGACATGAGACCTGAACATGGTCTCAGGGCCCTGTGCTTAGAAAGGCTCATGCTAGTTTTAATATCTTGCTGTCATCATTTTGAAATTCTTAATAATTTATGAATAGGGAGAACGACATTTTCCTTTTGCTTTGGACCCTGAAAATTATGAAGTCTGCCCTGCTTCCCCACCAGAAAATGGGCTTCTTCCCCGGAAGGAATGTCTTGTTGTGGTTGTACATGTCATCATCATTGTTGTTTTCCAATTTCTTTTCCTATGCAAGGCAGGCTGTGGGGATGGGAGGAAGAAAACACCCATGTACCCACAGGATGCCCTGGCCCCTGCCCCTTGGGAAAGGGAAAGGCGTGCTGACATGGAGTAAGGGAGGCTGCTGATGACACAGCAGAAGGGGGCTCTCTGTTTTCTTGCTATTGCAGGAGAGCTGGGCTGCTGTCCATGCCTGGCTTTGCTTTGGGAGCTTTCTCTTCCGACCTCATTTACTCTTCAGGACAGCCCTGCGGGTTGGTGTTATGCTCCCCAAGTTATAAACGAAGAAACTGAAACCCAGTAATTACTCCCCCACCCCCGAGGTCGAGCAGCTGGCAGCTGGATTGCAACAACCTCCTGTTTTCTCAGGGCCAAGATGCCAATTTTCCTAAGACCTTAGCGAGCTGGTAAATAAGGCATTCATGAGAAAGAGGCCCAGCTCCATACCATGTGGAACAGAGCTGCTCTTAGAAGTCACTTAGCAGGATATTTTCAAGTAAATAAAATAATGGAAAAAAAAAATAGGAGAAGGAATGGGAGATTCAGGAGTTTTGCACTCTAAGAAAAGGGGACTCGAGAACAAATCCTGCTGGGCATTCACACTTGCTTGTTTCCTCTCAACGAGAGTTCCAAAAAGAGATGTTTAGACACAGTGGGACCTGTCTGTTCGGACTCATAAAATGTTTGATAGCATCTCGTTGAATTTTTATTGGCAGAATTATTTAAATTGTCTGGGATCAGAGCATTGGAAGACTCTGGGGTCTGTGGAAGTCCCATATTTCAATTAACTTCCCTGTCAATAATTAAAATAAGTAAATGTGGTTATCTGGGAAAGGGGGGGCATCCTGGATGTACTTGGAAACACAGATATTGCCTAAACATGAACAGCAATTACAGTGGTGATAATATTAACCAGTAATACCACCATAACAACCTCATAATGATGTCAACCACAGGAGTCCTGGTCGGCAAATCAGGAAGGGGCTGCTCAGACGTAGCCATGACTGTGGCATGTTATGTCTTTGAATCTGGGTCCAAAAGAATGGACTCCAGGCCGTGACTGGTAAGCAGTGAAGAAGGTCTGGTTCAATGTAGTCCCACCTACTTCTGTGTTTACTTCCATGACTAAAATACAAATGTCAGGAAAGCAGGGACTTCACCGGCCTCTCACCTCTGCGACTCTGGAATCTGGCATTGAGCAGGCTGGAGACGTGCTTCTGAGTCCATGAACAATACAAGAATAGCGAGGGAGTTTGCCAATGGAAAGACCCCAACAGCTGACCCCTTTGTGTCGAGGTCTTCCTCAGGGTTGATCTGTATTAATTGGAATGGGCTCTGCAAAGGCTGATCTCCACCTTTCTCCCCAAACATGCCAATATCAGCGACAGCTCAGTTCCCTAGAACATGGCATAATTCCCAGCTCAGTTCCCTAGAACATGGCATAATTCACCTTCTGCAATGTTCTGTGGTCTGATCTTCATGACAGCCAGAGAAGGTACAAAGAGCTGACTTTCTTACTGCCTTGTTTTACTTGCTAGGAAACAGAGACAAAAGGAAGGAACTGACTTACCTGGGACTTATGAGTGGGGACGAGGTGGAACCCCAGCCAAAATCACACTCACCCCCCACTGCCTCTGAGAGTCCACGTCACCAGGAGTTTAAGCCCCAAACCATCTTGACTCCTTCTCCAATATTTTCTAGCTCTTCTAATATTCCGTTACTTAAATAATGACGAGTTCTATGATGATTGCATTGCAGTATGTTTTCATAAAATCCACAGAGGATATTGCAACCGCAAGTGTTAAGCCACACCTTTTTCCAGTCCAATGTAACGATCCTGAGGAATCTTTGTCCCCCAGATGAACGCATTTATCCAGTTTTGGTTCTGCTCTGGAGGAGGTGGGAGGAGCTCGCTGTCCACAGTCGGTGGCCTCTCGCTTCCCCCTCTTAGGTGTACCCTGCTTTGTGTATCTGAGGGAGGTGTTGCAGCATGCCCTTCTTAAGAGCTGAAGTTTCAGGGAGACAGGGCTTTACTTCCAGACTCTTCACGGTCTAAGAATTTGCAGGTGACGGTTGTATTCTACTTGTCAAATGAGTTCTCCCAAACTCTCACAGGTTTCCATTATGTTTCAGGCCCACAGAATCATAAGCACAGGCCTCATTTTCACATGAGGCTTAAGCCTGAATCTCCTCTTTCACATTCAGGCCTCTGTGCTAGGCTCATCCCCTTCTGAATGACAGCTTCTTTGAGACCTTCAGAAACCATAGACGTGGGTGGGGAGTTACAAGGCCCTCAATCTGCCCTTTTCCCTTTATCCTGGCTTTACAGTTGGACCAGGAAGTATTAATAGCAGATGCTTGCTCAAGGCCAAAGTGCCCACTTTCTATCCCATTGTGTGTGGGTCAAAAGGTGACGCTCTCAAACCAAGGCCCAGATTTCTGAACACTCAGTCCACCTGGCGGGTGGGCACCAGCAGAGAGGCCTTCCCTGAGCAGAGCTGTCCTTCTCTCTCTCTGCCAGCAAAGCAGTTGGCTCTTGTCTCCTGGACTTCGCTAGAATCAACAGGAAGCTACCTACCCATTTTCTGACTCTTTCCACCCAGTTCTTCCCCAGCTTGTGGCTGACTGTCACTGGCATTCCAGCAATCCTAAGATTGTATGGAGGATGCTCTGAAGCACCCCAGCCTCCAGCTTGTGAGGCCTGGGTCCTCACTGCCTGCTGTCTGACAGACAAGCCCTGCATCCTTTTGGTTTATGTATGGCAGTTCCATTTCTGGTACCCATTGCTGTACTAACGAGAGAACACTCTGCACAGGGCCCAGACTAACAAAAGTAGAGCTTTCCCTCCCATGGTCTAGCTCAGATGTAAGCAGCCATGGCCCAAAGGGCAACTGTGACTGCTTAGCTCCCAACATCCTCCTAGGGTCACTGGGATGCACCAGGCCTGGGTGTTGCCCAGCCCAAGGAGGAGGAAAAAGGACCAGGGAGGGCACAGCTACACCCCAAAGGGAAGACCCCTGGAACCAGCACACATCATTTTCAGCTGCACCTCATGGCCTGGACTGAGCTCACATGACCTCAACACACGTGAGAACGCATAGGAAATGCAGGCTTCGTATGGGCAGCCACAGCCATCCGCCCAGCTGGCATGGAAGATGCCAGGACTGAAAGAAGGGAAGACAGGACCAGCAGTCTTCCCCAAGTGACCCAGGGTGAGCTCTGTCACCTGAGCCCCAGCGAGGAAAACAGCAGCACTGCTAGTGTTGCCACGCAGAGTAAAAGGAGACCATCCCCGCGAACAAGCAGCACGGTGCCTGCCGCACTGCAAGCGCTCACAAATGACCGCTGTCTTCACCACCAGCACATTTGCTAGTAACATCAGTTTGGGGAAAACGCTGATGGGAGCTGTTAGCACCTGAATCCCAGGACCAGAGCTAAGAGGAGGACGGCTCACTCTCACAGAGCCCCGGCTGTCGTCCTGGCAGCATGACGTCCCAGAGAAGGTAGACGAGGGGTTTACTTCTGCCTCCCTGTGGACTTTTCCCTATGGGGTGGTAGAGCTTTGCCTTCCTGCATGTCCAAGAGTGTGCAAGAGTGTGTGTGTGTGTGTGTGTGTTTAGTCAAGACATATTGTTCTCTCTCTAGGTTAGAACATGAAGCTTCCCGAGAGGTCAGGGAAGCTGGTCTGTAGGTGAAGGCATCCACACTGCCCAGCCCTTTGATCCTGCTTCGAGTCCCGCTTCTGGCTGGAAGAGGCTCCTACCCTTTCTGGCTGGGAGAGAGTTCAAGTTTAAGAAGGAACCTATGGGTGGAAATGAAGAGACACCCTCTCCAACATCCCGCACTGGAGCTGTGACAACCCCTACACCCCACACATGAACACCCCTGCCCAGGTTGTTTGAAATGCTTGTTCTCCGGTGCCATAAAAAAATAGCACTTGAACATAAATTTAATTTATTTAGTAAGGCCATTTTTACTTCCTGCAGAAAGGGTACACCCACCAGCAGTTTTGCCACCAGAGTACACCGAACAACGGAGTCAAGTTATTTTGTAACCTGACGCGTCCACCCTGCTGCTGTGAACGGTTTCCATTGGCTGGAATGGGACCCCTCACTCTGTATTTGTCCTGATTGGCTAGCAATTTAGAACTTTTTAAAAGAGGCAAAGGTAGAGGAGAACAAAGGAAGGAGAAAGTAACTTGTGGAATGCTGAGAAAGACAAAAACACTTTTAAATAAGGAAGAGGAACAAGCTATGACTTAATGCTTGTTGGACCAGTATAAGCATGCCAGGGCAAATATTTAGGCTAAATTGTGGGAGCTAAGAACATAAAGTACATTGATTTCTTTATTACGGCTAGCAGATATTTAAGAATGTTAGCACAGGTCTTTGAATAAATTTTGCTTTTAAGAGAAGTTACTATTTATTCCTAATTAGACAGGGAGGAAAGTCTTTGAAGAGGAACCTCTATTTTACTTTTTACAAGGTGAACACCAACCCTCACAGGGCCACCTCTACATATCCACACCATTAGTGATGGAGACACAGACATTCCATGGCCCCATGAACACCCCCGCCCAGGTGAACACCAACCCTCACAGGGCCACCACTACATACCCACACCATTAGTGATGAAGACACAGACATTCCGTGGCCCCAGTAACATGCTCACCAACACATGGTCACTGACGGAACTCCCAGACACACTCTCCACACGTAGTTCCGCACACACTCTCGCACTTCCATGACAGCAGCACAGGGATACACGTAACCGCCCTGTGTATATGGCTCACCTGCACACAGCCAGGACAAACTCTTGGCACACCCTCTCAGCTCGGGGTGAGGGGGATACCCTTTTGCAACATCCCTTTGCTTTTCGCCAGAAATCACACTCCAAACCACAACTTCATCATCCTCCATCAATAGGAAGCAATCTCAGCCCATCAACCTGTCTGTGCATTGACATTTATTGCCAGTAGGTGTCAGGCAGATATTATCTGCTCCTGCCTGGCAAGCAGCCCCTTTGGAGTCAAGTCCCCTATAGGGGAGAGATGTATTAACGGAAGAAACAGAAACAGGGGGAAAAAGGAGAGGGCCTTAGGGCTCTTAGCTCCTGGGTGGGGGTGGGGCCTGTGTGGACCTGGGCATTTCAGGCCCCTAAGTTAATACAGAGCACGCCTGTGGGCAGGTGGCAGGGGCTGGGCATGGCTGGGATCAGGAGTTGTGTGTTACCACAAGTGCACAGTGAGTGTGATAGGTATGGTGAGGTGAGGGCATCCCCATGAACCTGCAAAGCCCTGTTGAGAGTGTCTGTGTTGCAGGGCGAACCCCAAAATTTGGGTTCAGCCTGGGAGGCCATGTGGGTTCTTGCTTTCCTACAGGAAGAAATTCAAGGGCCAGCCAATAGAATAAAGTGAAAGCAAGTTTCTCAAGAAAGTAAAGGAATAAAAGGGTGGCAAAGCAGCCCCAAGGGCTGCAGGGTGACCATTTTGATGGTTATTTCTTGATCGTAGGCTAAATAAGGGGTGGATTATTCATGAGTTTTCTGGGACAGGGGTGGAGAATTCTCAGAACTGAGGGCTTCTCCCCTCTTTAGACCATGTAGGGTAGCCTCCCCACATTGCCATGACATCTGTAAACTGCCTTGGCTGTGGTAGGTGTGTCTTTTAGCATGCTAATGTATTATATTCAGCATATAATAAGCAGCGAGGATAACCAGAGGTTGCTTTTGCAGCCATCTTGGTTTTGGATGGTTTTGGCAGTTTCTGGCTGGCTTCTTTACTGCATCGGGTTTTATCAGCAGGGTCTTTGTGACCTTGCAAACCAGGCCTGTGGATTTCTATCTCACCTGTTCTAGAGGGAGTCATTCTGGTGCAAAGCCTTCTGACATCCATGTGTGCGTGGGCGTGGGTAATTGTACAACCACTTGCAGAGTGCGGGTGTGCAGGCCCTTGTGGCCCCAGAGGTCAGATCATGTGGCAAGCAGCCTGCAGGTGGGCTGGGGTGAGGGCAAGGAGGGGGCTCTTTGTGAGCCTCTAGCTCACTCAGACATGGCTTTGGGGCCTCAGCACACAGCCTGGTTTGGTGTTGTGCTTCCCGCACAGAAAGGACTTGCATCTGATGTTGAGTCTGAATCAAAGGAAGTGGAGGCCCCAGAGCAGGGGCTGGAGGGCTGTTTATGAAAGATGTTGCTGTGTCTTGCTGGTGGCTGCAACCTGAGGCTTCTGAATTCTGCTTTCCATTTCTCAAGATGATATGTTAGCTGCCACTTAAAATATCCCAGACACTCCTCCCTGCTTTAATAACAATCGTTAGACTCAGATAATGGCTATTGATGAGGGTGTTTTGTTATTGTTTGCGGTTTCTTGCTCTTTACCTGGCTTTTATAATAAACCAGGTGTCCTCTAGGCCCCTATGAATTGTGGTAAGGCCCCTTCCTGGTAGAAACCAAACAAAATTCCAAGCCCCCAACCAACTGAATAGACACCCCCTCTTGGCCAAGAGGATCCCACAGAACCCTGAAAAAATAGGTCAGGCCATGATAGGAAGGGAGTAGGGCACAACTTCTTACATCCCCTCCATTTGGAGTTTAGGCACAACTAACTGACCAGAACTAATATTAAAATAGAGATCATAAGATGGACAAAACACTCTTTGTGGCAATAAAATTCCAAATTTCAACCTGACTCTGGTATAGCATCACCTGACAGAGAGCAGACCCTGAAGGAAATCAAAGTATTTTAACCAAAAATATATTTCTTTGACATATTTTGAAATGGCCCTGCAAAGCTGTCTCTTGTGGGGAACATTTACATTCAATAGAGAATTTTCTTCCTTTTCTAGGTCTTTTCCTGATCTAGGAGAGATTTAACTACAGCCTAACACCTTTTAAGTTCCCCAAGGAGACATTTACCCTCCATTCTCTCTGAAGCCTGCTACTTAGAGGCCTGGTCTACATAATAAGAACCTTGGCTTCCACAGCCCCCTTTACCTTAACTCAAGCCTTTCTTTCTGCTGACTTCAGCTCTTAAGGCAAAGCTTAACTCTTTCAACCAACTGGTGATCAGAAAATCTTTGAATCCACCCATGACCTATAAGCCCTCCCCATCCCCTACCCCTGCCCCACTTCAAGATGTCCCACCTTTCCAGGCTGAACAAATGTATACCTTATGCATATTGATTTATGTCTTTGCCTGTAACTTCTGTATCCTTAAAATGTATTGGCTGGATGTGGGGCTCATGCCTGCAGTCCCAGCACTTTGGGAGGCAAAGGCAGGTGGATCACTTGAGGTCAGGAGTTCAAAACCAGCCTAACTGACATGGTGAAACCCCATCTCTACCAAAAGTACAAAAATTAGCTGGGTGTGGTAGTGGGCACCTATAATCCCAAATACTCGGGAGGCTGAGGCAGGAGAATTGCTTGAGCTCAGGGGGCGGAGGTTGCAGTAAACCGAGATCACATCACTGTACTCCAGCCTGGGCAACAGGAGTGAAACTCCATCTCAACAACAACAACAACAAACCAAACAAATATTATACAGGTGTGGTGGTGCATGCCTGTAATCCAGCTACTCAGGAGGCTGAGGCAGGAGAATAGCTTGAACCTGGGAGGCAGAGGTTGCAGTGACCCATCATCACACACATATATATATGTGTGTGTGTGTGTGTGTGTGTATATATATGTACACGTATATATACGTATATATACATATATACATACACGTATATATACGTATATATACGTGTATATGTATATACGTATATAACATCTCAGGAGCTGGGCAAGTGGGTTCAAGCATGCACACTAAGAGGCAAAATGGTGGAGTTTAACTGGTCTATGACTCCTCCTAGGGACATCTGGTAAGAGAAGAATGCCTCAAGTGAGTATGTACACAACTGTAGTAAACACACTGCACATGTGATACCCCCTCTCCCTGTAAGTGCTGGCAGCCACTGTGCATGCGGACAGCCCACCCCAAGGGAAGAATATATATACGTATATATATACACATATATATATGTAAGCTGTAACCCGACCCCCTCAGGCACTTGTACTCAGGACTTCTTGAAACTGTGTGCAAGCCATGGTCACTCATATTGGACTCAGAATAAACTTCTTTAAACATTGTTAATAGAAAAACATTAGACAAATTAAATTTAACAGAGTTTAATTGAGCAAAGAAAAAAAAGAATGATTCTTGAATCGGGTAACCTCCAGAATCACAGCAGATTTAGAGAGACTCCAGGGATGCCTCTTGGTCAGAGCAAATTTATAGATTAAAAAAAGGAAAGTGATGGACAGAAAACAGAAGTGAGATTCAGAAGCAGCCGGATTGGTTACAACTTGGCATTTGCTTTTATTTGAACACAGTTTGAACAGCAGCCTATGAGTGGTGAAAGTCTGGCTGCTGAGATTGGCCGAGACTCAGCCACTGAAGCATCCTCCTAAATCAGGTGTCTAGTCTCGTCTGCTTACTAAGTTAGGTTACGGTTCATCCTCAAGGACTCAAGTATGGAAGTATGGAGGCTTTCTCAGGCCATATTTAGTTCTATTTAACAATATTTTACAGGGTTTGGCCTTTCTCAACACTGGCCTGAGGACTGTGGGCATGTTATGCCACGGTCTCTGCTCGGGGGAGCCCTTGGAGGCTTCTAATTGCAAACCTCGAGTTGTGAGTCTTTTCCTGCTATGTACTTCAAATAATACCCAGCTCCCAGTGAGCACCAAGGAAAGGTCAGCTGTTACTTGGTATTATTGTTCAGCAGTGGCAAATCCACATGGGTCTACAGCAGCCTCAATTCTTGCCTCCTCAGAAGAAAGAATTCAGCTAAGGGGCATAAGGCAGAGGGAGACAGTGAGGCAAGTTTTAGAGCAGGAGTGAGTTTATTAAAAAGTTTTAGAGCAGGAATGAAAGGAAGTAAAGTACACTTGGAAGAGGGCCAAGTGGGTGACTTGAGGGATTCAAGAGCACAGTTCGACCTTTGACTTAGGGTTTTATATGTTGGCATACTTCCAGGGCCTCGTGTCCCTTCTCTCCTGATTCTTCCCTTGGGGTGGGCTGTCCGCATGCACAGTGGCTGCCAGCACTTACAGGGAGAGGGGGTTCCACATGTGCTGTGTGTTTACTAGAGTTGTGTACATACTCACTTGAGGCATTCTTCTCTTACCAGATGTCCCTAGGAGGAGTCATAGACCAGTTAAACTCCACCATTTTGCCTCTTAGTGTGCATGCTTGAACCCACTTGCCCAGCTCCTGAGATGTTATCGGAAGCTGCTGATCATGAGTTTCAGATGTTTCTATCTATTGGGGATACTGCTTTTCCCTGGCACTGGCTGCAACCAATTATTATTTTAGAGAAACAGTTTAACCACTGCTTGACCATCAGTGATTGTTGCCTGATATTTCTGGTTGGGGTTGTAGGGGCCAGGGGCGCTCTCTCCTGCCCTGCGTATGTCTGACCAACTACCTTCGGTAACATTATTATTAATGAATTACAGAAGATAATCTTTCTCTCAATCTCTCTTTCTCTTTCTGTCTCCCCAAACACCATCAAATGATGGGGTGCCTTGTCACCACTGCACGCAGTCATCAGGGCTAAAGCCAGAGGGGAAGAGTCTGGCTTCCCTCATGGTATTAGTCTGGGCCTTAGATGGGTTGGTAGGGTGGAGGGGGTCTGTGAATCCCCTCAAATAGCCCACAGTTTGGGCTCACGTTACCTTCTCTGGGGAGGGAATCCATGACTTTTCTCAAATAAGCAAAAAGTACAAAAGTCCCCAAGAGCCGCCAATTCCTGCTCCACTGGCCCTCCCTGGGACTTCAGTTTCCCCCATTAAGGCACTGAAGTTCCTATCATTATGCAAATATGTTAATAGAATAACATTTCCACCCATCAGGAATCATTAACATGAGTTAATCTACAAATTTAGAATAAGAAATGAAGAGGACAGGGATCCTAGGGGAACAGCCTGACTTCAATGTGAGAAGAACCTTGAAGGGCTTCCTTCAAGCCTGGACATTAACTCTCTCTTGACCAAGAAGAGGCCACATGTGTCTCTGCGCCTCCAGTTTTCACATCCGCAGAAGGAGAGGGCCAGTACAGAAGACCCTCCTGTGGTTACATCTTCATTTTAGTGTCTTTTTTAGGACAAAGCCTCTCATGTCCATTATAAATCCTTTGCTCTCTCCCTGGGAGGGGCCCTGGAGCAATGACTACCTGTAGCTTTGATTCCAGCTGCATCTGGGCATTCCCATGGGAAATCCAGGAGGTGTGCTTGGGAGAGCTATGGGACCTGGCCAAGGACCACAGAGAGGAAAGGTCATTCTCTGGGAGCTGCTTTTCAGGGTCTCTTATGGGCTCTGCACTTCCCTGGTTGGCTGCCTGCCTTTGGAATCATTGATGTCCATGGAAGTGATGCCACTGGCATTGTGCAATGTGCTCCCCATGCCACTGTGCACTGGTGGCCCTGTGTGTTTAACGCTTTCAATGACCACCCCTATTTTGCTGACATTGCTTAAATTTTTAAGTCATGAAATATAATATGTGTAGTGGAGCAAAAAATGACTTTACCCTTCTAGGTTCCTTGGCTGGGCTACAAATTAAATTGGCATAAGACAGATTAGCAGGAGGAGAATTATATTTAATTGTGTTTATACACACAGGAATCTCACAAAACATTAGACTTCAAGAAGGGTCAGATGATTAAAACTTATACACCATACTGAGCTATGAAAAAAAAAACAACCAGGAGCTTGGAGTTCTGGGGGGTGATGGGGACCACAGGTTACGGCAGGGCAAGAGGAGAAAATGTACAGTGAAGAAAGGCGGTCTTGTGCAGATTAAAGGTCGCTCAGGTAGTAATAGTCTGGGCATGGTGTCAACTTCCAGTTTTCTCCCCTGTGATGAGAGTTAATCTTCCCTGGTTGATAAAATTTCTGGGGAAATGATTCATTACAAGAGAGCTCCTTTTGGATAATCCAGTCTTTAGGCAGATCAAGGAAGCTCAAAGAAAGCCACTCCCTGCATTTGCTGCTTCCCAAGTGCCTTCAGTTTGAAGTAGTCAGCACACAAAGCAGCACGTTTGGGGTAGTGTTTTCTGAATACTTTCATTTGCATAAAGAACAGTGCATGAAACACATCACTGCTCAAATTAATACATAGTTCTAAAGTACACGACCATGTAACCATCCTTTGAATCAAGACGTGGAATATTACTAGCACCCCAGAAGGACCTTAGGGTTCCTTCAACAGGGGTGGCCAATGTAAGAGAAAATAAAATTTTAGGACTCCTTAAATTTATTATGCCAAGGGGGAAGTTAAGCCCTGGAGACTGAGTCAGTAGCATATTTCCAATTCTGTTTCTTAGATTATAGCATAACGGTCTTCCTCATTGCTCTTGTTCTGTAAATGACTAGGAGAGACAGAGACCAGATCTCCCTTCTTTCAATCATTGATCTTTATTATAGATTAATTGACTCTTTCTTGTCCTGTACCTAACTCAGACCAGATGGCCACCAAGACCCCATGACTGTTACATCTTTGATGCAGAAGGTTAATATACCTTTCCCATAAGAAAAAGGCCACCTTGATTAATCAGATTATTGTAACTATCCATTAAGCCTTACATAGAAAGATGTTGACATTCTGTTAAGCTTCCCCAAAATTTGTCTATATACACAATCCCACGGTTCAGCGCTTCGGAAGACTGAATGGAAGTCAATGGAAGACTGACTTCCACTCTTTGGCATCTGTGCTTTCCTGAGCAGCCTGTCTTCAAACTTTGGGCTTGAATAAACTCTCTTTAAACTAGATTCTAACCCTTTTGATAATTTTAGGTTGACACCATCATCTTGACTTTTACGGTGACAGTTTTCTTGCTTTTGTTGTTATTGCAATAGTTATGCTACCTAAGTGTGTATCCCTAAATACCAGACATCAGCTTTGCCTTTTGTGGAACTTAACAGAATATGTCTTATTTTGCATCTGACTTCTTTCATTCAAAATTACATTTGTGAGACTCATCCATGCATGTAGATGTAGTTCGTTTATTTTACTGCTGCTTAAGTATTTTTTCATAAGCATATACACAATTCATGTATCTATTCTACCAGTGATGGAAATCTGGCTTGTTTCAGTGTGGGCTGTGAAAGTAAATAATTCAAACATAAAGCTGTTGAAACTTTAAATTATTTTGAGCCTTGAGAAGAAAGTGGCTATGCTGCCTGAGTTACACAGCATACAGCTACAACTTCTGCTTTTTCCTGTAAACGAATAGGAAAGGTCTTGTTGCACCAGAGATAAGAACCCTCAGATCATCGCCCCTCTTCGTGTAGTGCTAAAGTGATCTTCCATGGAATATAGTGAGGTGTAACCAACCAAATCACTATAACATATGTACTGTGGAAAATGTTGCAACCTTGTCAACAGCTTGTATAGGGAAACCCTAACCTCCCCACTTTGGAATGCTGACCTATTCTTTTGGAGTCTGTATTTTCAGGGAGGCTGTTCTCAAGCTTTGTGCTCAAATAAACTCTCTGCTTCATCATATTTCCTGAATCTCATTATTTAAGGTTAACAGGGCTATTATAATCAATGTTGCTATGGACAATCTTGTATATATATCCAGGTGCATTTAGGCACCAGGGTATATACCTGGGAGTGAAATCAATATGTCATAGGAAATGTGTATATTCAACTTTGGTAGATAATGCTCCACTGTGTCACAGAACGGTTGTAACAATGAACATGCGTTTCTGTTGCTCTGCATCCTCAACCAACACTTGATGATGTCAGACTGTAATTTTTGCCAATCACATAGTACAAAGTGATATATTCTAGTGGATTTCATTTGCATTCCTCTGATCATTTTTTATGTGTTTATTGGCCATAGGTTTATACTAAGAAAGATTCTTTGCTTGACCAAACTTTAGTCAGGCTCCTGAACCTTCTCCTTGGCCCATCTGTGCACTTCCTTGCAAAATTATATTTTAGCAAAAAACCCTGCAAAGTAGTTTGCCAGAACACACCATGCTGATCACCCTCAGTGAAATCTGATCAGTTTCCTCATCCTCCACCCTCCCCCAGGTGAGGTCTGATCACCTTGGCCTGACTTCAGCAAGGATCCTATTAGGTGATCTTGTTAGCAGAATGCCCCTCACTCCTGACGTTTCTTTCCTCTTAGTCATGTTCCATGAATTGACTCCTCCCTGTTATCTGGCTATAAATGCCTACTTCCTGTGTTGTATTTGGAGCTGAGCCCAATCTCTCTCTTCTACCACAAGACCCCTTTGCAGTGGTCCTTATGCCCATCACAATGGTCCTGAATAGAGACTTCCTTCCTGTGCTTAACAAATGTCATTGAATAATTTTTCTTTAACAAGACTCCTTCTGAGGTGTCCACTCAACATGTTTGGCTCTTTTTAATGGGGCTATCTCACCTTAATTTTTTTTAATTTGTACATTTGCTTGTTTAATGGTGTACTAGTCAGGATTATCTGGAGGGACAGGACTAATAGGATAAATGTATATATGAAAGATAGTTTATTAAAGAGAATTAACTCATACAATCACAAGGTGAAGTCCCATAATACGATGTCTGCAAGCTGAGGAGCAAGGAAGCTAGTTTGAGTCCCAAAACCTCCAAAGTAGGGAAGCCAACAGTGCAGCCTTCAGTCTGTGGCCAAAGGCCCCAGAGCCCCTGGCAAACAACTGGTGTAAATCCAAGAGTCCAAAAGCTGAAGAACTTGGAGTCCAATGTTCCAGAGCAGGAAGCATCCAGCATGGGAGAAAGATGGAGGCCAGAAGACTCAGCTAGTCTATTTCTTCCAGACTCTTCTGCCTGCTTTATTCTAGCTGCACTGGCAGCTGGTTAGTTGGTGTCCACCCAGATTGAGGGTGGGTCTGCCTCTCGGAGTCCACTGACTCAAATATGATGTCCTTTGGCAACACCCTCACAGACACACCCAGGAATAATACTTCGCATCCTTCAATCAAGCAGACATTCAGTATTAACCATCACAAATGGCTTGTCTGCCCCTCATCCCTTGAGCAAATCAACTTCCAAATCCTTTCACTTTTTGTCTCAAATGCTTTTCCTCAGCTGTGCTCATTTTCCTCTGCTTTTTGCATATCTAACTTCATCCCTAAGTCTCCTGTCTAACCTCTTGCTACTGACCAAGAGGTTCACCTTGCCCACTATCTAGACATAGCCCATTCATCAAGACAGGGTAATTGCAAACGAGAAAGAGTAATTCATGTACAGCCGGCTGTGCGGGAGACTGGAGTTTTATTATTACTCAAATCAGCCTCCCTGAAGCATTCAGGGAGCAGAATTTTTAAGGACAACTTGGTGGGTGGGGGGAAGCCAGTGAGCCAGGAGTGCTGATTGGTCAAGAATGAAGTCATAGGGAGTGGAAGCTGTCTTGTTGTGCTGAGTCAGTTCCTGGGTGGGGGCCACAAGATCAGATGAGCCAGTTAATAGATCTGGGTGGTGCCAGCTGATCCATCAAGTGCAGGGTCTGAAAAATATCTCAAGCACTGATCTTAGGAGCAGTTTAGGGAGGGTCAGAATCTTGTAGCCTCCAGCTGCGTGACTCCTAAACCATCATTTCTAATCTCGTGGCTAATGTTAGTCCTACAAAGGCAGTCTAGTCCCCAGGCAAGAAGGGGGTCTGCTTTGGGAAAGGGTTGTTATTGCCTTTTTAAACTATGAACTATAAACTAAGTTTCTCTCAAAGTTATTTCAGCCTATGCCCATGAATGAACAAGGGCAGCTTGGAGGTTAGAAGCAGGATGGAGTTGATTAAGTCAGATCTCTTTTGCTGTCTCAGTCATAATTTTGCAAAGGTGGTTTTAATCTTACAACTTATTATCCACATGAGTGCCAGATGTGAGTATGGGAAACAAAACTCAATACGTTAGTCCCTGATTGAAACCCTTCATTAGTCAACATACATGAGATACATCTAATTCTTAGTCGACCACTTGAGGGCCATAGGTGGTGGCCTTTCTCCCCTCATCGGTGGGTTCTGCTG
Source organism: Homo sapiens (assembly GCF_000001405.40). Taxonomy (NCBI): domain Eukaryota; kingdom Metazoa; phylum Chordata; class Mammalia; order Primates; family Hominidae; genus Homo; species Homo sapiens. Next base: position 4,816,213 of record NC_000001.11, on the reverse strand, counting down.
GGTCTTCCTTTTCATATTGTAGAACTGTAATGCTAGACAGATTGCAGTTGCCCCTGCAGGCTTCTGTGTTGTTGCATCTAGTTCTTCATGCTTGCTCCTGGAATACCCTTTGTACTTTAAAATATCAGCTTTCGGCAGGGTATGGTGGCTCACACCTGTAATGCCAGAACTTTGGGAGGCCAAGGCAGGAGGATGGATCACTTAAGCCCAGCAGTTAGAGACCAGCCTGGACAACATAGCAAGACCCTGGCCTCTATTAAAAAAAAAATTAGCCAAGAGTGGTGGCACTGGCCTGTAGTTCCAGCTACCCAGGTGGCTCAGGTGGGAGCACTGCTTGAGCCCAAGAACTCAAGGCTGCAGGAAGTTGTGATTGCACCATTGCACTCAGCCTGGGTGACAGAGCAACACTCTGTCTCAAAAAAAAAAACAAATTAACTTTACAGATGTGTAAGTTAAAAACCATAAAAATTATTCATTTTAAGTGTAGACTTTTGCTGAGTTTTGTCAAATGTGTAGCCATCACTGCCAAATATAAAATATTTTTACCACCCCCAAAAGTTGCCTTATGTTACTCAGCAATCAACCTCCTCACCCCCAACCCTTGACCCCAGGCAAACTCTGATATGCTTTGTGCCATCAAAGGCTAGTTTATTCTATTTTAGAATTTCATATAAGTAAAATCTTACAGTGTGTGCTTCTGTTTTTGTTTGCCTTGCTTTACTCCTCCATACCATCACATCTATCCATATTCTGATCTCTTGTGTTCCTGACTGGTATTTCTGTGTGTGGATCTATCTTCTGTTTTATTATTTCACCTGAGGATGAACATCTGGCTCTTTCCCAGTTTGTGCTATCATGAATAAAGCGGCATTGAGCATCTGTGAGCACATCTCTGTGGACATGCATTTTCATTTCTCTTAGGTAAACGTCTAGCAATGCATTGCTAGATTGCACAGTAAGTGTATGTTTAACTTACAAGAAGTTATCAACACCATTTTCCACAGTGGTTGCTCATGACCAGCAAGGCATGCAGATTCCAGGTGATGCACCTCCTTGGAACACTTGGTATTCGGTATTCTCACTTAGATTTTAGCCATTTTAGAGGTACAAAGGGATATCTCTTTTTACACACTTTTATTTGTATGTTCTGATGACTGAGGATGCTGAGTGCCTTTTCATGTGTTTATTTGTCATCATTGTGATGCATCCAATTGTTCTGCACATTTTAAAAATTGAGTTGTTTGTCTAATTTTATTGGATTCTCTAAATATTCTGGATACGTGTTCTTTGTCCGGAATGTATATTGTGGATATTTTCCCCTAGTCAGTGATGATTTGGCTTTATTTTCTTACTGATTTTTTTTTTGAAAAGTCAAAGTTTTTGATGTTGAATGAAGTCCAATTTATAATTTTTTCTTTTGTGCTTTGTTCTTTTTGTATCCCATAAAATCTTTGCTTACCTCAAGGTCATGAAGATGTCTTCTATATTTTATTCTACAAGTTTATAGTTTTAGCTTTTACATTTAAATCTAAGATCTATTCCAAGTTAATTTTTACATATGGTGTAAGATAAAAATGAAAGTTCTTTTTTTTTTGTATATGGGTGTTCATTACCTCTGGACCATTTTTGAAAGACTATCATTTCCCCATTAAATTACCTTGACACCTTTACTGAACATTAATTGACCATTGAAGTGTGAACTTATTTCGTAGATCTCTGTGCTGTTCCATTGACTTATGTGTCTATCCTTATGCCCATACCACACTGTCGTGATTACTGTGGCTTTATAATTCGTGTTGAAATGAAGAAGCAGCAAGCCTCCTATGTTGCTATTCTATTAAAAAAATTTTTTTTGTCTATTCTAGGTTTTCTTTGCATTTCCAGTAAATTTTAGAATCAGTTTGTTATTTTTTTAAGAAGTGTGCTGGGATTTTGAATGGGGTTATGTCAAATTTTTGATCAATGTGGGAGGAATTAACATCTTAATATTGAGTCTTTCAATCTTTGAACAAGATATTTCTCTCCATGTATGTAGAGATTTAATTTCTTTTAGCAATGTTCAGTAATTTTTTAGTGTACATTTAATATACATATGTATGTAAACATATATCCCCAAATATTTACATATTTTATATATTTGATATGTTATACATTATATAATTATGCAACTATATTGAATCCTTAAATATTTCACTTTTTTGATGCCATTGTAAATGATGCTGTTTTATGTCTCATTCTTCATTCTTTGCTGCCATTATATAGAGACAAATTTGATTTTTATATTTTGTCTTTGTTTATAGAGAACTTGTTGAATTTAGTTATTTTTTCTAGTAATGTTTTTAGACATTCCTTAGCATTTTTTACATTCATGGTCATGTCATCTGTGAATAAAGACAATTTCACTGCTTCCTGTTCAATTTGTATGCCTTTCATATATTTTCCTTGTATTTTTACACTGGCTATGACCTCCAGCAACATAGCGAATAGAAATAATGAGAATAGACATCTCCTTGTTATGTTTCTACAAATGGTCAGGTTTTCACCATTCAGTGTGATTTTTAGCAATATGCTTTTGTTTATGCTTTGAACGCCCTTTATCAATTAATAATGTTTCATCTGACTTCTACCTTGATAAGAGTTTTCAACATGATAGGTGTTGAATTTTGCCAGATGCTTCTGAAATGATCTTATGGGCTTTTTTCTGTTAATATGATGAAATATATTAATTGATTGAAACATTAGACCTACCTCATCCCTGAGTAAACCCTAGTTGGTATACCCTTTTTATGTATACCTGAATTTGGTATGGTAAGTTTGTATTAAAGATTTTTGCATCTATGTTAATGAGAGATATTGGTCTACACGGTGTGTGTGTGTGTGTGTGTGTGTGTGTGTGTGTGTGTGTTTTCCTTGGTAAAGTCTCATTTGGCTCCAATGCATAAATGAGGGGGGAGGTATATATTCTTTTATTTTGTGAAAAAGGTATGGGATTGGTATTATTTCTTCAGGACTGGCATTATTATTATTTACCAGTGTGAAACCATCTGGATCTGGCTTTTTCACTGTAGAAGGTTTTTAGTTGTGAACTGACTTAATAGCTATAGAGCTATCCAAATTTTTTCTTATTTTATCAATTTTGGTAACTTGTATCTGTTAAGGAATTTGTTCATTACATCTACATTGTTCATCTTATTGGCCTAAAGTTGTTCCTAATACATCCTTATTGCCTTTTTCATGTTTGGAGTATCTGTGTCCCATCTTTACTCTGATATGTTGTCTTATCTGTTTTTATTCATGATTTGTTTAGCTAGAATTTATGGTTTCTATAAATATTTACAAAGAACTCATTTTTGTTTCATTGATTTGTATTGTTTATTAATATTTTATTTTCTTGATTTTCACTCTTGTTTTTATTATTTTTTATATTAATTTTGGGTTAATTTCTTGTTTTTTCTAGATTCTTAAAGTGAAAAATTAGATCATTGTTCTTAGAACTTATTTTATAATATAAATTTTCAAAGTTTTAACTGTTCCTCTAAGCACTATTTTAGCTGCCTCACTCAAATTTTCATATGTTGTATTTTTATCCTCATTCAGTTCCAAATGTGTTCTAATTCTCCTTGTGATTTCCTCTTTATGTTTTCATTGTAGTCTGCTTAAAATATTTTCTAATATCCCTTCTAATTTTTGAGAGTGTTAATTCCTAAACGTTTAGATGCAATCCAAACATGTTTTGTTTTTCCTTTTGAATAAAATTTTATTGTGATCAGAGTATATACTCTGTATGATTTAAAATATTTTAAATTTATTGAAACTTGTTTTATGGCCCAATACATGGCTTATATTGGTGAATGTTGCATATGTACTTGTTAAGTATACATATTATGTTGTTGTTTGATGTAATTTTTGAAAAATGTCAAAAAGGTCAAAGCTATCGAGAGTGTTGTTCAAATCTTCTGTATCCTCCCTGATTTCCTGTCAAATTGTCCTATCAATACTAAGGAGTGTTGAAACTATAATTCCAAGTATATCTGTCTTTCAGTTCTGTCAGTTTTTCCTTAGTGTCTTTTGAAGTTCTGTCATTAGTTGCACAAATATTTAGAACTATGTCTTCTGCATAAGTAGATCCCTTTATTAGCGTAAAATATCCTTTTTACCAAAATTTTCTATGTCAGAAATTAATGTAACCACTCAAATTTTCTTATGATTGTTAGTAACATTGTACATCTTTTACCATTTTTTATAGTTGCAACTTATCAGTGTCTTTATATTTATGTTGTGTTTCTTGTAAACAGTATATAGATGGGTTTTTAACTAGTGATGTGCTGGGGCCAGCACATACTGACTCACAAGAGCTAATTGTTACATCTTCAGGAATTTTGCAAGCTGGTAGACGTCACCTTGTACCTTGACATTGACCATAGTGGAAGTCTTTACACCACAAAACCCACAATCGATACAAATTAGGACATTTATTTCTCTGGGGAGCTGGTTGTTAAACATTTAGCAGCAGACTGCTAGTTTTGTTTTGTTTTGTTTTTCTGTTCTATGATCTCTGCCTTTAAATAGAATATCACAACTCTTTACATTTAATGTAATTACTGACATGGTTAAGTTTAAGTCTATCATCCTATTATTTGTTTTCCATAGGTGTCAACCTTTCTGTTTTAAAGAAACAGACTTTATTTTTGGAACACTTTTAGGTTTACAGAACAACTGAGCAGAAAGTACAGAGATTTCCCAAATATCCCCTGCCCCCACACATGCATAGCCTCCCCCATTATCAATATCATCCACCAGCATGGTACATTTGTTAGAACTGACGAACCTACATTGAAACATCATTATCACACAAAGTCCGTAGTTTACATGGGGTTGATTTTTGGTAGGGTACATTCTATGAATTTGGATAAACTTATAATGATAGATATCTACCATTGCAATATATACAGAATAGTTTCACTGCCCCCTAAATCCTCTGCCTACCTCTCCCTTTCTCCCCTCAACCCCTAGAAACCACCGATAATTGTACTGTCTCCATAGTTTTGCCTTTTGGAATGTCACATAGTTGGAATTACATAGTATGTATGTAGCCTTTTCATATTGGCTTCTTTCACTTAGTAATATGCATTTCAAATTCATCCATGTCTTTTTGTGGCTTGATAGCTCATTTCTTTCTAGTGCTAATAATATTCCATTGTCTGAATGTACTACAGAGTATTTACACATTAGCCTACTAGAAGATTATCTTGCTTGCTTCCAAGTTATGGCAATTATGAATACAGCTGCTATCAATGTCTGTTTGCAGGTTTTTGTGTGAACATAAGCTTTCAACTTCTTTGGGTCAATACCAAGGAGCACAATTACTGACTCTATGTTAAGAATGTGTTCAGCATGAAACCATGAAACTGTCCTTCAAAGCTACTGTGCTATTTTACATTCTTACAACAGTCAATGAGAGTGTCTATTGCTTCACATCTTCATCAGCATTTGGTGTTGTCAGCGTTCTGGATTTTGGACATTCTGTTAGATGTGTAATGGTATCTCACTGTTTTAGTTTGCATTCCCTAATGGCTTACGATGTGGAGAATACTTTCATATTCTATTTGCCATCTGTATATCTTCATTGGTGAGGTGTTTGCTAAAGTCTTTGGCCCATTTTTAAATTGAGTTGTTTATTTTCTTATTGTTGAGTTTCAAGATTTCTTTGTATATTTTGAATAACAGTCCTTTATCAGATGTGTCTTTTGCAAATATTTTCACCCAGCTTGTGGCTTATCTTTTTATTCTCTTGACAGTGTCTTTCACAGAGCAGAAATTTTTAATTTTGGTGGAGATCCAGGTTGTGAGTTCTTTCATTTATGTATCAGGCCTGCGGTATTGTATCTAAAAAAATCATTACCAAACTCTAGGTCACATAGATTTTCTTCTATACTGTTTTCTAGGAATTTTATAGTTTTAAATCCTACATTTTGAGTTAACCTTTGTAAACATGTAAGGTTTGTGTCTAGAGTTATATTTTTGCCTATGAATGTCCAGTTGTTCCAGCATCATTTATTAAAAAGGCTCTCTTTTCTCCACTGTATTTTCTTTGTGCCTCTGACAAAGATCAGCTGACTATATTTATGTGAGTCTACTTCTGGCTCTCTAGGTGGTCCACTGATCTTTTTGTCAGTTCTTTCACCAATACCACATTGTCTTGATTATTGTAGTTTTACAGTAAGTCTTGAAGTTGGGTGGTGTCATTCTTTCAGTTTCGTTCTTCTTCAATAATGTGGAGGCGCTTTGTGGCCTTTTGCCTTTCCATATAGACTTTAGAATCAGTTTGTCAATATCCTCAAAATAACTTCCTGGAATTTTGATCGGAATTGCATTGAATCTATAGATCAAGTTGGGGAGAACTGACATCTTGACAACATTGAGTCTTTCTATCCATGAACATGGACTGGTTCTCCATTATTTAGGTTATTCAATTTCTTTCATCAGAGTTCTGTAGTTTTCTTCATATAGATTTTGTACATATTTTGTTAGGTTTCTATCTAAGTATTTTATTTGAGGGGGTGCCAATGCAAGTTATTTTACTTTTAATTTCAAATTGCAGTTGTTCATTGCTGGCATATAGGAAAATGATTAAATTTTGTATATTAATCTTATATTCTATAACCCAGCTATAATCACTTATTTCCAACAGTGTTTTTGTGTGTGTATGTGTGTGTGTGTGTGTGACTCTTTTGGATTTTCTACATAGATAAACATGTTATTTGTGAACAAAGACAGTTTCATTTACTCCTTCCCAATCCGTGTACTTTTCTTTTCTTGCCTTATTGCATTAGCTAAGACCTTCTCTCCAGGAGCTGAAATTCACAAAAGTTTGGGGGCCCAGTGAAAACCTTAGATTTAAAAAAAAAAAATCTTTCATACTTGTCACTATGAGGCCTCAGCAGTTAATCAATTACTCTACTTTGGCCCTGGTTTCTGCAGAGGTTTGTGCTCTCATGTGTTGTGATTTTCTGTATCTACCATCTGTCTCTCCAATTTTGGGGACAATGGTTTGCTTGTGATGTCACTTTTTTATGGATCTAAGAAGAGCTGCTGATTTTTTCCATTTGTTCAGCTTTTTACTTTTGTTAGGCTGAACTAGAAACTGTGTTTTTAATTTTTATTTTCCATCTTTTTCTGCCATACTTTGGATTAACTGAGTATCTTTTAGTATTCCATTTTATTTCCATCTCAGCTATACCTCTTTATTTTAATGTTTTAGTTATTTACATAGTTTATTTAGTTATTTATTTCAACTAATCCTTGTCTGAATTCAACTAATTTCATACCATTTCATGTGTAACATGAAAAGTTTACAAAAATGAACTTCTATTTCTCCCTACCATTCTTTGTGTTAATATTGTCATATATTTTACTTCAATATTTGTTTAGTCTCTGCAGAAAAGTATATTTTTTTGCTTTAAACAGTAAATTATCTTTTAAAAAGTCACAATAAAAATGTTTTATATTTACTCATTATATTACTCACTGTTCTCACACTGCTGTAAAGAAATACGTGAGACTGGGTAATTTACAAAGAAAAGAGGTTTAATTGGGTCACAGTTCTGCAGGCTGTACAGGAAGCATGATGCTTGGCTTCTGGGGTGGCCTCAGGAAACTTACAATTATGGCAGAAAGCAAAGGGGAAGCAGGCTCATTTTACATGGGTAGAGCAGGAGCAAGGGGGCAGTGTGGGGAGGTGCCACACACTTTTAAACAACCAGATCTTGTGAGAACTCACTCACTATACAGTACCAAGGGGGGATGGTACTAAACCATTCATGAGAATCCTGCCCCCTGATCCAATCACCTCCCACTAGGCCCCACCTCCAACACTGGGGATTACAATTGAACAGATATTTGGGGTGGGGGGACACAGATCCAAACCATATCACCCACATATTTACCGTTTATGTTTTTCATTATTTTGAGAAAATATGAGTTTCTTTTTGGTGTCATTTTCTTTCAACCACAAAAGTTTGAGTATTTCTTTGTGCAGGTTTGCAGATCATGAATTTTTTCAGCTTCTGTTGTCTCTGAAAGTTCTTATTGCCCCTTTCTTTTGAAGAATATTTTTTCTGAGCACAGAATTTCAGGTTTAATGTTTTTCTTTTATTTAAATTCAGAATTTCAGAGATCTAATTTCCTTTTCTTCTGTCTTGAATTGTTTTCAATGACATGTCTATAATAAGTATTATCTTTGTTGCCCTATATGAAAGTTGTCTTCTTACCCTGAAGATTTTAAAGATTTTCTCTTTATCACTGTTTTTTAGCAATTTGGTGATAATGTGTCTTTGTGTGGTTTTCTTTATGTTAATCCTGATGGATTAGGCTCCTGATGGATCTGTTTGGCTTCTTAGATCTTTGGGTTATATTTTCATCAGACTGAAAAAGTTTTCACCCACTATTCGTTCAAATATTTCTCTGACCCCTTTCCATCCTCCCTTTCTGGGCTTCCAATAACACATATGTGACACTGCTTGATTTTGCTCTAAAAATCACTAAGGCTTTGTCCTTTTTTTTTTTTTTTTTTTTTTTTTAGTCTTTTTTCTTTCTGGGTCTCAAATGGGTAATTTATACTTATGTATCTTCCAGTTCACCAATCTTTTTTTTTACTCATTGAATCTGCTGTTAAGTTGATCTAGGGAATTTTTCATTTCAGATACTTTATATTTTAAGGTCTGGTAATTCCACTGGGTGCTTTTTAATTCTTCTATTTATCTCATGATTTTGGTAATTTTCTTTAAATCCTTGAGCATGTCTATAGTTACTGTTTTAAAGACCATGTCAGTTAATTCCATCATCTTTGCGGTTTCTGGGTCTGCTTCTGTTTAATAAGTTTTCTTTGCATAGTTGGTCACATTACCTTTCTTTCTCTCATGTCTACTAATTTTTGATTTAATGATAGGCATTTTGATTATTACATTTTTAAGTGTCTGCATTTTTTTATCCTTCAGAGCACATTTAGTTTTGCTCTGGCCAAAGTTAAGTTACTTGTGGATCCTTTTGACATCTGGGTTTTATTTGTTTTGTTTTGTTTTCCTTTTTGAGACAGCATCTTGCTCTGTTGCACATGTTGGAGTGCAGTGGCATGAGCACAGCTTACTGCAGCCTCAACCTCCTGGGCTCAAGTGATTCTTCCACTTCAGCCTCCCAAGTAGCTGAGACTATAGGTGCATGCTATCACACCAAGCTAATTTTTGTATTTTTTGTAAAGACAGGGCCCCACTATGTTGCCCAGGCTGGTCTCAAACTCCTGAGCTCAACCCACCTTGGCCTCCCAAAGTGCTGGGATTACAGGTGTGAGCCACTCTGCCCAGCCTCTGTGATCTATTTTTAATATATTTTAATACAAGTCTATAGTAGCCTTTAATCTCTAGCCCTATTAATAAGGCATAACTCTGTAGTCTCCCCTGAGTGGCACAAGTGTTAAACAAAGTGTCTTTATTCTGGCTGATCAGAACTCAGGATTCCAGGAATTATTTATCCTAAAGCTCCCTGGTGGTTCTTTCAAAGTCTTATAGAGCTGTACACTATGCATTTGTTGCTCGGCATTCGGCAATTGACTCCTGAGAATCTCTATGCAGATTTATGAAGCTCTTTATTTCAACATGATTCTCTTTTCTTCAGTATCAAACCGCAGAACTTCCAGTCTCAGTTTTCCCAAACTCCAGACTCTGTCTCTTCACCTCATTGAGGCTGCTGTTGTCTACTTAGGTTCCCCTTCTCTATGCCACAGTATGAAAAATATGGCCTGGGAGAAAGGATTTGCCTTACTTGTTTCCCTTTCCTTAGGGATAACAGTCTTATACTGCCAGTTGTCCAGTGTTTCATAGTTTTTAAAATCCAGCTTTCTAGTTGCTTATGATGGGAGTACAAGTCTGATTCTATCTGGCATGATGGAAACGTAGCTCTATCTTCCTACCGACTCTTGAGTCAGTAAATACAGACCAGTCTGTCACTCATTGTCTGGCTTCTAATCTGTAATTACCTAGAGGACATTTCCTGCACTGCCATTATCTCTGAGTCACCATGTTCTAAAGTGAATTCCTTATCTTTCATTTCTCATCAGCTCTTCTTTCCAGCTCCCCTGAGTCTGTCAAGTTGAAAATCTTGGTCATCTTTAAACATTAACTTAATTGCTCACCTCCTATTTTTAATGAATTCCAGTTTCAAGGCATGCCAATTCTTCCTTGAAGATCTTTTCAATCTATTCCCTTCTCTCCATTTCCATTGCAACCTTACTAGGACAAGCCTCATCAATGCAATAATAACTTTCTAAATGGAAGCAGTAGGGGGAGGCTGGATGAAAGCATATATGCCAATGGCACAAGAATACCTCTGAATAATCAATAGGGTGCTTCAAACATGCCCTGCCCACTTCATATCCTGTGCCCTGAGCACATAAAGAACAATATTCATCCCCTCCACCATGCTCTCTCTCATTCTGAATCATCCCATGTAGTATTCCCTCTTCTAGGCTCACTCTTCTTTCCAACCCCTCCTCTCCACTCCCAACCACAGTTGGGAGGATAAGTTGTACTCATCCTTCAGTTCTCAAATTAAATACAGTTGACCCTTGAACAACATGAGAGTTAGGGGTGACCCACCACACACACAGTTGAAAATCTGCATAACTTTTGACTCCCCCAGAACTTAACTGCTAGTAACCTACTCTTGACCAGAAGTCTTACTGTTAACATAAACAGTCAACACGTATTTTGCATGTTATATGTATTACAAGCTGTTTTTACAATAATATAAGCTAGAATAAGGAAAATGTTATTCAGAAAATCATAAGGAAGAAAAAATATATTTACTATTCATTAGGTGAAAGTGGATAATCTTAACAGTCTTCATCCTTGTCATCTTCACATTGAGTAGGCTAAGGAGGGGGAAGAGAAGAGGTTAGTCTTTCTATCTCAGAGGTGACAGAAGTGGAAGAAAATTTGTGTATAAATGCACCTGTGCAGTTCAAACCCAAGTTATTTAAGGATCAACTGTATACCTTCTTTTAGAAATGCTTCCCTTTCCTCCTTTTCACAGTTGGGGTTGGGCGGCCCCTGGGTTTCTTTCCCAGTGGACCATTTCTCTCATTGCACAGTTTTGAAATTGTATCCTCCACCAGATTTTAGGATGAGGTTCCTGTAGCTCATATATTCATGGTGCTGCTACAATTACTACCCTATCAACAGTGCCTAACACAGGACCTGGCACAAGATGGATTATCACAAGATGATCAAGGAATATTTTTTGAATAAATGAATACCTGGATGAAGAAATAGAGTGATGTATACACTGTATGTTCTTGGTTCCATCAATGCAATCAAAACATATTCAGAGACTTATAGGAAGTCAGAGTTAGAAAAGACCTACAGGTAATCCTCCATTTAGAGTGGATGCCCCCTTTGCCACTCCCTAAGCAACAGTCAGCCAGACTGTGTTGAGTACACTCAATAACTGGGAACTTATTTTGGGTCATGGCATCCTGTTCCATCTCGGAGCTATTTTATTGTTAGAGATTGCACCAGAATCTTCTACCATATAATTTCTATCCACTGGTCTCAGTCTTCTCGGAAGGAGCGTAGACATGTGTTGTTCTTTATGCCCATCATAGCTCTTAAGTATCTGAAGATTTTCTGCATCATCCAAGTCTTCTGGATAATGATAACAACTGTCATTGTATCAGCTGATATTTTCAAGTGTTTACCGGCTTGCTTGAATTTTACAACAATCCCCCGAGATACTTCATATTTTCACTACTATTTTAGAGATGAGAAAACTTAATCTCACAAGAGGACCATGGAGAGATAGAAAGAGATGCCCAAGGAGCCCCAGCTGTTTGAGTCTCCCCAGCCCAGGCTCCACACATGAGTATGGGAGTGGTCAGAGGATTCCAGCCTCAGCCACCATCCACTGCAACCATAGGAGAGACCTTGAGGGAGAACCAGCTAGCTGAAGCCAGTCAACTCTCAGACTAGCTGGATATAAAAAATAAAATGACTGTTTTTGTTTTAAACAACAAAGTTGTGAGTGGCTTATCCCACAGCAACAGAAAACCAGACCACTAACATCTTGCACTGTCCCTTTAGGCTGAAGTTAGGACAGACTCTACACTAGGTGTGCACAGGGTAAATGCTCAGTAGATGGTACTGTCGTTGCTGCTCCACTATCACCAATACTGCTGTTACAGCAATGGGCACTGTATGACAGGCATAGTCAAATATTGTGGGAGGATAGGGCAGGAGTTGAGTAAACCCAAGTTACAGATAGGAGTGTTCTGGAAGAAGGAAAAGTGTCAGGTGAGTTGTACCCTGGAGAATATGAAATACCTTTCCTGGGAGGATAATTTATGCTGAGCAAACAGCTCAAGCATGGACCCTGAAGAGTAAGTTATACTGGGGACAATTGCTTTAGTCCCTGGGTTGAAGAGTGTGAGGAAGGGGGCCAAAAAGGCTGGAAAGGTGGGGAGGAACCCATCTAATCTGATGGCTTTTGAGAAAAGAAAGCAGCTTCTCATTGGCAGAAAAATAGCCAGGCTCTGTAGTCTTATTGTTTTGACTCTTCTCTGATGTCTCAGCCTGTGTGGCTTATCTTACTTGGGTGTCAAAAGCAAGAGCAATGGCCCTCCCACTTTATCTCAGGTGTGAACAGAGGATTTATCAGGTGCTAACAGGAGGGCTACATCTGTAAAAGATATGATCCTGATTTGGCCATTGCCCCACCATAGTTTTTGAAGTTGAGACTCTAAGGTCTTGCCTGGGCACTCTCCTTGTGGCTCCTTGTGTGCTCAGCCCAGCATCCCCAGCTGCAGGCAGGATACTGTGGAATGCTTGCCTATGCTTCCAGAACACAGCAGGAAAGGGCAGAGCAGAAGACAGACAGGCTGCCCCTCCCAGGTGTCCAGCAAAGGGCCTCACAATGCCTCTGTGGGCCAGCGTGTGTGCTTTCTGTGATGTTTGATATTCTTACACTCATCACCAGTCAGAGCAAAACCTTAGTAGAAGGGAAATAAAGAAATCCCCTTCTGGTGGTGCATTTCACCTTGGTGAGCTCCCAAAACTATGTATAGATGACAGAAGAAGACACCCAGAGAATAGCTTTGGGAGAAAACTGCTGCCTGACCATAACTGAACTGGACCTGGAAAGCCTGGATGAAACAGATGTGAGAATCCCCCATCAAGGGAAAAATGGAAATACTCCTAAAATAATTGTCTTTATCTTTGACGGAATAAAATACCCTCCCATCCCCACCAGTTGTCAGTTTCCAAGGGATTGCTCTTTTTTTTGGCAAAAAGTGATTTCAATGGTGTCTATTTCCTGGGTGAGTGGGTGAAATGAACCCCAGCCTTTCCTCAGGACTGTCACAAAGACAGAAGATGAATGAGTTTAGAGTTCTGTTAAGGCATTTGGACCAATAGGGAGCCACTCTGCACAGTTTTGTGCAGAGAATATTGAATGTCATTTTTGCAATGGCAGTGGGAAGAAGAGGAGAGAAGGTGAGCATCCCAATAAGGATGTGGTATAGACAGACTGGGTGCAGGTTAGTGAGGCTTGATCAGAACAGCATGTGTGTTAGTCCATTTGTGCTGCTACAACAAAATACCACAGGCCACGTAATATATAAAAAACAGAAAATTTATTTCTCACAGTTCCGGAGGCTGGGAAGTCCAAGATCAAGGCACAAGCATCCAGTACTTGGTGAAGGCCTTCTTGCTGTGTCCTCACATAGTCAGTGGGAGGGAAAGTGGGAATGAGCAATGTGCCCTCACATAGCAGAAGAGCAAAAAGAGTGAATTCCCCACCCACCCTGCAAGCCCTTTTCAGAGCAACGTTAATCCATTCATGAGGAAAGATCCTCATGGCCCAAACCCTCTCAAAAGGCCAGATCTCCCAACAGTGTTGCACTGGGGATTAAGTTTCAACATAACTTTTTGGAGAGGACAAAAGCATTCAACCCATAGCAATGCGGGAGAGATGGAGACAGGGGAGGGTTCAGAGCCGTTTCTGATGGGGGATCACTGATGCGTGTGGGGAGCTGGCCTCCGCAGGGATGGTGTCTTCATGCCTGGGTGGTCCCCTTGCCTTCTTCGGGACTGGGGAGCTCCCACCTTCTGCTCTGGCTCCTCCATCTTCACTCAGCAGCACATGCATCTTCTTCCTATCTGGCTACCTTCCTGCAGGCTTGAGACAGAGACAACTGTTGTATTGAGTCCAGTGGGTGGTGGGCAAGAGGTGAGCCACCCTGGAGGAGAGTATGGGGTAATAGAACTCTCATGACCTGGCCAGGATCCAGGTGTCTGTTTCCTCCCCAGATCACACCATAAGACCTTCTGCCCCTGTCCAGCCCCACTGTCTTTGTTGCTTTTACACATCACCGCCAGGCCCTGGCTTGGGTTCGGAGCAGCTGTGTGTGGACATTTTCCAGCACAGACATCTGGCTTCCTGGCGAGTACCCCAGTTGGCCGTGGAAACAGCTCTGTGTTTTGCTCCTCCTGCAGGTCCGCCCCCTCGGCCACGGGTCTTCCTCAAGTGGCCTGTTGGTCTGGCTGCCTGTTCTCAAGGCTCCTCTCTGGACTGCTGGCTCTGGTTTAGCTTCCCACTCAACCCTCTGTCTGCATCTCTTTTTTCAAATTCGGTCCTGTTCACAGCACTTCTTTGCTCAAAAGCACAAAGGGCTCCTCTACTCCTGAAGATGTGATTCTGCCCAAGTCGGGCACATCTGAGCCACCTGGGACACCCTCTAACATGAGACCCATTTAATCCGAAAGTGAGCCTCTTGTCCAGGCGACCCAGTGTGTTCCCCGCTGGTCTACAGAATGAAGTCAAAGTGTCTGAGCTCAGCATCAAAGCCTTCCTTGACCCATCCCAACAGCCTGCTGGAAATTGTACCTGGACAAGCTTCTGTGGCAGATGGGTCTCCTTCGTTTCCCAACATTGCTACCATCTACGATTTCCCTGGATACCTTCCCATCCTAGTCTGAATATGAGTCCCTACAGGACTTATGTGTTAATGCTTTATTGCAGGGAGTGTAATTCAGGGAGTGTAATTCTGGGAGTGAGACCGTTTGGAGGAAAGGAAGAGAAAAGGGGTGGAGGAAAACAAATGCAAGTTGGTGGTGAGTTATTGTGCTGGCCACAGCCTCCCAATCACCTTTGCTTGGTCAGGCTGGAATTCTCCAGAGAAACCACCTAGCAATGTCCTCTTTGGAGCAATCCATTAGGGAGAGGAAAGAAGAGGAATTTATCCACACAGCTCCTTCTTTCTTTCCTTCTCTCAAAGTTTGCCCCTCAGTTTAAATGACCTGGCATAGTGTGGCCACCTCTGGGGAAGCTGAGCCTTGTGTTTTCAGAGGGAGCTTCCAGGCACGATGTGCAGGGTGAGCCACAGGCGTGGGCCATGCACTGTCTGCCCACAGCCTGTAGCTGCATCTCACAGCCTGCCCTTGCAGACAGGCACGTGTGTAAGAGCCAGACAGGTTTTGGGGCATCTCGCACAGCTAAGGCGACAAGGAGGGTGGAAGATGGGAGGTGGGGGCATCAAATGAAGCCTTGTCTGGATGCAGGGTGGAGACATAGTGGCTTGAGAAGCCCAGTGAGCGGCTTGTTCAGGGGCCTGACCTCCACCGTGGAGGCCGTGATGAAGCTCAAGGAGGATTTCTCCACCAGAGTCCATCCTCTTCTATGGATTTCATGGACAAGTCTGGTGCCTGAGGACCTTCCTGGAGAGGCATCAACTGCACCGGTAGAATGCCTGCATGGCATGTCCTAGGGAGGCAAATATAATAGGGAAGGCGCAGCATCCTCCCCTCCCATGGGGCCCCTGGTCACTTGGCCTGTAGGCTCCTTCCCCTCTCGGGGCTCCCAGGCCCTGTCCTCTGTAACTTGTACATGCACAAATCACATGCTGTCTTGCATTGTTTATGTATGTGACTCTGTTTCCCTCCCTCTCCCAATGATACTTCTTCCCAGAACTTGCAAGTTCTCAAAGAATTCTGGTGGGAGAAGACACCTCTTCTGGGGGACTAGGCCAGAAGCCACTCAGCCCCCATCAGCCTCTTGTCATTTAGTGTGGTCTTTGGCTGGTAGTTTAGCAGGGAGGGGAAGCATGTGGGCACTGAGGTTGGACTATTTTGGCTGAAGTCAGGCTGTGTGACCAAGAGCAAGTTCCTCAACCTCTCTCTGACTCAGATTCTTCATTCATAAAGCTGGATGACACTAATGCCTACTTCATAGCATGGTCATGAGGAATAAATGAGGCAATGCAAGCCGCGTGCTTGGTGCTAGGTCTGCCGTCTGGAAGGGCTCGAACCCTCTTGTGATGCCACCATGGTGCAGGAGGAGAAAACTCATGTCTCCCTGCAAAGCTGCAGGATCTCTGGCTTCAAGGCGTTCACTCTTCCCCTCCTCACCTCCAGCAGCTACTCCAACAGCGTAGATTTTGTTTTCTTAGCAAAGCCCAGAAGGGAAGCAGAAAGATTCCACTCAAGGGGGTGTTGAGGCTTTCTTCCTAAAGCTCTAAAAGGCAGGCCCCATTCAAACCAGAGAAGGTGACCTTCGGTAGGCGGGGGAGAGGGAGAAGAGAAGAGAGAAAGTAGAGAAAGGGTGGTGTGTGGGAAGAGGGTGAGGAAAAGGGGTGACACACCAGCCCCCGGGTTGCGGATACAAGTGGTCCATGGAGCAGATCAGCCCTCATCTTCCTCCTGCGCCTCCCAATGGCCCTGCACGGGTAGAAAACCTGTGTCACGTATCCTAGGAATGCACAGATATTCCAAGCCTTCCTGCAGAAGAGGAGCCGCACTACCAGTTTTCATCACATTTGAGTTCAACCTAGTTATGTCGCTAATCAGTTTTTATATCCAGGCAAGCTGAATATGATCTTGTGAATTGGGTTGGAGGAAATATCTCTCAGCCACCTCTCCAAAGAGTTCTGTGTGGAAGCTGCCAGGGTGGGCTTAGGGCTTAGAGACTATGAAAGGTGAGTGATCAATGGTTGGTGCGTGAATGTCTCCCAGCCCAGTCCTTAAAGGTGATAAAATTTTGCAGAGAACTACTGGAAGATGCTGTCACTACAGGAGCAATGCCCTTGAAGATGTTGTCAGAAACTTGACCATACCATTCAGAAAGAGCCGCAATAGATAGGACTGTGTATTAGTCTGTCTCACACTACTAATGAAGACATACTGGAGACTGGGTAATTTATAAGGAAAAAGAGGTTTAATGGACTCACAGTTCCACATGGCTGGGGAGGCCTCACAATCATGGCAGAAGGTCAAAGGCACGTCTTACATGGCAGCAGGCAAGAGAGAGTGTGTGCCCATGAACTTCCCTTTATAAAACCATCAGATTTTGAGAGACTTATTCACTATCATGAGAACAGCATGGGCAAAACCAGCCCCTATGATTCAATTACCTCCCACTGGGTCCCTCCCATAACATGTAGGGATTATAATTCAAGGTGAGATTTGGGTGGGGACCCAGAGCCAAACCTTATCAAAGTGAAACAACATCACCTTTTACCTCCTTTTTAGTAGAACTAGTGGAAGATTCTGATTTGTACAGTGGAGGTTCTGCCACCTGGGATTGGACAGGCAGGAAGAGGAGGGGAAGGGGTGACCAACATTGAGTGTAGCCTGGGACCCACCTGGGGAAGGCCGGGGGTTGAGTTGGCTGGTGTCTCCCACATTTCTCTGGGTGTCTCACCCTTGCTCCTCAGTCTCTGGCCACCTTTCCACCACACACTGACCACAGGAGACCAGTCCAATGCCCATTAACACTCAAAGGAAAAGCCCTAGGTTTCACTCCCACCCCACCAAGACCTGAGGGACTCTCTCCTCCACATGTCCCTCCAGCCTGCCTTGAACTGGGGCTTAAATACAGAAGACGTCATACAGAACCCAGCATTGCTTCCTGTCTCTCCCAGTACCAGATCCTCCAAAGTCAGTTTCCTGTGTCTTGATTCCAGAATGAGATGTTCATTTGCTTTTGAAAATAACATTCAGAACCATTCAAACAACCCTCTTTGGTTCCAATAAATCACAGAGGATGAAACGGGAGCTCAGGATTGTATTTCATTTAGAGGAGCCTTGCTCTCCTGGAGAGCACCCAGCATTTCCCAATTGAAATACAGCTTCCTCCCTAATTTCATTCTACAAGCCCCCTGCCCACTGTCAGTTTCATTTAGGTGGTAATTCAATCCCAAAGTGAGCAACATCTTTCAATGGTTCTCATTATTTTCCTGCATAATTTTATCATATATGCGGTCTTGGACTGAGAGACACTCACTCCCCAACCATTACTCAGCCACAGGCCACAGTGTCCAAGCCAGCAAGGGTCTGGTTCAGGAAATTAGGTGTCTGCCTCATCTTTGGGGCAACTGTGGTATGGCTTCCTTTCTCAAAGGAAGAACAAAGCTCAGCCAGATGCCCAAAATATGGCTTCATTATTGTTTTTCCTCCATGATCCAAAGCAATCCAGCATAACGGGGGCCCTTGCCGAATTGGAGAGGATATGAGATAACCCAGGTCTCAGGGGGAAGTGCCTCGATGTGCAGCTTTAACAAAATCAAGCCCAAGTGTTTTCAAGCCTGGGGAGGCTCTCCTCACTCAGCTGCCTTTGGTGATGGCAGGCCCCAAGAGGCCTGCTGGTGTTAATGGGATCCGTCAATCGGAGGTGGTATGTGGTCCCAGGAAGGTCTAGTCTGTGTCCACAGCTCATTCAGTGTCATTATCAAAAGCTCATTATTTTGTAGCTTTGCAGAAGCAATGGTTTGCATAGAGTTGCTCTCAACGGCTACACTCTGGGTGATTGTCTATAAAACTATCAGCAGGAGGTCTACACGTTCTAAAGAGTTCCAAAGAGAACAAGTGAACTGAGCCAGCCATCTCCAGCAGCAAGGACACTCTGGGGACCTACAGCCTTCTGGACCTGTCTGTGGGCGGAGCTGCAAGCACCAGAGCAGGACAACCACAGACTCTGCCCCGCTGCTAAGGCTGACTCCTCTCCATCCCACCCTGCCTCTTGCTTTAGTGCCCACAGCCTCACTCCTGGGAAGGCTGCCAGTCTGGAGAACCACAGCCTCACGGGGCCGAGACTTTGCTGCATCACTTCTGCCAAGTTCAAGGCTGAAGAGTTAGAAAACATGGGGAGAGCTTTGGAGAAGAGAGCACATAGAGAACAGAGTCTAGACAGATAACAAGGTTCCTCTGCAAACCCAGACCATTTTGCTGAAGGTGAGCGGGAGAAGAAATGCTGGGAAGAGCCCACTGAGTCACAGGCAAGTGGCCAAATGTCTCTCTAGCAGTGGCGGCCTCCTTCCCTCCTGCAGTACAGCAGATCCTAACTGGGGGGCACTCTCCGTGCTGCCAGATGAAGTGTGCTGGAGCCAGATAGGAAGCTCAGAAATTCAGGGAAGAAGTGAAACAGAAATAAGAAATCACAGATGCAAATAAAGAAGAAGAAAAAAAAGAGGCAAAGCTCTGCATTTGCAGCTGTTCTCTGTGCAAGGAGTTATGTATTCCGCTTCCCTCACTCTCTTTTTTTCTAAGTTTTATGACAGCATATGACCGTGGCAGCTGCTTCACCTTTATCTGGCAACCTGAAACCAAAACAAAAACACTATTCTGGGGACAGTCACTTTAAGAGGAAGCTGCTTCCCCTTTTGAAGCCCAGATGAACCTCCAACTAGAAACCCAGCTGCCTTGGTTTTAAAAGGTGAGGCCACTATCATCCGCAATGTTTCCTGGACGAGCCCCCCAGCTTCAGTCGGGGGAGGAGAAGGAACTTGAACCTCCTTTCTGGGTACCCCCTGCCCCTCGCTGCCTGAGGCCCTTCACGTTTTCTCAGGATAGATGCAGAACAAAGGAAAGTGGGGCAGGTTTCAATACAAGTGATGGCATCTCTGATTCCCCAGCGTCATGGGTTGAATTGTGTCAAGCCCCCTGACCAAATGCATATGCTGCAGTCCTAACCCCCTGCAGCTCAGAATGTGACCTTATTTGGAAATAGGCCCATTGCAGATGCAATTTGTTAGGACGAGGTCCTACTGGAGAAAGGTGGGCCCCAAACCCGCATGACTGGTATCCTTATTAAAAGGGAAAATTTAGACACAGACACACACACAGGGAAGATGCCAAGTGAAGGATGGAGTGAGGCTGCCACATGCCAAGTATTCACCAGAAGCAGGAGAGAGGCCTGGAGCAGACCTTTCCCTAGTGCCTTCAGAGGGTGCCCAGCCCTAGTGCCTTCAGAGGGTGCCTGGCTCTGTCCCTCTGGATCTCAGCCTTCTGGCTTACAGAACTGTGATGCAATACATTTCCATGGTTTGAAGCCACATCCAGTTTGTGCTATTTTGTTACAGGAGCCATAGCAAACCAAAACACCCAGGCTTTAAAAAAGATCTGGGAAAGGAGAGCTCACCCTTTGCTTCCTGAGATAACCCTGTTGTTCCCTAAGGAAGCTGCTGGCTTCAGGAAGACCCGATGAGCAGTGTTGATTTATATGATGACCCTCTGCATAAAGCAGGTCGACTTCAGCATCCCCCAGAACACTGCTGTCAATGTCAGCACTGTTGACATTTGGGGCTGGATTGTTTTTGTCATGGGGCTGTCCTGTGCATAGCAGGGTGTTCGATGGCATCCCTGGCTTCCAAATTCTAGATGTCAGTGCCCGCTGTACTACTTAGTTATGAGAACCCAAACTGTCACCAGGCGGTGCTAAATCTCTCTGGGAAGAATGTCATCCCCTGAGAACTGCTGTTCTAAAGGAACCTATCCTCACACCTTAGAACTTCATTTCTCAGCTCTGAAGTTAATGCCTGTTAATAAAGCAGAGGAGATGTATCGATTTGAACAAGCACTTATTACGAGTCACAACAAATGCAGAGAGCATCTGCAGACAATAAGATCTAGAGTCCTACGGTCCCTCTCAACTTGGCACCAGCCTGGGTTGTTGGTTCCAGTTGGTTTTTGGGGAAGACCTCAAGTGTACCTTTGACTCTTAGCCCATCGAATGGTCTTCACTTGAGGGATGTGGGGAGCCCCTAGCTCCCCAAAATCATATTTCCTGCCTTCTGTGGCCCCATACAGTTGGTAGGGACAGTTGCTAGGGAGAACCTATAGTTGCACCAGCTCCTCCTGATGCCCAGCCCGCCTTCACTGCGCTGGAGGGAAGTCCCCACAGCCTTGTTCAGTGAGCAAGGTTTCTGTTGTGCTTGTGTGTTCAAAAGCCCATCACAGGCAACTCTGCCAAACTTAGTCAATCATATCGGGACCCAGTATTTATTGTCTTGGCTTCAGTTCAAAGGCAAGAGCTCTATGCACTAGCAAATGGATACTAGAATTCCAATTTCCCCCTCTCACTGGTGAGCAAATTGAGTTTACTTTAATGGTATCCAGGCTGTTGATTTGTCTAAATCAGTTAAATGACCAAAGTGGTATTGCTTTTTTTCTGCTTGTTAAAGACAGTTATGTATCCCATTCATCAGTGTGTCTGAGGACATTAGGCCTCTCACTGACTCAGGAGAGAGTGCCCTGGGGAGCCAGTGGTCACCTCGGCCATGTGCCAGTCCCTGGCCTCACAGACAAGTGGAAGCTCCCAGGGTGGGGATAAGGAGGAAGACAAAGGCACCACAGGATGCTGAGAAGGTTGGAATGGAAGTGCTTTTGTCATGAGTGCCCTGCGCCTGGTGCTGGATGAGGCACTGGGTAAGTTGTCCATTGATTCTATGCCAGGTGAGGGATGGGGAATGGGGAGGAGCACCACCTGCTCTTCAGAGCTAATTAGGGGGAAATGCTGCTTTTTCTAGGCCTGTAAAGAAGGCTCTTCACTCTGTGGTCAGGCCTCAGCACTCCTATGTCTTGGAGATGCCTGAGGCTGAGCATCTCTAGCTCTGCAGGCCTTTGGTGTGTGTCCTTTTCCTACGTGCAGATCAGCTCTTGGTGTTGACTGAAACTGTGACCGTGCCTCTGACTCACCTCTCTCCGTCATCTTTCTGTGACTGGTCCTTGCCCTTGACAATGGCTTTGATTAAGAAAGAAGGGCCAGACCAGATGTGGTGGCTCATGCTGCTAACCCAGTGCTTTGGGAGGCTGACGCAGGAGGATTGCTTCAGGCCAGGAGTTCAAGACTAGCCTGGGCAACAGAATGAGACCATGTTCGTACAAAAAAATTTAAAAATTAGATGGGCATGGTGCCTACGCCTGTATTCCCAGCTACTCAGGAGGCCGAGGAAGGAGGATTGCTTGAGCCCAGGAGTTTGAGGCTGTAGTGAGCTATGATTGTGCCAATGCACTCCAGCCTGGGTGACAGAGCAAGACCCTGCCTCGAAAGAAAGAAAGGCAGGACAGAAAATGTAGCAGCAGGATAACCATGCACTGGAGATGTATCTGGAGTTGTGTGAGGCTGTGGTTGGAGCTGAGGTGGGTTAGATGAGGTCTGGGTCCACTGGGACCCCCCTCCTGGCCTAGGGACCCTTTATCAGCCATGCCCTTGTGTCGCTTGGTCTGCCCCATTTGGCAAGTGGGGCAAAGTCATACATGGATGATGCATATGACCTTGGTGATAGGTTCAGGTAATTTCAAATATGTGAAAAGACATTGACAGGTTAAAAGGTGCTTAGCAGGTATAGAGTACACCTGGGGCTGAGCAGCAGGGTTCACTAGAACACAAGGTCGCCCCGCCAGCCTTGCTTTCTTACCCTGAGGCTTAGCTCCAGCCGGCCCAGAGACAGCTGATGTGAGAGCTTCACCTTTAAGTCCACATCAGGGCAAAAAAACATCCTGCCTCCCATGGGGAGCACAGCAAAGTGCAGCATCCCACCCAGTTCTAAGAGGGGAGTTTCTCAACCTCAGCCTCTGGAGCTGGATGACTGTGTTAGGGGGCTGCCCTGTGCTGGGTAGGGTGCTTATCAGCCTGCTAGCCTCTTCACACTAGATGCCAGTAGCACCCCTAGCCCCGTTGTGACAACCAGAAATGTCTCCAGACATTGCCAGATGTTGTGGGGGTGAGGATCACCCCACATTGAGAACTGCTGGCCTAGAGGCAGGGGCCTTGCTCCCCCATACTCTGCCTGATCCGAGCATGTCTGGAAGTGGACAGAGCTCTCTTTTGCACTCTGCAAATACTGTGAGTGCGCGAGGTATCTCCTGGCTCTGATACTGGAGGCCCTTTGAAATGTTTTGCCTTGGCACCAGCACACAATTATAAGCCTTGGGCCGACCCTTTCCCCAGGGCACGGTTTCCTCTGCAGGAATCTTTGCAAGACATTTGCTGGCCTGCAACTGCCCATAAAAGATCCACTGGAACCCCCCAACCCTGAGCTTGTAGGCGTTTGTGGTATCAGGTACTATGTGGTAGACCCTGACTGGTTAACTCAGACTCAGTTAATAACCAACCCCAGGGCCCAGACACTGAGACCTGAAAGTGTTTTCAGAGTTGTTTAACTGGGCAAAGCATTGGTTTGGAGATAATGAAGATTCAGGGAGGAAGTCTTAGACTCTGTGAACCACAGGCATAGAAACAACGCCTATGTTCTTAGAGGAGGTCTCAGATAATATTGTTAAAAAATAAACAAAGAAGTAACATAAAAAAAAGTCCTTATGAGGTCATGGCCTGAACTCATGGTAATTCTTTTTTCTCTTCTTTTTTTTTTTTTTCATATTATGTTTTTTTTTTTAATAGCAACATCAGAGTACTAAATATACACAGGAAAGTTAATATAGGTGTTTCATTTACAATGTTTTCCAAATACATAGCTTTGAAATACAGAAACAACTTAAAAAAATCTGGAATAAAAGTTCACCTGTACGGAAATCACACCCAGCCACCTGCCCCCCGCCCCCCACCCACATATATTGTGTCATTTTTGTTTATTAACATGATTATGATATGCATTTAAAGAAAAGAAACACAACATTAAACTACAGGAGGTTAACTCTCTCAAGAAGATGATATATAAATACGTCTATAGAGACAGCTGTGGTATAGATATACGGAGAACATGAAAACAGAGAGGCTTTTGTTTTCCTTTTGAAAAATAACAAGTGCTCCTTGTAAAAGTATAAATAAACAGTTAACAGTTTATTGTATCAGAAAATAATTTAGGAAAATGAAAATAAAACCAGTTTTGGTATACATGGGTGAGGGGGCGGGGGAATAAAGTTCTAAAACATTCAATGCAAAACCTGTGAAAAAAGAGGCCATGTGGCCGTTGCTGTTTAATTTCTTGTCCTGTGGTTCAGCTTCAGGTTTGTGAATTTCTAGTTCCATGGGTGAGCTGAGGAGGAGGGGGGACAATGGGCTCCATCTTTAAATAAATGCAATGAGACCTGGTGAATTCAAGGGTTATTTGAACGCACTAGGAGCATCCACACGGACCTGGTCCTTCTATTTCTCAGATCTGTGACTCTTAGACAGATGCCCCATGGGAAAAATCCAGTCAATAGTTTGGATGTTTCACTGAGTATCCTGTTTATTCCATACCAATGCCCAGATACGCCCAATGGCCAATGCTTGATGTTGTGAAAGTCAAACATCCAAATGGTTGACCACCTTTTCCACTTAATCGTAGACACTCTAATGATCAATGGGAAGTTTAGTGCATGACAAGTTCAGCTGGCAAAGATGCATTTCAAAGCTAATCAGACTTCATAAAACATACATTAGAGCCAGACTTGTCCCTGGTGCTAACCATGGCGAGATCTCTGTGACTTGTCCCCACTCATTCAGCCTTTCGTGAACAGTTTCTACAGAATTAAACAACTGGAAGGTTCCAGACATTTCCCTTCTGTTTGGTTATTGGTATTTTCTAAATGGTTTGTAGTAAACATGTGTTCCTTTTGAGAAAATAATGTAACAGACTCTAAAAATGTTATCAATGCATGGCCTCAAGCTTCATTCAATGTCCAGTTCAATACTTTCTGGGTCTAACTCATATTCCCGGGGTTCCTGATCTGCAAATGTGTGGAGCAACCTGATCTTGATCCTGGCTTTTAGTCCCACTCACCTCTCAACAATCCGGGTACCAAGAGTCAGTTAGTAAAGGTCATTGATAAGGTCATTAAAGTTCACGTGAGGCTTTGCTGTCATTCTCCTTTCCATTTAAATCATTTTAGCTGGAGGGTGACCCCCTCTCTGGGCTCCAGCACCTGCCATCCTGTTTCTCCAGGAAAGAAAGAGAGGAAATGATCCAAATTGGGATGCCAGAAGAGGAAATTAAACAAAACAAAAACAAAAACAAAAACAAAAACAAAAACAAAAAAACAGAAACACTTCTGAGAAGACCAGTATTTGGTGCTGCAAACTAGGCACATGTTTCTGCCAAATCTCAATGTTTCATATCGACACACTGTTTGAAGGAGCAGAAACTGATGTGGACTTTGTTCTTCCATCTTCACACCAAGCAACATGACATATGACAGATCCTGAGACGTCTGCTGAACCTCTGTGTGTCACCTCAGGCTGGGAATTCATCTTTAAGGATCACAGTTATCATCAGTTGACTGATAACTAACTTTGCTAGGGCCTTTCACCCTCTGGCTTCAGAGGAAGCAACGCAAACGCTAGTGAAAAACAAGAAATAGAACAAAACACATCTGCGGATAGATTGTGGCAGTTAAATTCAAGGAGGGTGTGGGCAAACACCCCCTCTGGCACGCCAGC
The DNA here is from genome assembly GCF_000001405.40 of Homo sapiens. Lineage (NCBI taxonomy): Eukaryota > Metazoa > Chordata > Mammalia > Primates > Hominidae > Homo > Homo sapiens. Next base: position 4,790,515 of record NC_000001.11, on the reverse strand, counting down.
GGGCTTTTCAAAACCAGTTGCCCCGCTTGTCTTCCAGCCCCTTAACTGGGAGAATTGTGCTTGTATGTGGAAGTGACACCGTATCTAAGAGCACCTTAGAGAATCCTGCTCCTCACAGTTTCTAGGGTCCCATTCATGTTGACTGGCTGCATACGCAATAAAGAAACTCCCATGTGGTTTTGTAGGCCTTAAGTGGTAGGCAGTCACATAACTTGATATTAGAAATCCACATGTATGTGAGAGAAATAATAGAGAATGGTGTTTCCACCCCAGAATAGACTGCGGAGGCAACAGGAGAGGGTTCCCCTGGGAGCAGCAGCTGCTGCCCTATAGAAAACCTTGTCAAGAGCCATGCCATCAGCTTGCTCCTATGCCCATACATGGCTCTCGGCAGCCTGAGACTTCAGCAAAGCCCTTTCTCCCTTCTGCCCCAGGTGAGTCCTCCAAAGGTTGGAAATTAGGGTTGGGGTGTCACAGTGGGTTTCGAATTTTCCCTTTTGGCTTGGGATGACTGAAGAGTGAACAAGAATGGGATGATTCTGTTAGGAAATGAGACACTGGCCCGGGGATTGGTACAATGGTGTTCACCCCTGCAGTTCCCTGTACAATGATTTCAAACAATGATACTAGGGCTCCTCAAAGTGTCCCCTATGCTGTATTAGCAGTGGCTGTAAGTCTTCATCGTACATAATGGTGCCGAAAACAAAACAAAACAAAACAAAACAAAAAACAGAGCTTACGACTGCGTAGTGTTCTTGCTCCTCCCATGGCCAAAGCTATCCCCAATTTTCTAGGGGCAAGGACTTGCCCAACCCAGTAAGACTAGAGTGAACTGCCAGTTTGCCAACCCAGAAGCTATCAACATCAACACTAAGAAATTTTGCTGCGGAAACGACGAAATCTGACAAAAGCTAACCAGTGTGAGTTGCTTATGCCCATGCAAGACTGAAGTCTTTAGGGAGTTGTTATTTAGTGTTGCAAATATTTGGGTGTTGAATTACAAAATGAAAACCCGGGTCTCCAGGGGATTCTGTTTTAAGAGACAGCCACCAGAGACAAAACTAATTAACTTGTATAAAGGAGAATTTCCTACAGTCCAATGCTCCCTGCATCCTTTCCTGCCGCATGTTACTTAACAGATGTTTTACTATGGAATCCAAGATATTGACAAGAGTTAATCCAGTCCCAAGCACATGTCTTGGCTTAGAACTCTCTTGGCTTAGAACATTAACCCATTTAATTGACTGTTATCTACAGCATACGTAGGTTCTGATTCCAGCCTACATGAGAAGACAAGTAGGTCATTTATATGGCCATTTATACAGTCACTGTTCCCTTCCCCCGCTACTCACTAGTGTTTAATCTCTATAAACCTGTGTGTCCCACATGGGCAAGCTTGGCCCAATTTATATTATGCCTCTTATATATGACTCAGATTTACGGCTCATTCAAAACTGCTCTCTTGATTCTATGTACAGTAACTCTTAGAACATTTAGCAGGGAATCCTTCACGAGGAAAAGGCAATGGAGCTACAGGGAGGATTCATTTTATGCTTTTAGCTCCAAAACAGGCCCATCACCACCGAGTTGACCATTCTCTTCAGTCACCTTTACAATGGGGCATGGGCTGTGCGTTTACAGGTGTGGAGTGTGGACTTGTGGCTGGTGTGTTTGGGAATCGATGGAGAGAACTTTCCTCCCCATGCCCTACTGCCTTAGGGACCCTAAGACTAACATCACTTGGGTCACTGGATATTCTGGGGGCCATTGTGCACACCGCTCCCTTAGTCTGCTGTGGCCTATGTATTTAACTCCCTGCAACCAAAGTGAAATAAGATGGAAGATGAGAAGTTCAAGTGCTTCTGCACCGGGCTGGCTGTTCTGAGGGGAGCTGCTTTGTGTTTCAGGCAGAGAGTAGGGTGGGGCCACTCCTCTGACAAAGTGCAAATGTTCCCATGTTCCCAAGGGCCCTTCAGCATAAAGGGAGGTTGTGCAAAGAGTTAAGTTTCCTAGCTAGGGATGGCTTGGTCACATGGAGGCCCATATAAACTCCCGGGATTGGCTACTTTGTGCTCACTAGCTAAGACCTTTCTAGAATGATTTGACATCAGAAGACGCTCATTCTTTCTGTTCGACTGAGGGCTGGGGTGGTTTAAAAGATAGCAGTTCTCTGCCTAGACCTGTTTTTAGTCACTCCTTACATCCAAATACAAGCTCTAAACCTAGACACACAAAACCACACAGAGCCATGCTTCATGCTCTTTGGAAGGAAGGGCTGGTAGCATGTTTCAAAACCCCAAACATTCATTTAAGACCTCCCTGGAATGCTCAGATAAGGCTGAGTGTAACTAACACAGAGATCCTGGCTCAGAGTGAGCAAAGAGGGAGTTTATCTTCCTAGCAGGCGGCACATCAATGTACAATAAGTGGGGAAGAATAATCAAAGATCCTCAGATGATGAGTTTCGCTCATTTATGTGGGCTGTGCTATTTACACTAGAAAACAAACAAATAATCAAAAAACAGTATGGTAGAGCAAATTGACAAACTGCACCAAAGTAACCACTCAAAAATTACATGAATCACGGCATGTTTTGGAATAGCTGCTTACTTAAAAGCAGATGCTGTTTAAGAAGGATGCCACTAAGTGAGCTCAGTGCTGGGGGAGCTTCTGGAGATGCAGCTGCCTTCTGGCACCAAGAAGAATGGCATCCCCAAGGTGCCCGTGCCCCGTGGGCCAAGTCGCTGACGTTGAACCCCCTTATCCTCCTTGAGACCTGGCTGACCTGAGACCTGCTTGGCCTGGCAACCTGACAGATGGGACCAACATGGGAGGGGCTGGGCAGAGCCAGTGCCCAGGGATGGGGCAAGCTCATCACCAGGGCAGCAGCCCTCATCCTGCCCCTGCCCCTGCCCCTCTGCTTCCACTCTTGCTGGAATGACAGAGGAATTTGGTGGAGAACCAGGCGTCGTAACAACTGCGATGTCTTATCTTCAGTGCTGCACTGCATTTTATCCAAGAGCTAAGACTAAGGCCTTCTTCCTCCATCCAACACCAGACCAACCCTCAAGCAGCAAGTGGTAATTTTCCAGTAGGTGATGGGTCGCAGGAGGAGGAGACGTAGACAACCCCTGCCTCTCTTTCTTCCCCTTCAATGCCCCCCACTCTCTCCCTCTTCCCCTCTCTCCTTCTCTGCCCCCAGCCCCATCACTCTGCTCTGCTCTCTTCCTGCCTCTTCTCTCTCTGGAAATTATTTTGGTTTGCTTTCACATTAACCATCCACCTCCTCCCACTGTAGAATATAAAGCCCACAAGGCCATAACTGTGCCCATCTTGCCTCCAACTGTATGGCCAGTGTGGTAGAAGTGGAACAAGTATTTGTTGAATAAGAGGATGAATGACTGATCGGTTCATTATGGTGATGCAGAACGGGTTGTTTCTCTCCAATGGCATATGTGAGTAGTGTCTTAAAGAATTCACATGCTGAAGCAAGAATGGTTCAAGAAATCAGGTGTCTTGGTATCTTTTCCCACTGCGACTTGAGAAATGGCTTTGTGGAAGGGGCAGGGGTAGGGGAGAAGACAGTCTGGTGGAGCACCAAGTCTCATATATGCCCTGATGAAAGAGATCACCTTGATGAAAGAGGGTGATGGTGTCAACAGGTGGACAAAAGAAGGTGTGTCCTGGTGCCATCTTGAAATAAGTATGAGAAGACCAAGACTGACCGTGAAAAGGCTGAGTGAGAGTCCCAGCCTCACTCCCGGTTCCTGGTCTTATCTTTCAAGATACAGGGTCAGTCCGCTTCCTGGGCTACAGACAACCCTGGACCACCTGAGCAAAGAAGCAAAAGGGTAAAATACCTCTCCATGGGCAACAGGGTCAAAATAGAGACCATCCAAGGTGACAGGGTCGATCCTTTGGTGCGTTCACCTTTCAATATGGCCTACACATTGGGCATCACACACAAAATTTTGAAGACCAATCCCTCTAAGCATGGCTTTTCCTGACGCTAAAATATGGCTGTGAAAGAGTCACGTATTTTTGAAAGAAAGGATTAAGATGGTAAGATCACATTAGTAGTAACGGGTTTCCTGGTGTCCCGATTCAAAGAGTGGGTGGGGTTTGCTGATGAGTTCAGGTTTCTAATTTCACAATGCTCCAGGAAGGACTGGAGTGAATTTCTGGGAGCTGAATGTAATATGAGAAGTCCACTCAAGTTCAAGATTGGCAAGGACTAGAAATACTACGGAGAAGACAAGGTCCCCTAAGTGGCCTCTCCCTTCTGTGTGCAAGGAGGGCAGTAAATAGGAACACTAGCAGCCACCTCCACACACCCCAGGGTGTCACCACGCTTCCACGTTGCGTGAGAAGGCTTGGATTTGTCTCGGTAATGGCTGGAATCTGAGCCCAATGGGAAACGGTGGGGAAGCTCCCTGACCATGCCTGGAGAACCCTGCCTTTCTCACGCCAAACTCGGAAACAAGAGCAATGACACGCATATTCCAATCAGACAAAGTGACATCAAGCGTGTGAAGACTAGCAGCGACTTTGTCTGAAAACGGACTGGACTGTACAAGGAGTGCATTCCCAGCTGTTTCTAAGCTTTAAAGGCAAATGCAGGTGCCAGGAGGCTGCCAGGGGGTTTGCAATTGCGGGATCTCCGAGGAATAAGATGGAAGTGGACGAAAACTGGGGAACCCTAACAAACCACATCACCCTTCCTTGGAGTTCTTTTCTTGAGGAATAAAAGCTCAAGCAAAGGAAAGGACCAGGCCTTGGGTGGGGGATGGGAGGTGTCTACTATTAGACTCTGAATTCCAGGGGTCAAGCAGAGGAAAGAGGACACCAACTAGCTTGAAACACTGCCCCAAGGCTGCAGAAGGACTGATCAGGCCAAATCAGCAGCCACCGACACACAAAGTACATGGGCATTACCTATACATATGGCCCGAAGTAGGACAAGTCTGTGCTCTGGTGCAGACTTCACCGTGGGTGGGGCTGCATTTCCGAGGCCCAGTCACTTTCACTCATTATCTCCTCTTACCTAGACGACAATCCCAGGTGAGGGGTCTGGGAGAGCAGGTAACCATTTAAAAAAGTAAAGTAACACGTCTACAGACACTGCCTCAATCATCCAGAAATAGCAGCCTTTGTGTGGATTTACCTTGACGGATGTCATGTTGGTACAGAACCAGACTTTTGGGTGTGGAATGGGCATGCACTTGCTTGTCTGGTGTTTGTGCCTGTGTGGGTCTCACAGCCCTGCCTTGAATCTGTGGCTCTTATCGGGGACAAGAGGGTTGTTGCATTACGCTTCCTTCCAAGGCTCGATGTCTTATGGACCCAGGAAAGAGTTCAGGGCATCCAGGGTGCCGCACATGGTCAGAGAAGGGGGCTGAGCAGCTGGGAGTTGACAGAGCAGATACCAGGAGTCCCTCGGGAATCCTAGGTTCTCATGATCAGCGAACCAACAGGGCCCCCCGGCCGTCACCTCCTCCTTAGTTGGGCTCACTCTGGAGCTCAGAATGTCAGAGACCAGAGCAGCCACCCCACTGCCTGTTGGCCGCCGCCAGCCCTCACCATGCACTCGCACCACGCTGTGCTCACCTGGAGTCAGGAGGCCCACCTCAGCGGGAGGGAGTGATTGAAGGAGAATGGGATGGACGAGGCCGGATGGCGCGCAGAGAGAGCTGCAGGCTGGAGCGCCATGCAGGTGAGTGCCAGGAACCTGGAGACGGCCAAATGCCAGTGGCGGATGTTTGCATTGTCTCAGGATGTGCCAAAGCTTGGGGGGAAAATAAATGACAGAACAAAAACTAAAGAACAACTTTTCCTAATTTGTGAGCAATACCATGGATACAGATCTCAACACTGCTGCATCACAAAAACAATCCTTTCACCTCCGGAGGCCTTACTCTAGGTTCACATGTTTCAGGAGATACAAAAGTGAACTTCTGAAGCATATCACAAGGTGTTTTAGAGGGAGACTGAGCCCAAGGGAAGAATCAGGTCATCAGCCTGGCCATTGAGGGCAGTAAGGTCAGCTGTCTGTCTGATCTTTAACCTTTTTGCCTGGCCTGTGACATTTCACTGAATTGGCTCATGCACTCTACTGCTGAAATTAAAGCTGCACGTGGGCCACGCGTGAGAAATATAGTCTTTGGAGACAGGGACCCACACCATGTTAGGCGTCTCCCATGGACAGGAAACATCCTTTAAGGAGGCACAGCGTGGGCCATGAGATGCATCCCTAGATCCCTACAGCACCCGCTGTTGACAGCAAGTCTGGGGCACCAGTGAGCCCGTTTCAGGTGAGGCTTGTGAGGGAGGCCCGGCGGCATGGCAGTATTTTTAATAAAGTGTGTGTGGTTGGGATTCTCTGTACTGAGGCTCAGGTCTGGGGCCCCTGTTTCCACTGGGTAGTTTATAGTAGGATTCTCGGTGACAAAACAGAAACATCCATCGGCCAATGGAAGCTGACGGGAGAACGGCATCTTTGCCGAGGCTTCCCCCAAGATTCCAAGTCACCCTTGGGCCCTAGAAAAAGCGGGCCACACCTGCCCACCTGCGCAAGGGAAGGCAATGCAGCACAGGCCAGGTCAGGGCGCTGCCTGACTGGGGCAGCCTTGTGGTTTGCACACAGAATGACTATTTTTCGTTTTCAAACCAACCGGGGCCCTTCACGTATGTCTAAGTTCTGCCCTGATATTACACACACACATCATAAGGATATATTCCTTTAATTTTTGGAACTGGAAAACTTCTTTAATCCAGTCTATGCTTGTATGACACACACGTCCAAGAATCCACCACCCACCCAACCAGGGGCTCAGGCCCGTTTGTAAGCAACCAGCTACGTAAATGTGAACGTGGCTGTTAGGTAGCATCTTCCAACACTTAAATGAAAAAAAAAAATCATATGTATGCATATGTGTATATATATACACAAACATATATATACACACACAAACATATATATATATATATATATATACACACACAAACATATATATATATATATATATATATATATATATATATATACACACACATATATAAAACCTTGGCATTCTTAGTTCTGGCCCAAGATAGTAAGTCACACATTTGATGCCACTCACCAACCGTCTAGCAAATGCAGGCTGTCATTTAAGGGCCTCCTTGTCTCGGTCGAGGCTGTCCCCTGGGGTGAATGGTGATGGAATACCAGGTCACCAGAAAGAACATGCTCACCTGTGGAACTGCATTTCCAATAGATGCGTCTATATGCATGTATGTGTATTGTGTGTGTGTAATGCGCACATGTGTGTAATATGTGTGTGACGTGAGTTGCCAAAGTAGAAAACACTGGTTTATTCTGCTCATACTAAGCATGTTAAATAAATCAGATTTTGTAACCTATAACACAATTCTTTTTTTTAAAAAGGAACATTTAAGATCTTCAAAAATTGCTACAGTACAAAAAAAGTGTGTGTGTGTGTTTGTATTTATATATTTATATATGTATATTAACCAGAAATAGCGACTCTATCGGAAGAGATTCCCACCCCTGTTTTCTGTAAGATTTCTCTGCGTGATTCGCTGGGCCCCGGCTCTGCGGCCGAGCCTTTCGGGTCAGTACATGGCACATAATGGTATTATTGGCACAGGTTCAGAATCGTAGGACGAATCCTAGGTTTCGGATGCTTCCTCCCGTCCCTTTCGCTGGGTATCCTCGTCTCTCTGCCTCTGGTTCCTTTCTTTCCTTTCTTCTTTCTGTTCTCCAAAGAAAACTCTGGGAGAAGGCAGTCACCCATAGGCATGAGCATTTTTACAAAAATAGATTTGGCCTAGAGCGTCCTGCTCTGTGAGTTTCCCACCGGCAAACAGAAGTGGTAGGTGCGGGGACCCTCCCCCTTAGATAGCTCAGTTTTAGGTTTTGTCTTTTTTGTTTTGTTTTGTTTGTTTTGTTTTTACAGGTTCACCAACGGAATCCTGTGTGGAAAGAAAACAAGAAGAGATTAAATGGCAGCACGCCGAGGGCGCGACAAGTCTGTGGGGTTCTCGGTCGACTGGGACCCCCACACGCAGCACCCCCGCATGCAGAGCCCGATCACTCCCTTTATCGGTTCACTGACACGGAGGGGTCCTTGGAACGTGGACAAGGCCTCACTAGAACTGGTCAGCAGGAACTGGAAGAAACACTGGGAATCCCAAGGGTATGAAGTGGGAGCCTGAACCTTGTGGAATTCTGGTCATCTACAGAGCTCTGAGCTTGCTACCAGGGGCTGGGACCACCCCCTCCGCTAACTCATGGTGGGGGTGCCGGGGCATCCGGTCCCAGGCGTGCATGTCAGGGGGCCTGCGTGTGGCAGCCCTGCTCTCACTCTCTGTCCAGTTTCCTCCCATGGAGGGTGGCGTGGGGCCTGCTCCACTCCTGTGCTGCGGGAAGAATGGGAGTCTGTTTCTGTCCACTACTCAGCTGCAGGATCCCCGAGGCCAGAATTCGGGAGAGATAAATGGACTGCATCAGAAAATCCACCTCCCACATCTCCCCAGAGGTGATCTTGCCAAAGAGAGAGAAGGCGAGTCCCACCTGGGCACAGGTCAGGTGTGCTGACTGCGATTGCCACCTTCAGCGGGCAGGCTGAGACGGGGCGGCTCCCACCCAGCCAGCCCGAGCCTCGGAAAATGGAAAATGCAGTCTCCCTGGCTGAGTGAGAGCCCCCAGTAGGTCAGCATCCCTCAGACGGTCACCCCGGGCATGGCCAGGTGAGCTGGAACACGTCACGGTCCCATCTGGGGACCTTCTGCCCAAAGCTGCATCTCCGTCACAGGGATGGGGTGCTGTCTGGGTCCCTCTGCTGTCACTCAGAGCTCCTTTCAACTACAGGCAATCAGGACCCTCAACAGTAGAAAGAAAATGCTACCGCATCCTCATCTGTGCAGATGACACATATCAGAAAGTGGTAGGATGGGGCGGGGGTACCCGCTGATCCAAAAATGAAGTCGGAAAAACACCCAGTGGGAGCTCTAGAATTTTTCCAGCAGCTGCATGCATAGCATGCGGCCAGACCGGCTCCGTCATCGTCATCGTTGGAGCTTAGCAGAAATACAGATTCCCAGGCCCACCTCTGGAGACCTGGAATCAGGGTCTCGGGGTAGTGTTTGTGAACGTGGGTTTTCAGAGCTCCCCAGGTGAGGTCAGTGACTGCCAGTCCTGGGTCCATTCCCCAGTTCTTCCCAAAGACAAGGGTGCGGCTTTCTCTCTCCTGAATCAACTGAGCCCACCGCAGTGATTCTGGTTGGGACTGGGGAGGAGGGGCCCCAGGTGGGACATGCCTGCCTTCTGAGGGACACATCCCAGGAGTGGACAGCGAGGCTGGCAGGCCCCAGAACAGCTCCTCCTGCACAGCACTGCGTCCCTGATCATCAGCACTGCGTCTCTGATCATCTCCAGGAGACTCAGTGTGCCAGAGTCTACTCATTTGAAGGTAGAGGTGAGGGGCTGGATCTTTCCCTGGACCCCTCTGCACCTGGACAAGAGGCTGGGCCCTGGGCGTCACCTTCCTGCTTGCTGCCTCCAAATGACATCCGTGTGGACAACTCCATGAGGCTACAGTGGAGTGTCCGCTCAGCTACTGTGGGAAGACCAGCTGCTGTGGGCACAGGGTTCACTGCATGTAAAGAAAGGAGACATCCTGGCCAACATGGTGAAACCCCATCTCTAGTGAAAATACAAAAATTAGGCATGGGGGCGCACACCTGTAATCCCAGCTACCTGGGAGGTTGAGGCATGAGAATTACTTGAACCCGGGAGGCAGAGGTTGCAGTGAGCCGAGATGGCACCACTACACTCCAGCCTGGGCAACAGAGTGAGGCTGTGTCCCACAAAAAAAAAAAAAAGAAAGAAAGAAAGAAAAGAAAAAAGAAAAAAAAAAGAAAGGGGACGTGCCTTTGGGTTAGCGCCAGATCACTCTTGGTAGCCTTACTCCAGCTGTGCCCCACCCCTGCCCACCTCTTCCACATTCCCCGGATTTGGGGAAGAGGGGCTTAAAAAATGAAGTAATTATTACAACACAGAGAGAAATATCCCTCTTATATGTCCATCTTGGTAATTTTTTTGAAAGTTAAAAAATGTAGAGACGAATGCTGTATGATTCTACTTACAGGAAGTACCAGAGCTACCAAATCCACAGAGACGAAGAGTAGAATTGGGGGCCAGGGGATGGGGGGAGACGGGGAGTGAGTGTTGAGTGGGTGCGGAGTTTTAATACGGGGTGACGGAAGGAGGTGAAGAGCTGGCTTGTGAAGATGCCTGCACAGGACGGTAAAGGCACTCATGCCATTGAACTAGACACGCATAAATGGTTACATGGTAATTTTTTTTTTTTTTTTTTTTTTTTTTGAGACTGTCACCCAGGCTGGAGTGCAGTGGCACAATCTCAGCTCACTGCAACCTCCGCCTCCTGGGTTCAAGCGATTCTCCTGCCTCAGCCTCCCTGGTGGCTGGGATTATAGGCGCACACCACACACCCGTCTAATTTTTGTATTTTTAGTAGAGATGGGGTTTCGCCATGTTGGTCAGACTGGTCTCAAACTCCTGACTTCAGGTGATCCGCCGGCCTCAGCCTCCCAAAGTGCTGGGATTACAGGTGTGAGCCACCGTGCCTGGCCTAAAACGGTAAATTTTATGTTACATATATTTACTACAATTACAATTTTTCTTAAAAGGGAGATAAAAATCCTCGGGCCACCAGAAGCTAGGCTTCGAGACCCTACACTGGGTCCCGGTGTCCTGGGACTGTCACCGGTTGTAAGCTGCTGTCCCTGTGTTCCCTGATCATTGATTACTCACAAGGCCAACCTTTTGCTCTGGAATGTGTTCAGGGTTGGACCGTAAGTCATATGGCTGCCACCTTAATAAGAATAGTTTCCTGCCTGAACTGTGGCCCCGGCTGCTTTCCAATCCTTAATCCTGACCTTAAACAGGAGAATAAAGGCCGGAGGAGCAGCTTCCAACCATTGCGTCTGTCTGGCTGTGCTCCGGAGGTGTTCCCATGTAGACTTTATCCTGCCACTTTCCCATGTGAAAGTCTCCCGTGTGAAGGTGGAGGCGGAGCTTACAGCGAGCTGAGATCGAGCCACTGCACTCCAGCCTGGGCGACAGAGCGAGACTCTGTCTCAAAAAAAAAAAAAGAAAAAGAAAAAGAAAAAAAGCCTCCTGCACTTCCCATGCTGGCTCATCAGATCCTTCTGCACTGGGTCCTGGCCACCTTTCCACCTCACTCTTCCTCTTCTTCTTCCTCTCTACGTTCCAGCTTCCCTGATTTCAAGTTGCAAATCTCAAGCCTCAAATCCTTCAGGTTTTGGCTGGAAAGAACACCTCCCTGGGGAGGGCCTCTTGGATGCCCCATTCCTTCCTACACACATCCCCTATTTTACTTCTGTCTCCTGCAGCACTTGCTCGGTGACATCTTCGGTATGGGACCATCTGCATCGAGCTTTATCTGGGCAGATGTGCAAGGCATCCCCTGCTGGCAGCACAGCCTCCTGAGAACGGGGGTCTCCTGCCCATTCACCACTGGTTCATGCAGGTTCCAGTTCTGTGCCTGGCCCGGAGTAGGGAATCAAAACACCGGATGAGGCTCAGAGACGCGGCAGAGGTGTGAAGCAGTTTTGTCCTCAGTCGCTAAGACCCGTCCCTAATGGCATGAAACAACCTCTGGGGACTGCCTGCAGGTAGATGCTGATGCAGGGAGCCACAGACACGACGTGGAGGATCAACGAGTGGGTGGCAGCCTATGCCAGACATCCCCGGCTATGCAGGGAAGGGAGTCTCTTCCAAGACTACAGGCATCTCTCTCTACTCTGTGTCTCAGGATGGAAAAGAGAGAGAGAGGGAGAGGGGGAGAGACAGAGAGAAGAGAGAGAGAGAGAGAGAGAGAGAGAGAGAGAGAGAGAGAGATGGCGCCAATCCTGCACCTTGAATGACCATTTCCAGAGCCATGCTGGCTTTGTAGAGGGTGGAGAGGTTTCCTGCAAGACCAAGGTGTGGTCACAGCCCCTGGCCCAGGAGGAGGCTCTCATGTTGTCCATGCTCTGCCAAAACTCTGTTGCTCAAACTTCAGCTGCTTGTGTTTTTCTGCGCCACACTTAGCACGTGAGCCTCTCATCTTGGCACTAAGCCCAGAGAAGGACTGAGGATCCCAGGCCAGCTGGGAAAGACAGATAAGGTGGGGCCTGGACCCCATGGCTGGAAAATAACGTGGCTGAAGGTGAATGTCCACCTGAGATTCCCTGGGCAAAAAGGGAAGCTGTATGTATCTTGCAAAGCCATCTTCCAGATCGGGATCTGGGATAAATTCTGCCCTCTGCTGCCTGGAAGGAGATTCTCGGCTGGCCTGGCCCCACTGGGCTGCATGCTACGCAGTGGCGCACTGGGTGTAATGACCACTGTCTGCTTTTGCAAAAAATAAATAAATACATACATACATACATAAAATAAATACATAAATAAAGAGCAAACAGGCTACCGCCAGGTGTCCCCGGGGCAGAGCAGAATTTCTTGACAATCTGAAGTGGCTACTTTCTCTCAAAGTTTTCGTGGTACTGTTCTCAGCTCAGCAAGCACAGCTTCCAGAAAGGTATGGATGTTGCTTTGAAAAACAGGCTCCTTTGAATAACAAAAGTTTGATATTCTATTAATGTATATTTTGGAAGAACAAAGTGGGAAGGCACAGGTACACTTCTTATTTTTTATTAGTGATCAATGTGTTTTTGAAAATAATAATAGTGCATGATTTATTTCTCACTTGCTTCGGATTCAAGAGCTTTTATGACTTTGCAGGCTCCGTTCAGAACGAAGCGGCCTTGGCAAAGGGAAAGAGATCAACATTAACGAGGTTTGCTGAAGTGTACCTGCTGTATGAAAGATGATCGCGAATTAGTCCGAGAGCCAATGCAGGCCTGCTCTCGAGGCCCCCTTCCTTGGAGCATAAAGGCCAGCTTCACTTTGCCCAGAGCAGTCTGGCCCCACCACAAAGGTGGTCTGAGGCCAGAACGTGTTGGAATCTATCACAAAGGCTGAATCTGGGGTGCACATCTGCCCAGGAGCCACTGGCATTCCGGACAACCGCCTGCAAGAAAACGAACTTGGCTGACTTTGGGTCCCAAATGTGCACACGGATTAGACTGAGAAGAAAGACAATGGTGTGGTAACAAACGGCTGCATCGTCATTAAAAATGCATTTGGAGAGGCTTCCCAGCTATGTGAGAGAGAAAGAGCTCCACTGGCTCTTAAACCTTAATTAAATGTTTTAGTATTAATTGCTATTTATTTAGGGACAATAAGTACCCCAGCAAATCTGAGAGATGTTTCTGGCTATTCTGCACCCGACGCTCATGTCCAGGCATTAATTGCAAGATTCAGGGGATACTTAGAATCCCAACGCTTTCATCCTAGTGAGTGGTAAACGGTCTGTCCCGCAATCGGCAACAGAATCTTATAAGCATTTATCAAGGACTAACGAGGCTGTGTGCATAGCCCTCCTGGTCCACAGCTACTTCAGGAGGCCACCAGGAGTGGGCCGTGGCTTCGTGTCGGCAGATTCCCAGGCTGAGCGCAGCTGCCTTCAGTAAGCCTCACGGGCTCTTCTGAACTCTGCGGACGACCTACCTGAGAGCCACAGGGAGGGGGTCAGCTCTTTAGACACAGAGATGTTTCCTTGTGTAAATGCCGGTGGTCCTGAAACAGCTCCTCAGGCACAGTTGGGAAGTGGGGTCCACCTGGGGCCCATCTGGGGGCGCCCATGTCTCTTGCCTTTGCCTGGGGCTGCAGCACAGGGCTAGCCCACCAACAGTATTTCTGGGGGGTCTTCAGTGCCCCATGCTGCTGGAAGGGGAGGACCAGGCTGATGAGACACGAAGGTTTTCTGGGGCAGATGAGTAAATAAAACACTTTTTTTTGCCCTATTTTATCTTTTTATTTTTTTTAAAGTCAGTGCTGCGGGCTCCTGTTCTAATGGAAAAGAAGGATCCCTGGGCTCAGGCCTGTGGAGTAGGCAGGGGATGTCCCGGAGCCAGGCAGCCATCGGGTGATCCAGCCCCACCACTAACAACCTGGCTGACCTCGGCCAAGTCATTTAACCTCCCACTGCCTCAGTTTCCCCACTTGTAAAAGGAATTGCTGGGAGGACTGGGCAGGTAAAAAGTGTTCCATGAGCTGCCGTGCAAACATTAGAAAGCTGTCCCCTCTCCCCTAGGGAGCTGACCTCGGCCAAGTCATTTAACCTCCCACTGCCTCGGTTTCCCCACTTGTAAATGAGATTGCTGGGAGGACTGGGCAAGTAAAAAGTGTTCCACGAGCTGCCGTGCAAACATCCGTATTACGGGGCTGTCCCCCCGAGTTGACCTCTCCAGTTCTGTGGGTCTGTGGCTCTTGGCGGAAGGGAGTGAGGGTCTTCGACTCTAAGGCCTTGCATCTCCCAGGTCAATGAATTGTGCATTAACAAATTTTAAAAATCATAACAGAGATGCTGGCAACCATCAGGACCCAGTCCCTACAGAGGCTTTACCAGGCGGGTCGCGGACTACACTGCTAGCAAGCCAGCTCCCTGCGGCTAGCTTGGTTGGCACTCCAGTAGGGGCTCCCTTCATGAGGGGAGCTGCGGTGAGGCAGACAAAGGCACTGGCTTCTGATGGATGCTCTAGGCTGCACATCCCCCCACTGAATGGTGGGGGCAACCCGCCTCTTACCTGCTGCAGCAAAGGCCCTTGCAGGGCAGCTCGGTTCCCATATTCTAATCTAATTACGTTTCTTTGCCAGTTGGCAGAACATGTTGGCTTCGGGGTAGGGAGTGAGGGCTGGAGATTTGATTTGGAGCAAACATGCAGTTCATTAGTGCCAGGATGAGGAACTGACCGATTCACTCCCCTCTCTGACTGCAGCTGGTTCCCCGCCCCCAGCAAGGTGCAGCCAGCTGAGTCCTCCAGACCTTCCCTGTCCGCGGGCCCCTGAGGACTTTGTCCATTCTGTCCCTCATATCAGATGGTGGGCAAAAAGTAAGAAAAAAATATTTTCAAATATTGGTATTCTATCCTAGAAATACGGCTCCCTACTCATGGAAGGGATCTTAGGTCACCTTTGGAAGGAAGCAAGATGAGGATGCGTAGAAAGCCCAGCGTCGAAAAGAACCATGAAAACAACACGAAAACCTCAGGTCACACCCATGGGCTGTGCTTATAGAATGCATGGGATGTGCAGCCATGAGGGCGCAATGCTCTCTCCCCTCAGCAGCCCGAGTGCTCTGAAGACTCAGCACAGAAGGAGGCAATTTAACGTTAGCATTAAAGTTAATATCACTAAAAGCAAACCAAATGTTCCCATCCAGCAGAGCGTGGAAAATTCATCCTGTTTTGGTGCCGGTTCCTGGCTTCAAATTAGTAGATGTCTCAACTCTTCCCTTTCTTTCTTTATCATTTTCTTTCTTATCTCTTATTTTTATATTTCAAAATTGTATTTTAATTCTGCCTTGCGCCCTCCCCCGATGTAAAGACATGTGATGGAGGTGCGATTCCTGCCTCCCTAGCCGCTGTCCTAATCTCCTCCTGTTGTGGGAAATGAGAGCTGTAATTGTCGCTTGTTTTAGGGAATGACTTTCCCTGCCACGTAGGCCACGCATGTGGTGGCCTTCCTGAGGGAAGGAGTGGCACTGATAAGAATAGTGAGGACGTGGAATCAGGGTGCATGAATGTCTGTTACTATCCTCCCCTGGGACGGGGAGGGCACTTCTAACAAATCCAACATCAAGGTCAAAAGCCCAGCCCCCCCCGCCGGCTCATGTTCAGAGAAGTGATGCCATTGGAAATCCACCCGCCATGTCTAAAAGAGCTCCCAGTGATCCCAAAGAGTGCAGGGGAGGGCAGTGGGGAGGGGAGGAAAGGGAACGAAAACAGGAATGTCCAAAGAGAGGTACCTACCGTGAAACAGACACACGGCGTCTGCCCTGCCCCCAGGAGGTAAAAAAGACTTCGGCCAGTCAGCAGGAGATTTCAAACCATTTCTCAGACACGAAGGCCACAGGAATAAGATGCCGATCAGAAGAGGAGGGTCTGCGGTGAACAGAAAAATGGGCTTTGGCGTGCTGGTACTTGACCATGACACATGATAGGCAAGCCGGGGCAGGCCTGTGGTGGGGACTGGCTTCTTGAGAAAGGAAGCACTAATGTGGACTCCTGGCCTTGCCAGGAAGGGACCACCCCCCACATTCCCTGTGGCTGGGAGAAGTCCTCACACACGAATGCTTTCTACCCTGGGAGGCTTTGGAAGACACAGACTGAGGGATCTGGGCACACGAGCACTTTGCTGCACAGGCCGGAAGGCTGTGCCGTCTCCACATTTTCGTTTTTGAATTTGCAGGATTAGCCCAGAGCCTGGGGTCTCTGCCTCTGATGGCAGATTTGACCCACTTTATTGCACATGACAGAAAGGATAGAACCTGGCTCCCAAAATGTCTCGCCCATATTTTGTCACCTTTGAGACTAAGCTACCATTTCCCAAGGCCAATGAAACCCAACAGAGCATGACCTTGGGCCAAAAGGCAAGAACTAGTTCCATCCAATGCCTCCATGCCAGGGCACGAGAGCACCAGCTGTGCGAACTCTGCTCTTGGACAGCCCCCCACCCCACCTCCCTGCATAACACAAGCACAGAAGGTGGGAAAAGTGAAGCAACAGAGGCCAGCCCACGGCCCTCTGCCCTCTACCCACACGGCCCAAGCACTGGCTGGCCCAGATTCACGTCCAAGCCAACATCCACATATTCAGTGAAACAGTTTGGAAATCTGTTAGCCGGTTATTTGTGAACTTAGCCTTCTGGAAGGCTGAAATGGCACCCATGAGCTCCCCAAATGTCTGAGTGTAAAACCACTGAGGTTTAGAACAACAGTTCTGAGGTTCTGAGCGCCACTGTCCTCCTCCAGAAGGGAAGGGAACGTCTAAGACAGAGAATATCACAGATGGCAGAATGCAACGTGGACATGCAAGAAGAGGCGTGGCCAGAAGGTATTTCAGGAACATCTGCTCATTCTAGCCAACAGGACAAAGACACATTAACTATGGATGTGGCAGCCCCGGCAGTCCTCCCTCTCCAGGGCCCCTGAACAAATCAGCAAACAGAACGAAAGGGAGCATGCAGCCAGCCCTTTCTAAAACAACTCGAGTCCAGTCACCTTGCCCTGGGTTCCAGGGGAGCCCTTTCTGGGGGCCTGGGGCAGTGTTACCCTGGCTGCTAATTCTATTGCTCACAATGGATCCCAGCCTCCTCCTTTCTTCAAGTTGTTGGAGACTGTTTTTTTAATTTACAACATGATGCATAAATGTATGCTCACTTAAAAAAAAAGCTTATTGATACTTTAATTTAATTCTGGACAAACCTTTGAAAGCTGACTCAAGGGTTTTTTTAAATATTCCCAGGGATGGCTGTGGGGTACATTTTCTTTGAGGGATTACACATGAGTAATAAAAAAGGAGGAGCATTTAGTAACGTACTTCCGGTCTGGGAGTCTGGTGGGTATCTGATATTTTTGCTAAATTTGCCGCTGACATTTTATTGACAGGGCTCAGAGACGCTGACTCCGGTCGGGGGGCTGTTGTGATCTGTTGATATTTAGGAGGCCAATAACCACGGGGCTGGCCTTTGGGCTCTGGGGCACGAAGGATGACGGTTCAGAGCGAGGGCTGGGAGACTATGCATTTCCCGCCACTGCCCACGTCCAGGGGTCTGGAAGGAAATTCCAGCCACTGTATTCTCTGGGAGCAGCTAAACGCCTGTTGCTATCAACCCTGCCTCTTTCGTTTTGCCAAATTAGCTGTCCGCCTTGGCTGGGCCCCTCAAAGCGACCTCAGGGAAGACCTAAACCGACCAACAGCTCTCAGCTCAGCCACACCGGCCCCCGGGGGTCAGGAGCACCAAGAGCTTCACAGCTGCAGGGTCTAGCAGAGCCCGAGCTTACCGGTTTCCATTAAATGTGGATTTGTACTCCCCCGTCGTCGAGTGCAGCGTCTCATCGGTGTACACGGGCACAGATGCCCTGACGCACTCGTGAGAACACTGCAGGGTCTCGTTATAGGCCGTGAATATGTCCAGGCTGCTGGGCACCCGGGCCGAGGGGAAGTCCGTGAGGTTCTGGCAGCTCTCCTCCTGCTGGTTGGTCTTCCGCTGGTGGCTGTTCCGACGAGTGTTCCCGCTTTGGGCACAGCTGGAAGAGAAAGAGTTTGGGGTAGGGGGACGGGCAGAGGCCGGAAACCCACAAACACAACTCCAGACTTCCACTGTGGGTCTTTCGCTTGCAGGCGTGAGCTACGCATCATTTCATATTAAACGGTAATTCCCAGCCTCTTCAGAAAGATCAACCACAATCAAGCAATCAACTCTTTTTTTTTAAAAAAAAAAAATGAAATTTGAATTTTAAATGTGGCTATTACAGCAGGGAGGATGAGGGGTAAGTAGTGAGCTGTGTGATCGCAGAGCTAGGGACCTGCTTAACTAAAGAGCATCAGTCAGACCATGGTGCTGACTCAGTTTCCCCACGAACGCCTCGACGGGATAAAAGCTGTGGTGGGTCCTTCCTGCCAGAGGGGCCTAGAGTGTGTGGGAGCCTTTGGGTACAGGTTGGGGTGGTCCGTTCCTTCATCTCAGAATGGACAATGGACCTGTCTTTGGGGAAAGCTGATGAGTGAGAAAGCCCCTGTCCTCAGCCTCACCCAGGGGCACGTGTACAAGCTGGAAATGACGAGCTGGCTTGTCCTTCATCCCTGATCAAGTCTGCAGAGGGAAGTGTCCTGCGTGCCTGCCTGTTATGGTCTAGTTCCTCTGAACCACAGGGGTTTCCAGAGGCCACTTATAGTGACCATGGGACTCCTACCCTCGTCTGTCCAGGGACTCGACGAAGCAAGAATCGAGGCCCCCGGATGCCACTTCTATGATGAGAGCACAGGAAGGACAAGGGGGCTGGCTGGGAGGCCCCTCCCCTGCTGCATGGGGAGCTGAGGACGTCTCCCCGCATTGGGGGCCATTTCCCCTGCCCGCCCCTTCCCCTTCACGCTCAGGGCCTGTGTACAGGGAGGGGCTGCACGAAGGCAAGGGGCAGGGGGGATGCGCCCGTCTCCTTCTAAGTCTTGGCTATTTCCTGCGTTGGTTTTCCCAATGAAAGGAATCCTGATTCCTGGAGAAGAAGCCCCCTACCCCATACACCAAGGTCAGAAGGTGAATGCCAAACGCAGGGGGCAGCCCCACCCACAAAGTCTTCCTCAGAGGGAGGTCAGGTTCATAGGACTTGCTCATCCATCCTCCCGGGCTGTTCTCCCAAAGGGCTCTTTGAAGGTCTGCTATAAGCTCGAGTGTGAGAAAAGCAAGATGAAGGCTTGTCATCAACTTGTCACAGAACAGGCTACAAAGTCCCCTGTCTCTGGGGAGATGAAGCCCTTCACCGAGATGGCCAGTGGGATTTGTCCTTCCATACGCCCACACAGTCCAGGGGTCCAAAGTCCCTTCTCTGGCCAGCCCCTGCCTAAGAAGCCCCACTGTGAGCTCCGTGTTGTTCTCTCATCCCCTGTCTCCAGAAAACGCCCGGGGTCCCAGTTTGCTACCTATCAGGAGGTGGCTTTGAGGCCTCGCTAGCCGAGTGGGAGGTCTGTTGTGGGGCTGTGCTACCCCCACCCTCCTGCAGCCTGTCAAGAAGTCCCACCTCCTCTGATCCCAGAGCCTGGCTTTTTCTCTCTCTTTCTTGTGTTCCCCTGTGATTCTGAGGCTCTGATGCGGTTTCCACCATCAGCCTTGTCTGATTCATATGGCTGTGTGCAGGCAGCAAGGGGACCATTTGGGTCTGTTATTCTATGAGGGAGTTTTAAGCCTGGATGCCGAAAGGAGACACAGTTGCTGGAGGAGTGGCTGCAGGCAGGTGAGGTCCCCAAGGCGCTTTCGAGCAGCAGGGCCTCCCAGCAGTCCCCTGATTTCTCAGGGGCTTATCAGGTGTGTACACCCAGCAAGGCTGGCCTCAAAGTAGGCCAATTTCTAGGAGGAAATAGGCAAAGGCAGGCTGCCTAGAGCAAAGCGGTAACCTAGTTCAGCACACAGAGTGGCTTTGAGAGGAACGAAGAATACAAACAGGGCTGGTTCAGCAACCGGCCACCAAGCCTGAGTGAGGGACGTGGGACCCTGCTGGGTGCTGGCAGAAGGGCCCCATCCCTACCTTTCCAGGGAAGGGGCAGAGGAGACAAGATATAGGGACTGTGCTCTGGGTGGACAACATCCCAAGGGACACTTGGATCCAGAGAAAGAATCTGGAACCCAGGACCACACGCACCCTGAGAAGCTCTGTCACAAAGGCTGGGCTCGCTGGCCTTCTGCAGGGAAACCAGGAGAGGGGCCGGGCCAAAGGGCAGCGCTGGACGGTGAGCAGCCTGTGGCAGCTGAACTGCCCAGGGCAGAAGCCAGCAGAACAGGCTGGCTTTGAAAAGTAGGGGCCTTTCTGTATTCACCACCCAGGGACCCCGGTAGTCCCCCATTTCTGGGCCAGAAGGGCCCAAGGAGCCTTACCAATTTTTTAAGACAAGAGTTGTGATGAGAGCAGCTATGACCATGATGAGGGAGACGGTGATGGTGATGATCTGATGGACAGCCAGACCTGGAAAGAAGGAAAGAGGGAAGAGGGCACCCGTGAAACCAGGTTCAGGAGGCGAGGGGGGCCGGGAAAGGTGGAGGTGCATCCCCCCAACCCAGCTGGGGATGCCAGGTCCCATCCGCAGCGGGGAACTCGGGGCAGCATGACAGGTGCTCAGTTCTCTCCTCCTCGACTGCAGGCCCCGGGCATGAGGCTGCTCTCACCCGGGGTCCAGGAAGGGGGAGCTCCAGCTCTGGGCTCTCTCCTTCCACCACCACCCTGTCAGTCTCCAAGCCGTGACCTGGATCATGGGCGGCTGTGTTCTTTCTTGCACCTGCCAAGCCCTTCACCTGCCTCCTCTACCTGGCGGCAGGTCAGCTCTGGGTGAGATATTCCCCATGGCCCCTTTCTCCCCTCACACCCTGGGCCAGTCTCGCACTTCTATTCTGGAACGGTTAGCTCCAGGGTGCTGGCCTGTGAGTGGGAGCAGGGTTTGGCCTGACCCAGGGGGAGCCAGGATGGGCCAGTACATATTGGGGAGGTAAAAAGAAGAGCACATGGGATGACACCCTCACAGACCCAGATCACGGGGTGAAATCTTCCTCTTTCCAGAGTCCTCGCTAAGAAGTTCACTGCTTCACAAGGTTCCAGGAATGAAAGTTTCAGGCCAGCAGCGGATGCTTCCCACAGTCCCAAAGGAGAATCCATGGTCTAGCCTTGTTGCCCTGGCCCCAATACCTGAATGGGGAGGTGGGGGGCACTGGAATCGGCAGGACAGGGACAGAAGGACCAGCCACTTCAGAAGTGGGGCAGGTAGAGCTCTGGTCATGAGCTGTTTGCTGACACCCACATGCACGATGGCAGAAAGCAGGGATTCTTTCCCGTCCCCCACCTCTGTCCCAAAACCTTCTGCAACATTTGCCGCTAACCACAGACACAGGACTGGGGAAACAGGAGGGCAGGCCTGCAACAGCTCCTGCCTCTGGTCCCTACCACAGACCACCTTCTCTCCTGACTACACATCTGTCACATCCTTCCTGGGACCTGGATGCTGGGGACATTACCAACCAGCCAGGGCTACTCGGAAGGTCCACTTTAGCACCTGAGAAGCTGGAAGATCAAGGCAGTGAGGGAGTCCGCCAAGCCCGCAGGTGGCAGCACCTCCTCCTACTCATCTCCCCATGTCCTTCCACCTGAGATCCAAGCAACTGTCCTGTCTCCGCCTGGGGCTCCATCTTGGTGTCTGCTTTGCAGAGACCCGCCCCTCACACCTGACCAACCTCTTGGGCTGCTGGGGTGAGAACACTGCATGTGCGTGTTTCAGCATGGCGGGTTTCAGTGTCAAGATTTTTCTGGCGGCCTCCCAAGGACAGTCTCTTAAACAGATGTTACCTCTCTGCTGGATATGATCCTCATGGGGGAAATTGTTCATAAATGATTAAACATTGGCACAGCCAGAAAACAAGCTTTGTCTTCCTGTTTCCCCCTCTCTGGGGGTAATTTTTGTTTTTCACGAGGGATTCTCCTCCAGGATCCACAGAATAACAGCATCCGGCAAACAGTGGAGGAAACACATGAGCATGGCGAGTCTCTCCCAAGCCTTCTTCTATCCACTGATTCAGGAACTGTTTGTTGTGCACCTACTGTGCGCCTGCAGCACTAGTACTGCTCACCCACAGGCAACAGCTGCTCCGATGCCCCCTGAATAAAGGTGCTGCATTCATTGCAGTTCTGGCCAATGACCTCCCATAAACCTGTGCCCCATCTGTGGCACCTGCTGTAAACCTCTGGGCAAGTCCCTTCTCTGGGACTGCCAAGTTGGTTTGCTAATGAGTTGAAAGCTAAGTTATGCAACAGGGACCACCCCTAATCCCACCAACAATGGAGTGTCTACCAGCTCTGGTAATCCCTATCTATGTGCCAAGTTTCCTGAGACCCAACTCAGACCTCATGTGCAGAGGAAGGATTGAAAAGGATGGACAGCTGTGGAGGGTGGGTTGCCTGTTCAGTCTCCTCTTGCTCTCTACCCACACACTCCCTCTGGCCCAGTCAAGAGAAAGCCATGCTGTCACAAAGCGTATGTGCTCATCCGGTGTCTGTGCTTCTTGTGATGAGAAGGAGGTTGCTGCTGCTGCTGCTGATGGTGATGGTGATGGTGGTGATGATGGTAATGATAATGATGGTGATGGTGATGATGATGGTGATGATAATAGTGATGATGATGGTGGTGATGGTGATGTGGTGATGATGGTAATGATAAAGATGGTGATGATGATAATGGTGATGGTGGTGATGGTGATGATGGTGATAATGATGGTAATGATAAAGATGGTGATGATGATAATGGTGATGGTGGTGGTGATGGTGATGATGGTGATAATGATGGTAATGGTGAAGATGGTGATAATAATGGCAATGATGATAATGGTATGGTGATGATGATAGTGATGGTAACGATGATGTTGGTGGTGGTAACGATGATGATGGTGGTGGTGATGGTGACGATGGTAATAATGGTGATGGTGATAATGATGGTGATGGTAATAATGATAGTGATGGTGATGACGGTGATAGTGACATGATGATCATAATGATGGTGATACTGATGTTGATGATAGTGATATGATAATGGTGATGGTGATGATGGTGAAGGTGATGCTGATGATAATGTGATCTTAGCTGCATGATGTATCATTAAATTTACAACTAAGGGGTAAAAAATCAGAAACCAAGTTAACAGAAAGAAGGGTAATGATCTACTTCTGATGTTGGCCTTGCCCTGGAGGCCCTTCTCCTGCCTTTTGTGTAAATTTTCTTCATAGACTTCCCACATTAAAACGTGAAGGGTGCATTATGGGCTAATCACCAGCTAAGAGGGTCTGGGCAGTCACACACACGCAATACAACAGCTATGCTTTCTACAGGATCCCTCGATGCACCTAGCTAAGCCTTCACACCTGGGATCGATGTAACCCATCTCCACCCCACATTTTTTTTAACCTGTCTGACAAACTGGGTGCCTGATGCTAAAGAAGAAAAATGACTTTCCCTGGTCAGCAAGCAGAGCCTGGACAAACGCAATTCTCTGCTCCAGTGTCCCCAAGAAAACCAAAATCTAAATCCAAATCCCACACACCTGCACATTCTGTCGTTAAATAAGTTCAAGATCAACAGTTTACCAAACCCTGCACAGACTTTTCTTGCAAAGTAAACAGCCGTGTGCTTCAAAACCTGGAGTGTGGGTTTCAATGGGCTCCTGGGCTCCTGCTTAGGATGCTACAACTATGAGGATAAACTACAGACCCTCATGATGGTTGGACAAGGACTGGGACTTCTGACATGTGGCCCCAATAATATTTCTAGGAAGCAGGCTGAAATATGGAAAATTCATAAGGGTTCTTCATTATTTCCTCTCTTTGGTAGGCTGCTCACTTAGAATAAAGCAAAATAACATGGGAGAAGTCGTGTGGTGTTTACAGCATCCGCCCCATCATTTAGTCTCCCCAAGAGCCAGGAGTAGTTTCCTTCCATGTGTAAATCTTCATGTGGATCCCAGGTAGACAAACCTTTTCTTAAAGGACCAGATAGTAAATATTTTAGGCTTTACAGGCAGTATGGCCTCAGTCACAACTACTCAACTCTACCATTGTAGCAAAAAAAGCAGCCACAGACAATGGGCAAAGAAGCAAATGGGGCTGTTTTCCAATAAAACTTCATTTCCAAAAACAGGCAGTGGCCATGTTTGGCCCATGGACCACAGTTTACAGATACGTGATTTAGGTGAGTAGCTCAAGGTGGCTCTGCTTATAGATTAAATAAAAGCATATTCTTAGTTTTGGATGATCGGTTAATGCTTGGAATCAAACTGCAATCTTTTAGTTTGAAGGATTAGAACCTTGCTCCTCCACCATCAAAGCTTTGCTGTGTGCTGGGCTCTTCACTGGTCACTGTCAAGGTGGTTTCAGAGAGACCCACAGCCTCTAGTTTATGGCTGGGTCTTAACACCCAGCAGCAGTGGCCTCACCCTGCTGGGTTTGTCCATATGAAGCCACTTGATAATAAGTCACTTTGCATGAAGGTTTCCCTTGAGAAGTCAATTACACAGGATTTTTGATTTTTGGAAATCAAAACTCAGAAAGAAATGTACCAGTTTGATTCCTTCGATGGCTCTTAGAACTATTTCAGCCATGTCTATCTCCATTTTCTCCATGTTTAAAAGAAATAGCATCTTGCCAAACACAAGAATGTTCAGATTATGGAATCATTGTGTAGAGAGAGACCATATCTTATTGGTCTGTGGAAAGGACTTTTCCCACACTATGCAAATGGCACCATTCTCAGGAGGCTTTGACTTTTCTCCTCCTTCTTCACTCATGTCTCTCCTTCTTCACTCATGTCTCTCTCAATACTCTCGCCTTAAATAACATTCCCTCTGGTCAAGTCTCTGGTGGCTATTAGCTACCTCGGGCAGGAACACCTGTCCCATAAACCCTGCTGCCCCTGAGCAATCCTGGAAAAGTTTCCATGTCAGCTGTCCAGGGGCTATGACTAGATTGACAATGATGTCACCTAAAGGGAGCACACTCTCTATGCCCCCAAGGAAGGAACAAACAAGCAAACTTTTCCCTCTCCACTTCCAAGGTCAACACTGAATCACATCTTCAAACTCTTTGCAATTCAGACCTGGTCCCAGAGCTCAGAAGCAGGCTGTGTGGGAATTCTTGCTTCCCCTTCCTGACAGGTGTTATTCTGCTAATTTGGGGGCTTTTTCTGCTTCTGTTAATCGCCACTGTATACTAATGCGTGAGGAATCAGCTGCCATCCAGATGATGAAAAATTATCCCCAAAATAATGGATGGGGACAGATGGATTACCAAGCTCTGCATCAATCAATAGGGCTTTTATGGTTATATTTGTGGTGGTTTGTAATAAGATCAGGCCCTGAAGATTGATGTGGAAGTTTGTAATCCATCTCTGGGTCTGAACAAGGTCTTATTAAATGAAGCTGAATCAAATACGGGCCATTGTCCATGGCAAAAACAAACCCATCACGTGCTTTCTTTCTAGGACGTGAGGCACGTTTGGCTGGTACACTTGGATGATGGCGGGAGTGATGGTCCTGGAATTGGCCAAGGCAAACAGATGACATTGCTGTGCGTATCACAGCTGATTTCACAATGCAGAAATCGGGAGCGTCTGAATTATGCAAACAAAGAGCCATGGTCACTGGACACAAAAATGTCTGTCATGCAACAAGTGTAAGTTTGATAGGTGACAGGTGACATTGGGACTCAAAGTGCCAATTCCATCCCAAAAAAGCCATTCATTTTCCACAGAGACCTGCAAAATGTAAATTTCACAGCAGTCCTTGAAAAAGAGTCTCTGGGAACACGTTGGCCTGACTAGGGTGAAGCTCACAGTGCCCAGTGGTGGACAGATCAGAGGCAGCTTGGCTTGCTGGAGTTGGAGGAACCTCAGGGATTAGGCTTCGTCTGAGTCAGTTGCTCACCTCCTGGGAACAGGCTGCTAAGAAAAAATGCATCTTCCAAAACTGGGATGCTCACAGCAGAACAAGGCCACCAGCTTTTATGTCAGGGACACAAAGGAGTGTGCTGTTTTCTGAGTGACCCCGCAGAGTCTTCCAAGGGGTGAATGTATTCGTCAGGGTTCTCCAGAGAAACAAAACCAATGAAATATAGAGAGATCTATAAGAAGAGATTTATCATGGGATTGGCTCATGTGATTATGAAGGCCGAAAAATCCCATGGTCTTCTGTCTACAAGCTGGAGAACCAGGAAAGTTGGTGGTGTCACTCAGTCCAAGGCCAAGGGCAGGAGAAGATGGATGTCCCAGCTCCATCTACACCACAGGGGGTTCAGGTCAGTGGGCAGGGACACTGGTGGAAGTACCAGAGTCTAAAGGCCCAAGAACCAGGAACCTTGGAAGGTGTGGGGAGAGGGAGAGAAGGAGAGGGAGGCGGAGAGGGAGAAAGTGGGGGAGAAAGAGGGAGGGAGGGGGAGGTTGGAGAAGAGGGAGACAAAGAGGAGAGAGGGGGAGGGGGAGAGGGAGAAAGGCAGGGAGAGAGATGAGGGAGAGAGGGAGGAAGAGAGAGACAGAGGGAGAGGGAGAAAGGGCGTAGAGAAAGAGAGGGAGAGGAGGGAGGGAGAGGGAGAGAAGAGAATTTGCCCTTTCTTTGTCTTTTTGGTTCTGCCTGGGCCCTCAACAGATTGGATACTGCCCACCCACATGGCTGAATGCGGATCTTCCAGACTCAGTCCATTATTTCACGTGCCAATCTCTTCCAGAAACACCTTCACAGACACCCCCAGAAACCATGCTTTACCAGCTCTCTGGGCATTCCTCAGCTCAGTCAAGTTGGTGCATAAAATTCACCATCACAGTGGGTGATGGCCTGGCTCAGGGAAGTGCTTCAAGCCAACACTACGTGGAGATGAAGTCTCCTCTCGTCGGAAGTCCTTCCGGCTTGGGACAGGATCACATGCTACAGAAACAGAACTCCCCCTAAGGAAATGCTTTGCTGACATCTCACAGGACTCGGCTTGGTCACAACAACACAGTGAAGGGCAGTCCCCAGGGAATTGCCCCAAAGGGCCTAGGCAGGTGGAGCAGTGGTCCTCAGCCAGGGACATCTGGAATGTCTGGAGACACTTTGGGTGGTCACAGCTGTGGGTGGGAGTGGTTCTGCATCTAATGGGTAAGGGCCAAAGATGCTGGCAGAGGCCTCTGAGGCACAAGACAAGCCCACAGGACAGATATCACTGCAGCTGAAGCCTTGGGTTGGAGGGTCACCCCCAGTGTGCCTCAGAGGGTGAGGTGTGAGCCCATCCCTGGTTGTTTCCTTTTAACACCCCTTCTCCCTCCAACGCTTTCCTTATCAATAACAAAGCCAGGGAGGGAGAGAGGTCATGGGGCTAACACCTTGGAGCCACTGTAGAGGTCCATAACATGGAGTCACCCCAAGTTTCTTGGTAGAGGGTGCCAAGCCTCGTGCCAAGTGAATTAGCGCATTTACAGCTCACTACAGCACCATGAAGTGGGCACAAATATGTTCCCCAAGTCCAGAAGGAGGTTAAGGGATTTTCCCAAGGTTGCACAGTGCCATTTGGGGTCCCCACAATCACCCTCAGGCTTAATAATTCAGCAGGGAGACTCACAGAACTCAGAAAGCCATTATATTCTTGGTTATAGTTTATCACAGCACAAGGATGAGCACCAGGAAGACAGGCATGGGACAGAGTCCAGGGGAGACCAGGCACTTCCGGATGTCATCTTGCAGTGGAGAAATGTAGACAGCACTGTCTCATCCCAGCAATGATGTGTGACAATACGCATGAAATATCGGGGAAGCTCCCTTGGGCCTTGACGCCCAGAGTTTGTGCTGGGCTCTGCCACAGGTGACCCTTGGCATGGCTGACCCCAGTCTCCAGCCCCTCTGAAGGTCAAGCTAATACCACAATACCCCACGGCCCTAGTTCCCACCATAAGTTGTACCGTTGTATTATCTGGCCAGGCCCAAGGCCCCCAGGCAAAAAAGACACTTCTCAGGCAGGACATTCCTGAGGACATTCCTGAGGGAATTGGGGGCAAGGACATTT
Organism: Homo sapiens; assembly: GCF_000001405.40. Classification (NCBI taxonomy): domain Eukaryota; kingdom Metazoa; phylum Chordata; class Mammalia; order Primates; family Hominidae; genus Homo; species Homo sapiens. The sequence goes on along the minus strand of NC_000001.11, from coordinate 4,762,260 downwards.
CTTTGGGCAAAATTAACCCTGTACTGCACACACAGCTAAGACATGGCAGACACAGAATTCAACAGGCTTGCTCCAGGCTTCAGCCCCTCACTGCTGTCCTGCGCAGCGTTTTGGAGGGTTGTATGAAGGATAGTTGCATTATGTTAGGTATAACTAAGACCTTGTTATTGTCTTTATCTGAAGATTATGTATAATTTCAGGAGATGTGTATGGGCTCAAGTTGACAAGGGGTGGACTTGTGATGGTTAATATTAAGTGTCAAGTCGATTGGACTGAAGGATGCAAAGTGTTGTTTCTGATGGGTCTGCGAGGGTGTCACCAAAGGAGATTAACATTTGAGTCAATGGCCTAGGAAAGGCAGACCCATCCTCAGTCTGGGTGGGCACAATCTAATCAGCTGCTAGCACAGCCAGAATAAAAGCAGGCAGAAGAATGTGAGAAGACTAGATGGGTTTAGTCTTCTGGCCTCCATCTTTCTCCCATGTTGGATGCTTCCTGCCCTCAAACATCGGACTCCAAGTTCTTCAGCTTTTGGACTCAGACTGGCTTCCTTGCTCCTCAGCTTGCAGACGGCCTATTGTGGGAATTGTGGGACCTCATCTTGTGAACGTGCGAGTCAATTCCCCTTAATAAACTCCCCTTATATATACATCAATCCTGTTAGTTCTGTCCCTCTAGAGAACCCTGACTAATACAGATTCTGATTGTTCTCTGCACAGAAATGGCCGATGGCCAATGGCCATGGCATCATGGTCCAGGGAGACTTGGAGATCTGTCTGGCTGTGGGCTCCAGAAGGGACCTGAAGTTGTACTCATGTCCCCTGACCCTAGGACTGGCTACCAATGTCACCCATGGGTTTCTTTGTATTTGGAGATTGCTCTGAACTAGAGAACACAGAGTGTTACAGACGGGACTCAGAGAGAGCCCAGGGGACAAGTCTTTGCTAGAAAGACCCCATGCCACCCAGCTGCAAGCCTAAACCAAGGCATCAATCCACCTTTCCTTCTCAGGGCCATCTTCTTGGCAAAATCTCAGCACTGCTGCATTCAAATCTGGGATTCTCAGCAGGGGCACCGGGAATGGGGTGAGGACGAGGTGGGTAGAGAGCTTGGGAAATGAATTCACTGGCAGTGAGATTTACCCTCTGAGTTAAAAGGCTTTCCAAAGGTTCGGGCACCCTGGGGGTTCAGTTAGGGTCAAGGGGGCACAGAGCCCTCACTTCACGTTTGCAAGATCATGAATCACCCAACAGCACCCTTCGGGGCCATGATCTCAATGCACATTTCACATGGAGACTGCACAACCTGTAAATCTCAAATATGTACATCTAGTCCTTTAGGAAAAGTTTGTGACTCCTGGCCTACAGGACCCCAAGAATCCCAGAGTGGGCACTTTATGTATGGCATGACTGTAGGGGGGCACAGATGGGCAGCCTCTGCTCACGGGCCCCCTCCATGGTGTGGCCACACGCCTTGGCGAAGGCCAAGCCTGCATATTCGCCCCTTGTGGCAAACAGAAACGCTTAGACACATTGCTGAATTGAATATAATGACTATGAAATGGGTTACAGGCGGAAGGAAGCCAGGCCCTGTCCATCTGCTCCTTCTGACCTGCATTCAGAGAATGCGGCCCAACAGATGGGAGGGGATCAGAATGCTGCATCGTGGCCGGGAAATGTGGCTCCCCAGCCATGGACCCTGGGCCATCCCAGGGGCGGGGGAGTCAGATCTGCTCCGTGACAGGCAGCAGCACCTTCTCCGGAGCAGAAAGTCCAGTGCTGGAAGAAGCAGAAACCCCCTCAGAGAGAGCATTCAGTGGTTCCAGGGCAGCTTCCAAAGCATGCATGAACACATGCATGAACACACATGCATGAACACACTCACATACACACACATGCACACACACTCATACACACACACAGACTCACACACGTTCACACACACTCATATACACACTCATGCCCGCACATGCACACACACACTCACACATACACGGACACACATGCTCACACACTCATACACATGCTCACACACACTTACATATTCACACACACATGCACACACACACAGGCTCACTCACAGAGACTCACACACGGCCTGAATTTTTGGCTTGTGTAAGAACAGAAGCCACTGATACTCAACTTTGAGCTTGGTGGCCGTTAGGGAAATGACCCATTTCTTTCACTGAACTTCTGCTATCATTTGAGAAGTTCCACAAAAGATGATGGCTCTGAAGGCCAGTGCTGGGGGGAAGGAAGTCGGCCTCGCTGCATGCTAAGGAGAGGTTCAGGGTTTGGGGAAGAGACACCCTATGGCCAGGGAGGCTTTGAACCAGCTGAGGGGCCTTCTGCTGCAGAGATGCTCCATCCACAGCTGGAGCCTGGCGGGAGGGGCTGGGCCCTGCGTGTTAGCAGCAGAGTCCCTTCTGACAACTCCCAGCGCCACCAGCACCACCGCACCCACTGTCTTCAGAGCCTACGTTTAGCTTATAAAATGGTCAGTACATCAAACCTCTAAACAAATGGCAAGGCTCCCCCTCCAAAAAGCCTGCCTGCACCTCGCTCTTGGAGGCATGGTGCTGTGACTTCAGTTTCCATTCAGCAGACATGTGCCTGGTGTAGGTGGGAGAAGCCATGGAAGGAAGGCACCCAGTCCAGAGGCCCCCGTACAGAAGGTCCTCAAAGAACAGTGGCCTCACCCTGGTTATGGTCACTGCAGAGTCTATGCAGAGGCTTGAGCCAGCTCCCTGGAGCAGAAGACACGGGGCTGGGCACACCCAATGCAGTCAGTGGTCCAGAGCAGACATTCTGCAAATTGGGACTAACATCAGTCCATCCAGCTTCCAGCCCCAGAGGCCAGATTCCTCCAATATTTTTATTTTGAACCGTCTTTCAAAATATGCTCCCTGTCTCCCAGACACCTAACCAAATTAAACAGACTATAAGACATTTGCCTCCCTGTGTTTCAAGCTCTCATCATGGCCTTAGTTTTAGTGATGTTTCAACACCGACCCTGGTGCAGGACTGATGTGCCATCCAGCGGCCCCATCTAAGAGGAGCAGGTCTATGCACACCTTTCAGAGTCAACACACGAGAAGGAGGAGCAAGGGATTCTCAGACACCAGCTGAGTACCAGAGGGTGTGCCAGCAGGCCAAAAAGAAGGCTCCTTACCTGCAGTGGCTGCAGACAGAAACAGTCACGGGTCAGTGACCAATATAATGAACGTGACCAAGTTTGGAGCTGGTTCAACCTGCATCCCGACCTGAGCTCTGGTGCTGGCCATCTTCAGAAGTACTCTGGAGTTTGCAGAGTGCACAGAAAGCCTGTAACCCAGCATCCAGCTCGGGGCAAGAGAGTGATCCGCTCTGTCCTGGGATCTCGGGTAGAGGGAAGAGCAGCGTCTGGGACTCAGCCCTGAGAAGCTGCCTTCAGCTCCTCTGCACGCCGGCTGTCCTGGGAGCTGTGCTGTCAATCGAGCAGCAGCCTGACGTATGCACCACACTCTCCAGCACAGGGTTGGGTGGGATCGTGTCTCCATGCTATGCCCATAGGACCTCCTGAGATGGTTAGGTTTTGTGTCCCCACCCAAATCTCATCTTGAATTGTAAGCCCCATAATCCCCACTTGTCAAGGGAGAGACCAAGTGGGGGTAATTGAATCATGGGGGTTGGGGTGGTTTCCCCCTTGCTGTTCTCATGGTAGTGAGTTCTCACGAGACCTGATGGTTTTATAAGGGGCTCTTTCCCCGCTTCACTCGGCATTTCTCCTTCCTGCCACCTTGTGAAGAAGGTGCCTTGCTTCCTCGTCAACTTCTGCCATGATTGTAAGTTTCCTGAGGCCACCCCAGCCATGCAGAACTGTGAGTTGATGAAACCTCTTTTCTTTATAAATTACCCAGTCTCGGGTATTTCTTTACAGCAGTGTGAGAATGGACTAATGCACTTCCTATGCCAGCCCCTGATGCTTCTTTCTCATGCTCGTATAGGATCTGACAGTCTCCCAAGGAGACATGATTGAAGAGTGACACACTATATTAGTCTGTTCTCACATCACTGATAAAGACATAACTGAGACTGGGTAATTTATAAGGGAAACATGTCTAACTGACTCACAGTTACACATCACTGGGGAGGCCTCAGGAAACTTACATTCAGGAAGGGGAGGCAAACATGTCCTTCTTCACATGGCGGCAGGAAAGACAAGTGCAGAGCAAAAGGGAGAAAACCCCTTATAAAACCATCAGATCTCATGAGAATGAGAACTCACTCATTATCACAGAAACAGCATGAGGGTGATCACTTCCATGATTAAATTCTGCCTCCCACGGGTCCCTCCCACAACAGGTAGGGATTACAGGAACTACAATTCAAGAGGAGATTTGGGTGGGGACACAGCAAAAGCATATCACACACCTTGCCTCAAGATATTATAGAAAAGCACTCTTCACTCATTCAATAACTGCTTATTCAGGACCTACTGTGTGCAGGCACTGGGCTAGACCCAAAGGCTGCAGTAGGGGAACAAAAGCAAGCAGTGTCCCCATCCAGAACAGGCTACAAACCAGGGTGATGAGGACACCAACCAACCAATCACAAATACTCATGCAAGTGCACCTGTGACAAGAGCTTCTACAACAGGAGGTACCATGAGTGTCTGTAGTAGACCCACTCCCCAGGTACCTGTGATGTGTTTCCATGGTGATCCCAAATCCTCACCCCCTCCAGCCACACTCATGCCAGGATGCTTTGCAGTTGTCTGTGGGCTGGGCCAGTGTTGGGAGCAAGGTGGTGCATGAGGCTGGCCATTTTGTCCGTTTGCCATCATAGTGAGAACATGCCCAGCCCAGCCCACGGGAGACTGAGAGACCCATGGGCCACAGCTGACAGCCCTAGCCCCCAGCTGAAGCCAGCCCAGATCAGCGAACAGCTGGCCACCCGGGGGCATGTGAGTGAGCCCCAGCAATACACTGGTAGCACTGCATGCCCCTGGGTCTGGTGCTGTTTGTGGCATTTCAAGGCATAGCTCACTGACAGGGGAGGCGGAAAGGGGAGGGGTCTGTGCTGAAGGCAAAGGAAAGGATCTTCTGAGAGAAAGACCAGAAGTGAGGCGGCCTCCACTGACACAGAGAATCAGATGTCTCCAGGAGCCACATGAAATCCTCCCAGCCTCGCTCGGGCTCCCTTATCACCTCCCCAAACAACGACTCATGTGTGAGCCTCTGTGTCAGGCTCTCATCTCATTCCAGGGAACCCCCGGCTCTGCCACAGGCATGGGGGAAAGGGCTGGGGGCAGGCAGGTGTGGCTGCATGACAGAGATGAGGCTAGGGAGGGCTAGGGGCAGCCTGAGGTTCCACACTTGGAGGGGGCACTGCAGGCTCCCTACCCTCCCCAAAGACCCTTCTCAGCATTCTGGGAAAACCCACAAGGATTCTCTGCTCAAATCAAGGTGGGAATTCTTTGTAGGAAGCTTAGTTCCCTCCTGGAGAGTCACAAAGCTCAGGTTTGAGAGGCCTCCAGAAAGCAAACTTGTTTCAGAAGGTTTGCTTAACCCAGCATCTCACAAATTTGGCATCTGCACTCTTCTTGCACAGAACCTAAGCGTCTGAATCCCAGGAAAACAAAACCTCCATGAACTCAGCAGGATGTAGTCTCAGAGACAGGAGGGAGCCTCTCTGTCTTGGGTTCCACTCACGGCAGGCCCTCCAAATCCAGCCATCTCTGTTCTGCCCTAGACCCTCCGTAAACATTTGTGAGTTGGAGAGAAAGAGCTTAGCTTGGGAGACATTGACCCAGGAGGGCATTACTTGCTGCTGAATCTTGGTCCAGACAAGCCCCTGCTGAGGAGTTTGGGTCAGAAAAGGTCAGGCCATGCCATGAGACTACCGCACACCTGGCCCAGGCACCCTGAGCACTGGTCCTGGGCTCCCAGCCAGGGATGCCACGGTGCGGACATAGTCATTTCACTCCTGCAGCCCTCCCTGAGCTGCTTTCGGCAGGGCCAAGCCCCTCACCACTGTGGGCTGCTTCTGTTTTGGGGCCCGTGATGTGAAAAGGGGACCACACTTCTATTTCTGTGTTGAGAGGTGCTTGCTCACTGATGCAGCTGCCAAACTCCACCCAACTCAGTGACAAAGATCCTCTGCCTGGCGAAACTCTCATCAGGCTCCTGCACCTTCTCCTAGGCTTGTCTGGGCACTTCCTTATGCATATGCTAAGCATAAGTCTATGCTTAGCAAAGAACCCTGCTAAGTGAGTTTAGCCAAAACCCCCACCCTCCATATCTGATCACCCTCCATTTCTGATCCGTTGTCATCCTTCACCCTTCCCCAGGTGACGTCTGATCAACCTGGCCTGCCTTCAGCAAGAACCCTGTTAGGTGGGTTTAACAGCCAGAACCCCCCTTACTCCAGTGTTTCCTCCTAGTCGTTTTTAATCCCCCCACCACCCCGCCCTACCCCTTGGCTGCAAATTCCCATTTGCCCAGGCTGTGTTCTAAGTTGAGCCCAATCTCTCTCCCCCATTGCGAAATCCCACTGTGTGGTCCCTGTACTTGCTGTGATGGCCCCAAGTAAAGCATTCCTTACAAGTAAAGCATTCCTTACTGCTCTCTAACAAGTCTCATTGAATAATTTTTCCTTTAACATCCAAGACATGCCTTCCAGTGAGGTCTGAGTCAAACCCCCGGTACTAGACTGAGTCCATGGGCAGGCAGGGGGTGGGGGTGGGGGCAGCTTAATCTCCCTGGAGCAAGGCCGGAAGCTTGCAAACAGAGCCCCGTGGCCAGGCAGGGTGCTCTGCCTGCAAAACCCACTGGCAGTGTCAACAGAGCCAGCAGGAGGGAGACGGTTATCCCCTTGTTTCATTAAAACCTCTATGCAGCCAGAGAGTGGGGAAATTGCAATGCAATCTTAAGTGTGGGGGTGGTGTGAGAGAGGAGGGGGACATGTGAGAGTCCCCCGCACCCACTTCCCACAGGGGTTCTGAGTGCTTCCTGCTGCAGAATATTGTTAAATTCAGTAACAGCTGCTGTCTTTATGACACCAACAGCCATTTTATTAAAAACAATAAACAGATAAATAGATGCACTCGAAAGGCCCCCAGTTACCCTCCCTGTTGCTCTTGGACAGTCACCTGGTGCCCCTTCTCCCACCAGGACAGGAGTGGGCAGTGCCACCCAACCACGGCTCCATGGGCTGCAGGGAGGGCACATGGTGAGAATCCCTGTGCTCATACCACCTGGCTCCAAGGCAGAGACACCTGGTGGGCCAGCTGGGGGTTCCTGCCCAGGCAGGGCTGATCTCCCTGCATCTTGCCCACTGGGGCTGTTGCAAGTCAGGACATGAAAGGCCCAGGGAGTGGTGGCTGTGAGCACTGTCCCCACAAATGCCCCAGGTTGAGATGAGGGGAGAGCAGGAAGGAGGACCCAAGGGCAGGCAGCACAAGGGAGGCTCGCTCGCTTGGAATAAGGAAGCCATAGGAAAACGGCCACTCCTTGCTTTGCGCTGGGGTCCCAGCAACGTCTTAATCCATGTTTCCAAGAAGGCCTTTCAAAGCACAAGACTGAGGCCCCGTCACCGAAAACAAACAGAAACAAACAAATAGACAAATGTTCAGTTTCAGTCTGGAAAATCAGAAGCTGGGAATTCCCTGTGAGTTTAGAAGACGTGAGATGTTGTCCTCTCATCCTCAAAGTGGCAGCTGCTTGAGGCCAGGAAGCCATCCATGGTCTGGGAAGCTTGGAATGGAGATTGGGACTGTCAAGGAGGATGGGCTGCCTGAGAGACTGGAAACTCACTTTCTCTCCACATAGTCCCAACCTAGTGGGTAGCCAGAAGGGAAAGGGAGTCTCTGCTACAGGAGAAACTGCCTTGAGAGCAAGAATTGGCAAACTTTTCCTGCAAAGGGCCAGAGAGTCAATAGCTTAGGTTTTACAGACCATACAGCTTTGGTAGTAACAACACACCCCTGCCTGTGTAGCCACAGACAAATGTAAACAAATGAGTGTGCTATGTGCCAGGAAGTCTTTAATTGTGGACACTAGAAATAGAATTTCAAATAACTTTCATGTGTTGCAAACCGTTATCCTTTTAATTTTTTTCAACCTTCTAAACATGACAAAACCATTCTTCGTTCCCAGGATGTACAAACGCAGGAACCAGGCAGGATTGGTCCATGGACTATAGCTGGTCAATGTCTGATTTAGTGCCATGAATCATCTCTATAGCTTTTCATGCACAATGTCTAGCATTCAACACAAGATTACCAGGCACACCAGGGGACAGAACCAAGCGAACAAAAACCAAAGAGAAAAAACAAAAGACAAAAGACATAGTCTCATAGAATAAGTAAGTATTGGAGTTATCAGACACCACCTTTAAAACAGCAGTTAGGCCAGGCGTAGTGGCTCACGCCTGTAATCCCAGCACTTTGGAAGGCTGAGGTGGGCGGATCACCTGAGGTCAGGAGTTCGAGACCAGCCTCTCCAACATGGAGAAACCCTGTCTCTACTAAAAATACAAAATTAGCTGGGCGTGGTGGTGCATGCCTGTAATCCCAGCTACATGGGAGGCTGAGGCAGGAGAATCCCTTGAACCCAGGAGGCGGAGGTTGCGGTGAGCTGAGATCATGCCATTGCACTCCAGCCCGGGTGACAAGAACGAAACTCCATCTCAAAACAAAAACAAAAACAGCGATTAATATATTAAAGAAAATAGATTACAAGATGGAGAATTTCAAGAGGAACTGGGACACATATAAATACTACTACCTTATATATAAATAATGTATATGAATAATTTACATATTTATATATGAATAATTCATAGGAATATTTTTAAGAAAATGGAGTAAATTCCTGCTAATTCCTGTGCAATCAGCCTTGGGAAATTTTCACGTCCTTTTTGGGTGTGGGTTTTCCCATCTGTGTAAGAGGAAACTGGGCCTAGATCAGTAAGCCTCAAGGTGTTCTCTTGGGCCTTAATGTAGCTTCCAGGGGCTGGAGAAGAATCAAAGAGGAAGCTGCAGGGCACCCACTCTCTCTCCATACACTGCTGTCTCCCCTCAACCTATTTTCCATGTTGGGGATGAAAGATTTAGCTGAAAAGAACTGTGAAAATCTCAGGACTGATTAGTGCACAGGGCCCTTCCAGCAGCAATGATATAAAACGCCGTAAAAGAAGGAGAAGATTCATGGTAGGCTCTCTGGTTGGCATCTTTAGAGGCAGGGATGGTACGGATGGAGAGAAGGTCATACAAGGGGACCCACTGGACAGTCCAGAACAAAGGCATGTGGCCAAGGAGCACCCCAGGAAGGGTTGGCGGGAAGTTTGAAGAGAACATGAGGAGGTGTGAGCAAAACAGGTTGTGTCTTTGGGGGCTCTGCAAGGCCTCCTTTTCCCTAGAGGACCCAGTCTTTGTCTTATGCTTTGAATTCTTCCACTTGGATCCTGGTTCTATAGTTGTCTTTCAAGAAGCAAACTCTTCTTGGAAGAATAAATTATTCAAATGATAGGGTTACTGGAGCATGGGGGTGGGCTTGGGAGCCCAGGATTGTTTCTTTGTGGCAGAAGAGATGCAGGGGAGCAAGACAGTCCTGGTCCCTGAAGCAAATAGTGACATCAAAGTGAGGGAAGGAAGGAGGCCAGACCTCATCAGAGCTGCATGCTGGAAGCTGTGCTGGGCTCCCTCCTGCTGATTTAATTTAAACTCCATAATATGATACTACTATTTATTCAGAGCCTGCTATGAGCCAGGTGGACCACTCGGTCCCCATAGCTCGTAAGATTGCGAATGGGGCTCACAGAGAAGGTATGGGCATTCTTCCTGGGCCATCCCATCGGCTCTGGGCACTGCCATTATCATCTCTAGAGCAATTACTGATCATGACGTCCTCTCTTGCCCAGATCCCTCACCTTCTGCATTCTCTTGTCTACTGGACATCTTTCCTGGGGAAATTCCAAGCTCCTCAACCACACAAACAACTGTTTCTTTCCTTGTTCCTTCATCTCGGTGAAACAAAGCCACCAGTGTCTTCTCATCCCCCTGTCCCTCCTCCTCCTCTCCCTCCTCCTCTCTCTCCTCCCTCCTCCTCCTCTCCTCCCTCCTCCTCCCCTCCCTCTGTTCCTCCTTTAATGACATGCTGTGACCTTACTGCTTCCCTTTCTCATGTGTCTGAGATGGCACTTCCTCCGCCCACCTGAGCCCTATACTTTGCAGTCACTTGCCCAGCTAACTCACTCCTGTGGGCACCACTATTACCATCCAGCCAGATGCCAGGTGCCTGGCATAAGAAGGTCTGGTTGCATTAGGCTGTGGGGTGTGGGCAGGGACTCAGTGCACCCTGTCTGACTCCTCAGCTGCTGTGTCCAGAGTCACCTGTGAACTCAACTTCTGTTCCGGCCCTGCCTTTGTGTTGGCTGCTTCTGTGCCCGTGACCCAATCTTACTGTACACATAGTGGAAACGCACCTTGCAGAGAGCGTGAGTGCTTTCTCCCTTGGCTTGTGTTTCAACTGCACTCTGTATTCCTGGACAAACTGCCATCATCGGTGTGGCCACCAGGCCTCTGTGCTCTTTGGATGCAGTGGCTGGGTCCTGGGTAAAGTTGTGGACAAGACGACTCCCAGACAGAATGTGCGCAGCCAGGAGGATGAGCTGCCAGACCGTGGGCTCCAGGCAGAGGCAGGTGTCTCTCTTGTTCATGACAGTGTCTCCAGAGAAGCAGCAGCCACATCATAAATACTTGGCAAATGAATGACTGATTGAACGAGTGAGTGAAGATGGCATCTGACTTGGTTCCAGGTGCCTCCCTTTCTTTTCAGCACTCTCCTTGCTGGGGCACACCTGGCTGTGGGCTGGGACCTCTCTGCTAGCTCCTATGCCCTGCTGAGTCAGGAAGCATCAGCTAATAGGTTCATCACATCAGCTACATTCTGGAACTGAGCGGAATTCGAACGTTTGTCAGTGGCCACCTCCACCAGGGAAGAGGCTGTGCTGGACGAAGGTGTCCAGCGACCAAGGCTGGATCCTTCCCAGGTCACAAAAGGCTCTGCCGGGTCCAGACATGGTGCCGTCATCTCCAGACAAAACAGAGGGGGAGAAATGGGTGGTCTGGAGGAGGAGCACCTGTCCAGGTAGGTTCCCAAGGCAGCCAGGGGAGCGAGAGGCACTGGGGGTTGTGCAGGAGGCTGCCTTGGGGCCATGCAGATGGTTCCCGTCATGGCCTGGTCACTATCGAGTGGTGACCTGCCAAAAGGGATCATCTGACCACTCAGAGTCTCGGATTCTACACTGGGGATTGGGAGAAGCTGACCTTTCCACTGGCCCTCCCAGCCCAGGTCAGGGGATTGGAGGTCTTTTCCCTGCTTCCTGGCAGTTCCATCTAGTATGCCACCAGCTCCCTGGGACAATAAACGTGTTGCTGGAGAGGAGAATAACCACCTCACTCCTCCTTCTTCTCAGAAGGTCAGATCCCTTCCTCTCTGGTCCAATCAGACCAACTTGGATCCCTGGTCTTCTTCCCAAGGTGACAGCAGCATCCTCTAACAGTGATGGAGGAGGAGGGTGTGTCACTGGAGATTTCTGAGGCTCACTGTGCCCATCCCAGCACACCCTACCTCCAGCCCTGCTCCTAGGGAACCCACTCATCCCAGCCTGGCAGAGGGCACTGCTCTGTCTGTAACTGTGCCCATCCCAGCACACCTCACCTCCAGCCCTGCTCCTAGAGAACCCACTGATCCCAGCCTGGCAGAGGGCACTGCTCTGTCTGCAGAGGCTGTGGCTGCCACATGCACTTTTCACTTCAGGCTCACAAGCCATTTTCAAAACAGTTATGAGGATGACAACGTGGTCCTGCAGGGCTCTGTGTCACCTCCCAACTCATTCTATTTTTAGCATACAGGTCTCCAGAGCAGTGAACAGCCAGGCTCTTCCAGCATTGGCAGCGAGAAGTATGTTCACACCTCCACATCCCCTTAGGTGCATGTGTGTGTGTGCACACACACTGTCCTGCACATGCACACACAAATGCATGAACACACACAAATACATGCACACACGCACACACAAACATGGGCATGCACACATACACACAAACACATGGCCAGGGACAAATGCACACACATGTCCCCAGACACACATGCACAGCCAAACACATATGCTCTAGCATATACTGACCCAAACACAACCAGACACACTGGCATATATAGATACAAACACACACACACACACAAACACATGCACACACAGACACACAAACACATGGACATGAAAATACCTATGCCCACTCACACACAAACATACACACACATGAATGGGCACATGCATACACAAAAACACTAGCATATATGAGCACAAAACCCAACACACACACATTTGCAAACAGGGACACAAAAACACAGACGCACGGGCATGGACAAACACACAGGCGTGCACGAGTGCACACACACAAGAACTGCATGCATGCAAACACAGGCACACTCTTAAAGGCACAAGCTGTGCCACACACACACCCACACACCCTTCATGAAACACCTGCCTGGATGCAAGGCCTCTGGTACACAGGGCCGCTGCCCCTAAGGAGTTGGGGTCACTGTGTCCCTCTGTGCACAGCTCCCGGTGATGAGGGAGATGCACCAAATACACTGGTTTGTTTTTTCCTGGTCCTCCCCACTCTTGCCTCCCCCTGGCCTCCACAGTGTGCCTCCCCACGTCCGTGGAGGGCTGGGTTGCCCATCCTCCGGAAGCCGGCAGTGGAGAAGACAGAGGCATATAAGCGCATGACAGCAGCTGCATCCATGCGAGGATCCCACAGATCTGGGGCCATAGCGTCTCGTGTCTCGCTTTTTACAGAAACCCCATGGGTGACAGGGTCAGTGGAAGGAACGCTGTCTTGATTTTGCTGATGTAAAGGCTGAGGTTCCAGGGACAAGGTGACTTCTGCAAGGGGAGGTATTCAGCTTCGAGCAGAGCAAGACTTGGAGGCAGTGCCTGACTCCATGTCTGTGGAAGGTGTGTCCGCCTGATATGGTTTTGTCCTGAGAGCATCTGCAGGTCCCAAGGGACCTAAGCTGGACACACTCTGCTCACCGTGTGAGCTCACGGAAGGCCCTTTACAACCCAGCAGAGAATATGACGTTGATAAGACTGGAACGAGCTGGGCACTGCGAACTGGACTGCAGGGCCCTGGCATGCTGGGGACAGTGTTGCTGGTTGAACCGTGTCCACCAGAAATGAGAGGCTGAAGTCCTGGCTCAGTCCACTCCTGCGGTTCTCACACCTTACATTGGGTGACTTATAAACACAGACTTATTTCTCACAGTTCTAGAAGCTGGAAGGTTCAAGATGAAGGTGCTGGCAGGTTTGGGGTCTAGCAAGGGCTGCTCTCTGCTTCTAAGATGGTGCCTTTTGCTGCATCCTCAAGTGGCAGAAAGGCAAAAAGACTCCAGGGTGCCCTGTCATCCTCTTTTGTAAGAGCCCTGGTTCCATTCTTTTTTTTTTTTTTTTTTTTTTTTTTTGAGACAGAGTCTCACTCTGTCACCCAGGCTGGGGTGCAGTGGCACAATCTAGGCTAACTGCAACCTCAGCCTCCCCAGTTTAAGCGATTCTCCTGCCTCAGCCTCCTGAGTTGCTGGGATTACAGGCACACGCCATCATGCCTGGCTAATTTTTGCATTTTTAGTAGAGACAGGGTTTTACCATATTGGCCAGGCTGGTTTCAAACTCCTGACCTCAGGTGATCTGTCCACCTCAGCCTCCCAAAGTGCTGGGATTACAGGCGTGAGACACCGCACCCAGCCAGAGCCCTGTTCCATTTTTGAGGACCACAACGTCGTGACTACCAGTCACAGAGGCCGACGCCTAGGCAGTGCCTCCCCCTTGCAGGTGCTGGCCGGAGACACACACAACAACTCAGCTCACCCTGGCATCATGAGTAACAGGAGATCATGCATGTAACACACCCAGCACAGCAGGGTGATCACGCACGTGATGCACCCCACACAGCAGAAGCGCTGAGATGGGACAGAGGCCATGGGAGGCTCTTCCAGGGTGAGGGTCAATGGGAGGGAGTAGCTGATGGACGGGGAGGGGAGGATGCAGGGGCGAGGATGAGGCCAGAGGCAGTGGCTCTGAAGGTCAGGTGAGGGGATGGCCAGGTTGACACTGTGTAGGGCTGCATCTGGCAGCAAAATCTGGGTGCGGGGACACAGTGGGTGGGGTTTGGGTTGGACAGTAAGGAAAGGAGGGTTTTTTTGCTTTGTTTTTTTTTTTTTGAGACAGAGTCTGGCTCTGTCACCCAGGCTGGTGTGCAGTGGCATGATCTTGGCTCACTGAAACCTTGGCCTCCAGGGCTCAAGTGATTCTCGTGCCTCAGCCTCCCAAGTAGCTGGGATTGATTACAGGTGTGTGCCACCACGCCCGGCACATTTTTGTATTTTTAGTAGAGACAAGGTTTCGCCATGTTGACCAGGCTGGTCTTAAACTCCTGACCTCAGGTGATCTGCCTGCCCCAGCCTCCCAAAGTGCTGGGATTACAGGTGAGCCATCATGCCCGGCCAACGAAGGAAGCTTTCATCTGAGGTCGGCAATTGTGGACTTAGACTCAGCCTAACTGTGATCTATCCACTCCTTCCATGCATATGTGTGGATGGCACGCAGTTGCTCTCACTCAAGGTGGAGGTTTTGCACGTCAGGTAGAATGGGGCCCAAGAGGGACAAGTGGGAGGATGGTTCAGTGCCTAGGAGGGAAGGGGGCGGCACAGCCAGACCTCACATGCGCTGGAGGATGGGGATTTTGAAAGAAGCCTAAAGGCCTGAAAGCCCAAGGAGGAGGAGGAGGCCCTGGCCAACCCGGTCTGCAAGACAGCAGCAAGAGACAGAAGCTACATGAGGGCCCCCAGGAGAGGCAACAGAGGCCGGGTGAGGTGGAGAGGGGGGATGGCATTTGGAGGAGCGGGGAACAACTCAGGAGCAGTCAGGGGTGTATCGGAGTGTGGGCAAGTGGAGAGGGCCAGAGTGCAGCCAAGTCAGGACATGCACAGAGCCCTCCTGGAGGGAGTGAGGCTGACGACGGCACAGCAAATGCCCGCAAGGACAGACCTCTCAGACCCCTCTGTGGGACCTCTTCCTCTCCTTCTCTCCCTTTGATGCCACATCTGTCTCCTTTGGCTCTGGCTGACGTCTGGTTTTGTGTCAACATGGAGGCTGGGACAGTGGCGTTCTCCCACAGGTGACCTCACGTGAACACGGTCTTGTCCTGCCTGGACTACAGAGTGAATGAATCTCTTCTCTGCAGACTAATCTGGTGCTTTTACCTTGGCGCTCCTATCAAGACCCACAGTCCCTGCAGTGCGGGGTCACAAGGCTGGTGGTGAACACCTAGGAGGTGTCGTACCACCAGCTGCCTTGTCAATGAAAGTCCCAGTGGTGGGGAGGCAATTTCCCAGGCTGGGGAGCACACAGGCCAATCTATGACACCCAAATGTGTGGGCAAACCACGAAACCTGGTGTTCACTCCATGCCCCTCTGTCACCCCAGAGGCTGCCTGCTGAGCTGCAAGGAATAGAATTCAATAGCAGTTGTTTGTACTAAGTAGGACAATTTTTCATTGTAAGCCCTAAAACGTATTTTCGGTCATGGTACAAAATTAGCCTTAGAAGGCACCTGGAGTGGTCAATTGTTGGACAGTTGTGGTCCCTGCACAGATGCTGATAAGGGGTTACCATGTGTTGGGAGCCTTGCTCTATGCCAGGTGCTCTGCTGGGCCCGTCCCACCCGTTATTGCTCATGTTTACAGTAATCATCTCACAAGGTGGGCGATGCGGGTTGAACGGTGCTCCCTCCCCCAAAAGATATGGCCACATCCTGGCTCAGGTACCTGAGCATGGGACCTTATTTGGAGACAGGGTTGTGCAGATGTGATTAGCTAAGGATCTCAATTGCCTGGGACTCAGGGTGGACCCTAAATCCAATGACAAGTGTCCTTATAAGGAAAGGAGAGGGATATTTGAGACACATAGAGATATAGAGGAGGCAGCCACGGGATGATGGAGGCAGAGACTGGGGAGATGCAGCCACCGTCCGAGGAATGCCTGGAGTCCCCAGAAGCTGGAAGCAGCGAGGAAGGCTCCTCCCCAGGAGCCTCCAGAGGGAGCATGGTCCTAGGACACCTTTCTTTCAGACTTCTGGTCCCCAGAATTATGGAAGAATAAATTGCTGTTGTTTTAAATCACCCATGTGCGAAACTTGGTTACAGCAGCCACGGGAAACCAATGCCATTGGCTTCACTGTTTTCATTTTGCAAAGAGGAAAGGGAGGCTGGGAGAGGCTGAGACACTAGTGCAGTTTACCCGCAGTCTGGTCAGTGGCAGAGCCTGATTCCAGAAACCATGCTCCCACCACGTGTCCCCAAGTCCTAGCCAAAGACTGAAAGCAGTCGACTCGCCCCCAGCAACAGAGGGACATCAGGACGCTGGCCTTGGAGAGGAAGCGCTGCCCAGGACCCAGCAGCCTCCTTTGACTCCACCCACCATCCCCACGTGACCTGCTGACTCTGACTCAAAGCCAAATGCACAAGGTATGTTTCACACCTCTTGGAGGAGGCCTTTCATCTCCCATCCTCTGTGCTCTGGCAGTCCCAAGGTGTGCATAATTCATTCCTAAGCACCAGCTAGTCTGAGAAGGGCACTGTGAACAGCAGAGGAGGGTAAGGCAGTCTGGGTGGAAGGAGGAGAGGAAATGGAGGCTGGCTTAAAACCCCAGGCCCCCTCCTTCTGTGGAGCGGAGCTTTATCCTTTCCTCATCAGAGCCTGGCAGAGCCCTGCCTGCCCTCCAGGATGGAGGGCAGGGCAACATTCCTCCCAAAGGTGTGGACAGAAGCAAGGCTGGTAATGGGGGAGAAAGGCAGAGCCCTGGAGACCTGTCCCCTCCCTCTGAGGATGGAACCCAGTGCACCTCGACACACATACCCACAACAGCCTTCTCGGTGCTGGCAGAGGTGGGAGGGCTCCAAAACAACTCATTTAGGAAATTGTCGCCCTAGACTCTCCAGCAAACTCCAGGCCTTTGAGGGTGTCTCTGACGTCCATTTGTTATCATTGCACATTGTTATTTAGTATGATTGCATGTGATTATTTTGATTATTTCAATTCTAGCTGTGGAGGGGAAGAGCAGCTGGAGGTTCTGCTAGGATGGGCTCACTCAATCCTTCCAAGGACGCTCTGTCTGAGGGCTTCCTTCCTCGGTGCAGTGGCCTAACCACTGGCCCCAGGACAGGGAGGTATAGGAGAGGTCTGGACCCTGTGGCCCCTCAGGAG
The DNA here is from genome assembly GCF_000001405.40 of Homo sapiens. Lineage (NCBI taxonomy): Eukaryota > Metazoa > Chordata > Mammalia > Primates > Hominidae > Homo > Homo sapiens. Next base: position 4,744,949 of record NC_000001.11, on the reverse strand, counting down.
CCTCCCAGCCCCGAATCCGGGCCCTATTAGGTCTGCCTCTCTCCTGAAGCCCCGCGTCCCAGGTGGGTGTGTGTCCTCTGCTTGTCTGTCACACTTAACAGTGACACCAGCAGGGGCAAATCATGTCTGGCCTGGTATTTGTCTTTATGTGTGCATGGTATGTGTGCCCATACCTGTGTGCATGCAAGCGTGGGCCTGTGTTTCGTGTCTGCATGTGGGCATGTGTGCCAGGGTATATGTGACTGTGTGTTATGTGCACATGGTGAGACATGAGGGTGGGCGTGCTTGGGCATGAATGTGTGTGTGTGTGTGTGTGTGTGTGTGCATATGCATGTGGGCATGTGTGCATGTGCATGTGTGCCCCTTCATGTTGTGTGCACACAGCTGGGTGTGAGGGAAGCATGCATGGGTGCATCCCTGTGTGTGCACGTGAGCAGGTCTGCATCTGGATCCTGCCCTGTCTTTCTGGCTAGGCCCAGCCAGGCCCACATCCTCCCCCGAGGCCTCTCCCCACAGCACTCAGCAACATGCTCTCTAATACAGTTTAATAATTGCTCTGCTGATTTCTTCATTGACCTTGGACAAATCACTTACGTTCTCAGCCCACTCATCTACCAGAGGAAAAAATACGTGAGAGTCCTTTAAAAATCACAGAGCTTTACACAAACGGAGGGTTCCGTGTGAGGCTTCTGAACAGCAGGAACGGCTGCACACCAGACGAGACACGCCTGCCATCAACATGTGGTGGCCAAGGCTCCTTCTGGGTCAACCCACACATGCGTGGCTGCACCAGCTCGGGCCTGGCTTTGCTGCCCTTGACAAAATGACTCAGGCCCTCAAAGGCCCGTTTGATCTACACACTCAGACGTCCCTGGAGGTCACGTCCCACTCTCGTCCCATGACCCCTTTAACTATCCCCTCAGCCCTGTTCACAGAGATCCCAGCTCTCTCCCAGATAAAAAACACCACATCACTTCACCTCCGCATCCCAACCTGGAGAGCCTGGAGAGCCTGGAGAGCTCTCTCAGTGATGGTCCAGGGTGCCGTGGCCCCACCTTCTCCCGTAATTATATCATCAAGACTGAATCAGCATGCAGGCATCATTGAAGTCAGGAGGCCAATTATTCCCCAATTGATTCTGACCAGGTAAGTCAGGGATTGTTCTCGGCGAGACCCCCCATAGATGAAGTTCATCCAGTTTGACCTTCATTTTGCAAATCTGTCCCAGCTGCACAGAGCACTTAAGGGTTCAGGTCAGTATGTAAAAGATAAATTCGTTGAAGGGTGCAGAGGGGAAGAAATTAGAAAATCATTCTGGCCAATTGATTGCAAGCTCCTGGCAATGTCTCAGCATTTCTTTGCAGGCCTGCTGTCGGGCGGATGGAGGGATGGATGGATGGATGAATGAATGAACGCGGACACATACGCATTAACACATATCTGGATGAACGAATATGCAGGGAGCAGGCGCGGGTGGCAGCTGCACTTCCTGTAAAGTATAAGTTCCCTGTTTCTCCACCCATCCTAAGCCCCTTCCCTTTTAGTTTTCCATAACCAGGTGCACTGTCTCGAGCCCCTTTTCTGCCCTCCTTCCCTGGCCCTGCCCTCACTACCACAGGCTGATCCCCAGCTAAGATGTGCGCTCTTGTGCTGAGGTCTTTGCTTTTGTGACCTCTGTCTCTTGTTCTATTTCCTCCTTGGGACCTGATGAAATTCCTATAATGTGACAGGAAAGAGCCAAAATCACTCTGTGGGGCCCCAGCAGAGAACACATGTCCATTTCAACAAGAGCCTTTGAGGGTAGCAGTTGGCAGGTGGATGTCACTGCAGCCACCAAGGGGTAATCTGTGGGTGCAGGACAAGTTCCAGGATCCCCAAGTCATTCCCCAGGGAGCCGTGGAATCCGTACAGGTTCTGACGGGGACAGGGGACCTGAGGGGTATTCTCCAGAACATGCTAGCACACTTGTGTCTACCTCATCAGGCAACTTGACGTTGAAATCTGACCCAGTGGGTCGGTCAGTCGTCAACATCACCATCATCCCCACATTTACCCCACCAGGAGGGGTCACCCAAAGAAAACAGCATGAAGACCATTCATAGTGCAGCAACCTCTGAATCAGTATCAGGGCTTTTGGGGAAAAGTAAAAGTACTAACCCTAAACCATTTTCTACCTGGGCTAGGGTGGGGGAACGGTTGTGTTTCATGAAGCCAACCCACATTTTTCTTCCTGTATAGGTGTCTGAGATTGCAGAGAGTGACTTAAGAGAGGAATTGAAAAGGCTGTCAGCTTTTATATTGCATCATTTGATTTATTTTACACTATAGTTAAAAAAAATTTCGAACTTCGAGAAAACAGGAAAGGACAGGACAAAGACACCCTTAGACCTTCCCCAGAGCCCCCAACCCTGATTCCCCAGGGGCCCCAAGCATGCAAAGAGACCCCATTCAGGCTCCCAACTTGCATTTGAGTCTCTCGTCTTCCAATTGGGAACAGTTTCCCAGCCCTTCCTAGACTTTCATGACCTTGGCATTTTGAAGATTACAGACCAGTCATTTTGTAGAATGTCCCTCAATTTTGATTTGCCTGACATTTCCTCATGAACAGATCAGGTTATGAATTTGGGGAAAGAAAATCACGAAGCCGTACTGTGTTCTCAGCGACTCCAATCAGGCAGCGCAGGAGCTGATCTGTCCTTTTACTGGAGAGGGGGTGACTTGGATCACTAGGGGGCAGAGGTGCCTGCAAAGGATCTTCAGGGTAAAGTCACTCCCTGGCTTTGCGTGGCCAGCATTTCATGGGAGATAACTGGAGATGAATGTCCCATTTGCCATCCAACGTTCACCCACTCTTTAAAACTCACTAATGTCTCTTGCCTGAATTAATCATTACTATGATGGTTTCAATGGTTCTAATTCCATCATTCCTTTCACGTGCATCACCTGGCATTCTACCATAAAGAATTGTCCTTTTCCGTGTCTTATTCACTCAGGGATTCCACTTTATTATGTGAGTTAGACCAGAAATTGTCTCTGATTTGGCCAGTGGGAGCCCCTTTGGGCTGGCCTCTGGGTCTTTTAGACAGGTGCCCATCATTCCGTGAGTACTTTCTTACTTTCTGGAACAAGATATTCCAGACTTGACTCCTGCTCTCCCTGCCCCAGTCCTGGAATCAGCCATTTACCCAATGAGCCCTGGTTCCAAGAAATTCTGCAAACTGAGGCCTGGGTGCTGGGTATGCCCATCTCTGCTGGAGCATCACTGCCTAGCGCCTCTTAATTGGAGAGCCAAGAAATGTATGTATGAACACTCGCATTTGAAACCCTGAGTTTATACTGACACCTCTGTGTTGAAATGAAAAACGTGTCCCCAAGTTCATGTCTACCCAGAACCTCAGAATGTGATGTTTTTTGGAATAGGGACTTCAAGAATGAATTAAGATGAGGTCACACATGACTGGTATATTTGTAAGACAGAGAGGACCCACAGACACACACAGGGCCGTAGGGAAAGAGAGGCAGAGATTAGAGTGGTGTGGCCACAAGTCAAGGGACGCCAGCAGCTCCCAGAAGCTGGAAGAGGCCGGGAAGGGTCCTCCCCTGGAACCTCCAGAGGGAGCAAGACCCTGCACACACTCTGATTTGGGCTTCCTGCTCCAGACCTGTGAGAGGATGCCTTTCTACTGGGTTAGGTCACCTGGTCTGTGGTCCTTCCTTGCGGCAGCTCCAGGACACTCGGATGACCTCCAAATCTAGCCAAGACCCTGGGCTCACTCTCACTCCTTCTCCCAGAGAGAAACCTAGCTCCCGTTTTCTGTTTGTTCATCCACCCAACCCCTGCGTGAGGCAGACCTCCCAGCCCTGCCAGCCCCTCCCTGCTCTCATGTCCTCCTTGAGTGGCCATGGCCCCCAGGCTTTCAACGAGACTTTGTAGTTGCAGAGTCGGACAGCTCCTCTGCTGCACAACATTCAGGAAGTGTCCTTGGCCCCAAGTCTTCGTGAGGATGAAGGTGGGTGCCAGACGCAAGACACCTGGACCCCACCCTGCAGGAAGCTTATTCTGGCAGATCCTTTCTCTTTTTAAAATTTTTAAATTGTGATAAAATGCACATAAGATAAAATTGACCATCTTAGCCCCCCCCGCTTTTTTTTTTTTTTTTTTTTGAGACGGAGTCTTGCTCTGTTGCCCAGGCTGGAGTGCAGTGGTGCGATCTCGGCTCACTGTAAGCTCCTCCTCCCGGGTTCCCGCCATTCTCCTGCCTCAGCCTCTGGAGTAGCTGGGACTACAGGCGCCCGCCACCACACCCGGCTAATTTTTTGTATTTTTTAGTAGAGACGGGGTTTCACCATGTTAGCCAGGATGGTCTCGATCTCCTGACCTTGTGATCTGCCCGCCTCGGCCTCCCAAAGTGCTGGGATGACAGGCGTGAGCCACCGTGCCCGGCCAGCCACTTTTTAAGCGTACAGTTTGGCAGCATTAAGCACATTTACATTGTCAGGAAATCACCACCACCCTCCAACTCCAGAACTTTTTCATTTTCCCAAAACTGAAACTCTGTCCCCATCAACACTCACTCCCCATCCCCCTCCCCCAGGCCCTGGCACCCACCATTTGACTTTCTGTCTCTATGCATTTGGTGACTCCAGGGACCTCATATGAGTAGAATCTGACAGAGTTTGTCCTTTTGTGGCCGGTTTATTTCGCTTAGCAGAATGTCCTCAAGGTTCAGCCACATTGTATCATATGCTGTAATTTCCTTTGGTTTTAAGGCTGAGGGATATTTCATTGTGTGGATGGACCACATTTTGTTTATCTGCTCATCCATAGATGGACACCTGGGAGGTGTGACTTCGAATATTGTAAATAACGCTGCTGTGAACATGGGTATGCGCACATCTCTCTGAGACTCCGCTTTAAATTCTTTTAGATACACCCCGTCAGGTCCTTTCTCCTTCCAAGATGAGAGGTGTCGTGAGCTGGACGGGGAGTGGCCACCATGGTGGGAAGCCATCCCGGAAGCCCTCTCAGTAGATGATGGGTAAGGCCTGGGGTGGGCTCTGCCCCTTATCAGACACTCTGATGCCAAAGGCACAAGAAGGAACCTCAGACTTTAGGAGGGATGCAGAAGAACCAAACACAATTCAACGTTGAAGTGAGGGCCGCCACAACCATGCTGTGTGGTGAAGAACAGAAATCACAAGTACAAAAGAAAACAGAAAAAAAAACAACAACCAAAAACAGAACCTGCTGCCTCCTCCCCCTCTTCAGATGGTTTTTTCTCCTTTTAAAAATATGCTCCAAGGGTCATTTCTGTGCAGTGAGAGAACACGAAAAATACCAACAGCTCGTGTGAAATACCAGCCAAGATGACTAAGAAAAGATGAAATGCAAATTGATCTCTGCCTCTTGGGAACTGATTTAAGAATCTGTTCAAAATCAAATTAACTTTTTGACTTATTTCCCCAGAAAGCTCAGAAGGTGGCAAGGAGACCTGGAGTTAACACGAGGGTAGGGGGTGGACTGCATTCCAAATGCATTGCCAACAGTGGGCTTCCCAGGCCTGTCGCATGACCATTGCTGCCGACAGACGGGAGATGTCTGTGCTTGGACGGACCCACTTTCCAAGGCCGGCAGACCCCAAAGCCTGCCGATACTTGCACTGGGCAAAGTGGGAATTATTACGCAGGTTTGCAGCATTGTGAGCAAAGTGGGATGCTGTGTGTGAGATCGTCTTTCCCCGCCTGCAGTTTACTGTGGGGTTGTGGAAGGGCACCCCCAGGACGAGAAGACTCTCCCACATGTGTTTGAGTGGGACATCCACCAGTTTTCTGCGTCATTTAGCTCCAGGTACCAGGAGTCTCACCAAGAATTCCGGTGCCCATGGAAAATGCAATCTCCCGGGAGAGAGGAGAAGCAGTGGCCCTGCCTCCCCCACATCTCAATTCCCAACATGAACTTGGTGTCCAAACCCCCAGATGTGCCCCCACGCCCTTCCCACCTCCTTCTCCTCCTAAGTGGTCACCTTGCCCTGCTGCCAGGGCCCCAGGTCTTCCAGCGGTTCTCTCCTCTGAGTTCTCCTGCTCCTATGGGGCCTCCCTTCATGGAAGAGCCAAGTCAAGTGGTGGCCTCCGCCCACATTTTGTCCATGCATGTCCTAGGCACTTTCATTTCCCCCTGGAGTGGAATCCCTAGCAGGGCTCCCCGCTTCCCACAGCCTCTCCTACATCCAGCAGCCCAGGGAACCCTTCCAGAACAGAGCTCAGATCTTCCTGCTTCCCAGCTCAAACCCTCCAGCGGCTTCTCCTAGTCTCTGCACACCCCCGCGGTGCTGCCATGGCCTGGGGGGCCTGCCCTGGCTCCCACCCCCTCTCCTTACTCTTCCCTTCTGCTCTGTGCTAATCCTTCCCACCAAATCTGCCTGCCAGTGGCTCTCGCCAACAACCTCCACTCCTGCCCTAGGGCTGGCTTCCCTCCCGCCTAGAGTGCTCTCTCTTAGCTCCAGACCAGCTACCCCCTAATCACCCTCCCCTTGTTCAGAGAGAGGCCCCTCACGCATGCTAACTCCCCAGTCAATCCACATTCTTCTTGCAGAGACTCTTATGCTATCTTGTGTATTGACTCAGTCTGCTCAACATGGTTGACAATTACGCATTTATTTGAGTGAATTTCCAGACAATCACCCTTGTGGGCCTGCTAGCCCCATGAGAGCAGGGCCCCTGTTGTGTTGATCATGCCTCATCATGCATGGCCGTGGCCTGCCATGTGGCTGGGGGCTGCATGCTTGAAGGACGCCTGGGCTTTGGGTCCCATTACTCTTCTGAAACATTAGCAAGACAAGAAGTGTAACATTTGGAATGAGTAAAATTTGTACTCAGTACCAGGTAAAATCAAGCCTGGGAAGCTGTTTCCCCCAGGCAGGTGCTTTGCACACCTTTGGAGTTTAACCAGCTCTTGTGAAACTGAGTTCTGGGCTTCTTCAAAATCCACATGGAACCATGGGTGCAAAAGGCAGCTGGTTTTGGTTTTGGTTTTGGTTTTGGTTTTTTTGAAAGAGGGTCTCGCTCTGTCGCCCAGGCTGGAGTGCAGTAGTGCAATCATGGTTCACGGCAGCCTCAATCTTCTGGGCTCAAGCGATCCACCTGCCTCAGCCTCTCGAGTAGCTGGGACCACAGGTGCATGCACCACTACATCCAGCTAATATTTTAAATAATTATTTTTGTAGAAAACGGGGTCTCACTCTGTTGCCCAGGCTAGTCTTGATTCCTGGGCTAAAGTGATTCTCCCACCTAGGCCTCCTAAAGTGCTGGGATTATAACTGTGAACCACTGCACTTGGCCTAGAATTTCTTTAAAACCCACAACAAGGGCCTCAGGAGTCTGGGACCTGGGCACCCTGGCCCTGCCTATGCAGAGGCCTAAGGAAAGGATGAGCTCGCAGATCTCGGGGGGCTTCCGTCTCGGGGGGGCTCCCGTCTCTGCTTGCACTTGCACTGCGTCCTGTTGCTGCACCAGGAAATCCAACACGAGCCCCAGAAAAAAAAATCTCACCCCACAGGTCCCCATCCTTGCCGGGTAATCAGTGCTATGGCATTTCCCTGAGAGAGGTGAGGGGCCGAGGGGTGGGTGGTGACGGGGGCTTGTCCAGGGACTCGGCAGAGCCAGGGGGCAGGCTCAGGCTCAGGCTCAGGCTCATGCTTTTTCCCGACTCTCTGCTCTGCCCCAGCCTCCTCCCAGCCTGGGTTTGGTGAGAACCTTCCCATCCCAGGGGTGCCCATCCACAGCCCCATAGTAAACTGCAGGCAGGGAAAGGACGCTCTCACACAGCATCCCACTTTGCTCGCGATGCTGCAAACAGGCGTAATAATTCCCACTTTGCCCAATGCAAGTGTGCCAACTCCAGTACATTCAGAGAGTTGCTCTAGTTCATTCAACCATTTTTCTCTAGATGATGGCTGGATTAAGCGGGGCCCTTGCTTGACCTGGGCATGAAAATAAGCCCCCGCAGGGAAGAATTCTCAGGCCTCAATCCACCCCCAGTAGTCAGCCCTGGAGACCCATGTCTGAGTCCTAGGGCTGCAGGTCCATGTAGAAGCCCTCTTTCCAACCAGCCCACCCAAGCTGTGCACTCCAAGTTTACCAGCGGCCCCCGCACGTTCTCCACAGATACACTGGGATAACTAGGGGTTTGAGCTACAAGGCCTTTTCTTTATTCTTTAATTTTCATTTGCTTATTCAATAAATACATATTGAACTCCCTACGTGTGCAAATTGCTCTGCCGTGTGCTATACAGAGGATAAAAAGAATCAAAAAGCACATCAAGGCTCGGGCCTGAAGGAGCTTGCAGGTTCACTGGGGAGTCAGGGCCTCACTTTTAATCCTATTTTGCAGTTATTTATACATATAAATACAACCAGGAAGGCAGCATGAACATTTGAGGAAGGAAGAGATTATCGCTGGCCACAGAGGATTAGAGGAAGATGTGTGGGAGGGGAAGTACTTGTGGCTGGTGTTTTTGGAGCAGAGTGAGCTGGGAGGGGGTAAGATGTGACTGGCAGAGCCAAGACCGTGGGAAAGGGAGGGCTGCGCACAGCGCAGCGGGCAACAGGAGGCCAAGGGAGAAGGCGGTCACAGCCTGGAAAAGAGGTGAGAGAGCTTGAACTTTCTTGGGGTAGGCAGTGGGGAGCCAATGACAGTTCTTGAGCAGGCGAGGGGCAACATCAGAGCTGTGGTTTAGGAGAACTGATGGGGCAACTATGTGAAAACTATTTCTGTCAACGGTCTCAGGGACACCTCTGCAGCCTTTACCATGTGCCAGGGCACATCCCAAGCCCTTTACAAACATTAACTTTTTCTCCTGACAACCCTGGGAGGTTGGCATTTTTCTTACCCCTGTTTTCCAAATGAGGAAAGTAAGGCGCAGGTAAGGCAGCTTGCCACTGTAGCAAGTAGGGAGCTGATCTGGGGCCTTAAGGAACCTCAGCGCCAACCCTCTTCCTCTAAGCTCTGCTCCCCTCAATCTGACCAGCAATGGCAAAGGCTGAAGATCACCGTGGAGACCCTCAGGAGGCGGGCCCCAGGGCTGAGCTGCAGTGACACAGGGAAGGGGAGCCAGCTCCGAGGCCAGAGGCAGGGGTAACAGGGGCTGTGCCCCATTTTCAGGAAGATGGGACCCCGGAGGAGGCGGCAGCTTGTCGAGGGGCTTACTGAGGCTCAGATGGCTGCACTGCATGAGTCAAGCCAGGGTAGGGCTTCAGGGAGCAGAGGAGCAGGGAGGAGCTCACCTCACACCTCACACAGCAGGCAGAGGTGCCCACTGTACAGCAGGCAGCCTGGGAGGAGAGACCTCCGTGTGCAGCCTCCTGAATGTCCCTGGCTATTCAGTGGGCTGTCTTATCTTTTTAAACCTTTCTGAGCTCTTAGGCCAGTGCCACAGGCAGAATAAAGCTGCCCACCCGGTGCAGTGGGTGCTGAGCCTGCATACCAGGCTCCTTTCCTGCAAAATTGGATGGGCGAGACATTCAACCAGGAGAGTCCCAAACCTGGGGCCCAAATTGGTCCCCTCTCCCAATAGGCGTTCTCACCCCACTGATGCACATCGCACCCTCCCTCCCACACGCTCCAGGCTGGAATTCCAGGGATGACTTCTCTCCCCATCTCCCCTATGTGAGTGTCACGGAAGAAAAGACCTGCTGTGACCAGCTTTTGAAGTGACTTCAGCCCAGTATGCTTTTCTTGTCTTCTTCTAGCAGCCAGGAGGCCTGGTCCCACCATGCCTTGCGTGCTGTGGCAGGCTTTTGTAAGGGTGTGCTCCTGCCGCTGGTGCGGAGCTCACCCAGGTGTAGAAGAGAAGCCCCTCTACCCGGCCCTCTATCACCCTCAAGGGTCGCCAAGCACGCGGAGCTCATACGTGTAAGCAAAGCAGGACGGCTCCCAGGGAAGTTGAGGTGAAGACGGCTGCTGCAGGCTGAGCTCCATCACGCGGCTCAGCTTGCAGGCGATGGACGGAGGAGTCGAGAAACAACATTGCCATCTGTGCCGGTGGACAGAAAGCCAGATGGAGGCTGAGTGCTCGGGGAAGAGGAAACGCCACTGTTTCGGGCCTCGGAAGCAGAAGATGCTTCCCGGGCCTTAGAAACCTTGTCCGGGGGAAGGTGAGAGCCTTGGCCCTGCCACCATCACTGACCCCTCTTGGGTGCTGCCCTTCTCCTTCCTTCCAAGAACACCCGAAAGACAGATCATGCATCATATTCAGCATCGCCCACAGGTGCCACTCCAGCCCCATCCAGTGCAGTCCGAGCTCCTGCAGTGACGAGGCCTGACATTCATTCATGGGCAGACCTGGACAGACTCCTTAATCCCTGTCTCCACTTCCTACTTTGTAAAATACCATACGCCCAAGGGATGGTGGAGAAGACTGAAGGAGATACAGTCAGATGAGTGCAGGCTGTCAACACACCATCCCTGGAACCTAGGTTTGAATCCTGACTCCACCCCCTTCAGGCTGTGTGACCTCAGGCAAGTCACTTAACCTCTCGGGGCCTCTGCCTCTGCTGATTTAAGATCAGAGGAATGCCTTCTTCCCAGGACGTGTGTCCTGTGGGCCTTATGAGATTTAATTCAAGTCAGCTGTCAGAACCTGGCTCCCAGTATGGACGCAGCGCTGTTAATAGTGAGGCAGGAGGCTCAGTAGGGCAGGCCCTTCCTATTCCGGGGCTCAGCTGAGGCACTCCTTTCATCTAAGAAGGAGCATCTGAGCGGGTGCCTCTCTTCCTCCACACAGAACAAGTGCATGGGTTCAGGGCCCTGGCAGGTCTGTATTTGGATTTTAATTGTCATGATTGAAGGGGCCTTTTGCAAATCGCTCTCGCTTTTCCTGGGCTGAGCCAAGTCAATACTCGGTACGTGATCGCTTACAAAAGCCGCTAATTGGAGCTCCGGCAAGGGCCCTGCTCGCGACGCACACACCTCGCGTGAACCGCTCCATTCAGCTCCCCCCGCCCCCACCTCCTTTGATCCACATCTCATAAGGGCATCTTGCCCTAGAATTATGAGCACAGAAATCAGAACAAGAATCTTCTTTGCGTTCTATTTCTGGCTCTGACACAGACGACGGCGTGTGGGCAGCTCACAATGCCAGAATTTTCTCTGGTCTCTGGGAAATAGCACAAGTCACAGTGGCCTTCTCCTATCCCTGCCCACAAGGAGAACAAGGGGAGGGGTGGGCTGTCCTGGACCAGGTCAGAGATGGGTCAGGATGAACCGAATCCTCCCAAGGCCGGCCCGCTGGGATTTCCCGCGCTCGGAGCAGGATCTGTGTTCCACATCCCATTCTTCCAGAACAAGGAGGGCGGGCCTCTGAGGACAGGAAGACGGCTGTGCAATTGGACTTGCTCCCCACTGGACTGCATGCCATGTGAGGACAGGGGTTGAGTTGATTTGGCTGCCTGTGAAGGGTCCCACTCCCAGCACAGCCCTGGGCACACGAGATACTTTGGTCAGCTGAATGAATGAATGAATGAATGAATGGTTGAACAGGTGAACAAGCGAATGAGATTCTGTTGGGCAGCTTCTCGCTGTCCTGTGACCTGCTTCTGTTGGGTTCTAAACCCAGGCTTTGGAAGTGATGACTCTTGGGGCCATCCAGCCTTGGGGAAGCACAGACCCACGGCTCCCCGTGACACTGACGTCTTGGGTATGCAGATCATCTGAAGGCGGCATTGCATTTTAAAAATCACGTGAAAACCCTGAGCCAAGCCCTGGGGGTTCTGCTACCTTCCCAGCCCTAATTCTAAGAGTAGAAGGGGGTCTGGGGTGGGGGCTGCCCACTTTGTTGGAGGCGGGGCAGGAAATCCCACAAAATTTTCTTGAGGCAAAAATAAGCATTTTAACAGCTTCTTAATTTTTCTCAATCCAAACAGATTCTGAAATGCCCTGCTGGGCAAAGAAGAGTCCAGAAATCCTATTTTCATTCATTTGTGGGGAATTTGGACCCCAAGAGGCCATAGCCAGAAGTCCAAGCTAAGATGTCTATTTGGAGACGCAGTTCCTCCAAGGATCTCCCAAGAGCGTCAGGGGAAAGAAAAGAAACAGCTCCAATTTTCGAAGCAGACTGTAACTTACTAAGCCTTCTCTCACCTCTCTGGTCTGGAGAACTGACTGAGGCCTGGTGTGGAAGATCATCTCCATTGTATTAAGGAGCCCACTGAGGCTCTGGACTCTGTGACTCACCCCAGGTCTCGCGGAAGGGCCAGGGGTTCACCCTCACTCCCTCACTCCTGCGTTGCTGTGAAGCCGCTCTCACCTGCCTGCACAGGCACAGTGGGGCCTGGCACAAGGGACACTCTCATTGACAGTAAGTTACAGCACTGAGAGGCTGTCTGTAGGCAGAGTGCAATTCTGGGGGCCCCCGAAGGAGCCCAAGTTGGGCCTCTGGGGCTCAGAGAACTGAGGGACAGCTGGCAGGCCATGTGAGGGAGGGGGCCCAAGGTGGGAGGGCAAAGCCACAGGGCAGGGTAGCTTGGAGGTCCCCTCTCCAGCAGCCACATACAATTTCTCCCTTTCCCTTTCACATAGGCATGGCCTTGCCCAGGTGGGCACATGTGACACCTCAGCCATGCCAGGTCTTAGAAGGATGGTGGCATTAGGGCCTCTGGAACCTGTCTGGCCTCATCAGCACAGTAGACTGGAGGGAAGGTCCTAGCACCAGCTGCTCCCTTCTCAGTCTCTTCTAGGGAAGGGAAAGGAGAATTTGGCTGTGCCCCATCCCCACATCATGGGGCCCTTCGGGCAAGAGGGGCTGGCTGAAAGCTGTTCCCTGTATGAACATTCAGAGACCTAAGGAAATGTGTGCCCTGTACCTCCCCATGCAGCCTCTCCCCAAGAGCACATCCTGCTGGCACTCAGAAAGGGGGCTCCTGCATGTGGGGCACAGGCTCCCGCCTCCCTACTCTGTCCCTAAGGCTGCTGCCTTTATCGGGAAGGGAGGCCTCCTGGCCACCCAGGGGGTGTCCGATGGAAGGGCAGCATGGAGAAGAGGGCTACAGGTGACGCCCAGCCCCTCTCCAGGAGGGCTCCCAGCCTCCCAGGACCCACCTGAGCTGAAGGACAGGGGCGGAAGGGTAGGGGCAATTCTTTCAGGAGCTGAGTTTGGCCTGAACTTTTCTCCAGAAACAGCCAGAAAACAGTGGCGGCCCTGTGTGCTTCTCTAGCCTTTGTCTCAGGCAGGCTGGAGCCCAGGTCCCAGGCCTTTCTGGACCAGCCTGCTTTGGAATGAGCCAGCTCTGTTGGGGACCCTGTATGTTACCAGCTAAGCTTTTGGGTCACAGGCCCTAAACCACCTGCTTCTCCCTCCTTCTCAAGCTGTTCCCTTAACTCCTGCAGGCTGAGGAAGCCCCAAAGCCCTTGACTTTCTTACCTGTCACGCAAAATGTTCACACCTTTCTGAAGTCTCTGGGGACCACTAGAAAGGCAAAGAGCTGAGGATCTGCCTGGGTCTGCCCGGCAGTGACAACATCTTGTAGGAGTTTGAGCAAATGTCAGCTCTTCAGTTACTTTAAAAAACACAATCAGGCCAGGCACAGTGGCTCACGCCTGTAATCCTAGCACTTTGGGAGGCTGAGGCAGGTGGATCACCTGAGTTCAAGAGTTCGAGACCAGCCTGGCCAACATGGTGAAACTCCGTCTCTACTAAAAATACAAAAATTAGCCGGGCATGGTGGTGCATGCCTGTAATCCCAGCTACTCAGGAGGCCGAGGCAAGAGAATCGCTTGAACCCGGAAGGCGGAGGTTGCAGTGAGCCAAGATTGTGCCATTGCACTCTAGCCTGGGCGACAGAGCAAGACTCTGTCTCAAAACAGAACAAAACACAACAAACAAACAAAACCTAAAACCTAAAATAAATAAAATTAAAAAATCAAAACAAAAAACAAATGTTCTTATGGTGAAAACATTTGCAATCTCCTTTTAAGTCAAGGAGTCGAGTTTACGAGTGAGACTAAGAGGACATACCCAAAAGGGTCAGGGACATACTTTGTGATTAGGGGAAAGAAGGGCTGCAGGCAGAGTTTGATCCAGCCAAGCAGGGGATGAGAACACTGGAGCACCAAGTGCAGGAAGGGCCAGGTCTGAGCATTGCTTGAGATGTCTGTTCTGAGTCCCTCTGGGTATCCAACTCCAGGCTGCACTCACAGCTCAAGAAATGCTGGCCCAGGCAGGGCCCAGATGTGGCTCAACATGGAAGGTCAGATATGGCTGGTGTTTTCCTCCTGGGAACACGGGTCCTTTCCCCAGGCTTCTGGCTTCTGAAAGGTGGCCTGGGGGTGGACAATGCCTTTGCTAGGTGCAGAGGGGCAGCCCCGCAGAGGTTCCTGATATCTGGGTTAACAGTAGGCACTGTGTGCCTTCCAGGAATCAATCACACACGCAACAGCTTCGGCAGAGGCAGCGGCTTGTGTTGTTGCTTTTCTTGAAAATTTGTAAAAATGAGAGGGATCAAGAGGAAGGTAGGCGCTCTCCCAACACCCGCTTCTCTGGGCTCCAGGCTGGGTGAGCTGCGGATTCAGCCTGGCTCTGGAACAGCTGTGCCGAGCTGCTCTGCCTGGAATTCTGTGTCAGTGTCTGTGTGCTATTTTGTTTCCCCAGGAGCCAAAGTTAACAATAAAATCTAAGTTTACAAGACACCTTGGCTACAAACGCAGCAGCAAGCTTGTTTGCTCCCTGTCTCCTCCTCTAATAGGATGTTAAATAAACGATTAGCAATCATGGAAATCTTCCGGAAACTTCCATTCTTGTAGGGGTGGAATCTGCGAGGTGCACAGGCAATACCGACATATCCGGCAGAGTCCCCTGCCCTCTGCGGACGCTGTGGACCTCTTACTGAACGCCTGTTTCTTTAAGGCTTCTCTCTTCTGGGGTTGCGTGGGGGTCATTGCTCTAAGAGCTATGTTTTGCTTACACAATGGGGAGTAGAAGGAAGGGAGGGTACTTTTGGGGCTGAACTTTTTTCCTCCAAAAGATGCTAACGTCCTCACGCAAGTGCCTGAGAATGACACCTTATTTGGAAGAGGATCTTTGCAGATGTGACTAAGGAGCTCATCCTGGGTGATCAGGGTGGCCCCTAAATCCAACAACAAGTGCAATGGGTTGAATTATGCACCCCCAAATGAATATGCTGAAGTCCTAACCTCCACTACCCGTGAACTGTGACCTTATTTGGAGATAGAGCCCTGAAAGAGGTAATCAAGTTAAAATGAGGCCATCGGGGTGGGCCCTCATCCAATAGGACGGCTGTCCTCATCAAAAGGGGAACTTTGGACACAGACACGCACAGAGGAAAGACAATGGGAAGGCTCGGGTGGAGACAGATTCTCACAGCCCCAGAAGGAACCAGCCCTGCTGCTGCCCTGGTCTCTGATGCCTTCCTCCAGACTGGAAGACCCCATACTTCAACGAGCAACTGTCAGCAGAGTCCCACCCCGTGAGTCTCGAGGTCACCCTGTAGGCACAGCTCAGAGGCCAGGAGCCGAAAACCTAGCTCACCAGGAAGGGCCAGGGCACAGGAGTGTGTGGGGCAGCAGCTCCAAGTCTCACAGGGCAGCCCGCACTGGCCAGCTGGACCCCCAGGCCCCAGGTCTGCACTCGCAGGAGGAGTGACGCCCTCGAGACTCGGGCCCTGCCCTGTGCTCCCCTCACTCCGACCTGCACCCTTCTCACGAGAAAGGGAGACTCATCTGCATCCCGGGCTGTGAGGCTGGGCCCGCTTATTCATTCACCATGGATGCTGTGTAGGCTGTGGGAAGTTGAGATGGCTGAGTTTATTAATTAATGATCCGTCTCTTGGTGTTGATGTATAATTCATTTCAATGATTTTTTTTCCAGGATGTATCAGAAGACTCGGCCCTGAGCTCACCAGGGCTGGAGTGAGCAGGAGGGCAGTGGGCAGCGTCCTCGGGGTCTGCAGGCCCTACAGAGCCTCAGGGGATAATGGAAACATGGATGTGTGGTCTGGCAGCTGGGCCCAGGGCCGATGGAGCCCCGGAGAGCTCCCATGTCCCCGGTGACAGGACGCTGGTTTCAATAGGGAGCAATGACAGAGAGCCCATCGGCAGGGAGGCCAGACTAAGTGAGCCCCAGGCCCAGGGTGGAGGGAAAACCTGACCACCCAAAAAAGCCAGTGCAGTGTCCTCTGAGGAGCTGGGGCCCAGCAATCAGCAGCCCAAGATAGAAGTTTCCAGCAAGTTGCAAAATGACCTTTCGCTGTAGACGGACCCCTGGGCTCTGCAGTTGTGCCTGAGGGTCTGTCCTGCTCTTTCTGCCTTTCCACGGAGCACAGGGTTATTCAGGAGCTGCTCCCACGGACACAGCCCACTCTGGAGCAGGCCAGGCCCCCACGGCGACAGCAAGAGCAGGCTGTGATGGCCGCTCACACCCCTACACAGCATCGGGGCAGCCACTGGGAGCAGGTGTCACTCAGATGCCAAACCCCAAACCCGGGGCTGGGTGGGAACACGCAGGTGCATTTGGCTGTGGCAGTGTGAGTGCATTCCTCATGCTTAGACTAAAAGGAAACCACGAGCCACACAATGACTCCAGGGAAAAAGGGAGTTTGGAATAAACCCTCCAGCATGCCATCGGAAGGGCCCCGTGCTCAGCCAGGGTCCGCTGGGGCCCAGGGCTCCTCTCCAAGCTGCCAAAGGCCATGTCTCATTGGCTTCCAGACTCAGACCCCCTGCCCACGACCCTCATTTCCCTGTGCATTCACCCATCACCCACAGACCCTCGCCTGGTTCCAGGCTCTCCTAGTTGTCTTTGCCAAGTAGCAAATGACCACACACTTAGAGGCTCGAACACCACCTGTCAGTGATCTCTGGTTCTGTGGGCGAGTTCTGTTCTGGAGTCTGGCTATGGCTTTGTTAGGTCCTCTGCTCAAGGTCCCACAGGGAACGGAGGCGACCAGGGCCCTGCTGTTCAGAGGCTCCGTGTACCACCTGGGGCTGGGCTGTGCTGTCATCTGCAATCACCTGCAAGCTCAACTAGAGAAGTTTCCACTTTCAAGCTTCTTCCAGGCATTGGCAGGATCGGCTGAAGGACCGAGCACTAGGCCTCTTGATGGCTGTGGACAGGGGCCGCCCTCACTTCCTGGACACCCGCTAGCCCCCACTACATGGGCCCCTCCAGGCCAGCAGTATGGAGACTTAAATTACTAAACATGGGAGAGTCCCATCACTGCTGCTACAGCCTTGCGTTAGGGGCAGGTCACGGCCCCATCCACACTCCAGGGGAAGGGATTCCACAGAGGTGCAGATGCCAGCAGGTGGGCACCCCAGGTCCACCTCAGGGTCTTCCGGGCACCCAGGTCCTGTGTCAGGGACGTGGTCCCCAGCAGCACGCCTCTGCTGCCCAGGGGTGAGAATATGGTTGTAGAGGCAGACATGCAGGTGGAGGACATCAGTGACCAAGTGCTACAGACACAGACGGGGTCAGCGCAGCATAACTGGAGAGGCCCTGGTCCACGTGCCTGTGCAGTCAACGCCATTTAAGGGAGACATTAGCTTTCTCCGCACTGTCCCCCACAGGAGAGGGCTGGAGGCAAACGCAATGGGCTGGGACCCCTGAAACACAGGGAAGGTGGGGCCGGGAGCCCTCCACACTCCCTGGGATCCCGAGGGGACAGAGGGGGCCAGAGGCCACACTATTCTGAGGCTGTGAGGCTCCTCCTGGCCTCTCCTGCTGCCCGCTGGGCTGCAAAGATGCAGCGTTCGTCTCCTGCTCTTCACCCACCTGAGCCTGGGAACGGCCGCCTGGCACAGTGAGAGCTGTGTGCGCCCCAGCTCCGAGCTGATGACTCACGGCGGAACAGATGTAACCCAAACTGCGAAGCAATGGCAACCTGCTGCCACAGGTGGCTCGCTGCGGGGGGTGGCCCACGCCGGGGGGCTGGGCTCCCGGGGGCTCTCACACAGGGATCCGCATCCCCCAGAAGCCACAGTGAGGACACAGAGGGGACAAGCCTGGCCCTCAGCTTCCCTCTGGGCCAAGCCTCTGCCTCTTGGAAGCTCTTCCGTGCCTGTTTTCTGTCCTATTTCATCAGACACGAAGGCAGCCCCATCCCCCAGGGACCCTGAAGGAGACCAGGCCCGAGCTCAGCAGCCGGCCGTGCAATGCAGGCCCCCGGCTCTCGGCTGCAGTTTCTCTGCCTCCCAGACCCACATGCTGAAGACACGGCTTCTGAAGGCAGCTTCCTGGGCCCCTCCTGCCTGAATCAGGATTTCTGGAGAGTGGAGACCAGAAATGTGCATTTAAAACCAATTCCCCAGGTGACTCCCACCCTCACTAGGGCCACACAGTGGGGGCTGAGGCTTCAAAACTCACCTTCTCTGGGTGTTCAGAACCTGACCTCTTCCTCCGGCCCAGACCCCACAACCGGATCTCCTCTAGGCTCCCAGACTTGCTGCCATCCCAGGAGCACCCACACCACCCCAGAAGCCTCCCACTCCCCACAACTCCTGGAAGCAGACTCTGCTCACCCCACTGGGCTCTGGGGTCAACTTCCCTAAATTACGCCATTATTCAAGGGTTCTCCCTCTAAACACAGGACGATGTTGGAATACCGCATGCACATAAACCCTGGCCACTGTGAGTTTCCAGTACTGCCCCCCAGGGTGGTACCCTCCACCACACCCTGGCACAAGCACGGCAGCCTTAAAAGATTCAGGGCCTGCCCCTGTGCCCAGCTCTCTCTAGGATTCAGGGCCTGCCCCTGTGCCCAGCTCTCTGCAGGATTCAGGGCCTGCCCCTGTGCCCAGCTCTCTCCAACTCTATGCGGGGCTGGCGATGGAGCTCCATTTCCTCCCCCATCCCGCAAGGACTCCAGGTCTCCTGGGGCCCTCTGCTTCATCCCAGGGGAGGCACTCTCCCAGGTGGGCCATGACCCCTGGAGGTGGGAGGTGTTATGGGTTGAGCTATGTCCTCCAAAAATTTGCATGTTGAAGCTCCACCCCCTAATGTGACTGTATTTGGAGATAGAGCCTTTAAAGAAGTAATTAAAGTTAAATGAGGTCATTAGGGTGGACTCTAATCCATGCTGACTGGTGTCCTTATAGAGGAGGAGACGAGGACACAGACACACAGAGGGACAACCATGTGAGGACACGGGGAGGAGACAGGGTCTACAAGCCAAGGAGAGAGGCCTTGGGAGGAGCCGGCCCTCCCGACACCCTGACCTCAGACTTCTAGCCTCCAGGACGGTGGAGAACATATTTTGATTGTTTGTGCCACTCAGGCTGGAGTGCTTTGCTGCAGCTGCCCAGGACACCGGCACAGGAGGCCCCCGGTTCCGTTGGCCGAGCAACTCCCGCCACCAAGGAAGGAGCTGGTGACCTCTAGGGTGACATCCTGGACATTCTGAGTTCTCTCCTAACCTCAAGCCCCCTCGAAGGGGAGGTGGGTGTGAACAGGGAGTCTACCTATTCATTAAACGTGTACTTTGAGCATCTGTCACAAGCAAGCCCTCGCCAGGCACCAGGGGGACCATGACGACAGCCCTGCCCGTGAGCTCCACGGGGCATCCATGGTGCACGAGAAGATGCGGGATTCTACACCAAGTATCCCAGATGGCCCACCCCACTCACATCCCTTCCCCACACACGGGAAGTGAGTGCCCACTGGAGCAGCCACTTAACCTGATGCACATCTGCCTATTCCAGGGAACTTGAAACCTTCTTTCCTGCCTGTTGGGGGCTGGAGGTCCCTTTACTACTCCTCTGCCGGGGTCAGAGGTTCCTGCTGCAGGCCGCTGTCTGCACCCAACACCCAGGGACCAGCAAGCCTTGGCTGAGCTGGCGCCCCAGGTGCTTCCAGCTCCCTGGACCCTGAGGGCTGGCAGGCAGTTTCATTGCTCGCTCTGGGCACAAGCGTGGGCAGTCCAGAGCCAGACAGTGTGCGCTGGGGCAGGCTAGCCCTGGGCCAAGCCAGCATATGCAGCCTTGCTTTGTGTCTGCAGCAAGAGGGGAGGGTGCTTGTGGAGAACTGTACCTCCCTCCAGTGTGGGCATCAGTGACTTTTAAAAGCACGGCACATTGTCACCCTGGCTTTTCATTTCCTCTTTCTCTTTCACCTAAAGATTGCAAGATCTGCATGGCTTTCAGCACTTAGGAACCCGTTCCCTGCAGCTGTCTCTAAGCCCAGAAGTTGCATTTTAAAAAACTGTTCAGACAATGGCTATGGAGCTAGCTGTGGGCCAGGCAGGGTGCTGGGAGCCAGGGGCACAGCAGGTGCAGGATCTGGGGGTGTGAGTTTTGTTGCGGCCCCTCAAGGAGTCCTGGGCTAGGTGACGGCCGGTGGAAAGCACCATGCAGGCAGATGACACTGGCAATTATTGATATTGGCGAGGGGCTGGGGAGGAGCGAGCAGGCCCACCTCTGGGCAAGTGCAAGTGGCCATAATATGAGAGACGTCATGGTAAATGCCAGTCGATGGAGACAAACCACCCAGGGGGTGCCCAGAGGTGGGGGCTTCAGAGAAAAGAGGGGTGGGAATGCAGGGTGGTGACCCCTTCTGTGAGCAGATGAGGATGTCCAGCTCATGACCAGGTGAGGGGCCATAGGTGGGACTAGGTATGCCGCCAAGGCCAGAGGGGACAGAAATCCTCCCTTGGCCACCTCCTCTCATGTCAGACCTCGCTCAAGTGCCCCCTCTCCTTGAGCCTTCCTCATCCCGGCCGCCATCACCACCACCGCCCATGGTTCCGCCTGGCATTCGCAGGTGCCCGCGGCCACCACACGTGACCTCTGTGTGCACCTGCTCCTTGTCCACCCCAGCCTGGGGAGGCCACCCAGCAATGGCAGGGGCCATGTCGGTGCAGTACCCATGGGATTTCATTCCTCCAACTATCACAGGCTCTCACAAGGAAAAGAGGAAAAAGGTCAGCCCTCGGGGAGAAACACAGAATTCGGAAACCAGGCTTTTCTTGGACACCTCTTGAGGTCTCTATAGCGAGCTCAGCCAACAGCACACATCAGGCTGGTTCTCATCCCTTAAGGACTTGGCTTCTGTATTGTCCCCGTTCCTCCGTCCCTGCCACATTGTCCATTTCCATTCTCTACTGGGTCATTCACGTTGGCAGAAAGACGTGCCTGAATACTCCCACGATAAAAAAAAAAATCAAAACGAAACAGAACAACCAAAATCCTCGTCCACCTCCATAGTCCTCCAACTACAGCTTCCCTTTCCCCAAACCCCTGCAGAGCAAAGCTCCTCAAAATATTCAGCTCCACCCACTGCATCTGCGGCTCACCTCCCGTCTCCCTTCCATCGCCCTCGCAGGACTCTCCCCTCACCACGTCTCCAGCAGCCTCCACCTCACAAAAGTGGCCTCTTTCATGTCTCTGGGAGCTCCGCCACGAGGACCCCTCCATGCTCTGGGAACAGCTTTCTCCTGCAGCCTCCTGGCCACCTCCTCCCGGTGGGCTCTTCCTTATCACCCCCAATTGCCCCTTCATTCTCCCCTCTTGCAGTCCCCGCTCTGTCCAAGTGGTCCCCACTGTCTCCATGGCCTTCCAGACCTTCCACACACCCGAGGCTCCGCTGAGCTTCTACTCCGGGCTGCACCAGCCCCCGAGTGGCAGACTCAGGAATCCAAGGAGTATCCACAGGCGCTCCCCTTGGACGGCCGCCAGGGTGGCTGGATGTCACAAGAGTGAAGGTCCCGTCCCAAGGGCTCCTTCCAATCTGCTGCTCCCCAGCTTCTGCCTCTCAATTAAATGCACCCCTTTCAGCTGAAGAAAGAGTTGCTCAGACTAAAACCTCAGGGACCCTCTAGATGGTTCTCTCCCTTACTCCCCAGCCGATGCTCTCTTGGGGCTCGCGTCCCACCTCTCTACAAGTTATCACGTCCCATCTGGTATCATTGCCTCCTGTCTTCCCCCTAGAATGCCCTCAGAGAGCAGCCAGTACCTCCGGCTCAGATCACACCACTCTTCAGTGTATCCCATGAGCCCCAGCATACTCAGAATAAACCCCAAATCCTCATGACGGCCTCCAAGCCTCCTGGAACCTTGCCCCAGCCCAATGCCCTGACCTGTCCCAACCCAACTCGCCATGACCTGCCTTTCCCAGCACACTGGGCCTGGATGTGACCATTCTGGGTGATCCAGGTGGGCCCTAAATCCAATGACAAGTGTCCTTAGAAGACAGACACAGGGAGACAGCCATGTGGAGATGCAGCCAGAGACTGGAGTGATGCGGCCACAAGCCAAGGAGCACCTGGAGCCACCAGGAGCTGGAAGATGCTGAGAAGGGTCCTCACCCAGGGCCTCCGGAGGGACCACAGCCCTGCTTGTATCATGACTTCAGACTCCGGCCTCCAAAACAGCTGGAGAATAGGTTTCTGTTTAAACCATGCAGACTGTGGTGATGCATTACAGCAGCCCCAGGACTCACACACAGATGAAGGCTGGGCCTCCCATGCACAAGATGCGTGTGAACATAGAGGACGAGGCTCCAGCTGGGTGAACGGCTGCTTTCGGAATGTCTAGGACTAGAGCAGAGATTCATAACAGTCACAGAATGAGGCAGGTATGGACGCCACAGGTCCTGCCGTGCACAGGACAAGTGTGCAAACCACGGATCGCCTCTGCGCTGTGAACTTGCACCTGCCCCGCGGCTCGGTGCTGCTAACCCACATGCTTGGAACCCAGAGGGCCTCCTCTGTGCCACAGATGAACCCAGGGAATTCTCCAGTGCCTGGCTGGAACACGCTGAAGTTCCCCCGCATGCAACCACCGAATAAATCAAAAGAAGACTGTGTGCATTTTTGTCCCAAACATCTCTGAAAGTTGTTCACCATTTTGGAAAGTCACCTGCCCTCAATGTGATGCAACTGTCCCAGCTGGTGTGGCAGACGTGTTCCCAGTGACCCTATGCAGAGGCCAGCCTTTGACCACCTCAGCACACATACAGATAAAATGCTGTATATATGCACGTAAGCACCGGACCCCTCCAGTGAAGATGGGCTGGGGCGCTTAAATGTACAAATACAGCGTTTTACCCTAAATTACTCTCCTTTGCATGTCTTCCTCAGCACAGTTAGGACACTATATCAAGCTTTTAAAACACAGATTATGTTTTCTCTGCAAGGTGCATTGGCAGTGTGTAAAGGGAGTGTCACAAAATCCATCACAAACTCGGGCACTGGCTCTGCAAGGGTTAGGAGAGTCTGGCCTTTCTTTCTCCTCCCTTTAGCCATCTTTGCCCAACCCAAGATTCCCCAGCAGCCCCTATCCACACATCCTCTCTTCTTCCTCCCTGCCATAGACAGCACTGACTTTCTCCTTGCAGAGGTGGGAATAAGTGACAAGGACCCAAAGTGGGTCTCAGCAGCTTGGCCTTGGTCTCAGGACACATCCATGAAATCTTGGCCAGGGACGCACCACAGGGTGTGTCTCTGAAATCACATGGTGGGGACATCCGACTCTTCCGTCCAGCCTGTCATGGCTTTGCTGATGGACAGGACCCTCTGGAGCTTCTAGAAGGGTCAAGAAGACCAGGAATCTTCTTTGATCAGTGGCCTTTACACACAGACCAAGAACTTCCACCTGGATCTAGAACCCACACTCAGGGCATCCTGATGCTTCAGGCGGAAGAGGTATGTGGTGGGAGGGTCCCCAAGCCCCAAAGAGCACCCCTAGAATCATGGAAAGTGCCACAGTCCTGGAGTCAGGAGAGCTGGGTTCTGCCCCAGTCCCCACTCACAAATGCCTGGGCTTCTCCCAGCTGCAGATCCCCCTCCTACCCCCTTCCCAGGGTGGCTTGGAGAACAGCACATCTGCTGGGCAAACTGTGAAGTGCTATTCCAGCTACGTAAAGGGAGGAGCGTGTGCAACTGTAAAGTGCTATTCCAGCTATGTAAAGGGGAGAGTCGTGCCCCTTGCAAAGGAAATGGTGCTGGCTCCAGCCCCCATCCCTGTCCCCCATCCTCTCCATGGGGCTCACACAAACCACGCCTCAGGTGTGTTGACCTGGCACATTAAGGGAGCCAGGCTGAGGGCTTCCTGAGGTAGGTCTGACCACCACAGTGAGAACTGAGGCCTTCCAGGGCAGGGAAAGATCATGATATGGACAGAATAGCACCGAGCATGCAGCCACACAACCTAACTGACCTCAAAAGAGGATACTGAAGGTCACAGAAAGCAAATGGCATTTTCCCACCACAAACACCATTCGATTACCCTGGCAGAGCCACCGGTGAGGTGGGCTTCGTGCATCTTTTAAGACCTGACTCAACTCTAGGGGCTGCATGCTCACTATGGCGCTCAGTTTCCCACATGTGCTGGCATGGTCCAGTCTCAGAACAGCCTTGTCACAAAGAAATTGCTTCCCCATTTTGCAGGCAAAGATTCAGAGGACCATGGGGTCACATGGTGGAGCCAAGGACACCTGCAGCCATGGCCTGGGTCCATCTGAGCCAAGGTGGGCGCTCTCTCCGCTGGCACCAGCTTTGTCCCTGACATGGCCCACCTATCAGTCACCTCTGGAGGGAGATTTTCAGCCTCTCTGTTCCTCCAACAAACTTGGCTTCCCCAGTGCTGAAAGAAACTTCTGGAAAGGGAGGCTTTTTCCCTTTATTTTGCATCATCACGTCCTTACACAGACTGCAAGGCGGACGGTTGTGAGATTCACTGAACCATGTTGAACCACATCGAAAGCGGGGACCCGAAGCCTGTCTTCATGTCTAACCACGTGGCACATGGGTCCATTACTCGTTCGTCTGCCTCTGAATTTGGCTGAGTCTCCGGGACTGAGTGTCAGTGACCACCTGGGGAGCCCTCAAACGTCACTTGGAACTTATCTGCTGCAAAGATGCGGGTGATGTTTTTTCTACCAGCAGGATTCACAGGGCAGCCTTTTAAGCTAGACATCCACAATGCAGGCCACTCCTGGGCAGAGGTGGGGCAGAGGGTTCCACCAGGAGAAGAGTGACTCATCATCACAAAATGGAAGCTTAAAATTGAGCCCACAGCCATGGTCCCACCAGGCCCCCAGCTTGCCTGTGTACATAGACCACTGAGCTCACTGCTGGGTCCCCAAGGACAGCCAACTGTGGACACCGGCAGGGAGGGAAGGGGCGCACCTCTCCAGCATTCTTCTTTCACTGATGACAAGTCGGGGAAGGGGATCCTCCAAAACCATCGTTCCCGCTCCTTGCAGAGGGAACACCAGGACTCGCCCATTCTTAGGGCAATTCGGAGCTAGAGGAGGGACCTCGGAGGTTGTCTTATTCAGCATCTGTTCCAGAGGCCAAGAAACTGAGCTGCCGGGAGGTGGAGGCCTGGCCTGGCTCCCTCCACAATCCAGGCCTGCAGGAGCTCTGCCTACTCTATCTCAGCCCCACCACACGCCCCCGAGATGGGCTCTTCCTATGCCTCCCCTATCCACCCCAGGGCTCGGCTCCAAGAAACCTGCAACGGCTCCTGTTTCCTTCCAATCTGTATTGCCAGAATAACAATTGGGCGATTGATGAAGCTGTGGCTTGGTGACATTTCCTCTACCATCCTTACCTGTCTTTTCTCTCTTGTGCAAGGATATGTCTTTATCTGTCTGGATTTCCCAACTGGAATTTTTTAACTCCTTGAAAAGAGGAGGAGGGGCCATGTTTTGCAACTCCTCATCCCGCTCCTACCCCGAGGTGTGGCATTTACTGTCAACTAAGTACAGAGCTGATGGTTCATTGAATAATTGATTAAGAAGCCAGACATTCTAAAACTGGTCCTTGTAACACAGTAAAACAAAAAGTCTAAAAATGGTATTCTGTCTAACATTTAATCTCTACACTCAGAATCATTCCCCTGTGAGCGGATGGCAATCATGAATTCAACCCACTATATATCAAACAGATTTGTTATCAGTCCAGGGTTTTGTGACATTCATGATGTAAGGAAAGGCATATCCTACAAGGGTGTGTTTCGTGCAGCCGCCGGCTACCCCACTAGTCAGTGACCCCATCCGTTCCCTTAAAGGAGACTGGTTTCCAGGTAGAGGAGAGTGTTCATTAAGGCCTTCCTCTTCTTGCTGGAAACTCCTGAACAGGTCAACAAGTAAAGGCACCTCTCCAGGCCTGGTGAAAGAAGACAGAGTTGAACCCAGCAGCTCTCCCACAGAAAGTGCCTTAGGAGGCCGGGCGTGGTGGCTCATGCCTGTAATCCCAGCACTTTGGGAGGCTGAGGCAGGTGGATCATGAGGTCAAGAGATCGAGACCATCCTGGCCAACATAGTGAAACCCTGTCTCTACTAAAAATACAAAAATTAGCTGAGCTTAGTGGCACGTGCCTATAGTCCCAGCTACTTAGGAGGCTGAGGCAGGAGAATTGCTTGAACCCGAGAGGCAGAGGTTGCAGTGAGCCAAGTGCCCCACTGCACTCCAGCCTGGTGACAAAACGAGACTCCATCTAAAAAAAAAAAAAAGGAAAGAAAGAAAATGCCTTAGGCTGGACATCTCAGTTCTTAAGGATTAAAGACCTTTCACATCCCTAGCATGCCCTTAGAAGGAGAATGAGGGCCTAAGGGAATGAAGAAGCTTAAGAAGGACTAAATGCAATAAGTTGAAGCCAGGAACATTTGACAGGGAAATGCAAGAAGACCTGCAACACAGTCGTGTCCAGAAGAATCAGAGGCTGGACTTTCATGAGTTGGAGCACACTTATCCATTTGGTATGAACACAAGTTTGCTCAGCAAAAACAGAGGGAGTGCTCTAACAGGCTGATTGGGTCCAGTGAGCTGTCGGCCAACAGAAAACCTCGACCACAGGCCACCACCCAGAACCACGGCACTCAGGATTTGCCACGCTGCATCCATTCAGAAGATCCCAGTTAAGACCCTAAAGACCAGCCTTGCTGTCTACAAAGTTTAGGATCTTTTGCAGCGCTCCAAGCACTGATTTGTTCTTTGATTCTCTTATCCCAATTAAACCACTCAAAACTTTTGAAGTTCATGAGTCATTTGCTTCAAATATCTTTAAATTAAGGACAGATTCACTTCCCTGGTAGCAAACACCCAGCAACTTAATTAAAATGGGCTCAGCATTTAAATGGCCATCACAGCTTTCAACCAAAGGGGAAGAGGATGTCTCTCCCTGTGACATCTGCTTCTCATTTTCTTCCACTCCAACTCTGGTGTTTAGAAAATAGTTCACCATCATGAGGCTTGCTCCTGAGGTTGGCTGGCTTGCATTGATGCTTAGGTCAGCTGACGGCTGGGGTGCAGAGAAAATGACACCAGCTTGTCACCTGTGCTTACCGAGGGACATACCTAAAGGACATGGAAGGCCTCCCCGCTCCCACTCGGTGACAAGGACAAAGCAAACTTGGAAATCATCCTTAGAAATGCATGAGTGAATTCCAATGTAAAAATTTCCAGGCCAGACTTGGAAGACATCTGAGCCATCTCATCCTTGAGCTGCTGGATGTCACGAATACGTGACTGATTGAACAGAGGTAAACCCTGAATGATGATGGGAACCTAGAGGATTTCAGGGCCCCTCCTGGGTGGCGAGGTTTCTGAGAGACAGAACATGAGCTGGGGAAAGCAGCGGATTGGCCTGAGCAGGCGGGAAAGTCTTGGGGCCAGATGCCAGCATGCACGGCCTAAGAACGTAAGGTTCAGGAAACCTTCATTGAGCACTAACTGTACACCAAGCACTCCTGCCCCAGGTATTCCCACAGTGGGCATATTCAGAAACCCAAATCAGTTGGCTTGAATTCCCCACAAGTTTCCTTTACACGTTTTAAGATAAAAGCTCAGAAAATGACTTTCTGTTTTTCTCCCAGGAGACTCTGTGATTCCAGATTCGAAACCTGACCAGCAAGAGAGCTGTCATAGAAGGCTGGGGCTGCACTGTGGGGAGCCTCCTCCCCAACCTCAAGCTAACTTCTGACCCATCTGACGGTCACACTCTGCCAGTGCTCACGTGAGGCTGGAGCTCAATGCCTCTGTGAACCTGTGCCAGGTGATTTTCCATCCCAAGAGGTTCTTGGCTAGTGCCATCTACACTTCTGTACAGAGCGCCAAGGTCAGGGACATGGCTGCAGGAACTCATCAAATGACCCCTCAATAGAGCAGTAAAGGTAGTGGCAGCAAATTAGCACAATGGTAACCATCATCATCATCACTATCAACAGCATCATCATCACTATCATCACTATCTCTATTATCATCATCATCTCCATCATCACCATCATCATCATCTCTCTATCACCACCATCATCACCACCATTTCCACCATTACCATCATTATCATCACCATCATCAACACCATCATCATCACCATTTCCACCATTACCATCATTATCACCATCATCATCAACACCATCATCACCATCATCTCCATCATCATCATCCTCATCATCATCCCCATCATCACCATCACCACCATCATCCTCACTGTCACCATCATCATCACCATCACCACCCTTACACTAACAGCAGCAGGCACATACTGAAAACTGTTATGTGCCAGGCACTGAGTACTTGGCACACTCTGTCTCACTGAATCTTTACAACAACATTATGAGATGGTTAACTCTATCATACCCACTGGCACAGAGAGGACAAGCAAGTTGCCCAAATGTACACAGCAATCATGAGCTGAAGCCAGGAATTTGAAGACAGGCAGTGGGACTCTTAACCATTACCCTGAAACTCAAAAAGATTTCCCAGTTACTTCATATGTATGGTGAATCCTGACAGGGGACCCTTTAATCATTCCAGCAGTTATCCCAAGTAATGTTACTTCCAGAGAAATTTCAGAGTGCCCCCAAATCACCAGCCACGTTTCCTCTCTGCACCCAGCAACAACCTGTGCTATAGACAGATAGAAAAATATGATATGTCCCTTCTAAATATTTATCTGCAGAAACAAAAATAAAATTTATAAATCCCCAAGTGTGATACCAAAGATCCCTTTTTGGACAGGTAAAACTCACTTAATGGATGTTTCATCCACCTCCTAAAACTCCAATTCCAAATTTTGGGGTGCCCCCCAGTATGTGGCAAAGCTGGCTGTGTCTGAGATGATAAAACTCCCAAGTCCCTGGCAGCCTGCTCTGCCTCTGACACTGGCAACCCTCTCTTCCTCAGGCCATTCTTGCTGGGTATAAAAACAACGAATAAGTATGGAGAATTGTTCAGCGCCAGGTGCCTTATTTTATGCTCAGTGTTCATCCACTAAACTCTCACAGCAACCGTTTAGGAAAAATATTTCTTTTTTTTTTTGAAATAAGTTTCACTCTTATTGCCCAGGCTGGAGTGCAATGGCAGGATCTTGGCTCACCGCAACCTCCACCTCCCAGGTTCAAGTGATTCTCCTGCCTCAACCTCCGTAGTAGCTAGGATTACAGGCATGTGCCACCATACCAGGTTAATTTTTTGTATTTTTAGTAGAGACAGGGTTTCTCCATGTTGGTCAGGCTGGCCTCGAACTCCTGACCTCAGGTGATCCATCCGCCTCAGCCTCCCAATGTCGGGATTATAGGCGTGAGCCACTGCACACGGCCTATTTCTAAGCCTCAATTTTGCTGGTGAAGAAAAGAAAATCAGGAGAGGAGAGACCTTTTCCAGGGTCACACAGTGACATGCAACAGAGCCCAGATTCTCTCCCAGATCTTCAGCCTCAAGGCACCTGCTAACTAACTGCAGCAATTCATGGCCTCCCAGATTGCAGCTCTGGAGTCCCCAAGACCACTTCTGCTGCCTTAGATGTCTGAGAAGTGTGAGTAGTGTTCACGTTCCACCAAATGTTGGGGGCGCAGGTCTGCATCTGATGACTGCCAAGCAAGGGGGTTCCAGGGAGTTCAGCCCTCTGTCCCAGCACTCCTTCCATCTGGGGAAGCTTAAACAGTTGTTTTCCTCCCCCTGCCCCATCCCCCTCTACTTGGGACTTCAGATAAGGAGATTATGCAGCCTGTTCTCAGTAGCCTAAGCAAAGATCTCACCTCCTGCATCACCAGCAAGTACTTCCCAGTGTGTAACCTAAATTGTTCCTGCTCTGGTCTAATTCATTTACATGGTACCCACTGGGCTATGAGGAACCCAGTTAGGGGAATCATCCCCGCATTTCCTCTCTTCCCTTTGCCTTGGCTGGGAAGCTCAGGATGGTGGCCTAGCCCTGATGAGCGCTGCTGTAAACCACCTGTTCCCTTCCCTGTGGCCCAGCATTGCGTTCCAGAATTAACATTTCTCTGCATTAGAAACAAACACACATATTTTCCTCTTTTTAGATTTGTTTTGCTAAACAAATTAATCTAGCACCAGATTATATTATGAAGAACCATAAATCGCTTCCAAGATAAGCATCTGTCGAGATGGATTAGCAACATCCAATGCACTGTGAATTAATTTGCTAAGCCTACAACGCTGTCCCGGGTGTTTAACTTTAGTAATAACAAATGTAATTTGGAATAAATGGGAACTTGTTTCCTCATCCATGTCTATATAGTAAGTGACGTATACAGAGGAGGTGACAGTAAGGGAGAGTAGCAAGAAATCCTACTATGATGATGGCTGCTGAGTTTACTGAGGTAAAAATGAACACTCTGTAAACTGCTAGCAGGCGCCTGACAGTGCAGGATGAGCTGCAGACCCCGCATGTCCGTGGATTCCCAAAAGAGGCTGCATGGGAGGAAGCCGATGCAGGACCTCCAGAGTCTCTTCCTCCGGAGCCTCTTCCTCCAGAGCCTCTCCCAAGCCCACAGCCTCCATCTCTGGGCATGGCCCTCAGCATGCGCAGGGAGCCCAGGCTGTGCTTCCATAGAGACATTGCTCTCTAGGGAAGAGGAGCTCAGAAAAAAAACCGCAGGTTCTCTTGTCCAGGTGAAGGAAGAAAGTAGGTCACCGGCTGAAGGACAAAAGCCACCCACCCCATGAAAACCTGTCCAAGGACTGCCCGGTGCCTGCCTGCCCAAGATGAGGAGGAACCAGGGCCAGGACGCAGTCTAGTGAGGACGCAGAGGGCCTGGATGCCATGCCGGCCGCCTGCACATGAGCTCTGAAGAGCAGTTCTCTTCCCTCCCCTTGATTCTGCAGAGGCCTGGGTGGGGCCTACCGAGCCCACAAGCTGGAGGTTGTGGAAAGCAAGCTGTGAGGAGGCCACAGGGCGCCCCCGCCCACTTTGTACTGACGCCCTAAAATCTGCATCCGATTTTAAAGTTAGCAAATGTTGCTGTTTGTCTAGAATGTGTATGCACAGATCTAGGTTGTGAACTTCTGAGCCAACCTGGCACATCGGGCTGTGCCTGTTAACAGAGGCAGAGAAAACTGGAGGGAGGTGAGGGTGACGGGGTGCCCAGGGCTCTGCGCTCTCCCCGCAGGCCTGCTGTGAAGCCTGGTGACATCAGTGCAGGCTACCAGTTCAGGGACAAGCCCTGGCTTGGGAGATTTCCAAGGGCTACTCCTTTCAAAGCAAATGGAGGACAGCGTATAGGAGGAAAATAAAAAACAACAAAACTGCACAGAAGGAGATATTCCAAAGCCAGTGAACTGTGTGTGTCCACAGGCAGCTAGGATAACAGCAGCAGAAGAACCAAAGCCCTTTGTTCTGATCTCCGTCCTCCAAACACCCTCCTGACACATCCCCAGGGAGCCGAAAGGTGCCACCTGAATCACTGTCTGCGAAGGTTCTGTTAACACCGCAGGAAGTTCTTCCTTTTACCCAGCCTCGGCCTTTCTTGCTATTTAAGGCCATTCCTAATCCTCTACCGAGGTCAAGTTGGCAGGCACCCTGCCCCCGTCCATGCCCCCGTCCATGGGTCCCATACCCTTGAAGGCTTTTGAAGACTCTGGGGCGGGGGGATCCTTAATTGTATCACGAGACGGGCAAGCATCTTGCTCAAGGGCCGGCCCCAGAGACAAAATTCTCTGATTCTGGAAGGCGTGGCTGTGTGTGGTGGATTCCACCGGTCTGTAACAGGGCTGCAGCACCTGGTGGATTCAGCTGGTCCCTAACAGAGGCACAAGGGGTGCAGCGCCCACTTCTAGGTACATACTAAAAAGGGAAACTCTCCCTTCTCACGCCCCCTTCCTCTAAGGCACAGCCTGTATTTGCCAGTCTACAGGCATGTGCAAGCTCATGGACACATCACGCCTGCATCTCCTGGAGCCTCCACACATAGCATCACCCAGGGACATCTAAGCATCTCTCCCGAGTCACGCTCCCAGCCCTCAACCCCAAGCAAACCCAAACCAGAAGAGAGATGGCTGTACCTGAGGCCTCCCCCAGAATCCTTGGGGGCTGGGTGACTTCCCCGTTGTTGCTGGGACTGGTGGAAGGCTCCGTTGTGCTAACCCCACCTGGGATCCTTCTCCGGGGATCCAAGGACTCGGTGAACCCCTTAGTCTGCAGCGTCATGGGGGTGGCCGTGGTGGTGGTGGTGGTGGTGGCGGCCACAGTTGTCTTCCGTGTTTGTAGGATGGAGACCGTGGTGGGGCCGTAAACGCCCGGAAATGTGTTGGACTCCAGGGCCTCCTCGTCCCCCGTGGGCCCCCAGGCGATGAACTCAGTCTCTGTGGTGGGCCGGCTGCCTCTGGAGTCGAAGCTGCTGAGACCGTCCCCCTGCAGGTGCCTCTTGCCCCTCCTCAGGAGGGCCTGCTGCTCCGGGGCCCCACCGGCCACCGCGGAGGACGAGGACGAGGACGAAGAGGCGAGGGAAGGGCTGGATTTGGCAGCAGCTGGGGGCTTGGCCAGTCCTGCCTTGGGCACGAGGGCGGCCGCCTGGTCCCGGGGCCTGTGGGCCCGTCTGGCTCGAGGCATCTGCATCTGCCCGTGGATCCGCTCCACTCGGGGCGGCCGGGGGCTCCACACCGGGGCCGGGACCCGCGCTGGCTGTCCACTCCTAAAACTCCACAGCCGGGGCGGCCGGGGCGGCGACCGCGGCAGGAGCCAGAACTCCGGCCCCGGGCCCAGGGCCTCACAGGCGGGCAGGTCCACGGCGAGCTGAAACATGGCTATCAGTATCCAGGCATGGCTTCCGAGGGGGCGGCCCGGCCAGCGGATGGACATGGAGCTGTGCGGGGGGGAAAGGAGAGAAGAGCGGTCAGTGGAAGCCCAGGAGGGGGACTGGGCCCCGGGGCCCTCTCTCTCCACCCCGCGCTGTGACAAGGACGCTCTCTTCTTCTGGAAAGAGCTCCTCCTAACTTCAAAAGGGAATCCGAAACCCTTCCTTCCTTTCCTTCAAAGGCTCACTCACGTGCAAGAACAGCGCGCGCTGCGAGGGTGCGGGGAGCTGCTTCCCGGCACCGCGGGGCTGAGGCGCCTGCCAGGCACAGAGCCGGCCGGTCGCCGAATAGTCCATTTCACGCGAGCGAAAACCGAGCCTCAGAAACCCCCAGCCTTTCAGGGCAGCCTCGACAAGATAACCTGAAAAGACCTGTGAGTCCCTCCTTCCTTTTGCCCATCACACGACGAGAGGACGTAAGTGAGAGGATGGCAGCAGCGGACACCGGCCTCCACCTGGGACCCCAGGGCCAGGCGCTTTCCTCTACATAGCCCAGGCCACCCCCCGCCCACTGGGGAAGCGCCTCTCCCCAGGTCTAGGAGGAGCGGAGGTTTCAAGCTTGAAACCTCGCAGCGTGAGCGCAGGCGCTTCCCAGCACCTACACCTGCCAGGCACTTGCACTTTGCAAACACCAGCCGCTCCCGCTGCCCCTCACCCAGAGCCCGGCATGCATATCGTAAACAGGCATCGCTTTAAATGCTCTGCATGGGAAGGCTTCTTACTTCTGGCCTCCTCTGGATCGTACTCAGGGAAATGAGATCTGCTCCGGATAAACCTAAAGTTTATTGACGCGAAGTGTCTGTTCTGTTGACATTTCCGCTCCCCCTGTTTATCTGCAGTGCCGGTGCCCTTTGAAACCCTGTTATCCACCTCCTCAGCTCCCCGGAGGGCTGCAGAAAGGGCAAATCCTGCGCAACCCTGAGGAGGGCGGGGCTGCCTCTCCACGCAGCGGGGCTGCAGGGGAGAAGTCAGGGCTGGCGGGGCGGCCCCTCCCCAGTTCACATGGAGCGGCTTTGTCACCAGGTCTGGGGTCGCCTCTGGACCAGTGGACTCTCTGGTGTCACATGAAAACCAGGGCGCGGCAGAGAGCCACGTGGAAGGGCTCAGAGGAGCCAGGCCCACGCTCCCTCTTCCACCAGCACAGATAATTGAAGACTGATTATAGGTGTCATTCAAAGTCAGTTCTCGTCACCAGCCTCACGTCTGAAAGTTAAAATGAATCCCAAAACTGTAATGACTGAAGCGGGTGGGGGGCGCGAGGGTGTTCAGGTGCCAAGCGCCAGCCTGACGCCGCCCAAAGCCAGGCCTGGAAAGCAGGTTGGGTAGAGTTTTTCTTTATAAGGCGGTGAGTGAC
The DNA here is from genome assembly GCF_000001405.40 of Homo sapiens. Taxonomy (NCBI): domain Eukaryota; kingdom Metazoa; phylum Chordata; class Mammalia; order Primates; family Hominidae; genus Homo; species Homo sapiens. The sequence continues at coordinate 4,710,554 of NC_000001.11, read as the reverse complement.
TTCACAAAGGAAGGAAGCTGTGTGTGTCATTGTAATGCGTGCACGCAAGTGTGTGAGTGTGTGCGTGTAGGCAAGCACACGTATGTGAGTGTGTACGTGTGTGACTGGGTGTGAGTGTGTGCGTGTGGGTCAAGCTGTGTGAGTGTGCCAGTGTGAGAGTGAGCCAGCATACATGAGTGTAAAGATGCATCTGGGGGTGTGTCCACGAGTGTGAGAGACTGTGCGTGAGTGAGGGCCAGGGTGTCTGTGTGTATTTGGTGCGTGTGTGAGAGTGTACTGTTGTGTGACTGTGTCCATGTGTGTCAGCATAGAAGTGTGTGAGTGCATCTATGCTCGTGTGTGTCAGTGTGTATGAGTGTATCTGTGCGTTCCTGTGTGAGTGTGTCTGTGTGAGAGTATCTGTGTGTGTATTTGTGTGTGCAACTGTATCTGTGTGTCCCTGTGTGAGCATGCGAGTGTATCTGTGAGTGTCTGTGTGAGAGACTCTATGTGTGAGTGTGTCTGTGTGTGTCTGTGTAGGAGAGTTTAGTTGTAGCTGTGTGTGAACGCATCCCTGGGGGCACGCCCTCTGTTCAGTACTGAGACCCTTGTGTCTGGTGCTGACTCTCCCAGATATCTGGGGAACAGATGGCCCCCCAGTCATCAGGATGGTGAGAGAGAAACTCTTGCTAATGAGTGCTAATTACCAAAAAGGACTAATCCCCAAACAATAAGGCTTCAGTTTTTCAATCAGAATAGAAGTGCTTTGCTGCAGAAATGAGGACCTCCACATTATGCTAATCCTCAGCACGGTGTTTCTGCTGGTGTGCAATTTCTCTGCACTAGCAGCCAAGCTCGGGGCAGGGACCAGGGCCACTGTCACCACAAGGACGAATTTAGGTTAGGGTGAAATTCCCCCATATACACACTAAGGTAGCTCCTCTGTGGCTGCAGGTGACCCAGTGAGGATGGGAGCTGGTTTAGAATCTCTAATTCTCCCATGACCTGCAGAGCTGGGTGGGAGTCTAGCCCCAGGAAGATGAGATGCTGCTCTGAGCAGGTGCAGGGTCTCACCAGGCCCCACCAAGCCCCTTCAGGCTCCACCAGGCCTCACCAGACTCTGCCATGGTCTTCCAGGCCTCACCAGACCTCACCAGGCCTCACCAGGCCCCACCACACTCCACCAAGCTCACCAGGCCTTACCAGACTGCACCAGACTCCAACAGTCCCCACTATACTCCACCAGGCCCTGATTAGACCCCACCAGGCTTCACCAGGCCCCACTACACTCCACCAGGCCCCACCGGCCCCCATCAGGCCCCACCGGCCCCCACCAGGCCCCACCAGCCCCCACCAGCCCCCACCAGGCAGGCTGAATCAAAAGCCATGACAAGCAAACCTGCCTGCCATCAGTACTTAGAGAAATATTGCCCCAGGAAATTAAAACCATAGCACCTAAGCCCGTGCCTGCCTCGCTGGCATAACTTCACACACAGGATATTTCTGTGATTTTTCACCAATCATGGCTGTAATTGGTTACTATAGAAACCCCCTCATTTCTAAGACACCCAGCTGTTATGCAGAAAAACCAACCAATTGCAACAGTGGCAGGGAGAGGTCGATTTGTTTTTCCTCTTCAAGTCTGGTTTCTTCCTTTTTAAAGTGATTGATTTGTTCAGAGAGGAAAAAAAAGAGGGCAGGTGGGCAACCAGGACAGAGGCCCCAGCCCACTCCCAGCAGCCAAGAAATGTGGGGGGCAGGGGGAAAGCCCCTCCCATAGGAAGACGTGTAGGGGCCACTGCTCATTTCTGTGCAAGGCCAAGGGCCCCAGGCTCTGCATTGCCACCAAGACGGCTGAGCTTGGTGTGCTGCCCGGACCTGGTCCTGAGACTCTTGGGGACCCCTTGGTGAGAGGCTGCATCTCTGCAGCAGGAGGACTTGGCTCTATCTCCAAGGACCAGTGAGCAGTACAAACAATCTCTGTCCTCATCCCTTGGGCGGCTCTGAGATGAGGCAGAGCCTGGGAATACTCTTCTCACTGATCCTGCTCAGCCTGGGGCTTGGCCCTGAGCACCTCTCATTTCATGATGAACAGATTTCGGGAGGGCCTCACCCCATAGGGCATCCATGGCACTGTCAGACATGCACCAAGATGGCAGGCGACCCCACACCTCCTCTGGAGGCAGGCCCTGTGGCATGGCTGCCGACCACAGCACCAACCATCAGGAGGCGAGGCTGTGGGGCAGGCAGAAGTGGCACCAGCTCCCCTGAAACTCAAGCATCCACAGGCCCCTTAAGAACATACCGCCCGGCCAGACATGGTGGCTCACGCCTGTAATCCCAGCACTTTGGGAGGCCGAGGTGGGAGGATCACGAGGTCAAGGGATCGAGACCATCCTGCACAACATGGTGAAACCCTGTCTCTACTAAAAATACAAAAATTAGCCAGGTGTGGTGGCGTACACCTGTAGTCCCAGCTACTCGGGAGGCTGAGGCAGGAGAATCGCTTGAACCCAGGAGGCGGAGGTTGCAGTGAGCCGAGATCATGCCACTGCACTCCAGGCTGGAGATGGAGTGAGACTGCGTCTCAAAAAAAAAAAACAAAAAAAAAACGTACCGCCCACATCACACCCACAGAGAGAGCTACAAGCAGAAAGACAGAGAACATGAAGTGCTGGCGAGGACACGAGGAGATGAGAGACCTAGTATGCTGTTGGTGGGAATGAAAACCAGAATGCCTCTGGGCAAAACAGTTTGGCAATTCCTTGGAACCCTAAAGACAGAGTTCCAGGGACCCTGCTGCCCCTCTCTTAGGCACAGACATCTGTCCACATGAAAACCTGCACTGGGAGGCCCAGGGCCACACTCACAACTCACAACAGTCAAAGCTGACTCAGCTCACGTGCCCGTCAGCTGAGGAATGGATAAAGGGGATCTGGCATAATGTTACAATGGAGTATCGTTCAGCCTTTAAAAGGAAGGCAGGATTACTTGATCTATGCTACAATGTGGAAGCACCTTGAAAACCCTGAGCAGGGAAAGAAGCCAGGCACTCAAGGCTACACGGTGCCCGGTTCCGTTTATAGGAAATGCACAGAGTGACCAAATCCACAGAGACAGAAAGATGAGCAATTGCCCAAGGCTTGGGGAAGGGGTAATGGGGTAGGGGGTTTCTTTATGGGGTGACGAAATATTCTGGAATTGTGTGTGGGGGTAGCTGCACAACTCTATGCCTATACAAAACCCACTAAACTGTACATTTGTAATAGGTGAGTTTTGTGCAATGTATATCCCAATACAAATCAAAAGGAACATGCTAGAGAATGGGGTGTGTGCAAGGGTTGTGGGGACAATGTGGAGTGCATGGCGTGGCACCCTAATCCTGGCCCTGGCGGATGGGTGGAAGGCAGAGCGGCCCCCAGAGCTGCAGGCACATGGGCAGGAGGAAGCCATGGAGACTTTGGGTTCATCCACCCAGTCCTCACTGGGACACCCTGAACGTGAGACAGGGTCCCTGCCTGAGCACCTGAGGACCACATCCACACCCTTTGAGAAGAGGCAGGGACAGCTCCCTCTCAGCAGCCTCGAGCCCATGATTTTCAAAGAAAGAATAAACTCCTTGCCACCACCCCCTGCTCCCCAGCTGCTTCCAAATGGGGAACAACTGCTCCGTCTCACTTTATTTTCTAGTTTGTGGCTTTCTTGCTTCTCTTCCTTTTAAATTTTTATTGAAATCTTTTTTCCCGAAGAACAGTTTAATAAGATTTGGTGAATTGAGATTCAATTCACTACCTTCTGTATATTTTCTTCACAGAAGAAAATCACTGTCAATTAAGGGGCCAAAGACATCTCTTCCACTTAAAGTTGCACCTTTCCCCGAGCCGGGAGTGTGCGGCGTGAGCCTCCTGGGAGCAGCTGGTGTCTGCCTTGTGGGAGCACTGGTGCAGTGAGAAGCAGGCCAGGCCCTGGAATTGTTCCACCGGGGAACAGCCCAGAATCTTCAGGGTGGGACAGGACCTTGGAGCTGTGCCTGTGGCCAATCCACCCCAGCCGTTCCACGAAGACACCCACTTCCCGTGACTCCTCCAGGTCCTGTCGTTTACTGGCTCTGGGGCCCAGGAGAAGGATGCTGCATTTGATGGGGAAGTTAGCTTGGCATGGGCTTGTAGCTTCCCACTCTGCAAGCCCCAGTTTTTCTGTCATTCATACCAGTAAGTTGGGGCAGGTGGGCTCTGAGGTCTCCGCCTCCTCGTTGAAGAAGACCCGTGCTTCTACGATCAATAGTTCACAGGGCACCGCTAGAAACAATCTCCAGGAAGCAGAAAGAATAGACACAGACATATTTGTTCTATGACACAGCAGTGCCGTTGGCTTTTTGTGAGTCCATGCTCTTTTGTGGAAGGCCCCACCCAGGAAGTGGACCTCCCTTCCCCGAGGACCCAGGGTCTACCCCTCGGTCCCCAATGACCCGTGTCCAGATGCTTCCTGACTTCCACCCTACTTCTATTGGTTTGCTTCAAAAAAGCTTTTTATTTTAGAATAGTTTAAGACATTCCAAAAAATTCCAAAAGAGCCCAGAGAGTTGCTGGGAACTCATCTCCAGTTTCCCCTCAAGGGATACCGTAGGTCACCATGCCACAGCGTCATGGTGCATAACCAGGAACTACACACGTGGCTTGGACTTCTCCAGTTTGCACTTAGCTTAGCGTCCGTTTTCAGTCCCAGGAACCCATCCAGAATACCACGTGGCATCAAATGGTTGTGTCTCGTTTGGCTCCTCTTGGCTGTGATGGTTTCTCAGGCTTTCTCTGTGGCTGATGACCTTGATGTTCTAAGGAGGACTGGTCAGGGATTGCATAGAATGCTCCTCTTCATTGATTGATTGGTCTGAAGTGTGTCCCGTGATGAGACCGGCCTTCTGTGTTTTGGGGGATGCCCACAGAGAGGAAGTATCTGCCTCATACAGGGTACCCAGGGCACCTGCTCTCAACAGGACCCCTCCCTGCTGAAGCTGACCTTGAATAGCATTTGCCAGGGACGTTTGCCCAGTGCTGTCACTGGGAAGGCAGTCCTGCTCCTTTCCAGAATCTTTGGAAGCAGGTCACTAAGCACAATGCACATTCTTGGAGGGGGAGGAGTACTCATTAAAAAAAAAAAAAAAAAAAAAAAAAAAAAAAAAAGCTCTTCAAAACTTCCCCATTTGGCTTTTGTTGCCATTGCTTTTGGTGTTTTAGACATGAAGTCCTTGCCCATGCCTATGTCCTGAATGGTAATGCCTAGGTTTTCTTATAGGGTTTTTACGGTTTTAGGTCTAACGTTTAAGTCTTTAATCCATCTTGAATTAATTTTTGTATAAGGTGTAAGGAAGGGATCCAGTTTCAGCTTTCTACATATGGCTAGCAAATGGGATCTACTTAAACTAAAGAGCTTCTGCACAGCAAAAGAAACTACCATCAGAGTGAACAGGCAACCTACAAAATGGGAGAAAATTTTCGCAACCTACTTATCTGACAAAGGGCTAATATCCAGAATCTACAATGAACTCAAACAAATTTACAAGAAAAAAACAAACAACCCCATCAAAAAGTGGGTGAAGGACATGAACAGACACTTCTCAAAAGAAGACATCTATGCAGCCAAAAAACACATGAACAAATGCTCACCATCATTGGCCATCAGAGAAATGCAAATCAAAACCACAATGAGATACCATCTCACACCAGTTAGAATGGCGATCATTAAAAAGTCAGGAAACAACAGGTGCTGGAGAGGATGTGGAGAAATAGGAACACTTTTACACTGTTGGTGGGACTGTAAACTAGTTTAACCATCGTGGAAGTCAGTGTGGTGATTCCTCAGGGATCTAGAACTAGAAATACCATTTGACCCAGCCATCCCATGACTGGGTATATACCCAAAGGACTATAAATCATGCTGCTATAAAGACACATGCACACGTATGTTTATTGTGGCACTATTCACAATAGCAAAGACTTGGAACTAACCCAAATGTCCAACAATGATAGACCAGATTAAGAAAATGTGGCACATATACACCATGGAATACTATGCAGCCATAAAAAATGATGAGTTCATGTCCTTTGTAAGGACATGGATGAAATTGGAAATCATCATTCTCAGTAACTATCGCAAGGACAAAAAACCAAACACCGCATGTTCTCACTCATAGGTGGGAATTGAACAATGAGAACACATGGACACAGGAAGGGGAACATCACACTCTGGGCACCGTTGTGGGGTGGGGGGAGGGGGGAAGGATAGCATTTGGAGATATACCTAATGCTAAATGATGAGTTAATGGGTGCAGCACACCAGCATGGCACATGTATACATATGTAACTAACCTGCACATTGTGCACATGTACCCTAAAACTTAAAGTATAAAAAAAAAAAAAAACTTCCCCGTTTGGCAGCTGGAACAGACAGGAGGGAGCAGGACTGGCTAGTGTAAGGGGGTAATTATCCACAATACAGTGGATGGGGAACAGGGCACTATTTTTCCTTTGCTTAACCCCTACCTTCAATGTTCCAAACATTTCTGGGCTTTGGAAACATACAGGGCGTTGTGGGGAGAAGCAGGGTAGAGGGCCCTAGGCTGCCCGGGCTCCATCCGGAGGGCAGACAGCCTGCACTGCCAGGCATTCCTAGCCCAGGGAGCTCGGGGAGGCAGTGGGGAGCCTTCTTGGAGATTTGTTCTCAGGGACATTCAGATGTATCTTCTCCTGGAATGTGGCAGCATATTCTGCTCTTTGCAAAGACAAGAGATCAAAGGGCGTGGGCTCAGGGTCCCCCGGAGCTGGTGGCAAGCCCTCTGTGACTGGGGTTCTGTGTTGGCCATACCCAACCCCTGATCTTTGGATAGGATAAAACTTCAAGTACCTTGGGCCTCTTTCTCAGCATCCTAACCTCCCGCTCGCTGATAAGATGTGAGTTCCACCAGGAAGAGAAATTTGATGTTAGGTGGGATGCGAGATTTCAGCTCAGATGTGAAAATGGCCTCGTTATCCCTAAACTCTCCTCTAATTCCAAGTTCCCTGGTGGTTCTGCCCTTGAGAGAAAGGGAAAGTGTCTCCCAAAGCAGATAGACTTCCATCCCTTTCCCCTTCACAGAAGAACCTCTGACTCCCCCAACTCAAGAGCAGGCTCGCTCTGTGTCCCCCCGAGTCACCACCAGGACGGTGCAGATGGCTTCCCACTAAATTTCAGAGCAGAGGCCAACCCCCTCTACTCAGGGGACATGGCCATCCCCCAGTCTCAGTCCCCAGCCCTGGCGCAGGAAGGGAACACCCACTTTCTTCTGCAGTCCCTGGTTCAATTTCTCTAATGAAAACACATTAAGCCGTGAATCACTTTCGCGGCATTCCCAGCCTGATGTCATTGTAATGTCCTGTCAGAGCCACTCCGCGCTCTACCTCTTGATTTAATATGATTGAAAACATCCCTCCCTTTTGGAAGGGAGCTCCAGGGTGCCTAGGGGCTTTCATCATCACAGGCCCGGACACGTCCAGCGCGCATGCGATACTTGACTCACGGAGAAGCAGTAGCGTAAAGATGACTCATTTGGGTCGGACAGAAACCTCCAGAACACAAGAAGGCTTTCTGAATCCCATCGCGGAATCTCTGGCTACTCTCCTCCCCCAGAGCTTGGAAATCAGCCCTGGTTGTCTGGGGGCTTGCCTCCCAATGCCCCATCCCCAGGACAGCAGGTCTAGCTCCTGCTCTGAGGTCAAGGCCCACGAAGCTTCCCCAGACAGCTCTGGGAGGCGGCCCAGAACCTGGGGTGGTCCCGGGATAGTGTAGAGGAGAGTACCCAGCGGAGGCTCCTCTCATGAGCCAAAATCGCCTCCTCCCTGCCCCAGCACACCAAGGGCCACACTTACAGGGAGGAGCACTCCCTGCAACTCACCCGCTGGCCTCACCGGGAGCCCCAGGACGCCCCAGACGGAAGGGACCATGACAGCGGTCTGGCCCAGTCCACTCCAAGGCATTTTCCTTAAGCTGATAATGCCTGGGACCCCAGGAAGGGTTGTGAACCTTCACGAAGGGTTCCACGGTCAAGCCCTTGGGCAAAGCAGTGAGCTAAGTAAGCAAAGCCAAACTCTCTAACTGACCTCCTTTCCACAGAACATCTTGGGAACCGGTGGATCGGTACTTTGCAGGCCATACGTGACAAAGCACTAATCTTAACCCAAACCTGAATGATGCCAGTGTGAGACCCCAAAATGGAGTGGCCTGATTCAAGTCACAGTGAGCTGGCCTCTGATCAGGACTCAGAGTCTAGGCCTCAGGGAACCTGAGATCTCTGCTCAGGAACGAGGTCCCAACAACCCTGCAGCTGTAGGAGCAGGGACACATTAGAACACTGGGGACACGCTGGAATATTGGGGACATGTTAGAATACTGGGGACACATGAGAACACTGGGGACACGTTGGAATACTGGGGACACGTTAGAATACTGGGGACACATGAGAACACTGGGGACACGTTAGAACACTGAGGACATGTCAGAACACTGAGGATATACTAGAAAACTAGGGCAAAATCAGTAACTCCTGTGACCTGTAATTTCAGGGACTACTTCCTGGGCAATCTATGAATGGCTGTGCATGGCGGGGTGTTGGGGGAGGAAAGGGAAGGGAGGTGAAGGTGGCTGTGCCCTGTGGGGAGGGACATGGGGCACACCTTGCGCCTGGCAGGTGCCACCCTGCATCTACGCAGCATCACAGCCCAGCGGCACATCAGGCCTCCGTGAACCACGTGGCCCCTCCTTGCAGAAGATGGTAAAAACGGCATCCTGTGGTACCACAGACCATTTAGACACATCACCAGTTCTCATCTAAGGGTGATTTTGCCCCTCAGGGGACATTTGGCAATATCTGGAGACATATTTGGTTGTCACTATTCAGGTTTGCTACTGGCATTTAGTGACAGAAGCCAGGGATGCTTCAACACATCCTGCAGTGTAGACAGACTCCACCACAAAAGACCAGAGGGCCGAGGCTGGGAAACCTGATGGCACGGGCACCACTTGCTCCTCCCAGTCCCAGTAAGGGAGGAACGATGGTCTCATCTCCAAGAGGAAAGAGGCTTGCAGGCCATGCAGCTCTCCATGGCTGACCTACAGCTGCTCCCAAAACAGCATGGCGTGGGGGTGACATGAGACGGCTTTGGTGCTTGGCACTGCAACCCGCCAGCTGCGTAAGCAAAACTAACCCGTGTAACCAACCTATGCTTCAGTTTTCCCACCTGTACACCTGCCACCGAGTGGCAGGGGTGTGCGGGAGACTAGACGGTGCATATTTTAAGCCTGGTTCTTTGTGACTGCTCACGGGAGCACCCAGCACTCCTCCACTCCCATCCCCTTTCCCCAGGAGCTCTGGAGCACGGAGTCTGCAGCAACTTTGGGGCACGGGGGATGTTGCTCGACAGCCTTCGCAGGTGCTTGGAGGAGACTGAAGGATAGCAACGGCGCTGGCGTTCTGGTTGCCTGGGCAACGTGCCCGCGAGCATTCTGGAGGAGTGAAGTGGTGACAAGCAGTGTGTGGGCAGGACGGTGGGTGGCAGTGTTCTCAGTCCCTGGGAGGGGAAACCTGGCTCTGTGTCTTAGCTGAGCCTCTGCTGCTGGGCCCCGCTCCCCTGTCCCTCCTGCAGGACAATTCCACAGGAAGACAGAGGGGAGGCCAGTCCAGACCAGCTGCCCCACGAAGGGCCCCACAGGTCCCCTTGGTTCAGCCTGCTCCTCCATCACATCTGTGCTCTCTGGGCAGCACTCAGGATGTGAGCAGTGCAGCCTCGGCTGCTGGGCAGCCTAGCCAAGTACCCCAGGCCACCTCCTGTGCTTCCCCTGCGTGTGCGGACAAAGTTCCCAGACTGGGCCCCCAGCACGAGCTACCCCATCCCAGCGCCAAGCCCTAGCTCCTCTCCATCTCCCCCTGAGCAAAGGGACAGACTGGCAAAAGACGCGAATGGGGCAGGATCAGAACTCACTGGCTGGGAACCTCATCCCCTGGGGGTCAGCTCAAAGGGAAGTGGCTCAGAAGAGCTCTGGGAGGGCAAGGTCTATTGTGCAAAGCCAAGGAGAGGTTCTCAGCCTGGGCCTCACATGAGGATCCTCTGGGGTGGGGGAGGAGGGAGTTCAGAAAATGCTGAGGCCCAGGCCTCAGGCAGATCCACTCATGGGCGCCTGTGGGGGCGAGGCCCAGCATCGGTATGTTGTGGAAGACCCCAGGGTACATCCCGGGTTAAGAGCTGAGGAGTGTCCCCAGGGCCTCCCTCAAACCTGGTTTGATCCTACTTTATGGCCATTTCAACCCGAGATACAGCATGTGGGTGGTGGGCAAGAAGGGTGCCACAGGCTGGCCCGGTGATGAGGGCTCTTCAACAGCAAAGAAGGAGGTGTATCAGGAGCACACAGCTGCCCTGGCACCACGTGACATGGCCCCTTCCGGAGCTCGGGGCCTCAGCCAGAGCTGCCAGGCCAGGAAGACGCTCAGGGGAGAGCTCTACGCAATCGTGCAAAGACACAAGCACCATCACACAGATGCATATTTAACTAGAGAAAACCAAACTGAAGAGGACGGCACGCAGAGAGAAAAAGACGGCGTAGGATACTAAAATAATACCCCACAGGGATTCAGCCACAGCTACATACCAGGCAGTGAGCTAAGCATCTCACAGGAATTGTCTCATGCCGTTCTCACAGTAACCCTAGGGGAAGAGTTGGCATTGACTCTCCTCTTGCAGAAGAAGGAAAAACACAGAAATAGTAGCTGTGTCTTTCTCTGGAATGAAGTCTCTTAAAAATACAACTCAAAGAAGGTGGGGCTCAGGGAGGGAAGTTTTCGGCTGCAGGGAGATGTTGGTTCTAGGAAGGATGTGTCCCTCCAAAGGCTTCAGATTTTCAAGACAGCTCCATCATCTCTCCTACATTGGGAAAATGCATTCCTCACAGAGAGCATTCCACAGATCACCCACACTGTTTCCCGGTGACAGCGCTATAGCTCATTCTTGATGGTCTTGTCCCTGAAAAGGGAACTGAGAGGAATAAATGTCAGGTTATCGCCAGCTTCCAAAACACTCACTGCAGCCCCTCTGTCTTCATAGGAAATATCTATTTTGGTTTCGTTGCAATTGTTATGTTGGTATTTACGAAACTCGGTATGCATGCCAGGCGCTTTTGAAGCCAACCAAGGATGGGAGGAGAACAGCAAAGGCTCTGCCTCTGGAAACAAGTACGTGGCTGTTCCGTGGGTTTCTAGAATTTGAAGAGAGGAAAAGAATGGCATTGGTGGAGGTGGGCAGGGTGCAGCGTGGGGCCAGGAGAGCAAGATGGTCAAGAAGCAGCTTGGGGTCAGGTGGGTTTGGGCAGAGCATCAGCTTCCCAGCGGGCCCACTCACCACGCACCCTGGGGCGAGCCCCTTCACCTCACTGGGCCCCAGGGTGGGTGTGACAATGACCAGATGCTACCCTTGTTAGGAGTGAGAAGGAGGTTCTGGACTCTGGCGACAGGAGGCCACGCCCCCAGGGCAGCAGTGTGCCCTGTGATGGAGGGGGTACACAGCTGCAGGTGCACCGGGGAACCAGGAGCAAGGCAGAGGCCAGGACCTAGGACCCCTTAGCTGCCTGCAACCCTGCCCAAGCCACTCCCCGCTGGACCATCCTTAGTACAAGCTGCAGCCAAGGGCTTCCATTCCAGGGGCACCACTGAGAGGGGCTCAGTGTGGCTAAGGCACCTTGAGTTCTGGCACATCGGAGGGCACACAGTGAGGAGGACAGAATCAGGAGTTTCAGAACTCAGAGCCATGGCCAGGGGTGGGCCTTATAAAAGAACTGAAATTACAGAAGGAGCTAGAGCAGCTCAGAGTTTCCTGGGAGGCACCCACATGTGTGACGGTCACACCGAGGAAGGATGACCACTCCTCAGGTGGCCAGGGGAGGAGGCCCTGTGGTTGACTGAGGGTGGGAGAGGGCCAATGACCTTGAAGGTTCTTCTGAGTCTGTGATCACTGGATTTCGGCGGGAGGGGGAAGGCCGGCCTGGCCTCACACAGCTGAAGGTAGGTACAACAGCCCACCTAAGGTGATGTGGAGACCTCAGAAGTCCTCAAACAGCCTTCTCCATATCCTGCTGTGAACATCACCATCCCCAGTCCTTTATATCTGAATGTAAATGACGCCTTTGCAGGGGACCAAGGTCTGTGAGATGAAGACTCATTTGGTGGCCTCCAGGGAGCATGTGGCTCCTGAGAATAAGCACAGCCCTAGAGGCTCTCAGGGGACAGCGGCGTGGGGGCAACATGTCCTCCGGCCTCAGGCCCCTTAGCGGCCCATCTAGTATTCCACATTCATGGTGACGAGCAAAGAACATAGTGACGGGGAAACACGCTGGCACGGCCAGAGGTGAGATCATCCGTGTAAATCACTCAACGGAGGCCGTGGTTCTGTCTCATCTTCAGCTATAGAAAGTTCCCATTTTCTCATCAGGAGAGGAAATGAAAAGAAGCGAGGCTCTGCTGCCTCACAGGAGATGCCGCGATGACTGCACAGCTTAATCTCCTGCCGGCTGCCCGCCACCACCCCACGCTGGTGCAGAGTGAAGCTGGCTGGAGGAAAAGAGCACAGAACGCGGACTTAGCGGTCCCCTTGGCTCTTGCTTCTCCTCCGGCCACTGGAACGCTGCCCTGAGGACAGGCCCAGGACCAGGCAGGTCCAGATCCAGCCCATTAGTGGCCGCTGCATCTTGGCCCTGCCTTTGCTGAGGTGGCTGTGCCACGGCTCAGCTCCTGTCCAGGTCGTCCTGGGACCATCTTGTTAGACGTGTGCACACCCTCAGGGACAGACACGCTACTCTCCCCATGTTACCCATGAGGGGCTGGCGTTTTGGAGATGGTGGCGCACCTGCCCAAGGTCACTAGCTAGTAGGTGCCACCACATGGACCTGGCACCAGCCTGTGGGACTCACGTGCCCACCTTGAAACTGCACAGAGGAAGGGGAGCAAGTCCAGCCATGGTCACTCAGAAGTAGAAGAGGACTGGGAAGAGTTGTCCTGAGGTGATGTCACTATAGTACCAGCCACCATCAGCATTTTCCCAGCCTCTGTTTGAACACAAACCATGACAGGGAACTCATTACCTACAGTAACCACTGAAAAATGCTGGCCAGGGCCTCTGTTGGAAAAGCATTCCTTGTGCGAAGCCACAAATGGCTTCCTTTGATTTCTCCTCCACTCCCATTGCCAGCCCTGTGCTGTGGGCACCCAGGACGAATCTAATCCTGTGCCACACTCACATATACAGGTCACATGTGCATAATGCACACACACAGACACACAAATGCAGGCATGCACAGAACACAGGTGCACACATACAGCCACATACAAACTAATACAGTCAGGCATGCACACACAGAATACAGCCACACATCTGTACATGCAACCTGAGTGATACATGCATATACAGAAAACACAGGCACATAGACACACATGCACAAACTAACATACACACACAAACACAGGTGCACACACACACACCATGTGTGCGTAGAGAAAGCATGCACACATACACACATGCACATGTGCACATACAGAGACACACATACACACAGAACATGCAGAGACACACACGCACACAGAACATGCATGCATGTACACAGTCATATGCACACATGGAACACAGGTGCATACACACAAACACATCTTGTGTGCATACAGAGAAAACATGCACACATATACACATGCACATGTGCACATGCAGAGACACACATGCACACAGAATATGCCTGAATGCACACACAGTCATATGCACACACAGAACGCAGGTGCGTGCACACACAAACACACCATGCAGGCACAGCCAGTACACAGATGCACATGCACACACAACAATCACTGGCTGCGGTTTCCAAGTCCTTGCAAGGTTCCCTCTGCAGCCTGGCTGTGAAATCCCACCGCCTTGGCCACCCCCCGGGCATAAGCCGTCTCCCTGGGTTCCCAAGTGGAGTGTCTAGAGCAGATGCAGCCCGGCATACAGCTGCCCTGGCGGCTGCCCGTCAGCATGGGGATGAAGCACTGTAGGTTGGGTAATTCCTTCCCAAAGGGACACAGCATAGCCAGGGCAGCCAGGCAGCCCAGGGACAGGGCTCCCCTAGGGCTGGAACTTCCAACTCCCCCTAATGAGATCATCGCATCCGGAAGCTGTTCCTGAGAAGGTGTCAGGAGGACACTTGTCCTGACACCTGTTAAAATGTCTGGCATGTGTCGCAGCCTTTCCAGCAAGCCCTGGTGCTTCTGAGCAGTGGCTGTGACTTGAAGGGGGAAAAAACAGTTTCCTGGGAAAGCCTACATTTCTGAATGACCAGGAGCCAGCACTGCCTGGGCCAGGGAGCCTCCCTGCTCCCCCCCTCAACCCAAAACCCCTGCGTCTCAAGTTCTGGTTGGCTTTTTATAGGAGCCATTCCCTGACCACCTGCTGGCTGCTTCCAAGGAGAGATGGGTTTCAGACACACACAATTCTCCACTCAGGACAGGGTTTACTGTGATTATCTAGAAAGTTCTCCCCCCAGACACAAATGGCCATGGAGGTATTGATGAACCCCCCAGTACGAGAGAACTGAGAATGGGTGCAGCAATGTCATCCCACAGGATCACGCTCCTGTCTCCCTGAGGCTCTGTTAGGGGCCGACTTGGGTCTCCTCAAGTTCATATGTGGAAGCTCTAGACCTTGGTGTGACTGCATTCGGAGAAAGGGTCTTTACAGAGGTAATTAAGTGAATACGAGGGTATTAGGGTGGGCCCTAATCCAATAGGGACTTAAAAGAAGAGATGAGAACAGACACACAGAGCCAAGACCATGTGAAGATACAGGGGAAAGGCAGCATCTACAGGCCCAGGAGCGGCCTCAGCAGGAACCAGCCCTGCAGACACCTTGATTCTGGACTTCCACCTTCGAAACTACGAGGAAACACATTTCTCTTCTTTAAACCACTCAGTCTGTGGTACTTTCTCACAGCAGCCAGGCCAGCCTGAATCTGCACCTGTTCCCACTCTCCATCTCCACTCTCCCCTGGAGCCTCATGGCTCGAGGTACTGTGTTTGCAGGGAACACTCACAAGCACGGGCCCACCTTGGTCTCACCTTGCCTGGCCAGCCGTTGGCCTCCTGACCCTCATGGGCAGCTCACAGTGGAAACTCAGCATGGGCCCCGCAAAACCTTTGACCACTTCTACACAGTGTGCTCACCAAGGTGCCCAAATGCCACCACCACTCACCACGGAGTGCAGCAGGAAGCCTCCAGCCATCGCAGCCCACCCTTTCCTCATGGTCCCAAAATACTTGCTCATAGGCCCTGCCCATCCTCCCTCCTGCAGGAGCTCTCTCTCAGTCCCTACATGGCCACTCCCTGTAGGGAGGGTAGCATCCCTGCCTCCATCCACACAATGCCCACAGCACCCTCTCCCAAGTTGTGACAACCAAAAATGTTCCAGACATGGCCACAGGTCCCCTGGCGGCCAAAGTACCCCCAGTGTAGAGCCTTGGGTCCGTCCACTCCTCTCCCCACCACCTTCTCAAGCCATGGTCCCATCTGACTCCTGGCCTTCTCCGACCCTCCTCCAGCTTCCATCCTGGCTCCCCATAATCCAGTGTCCGTCCACTCAGCTGCCAAAGCAATACTGAGGCTAACCTGACCATGACCTCCCTTCCTGCACAGCCTCCTCTGTTCGCTTCCACTGTGCTCACAACCTAAAGCTCCCAGGGCTGCCCCTACCCATGCTCGGCTCCCCGGGTACCTGCTGGCTGTAGGTCCCACCCCCAGCTGCGCACCTGCTCTCTGCAGCCACATGGGGCACCAGCACTTCTCATCCTTCACCCCAGCTGAGCATTATCTCCTTACCTCCACCTGCCCACCAAGGGGAGACCCCTCGCGTGACCCACGAGCTCATCTCCTTGTCAGTCTGGTCATTTAGTTTCTGAGAGTTTACAGTTTGTAATGTTCCATCTGCTGTGGGCCTGGACCACTCGGGAGTTTATGCTCCAGGAGAACAAGGACGGTGTCTGTCCCCCTGACCAGGGCGTCCCAAGGAGCAGAACAGGCCCAGGGAAGAGGAGTCTCCCAAAGATGTTTGTTGAGAGACTGAATGAATGAATGGTGAGGTGACATGGCCACGCCAAGCCTCACTTTCCTTCATGTGTCAGAGAGAAAATAATACTTGCTGTGCAGGGCTCAGGAGCTGAGAGCCAGGCTTCATAAGCACCCACTCTGCTCAATTACAAGACCACCACTGTGGGGTGGGGGGCTGGGATTATGACGACATCTGATCGTTTAGGGGCCATCCCCCCCCGGCAAAGGAGCTGAGGGCATGAAGTGGGTGCAGACTGGCACCCGTGCCCCTGGGCTGAGCTGGTCGTAATGGACTACGGGAGGCTCACCCCGCCCCTCCCAGCTTTACGGGGCCCAGTGGCCACCAGGAGCAGCCCTGGGGGTGTGCTGGGCAGGTGCAGGGGCAGCCCCAACACGGGTCTACCCTCCTTTGCTCACCCTACCCCACCTGCCTTGTGAATGAGGCCTCACTTTTCCCGGCACTGCAGTGGGCTGGAGTGTCCCCAGAAGCTTCTGTGGAAATGTAATCCCTGTGCCACAGCACTGAGGTGGGACCTGTAAGAGGTGAGGGGGCCCTGAAGGCTCTGCCCCCTTGAATGGCTGAATGCCATTATCTCCCCCAAGTGGGTTCCTGATAAAAGGACGCGTTTGGCCCCTTCCTCCCCTCCATGTGCTCTCTTGCCCTCCTGCTTCCACCACGGGATTACACAGCAAGAAGCCCCAGCGAGACGTGGGCCCCTTGACCTTGGGTGCCCCAGCCTCCAGAACTGTGAGAAATAAATCTCTGCTTTTTATAAAATGCCCAGTCTCACATATATTGTTAGAGCCGCATAAAACAGGCTAAGACAGGCACTAATCAAGTCTGACATGAGCTGGCAACTCTTCCTCCCCTCCCGCTCCCAGTCCCCTGATGCCCAAAACACAGGCTGTCAGCCCCACGTGGGGAGGAAGGGCCATTCTGCAGCCAGCTGGGTTTGGGCTCTGGTGCCTCCAAGGAAGGCTTGGACGCTCAGTCTTAGCCCAGAAGCCCTACCTGCTCCTGCTTAGGCCTCCTCCAATCCCTCCCCCCGCCCCCTGCCTCCAGGAAGCCCTCCATGACTCCCAGTCCCCCATGGGGTTCTTCCCTCCGAAGCCGAGAGTCCCTCTCCATCAGCACATGCCCCTGACGTCCCCTGACCACGGGCTGCTTCTCCCCTCAGTTGAGTGGCCTGGTGTCTAAAGTTCCCATGGGCGCCTCCCCACTCGGGTGGGCCTTTGAATCCTGGGCAGCATGGGGCCTTCATGGGGGCTTCTCCAAGGTTTCCTCGGTTTCTCCCCATAAACTGGGAGAAAATCCAGCCCTGTCAACCTCCCTGGGCCATGGTGAGGGAAGGGTGGCTTCCAGGAAACTGTAAAGCACAGCTGAGGTGGGCATTTATGAAGCTCAATTCTTATTTAGTATTAATTACACTGTAATAGAAATATTAACTGCTTATTTTTATACAATTATTTGATAGCCACCTAATAAAGCAGCTGCAATGAGCACTGGGTTCCAGAATGGGGCACACCTCGTCCCTTCCCTGTCCAGTTCCAGCACAGAGCACAGGGCTGAGCTTGGAAAAATGTGCACTTAATGCCTGTTCGTGGGCCAACAGACAGAGGAACCCAGATGGGGAGTTCACAGTCCACTGAGGGAACAGGCATTTCAGCTGACAAGACCTGGAGGGAGGACAGCAGAGTGCCAGGGTGGCTTCATCTCTGCTTGGCTGAGCCTGGAAGGCTGCTTGGAGGAAGTGATGGGTCTCCAATGCCAAGTAGGAGTTGACCCGGGACAGGAGGCAGGGAGAGAAGGAATGATGAGGCTTGATTTGTGGGGTCCACTAGGGAAGGCCCCGCCATGGTCAGGAGGCCTGCGGAGGCCAGGCTGGGGCTGAGCTATTTTTCTCTTTTCCCAGGAAGTTCCTCCCGGATGCCTGGGGTGGGGAATTTGGGGGCAGGTGCTTCCTTGGGACCCAGCCAGCAAAGCAATTACAAGTCCTCGTAATGATGAGTCCCACGGAGGCTATATCCCTCTGCTGCACCCTCAGACGTGCCCCCCAGCCTCTCCTGCAGGCTGAGAGGCCAGAAGGGAAAGGGCTGCATGAGGGGCCCAGAGACGGAGAGAGGAGAGCAGCCCAGGGCGCGGGGTGAGGAGCCCGAGAAGCCCTGACAACCCTGTCCTGGTGGCGGGAGGCAGCGGCGGGAGGCAGCAGCAGGAGCCTGCCTGGCACAGTGAGTGCCTCTGTGCCTAAGTTTCCTCACCTATTAAGCGGGGCTGACTCCTAACCCTCGAGAAGGCGGCAACGATGCAGAGATAATAGATCCACGCAGGGCCGGCCGGGCGCCATGCCACCTGCCATTCCCGGAAGGAGCACAGGGCTGAGGGCCTCGGCCAGTCTCAGGGACACCCGGCCTGGGGCAAAGGCTGTTCTTGGCTCCCTCCAACCCCGTCCCCACCCCACGTCTGACCTACACCCTCTTCTGAGCCCTGGAGACCCTTGTCCCTCTGCAGGTCCCTGACACTCCTGAGTCAGGAATAGGAGAAAACTGATTTTCCCGCAGGCTCAGGAGGGGAAGAGGCAGGGCTCCCTGCCAGGCGGTCCTGGGTCTGCAGGTCATGGGCCCCCTCTGAGCGCTTGTCCCCCACACACGTTTTCACCACCGACCTCAAAGACCTTGCCTTGTGCCTTTCTCTCTGCCACTTGCGCCTGCCCTACTCCTCCCTTCAGGTCCTGGCCCTCCTTCCTAAGCCCCCCTGACTCCTGGAGTCAGCGGGTGGGTCGCTTTTGCCATCCGATGGCAAGCACCAGTGTCTGCCCGGGTGTTCCCCGAGCCCGGAGTTAGCTCCGACTCTCCTCCAGCACCAGGGCTTTTGGTCAAGAGGCACACAGGACCTGGAGGCCCAAGCTCCTCTCTGGAGCCACTCCCGGGCCTAGCACAATTCCCGAGCCCCACTGTGTACCCAGCCCAAAGGGCCAGCAGGCGGCAGAGATACCTGTCACCTAAAGCACTGGCCCTGCTGACGACAGAAGCACAGGGCACCTCGTCCACAGCCTCCACAGACTCTGTGGCCTGGAGAGGACAAAGGGAGGCGGTCAGTGTGCCCGGCCTGACCCTGGCTGCCCAGCTCCAGCCAACCTGGGAGAAGGTGGCCTGGTCCCAGGAAGGCCAGGAGGGAGGGAGGAGCACCCGAGGGTGGCTGGACACCCCAGCCCCAGATGCTCTTTCCCAAACAGGAATGGAGTCTGTTCCGGGAGCCTGATGGGGACTCTGGGCTCCTGGCTTCTGGTCCCAGCTTAGTCACGACCATAAGCACAGTGAGCTCACGGCCATGAGTCACCTACAGTGCATCAGCCTGTGTTTCTGACCCTGGATTTGGAATCTCGCTCAGTGGCCCTCCTCACCCCAGGCCTCAGCCTGGCACCCCTGGCTTCAGGCTTATCCAGTCCACACAGTGACCAGGCAGACATGGCCTGCCCTTCTGTGAGGCTGAGTCCAGCACAGGGGATAGGAGTCAGACCCAGGCCAATGACCCAGTGCGCACTTGACCCCCAAGGTCCCTGCTCCCTGGATAAGAAGTCAGGTGGACTCAGGCATAGACGCCCCTTGCTCAGGCACCAGCGGCCGAGTGGAGGCTTCCCTCCTGGCAGAAATGGTCCCAGGACCTGAGTGTGGAGAGAACTCAGGGAAGTTCTCTCTCTGTGGACCGTGTGGCCTGGGACAGCTGTTTATGCTTTGTGTCCCCATCTGTAAAATGGACACTAAGATGCCTGTCTCCGGGATTGGTGGAGAGGATCAGATGAAATAAGGTCTGTCTGGATCCAGGACTCAGGCACAGTGACACCCAATAAAAGTGGGGGACACCGTGTTTCTCCCAGACAGGGGCAGTGCTCTGCAACCACCAGCCAAGAGGCGCAGAAAGCAGCCGCGACGTCCCCTCTCCCGTACTGCAGCCACCTCCACGCGCCCCTGGTGACAGCTCCTGGTTGTGGCTCCATGACGAAGAGAGGGCGTAGCTGTGGGGGCTGCCAGTGGCCATTCCACGGGCTCCCATCCTTGAAACAAGAGGTCACACAAGTAGCTGAAAGTGGGGAAGGGCTGGACTTTGCAGACCCAGCTCAGCATCTGGGACCTCTTGGTGGTGGGAGGGTGGGCAGCAGCCCTGCCTCAGGAACAGGCCCTGGTGACAGTGAAGGAGCGGACTGACTTCAGAGGCCACAAACCTCCTGGAGGGTCTGGATGGGCGCATCCCCTCCTCGGGCCTCCTGGGGGTTTAGGGACATTTCCTGGCCCTGGGCACTGGTGTCGCCCCATGCTCCACACTACCCCTCCAGGGCAGGCACTGAGTCTTGTCTTTGTCAGCGAGTGGGAAATGCATCCATCGTTGGCCAGGTGTGCACCAAGTTCTACAGGGCCAGGAGGGAGCGGGGCTGGGGGGGTCTCAACCGGGGGCAGTGATGAAATGTGGATGCTGCCCCAGGCCAGGGAGCCTGGCTGAGGGACAGTCACCCCTTTTCTCGTTGGAAGGAAAGCAAGAGAACCAGCCTCTCCCCTGACCTGCCCCTCCAGGCTCTCATCCCCTCTGCTGCTGGGCATCCGCGAGAGGGGGCGGCCTTGGCGGGGCTGTTTCCCAGCTGCCAGGATTTCTCTGCCTCTCCTGAATTTTTCCAAGGCTCAGCTGTGCTGGGAGCTTTACAGCTTGAAAGCGGGTTCACGCTCGTGCTCATGCCGGATGCTCATGACTCCTGGGAGCAACAGTCAACCCCGAAAGCTGTGTTTCAAGGCGGAGGAAACGGATCCTCCAAATCCAGTATCCTGTCATGGTGCTTCTCACCCACGGAGCTGAAACCAAGACCAGGCCATCCAGGCACCCCCATCCTGCACCTTGTCTGGCCTTCACCTGCCACCACTTCCAGCCAGGGCCCCAGGGGCCATCGGCTCAGAGGCTTCTGGCCCCTCTGCCCTGTGCATGATCCTGCCAGGAACGCCCCCCGCCTCCGCCTTCCTGGGCCTTGCGTTCCTGGCCCTCCGCCTCCTCGTGGGTGGGCTGCGCGAGGCTCCACTCTCCTTGCCAATAAATCAGAAAATAGGTATTTTAGGTGCAACAAATTGCTTGTTTAGTTGTTAATCGGGCAACCCTTTGGCAAGGGAAAAACAATTTAACCGCCTTAATCAGCTGAATTCATACCAGGCGCGTCGTTCTGATTTATCGGTAATTGTCTCTGAAACCTCTTTTGGGGCGAGGACGTCGGTGTGTTTCTCTCTCTCCCTATACTCTGTCAGGGACCGTTCTGGACACCCATTCCCTCTACATGACCTCAGGAACTGAAGACCGAAGCCGCAGGCTACGGTCCCCAAAGAACCCTCACCCCCTACAGGCGAGTGAGGGGGGCAGGCGGGGTCTCAGACTCTTGGCCTGAGCACGTATGTGAGAGGCTTTCTTCCCACTGGTGGGTACTGGAGGGGCACCCGCTGTGAGTGAGCAGGGCAGGGTGGCTCACCAGATGCCTCCCTGCCTCAGTTTCTCCACCTGTAGAAGGGAGATAATGGGCTCAGCGTCCTCCTGTGAACTTCCTGAGTTAATACAGTTCGAGTATGGGGTCATCGCCATGGCAAGGAAAACAAGAAGGGCATCACGATCCTTTCTTTTTTTTTTTTTTTTTTTTTTGAGACGGAGTCTCACTCTGTCACCTAGGCTGGAGTGCAGTGGCACGATCTCAGCTCACGGCAACCTCTGCCTCCCGGGTTCAAGCAATTCTCCTGTCTCAACCTCCTGAGTAGCTGGGATTGCAGGTGCACGCCACCACGCTCGGCTAATATTTTTATTTTAGTAGAGATGGGGTTTCACCATATTGGCCAGGCTGGTCTCGAACTCCTGACCTTAGGTGATCCGCCTGCCTCGGCCTCCCAAAGTGCCAGGATTACAGGTGTGAGCCACCGCACCTGGCCCCATCAGGATCCTTTCTTTTCCAGAAGTCTATTTTCAGGTTAATCACTTGTTTGTTTTTAAGTGAGAAGCTACACCTTGAATGTTTTCACTACATAAGACCGTGTTTGAATGTCAACCGGAATAGTTATGTTTCTCACAGGTTGCATTTCACCTGAGGACTTCAGTCTCTCTCTCCCTCTCTCACTGTCTCTCTTGGATGACACCAGCCCCGTGTGGTCACAGTGAGTACATGTCCCCACTCCCCCCGCATGCCAATGCCCTGGGCAACATGCCACCAACCTCCGAAGTGTCACTTCCCTCCCAAGACTACGGGGCGCTCCGAGGGACCCCCGTCTCACTGGGGCCACCGCTCCAGCCTCGTCCAGCACAGCCCAGCCTCAGCTGCCCCCTTCCCCATCCTGGCTCCCCACTGCTGCGTCCTCCAGCCTCGGCAGAAACACCTCCTCCCCTGGAGGCCTTCCAGCTCACTGGGACAGGCTGGACCCCAGGGAGAGGTTCTGTGGGCCCTGCTCTTCACCAGTGGCCACTTAGAACTGCAGCCCCTTCCTCAGCTGTGAAGGCTTTGTTCATCGTTGGCCTCCTGTGTGATCTGGGGTCTCAGTTCACCTCTGTGTCCCCAGCACCTCCCACACAGAGGCCTGGCGGATGAAGGAGGCTGAATGAATGAATGAGTGAATGGATGGATGGATGAATGGATGGAGCTGGTGCCCCTGCCCTTCCTTGACACCTCCCTGGGCTGGGCGTTCTGCCTGGGCTGACTCCCTTAGCACGGAGCTCTCGTTCTTCTCAGAGTGACAGGGACGTTCACTCTACGATTCAGTTTGGCACTGAACAGCTGTGGCTCGAGTCATCACAATCCAGGTGCCAATGTCCTATTTTCCTAAAGCAGCCGTAGCCACCAGACAGCAGAACCTTCCACTGTCCTCCCCTGAAACTCCTTGTTCCTTCTCTGTCTTATTTGGTCACATTTGACCTTTGCCCTCCCCATGGACCGCAGGGGTCTTGGTCCCAGCCCAGAGGCTGCCCCCAGGCTGCCCGGACCAAGGCTTGACCTCACGCTGAGCATGACCTGAATCAGTGCTTTGAGGCTGATGGAGGGCGTGCCAGCATTTCTACACATTTTTACACTCCGCTTAAGGGAACGTTATCTCCAAATAACAGCTGAGGCACCAGTCATGGGAGATTGTGGAAACCCATCCACGGCTTCCCAGAATAAACTCTCCCAGGGTCTCACTACATAGCGAGTGCCCATGGTGGCTTTCGAGAGGCGTTCAGGTCCTCAAGCCTGCATTCTGGCTGTGATCATGATTTCTAAAACTAAATTATTGTCCATGTCTATGGAATGGATTCTGTAAAGAGGAGGAAAGGAAAGAGCGAGGAAAAGGCCTACACAGAGGTTGGAAGTAGGGATGGGGCTCCAGGTTCCTGTCCCCATCCGTGGTGAGGACATGGCCTTGCAGGGGGTTGGTTGTGCTCTGCAGCTGGCAGAGGCAGCCCTGGTCAACTTGGGCAGGAAGTGGGCAGCCCAACCTCACGGGCACTCCATCAGCTCTGACCCCTCGGCAGAAGTGGAGATTCCCTTTGCTTGGAGGTTGACATCCTAGAAGCAGGGCTAATAAAAGTGAGTGCATCAGAGAACGGAGGCCACACTGAGAGACTGGAGGGCATGCAGCTTTTGCAGGCTGAAGGGGGCTCACCTCGCTCCAGAGCCAAAGGCCAGGGCCACACTGGCCTCCTGACCTCAGCCGGGAAGAGCAAGCCTTTCTAGAAGAGCTCCATCCACGTGGGCATCTAAGTGACTCTTCCTTTTTATTTCATGGCGTTGAGATCGGAACAGTAACAGTGAGAAATGAATTCCCATTGAAGGCCTCCTGCTCGGCAAAGCTCTGCGGAAGGCTGGCGTGGGCTTATGCGCTCCCGCAGAATTAGTGTATTATCCATAAAGACTGGGGTTTATCATTTTATTTACTTATTGAAGCCGAATAACTATGTATGGGGTGTTCCTTTTGGAGATGGGGTTA
The DNA here is from genome assembly GCF_000001405.40 of Homo sapiens. Taxonomy (NCBI): domain Eukaryota; kingdom Metazoa; phylum Chordata; class Mammalia; order Primates; family Hominidae; genus Homo; species Homo sapiens. Next base: position 4,686,468 of record NC_000001.11, on the reverse strand, counting down.
TTCTGGGAGCCCAAAGAAATTAATGGACTTACCCACGCACTCAGGGAAGAAAAAGAACTTGAACCCAGCCCTCTGCAACCCAGCTGCAGTGCGGCAGAGGAAGGCGGGGCAATCAAGGGTAGGAACTTGAACCTTGAACCCAGCTCATCCCACCTTGATTTTGGACTTCTAGCTGCCAGACCGAGACAACAAATGTCTGCTGTTATAAGCCACTCAATTCGTGGTAATTTGTGATGACTGCACCAGGAATCTAACGCAGTTGTGGTTATTTGTTAAGGAGTTGCTCAGTGAGGAGACACTACTGGCTTCAAGGAAGACGTGAGGATGAGGCCACGTCATTTTGTCAGCAACTATCAACCATCAGCTGTCTCGTGCCTGGCACATGCCAGATACACAGGCAAAACCTCCGAGGAGAAGAAACAGCTCTGCCCTCAAGCCTGCAGTTTGGATTTACTTGCAGAAAACAGGAGATGATCACTAAAGGAAGGGGTCCTTTCAAATTTGGGGTGCATTTGATGGCCACCCAGGTCCCTCTGTCCTCTGACATTTCCTGCCATCCCCAATCCTGACAATGGGCTGCAATGACCTTGCAGAGCCCAGCCCTGCAGCCTCTGGATGACCAGATGGCACCTGACCCCACCAAGGAGGCAGAGGGGAGATTCTACCCAGGAAAGGCCATGGCTTCAGAATGTCTAAGAAGTGGTGAGAAACAGCTCCTGGAAAGAAGGTCCCCCATGGACCCCCCAACGGTGCACCCTAACATGGCGCCAAGGAGCCTTCTTTGTGGAGCTTGCCTCTCCTTCGCTGGGGCAGGGTCTTGGTCTTGGGTCCCGGCAATGAGCTCCTCCAGCAGCAGCTGGAAAACAAGACACTGCGCTGGGTGATCTGTCGATGCCATTGGATGGGATTATGGCTCCTGCCAGGCTCCAGCAAATTGTGAAATACAAATTGTTAGCAGCTTGCAGACCATTTGCAAATAAACCATCACAGCCAGGCATTAAAAGACCCCCTAAATAAGCATCCTCAGGAAGGTAGTGACATGGGAGCTTGTTTATATCCTTTCTATTTGACACTTGTTCCATCAAAGGGAGGCTGTGCTCAGCGCTGTGGAGAGGCTATGCAGGCGGCATTTAAAATGCAAAGATCTGCTGATTTTTCATACGGAATTATACAAATGGAACTGCTCTTCCATTTTATGATTGAATTAGGTAATGTATTGATGGTGCAGAACCAAGGTTATGTCCTTGTTTTCCGTGATTTATGGACTTGGAGCATTTCACAGCTCCTGGTTGTGGACACAGCCATGCACCATCGCTGCATTTCTGGTGCTGAGAAAGCTGGCTGTCACACAGATGCTGGACGCTGGACAGATCAGAGGGGGTTCGGGGCCATGACTGCATCCTCCAGAGAAGCCCTGCTGGGAGAGGAAACTCCAGCAGCAGGAGGGTGCCTTTGTTGTTGGGCCTTTTTTCCTCCTGCCACAGTGACTTATGACAAAAGGCAGAAGACAATGGCTTGGGATCAGGTCTGACTCCATCCTCTGAGGCTGCCAATGGGCCTGGCTTCCCAAGGAAAGAGATCTGCTGGTTCCTTGTGGCCCCTTTGACAGCTCTGGTGGAGGAGGCTGGCACAGGCAAGGGGCTGGGGGAGGTGAGGCAAGTTGAATGGAATCAACGGCGATCCCATTGCATGGAGATGGGGGCTTTAGATCTGCTCTGCCTTTACCAGCAGCGCCCAGACAGTGATACCTTTGTGCCTCAGGGTTCCCACCTGTGAAATGGATAGATGTCTGTCTTGAATGATGTAGGTCCATTTGGAGGCACGTGAGAAGCTGCGAGTGCCTGCAAAAACCTTCTCAACCCAAGATTCTACCCAGGAAAGGCCATGGCTTGAGAATGTCTAAGAAGTGGTGAGAAACAGCTCCTGGAAAGAAGGTCCCCCTGAGAATGTGCTCAAGGTACTCCCTTCCCCTCCCCCAGGTGGCCAGGCTGGCCACAAGGCCGCCCTAGACCTTGCTCCTTGGTCTCTCCTTCCTGTAGCCCATGATGGTGATGACTCAGAAAGCAGGCGCTCAGAACACTCATAAAGGCCGATGTGCAGCTTCCTAGACCCAGGCAGGAGGTGAGCCTCATGGCCTCCTCCTCCCGCCTGCCCCGTGAACTCTTAAACCTGGAGATGTGCTGAGCCAGGAGCCAATGGAATGAACATGGTTTCCACCGAGTAAAATTATCAGCGTGTTAACAGCTGCCCCCCAAACAGCTGGGGATGCATTCCCGCCCTGCACATGCAGACAGCAGCAACATTTGCTCAACCTGGGAGCTTCAGAGACAGGCATGAAACTAAATCTTCCAAATCCATTGAGGTGAGCCCAGATGCACCAACCCAGAGGATCCAAGGGCTCAGCCTTTTCCAGGCCATTCCCGGGGCCCTCTGCTCACTCCCCTCCTTCCTCCATCTCCTTCCTCCCCATTCTTCATGCCTCCCTCTCACCCTGCCCTGTGTGTCTGTGTCTTATGAATGCCTACGCATCTGATGCTCCCTAGGAAGCCCCTCACCATGCATACTCCTCCTCAGTGCCCCCTGCCCTAAGCATCAGGCTTTCTTGACCGTCTAACACTGCACCTGTGCAAGTCCCACCCTGGCCTCTCTGGGGACAGTGATGTTCTTTCCTTGCCCCCTGAGCCCCATCAGTACTCGGGAGCTGGCACACAGGGAGTGCCCTCAAATGGCTGTGGGACAAGTGAGAGGAAGGTGCTGTGACAGCTTGTTTTCAGCCAGGTGAGTCCCATGGAGATCTGAGTCAAGTATATTTGCAAGAGTCCCCGGGGGAAAGACTGTGGGTACCCAGTGCAGGACGAAACATTTTCCTAAAACCCGTAGAAATTCCTTGCCTACATTTCTTTGCTTTCCTGAATGTCTGAGGTCACATTTGCCTTTCCCATATATCAACGTCCCAGTGGACCCACTGAAATGGATGGACAGGCTCAAGGGTCCTGAGAGTTGGGTCCCCAGGCCAGTGGAACCAGCGTCACCTGGAACTGGTAAGAAACGCTTATGCTCAGACCCAGCCCAGACCACTGAATGGGAAACAGTGAGGGCGGGCCAAGGAAGCTGTATTTTAACAAGGCTTCCAGGGATGCTGATTCTGAGCTCTGCGGGTCAAGTGAGACTATCAGCTGATCTTCCCTGGGCACTCTGGGCAGGCCCAGTGCCAGGCACACTGTGGCATTAATCATTTTACTCTTCCCATGCCCCTGAAGGACAGATGTTGCTATTAACCCCATTCTACAGATGAGAGAGTGAGGCACAGAGAAGGGGAGTACTACAACCAAGATTACACAGCAGGTAAGAGTCCAAATTTGAACCCCCACCATCTGACTCTTGCCATTAAGAGTGCTGGATCTCTGGCGAGCAGGGCACTTGGATCCTACACAGTATGTGGCTGGACTCCAAGGGGCCAAGGGCCAACTGGGGCCTGGACTGACATAGCTGGAAAATGGTGCAGGCTTACTCCTTTTGGAATAATCACAATCATTCTCATTATCACCATCATCACCATCAGCATCATCACCATCACCATCACCAACATCATCATCACAATCACCATCACCACCATCACCATCATCACCATCACCAACACCACCAGTATCACCACTATCATCATTATCATCATTACCACTATCCTCATCCCCAACATCATAATCACCATCATCACCACCACCAACACCACCAGTATCACCACTATCATCATTATCATCATTACCACTATCCTCATCCCCAACATCATCATCACCATCATCACATTCATGTCTGAAACCCTACGAAGGGCTCAGCATAGCTCTGGTGGCCATTAGGGGTTGGAGGGAGGATACAGGAACCACACCATGCAGTCTTGGGTAGAGATCACCACTCAGGAAAGAGCAGAAACCAGACCAACTCCATGCAGGAGCCACAGAGCACAGATGGGGACATGAAAACTCAGGGCTGGTGGAGACTTCAGCTGCCAGAAAGAGCTGATAGGGCCTCATGGCTGGGCTCAGAGAAAAGGCATTCTGGGCATAGTCTTGGGTGGAAGTGGGGCCCAAGCATGGTTGTGGGGAGGGAGATGCATAGGGGAAGGTGGCCAAGCTCCACTTGGGAATGAACAAAGCATCTCTGAGGCTTGAGATCAGGGAGCTATTATTTTAGCAACTACAACAGCACTGATCAGGCACCATATGAAGACCATCGATGGGCAGCACAGCCTGCCACATCCACACCTCCATATTTCATGGGTTCTAAGATGCATGCAGCCTGCAAGTTTACCAGCTCTGAAGTTGGGAAATTTGATGTGTGGCCAATTCAAGGCCTCTCAGCATCATCAGTGGACCACAGTATCATTGGTGGACTCTGCATCAGACTCCCTACAGTGATCCCAGCCCTGGCACTTCCTGGATATGTGGCCTTACTATGTTCCTCGTGCTCTCTATGCTTCAGTTTCCTCATCTGTAAAATGAAGATCATTATAGGATTGCTATGAGGATTGACCAGAACTCAGAGCAGCACCTGGAACTGGCAGGCTCCAGAGAAGCTTTCCCAGAGGCTGCTGTCATCCCCTTCATTTTGCAGGTGGGGAGACCGAGGCAGAGATCATGAGTGAATCGCCCAAGTTCATAGAGCTCACCACCGTGCCCCATCAGGTCTGTCTGACCCCAAGCATGTGGCCTTCCTGCACGTGGTCTGCCTCTCCTTTAGAGCAGAGGGGGACAAATCCAGGGTGCACTATTCTGGAGAGACCTTGCTTTGTCCAGTACCTCTGATGGGAGTGAGGCTTGGTCGGAATGAGAAGGAAAAATATTCTGCCTCCAGGCATGGCCTCTGTCTAAGCCTGTGCTCTCTGCCCCAGCTGTACCTGTCTGAACAAGGTAAGCAGAAATGCCCGGAATATGGCCAGAACCTAGCCCTTCTGCAGGCCAGAAGCCCAGAGCCCGAGAAAGGCACACAAATTACTGCCTATGGGCCCTTTCCTAGAACCCTGGCTGCCTCATGGGTCTTCCCAGAGGCCTGCGTCCAGGGTGGGTGTGGCTGGCAGCCCCTGCCTCACTCTGGCAAGCACCCAGCCTCCTTTCCTTGGCCTGGGGCTGGCGAAGGGGGACGCCAACAGTGTGGCCCAGTTGACATTCCTCTCCCTTGCAGTCTGTGGCAATTTTGCACACTGTCCGTGCTGCTGAAAACACGGGCTTCCAAAGGGCTTTACCAAACACTGCGGGCATTTAGCGGGCTGCGGGTTAACAGTGGGGCATTTCATCAAACTGTCTGAAATAACACTTGATGTTTGTCCAGTCTAGACAAAGGGATTTTGTATGGGTTTGGCTGTTTAATCTAAAAACTGCACCTGTCTCTTTGATTTATTTAACTCTTCCCCCCAGGATTTTAAACCAATAACGGGTGCTAGAGAACACTCCATTTCAAACAGAACTTGCTCAGAAGTTTATCTTTGCTATATTTCCAAATCCACCTGAATTCGAATGCCAAAGCCCTATTATTTAGCTCATATATTGTACAAGGTTATAAGACACTAAAATGTAATCCCGCACAGAAATAGTCCATTTCTACTCTACTTCAGCCAAAAGTCCATATAAAAAACACCACTAGAAAGATGTTTGGGATGGAATCAAAGATCATAAGTAGCAATGCGACACTGAACTTCACCATTCTTACTGGAATGGAAACAAATTTTATACATTTATATATAAAAACTCCAGTGCACCTGAAAACACAGCTTTAATTCCCTTTTTCTGGGAAGTCATTTATGCCCAGCATATGTACCAGACTCAAGGGTGGCTTTACATGAGAGATAAGTGGACATCAGTGGCCTGGATGGAGGCCAGCTTTGTAATGGTCATTCATTCACAAACATCTATGGGGCAAGGCTCTGAGCACTACAGGGTAGAAAAGAAAGAAAGCCGGCTGACCCATAACCCAACCCCTACCCAGCCTCTGTCTCCCATAGGAGGGTGTAACTGGGTGGAATTGTGTCCCCCCATGTTCATGTCCACTTTGAACCTCAGACTGTGACCTTATTTTGAAATAGGGACTTTGAAGATGTATTTAAGATGAGGTCATATTGGATCACCATGGACCCTAAATCCAATGACTGGTGAGAGGGTTAATTTTACTTGTCAACTTGACTGGGCTACGGGGTGCCCAGATGTGTGGTCAAAGATTACTCTGGGTGTATGGGTGAGGGTGTTCATGGATAGGATTAACATCTGAATCAGTGGACTGAGTAAAGCTGATTGCTCTTTGTAATGTGGGTGGGCTTCATCCAATCAGATGAAGGCCTGGATAGAAGACTGACAGAGAGGGAACACTCTCTGCCTGACTGCTTTGAGCTGGGACATTGGTCTTTTCCTGCCTTCAGACTCAAACGGAAACATCAGCTCTTCTTGAGTCTCAAGCTTGCCAGCTTCTGAACTGGAACTATAACATTAGCTCTTCTGGTTCTCAGTTCTACAGTATTAAATGAGAGCTTACACCATCAGCTCTCCTGGGTCTCCAGCTGGCTGGCTGCAGATCTTGGGGATTCTCAGCCTCCCTGATCATGTGAGCCAACTCCTTGTAAGTATCTCTCTCTACACACACACACACACACACACACACACACACACACACACACACCCTATTGGTTCTGTTTCTAAGCAGAACCCTGATTAATACAACTGATGTCTTTATAAGAAGAGGCAAGGACACATGTGGATGGGAGAAGGCCATGTGAAGTGGAGGCAGAGATTTGAGTGATGCATCTATAAGCCAAGAAACACCAAGGACTGCCAGCAACCACCAGAAGCTGGAAGAGGCAAGGAAGGATTCTACCCTACAGATTTCAGAGGGAGTATGGCCCTGCCAACACCTTGATTTTGGACATCTAGTCTCCAGAACTATGAGGTAATATATTTCTATCATTTTAAGCCATCCAGTTTGTAGTACTTTATGGTGGCCACATTAATCTAATGCAGACAGCCTGAAGTCCTCAGGTCACTTATGATCTGAGGCCCCTAATAAAGATTCCAGAATATAAATAACTTTCATTCATTCATTCATTCATCACTCAGATATTTCTCCTGTGCCTGCTATTTGTGGGTCTTTGTTCTAGTAGCTGGGGACATGGGACAAAACCCACTGCCCTCCTGGAGTTCAGGTCCCAGGAGAGGAGACAAGCAGGAGAGAATCCAATGTGTAAAGTGCACAGTGGATCCCATGGTGATGAGTACTGTCAAGAGAAATTACTACGTCAGGCAGCAGGTTTCCCAAGTGTTAGGCTGCAGTTTGAAATAGGATGGTTCTCTTCCAAACTTGAGAAAGCTGGCAAATGCATGGCACTGAGCTGTCTCCCAGAGTCCAGGTCTTGGTCAGCAGCTTGCCCCTGGCCTTCTAGGATGAAGCAGTTAAGGGCAGGTGCACCTGATTGTGCAGTTTGAATGCATGCTATGTAGCCTTGTGCAAGTTACTGAACATCTCTGGGAATTGTCTTTCTGAGCTGTGCAATGAGGATTAGGATAGGAGCATACCTACTCGGTTGTTATGAGGATTACATAAGATGTTTTAAATGAGATGCATCTGGCTCACAGTCCTGTTGAGTCAATAAATGTTAGTGATTATTTGGAACTGCCCAAAGAGAGCAAATGACCGCAGTGGTGGACATGCTCTAAGGAGGCAGGCAGGGTCCCCACCTCCTGGTGTTCAGTCTTAGATGGTGCACTCCCTCGAGTGTGGGTGGGACCCATGACTCACTTCTAGCCAACAGGATACAGCAAAGGTGATGATGTTACTTCTGTGATAACGGTACATGAGATTGTAACATCCATCTCGCTAGGGTACTCTCTCCCTTGCTGGCTTATTGTGAGTTCTCATTTGGAGAGGGCTGCAGGGCAAGGCACTGACAGCCAGCAGAAAACAGAGGCCCTCTGTCAGGCAGCCTTCAAGGAAATGCATGCTGCTAACAACCACATGAGCTTGGCAGTAAATCCTTCCCCAGTTGAGCCTCTGATGAGATCACAGACCCGGCCAACATCTGGTTTCAGCCTTGCACAGGGCCCAACTAAGTTGTGCCCAGACTCCTGACCCAGGGAACATGTGAGATAATATGTATGAGTTGTCATTTGTGAATGAGCAGTATGTAACCAATAGATAGTAGTGCACACTCCTAGACCAGATTCACTCATATTTGTGATACAATTTCAAGTGCTCATTTCTACCCAACACCACTCTAACTGCTTCACAAATATTTGTTCTTCTTCAACTGCACCCAAAGGAATGCTATGAATTTCAGGCCACAGGAAAGATTCACAAGGGAGATGGTAATTCAACACAGTCCCTAGCACTGGCCAAAGGGACACCCTGCTGCAGTCTTGCTGGCATGGCTTTCTCTGCTGTATGTGGGAAATGCATCAACCCACCCCACTGGGGGCTGCTGTACCCACCATCTGACGGCACCAGGGCTGATCGACATCCTCTACGAGCCACCAGGAAATGTGCTACTCATGAACATAACAAGCACTCCTCCTCACCTGATATTTATATGTTTTACGAAAATTAGTGAGTTGGCATTCCAACTGGAAGCAATAGTTGGCTCCAGCACCACAATGGACAGAGAAAGGAACTGTGTCATTTTCATCACCTATGAGATATATTTAGCTACTGGCTTCTGATGACCTCAACACATAGGCACATGATTTTTTTTTTTGAATGCACATCATTTTCATTCGGAGCATTACCTGGAATATCATCTGCCCCATATGAATACCCGCTGGCTGACTTTTTAAGAGTTTCTCCTGCACACCCTGGCTTTATGCCCGCTGAATGGCAAGCCTTGGTTTCAGATGTTAAATTTTTTTTTAATCCTTCCTTCCCTCCTTAATCCCTTCTCTGTCATCTGCTTGGCGTCACAGAGTGGACCCAGAGAGAGGTGGAATCCCCTCTGGAAAGAGGAGAGAAAAGCCGCTGGCCAGCTCCTGTGGAAGCCCTCCTGCATTTGAAGAGTTTATTTACTACAAATAAAAGCAATTAATTAGCCGGGCAGCTGTACACACAGGGCAGCCTCTCTATTCGTGGAATCAGGGATGTGTGAGGTCAGAATCCTCAACCTTTAGGAGCCCTACAAAGCGAGAACTTGCAGGCAACTGCAGCCCACCCTGACTGTCTGCTGGCGGGTCCCCCTTGGCAGCATCCCAGCCACATGTCACTTACCCAGACTTACCAACCTCTGATCATGTGAAATTCATAGCATCGCATTAGAGGCATTTGGGTTCATTGCTTTTCTTTTATTTTTTGAGACGGATTCTCACTTTTGTCGCCCAGGCTGAAGTGCGGTGGCACGATCTCAGCTCACCGCAACCTCCGCCTCCCAGGTTCAAGCAATTCTCCTGCCTCAGCCTCCCAAGTACCTGAGATTACAGGCACACGCCACCACACCCAGCTAACTTTTGTATTTTTAGTAGAGACGGGGTTTCACCATGTTGACCAGGCTGGTCTCGAACTCCAGACCTCAGGTGATCCACCTGCCTCGGCCTCCCAAAGTGCTGGGATTACAGGCGTGAGCCACGGCCCCTGGCCATTTTATTTTCTCTTTGAAACTCTGTAGCCAACAGCATTGCACATGTTCTTCCCACTCTTGGCAAATTCGAGAATGCAATACCCCTTTTGGCATCTACAGGCTAAAAACTTCAAGTGGCTAATTCTGTGCCACCTGTCCCCCTTGGTGCAAATACTGAGAGCAAAGATCTGTTTGAGAGTATGTTGTCCCCAAAGGCCAGATGACAGATGAGCTGGGCACCCGACAATCCAGTCTCCCTCACTCCCGTCCCCCCATCATCTCCTGATTACTTTGTGGGCTGGATTTCCCAAGGAACGGCCCCTCTCTCTCAGTCTCACATGATTTCAAAGCTGACTTCCCAGAGTCCCTGAGGCAGCGTTGGTTTCACTGTTTCTGAGAAGGGGTAATGCAGGTGGCTTCAGGCCCCCAGGACGACGAGAGCTAGGGTCAGAGTCTAACCAAGCCAGCTGGACCGGAAGCTTCACGTTCTGTGATGCACCCAGATGTGTTTCAGAAGCGGGTGGCCTCTTCTGGATTTCTTTGCCAAAGTTTGGATTCTACTGATTTGTCGTAAATAAACTCAATTTTCACTCCCTTCACACAAATCATCTTTTTTTGGAACTGGTTAAAAAAAATAAAGAATGCGCAAGTACATGGAAGATGAGGAAATCGGAGGAGCGTGACTAAGACACTAGCCCCAAAAATGACACGAGGAGGCAAGGCCGGTGCACACTGGCCTCTGCAGCAGTGGGCATCATGAACTCGCCGGGGATCCTCTCCCAAACACACGGAGCATCCAGGAACCAGGAAAGAGGAGATGCACAAAACGAGTAGCAAGCTACCTAGAGAGAGGCCGTCCCTGCACGAGGACACAGAGCTGGGAGCCCACAAGACGGGCTTCCTCCTAAACGTGGGCGTCCCAGCCCCTGCAGGAAGGCGAGCAGACTCCACGCAGCTTCTCTGCAGCAACTCCACCGTACCCTCCAGAATGTCTTCCTTAGCGGGAGAGAAACCACTCACCATCCATCTTCTCTCCTAAAATTTCCGCCCACACCATCTTCAGGGCAGGTTTAACTGGCCTGGGCTACACCATTATCAACTGTAGAATAATGTGAGGCACCTGGTCGCTGGTGTAAACCAGATTGTTTAGTAAAGAACTTTGCCCAAGAGAGGTCAGACCTTTGCCCTGGGCTCCTGGAAGGCATCTCTGGGCCCCTGGAATGTCCTGCCTGATAAGAATTTCTGTGTTTGCCTGGGGGCCTTGGCCACCATACAGTCGAGCAATGTGATTTAGGCTAGAGGCTTTGGGTCAGATGGTATCTGCTCCATTTCCCAAGGGGCAGGACACTGAGGTAGGCCACATGGTCATTCAACCAGGTCTATGTTAAGAGGCCCCAGTAATAAACGCTCGGGACACCAAGGCCAGGGGCTTCCCCGGCTGGCAATGCTCCCTGGGCACTGTCACTCACTGTTGCCAAGAAAGCAATGTATCCTGACCTCAATGGGAGAGGATGGCCGGAAACTCCATGCGTGGATCCCTTCTGGCCTCTGCCCCACGCGTGTCTTCCCTTGGCTGGCTTTCATCTGTGTCTTTTCCTTTTAATAAACCATTACTGTGAGTATGACGGCTTTCGGTGAATTCTTCAAGTCCTTCTGGTGAATTATTGCAGCTGAAGGTGGTCCTGGGGACCCCTAAACACTGCAGTTGGTGTCAAAAGTGGGAGTGGTCTTGTGGACTACTCCCTCTATCCTCACACAAGCCCACACCCATTGCTGGCCTAGGGAGGAGAGGAGGGCACGGGTTTTGCTCTGTTTCCCCCCCACCGCTCTCCAGCCCTGATGGCTCTGACCACTGCCCTCCTGGGCTTCATGGCAAAGGGACAGCATTCTCAAGCCTGCAGGACGACGGTTCAGCCAGTGCCTGAGACGACTCCTCCATGGCCACATGGCAACGTGACTCACGCCCTGTGCAGAATCTCTGTTTGAAAACGCTGAATGTCAAAAAGGAAGAGCAGAGGCAGGCAACAAGACAGAAATAGGCGCGTGCAGATGAAGCAAGGCTTTCGTTTGCATGGAACTTTCTGCCAGAGATCCAAAACACGAGACAAGCAGGCAGAGCAGAATGCTGCCTGCTCACTCTGCCCTGGGCCCCGACCGATCCCTCAGAGAACTAGAGCTCTGAGAGCTTCCCACTGAACCAGAGCCCAGGAAAGGGAGGCCCCAAGACCAGCAGCTGACAGCCGCAGCACCAGCCACTCCTGAAGGCCTGGCCAGCCACTCCTGGTGCCTACCCAGCTGCTGGGGCTCAGGGACCTCCTAATATGAAAGCCCCCTCCGTATTTCTGCTTCTGCACTGACCTCTGAACCTAAAGCAGGGGTCGTTGACCTTTGTCTGAAAAGGCCCAGACAGAAAATGTTTTAGGCTTTGCAGGCCGTTTTCTGTCACAACCACTCAACTCTGTCCTTATGAAAATCAGTGGGCATGCCCCTGTGCCAATAAAACTTTATTTGCCAAGTCAGGCAGCCAAGGGCCATGGTGCCAATAAAACTTTGTTTACAAAGTCAGGCAGCCGTGGGCTGTGATGCCAATAAAACTTTATTTACAAAGTCAGGCAGCCACAGACTGTGGTGTGCCAACCCCTGACCTAGAGAACAGCAACTAAAGCTTAACTAGAGCTCAGTGAAGCCTCCTCTCCAGGGCCCTCTCCTGCCCACTGCCCTGCCTTCTTGGCCGATTTGCAGTCTCTGGAAATCGGGTGGCCAGATTTAACCAAAATATAGAATGCCCAGTAACATTTGTATTTGAAAGAAACAATCCTTTTTGTTCCTTTTTTTTTTTTTTTTTTTTTTTTGGTGGCGGGGGGGATAAGCCTATCTCATGCAAAACCTGGAACATAGTTATACTAAAATACATTTGTTTGTCTGAAATTGAAACAGAACCAAGCATCCTGTTTTCTTTTATCTGGCAGCCCTATTTGGGAGTAATGAGGTTCAATTCATTTCACGGAGACCCTGACTTCTCGCTCCTGGCTCAGGAGTAAAGCCTCTCCAGAGCCCATGACTCGTATAAAGCCTTGATCAGAGGACAAGAAGAGTCACATCTAAAACGCTGAGAATGAATTCATTTATTCATTGACCAAGCCAGAGCCAGAGCCAGGACTCGCCCTCATCTGGCCAATTCCAGAGACACAAAGCCAGGACATGCCCTGGGAAGGCTGCCTGGCCGCGTCTGTGTCCACAGCCCCGGCACACAAGCAGCCTCATGACCCCTGCTCCCTCCACACCTCCAAATACAAAGTGCAGGAAGGAATGAGTCAGTGGAGGCTCCCATGCTGGAGCAGAGCTGTGGAGGGCACCATACCGGGTCCCCAGAGTTTTAGTGGGACTGGGTTGAAGGCCTGCCCACATCTCACCTGTTTACAATTGTCCCAACACTAATTTTGGAAACAAGCATGAGCTCTTGTTAGAAGAAAGACAGAAAGAGAACAGAGAAAGAGGGATGAAGGGCAGGGGAGGGGACGGGAAAGAGAGAGGAAATGAGAAAGTGTGAGAACACTGGGCCGTCAGTGGCACCTCACTCATGCATCCTGTGTACTTAGATAGCTAACTATTGAATTAGTTAGCTATTGCTGCATAACAAACTACCCCAAACACAGGAGTGTAAACACCCCCCCAACCCCACCTATGAGCTCACAGTTCCATTGGTGAGAAGACTAGCTGGATTCTCTGCTCAGGGTCATCTCACTGGGCTGACATGAAGGCATTGGTGGGGCTGTGTCTCCTTCTGGAGATCTTGGGGAAGAATCTGTTTCCAAGCTCATTCAGGTTGTCAGCAGAATCCAGTTCCTTGTGGCTGTAGGACAGAGGTCCCACCTCGACTGGAAGCACTCCTTCATCTTCAAGCCAGCCATGATGCTGTGTTGATCCTTTTTAAGTTTCAGATCTCTCAGGCCACCACCCTCACCCTCCTGCCCTCATCTCTATCTCCTCTTCCACCTCTGCACCCAAGGACTCCGGTGATGACACTGGACCCACTGGGAATAATTGAGGATGATCTCCCTACGGAAGGGTCAATAGATTAGAAATCTTCCCTACCTCTGCCAAGTCCCCTTTGCTGTGTGGGGTTATGGATTAAGGGGTGTGGTTTCACATCCTGCTCACAGCTCTGGGGACAGGGATGGAATCTGCCTGGGATCCCACCTTCTCACTCACACAGCCTGGATGCACACACTGGGAGGGCGGTGGAGCACCAGGCAGACCCAGCCACCATTCCCTGGAAGTGACTTTGCAGACAGCTCAGGAGTGCAATGGAAGGGCCTCTATCCTGGGTTCTGGTCCACAGGAAAGAGCTGCCTGGGAGCCTCCTGAGGACTTTATGCCAGACAGTGTGGTCCTGGGATCCCCAAGCTGAGAATTTCCCCATCTATATAGAAGCAAAACACAGGGGCTTGAAAAGAAATAGGAAATATCAGCATGTCATGTGGGCACAGTGTATGCAAAACCAGTCTTCCATCACTGTAATGCACCCAAGATGAAAGTACCTGGCTGTGTCTCCGTATTCATGACTGTGGCCCTTCAGGGCTCCTAGCGGAATGGTTGTTTCATTTTTGTCTGATATGCTTGGCGCTCCTTCATGGTGCAGTGATTTGGGGTCCAATAACTTCAGTGACATTTGGTGGCAATAAAGTCCAGCTCTACAGGGCCCAAGTGACTCCCGACCGCTCCCTCCTCCCAGTCCATTCTTGAGCAATTCACAACAATCCCAGATAATAATACACACCCCGGGGAGACAGCAGCCTCCTTACTTTACATGTGTGTGTTACGACATGATTCACAAGCAGCTCCGTGAGTCTCAGACGCGACTGCGCCCAGGCTGATAGGCGCCCCGGGATGGTGGGTGAGGGTCTGCAGGGCCCTGTGAGATAAGGAGAACAGTGTGCCTCACAGCTTTCCTTTTTGAAAGTCTGCTCCTACTGCAACGCCTGAGAGCAGTGGGGACACCTACACAGCAGGTCCCTGGCTAAACCACGACAATAAAAGCAGGCTCTGACCAGCTTCCTCGTGAAGCACCTTGTTTCCATTAATTACATTTTCTGGTTACCCAGGGATTCCATTTTGCTCAGTCTTTGGATTTACAAAAGCAGGAAAAATAATGGGCCTATACCTTTCAGATTAAAAGCAGGGCTAACAAGGTTTCCACGTCAACAGGTCCACATCATTTGATGAATGGGGATATGGCAGTCACAGGACTGGAAGAGGTGTGTGAGGAAGAATTGCTAGAGTTGGTGGGTGCATTTGTTCCTGGTGGTGCATTTGTTCCCGGTGGTGCATTTCCTCCTGGTGGTGCTCAGGAAAACTGAGCTGTCTGGGGCCTGTGGCTCCATACCTTTGAGACAGAAAGACCACAGGGCCCTGGGCTCTAAGTGGGCTGGGGACAAAGGGAGGTAATGGATGCAGTGCACATGCCACAGCATCATGTCCTATGTCCTCCTGACAATCAGCTGCCATTCTTTTTTTTTTTTTTTTGAGGCAGAGTCTCGCTCTGTTGCCCAGGCTGGAGTGCAGTGGCGCAATCTCAGCTCATTGCAACCTCCTCCTCCCAGGTCCAAACAATTCTCCTGCCTCAGCCTCCCTAGTAGCTGGGATTGCAGGCGCCTGCCACCATGCCCTGCTATTTTTTGCATTTTTAGTAGAGACAGGGTTTTACCATGTTGGCCAGGCTGGTCTTGAACTTCTGACCTCAAGTGATCTTCCCACCTCGGCCTCCCAAAGAGCTGGGACTGCAGGCATGAGCTACCGTGCCTGGCCTGTGATGCAGACTCTAAAAGACCAACACATGCGCCTATTACAATCACCTATGTGGAGAAATGATGAGACAACACAGGATAACAGCTTAAATGACTTGCATGATAGCAAATCCCTTAGAAGGGCCTTGAAGGGCCACAGCCCAGGCACAGCCAGGTACTGAAGTCTTGGGTCTGTTACAGTGATGGAAGACTTTGTTTTTACATGCTTTCCAAAAACAGAAATGTTTGTTGTCATTTGCTCTGTTCCCTCTCCTCCGGAAGGGAAAGGGAAGAACATTCTGGAACACTCTGGAAAACTGTGTTGCAGTTAATTTGCTTAATTTCACTCATTTTCCTGAACAGGCTGTCCAGTGCATTCTTGGGATAGGAAACTGGAGACCAATGAGGCTGGGCGATGAGACCTGCACTCGTCATGGCTCGACAACCTGGGCACTGGAGTGGGGAAACCAGGCAGTTTGCAGGGATCCAGCAGGAGCCTAGGCAGCATGCTTCCATGCCAGCAAGAACGCTGCTTCCAGTGAAAAGTAACAGGCTCACAAACCAGGTCACTGCCAGGGAAGCTCCCAGTTCACCGTACATGGGTGGGTCACAAGTTCCTTGTTACTGTGGGTCAGGGCTGATGTCATACTAAAAGGATCAATGTCGACTTGGGTATTTTTCAGTAGATCACATGGCTCAGCTCTGAGGTCCAGGAAAAGGGGAAAGGAAAAGGCACCAAGAATAAGATTCATCCCGGGGCAATTGCTTTAATCCACTCCCAAAATGGTTCATAATTCCTCTTTAGTGCAGAGCTGATAAAAAGTGCTGCTTCTCACTGAGCCTCCTCCCTGGGGATGTGTAAGGAGTAAAGACAGACCGGCTGCCACAGGCCCAGCGCTGTGAACAAGGTGCACAGGCATAGAGAGGCCTGTCTGCAATCTAGGATGAGATGGGGAAGGAGCCTGCATTGGCTCTGTTGCTGGGCAGCCACCTGTAAATGGTAGGGGGTCACCATCCTTCCAGCCCTGTGCAGGGCTGAGTGACATCCCCGTTTTTCAGATGAGAAAACTGAGGCTCAGAAAAACCATGGGAACTTCCAAAGATCACACAAATGCTGTAGCAGTGCCGTAACTAGGCAATTGTGGATAAAGCCCGTGTCCAAGAAGTGTTGATGCCTAGGTATGTCCCTCAAAGGATCAAAAACAGGGACCGAAACAGACACCTGTACATGTATGTTCACAGCAGCAATGTTCACAGCAGCCAAAAGGTGGAAACAACCCAAATGTCCATCAGTGGATGGACAGGCAAACAGCACGTAGCCTATCTGCAGTGTGGCACAGAATTCATCATAAAAAGGAGTGAAGTACTGATGCACGCTACAATGTGGGTGAACTAAAAAACATTATGCTAAGTGAAAGAAGCCAGACACAAAAGGTTACATATTGTATGATGTGGTTTGGCTGTGTCCCCATCCAAATCTCACCTTGAATTGTAATAATCCCCACAATCAAGGGCGGGACCAGGTGGAGGTCATTGGATCATGGGAGCGGTTTCCCTCATGCTGTTCTCGTGATAGTGAGTGAGTGCTCATGAGATCTGATGGTTTTATAAGCGCCTGGAATTTCCCCTGCTTGCACTCACTTCATCCTGCCGCCCTGTGAAGGTGCCTGCTTCTCCTTTGCCTTCTGCCATGATTGTAAGTTTGCTGAGGCCTCCCCAGCCATGCGGAACTGTGAGTCAATTAAACCTCTTCCTTTATAAATTACCCAGTCTCGGGCATTTCTTCATAGCAGTATAAGAATGTATTAATTGTATGATCTCATTTATATAAAATGTCCAAAACAGGCCATACTGAAGACACAGGAAGTAGGTAAGTGGTTTCCAGGGGGACGGGGAATGACTGCTAAAAGACATGGAGTTTCCTTTTAGGGTGATGAAAAGGTCTTGGAACTAAAGAATGGTGATGGTTGCACAACATTGTGAACACACGAAATGTCACTGAAGTTTACACTTTAAAATAGCTCATTTTATGTTATGTGAATTTCACTTCAATTTTAAAAGCAAGCTAAAAAAATGTTGGCTGAGTCTGACTCCTTCCTGTTGTCTGAATCTAGGTCCCTCTCATTGACTGACTCTGACTATCTCCTGTAAAATTCAAATTGCCCTGTGGCAACTGACATAAATTCTACCTACTTGTGACTCACTGGGAACACCAGAATTCCTACGTAAGGAATTGTCATGGACTTCAGTCTCTCACTGAAAATGAGGGAAAATAAAAGGCAGGCAGAGCCCGGCAAGAAAGCCTGGACAGTGAAGGCTCCACCCCGTGGGCATTAACCCTGGATGTGCCCCGTCTCCCAGGCAGGGGACCCCGGCTCCAGGATATGCACAACCTGCGGAAACAGAGATGGATGAGCCCCACACTCCCCAGGAATCCCCGTCCCAGGACTGAGCCACCAGAGCCTGAGTTACGGGCACACTCCTCTTGGAGTCCTCAGGCACCACTCTGCTGCCTTTGTATGACCTTAGGAAAGTTGCTTACTCCTGCTCTGCCTCAGTTTACCCATCTGTGAAATAAGGCTAATAATATTTCCTGACCTTGAAGGTCTGCTGAGAGATTTTGTTAATTACATTTTTAAACAGCTTTTCAGTTGATGAAGGAAAAAGTGCAGACATGTATTACTTGGGCATTTTAAAGTCAACTGATGCCTCACACCTACAACCTCACAACACACAGACACCCACAGACACACACACACACACACGCACACGCACACACACACACAGCACTGCTCTCTAAGCTACTTTAAGAAGAGGGCTTTTAGCTTCAAATACACAGGATTGGCCCCACACAAGGAGGAAGAAAGTTGCCACCCTAATGGCATTTTTTTTTTTGAGATAGAGTTTCACTCTGTCACCCAGGCTGCAGTGCAGTGGTGCGATCTCAGCTCACTGCAACCTCTGCCTCGCAGGTTCAAGCAATTCTCCTGTCTCAGCCTCTGACTAGCTGGGACTACAAGCATATACCACCACGCCTGGCTAATTTTTGTATTTTTAGTAGAGATGGGGTTTCATCATGTTGGCCAGGCTGGTCTTGAACTCCTGACCTCAAGTTTTCCTCCCGCCTCTACCTCCCAAAGTGCTGAGATTACAGGCATGAGCAAACACTCCTGGCCTTACCCTAACGGCATTCTTTAGGGAGGAATCCAACTTCCCCAAACGTCTTCCCCTTCCCACTTGAAACCTCCATGTTCACTCAGTGCTGTGGGCTCATTGCCTTGTGTCTCAGGGGCTCTTCCCAAAATTCAGACCCACAGCTTGGGTGGGACGATGACTTCACCCCAAGCAGCAACTGACTGGGGGTCCGGTTCTCTAAGGAAGGGGTCCCCAACCCTGGGCCATGAACCAGTACCAGCATCTGTTAGGAACTGTCCTCACAGCAGGAGGTGAGCAGTGGGTGAGCCAGCATCACCATCTGAGCTCCGCCTCCTGTCAGATCAGCAGTGGAATTAGATTCTTCCAGGGGCACTAACCCTACTGTGAACCATGTATGTGAGGGATCTAGGTTGTGCACTCCTTATGAGAATCTAATGCCTGATGATCTGAGGTGGAACAGTTTTATCCAGAAACCATCCACCCGCTCTGTCCCTGGAAAAATTGTCTTCCATGAAACTGGTCCCTGGTGCCAAAAAGGTTGGGGACTGCTGTTGTAAGGTGAGAAGGTCCCCACGGAGGGGCAGGGGCAGGTGGCTGGTTGGGGCTGGAAGGGTGGAGAAGCAGCAAGAGACTCAGGAAAGGAAAGTTGGGTCGTCAGGGCCTGTCACACCTTTGTGCCCACGTGGTCTAGGCTGGCATTTTCCCTCAGACTAATTCTGAGTAAAAGCAGAGCCTGGGAATCATGGCAACTGACCGCAGACGTGTTTCCTGGGGCCAGGCCAGTTGTCTTCCCCGCCTGGGGAGTCCTCTGGGACTTCCCTAAGACCACAGCCCCAGAGGGCTGCCTCTCCCTCCCTCTGCTTACCCCAGGGCTCTCCTTCCACAAAACTAAGCTGCTCCACCAGGACACAGAGGTTCCATCCCACGCAGCTCCCATGATTCACGGGCCCCTCTCTGCACCCTCCTGTGATTCACAGGCTCCTCTCTGCAACCCCTCCGTGATTCATGGGCCCCTCTCCGCACCCCTCTCGTGATTCACGGGTCCCTCTCCATAACCCTCCCGTGATTCATGGGCCCCTCTCTGCACCCTCCTGTGATTCACAGGCTCCTCTCTGCAACCCCTCCGTGATTCATGGGCCCCTCTCCGCAACCCTTCCGTGATTCACGGGCCCCTCTCCGCATCCCTCCCGTGATTCACGGGCCCCTCTCCGCACCCCTCCCGTGATTCACAGGCCCCTCTCCGCACCCCTCCCGCGATTCTTGGGCCTCTCTCTGCAACCCTCTGGTGAATCACAGGCCCGCTCTCCGCACCCCTCCCATGATTCACAGGCACCTCTCCGCACCCCTCCCGTGATTCACGGGCCCCTCTCCGCACCCCTCCCGTGATTCACGGGCCCCTCTCCGCACCCCTCCCGTGATTCACGGGCCCCTCTCCGCACCCCTCCTGTGAGTCACGGGCCCCCTCTCTGCACCCCTCACTCCCCAGGGTCTGTCATTTGCTTTCCCCTTGAACGCACACGGGCAGAGAGCATGACACTTTCCCTGGGACCCTGGCCCTAGATGGCTCCAGTCCTGGGGCCTGCTGGCCTTTCCAGTCTCCTCCAAGCATTCCCCCCGCAACATACACCTTCCTCTCCAGCTTCACAGACCCAACTCCTAAGGGCTGACCCAAATACACCTGCCCTGCCCTCCTCCTGGGTGGGCCAGAGGAGCCTCAGTGGGCTATTTCACTGCGGGGTGCCCCTCCTGGGTGGGCCGGAGGAGCCTCAGTGGGCTATTTCACTGCGGGGTGCCCCTCCTGGGTGGGCCGGAGGAGCCTCAGTGGGCTATTTCACTGCGGGGTGCCCCTCCTGGGTGGGCCGGAGGAGCCTCAGTGGGCTATTTCACTGCGGGGTGCCTCCACATCCCCATCTGTGCAGCACACTCACCACCAGTGCTCCGTAAACGGCAGCCACCCCATTCCCTCCGCCTGGCTGTCCCTTCCTCCTCGGGCCCAATGGGCTTCCTTCCTCTCATCCTCTGAGAAGGGAGTCAAACGCTGCTACCTCTGGGAAACCTTCCCCATCTCCTTCTTCCTCTTGGCTCCTGCAATTCCATTTGCTCCTCTGTCCTCTCCTCCACTTGGAGTTCCTGTAGGACCAGGAGAGGGGTCTTTTCATCCCTGTGCCCAGCACAGCACCCAGCACGCGGTGGCCACTCATCCGTGTCTGCTGCATGAAAGTGTCTGGATGTCAGGCCCATAGGCAGCCTGTCCCAGGACAAACCTCAGTGGCTACCATACCTGTCACGCTGCCTGGCTCTCACCTGGGGCCAGCAGACTCTCGGGGGACCACTTGCGTGGCTGGTGCCACAAAACCCC
This sequence comes from Homo sapiens, assembly GCF_000001405.40. Lineage (NCBI taxonomy): Eukaryota > Metazoa > Chordata > Mammalia > Primates > Hominidae > Homo > Homo sapiens. The sequence continues at coordinate 4,665,593 of NC_000001.11, read as the reverse complement.
AGCCCAGTGCTCCCCAGGGACCGTCGGGGTGAGAGCCTGAGAAACAGATGCTGTTGGAGTGAGTGTGGCGGCTCAGGTCTTCCCAGAGCATCAGGCTTCTGTGCAGAGAATCAAATTAGCCCAAAAAATGCTGAAGGAAGAAGGAACCTGGAGCTGTGAGTGTTCAAAGAGACCCTCCAGGGTAGTAATGGGCAGTAAATTAGCCCAGTACCGGGGCTTAATCAAGAGTCCCCAAAATGCCCCTGGAAGCCTGCACAGTGTAATGCCACAGCATCCAGGAGACCCAGGCGCCTAATGGGGCCATTCCATCAACATTTTCTGGGATTTTGAAATGCAGTGTCATAAAAATAAACATGCTTACTCTTGTCTCGCATAATTGGCTCCCTAAAGAATCCTTGCCTTCTGAAAGCCACCGTGTCCCTCAGCAGGAAGCACAGCTTTTTTCAGCATCTGGGTACAGTCTTGAATTTTCTCTTGACAAAAAAGAGGGGGGTGGGGGCGTCGACTGAAAACCAGCTCTCGTGGGGCTTTTTCCGCATTTTACCACACTCCTTTCCAAGCCAGAGAGCACAATCCTCAGCTGGTCCTGGGGCAGAGGCTTCTGCCACAAAGGCTGACATCGTGGTTCAGATAGGTTCCTTGCTAACACGCCAAATACAATGACCCTGCCTAGTAACTGAATCTTTTATATATATCGTAGCTGCATGCCTAGGAAGTCTACCGGCACCATCCGTGGGTGATTGCTTCACCCTTGCCTAAGATGGCTCTCTGCAACCATTCGGGAAATTGAATCCACAGCAGGATACTGACTTCTGTCTGATCAGGGCTGTAGTCAGCCTGGTAGGGTGGTTACGGGACTCTGTCATTGAGTCATTCAGATGCTCCAAGTAGAAGCAAATGAGAGCCAGGCAGATGCCACCAAAGGGCAGCCCAGGAAATGAGCAAAATCGCCAGCTCTCTCCTGGGTCCATTCTCTTTCTTCACCTGTGTAAAAATGACACCCCGGCAGAAGGGCATGACCGGGGCCCCCCAGCTGATGGTGGGGATCAGCTGGTGAGAGGTGGTCCCTGCTGTACTCTAAGCAGGGCTGACCCTTGGGCCCAACCACCCGGACAGGCTGCTGCTGTCACCTGGCAACTCCACCACCATTGTCCCCCTACCAGGCTCAGAACGCTTGAAGCTCCAGGCATGTCCTTTTCACCTCCATACCATGGGCATCCATGTATGTTCTGTGCGGTGCCAGGCAGCAAGGAAATTGGCCCTGGATGCTGGGCTCAAATCCCATACTTGGCTGCCTGCCCCAGCCTGGTGGATGCTGTATTCCTTAAATACATCCAATCCAAAGTGTTCTTCTAGACTAGGAAGAACAGGATGTAACGGTTCAGAGGCCAGATGCTGGAGCTGAGTGCCTGGGTTTGAGTGCGGGCTCTGCTATTTACTTGCTGTGTGGCCTGGGGAAATTCATTCAGGTTCTCTGTGCCTTCTCTGCACACAGGAGATCCTTAAAGTGCTCCTACCATAGCAATGTAGGAATGAGTTAAGATACGGCACGGGCATAGAACAGTGCCTGCTACATAGTAAGTGTCATGCAACTGTTCACTGATATGTTGCATACACAGGCCTCAGTGAGGGTGTTTATGAGAAAGAACCTGCGGCTATGAGCAAGCCCCGCACCCAGGCCTCCCGAAAAGGGCAGTTTTGCAGTACTGGAGTCACCCTTCTTTCATCCCATGTCCTATGCAGACACGGCAAACAGTCTGTAGGCACTTTTCTCTCTCTAAATCCCCAGAAGAACTCAGAATCCTTCTCTACACAGAGCTCGAAGAAGCAACTACCGAAGAGTCCACACCGGTTGCAAGAGTTGAGATCTTTTCCCCACCCCTAGGTCTGGGCAGCTAACAACTTGGCAGCTGAATACAAAGACCGTCTGGGGCCAGTTGAGCCGAGACCCTCATCCACACTCATGGGGCCAGCACAAGAGGGATGCCAGGAGCTCCTCCAGGCGCCACCCTCCTCCCACCTGCAGCCTGCATTTGAGGTGCCTGGGCGCCATGGGTTCGCTGTCATCTACCCCAGGATGGGAAATGTTCTCTTAATTTCTCCCTCTTATGCAGTTGGGTTCTTCCAAGTCTGTGGTTGGTGCCGAACAATCCCCATCATGGAATTCCTGGAATCCATGGCCTGCTTGAGGGCTGCCCCTTCTGTGAGTGGCAGCATCTAACACCCACCAACACCCGTGCTTTCTGGAGGTGCTTTCCACAGTCTGCCCTGTGCCTATGACCCTGGCCCTGCCTCATCCATCAAACATGATGCCTGGCTGGGTGCAGAGACTCATGCCTGGAATCCCAGCACTCTAGGAGGCTGAGGTGGGATGATCGCTTGAGCTCAGGCATTTGAGACCAGCCTGGGCAACACAGCAAGACCTAATCTATTCAAAGTATAAAAAAATAAATAAAATAAAAACAAAATGATGCCCTTCAGCCCTCACTAGATGATGCTCCATGAGGATGGTTTCCCCAAACTGGCCCCACTGCCCCCCTGGGAAGGGGGAGGCACGGCTGCCTCCCTTACATTCCCTGGAAGCCCCCTGAAGCCCACACTTTCCACGTGCAGGGGAGTAGGCACAGTTTGGGTCCTTCAAGAGACCACTGACCCTCTCCCCTCCACCTCCAGGCATCTGACCAGATAGGACTTCTTCTAATGCTTCAAAATATTCCCCTTTATACCAAGGCAGAATGGAAATGCCTGTTCTCCATCGAACCAAAACACATCCCCGTGGCAGAATGCACTCGACACTCAATAAATGCTTATTGAATGCGAAATGTTCGAATCAACAATGGCTTGTGTGTAGGGAGTTCTCTTTAGAACAAGAGGGAGGAGCCTATCCCACCCCAGAGCTGGACCACGGGCGCCTAGCCCGGCACATTTTCCATCCATCTAACGACACATAAGGGGCTTCTTGCGGCCCCACCGAGCACTGACGTCTGTGGTTATAAAGTATAACGTGGAGGCAAGAGAAATGAAAACAACATCCATCCCGAGGCGTGCACGCGAAGTTCATGGCAGCGCTGCTCCCCCAGCCCCAACATGCCAACAACCCAACGGTGCATCAGCAGGTGAACCGGCAAGCCAACGGGATGTCTGAAAATCAGGATACCATTCAGGAACAAAAAGGGAATGACGTGGCAAGCTACTGCGTAGACACACCTCAGAACATGACACTAAAGAAGGCAGACAAAAAGGATGACCACATGCTGGAGGATTCCATTTACAGGAATAGTGAGGATGGGCAAATCCATCAAGGCCAAATCAGAGGAGTGGTCGTCAAAGGCTGGAGGCAGGAACGGGGATTGCTACAAACAGCAAAAGGGATCTTATCAGGGGTGAAGCAACCGTGCTGAAACTGGACCATGGCAATAGTTGTGCAACTCGGCCAATTTCCTAAAAATCAATGAACCATATACTTTCAATGGATACATTTCATTGCATGTAAATTGTGCTTCAAAAAAAATGCACACACACACAGACACACACACACACACACACAAATATAAAGGGCAATTCCTTTTACTCAGACTTCTTATGCTAAACCCAACTTTCTCAATGTGATCATTCATTGATTTCCACAGTTTTTAATTTCAAGAAAGCTCTCGATAGAGGCCTCCTTGGATTTGGTGACATATTTATTTTTAATTATTAAATAGATTGAATAGCAGTATCTGTGTCACAGATAGGTTTTCATCTCCCCATGACGTTTCATTAATTCTGTGCTGCAAAATAATCTGTCATTTGACCATAAACCTTTTACTTAAAATCATGGGTACCAGAGAGACTTGTGATTTCAGAGTCAGCTGAACACACGGCTAAATCCATGAAGTGCTGACTTGGCATCACAGCAGCTGGGTCCTTCTTGTTTTATTTTTTGTTGTTGTTGTTTGAAAATTTTGTTTTGTGTTTCCCAAAAGGGCAACCTGTAACTTAATAAAGTGAGTAAGAAGTAGATTTTGTATAAGACAAGAAAGCCACAGAGGTCAGCATAAGGAGCACGAATGGACCTTCGAGTCCTGGAAACCTGGGTTCAAATCCCACCTCTCCCATGAGCTAGCTGTGTGACCTTGAGCAAATTACCTAACCTCTCTGTGCTCCAGTTTTCTCCTGTGTGAAATGGGAGCAATAATACCTGCCTTGCAGGGCCACCCTGAGGAACATGAGGGTGGAGTGGGACAATGCAGAATGGCTGAACAGTTTAGCACCGTTGGATCAGATCACTTAGCACAAAGCCTGGCTTAGGAAAAGCCTAGCAGTATTACAGTATTAGTTCCAGCACCTCCCATCTGGATGTGAAAAGAGAAAGAGTATCAGGTGTAGGTCATGATATCTCAGAAGTTCACAGACAAATCTGATAGAGCTGCCCATTGTATCTCCCAGTTTCATTCAACAAGTCCTCATAGAGCACCCCAGCCCCCAGTTCTTTTATCATAAAGCCCCAAATGAGGTGATAAGAGCAAAGCCACAAACCAGTGTCTGCCTTCTCAAGCTTGAGGCTCATGTTTCCCTGATCTAGAAACAGGAAACCAGCTGTTTTTGTGTTTGACTTAAAATCCTCAGAATATGGTCTTGAAGCCTATAAGCCAGGGTAGAAAAGTGGGGCTGACCCCGAAAACCTGCTCTATCTTCAGAGTTGACCTAATTTACGTAAAGATGTGGACAGATCTTCTTATCCAATAATTATGCCTGAAGTCATTTATTACTGTCACCGATGATGGATCTCATAACATTAGCAACACTGCACGTTCATATGCTGCTGAATTTTTCGTTCTAAAATATGTGGTAGAGACATAACTGAGCAAGTTTTGTAAAACAATTTTTTTACCCCTTTCCCCATTTCCACATCACCTTTGACTGCTGTTAAATACAAATACACGACCCCTAAAAAAGCTAAATACTCACATACACACACGTGTGCCCATGCTTGCCAGTCAGATCAGTTAGGCACTAATCTCTGACAGATTAGTAGAGAATGTTAGTTTGTTTCTTTTAATTAAACCTTTAATTTTAACTGTGGAATTGCAGGCATTGTAAGACATCATACAGAGAGACCCTGTGTACCCCTCACCGAGATTCCCCCAGTGGTAACATTTGCAAAACGACAATACAATAATATAACAGGATTGTGACACGGATATAGTCAAGATAGAGAACGTTTCCATCACAACAAGGAGGCCTGATGTTGCCCTTTTGTAACCACACCCTCTTTCCTTCCGTTCCCCACTCCTTCTTTGACCCCTGGCAACTACTCATCTGTAGCAGTAGTAGTATGAGTATTGTACCACGTCTATAATTTTGTCATTTTGATGCAGGGCCGGCATGCCCCAAAGTGAGGCTTAGACCATGAGGGTTCTCGGCTTTGCCCAGAAAAGAATTCAAGGGCAAGCCAGTGGTAGAAGAAAAACAGCTTTATTGAGGAGGTGTTCCAGCTCTGGTGGTGTGGTGGTGTTACCGGTCCGGCAGTGTGACAGCTCCGTGTCTGCCGCTGCAGAACAGGGCTGCCCCATAGGCAGCGTGCTGAGAGTAGCAGCTCGGGGCAGCTTTGCAGTTGTATTTATACCTACTTTTAATTCCACGGAGATTAAGGGGCGGTTTATGCAGAAATTTCTAGGGAAGGGGTAGTGATTTTTGGGTCATCAGGTCATCGCCATGGAAAGGGCAGTAACTACTGGGTGTTGCCCTGGCAATGGTAAACTGACATGGCACATTGACGGGCATGTCTTATGGAATGGTGCTTCCATCCTGTCCCTGTTTTAGCTAGTCCTCAATTTGGTCCACAGTCTGAGTCCCACCTCCAGAGTCAAGTCCCATCTCCTACCTCAATTTCAATGCTATGAAATCATCATATAGTAAGTAACCTTTTGGGATTGACCCAGGAGTAGCCAGTCCTCCTCTCTCCTCCTGGTGCCTGATCTTATCCCAGCTCTGAGGCGGATGTACTTGGGGACACGCCCAAGGGCCACCAGAGGTCTGACATGGACACCCTCCAGCCTGACTCTCTATTCAAGGCAGATTAACTGAGAGTTAATCTGAATTATGTAACCACCACCACTCCCTGCTCCGAGGCCTCATGACTCACCAGCCCCTTTGAATTCCTGGAAGGGGTCTCAGAGGAAGAAAGAATGGAGTCGACTGTACCACGTTTGCCTGCTCTAGCCCCAGAAAGCCCCTGCTCCTGTCTCCTCCTTGTGTCTGATTGGCATCAGGCAGGAGAAACCCTCTCAAGCCAGACTTCAAATGTAAAATCTAGATCAAGGATATATTTGGCTTTCCAAGCTAATCTTTACATCAATTTGGTCTCTACTGACTTGTAACCCTTTGAAGAAAACTTGGCAACTACGTATTTAAAACAGATGACTCTTATATAACCCCTGAGAGGAGCCCCTGGGCTCTTGAAGGCTCAGCTGTTTGCAATCCAGTCAGGGTTTTGTGTTTACCTACTTCATTGTAACCCAGGGTCACACTCCAGGTACCCTGTGGCTTTCCCACAAAAAGCTCAGGGAAATGCAGAACCCAGGAGCACACAGGGCCCCACCTGCCAAACACCCCATTTGTGTGTGGGTCAGAGGGACTGGCGCTGTGGAAGTGGAGACTGGGTTGGGGTCCAGAAGCACCTCCAGCGACCCCCGCTAGAAAGACGCAGGTGCATGCCTTGGAGAAGCCGGCGCTGCTCTGCCTCCAGGGACCCAGAGACAGCTGTCCCCGGCAGGCGTGGGGCTGTCTCCATTCCTGAGCTGCGTTGCCCTGCTCCCCTCTCCAATGCATGGAAGAAAAGGAAGCAGGTGATCAAAGTAAATAAACAACAGGGACACACTGGGAGGAGTCTGCCATCAGCTCCTCCACTTGGCCAGTGTATCCCCAAGGTGGGGGTGAGCATGAAAGGGGGGTATGTACCGATGTTGCCCAAAGATTTGAGCTGCCTCCTAAATTTGCAGTTTAGTCAAGCATGATTGTCCCCGAGGAGTAGCACAGCCGCTGACACTAGATAGATTCCAGTTGCAATCAATTTAGTAGCAGCAGCTGGAAATCGGCGCGAGCCAGGATTCACCCGGAGCGCAATGTTTGTGGACTGCGCGTTTGACTTCATCCGCTAAAGCTGGGCTGCACAGCCCCAGCTGCCTGGGGACTCTACAGCGAGGATGGTGACAGCCAAGCCAATGGATCCCTGCCATGAGGCCCAGACATGGTACAGCGCGCACTGAGAGGGCTTGGGGAACTGTGAATTATGTCAACACACACACCCAGGGCCTCCCAAACAAAAGGGGCCCCAGAACCTTGGAGCGGGAGAACAGATGGGATGGCCGCAGGGACATGGGCTGGGAATGAGCTCGTGGCACTCTGCTAGGGATCACAGTCCTGAGCGCAACCCAGCAAACGTATTAGGTGGACGCTCGGAGCCCCTGAGGAAGCCACAGCATCTGAGGTCTGCAGCCTGGGAAGCAACTCACAACCAGGAAGCCAATTCCAAACTCTGGGCTGCTTGCTGAGTACGCGCCCCCTCCACGGGTGAGCTCTGAGCTGCTTGCTGAATACGCGCCTCCTCCACGGGTGAGCTCTGGCAGGGCTTGTCAAGCCACTGGGTCTCCTTCCGTGGCTCCCTCTCTCTCAGCTGATGGAAAGTATCTTTGGAGCTCTGCTACAACTATTAAATGCCACCGCAAAAGACACAAAAGCTGCTCAATAAGTCTCAATCTGCTTCTCCCTCTTGGGGGGAAAAGAAAAAAAAAAAGCTCCACATACAGCTCAGTTCCAACACAGACGTAAATAACCAAGCCCAGACTTCGTCTCTGGGGCCGGAACTAAGAAAGCCCACCCCACCCCCACCCCCACCCCCTGCCCAGCAAGTTACACTGCACCTCTCCCATGGTGGAGCAAGCCAGGCCTTCTGCCACCCCAGCTGGAGGCTCAGTGTCTACCTGTCCTAACCAGGCTCCAAGCTTGGCAGCAAGACGCCCAGTGCTCACCTAGGGAGCCGCGGAGTGGCTTGCAAGCAAAGGTGAAGGGCTGTCTTGAAAGAAAAAGTGCATTTCCAGACCTTGAACTTGCAACCCTTTGGCTCAGAGTCCCCAGGTGCCCATTGTGATGCAAAACCACCCAGACCCTCTGGGTACAGGCCTCCTTCTCTGGCCAGGAGACAGCAGTAACAAGACAGAGCTCTCCCATCAGGATCCCAAATAGGTGACAGCTCGTCCTTAAAGGCACACTTACAGAAAATCTCCTGTGCTGACATCGAGGGGGGAAAAACGAAAGGTCAAACTTCAAAAGAACCAACAGAACTATTTCCTAAAGCAAAATCCCAAGATCCGGCTTGAGGATGCTTGAGAGGAACTGTTTTAGTAAATTTCAAATCAAAAGAGAGGCTTCTTTCCAAGATATTTGCTCTTCTCTCCCTTTATCAAAATGTACTCATCTTTTAATCTAGCAACTTAGCAATAAAAAAAAATGTCTGTTCAAATAAGTTGCCATCAGGAATCAAGTGGCAGCTCAGGAAGCAGGTCGGAGCTGAAGACCAGCCACTGGCCAGTGTGGGGACCCGTCTGGTCATTCACAAAGCCTTGGAAGGTCTTGCTGAGACCTGGGACAGTCCGGGGCAGAGCAGGGGATGGCAGGCCTCCAGGGCACCTGGATCAGGGTCATTCCTGCAAAGCTGTCCTCGCTCCATTTTGCCAACATCCCACAACGGTCCAAGCCTAAACCTTATCTAGCCCAAGCACACTTATCGATTCACGCCCGACCAATATCCCACACCCAACACAATCGGCTCCATGATTAACCTTTGAAGCCCACAGCAAGATCGGCCACTGAGAGAAGGGATGCTAATAATAACATCTGACAATGTTCACTAGATGTGTTACACAGTATTCACCTCTGGGAGCAGAATCGGCTCATAAATCAAGGGTCGCTAGAAAACACTTGGCGTCCCAGTCCCCTTCCGATTTCTCAAAATCAGGACACGCACTAGATCCTCCCTCCCTTCGCCTCACTCCCCCCGCAGCTTCATCCCTGAGTGGGGGCGGCTCAAGCAGCGGGCTAACAACTACTGGCCTTTTCGTCCCCAACGCGGGAGCGCAGTGCATCCCAGTGGACAAACTCGAGAACCGCACGCTGCTCTCCGCCTCCACCTCTGTCCTCCCCGCTCGCGGTTCCAACCCGGGACCCAAATGCACGAGCTCGGTGAATGCCCCGGCAGGAGGGCGAGGGCTCAGAGGCAGCCTGCCCAGCAAAAACGACAGCTGTGCTCTGGTGGGCCCTGGGCCACCCCAGGCAGAAGCCAGAGAAGCCCGAGAACCCCGGCGGGCTGGCAAAGTTTGCCGAGAAGGGTCTTTCTGGACACCCCCACCACGGGCTCTAGGCTCGAACCCCCTCTTCCATCTGGCCCTGGAGTCCCAGACACAGACAAGCCCCGGGCGCGCCGGCGGGCGTATGTGCGTGTGTGTTTACAGCGGGGTGGCCGCCGGAGCTCCCCAAGAACCCCAGCTCTCCCGCCCCAGCTGCCCGCCAGCTGTGAGCGCCCGTCGGGCCCGGAGGTCACCCGCAAACAGCTGGGTCGGCAGCTGGGAGCCTGGGAGGCCCCTGCTCAGCCCCGGGGCCCCGAGAAAGGAGAAGGGGGAGCGGAGTGGCTGTTTGGCTGTGGTTTCCTCCAACTCCGCCTGCGAAGCTCTCGCTGGGAGCCCGGAGCTTTAGCTTTCCCCGGCAGCCCCGGCCCCCGCGCCCGCCGCGCCCAGCGGCCGGCGCCTCGCCCCGGGCCCCGGGGAGGAGGCGCGCCGGGGCAGCCGGCCAGGACACTGCGCTGCTGGCTCCTAGAGCTGCGGGCGCGCCTGGCCGGCCCCACTTCCCGGGTTGCTGGGGCGGGCGCCGCTGCCCCGACCCCGGACGCGCGGAACCCTGGAGACCCGGCCGCTCCCCGCCAGGGCCGCGGTGCTGCTCCAGGCTCCGGGCGGGCGCCCCTTTCCGGCTACCGGTGCACCCCGTTGCCCGCTTGCGGGAAGCGAAGAGGGGTCCCTTGATTTGCAACATAGAGGAAAGCGCCGCTTCCGCCCAGCCTGGCACCCACGCGCCCACACGCACCCGGCGCCGGCCGGGTCGCTCACCTGAGTCCTAAAAGCTGTTGAATCCACATGGTCACGTTTCGGGGAGCGGGGCCTCAGACCTGGCTCGCCCAGGCCATCTGCGCGGCGCCCGCGCCCGCTCGCTTCCGTCCCGCGGCGCCGGTCTCCGGCTCTCGGTCCGCCGCCTCCCGCCGCCCGCCGGCCGCGGGGCGCACAGCGAGTCAGAGCGCGGCCGCGCGGGGCTCCATGCCGGCCGGCGCGCCGCCGCCGTTGGGGCGCATGGCTCAGGCTGGGCGGCCCGCGGGGGCGCACATCCTCCGGCCGGGGCGCGGGGCTCGCGGCCCCCTCCGCCGGCGGCACAGCGAAGGCGGCAGCGAGGCGGGGCGTGTTCCGGCGCTGTCGCGGCGCAGCAAAGGGCTGGGGAGCCGCGGCTTCGCCCTCCGGGGCGGCGAGGAGGGAGGCCGGCGGCGCTGCCGCTCACGGTGCGTGTCTCCCGGCGCGCGGCTCTTGCCTCCAGCCGGAGCTCCGCGCCGATGGGGCGGCGCTGCTTAGGGTTTGGGGTGACGCGACGCGGACGGACGCGAGTCCCCTCCGCGCTGCCGGGTCGGGGGGCTCTGCCAGAGGCTCCGCCGCCGATCGGCGCCACTCAAGTTGCCCGGGGGCTCCGTCTGAGCGCTCGCTCTGCAGACGGCCGCGGCCCGGAGACTGGCAGGAGGCGGGCACGAGAGGCGCGCGGGGCGAGGGCGCCGTGGAGCGCGGGGCGTGGGGACGCGCGGCGGCGGCGCCGCGCGGAGGAGGCGCGCGGGGATCCCGGGGCCCCGCCGCCCGCGCCCACCGCGCCCGCCGCAGAGCCGCCCGCGCTGCTCAGCCGCCTCCCTCCTCGCGTCTGCCTCTCCGCGCGCTCGCCCCCGCCTCCCGGAGCCGGTCCCAACTCCGCCCGCCCGGCCCGGCTCACGTCACCCGCCTTCCCCGCCCCTCGAACGGGAGCTCGAGCCCCTGGCCTGGCCCCGGCTCCTGCTCGCCGCCCCACCTTGCGGGGGCCGGGGTCGCCGCGGGTGGTGGGGGGCGCTGTGCCCAGCAGGGGCGACAGCGCAGGCGGGGCCTCCTGCAGCCCCCTTCCCCATCCCCGGTCGCGTCCCGGTCCCCACCTTGCGAAAGGCTCGAGAGAGGCCGCAGGCTAGGATTGGACCGCCGGGCGCCGCCGGATGGTGTTGCCAGGGTAACCGGATGGCACGCGAAGCCGTTCGAGGTTCCGACCCGGTTACGGGGGCGCCCAGTGGACCCGGAGAGCTACTTTGGGGAGGGGGCGGCCCCGAAGAAGGACTGGGTGGGGGCGCATGGAGCGGGGGCTGCGCGAAAAGTTTCCTGGGGCGGAGCTGAGCCACGCGGGCCGCGCAGGAGCGTCTGTCCGAGGGTCGCCTACGAGGGACTCCTCTGCTCGGCTGCGCGGGCTTCTGCGTTGATGAAGTCACCGCGTTCCGGGTCGGAGCTTCGGCGCTTCTGCCCCGAACCCAGCGAAGCCCGGTCCTATGCCCCCAATTACCCAACGGTCCCTCATCGCCCAGCGCAGCTGCTGCCTGGCCAGGCCCTTGCTCCGGAGGAGTCACTGGAAAGTTCCAGGGAATCTGGGCCTCCCGGACTCTCCACCGGCGTTTCACTGCTCCCTTCCCATGCCAGGACTCCTCTGTGCCTACCTGGTTAGTCTGTATTTGCAAAAAACAAACAAAAACAACAACAAAAAACAAATGGGGGGCACTTAAAGGAGGACAGACGCTGGGCGGGGACCTTTCACTGAGAGAAGTGACATGGGGCGGAATCCTCTGCAGACCCGCTGACGCCTTGAGAAACCACGGCAAAACCCTGCTTTTAATCCTCCACAGGCTGAGGGCAGTGCAGAATCCGGGCCTTGGAAAGGACACTGGTGCCACCCTTCACTGGGGAAAGGTGCAAGGGGCGGGGGATATACCATGCCGAGCCTTCGCTCTGTGCTCTGTGCAGGTGCTTGACCCAGGCCAGCTCTGGAATCGCCCCAGGCCATGTGAGAGCCGTGGGGGGTGAGAGGGGCGGGAAGCACTTCACAGGTGAGGCCTCCCTGGGAGGGGCAGCCAGTGAGGGGGTGGAAGGGCAGAGCCAGGAGGACCATGGCTTGGGGCTCAGTCTCCCAGGCGAACCATAGCTTGGGGCTTAAGTCCCCCAAGCAGCCCTTTCACCCCCAGGCCTCCAGGATCTTTGCCAACGGTCTTGAGGAGCCAGGCACAGGATTGGACTCTGCCCGGGCAGGAGGATGAAGACAGTGACTTCCCCACCAAGACTCCCGGCAGAGGGCCAGAGGCAGGGAAGTGTGGTGGCAGGAGGGCCAGCCTTGCCGTGGCTGGACCAGGGGCCAGCGCTTGCTAACTCGGGGTCCTGGCCGAGTTGTGTGGCCTCTCCGACCCTCGGTCTCCTCATCTGTAAGATGGGTCCCACAGCCCCTCCCCGGGGAGGTGTTTGCAGGGCTCCATGAGAAGGCCTTACACACACTGTGGCTATGGTGATCTGTGAGCCGGTCAGAGGACCCGAGAGGCAGCAGGGTGACTCAGCAGTTTCCCTGCCGGGCCGCCCCTGGGTCATCGTCCCCTAGAGCCTCTCCCTGAGGGGTGTGAGGGAGCGGATCCCATTAAGAGGCGAAGGAGGCAGGGAGGTCCTGGAACCAGCGGGGCCTATGGCGGCCGGCGGGGAAGGAGGCGCCGGCAGTGCTGCCACCTAGCGGTGTGAGGAGGCGGTGCTGCACCAGGGAGGCCCTTCCTGCAACCGGAGTGGGCCTGGAAGGGGCCGGCTTCGCACACTAGGAGCCAGCAGGGCAGGGAGGGGCTCCGGACCGGACCGTGTCGGCTCCAGGAACCCCTTGGGCAGCCTTGTGGACACCTGCTGACCTCTCTCAGAATGGCTTCTAAGTGCATAGATGAAAAAGCCCAGGATTATTAGGAAACCAATTCTATGCAAATGCATTATCAAAAGAGTAATAAAAACAAATTTCTGATATAGCCGTATATATTATTTATTAATACACTTAGTAAGCAATTGACAGATCCTAAATTACGTTCCTTTTGAAGTCCAGATATGCAGCAATAATATCCTGAGGTAACTGCAGCCATGGCAGTGTGATATGGAAATGCCAGTGCTTTCTATGTTTGACGGTCACAGGCACTGAGCTCTGCCACCGACATTGATAATGAAAGGAAATGCCAAGTCTCAGTTAGGGTTAAATAAAGATGCCAGTTTTCCCCCATACGAGTTGAAAGACCCTTTGAATTCTATCCAAGTACCCTGGGAATCTCTGGACAAAGAAAATAGTAGAAGGAAGTGTTTTCTGACAACCGAGATGGGAACAAGCCCTGCAGAAGTCTCCAGGCGAAGTCAGAGCCTTAAGACTACAGCTGCTGCCCCGGGTGAGTGAGGGCTTCTTCAGTCTATGGGGACGGAGGATGCCCTCTGCCCTCACCCAGGCTTAAAATTAGGATTTGGGACCAGGGTACACTGATTTCCTTTTTCTCTAGGGTAACTCAGGTCTGCCTCTCTCCAAAAAGAGCAATCCACCTATTATTATTATTATTATTATTATTATTATTATTATTGAGATGGAGTCTCACTCTGTCACCTGGGCTGGAGTGCAATGGCATGATCTCAGCTCACTGCAACCTCTGCCTCCCAGGTTCTCCTGTCTCAGCCTCCTGTCTCAGCCTCCCGAGTACCTGGGATTACAGGTGTGCACCACCACGCCCGGCTAATTTTTGTATTTTTAATAGAGACAAGGTTTCACCATGTTGGTCAGGCTGGTCTCGAACTCCTGACCTCAGGTTATCCACCCACCTTGGCCTCCCAAAGTGCTGGGATTGTAGGCCTGAACCACCGCGCCCAGCTTATTATTATTATTTCGATGACAAAATCATTGTCTTTTTTTTTTTTTACAGACTGTAAAACGACAAAACCTTAACTTGCATTTCAGCATTTCTAGAACTGGTTTTCTATACATTGATGGCTCTCATATTTCTAACTGGTTCATTTTTCTTCCCTTGGGGATTGGGAAGCTGTGTGTATGTCACTCCCACCCAACACACACACACACACGCGTGTGCGCGCGCACACACACACACACACGCCTCCCAGCTTCGGCGATACAAAAGGGAACTGTTCAGATGTTCATGCTGTGGAAAGTTCTTCCGGTCACCCTGCTAATTCTGGCCCTTTCTCCCCGCTGGGGGAAGTCCACAGCCTGGAACCCTGGGGAACCCCTGCGGTCTCCTCACCTAGTCCCCTCCCCTATTTTCCCAACAAAGGAGCCAGCAGGCCCCTGCAGGAGGTCCTCTTTGAAGCTCTCTGAGGCCATTTATCTAATGGCCTTCACAGACTTGACTATTTTTAAAACCCATCCAAAGCCAAATTGAGCTGCCATTGTTCATTTTTCTCCCAAGGAGGTAAATGTGTCTTAACCATGACATTTGATTAAGTAGCTAAGTTTGTGATTTTAAATGGAAGGGAAAATGCTGATTAAAATTATTATAAGTTTCTTGAAAGCATTCACAGGAGTGTCTTCCCTGACTCTCCTATCTTCCTGGCTACCCCCCTCCCAGTAAAACTTGCAGGAAGCTCATGGTTGTCGGGGGCAGGGGGAGTGACGCAAAGTCGCTTTTCCTTCTCAGGGAGGTTATATGCTGGAGATTTGGGGTTTCCTCCCCCTGGCACCTGAGCTGTTTCCTGGGTGAGGCTGCACACAGCTGCACTACACGCATAGCTGAGCGCAAGGCAGAGACCAAGCCTTGGGGCAGAGGTGGGAGCCAAGAAGCTGTACTCCCACCCACAAAATGACTCACAAGACAATCATCCTGCAGCCCAGCACTGGCCGGCAAGAGAAAATGCCAGGTCTGAACTGCCTGTGAAAGTGTACCCATGCATCAGAGAGAGGAAGACGGGATTCCTTGGCTTGCTCTGAGCAAGTGATAGCCTCCGGGTACAGATGGAAAGAGGGCCACCTAAGAATTTGATCTGGCCCAGAATGGAGAAAAACTCTCATCTCAAGGCTTTTATGGATCTTCTGTATTGATCAGTTTGCCTCTTCTATTTAGATAGAGAGGGATGAAGAAAAAGAAGGTTAATTTGCATTGCAAAGTAAAGTGACACAATTTGAAAGCAGTTGCCTGGCATTGCTGGGATTGGAAGGTCTGGGGTGGGAAATTAGAGAGAAGAGGGGAGTCCAAGAGTAGGGTCCACACCAGGGAAGCCCCAAAGGGGAGGGCCAGGGGCATAAGGTGACCAGTGAAGCCCTTATGCTTTCTCATAACTGTGACTGGGACAAGAATCTCAGATTTCTGTCCTGTGTTGCAGCTCTGTCCTCTTCTAGAAAACCTCCACAGAAGTCAGGCTTGTGCTGCAGGTGTGTGGAGGAGTGATGGAAGAGGTGTCTCTACTGTAGGGCAGCCAGAGGGGAAGGCCGTAGTGGCCAGAGGAGCAAGAGGAAGACTTGGGACCCTCCGACTAACTTGGAAAGAAACTTAGGAAATAGGACCTTCCTTCCTCATATTATAGAGGATTCTGGACCTTGGATAGGGGACAAGCAGGAGTAAATGCAGAAATTCACACAGTCCTCAGGATGGGACTTGAGATAAATAGTTTGGATTTAAGGGAAGGGGGGAAATGGGGACATGAAAGAGTCAGGCACTTGGTTTCACATAACATCGAGAGATAACATCACTGGCCCTGAAGGTCTGGTTCTGCTAGTAGGAGAGGTGTGTGTATTCACTCATCTTGTTGACTGAGCCCTGAGTAGAGGAGGTGAGAGTATGTACTCATCTTGTTGACTGAGCCCTGAGTACAGGAGTTGGAAGTATGTACTCATCTTGTTGACTGAGCCCTGAGTACAGGAGTTGGAAGTATGTACTCATCTTGTTGACTGAGCCCTCAGTACAGGAGGTGTGAGTATGTACTCATCTTGCTGACTGAGCCCTGAGTAGAGGTGAGAGTATGTACTCATCTTGTTGACTGAGCCCTGAGTAAAGGGGGTGAGAGCTGCACTCATCTTGTTGACTGAGTCCTGAGTATGGGAGGTGAGAGTATGTATTCATCTTGTTGGCTGAACTCTGAGTACAGGAGGTGGGAGTATGTACTCATCTTGTTGACTGAGCCCTGAGTATGAGAGGTGAGAGCTGCACTCATCTTGTTGACTGAACCCTGATTAGAGGAGGTGAGAGTGTGTACTCATCTTGTTGACTGAGGCCTGAGTACAGGAGGTGGGAGTATGTACTCATCTTGTTGACTGAGTCCTGAGTAGAGGAGGTGAGAGCATGTACTCATCTTGTTGACTGAGCCCTGAGTACAGGAGGTGGAAGTATGTACTCATCTTGTTGACTGAGCCCTAAGTACAGGAGGCGAGGGTATGTACTCATCTTGTTGACTGAGCCCTAAGTAGGGGAGGTGAGAGTATATACTCATCTTGCTGACTGAGCCCTGAGTACAGGAGGTAAGAACAGGCACTCATCATGTTGACTGAGCCTTAAGGGGGTAAAGAAAGTGCTAGTGAATGAGGGTCACTGGGAACAATCATGGCCTGGGAAGAGGAGCTCCCAAAATGGATGACGTGCAAGCAGGTAGAGCTGGAGGTCTGACCTGGGAGCAGCCAACCAGGTTCTGGAGACCATCAGCTCCATGCAGAAGTGGCAAAGCTGGACACCAGCTTTGAGCCTGGGCTATCGATGCCTCTTCCAAGTCAATTCATAAACCACATCAGCCAGCTTGCACTAGATTATATTGCAACAACAAACAACCCCCAGAATTGGCTTAACTCAACAAAGGTCAATTTCTTGTTCATGCTTACAAACTCCAACAGCAGGCATCTGCCCTGCTCCATGCTGTCTTCATCCTGTTACCCAACCTGAAGGAGTTGCTCTTACCTGGGACATCCCAGTCACATAGCACAGGGCAAGGAATCAAGGCAGAACCATGCCATAGCCCTTGTGGCTTCTGCTGGGAGGAGGCATATGTCACATCCACTCACATTTCATTGGCAAAGCAAGTCACAGGGCCAGGCTGATGTTGGGTGGGGAGTGAGAAAGTGTAAACCTCACACAGGGAGGATACGGGACACTGCACCGTCATACAATCTTCTACACTCACGGGCACCAACAACTCGAGAAGATAATGTATGTCTTGTTTTTCTCAGGCCCCTAAACTTGATAATGTCAGAATTTGTGAGAAAGAAGAAGCATGTTTCCCATGAAGCATGCTGAGTTTGCATCCCTTCTTCTGCCTCCAAAGCTCAACATAGATCCTTGATCAATGAGGTGGACACCAGAGGCGGGGACTTGTAAATAACACTGGGCTGTAGGAGTGATGGGGTTCACCTCTAATTCTAAGATGGCTAGATAATGCATCTTTCAGGGTTGTGCTTCTATCTAGAAGGTAGAGCTGTGGTCGTTCAATAAAAGTCCTCAAGAGGTTGGTTAATACGCATGTTTAATAGTACAGTATGGTGACTATAGTCAACAATAATTTATTGTACATTTTTAAATAGCTAGAAGAAAAGCATTGGGAAGTTTCCAACATGAAGAAAAGATAAATGGTCAAGGGAATGGATATCCTAATTACCCTGATTTGATCATTATGCATTATATACATGAATCAAAATATCACACATACCTTCAAACTATGTACAAATATTATATACCAATAAAAAATCATCATCATCATCTCCATCATCACCACCCTCCTCCTCATCACCACCAGCATCACCACCATCATCACCACCACCATCATCACCACCACCACTGCCATCATCATCACCACCACTGTGCCATCATCATCACCACCACTGTCATTATCACCACCACCATCATCACCAACACCACTGCCATCGTCATCACCACCACTGTCATTATCACCACCACCATCACCAACATCACCACCACCATTATCACCACCATCAACACCACCACCCCCATCATCATCATCACTACTACCATCATTACCAGCACCACCACCACTATCACCACCACCACCACAATCACCATCACCACTATCATCAACATCATCACTACCACCATCACCAACACCACCATCATTATCACCACCACCACCATCACCAACATCACCACCATCATCATCACCACCATCACCAAGACCATCATCATCACCATCACCACCAACATCACCACCATCACCAACACCACCATCACCACCACCACCACCATCATCACCACCACCACCATCATCATCACCACCACCGCCATCATCATCGCCACCACCATGACCACCACCATCACAACCATCACCACCATCACAACCACCATCATCACTATCGCTATCACCACCATCACCATTACCACCACCATTACTACAACCATGACCATCACCACCATCACCACCACCATCACAACGATCACCATCACAGCCACCATCATCACCACCACCACCACCACCATCACCATCAAACCATCGGCATTATTATTTTTTTAGAATTTTGTTGGGATTCAGTATCTGCCAAGATACCCATTCTTAAAACATGAAAAAGCAGCTGACCCTCCTGTGGCCCCCTTTTTGGGCAGTCATTGCAGGACCTCATCCCCAAGCAGCAGCTCTGGTGGCATACAGGCAACCCACCACCAAGGTAGAGGGTAATTGAGCAGAAAAGCCACTTCCTCCAGCAGTTCCCTGTCTGAGCTGCTGTCCTTGGACTTGAAGAAGCTTCTGGAACATGCTGGGGAGGAAGGAAGACATTTCACTTATTGAGTGGCCTGATGCAGAACAGAGACCCAGCTGGTTCACTCTAGTTCGGACTAAAACTCACCCCTGTCTATAAGCATCAGCCTCGGCAGGATGCATTTCACATTTGTGATCTCATTTAACCTCCACAAAGACCCAGAAGGGTTGGTAACATTATCATACCTAGGCCTACTATTTTAAAAATCTAACACCCATGCAGCCCGGGCACTGAAGTGGAGGCTGGCCACGGAGAGAGCCAGGCAATCACTGGCTTTTCCTTAGACAGAGAGCTGGTTCCTAGGAGAAGAAGCTCCAGGCTGGGGTCCAGGCTATGACCCAACTGTTCAGTTTTGCAACATCCAGCATGGCTGCCTGATCAGGGGTGCATATGTCAGAGGAGCCTTCAGCTGGGAAGTGCTGACAAATGACCCAGACCTGACCTGCCCGATGCCAAGGCCTCCTTTAGTACATCCCATGGAGGACACTTGAGACAAAGTCACAGCTCAGCCCGTTGATTTCCCATGCTCTGACTGTGCGGTGCAGCAGGACCCCTAGCAGGCAGCATGTGTTCAAGGCAGCGATATCCAAATGCTATGAATTGCTGTCCTGATGGTTATTTTCCTGCATACAGTAGAGCTGATCCCTGTACAATGCTGGTCCTAAATCTCACCTTTGACAGTGCGCTGATGTGCAATGTTTGCTTTTGTTTTATTTGATGGAACATGGCTAATTGCTAAGAAGGTGACATGCTGCCCACTGACCACCCAATGTTCATTCTCCTCTTCTTCCTTACTAACAAAACTGCGGTGGTGGTGGTGAGGAGAGGGAGGGGGTATAACAAATGTGCCAAGCCAAGAGTTTATATTTGCAAGCCTCTCTTATACCTAGAGTTGATCGTGACACAGCTCTGGCCAATGATGTGTAAGCAGAAGTTGCTTGATGTGACTTCTGGCAAAGCTCTTAAGGAGAGGACTGACCTGTTTCCACATATCTTTTTCCTTTCCGTGTCCTTAGTCCTGGCTGGGATGCAGATGAGATGCAAAAGGTGGAGCAGCCATGTTGTCATCAGGCAGTAACAGGTCTGAGGGTAGAAGCTGCATTCTGATAATACCAGGGAAAAATAATACAAGTAGTCTAGGGCCCAGAGATATCACAGATGTCCATTTGAACCCCAAATTACCTGTCTCCAGATTTGCTATCAGGCAAGAAAAGGAAATCTTTCATTAGTTTAAGCTGTAGTTTACTCCAGTTTTCTATAACTTTCGGCCAGATATAACCCTAAATTGACAAAGGGGGCAAGTGCTTAACTGCAAAGCAGTTAAAACTCAAACACAGGCCTTCATTTCTTCAGGGTTTTAGTTTTTTCTAGGGAAGAATCTTAACTACTGCTACTAAAAGTTATAGTAGGCCAGGGATGGTGACTCACGCCTGTAATCTCAGCACTTTGGAAGCCCAGGCAGGTGGATCACCTGAGGTCAGGAGTTCAAGACCAGCCTGGCCAACGTGGTGAAACCCCATCTCTACTAAAAATACAAAAATTAGCCAGGCATGATGGTGCATGCCTGTAGTCACACCTACTCAGGAGGCTGAGTCAGGAGAATAGCTTGACCCAGGAGGCAGAGGTGGCAGTGAGCCAAGATCGCACCACTGCACTCCAGCCTGGGCGACAGAGCAAGACTCTGTCTCAAAAAAAAAAAAGTCATAATCAAAGAGGAAGACTGAGATAAATGTAGAGTCAAAGGGCTAAACAGAAACATAACACATGGGTTTTAAGCTAAGCCTTCACATTATCCCTTATACAATTTTATCTACACCGATTTCACCAAAGCTCAAAGTTATATTATTGGCTGAGATTGGCATTGGGATGGAGTGGTGAAGCTAAGAAATTCGTTATCCCTTTGTTCCAGTGCTGCTGGACTTTTCACTAAGTGAAGAGGTAAATGCTGAGTCTCCCAGGAGGCTGACTCCTCCTGGCTCTGGGTGTGCATTCTGATGAAGGTTCTTTATTGTAGGCACCAACAGAAGGCTCATGAGAGGGCAACATGGATCTCCATTTCTGAGCAGATGTTTAAACGCTGAATCAGGTCCAAGGCTTCCCAAATGAACTCAAGGAGTTTCTTTTTCCCAAGCCATAGAAAGTGGCGATAGCAATCCAGGGTCTGCACTGGGAAGGAGCACTGCCAGGACACGTCCCTCCCTGCCATTCCCCCACCCTCGCCCAGGAGACGTCCCTCCCTGCCACCACACAGGACACATCCCTCCTTGCCATCCCACCCCCCTTCCCAGGACACGTCCCTCCCTGCCATCCCATCCCATTCCCCCACAAGGACACGTCCCTCCCTGTCATCCCACCCCCCTTCTCAGGACACATCCTTCCCTGCCATCCCACACCCCCCCCAGGACACGTCCCTCCCTGCCATCCCACGCCTCCCCCCAGGACACATCCCTCCCTGCCATCCCACCCCGCCCCCCAGGACACACAGGTCCGTGAAATCAGTATAGACACTTGTATCAAGCAAGAAGAAGCATGTTACTCAGAAGAACACAATTTTGTTGTTTTGTTTTTGTTTCTGGGTTTTGGTTGTTTTTTTTGTTTTTTTTTTTGGGGAATTAAACAAATAATTTCAAGTTCTACCTCCACCACCTACCAGCTGCATGATCTTAGACCATTGACATCACCTCCCTGACCGTGATTTTCACATCTAGAGAATGGGAGGGGAAGAACCATGCCTTGGGGGCCAGGCTGAGGATGAACTATGAAAACCCGTCCTATTGGGCACTCTCGAACAGTCACCATTGTTGGTATGAGGCCCACTATCAGTGAAACTGATTGAAATTGGTGTACATCTGAGACCTGAGGACAGCCATCAAGTGTCTATTAACTTAAGCTTTATGTAGCAAGCATTTATTGCACATGATCCTAGGTCCCAAGTATGCTTCGGTAAATTAAACACCCTTGGTCCCTGCCCTCACAAGCCGTTCATAATCTAGACAGATACATAAGATATAAATGCACAATTGTTCATTGAAAATCTCCGAAGTCACTGGCTATTTTCTGTGGTTCTCGGCACCATCACCACCCTTCCAAATTCTCTCCTGTTCTCAGGGGTTAGAAACCTGCAAACTACATTCCCTAGACTTCCTTGCCTGTAGGAGCAAAATGATCCCATGTATTACTGCGAAATGGTAGTGTCTGGGTCCCAGAAGACAGTTAGTAGAATCAGAATGTAGGAAAGTGTGTGCCACAGCCACACATGTTCATGATAGTCATAACTTGTTCAGTAGGAATTTAGAGAAGACTGACTGTACACAAGGTATTGCTAAATGCTATGCGGGATACAGAGATGCCTGTGCCTCTAAGAAACTTGGTAGAAAAATAATAACCCACACATATTTGGCTTACCTTCTCTTTGAATAGAGCAATTGGCAGTTTAGATTCAGTCATTCTTCAATTCATTTAGCCAAAATTTATTCTGTGATGGCTGAATCCAACAAATGAAGTCTCTACTCTCATATTATTTTCCATTTTGTTCCACTGAATTTCAGCAAACATAGACCAGACAAGCATCCCTTTGAAACCTGGACTTGGGATGAGGGTCTGCTGAGATTGGGTTTTCTCCATGCCCAGATGCCTCTGATCAAATATCAAGTCCCAAAGATACAGATGAGAAAGTTATTAAGTGTTCTGGGATTGGGACATCGGAGATATTAATTAACCCTGGCTTGAGATGGGAAGAGGGGGCAGGTAGCTTTCTTTGTGTAGTGTTTAGGAAGGTGATTGCCAATCTAGGAGAAGTGAGTTCCCCAGAGGGAGGGGGGCTCTTGGCCAGCAGGGTGACCCATATGTTCTGGTCTGCCTGGAGCTGTGGTCCTTGGGTTCACAGCGGCCCCTTTGCACTCAAAGCACCCTAGCTTGGACAATAAATTCTACAGTCAGTTCTGCAGTGACGATCTTCAATTCCTAGGGCTGCCATAAGAGAAGATCATAGACTAGGGGTGGTACACGACAGAAATTCATCTTCTCCCAGTTCTGGAGCCTGAAAATCCAAAACAAGGTGCTGTCAGGGTTGGATTCTCCTTGGGCCTCTCTTCTTGGCTTGCAGGTGGCTGTCTTCTGGCTGTGTCCTCGTGTGTCCCCAACATCCCCCTGTGTGTGTGTGCAACCCTTATGTCTCTTCCTCTGCTCATAAGAAAACAGTCCTATAGGACTAGGACCACATTCTTATGGCCTCATTTAACCTTAATTACCTCCTTTAGGGCCCTGTCTCCAAATATGTTCAGTGGAGGTTTGGGGCTTTGGCATATGAGTCTTTGGAGGCCACAGTTCTGTCCAGAACACACTGACCCTATCCACCAGGTACTGCCACACCAATGGCTTTCAGCATTAGACAGAGCCCCCCTGGGCTCTGTAACCCCACCCAGGGTGTTAAGAATGAGGAGTGAAAGTCCACACATGTACACACATGTTAATAGCAGCATTATGCGCAACAGTCAAACAGTGGACACACCCAAATGCCCATCAGTGGATGATGGATACATGCAAGGTGATTTATCCAGACAGTGGCATCATATTCTGTGGCCGGAAACAGGAGGGGAACGCTGACACTTGGCACAACACGGAAGACCTTTGAAAACATATTGCAGCAGATTGAATGAAAAAACAGAGAGAAGAATCCAGCCGCCTCATATAATTTCTTTTTAACTTGCAAATGTTATTTTTAATCAAAATGTTATTTACATGGCACTGAGTGTACGGACAACCTTTGAAAACATGGTGCTGAGTGTAAGAACCAAACAGGAAAGGCCACGTGTTGTTCATTGATAGGAAATGTCCAGAATAGGATGTTCTAAAGAGACTGAGAATGGATAAGTGGCTGCTTAAGTGGGGGGGTGGAAGGAGGATAGAAGAGTGATAGCTAAAGGGCACAGTTTCTTTCTGAGGTGATGGTATGTTCCAAAATTGACATTGGTGATGGTTGCACACACTGCAGATACACCAAAATCCACCAAGTTAAATTGAAATGCACACTTTACACTATTGAATTATATACTTTAAGTGGCTGAATTGTATAGCATATGAATTACATTTCAATAAAGCCTTTTAAATAAATCATGCATGGGTAAAATGTCCACTCAAAGTAAGATAAACCAGCGCATTGTAATGTAATAGAGTACAAAATGCATGGGTATGGAATTCCACTTACAACCCATCATTAATCAACCACTACTTATCAAAGAAACCCCAACTTGTCAAATTTCAGTGTGATGTCAAACAAGATACCCAGTGTTACCTGAGAAGGCTAGTAAGACACTCATCTCTTTTCAAACTACTTGGAAGTATGAGGCCAGGTTCTTTTCCTATTCTTCAACCAAAACAATGTATTGCAACAGATTGAATGAAAAAAACAGAGAGAAGAATCCAGCTGCCTCATGTAATTTCTTTTTAATTTGGAAATGGTATTTTTAATCAAAATGTTATTTACATTAGCAATAATAATTTTTTTTAAAAAAGAATGAGGCTTGAGACGGAGACTCAGTGGCTGTGTCTACCGGCCTCAGTTGTAAAACAAGCACTGTTCATCCCGAGCCGACATAGCTGCTCATTCACTCATTCAAAAATAATCTTTGAACACCCGCTCTGTGATGAGGTGATGATGATGATGACGATGATGATGGTATCAGTACTGGCTAATATAATAAACTAGCTACTATGTGCCAAATGGTTTCTCAATCTGAGCCATTTAACCCCCACAGCAGCCCTGGAAAGTAAGAATCGTTACTAGCTCTAGGAGGCAGCCCCAGGGATAGGTCTGCGGTGCGTGTTCCAGAGTCGGGAGCCCTGGCCGAGGTCTGCGCTGGCTTTTTCCTCCCTGGGTGACCTGCACAAGAGGCAGGAGGTTAGCTGTCTGCTGCTACGGCTAACACACAGGCTCTCCTCATGGGGCTTGGGGAGGTGGATAAATTACTGTTCCTAATGTTTTTAGTGTGACTGAAGTGCTGGCCACTCAGTCACTCGTTTGCCCTTTCACTCATTCATTCATTCCTTCATTCAGTGATATATGAAGTGCCCACCGTGAGCCAGAGTGAGACGCTTTCCTGAGATCCCAGGATTTCTTAAACAAAATACACAAAGCACTTACGTAAAAGATCGATACACTGATTGCATTAAAATTAAGAACTTCTGTTTATCAAAAATTCCTTCAAGAAAATGAAGACAAGCTACAAACTGGGAGAAGATATTTCCAACATGTGTAATTGAAAAAACATTAATATTAATTATATATATATATGTGTACGTATATAATGTGTATATATGTGTGTGTGTGTATGTATATTTTCATATTTAAAACCAGACATCATTAATGCAAAGATAAATGCACCAATCAGAAAGTGAACAAAAATATAGAAACAGACATTTCACAAGAGAGAAAATATAGCTGGCCAATAAACATTTGAAGAAAAACCCAACTTAATTAGTAATTAGGTTAAGTGAAAAAAAGCAAGTACCGGAAGACTACATGCAGCATGATATTCTTTCTCAAAATAAAGGCTAGAAAATCAGATAAGATAAATAATATGCTCTGAGGCATCCATGTAGATATAACACAGCTATTTTCAGAGAAGGAATGATCAGCACTAACTTCTGTAGAAGTTTATAGGCACATGCAAGTTAGTTTGCTAGTTCCTGGGTGGCATGGTGGATTCATGGGAGTGCCTTGTGTTGTTAAAAATAAAGAAACTAGGCCTGGTTTGGTGGCTCATGCCTGAATCCCAACATTTTGGGAGGCTGAGAAGGAGGATTGCTTGAGCCCAGAAGTTTGAGACCAGCCTGGACAACGTGGTGAAACCCGTCTCTACAAAAATACAAAAATTAGCTGGGTGTGGTGGTGCACACCTGTGGTCCCAGCTACTTGGCAGCCTGAGGTGGGAGGTACACTTGAGGCCAGGAGGTCAAAGCTGCAATAAGCCGAGATCACCCCACTGTACTCCAGTCTTGGTGATAGAGTGAGACCCTGTCTCAAAAAAATAAATAAATAAAATAAAGAAACTAAAAATAACAACAATGATGATAATAATAATAATAGACTAGGCACAGTGGTTTACACCTGTATTCCCAGCACTTTGGGAGGCCGAGGCAGGCAGATCACTTGAGGTCAGGAGTTGAAGATCAGCCTGGCCAACATGGCGAAACCTCGCCTCTACTAAAAATACAAAATTAGGCCCGGTGCGGTGGCTCACACCTGTAATCCCTGCACTTTGGGAGGCGAGGTGGGTGGATCACCTGAGGTCAGGAGTTCGAGGCCAGCCTGGCCAACATGGCGAAACCCTGTCTCTACTAAAAAAAAAAGAAAAAGAAAAAATTAGCCAGACGTGGTGGCGGGTGCCAGTAATCCCAGCTACTTGGGAGGCTGAGGGAGGAGAATTGCTTAAACCCCGGTAGGCAGAAGTTGCAGCGAGCCGAGATCACACCACTGCACTCCAGCCTGGGTGAAACGCTCTCTCAAAAAAAAAAAAAAAAAAAAAAAAAAAAAAAAGTCAGGAATGGTGGCATGCGCCTGTAATCCCAGCTACTTAGGAGGATGAGAATCACTTGAACCTGGGAGGCAGAGGCTGCAGTGAGCCAAGATAGTGCTACTGCACTCCAGCCTGGGCAACAGAGCTAGACTCTGTCTCAAAAAAATAGTAATAATAATAGCAAAAGAGGGCCAGGCATGGCTGGCGAGTCATGAACCCAGGCGTGGCATTCCTCAAATTATGTGCACCTAAAGTCTGCGAAGGGAAACAAACAAGAATTCAAAAAGCAAGACACCCCGGGGGTTCTCTGTCCTTCCTTCCCTGCACTCAGTCTGCGTCCTGAGCAGCAACAGTGCTGACCCCATAAGCCTCGGCCAGCAGGTAAGGGTCACCTTCTCTTCCCTGCACTGAGGTTCCCAATGGAGACCAGGAAGTGAAGTGATTTCTAAGGGTTTCCTGTGAGGTCAGGAATCAAGATGGAATCATTGCCTCATCCTCTGTTAACCAGAAAATTCTCTAAGCCAAACCCTCCCATAGCCTCTGGTCTCTTCACTCAGCCGAGGGTTCCCTTGTGTTTAGAGGGCAAGGTGGGCTCTGTTTCCTCCCACTGGGATGGAGGAGTCAGAAAACTCACCTTACCCCGTTTGCCCCCGACAGTGCCACGTTACAAAAGTTGCCCAACTTCCTTAAATAATCCTGTCACTTCCTCCTCATTTGCCTCTGACGCATGAGAGCCTGGGAAACCCCAAGTCGCTTGCTGTAGGGCCTGCAGGAGGGCCTCCACCCCGACCCTGCACAGGACAGGGGAAGGGAGAACACCCAGGGAACTGAATCTTGAAACGCACAAAGGGAACACCGTACGGCCGTCTTTTCAAGGCCATTTCCCACAGAGAGCGTGCAAAAATAAGTGTCCTGGCTGGAGAGCACATTCCAGCTCCAAAGGCTCTGTTCCTTTTACTTTCTCCCGCGATTACTCTTATTTTTCTGCAGCTCAACAAGGACGGTCCGCTGATGTGAGCATCTTGTGATTTCTCCCCCAGCGCAGCCTGCCTGGCAGCTTCCTGTGCTCCCAGCACGAAGTGGAAGATGACCTTCAGCCGGAGGAGGGAGCGCAGCGCGGATTAGAAGGACATGGCGCGGGGACTGGCCTGGTTGTTGGGGCGGGGACAGAAATCCATTTCCCTCGTTTTCCTCCACGCCAGTGTGGGCCACTTCCTGAGTCTCCGCACACACCAGTGTCTGAGGTTCTCACTGACCTGCTCCAAGGTGAGGGATTCCCCGTATTTGGGGCAGAACAGACGTTCCCACCCCGCAAGGCTGCAGTGCGGGACAGACACGTGGCCCGGCCCCGAGATGCTGCAGAATGTTTGTCCTGGATTTTAACACGTTTTCGTCCCTGGTGGTCCCAGCGGCTGCTGCCAGGGACTAAAACACCTTTGTCAGATTATCAGAAGGCCCCGGGAAGGGAGGGGAGAGCCCAAGATGAGAGCACTGCTTTACCCGAGGCCCTATTTCCGCACGAGAAACTTTTCTCAGCCTGATCGCATCCCGGCTTCTAAGAAGGGCCTGGTTCAGGCTTTCAGCCTGAAGCCGGAGAGCACGAATGAGCCCTCCCCTGACTTCAAA
The DNA here is from genome assembly GCF_000001405.40 of Homo sapiens. NCBI lineage: Eukaryota > Metazoa > Chordata > Mammalia > Primates > Hominidae > Homo > Homo sapiens. The sequence goes on along the minus strand of NC_000001.11, from coordinate 4,637,625 downwards.
AATAAAATCCCGGTACAGTATGATCATCATGATTATTGTTACCATTATTACCAGCACTGCAATCATTTGTGCTCTGGCCCTTTCATCCCAGAATTTCAAAGCAGAATGCTTTATAAGGAGATGGCTATTCATTTGTTCAGCGAGAGGCATCCTTTGAAAATGGAGCTTTCAGACTCTTGATGAAAAAAAAAAAAAAAAAAAAACCTCTGATTTCCACTCAGCGTGATTAACCAGACAAGGGCTTTCCTGAGAATGAATGTGTCTGTTGAGTGGGGTCCAGACAATGAGGTCAGAGGCGAGCTCCCGAAACACTCCAGGAAGCAGCACCTCGGGTGTCCAAGCTTCTGAGACTCTCTGCAGCCCCCTCCCATGGTCACCGTCTTCTGAAGGGCTGTAGGATCGAAAGTCACAGGCGCACCGGCAGCAGAGCAGCATGGCTAAGCCACAGGTTCCGGCAGGTGGCTTGGGCTCAAACCCTGGCTTTGCATCTGAAATTCCAGCTGCATGTCCTCGGGCAAGTTACTTAACTGCTCTGTGCTTCAATTGCTGCTTCCATAAAATGGGGCTAATGATAGTTTCCACCTCTTGGTGGTTCTGTTAGCTGAGTCATCATAGGCCCTGCCCTGGAAGCAGCATTGGGCACAGAATAAGCTTTCAGTAAGTTACAGTGATGGGGGCCCTCCGCCGTGGGGATGCCACTCCCTGGCTTGAAATGCAACAAGGGCTCCCTGTTGCTCTGATAGGACGCAGATCCTCCGCACAGCACCAGAGGCTCTCCAGGGCCTGGCTCCTCTTTCCTCCGGGCGTGCTCCTTGGTACTCACCATTACATCGCCCGCTCCTTCCTCAGCGCTGCCATTGCCTCGTGTGCTCGTCCCCGAAGTCCTCTGTCCACCTCACTCACCCTTAGGCCCCTGCGTCGGCCAGCACTTCATCTTGGAGAGCTCCTCCTTGTACTCATGTCCCTTGGCCAACTTGCCCCAGTCCTTCAGGACTCCTGTGAGTGTCACCTCTCCTGAGAAGTTTCCCGACTTTCCTGTTTCGATTAGCTGGATCCCCTTCCAGTGCCACAGCCCATGGCAGGGTCTCCTCCTCCCCCTCTGCCGTCATCTTTCTTTTTCTCCTCCTCCTTCTTTTTCTGTTTCTCCCACTGGACCCCTCGTTCCCAGCAGGGCAGGCCTTGCCTCTGGCCATCTCAGTGCCTGGTTCTTGCAGATGCCCAGAGGCTGCCTGGGAAGCCACTCCCGGCTCCACGAGGGGTGCTGCAGCCTCAGCGTATACTTCGGTGTTTGAGAACAAGGTGATGTCCACACTTGTCAAGGAAGCTCTTTCCCTTCTATTGGGTGTTTTCGGGGTCAGAGCAGAGACCACAGGGGAGTCACATGCTGCCTGGCTCACCAGAGGTGCTGAGTCCCTGGTTATGGAGCAGATGGATGGGTGTGTGAGAAGGTGAATGGATGGGTGTGTGTGCAGGTGGGCAGCACGGTTCATTCCAGCTGAGGCTGAAATCCCTCTTTGTCCTGCAGGCGAGGCCCCCTGGTCACCTGGTAAACTCATTCACCCGTGTCATCATAAAACCCTCCGACAAATTAACGGAAAACATAGTGACTTCTAGGGAGACCCCCAATGAGTAGACAGCTTTTTTCATTGTAGTTAAATATCGTAAGTAGCAAGTTCATTCTGGAAACATATTACATACAAAAACTGTATAGTGGTTCACAGTGATTCATGCCTGTAATCCCAGCACTTTGGGAGGCCGAAGCCAGTGGATCACTTGAGTTCAGGAATTCCAGACCAGCCTGGCCAACATGTCTCTACTAAAAATACAAAATTTAGCCAGACATGGTGGTGCTCACCTGTAGTCCCAGCTACTCAGGAGACTGAAGCAGGAGAGTCAATTGAACCTGGGAGGTGGAGGTTGCAGTGAGCCGAGATTGCGACACTGCACTCCAGCCTGGGCAACAGAGTGAGACTCTGTCTCCAGAAAAAAAAAAAAAAAAAAAAAGAATTGTACTCAACAGCAGGCCCTTGACTGCATTTGAGGTTACCCGGCTGAGAACAAGAAGGTGCTTAAACCAAGGGAAGATATTGGGTAAGGACTGTGCACTGGTGTCACCTTCAAAGGTCAAGAAGCAGCAGGATGTCTTTGTTCTTCATATTATCCATTTATTAGCTGACATATGAATTCATTTCTTTCATAAAAACTACTGCGCCTCAGCTCTGCCGTGGGGTCACCCAGTCATATGAAAACATGAACTATGTAAGAGGAAAGACATAGGCATATACTGAAAAGCTGTAAAAGAATCATGGTTTGGGATTGCACATGTCCTCTGGAGACTGCCTGGTCCCACTGCTGTTTTCAGTTACTGAACACTAGGTTGAGGCACAAGGGCACAGAGCAGCCTAGACACTAGCTTGAGGTCACACAGCATCTGCACGTGATCACTGTGCTGTGCCGCAACCCAGTCCTGCAAACTCATTTCCCCGGTGAGCAAACCTAAGGCGCTCACCAGGCTGGGAAGACAGCCTGCAATACGCCAACTGTCAGGTCACTGGCCCTCCTGGCATCCAGTCTTATGCAAATGACCAGTTAACCCCTTTATAGTCTGTCCAGGTCCACCCAGTGCAGAAGCCCCAGTGTGCCGTTTAGTATTTGTGAGCAAGAAGACACATTCCGCTTCTTGGGGAAGGGCTTCCTTTCATCTTGGACGTTGGGGATTCACAGCAGTGGCTGTGTTGTACGTCCAAACAGGGAGGAGTGGCCCAGGCTTGCAGACAGGATCTCACGAGGTTCAGCCTTTCTGAAGTCGGTACTGTAGAGACAGGCAGGTTCCCATACATTGCCTTTATGTGCCTGAAGAAGATTATGCTATTTTGGGCTCTGGAGACTTTTAAAAACAAATTAGAGACAAAGCACAATAGCTCTGGATGTCTGACTCACTCAGAAGCAAAGCAGGCCCACCTTCCACGCAAGAAGAGACCGAGGATGCAGACAGACAGGGTTCCCAGTGGGAGGACTCTGCCGCAGGAAGCAGGTGGCAACAGTTGTTTATTTTGAGCTAACACAAGCTCATCCACTGATGTCCACGGTTCTTCCCAGCACAGGTCATGTGGGTGAGGGATGAACAATGAAGCCACACCTTCTGGAAGCTGAGAGGAGGCTGGTGGGATTGGAGGGGGTGGCACCCCCAAACGTCCAATGCTGCCTGAATGTAGCGGCACTCAAGTCCTGCTGTGAGTAGGCGGCGAGGGGCTGGGCATCCCCAAGGCCTGAGCATATCCCAGGGTCCCGGGTACCCGTGGACGGCATCGGAAGTTGCTGGTTGTTCTTTGTGGTTCACAGGTTCCTAGCTGGGACAGCATCCGTGTGGGAGGAGAGCTGGGGAGAAGGCAGAGCTCTGCAGGGACAGAGGTGGGGAACCAGCTCCATGGCTGCACTGCTGGCTTCCTGCAGCCTCCCACTCCGAACAGGACTTTGACATGACAGAGATTCGTCACTTGAGCAAACTTGAGGCAGGCTCCTGATCCCCGCCTCCAGCAAGGCCCATGCCCACACTTCCCTATGAAATCCAGTTTTACCAAGAGCCCTGCTAAGTCGTTTTGGCCTGAAACCCCCACCTCCAATATCTGATTAGGTTCCTCATACCCCAGCATCCCCCAGAGGAGTCTGACCACCCCGGCCTACCTTCAGCAAGAATCCTGTTAGGTGACTCGAGCCTGAATCCCCCAGCCCCTGATGTTTCCTCCTAGTCACTTTCCATCCGTGGACCCCGCCCTGCTCCTGGGCTGTGAATCTCCACTGCCTGTGGCGTGTTTGGAGTTGATCCCGGTTCTATACCTAGGTCTCTTTCTATTGTAATTGTTCCTGAATAACATCTGTTTTTATCGCTTCAGCTACCATCCACCATGGGTTTCTTTGACAGATGGGACTCCTTGGCCCGCACTGCTCAGCACTGAGGTCCAGCCTCTGACAAGCGAAGTGCAGGCCCCCGGCGCGGGCTCCTGTGTGGATGCTTCTGCACCCTCTGCCGCACTGGGCACCCGGGGCCCAAGCCCACCTGCCCTCTGAACCATTCTCCAGGTCAGGCAGGCAGCATGCAGCCTGTGAGCTCCCTGTGAGCTGAATTAATCCACTACTTCACCACATGCATCAGGATGGACCCCCTGCTGTGGGCCGTAGGCTGTGTGCTGTGTGCTGTGTCCTGTGTGCTGTGTGCTGTGGGCTGTGGGCTGTGTGCTGTGTCCTGTGTGCTGTGTGCTGTGTGCTGTGGGCTGTGGGCTGTGTCCTGTGTGCTGTGTGCTGTGTGCTGTGGGCTGTGGGCTGTGTCCTGTGTGCTGTGTCCTGTGGGCTGTGGGCTGTGTCCTGTGGGCTGTGGGCTGTGTGCTGTGTGCTGTGTCCTGTGTGCTGTGTGCTGTGTCCTGTGTGCTGTGTGCTGTGTGCTGTGTGCTGTGGGCTGTGGGCTGTGGGCTGTGTCCTGTGGGCTGTGGGCTGTGGGCTGTGGGCTGTGTCCTGTGGGCTGTGGGCTGTGTGCTGTGTGCTGTGTGCTGTGTGCTGTGGGCTGTGGGCTGTGTCCTATGTGCTGTGTCCTGTGGGCTGTGGGCTGTGGGCTGTGTCCTGTGTGCTGTGTGCTGTGGGCTGTAGGCTATGGGCTGTGTCCTGTGTGTGTGCTGTGTGCTGTGTGCTGTGTGCTGTGTGCTGTGTGCTGTGTGCTGTGTGCTGTGTGCTGTGTGCTGTGTGCTGTGTGCTGTGTGCTGTGTGCTGTGTGCTGTGTGCTGTGTGCTGTGTGCTGTGTGCTGTGTGCTGTGTGCTGTGGGCTGTGTGCTGTGTGCTGTGTGCTGTGTGCTGTGTGCTGTGGGCTGTGGGCTGTGGGCTGTGGGCTGTGTCCTGTGGGCTGTGGGCTGTGTGCTGTGTCCTGTGTGCTGTGTGCTGTGTGCTGTGTGCTGTGGGCTGTGGGCTGTGTCCTGTGTGCTGTGTCCTGTGGGCTGTGGGCTGTGGGCTGTGGGCTGTGTCCTGTGTGCTGTGTGCTGTGTCCTGTGTGCTGTGGGCTGTGGGCTGTGTCCTGTGTGCTGTGTCCTGTGTGCTGTGGGCTGTGGGCCATGGGTCATGGGGCTGTGGGCTGCATGCTATGGGCTGTGGGCTGCTTGCCAGGCACTTAGGAACCGAGGCACAGCATGAGTGAGTCCCTGCCTTCAGGAAATGTCTGGTCTGGTGTGAGAACAGGCGCGTAGACACTCAGTCATAGTGCAGGCATTGTAGGGTTTGGCATAGCTACGGATCATACAGAGATCATCTCCTCATGTGGCAGCATGAAAAATGTCCCCCAAAGATGTCCACGTCCTCATCCCAGAGCCTCACATGGCATAGGGCCTTTTTGGGTGGGATTAATGTAAGGATCTTGAGGTGTGGATTTATCCTGGAGTAGTCAGGGTTGTGGGGAGTGATGCCATCACAGAGGTCTTTGTAAGAGGCAGACGGGAGGGTCAGAGGCAGAGGGGGAGACAGAAGGAGGAAGCAGCGGTGAGGGAGAGAAGGAAAGATGCTGGACTGCTGGCTTTGAAGACGGAGGAGGGGGCCATGGGCCAAGGATTGCCGGCGGCCTCTGGCAGCTGGGAAAGGTAAAGAGAAGGAGGCTCCTCTGGACCCTCCAGGAGCCAGTGCTGCTGACACCAGAATTCTGGGACTTCTGGCCTCTAGAAATGTAAGAATACATTTGTGCCATGTTGAGTCTCTAAGTTTATGGAGACCCCAATTTTGATACAGCAGTCATAGGACACAAATACCTCATTCCCCGACCCCCACCAACAGTCTGTGGATGAAAGAAAACAGGGTCATGAGCTGGAGAGCAAGCAGAAGAGGAGGGTGCACGTGGATACTTTAAAATCTTTACTGGGTTGGAGGGGGTGACCTCTGAGCAGAGGCTTGATGGGTGAGGAGGGGCCAGCCCAGGGCCGTGGAGGTCTGAAAAGTCAGCGAGAGCCAAGGCTAGTGTGCAGTCAGCAGCACAGTCTGAGGCTGTGCCCAGAGCGACTGGCTCCACCCCCTGTCCTGGTTCAGGTGCTTTTGTTCTTCTTATGGTCCAGCACCAGATGTCATCCCATGACCCCCAGCCCAGAGCCCCGCCCCTGACTGCACAAAGCTCTTTCTTGGATTGCCCCAACCCCCTCCTAGCCTGGGTGGTGAGAGAGAGCTCCAAGGGTATGGTCTGGCCTTGGGAGTGGGGGGTCCAGCAGAGCTCCCCATGTAGTAAAGAATGTGGCCTGGCCTGCAGAGAGGTCTGCCCTTGTCCTCGGCTTCTGGGAGGGGCTTTGTTGAGACTGTGGCGGTGCCAGATCTTCAGGTGGGGTTGACCATGCCAGAAAGACCAGCCCCGTGGCTCAATCATCAATCAGTCTTGCACACGGAATGGAGCCCCGATGAAGCCCCGGACACTGGGACTCAGGGGAGCTCACCAGCTTGGTGGTGCTCCATGCCTCTTGTGACACCTCGATGCCAAGAATGTGACATATCCTGACTCCACAGGGAGAGGACACCGGCAGCCTCAGGTCTGGAGTCCCCGGCCCCAGCCCCGTTTCCTCCTTGGGTTGACTTGATCTGTGTCCTTTCCTGTGATAAACCATGGCTATGAGTAGAACAGCTTTCAGTGGACACTGAGTCTTTCTAGCAAGTTAGGAAACCTCAGGATGTTTGGGGAAATCCCCCAAGCTTTGCGCTTTGCAGTCCATGTCAGAAGTGCAGTTAATGGTCACCTGCATGAGACCAGGTCCCCTAAACTTTGCAGTTTGCCTAGCTCTGGGTAGACTTTTCCATCCTGGAGGGGTAACCCTGGGGTCTCGCAGGCCCAGCAATTCACTGCAGGCCCCAAGTGCTGACCTGCTTGGCTGGGTCTGACCGTGCTGGTTGTCCTCAGCTCTCCCACCCCAAGAAGGGCTCGAGAACTGAGGTAGCTGAACAACCGCTTTCACGTTCCGGGTCCTTTGCTATTAGTTGTTATGGCTTTGAGTTTTCTATCAAATGTGAGAAAGTCAGCTGCACTGGTTGACCACCTCAAAAATGCAAATTGGTGTAATTTCAGTCAATACATGCGCACTGGGCATTAAAAATGCAAATTTCCTGCTGTGCAGAGAGCAAGAAAGTACAGCACCTTGTTTAGGAACAAAACTCAGGATGGCAAGAGAACCTTTCCTCTTCCCCAAATGGATATTAGGTCCTTCTCTGGGACAGAGGACGAGGGTGTGGCCACAGCTCTAGGTAAGGGACCTCAGATGCATCTCATGGCCCCAGCTTAGTCTGTACTGTTATTAAAAAACAAACAGACAGATGCTGGCACTGTGGCCAGCCAAGCAGGCCAGCCCTGCAGCCCCTTTAAATCAGAGGGAAAGATAATCGCTTCCACACCCTAATTTCTTTCTTGATTCTCTTCCACTTTCCTTTCTCATCTGAGCCCACAGTGAGAACCGTTGTGCTGGGTGGGGCCTCCAACTCCCACATGGGAGCAGAAGTGAGAGGAGACCTTTGGGAAGGCTCTGGAAGCCACACCGCCAAGGTGCACCCAGTCGAGGCGAGGGGAGAGCTCGGAAGCCCAGGCCCAGACCTGTCCACACCTGGGTTGCGCTGAGGGCAGGTGCACATCTGTGCCTTCTGAGCCAGCACACCAAACCTAGGTCCTGAGTTTGGATCTGTGTGGGTTACAAATATCATGAGCACCTGGAGGTGACACTGATATTTCTCAACCAGCTTGTGTTTCCAGAAAGGTGCCCTCCACTTTCCTGGCCTGGTCTAACCCTCTGTCCCCCGCATTGCCACCAAGTGGTCTCCCTGCACCAAAAGCCTCAGTTTTGCAGCATAGTCCGGCTGACACATGTCAATGTGTGAATATCTGACCTTGTCCACCTGCGTCTCAGCTCCTGTGGGCAGGCGCCAACTCTGCTTTGCTTCAACCTGTGCCTTGCACAAAATGTGTTGCAATGAATGAATGAATGAATGAATGATACCCATCTCCTAATCTGTTCAGAAACTCCGAATAATGATTTCTAGATTCCAAGGTCTAGTCTGACCTTTTACCTAGACAGGAAGTCCCTGTGCGGCACACCTGTGGGATGGGCACCCCGAGCTCCTGCAGGGACAGGACATGGGTGTCTGAGCCAGCTGTCTATGGTGTGAAACAAATCACTACAGATTTAGAGGCTTAAGCCACACCCATTCATTATCTCACAGCTGCTGGGGGTCAGGAGCCAGGCTGGGTCCTTCAAGTGGGTCTCACAGAGTCCATCAAAGAGTCAGCAGGGGCCGAGGTCTCATCTGAGCTCAGGGTCCTCTTCCAAGCTCCTAGGGTTGCTGGCAGAATCAAGTTCCTTGCCACTGTGGAGCTCATGGTGGCTTCCTTCCTCAAGGCCAGCAGAAGAGAGAGCCTGGGACTCTGGCCCCGGAGGGCCCTCACCTGATTAGGGCGGGCCCACCCAGGGGAACAGCCTTTTGGAGGAACTCAACATCAAATGATTAGGGACTTTAATGATGCTTACAAAAGCCCTGCCCCTTTGCCATAGGCTACTGGCTTGGAGCAAATCACAGATCCAAACGTATGTGAGGGTGGACATGCCCACGGGGCCATCTGAGAACTCTGCTCGCTGCAGCGTCCACAAGGCAGCCCATCCTCAGCCTCCTGGGACACGAAGTTTTCCTTCCCATGGGGTGAACCCCACGTCCTCCTTGGCCAGGCTACCTGGCCTGGCCCCTCCTCCACCCCTAACCCTAGCTGCCCCGGGACTGCCCGCACAGTTCTCTGCTCTCAGCTCTGTGCATCTCCCCCATGGCACCCACCCAACCCAGGCTGCCTCTCTGCCTGGAAGGCCCCTCCCCCTCCCCCAGGGCCTTGTTCCTCCCCACTCCACATCCGAAAGCAAAACCATCCCAAATGTAGCTCCCTTCCTCCACTTCCATCCTGGCCACCAGCAGCCTTTTCTTCTCCGGACTCAGATTTTAGACTGTTCCTTGACCCGACCTTTCTTTCAGAACCTGCATTTTTGCTGCGTGGCTCACATCTAGCCCTTCGCCTTCCTCCCAAAGCAGAGTCCTGGTCAGCCTGGCCCCATGGCCTTAGCAAACGGACACCACCCGTCGCTATCCTGTACCTGGCCCTGGGCGGCCGTCTGGCAGGACTTTCTGTTTGGTTCCTGTGTATCTGGGGAGGCCGGAAAGGACAAGCAACACTTGCTCACCTCAAGAGGAGGAAGGTCTGTGCTGGGCCGTGTGCTCACGCTACTTATCCGGAATCATCTTGCCTCCCAGGGTGGATATTGTTTCTCATTTTAGGGAAGAGCAAACTCAGGCTGCGAGAAGTTAAGACCTGCCCGGGTCTTAGCGCTGCAAGATGAAATACAGGATGTCCAGTGTAATTTAAATTTCAGATGAATGAATGAATGAATGGTGCCTGTCTCCTAATCTGTCCAGAAACTCAGAATAATGGGTTCTAGATTCCAAGGTCTAGTCTGCCCGTTTTATCTAGACAGGAAGTCTAGAACCTATCTCGTACCCATCATTCCAGCCTGGGCTAGGTAGGTGACCTGGGGGAGCTGCACGGACCTGAGAGCAGAGGACTGTGTGGGGGAGTCCCGGAGAGCAAGTGGCAGGGGTGGCAGAGGGAATAAATATAAATGTAAGCTGAAGAATAGCTCAAATACAGCAAGGGCTATACTTACACTAACACAAGCTCGTTTATCTGCAATTCAGATGGAACTGGGCACCTGCCTCTATCTGCTAAATCCGGCCACTCTACCTGGGTCACACAGCTAGTAACTGACACAAGAAAATGAAGCGGAGTCTACATCTGATGCCGGACATCAGGCTCTGGTCCTCTGGTTTGCTATCTGCCTGGTGATAGGGACCTGTCACCACCTCTCATTCTGCCTCGCTCCACTGGTGAGCAGGGCCTCCAGCAGCAGCCCTGGGCAGCCTGGTGGCAAACTGAATGCCTGTGCATGAGTCGGACGAGACAGCGGGTCCTTGCTGTTGCAGGGATGGCTTTCCTGCCGATGTTGTCCACACTGGCTCTCGCTCTGTAGTGCAGGCTCAGCTCCCTGCCTGCAGAGGCTGCCCCCGCTGGTCCTTTTTGGAAGGCCTCACCCCCACACCTGCAGCCCTTGTTCTCTGCCTTTGCTTTTTATCAATGCAGAGCGGGCCTGGTACATGAAACCCTCGAATTAAAAGTTATTCGGGGTAATGATTCCAGTGATCCATCTGCGCTGGAAGTGGGGCAGCTTTTCCTCCTTTGCACGTTACCGCCCATATTAAAGTGTCATATGTAAATGATTAAGCCGATGAACAGTTTTATTTCCTCCAGCAGCTGACAATTCCACAAAATGGAGAGATTTTAATTTAAAGGGGCACAATAAAGAAAACCCTTCTGGGTGCTCGGAGTCTCAGGAAGGAGGCGCTGAGGGATCCCTGGAAGCCTGTTGCTCAGTAGTTAAGGAAGCCTCCGCCCTTGGGTGGGGACCAGTTCTGGCCATGGGTCACTTGTTTCTGTAGAGCCCATGCCAAGAGTCTCCTGGCTTGGGACAGCTGGCCAGTCCCCTGCACTGGAACATCTCAAACTCTGTGCTTAGAAGTTGGAGACAAAGAGCTGCTCTGTTTTTCAGTCAGTTTTGGACTGTTTTTATGTCTTTGTGGGTGGTGAGAAGGTCTGGTCTTTACATTTGGAGTTGAGACACCTGTCAGAGCTCAGCTGTCCCCCAGCACAGCCCTGGGCTCCTCTGTGGGGTCACTCGCCCTCTGTTCCCACAGAGGAAACCCCAGAGGGAGCTGCTCCCAGCTGTATCCCAGCAGCCTGCAGTTTGCCTGTACCTCGGTCCCTGCAGCCCTGCACCTGGGGCCGCTGGCAAAGGCGAGGCGGAGGCTGCTGCTCCCCCAGGAGCTGTCCAGGCCAGCCTCTCCATGCCCAGTCCCCTGTCCATCCCCTGCCCTCACCCTGAGACTTGCTGAGCAAACTGCACCTGGCTGCTGCACTCCACACCTGGCCTGCCCTTCCTTGTCTTAGTGCACTGCAAGCCTACTTACAGGAAAAAAAAAATCTGATACGGAGTCTCTGCCAATCCTCATGGTGTAAATGCTCCCAGCTGGGCCAATTTAAGCCACTATCTGTGTAACAACCTGTTCACAAAATTCCTGAACACCCAACAATCGGCTCTAGTGTGCCTGCCCACACCGGCTCCTGACCACCACGGCACGTACCGCAAGTTGTCCACACCAAGGAGCTGGGTTGCTGTGCTCATGTCTGTTTTGTCTCTTCTGGACACTTCCTCCCAGAGGGCAGGGCAGGGCCCACATCTGCTCCATCGTGCTTGCATCTACAGGCCAGGCTCTTCGCACTCCACAAACATTGCCCACCTTGGTGATGCATGCTGGGACTGCCATCCCCAGGTCCAAGGGCTCACCTTGCCCACCCGCCCCTTCCACCTCCCACCTCCTCCTCGGGCCCCGGCAGCATAGAACCTGCGGCTCCTACTTGCCTGCACCCAGCCCTCCGCCTGGCCCCAGCTCCCAGCTGCCTCAGCACAGGTGTGCCGTCTCTTGCTCCAGGAATCTCTCCTTGGCCAGCCACCTCTTGGCCAGGTTAAGGATCCCCCAGCCCTGCACAGATCTCAGCATGTTCTCGGCACTTCATGTTATAATTATCTGCTGTGGTCCCTCTGCATGAGTGGCAAGTCTGAGGTCTCATTCAGACTTCAAAACATGCACCAAGAAGCACAGTGCCTAGAACACAAGGGTTGAGGGAACCTTGGCCGAATGAAAGAATGGAATCTGCCCAGGCTGCAAACACGGCTTCAGGGGAGTGGGAGCCCATTGGTGGAAAACCCCAGAAGCGCTGCTTGATCCCAGCTCCTTGGAGTCAGGCCCTACCCTTCTGTTCACTCTTGGATCCACCTGGGCAGGCCCAGGAGACACTGACCACATGCTCAGCTCCACGGGCCACGGTAGGTGCTCAATAAAAGCATAATTGGGGAATGAATGCAGGTGGTTCCTGGAAGACAGTGCCATTTATCAGCTCGTTACAGACCCAATCACCGTCGAGGGGAGGGAGGGGCAGGTTTGCTCCGGGTTTGCAGCTCCTCCTGTCAGAAAACCTTTGGAATTAAGGCATTGGCATTAATTGCGATAGATCCTCTGAAAAGCCTTCCTGTTTATAATTTGGACAAATTGCCCCACATCCTCTCTCGCTGCGTGTCTGTGTGTGATGTGCCTCAGGGAGGTATTGATTTATTTTTGGTTATAAGTGAGAGTTAATACCGTGTTGGTGGCTGCTCCCTGTAGATGTGGGGACATGGCCTTCTCCTGGAGGCAGCAGAGATATTTCACACCCAGAGCCTTCATCTCCAGGGAGACTCGGGCACTCTGTGAGTGCAGGAAAGAGCTTGGATGGAGCTGCAGCCCAGACTTGTCTGTCACTCCTCGGGAGGCATGAGACAGGCGGTGGAGATGCCACTCACTGTGGAGGACCACGGGCTGCAGCAAAGCTTTAAAGATACCCCAGGCCCCAGTCTCTGCTGCCCAGCCCAGGCCTGGAGCCACCTCAGAGTGAGCCACATGAAGGCAAATGCAGGTGGCACCCAGTGGTCACCTGGACGTGGATTCTGGAGTCAGACACATCCAGGTTCCAGCCTCCACTCTGCACATAGTAGCTGCGTGGCCTGGGCTGAGTTAGTGAGGGCCTCTGGGTTTCAATTTGCAAGAAACGGCGTGGGAGTCAGGGGTAGGAGTGGGGGGATGTTACCTGCCCTGGTAAGCATGGTGTTTGTACAGCGTCCCTCCCTGCGAGAGCCATGGCCTTCCTCTCTGTGGGTTCTTGCAAGAGTGTCCATTAGCTGCCCCATTTCACCCTGGCAGCTGCAGGCTGGCTCACAGGGAAGCCTCCCCAATTTCTCACTTGTAGTTCTCTCTTGTAGAATGTGCCAGAAAGTAACACCCTGAGATAGGGATGAACTGGCTGGAATAGCCCAGGCTCTATTCCAGGCCCACCGTCCCCCAGAAAGAGATGTCCTTTAGCTCAGTGGGGCCTGTGGCCCTAAGGTATGAAACCCAGGGCGGGCTACTTTCTAGGGTCCTTCAGCTGCGGTGCAGGTGGGGCCCGAGCCAGGCTGGGCAGCTTTCGTGAGCCTTGGGGAACCAGCTGGCCATGAACTTTCAGCTCTGCTGCCTCTCGATGCCCATCTAGGAGGTGTTGAGCTGCTTCATGTAACCTGTGTGAGTGTTCTATCTCACCAGGCTCAGACACGTCGGTAACCAGTGCACAGGGAATCTGCTTCACAGCCGCCCCTCCCCTGCAGCAGGGAGGAGGTGTCACCAAAGCAGGGCCTGTCGGAGTCTCTGGCTGTGATACAGACCTTGAGGATGAGAGCTGTGGGGGATGCTTCTACAGGTGCAGTGGCCCTCTTCCCCTTCCTCCTGATTTCCTGCTCCCCCTTCCCATCAGCCATGGCCATGCATCTGCCAGCAGCTGGACACTGGGCAGAAGCAGTGGATTCCACCTCCGGGCCTGGCCAACCAAACCCTCTCAGAGGACACCCCCATGGGCTTTTCTGTTTTGGTGGCAGGGATGGAGATGGCCTTCTGGGTGACCTTGGGAAAAGCCACACATGGAAGGAGTGTGGGCCCATGGATCAATGTCTTGGAAAACCCTGGAACAGTAACTCCTAGACAGGACCAGACACAAGCAGAAAATAAACTCTATTTTGTCAAGTCTCTGTGATTTGGGGTTAAACTGAGGAAAGCTGGCACAGGGAGCAGACGGCAATCCTGGCCTGCCTATGGCAATCTCGCCAGCCCATGCAGAGGCTGAGAAGAGTGAAGATCCCACGGAGAGGAGGCAAGCGAGAGGGAGAGCCCTGGCTGTGGGGTTTGGGCTCAAGGAGGTTTGGCCCCTATCAGGGGCCGGCTGCACCCCAGACCACCAGGCACTCTGGCAGGTGGATTTTCTCTCTCTTTTTTTTTTTTAGGGAGATTGGCTTGGTTTTCTGCCTCGTGGGTGCACCTTGTTGCAGGGATATGGGGAAAATTTGCCCCGATGGTGGAGGTGAAGCTCGCAGCACTATGAGGAGTTGGTTCTCATGGACATTATTCCCTGTCTTTTCCCATTGGCCTAGAGAAGCAGCATTCGTGCAAGTGAGAGTGACAGAAGGACGCTTACTCACGGCGTCCAGCCCGGCTCCCTAGGCAAAGCCACTGTGGGAGGGCATCTCTGCCAGGACCGGGCTGAAAGGCTCTCCTGAAGGACGCATGGGCCAGGGCCACTCACAGAATCTGGAGGAGCCATGTACAGCTATGGTCTCTGTAGAAATAGGTGGTGTGGGGGCAAAGCTGGGGACAGGAGGTGGGGAGGAAAGCAAACCAGGTGACTGTGCATGTGTGTCCCTCGGAACAGGGCGGGTGGAAGGAGAATCCGCTTTGGAGTCTGGAAGCACTGGTTTGCTGCTCACCTGCGTGGGACTCACTTGTTGGAATGCATCTTCATGAGTTCCTGCCATGACAGATTCTAACTCAGTGGGTCTGGTAAGGGTTCAGGCATGTCTGTTGAGGCCCAGGCTGAAGATGGTTTGTAAGTGCAGTCGCGGCGGCCCCCAGGTGGTGCTGGGTCAGCTACCCCGTATGGAGTGGCTGGATGAGGGGAGTGTCAGCTCTCTGTTCCTGGGGCTCATGGAAGATGGGACACCCCTGGGCAGTGTTAGTCGGTCATCCCTGTAGGGTGACCATCATCTGGTGACCTGTTGCCCCGGCACCTGGTCAGTTTGGCATGTGTGTCAGATTTTTCATTTTCTAAACAAGTTTACTGTGAACATTCATATTAAAATAAGCAGGACATGGTCTGGTAGACTCTACCTTGACCCCTGGTTTCGGCAATGATCTTGTCCACTAGTGAATGAGACATGTGAGTGAGCAGTTTTTAATTTAACCTGTGGTTCCAGACCACTGGCAAGGACCAGTTAAGCTTGTTTTCAGCTCTTTCCAGACCCAACAGCCATGCCTCCCTATCCAGGACTGTACCTGGGCACCACGGAGGAAGCTACTCAGACATCAACCCAGGTAGAACTACCTCTTTCTGGCCCCAAGCAAGAAGGCAGAAATGTCCCACGTTACTGCCCCCTGCCCACTGTGGCCAACACTGGGTGGACAACTCTGCTATGGCCCACGCCACACCTGAAAGACGTCAAAGCCACCAGATACCAGTCTTGGGGTCCGTTGGACATTACAGGGCAAACGTGTGAAATGCAATGAAGAAATAGAGGCTGGGTAACCCTAAACACAGACAGGGAGCTGCTGCGCACTCTTGCTACAGGTGATCATCATTGTTTTGTGGGATGAACATACAATAAGTTATTTATTTTCTTGCTTGCTAATGCTTTTAAAATTTTTTAATAAACTCATTTGATAGCAATGAGCTAAAATAATGGAAGTACGTGTTTAACGAAAAAGCACAGAATTTCCACTGGCCATTAATATTGATGACAAAGGTGCAGCTTGCACAAAATACATATTGGCATTATTTTGACCTCAGAAAAGCCAAAGAATCATCATCTGCTAGAGAAACAGCCACATCTACTTCCAAAGACGGTGGTCGAAGGCTTTGCTGAAGACAAGGGCATGCAGTGTGTGGCACCAGAAGGTCAGAGCATGGTTTTTCATTTAGATCAAATGCTGCTCTTCTACTCTCAGCTCACACTTGGCAGCTAAGCTTCCCTGTGCGTGTCTGTAAAGTCAAGCAGTTAACTGTTCATGTGCCAGCACCACTAGCAGAAGAAAAACTCAGTAAACAGTCATTGAAGCCAGTTTCGAATGACAACATCTGATACTTCATAGAGGAAGTCACTGAATTCCAGGAATAGGCCCTTGGTTTTCAATCACATTTGTGAACTAAAAAAGCAACTTTTAGAATTTCATTCTGGCCTGCAATCCCAGCATTTTGGGAGGCCGAGGAAGGTGGATCACCTGAGGTCAGGGAGTTCAAGACAAGCCTGGCCAACATGGTGAAACCCCATCTCTACTAGAAATGCAAACATTAGCTGGGTGTGGTGGTGCACGCCTGTAGCCCCAGCTACTTGGGGGGCTGAGGCACGAGAATTACTTGAACCCGTGAGGCAGAGGTTGCAGTGAGCTGAGATTGAGCCATTGCACTCCAGCCTAGGTGACGGAGTTGAGAATCTGTCTCCCAAAAAAAAAAAAATTTCATTCTGTCTGAGGGGAGATATTTGAGACTCTGATGAGGACTACTGCAAATTCAGTTAAAAGGTTCCACACTGAGGCTGGGAGCAGTGGCTCACGCCTGTAATCCCAGCACTTTGGGAGGCTGAGGCAGGCGGGATCGCCTGAGGTCAGGAACTCGAGACCAGCCCGGCCAACATGGTGAAACCCCGTCTCTACTAAAAATACAAAAATTAGCTGGGCTTGGTGGCGCACGCCTGTAATCTCAGCTACTTGGGAGGCTGAGGCAGGAGAATTGCTTGAACCTGGGAGGCAGAGGTTGCAGTGAGCCAAGATCGTGCCATTGCACTCCAGCCTGGGCAACAAGAGCGAAACTCCGTCTCAAAAAAAAAAGAAAAAAGAAAGGTTCCACACTCAATATGAAATTCCTTGTTTCATTGTAGTGGTCACATATGGACATACTAGATAACAGTTTCTGGGTAGAAGTGATGTTCTTATTATATGAAGATACCTACGGAGCAAATATGAACCACGCATGGGTTATAGGGCACCTTCATTCAAACTTGTGTCCAACAAGTTGGGATAATCTAACAATCGAACAATATAAGTCGTAGTTGCACAAACTTACAAATATTTATATGCATACAGTTGGAGTAGCCGAATTACAACACTTTGTGACAAAGCTGATTTTGTCTTTATTTTATTTTATTTTATTTTATTTTATTTTTTTTGAGACGGAGTTTTCCTCTTGTCCCCCAGGCTGGCATGCGGTGGCGCAATCTCGTCTTACTGCAACCTCCGCCTCCCAGGTTTGAGTGATTCTCCTGTCTCAGTCTCCCGAGTAGTTGGGATTATAGCCATGTACCACCACACCTGGCTCATTTTTGTATTTTCAGTAGAGACAGAGTTTCACCATGTTGGCCAGGCTGGTCTCAAACTCCTGACCTCGGGTGATCTGCCCCCCTTGGCCTCCCAAAGTGCTAGGATTACAGGTGTGAGCCACCGCACCTGGCCACAAAGCTGATTTTTAATTTTAAAAAGATCTCAGTGTGCGGCTATGCCCTCTCCCTGTGCCCATGCTGAGGGTGATTCTATAAACCAAGCCCATAGAAAGCTGCCTTGTAAGTCAACCCAAGGGTCCTACACTGCAGTGAGACCTTCTGTAAAGGAATCCTCTAAATTTTGGTTGCACCAAATAATTTAATGAATTCGATAAATAGAGCAATGACAACAAACTTCAGCTTTTTTTTTTTTTTTTTTTTTTTTAGACAGGATCTTTTTCTGTCACTCAGGCTGGAGTGCAGTGGCACAATCACGGTTAACTGCAGCCTCAACCTTCTGGGTCCAATCAAACCTTCCACTTCAGCCTCCTAAGTAGCTGGAACTACAGGTATGTTCCAGTTAATTTTTGTATTTTTTGTAGAGACAGAGTCCCAGTCTATTGCCCAGGCTGATCTCGAACTCCTGGGCTCAAATGATCCTCCTGCTTTGGCTCCCAAAGTGCTAGAGTACAGGCATAGGCCATCTTGCCTGGCCTCAAACTTCAGTTTTTAAAGCTTCTAGAAAATTGCAAATGTTGAAGACAAAGCTTGCAAACAGGAAGACATTAAATATACCCCTTACAAGTGAGGGAGGGATGAGATAAATTCAACAATGAGTGTCCTGACAGCATATAAGATTTAATTTTGAAATTATGTAATTTTGCTTCAGAATATCTCAACGTATGGAAGGCATCTTTTAATGAAGCCCTATTTTTAATCAAACACATTTATAAACTGTACCAAAATGGGACAAAAATAAAAGATGTACAAGTTTGCTGTATCTAAAATTTAAGAAACATTCAAGAGAAACTTACAGAGAAACAACTCCAAGATAGACAACTTATTTAATGAATTTTCTCTTGTAAAGGTATCTGAATGGAGCCAAAAAACCAACATCTGGAAGTGCATTTGGGTGAAATAGTTTCACTTTTCAGTGTGGAAAAAAAAAAAAAAAAACAGTGAGCAGAATTTACTTTGAGCTCACCAGGTACCCCTGAACCTGCAGAGAGAAAATTGTCTTAATTAAAATGGTTACGGTCTAACAGAGAGGAGTCAGTTTAAGATGTCAACAATTTCTAGCATACTAACCAAAAAAAAAAAAAAAGCAACTTTGAAGAAGGGCATAGCAATTTTAAGAAAATATTTTTAAAATGTTAGGACTCTATTGAAAAGAAACTCCTTTAGAAAAATTTCAATGGATTCACCAATATATTAAAACCAACTTACCAGTCTCTCTCTATATTTATATATAATATATGTTATATATTATATATGAAGTAAATATATATCTAATTAAATAATAAATTAAATATATATTCATTATATTTATTAAATATAATAAATAAATAATAGATCTAATTAAATAATAAATATATTACATTTGTACAGGAGTAATTATGGCAGGCCAGGCGCGGTGGCTCATGCCTGTAATCCCAACACTTTGGGAGGCCTAGGCAGGTGGATCACCTGAGGTCAGGAGTTCGAAACCAGCCTGGCCAAAATGGTGAAACCCTGTCTCTACTAAAAATATAAAAAATTAGCTGGGTGTGGTGGCAGGAGCCTGTAATCCCAGCTACTCAGGAGGCTGAGGCAGTAGAATCACTTCAACCCGGGAGGCGGAGGTTGCAGTGACGCGAGATTGCACCATTGCACTCCAGCCTGGGCAACAAAAGTGAGACTCCACCTAAAAACTAAACAAACAAAAAAATAGAGTAATTATAGCAAAATCATGATTACTTTTGTACCAACTTCATATATTTTTTAATAAATTTATACAATAAATATATATGCTGTACATATTATATAATATGTATATGTTACATATTTAATTATATAATAGTTAAATATATAATATATTTTATGAAATATATATTTAATATATAATATGTATCTTATATATAAATAAATAAATAAATATATATTCATTTATTTTCAGTGCCTGCTTCCCTCTATAAATTGTCCTCATTTGGAGAACACTTGGACACAGGGTGGGGAACATCACACACCAGGGCCTGTTGTGGGGTGGGGGGAGGGGGGAGGGATAGCATTAGGAGAAATACCTAATGTGATAATAAAAAAAATAAAAAAATAATAAAAATAAATAATAATAATAAAGTGTCCTCATTTGGATGGCAGATTGAATGATTATCCTACAGATTATCTAAGTGTGTCTAGAACAGACGTTTTCAAACTTTAGGTTTTCCAGGATGGTTTATTCCCTTCTGATGCATGTGGTCTAAGACCTTTTTTAAAAATCAAGGTATAATTGAGAACACAGTAAGTGTACCCTCCAGTAAGTTTTGACATATGTATACATCCAGGTGACCAGCACCCACTCAAGATAAGGAAGGTTCCCATCACTCTAAGAAGTGGTTTTGTGCCCCTTTTGCAACTAGTCCTGCCTGCAGAGGTCACCACCCTTCTGATTTCTGTGGCCGAAGACTACGTTTGCCTATTGAGACCCACATTCTGAGAAGCTCAGGTCTCTGGTCTTTGGAGACCCTGGGATAGAAAGCGCAGGTTGTCTTGGACGGGCCGTGATTCTGGCCTGTTTATTGCAGGGTTCTGTGGGTGTAGCGGAGGCTGAGAGCCCCTTAACAGAGACCCTAGAGGCCTGGAGGGCACCTTTGGATAGCACGGCAGAAAGTGTGCTGCTCCAGATGGGGGAGATCACAGGCAGGGGGGTCACAGGGGCTGGCCTCCCAGGGGCTCGGCCTCCCAGGGGCTCAGCCTCCCAGGCCTGACACTGACCTGAGATCCAGCCCTGCCCCTGCCCCTGCCCTTCCCAAGTCAGACCTCAGCACCCCTGGCCCCTCCACCCCAGGCTGACCTGGCTGCTCCTGCTCCTCAAGACTGTGTGACTCATTCCACCTCAAAGGTGTGACTTCTGCTGTGGGCACGTGGCAAGACCTGGTGGGATGAGGAAAGATGCCCGGTGTTGGTCCTTCCCTTTAGAGACTGAGAAGTTTGAGGGTCTTTTCAAGAGGAGAAGGTCTGGGTATCAGAGCACTAAAGGTGCCCACCGAGTTTCCAGGGAGGACCAGGCAGCACTTTGGCCAGATGGCAGAGCCCAGCCCCTGCCCAGCCCCTGCACGAATGCATTGGTGTCCACCTTCCTGCCCCACTGCCTCGATTCCTGCAATGTAGAGGTTGAGATCCAGGTGAGGACAGCAGCACCGACACTCAAGCCAGTACAAACCGAGGCTGGGGCAAGAAATTCAGCACACACCGAGCTGTGATAGGAGTACCAGGAAAGAAATCAGGCCTGGCAGTGGGGCTGGTGCCTCTAGCCTCAGCGGGGCCTGTCGCAAGTTCAAGGGTGGTCGGCATGTCCACTGTGAGGGGGGGACCTCTAGCCTCAGCGGGGCCCGTCACGAGTTCAAGGGCGGTCGGCCTGTCCACTGTGAGTGCTAACCATGACCATGACCCCAGTCAGGGCAAACGCCAACTCTGGGTGAGCAGCAAGTTGGAGGCGAGGGAAGGGATCACGACCCCACCAGATACTAAGGTATGGAGGAAACAGCTTGGGGTGACACCCCACTGTGGGAGCTCAGGAGGATGTGGGTCCGAGTCCTGGCTCACCACAGACCAGCTGTGAGCATCCACTGGGCTAGCTGCTCATACTCTCCAAATGACAGCCCAGCCCAGGGTCACTGAAAGATACCAGGAGTTGATAAGGTGGTTGGCACAGGGTTGAGGATACAGTGAGCACTCAGTAAACAAGAGTGAGGGTGGAAATGATAAAGAATAGGGTCCCACTAGTGTGGGATTCTGTCTCCATGGAGGAACTGAGATGACACGATCTTATAGTCTGATCTGACAAGGCGTCCTTCTCTCCCCTTCCAGTCTACCAGGTGTCCTCCCTGCCTACCAGGTGCCCTAGCTGTATCAGAGGTGTCCTCTCTGCCTACCAGGTTCCCTAGCTGTATAAGAGGTATCCTACCTGCCTACCAGGTGCCCTAGCTGTATAAGAGATATCCTACATGTCTACTAGGTGTCCTAGCTGTACTTGTCTACCATGTGTCCCACCTGTCTGCTCAAGCTCCCTGCAATCTTCCTTCTTTAGACTGTGTGCACCCCATTGTCTGGAATTCTCTCTTCTCCCTGAAAACTCTTCTCCCTTCCTACTCCAAGAGGGCTGCATGCATTCCCGAGCACATGCCACCTACACACGTGTCCCACCCATCTGGGGCCCTCAGCTCAGGTCTACCCCTCGATGACACACCAACATCCTCATTGTGTGCACCGGGTTTAGCACCCAACACAACCCAAAACCTGCACAGGAGGCGAGCCTTGGAGCCTGGCAGCTGACACCTATGTGAGTCGGCAGCCCTCCTTCACTGTAATTAGTTACTAATGACATGACGATTATGAGTCCCTGGGAAACGTCGTTTCACAAACTGAATGTTAGACACCCTGCATGGTAAGCCTCACTATACCCACTGGATAGGTGATATGGCTGAGGCTTGGATAAGTTAGACCACCTGAACCTGTGAGAAAGCACTGGCCCCCCCTCTGCTCCACCCTGCTTCCCCAATGGAGGGGTGGGTGAGCCCAACCTGCCTGTGCCCCCTCCTCGACCGGACCTCAAGGCCACCTCGGCCCACTTCCAGAGGCCCCTGTGCAGCAGGCCTGGCCTGTTAGGAAGTTCCCAAGAGACTCTGACACGAGGCCTACAGGGGCCCCCAGCCAGTGGGGCCAGCGTTCTCTACAGCCCCTGCACCTCCAGGGTGCAACCCCCCGGGTTGACACTCTGTTACCCTGAGGGGGACAGGAGGCCTCCGAGACCCTCCCTGGACCCAGCAGTGCCACTCCTACCCCTGCCCCTGCACATGGGGAGAGATGAGGGGCCCACTGTGTCTCGCCAGAAATCAGCCTGGCTGGCATCTGCGCTCCACACTGCCAGCGCTGCAGGGATTATTTTTACCTGCGATCGCTTGTTGAATGTGTCTGATAATGTATTTATAACGGCCCGAGTAACTCAGCTAGTAGCAACCGCCCTGAGAGACAAGGAAAATGGTTAGAAATTGTTCCCTGTAAAAATAATGAGCTCCGCTGAAATGAGCCAATCAAAACAGCCTCTGAGTGGCTCCCGCGCAGCCAGGTGTGGGGTGTGGAGGCGGGGCAGGTGCCGGCTGGCAGGGCCGCCTGGTCTGCTCTCGGTACGATTTCTGGGACAGGATCTGGGTGGCCGGGGGTCCCTGTCCATTCCTCGGGCCCTGCCAGCAGTCTGTCCCCAGGCACCACACTGGGGAAGCCCAGCTATGACGGGGTGGCCCAGAGGACGATGCCAGCAGTTTGAACCATCCCCTGAGGAGTGACCCAAGCCCGTGTCTACATAGCAGCAGGAGCCTGAGTCTCGAGGCCAGCCCATGTGAGCGTCCCCCAGCCACCTGCCCATGGGCCCAGAACTCTCAGTCCCCTCCAACCCGTGCAGTGTGACCTGTCCCCTTCAGCCCTCATCCACCGCTCTGGAATGTCCCCCTCCTGCCCTCCCCATTGCTCTCTTTGCCAGGAACATTCCAGCATCTCCTTTCCCCAGTTCACCTTGTCTGTTCCCCCAGACTCATTTCAAACAGCACTCCCCTCCACAGGGCCCGTCACTGCCCAGCTGGGAAGAGGCCTTTGCTCTGAGTCCCAAAGAGCCACAGGAGGGTGCCACCCGAACTCAGGGATGGGCTGGGTCTCTAGACACCCTTCTGCTTGTCTGTTTGCTCTACTAGAATGGGGACCTCCTGGGGCCTGAGGCCACACCTTCCTTTCCCAGGTAACTGAATTGTGTGAGGTTGAGAACAGGAGCCTGAATCTGAATGAAGAGCGAGGAGCGGGAGTTTGCACAATTGCCTCATAGAATCTAGGGGACGCTTCGTTCCAGATCACAGATGGCCTGTTCTCCAGCACAGATCCTTATCTGCCTCATCCTGTCTCCTCCTCACCCTGATTCTCAGTGGCCAGCTCTGCAGATTTGCCCTCTAACTATATCTTCCTGTCTTCCTCGTCCCCACTTCCACCCCCTTGGCCTCGGCTCGGGGCTCATCAGCTCTTGCATTGGCCCAGTCTGTGGGCGGCCAACCGGTCTCCCTGCCTCCCACTTGCCCTCTTCAAAGCTTTCTTCCTTGGGGTCCAGTCTGACTCTGCTGCTGCTCTGTGTCTCACTCCTCCATGGCTCCCCAGTGCCTGGACCGTGGAGGCTGAGCTCAGTCCCCGTGGTCACGCCGCCTCTCCCCTGCAGCCTAGGAAGTCCTCAGTCCCAGCTGCAGACCGGACACACTCCTACAACGAGTCACTGTTTCCCACTCAGAGGGCTTAACTCACATTGTCCCTTTTCCCCCATGCCTGCCCTCCCCAGCTGCCCTCAGGGCCCTCCGTCCTCCGTAGAGCCTGGTCACTCCTGGAGATCCTGCCCCTCTGCCACACCCGAGCCAGGCAGATGCTCTCGTCCGCATGCCCGGCGGAGCATGTGTTTTAAACGCGGGAATGCATGTCGCTGTGTTTGCACCTCCTGTGTCGCACCTGGATCGTCTCTTCATGGGGAGGCTTGCCCGTGAGCTTATGGAGTGAGGCAGAGGACCATGTTCCCTCTCTTTTGAACCCACACTTACAGGGGCCCTGCATTCCACAGGCCGGGGCTGAGTTCACACAGGAAGTAAAAATTGGTCCTGCAGAGTCAAAGTCAGAATGGCAAGAGCTTGTTTAAGCCTTGTTAAGTGATTGCGGGCACCTGCCCCCGTGTGCACATGGCCTGACCTCATCCCTAGGATGGCTTTGTGGGGTTTAGCGGTTATTCTCATTCTGCAGACAGGGAGCATGGTGGAGACCATGTCAGGCTCAGGTGCAACCAGGCACTAATGTTTCCAGGCCCCACTGTGCCTCTGCTGCACCCAAAAGCCCCCGCAAAAGTCCCAGGGTGGAACTGTGGCAGAAGGGGACTGAGGCAGATGGTCTAGAAACCGAGCCCCTATTGAAAGCTGGAAGGATGTGATGTTGCAAAGCCTGCCAATAAAAAGTTTGTCTGGGGGTTTTTCTCCTGCGTCCAGATAATTTGGTGTTTCTGTCAGGGCCCAATCAGTGTAAAGGAAACACATGGTATATGAACAAGGAAAGACTAATTCAAAGCAAGGCTCATGGTAACAAGGGACGGGACCAAGCAGGGCTTAGCCTGAGGACAGAGCCCCTGAGCAGGGAGGTCTTCTGAGGCTGCAGGCTCTGCCCAGAAGATCTGATGGGCCCAGTGCCAAGGGCTGGATGTGAATTCTGAGAGTCTCAGGCTGACTTCAGAATCTAACTACTCTACTGTTTAAGTGGATCGCAAACTTAGTGGAATAAAAGCCTTTTCTCTGCTGCTGCCAAATGGTGAGTGTAAAAGCGATGGTGTCTGTGTCAGCACTCGGTTCAAACCGAGTCGTGGATGAGGCAAATTGGATCATTATTCATTTTATCGGTTACTTATTTTTAGAGCAATTTAACAATTACATGTAAAGTGCAAAGCACAGACCCGATTTACAGCGAAACTGTGAATTTACTGCCTCCACTTGGGCACCTGACAATTTGTGTGTTTCCGTTTAGCATATTTTCCCCTTCCCTCAGGTGCCTGGGTTTAACATTATCTTTCTATCAATTTATAGGAGAATCCTTCGGGAGGATGAAGGTGTAAAGAAGTCGGAATGAAAGCCACTAGCACGTGGACTAGTCCATGTTCTAGAGTCCTGCGGATAACCAGGGCCTGTGTAGATGCCATGGAGCCCCACAATCCTTTGTGGGGCTGGTGGGGCAGGAGGCACAGGGAAAGACCCTCCCAGGAGAGACCCCAACCCCATCCCTGGACTCTGCAAGCTTCTCTGATGGTGATGGTGTGTCTAGGGGATGGGATCATCGTACTGAACCCTCAGAAAAGAAAGAGACATCAGCCCAGGAGCCCTTTGCATCCTCAGGGGAAGCCTTCCTGATATGGGCTTCTGGACGGAGGTGTGCTCCTGACTGTTTCTGAAAAGCATACACACCCTGGCAGCCCAGGAATGCCCAGGAGCACCAGGCTCTGCTGAGAAGATTCTGACCTTGGTAGTCAAGGCGGCTGTCATGGTGTACCGATCCTACAGAGAGATTAACAGAAAAGGGGAGAGGAGGCGGGGTGGCGAGGAGGGGAGGGAGAGGAAGCAGGAGAGGCACGGGGAGGGGCAGCCTCCTACCTGAACCCAGGCCGCAGGCCGCCTGGACTCCATGTCTGTCTTATCATGGACCCCATCAGGCCTGTGCCCGGGTGACCCTGGGAACCGTCTCTGGTTTCTCACTCACTGTGTCCTTGCAGGAGAGCCACTGTGGCTGGCTGAAGGGATCCAGGGCACATTTGTGTGGAGGAGCGGGAGGAGATTGCCCACCTCCCACCACTGCTTTCCCTTCTAATTGAATGCTGGGGAAATGACAGGTCATTGCCTCCAGTTTTATTTGTTGGGAAAATGGAGGAAAGTGCTACAGATTGTGATCGGGAACAAAGCTGAGCAGATAACAGGAGACCCGCCTTGGGCCTGCAGAAAGACAAAACCCGGTCCCTGATTAGACGCTGAGGGCAAGGCCGGGAGGGGGCAGTGGGCGGGACATGGAGTGTCATTTGATTGTCTCTGCTGGCAGCGCTCCCCGGAATTGCCATTTAAATTATTCAGCGTTTTTAAGCACCGTTGGACTTGGGGTATTGTCAGCTGCACAGGGAGGCCGAGTGTGGGGCTGCCTCAGCCCCGGCAGCTGGATGACGCGTATTCTCCTGTCATGGTATTTCTAACAGTGACTCTCTCCCTCTCTGTAGCAGGCACCATCTTCCCTCCTCCTTTAGGGAAAGGGCACCCACATCTCCTTTGGGGACCCCCACTTCATTCTCTCTCGAGGAGCCTGGGGGCCTTCCTGGTTTCAGCTGATCAGCATTTCCCATGGCTGTGGCCCTGGCCCCAGGGATCCATGCACAGGAGGGCACATGGCCTATGTTGGCTCCACTCGAGGGACCTCTCACCACCTTCTGGGAGGGGTGAGACAGACCAGAGCTCAGTCTCTCCCACAGGATGGGCAGGGGAAGAGAAGAGCACTGGCCCAGGGGGTCGATAGTCATTAGCACTGGTGAAAGGAGAGTCAGCCTCAGAATGAGACCTGAAAGCAGGAAGAAGCGGTCAAGCGCAATCAGGTGGAGTGGGGCATGAGTCAAATTGTGGGGCCTGAAATCCATGCCTACCTGGAACCTAGAATGTGAGGTCTTTGCAGAGGTCATTAGTTAAGACAAGGTCAGCCGGGGCAGTGGCTCACACCTGTAATCCCAGCACTTTGGGAGGCCAAGACAAAAGAATTGCTTGAGCTCAGGAGATTGGGACCAGCTTGGGCAACATAGTGAGACATCATCTCTACAAACAATAATAATTTAAAAAAAAGCTATGGTGGCACACACCTGTGGTCCTAGCTACACGGGAGGCCGAGGTGGGAGGATTGCTTGAGCCTAGGGTGTCGAAGCTGCAGTGAGCCAAGACCTTGCCACTGCACAACAGCCTGGGTAACACAGAAAGACCCTGTCTCCAAAAAAATGAGGTCATACTAGAATAGGGTGAGCTATATGTGCAATATGACTGGAGTCCTTATGAGAATAAAAAGAACCTCAAAGAGGCTCACTGTAAAGACGGCCATGTGAAGAATGAGGCAGAGATGGGAGCAATACAGCCACAAGCCAAGGAACAAGAAAGATTGCCAGGAGCCATGAGAAGCTATGAGAGAGACTCAGAGGGAGCCATCCCCAGGGCCTTTGGAGGAGGGATGGGCCTGCCCACAATTTGACTTCAGATCTCAGGCTTCCAGAACTGTGAGACAACACCTGTTGTTTCAAGCCAAACAATTGAGTTATGTTGTTACTGCATTTAGGGAACTCATCAAGAAGTATAACTGGGCTGTGGGTGTTGAGGCTTTCCCACCCCTGGACCAGACAGTGGAGTTAACTGGGCTTCCAAATGCCCTGCCTTGCTTCAGCCAGTTTAAAGTGGGTCATGGTGAATTGTGACCAGTGGATTCCTAATGGACACAGCCTCCACAACAAGCAAGGGAACACATCTGGCTGGGCAGGAGTACGAAATGTGCATGTCAGTGCAGAAAAATCTGTACCTCAACCACTCAGTGAACACATCCCAGACCCCTCCCCAGGCTCCCTCACAGCTCAAATAGCCAAATATTTAGCCCCCTTTTGAAGTGCTCAAGTACTGCTGGAAAAAGAGAGATGCAAGCTACATAACTACAATTCAGCTTACTACAGAAAAGCCACTGCAGGAATTCACAGATGGCTTGATCCTGCCTGGCCAGTTTGATCATCAAAGGCTGCATTTAGAGGGCAGCATTTAAAATTAGACATTTCAATGCCTCATATTAATGGATTGGGGAATATAAATTATTTCTGAGTGACATTTTAATGTACTACATATCCCTTCAATCTAAATTACCAAAGTTTATAAACATTGAATTCCTATTGATGAAGAAGCAAATATTTAGCTCCTTACTGCTAAGACCATGAAATCACTTTTCAAAGGGTGGAGCTGAACTTGACCTACTCACTTCTGTTGTTTAGTTCTTGGTCCCAGTCAGGAAAGGAGGAGAGAGCACTGTTTTTGAGTGCTTATGTGCCAGGGTTTAGACTATACATTTTCAGGTGTCTTTTCCCAATTTTCATAACAACCCAATGAGGAACATAGTATCTGTCTATTTCAGCTCAGGAACTAGGTTTAGAGTAGTTAAAAAAAACTTTCCCAAGATCACACGACTGGGTAGTGTTTCAATGTGATTCTGTTTGGTTCTAAAACTCATGCTTTTTCATTTCTACCAAACCATGCTTCATCGCTACAGGTTTAAAAGGACAAAAGGCCCAAAGTGGTTACAGCCTGGCCTAAGGTCACAAGGAGGGTCGGGGTAGAACTGAAGATGGAGTTGAAGACTTGCCTGGTTGGTTCTCAGCTCACCCTCTATGCATCCCTTACTCTTCCCTGTGTGTGCTAAAATGTTAGGTAAGACTCTTAATACTCAGAAGTAATCCTCAGAAAACTCATTTGCATTTTGTTTTCCTAACAAGGAAAATGGGGCAAGCTTCACCTTGTCAGTCCTTCAGGGGAGCAAACATTCCAGAAGGAAGTAGGTTTGGATTGTTGAGGTCTGGTCCTCCTTACCCCTGGGTGGGGTAAACTGACTCATTTTAAAATATCTCTAATCTGGGCTTTTTTTTCCCTATGGACAGCCCATGCACATGCTAGCTGGACCAGGAGGGAGGATGGGAGGAGGGAAAGTGGTACTCCGGGCCCTGAGATGTGGCTACCTGAGCCTCATGCTGACAACATGTGCCCAGGGACAGCAGAGGGAGCAGCAAGGGGGCTGGCCCTGGGAGGCCCGAGGCAGGGGCAGCTGTCACCTGTGTCTTCTCCCAGGCACCCACAGGTTAACTGTGAGCTCACTGAAGAACTGCAGAGCATGTGTGCTGGTGGGGTGTGACAGGCAGGTTGGTTCACCCCACTGTGGAGATAGGGAGAAGAGGACCCTGTTTGGTTTCTCTCTGGGGCTTCATGCCTCCTGGTTTCTATCCAACTGCTGGGCCCCTAAGGTCCTCTCCTTCATGCTCTTTTTTTTTTTTTTTTTTTGAATCCTGATCTCACCCTCATCTGGGGAAGTCTCACCACCCAGCAACAGAGCCTCTGTAGTACAACCACTACCTCCCCTCCTCAAGCACAGAGGGCCGCTCTGTGCCACTCCTGCTCTGAAAGACAGAAGCATTATTTTCCCCACCAACGCCAAGGTCTTATCTTTTCATATTGAGAATATTCCTGTGACAAGCCGAAAAGCCACCTCAAATGTCATGCTGCTATTATGGGCGGTTTTGCCCAGCCTGTGAGACAGGCAGAGGCTCTTCCCTTGATCTACACAAGAGATGGCACCTGTTTGTTTAAGAAACTCATAAAACAGTGTGGTGGGCTGACAGGTGGCCCCAGAGAGACAGGTTGCATCCTAATCCCCAGAACACAGGAATGCCACCTTATGTGACAGAAGAGAGAATGTTCCCTTTTATGGCAAAAAATGTGATTAGGCTAAGGATCTTGAAAAGAAGAGCTTATCCTAGATTATCTGGGCAGCCCCAAATGCAATCATGTGTATCTTTTTAAGAGAGAGGCAGAGGGAGTTTGGGGACAAACACATACAGAGGACAAGGCGATGTGATGATAGAGGCAGAGATTGGAGTGATGTGGCCATCTGTGAGGAATGTCAGGAGTCCGCTTTGGATGAAGCGGGGAAGGACCCTTTCCCAGAACCTTCAGAGGGAGTATGGCCCTGCCGATGCCTTGATTCTGGACTTCTTACCTCCAGAACTGTGGGAGAATAAATTTCTGCCGTTTAAAGCCATCAAGTAGGTGGTAGTTTTTGACAGCAGATAGAGGAGAGTCATTCACAGAGTAAACTTCTGCACTGATCTGGCCGGGAGAGGATGCAGACAGCACAATTCCATTTCTGGATCTGATCCTTCTGAGGCTCCAGGGGCCCAGTGCCTCTAGGTCCTAATCCAGTTCTCAGTGTTCTGGACATTCTCAAGGTCTTCTCGCCCTCCTGGCTTTCTGGGCAGCAGCCCCTTTTCCATGTCCTGGACTAGGAGCCACCAGGGCTGGGCAGGTGGCCTTGTAAGAGTCTCACTCACGTCTGTTCTGCACAGGTGACCAGGGATTTTTCTCCTTTGCCCAGAGCTTGAGAAGCAACAATGCCCATTCCTACAGGCAGGGACAGAAGAGGAGAAAGTGATGAGCTTTGGGTTCAGAATGGCCCACGTCTGGGCATCTCAGCGATTCTGGCCCTTGAGCCCTCCCCATCTTTTCCATGGGACTAATAATAACCAGAACAGTTCCTCCTACTTTTCATCCTCTCCACTGAAATCCCCTCTCCTCTGGAACTTTCCCAAGTATTTGTAGAAGATGTCATTGCAGCCTCCATGGTATGGATGGTGAGGACTTGGCAAACTAGCAGAAAAGCCTCATAAAATGTCTATCCTAGCCAGGCATAGTGGCTCATGCCTGTAATCCCAGCACTTTGGGTGGCTGAGGTGAGTGGATCACCTGAGGTCAGGAGTTCAAGACCAGCCAGCCTGACCAACATGGTGAAACTCCGTCTCTATTAAAAATACAAAATTTTTAGCTGGGCATGGTGGTGCCTGCTTATAATCCCAGCTACTTGGGAGGCTGAGGCAGGAGAATCACTTGAACCTCCGAGGCAGAGGTTGCAGTGAGCTGAGATTGTGCCATTGCACTCTAGCCTGGGCAACAAGAGAGAAATTCTGTCTCAAAACAAACAAACAAACAAACAAGCAAACAAACAAAATATCCATCCCGGGAGACAGCCAACAAAAAAGGTGAAAAAATAAAAAGAGAGCGAGGTCATTCTAAAACGTAGTGACTACTTAAGAGAAAGAAGCAGAGAGATGAGATGTGGAGGGTCAGGACAATGTGGTCTGGGCTGTACCTCTTGTACCTGTTGGCATCCTAGACCCCAGGAGCTCAGAAAGTGGTATATTTGCAGACTGCATCTGTAAAGAAGCCATTAAGTTAAAATGAGGTCATTAGGGTGGGTCCTGACTGGCATCGTTATAAAAAGAGGACATGAGGATACAGACACACAGAGGGATGACCATGTGAGGACAGAGAAAGGTGATGGTGTCTACAAGCCAAGGAAAGAAATGTTGGGAGGAACCAACCCTGCCAACCTTGGTCTCAGGTTCCAGCCTCCAGGGCAGTGGGAAAATAAGTTCTGTTGTTGAAGCCCTTTGG
Organism: Homo sapiens; assembly: GCF_000001405.40. NCBI lineage: Eukaryota > Metazoa > Chordata > Mammalia > Primates > Hominidae > Homo > Homo sapiens. The sequence goes on along the minus strand of NC_000001.11, from coordinate 4,606,592 downwards.
GCTAAGGTGCTTTGTTGTTGCATCCCAAGGAAACCAACGGGCAGGCACAGGTGTAAAACACCTTTAGAGAGGTGGACAGAAGGGGTGCCCTAGGGGCCGGTTGGTGAGACATGATGTGCTAAGGGTGGGGAAGAACCTACCAGGCAGAGGCATGACAAGGAAAATGCCCCAGCAGAGACCCATCCACATGGGGTCTTGTGGGCCACACTAAGGGGCTTAGGTTTTGCTCTAAGAACTCAGGAAATTATGGAAAGATTTTAAGGAGGAAAGCGATGGATTTGGTTTACACTAAAAACAAAGAAGCCAAACAGAAGCCACTCTGGCTCCTTGTCGAGAGCAGGCTCTGAGGCATGAAAAGCCGTGGGAAGATGGGTGGGAGCTACTGCAGGAATCCAGGACTCTGATGGGCCCACGATGGGGGAAGTGCAGCAGATACAGCAGGTACAGGGATCTCGAGCCTTGCAGTGACCCAGCCAGAGAGCCACAGAGCTGGGTGAGGATTTGAGTGTGGGAGGAGAAGACAACACAGTATCTGGAATGATTTCCGAGTTTTGGGGTGGTCAGATTCATTGAAGGGTGGAAGAACAGTGAGGGACAATGCCAGGGCAGGCAGGAGACCAGGCTGTCCCTGGGACATGCTGAGCTTGAGATGTATGGTGCTTTTTCAAGTGGAGAAGTCAAGCAAGCAGCTGGATGTGTGAGACCAGAGCCACAGGGAGGAGAGAGACATTTGTGAATCATCAGTCCATGGGGTGATTTAAAACCATGGGGTTGGATGATGAAGTTAGAATGGGTGGAGATAGAGATGAGAAGGAGTCAGGAGGGAGATGGGGTGCTCTGATCTCTAAAGACTGAGCTGAGGAACAGGAGACAGCAAAGTAGTTTGGGGAGGAGCTGCCAGGGGGGTAGGAAGTGACCCAGGGAGGGGTGACATGAGAAAAGGATGACCTGCTGTGCTAAATACTGCAGAAAGGTTGAGCATGATGAGGACAGACACGTCCCTTAGATTCAGCCACGTGGAAGTCCTTGGTGACCTTGAAGAGGTTAGGTTTTAGTGATGAGGATGGAATTGACCACATGCCAGGCAGGTTGCTGCTGCTGAGAATCAGGAACAATTCCTGGAATCCACTTAACCCACTGCTTGGCAGAGCATCAGTCATTTCAGCCCCCGTTTCTAAGAGCATGTTATTATCAGGTCATGCTTGAGATTCTTCCAGCCGTGAGGTCTGTTGTAAGCACCGGTATGGGCAATGTGCAAAAGAACCTTGTTCTCCAAGGGCACGCGCCCTCAATTTTCCCAAGCAGTTGTTGGGTTCTTGCTCAGTAAATTCTCTGGGTAGCATGGGAGCTACATAATTAACATTCCTGTTTTCTCCTTTTCAGTGGTCTGGTCAGCCTCTGGGACCAGGACAAAGGCTCCCGAAGAAATGTGATAGCCAGAGGGGTCACTTTCCCGATCACAGAGCCTCACCTCATCATTAACATAGTCTAAACATGTTGGAATGGCTGGAGTCACCCCTTACGCCCCCAATAGCTATGTTACAGACTACAGAGGATGTCTGGAGGCTGCAGCCCAGAAGCAGGAGCCCAGAGTTTCAAAGTCCCCTTGCAATGCTCCTGAGGGTTATTACATTAAGTTTGGAAGGTAAACCAGCAGGCTCAAAGGTTTCTCCGACCTTTGCATCAACATAGATATTAAATATTATATTTTTGTATTATGTTACTATAATTAGATATGTATACATACAGAGATTCCAAATTATGTTCCTGTGCATTTGTTAACTGCAAAACCAGAGCTGCCTGTTGTTCTCCTATGTGACTCCTCTAAACCTGAAAATCTTTGCAAACACCTGTTAGGGAGACACCCCCAAAATACAGCCAGAGTTGGACAATGAATTCTGCCATTTTTCTGTCGACAGAAGATGATTCAACTTTGAAAAACATGAAAGCAAACCCCTCCAGGGGTAGTACTTACTTGACCTTGAATGGGTACTAGGAATGTGGGGAGTTGTCCCCGGCGGGGCTCCGAATGGTCCCTTTCTGCAGTCAACTATAAAGTTCCCTGGAATGTCCCAGCTCCCAAGGCTGCATCTGATACCAAGCAAGACTGAGAATTGTTCCCAGACAAGAATCCTCATTGCACCTTTAGAAGTCCACCCACCCAACCTCTAACCAGAAAATAGATTCCTATAACATTGCTAATGGGTCATGGGCCGAACACGTCACTTGAGACCCTCCAGGTTGTGAGCTGTGCCCACCTCACATGGTGCTTCCAATCCTCTTCCTTGCTTGCACTGTAAGCATAGAGAATCAGGCAACGAAGTGTGATTGGAGATCATGGCTGAAACCTTCCACCGGAGGCAAGTTTGGCTCTGACGCCAGAGATGCTGCTGACTCTATTTTTTGCCTTTTCCTGGTTGAAAATGTTTTGCAAGCCACCAGCCAAGTTGGGGTTTCAGTATCAGAACAGTTGGCAATCCTGCCCTAATGGAAAATGAAGGGGAGCTAAACGTGGTGTTCACAGTTCACCTTTCATGGGAAACTTCTATTACCTGGTGGACGGGCTAATGCCTGGCTGTCAGACCCATGAGCAGGCGTCCCTCATGGGGAACTTGGTCATTCTGGTAGATGCCCGGGTGGCTTTTGTCTGAGCCGTGTCCAGTTTATGCCTGCCTGACTGTTGCTCGGGTGCTGGGAGCCTGGCTTTGCGTTCTCTCTGGCATCTCAGAGCCTGGGACAGCCCCTAGATCCTCCGATGGAAGGCAGAAATTCAATGCACACCACGGTAGGAAACAAGTTTGAAGACTTTTTACTTACAAATCCTGGGCAAGAAGGGAGCAGCGAGTTGGGGAGGGCAGTTCTCTGTCCTCCCAGGCAGAGACATAGTCAGGCAGAGAGAGAGCACGTGGCAACTGGCAGTATATATAAGGAACAGGGTGTGAGTCACTTTAAGATCATGGGCAAATGCTTGAATCGTCCGCTTAAGGGAAGCAAACAGGAAAGTGCTGGGCAGAAGAGATGCCTCCGGGTTCTTATCTCTGGGCACCAGCTTGAGCCATTTGGGTGTAGGGGAGAACTGGAAACTGTCCAGGGTGACTGAGCCCTGCTTCAAGCTACACCTGTATTCAACATTCTTACAAATTGATGTAAGAATTGACTACAGAAGAATGCTAGACTCCCCTCAGGCCATGCATGCCTGCAGCCCAGCCACGCTCCTTGAAGGCAGGGCTGGCAACTTCCACCCTGGGTTGCCCAGGGCTTTGTATAGAAACTCCCATGCGAGAGGCACTTGGTAAATCATCCTTAGATGACTCAATTACTTAAAATAAAATTTGCAAAACGAACTGATCTGGCCTGCTCAGTGCTCAGCCGTTTGTCAGAACACAGATGCCATCGAAAACAAAGTGTTCTTTTTAAAGGTTTTCATGGGAGGTGTTTCCTTTCCCCGAGTTTTAGTATTGGTTTCTCTGCCAAGGCCACCAGAAGGGCAGCTTCCACCAACCTTCATTCTCCTGTGCCCACGTTCACGAAAGCTATTTCACTCCATGAATCTCCCTCTTGCTGTCTGTATCTATGTGCTTCTTTCTGTTAAGGTTCTGCCATGAGCCATCTAGAAAATCATTCTCGGGTTTTAGAAGGAATTGCGTTTTGCCAGCTGATACGCGGGTTTTTATGACACTGTTGGGTGCAGCTCCTTTTCTTTCATACAGAAGACTGCTAAAAACAATTGGAAACCTACCAGGCTGACAAGTCTGAAAACACATAAAGCAGAGAGACGAGCCGGCCGTAGGATACAGTGTCCATCAAGAACGCACTGGGCTGGTGCCCCCGTAGAGTCAAAGCACCTGCCTGGCCTGGCCTTAGGTGCCACGCCCTGACTCCTGTCAGGGCCTCTACTCAGATGTCCACCTAAGGGAAAGAAAACCATTCGTCCTCAGGAGAGTTCTTTCATGGAGGCCTGGACTTATCCAGGATGATGCCTAGTTACAGCACAAAGGCTGGGGGCAGGGTGTAGGGCACTGTCTGACACTTAGTTTGCTTTTGCTGTGAAAGGGGAGTGGTGAGGTGGGGGAGCATGAGCTGGCAGCAGAGGCTGTCCCTTTGTTTCCAATCTCTATAGCCTCTTTGTCCTGTAGAAATTCTACTGTTTGTGTGGAATTAAGATACAGATGGAAATGCATGCCTGTTTTGGGGTGATTGTTTGGTTACCTGGGAGCCCTTGTTTTCAGAAGGGGAGTGAGACTGCCTGGGGATCCTAGAACTCACTAAGGGAGAATAGTGTGTGTCTGTCAAGGTCCTGGGAGCTTAGAGTACACCTGCCTCAAGGTGAGACCAGGTCAGGCTGCCGTGCAGCAGCCGCTGCTCTCACTCAGGCATGGGTGCATTATTGGGCCTGCCAGGACAAAGCAGCCCCAGATGGGAAGATATTCTGACTGCAAATGGCCCAGAGAGAGGGTGTCACAGCCCCAAACACACTCAGCCCTGGGGCTGAACAGCTTTAGCCGAGACCCTTGAATCACCAGGCTGGGTGGGAGTAGGGAGTGCCACTCCTTTCTGCTGCTCCAGGTCACATCCTAGAAAGAGCCGACCCCTGATTCTCAGCTTCTTGGAGCTGTGTGTTGACAGTAACATCCACTGCATGTTTCCATCAGCAGCCAGTGAACCTGGCAGGAATATGATGGATGGGAACTGAACAGAAATCACTCCATTAGTGCCGGGGAATTTGGTTCATCAGAAAGCAGCAGGGTGTGATTTTGTCCATTTGTTTGAAGTCAGAAAGGAGAAGGCAGGGAAGGGGGTGAGCTGATTTTCCAGGGCAGCCGAGTCCAAAAGAAGACAGCATCGGGCTCCAGGTGGCATTTGTTTTCATTAATTGCAGGGACAGGAAGAAGGCAGTGGGTGTCCTTCAACAACCACAGGGATGGCAGTGCTGGGGCTTGAATCCAGAGGGACACTGGCTCGGGGAGGACACAATCTCACCACTCATGTGCCTGCATTCTCTTTGCATCTGTCCCCTCCCTTTTCATATTTCCAAGTGACTTCAGGACCCCACAGCCATCTTGATGCATGAAAATTATGATTTGGGCAACAGCAAGGGTGGAGTGTTGTCCATTTACTTTTCTTTGCCTTTTCTCAACTTGGTTGGACCAACAGAGCTGTGCCCCACTCTCATGTCTGAGCTTGTTCTGAGAAAGGCTATGAAAGATCACCAACCCAGCCTCCAAGTAGCCACGGACTCACCCACCCAGGACGGTGAGCACTCACAGTCAGAAAGATCACCAACCCAGCCTCCAAGGAGCCACGGACTCACCCACCCAGGACGGCCAGCACCCACAGTCAGGAAAGATCACCAACCCAGCCTCCAAGGAGCCACGGACTCACCCACCCAGGACGGTGAGCACCCAGCAGCACGTGATTGACTGCAGGCTGGAAACAGGCTCCACTCCGAGTGTAGAGGGCGGAAGGGAAGAGATGACAGGTGGGCAGCTTGGAAGAAGACAGAACTGAAGAGGGGCCGAGAGCCACGCTGCTGGTGCCAGAGAAACCTTTCCCTGGGCCAGAAGGGCTGGGAGGGGCAGAGCTCCCACCCATCCATCCTGAGCAGAGCCTGGGGGTGGGGAGCAGACTCAGTGTGCCCTGGAACCAGCAGGACCTGGGTTGGATGTGCCTGCTGTGCCACCCTGGGCACATTTATCACCCTCTCTGAGCCCCAGTTTCCTTGTGGGCTTTTGTGAGGGTTGATAGAGTTAATGCTTGTGTGAGACCTGGTGAGTCTCAGCACCAGGTATCGCCGCAATAATCACCCCCATGTTCTTTGCAGGCCCTGTGCAGGGCTCCGGGCTGAGGTGGGGGCTCTGGGGCTGGTGTCTGTGCCTCAGGCACTGGAGAACCGCCCGGGACATGGGAAGATCCCAGGAGCGGCTGTACCTCCTCTACCCAAGCCTGGCCCCAAGGGGAGGAGGAGACGTGTTCTTTCCTCTGTGAGAGTTTATCTTATGAGACGTCTTAATCATACCTAAGCAAGAGCCACACGATCTTAGAAATCCCCGGTGAAATGCTCCACACGCTGGCAAGCCCGGAAGCAGCGCATCTTCCGAGCTAGGCCCTGTGATGGGTCCTGGAATCCCAGGAGGGAGCTTCACTGTGGCTGAACTCCAGAGCTGCCGCCAGCCAAGCGACTCAGGCCGGGCCCCTGACCCTCGGTGGATCCGCGGATCTTGGCTTCATCACCTGCCATTCTGAAGCTGGTCCCAGGACAACAGAAGCCCCTTCCAGGTGGGGGCATTAGGATTGGGCTCTGGAGGCGCAGGGCTGATTCTATGCCGCGGATTCTGTCGGAACACAGTAGGTCCGGCATGGGGCCGCGCATTGTTAAGGAGCTCGCAGGTGGCCCACACCGCGCATTGTTAAGGAGCTCGCAGGCGTTGGTTCTGCTTGTGGGGCAGTGAGGCTGCACCCAGGCCCTCAGGCAGTGGGACCCGCCTCCAGCCTTCTCCCGGCTGGTCCTGCGGCTGGTAAGGGGCAGGCCGGCCGACCCTGCAGAGGCGGAAGCTGCCACGTCACCCTCACCAGCACCAAGCCTGCACCCACAGGCTGTTAGGGAGTCGCAGACACCGCTGAGGAGGCTTCATTAACAATCACAAGCATCGTGCACACGCCTCGCTTCAGGCAAGTCCCAGAGGCAGAAACCCAAACCCACCCCACAGATGCACTCAGCAGACCCCAGCTAAAGCCCCCGTCAAAAGTGACCTCTGTCTTCGTGTCCCACTCCTGTCCCCACGGTGCTGAGCTGGGCAGGGAAGAGGTGGGAGCGTTCCAGGACAAACACCCTGTGAGCATCTCCCTCCTGACACATCCTGTGCGAAAAGTCACGAATCACTGTGCACGCCACACATCTCGTGGATAGCACAGGGATCGGAGAATCTGCCTGGTTCTCTTCACAGGGCACTGGTGAGAATAAAACGAGACGGTGGCACCCCAGCTTCATAAACGCTGAAGGGCACGTAAAACACAAGTCACCATAGACTCATCGCTCTATGCAGCCCCCTGCCCGAGGCAGCCCTTTCTAAACTATCTACCTTCAGAGCCTTTCATAATAGGGAATGGAGGATGAGCTCAAACTTTCTTTCTTTTTTTCTTTTTTTTTTGAGACGGAGTCTCGCTCTGTCGCCCAGGCTGGAGTGCAGTGGCGTGATCTCGGCTCACTGCAAGCTCCGCCTCCCGGGTTCACACCATTCTCCTGCCTCAGCCTCCCGAGTAGCTGGGACAACAGGCGCCCGTCACCACGCCCGGCTAATTTTTTTGTATTTTTAGTAGAGATGGGGTCTCACCGTGTTAGCCAGGATGGTCTCCATCTCCTGATCTCATGATCCGCCCACCTCGGCCTCCCAAAGTGCTGGGATTACAGGCGTGAGCCACCGCACCCGGCCGGGCTCAAACTTTCTCTGTCCCTCTGCAATTCTCACAGAGCATACTGACTCAGCCACCCGGAGGGCCTTGCGTTCCCGTGGGACTGCCGTTCCTTTGAGTGAGGTTTATGGTTCTGTTGGGGATGATGTGGGACATGTTTCTTGAAGTTCTCCTTTTCGGGTGGGCTCAGAGGTGAAGCCATTGGTCCAGGATGTGCAGCTGGTGGTAGCACAACCTCCGTCTCTCTGGCTCCAGAGCCTCCCCTGCTTGCCCTGTCCCAGCCAAACTCAGCCAAATCTACCTCCAGCCCCCTGCCCTGGAGCTCAGGTGGCAGCTCTCTCCAGGCCTTTCCAACAGCGCCTTCAGCAAAAGATGAGATGTTCCCTCAGTTCCCAGGGCCTTGCTCCAGCTCATGGCCAGTCTTCCGTCTCCCCACTTTCTTGGCCCCTGCAGCCAGGCCACATAGCCTGTCTCCTCTGGGACACACTATACCCTCCTTTGGAGCTCCTGACCATGTCTCTCTTCAGTCCCAAAGCTGTCCGTGGCAGCCCCTACTCTCTGCAACGCGACCTCTGCCTTCTCAGTGCTCAGCACAGCAGACCCATGGCAGATAGGAGTAAAGAACCCACGGGTTACTGACAGCTTCCTGCAATCACTGGAATTTTGTTAGGGCTTGGGTTTTCGTTATGGACAACAAGATGGGCGTAGGAAAGTGGATTAGTCAGTGGAGGAGGGGATCTACTGCACCGCCAAGCACCCACGTGTTTATAGCTTCTCCCATATTGCCTGGAGCCTGCAACTTACTAGGTGATGTGTAATTTACTAGGGACTAGGGAAGTAAATACCTACTAGTCACTAGGTATTCAAATACCTAGGATTTCTTTTTTATAAAATTTATTTTTTAAAATTTTACTTTAATTTTACATGTGCTAATTTTACTTGTAATAATTTACAAGTAAAAATTTTTAAATTTTACTTTAATTTTACATGTGCCAAACGTACAGGTTTGTTACATAAGCATACAAGTTCCATGGTGGTTTGAAGCACCTATCAACCCATCATCTAGGTTTTAAGCCCCACATGCATTAGGTATTTCTCCTAATGCTCTCCCTCCCCTTTGCCCCCACCCTCCGAAAGGCCCTGTTGTGTGATGTTCTCCTCCCTGTGTCCATGTGTTCTCATAGTTCAACTCTCACTTTTGAGTGAGAACATGCAGTGTTTGGTTTTCTGTTCTTGTGTTAGTTTGCTGAGAATGATGGTTTCCAGCTTCATCCATGTCCCTGCAAAACACATGAACTCATCCTTTTTTATGGCTGCATAGTATTCCATGGTGTATATGTGCTACATTTTCTTTATCCAATCTATCATTGATGGGCATTTGGGTTGGTTCCAAGTCTTTGCTATTGGAGATAGTGCTGCAATAAACTTAAGTGTGCATGTGTCTTTATAGTAAAATGATTTATAATCCTTTGGGTATATACCCAGTAATGAGATTGCTGGCTCAAATGTTATTTCTGGTTCTAGATCCTTTAGGAACCTCCACACTGTCTTCCACAATGGTTGAACTAATTTACACTCCCACCAACAGTGTGAAAGCATTCCTATTTCTCCGCATCCTTGCCAGCATCTGTTGTTTCCAGACTTTTTAATGATCACCATTCTAACTGGCGTGAGATGGTCAAATACCTAGCGTTTCGTAAGTTTAAATTAAACACCTAATATTTAATAGCTAAGTTTAAATGTGAGGTATAGATAGTATTGAAATAAGTAGGTATTCAGCTACCTAGGATTTGATAAGCAAGTTTAAATACCCAGTGTTTAATAAGTTTAAATATGAGGTACAGCTAGTATTTAGATAGCAGGTATTCAAATACCTACTATTTGATAAGTAAATATGTAGTGATTTACAAGGTCTTGCCTAGAAAATCTGATGACATAATTGTGAAATGGTGACTGTGAAAAAGGACTCTGGAAGGAAATCCACACACGTGTTACCCTGGTAGATGGGAAGGGGGAGATGCGTCTCTCCCAAATACAAGTCCCTGGGGAGGGGTTGTGCATGGACCTGTCCCTTCCCTCCTGCCGGTTCGGGAACACTCCAAAGGCAGGGTGCTTGGTGACCCCTGTGTTCTGGTGCCAGTCCCAGAGCTGGAGACGTTTAAGTCATTTCTAAATCAACAATACCCACCTGCAACATTTATTTAAATCATACGTCCCTCGGGGCAACTAAAGTATGATTTTATTAACAAACATTGCGATTTTATTAAGCAGTCCAAGAACTTTCCTAGCTTGAGCGAGGTTCTCTGTGGTCGGCACACAGCTGGGTTTCCTCCAAGGAGCCCTTGATGAGAAGGCCATGTGGGAACCTGCTGGGAGGGGCCCGGCCTTGTTGGTGCTGGAGCTCAGTCCCCAGGAGGCTCCTCTGTCTTCTGATGTTCCACAAGCCACGAGCCGCCTCTGCACCAGAGCTGACTTGTCTGGAGAGGATTCCGCACAGGTGGCTGACCCCACCGGGCTCTGATACCCTTCAAGAAGAAGGGAATCCTCAGAGTGCCCAGGACACAGCACCACAGTCGGGGAACAAGCAATGCCAGGGCTGGCCGAGGGGGCTCCAGAGGGGATGGCCTGCTCATCACTGTGTAAAAGGCAGATTCTAAAGACCAAGACCCCAGGCCCAGTGACATGGGATGTGCAATGATGCAAGCCGGGCTCCAGCCCTGTTCTCAGAGGAAGCGCTGCTCAGTGAGAGCTTTCTGTGTCGTGGACCCTCTAGGACGCCACTCACAGTGTGCTTGCAACACTGGCAGCTTTTACTAAGTGTAGTAAGTCGGGGGCTTTTGAGTGATTTTCCTGGTAGTATCAATGTGGGCTACTTCAAGGCACTTTTGTGCCAGTGTCCTGTGGACCCTTCCTTAGCCATGTCCTCTGAGCCTGGGAGTGCCCACTGGCCCAGCTCAGACTGTAGTGGGTGGCTGGGACATCACAGTTGCAGGGTGACTTGCTGACCACACCTAGTTATCACATGCCTTGAGATGGGAGGAAGTCCAAGACCCCCACTCCAGATGGGGGACGTTGAGGAATAAATGATGCGTTGAGCCTGCCCAGGACTCCACACCCAGCCGTGGCAGCCCTGGGCCCTGATGTTCAAAAGCCCCAGCAAAGGCCTCCAGCACCCCAGCTGTGTGGGGCCCAGCAAGTCTCACAGAGAGGACAGCCAGCCTCCATGCTCCCATGGAAATTACTCTGTCCTCAGCCGGCTCCTCTGGGCAGAGGCCTTGCCCAGATAGAGGGCTCCAGAGGGGACTGCCTGTACATCACTGTATAAATGGTAGATTCTCAAGATCAGGACCCCAGGCCCAGCGTCATGGGAAGTGCAATGGTGCAAGTTGGCTCCAGCCCTGTTCTCGGAGGACCCGCTGCTCACAGCACCAGCTTTGAACTTCAAGAAACATGTTCATACCATCCCCAACATAACCATTAACCTCACTCAAAGGAACGGCAGTCCCACTGGAACGCAAGCCCCTCAGGGTGGCCAAGTCAGTATGCTCTGTCCCCGGCCCCTAGAAGGTGGCCTGGCTTACAGCAGGTCCTCCATAAATACCTGTGGAATGAATATTCCATGCACTCCGGAGAAGCCTGCAGCACACAGGTGGCTGGGGTTTATGGAAATCCTGGAATCTCTGACTGGAATCTCTGTCTGGAATCCCTGCCTGGGGAGTCACCATCGCACACACGTGAAGGCACCGAAGGAGCAAACGCAGCCGCTGGTGCTAAGATGTGGCACTGCTCACTTGGTGCCGTAAGCTAGAATCTTGTTAATTGGCACCCAGAATTTCTTAAACATCTGGTAACTCCTTTTGCAAACACAAGCATGTTCGTGAGTGTAAGCTCCATTTTGCAGAAGGAAAATTGGAGGCCCAGAGATCCATGGGAAGAGGTGGGGTGGCTGACAAATGCTGGAGAATCCCAAGGTTGGATTCCAGATGATGTTTATGGAGGACCTGCTGCAAGCCAGGCCTCCTTCTAGGAGCTGGAGACAGAGCACACTGACTCAGCCACCCGGAGGGCCTTGCGTTCCAGTGGGACTGCCATTCCTTTGAGTGAGGTTTATGGTTATGTTGGGGATGATGTGGGACATGTTTCTTGAAGTTTGATTTTGGAAAACCGCCTGTTATTCTCCGAATTGCAAAATATGCAGGTGACTGCATGTGCACGAGCTTGTTGAGTTTTAATTTAATTTTTAATTTTATTTTATTCTGAATGGACATCTTGCCACCCAGTGAGACTGTGTCCCCAAGGGTCATCAGGCCTGCAACAGTGTCAAAACTGAGAGAGAGCCTGGGCCCGGCCACAGTGTTTCCGCATATGCTTGGGTCCCTACTCCATGCAAGGAGGGCGTCACCCGGGGCTGGGACCCATCAGGGCATGGGTGCCCAGGGCGGGTTCTGGCATTTGGAAGGGACGGTGAGATGCCAGGGCTCTGTCTGCACAGGGTTGGGAAACAGTTGTTGGGCTCACTCCTCCCCACTGAGCCTGGGCGTGCAGGCAGAACCCAGGCGTGGGGGCGGCCTGGAGGGGCAGGCTGTGCAGACAACAACAGGAGGGACCAGGTGCCTGCAGAGGCCTGATGGCCGATGGCTGCTGTTTCCACTAGAGGGCTCAGGCTCGTGCAGGTGTCCCTGTCTTCCCAGGAGGGCAAGGCTACCTGGTCGGCACAGCTCTGCTACCTGTTGTGAGCTGAGCTGAGCTGAGTGAGGGTCCCAGCTGGGGGCTGCCTCAGGGGCCTGCAGTGCCTGAGGCTATTTGCAAAGAGACAGGGCCACCTAAGAGTTCTCCCCTTCAGTGCTCAGTGGATACATCCAAATTGGGCTCCTTTTAATACTTCTCTGCCCTTTTTCTCCTTCTGCAAATACCGGAGGTTGCTTGTAACCCCCAGAGCAGTCTGGAACTCACTGCCTCAGTGGGAGCAGCAGGGGAGAGTGAGCTATAGAGCAAGATGTGCAAAACTCCCCCCTTCCAGCTGGGGAGGGCCAGAGGCTGGTCCTGCTGCGCGTTCAGCCTCAGACCAGGCCCCCACACCTATGACACATCAACACCAGGATGGACCCTCAGATGTCGCCCCTAAGATGCTCACAAACTCGCAGTGGAGGATCAGGAGATGAGCTGTTCATGGTTTCTGACATCATGAAAGCCTTTATCAGAATGGATGGGGGATCAACAGTGGGTCCCCCAGTGGCTGTGGTCAGCTGAACAGAGGTGTCTGTGTCCTAATTCCCAGAACCTGGGACCGTGTCACCTTCTATAGGAAGAGGGGGGTCTTCGCAGATGTGATTAAAGGCTTGGGCTGGGGAGATGATCCTGGACCTTCTGGATGGGCCATGCATGCATCACGAGTGTCCTCCTTCCCAGAATTCCTCTTACTCCTTGGAATGCCCACCCTGGAATTCCCATCCTGGAATGCCCCATTCTCTTTCCCCCGAGGCCTAGTTGAGACCATGGGAGTTGACATGTGAGAGAGACATTCTCTCCCTGTGTGCCCCAGCCTTGCACTGCTAGGGGGAAAGAAATGATGGGAAAATTCGCTTGGAATTCATTCTCAGAAGTGTGTGTCCACCCACTTCCCAGCAGTGCAGGGTTTCCAGGAAGGGCCAAGAACTCTTAACTGGCCTCAAAGTGGCAGTCACCTCTAGTCCCCAGGATGAGAGGAAATGGCTCAGACCTGTTAACTGGGTGGCTTTTCTACAACGGCTGAATTAGTGAAGGAATGACCAAGCTCTGCCAAATTCCCTGCAGAGACTCCAGCAGAGGAGCTGGGCAGAGGCTGGACGTGTCAGCGTGAGCCGGCCTGCCCCACCCTACATGTATGCATGGATTCTGGGCCTTGGGGTGAGCGCGGGAGAACCACTGAGCCTGTTTGCAAAGGATGGGGCCACCTAAGAGTCCTCCCCTTCAGTGCTCAGTGGGTGCATCCAAACGGGGCTCCTTTTCATACTTCTCTGTCCTTTTGCTCCTTCTTCAAAGACCAGAGGTTGCTTGTAACCTCTGGGCCTTTCTGTGGCCCAGAGGTGGCCACAGAAAGCAGAAATCTGTTCACTCCATCATCAGGCATTGACTGAGCAGCAGGCACTGTTCTGGGCACAGGAAAAACAGCGAGAACAAGAGTCATTCATACTCTACCCTCACGGAGCTCACATTCCAGGGGGAGCCCGAGGAGACCAGCAAACAAAACCTGAGTCAACACAAAGCATGGACGACAGGCTAACAGGTGCTGAGCGGAAAATAAATCACAGAGTAGGGGCATTGGGGTGTGGACGATGCGGTGGCACTGAGGGAAGCTGCCATTTAAATAGGGCCACGGGGAGGTCTCACTGGAGCAGAGACCAGAGGGAGCGTCTCCAGGTGGGAGTTACAGAGAAGCTTGGGTGACAGCATCTAGGCAGAGGAAGCAGCCGGTGTGAAGGCTGCCTCACCCGGCAGTGAGAGATTACTCCCTAGAATGCCCGCCCTGGAATTCCCATCATGGATTGCCCCATTCTCTTTCCCCCTCTTTCCCTGGAGGCCTAGTTTTACCCCTCTTTCATTGCCCTGTGGTGAGAGATCCCTCAGTGACAAGGACAGGGCACCTGGAGTCAAGTGGAGAGAAAATGCTTCCTTGGTAACATGAAGCTTGGGGCTCTGAAACTGTCCTTGTCAGAGCAAAACTGGAGGACTGGAGACACAAGCTTTCATTACAAGCAGGTGACTGGCTGGCTCTGCTTTCAGGACCTAACAGGCAGAGGGAGGGGTCAGGGCAGCTTTCAGAGAGCAGCCCCTCTGCAGGGCCGTGCAGCACTCAGGACCCAACAGCCCGCATGAGACTCAGCGGCTTCCCAGTGCTGCTGAGGAGCAGGGCGGCATCAACGGAATCCCAAACCCACGTGAAAGCTCCCCAAGAATGGGTGCCAATTTCAGGCCCATCGTCACGCGTTGGCCCCACCTCTACTGCTCCCCGTTTTCGGAGGATTTACTCAAGGCTACTTGGTGCCTGTGGATGGCAGAACCACTGATCTTGGTCAACCAAGACAGCATGCGTGTTTCTAGTGCCGCATCTCCAAGAGTCCTTGTTCAGAGATGAAAGTGGCCAGGACTGGTTCTGGGGAAAGAGGCCCCCTTGGTTCAGTAGAAAACCTGACACGGTTTTGCTGAAACGCAGGAGATGCTGTTGGGAACTGGGTGCCTACTGCATGCTTGTTTTGTCCTGGTTGCAAGCATGGATCACCTTGCTGGGTGACTGTGGAGGAAAAGTGAAATATTAAATTTGAACTCAATTGAACATGGACACAAACAATGGTCCCAAGTCCTAGAACAGGTTGTGTGAGCCACTTGAGGCATCCATCCAGTGCTGTTTCGGAGAAATCTCTATTTCAGTCTATTCCTATACATTAGTTATTGAAAAACAATAGACAATCGCAAAAACAAGCTGACATTTTGTGTTCCCTGAGCCCAGTCTCGAAGGGCCCTCGTGACTGGGCCTCATGCCAAACAACTTGTTACAAAAAGAGCGAGGGTCCCAGACCGCACCAAAACTTCATGAGACCTCTCCTTGTCTGTGCAAGGAAGAGTGGCCAACTCTGTAGCTCGGGCTGTTCCTTCCCACTCTGGCGGTGAATCCTCCATAGTCTGGTGAGTGTAAATATCTTTTCCCTTTTCCCCTTCTCATTGCAATTTGCTTATTATATCAATCTGCTTATTATTATATCATTTGCTTATTACAGCTCCATTGCCATTTACGTGGGATAAAGCTTGTTTACCCTTAAAGGTATTGTGTGTGTGTCTTTTCTTCTCCCCTCACGCGTTTCCCACAGAACATTTTTGGCATCAGGAACAGGATCCGAAAGCGAATGCATGCCATTTTTCGGCTGCAAGGACCGGGCTGGGAGCTTGTGGACTTCCCATATCCTGGGATGGGAACTCCCCTGGTTCTCCCTTTTGGCCATTGAGTGATCCAAGGGAACTGGCCTTTGGGAAAATTGTGGGTGTAAATTAGTGCATTTTGAACCATTGGCTGTGTGTGAGGCTCTGCAGGGAATCCCGTTGGTAAAGGGGACGCTGAGGGAATTTCCTGGCATGGAAGGTGCTTGCTTACTGCTTATGAGTTGATATGTCAAGATAGAAACTGGTTGCTTCAAGAGAAATGTAAGCTGGAAAAGGAAAACGTGAATCTGACTTCCAGACTGGCCCTGGCCCAATGCCAGGCCTATGTCTTGACTGATCAAGCTCAAAGCTGTCAGCCTATTGCTGAAGAAAGCAGCTGTCCAAGTGGCCTAGTCAGGGTAGAACTGAAGAACTAGTCAACCGGGGCTTGGAGCAGGTAAAAACCCAGCTCCTATCTCAAGGATAAGAAATTAACCCTAGTAAAATTCAAGGACCTGCACAAACTGTAAAATTCTTTGGCATTCTATGGAATGCAGGGAAATAGTTTATTTTACCAAAGGCTAAGGCTAAAATACTAGAATTTGCAACCCCTACCACTAAAAAGGAGGCCCAAACATTTGTTGGCTTGTTTGGATTCTGGAGACATCATATTCCCGACTTGGGTAACATTTTACAACCTCTGCATGCTGTCACTAGAAAACGCTACGACTTTCGCTGGGGAGAGAAAGAGAGCACGGCTTTTAACAGGCTAAACAAGCAGTGCAACCGGCCCTGGATCTATGGCCCTTACGGGATGGGCCAGTAGAACTGCAAGTAACGGCCGGGCGCGGTGGCTCACACCTGTAATCCCAGCACTTTGGGAGGCTGAGGCGGGCAGATCACGAGGTCAGGAGATTGAGACCATCCTGGCCAACATGGTGAAGCCCCGTCTCTACTAAAAAAAATACAAAAATTAGCCGGGCATGGTGGCGGGTGCCTGTAGTTCCAGCTATCGGGAGGCTGAGGCAGGAGAATGGTGTGAACCCAGGAGGTGGAGCTTGCAGTGAGCCGAGATTGTGCCACTGCACTCCAGCCTGGGCAACAGAGTGAGACTCCGTCTCAAAAAAAAAAAAAAAAAAAAAAAAAAAGAACTGCAAGTAACTGTCCTAGATCAATATGCTAACAAGAGCCTTAGGCAGAAACAAGATGGGAATAAGCTATCTTTGGAATTTTGGAACCAGAAGATGTCAGAGGCCGGCAAAGCTTATACCCCTTTCAAAAATCAACTGTTAGCTTGCTATTGGGCCTTGCTGGAAACAGAGCACCTTGCTTCAACCATGATGTCTTTTTGATTATGACTTGGATCCTGAGTTCCCCTAGAACTCACTGGTTCTGACGAAGGAAGCGGTGGGAGCACCAGCTGGCTGAATTGGTAGCCGTCCTCCAAGCTATTTAGGAGGAGGCCAGAGGGATTTGTCACATGTCTACCAACTCTTGGTCAGTAGCAAATGGTCTTACTACCTGGATGCCCCAATGGCAATGAAACAAATGGTTAATTGGGAATAAAGAGGTTTGGGGAAAACAATACTGGGAAGATATCTGGATCCTGGCGCACACCACCATTATCACTGTTCTCCATGCTGATGCTCAAGCATCTCTGCTTTCTCTTAACAGACTATTTAATCAGCAGGCAGATCAACAGACCAACACTTCCACCATAACTGCAAATTTGAATGCGGATGAATGGATTACAACACGTTCAAGCCTTACAATGAGAGGCATTATAAGGTATGGTGGTATAATTGATAGTGATTACTGGGGAGAGTTAAAGCTCATTTTATACAATACCACTCCAGATTCTTTTGCTATAAATCCGCAGATGTGGGTTGCTCAATTGTTAGTGGTACCTTGTCAACAATTAACCCCTGAGGAAATTTCTGCCCCAATAGAAACAACATATAGAACCGGAAAATTTGGGTCCATCGGAGTGGGTGGGCAACTTAAAACCTTGAGCCAAAATATGGGTGCAGTGTCCATCAGGTCCCGCCCCTAAGGCTGGTGACCTTGTAGCTATAGGAGCAAAAAATGAAGGCATAATACAGTTTCCTAAAGATGAAAAACAATGTCATGTTCCCCTCCAGTTTTGTTATTACGAATAATCTGTCTGCTAGAAATCAGTACTTGGGTCATCATGTCTGAGGCTGGGAATGAGTTCAACAACTGGGTAGCCACTGCTGCAACGGAAGCCAACTGCAGTCGGCACTGGCTATGCATCAAGCTGCCGGAGGCCGCCAGGAATGGGCTACCTCGGAGAATCATCCCTGCTAACATTTCTGAATGGATATGCCAATGCCAATGGGTACAGGATAATAACATTTGTAATCCAACCTGGACTTTTTTAACCAAACTAAACTGTCTATTTTTTCCTAAGCCCAAATGAGACACAGCACTCTTGTTACTTAAATTACACATTACAGCAATACAATTGTAGTAGAACTCTTCCTATTCCCTGGGGGACCCGCTGGGTATGTGGATCCTACAGGTGGTGATACCTGCCTCCACATTGGTCGGGAAGATGCACTTGGGGGTGGCCATTAATTCCATTCACCATCTGGGATAATATTCCCCTCCCCAGTAATCTAGATGCTTACAAACACCGCTGGTTGCGGATGTGCCAGACTCCCTGGTGGTGGTACCCTATCACAATATTCTCCCCTGCCGCCGGTGCAATCCTGTTTCAGCAACAAATTTAAATATTAAGTTTTCACGTAGAAAAGGCTCTTAATGATAGTAGCACTGGACTTACATTGTTATCAGATGAATTTGCTCAGCTGCATACTGTTGTGTTGCAACATGGAATGGCATTAGATATGCTTACCGCCGTCCAAGGAGGGGTTTGCACCTTACTGCATACTGAATGTTGTGTGTATATCCCTGACAATTCTCACAATATGACTCTCCTTGCAAAGCCATGCTGGGTGTGGTTTTTATTAATTGTGTTTTTAATTCTGTGCTTATACTGCATCTGTAACCTATATCAACTATGCCTTCCCCATGTATCTGTAAGGGTATTTTCCTATAACTGAGTATTAAATGGAGGCCGAATGTGGAGGAAAAGTTAAATACCAAATTTGAACTCAATTGAACGTGGACACCAACAATGATCACCAAGTCCTGGAACAGATTGTGTGAGCCGCTTGAGGCGTCCATCCAGTGCTGTTTCAGAGAAATTTATATTTCAATCTATTCCTATATGTTAGTTATTGAAAAACAATAGACAAATTGCAAAAACAAGTTGACCTTTTTGTCTTCCTTGAGCCCAGTTGTAAAGGGCCCTCGTGAATGGGCCTCATGCCAAACAACTTGTTACGAAAAGAGCTCGGGCCTTAGACTGTGCCAAAGCTTCATGAGACCTCTCCTCTTCTGTGCACAGATGAGAGGCCGACTCTGGAGTCCAGGCTGTTGCTTCCCAGTCTGATGGTGAATCCTCCATAGTCTGGAGAGTGTAAATATATATATCTCTTTTCCCTTCTCCCCTTCCCATTGCAATTTGCTTATTATATCATTTGCTTATTATGTCGTTTGCTTATTTTAATTTGCTTATTTTATTAATTTTCTTATTATATCTGCATTGCCGTTTACGTGGGATAAAGCTTGTTTACTCTTAAAGGTATCACGTGTGTGCCTTGTCTTCTCCCCTTGCGCGTCTCCCGCACAGAACAGTGATGCTCCAGCAGAGCTTCAGGGCTTAAAGGGAAATGCATCTATTCTGGTCTTTAAAGCACTTCTGGGTCCTGCAGCTTCATTCTGGCCCTGTTAGCTTAAGCCTGAAATTTGACAAATGATACTCTTCTGGGCTCAGCTAAGGTACCGGGGTTGGGTGAATGGGGGTGACGCCCAGCGCCAACCCTGCCATTTAGAAGTTTTCAAAAAGAACTCACTCTGAAGCCACATCATTTCCACTGAGCCCATCTGGCTGCCTTTGTTGGATGCTGGAGGATAAGGGAAGGAAGGCAAAGGAAAGGATATCCCGTTAGGAAGCATCAGTTGCCACCTTTTAAACTGTAGGATCAAGAATTAACCTCTTGGATGGCACCATTCTGGTGGGTGTGGCCACTGCCCTCGTGGGTGGAGTTGGGGCCTGAGACTGTGCCACACACACCTGTTCATCCCCGAAAGTGGTCAGTCACACACTGGGGACAATGTGGAAACTTCTTGCCTGGATGTAGATATCCCAAACTGGCTGAGAGAGAAGAGGTGCTAGCAGTCAAGATCCCCCTGAAAGGTCTAAAACATTCACTCAGCCTGGTTTGGTCTATTGACGTGGTTTGGTGTCTAGATAAAGCAGTTGGCATGTATTCAAGGGACTGTGCTATAAAAACAGCAGGAGCATTTGAACAAGAAGTTTCTCCCAATCCAGCCAGATGCAAAATGTGAGTGTGGTGGCCTGGCTGGGGGCAGCAGATCCAAGCCCCTCTCTGGCAGAGCATGGGGCGGGGCAGGGGCCACCTCACCACTGAGGCTACGTTTCTCTCTCTCGGGAGGACGTGCCTGCCTCCTCTCTTAGTCTCCCTCCTCTTCACTGAGCTCACACAGCTTGAATTCCTCTAAGGGAAATGTAGGTCTGCTGGGCTTTACTGTATCAATGATGAATTCATAAATGAGTGAATAAATGAGCAACATTGGATGTGCCCTTCTGAGGACCTCTGGATGCTGAGGGTGATCTCTGCTCAAGACTTCTCATGGTCTAGTGCTGGGAAATCAGGAACCCACAGGTGGACCCTCTGTTCCCAGGCCAGGTCCCGTTACTCAGCTCTCATCTCTGCCTTGCTGGACAGAAGTTCAACCCGGTGTTCCAAATGACTGCATCAGGGGAATGGGCCTCTACCTTTGCTCTGCTGTCTAAACGTCTTTGTCTGCCTTTGAAGGGTATTCACATTCTGCCTCCAAATTGAGTTTCCATCTCACCTCTTATGATCCCTTTCACCCTCCTGAATCAGTAGCATCCAATGCACAGTCTTCCTTCTGTCCTCTGAGCCTTTACAGGGAGTTCCTGATCCCCTTAGACTCCCTTGATCCTCTCTCCTGAAGCTCCCTCTCCTGCAAGCCTTCCTCAGCACCCTCCCACAAGCCTGGTCAGTCCTCCTCTGCTTCCTCCAGCATATTTTTGATTTCCCTTTTGCTTTACAAATGACAATACAACATGCATCTGTTTTCTTTGCAAAACTGTGTTCTCCTTGAAAAGAGGGTCATTATTTATCCTCGTGGCTGGTACCGACAACAAGCCTGATTCATGGCGGGTTCCCAAGGCCCCTGCCGGTTTAATGGAATAGTTAGGCTTCCTGCACAGACATCCCCAGGGAGGAAGCAGCGTGGAAGGAAGCCCTTCTCCTGATTCCAGACAGGGGATGGAGCAAGGATGTGGGTGCGGCTGTGCTTGTGGCAGCTGCCTCCTCTTCTAGGACCAGGTCATGTTGGATGACTTTGGTGCCAAGGGGCAGCAATCCCCTCTATATTATCATCATGTACATTTAATTTTTGATTTTAAAAAAGTGATGTGACATTTTTGCAATCATGGGAAAACCTGTCTCAGTTTTTTTTCCCCACAAAAAGGATTTAAATAATCTCACCTCTTTAAGTAGCTCACAGTACCAACCCTTGCCTTGGTCTCAGCGGGGACCAGCTGTGCTGTCCCGGTCACCATCCCTGATCCGGCCAAGACCTTCCTTGGGAAAGTCCTTTGGAAAGTCCTTCCTTTGGAAATTTCCCAGAAGAACCCGAAACTGCAATGGGATGAGACCGTGCCTCTGGCCTTTGTGGTAAGGCAGTTCCGGGGCTGCCGCAGTCACCCCGCCAGGGAGGAGACGCAGAGGCAGTACCGAGCTGCGCCACCAGGGGCAGGAGATGGGGCGCTTCACGCAGACCCCGATGTGAAGCTCAGTGCAGCCTTCCAACCGTGCGTTTCCAGACTCTCACTGCCTGTGGGGTAGATCCTTTGGGCATCTCCACCGAGACCCCAATATGCACTTGTCAGAGCCTGCCTGCCCTCCTCTCCCGTGACCATGCCTCCTTCCCTCCTGGCTGACTCCACACATCCACATGGGAAGGAGACAATGCCGTCTCTCCCAAAAGCTCCCCTAAGAATCCCAGAGTACCCCCCTTCTTCTCCCTAAAATGAATAGATGCATCTGCAACTTATATTTCTTGAAAAGTGGCAAATTACTTTTTAAATCCACTTCCATCATCTGATCTCCACGTTGCTTCTCACAGATGTGTTTGGAGGTGGGGAAGGTGGAGAGGAGACATTTGTTTCCTGTTTCAGCCCAGATTGGAGAATGGGTGAAAGTAAAATATTTATGTTCTTTGTACCCAGCTTGTTTTTCCTGTTTTCCTTCAAAACAAGAGGTCAGAGCCCTTATGAATGAACAGATTGTTGACTTCTATGTCTGAAAACACTCAAAATATCTCCTATTAAGGCCCCTGTTCCACTTCCTTTGTTCTGCCTGGGCGGATGAAGCTGTCTGTGTTCCAGAAACAGAATTTCAAATTAGATTATTTGAATGAAATCAGCAGCTGTTGATTCAGAAGAAATGAAGAGTTGGTGTCATCAGATCCTTGAGCAAGAAGAGACCTCAGGAAAACATCTGGCGCAGGCTCCTGCATAAGCCAGTGGGTGCCCTGGCTAGACGCAACGGAACAGATGATTTGCATTCTCTTACTGAAGGTCCCCAGGGACAAGATGCCACATCTCCCAAGCCGCCCATTGCTGACTGGCCATTTATAGAAACATTTGTTTGAGTTGAGCTCCTGCTTGCAGGAATTAATAGCTTTCAGGGAATATTGTTTGGGTGGGGAGAGAGAGAGAGAGAGAGAGAGTTTCTACTCAATTCCTGGAAATGGCTTGAGAGCCACAGAAAAGCCTTAGCACAAGGGGCCCTAGGAGTGAGTCGAGGAACCTGCTGGTACCTCTCCGAAGTGTTCCCATCTAGGATTTCAGATGCAGCCCTTGTGGAGGTTAACTTTATGTGTCAACTTGATTGGGCCGAGATATTGGCCAAATATTATTCTGAATGTATCTGTGACAGTGTTTTTGGATGAGATTAGCATTCAAATTAGTAGATTTGAGTAGAGCAGATGAGCTCCATAATGCAGGTGGGCCTTATCCAATTAGGTGAAGGCTTAAATAGAACAAAAGATTTAGCTCCTCCGAGCAGGAGGGAAGTTTGCTGGCAGAGGGTCTTTGGACTTGAACTGCAACATCGTCGGCTCTTCCTAGCTCACTGACAGCTTGCCTTTTGACTCAAACTGCAACTCTTTTCGGAGTCTCCATCCCGCCAGACTCCTCCATCAGATTTTGGACTTGCCAAATCTTCACCATTGCCTGAGCCAATTCCTTAAAAAAAAAAAAAAAAAAAAAATATATATATATATATATATATATATATATATATGCACATCCTATCAGTTCTTTTTCTCTGGAGAATCCTGACTAAAACTCCAAGAAGTGGCCCCCAAAAGAGCACAGGGTTGGAAGATTCCAAAACAACAGAACTATAGTATTCTATATACTCTAGAAATAAATCTTTTGATTTCTTTTTGATTTATTTTTCTGTTTCGCTCTCAGCATGTTCCTGCTTTTCTAATATTTGAAGATACATCACACCTGCAGAATTATGCACTCCATTCTACCTTCAGGACATCCTGCCAGCATCTGCACTCAGCCACCAACTAGGAGACCCAGTGCCCATCTCCTGCCAGAACTGCTGCTTTGGGCGGTCTTCTCATTTGCTTCTCCTCATTATTTCTCCATGTGGTAGCCAAAGTTTCTTTCTAAAATGCAAATCTAATCACGCCTGAGCTAGAGCAGACCACTGGAGCCTGGTTTGAGGATGGAAGGACCCTGACTTGGACTCTGTTTTGGTTGCTTTTACTCTGGTTTACTCCAAAGCTGCTAAGAGACCACAAATAGACCATGTGCTCCTCATCACTTCCCTGGTTTTATCTCAAATATCTAGAACCTACCTCTCAGCTCCACAATATGTCTCTGTCTACTTGGTTCACTGTGTTATACTCAGCTAGTTTTTCCCAGAACTTACTGAGTCTCTTCCTACCTTAGGGATGTGGATATGTTCTGTCATCTGTGTAGACCATTGCTCATCTCTCTCCATACCTACCCACGAGCCCCTCCAGGAGCTGGTGATTATTTACTGAGAGTTGAGAGAGAGAGAGAGAGAGAGAGAGAGAGAGGTGATGAGCTCAAGACAAGTTTAGATTTCTATTCTAGAGTCTTGTAACAACACATACTTTTTCTTCCTTGTTCTTATGATATTTTCAATTGTGTGTTTCTTTGTACCACTTATTTGTTCTATATCTTTCCACATAGAGAGCCTGTGACCATTTCTGGGTTAATTTTTCCTGGATTCCTGGGCTCAGCAGGATGCACACCATATAATTAATTTTCAGTTAATAAGGACTTGGATGGATGAAAGATCACCCAGCTTGTGGGTCTCTCTGGGCTTTGTCACCATCATGACCAAATACATCAGGATCTTTCTATGAAATTTTAATTTTTGCTTTTTTAAAATTAAAATCTAAAAATTATTTTCACCAGCAAGAGAAGAAAACACAGTCTCAATTTTGCTGGGAAGTGGTAGACATTTGCCATTCTTTTTGGCTGCCTTGCTTTGCCTTTCCTACACTTGGAAAATTTCCTACCTCTGTGAATCTTAACAGCAAGCAGAGTTACTTCCCATTACAAAAGATGAGAATTCCAGATATTTGTATCACCTAGGCTTTGCCAATCAGATGTTCTCTCCTTTTTTAGAATTGAGAGCGAGTGATGCACAAAAAGGATGAGGTGAGTATTCTCCAAGGCCATGGTGACCATGGTAAACTTGAGTTCCTGAGGCAGTGAGATGGCTGCTACTAGTGACATGCATCCAGGACTAGTTATTTGATGGTGCCAACTTCAGCATCTAATTCTCAGCAATAACGTCCTCACTGGAGCCAAGAACTGGAAAGGCGATACATGGGAGAAGACTGCTGAATCAGAGGACCCTGGGCCACTGAACCCCCATAAGCTTCCCTGACAGCCAAAAGCCCACATTCCCTCTCTCATGGAGTGGACTCTTGCCTTCTTGAAGATACTGTAATTGTCTTGACCAACAACCACTGTGAGAGTCAGCCAGGCCCGAGTATGCCCTTCTTTTCTCCAGACCTTTCACGAGACTCAAAACCTAGTTTGTCCATGGCGGGAACAATTATAAACTAACATACTGAAAGAACTGCAAGGTTGCATTTATTTGTATCAGAAAAATATTATATCACAACTCTAATCTTGGATATTTAAACCAGGACCCAGAGAGCGACATAAAATACAGAAACACTTATGCATCAGTTTAAAAGCATACAAATATTCCGTATATTGTCTGGTAATTTTAAAACATGGTAAATGCCTAAAGAATAGTAAGCAATTGATAGTCACAAAACTAAGGGTAGGGATAATGTCCAGGGATGAGAAAACGGGAAGGGTGCTAGATCCTGAGGTTCTCGTACAAGCTGGGGAGAACACAATACTGAACAGGCTGATTTATTTTCCCAGTATGAGCGCTGGTACCAGAGATTTTGATTTCAATGTGCTAGGTCAAACTTCTGAAAATTGTGATTGTTTGATGAGTTGGTTGAATAGACCCTGACCCAATAATTCACCAGAGGCCCAGCCTTCTTTTGACTACTATAGAGGAAGAAATCTAAGACTAGGAAGATTCAAATACTGGAGTGGATTTCCCATTCACTCACTCACTCCCAAATTATTTTCTACACGAGGGCTCAGAACACTCCCTTTGCCAAGGCATTAAGAGATTATTTGGGCCGGGCACAATGGCTCATGCCTGTAATCCTAGCACTTTGGGGGGCCAAGGTGGGCAGATCATGAGGTCAGGAGATCGAGACCATCCTGGCCAACATGGTGAAACCCTGTCTCTACAAAAAATACAAAAATTAGCTGGGTGTGGTGGCGGGCACCTGTAGTCCCAGCTACTCCAGAGGCTGAGACACAAGAATTGCTTGAACCCAGGAGGTGGAGGTTGCAGTGAGCCAAGATCATGCCACTGCACTCCAGCCTGGCAACAGAGTGAGACTCTGTCAAAAAAAAGAAAAAAAAGAAAGAAAGAAAGAAAAAAGAAATAAATTCTTTGTTGAAGGAAGCACCTGAATCTTTAAAAAGAATGGTGACAACAACAGTTGTCTTTAGGCTGAAGATGCAGAAGTTGCTACCATTAAATTATGCTATCTAATTTAAATATGAATTCTAGGGTCCTGGGAGGCAGAGGACCTGAATACCATCCAGGCAAAGTGAATGTGCAAAGTGGATGTACTTACAACCTAGGCACCAAAAATATAACCAAATACTCTGATGTAAATAAATCATCAGGGGCAGATAACTGATACTGGGAACTCTAAGAACAAAATAGGCAGCATTTACAGATTGGCAAAGTGAATAAAGGGTCCAGACCAATTGATGTGCTGGATTCAGGAGATCCATCTCACATGCAAAGACACACATAGGCTCAAAATAAAGGGATGGAGGAAAACTTACCAAGCAAATGGGAAGAAAAGAAAGCAGGGGTTGCAAACCTAGTCTCTGACAAAACAGACTTTAAACCAACAAAGATAAAAAAGACAAAGGGCATTACACGATAGTAAAGGAAACTATTCCATAAGAAGAGCTAACTATTCCAAATATATATGCATCCAATACAGGTGCACCCAGATTCATAAAACAAGTTCTTAGAGACCTACAAAGAGACTTAGACTCCCACACAATAATAGTGGGAGACTTTAACACCCCACTGTCAGTATTAGACAGATCAGCAAGACAGAAATTAACAAGGATATTTAGGACTTGAACTCAGCTTTGGATCAAGTGGACCTAATAGATATCTACAGAACTTTCCACCCCAAATCAACAGCATATACATTCTTCTCAGTGCCACATGGCACTTATTCTAAAATTGACCACATAATTGGAAGTAAAACACTTCTCAGCAAATGCAAACGAACTGAAATCATAACACTCTCTCAGACCACACTGCAATCGAATTAGAACTCAGGATTAAGAAACTCAAAACCACACAATTACATGGAAATTGAACAACCTGCTCCTGGGTGACTCCTAGGTAAATAATGAAATTAAGGCAGAAATCAAGAAGTTATTTGAAACTAATGAGAACAAAGAAACAACACACCAGAATCTCTGGGACACAGCTAAAGCAGCGTTAAGAAGTAAATTTATAGAACTAAATGGGCCCATATCAGAAAGTTAGAAAGATCTCAAATTGACACCCTAATATCACAATTAAAAGAGCGGAGACGCAAGAACAAACTAATCCAAAAGCTAGCAGAAACCAAGAAATAACTAAGATCAAAGCAGAATTGAAGGAGATAGAGACACAAAAAACCCTCCAAAATATCAATGAATCCAGGAGCTAGTTTTTTGAAAAAAATTAACAAAATAGATAGACTGCTAGCTAGACTAATAAAGGAGAAAAGAGAGAAGAATCAAATAGACACAATAAAAAATGATAAAGGGGATATCACCCCTGACCCCTTAGAAATACAAACTATCATCAAAGAATACTATAAACACCTCTACACAAATAAACTAGAAAATCTAGAAGAAATGGATAAATTCCTGGACCCATACACCCTCCCAAGACTAAACCAGGAAGAAGTCAAATCCCTGAATAGACCAATAACAAGTTCTGAAATTGAGACAGTAATTAATAGCCTACCAACCAAAAAGAGTCCAGGATGAGACGGATTCACAGCCGAATTCTACCAGAGGTACAAAGAGTAGCTGGTACCATTCCTTCTGAAATTATTCTAAACAATTGAAAAGGAGGGACTCATCCCTAACTCATTTTATGTGACCAGCATCATCCTGATTACAAATCTGGCAGAGATACAACTGAAAAAGAAAACTTCAGGCCAATATCCCCTATGAACATTGATGCAAAAATTCTCAATAAAATACTGGCTAATTGAATCCAGCTGCACATCAAAAAACAGCCACCAAAATCAAGTCGTCTTCATCCCTGGGATGCAAGGCTGGTTCAACATAGGCACATCAATCACATAAACAGAACCAAAGACAAAAACCTCGTGATTATCTCAACTGATGCAGAAAAGGCCTTTGATAAAATTCAACATCGCTTCATGTTAAAAACTCTTAATAAACTAGGTATTGATGGAACATATCTCAAAATAATAAGAACTATTTATGACAAACCCACAGCCAATATCATATCATGGATATTTTATTCTCTTTGTAGCAATTGTAAATGGGCAATATCATACTGAATGGGCAAAAGCTGGAAGCATTCTCTTTGAAAACCAGTACAAGACAAGGATGCCCTCTCTCACCACTCCTATTCAGCGTAGTATTGGAAGTTCTGGCCAGGACAGTCAGGCAAGAGAAAGAAATAAAAGTATTCAAATAGGAAGAGAGGAAGTCAAATTGTCTCTGTTTACAGACAACATGATTTTATATTTAGAAAACCCCATCGTCTCAGCCCCAAAACTCCTTAAGCTGATAAGCAACTTCAACGAACTCTCAGGATACAAAATCAGTGTGCAAAAATCACAAGCATTCCTTTACACCAACAATAGACAAGCAGAGAGCCAAATCATGAATGAACTCCCATTCACAATTGCTACCAGAAGAATAAAATACCTAGGAATTCAGCTATCAAGGGACGTGAAAAACCTTTTCAAGGGGAACTAAAACCACTGATCAAGGAAATAAGAGAGGACACAAACAAATGGAAAAACATTCCATCCTCGTACATAGGAAGAATCAATATCATGAAAATGACCATACTGCCCAAAGTAATTTATAGATTCAATGCTATTCCCATCAAACTACCATTGACATTCTTCACAGAATTAGAACAAACTACTTTAAATTTCATATGGAATCCAAGAAGACCCTGTATGGCAAAAACAATTCTAAGCAAAAAGAACAAAGACGGAGGCATCAAGCTACCTGACTTCGAACTATACTACAAGGCTACAGTAACCAAAACAGCATGGTACTGGTACCAAAACAGACACATAGATCAATGGAACAGAACAGAGACCTCAGAAATAACACTACACATCTACAATTATCTAATATTCAACAAACTTGACACAAACAGGCAATGTGGAAAGGATCTCCTATTCAATAAATAGTGCTGGGAAAACTGGCTAGCCATATGCAGAAAACTAAAACTCGACCCCTTCCTTACACCTTATAGAAAAATTAACTCACGTTGGATTAAAGACCTAAATGTAAAACCCAAAACCATAAAAACCCTAGAATAAAACCTAGGCAATACCATTCAGGACATAGGCATGGGCAAAGACTTCATGAAAAAATGCCCCAAACAATTGCAACAAAAGCCAAAATTGACAAATGAGATCCAATTAAACTAAAGAGCTTCTGAACAGCAAAAGAAAGTATCATCAGAGTGAACAGACAACCTACAGAATGGGAGAAATTTTTCTGCAATCTACCCATCTGACAAAAGTCTAGTATCTAGAATTTACAAGGAACTTAAACAAATTTACAAGAAAAAAAGCAAACAACCCCATCAAAAAGTGGGCAAAGGATAAGAACAGGCACTTCTCAAAAAAGATGTTTAAGCAGCCAGAAACATATGAAAAAAAGCTCAACATTACTGATCATTAGAGAAATGGAACTCAAAACCACAATGAGATACCATCTCACATCAGTCAGAATGGTGATTATGAAAAAGTCAAGAAACAATAGATGCTCTCAAGGCTGTGAAGAAATAGGAATGCTTTTACACTGTTGGTGGAAGTGTAAATGGGTTCAATCATTGTGGAAGACAGTATGGGGATTCTTCAAGGATCTAGAACCAGAAATACCATTTTACCCAGCAATCTAATTAATGGGTATATACCCAAAGGAATATAAATCATTCTACTATAAAGACACATGAACACGTATGTTTATTGCAGCACTATTTACAATAGCAAAGTCATGGAACCAACCCAAATGCCCATCAGTGATAGGCATAAAGAAAATGTGGTACATATATACCATAGAATACTGTGCAGCCATAAAAAGGAATATCATGTCCTTTGCAGGGACATAGATGAAGCTGGAAGCTATCATCCTCAGCAAACTAACACAGGAACAGAAAACCAAACACCAAATGTTCTCACTCATGAGTGGGAGTTGAACAATGAGAACACACGGACACAGGGAAGGGAACAACACACACCAGGGCCTGTTGCAGAGTGGGGAGCGAAAGGAGGGAACTTAGAGGTTGGGTCAATAGGTACACTAAACCACCGTGATACACGTATACTTATGTAACAAACCTGCACGTTCTGCACATGTATCCCAGAACTTAAAGTAATTTAAAAAAAAAAAAAGAAAAAAGAGAAAAAATAATAATAGATTTACTTTCTTCAAAATATGGCTATGATAAAAATGTAGTTTCATAAAAATGTGGCTTCATAAAAATGCTCCAAAAAAAGCCTGTTCAACTGGTACAGCCCTGATGAACAGAACTTAAAATGAGCCATAATGATGCAGGCGTTCACCAAATTCTCTGAACTAAGTCAGTCCATAGAGCCAGGATCTCTTGAATTAGGAGCTAGCTACACACCCTGGAGAATCAATCTGGGGATAACCTCACAAATGTGTATCATCCTCCTAGCTCTCTCCAAAAAGAACCAGCAACCTTTTAGCAAGTTGTCTATGCATTGGGCAAAGGCAAGTGCTCAGACTCAGACTCAGGGATTGTTGGACATGGACCAAGCTCACAGTAATTCAGGGTTCATGTTAGACTGGGGGATCATGAGTGTCACATGACGCATGGAATTTTGCACTAATCCCTGTTCTGAAGGTAGGTCCAGGGGCACCTTGAACCAACGTAATTTCTGAGCACATTTCTAGTTGGAAGAAATACAGCAAAATCCCCACAATGCCTTTCTGATCCATGAAATAAGACCTACAGTTGGCCGGGTGTGGTGGCTCATGCCTGTAGTCCCAGCACTTTGGGAGGCCGAGGCGGGTGGATCACGAGGTCAGGAGATCAAGACCATCCTGGTTAACACAGTGAAACCCCATCTCTACTAAAAGTACAAAAAATTAGCCGGGCGTGGTGGTGGGCGCCTGTAGTCCCAGCTACTCGGGAGGCTGAGGCAGGAGAATGGTGTGAACCCAGGAGGCGGAGCTTGCAGTGAGCCGAGATCACGCCACTGCACTCTGGCCTGGGCAAAAGAGCGAGACTCCGTCTCAAAAAAAAATAAAAATAAAAAAAGACCTACAGTTATAGAAAGGGCCAAGTAGAATCAAGTAACCATTCACAAAGACATTTTGTGTTCCTTAAGCTACCAGAAAAAAACTATGACATTGGCTCAAGTGATGGATCTTGACCATCAAACAGGAACAATGATAAACAGTGAAGGGAAGGAGGGGAATGGGATTTAGGGGATCCCCTGGTGCCTACTAGTACTACTAAGCCCAATGGTAATAAAGAAACTAGAGCTGTTGTTGATGGGCAGTCCCACCAAGGCCTCAGATCCCTCGGGAATGAAGGGTTGAAATATGACCCCAAGTAAAGGATATTCCCAGCCACAGTGTTGGCCTAAGGCAGAGGGAACGTGGAGAGTGGAAGAGCGGAGTCGTAGACAGGAGCATTTGTCCCCACTGATGATTCCACTGAGCTACTCTTGTTAAAGTCACCAGTCACCTCCAAATTGCAAAGACAGTGGTGCTGCTATGGTTTGATCTTGTTTGAATTTCGGTGTATTTGACTCACTTTGTCTTACTTCCTCCTTGGAACACATCTCCTCTTGACTCCTGTGACCCTTCACTCTTCCAGATTTTTCCTGTCTCGCAGGAAGCTGTGGCTCAAACTCTTCTGTCAGCTCCTCACTCTTTGATTGACCTATAAGTTTTGGAGGGTCCCAGAAATTAGTAACACATTCTCCCTATTTGATGCCACCTTTTGTGAAAATAGATTTCTCTTCTTTCATTGGTGGTTTTCTTCCCTTGGCTTCCAACACAGCACATGCTCTTGGTCTCTCTGCTGCATCAGCGCCTGCTCCTTCTCACCTCCTTTGAGGTTTCTCTTCATCTACACAGCTTCTTTTTTTTTAACATTTTATTTTATAGTATAATGTTAAGTAACTAAGCAAGATACAGGATACTAGATGTTATATACTTTTATATGCAGCTTCTTAAAGCCAGAGAGCCAGAGAACTCAGACCTTGGTACTTTTCTCAAGAGTATCCACTCTCTATGCAGTCAGTTGGATGGTTTAAAATAACATCTACATGCCAATGAGTCCATATTTACATCTTCAGGCAAGACCCTCTCAGAAAGTCCAGATTCCAGCCCCAATGCAGGCTCAATGTGTGCACATTTGCAAATTCCGCCAGGATCCTTCACCCAAACTCCAGATTTAATATCCAAATGCTTGGTCCACAGCTCTGCAGGGAGATCCAACATCTCAAATTCAACATGTCCAAAATTTAACTCCAAATCCTGCTCCAACTTGCCTCAAGGAATGGCAACTCCATCCTTCCAGTTTCTCAGGCCACAAACCTTGGCCATCCTTGACTCCCTGCTTTCTCTCACCCCCCCACACACTCTCTTATGTTATCTTGTTGGCTCTCCTTTCAACATAGCTCCACATCTGGAGATGATAGACAAGCTTCTTTAGGACGTCTCATACAGAACAACTTTAGTATAGAAAATTTTATATAGAAAAATGTCTTTTTGTAGGAAATTAGAAAAAAATACATTTTCAAGCCAAAAACGTCTGTTTGAAGGCATCTGACAGCAACGGAGATAGCAGGGAAGTGTGGGACCACGATCCCAGAGACAGGTTCACTCCAGAAGGCAAGCCAGGGCTGTGGCCTGACTTTTCCACTTGAAGCATTTGCTGATTTGACAAAAGGAGGCAGAGAGGCCAGGTGTGGTGGCTCACACCTATAATCCCAGCACTTTGAGAGGCTGAGGTGGGCAGATCACAAGGAGTTCGAGACCAGCCTGGCCAACATGGTAAAATCCCGTCTCTACTAAAAATACAAAAATTAGCTGGGCATGGTAGCAGGTGCCTGTAATCCCAGCTACTTGGGAGGCTGAGGCAGGAGAATCACTTGAAACCGGAAGGCAGAGGTTGCAGTGAGCCAAGATTGTGCTACTGCACTCCAAACTGGGCGAAAAGAGCAATACTCTGTATCAAAAAAAAAAAAAAAAAATGGGGTGGCAGAGAGACTAAGAAGATGAGTAGAGCTGTTTGCAGCTCCTGGGGCAGACAGTGGGTGTGAAAGATGCCCTGGCTGTCCAGGAGGGACCTGGCTGTCCAGGAGGAGGAGGTGTTCCAGCAAGCACGCTGGGTGTCAACTTCAGACCAGGAAGGGCTGCAGCCTGGGCGTAAGAGCCACCATCAGTAGACTGGCCTCCCCCAGACCTCCAAAAAGGAATGGGAGGAGGAACAACAGCAGCAACAGAACCATAAATCCTGACTTGCAAGGGCTTGGTTACAGCCTGATTAGGTCATCTCCCTCCCCACCTCCAGCAAGGAGAAAAACAGAGAAGGAGCCCCATGTAGTGCTGTGTTCTCTGTGCAGGCAGCTCCTGATTTATGAGCAGAAGTCTGGAGGTTGAAAAACCAGGAAGAAAGTGGTGTTTAGGAAGCTGAGAGGCTAACAGAGCGCTTGGTAATCTCACAGTGTTAGGGGAACAAAATTAAAATTCGGGACCTTTCCATCACAGGAAGCCCTGTTAAACACCTCCTATTTTCAGTGTCCTATTGCATTAAACAAAATGCAAGAATTAAATAAAAACCAAGAGAAAAACAGACAGTAGAAACAAGCCCACAGTGATTCACAGATGTTGAGATTTCAGACACAGACCTTAAAGTAACTGTGATTAATATGTTCAGGAAATTTAAGAACAAGATATAGAATGTTGGCGGAGAAATGGAAACTGTGAAAATAAATCAAAATGAAATTCTAGAACTTAAAAAAATAAACATCCACATATTAAGCACTTATAAAGACAAATGCAATGAAAAATGGGCCGAAGGTTTTAAATGGGCACTTCACAAATGAGGATATTCAAATTGGTCCATTAAACACGAAAAGATGCTCAACCTCATTAATCATCCAGGGAATGAAAATTAAAATCATGAGAGGATACCACTATAAACTGACCAGAATAGCTAAAATTAAAAAGTCACAATACCAAGTAGGGAGAAACTGAAAACTTCTTAGCCTGTTGGTGGAAGCATAAAATGGTGCAACCACTTGGGAAAAGTGTTGGATAGTATCTTCTGAAGTTGAAATGTGCGTATCCGGTGGCCCAGAAATTCCACTGCTAGGTGTACATGAAACGAGTGTATACTTTAACGGCCTTACTCATAGTGGCCAAAATAAGAATCAACCCAAATCTCCAATGCAAAGTGCATCGTGGTATATTTGAACAACGCAAAGCTATACAGCAACAAAAACGAGTAAATTCTTGCTACAATTGACAACTGGACGAATCACTTACCATGTTGAACAAAAAAAGTCACTTGTGGGAAAATACGTATTGTATGATTCCATTATACAAATTATAAAAGAGGCATACCCTACTCTATGGCTTAGAACTTGAGATACTGGTTACCCTCAGAATCCAGATGATGGGTTGAGGCTGGGAAGGTGTGCTGGAGAGCTGGGTTGGGCACACGTGGACATGTTCAATTCCTGATAATTCCTTGAGCTGTGTGCCTATGGTTTGTGCACTATTCTGTATGAACAAACATTTAAGTAGAAACTGTGTATTTGAAACAACACCACATCTCTAGGAGATGCACGCTCATCACCTCCATTGCTGCCGCTGTCTCAAGCCCCCGTTGCCTCCCACCTGGACTTCTGTAGCAACCTCTGGATGGTCTCTCTGCTTCCACCTTGCCCACCTGCTGTGATACTCATAACAGAGCAACCAGAGGGATCCTTCTCAAACCCACATCAAATCCTGCAGGACTGGGGCTTTCCTGCCTCTCTGACCCCACCTCCTGC
Source organism: Homo sapiens (assembly GCF_000001405.40). NCBI lineage: Eukaryota > Metazoa > Chordata > Mammalia > Primates > Hominidae > Homo > Homo sapiens. Next base: position 4,572,197 of record NC_000001.11, on the reverse strand, counting down.
CACTCTTCCCCTCCCCTGCTCTACACCTGCCGGTCACTCTCTTTCTCTTCCTTGAAGACATCATGCTCATTCTTGCTGCAGCTCATCTGCAGGAGCTGCTTCTGCTACCTGGAATGTTCTTTGCCCTGGTTGCCCCTTGGTGGCATCTGGGTCCCAGAGTCCTCAGCTAAAATATCTTGGGAGTCCTGCCTTGACCTCCCAGCTGAGGTGGCCACCCCTTATCTCAAGTCATTTTGATTCTCTGCACTGACCTTTCCCTTCCTAATGTATTTTCTTCCTTCCTCCCTCCTGCCCTTCTCCCTCCCTCCCTTCCTATCTGCTCGCTAGGATGAAACCTACAAGAGAGCAGACTTTGTCTGTCTTATTCCTGCAGCATCCTGAGCATCTCAAACAGTGTTTTGCATATATATGAACATAATAATTATGTGAAATGAATAAAATACATTTGGAAAATGCTGCCCACTATTTATCTCTCTTGGAGAGCCTTAATTTACATTAGCATATTAATGATTCTGAGAAGTCCTACAGTTAAAAAAAAAAAAAAAGAAAGAAAAAGAAACCTGCTTACCTTTCACTCAGTATTTCCCAACCTTTTTTGAACACAAGACACTATTTTTGCATTACATCTATTGACGTCCGCTTTTGGCAATGCCACCTCCAAGGGTTTGCAGCCATCGCTGTTGGGGCCTCCCTTGTGGCAGACACCCATCTGGATGAGCATTATACCCACATTATCTCCATCGCCATGACAACCAGAAAGGCCAGGCATTATTATCCTCATTTTAAGGAAATGAGGTGTGCTACATTGAAGTGGCTCCTTGTGCGATGTGGGCAACACACATATGAAGCTGGGGTGTGACTGCACTTCTGTCTCACTCCAAAACCATGCTCTTGACCTCTTGTTTGGGTAAACACGATGGCAAAGCTTATCACCATGCAGAGCGTGACGTCCCACAGCAGTCTCCACCTGCTTGGGAGCAGGGGATGAATGCACACCCGCAAGTGGGTTGATCATTCAGCTTCTTGGAGAAGGTGAGACCCCCCCACTTCATTTTGTATTTCTGCACCCTCATGATATGCTCCAAGTCATCACCATGGGACACATTCTCAAGCACATTTTCATAGCCACGAAATTGTGTTTTATGAAATCCTTGGCCAAACAGACAGAAAAAGATGGCAAAAGTTAACAAATTTCCAATCAACACAAGGGGATAATGTATTCAGCCTCTGCTTCATGCCAGGAATGCCAGGAATTAGGAGCAATTTCAGACCCTCCTTTCTCTAGGGCTCTAATCCTTGCATTGCATCAGCTTTTGTTCATCTTCTGGTCCCTTTGGTGTTTGTCCAGGACAGAGCGGCTCTGAAAAACGCCCACCACTTTTAGGTACCATTGCCTAGGGGAAGTCCACCTGGTGGTAAAAATGAGATTGCTCAATGGATGCTGGAGTTCACTGGCAGCAAAAGAGGTCCCTTCCTTTCCCCCTTTAGGCCTGCTCATCTGCAGGAATATGGTCATGAGTAAGCTTTCCTCTTCATTGTCTCATGAAACCCCTGGAGTCCGAGATGATGGACAGACAGCAGAAATTACAAAATACTTCAAGAGCCAAAATACTTGAAAACCACGGAAATTCTAACCAGAAACTCACACACCCCAAGCTCCCTTGTCTAGGTGAACTGGAAGAAGGCCCCCTAGTCAGGGTTTCCCAAGCTCAGCACCATTGACATTGAGGCCAGATGATACCTTGCAGGGGCGGGGATTGCCATGTATAGTGTAGAATGTTCAGTAGCATCCCCAGTCCCTACCCACTATGCCAGGACCTCCCCCATTCCTTTAATTTGTAACAACAAGAAATGTCTCCGGATATTGCCAAGTTTCTCCGGGGTGGGGGCGGGCAAGATTACTCCTATTGAGAACGAATAATCTAGATTAGTGAAAAGTCTAAAATAGAGCGTGTTTTAAAAGAAATAGAGATTAATTTGTCAAATAGCATACTGAATCACCAAAACTAAGTGTTTCCCCTGGGGCGCTTATTTTACTAAAACATACTCATTTTTTCAATCAGCAAATATCTTTGAGCATTAAGCACCAGGCTGGTCCCAGCCTACATGAGGTCCCCGCCTTTCAATCTAGCAGAAAAGCAGATAAGACAGATTGGTAATTGGCAAGTCAATTATAGATCACATAAATGGGGTCCTCCGGTCCTTGGAAATCAGCTGCTAACTACAAGAAGTTCAGCCTCCCTCCTGCAATCTTGTTTGCATTATAAATTTGTTTAGCTAAACCTTCCATTCACTGTATCTCCGAATTATCATAAATTTCAGATTAGTGGCATGCATACGAATGAGTGTTTGCCAGTTTCCAAGCAAAATGAGCTGAGAGGAGGCCTTTGAGGGGCTGAGAGCTCATCTGACATCCATGGTGGCCTTCCTAAGGACCCTCTTCTGGCAGATGCAGGGAGGAAAATCAGAACAGTTCCTTCGGGGTCTGAGGTTTAAAATAAAAATGGCTGAGGGGCTTGACATTTCAAGCCAATGTCAACATTTCTGCTCTCCCTATGGCTTATTAACAAGGCACCGTGTCCTACTTTTTAAATCAATTTCAAAAGAAGTTCACCAGCTTGTATGCTAGGGAAGGGCGTGTAAGGAAATGGGGGTAGTTGTATTTTTCCAAAAAAATTTGTTTCGGAGGGAAAAAAAGGTAATTTAGTTGTGTTGGCCAAAAAAAAAAAGAAAAGAAAAGAAAGAAAACCAAGCCAAGTAGTTTGGAAAAGTAGTTTCAAATACCCTCTCCAAACGGAACTGGGGTCATCCATTAGAAAAGAGATCTCTCACTCACTCCCATCACCACAACGATTTCGGTGTAGAGGCATCAGCCCTGGTAAGCGAGTAGCTCTGGCCTCCCTCTGTTACCAATCAGTCTCCCAGCCAACTGGCTTTCATTGTAGGACCCACCTCCTGGTCTTCACTGCAACTTTCTCCAGCACCAGGTCAGACCTAAAAGCATCAAATAGCAGCACAGACAAAAATCAATATTGTTGGTCAAACTGCGAAAAGTGTCACAGGGTCAGAAGTCGTGTGCATCCATGTACATGCAATGTGTCTTCTTTTGCTACCCTGCCATCCATCATGAAATGCTCTTGAGGTGCTCGTACCAAAAGGAACTGACATCCAAATATAAGAGATTACAAAAGGTGGAAGAAGATAACATTCTGGAATGCTTGCATACCTGCCTTTCCAGTGGGTCCTTCCTATGCTCTCATCCTGCGGAAGGCTCTGTGAGCTCTTGTCTCCACTGGTTGGCATGAAGGTCATGTTCCTGAGAAGTACCCTGGTGAGTGGCAAAAACTGAAATTGACATCAAGATCCCATGGAAAACAGGGAATGAGAAGAAAATACAAAAGTGCTGTCCTTCCTACTGAGTTTTCCGCTGTAAAACTTGTCGAGCAGGCTGGGGTGGGGCGTATCAAAATCTCCAACGGGTGGCTGGTGAGGGACAAGGAAATATTCTCTTTAAAGTCCTCCTACCCCAAGTTCTATGCTGGCCTGGCACAGAGGCCCGTGCTCTTCTTCACCTGCACAAGAGCCACTGCAGTGATAAGGATGATGGTTACTGTTCAACATGGATCCTGCTTATGGTTAGAGGCTGAGAACTGCTGTCAGATTCTTGCATTGCTTAAAAATGCCCCACGGAGGCCCCAACAGTGCAGCTGCAATTCTGACAAGTGCTTTTATTTTATCTTCCAGTGACAGATCTTCTTTGTCTTTGCTTGTTCACTTGCAGCCATTTTTGAGCATTAAAAGCTATTTGATGCTTTTAGGTCTGATCTGGTGCTGGAGAAAGTTGCAGTGAAGACCAGGAGGTGGGTCCCACAATGAAATACAGAGAGTAAAATACATGTTTTTATGCACCCAAATGATTTTCGAGGCACAGTATTAGAAGAATAACTAATTCCTATTGCCTGCATGCACCAAGCATTGACAAAGTGTTTCTTAGATATTATGAATGAAGGATCATGCAGTTAATCTCATTAACTCCCAAGTTTCCCAAACAGCACCATAGTAACCTGTGGATCAAGCAAGGCCAAGTTCATTGCTCAGTGCAGTGGGGAGAACTCCACCTTGACAGAGGTCACAGGGAGGTGAAGGGGGAACGCATATAGATTTTGGGGGTCTGGGTTTGGGTAGCTCGAGATGGGTTTTTCAATACACAGATCTGATTGGGATGTTTGCCATATAATGGTTTAGGATCGGTGGACATAGCCAGGCAAGCGTCTTGGATGAAATTTTGATGAGTAAACAATCATCTGATAAATAATTGGGTTTTCCCGGTGTATTAGTCTGTTTTCATACTGCTGATAAAGACATACCTGAGACTGAGTAACTTATAAAGAAAAAGAGGTCTAATGGACTCACAGTTCCATGCGGCTGGGGAGCCCTCACAATCATGGTGGAAGGCAAAAGGCATGTCTCACATGGTGGCAGACAAGAGAGAAAATGAGAACCAAGCCAAAGGGGTTTCCCCTTATAAAACCATCAGGTCTCATGAGACTTATTCACTACCACAAGAACAGTATGAGGGAAACTGCCCCCGTGAGTTAATGGTCTCCCTCCAGATCCCTCCTATAACACGTGGGAATTATGGAAACTACAATGCAAGATGAGATTTGGGTGGGGACACAGCCAAACCATACCACCCAGTTAGCGATCTATTGTCCTGAGAATGGGGCTGCTTGCCCAGAGGAGCCAACTATGGTGCTGCCAAACAGATTTTGGGGTTGTCGCTGAGGGTAATAATTCTGTGGTTTACTCATTTACAGCCTTATCTTCCTGGCAAGAATTTCTCGGCACAAATAGTAAAGTTAGGTTGGGGCGAGTGCCTTCATTTCAGTCCTGATAAGTAAACTGCCCGGATGTAAGTGTCACAGTTCTGGACCCACCTCAACAATCTTCGGTGAGAGGTGCTAGTATTATCTTCCATTTTACAACTGGAAAAAATAAGGCACAGAGAGGTTGAGTAATTTGCCCAAAGCCACATAGCTAGTAAGTGGCAGAGTCAGGATTTGAACCTGGGCTTTCTGGCTCCCAAATCCATGCCCTACCTGACACTGCCGTTTGCAAAAACAAGTCCAAAAAAAGTACAGGAAAAGCAGAAGCCAGAGAAATCTGCAGAGAACGTCCATTAAGCCGTCCACAAAGCCTGTAGTTTAATTAGACATGACAGGGTGTCACTCAGTGAGTCAACTGACCAGTGCTGTCTCCTCTTCATGCCAGTGCAAGCCCCCCTCCCCCACCCCAAGGATCACAGGAGAGAAAGAACAATAAGAGAACTGAATTGAATCTCATAGAGGTAAAAAGAAATCTGCAGATTGAGATATTTTGAGCATTTGGATAAATAAACAGTGCCTTTATTTCAAAACCATGATTGGTAAGGTAGAATGCCATGTTGTGGCCTGAAAAAAAAAATTATCTCTTGTTGAAGCCCAACAAGAATGAACTTGGTAGTGCCATTTCTTCACTCTCCTCTACCTTCTGCAACCTCAGAGTTGAATCTTGTTTAGATTCATATACACGCAAAAAATGTACTCAAGAGAAGATTTACTGTGTTCTGAAGGTGTTGGTAGCTGGGGAGAGCTTAGTGGAGAACGTGAGCTCTCAAGGGTGGTGGGGGAGTGTGTGGGTGGTGAGCAGCTGGTCTGTTCCGACAAGGAAGTTGCTGTTTGCAGCAGGAGAGGGAAATAGGATACAAGGCGAGGGACAACAACCTGGGTCTGATCCAAGAGGCAATGGGGAGCCACTGAAGGTTCTTGAGCAAGGGAGATGCATGGCAAGGCAGGCTGAGGCTCACAACACAGAAAAACAACGAAGTCAGTGAGTTTAGAGACTACCAACAGATCTGATTTATGTGACTTGCTAAACTGTGTTTCACTAAGAGGCAGCGAATCTCTGGTAAATGATTAGGAAAATAGAATTTTAACTCAGACCCATTGGGAAAATAGTTAAACATTATCTCTGCTATGTTCTCACCTCCATATGGGAGCACGTCCATCTATGATCTCCCTGGAAGGAGGAATTTACTGAGCGAGGGGCCTTGTCATCAAATACAATCTTATGCTGGTGTGTTCAAGGAATGTTACCTCTCCCATATATAAGATCAATTCTACTCTATATTCAAAAGCCCTTAAACGTGAGAGGAGCAATCTGTCTTCGTTTACGGCTGTGGGAGGTGGAAAGGAAACCTGCCATATTAAATAACCCAGTGGAGAGGCAGCGAAGGTCATCATCAGGAGGGGCATCCCCTTCCTGAACCAAGTCAGCAGCAGCTGCCAGAGCCACAGCGAGGGCGGAGATGAGGAGCCCCCCGCAGGCCTGGCTGCAGATCCTTGCAGCCTCTGTGTCAGGTGTCAATGCGAGGCAGGATGCTGGGGCTGGTCTGAGGGGTGTGATGGGCTGCTCTGTGTCCCCAAAATTCACATATTGAAGTCCTAACCCATAGTACATCAGAACATGAGTGTATGTGGAGATGGGGTCTTTACAGAGGTCATCAAGTAAAGGCGAGGTCACGAGAGTGGGCCATAACCCAATCAATGGACATCCTTATTAAACAGACACACAGAGGGGCGAACCTGTGAGGACCCAGAGAGAAGATGGCATTTACAAGCCAAGGAGAGAGGCCTCAGGAGGAACCAGCCCTGTTGACTGACACGTTGATCTTGGACTTCCAGAGTTCAGAACTGTGAGACTGTCCATTTCGTTGTTTAAGCCGCCCAGTCTGCAGTACTTTGATATGGCAGCAAACTAATACAGATGGTTTATGCAAAAATCCACATTCCATGTCTATGCAGTTGAGGCCAATGGAAGGTCACACAGTTGGTTACAAATTAGCTACTCACAGCATGGATAATCAAAATTAATAAAACCTAGTATGTTTAAAAATTAACTATTTAAAAAGGGGTAAGAGGCTCTATGAGACTTTGTATAAATCAGAGACTTTCTCAAAGACTGATGTTGATTTTCAAAAAATGTTAGAATGTTGCCCCTTCTGCTGATTCCACCAAGTCCCTGCAGGCGATTCAAATGGAGGCCTGGTTTGATCAATCAAGAGAATGAAAGCAAATGACAAACTCCTCGGTAGGAGGAAAATCTTACATAAGAGACAATTCTTCTGATCAGTTTTCTATTCTTTGTAATAAATCAACTGGTCATCACTGAACTGGCAATCTAGGCGTGGGTGAAGAACTGAGTAATTTTGTTCAGATAAACTGGCTGTCTGAAACCCTGCTCCAATCTGAAAAGTGAGTTGGGGAGTCAGGAAGATCAAGCCAGTCATGTATTAACTGATCCCAGCGCTCCACTCTTTGCCTTTCTGCTCCTAAAAAATTACATTTTTCCTGCAACGGGATTCATCTGTCTTTTACATGTGCTCAGATCTCAGGTCTTTACCCTCTTTTTTTTTTTTTTTTTTTTTTTGAGACAGTTTCACTCTTGTTGCCCAAGCTGGAGTGCAGTGACACCATCTCGGCTCACTGCAACCTCTGCCTCCAGGGTTCAAGTGATTCTCCTGCCTCAGCCTCCAGAGTAGCTGGGGTTACAGGCGACTGCCACAACGCCTGGCTAATTTTTTTGTATTTTCAGTAGAAACAAGGTTTCACCATGCTGGCCAGGCTGTTCTTGAACTCCTGACCTCAGGTGATCCGCCCACCTCGGCCTCCCAAAGTGCTGGGATTACAAGCGTGAGCCACCGCGCCCAGCCAGGCTTCACCCTCTTGGGCAGCTGCGGTGGGCAGGATGGGGGTTCCCTGGGTAGAGGGGAAGCTGCGGAGATTAGGATACACTCTCCTTGTCTGGGTGCATAAAGGGTTAACTGGCTGACGGATGGCTCACTGCTTATGAAGGGGCGGGCGCTAATTCATCCTGGAGGCACCAGCTTCAGAAACAGAAACCTTGGCCGTAAGAGAGAGCAACGGCACATAACCCCAATTACCCAGAGTAATAAGGCTCAGCAGACACTTCCAAGGTACGGGGAGTATTTGCACCTGCTCAGCAGTTTCCTCTTAAAAGCCAACTATTTATATCCATTCTCGCCCTCGGACTTGATGGGAACCAAATGTACTTGGTGTTCTCTCTAGTAGGGGGTCTCATGTAACCATTTTATTTTTATGAATGAGGTGTTAAATCTTTAGAAAAGAAAAGTTCATTCCTTGCTCACAGGAGGAGGCGGGGAGATGGGGGAAGATTCACCTTGGCATGACCTTGTCCATGCCCTCCAGCTGCTGTTGGGTACCAGGGAGCCCAGGGCTGTGGCACCCCCTGGTGACTGTAAGCAGTGGCCTGGTTGGGACTTCGCTTGTGGGTAACTCACATTCTTTCCGTGCCACCATCCCTACTGACCTCCTCCTAGGTCCTCTCCCTGCCACACCCTGGCACATGAACATGGTATCCTAGAACCCCAGTGTTCAACCCTCAATTGCCAGCGTTGAAGTGGCCTGGGGAAGAAAGCTTAGAAACATAAAGGAGCCTCATGTCAAACAGCTAGGGCTTCATGAGAAGCCCTAGGCTTAGGGCAAAAATTGACAGGGTTTAAATGCTTCCCATTTTAGCCAGGCTCAGTGGCTCCCATCTGTAATCCCAGCACTTTGGGAGGCCGAGGCAGGAAGATTGCTTGAGTCCAGGAGTTCAAGACAAGCCTGGGCAACATAGGGAGACCTCCCAATGTCTACAAAAAATAAAAAATTAGCCGGGCTTGGTGGTGCGTGCCTGTAGTCCCAGCTACTCGGGAGGCTGAGGAGGGAGGATCACTTGAGCCCAGGTGTTAAACGCTGCAATGAGCTATGATCGCACCATTGCATTCCAGCCTGGGTTACAGAGAGAGACCCTGTCTCTAAAAAAATAGGCTGGGCACAGTGGCTCACACCTGTAATCCCAGCACTTTGGGAGACCAAGGCAGGTGGATCACTTGAGGTCAGGAGTTTGAGATCAGCCTGGCCAACATGGTGAAACCCCATCTCTACTAAAAATACAAAAAAAAAAAAAAAAGCCAGACATGGTGGCACATAGTCCCAGCTACCTGGGAGGCTGAGGCATGAGAATCACTTGAACCCGGGAGGTGGAGTTTGCAGTGAGCTGAGATCATGCCACTGCTCCACCCTGGGTGACAGCATGAGACTCCAACTCAAAAGTAAAAAGTAAAAATCAAAATAAAACAAAATAAATAAAAACAAGTCTCCCATGGGTTTCTATCTTGCAGATGGGGTTGAGAAAAACCATCTCAACCTGAAACTTTGATGGCCTGACTTTCCCATCCCTCAGGGAAGGGAGGGCCAGCCAGGTCTCTTGGCTCCGCTGTTGCTAAGAGCATCTCAGTTGCAAGTGGCCTAGGGAAGGACAAAGGGCCGAAGGAGAAGGAAATGGGTATTTACTGAACACCGGTATGTGTCAGGCACTCAGCAAGATGCTCTACAAATTGTCCTTCATTTTGTTCATGCAGCAGCATTTGGGGGAAAATATCATTTTCTCAATGCAGAGAAGAATTAAAGATGGCCACAAAAATTCTTTGCCACTCTTCCCACGGAGAGGAAAACTCCTTGCCCCTCCACTTGAATCTGGGCAGGCTCTGTGACTGTTTGTCCAGTAGACAATGGCCGGGGTGATTCGGTGCTGTCTTCCGGGCCAGGGCCTTCAGAGATGGCAGCTTCCATTCCCATCACCTTAGAATGCTCACTCTTTGGGAAGACATTTGCCGTGTAAGAAATCAACGACTCGGGCCAACTACGGTGGCTCACGCCTGTAATCCCAGCACTTTTGGAGGCCAAGGTGGGTGGATCACTTGAGATCAGGAGAGTGAGACCAGCCTGGCCAACATGGTGAAACCCCATCTCTATTAAAAATGCAAAAATTAGCTGAGTGTAGTGGAGAGCACCTGTAATCCCAGCTACTCAGGAGGCTGAGGTAGGAGAATCACTTGAATCTGGAGGTAGAGGTTGCAGTGAGCCAAGATCATGCCACTGAACCCCAGCCTGGGTGACACAGTGAGACTCTGTCTCAAAAAAAAGAAAAAGAAAAGAAATAAACTACTCTGAGAAGGCCACGTTGCAAGGAAGCCCACGCCACCCCCATGGAAAGGCCATGGAGAGAGCAGGCTGCCCCACCCGCCCCAGCCTTCCTGCCAGCCCAGATTTGGTGCCTAAGATGTAAGTGAAGAGGCCAGTTTGCCCTTCCAGCCCTACCAAACCTTTGATGACTCAAGATGCAGCCCCCATCTAGACATGACCAGAGAGATTCCAGATGAAAACCGCTCCACTGAGCGCAGTCCATCCATGAAACTTTGAGAGATAACTTACAATTGCTGTTATAATAAACCACGAAGTGTTAGAGTGGTTTGCCGCACAGGAAGGGATCATGAGAAGTCCCATCTGTCTGGGTTGTCCTAAGAAAAGAAAGTGGGTCTCAAAATGATTGCCTTCTCTGAGGCCTCGAGATGACCCAAAGGTTGAGACCGAAACTGGAATTTGCTAGACTTCAAGACTGAATTTTTCCCCAAACTGAATCCCATCAGATACAATACTCATGTTAGGGTCAGAATTTACTACCCAATTTAAATTAGAGAAAAAGCTTTAAACCACCTCCTAAACAGTGCTGTTGTCTAACTCCCATCACACCCACTGAGACCCCTCACCTTTTCATCTGCAATGTGCATGCACCTGCCCCCACCCCTCTGCCGGAGAGCAGCACTGTCAGCCCCTTTCGCAACCCAGCACCGCCCATGGAGTGTAGCCGCTGCCTGCCTGCCACGCATCCGCCAGAACCCCCTTGACGCGGAGTATCCATCAGGCTGCTGCCGCATGAGCTTCCTGCCTGCTGCTTGCAGCAACATCTACTCTCAGGAATGCCATTACACTCTAATGAGCCACTCGGAAGCATCAACTTTGCAGCCTGCCCAGCTGCTATGAGGGCTTTTATGGCTTCACTGCAAAGATAAAAACACCCAGAAAATTCCTGAAACTGATCTTAAACTAGGCTTTACTAGAGGGCAATCTGGCTGTCTGCTATCAGCTGATGAAACTCTGAAGGTCACTTTCACAAGAAGAGCAGAGCGGCAAGGGCTTGGTGACCATGGGACCCAGCCCTTTCCTTCTTTTGACCTGGAATTGATGGGCAATGCTGACTGCGGTCAGGAATCCAGGCATCCATAGACACACACACACATGGTTTTGCCTTCACCACCCATCTCCAGGGCCATAACAATGCCTGACTTCTCAGAATGGGTTGGTTCATTCTCTTCTCTCCTGCCAGGAGTCCCAAACCCCAGGGCACCTGGGATGTCACTGTGTAAGAAACAGCTGGGCTTAAGAAAGACAGGAGCTCATGCTACAGAATGGTGCCAGACTCTGACTTCACAGGGTCAGAGTAGAGATGGCTCAGTCAGTTTGTTTTGTTTTGGCCAAAGAACATACATCAGGTTCAGGGGACCAAATGCATATTCGGCATGGGGATGCCTCCCCTCAGGCCCTAATGATGAAAATGACTATGACAATGATGATCATAATGACTATGACAATAATAATAATATATCTGCAGGAGCAATGTTTGCTATAGGCACTTCCAGGAAGGCCTTCATTTAGCCCTCACTCCACCTTGAGAGGCAGGTGTGAAAGCTTAGTCAGGGTGAGTAACCTCCCTGAAGCCACCCAGCAAGGAGGGCTGGCTCTGATTCCAGCACCAGTTTATTCCTCAGCACAAGCTCTCAACTTGCTTCCCACATGGAAGCTGCTGAGTCTTTCTATGTTCTCCTTGCCTCACTCAAACTCTTCTTCCAAGGTTTGCAGGAGTGATGAGGGACATAGAGAAGGATCTCCAGCTTGATAAAAGTGACCTCTTTAAAACACATTCTGTTTTCCTTGAGATTGATAGAACTATCTTCCAATTTTCGAGGGTTGTTCTGTATCAGAAAAACCACACACCAATAAGAAGCCCTTCCTTGGTCCATGTATAGCTGATGATCTTGGAAACAGTCACACTCCTAAACTTATTAACGTTCCTACCCATTTTTATTAAGCATCTACTATGTGGGCAAGGCCACCATGTTGTCGGTGGATGTGAGAACATGGGGGCCCAATGTCCCCAAAGGGGTCTAACTTTAAAAACATTTCCTCACAAATATAGCATGATGCATTATTAACATGCTGTTAAATACACTTGCATGATTGTAGAAAAATGAGTTCTATCCACAGTAAAATTATTTTATTATTATGTGCATATATTAGAAGATTAAGTAGTAAAATAACCAAATACAGCAATAATAACTTGCTATGCTTCTTCACGTAATTTTGCTTATGATATGTTGATTAAACTCAAGTTCATTACTCCAGAAAATATTGACCTACTTTGCTCCATTTAATATCATCCAAACAGCACTTTCACATATTCTCATAACCGTCAAAACTGTCCTGTCCTTGATAGATGGGTTGCTCGCATGAAACAGCAAATTTCAGGCCAACTGCTGATGGAGCCAGGAGTGGGCATGCCAGTTTGCCAGAATGCAAAGTCAGATCTCGGTCCCAGTCCATGCCTGCGACTGCATTGTGTCTAGCTCAGCTCTTTTTTCTAATTTTGGGGGGTCAGAATGAGATGGGTTGAAAGACGTTTTGCACTGGGGATGTTGGCCAGGAAAACCTATGGAGGTGGGAAGAAGTTAGTTCACCCCTCCCTATGGGTCCCTCATATGGTGCATCATTTCAGAGACAAGACAAATGGCAGTAGAGGTGCTGAGGTGACTGATTGCCCAGCTGGACAGGGAGCCCAGCACTCCATCCAGTGTCCTCAAACATGGTGAGGTATCATTTCCTCTTGGCCTTACCCGAGCAGCCCCTTCCTCTCAGATGTCTCGTCCCTCTCCCACCCCACTGCCTTCCTCCCAGCTCCCCTGGACCTGTCCTTCAGGTCTCTGCTCAGTGACTCATCCTGTGGACAGCCTTTCCCACACCAGGTTATCTGCTCCTCCTCCGTGGCCTCTTACTCCCTCATCCCACTGGATTAGACTGCCATTGCTTGTCCGATTGTCCCAGCAAGACCCTGAGCTCTGAGTGTGGGGGTCTGCAGCACAGGATCTGGTGCTTTGTAGACATCCAATAAATATTGTTGAACAAAATGAGTTTAGGACACAAAACCCTAGAACGTATGACCTGAAAGAGCCTTTGGTTGATCCTAATTTCCCATGACTTCAGTCAGTGAAAAAGTAACCCCCTGAAGTCAATCTACCCTGTTCTATAAGTTTTGACAACAATTGATGACACTGCAGGGCATGCCATCTACTATGAAGGGAGGACATCTCTTAGATAGGCCAGAAGTCATTTTGGCATTCATTAAGAGGGCCGGATATTTTGATGATGCCATCCCATCCCATTTAAGTGAAGAACAGATCCTAAACCATTGTCAAGTGATTTATGCACTCACTCAATGAGCAGGCACTAAGGATTCATGCCAGATGTTGGAAAACAAAGATTATTAGAGACATAATTAAAGTAACTCCCAGGCCATGGAGAGAGAACACAGGATTAAGTCACTAAATTGGATGCAGGATCAACGCTCTACAACAGACAGTTGACCAAGCAGAAGGCACAGTCTGTGAGTGCAGAGAATCAGCCTTGCAGGGACCAAGCCCTGACCCTCCCTCCAGGTGGCACACATCTTCTGGGCCCCAGGAAGCTTCTTGTGCAGGCTTGGAGCCCAAAGGCTCTCTGAGAACTCCCCACTTCCCTCGCATTCTCAGGCACCACTCTAAACAGCAGTAGGTGGAGACCAGGGGTTGGATGCTTCACTCCTATGGTTTCTGCTGTTCTCCAGTAAAATGAGAGTCTTGGACCAAGCCAATATGCAAGATTCCTTCCAGCTCTATCTTCCACAGAGAAAAAAAATGGCAAAGAGTTTGGCCGCATGCAAGAGACTGGTTTTGCTTTGCCAGAGCCGCCTGAATCTCATCACCAGTCCCATCATCACTTCTCACAGCTGCCCGAGAAGCAAAAGGAGTGGCTGTTGACATAAAGGGGTCTTGCGTGGTCATGACTTGGCCCAGGTCCAACCGTGACCAACTGAGTCTCCTCTGTAGCTCATGGGTCATGTGGCTTCTCCAAAGGGGCTGGGCATCACCACAAGCCATACAGCTGAGGGCTTGATTTGTTCAGGTCAAAGTGAACAGAGTAAATTCTGAGTCCTGAATATCCATTTACCATGTTAAAGGTGAAGAAAGCACAAAGTAAATTTTCCAAGTGTGTGCTTCCATTCTAAACTGGGAAATTCCTGGTTTAGGGTTGTATCTTCACAGAGCTCACAAATGATTTTTTAGAGAAAAAAAGAAAAACTTGATGTTTGTTAAGATTTTCCTGAGCACTTATGAGATACACAGGCTACACAAAATCCCAGGAACTTAAACAAATCAACAGGCAAAAACCAAATAACCCCACTAAAAAGTGGGCAAAGGACATGAACAGACACTTCTCAAAAGAAAACATACAAGAGGTCCAACAAACATGAAAAAATGCTCATTATCACTAATTGTTGGAGAAATGCAAATAAAAACCACAATAAAATACTATCTCATACCAGTCAGAATGGTTTTGTTAAAAAGTCAAAAAATAACAAATGTTGGCAAGGTCGAAGAGAAAAGGACACTTGTACACTGTTGATGGGAATGTAAATTAGTTCAGCCACTGTGGAGAGCAATTTGGAGACTTCTCAAAGAACTGAGAGTTGAACTACCATTCGACAGAGCAATCCCATTACTGGGTATATACCCAAAGGAAAATATATCCTTCTACCAAAAGGATACATGCTATGTACATCACAGTACTATTCACAATAGCAAAGACATGGAATCAATCCAAGTGTCTATCAATGATGGATTGAATAAAGAAAATGTGGCACGTATACACCATGGAATACTATGTAGCTATAGCAAGTGAAATCATGGTCTTTGCAGCAACATGGATGCAGCTGGAGGCCATTATCCTAAGCAAATTAATGCAGAAATGGAAAATCAAATACCATGTGTTCTTACTTACAAGTGGAAGCTAAACATAGGGTACACATGGACATAAATAAGGGAATAATAGACACTGAGATTTATTAGTGGGGGTGAAGGGCAGGGGAAGGACTGAAAAACTACCTACTGGGTAGTATGCTTACTACCTGGGTGACAGGTTCATTCTTACTCCAAGCCTCAGCATCATGCACATGTACTGCCTGATTCTAAAATAAAAGTTGAAAAGGAATAAAAAAAATAAATCCCAGGTTTTCTCTCTGCCTTCTTGAAATCCACTCTTCAAAATTTGCTTTTGGTTGGCTGGTGACTAAACTCATCTCTTGGAGGCCTGAGCAGAAGTGAATGCCCAACAGGGCCATAGGTTTTATGCAGGGATTTATACCTGTGGGTCTCGAAGTTTTTGGTCTCTGGACTTCTATAAGTTATTTAAAAAATTGAGGATCCAGAGTTTTTATTTATGTCTATTCTTATTTATCATATTAGAAATTAAAACTGAGAATTAAAAACATATTTTTTTATTAAACATATGAGCTTTTTACATAGTAATATAAACGTTTTTACTAAAACAACTATATTTTATGGAACAAAAAAATTAATGAGAAGAGTGGTGTTATATCAAAAATTTTGCAAATCTGTTGAATCTCTGGTTTAACAGGAGACAGATGAATCCATAGCTGCTTCTCCAGTGAATCACAATTGGTTCATTGTGACAGTCCATGTCATGTAGCTTCTGGGAAACTCCCCACTCCACCCCAGAGAGAATGAGAGTGAAGAGGACAAGTAATATCTTAATCATCTTAGTATCTGGAAGACAACAGTTTTGGCCTTGAAGACCCCCACCCACCACTGGGTCTAGGGACCTCCCAGGAGTCCTCATGCCACATTTTGAGAATCACAGCTCTGCACAATCTTCAGGTAGAAACATTCAAGATCCAGAAAGTCTCAAGGCTTTAAATGCCTGAGTTCAAGCCCCATCCCATCACTTCCCAGCTGTGTGACCTTGGGCAAGTCATCTAACTTTCTGACCATGTCAGTCTCTTCATCTCTAAAACAGGATCAATGACACCTACATCTAGGCCGTGGTGAAATGAGAAGTAACGGAGTCCCAGCAGTAATGCGGCACTTGGCTGTCCCCTGGCTTCGGTAGACACTCCTTCGCCAGAATGCTTCCTTCCATGCGCAGAGGGGTCTTCCGTCTGTAACCCCTGACCTCTCTCTGCGCCTATGCCCTCTTCTCTTCCCCAGGAAGATGTGTGACCTATCTCATTGGTAAATTTGGGGTGATAAAACTGAGGCTGTCTCTGGAAGAGCACATGCTCTCTGCTCCTCCACGATTAAACACAGGAGTCCTGAGCTGGGTGGGCAAATCTACTTGACGCGGTTGGCTTTGAGGCTATTGGAACTGGAGCTGCATCTTCTAGACTGACCTCTGCCGGTGATGTGCTCACATTTCATCTTCCAATGGCTTGTTTCTCTTTTCTTTTTTTTTTTTTTTCTTTGAGACGGAGTCTCGCTCTGTCGCCCAGGCTGGAGTGCAGTGGCGCGATCTGGGCTCACTGCAAGCTCCGCCTCCCGGGTTCACGCCGTTCTCCTGCCTCAGCCTCCGGAGTAGCTGGGACTACAAGCGCCCGCCACCACGGCCGGCTAATTTTTTTGTATTTTTTAGTGGAGACGGGGTTTCACTGTGTTAGCCAGGATGGTCTCGATCTCCTGACCTCGTGATCCGCCCGCCTCGGCCTCCCAAAATGCTGGGATTACAGGCGTGAGCCACCGCACCCGGCTGGCTCATTTTTCTTTATGTTATTTCTCTATTTGTGGCGTATTCCAGGGGATGGGGGACTGGGATAGGAAGAATCATAACAGTGTGCCCAGAGGTCCCAATAGCTACCATTATTGCCATTATCAGCATCATCGTCTCATCCTTCATTCTGTCACTAGTGCCATTTCATGCTGTAAAAATAGTTATTGTAGCCACTGAGACACAAGTACATACACACCCCACTCTCTCCAATATCTTCTAACACATTTCTAAGTATATTTCAAATTATGTAAGAATGAGATACCTCAAAATACTCCCATAATCTAAGCATCATCAATTGGACTCAAGAGTAAGGGATTAAGAATAAACTGAAATTTTGGATTTGAGGAATTAGTTTCAGGATGGAAAAATTAGTGTCAGTTAGTTATTTCACCAAACAACATTGTCAACCGTACAAAAAAAAATTCTCTCCTGTGAATGAGACATGTGAGAATAGTTAATTCTCAGTAACTCTCTTATTCACTTAGTATAATCATTTATTCATTTACAGGCTTATAGGTGGTTCTTGAATAAAATTAATGAAGAGAAAATAGTCTTTAGGACATGGCTCTGTGTCCCTTCCAGGAACATGGCCAACCTTACGAATTCCCAGGAGCCTCGATTCTGGACCAAATCCCCAAGATCGTCACCAGATGCGGACCGCCGGCCCTTTCTAGGCCCCATCCCCAGCCACGGCCCTCTGCCTCTCCCTTTTGCTGAGAATGCCTTGCACTGGTTTATGCTGTTGGATAAAGTTCTAAACCCATTTCTAATTCAGCCAGGAGGTACATGAATGCCTTCATCCAGGCAATTGCTCCCAAGGCCGCAGTTCTGTTGATTCTTTTCCTCCCTGGCCTGAGCATCCCCCCAGGGCCTCTTAGTTATTGCTTCGAAGCTGCATCAACTCAAGCAGGCCACTAAGGTGCCAGCAGGGTCCCCGAGGCTGGAGACAAGGAAGAGCACCCTCATTAGTAACTATCACCAGAACCTTCGCTGGGGCTAAAATAATTAGAGCCACTTAATGAAACGGAGCCAATTAACTTCCAGTTTATGACCAAGAAATAATTTCACCATGTATACAGACTCAGAGATAGAGGGAGATGAACATTGCTCAAATCCCAGGATCAGGGAAATGTTACCTTGCCTTATGCATGAGCTACCTTTCACACGACCTTTTCAACATCCCAAACCTAAACCAGCCTGGGGCTGCCTGATGACCCCAGCCTCATAAAGCATGCATCTTTCTGGAACATATTTTTCCAGAAAGCATTTCCAGGTAGGACCCTTCCTCGAGTTCCCCTTGCAGGAGAGGAGCCATTGACATGCCCCCTAGTTGGCTGTAGCTCACCATGGATGATAAAGGAAAGCAGTGACTCCATCCTCTTGGACCTGAAGATCTTAGAGCCAGGGAAGGCAGCCCCAGTGTGGACCACGATTTTGCCTTCATGGCTTCAGTACTCCTGGCTGCAGCCTCTTTTGCAGTGTAGTGCCTGTTCTACCCCAGATTCACCTGCCTGAGGACTGGTTCGCAATTGGCTTACTCTTGCCTGGTCAGTCCAAGCCACAGTTAAATGCATTAGCCCTGGGTGCTTTTGCACGTCACCATATGATCCCTGTGACATCAAACCTAGTTGTGCTTCAGGGTAATCTTTATGGTATTAAGATGGGATGGAGAGATTTGGGCTCTGAGCCCCCAGGATTACATTCTTCCAATCTCAGCCAATAGGGCCGGAGGCAGCAGCCAGATGCAATACAGCAGCTGGACCACCCCAGAATGCCAGCTCTCCCCTCAGTGTCTCTTCAGAACAGTGAGGCAGCTGGGGCAGCTGTCTCCTCTCCTCTACAGAGCCTCCTGACCCTGGTCTTAGCCTAGTGTTGCCTGCTGCTCACATAACAGTCATGGGCCAGGGATTGCCATAGGTAAGGGGAACACAGAGATGAAAACAGCATGATCTTCCTCAGGAAAATAGTAGGCAGGTCAAAACAGGTGCCCAAATAATTCTTATATAAGAAGGCCAAAAATATGTGTCAAGAGAGGAGGAAGAGATGATAGGTTCATATAAAGAGAAGATTACAGGGGGTGTAGATTCAAGGAAGGCTTCACGGAGGAGGTGCCATTCGTGAAGGCTGTCTAGTGGCTTAGGGTGGGATAGACAAGCAAAGATGGAGGAATAAGAAAAAGAACAGGCAGAGAGAACAAACATATCTATTAAGGAATAAGAATGAAAGAAATGAAATGTAAGAGGCCTAGGGGGTAAAGTTGGCATCTTTGTGATGGATTGGAGATACAAGAAGAGTGAGTGGGAAGAGACTTGGGTGACACCCATGCCTTTAGTTTGAATGCAGGGCAACTGGTGGCAGCATGTTCATAAATGACTAAGTAGAGTTTGGGCATGTTTAGTTTGAGAAGCAGATGGGGCATGCAAGTGGAGATGTCTATTCAAAAGTGTTAGAAACACATCTGGAGTTTGAGAGGATGGGTAGATAAGAGACACAGATGTGGGATTCATGGGCATAGAATTGATAGTGAAATGAAATAACAGTGCTCAGAGAGGAAGACCATGGACCACCTCGATCACATGCTCGGAGTAAAAAGAGTAGAGGACCCTGCACATAAACATCGACAGCATGGGCAGACAAGAGGTGCACTCTGAGAAGGCTGCCAAGGGGCAGGCAGAGACAGCAGAGATAAGTGTGCTTCTGGATTCACATCTCTTCTCCTCCAGAGTTTCTTCTGTGGCATCCAGGAGCATGCCAGCCTTCGCTCAGTACTCCATCCTCAGTGCCCATCACAGTCCCTGGGACACAGAAGTCACTCAAGTGTTGAGAACTGGCAACAGGAGGGAGAGGCAGTGTGGGATTGTGGTGCAGGTGATATGGTTGGGCTTTGTCCCCACCCAAATCTCAACTTGGCTTGTATCTCCCAGAATTCCCATGTGTTATGGGAGGGACCCAGAGGGAGGTAATTGAATCATGGGGGCTGGTCTTTTTCATGCTATTCTCGTGATAGTGAATAAGTCTTGAGAGATCTGATGGGTTTATCAGGGGTTTCTGCTTTTGCTCCTTCCTTATTCTCTCTTGCCACCCCCATGTAAGAAGTGCCTTTTGCCTCCCACCATGATTCTGAGGCCTCCCCAGCCATGTGGAACTGTAAGTCCAATTAAAACTCTTTTTCTTCCTAGACCCAGGTATGTCTTTATCAGCAGCATGAAAACGGACTAATATAAGGGGCAACTCTGGGACCTGGGAAGAAACCAGAAGGTAAGTGGCTTGGAGCAAAGTGGGTCTTCATGGCTCACTGGAAAACCCTCCCTAGGCTTGGCATTTCCTTTCTCGTGGCATTGTCAAAGGGAACATTCTGTTGACATCAGAGGATGAATTCTGCTTCAAGGAGTGAGAAAGTACAGAGGGTTTAGTCATCACCCCTCTCAGACGCTTGCCCGTGCTGTGAACCACTGTCGGAGGAAGGAGGAAAATCTGTGGGTTCAGCCCACAGGGAGCTCAGCTGGTACCCACAGCAGTCTGTAGAGCTCTTCTCAGCTCGTTATCAAGCCTAATATTCCAATGGCCCACATTTTATTCTTTATATTCTCAGATATAATTTCCTATTAAAAATACAAATCCCCACAAAATCTCACTTTTTAAAAACGTCTCATTCATTACTTATACCTAAATGTGAACATAGAGTCAAAGAGAAAGAAAACAAGATTAAAGAGAGACCTAGGTGGGTATTGCATTTCTTACAGAAGGAAGCAAGGTCCACCAAGTCAGAAAAAATGAACTACGTGCAAGCTAGAGCATAGAGGCAGAAATATCCAAATCACAAGTTTTGCATGAGGATTTTGGCAGGAAAAAAAATCTGTTTCTAGCTTAAAGATGTTACCTCTGTAGTGTTTTCAATGTTTGGTGTCTCACCATCAAGGCCAGGCTCCAAAGTGACCATGCTGAATGCCACGGTAGGGGCTGCCCAATATAGTTTAGGATCCTGTTTGGATTTTTCTGAGCTCTAAACAATAATTGATTCCCCAGATACTTAGCAGAATCTGACTACACACAGTGAAATTATTTCTTGGTCATAAACTGAAAAGTTAATTGACTTCATTTCTTTAAATAGATTCAATTATTCGAGCAACAATGGTACTTACAAGTCAGGGATGCCTACAGGAGATGAAAGTTTAAAGATGCTACCCAAAGGCCCTTGCAAACGGCCACCAAGGAGCTTGCAGACTGGGAAGGGATTTATTTGTGCTTGTAAAATATACAAACTGCCCTCAGTGGCATGATTAGGTTGGATGCAACTAGCTTATTAAAAATTAACACAGCCAAGAAATGATGCTTGTATCTATGCTGGAGTTGAGTATTGTTAAGAACAGGAGGAATTTTTAATTGGGGGGGTTTTATGTGGAAACCCTCCATCTCCTCAGCCTCTCAGAGGAAGCAGCCAAGCCACACACCCAGGGCTGTCTTGGCCTCCACTCACCACACCGTGACATTCTTCTCCTTCAACAGTACTCACTCTTGAGCTCTCAATGAAAAGGTTAATTCTTAAAGCTCACAGAGGAAAATTAGAGTCATGGCTGGATCCATCCCTAAGCATAAGGCTTCCTTCTATGCAATAGACATCTGAGGGTTTAGTTCAAACACCTCTTCTTACCATGTTCTTTCTCCCCTGCAGCTTTGGCAGACTCTGAATGTTAATCAGTCCCAGAATAAAGTGTGTAATTAGCTGAGAATCTGACCCAAACTCCAGCCCTCTTCCCTGATAAAAGTTGTTTCAAATTGCCGTGACCCTATGGCCCAGGCATGTTATGTCCTCATACCCATCCTCTCATATGCATGAATTACCTTCTGAAAGAACATGCTTAGAAGCAGAGTTCAATCATTAACCTTAACCTAGAATTTCACTAAAGCAAAGATATTAAAAACTGCAGGGTTAGGTGGGTTAATTAGGAGCCAATATCCATCTTTTTCTTGAAACAAATGAAGACAAGAGATGGGATCAGGGGCTGTTGATCACATGTCTACTTTGAAGTACGGTGAGGGCTGGGGGTAGGAAGGTGCGGTCCAGCTTGCATATTGGAGTTTTCTCTAATAAAACCAGGAGGAGAAAGACAGGAACCCCACTGGGTTCTGGCAGAGGCTCACCCTGAGGATAAGGGGGGAGATGGCAGAATCTACTTTTGGAGAAGGGAATTATCTACTCCGGGAGAGGAACATTTGTGCTGTTGTGGAGCTGTCCAAAGGACCTAGTGCTGAAAGCATTTAGGTGAAATATGATACCAGGTACATCTTCGAATAACAATTAAAGCTGCACTTGTTCTTTCTCCAGGGTCTGGAGTAGGTCATATTGAAGAGTGGACAGTTTGGGACTACATATTAAATGCTTTTCTGAGACAAGGTCAAAGGGTCCAATTTAACTTTTTACCCTGAATACTGTGAATCATTGTTTGAACACCAGTTCCATTTACAAGCACATAGCATGTCTAAGACATGCACATATGAAGAAAGCACCCAGAGACATCTTATAAGATAACACACTTGCCAATTTTTAAATGAACTAAAGGGATAGCAAAATGATGGATACCTAATTTTCCCATCAGAGGACCCCTTCCCACCTAAGTGTGACACACCATTGCCATAGCTATGTGCAGTGACTTTTGTCTTCTTTCATCCTCATGTGCTATCATGGAGTTCCTCTCCCCAAATGATTTCGAGATGACATTGTCATTTCACCATTTATGCGGCATGTCTATTCGCTGTTTGACTTTTCAAAAAATCATTTGAAGTTAAAAGCGCAAAAACTAGTGTAAATATGAGATCAATTAAATCTATCTATGCTTAACTCTTTTCAGAATTAACCTATGAAATGTTTGTCAGTTAAATTATTAACATGTTACTCTGAAGATAATGAGTCAGTTTGAGGTTATTTAATTGCTGGCAGAATTACAGTATTTACACTAAAATCTTTTCTGCAGCTCTATTCTCATGTGTGATAAGTTGCTGAAAGATTTTCAAGTCTAGCTCTTTCTGGTATTTTGTTTGGATGATTATTTTCACTTGAAATGATACGAATTTGTTTAATCAATAGGGTCATCAGCTATTGGTTAGATGGGTGTCTCTGGAACCCATATCTGTATTGATAGGGAAGTTACTAATGAGGCTAATTGATCATCCTCCTTCTGTGCAGTGTAACTGGGTATAGGATTGAGTCTTGAAAACCCAGCACCTGGCTCCCTTCCTGTGTAGGATAACTTGGGTTGGGGCTCAGTTAGCGCCAACTCCCAGTTCTTTGTGGAAAAATGAGGGTTCTACTGGGAGCTGGACATTCACAGCACACAGTCCTACTGCCCTTTGAGTCCTTGCTGGATAGTAAAGAGATGTCCAGTTGAATGGCCTTTGTGGTATTTTACTCATTCACCACTGGTGTGGGTTGAGATTTCAACCTATCTTGCAGGCCACTGCTGAGCAGCAAATGCCCCTCCAATGTTTTCCCAAATAAGTTCTACTTTCCTGCAGAAAATCCAGCCAGACTTTAGAGCAGAGTGCCTGAAGCAAAGGCCTTCATGTTGTGATCGATCAAAGAGACTGTATGCATCAAACATGGCAGCTCCGTCCATTGGCCTCTTTGATAATGCTTCTTCTCTAGCCAGATTGTCAATAGTTGACCTTTGTCTAATGATAGAGCAAGACAGAGAACCACTATCCGTGGCAGGGATGACACGGGGGGAGGCAGAGGCTCTAAACGTATCTTTTAGCAAGGAGCTGGGGCTGCTCTCTTCTTAAATGGAGCAGCTATAGGAGACAGAGCTGAGCTGGTCTAAAAAGAAAGCTAAATGTCACAGATTTAAATAACTGTTGAGGGCCACCATTGAGCCCTGTGATATGTCCAGCTAGAGAATACAATGAGGACAAAATTAAGTGGTCTATTCTCAAGGATTCGGGATTCAGAGAACGCCACCTTCCACCCATGCCCTCATTTTATAGTGAAAGAGAAAGCACTCTTGGGGCCCTGAGGGAGGGAATCTGCCCAGTAGCGGAAGATTCCCCAAGTAGGGGAAGCCTGGCATATTGGAAAAGAAGTCCTATTGGGAGTTCAGTGTCTCTAGTTCCAGTTCCAGGAAATCCTGTGGGCAGCAGAGATATTCTCAAGCATGGCGGGTTCTTTCTCAGGCTGCTGGGCTGACCGTTCTAGTTTTCTCAGAACCTCTGTAGCAATCCAGCCGCCTGCGTGAGGCTGTGCAATGTCTATTCCCCTCTGGAGCAGGCTTTTTCTCTGTCAGCAGAGCAGGGTACACAGCTTTAGGGAGAAGTCCTCGGCACCACATAGATGAATGGTGCGTGAGAATGGCTGTCATAGAAGGGGGATGACTTCCTGGCCCCTCAGTGTACAGGTGCAGAAGACGGCAGAGCCCTCAGAACACTTGGATATGCTTTAAAAAGGGGGCAAAATCCTTTTTTGTCTCCTGTCTTGGTTACAGCTAATGTTGGATCTTACAAAGAGATATGTGGTTCCCCCAGTCTCCACCTGCTTGGAGATGGGACCGGAGCAGCCCTCAGGCCATTCACCCCATTCAATCCAGGTCTCCGCCTGGTGGAAAGATCCATTCACCTCTGGGATCACCCAGACTCCATTCCCACCAGCCTTCCTAGGATGCTCCAAGCTCTCCAAGACAAGGAGAAAGAGGAGCAAAACTATTAAATAGGAAGACTGTAAATGAAAATTTTTTAAAAGGGATAAATAAAGCTTTACACCCTGAGCCTGAGAGATGGGCTGTGGGGCTCTCGAATTTTAACACAAAATGCCGAGATGTGACATGCAGTTAATTTTTCCCAGGGAGGCCTATAGCTCTTCATGCCCAGAAACAAGGAAGCCAGTTTTATGCCTCAGGGACATGTGGATGGTCTGTGAGGTCAGGAAGGGACCACTTCACTTGAGTGGGCACTACCGCTACACAGGGGATGTACATGAAAAGTTGTAAATTCAGAATCTTCAGAGACCTACAGAGTGGCCAAAACCAGACACCGGGATCATAGGGACAACTGAGAAATGCCATGATTAACACAGAATCCAGTGGAGCATGTGGGAGGGGGAAATGAATGGTTTTAATACCACCACCCTCCCTTTCATTTTTAATAACAGTGTTGCCTTTGCAATATTAGCTCCATTAATTCTCAGCCCCCGCTCAATTCGCCTTTGTTTTCACACACTTGTGCTGTAATTTTCAATTTAATTAGTTGCAGTTCTGTTCAATGGCAACAGGTCCTGGTTTATCTTCCCAGCTAATACTGCTAATTGTTTATCCAGACTTCAGTAATATCTCATTAACTTTATAGGCTATCGTTTCCACATCATCTACAGAATTAATTTTCTGCAAATCTGGAGATGTCGGTGCTTGTGAACATTTTCCTTCAGAAACAAAACAAAACCAAACAGAAAAAAAAAAAAGAAACACCTGGCAAAGTTGGAGAAGCCAGTTGTCATTTTCTGTTGCATGTCCCTCAAGAAAATAATGCCTACAATGATCTTTCCTTTATTTTTTAAAAAAGAACCCACCTAGGCAATTCTTCATTTTTATAACAGCCATTATCCCTAAGGCATTTGTGGATGCACAGATGAAAGACAGGATGTATGCACACAAGACTGGGAGGCAACACAGCGTGGGCCCTTCAATTATTTGCTTTAATAGAATGAAGTTGTATCCAGATGATTTTTATGGTATCTGTCTCGATTCTCAGGGCGTTTAATCACCATCCCCTACCTCCTGCTTTGGAAGATGTGAAATTCAGAAGACTACAGGGCAGGATTCAGCTGTCATCCACTATGACCCCGTCTGAGAGTTGACACCCAGTTCCGCCCCCAGCCTCACCTCTCTGCTTCTCACCTTTGAACACAGGCAAAAAATGTTTGCTTTTCACCTGCCCTAGAACAGGCCTCTTCGTGCCCATATGGTTCTTCACGCTTAAGACAAAAAGATTTATTCTATCTTTCCTTCCCCCTACCCTCACCCCGTCCAACACATACATACACACCCTTGGCAACATGGATTGACTGACTCTCTTTTCTGAGTTGCAGAGAGCAAAAAGTGACCTCCATTCTTGGCCACAAGCACAACAGAGCTTTGTTAGTAGAGTGTCCCTACAGAGAGCATCCAAGGTTGCAGCAGCCATGGCCTCCTCTGAGGCCCCTGTTGTCCTCTGGGCACCTTCCTTTAATATTTGGTAACACTACAGCCATGATTCTGCAGGTTTCTCTCCTCATGTGGCCAGAGGTCAGCCTCTTTTGTTTGGGGAAATGTGTGGGCCTTCTCCACAGCCTGGCTGCCCACCAGGGACATGCTTTTCAATGGCCAAGTTGTAGTACCTGCAAAACTGGGAGCTGCTACTCATCACCTATGGAATTTGCTGGGCCCCGGGGGTGTTATCACCAGCCAGTGGAAAGTTGGAGAACCTGGATGAACTGGGCTGAAGACAGCAGGAAGTCTGGGTCTAGCAGCTGGTACCTGTGGCCATGGCAGAGATGAGGGCAGCCATACAAGAGGCATCCAAGAATCAACATGTGGTGGTCCCACTTTGAGTGGGAAAATCCAGATGGCTGGGGGGTCCTGAGAGAGACTCCATGGCAGCCCAGGACAGTGAATGGGCACAGACTTCTCTTGATTGGCCATTACCCATTCAATGTGGGCAGAAGGCAGGGGTCCCTGCCCTGGTGAGCATCCAGGAAGGATTCAGGTAATGGAGGAGGCACATCTCTGGGTCTTGCTTCAGCGGCCCTGCTCACTGTTTCCCTCACAGAAACTTCTCCCCAAACCCCACCCACGCAGACACACTCGGCCTGCTCTTTGTCCTGCCTTTGGCTGAGATACGACCCCATTAGTGATCTGAGGAAAGGGGTAAGCAAGAGTACATCTACTTCTAAGCAATTCCTGCTGCTCAGGATCTGGAAGGGGGTTGTGAGATCACAAGCAACCACAGTACCCCTATTCTGCACGCACCAGAGAAAAACACCCAGAGAAGTGGCAAAAGTCTTCCAGGCACTCTGGAGACAATGATATGATGAGACATTCATCGTGTAGCATTCAGTGACCTGTGGCACCAAGAAAATAGTTTGATAAATAAGCACTTCGTTCTTCATATTTATTGTCTTTGGAAATAGTGAGTACAATTCAATTTCACACATACCTTCATGCATTGACTGTGGTCCAACGAAAGCTTCATACTGGGTGGTTTCAGATAAAAGTGGAAGAAACCCCACTCAAAACAGTTTAAGCAAAAATGAAATTTGTCTGGCTTCTGTATTAGAGAAGTCCAAGGGCGGAGCCAACCCAAAGATTCCCTCACTGTGGGCAGCATTCTGGTTTCCCATTCCCCAAGGCTTGCCCTCTCTCTCCATGTCTGTCTCTCTCTGTCTCTCTGTCTCTCTCTGTATGTCTCTGGCTCTATCTTTTTCTGTCTCTGTCTCTATTTCTGTCTTTCTGTGTGTCTGTCTCTATTTCTCTCTGTTTCTCTTTGTCTCTGTTTTGTCTCCATCTTTCTTTGTGTCTCTGTCTTTCTCTCTCTGTCTATGTCTCTGTCTTCTCTGTCTTCTCTGTCTCTTTCTGTCTCTCTGTCTCTGTCTGTATCTTCTCTGTCTTTGTCTCTTTCTCTGTGTCTCTGTCTCTCTTTGTCTTTCTGTCTTTGTCTCTTTCTGTCTCTGTCTTCTCTGTCTCTTTCTGTCTCTGTCTTTTTCTGTCTCTGTCTATTTCTGTCTCTCTGTGTCTGTCTCTCTCTACCTCTCTCTGTCTCTTTGTCTTTCTCTCTCTGTCTTTGTCTCTGTTTTGTCTCTGTCTTTCTCCATGTCTCTGTCTCTCTTTTTCTCTTTGTCTCTGCCTCTGTCCTCTCTATCTTTTCAGTCTCTTTGTCTCTGTCTCTCTGTCTGTCTCTCTGTCTCTGTCTGTCTGTGTCTCTTCACCTCTCTCTCTCACACTGTCCATTGCTGTCTCCTCTTCTGCAGAAGCACTTCCTCCTGAGGGGGGGAAAGAGTTAGGAAGTGGGTGGAGGAAGTGCAGCCAGATGGCCCTCGGCTCTTGTCCTGTGAGTTCACTGTTCAGAATAAAGGGGCTGCATGTCTTCTCTTCTTGGAGGCTAAGTGAAGGGGTCTGAGTCTAGGTCTAACAGGATTGCTCTGGCTTCTGTTTGAATGACAGACTAGGTGAAAGTGGGAAAGTGGTGAACGGTGGTGAAGGTGGCCAATGTCTGCCTGTGTTTCCAAGGTACAGACGGCAGGGTGTCCCTCCAGGACAGATGTGGGACAGAGAAGAAAGAGGAGAGTTAGAAAGGGTGACAGAATCTTTTGGCCCAACAAAGCAGAAACATGACCTTTCTATTAACTTTAAGTGAACTGTTAACTCTACATGAATTCCATTTTTATAGTATAACTCACTCTGCCACTGCCTTTCATCACTCAGAAATTTGTGTTGGAGATTGATAGATCAGTAGATAGATAGATAGATGATTGATGGATAGACAGATGATAGATATGTAGCTAGATAGAGGATACATAGAGAAATAGATGACAGATAGATATACCGATAAATTAGATAGATAGATGATAGATGATAGACACATAGATAGATAGATGATAGATAGATATGTAGATAGACCAACAGATAGATAGATAGATAGAGAGATAGATAGATAGATAGATAGAGATATAATAGACCAACAGAAATACAGGCGTAGGTATAAATACAGGCACAGGTGCAGGTAGGTGGACAGGTAGAGGGATAGATGCAGGCAGACATAGATGTAGATATAGATGATATAATAAGTACATTCTGTTGCTAGGGCTGCCATAAAAAATTACCACACACTGGGTGGCTTAACAACAGGAATTTATTTTCTCACAGCTCTGGCTGACTGTGATAGTCTGAGGTCCAGGTGTTGGCAGGGCTGGTTCCTTCTGAGCCTCTGACTGCCCTGGTCTCTGATGCCTGGGGACCCCCTCTAAGCAGCAGGCCACCAGACACAAGGCAAGAAAACATGGCTCCATCACCACCTGCTTCGCCATGTGCACTCGAACACCAGCAAGGCGGAGAAAGCAAAAGATCAGCAAAGCCTGGGTGATTTCTTAAGGAGAGTCTCAAGAAAAACACTAATCCTGCCACACATCATACTTCCTATGGCCCAAGTGCCTCTCAAATTCCTCTAGGACTCTCCTGCCCCCTTGAAGCCCACCCCTGCAGGAGACTAGAACCACATCATGGATGGCCTTGCCTTTAATCATAGGTCACATGATTACATGTTCTTTTCTCATGATGATGTCACCACCATAAGGTGGGGTCCAACAACCAGGACATGGGGAGGTCTCTGCTCATCAGATGCCCCCTGCACTCAGGTAAGATTAAGAAAAGGTGAGGATTCCACAGGTCGGGTTTCGCCTTTATCTTGTCTCTCCCTCCACCGGGTGCCTCTCTTCCTCTCATTCCTCGAAACTGACTGATGTTGCTCTTTTCTCCTGAACTTAATACAGTTGTGTATTCAATGTCATAACAACATTTCAGCCAATGACAGACCGCATAGAAAACGGTGATCTCATAAGATTATAAATTCCTATCCCTTTAGTGACAGCATAGTCATTGTAATGCTGTAGCACAATTGCTTTACGTTTTCTATAAATTTAGTGTAGCCTAGGTGTTCAGCCTTTATAAAGTCCACAGGAGTGAACAGTAATATCCTATGCCTTCAAATTCACTCACCACTCACTCACTGACTCACCCAGAGCAATGTCCAGTCCTGTGAGCTCCATTCACGGTAAGTGCCCTAAACAGATGTACCATTTTTTATCCTTGATACTGTATTTTTATTGTATCTTTTCTATGTTTAGATATGCAAATACTATTGTGTTGCAATGACCCGCAGTATCCAGTACAGCCACGTGCTGTACAGGTTTATATCCTAGGAACAGCATGCTGTACACAGGGTCTAGGTGTGTGTAGGCTGTACCATCTAGGTTTGTGTGAGTACATGATATGAGGTTTGCACAGTGATGAAATCGCCTGATGATGCATTTCTCAGAATGTATCCCCTTTATTACTGGATGTTATTAACTAGCGATGTTAAGCTCCTTTATACAGACTTTTTTTTTGGCTTCTTAGGATTCTTTACAAGTATTGCCTTTATGCCTCTTTAAGTAATCCTTCCCTATCTCCAAGTGATATCCTTTCCTCATTTCTTTTAAAATGTTGAAGCTTTATTTTCCACATTTAAGAACTTTAACTCATATGCAATTTATGTGTACAGTTGTGAGGTACAAATTTGATTTTCTTATACAAACTTAAGGTCACCTCTGTCAAACCAAGTTCTATCTAGAGATGTGCATATCTGTTCATCCCTTGCCTCTGGTTTCTGTTTCATTGCTTTAATTTCTTATAGCTCTGCCAATGGCATAGTTTTTATTTCTATAATTTTATAATGAACTTGTACCTGTGATAGGGCCAGCCACCCATTCTTGTTCAGCTCTTTCAAAATTTTCTTGGCCATTTAAAAATACCCTTCCATATCATTTCAATAATCAGTTTTTAACTTTCATAAAATATCCTGTTGGCCTTTTGGAATCCCATTAAATTTATAGATTAATTCTTCTACATATTTTATATTTATGCCCTAGATATCTTATAATTTGATGTTCTGATGAAAGAGTTTCAAAATTATATTTTCTAATATTTTTTTTTTAAGACAGAGTCTTGTTCTGTCACTCAGGCTGGAGTGCAGTGGCACAATCATGGCTCACTGTAGCCTTGACTTCCTGGGTTCAAGCAATCCTCCCACCTCAGCCTCCCAAGTGGCTGGGACTACAAATGTACGCCAACACACCCACCTAATTTTTGTACTTTTTGTAGAGACAGGTCTTCACCATGTTGCCCAGGCTGGCCTCTAACTCCTAGGCTCAAGCAATCCTCCCATCTCGGCTTCCCAAAGTGCTAGGTTTACATATGTGAGCCATCATGCTCTGTTTCTAATTTTTTTTTCTTTTAGAAATTCTTACATGATATTCAAGATATACAATAAGATATAAAGAACAAAATAATATATGCTCATGTGCCCATCACCCTGGTTAAGAAATAACATGTTATCAATGTCATTAAATCTCCCTGGCCCCCCTTCCCAGTCACACATCTCTATCTCTCTGTAAGAGGTAACCACTATTCTGTTTGGCTTTTTTATGTACATGCATCTCTTTTCCTTTGCCTCATATATACACATCCATATGTATTGCTATTGCTATATGTGCTTTTGACCTTCTTTTTTTTTTCCCCCACAGTATCTCACTCTGTCACCCAGGCTGGAGTGCAGTGGTGCGATTTTGGCTCACTGCAACCTCTGCTTCCCAGGTTCAAGAGATTCTCGTGCCTCAGCCTCCTGAGTAGCTGGGATTACAGGCGCCGGCGACCACGCTCAGCTAATTTTTGTATTTTTAGTAGAGATGAGGTTTCACCATGTTCACCAGGCTGGTCTCGAGAACTCCTGACCTCAAATGATCCGACCCCGTCAGCCTCCCAAAGTGCTGGGATTACAGGCGCGAGTCACCCCATCCGGCCGTTTTGACCTTTGTATGAGCAACATTATTTTGGATACACTGTTCAACAACTTGCATTTTTTATTTCTTTTAATTTAAAATATTTTTCTCAACATATTTGTGAAGTCTACCTCTCTTGAAAATTGTAGTGCTAATTCATTTATGCTCATGGATATAGTATCCTTGCTAATACATATATCTGTTTTCCTGTGGTTGGACGTTTTAGATGTTTCTCTGATCTTTTTCCATTGCAAGAAAAATTGCTATGAATTCTTTTACACGTCTTCTTTTGAGCTATAGGAGTTATTCCCTGGGCTGCATAACTAGGAATAGAATCGCTGGGCCACAGAGTCTGCATCTCCAATCTCACCAGGTACTGAAACGCTATTCCCAGTGGTTACACCACCTACATTCCTGCCAGCAGTGTGCAAGGTTTCTCATTGTTTTATATCATGGATGTATTGGCCATCCTTATTCTCTTTTTATTGAATTGGCCATTCACACACTTTGTTCGTTTTCCTATTCTATTCATGTTTCAAAGTTATCACACGTTAGATATCCTAAATATTAGTCCTTCGTTGTTGCCTCTTACAAATATGTTTCCCAGTCTATCTATATATTCACATATCAGAAAATTCGTCCTTTTAAAATAGGCCAGGCAAGGCAGCTCACGCCTGTAATCCCAGCACTTTGGGAGGCTGAGGTGGGTGGATCACTTGAGGTCAGGAGTTTTAGACCAGCCTCGCCAACATGGTGAAACCCCATCTCTGCTAAAAATACAAAAATTAGCTGGGCGTGGTGGCATGCATCTGTAGTCCCAGCTACTCGGGAGGCTGTGGTGGGAGAATTGCTTAAACCTGGGGGGCGAAGTTTGCAGTGAGCCGAGATCGCGCCATTGCCCTCCAGCCTGGGTGACAGAGTGAGATTCCATCTCAAAAAATAACTAAACTAAACTAAACTAAACTAAAATACAAATCGGTGGCACTTAGCACATTCACAAGGCTGTGCAACCATAACCACTATCTAATTCCAGAACGTTTTCTCCACCCCAAAATGAAACCCCATGCCCATTAGCAAACATGACCCAT
This sequence comes from Homo sapiens, assembly GCF_000001405.40. Classification (NCBI taxonomy): domain Eukaryota; kingdom Metazoa; phylum Chordata; class Mammalia; order Primates; family Hominidae; genus Homo; species Homo sapiens. The sequence goes on along the minus strand of NC_000001.11, from coordinate 4,539,723 downwards.
TCCCTGTTCCCCCAGTTCCTGGAAGCCACCAATCTACTTTCTATGTCTTTGGATTTAACCTGTTCTGGATATTTCATAGAAATGGATTCATACACGATATGGTCTTGCTGATTTGCTTCTTTCACTTACCATAATATTTTCAAGAATCCTCTGTGTTGTAACATGTATCAGCTCTTCATTCCTTTTTGTGGCTAATATTTCGTTATATGAGTAAGGAGATCAAGCATCTTTTCATGTACTGATTGACCATTTGCATATCTTCTTTGAAGAAATGTCCATTTGAATCCCTTGCTCATTATATTTGTCTTTTTATTGTTGAACCATGAGTTCTGTATATATACTGAATACTATAACTTTATCAGATATTAGATTTAAAGTTTTTTTCACTATCTCTGGGCCATCTTTTCTCTTTATTCTTTCAAAACATGAAACATGAAATTTGTTAATTTTGGTAAGCTCCAATTTATTTGTTAATTTTGTTGCTTATACTTTAAGAAACCATTGCCTAATCCAAGATCTATGCCTATATTTTCCTCTAACGACTTTCTCATTTTAGCTCTTACATTTAGGCCTTTGATCCATTTTGAGTTATTTTTTGTATATGGTGTGAGGTATGCATCCAACTTCATTCTTTTGTGTGTAGATAACCAGTTGTATCAGCGTTGTTAGTTAAAAAGACTATTATGTCCTCAATTGATTTGCTTTGGCACTCTTATTGAAAATCAATTCACCATAAACGCTTGAGTTTATTTCTGAACTTTCAGTACTCTTCCATTGATCTGTGTCTATTGTATGCCAGTGCCACACAGTCTTAATTCTTGCAGCTTTGTAGTAAGTTTTGAAACTTTTCTAGATTGCTTTGGCTATTCTGATTTCCTTGAATTTTCATATGAATTTTAGGATTACCTTGTCAATCTCTACAATCAATCAATCAATCAATCAATCAATCAATGCCACTTAGTGTTTTGGTAGTGGTTGTGTGGAATCTGCAGATCATAGATCAGCTTAGGAAGTTTGCCATCTTCACTACAGAGACTTCCAATCGATGGTCACATGATATCTTTCCAGTTATTTAGATTTTCATTTTCTTTCAATTATGTTTTATAGTTTTCAATGTACAAGGCTTATACTTCTGCTGTCAAATTTATTCCTAAGTCTTTTATTCTCTTTTGTGCTGTTGTAAGTGGCATTGTTTTATTTGTTTTCTTTCTGGATTGCTCATTGCTAACATATAAAAACACAATTGATTTTTGTGTATTGATTTTGTATTCTGCAGCCTTACTGAACTTGTTTATTATCTCTAATGGTTGTTTATGGATTTCTCAGGATATTCTTGCACAAAATCATGTCATCTGCAAACGGAGATGGTTTTACTTTTTCCTGTCCAATATGAATGCCTTTTATTTCTTTCTCTTGCCTAATTGTCCTGACCTGTGGCTACTTTTGCATTTCTAAAATAGTATCTCCTGTTACCAAAAAGTTTTTTTCTTTCTTAATTTAATGTACTTGTATTTAGCAATTATTTCTTCTGTGGTTTTTGCCTTATTAGTCTTCTTTAAAAATATATATCCCTGTTGTGAAACATTAAAGGTAGTCCCATAATTTTTTTCTAAATTTAAATTATTTTGCTTTTCTCATTTAGGGCTTTACACAACTAGAATTGAATATTGAATGTGGCATGAGATAATGAGATCGGGACCTAACTGTATTCTGTTTCCTATAAGAACAATCAAATGTTCCACCTCCACTTATTGATGAATCCATTGTTCTACCATTGACCCACAGTAACATCTTTCTCATATTTTAATTTTTCACACATGCATGGATCTGTTTCTGGGCACTGTGTCCAATTCAGTCAGTCTTTTACTAATACTGCTGTTTCCTACTATGGCTTTTATTTTGTTTATTTATTTATTTTTTATTGAGACAGAGCCTCACTCTGTCACCGAGGCTGGAGTGCAGTGGCACGATCTCAAGTCACTGCAACCTCTGCTGCCCAGGTTCAAGCAGTTCTCATGCCTCAGCCTCCTGAATAGCTCAGACTATAGGTGCTCACCACTATGCCCGGCTAATTTTTTTTTTTTTTGTATTTTTAGTAGAGATGGGGTTTCTCCATGTTGGCCAGGCTGGTCTCAAACTCCTCCTGACCTCAGGTGATCCACCTGCCTCAGCATCCCAAAGTGTCAGGATTACAGGCGTGAGCCACGGTGCCTGGCCTCCTACTATGCCTTTATAATATGCTTTGACATGGCAATCTCCCCAACACATCCCACATCACCTTGTTTAATTTCCTCAAGAATGTTTTAGTCATTTTCATTATTCTCTTACATTTTTAGTATAGAATGAGATAATCAATTTTCTCATTACAAAAAATTGAAATTTTGATTGGAATTGAATGACATTATAAATTTGGAGATAATTTTTATTTTTATAAAGCATGACCCATTGATGATGTTTTCTATAGTGTTTTAAAATAAATCTCCTGTAATTTTCTCCATTAAATCCTATACAACTACTATTAGATGTATTCCTGGATTTAAAAAGCATTTTTAAACTTTCCGTTTACAAAGCAACAAAAGTCTAAATTACGTTTCATTTTTATTGCTGATATATGGAACTGAAATGTGTTTTCCCTATTGGATTCTTTTTATTTATTTATTTATTTTTCTGAGATGGAGTTTCACTCTTGTTGCCCAGGCTACAGTGCAATGGCTCAATCTCGGCTCACTGCAACTTCTGCCTCCCAGGTTCAAGCAATTCTCCTGCCTCAGCCTCCTGAGTATCTGGGATTACAGGCACGTACCACCATGCCAGACTAATTTTTGTATTTTTAGTAGAGATGGGATTTCACCATGTTGACCAGGCTGGTCTTGAACTCCTGATCTCAGGTGATCTGCCCACCTCAGCCTCCCACAAAATGCTGGAATTACAGGCATGAGCCACTGCTCCCAGCCTATTATTCTTAATTATGATCAAATTATTACATTCTTGGCCATTGGGAAATAAATCTATTCAAATTGGCTCTTGAGCATTATTTCTTTATTATTATTACAATTACTTTAATGATGACGATGGTTATATGACCCCAGTAGTCTTTGGTAGCTCCTTTCATTCTATATGAAAGGTGACTTGGGCACATCTTTTTCATTTCCTGCCTCATATTTGAAATCAACTGTTTATTTAAGGAGCCCTAGTCCCTCTAATGGTAGGTAGAGACCATAGTCTGAGTGCTGGGAGTGCTCGCTGCTTGCGGGTGTGTCACCATTTTCAGTTCTTTTAGTGGACACTATGAAATAATGGATATTTAGGAAACATTTTAATCAGAAAATGTATTATTTATATGGATTTTTTAATATAAAGTAAGAACTATGAAATATTTACTAAGCATCATTGGTCCTACATCTATATTTTATTTCTCCCACAGTGAAAGTCCTGTTTTCAGAATACTAACACACTTGCTTACTCTTTTATCTCACAATGCACATATAACCATCTCGGAAAAACAACAGTACCACCCAAAGTATGATTTATGAAAACTGTACAAATATCTCCACATTTATTTTACATTAGATTGCAGTCTACTAGGGATTTATAATCCAATTCATTGAAAGTCTTTTAAACTAGTTATTTTCTATGGCAAGATTCCATGGTTGGGTTCCATGCAACTCAACTCAATGCATAGTTAAATTCATTCATTTATTTTTGCTTTAGATTTCTATGAGTTGCTTTGGGCATTTGATCCATTTTATGCTGAGATTTTTATGTGGTATCAGAGGTCAACTTCATTCTTTTGCATGTGGATATCTAGTTAAACATGCTTTTTATGGTTTCAAATTTATTTTAAATTACATAAAATATTTATAAAAGATTACAAAGTCAAGTCTACAAAACAATGTGTATTCAAATATTTGGTTCTATGGCTCTTCCCACTAACCTATTGTTTCAATGTCTCTTTGGTCACCATTTTCTGTTACAGTTTATGTTTTACCCTTCCACTATGTTATTAAATAAAAAATAACAAATAAAAATATTTTTTAAATTTCTGTTTTGAATGATTTTAGTTAGAAAAATGGCTGACATAGTACAGAGAGCCCCTGAACACTCTTCACCCAGCTTCTCCTGCTATTAACATCCTACTTAACCAGGGTCCATTCTTCAAAACTAAGAAATTAATACTGATAAAATGCTGTTAAATAAACTGCACACTTTATTTGAAGTTTGCCATTTTTTTTTACTAATATCCTTTTTTCTGTTCTGAAATCCAGCCCGGGATATCATTTCTTGTTGCAGTCAGTTATCCTGCCTCCTTAGTCTCCTGTAGTCTGTGGTAGTTACCTTCGTCTTTCACTATTTTTCATGGCCCTGACACTTTCCAAGTCCGCTGGCCTGGAATTTTATAGGAGGCCTTTCCATTTGGGCTTGTCTTGTGTTTCATCACAATTAGACTGGGCTTGTGAGTTTAGGGAAAGAAGACTACAGAGGTAAGGTGTCCTCGTCACATAATGTATTAGTCTGTTCTCATGTTGCTAATAAAGACATACCTGAGACTGAATAATTTATAAAGGACAGGGGTTTAATTGACTCACAGTTCCACATGGCTGGGGAGGCCTCACAATCATGGTGGATGGCAAAGGAGGAGCAAAGTCATGTCTTACATGGTGGCAGGCAACAGAGCACGTGTACAGGGGAACTCCCCTTTATAAAACTATCAGATCTCATGAGAATTATTCCCTCTTATGAGAACAGCACAAGAAAGACCTGCCCCTATGATTCAATTACCTCCCCACAGGTCCCTCCCATGACACTTAGGAATTATGGGAGCTACAATTTAAGATGAGATTTGTGTGGGGATACAGCCATGCCATATCACATCATATCAGGAGGTGCATGATACAAAGATGACTTATCATTGGTGATGTTAACCTCAGTCACTTTGCTAAGATGGTATCTATCAGGTTTCTCCACTGCAGTTACTATTTTCTCCTTTCCATACTCTATTCTCTGCATATGAGTCACTAAGTCTACCTCATCCATAAGGAGAGGGAAATTAAGTTCCAGCTCCTGGAGAGGGTAACATCTGTATTTATTACTTGGGATGTTTTTCTTTCTAAGGAAGACTTGTTCCTTTTATCTCATTGAATGATTGATTGATTGATTGAATCATTTATCCATATCAGTATAACCTCATGGATATTTGTTTTAGTATTTGGACTATAATCTAATACTATCATTATTTGTCACTCAAATTGTTCCAGCTTTGGTAACTCTTTCAGGTTGATTCCTGTGTCCTTTTGACATGCAAATATCAAATATGCATGCTATACATATATTTTTTTCTCATACATATGAAGAAACCATAATATGAAAAAAATATGTATCTTTTCTGTTTTTACTTGCTACCTTGCTGTTTTCACTTAACTCTGCATCCTGGAGATTGCTTCGGAGCCATGAAAAAAAATTCCTCATTCCATTTTACAGCTGCAACATAAGTGAGAGTACCATGGTGTCATCGGTCAGTCCCTAGTGATGGGCATTGGGATTGCCCCTCGCCTTCTGCCCTCTCCAGTAGTGCTGTGCTGGTTCAGCTCGTGTGCATGTCTTTTCATGATTTTCCCAGTGAATTTTTGGGATAGATCCTAGAGGTGGATTCCTGGGTCAAAGGGGAAATGCTAATAAGGTTTTGCCAAATTTTCCTTCATAGGGTTATAATATTTTGCATTTCCACCAGCAATGTTCCCCACAGCAAGCCAACAGTGTGTCACCAGTGTTTTCTATTTCTATCCATCTGTTGAAAGAGGGTATCCTTGTGCAAAGCTTAGCACCTGGAGGAGCTGAGACAATGTCAAGTGCTCGCTCCAAGCGGTGCCCCAAACAAAATCTCACATGAAAGAGAGAAGGTGAATGAATAGAGAGAAGGTGAATGAATAGGGAGTTCTTTGGGTTCTAATTCATGGTGGGGAGCTTCCACTTTTTGCTTCTCCCAGACATTCTTGAATAAACCTTGGGACAACACAGAGCACCACTCAAAGCCACCAGATTCTGTAGTCAGGTCACCAATATGATAGGAATTAAAGCTGAATGATCTTTTCTACGTATTAGTGAAACTCACATGCTGGGCATGGACAATACACCAGGCATTTTCCATGGGAGACCCTGTCCACTCCTCACGACTTACCTTATGAGGTAAGTCATCACTGCCACTTTTTACAGAAGAGGAAACTGAGGCTCAGAGAGACTAAGTGATGTGCTCTACATCCCGGGTCGTGTCTGGATGCACCAGCATTTGACCCCAGAGTTTTCTAACTTCCAGAAACATCATTCTTTTGCTGGTAGAGGAAGCCAACATTAGAAGCATCTGCCCTTGCTTGGGATATTGTCTTTTGGGTTCCACATGTGCTCACGTGTCAGTGACATGATCTTGACTCACTATAGCCTCAACCTCTCGAGCTCAGGTGATCCTCCTGCTTCAGCCACCTGAGTAGCCGGGACTACAGGCATGTGCCACCATGTCTGGATAATTTTTTATGTTTTTGTAGAGATGGGGTCTCGCCATATTGCCAAGGCTGGTCTCAAATTCCTGGGCTCAAGTGGTCCTCCTGCCTCGGCTTCCCGAAGTGCTGGGATTAGAGGCATGAGCCACTATGCCCGACGTCATATGTTCTTTTAACAGGGTTTTTCTTGTCTTGCAGTGGTGCGTCATCTCAGATTTTGGGACAGCGGCTCCCTGGCATACACATCCCATTGCTAGGGGTTTCTCTCCAAGCCCCCTGCCCCCACCTCAGCCTGTATTATGTAGTTCCTCCTATTTCTCCATGGTCAGTTGAGCAGAAGGGAAGATGCACTATATTCTGCCTTCTGTCTCATTGCTTCGGTCCAAGATGAGGAGTTAAAGATAGCATGAACGCAGGCTGCATTTCAAGTCCTGCTCATCACTCTGCTAATGAGTTTATGTTCACAGATGAGACTTCTCTGGCTAAAGAAGGAATAAATACAATTTGCAACAACTTTTTATGAGTTTCTCTCCCCAGCCCTCCCAAATGATTGCTGTGACTCTGGTGTCCTGGAGTCGAAAGTTGTGGCTTTGATTTTGCAGTCAAAGATTGGACAGCTCCTAATTCTCTCTAAGCTACTCAAATGTCCTTCTCACATTCATTTTATGTTCCCAATTTGGTTTCTACCACTGATGCCTCTGGCATCTTTGTGTTTTAGATGAAGACTGGGAAGCTGATGGAAGGCAACATTTTTAAACTAGTGCTTTCCTTGGGATGTCTCCTTGGTGCCGAAATGTTTTTCCGGAATGGAAGAGCCCTAAGGGTCGAGGCTTGCTTAAGCCCCAGGGTGGGTTGCAAACACCTCTGGCATTCTCAATAGCTATGCTGCTGACCAGGCAGCATCTTGCAGCGGAATTATGCTACAGGGACCCCTTTTTCATTTTAAATAAGAAAACTCTGTAATGATCCATTGCAATGAACTCGATTAGACCTTTGCAGGTAATTTAGTAGTGCATGGCAGGAACAACAATGTCATCAGGTTACATTGCTGGCTAGAGGCCATACACAGAGTGTCTTGGGTGGACACCACAGTCACCTCGTGAAAGAAGTACCATTACCTCTGTCCTACAGAGGAGGAGATTGGGGCTGAGTGAGCTTAAGCAGCTTGTCCAAGAACGTTCAGTCAGCAAATTGTGCTGCTGTCCTACCTGTCTGATCAGAAGTCCTGATGCCGAGACCTGAATCCTTGCCCAGAGATGAAGCAGAGCAGTGGAGCTAAATCCTTTTGCTCCTCATCAAGTCACGGAGGGAGCTTCTATCACAGCTTTTGAGTGATGTCCATACGAGTGGTGTCCACTTCTATGTGATTCACAGGAAAGGTGGTTTATAAAGGCCTGTGGTCTTTGGAGGGGTTTGTTTTCACAGCTCAAACCCCAATAAGCCTTAGGGACTATGTACAGAAACAGAAGCAATAGGATGTGTGTGTGTGTGTGTGTGTGTGTGTGTATGTGTGTGTGTGTGTGTGGTGTATAGGGGTTGCTGAAGTTTTAAGGAATTGGCTCACGTGGTTATGGAAACTGGCAAGTCCAGAATCTTCATCATGGGCCCACAGGCTGGAAACACAGGGGAGAGTTGATGTTTTAGCTCAAGTTCAAAGGCCATCTGCTGGCAGAATTACTTCATCTTAGGGGATCCTCAGCCTTTTTCTTAAAGCCTTCAACTGATTGGATGAGGCCCAACCACATTATGGGGGGTCATCTGCCTTACTCAAAGCCCACTTACTGATTTAAATGTTTATCTCAACCAAAAAATGCCTTCACAGACACATTCAGAGTAGAGTTTGACCAAATACCTGTGGACTGTGGCTTAGTCAAGTTGGTATATAAAAGTCACCATCACAGGGACTTTCTCCATCACTAGTGTTATATCCTGAACCTATTGGGACACACGATTTCCGGGGTGCAGAGAGGCAGGCCTGAGCAGCACCCTTGAATGTGCCCATGCAGGCTACAGGGCTGCCTCACGCCCAGGACCACCCAAGAGTGGGCTCAGAAGGACCCATCTCAGATCAATGACACGCGACAAGTTTGGGCATGTCTTGCTGTCAGGGGTCACATCCGATCCTTTGTAACTTCTTTGAACTGAGGCCTGTAGCCAGCTTCTGCTTTGGAATGTTTATCTCCTGCTGGGATTTCAGGAGGGACAGAGACCCCCAGAAGGGCTATAATCAGTCCTTTCTCCCTCCTGAGGAGATCAACAAATCCCCTGGTAAGGAAGGCACCAGGTTCGCTTGAGTTTTGTGATCACTCCAAGTATTGCTTTACTTATTTTTATTTCATTAATTTTTTTTTGAGAGAGAGTCTCACTCTGTCATCCAGCCAGGCTGGAGTGCAGTGGTGCATTCTCAGCTCACTGCATCCTCTGCCTCCTGGTGCAAGCGATTCTCATGTCTCAGCCTCCCAAGTAGCTGGGATTACAGGCGCACGTCACCACGCCTGGCTAATTTTTTTTTTTTTTTTGTATTTTAATAGAGATGGGATTTCGCCATGTTGGCCTGGCTGATCTCTAACTCCTGACCTCAGATGATCCACCTGCCTTGGCCTCCCAAAGTGCTGGGATGACAGGCATGAGCCACCGTGCCCAGCCCAAGTATCGCTTTAAATGCCATCCTGTTTCCTGGCACCCTTCTGATTTTGAGACCAGATCCATAATTAGACACACAAGATACCTGCCAATCAGGAAAGGTAAGCTTTCACCTTGACTTAGCCAGTCAGAATGAAAAAATTGACTCCACAAGGAGGGTATTTTGCAAACTTCCAACTAAATATTGGATTTATCATAACCTTTGGACTGAAGATTGGCTTCTGCTAGCCAGCAAATTTGTGAGCACAAAGGTGATTTTTAAAAATAGCTTCCAGATATGTGGTGCGCTAACAAAAGCACAGGGCTGTCTGGGGAAGTTGGTCATTTATATTCAGCATTACCCGACAGCCCCTATCTGGAAAACGCTTTCCAGGTGCCCATTTTCAACTGTTGCTTACAAATTTCATAGCAATTGCTCCAAAGCTGCCTTTAGTTTTCTACTCAGGATTTAAATCCTCAACCTTTTCACCTGCCTTTTATGGCTCTCGCTGTGTGTGCAAGGCTCTCCAAAGCAGCCCTTGCCGGAAGAAATCAATAGCAAAAGCAATTGCCAGCTGATTTCTAAACCACCAGAAGCTCAGACACTTGCATGGGTTTCAACATCACTGTTTATCTCACAATGATTTCCCATGCCTCTTTAAGGACTGTATTTTCCCACTACGAGACAGTCATTTGCATCTTCACAATAACCTAACAAGAGCGAAACCTAACAAAACCAAACAATAGCGTGGAGTTAAACAGCCATCCTTGCTGCTTTATCCTGTGAGCTCCTGAATGTGCCCTTGCAGGTCACCCAGGAGCCTGGAGCTTCACAGTGCGGTGCTGCCGGGCTACCTGCAGAGATGAAATGACAGGTGTGCAGTCCCGACGGGGGCGGGAAGAGGGCCGTGGCCTCTGACCGTCCATCAAGCAGATCACATAGCTGTGGGTTTTCATGCTTCCTAGGAGTATTGAGACTCTGTGCACCCTTGATGACCTCACTGATGTCATTGTTGGGTCTTTAAACGAACAAAGAGCAGTCCCAGAATTGACAGAGCATGGGAAGGTGAATTTCAGTCACCAGCACCTGGGCTTGGCATCCGAGGAGGATCATGGACTTGCTTTCAAGGTGTTCCTGCCTTTCCATGTCACCACCTGTGGGTCTGATCTTTCTGCCTTTCCATTTCACCATTGGTGTGTCTGCTTGGGCGGGCTGCTGTCATCCCAAAGCCTGGTGTTTCCCTGGGGTTCCTTTTTTCCTTGTGTGTTTTTTTTTTTTTTGGTTTTGTTTTGTATTTTTTTTTTTGACAGAGTCTTGCTCTGTTGCCCAGGCTGGAGTGCAGTGGCATGATCTTGGCTCACCGCAACCTCAGCCTCCTGGATTCAAGCGATTCTCCTGCCTCAGCCTTCCAAGTAGCTGAGATTACAGGTGCGTGCCACCATGCCTGGCTAATTTTTTGTATTTTTAGTAGAGACAGGGTTTCACCATGTTAGCTAGGATGGTCTCGAGCTCCTGACCTCATGATCTGCCCGCCTCAGCCTCCCAAAGTGCTGGGATTACAGGCGTGAGCCACCGCGCCCGGCCTCCCTGTGTTCTTTCTTCTTCAAGCCTCCTCAGCCAGCAGAACCTGAAACCCTTCTTTATCCAGAAATCCTCCCTGGGACTAGGGGTTGATTTGGGGGCTTCCTGAGGCCAGGAAATGGGGCCACCGATGAGCACGAACCCTGGGAGGGGTGGGGGGACAGGGGCTCAGGCAACGGTATAACACGCATAACAGGCCAGAAGCTGCAACAGGTGACAGGTGACAGAGGAGGCAGCAGGATGTGGCGTCTTCCCAGGTTCATGGCGCTCTGCTGTTTTACCAGAAGCAGACACAGAGATGGGAGTGGCACCTTCCCCCGAGACCGTGGGTGGGAGCTGTGTCCACCACCCAGCAGTGCGCAAGGGCTTTGGGCCCAGGGCCCTCCTGAGAATCCCCTCTGCCTCACTGAGAAAATTGACTCCTGTTCGGTCCCTCCAGCAGCATCCCCTTGTCCCCAAGACTCTGTCATCAATCACCTTCATAGCTGCAGATTCCTGAACTTGGTCTAGCAGAGAATGCCGGCTTTATTGTTTACCTGAAGGATGGCCTTGGTGGGTCCTGAGGAGCCAAGGTGACTTTGATTGGCAACAATTTAATCATATTTCACAGCCTCCTACAGACCTTGTTTTGTTCCAACCGAGGAAGAGAGGACCTGCTGCTACTCGAGTTTCCTCACCTCCACTGCACCCCGCTTCCCACTGTTCACCCCCAAAAGGGCTTAAGAAACATTCCTTCCAATCTGAGACAACTTTAGAAAGGAAAGAAAGAGGTGCGGCCTCTGGGATACCGCCTCTCTCTGCCTTCCAGTCATTTCTGTTTCATGCAGGAAGCAGAGCCAGCTGCAGCTTTCCAGGCTGGCAAAGGAGAGCTGGTGCATAACCGGAGAAAACCAAGCACGGGCAGCCAGCGAGGTTCTAAGTGTGACGCCACCCAGACGGGAAGGCACCTGGGACCTGGCTGGCCCCAACATTTCTCGGTGCTCTGTGTGGGGAAAGGATGTGCATGTGTGATATTGCACACACGGCACCCACAGGCTGCAAGTGCACACACACGGGGGCCTCTGCCGGCTGCACTTCTGTGCTGACACGTCAATCAGGAGGAGCACCAGCCCTTCACGCGGGGAGATCGTAAGAGGCGATGTTTGCAAAGGGCTGGCGAGCTGCGCAAACCAGCTGCTCGCTTATTAAATATAAGGGAGGAGCCGATGCTCTCAAAGATGGCAAGGAGGAGGGGCACAGGACTCTTCATTAATTTTTTAACTTCCTGGACTCTGCCGTCAGCCCATTTCAAAGTTATAGGCCACGTAGCCCTGTGTTCCAGCCTGTGATCAGGTTTAAAATGCTCAGCTTTCATGCTCATTCCACAGTTAAAGGCAAGCAGGATGTCTGGGGAGTGACAGGGAAGTGGGGGCTACAGTGACTCTAGGGAGGGAAGACACCTGCCCTGGCTCACGTTCTCAGGTTCACAGCCCCAGTGAACCGGCTGTGCCAAGGTGGTTCAAGGTGACATGCACCAAGCCAGGAGGACAGCCACCTGACAGCCCAGCAAGAGCACAGCCTTCCCAGAAATAGGACCATTCACATCTTTAGTTTGACACGAATGGTAGCATATTATAGATGCTCCTTTGAAGCTTGTTTCTTTTACACTGAGCAATGTATCCCGGAAATCGCTCCATATTCGCCCACAAGCATCATTATCCTTTTGACAGCTGTATATTGCTCCATCCTGTGGATATGCCATAGTTGATTAAACCCATCCTAGGTATGAACATTGAGGTTGTTCCTGATATTTCACTGTCACAAGCTATCTGATAATAAAGCATCTTGTGCATGTTTATTTTTGCATTGTTGGAGGGTAATTTCAGGGTGAATGTCTAGAGGAGGGATTTCTGGCTCCGAGGTAACTGCATATATAATTTTGTTACCAAATTCCCATGCGGAAGAGTTGAGCCACCAATAGGCACTGCTTTCCTTCATTTCTGGAGCTGGCTCCCAGGGGCCGATTTGGAGCTAGAATCTGCGCAAAAATTAACAACTGAATTACGTGAAAATGGGTACCAGAGCCAAAATTTAATGACTGTTTTTCTGAAATGTAGGGGTTTGGCAATCTCCCAAGCTCTCTGAGGGATTACAACACTAACAACGGAATGGTAGACGGCGACCTTTACTTTACAATGACTATGTTTTAATTCACTGCTTCTAAAAACTCTGTCACTGGTAAATAAGCCAGGGTGATCAGTAACCTTTCCCCATTTTACAGGCTGAAACACACTTAAACAGGGAGGGAGCCTAGGAGCCTCCCCAAAAGATGCACAGCACTTATTGCTAAAATAGAAGATGTGCTTTCCCCTTGATTTTGACCTTTAAAAGGGATTCCATCTTACCACATGGGACTATAAATAAGAATACTATTAAACCGTGAAGTGAGTGCCAGGGAGTCCAATGGAGTGTGTATTTTTCTTTTTGATGCCTCTCTTGATGCGTAAAAACACACAGTCAATCCTCATTATTCATGGATTCTGTATTTGCAAACTTGCCTACTCACTAAAATCTATTTGTAACCCCAGCATCAACTCGAGGTGATTTCATGGTCACTCCCAGAGGGGTGAAAATGTGGAGTCACCTCGTGTGTGGATTCCCAGCTGTGGCTGAACAAAAAAGCATTCTGTCTCTTTGTTTCAACTTTCATACTGTCAATGAGTGTCCTTTTTGTGGTCTATTTAGTTCCACATTTTTCGCATTTGGTGGCTCTCTGTTAGTGGCTTTGCTGTTTCAAATGGCCACAAGCACTGTTGAAGGGCTGGCTGTCTTGTGTTCTAAAGCACAAGGAGGCTGTGATGTGTGTTATGGAGAAAACACATGTTAGAGAAGCTTCCTTCAGGCATGAGTTACAGTGCTGTGGGCCACCAGTACGATGTTGATGAATCAACAACGTGTATTAAATCAGGCATCTTTAAGCAGAAACACATAAAACAAGTCTAGGTATTGACTGGTTGATGAAAATGTGGTGTCCCGAGGCTCCTAGGGGGCCTAGTCCTATATGCTCTCTAGGATCACTGGCTCAGTGTTTGCTAATTCAGTGTCCATGAACTTTATAGAGCAGAACTCTTGGAATAACAAGAATTACCTATAAAATTAATACTTTCCTCATCTTTGGTTTCCTTGCCAATTCTTAAGGGATGTGTATGGGATGCCTTGCCCATAAGCTATCACCAGATTCTTGGGTCAAGGGGCAGGCCTGGGTGGGCAAGGTCTCCATTCACCCCAGTCTTGGTGATTACCAAGGCTTCAAGGTGATGGCCTCCCTCAAATTCCAACATCAAATGAGGCTGGATTCTTGGGAGTGTCTGTGTGTCCTGGAGCCGTGCACTGGGCCCATCTCCGCAGAGGCCTTGTGTAGCATCCAACAATCAGAAAAAGGACAGCTTCTCCTGGTGTAATGAGATGATAAGCCTGTGGCACCCATTGGTGCTACAAGCTTTGATCTAGCAAACGTTTACTAAGGCCTTTTGGATGCCTGGCATCACATGCAGCACTGGGGATAAAAGGACAACCAAGACATGCTCCCTGTCTCAAAGAGCATGGAACCCAGTGGATGAGACCCACAGAGGAGCCAGTAATCATGACGTTGCTAAGACAGGCTGCCTAAGATGGGGCGGCTTTTCCTTAAAGGGCCACATGGTACCTATTTTCATCTTTGTTGGCCAGATGACCTCTGTCACCATTACTCAACCCTGTTGGTGTCCTGTGAAAGCAACCTAGACAATATGTAAATGATGTACATATCTATGTTCCCATAAAACTTTACTTCTGAAAGCAGACAGCTGGTCTATGCATCATGGTTTGCCCACCTCTGGCCTAAGACAGTAATCCGAATCAATTTGAGAGTTCCTGGAGCAACCAGTTTTGGAGACTCCTTGAAGGAGGTGGGGTCTGAGCCAATTCTTAGAGAATTTGTATTATTTTGTTAGCCTGGGATAGAGAGGAAGAACATTCCAGGCAGAATATTGTTGTGATGAAAACACATGCCAGTGACAGCCTTGGTCAGCAAATGAGCCCTCCTTTGCTTTCACAGCTCATCTGGTCACCCCCATGTGACTGAGAGCCAGATGAAGACAGGAGCTCATTTTGTAATTCATCTTTTTCTTTCTGAGAGCATTTGGCAAATCTCTGCCCCTTCGGTGCAGGATCAATCAGAATAAACATCTTACCCGGTCCTTAGAGCCCCTCGCTGCCTGGGCTAATCTACTTTAATTTGTGTCATCGTTGTCATCATCATCACCATCATCATCATCATCATCATTATCAACCTAATTTTCAATCCACAGTGGATGGCATTTGGCACTCTTATTTTCCCTCCTCCTCTACCCACCATGAAAATGCCTCTGATTTCTCCCGTGTGTGTCCTGATACTAACCCACGGTCCTGACAGCACAGCTGATCTTCATGAGTACATTTTTTTCCCCAGAATGTTGACTGTGAGGGTGGGGACTGGAACAGGAGAAAAGTGAGAAAATGATTTGGAAGGATAAATATGATGTTCATCCTTCCATTCTTTGGTTCCATCTTAATGAAGGACTGGGGCAAAGGGAATCACTGATCAGCTTTTCTCAACACACCAGAAGAGGGAAAAGTAAGAAAAGAAATGAAATACCACATTGGAAAGCTCAGTTGTGATTTTCTAAATTACTTATCACCTGCGCAGGATTAAGGGCTTATAGACGCTTCTTCGGGGAGTGTAACTCACCATGATTCATTCATGACCATTGATGAATCTGGACCCGTTCTTTGGGCGATGACGTTTCACCAATAGTCTTTGAAGAATGTGTGGTTCAGAGTGGGGTTTCTGGATCAGCTGCATTCACATCACTTGGAAACTTGTTTTAAATGTAAATTATCTGGCCCCCACCCTGACCTACAGACTCAGGTACTCTGGGGATGAGGCTGGACAATGTGCTTTACCAAGCTTTCAGGCGATTCCGATGCATGCTGGAGTTTGAGAACCCTTCCGCTAGGCAGAGTGGACAGCCCCCTTGCCCTCCCCGTGTGCTTTCCTGAAATGGGTGAACAACAATACAAGGAAGCCTCTGTAACCAAAATGTTGTGAATTCCTTCTGGTTCAGCTGAAATTCACCTTTTCATTATCTGTAAACAGAGGGCTTAGTATGGAAGTGAATTAAGTGAACAAAATTACAAGGCAGCTTATTCAAAGGGGAAAATTGTTTTTGGATACCTTATTACATTAATCGTCTATATGCAAATCATTTTTTCTAAATGCAAATGAGTCTCCATTATTAGAACAGATGCATGGAAACGCACCGTGAATATTCAAGTCAGCTCCCTGCTCATGCTTGAATGCGATCCAACAAAAATACCCTCTCATTTGGACCCTGCTGAAATTCAGGCCATTTTATCCACAAACTAGCAAGTAATTTCCTAGAGTGAACACCTGAGGAAAGAAATCTTCACTTTTATTGATAAATCGCTAATAAAATCCCCACATCCATTGCCCCTTCCAAATTTGGACAGATCGCTGCAATGGTACCTGAAAAATAATAAATGAAAAATGACTTGCAGTAAAGTGTGCCCCAGCTGATATTCTCACCAGACAAATTAACAGACAATCTCAGGACAGGAACATGCAAATAACCGAATGTTTCCCTAACTTCGTATTGACTTTGGCTTCTAAAATCAATTTTCTTTATTAGCAGATGAATCTCTGCAAAAGACTGGCTGTGCGGAATCTGGATAAATTATTTAAGCAGTAAATTGTTTCCATTCTAACTGGTAAGAGCAGGATGCTTTAATGGTATATAGCAGAAGCTAAGGGCCTGGGGCAAGGTCACCCTGGAGGGGAAAATGAGAGCTTAAGCAATCCACAAAACTATATCTTTGAGGTCAGAACCAGACAGGACATCCACACTGCACAACCCCCACAAAGTGCTGTTCAAATTGTAGCCTAAGTGTGATTAGGCAGCCTACGCACTGTGCAGCCTTACACAGTGGCTTTGGTAACCTCTCTCTCTCTCTCTCATTGTCTCTCTCTCCCCACCTCCCCATGATAGAGAGAGAGAGAGAGAGAGAGAGAGAGAGAGAGAGATGATAGATAGATGATAGATAGATAGATAGATAGATAGATAGATAGATAGATAGATAGATGATAGTTATATTAGATAGATGATAGATAGATAGATAATAGATGAAATTAGCATTTAGATAGATTAGATAGATAGATAGATAGATGATAGATAGATAGATTAGATAGATAGATAGATAGATAGATAGATAGATAGATAGATAGATTTGAGAGAGAGAGAGAGAGATAAGATTTATAGGATTTATTTTAAGGGATTGGATCATGTGATTATGGGGATTAGCTCTCCAACAGGGTAGAGACAAAGGGAAAAGTCAATGTTACAGCTCAAGAATGAAGGCTGCCTCAAGGCAGAATTCCTTCCTCTTTGGGGACCCCAGTCTTTCTCTGAAGACCTTCAACTGATTGGATGATGCCCACCTACATTATGGAAGGTCATCTGAGTTACTTAAAGCCTACTGATTTAAATGTTAATTTTATCTACAAAATAACTTCACAACAACATCTAGACTGTTGTCTAACCAAACAACCAGACAACAGAGCCAAGGCAAGTGGACACATAAAATTAACAGCTGATTTGTGTCTGCCAGCATCCTTTCCCCCTTTTGCAAGGAACTCAACTCACATGGTCCTTAGGAAGCCTCCTCTCCTTCACCCAATCCTTGGAACCATGTGTTTGGGTACACAGACTGAACCGTGGATTTCAGGTGTAGATTATGAGTCAGGCCTGATCAGTCAGCTTGTTCCTTTTCACTTCATGCTCACCTTCACTTCTTCCTACAGGCCATAGGGATTACTTTCAGCTTTCAGGATGGACACATAACCCAGGCTGGCCAATCAGAGTATTTTTTCTTCTTACCCTCTACTCCTGGCCAGTGTGGTAGATTCAGGATTGGACGGTAACTAAAGCAGTTCCTATGAGACCCTACTCAGGTGAAATTGTGTGAACTGTAAGAAGAACTGAGAGGCTGGGACAGGAAAGAGGAAAGCTTGTGAGTCCTCTAATCCATTTGAACCCCTTACCTAGAGTGTCTAGATGTTTCTATGATGAGACTGTAGGTTCTGATGTTAGCTCCAAGAGGGCAGAGCTTGGGTTCATTCACATCTCCACCTAAAATGCCTAGAACCATGCCTGATATAGAGTAGGAGCACTATGATTATATTTAAATGAATGAATGAATGAACCAATGATGTTCCATTCTTGCTTACACCTGTTGGATATCTGTCACTTGTACAGAAGCACATGCCTACATCAACCACAATAACCCGGGACAATGGACCATGGAATCTACCAAGACTTGTGGTATTGTTACAAATAAAGGCAACTCTACTTTTCCATCCAGGTCATAGCTAAGCTCACTCAAAAGCAAGTTGATTGGCAAAACAGGCCTCGTGTATTTTCTCCCTCCATAAGTGACATTTATACACTCCTGAAGTTTCTTCTTCTAACAACCTGCCAATGTTTCCCTGAAAATCAGTTGCTAACAAAAGAGAGACCTGGCTGAATACTAATGGTCCAGAATAGGAAACCCTTTTTGTGGGCTTCCAGGAATGCATGATTCAAAGGCAGGTGAGTTTAGGTATGGTCAAAAGATTCACAAAGAAGTTTAAAGTTCTTGCAACAAATGGGTTTCAGATTTCTTTTGTGTTGAGTTTGTATGTAGAAAGATTTTTCTCATGTTCATTGGCAGAAATAGCAGGCAATGGTTTTAACATGGAGTCACCAAACCATGAAAGTATTGGGGAAACCAAGGCTCCCAGTGTGGTGGAGATAGAAGGTCTGTGTGGTGGAGGTGGAGATGGAGGGTCCATGTTGGGTAGAGGTAAAGGGTCTGTGTGTGGTAGAGATGGTGGGGTCATATATGGTGGTGGAGGTGGAGAATTTATGTCTGGTGGAGATAGTGGGGTCACGTATGGTGGAGGTGGAGGGTCTGCGTGTGGTGGAGATGGAGGGTCTGTTTGTAATGGAGGTAGAGGGTCTGTCTGTGGTGGAGGTGGAGGGTCCGTGTATGGTGGAAGTGGAGGTTCTGTGTGTGGTAGAGATGGTGGGGTCATGTATGGTGGAGGTGGAGGGTCTATGTGTGGTGGAGATGGAGGGTCTGTTTGTAATGGAGGTAGAGGGTCTGTCTGTGGTGGAGGTGGAGGGTCCGTGTATGGTGGAGGTGGAGGGTCTATGTGTGGTAGAGATGGTGGGGTCATGTATGGTGGAGGTGGAGGGTTCATGTGTGGTGTAGGTGGAGGGTCTGTGTGTGGTGGAGATGGTGGGGTCATGTGTGGTGGAGTTGGAGGGTCTGTGTGTGGTAGAAGTGGAAGGTCTGTTTGTAGAAAAGGTGGAGAGTTCATCTGTGGTGGAGATGGTGTGGTCATGTAAGGTGGAAGCGGAAGGTCTGTGTGTGGTGGAGGTGGAAGGTCTGTGTGTGGTAGAGGTGGAGGTTCCGTGTGTGGTAGAGATGGTGGGGTCATATATGGTGGAGGTGGAGGGTCTGTGTTTGGTGGAGATGGTGAGGTCATATAAGGTGGAGGTGGAAGGTCTGTGTGTGGTGGAAATGGTGGGGCCATGTGTGGTGGGAAGCAGGTGACCCTGGGTCCCTGAGCCATGGGTCCCTCTGCTCTGGTGACTCTGGTCTGAGGGTTGTCTGGGATGGAGACTCTCAGTGCTACCTCTGGGGCTGTGAGGAGCTAGCTGGGCCCCTGGCTGAGGGCTTCTCACCCCGGCAGCACTGTGCTTTCTTCTTCTGTCTCCCCAAGTCAGCCCAGCCCTCTCCGAGGTTCACCTGCTCCTGAAGAAGGAAAATGTCCACGAACATCAGCTGATGAAAGATGTCTTAATCAGAAATCATGAGCCTCCAGAACTGACTGACCATGCGCGTTTGACTAAGATCATTCACAGAACGGTGCATGGGTGCCAGGTCAGGGCAGGCCTGGGGCAGGGGTGCAAGTGTCAGATTTAAATTTAATATGTGTTAGGGATTTCATTTTTCATCATGACTGAATGAACGTCAATCTCTACTTGCGGGCTTTCTGGGCCAGGGTGCCCACACCCTCAACAGAGAGTCTTGTTCAGTCCAGTGTTCCCTTTCTTGAAAGGCCCAGTCCTCACCAGCAGACTCAAGTGTCAGGATCAGCAGTGGGTCCCAGGGCTGTGCGTGGCCATCCAAGTCCTAGGGAAGCCTACTCAGGACCAGTGTCATCCACTCCCCAGCTTTGCTGGTGGTCCCGGTACATGCATAGCCCAGAAGATTCAGCACAAAATCCAACACCCATGCTGCATCTTCCTGGCCATTCCCCAGCCACCATGGCTGGAGAGACTCTGCCTCCCCACATGGCTTGCAGTGTGGGGGCACTTCCTCTGAGCTCTCTTTTCTGGACTATCCTCTGAGACCGTCTTAGCCACTCAGCACCACTTTCTTCTAAGCTGTCTGCCTTTTCCCTGAATTTCCACAGCATCCCAGACACAGTTGTTTGGGACCAGAGTCTGATCAGTCCCTGCAGCCCAATCTGCAATAGAATCCTGGGGCTGCCACACGTTGGCATCAACCCTGTGGCTTCAAACAACAGAAATTCACCCTCCCGCAGCTGTCGGGCTGGAGCTCTGAAATCCAGGTGTCTGCAGGGCCTCATTCTGCCGATGGCTCTCACGGTGGTTCTTCCCGGCCTCTTCCAGCTTCCGGTGGTTACCAGCAGCCCTCAGCATCTTGCTTGTCATCAACACGATGCATCCCTCCCATTCAGTGGCTGACTCCTCCCTGTGTCTTTACATCGCTGCCTCTGTCCAAACTTCTCCTTTTTTGTAAGGACACCAGTCATGTTGGATTAGGGCCCACCCCAAAGATTAGGGCCCATCCTAAGGACCCCATTTTTCATTTGATTACCTCTGTAAAGACCTTATTTCCAAATAGGGTCACATTCTGACATGCTGGGGGTTAAGATTCCAACTTATCTTTTTGAGGGACACAGCTCAGCTCACAACCCCTTCCACTCCCACAAAGCTCTGTTCCACTCAGCAACACAGGGGTGGCTGGAGAGCAATCAGAACTGCAGTCAGACATCTGGCAGCCCCCAGCTTCTGGCACTGACCTGTCCTGTGGGGTAGACACCAGGCGCTGACTCTACGTCTCCATCGCGCATACCTGTCTCCTTCCTCGTTCAGCCCAGGCTGGGGAGGCCATGCCTGGACACGAAGGCAACACTTGGCTTTCAACCTTACTCCAGCTCTATAGTAAGGACCTCGGCAGCAAGCACTCCTCACAGCTCAGAGCATCCCAGCCTGAAGAGCCTCACTCAGAGAAGAGTGACATCAGGGTACCCCTGGCCAGGGCCAACAGAATATCAGGGAGGAAGCTAGGTGGTAGAAGAGGATGTCTTGTCTTTGTGCCCCTAATTTGAAACTTCTCCCCTGAGTTAATTTCATGTTCTTCCTATAACTCTTCTCTCTAAAAAGGAAACATCGACATTTTTTAATTTCCCTGATCTTCTATTTATCTGTTTCCATATAACTTTACTTTCTCCCAACCCAAACCTGACTGTTCAGATCACAAGATGATGGCCCAGGAGAAAAGCTATTCACTGGCTCTTACAACAGATAATTCAAATAAGAAGTTGCCACCTCTGCTCTCCCAGAGCTGAGGGTTGGCTGGAGGGGACATGCCCTGCCCTGTTTCCTGGTGATTCTCCATAACCGAGTGCCATTAGCAGTGGACACAGAGCTGATCATGCCTTTGAGGGAGGGGCGTGAAGACTTCACGGGGGACCAGCACGTAGAACGGATCCAAAGGGAATCCCTAGGGTGACGATGTCATCACGCCAGGGAACGGTGCCCACTGCAGAGAATACTTGAGAAGCAAGGCTGGACAGGCTGGACAGGCCTATTGAGATCATTTATGAAGCTGTGTGGAGATGAGCTAAGAAGGAGAGACAAAATTCATCAGGCAAGCCTACGGACCCCACAACAGATACTCCCAGCCAGAGCAGGAAGCTGAGTGAGCAAAAGCACCCCAGAGCAGGCTCCTGCAAAGACCACGGTCCTCTGCAACTGACATGGATGGAATTTTGTCATTTGCCTTCCCTTCTATTCCCACCACTGTTCCTGGGCAGATCCTTTGAAGGCCCTCCTCCTGTAGGAGTCCAGATCATGCTGGCCTCAGAAGCCAAGGTCAGCTCATTAGAGCCACCTGCTGTGAGAGGCTGTCACATGTGTCTCTCCTAAGGATGATTTATCCCAGTGGCCCCATCTCCTCCGATGTCAGAGAGCCTTTGCAAAGTGCTTTGCTCCCCAGAGGGGTTACCTGTGACCCAAAGGTTTGCAAAGCTGTCAGCAGCCTTGACCATGGGAAGCCTGGCTCTGCCCAGCTGTCGGCTCCAGCCTGGCAGGGACAGGCCATCTATTTCCCAGGGGACCCAGGGCCCTGTCCAGGACTGGCTCCTGCAGATAGCTGCAGCAGCAGGGGCCAGGGTCTGGGTTAAGCACTGCAAAGTGGACGATGATTTCAGGGAACCACAAGTGGGCAGCCTGCGTGAATTAACGCGACACTTCATGCATGCTTAATAAAGCTTTTGTTCCGTGTTTAGGAATTAATATAAACATATCGAACTGTCCACAACAGAGCTGCCTGAAGAAGCCACGGGGCTCGCCCCTAGTGGAGGTTGGGGGTCTGATTCATCAATGGATTAATGCGACATGCTCGGCGTTGACCGAATCACCGCGCTTTTCTCAGGATGAATGATTAACGCGTTATTGGTGGAAGTGATTAGAATGTTTACCCTTGCCTTTCTTGCTTCTTAGACTCTCTGTCCTGTTAGGATGTCTTCGTCAGCATTCACCTCCATCGTATATAAAGTGCCGTTTCTAATCTACCTTGTTTAAAGCAGCTGACTGGGGCAATCTGAGGAGCATGTGTCTGGAAAGAGCTGCACGTCTTTCCCGTTCTGCAATGGTGTTCACTTTTGTGACAAACTTTTTGTAAATAGGAGCAAGCGTGGAGGCCATCCTGCTTGCGACAGTCTTGTGCTTTGCTGAAAAATCAGCATCATTTCCTAAGGATTGCTCCACCGAGCTGCCTCCTCTGGCAACTAACTCCAGTCCCGGGCTTCTGATGGGACTCAGCCAGCACCTCACCTATCAGTGATAACCCTCTGCCCACCTTGTCCCCAGACTTGTGCTCTGTGATCAAGACATGCACAAGCAGACAGCACAGGAGGCTCGCGGCCATCGCAGAGCAGCAGGCTGCACCTAACTTCCAGCCAGCAAGCACTGGAGCCAGGACAGGTGCCTGCAGGCTTTCTTGGGAGAAACACTTCACATTTAAAAACAGCAAGGCTTTGCATTGTGTGGATAGAGGGAAAAAAAAGACGGCTCGTAAGAAGTGGCAATCAATATGCCTCACTTTTCCATCCAAAGCTATTTCCAATCTGTCTCAAGCTATTTGTTATTAGGCTCTTCAGCATTAAAAATGTTCTGTATTTAAGTCAAGGCGAGTGCAGGCACTGGAGGAGGTCGCGGGGAGCTCCCTCCTTCTCACTCGCTCTAATCTTGTGATTCTTCCAGCTCAGGGGTCACTAAACCGTGGTGCAGCTACACCCGGCCCACCACTTGTTTTTGCCCAGCCTACAAGCTAAGAATGGTTTTTACATTTCCAAATGGTTAGGAAAAAAGTCAAAAGAAGGATATTATTTTGTGGCAGGTGAAAATTACATAAGAATCAAATTTCACCATCCACAGATAAAGTTTCCCTGGAATGCGGCCACGCTTGTTCATATCCAGGTGGCCTCTGGTTGCTTTTGTGCCACGACTTGGAGTGGAGCCACTCCCACAGGGGCTGCACCGCACGCGAGGCCTGGAGTGTTCACTGCCGGGCCCGTGACTGAGAGAGCGTGCTGACCCCTTCTTTAGATAAGTTGTCATATATGGAAGGAAAAGGGCCAGGGTGTTGAGGAGCCTACGTCAAAGTTTGGTTGGAATATGTGTTTAGAAATTAAATTTATCTTCTCACAGTTCTAGAGGCCAGAAGCCTGAAACTCAGGGTCAGCAGGTCACGATCCCTCTGCAGGCTCTTCCTTCCTGACTCCTCCAGGCTCTGGCGGCTCCAGGAGTTCCTTGGCTTGTGGCTTTATCACGTGGCCATCTTCTCTGTGGCGTCTGTCCTCCCCTCTTCTTAGAGGCATACTCGTTGTTGGATTTAGGAGCCACCCTATATTCAAGATGACCTCACTTCGGCATCCTTTACTTCATTACATTTGCAAAGACCCTTTTCCAAATAAAGTCACCTTCACAGGTTCACAGGAGTTAGGGGTGAACATATCCTTTCAGGGCAGAGAGCTGGGGTCTGGGAATACTTTGCCCTTTAACTTGGTGGTGCAGTCACTGTTCTCTTCCCACAGCAATGCAGTTGGACCAATCATTGGCCTTCTCCATTGTTTCTGCTCCTGGGCGTTGGGGGGCATTCCCCAGCCTTCTGCCAAGGGCGGCAACCTCTGGACAGAGAGACAGCCAACACTTTCTCTGTAAGTCCAGCTACCTCTAACTCCGTCAGTAGAAATGAACAACCTCCCACTTCTGTAGAGCGTTTCCAAGGCAGCCCATTCACAAACATGCCACTCATGGCTACAGACTGTGCATTCCACTCGCCTGTAATGTGGGGATTCAATGGAGACATTGCAGGTAGAGGGCAGGGCTATCTCAGGGCTATCTCAGGGCTATCTCAGGGACACGATGGAGACGTGCAGGTAGAGGGCGGGGCTATCTCAGGGACACGATGGAGACGTGCAGGTAGAGGGCGGGGCTATCTCAGGGACACGATGGAGACGTGCAGGTAGAGGGCGGGGCTATCTCAGGGACACAGTGGGTACATGAAGGTAGAGAGCAGGGCTATCTCAGAGACATGATGGTGACATGCAGGTAGAGGGTGGGGCTATCTCAGAGACACAATGGTGACATGCAGGTAGAGAGCGGGGTTATCTCAGGGA
The DNA here is from genome assembly GCF_000001405.40 of Homo sapiens. NCBI lineage: Eukaryota > Metazoa > Chordata > Mammalia > Primates > Hominidae > Homo > Homo sapiens. Next base: position 4,514,972 of record NC_000001.11, on the reverse strand, counting down.
CACTATGGAGATGTGTAGGTAGAGGGTGGGGTTATCTCAGGGACACAATAGTGATGTGCAGGTAGAGAGCAGGGCTATCTCAGGGACACAGTGGGTACATGAAGGTAGAGAGCAGGGCTATCTCAGAGACACAATGGTGACATGCAGGTAGACGGCAGGGCTATCTCAGGGACATGATGGAGAGGTGCAGGTAGAGAGAGCAGGGCTATCTCAGGGACATGATAAGGATGTGCAGGTAGACAGGAGGGCTATCTCAGGGACATGATGGAGACCTGCAGGTAGAGGGCAGGGCTATCTCAGAGACATGATGGTGAAGTGCAGGTGGAGGGCAGGGCTATCTCAGGGACATGATAAGGATGTGCAGGTAGAGAGGGAACAGGGCTCTCTCAGGGACACTGTGGGGATGTGCAGGTAGACAGGAGGGCTATCTCAAAGACATGACACAGTCATGCAAATAGGGAGCAGGGCTATCTCAGGGACATGGTGGGGACATGCGGGTAGAGAGAGGGGCTATCTCAAGCCTACTGCCCTTCCTCTTCACATTGCAGTGGCCCTGCGGGGGCTGTTAAGGCCAGGGTGGGGGTTTGGGAGCGCACAGGGGAAGGCCCATCTGGGTCTTCTCCTGGAGAAAGTTGAGGAGAATCCAGAGGCCTGAGCTGCCTTTCAGGCCCCAGCATGGTTCGTGCCCATGGGAACTGGCACACACACACCCCTGACCATGGGAACACCCTTAATAGAGGTTTAACCTTGGCATGCCTGATAAGCCACAGAAGTCCTGGCTTTAGACCCATTTCCTAAGATCCCCCAGGACAGGCCTGGTACCCTTGGGTTCTGGATGCCCACGGAGGAGACAGAGGCTGCAGGAGCAGAACACCACCTCCTGCTCCCAAGGATCAAGGGAGAGGCCTCTGCTTTGTCATCCCCTCAAGAAGGAGCCACCTTTCCCAGCCCAGGAGGCCAGCTCCTCATGCCAGGCAGCAGGGCCGTGGAGAATTCCCTCCAGCAGCCTCCCTGGAGCCGAGCCTGGTTTCCCTCCCCACACTGGCTATTGCTCTCCCTACAGAAAGCCATATTGCTGGGAAAAGAGCTCATTTATTGACTGGGTAATAGAAAGTCTGCCGGCTCCACTTCGTAGCTTTATATGCAAATTGCGTTTAGATCGTCAAACCTGCTTTTCCCTCATCATCAGGCATGAACAGAAATCAGCTCAGCTCACACCACACAAAACGGGACCTGCTTGGGGGAGAGGGGCCTGGCTGTCTTCTGGATTCTTGGGTTCTAGTACCTGCATCCTAAAGGAGAAATCACGGAGTTTCCCCAAAGCTGAGTGGATGAGGGGAAGGCTGGGTGGGAGGAGGGGAAGGCAGGGCCCTGGGGGCAGCTTTGTACAGACACGGTGGGAGTGAGATGCTAGGTTGCAGCGCAGGTCTGGGAGTCAGAGGCCCAGATGGGGCACATCTTGGGTTGTCCATCTGGCAAATTCCTCCGCTGTGACCTCACTTTTCTGATCTGAAGGGAAGTGGGGCAGATGGGTGGTTTGGTTCCTGTCCACCTTGAATGGTCTGTGACCCCTCTAGCTAGGCATGGATTAATTCACTCCCTCACCTCTGTTGTCTGGGTCAGCAGCCCACCAGGATAGGAGCATGGGGGTGAGATTTCATGAGGTAGATGGGACCCCAAAGGCTGGAAATGTGGGGGACGGTGCTCCCTGAGAAGTGCCCCCTGGGATGTCGTCACACTCTCCCTCCGTGACTGTACTCCTGGCCACCCTCCTCCCCTCTGCAGGGCTAAAACCAGGGCAGGAGGGCAGTGTGCCTGCCCCCTCTTTCCAGGCATCAGCTTTGTTCCCAGGACTCATGGCCAGGCCCCCAGGACAGGGCAGGGAGTGGAGGGAAACAAAACAGGTTTTCAGGAGAAAAAGGAGCCCACGGGCTGCCTCCATTCCCTGTCCTCCCTCTCCCCACCCTTTCCCATCTGTCTGCTAACAGCATTTGGCCTTTCTTGGGATTCCTGCCCAGAGGAATCTATCAAAAGAGTTAGGAGAAAAAGCAGGAAATCCCTCAGCCATGAGAATCACACAGCAAGATGATGTTCCTCTGTGGTTCTTGGATGAGGCCCCAGCCCCTCCTGGCCCTGAAACCTAATTAATTTTACGTAACAGAACCTAGCCGGTTCTGGAAACTGCCTGGGCTGGGGAGAGAGGAAGCACATCGGGGAGGGGTGAACAGTCACGGGGGCATTGGAGGGACGTGGAGGAGACTTATGGGATATGGCTTATGATTTAACGGCAGCCACAGCTGCTGTGGCCTAGACTTGCCATGAGAGAAAGAGGAGGTTCCTGGGGAAGAGAGCCAGCAGGGCCTCCTGGGAGGTGGGCAACTGCTTGTGAGTGCCCTCTTTTCGTCTCCCTCTCCCTTCCTCCCTTTCCCATCTCTTTCTGTCTCTTCATCTCTGCCTCTGCCTCTCAGTCTCTTTCTGTCTGTCTCTCCATCACTGTTTCTTATGTCTCTCTCTTCCCCTCCCCCTCTTTCTCTCTCTGATTCTTCATCTCTGCCTCTGCCTCTCTGTCTCTTTCTGTCTCCTCATCTCTGTCTTCCCCTCTCTTTCTCTTTCCCATTCCTCCTGCAAACATGCATTGGGTGAGCTGAGCTGAGGAGGTACCAGGTCGGGGGACGCTGAGCTCCTGGGTCCACCTGGGCAACAGGCTCTGCCATGGAGGCATCCTAGTCGGTCAAGTTCCTCACTAGTTGGGAAGTGGATGGCCACAATGCTCTGAGAAGACCAGTAAGATGTTGACCCCACGAAAGGGTCCCCAAAATGCAATAACAAATCCTAAGGGGTTTCCCCATCTCTGGTCTCTCAACTCTGGTCAGACGTCTGCACACTCCACACCGGCCATTCCTCCCCACATCCCTGTTTTCCCCAGATCCCTGCCTGGGTGGCAAATGCCAGTGATTCCCATTGCAGAGTCACCCTCCAGCCTCACACTGGAGGATTGGAGGCTCGCCCCGGCAGCCCGGTATGGCTCAACGTAACCTCCTGTTGAAAGCCACCGTCAACAATGCACAAATGAATGGGCGCCGCCTAGTCCCGACCGAAGTCTAGGTATGGACACCAAAAGGGGAATTTCATAGAATTTTCATGTGTCAAGACGGAATATTTTTCTTTTGATTTACTTTTTCAACCAGCTAAAAATGTAAATACCATTCTCAGTTTGCAGGCTTTGCAGAACCAAGCAGGTTCTGCATTTGGCCACCCTACTTTAAACAGGGCCCTGCAACAGTGGACTACATGACACCACCTTCCACACCCATCGCCTCCCCGCCCTCCCTTCCACCCACTGCCGCGCTCCTTGTCCCCTTGGCCAGGCTGATCGCTCCGCACGAGGCTCCCGGGGGGAACCTTCCCTGGAGCCCCGCAGATGTGTGCGTCCCACAGCTCCATCGGGTGCCTCCGTCTGACTCTGCCATAGCTGCTTGCCTCTGCATGTCAGCAGGTCCTGGTTGCCCCTCTAGGGGTGCAGAGAAGAGCAGGGCATGACCACCCCCAGCAGGCATCGGCTGCATCTCACCTGGGACTGTAGGGATGTTGTGTGTCCTCTGGGACTCAGGCCTCTTGACGGGCTGGATGGTATCGAACTGGTTTGGGGAATGCAAATGGTGAGAAGATGACCAGGAAGCTAAGATGCTGTCCTTCCTGACTGGATGCAGACACAATCTTAGGAAGTCATGACCCCTGATAACAGCCACTGGCTTCTTTTCCCTTTGAGGAGTGGATCCTAAGAGTATCACCTGGGTCAGGAGGTCTCATTCATTCTCTGCCTGAGTGAGTGGGAATGAGTCAGTAGTTCTCATTCACTCTCCACCAAAACACGGTAGGGCCCTTTGGATTGCCTGATGGTTAAAGTGTTAAAGTGTCTGTGCCACTACTCAGGATTTTAAGAAGCTTCTAGATTGTGTAAGCCACACCTTGTGACTAGACAAACAGCCTGCATATCTGCCTCTAAGGTCGGTTTTGAGAGAGACTTAGCTGTGGTTCTCCACCAGGGATGATTCTGCTCCTCAGGGAATATTTGGCAGTGGCTGGAGATATTTTAGGTTGTCACACTCTCGGGAGGCCAGGGATGCTGCCAAGCTCCTACAGTGCACAGGACAGCCCCCTCAACAGAGGCCTCCCACCCCAAACATCAACAGTGCTGAGGTTGAGAAGATTTGGTTGACACACCCCACAGGGCTCTGAAAGACATCAAAGAAGGCCTCCTCCCCAGCTGGTTCTGTGGAGACCTTGATCAGAACTTTCTGTGGTTAAGGCCGCTGTGCCATTTCAGTTCTTTTCCAGAAACAGCGATTGTGTAGGAATGTGGGGGGCTGGCAGGCCTCCTTCATGGAGCTGGAAGGCAAGTTGCACCAGAACTCATTCATGCCATCACCAGCTCTTGGCAGCTCCTCTGATGAGCAAGGCGTCTCCAAGTTCTCATGGGAGACACATACTCTCTGCCCTCTGCCTGCACAGTACACAGACAGCGAGGGCTGTCCTGGAAGTGTGAAAGCTCTGTTGGCTTGCAATAGCTTTTCTCACACCTCTCTCAGCTCAGGGCCATAAAAATAGCAGGATCAGGACATCAACACAAGCCTCCCTCTGAGAGTTACACAAGGGCAGGGTGTTGAGAATTCAGGGCTATGCTTTGAAATCAATACCAAAGTGTGGCTACATTCCCCTGGCCCTACAAAGAAGCCTGCAATTCTATTATAAATTCATAATCCATTAATTTGTCTTGGCTATGTCCTAAATTCCTCTGTATTTTCAGTTAGTGTCATTTCATGGAAGTGATAAGCACCAAACCTGTGCTCCCTGGAAGGCTGGTGCACCTCGATTTGGAGGGAACTTGGCTGCATTCACGACCTGCCCTCGAATGATGCATTCTTCCCAGTAAAACGTGATGGGTGGTGATGACGGTATTGCAGCTCCTTTGATCTGAGGAAGGCTGGGGAAGGCCTGGGTTTCACCCACAAGGCATATGGTGGGTGTCAGGGGGAGATTTTGAGGCCTCCACCCTCCTTCTCAGGGCCTGTTCTCTTAAAGCCCTCTCCCTACCCCACCGCTCAGCAGAGGCAGCTGTATTGTGTCCTGGACTCCTCCTGCCTGCCTAGACTCAGGCCACCAAAGGCAGTCACCTGGCCAGTGCCTGGCACGATACCTTCTCCAGAGTCCAAGCTGAGGATGCAGGGATGGCCGCTGGTAAGCACGGGGAAGGCAGGAGTGAGTCTCCTTCAGTGCAAAGCTGTAAGCAGACAGTACTGGGGGAGCAAAGGCAAAAAGCAGAGAGGGCAAAAGGAGCCCGGGGGAGCCAGGTGGCCTGAAGTATGCAAACGCCCAGTGAACCTGAGGGCCCTGGCCCAGCCCCCTCAACTCCCAGGCACATGCACGGGTTAACTCCCAACACTGAGGATAACCTCCCCAATCTGAGCCACTTTGAGTGAGCTTCTTTTCCTTGCAGTCAAGAACTTTGAGGGTGCAGCGCTCTGTGCACAGGGGATTCTCTCAATGCTGGGGCACAGACGGCCGCTTGGACTTTCTATTCAGGAAGGAAACTTTGACTCCTCGGGCCAGCCCTGCTTGCTGTGGTGTGTGCCCCCCCGGCAGTTCCTTCACCTGCCTGAGCCTCTGAGTCCTTCCCCACCCTTCTCACAGAGCTGGCTGTGAGAAGCAAATGAGAGAAAAAACGGGGGACAGTGTCCCCCTCATAGAGAGCCTTCCCACCCTGACTCACGACCCTGCCTGCCAGCAGCAGATGAGTCAAAAAAAAAAAAGAAATGATCCACACACTTCCTATCTAAACACACACACACACACACACACACACACACAATGAGCTGGGTGTGGTGGCATGTGTCTGATGTGTCTGTAGTCTCATGTAGTCTCAGCTACTCAGAGACTGAGGTGGGAGAATCTTCCTGAGCCTGGGAAATCAAAGTTGCTGCAGTGAGCCATGGTTGCATCACTGCCCTCCAACCTGGGCAACAGAGTGAGACCCTGTCTCAGAAAAGAAAAGAAAAGAAAAGAAAAGAAAAGAAAAGAAAAGAAAAGAAGAAGAGAAGAGAAGAGGGAAGGGGAGGGGAGGGGAGGGGAGGGGAGAAAAAGAAAAAAAAAAAACATGAAACGATCCACATGGGCCTGGGGGCAAGACGAGAGAGGCAGGAGGTCCCAGGGGGCCCCATGTGGCCTGGCCTTTTGGTTTTGTGGGTTTGCCTCAAGCCAGTGTTCTTCCCACAAGCTCCTTTCTGGCCCGAGCTGCTTGGAGGTGGGTTTCTGCCTCTTACAGACCTGACTCACGGAGTGCCTTCGGGGCACTGTAGATTTCTTTTTTTTTTTTTTTTTTTTTTTTTTTTTTTTTTTTAATATATAGATTTTTTTTTATTATATTTTAAGTTCTAGGGTACATGTGCACAACGTGCAGGTTTGTTACATATGTATCCATGTGCCATGTTGGTGTGCTGCACCCACTAACTCATCATTTACATTAGGTATATCTCCTAATGCTATCCCTCCCCCCACCCACAACCCCCTTCCTGTGTCCATGTGTTCTCATTGTTCAATTCCCACCTGTGAGTGAGAACATGTGATATTTGGTTTTTTGTCCTTGCGATAGTTTGCTGAGAATGATGGTTTTCAGCTTCATCCATGTCCCTACAAAGGACATGAACTCATCATTTTTTATGGCTGTATAGTATTCCATAGTGTATATGTGCCACATTTTCTTAATCCAGTGTATCATTGTTGGACATTTGCTATTGTGAATAGTGCCGCAGTAAACATATGTGTGCATGTGTCTTTATAGCAGCATGATTTATAATCCTTTGGTTATAGGGGCACTGCAGATTTCAAAGCCCCGGCCTTTGACCGCAGAGAGGGGCTCAAAAGGTAGCTCTGAGACTTAGGAGAGCCAGGCCATCGTCCCTGTGAGTGACCCCAGGCAAGAAAGCTCAGACGTCTGCTGCTCCCACGTGACACGGGGTGAAAATTCATATTCTAACCCCCTGCCATGTTAAGGGGCTCCGAGGAGGCAATGGTTGTGAAATCATCTTGAACCGATAAAAGTTGCTAAAAGGAAAGGCATTCTTATCACCATGAGTCCAGTCTCTGTGTCTCCATTGAAAATTTGACTCTAATCAATTCACCACTTCTTGCCGGCTGTGTCGCATCAGCACTAAGGGCTGGGAGCAGAAAGTCCTGACACCACAGTTTATGGTACCTGTGACTTTCCTTTCAGACACACTGCTGAAAAGAGCAAGATGCCTAGAGTCACCCGCTCTGCTCTCCACCTGGCAAGCAAATATCTCTCCTCCCGCCAGGAATGATAATGCCCCCAAATGTGCCTGCCTGTCCTCCCCATGAAAGATGGTTTGTCTTCAGTCCCGTGAAGTGCCAAAGAAACAATGCAGCTGCCAAAGGAGCTGGTTCTGAACACTCTGCCCTCTGTGGCCTCCCGCTGCCTGATAGAGGCTGGGTCTCCTCCTCCTCTTCTGGGCAAGGTGGCCCTGCCAGAGTTAGATGGACTGAGCAGAAGCCGGTAGGAATCAGCCTTGCTCAGCACAGATTTGGGGAAAACACTCATAAAAGTCTCCAAAGTCTTTACCCTTAAAGCACTGTCTGAGCAGAGTTTTTGCTGAACACAAAAGAGTTATCTGGGAGCCTGGGTGGATGGTCCATCCACTCTGCATCCCAGGCAACTTGGCCTCCTGAAACCCCTTCCTTCTCTGTAAGCTAAGATTTCCTCTGCATGCCAGTGAGGGGTGAACCAAGCCAGCTCCATCTTCCAAAGACCCACGCAGGACAAACAAGGCAGCAGCTGCTGAAACATAGTCACCTCCCTACAGGGGCCTCACGCAGGTTCCGTCCTTCTGCTCTAGCTCATCACTTAGTACCGTGTCCTCCAGCTTCACTCACTTTGCCACAGATGACAGGATTTCCATCTTTTTTAAAGCTCCATTGTAAGTATAGATCACATTTTTTAATCCATTTATTCATTGATGGACATTTAGGGTTTTTTCCACATCTTAGATATTGTGATGTGAGGTATGTAAAATAGTCAAACTCAGAGAAACAAAGAATGGAAGAGTGGTTGCCCGGGCTGGCGAGGGCAGTGGAAATTGAAGTTGCTGTTGGATGGTCATAAAGTTCCAGTTACGCAATATGTAAGTCCCAGCGATCTGCTTCTGTTAAGAGGGTAGACCTCATGTTGTGTTCTTGCCACAATAAAAAATAAAGAAAAAGAAAGGCAGACTCCTCCAGCTCCCAGCAAGAAAGCCTTGACCACCAGCTCCTTCCCTACCTGTGGGTCCACTGCCAGGAGCCTGTGTGCTAACTTCTAACTGATTCTGAAAGCTCAAGTCCTCCTCTCTTTAATCCTCAGTCAAAATCCCTTCGCTTGGTTCCCTGGACGTGTAGTCAAAGACACATACTTCCAGCAAGAGAAAATCTGTTAAGAAAGAAACACCTGGTCCTCAGGGGGTCACATCCGCTTAGTCAATATCTGAGCCCCTGATGCAGACTCACTTAAGAAAATGTTCCTTTACTGGCAGAAATAAATGGCCACTTGTCCCAGAATGTAATGTCTCAGCTCTAGTAAGGAGACGTTTTTGCCAGCCTGGAGCACCTGTCACTTATTGAGGAGCAGAGCACCCATGAGCCTGCACGTCGTGCACACGGTTGGGGAGGCTCAGACGGTGCTGTCTCTGAGTCTTATGGAGCACGGCATCCATTTCCTCTGGTCTCCATCAATGTTCAGGCTGGGGAGAGGGAGGAGCGATGTCTGAATATTCATGATATGCAAATCGCAGGAAGCAAAATTGCCAGCAATTTACCTGCTATCCCTCCCGTTTTCTCCGCCACACCCTTGGACCAAGCATCCTCGGCAGAGATGTGCATTCCTGTGGCCAAAGCTGTCGTGGTGACGATGGTCTAGATTTGACAAGGTATTCAAGGGGAGCTGTCTTCAAGGTGTTCTGTTCTGTATTTTCCTGGGGAGGAACAGTGGCTCATAACACATTTAAGGGGAGGAGGTTAACTGATATTTCTTGCATGAGAGGCATAGGGTCCCTGAGAAGCAACTGCTAGGGGCTGAGTGGCTTTTTTCCATCTCTTGCCATTTGTCACTTCATTTTCTTTATCACACTTTAGACCTTTAAAGTCAGGAAGGTGGAGAGATGCTGGTTTGGATGCGGCTTCCTCCTCATTGCTCTGTCGCATGCCCCTTATCTCATGGAGATGTGAGGAGAAGGACAAGAGACACCCACCAGGGAATGTGAGTGGAGTTGCTCGGTGAGTGGCCCGGACGGGCTTCAAGACCTGTGCGGTTGAGGGCTCCATGCTCAGAAGGGTTAAACCTGCCCTTGGTTTAAGGCTGCGCTGTGATGGTCCTTTGCATTTGCATTTTGCACTGGAATCTTGGCTTAGTCTCTTCTGGCTGCCCTAACAGAGCGTCATAGACCGGGTGGCTAGCACACCGCAGAAACGTATTGCTCGCAGTTCCAGGTAGAGGCGCCGGCAGATTCAGTGTCTAGTGAGGTCCTGTTTCTTGGTCACTGCATCCCCATGTGGTGGAAGAGGCTAGCTTCCTTGGACCTTTTTTATAAGGGCATGAATTTCATGATGGGGTCCCCCTTATGACCTAATTACTTCCCACCTTTTAATACCATCACCTTAGAGGTTAGGATTTCAACATATGAATTTTGAGAGGGCCTAAACATTCAGTCCACTGTAGCCCTGCAAATTAGGTCTCTGGCCCTGGTTATGGGGGTGCTGGGCTCCATCCATCAAATGTGAAAAGGAAACCCTCCCTCCTTTAGAAGAAAGCACAGGGCCTGCTTCTGGAGGTCTGAGGAGTCCTCAGGGACTTCAGGAGGGTCTGTCTTTAGTTTTGGGAGCCCCCAAGGGTGAAATTGAGGACCTACCAGGTGAGACGATACCTCCGGGACAACTTGGCCATCTTCCCCGCCTGGCCCGAGCACCTTGTGGCTCACATTCCCCAGGAGACCATGGTCAGTAAACAACTGCAGTCTCACCTCTGCAACCTCAGGTTGCTAGAACCCGAAATAAACAGTTAAGTCATGAACACATATGCAAACGCCACCTACTCAGAGTGCAATGACTCGAGTTCCGAGCAGGAATACCCAGGTCCACCCAGAGCTGCACTGCTTTTACCATGCTGACCTTTTGCATTAGTGTGATAATATCAATTTTGTATAGGGTCCTAATCAAAATGTTCCAAGTCTGGCTCCTAATGTTTGTTAGAGCTTGCCTTCGCTGTCTAGGATCTGATCAAAGCTCATGCATTGCATTTCATGGACACGTCTCCTTTGTCTAATTTATTCTAGAACAGTTCCCTTGCTTTAGTTTTGACTTTATTTATGTCTAATGATTGACGTTTGGAAGCATTTGGGACAGTTGTTTTATAGAATGCCTCGTAACTGGGATCTGTCTGTTTCCTCACAATTAAATTCAGGTGAAACCATTTTTGTCCAGATCCTGAGTCCTTCTCAGTGCACACGATGCTGGTTTGTCTCATTAGGGGTCAGAATGGTGCCCATCTGATCTCTGCACCAATGGTGCCCACCTGATTTTTCCATCAATAATGCTCATCTGACCTCTCCATCAAAACACACCTTTTCCATGGGTGAGGAAGGGAGTGCTTCGTGAGAGTGAGACACTGTTTATGAGTCAGCTCAGGCAGCTGGAGAGCCAACACCACACCCCGGGGGCCTTCAACAGCAACTTATTTCCTCACAGTCTTGAAGGCCGGAAGTCCAAGATCAAGGGGTTTCAGGGCAGGTTTCTCCCGAGGCCTCTCTCTCCTTCACTTGCAGAAGGCTGTCTATTTTCTGTGTCTTCACAAGGCCTTCCGTCTGTGGATCTGTGTCCTGGTCTCCTCTTCTCATGAGGACACCCGTCCTATTGGACTAGAGTCCATCGTAATGACCTCGTTTACCTTAATGACTGCTTTGAAGACCCTCTTTCCAAATATACCACCTCCTGAGGTGCTGGGGGTAAGGACTTCCACATGTGAATTTGGGGCTGGACACAAGTCAGCCCACGGCAACCTGCAGCTTCTACCCAAAAGTTTCAACATCAATTGATGGCCTTGCTTGCCTGTTGTGTTACAATGGTGGCTGCAAAACAGGCACATTCTAACCTATCATTCTCTGATTCCATGACCTATGAGACTTCTTTTTTCTAGAAAAAACTGTTCACTCATCACCCTTTTCCAGACCTTTCTGGGTACCACTACAGACAATGGAGTTTCTTTTAAATCTCAGTGTCTTTTCATCTGTCCCCAGCATTATTCTTCTGATACATCATCCCACATTGGGCCATTGGGGACCCCTCAGGCTGTCCCTGGGCCCTTTCTGTCTTTCTTTCTTTCTTTGTTTTTTTGGAGTCTCACTCTGTTACTCAGGCTGGAGTGCAGTGGTGAGATCTCGGCACACTGCAGCTTCCATTTCCTGGGTTCAAGTGATTCTTCTGCCTCAGCCCCCCGAGTAGCTGAGATTACAGGTGCACACCACCATGCCTGGCTAATTTTTTGTATTTTTATTGGAGATGGGGTTTCACCATGTTGGCCAGGCTGGTCTCGAACACCTGACCTCAAGTGATCCGCACGCCTCGGCCTCCCAAAGTGCTGGGATTACAGGCATGAGCCACCATGTCCGACCTGTCCATGGACCCTGTGCTTGCTTGCTGGCTGCTGACACAGCAGAATGGTCCAGGCCCCCAGCACTCTCCCTGCCCCATACCTGGAATCGGCCACTTCTCCATGATGTGCTGGGCCCTGTTAGTGGGAAGCAGTATTCATAAACTGAGGTCTGGGCATAGACAGTTCCATTTTGTTTTGTTTTGCTACTAGCGCCTTTCAGAGACATGTGTTTTTGAGGGAATTTAGATTTTCAGAGTTCTTTTAACTAGGTTTTATTAAAAAAAAACCCTGTTACAAAAGAATTAAAATGTCCTTGAGGCCACATTTTGTCATACACGGAGAAATATATTAAAGGCTGAAGGAAAACAGAGTCCCTACATGGAGAAATATATTAAAGGCTGAAGGAAAACAGAGTCCCTACATGGAGAAAAGCCAACGGCGGGACCTCTCAGGAACCCTCGCCCAGACTAAACGTATTTGAAATTTTACAAATTTTGCAAAAGAGCCACTGCGTTGTGATTGCTGCACATTTGGAAATGACTCTAAACTTTCATCCAAGAGAGAGAGCTGCAGGTCCATGGAACGGCAGAGGGAGAAGGTCTTACGAGGCGCTATGACAGAGCAGGAAGAGGGGTTTGTGAATGTCGGTGCAGGAAAGCACAAAACACCCCCATTGCCTTAGGAAATAATGGGTTTTGCACCTCCAGTGATGGCCCCAGAATGAGATGTCGCCAGGAATAAAAGTGTTGGTTTCCTCCTCAAATGTTCTTCCCCAACCCCTCGAGGCAGAGTTCTGCCCACATCTCTATGTTCCCCTGCAACTTGGCGTCACAGTCAGGCTGTGTACACGGCAGTGCTGTCTCCCGGACTCTGACTTCTTTGAGGTCTACGTCTCGAGCATCTACTCTGTGTCAGGCCTGCAGACACAATGAAGAGCATCACTAGAACAAAGAAACACAGCCTGACATCAGCTCCATGGAGTCTGAGGTCTCATGGAGGAAGCAGAAAATCGACAGATGACAACGTGTAAAAGATGCCACGGCTGAGAGTGCAGGCGCAACTGAGAGGGGCTCCGTATGATGGAGGCTGCTGATGGTCCAGGGGGTGGGTGCTGGGGGAAGTCATAATCACACAGAAATCTCAAGAATGAAAGGATCTGGGGAGAGGGGACAAGGAGGGTGCCAGGCAGGACAGCTAACATGTGCTGAGGGCTTGAGTCAGGGTGCAAGGACGGGCAAAGTGGAGTGCAAGGAATATGAGAGACAACAGAAGGCCACACAAGGAGAGCAGAGACTGTGAAAGGGGGTGGTAATGGAAAGGAGGCAGGGCTGGCTTTGTCGTTGAATGACTTTAAGAAGAGTCTAGAGAGTGTTGAGTGGACACTGACTCCCCACTGCCACCATTCTACGCTGATGTGGAAGGTCTCTATTTCTCAAAACCCTTGGGCTTTTTTCTATGGACTAAATTGTGCCCTCCTAAAATTAATATGCTGAAGCCCTAACTTCACTTCGCTGGTATGCTGGTAATTGCAAGTGAGACCTTTGGGAGGTAATTAGAGTTAGATGAGGTTGTGAGGATGGGGTCCCCATGATGGCATTGGTGTCTTCATAAGAAGTGGAAGAGAGACCAGAGCTTTCTCTCCACCATGGGAAAACACAGTGAGAAGGCTGCTGTCTACAGACCAACAAGAGAGCCCTCCCCAGACACGGAATCTGCCAGCAGCACCTTGATCTTTGATCACTTTGCAGCCTCCAGAGCTGTGAGAAGAAATGTCTGTTATTGAAGCCCCTAGTCTACAGTATTTTTGTTATCACAGCCCAAATGGACAAATATGCCTCCTGACCCCCTTTACTCACTCACTCTTCTGAGTACGATCTGCTTCTCCAGGTTTCGATTGTTGAATGGGAGAGGCTGTGCCCCCATGGTGGAGATCTGCAGTTGCTCAGGCCACCCACGACTGGGGGAGTCACTGTTCTGGGGTGCACTATTAGGGAGCCCCCTTGCCATCCTTCCCCAAAGTCACATTTTCATTGCATCCATGTGTGATGAAGCTGGCATTTTGGTCTCCATCTGCCTGACTCCCTGTTTATCTCAGAATTTGTTCTAAATCTGAACAAATTATGCATGACCCCCCCCATATCCCAAGGTAGGGGGAGGCATATCCCAATGTAGGAGGTGGCGATCTTGTGGAAAGGGAAGAAAGGAGGCCAGGATGAATGTTCATGAAGCAATTAGGAAAGTCATGCAATCTCTAGACAAGAGCTGGGAGAACTTGGGTTGAGGGATGGTGGGAGATACAGAGTAGTGTGGGCTGAGTTGAAGGGGTGCTCAGGATGCTGGTGGGAAGGATTTGATGCTGTAAGAAGGCACCATCTATGAGGCAGAGGGCTGCCTTTCCCAGATGCCAAATAAGATGGTGGATCAGGGAGAAGGAGGTCTCAGAGGAATCCCAGGCTTTCGGATGAAGCCTTCCTTGGAGAAGGCTCCCTGGACATGACCACAGCAGGTGGGATGGGGGTCCCTCCTCCGTCTGGCTATGCGTCCTGCATGTGGGCCTGCTGCCTGGAATGGCTCTGGAAGCTGGGACTAGAGCGATGACCAAGCTCCACCAGCTTACTTGCTCATGGGGAGCACAGACAGTGAACCAATACACCAGCCAACAAATGGCATCATCTGGGGCCGCGGTTACTGTGCTGAAGGACAGTGACAATCCTGAGCTCGGACCTGCACCTGCTGAGTCTGAGGTGCCTTTGAGAAGTTTAAGGGACATGCGAAGAGGCACAGGAAGCAGCTGCCCCTCTGTTTCTGGCACCGCCATGACCCCGCTCCCCGGTAGCTGCACTTGGCGATTAGTTCCTCAGTTTATGTTTGCTCACATCAAATTCAAAGGGCAGGGCCATTGTTTTGAGTTCATAAAGGTCAAGGTTAAAATCTGCCCGGGGCCGGGCGCGGTGGCTCACGCCTGTAATCCCAGCACTTTGGGAGGCCGAGGCGGGTGGATCATGAGGTCAGGAGATCGAGACCATCCTGGCTAACAAGGTGAAACCCCGTCTCTACTAAAAATACAAAAAATTAGCCAGGCGCTGTGGCGGGAGCCTGTAGTCCCAGCTACTCGGGAGGCTGAGGCAGGAGAATGGCGTGAACCCGGGAAGCGGAGCTTGCAGTGAGCTGAGATTGCGCCACTGCAGTCCGCAGTCCGGCCTGGGCGACAGAGCGAGACTCCGTCTCAAAAAAAAAAAAAAAAAAAAAATCTGCCCGGATGTGGGCCCACCTCTGAGGAAGGGATGCTGGATATGTCCTGGGGCCCTTGGATGTCGTGTCCAGTTTTGTTTGGGCCGGTTAGGCTGACCTTGCTTAAAGAGAGACATTCTTTTCAAGTTTCAGCCAGATCACCACAACCAGTGAGCACTGACACCAAACATTGCAGAACCACAGAGATATTTCATTGTACTTTCTTCTTGGTACACGCATTAGCTGCAGGAGATGCAGAGACAAATAAGACAGGCAGAGCCAGGCTGTCGTGGAGCTTATGATGCTGACATGACATAAGCAAACTGAAGGCAGGTTCGATCCAAATGGTGATGAGTAATTGGAAGCAGAATAAGATACAGTAAGGGTGGGAGAGGATGTGAGGGTGGTGTGCAGGAGGGGTCTTCAGAGAGAAGATCTGAGGAAATGGAACTTGAAAGGGAAACTCAAAGGCTCTAGACTGGACACCTGAAAATCTCTAGAGACAGAAGGGGCTATTCCAAAAGGCAGCCAAAGCCCTACTTTAAATTAATCCTGATCATTGAACATGCTCATCACATATTTTGTGGGTGCTTCTGGATTCCTGGAGGCCATGGCTTTTTCTGAGGTCTCTATCTTATAGTGGTTCTTGTTAACACTCTTTGAAAAGAACCATTATGGATTTGGGAAAGGGTCAGAGGGCGTGAGCGAGAAACAGCAGCAGGGATATGAGGGCTTCTGTAGGCAGACACAAGTATTTAAGGGGAGCTACACACTTCGGGAGGCCGAGGCAGGTGGATCAGATCGCTTGAGGTCACGAGTTCAAGACCAACCTGGCCAATATGGTGAAACCTCATCTCTACTGAAAATACAAAAAATTAGCCATGCGTGGTAGCGCTGGCCTGTAAACCCAGCTACTTGGGAGGCTGAGACAGGAGAATTGCTTGAACCTGGGAGGTGGAGGTTGCAGGGAGCCAAGATTGTGCCATTGCATTCCAGCCTGGGCAACAGAGCGAGACTTTGTCTCAAAAAAAAAAAAAAAAAATGGAAGCCGCAAAGTGAAAATGTTTCCATTGTCCTCTCTCTCAGTCCCCCTGCCATTATTGTGGACTTGCTTAAATATTCCTTTATATCAAATCTCTCAGGCATTCACCAAGCTTTAAGAGATTATCTGAGGGGAAAATGTAACTCACACCCAACCTCAGACCATTAACTAACAGAAGTTGTCATACTAAAAATAAATGGTCCAGAAGGAGTTTTGATTAATGAATGAGCCCCGGAGTCCTGCCATGCTGTTAAAGGGAGTTTGGAGTTCTTTCCCGGCACTTGGGGTTGACTCAGTGAAAGTAACCAGACCCCTGGCAAAGTGTGCTTAGACCTGCTGTTAGAGACAAGATGTGAGGCTGGATGCAAAGTTGGCTTCACTCGGTGTGGCAGGAGTTTTTGTTGCATGTGCTGTTTCCAATTGCCATTTCCACATCAAATCATTGATTGTGTTCTTTAGTTGGATTCCCAAGAAAATGTTGTATCATAAAGAATTTGACTAGCCTTTGTCCATAGTTCCCAAGGAAGACTCTAAATCCTTGGAATTTTCCCAATAATTGGAGTGTCTTTGTTATTCATTAACTTTTTGAATAATAAGTGCATTGGTGATAACAAGATGAGGTGGTGCAGGGTGGGGGCTGGTCACCAGAAAGGCTGATCTTTTTTTTTTGGAAACGGAGTCTCACTCTGTTGCCCAGGCTGGAGTGCAATGGTGTGATCTTGGCTCACCGCAACCTCTGCCTCCCGGGTTCAAGTTATTCTCCCTGCCTCAGCCTCCCAAGTAGCTGGGATCACAGGTGCCTGCCACCACGCCCAGCTAATTTTTGTATTTTTAGTAGAGACGGGGTTTCGTCATTTGGCCAGGCTGGTCTCAAACTCCCGGCCTCAGGTGATCCACCCGCCTTGACCTCCCAAAGTGCTGGGATTATAGGCGTGAGCCACCATGCATGGCCCAGAAAGGCTGATCTTGTGATGAGAGAGTTGGGGCTTTGAGCCTGGTGGTGCCAGCCTGGAGGGAGGGGAGAAGGGGCTGCTGATTGCATTTAGTCACCTGGCCAAGCATTCAATCAACCATGGCCACATCATGAAACCCTGATAAAAATTCTGGACGCAGATGCTTTCTGAGCATGCTGATGTGCCTGGAGAGTGGCCCCTGATTCCACAGAGAGAGGCCATGGAAGGTTTGTGTTTGAGACTCTCCCAGACCTTGCCCTCTGTGTCTCTTCATTGGGTGGTTCCTGAGTTGCATCCTTTAAAATAAAACTCTAATCATAAGTATACTGCTTTTTGAGTGCTGTGAGTCATTCAAATAAATTATCAAACCTGTGGTGTCATGAGAAGTGTTGAATTTGTAACCAATTGGCCAGAAGTGCAGGCAGCTGGGGACCCTCAAAGTGCATCTGGTGTCTGACATCAGGGCAGCCTCGTGGAGGACCGAGCCTTCCACCTGTGGGCCTTGTGCTAACTCCAGGTGTGAGTATAAGAACTGAATTGCAGCACGAGAGCCAGGGTGAGACGGGTTGCAGTGGAAACAGAATCAAGTTGGCTTAGGCGTTCTCAAGTGTTCCTGCCAATGGATACCGGTTCCAGTGTCAGGGTTCTGATTTAGTCAGTGCACCTGACTAAATCCCGTGGCTGGATGGGCTCCAGAACCCATGATGGAGCGATAACATGGGCCTGGGTGCAAAAATTAGAGCAACAACTTCCAAATCAGAACGAATTCATCTTGTCATTACCAAGGCCAAGATGGTGAAGGGCCCTTACAGCAAGCTGACAACTTTCCAGGATGGTGAGTCACATTCACGGGCCATGGAAGGGAAAACAATCTTAATTGGGAGAATGGGGTCCCCAAAATAGTTGGGTTTCAGGAAGCTTTGCTGAGGGTGCATGCACATTTCCCAAGCATCACGATTCTGTTCCTGGCTTGGGAGCACGGGGAGTCACTGTCACGAGGAGGCAGCCGACTGGCCTGCAGATGCGTCTCTTCCTGGTCCCTCTTTGCTCTCTAGAAGAAAATTCAACACTGCACCGCACCACTGCGTCTCCAGAGGGAATGCATGTGTGTGTGTGTGTGTGTGAGAGAGAGAGAGAGAGAGAGAGAGAGAAAGAGTGTCTGTGCATGTATGTGAGTGAAAGTGTGCATGTGTGTGTGAGAGAAAAACAGTGTGCATGTGTGTGAGTGAAAGTGTGCACGTGTGTGAGTCTGTGTGTCTGTGTGTGCATGTGCAGGAGAATAGGTGAGTATGTGTGTGAGTGTACAGGGGGTGTATATGTGTGTGCATGTGCAAACGTGCATTTGTTTGAGTGAGGGTGTGACTGTATGTGTGTGTGAATGCATGCAAGTGGGTATATATGAGTATGTATGTGTGAGCGTGTGTGTATATTGTGAGTGTGTATGAGTGAGTAAGTTGTGTCTGTATATGTAAGTGCACATACGTGTAAGTATGTGAGTGTATGGGCATATGCAAGTGAGTGTGTGTGTTTGTGAGTGTGAGTGTACGTGGAAGTATGTGCATGTATATGAATGTGTGTGCATGTTTCTGTGTATATGAGTGTGTATATGTGTGAGGGTATATGAATGTGTATGTGTGTTCCTGTGTAAATAAGTGTGTATATTATATAAATGTGTATGCATAGGAGTGAGTGTATGTGTGAGTGGTGTGTATATTGTGAATGTGTATATATGTATATGTGTCTATGTGAGTGCATGTTTGTGTGAGTGTGAGCATGTGAGCATGTATAAGCAAGTGTGTGTGTGCATGTGAAAGTGTATACATTTATGTGTCTGTGTATGTGAGTGCATGTTTGAGTACGTGAGCATGTATGAGTACGTGTGTGCATGTGAATGTGTGTTTGGATGTGCACGTATGTGCAACTGTGCACACACTGGCATCGCCCACATCAGGACAGCCCCTCCACCGCCTCATGTTCTCACGCCTTTTCTGGCCTGCACAGGAAACACCTGCTCCATGGTACTTCTTGGGACATCAACTGCAAAAGACGGAAGGTGAAAAGTGGTTCTGAGCAACAGGTGCAAACCCGGCATTCTGACAGTGGAGAAATTCTTCCGCCTCCAGGACGACCTCACTCTTCGCTTTTTCATTTTGCATTGTCGGGGGCTGGGAGGCAGCTCTCCCTCCCCCAGTTGGGAGTTGGAGGGAGCCTCACTTAGGGAGAATGTCACACACTTATGTGTCAAGATGGCTTTTCAAGCATTCTGCGTTCTCCCTACTTCCCAAGCTGCTGCCCAACCCAGACCTGGTGAGTGACAAGCCCCAGCAATTTATCATGAGTCCTGCGACCTCCAGAACAATCCATCAGTGACAGAGGAAGTCAACAGAGTGATGACAACTTGCTGTTTACCCACAGTGTATGTTTCATCAACTTCCCAGCATCTGGTCCCAATATCAACATCCTCTTTTATTTGTTCTTCCCATTTGAAAGGAATGTATTGAGTCTCAAGTACATAAACACAGCTCCTTTATGCCCTTCTTATGCTGTATAGCACCCTTTGCTATGTTCTCCATCTTACAATAGACACTGTATGCTATATGTGTTTTATATGCATACGTGTGTGTAATACCTAATAGCCACTGTGTACACATACACAGGCTGTGTATAGTAAGATACGATGTGTATATGCGTAAAATAGCCCTGTGTTAGTTAGTTCTTTGCGTGTCCATCAATCCATGCACAGCTTCCTTCCCCTTCTCCATGCTCCATTCCTTGCATTGCCCACTCCCCAACGCTGCCTTCCTCCACATACACACCCCGCTAAGGGCAGAAGGAGGCAAAGTAAATAAAGAGCCCGAGGGTCTGGTGGAAAAGGCAAGGAGGTCTGTTGGGCTTTGTACAAGGACAGTTGTTCCTTTTCAAAAATCTGCAGAAACATAGAGACAGGGCTGATTCCTTCTAACTGGGGGAGTCAGGAAAGGCTCGGTTCAGCCTGGCTTGAAAGACTGAGAAGAATCAAGATGGGCAAAGATAGGGCCACTCAGAGTGGGGCCGCTGAGATGAAGACAGGCATGACAAACCCCACTCTGCACCCTCAGGTTCCCCGTCCACCCCCAGCCTCCCCCAGTACCCATCCTTGAAACTGAAATAATCTCACATGCTGGAGGCAACGAAGGGAAAAGAAAAAATGGAGTCATTTGTCTTGGTGTCACATTTGCCATCTCCCCAAGTCCCAAGTGGCAAAGGGAGGAGGAGGGGCCATGGGGCGTGGGTCGGGCATTCAGAGGGCTCTGTGGCCACCTGGTGGCTGGACGTGTCTCCCCCACTGGCTGAGCTCCCTGCCCAGCTCCTGGTGCAGACTGCCCAGGACGAGGTCAGGGAAACACTCTCCCGTCTTTGAGCAGGGATGGAAATTGTTGGGGCCTGGAAGGGGAAGGAAGACAAGAACTCCAGCCTCTGGGCTTTCAGAGCCTAGACCCAGAGTTACAAACCCATAAAGAGGAGAAAAGGGAGGGGCAGCCCCCCATCCAGGGGCTGCAGGGGGCCTGCGTGGGGGTGCGACCTTAGCTTTGCCCCTTGTCTTTCATCCTGCTTGGATTTGGGATGTCCCAGCATGAGGACCCAGTCACATCCCAGATTCTGCTCCAACCTCAGGTTATAAACATCAGTGACTGACAGTGCCTTGGTCCCAGACGTGAGCCAGGCCACCTCAGGCTGCAAGCCTCACAGCTGTCTCCTGCAGCAGGTCAGGAGACCATGCTGCCATCTGGACAAGCCCACGGAGGGCATATGTCCTGGACCTTCTGGTCAGAGGCCAGTGGGCCCCTCCCCACCCAGAGCTGAGGTCCAAAGCTGTCCCAAAGAGCCAACACCAGATGAGCCCTTTCGGGGATGCCGGGCGCATTCCCCCACTCAAATTCCATCCTTTCATTCAGCAAATATCTGGGAGTGTCTACTGTGGGCCCAGCTGTCCATGACCAGCTGTGCACAGAGGAGACATGGCCCCTGCTCTGTGGAACACCAACATCTGTGCGTTTCTGACCACATTCTAGATATCTCTGAAAAGCTCACATGTACTAATTATTTGCAAATAACAGCAAGTGTCATTGGCTTTTAAAAACAGAAGTGCTCGCAGGATTTTATGGGATGGGGAAGGGTCAGGTTTGAACCTGAGCACTGTGGGTCCAGGGCCTCACTGGACACAGCCCCTGACGGAAGGAACAGCCTGGTGGAGCAGGCAGGCAGAAGATAAAGAGAGCATTTCAGCAAATGCACTGAGGGCAGCAGGTGCTGGAAACAGTGCAGAGGGAGGGAGCCATGAGGACCTGCTAAGAAGAAGGGATATTTAAGCTCAAAGTGTAGAAGAAGAAGAAGAGGCAGCCACACAGAGATGTGGGCATCGGGGTCCCAGGCAGAGGGCACTGCAGAGGCATAAGCCCTGGGCTGGGAAGCAGCCTGATGTATTCAAAGACAGTGTGGTGGGGTTGAACAGTGTCCCCAAAAAACACACATCCACTTGAAACCTCAGAATATGACCTTACTTGGAATAGGGTCTTTGCAGATGGAATTGGCCAGGATGATGACATTTTTTATTAAGGTGTGCATTAGTCAGGGTTCTCTAGAGGGACAGGACTAATAGGATAGATGAATATATGAAAGGGAGTTTACTAGGAGAATTGACTCACACAGTCACAAGGTGAAGTTCCACAATAGGCCATCTGCAAGCTGAGGGGCAAAGAAGCCAGCCCAAGTCCAAAAACCTCAAAAGTAGGGAGGTTGACAGTGCAGCCTTCAGTCTGTGGCCAAAGGCCTGATAGCCCCTGGCAAAGCACTGGTGTGGGTCCAAGAGTCCAAACACTGAAGAACTTGAAATCTGATGTTCAAGGGCAGGAAGAATCCAGCACAGGAGAAAGATGGAGGCCAGAAGACTCAGCAAGTCTAGTCCCCCCGTGTTCTTCTGCCTGCTTTATTCTAGCTGCGCTGGCAGCTGATAAGACGGTGCCAACCCAGATTGAGGATGGCTCAGCCTCTCCCAGTCCACTGACTCAAATGTTAATCTCCTTTGGCAACACCCTTACACACACACCCAGGAACAATACTTTGCATCCTTCAATCCAATCAAGTTGACACTCAGTATTCACCGTCACAGGGTGGGCCCTAACTCCTCCTATGTCTTTATGAGGAGAGGAGAGGTGTGGGATGACAGAGCCTGACATGAGTCCTGTAGCTAAGAGGATCAGGAGCCCCAGGGAAGCCCCAGGGGAGCTGGACAAGGCAGAGAGGGTCCTTCTCTAGCACCTTTAGAGGAAACGCGGCCCTGCAGACACCTTGACTTTGAACTTCCAATCTCCAGAGCTACAAGATGATACATTTCTATTTTTAAGCTACCCAGTGTGTGGTAATTTATTATAGCAGCCACAGGAAGGTAATGCAGGCAGGAAAGGGAGAACTGCGCCAGGGTCATGCTGAGAGGGGAAGAGGGGCACCAAATAAATCCCAGAGGTCAAGGTCCATGTGGGCTTGGATTTCCACCTCAGGGGCAATGGGGAGTCACTGAAAGGTTTAAGTGGGGCAATGTCATGGCAAGGTTGTTGCTATCGTTGTATAAGAAGGCAGCCGTCCACGCCCCACAGAGACCGGAAAGCCACCACAGTTCACATGCAGATAAGACAAGAGGCGGCATCTGCTCATGAGCTCTGACTTGATAGGGCAGAAGGATGCAGGCAGACCTGAGTATTGTTGTCGAGCTCCCCAAGACCACTCCCAGGTTCACCAATTTGCTAGAAGGACTCACAGAACTCAGAAGAGCTGTTATAGTCAATGGCTATGGTTTATGACAGTGAGCAGATACAGACTATTATCAGCAAAGGTGTGAGTCCAGGGGAGATAAGGCACAGAGCTTCCAGTTGTCCTCACGGTGGAGTTGTGGTGATAATGCTTCATTCTTCCAGCAATGACATGTGGCAACCCACATAGAATATCATCAACCAAGGAAGCTCAGCCCAGCTATGTAGTCTGGGGTTTTGGCTGGGGTTCAGTCATGGAAGCAGGGAGCATCCACATGACTGACCTTAATCACTCAGTGTCAGCCTCTCCAGAGGTCAAACTGATACCATGCTGCCCAGGCCCCCACCATCAGTAGCATTATTTGCAAAGACTATTCATGTGGTCCAATGCCTCAGGTAAACAAAGACACTCCTACCAGGATTTCCGAGGGCATCTCCCACAAGCAGGTCGAGAGCCAGAGCTTTCTTTGCAATGTGCAGGGTTTGGGCACCTAGACCTGCTCTTCTTCCTGCACACAGGTGAAAAAAATTGGATGTACGGTATGAGGAAAAGGTACAGTGAAGCATGACTCAGCTTTTGACTGGAGCATCTGGGGAACCCTCGTGTCATTATCTGAGATGGGGACACTGAGGTCTTTTAAGCTTTGAAAGTTTAGTTATGAATCCGGTGAGTTTGAGAAGCCTGCAAGACCTTCGAGGGGAGATGTCCTGTAGATGGTTGAGTGGATTCATCTGGACATGGAAGCTGGAGGTGTCAATCCAGGAACTGTCAGCCTGTGGATGTTTCAACAATGGTAATAGACAAAGTGCCCTCAGGCAAGGGTGTGCATAGGGAAAAGAGGCCCCAGGCCCCAGCCGTGAAGGCCTCCTATGTTTAGGATCAGAGTGGAAGAGAAACCAGCAAGGTGACCAAGAAAAAGTGCCCAGAGAGGTAGGACAGTGGAGGCTGAGCCATCATGGAGGCCAGAGGGGGAAAGCAGTAAACAGAGTTCACGGGGCTGAGCTGCGGAGTGAGGTCAGGACACAGGCAGGACTGGGGGCTTGGGTCATGAGGGTCCTGCTTTCCCTTGACCAGAGTGACCCTTGGGGAAGTGGATGTGAAAATGGAAGGTTCCAGAAGGACCACCCTGCAGAAAAGCCTGACTGTGTGTGATTAGAAGCAGAGAGAAGGGAGAGACCTGGAAGGGAGTGTGAGACCAAGGGAAGACCATGACCCAAAGAATGATTGAGTGATCATGTGACTGACACATTTGAAAAAGAAAGAGGATGACACAGAAGAAAAAGGAGGTGACAGGAGAGAAGAAGTTCCAAGGGGATATGACAGAAGCTGGGGCTGTCAGATTTGGCAAATAAAAATACAGGAAGCCAGTGAAATTTGCATTTTTAGATAAACAACAAAGTAATTTTTAATATAAGTATGTCCCATGCAGTATTTGGGAAATACTTATGCTAATGTATTCGTCACTATTTTCCTAAAATTCAAATACAACTGGGTGCTTTGTATTTAGCTCAGCAGTCTTGTCACACTTAGAGTCTGCCTGTGTAGGAGATACGCTACTTCCTCCATCCGACATTCATTTATTCACTCAACAAATGTTTATTGTGCAGCTACTATGTGCCAGGCAGTGATCTGGGAACACAGCAGCAAATAAGACCACAGAATCCCCTGCCCCCATGGAACTTACTTTCTAGCATGGGAGATAGATAGGAAACATATCAACACATTCAGAAAATTGAAGTCTATTAAAGAAGTAAAAAACATTGGGGTTGGGAGAAAGAAGCATGGAGATGCTGGTAGATTTCTAGACTCAGGATTTGAAAGTTGCTGCAGCAGCAAAAGAAACTAACATCAGAGTGAACAGGCAACCTACAGAATGGGAGAAAATTTTTGCAATCTATCCATCTGACAAAGGGCTAATATCAGAATCTACAAAGAACTTAAACAACTTTACAAGAAAAAAACAAACAACCCCATCAAAAAGTGGGCATAGGATATGAACAGACACTTCTCAAAAGAAGACATCTATGCAGCCAACAGACATAGGAAAAAAATGCTCATCATCTGGTCATCAGAGAAATGCAAATCAAAACCACAATTTCTCCACATCCTCTCCAGAATCTGTTGTTGCCTGACATTTTAATGATCACCATTCTAACTGGTGTGAGATGGTTTTGATTTGATTTGTGCACATGTACCCTAGAAAGTAAAGTATAATAATAATAACAAAAAGAAAGTTGCTGCAGCAAAGTCACTTACAGCACATCCTAAGGGTGCCCTCATTAGCTTTTAAACTATCATGAGGCCATACACCAAGCCATGGTCTTACAGTGTCATTTGGTACCTGTCTCAGAAGAAGAGCACACATCCATCTACTCTTCTCGACACAGATGTCATCGTCTGCAATAGACTCGAGGACCCTGCTCTCACATTCTCTCAGTCATGTTCATCCTGGGCCAGAACTCCACGTCCCACTCCAACCAGGAAAGCACTTGTTGGGTGGCTTTGACAGCTGCTCAGCGGCCTCTTCCCTGCCTGGCAGCCCCCTGCCTTCCAGCCACCCAGCCCTCCACTCCGCCCTCAGTGCTCAGCCCCACCAATGGGGCGTCATGACTACCTGCCCTGGCACCTGATTGCCCAGGCTCCAGCTGATAGGTGGCTTCTGGCTTTCTCAGAGGTAGTGCCCTGGGGAGTTGGACCTGAGAGGGGATAGAGGCAGCCACGGTCCTCAAACCCACAGCCACACAGACCCACCCTCTGCCTCTCACTGAGCTCCTAGGAGAACAGAGCTGAGGGGTCAAGTGTACCCCAGAGTTTGCTTCATGACACGGAGCTGGTGCTTCTCAAGCCGTGCCAGGTAGCCTCCCTCCCGTGGTGCTTAGAGATGGTCTCATCTCCTGGGAATAACCTAATTATGCTGCTGGCGCCTGAGAAGGGAAGTGGACAGGGACTCATTTGCAGCCTGCTACACTCCAGTTACTGGACTTTTCTAACTTGGTGCTGTGTTTCTTTTGATCGATGAGAGTGAATGGATCTTTGCAGGGAGATAAAAGGAAAAGGTCTCGGGGTAGCTTGGCTGCTCCTGATCCCATTCTCCTGGTGGCCGTGGGAGGCTCAATGATCCAAGCTTGGCCTCCTGTGCTGGAGGGCAGCAAGTCCTTACTTGAACTTGCAGGCGAGCCTCCCAGCTGGGATGGGCTCTGTTGTGCTCTGGACTCCCGCACACCAAGCGATTTCACATTGCTTGATAGCAAGGGATGAGCCAAAGAGTGAGAGCATTAGCTCCAAATATTTACCCCAAGTCCAGAGTAGGGGCCATGTTGCCCAGATGTTGGGTGCTAACCTCTTACCAGTCATCATCCCCCTTGAATTAAGCCCACTGACAAGGATGCATTTGTCAGGACAGGGGAGCTCCGGAAGCTTGGGTCCGAGGGAGGAGACTCAGACTCCATGAGCTTCCCCACCAGCTCCATGGCTGGGCCCTTCCTTGACGCCTCACGGGGCCTGGGCTCCTCCCAGGGAGCCCCAGCCAGAGGACCAGCATCATCCTAGACAACCCTCCTCTGTTTATGCACTGAGTCATGTGGGCTCCCCACCAAGGCTCCCAGAGCTGCCACTTCTGTCCTTGTGATGAGCTGAGTTAGCATCTCCCTCCCTGCACGACTGCCATGGCCCCTTCAACCCTCTCCCTGCATACTTTCGGGGCCCATTCCTCACCCCCAAACCCTTCTCTCCAAAGGGCCATCAGTGTGACCATTTCCAATGATCCAGGGGTTACTTCTCTGCCCCCACCCCACTCCCCTCTATTTTTCCCCTGCCTCACACCTTCAGTGACTGTGCAGCCACTGGCTTCTCCTGCCCCCCCTTTCCCTTAGGATTCCCCTCGTCCTAGCCGGGCATGTGGCCACAGTCCCTGCCTCCTCTACAGCAGAGGGCAGCTGGGTCGTAGCTGGCGGGACATGAGGAGAAGGTATGTGAGCAGGTTCCCCTCCTTCCTCCCAAGGAAACTGCTGGCCCTTGGCTTCCTCCTTCCCCTTCCGGCCAGCTAGACTGCAGACTTGGCCAGCTTCCAGCAGGCCCACCAGGTCCACACCGCACATCAAGAGTGCCTGGCAGCAAGCTGGAAGGAGCATGGGTTTCCAGGTACCTCTTGGAGCACAGAGATCTGACACCTCCAGGTATCTACCTGCCAGAACTGTCACCTGAAAAGCAACAGCACTGTTATGTGGCCTCTATGAAGGCCGCCAAGCCAATGACACACATGGTTTCTTATTTTTCTTAAAACTAGTGCCCAACCCCAGCCCTGCTTGGCCAGACCTGACCTCTGTCCACAGCCTCTGGCCTCACTGATACCTCTTGTGACCTCACTCCTTCCTCTGGAACTTCCTAGCTGTGCCACATTGCTTCCTCTTGCCACGGGACCTTTGTATGCGCCCTTCTCACTGCTTAGGAAGTTCATCCTGTGCCGCCCGCCCTCCTCCATACGGCCAACTCCTGCTGGTCCTTCAGGTCACGACTCAAATATCCCTTCCACTGGGGAAACTCTCAGACTCCTCTGTTGGGGTCAGGCCTCTGTTTGAATCCTTCATTCAGACAGTTAGCCTTCCAATAGCCTTGCCCTCACCTCACTTCTCTCAGGTTCAAACTTGTTATTATTATTATTATTAAAAATTCTTAGATTAAAGTCTATGTTGCGGGTTGAGGTGCGGTCCCCACAAAAGATATCTTCAAGTCCTAACCCCTAGAACCTGCGATTGTGACCTTATCAGGAAGCAGGGTCTTTAGGGTGGGCCCAAATCCAGTGACTTGTGTCCTTACAAAAACAGGGAAATCTGGACACAGACACACAGAGAGTAGAACATCCTGCAAAGGCACAGACACACGGACACAGGGACACAGGGAGGAGGCTGTGTGAAGAAGGAGATAGTGACTGCAGCAATGTGGCCACATCCAAGGAGCACCTGGAGCCAGCAGGAGCTGGAAGAGGCAGGAAGGATCCTCCTCCCGCGCTTCCAGAGGGAACGTGGCCCTGCAGACACCTTGGTTTTAGACCTCCGGCCTCTAGTGCTGTGAGACAGTGAGTGTCTTGTTCGAAGCCACCCAGCTCATATTAATCTGTTACAGCAGCTCCAGGAGCTCATGCAGCCTCATGTTCACCAAAGAGCTGGCACCACGAGGGCAGGGCTGGGTCCATCTTGCTTCCTTTCCAGTCCCAGAGCCTAGGACAACAGGCCAGGGCCTCCGTAGATGGTCGTTGTGAAGTCTGTGGATATTGACTTGGGCGGTTATAACACAGATGAGAACAATGTGACTTGGAGGCACTGACCAGACGGCCTTCCAGGAGCCTCCCAGGTGAACGCACAGGGCACGCGGAGCTGTCCCATGGGACCTGCAGCTTCCTGCACTGCAGCCACCGCCTCTTCCTCCCTTTGTTTTCCACTCCCCCTCCTCTCCGCACATCTTTCCTGTTTCTTCACTGCTTCCTTTCTGTCTCCCCTCTCTGGGACCTGCCAAGCCCCTTCAGACCTTCACTCCTGACGGTCCAGGTGGCAATGGACCATCTGCATCACTCTCATGACCGGGCCTGGCTCTTCCTCCTGCACCCTCTGCCCAGGCACGGCCAAAGCCAAGGTCAGGCTAAGCTGGGAGGCAAAAGTCTTCACGCGAAGCATGTGGTGCAGTCAGCTGGGGACCATGGGTCACGTGGATGACCCGCCGCTCATTGGTGGGATTTCAGGGAATGGCTACATTTGGCCAGTTTGCTTTGAGTCCCAGTGGCCATGGGAGCTTGTGGTGGGACCACGGCCATGTGGTGCGGTGTGGGGGATGCAGTGAGTGGATCCTGGTGAGAAGCGTCCCGGCTTGAGTGCCACCCACCACCCAGATGTAGGCACTTGGCCATCACTTCACCTCTGAGTGCCCGCTAAGGCAGGGATGGGGATGGCACATTGTGGGGTGGTGCTGAGGATTCAGGAGTCACTCTGATAAAGCCCAGTGACAGGCACTCTGGAGGTGCCATTTAAGATTCAGAGACTAGGATTCTCAGTGGTCTTGAAGAATGGGATTGGATGCGCAGCCTGAGGGAGGGAGGAAGATAGGCCACATAGGAGAGGCCTCGAGGGTGGAAAGGTCAAGAGAGTAGGGTTCGGCAGCAGCCCAGAGTGGGCATACAGCTGCAGGGACTTTTATTTAACTTTTATTTTGAAGTGAAATCACATTTCATAAAAAGAACCGTATTCAAGAGCACAAATCAGCAGCATCTAGTACATTCACAATGGTGTGCAACCATCACCTCTCTCAAGTTCCAAAGCATTTGTATCACCCCAAAAGAAAACCCTGTACCCATTAAAAATGCGAAGGCTTTGATTCCTATAGTGTTCTTGTTAACTCTATGAGGGAGGGAGGATGGTTACACCTCTTTTTTTTTTTTTTCCTTAGGCAGCATCAGCTGAGAAGTTTCAGGGATGTGGAACTGGGTGGAGGATGGAGCCCACCACCAGGGGATTTGGGCGACAACGCTCTACACCTTCCCCACAGCCCCACCCTAAGGCCAGCACAGGGCAGGGCAGGACCAGGTTTGCTTGTGAGTCTGGGAGGCCAAGATCTCCACTGGCACCCTAAAGGCAATCTGTAAACACTCCCCTTCCTCCCTCTCAGCCGTCAGACATTCCAGCCAAATGCAAATGTGTGATGCCTGTCTGGGTAGAGCTTTTTCTGAAACGTTATCCTCTGCATCTCCTGCACCTCCCTCGTTTCACCAGGGCTGAGCCTCTTCAGAGATTCAGAGCAATTTGTTGCCATAACAACCCCTCTCTCCCACTCCAGAACGTTTAAATACCAGCCTTCTTCAGTCTGGTTCTTCTCAGGGGGCTCTGCAAAGTGGTTTCCTCAAGGGAGAGGGGAGGCAAGTCCTCCTCCTCTGTTCTTGGGGTGTGGAGCTCCTGATCAAACTCCCAAGTAAAGACCAGGTTTGCCCTCCTGCCCTGGTCTAAAAACAGCTGAATCCTAAGGGAATCAGTTCAGCTTGGCCTCACCTCAGAGCCTAACATGTCTGTGTGACTTCCAGGCTTCGTTTAGCTTTGTTCCATCACAGAGAAATTATGAAAGAAATTATGGAGGAGCAGAAGTTAGTTTAGGGTTGTTTTCCCATTGGGAAAACCAAGGTCCCAAGGAGGCGTAAAGTGTCTAAGACCACGTCATTCACTGCCCAATACAGGTGCAAATCCAGGATCTGCTGTTGATGCCACTTAAGTGTAGAAGACCTTCAAAGGTCTTGAGGGAAGACTTGAGCCACTTCCACATCAGCAGGCAACTCCCCAGAACCCAAGGATCAGGCCCACCCAGGAAAAGAGTGTGTTTTCCTCTTTTGGTGTTAAGGGAGACCCAGAATGTAAATGAGCCAGAGCCTTCTGAACGAACCAAAGGATGCTGAGAAACCCCACAAATGGCCCTGCCCTAAAGCATCAAGGAATGAGTGGGCAACCGACAGGCTTCATTCTGTAGAATCACAAGAACAAGACAGCCAATTCGGGAAAATCCACTAGCACAGAAATCTCTGTCGCCCCAGCTTCTACCGTGTTCCTCTCCTTCCCCAATCAATAAAGCTAGATGATATATTTATTCTGCGAAATCCTTTTGACCATGCCAGGGTCTTATTTGTAAGTCAATCCTGACTTTTAAACAGAGGTTGTTAAATGCCAATAGTTTTGATTTTATATCTAAATCAAGCAGGAAGCTTTCTAGCTTATAAGACAAAATCTTTGTCTGAAATCTTGCCTTTTCAGCCAGTTTCCTTCAGGAATTTTTTTTTTAAAACCATAACTGTCACTTATAGATTATAAATTCTGTTCCCTGGCCTCTCATGTTCGGTTGTATAACCTTGTTATGTTAACACAGAAATTAAACAGGAGAGATGAATCAGCTAAATTGGATTTACTTATATAGATCAAATGGCCACAGCCCAACTAGTAGGAAAATGGGCCTAACTGGTGCCAAGAAGGAACGAGCTTATTCCAAGGGATCTCGATTTAAAGAAGGAGAAGGAAAAGGGCATGAGGAATCAACACCAGCATTCAGGGTAGGTGTGGTTTCTGATGCTCTTGTTGTACATTCCAGATGGTTGGAGAAGGAGCATGACAAGTTATCATAAAGTAATGGGGGAGAGGACAGCTCAGGGGAGGCCAAGGGGGACCAGGAGCATCCTGGCCAGGCACCTGGGTGGAAGTGGCATGCAGACCTCCCTCCTTCACCCTTGCATCGGGCCATTTTTCAGCATCTTTTCATATATGATCTGGTTTGAGCATCCCGAGAGCAGAGATGGGCGGGAGGGAGGCAGGTTCTGTTGTTCCAGTTCTGCTAATTGAATTGCAGAGGCGGAATGGGCTTCCAGACACTCCATAAAGACAGCTCCATCACACAGAAAATAATTCAAATCAAGTCACCTCGATCATTACTAGACAAGGCTTGGATATAAGTGCCCAGTTCCTGGCCCAGAGCAGTGCCCCAGAAGTCATCCTCCTCCCCGCCTGCCAACCCTCACTTGGGGCTCCAGATGCCCTGAACTGCTGCCCCTTCACTGAGCAGGCCCACCCCCCAAATGCAGGACCTAGGCCTCATTCTAGACCCTATTCCCCCTCCTGAAGTGCCCTGGACTCAGCCTTTGGGGCTTAGTTTAGACAACACACCTCCAGCCCCCCGGGACTGGCTTAGATGCCCTCCTTTGTACTGGAAGAGCCCTCGTGGCATTCTATAAACCACCTGTCTTCCTGCCTGTTTCCCCTGCTGGTCTCCAGGCCCAAGGGCAGGGGTGGGCCTTGCCTTCCTGTGGGCACCTCCAAGCTGGTGCACAGCAGCGACTCTGAAGCTACAGATTGCAAGGCTGTGAGGGGACAGGTTGAGGTGAGCCCCAGCCAGTGTGGGAGTGGGAATTTGGTCCTCAGGGATGCACTCTGAGCTCATGCCTCGAGATCCTCATTTCTTTCCTCCCAGAGAGACCCTCTCCACTGGAGAGAGGCAGCGTTTTACACTCTGCTGCACTTTGGCTTACAGCCACATCGGCTCCAAGACTTGGCCTATCTGGTTTTCTGTAAGAGATTTGTGTCTGTGCTGAGTTTTTGAATCTTCTGAGTGTTGTTCAAGCCCCAGGGTGCACCACAGCCATTTCTTTGGGTGTGAGTCTGGGAGTGGCTGTGGGAAAATATGGCACAGGGTCTCGGGAGCAGTGAGACAAAGCCCTTCTGGGCAACGGCTGAGGGGAAGTAGTGGGCAGAGGGCAGCTGGGCTCCAGCTCCCTCCGTCTTCTCCCCAGCACGAGGCTGGCGTCTTGCTAGGAGACCTACTGCCGTGTTGCACTGGGTCTCCAGGGGCCTCGATCGAACACTTCGCTCCTGTTTTAAAGGTGTAGAGGCCGAGCGGAGAGAGGAGAGGTGCTAGCCTAAGGTCAGAGGAAGGCATGGGGGCAGAGCTACCTCCTGAGTTCTCTGATCCGACCCACCCCATACCCCTCCGTGCCCACTGTGTCGACTCCCAGCCTTGCGGGAGGGCAGCGAGCATCTCGTGGGCGGTCCTGGACATGCAGGCCCGGCGGGAGGGCAGGGCTGCAGCAGGGAGGAGCACGTGGTGGCCACGCAGGACAGCGTTCGGGGAGTGCTTCCTGGGGAGAAGCAGCGGCAGCAGCAGCCAGTTCCCTGACGGGGGTCCTCACACAGCACAGAGACGCACAGGCCATGGAAAGGGCCAGAGAGCAAGCCGTTCTCATCGTCCTGATCGCGGGAGGGTCACTCTTGAGGAGGGGCAGGGCCTGTGACAGGAGGGACAGTTCCCATTGGTTCCCAGAGGGGACATGTCACTGAGAAGTCAGTTATCATTGGCTCCCAGAGGTGGCACATCACTGAAAAGACACCTCCCAATGTTCCCCACAGGTGGCAAATGATTGAGAAGATAGTTCCCATTGGCTCCCAGGTGGCAAGTGACTGAGAAGTTAGCTCCCATTGGCTCCCAGTGGCTCCCAGAGGTGGCATGTGACTGAAAAGTCATCTCCAGATGGGCCCCAGACAAGGCATGTGGCTGAGAAGACAGCTCTCATTGGTTCCCAGGTGGCACATGACTGAAAAGTAAACTCCCATTGGTTTCCAGATGTGGTCATGACTGAGAAGTCAGCTCCTATTCACTCCCGGGTGGCTCATGACTGAGAAGTCAGCTCCCATTGGTTTCTGGAGGTGGCTCGTGACTGAGAGGTGTCCTGAGAGGGGCCACCCCACCTCTGTCCCTCCACCAGAGTGGGCCATTTTCCCCATGATCTCTAGGAAACCACCAGGACTGTCCTTTCCAGGCTCTGTCCCTCTGCAGGTGGAGGGGAGCCTCACCCTGTGGGCTTAAAGGTGGTGCCGATTCTTTGCTACGTCCCATTGAGCAGTGAAATCCACGTCCCTCCCCTTGGGCATGCAGAGTGAGGTCCGGAGCTCCCAGGCAGGATCATTAGAGGCCTGGAGGCTGCTGCCTGGGCCTCCCGTTAGACCTACCCTTGGAGTCCCGGCTCAGCGGGAAGCCAGACGCCATGCAGTGGAGCTCATGACCCGGGCAGTGCCACACCCTGAGGGTGCCCAGCCATTGGAGAGACCCTGGAGGCTGCAGTCGTGGGGAGAGAGCAAGGTCTGGGGACGCCAGGGCTCGGATGTGGAACTGAGGTGGCCCAGCTGGCCCCATCCACCAGGGACAGCCCCCCAGCCAAGCCCCGCGCGAATGTCTGACCAACAAAATCATGAGCAAAATCACACGTCTGCTGTGAGTCGCTGCGTGTCAGCGTGCTTCGTTGTGCAGCAGAAGTTCTCCAGAACCGGAGCCCAGACTCCAAGCGTGCACGGGGGATTAAAGAATTAAAGCGAAATCCCTGAAGATAAAGATGGTAAACAACACATCCTGGGTCACCCCTCCTTCTATTCTTTTTTTCCCCCAGTAAATGTCATGCTTCAAGGGAGTATAACTAAGGAAAGCTCAAAGTAATAATATCAGAAATCTGCTTCCTTTTATTTCTTCTGACATTTTATTGTGATATGTAATTGGAAGAAGACGAAACCTCTGATGGGTATATTTAGTTCGTTGTGTTGGTGAGTGTTTCAAAGGTGGGTCCTCTGCGGCTCTCATTAGCATCAAGTATGCAAATCTTCAAGTTGCTCCTTAATGAGCACAGTCACGCTATAGGCATGTGACATATCCGTATCTAGGACTGGGCATCTCGTGAATGGGTCTCATGTCATAAACCTGGAACTTAGCCCCAACAGAAACACATGCCTAGCTATGGCGGCTGCTCAGCCAGCACAGCCCCACTTCTGTTCACTCCCAACGGGGGCTCATGACTGAGAAGTCAGCCCCCATTGGTTGACTTCAGCAAATGTGAGCCCTCAGCAAGTGTGAGCCATTTTCTTCCAGGTCTGTAGGACCCAAGGGACCCCGACTTCTTCGTCACATGCTACCACTTCTGGGAGCGTCTGACAGGCTTTATCCTAGAGAAGCCTTGTCCAAGGGAACACCAAGCTACGAATGAGTTCCTGGCTGTCATTTTCAACCCAGGCAAAGATAATCTCATGTCCTTGCATGTCTCAGCAGGCGGCCCTTGTTCCTCCAAGCATGGCTCAGTCTCTCACTGGGGAACCAGGGCACGCTTGCTCCTGACTGGCTGGTGGGATGCGCTGCAGGCCCTCTGGTCTCTGGCTCTCTGCTTGTCTTTGTTATTTTGGCTTTGTTGTCATTTTTAATGGTAAGTGTCTCTGAGCACTATCTCTCCAAGATCACACTGAGCTTGCCATGTCCTCTGGTAAGGGAGAAGGTGATTGTGGTCTGATGTTCTGGATTCATCCAATCAGTGTCCCCCAACCTACCCGCCTACTAACCTAAGCCATCTGAGCCAAATCAGCCTCCATTAGCCACATCCACTGGCAGTGCTACCCACGCAGCATGTGTCAGGTTATTTGTCTAACTGAGACCTATCAGGCATCCCCAGTGTGGCACACAAGCTCTACACTGGAAGTTCACTGGTAAAAGGAGAGATGAGGTTGTCCTCCCATGTGGCTTAACTCCTAGGGTGCCAGACAGCCAATAAACAAGTAAATCAATTCATAAGCAAGATAAATGCAGATAGTGAAGACTGCTGTGAAGAAAATAAAATGGCAAAGCTAA
This sequence comes from Homo sapiens, assembly GCF_000001405.40. NCBI lineage: Eukaryota > Metazoa > Chordata > Mammalia > Primates > Hominidae > Homo > Homo sapiens. The sequence continues at coordinate 4,480,096 of NC_000001.11, read as the reverse complement.
TGTGGGAAGCCCAGGGTGTGGGGAAAGACTATTTGGTGGGGAAGTCAGGGAGGGCTTCACCAAGAGGTGACTCTAAGTCCTGCGTGACAGAAAGAAGGCAGCCATTCAGCGGTGTGAGGACCCAGACATCCAGGCAGAGGGCATGGCCAGTGCCAAGGTCACGAGGTAAGAATGAACTTGGAGCATTTGAGAAACAGCAGGGTCCACGTGTCTGAGCAAGTGGGGGAGCCGAGGGATTGCCTTCCACTATTTGAGGTTCAGCTCAAAATCCTCCTTAGATTGCCTTTTCCTGACGTCTCCTGCTAAGAGGTTCTGCCTGCCCTGACCCTGACCCCAGTGACCCTCCAACATTTTACCTTTTCTATTTGCTTGGCAACTTTTATCAATTTCCAGGCCACCTTAACTATGTGTTTATCAGTTCACTCTCTGTTTCTCCTGCTGGAGTATATGCTTTGTAGGGAAAGTCATCTCTGCCTTTTTCGCAGCCATATCCCCAGTGCCTCTTACAGTTCAGGGTACCTGGAGTGTACTCAAGAAATAATTGTTGAATGAACAATTCACCACACCTATCGTGAGCTATTCACAAAGCAGTGGTACTGGCATCACCAGCGTGGATCTGTCACATCTGGAGAGAATTTAAGTCTATTTACATTTATCTTTGGGCCTGGAGGACATTGTATACACTCACACACACACACACACACACACAGATACAAATAACAGTTACGACAAGCACAATCATACTTGCCTGTGAGCTCTTTATGTGCCAGATTTGTCTGAGAAGTTAATCAACTCATGTATAAAGATGTTAATGTCAACAAGAAAAAAACAAATAATCCCATAAAAAAAGTGGGATTATTAAAAGAAGGCATACAAACAAACAGCCAACAAACATGAAAAAATGCTCAACATCACTAATTATCCAAGGAAATCCAAATTAAAACTGGAATGAGATACCACCTTACTCCTGCAAGAATGGCCATAATTTAAAAATCAAAAAAAAAAAAAATAGACGTTGGCATGGATGTGGTGAAAAGGAACACTTTTACACTGCTGGTGGGGTTGTAAATTAGTACAACCACTATGGAAGCCAGTATGGAGATTTCTTAAAGAAGCGAAAGTAGAATTATCATTCAGTCCAGCAGTTTCACTACGGGGTATCTACCCAAATGAAAAAAGTCATTGTATGAGAAAGACAATTGCACGCACGTGTTTATAGCAGCACAATTTTCTGTTGCAAAAATATGGAACCAGCCTAAATGCCCAACATCCAATGGGTGGAGAAAGAAAATGTGATGTATTTACACCATGGAATACTACTCAGCCATGAAAGAGAATGAAATAGTGGCCTTTCAACTTGGATGGACCTGAAGGCCATTATTCTAAGTGAAGTAATTCAGGAATGGAAAACCAAATATCATATGTTCTCACTTTTAAGTGGGAGCTAAGCTATGAGGATGCAAAGGCATAAGAATGATATAATTGACTTTGGGGACTCAGTTGGAGGGGAACGTGGGAGGGGGATGAGGGTTAAAGGCTACATATTTGGTACAGTGTACACTGCTTGGGTGACAGGTGCCCCAAAATCTCAGAAATCGCTACTAAAGAAGTTAACCATGCAACCAAACACCACTTGTACCCCAAAACTATGGAAATAAAATGGTTTTTTTAAAGATACTAATGTTTCTATTCTGTAAATGAGGTGGCAAGAATTAAAAAGGTTAATGACTTGCCTGATGTCACACAGATACTAAGAGGTGTTGATAGGTCTTGAACCCAGGACTGGAGCTTCTAAGGCTGATCTCTCCACCCCTCTGCTTGGCTGAAGCTCATGGAAACACAGGAATGCATGTGTTTGGAGGAGCTTATTGGCACTTCCCTGGGTTGCTTTAGTCCCTTGTCTGTAACCTCTCTGCCGGTTTAAGCTTGTTTAACAGTTTTAGCTGGTTAAGTTTCCCGTGTTGGTTTTTAGGCCTCCACAGAAGCAACATGGTATAGTGTTAAGCCGTGTATGCCCCCAGGAGCCACCCTGCCTGGGCTCCACCTCATAAGAGCCTGATTATTTGGGGCGAGTGATTATAACTGTCTGTGCCTCAGTTTCCCCATCTGCAAAACAGAAATGCTAAGGATAGCCACCTCATAGATTTGTTGAGAGGGTTGAAAGTATTCATCTGTGAAAAGCTCTGCTTTTGATTAAGGAAGAAAAACCTTTGTGAGAACATTGTTCTCAGTCTAAAAGCTAGGAAAAGTCAGATAATGTAACAAAATCACACACTTTAGTGAGCTCATCAGAGAGCTGAGGCAGCAAGACAGATGAGTAAGCTGAATTCCAAAGAATGGAGAGATCCTCCAAAGAGAGATGGGACCCATGGCTGTTTTATCTTGGCAAAGTACAGGAGGAAAAGATGCCCATCATAAAAGTGAAAAGAAAATAGCTAAAATTTTAACAAATTCTTAAAGACAGGGTATGGGCCAGCATGATAAAGTAGACTTCCTGGGGTACCAGACACTAGGGATGTCTCTACTCACCCACAAGCTCCTCTCTAGGGTCCTTACTGTGGGGAGGCTCTCAAGAGACACTGAGGCAGGGCAAGAGATCAGGAGAGGATCTCCCCATGGTGGTACCCAGGCACCCACTCCACTCCTGCTGCAAAAGCCCTGGGCTCTGTGGGAGGAGAAGGGGAACATCCAGCCCAACCTCAGACAAAGGTAGACCCCCACAGAGGGGAGAAGGGAAGCTACAGCCATCTGTCCATGAGAGAGAGGCAGAAAAGACACTGGACAAGACCCAGCATCCTGAACAGATATCAGAGCTCTGCTATCCCCAGGGGAGGGATGGGAGACTCTCTCCCACCCAGTTCCCCCACATATATAAGACAGGGTACACGCTATGGTGAGAGGAGGAGCAGGGTCTGAGAACCCCCACATCAACCCCAGGGCCAGGCTCAGAGTGCATGCCTAAGACTGAGGCTGGAGTAGGAGAAGAAAGAACATCCCATACCCACACTACCATTTTGTATGCCTGACAAGAAATGACAATCTACTACTGGGGGAGGAATCAGCACACGGAAAGGGATATCCCCTCTGTAACACAGATGGGCAGAGAGCTGAAGGTGGAGCCCATGGATGGAGGGGTTTAAAGTCTCTGATGCACTGAAGGTAACCATGGCAATGAACTCTCCACCCTTTGGGACTCAGCTCACCTGGCTGTCTTGCTGCCTCAGCTCTCTGATGGGCTCACTGAAGCGTGTGATTTTGTTAGATTATCTGACTTTTCCTAGTTTTTAGACTGGGAGCAATGTTCTCACTCAACTCCTGCATAAATTTCCTTAATCCCTGACAGTAATGCCTGACCAAAAAAAAATCTATTTCTGAGTTTAAATACTATTTACTTCAGTTTCTATCTTGTATGCATATCATGTGGCAATTAATTTAAAAACTATGAGATACACACACATAAGTAAGAACAAAACAACCCACCTTCAAGAGACAAAAGAGTCAACAGAACCAGACCCAAAGATGATCTGACTTTTGGGACTATCAGGGCCTTTAAAATAACTATAATTAATATATTTAAAAATATAATGGAAAGGTAGGAAATGTGCATGAACAGATGGGGAATTACAGCAGAGAGATGGAAACTGTAAGAAAGAGCCAAATGGAATAAAAATCATAATATGAGAGATAAAAAGTCATTGACAAGGGACTTAGAATTGTGTCTGACATGCAGTAAGTGTTCACTTTGTCAACTATTATTAGTTTGAAGAACAGGGAGAGTCTTTTACTTCCTCCTTCGTGGGCTCAGCATTCAGCACAGGAGTAAATTTACTCAGAGTAATTCCACAGCCATGAATGTACAAACAAATACTTCCTGGCACTAACAAGGGAAGTATAACTCATTTCTTCCAGCCACACACATAAATTTGTATATATAGGAAAGCTTTAAATTGTCATTAATAGCACTGTTGGGCTTTTACTATGAAGGAGATGCAGTTCTAAACTTTTCACATGCAGAAAGTCACTAAGTCTTCTCAACCTCTTTGTAAAGTAGGCACTATTATTTTCACTTAGCAGATGGAGAAGCTGAGGCCACAGAATGGGGAAATGGCAAACTTGGGCCACTTTGATGGCAGATAGCCTACCCCAGCACCCACATTTTTAGCCCTGTCAGCCGACAGTTTTATGTAAAAACAATGTTTGAGCTTCACAGACGATGCCTGTCATCTCTTGTCACTAATGGACTCCTAGTTCAGATGAACAGCCAACAGCATCCTAATGATACTAACAGCTGACCAAAGTGTACTTTCTAGAGTACCGCTTCTCACCATCCCAAGTACTTAATACACATTAGCTCATTTCATCCTCCCAACAATGCTTTGAGCAAGATTCTCTCATACTCCTTTTATCCTGATGAGGAAATGGAGGCACAGACAGATTAAATCACTTGTCCGTGGTCACATCACACAGCTTTTCAGCAGTGGCTGGGGACTGGTGTCCCTGCTCTTCACCTGTGTACTAAAATGCCTCTACAGAAGACAAGCAAGTTCCAGAGAACCAGCAGACATTGTGTCTCCATGAGGGAAAAGGTTGTCAGAGAATAGAGAGGGCAGCAGAGCTGAGCAGGGTCTTCGGGCCGAGGGCATCACCAAGCCTCAAAGTCATCACTGCTTGAACTTTTCAGATGCGTGAGCCAGCACATTGATGTTTTTGCTTAAGCCACTGAGTTAGACTTTTGCTTTCTTGTCAGTGTCCTGACAGAGAATCCAGCTCACTCTCAGAAGAGCTCTGGTCTGGGAGGGGACTTGGTCACAGCCACCTGCTAACCCCTGGTCCTCAGGTGGAGGTAGAAGGTACTGGACAGAGAGTAGCTGCTCTCCAGCTGCAATGTGAAGCTCTAGGCCCAGGACAGCAGCAGCTCTGCTTCTTGTCTAATCACCTGTCATTCCATGAAGCACCTGAGGTCTGAGCTCACCCTAAAATGAACCCTCCAAACAGCCTTTATCACTACGATTTGTAACATCCCTGACAGCGTCATCACCTCGGATTGAGTTTTTCAATTCTGAGTACCATTCGGTGGTGTCTGTTCTAGCCAGATGACCCTGGAAGGTTAGGCCATGGGAGCGTTGCTAACTAGATTGTGTTTTCAAATCCCTTTGATGATTCAGACCCCAAATCCATCTGACTCCCGAGCCTCACGTGCACTATTTGTTCCACCTGATGTCTTCAATGAACAATTTCCTTTGACTAAGATTTGTGCCTCTCCTCTCTCTTCTTGGAACATGTAATAAATTTTCCATACCCAATTTCAAACCAAACTCAATTTCCTAATGCTCTCTGGTGACTTCCGTTCAGGTGAGTCGTTTAGCCTCTTGGCTTCAGGACTTCTCTTTAAAAGAGAAAAATGAATGATCCCCATACTTCACAGGAGGGTTGCGAGAATTAATTAATGTTTATAAAGGGTTTTGCTGTCCTGTGGCGTCTTTGATATCGGAGGATGAAAGTCTGTGAGCGAGGACAGTGAGCACCAGATTCAGGAGGGAAACAGAGAAAACAATCCTCTATTTGTTAGCTCTGGTTCTCCTCTGTTTCGCTTTGACATTTAACAAAGTTCTTTTAAGTTTTGTTCAAAGTTGAACGCATTCATTTCAATGTCATCCCTTTGATGAAGCCATTCAAAATAAAGTTTTTAAAAAAAAAAAAAAAAAAACCTTACACAACCCAGAGACTGGAGGTAGAAGTCTGCTTCTTGTCAACCAGAAACCTAGCTTTCATAGCCTTCACTTTGTCATCACCAGGAGTGATGTGAGTCCCCCTGTTCCTAACTCCCTAAAATAACACCCTCCCACCCTACCCTGCAGGCTCCATCCCCACACTGTAAGTGTGTTTTCTAGTCTAAGGAGAGAAGGATGCAGTGTTTACTAATTTACTTTTTCCAGGAGAGGAGACTATGTCTGTTATGGACTGAATTATGCCAACCTCCCTTCCAAATTCATGTGTGGAAGTCCTAACCTCAGTATCTCAGAATATGGCTGTTTGCAAATGAGATCTTTACAAAGGTGATTAAGTTACAATGAGGTTGTTAGGATGGGCTGTGATCCAATAGGACTGGTGTCCTTATAAGAAGAGGAGACTAGGACACAGACACACACAGAAGCATGATTGTGAGAATACACAGGGAGAAGATGGCCACACAGGCCAAGGAGAAACCAACCCTGCCAATGCCTTGATCTCAGACTTCCAGCCTCCAGGACAGTGAGAACGGAAATTTCTGTTTAAACTACCCAGTAAACGGTAGTTTGTTATGACAACTTGAGCAAACGAATCAGCGTCTTAGCCCACTCATGGTCTTAGCCAAGTTTCTCCGTGGTCACGAATCCAGGAGGGAATTTCAGGAACAGAGACCCAAGTGGATGTCTAAGAGATGCAGGAGTTCAACTTATCTCTACCCTGGAGTTCTCTGATAGTATTTGGGAAGGAATCTGGGGCAAGAACCGACATGGAGGCTCATTTCATACAAAAATGACCGATTTTTTAAGTCATTCAAGTTTTGTTTTAAAACTTTAAACACTAAAGTTTTGTTTTAAAAACCCATGTTCTGGCTCATTCAGGAAATGTATCCAAACTCTTTTCTGTGTTGCTGTTAAAGAGGTGCTGGGACAAGTTTTTAAAAAATATCTTGTCTACCTTCCAGAGAAAGGAAATGATCACATCGTTTTCTTTTCACTGAGGAACTAATGATCTTCACTAATATTTTGTAGCAAATTAAATAGGGCCACAAATTATTTGTACCTCCTCTAATTAAGACTTGGAGTCTATTTCTTCTCCCCTAGAATATGGGGGCTGGGACTTGCTTAGACAATAGAATGTTGTAGAAATGGGCCAGGCGTGGTGGCTCACGCCTGTAATTCCAGCATGGAATTTGGGAGGCCGAGGCGGATGGATTACTTGAGGTTGGGAGTTTGAGACTAGCCTGGCCAACATGGTGAAAACTTGTCTCTACAAAAATACAAAAATAAATAAATAAATAAATAAATAAATAAAACAGCCAAGGGTGGGGGCATGCACCTGTAATCCCAGCTACTTGGGAGGCTAAGGCAAGAGAATTGCTTGAATCCGGGAGGTAGAGGTTGCAGTGAGCAGACATTGCACCACTGCATTCCAGCCTGGGTAACAGAGCCAGACTCTGTCTAAAAAAAAGAAAAATAAAAGAATGTTGTAGAAATAACATGTACGAGTTTCAGAGCTGTATTAGTCAGAGTTCTCCAGAGAAACACAACCACCAATACAGTGTATGTGCGGAGAGAGAGAGAGATGTTATGAGGAATTAGCACATGTAATTATGGAAGCTGACGAGTCCCCTCATCTGCCGCCTGTAGGCTGGAGACTCAGGAAAGCTGGAGGTGCAGCTCCAGTCTGAGCCCAAAGGGCTGAGAACCAGGGAGCCAGTCGAAGGGTAGGAGAAGACGAATGTCGCAACTCAAGTAGTCAGACAGATAGAGATCGAATTCTTCCCTCCTCTGCCCTTTGGCCATTTGGTTTCTCAACCAACTGGATGGTGCCCACCCACACTGGGGGGCACCCTGTGGCCCAGTCAAGTTAACACATAAAATAAATCATCACAGGAGCCTTGGCCTTAACACGCTTTGCAATTTCTACCTTTGCCCTCTTGAAATGCTTCCTGAGACCCCCAGGCCAGGAAGAAGGATGAAAAGTCATATGGGATTGTCCCAGCTGAGCCCCCAACCCAGCTGAGCCCACGCTCATGAGTGGATCCAGGTGTAACCAGTCACCAAATAGCTCAGTCAGCCCAGAGAATCAGGAGGAATATTAAGTTGCTGTTGTTTTAAGCCACTAATTTTTGGGGGTTGTTTGGCTTAGAAATAACTGGAATACTTTTCTTCCAGTCAGTTTATGAAGAAAGGTCAGTCTGAATGGGATAAAAGGTAGGCTTTCAAGAAATTTTAAAAATCTAGTTATATTATTTTTAAACTAATGAAACAAAGAAGTTGTCCAATAAAATTGTTCAGAGACACAGAGCCCTGAAGCCATGTTTTAAAATAATTTGTAATATTATAGTAATCATATGCAAACAATGCTTCCAAAAGGCTAGGAAACAATTGATTCTTTTAATAACTTAAACAATGCCCCTGAAATCTTTTGCAACATGATCTGCTTAGCAAAATACTTTCTCCTAAATCATTTAAGGGAAGACTTTGATCACCCTATAAATTATACCATCACAAATTCCACACTGCTGTTGCCTGAGTCAGGGATGTCTTCCTGGATTTGACCCCACCAAGCTTCATTGCTCTGCTGTATCTACCCTTTGGGGGCCTTTTTACTCCCGAAGTTGGTTAAGTTAGCGTATTTCCTAAAATGTAGGACTCACATTGGACCTTTACATTTGTCACAGCACACAAACCACAAAGGTTTGCAGCACTTTCCTGAAGATACTCTCTGGGAACCGAATCACTCCGTGTGTGCATACACATGTATGCGCGCATCTTTTTTTTTTTTTTTTTGAGACAGAGTTTTGCTTTTGTCCCCCAAGCTGGAGTGCAATGGCGCGATCTCAGCTCACTGCAACCTCTGCCTCCCAGGCTCAAGCGATTCTCCTGCCTCAGCCTCCCAAGTAGCTGGTATTACAGGCCTGTGCCACCACACCCAGCTCGTTTTTGTATTTTCAGTAGAGACGGGGTTTCACCATGTTGGACAGGCTGGCCTCAAACTCCTGACCTCAGGTGATCTGCCCACCTCAACCTCCCAAAGTGCTGGGATTACAGGCGTGAGCCACCGTGCCTGGCCATGCGTGCATCTTTCTGTGTGTGAACATGTGTGCATGTACATGTGCATTTGCATGTGCGTCTGTGTGTACTGTGTCTCTGTGTGTGTATGTGTGCATGTGTGTGCATGTGTCTCTGTGAGTGTGCATGTGTGGATGTGTCTGTGTGTGTGTATATATATGTGTGTCTCCATGTGTGTGCACATGTCCGTGTGCATATGTGTGTGCCTGTATGTGCATGTGTGTGCTTGCATCTCTGTGCGTGTGCATGTGTGGCTGTGTCTGTGTGTATATATGTGTATCTCTGTGTGTGCATATATGCGTGTCTATATGTGCATGTGTGTGCATGTGTCTCTGTGAGTGTGCATGTGTGTGTGTGCATGGGTATGCACGCTCTACACTGGACTGAGCTCCATCTATTGAGAAGGTGACTCAGTCCTGTTTGAGATAACATAGCGCAGGGGCTGTGTTAATGTCCCTAAGCAGATGGCGTGGCTTCCAGACCCTTTGTGACTATTGTTTTTCTGTTGTTTATTTGTGTCATCCCACATCAGCAATGCAGCTCCCCGAAGTGGGGTGGATGGGACTGGTTTAAAAAGGAAAGTTTTCCTCCAGCCCTGGAAAATAAGACCCAAAGCTGGCAGTGCAGGCACTGGGGCCCTTCATGCCACGGACAGCCCCCGGACCTCTGTACAAAAGCCAGAAGACCTTAAAGGAAGTACAAAGAATACTTTATATACCTCTGAGACTTCTGCAAAGAGGAGTGGCAAACAATTGAAGAATAAAATATTGCTCCCATCAAAATGGCTCATTCAAATATTTATAGGGTCCGGAGACTCGCGTTTCCCTCCCACCTTGCAGGCCAATTCCTTCTCCTAATTAGCCAGCAAGGTTATCTTATTTGTGGCTGAATGGCAGCAGCCCCTCTGGTCAATTCTAGGGAGAACGATCAAAGAGGGATTTAATTAAATTTTCATATTTAATTTTCTTCTTTCATTTTTATTGTCGCTTTTTTTACTCAAAACATGCTATTCTCAGGGAGCTGAGAAGTTGCTCAAGAGCAGAACTCAATAAGATGGGAAAGCAGTGGGGACTTTATGGGTTTTCTTTAAAGGACCCAGATCTCCCATCTTCACTCAGCTCAAAATGCCTGTGTAATTTAGGGCAGCAACATTTGAATTATGAATCGGCGGCTCCAGTGGTAAATTACAACATGCAGCAAGTGGCTTCCATTCCAAGCGTCCACTTGCAACTCACCCAACCTGAGACTAAGGAATTGAGAATGCAGACAATGGCAGGTTCGTTCCAGGCCCAAACCCCACCTGCTTCATTCACCGGTGCTTCTTGGTTTCACAAAAGTCAGGGCCCTGTGTAGCTTGTGCCTTCAATTCACCAACTATGTAGTACACAGTCCGTGTGAATAATGCGGTAGGTGGGGATGGCATGCAGACAAAGTACAAGCAACACGCAATCTTTCGTGAGGTTTGTTTTGACTTCGAGGCCTGTGGCAGATGGACTTCAAGCCTTTTGTCTCTTCACACCAAGGCCATGAGCATGCCTCCTTTCCCCTCTGTGGAAACACTGCCCCCTTGTTGCCTCTGCAGCTGGACTCAGTGGGTTGAGGGGATTCCAGAGCCGGTACGGAGCAAAGCCGGGAGGCCTGTTTTGTTGAAATGCACACGTCTGTACCTCCCTAACTGGGAATATCTGTTCATTTGCATCGAGTCTATAACCAGAGTCTTCCCAAACCAATGAGTGCAGTAAGATCTGTGCAGCTCTACTTGTAAAAGGAAGGAATCTCTTTCCTAAAACTTCAGAAGCATCATTTACGTATTCATAATTCATGTGTTTATTATACATCATTCTCATCTACTCAGTAGAGGGGAGAGTGGACCCTCCTCCTCCCGCTGCTGACTACTCCTGTTAGCCTAATGGGAAGGGCACACACAGGAAAGGCACTGTGCCTCCAGGGCCAGTAATGGACGATGGATGGATTCCCCACTTCCGGCGCCCTCTGGCACTGCAGACAGCAAGGGTGTGACTTGAGTCTGCCCAGCACTCCCTGATGGACAAGGTGAGTCCTTGCTCCCAAGTGCTGATGAGGCCACCTGGCAGTTGTTAGGACTTGGATTGTGTCCCACAAATGGCATGTTCAAGTCCTAACCCTCAGTACCTGGGCCTGTGACTTGATTTAGAAATAGGATCTTTGCAAATATACTCAAGTGAAGATGAGCTCATCCTGGATTAGCGTGGGCCCTAGTCCAATGTGACTGCTGTCCTTGTACAAAGAGGAGGAGAGACACAAACAGCATGATGTGATGATGGGGCAGAGATGGGAGAGATGCCGACACACGTGGAGGATCGCCAAGGATTGCTGGAACCTCCAGAAACTGGAAGAGGCAGGAAGCATCCTCTTCCCCTGGTGCCTTCAGAGGGAGCATAGCCCTATCCACACCTTGATTTCAGACTTCTGGCCTCCAGATGGGGAGAAAATAAAAGGCAGTTGTTTATGCCACCCGGCGTGTGGCACTTTATGATGGCAGCCACAGAAAACAAATGCAGCTGTTTACTTGAAGTCAGGTGCTTTGTCTCCTGCTCAGGAGACCAAGTCATGATGGGTCAAAAGCAGGACCACTCCCAGATGGGGCTGGTGACACAGTCACAATATGAACCTGTGACTCGTTGCAGGGCCTTGGACACCCTCCGTGCAGTGCAGGCTCAAACACAGGAGCAGGCAACACAGCCCCATAATAGGCTCCACAGCCTGGGCTTAGACCACACCAACTTCACTTCCCGCAGTCCTGGAGGCCCGGAGTTCGAGATCAGGGTGTCGGTCGGCAGGGCTGACTCCTCCCGAGGTCTCTCCTTGGCTCACAGATGCTCTCTCCTCCCTGTGTCCTCACAGGGTCACCTCTCTCTGTGTGTCTGTGTCCTAATCTCTTCTTGTAAGGACACTAGTCAAATTGGATTAAGGCCCACCCTGATAACCTCATTTTGAGGTCCTGGGGAATAGCATGTAATATACCGAGGAAGGGACTCCTGCCACTGCAAATCCAAGGGAAGCACTGACTCCCAAAAACAGCCCCTCTCCTCCTGACCAAGTCCTGGGCATCGCTTGGGACCACTGAGACTCAAAGAGCTGCGGAAATTAAAATAGAGGACAGGGCCTGGTGTGGTGGCTCACGCCTGTAATCCCAACACTTTGGGAGGTCTAGGTGGGTGGATCACCTGAGGTCAGGAGTTTGAGACCAGCCTGGCCAACATGGTGAAACCCTGTCTCTACTAAAAATACAAAAATTATCCAGGCGTGCTGGCACACACCTATTATCCCAGCTACCCAGGAGGCTGAGGCAGGAGAATCGCTTGAACCCAGGAGGTGGAAGTTGCAGTGAGCCGAGATCACGCCACTGCACTCCAGACTGGGTGGCAGAGTGAGACTCCATCTCAAAAAATAAAATAAAATAAAATAAAATAAAAAATAGAGGACAGGCTGCAGGGGTCCTAATGTTAGCTCCCGGTCGCAGAAAGAGTGTTTGTCACTTTGATTTGAGCCATTGACACTTGGCTCTAAAGCCACAAAGATCCTCACTCAGGGAATCCAGCCTCTACAGGGCTGTGAGCTATGACCTCTCCAGTTGCTGCTTCCCCTTTCGTTGAGGAAGAGACAGGTTCAAGGCAGGACATGACATTATCAGCCAACTATGGCCTCTGCACCATGGCCTCTCTGGGAGGAATCCCAGGGGCCTCCTGGGCTGGGGGTGATCATGGATGACCCACACCTCAGACAGGGAAGGGCGATGGCTGGCGAGTGTATTCAGCAGACTAGGAAAGGCAGCCGCCGGCCTTTCCCTTCCTCCAGCCAGGGGAGACAGGTACAGTCTGTCCAGCCCTGCTTACTGCCCCCGGCCAGCCGAGGGAGGACACCTAGCCATGCCACTCCCTTCTCCCCTGCAGCCCCTCTGTGGGTGGTCAGGCAGCTCCGTTCTCTGCTGCTCCTACACATAGAGTGGGTCTGGGTGTGTTATGAGAGGAGAGAGGAAGACGGAGCTCCACAAGGCCAGGTCACATCACCTCGCTCTCGTTTGCCACTGTCCTTAAAGTGCTCCTTTCTCCCACCAAAACTCCATGGGGAGGAGTGGGGAGGCCTGCAGCAGAATGTGGGTACTCCTGGTCTCCAGGTTTCCAGAACCCCAAATCTCAGCATAACTAGCCCACCTCCAGGAGCAAAGATGGATGGGTTATCCTGTGGGTTATTTCAGTCAAGGCCAGTGAAGGAAGTTGGCACTGTGTACATGGGGCAGTGGGAGGAGGTTGGCACTGTGTCCAGGGGGCAGTGGGGAAAGTTGACACTGTGTCCCCTTGGCAGTAGAGGAGGGTGGCACTGTGTCCATGGGGCAGTGAAAGGGGATTGGCACTATGTCCACGGGGCAGTAGGAGAAGGTTAGCACTGTCCATGGGGCAATGGGAAAGGTTGACACTGTACTCATGGGGCAGTAGAGGAGGTTGGCACTGCATCCACAGGGCAGTGAAGAAAGTTGACACACTGTCCATGAGGAAGTGGGGGGAAGGTAGGCACTGTGTCTGCAGGGCAGTAGGAGGTTAACACTGTGCCCATGGGGCAGCGAGAAAGCTTGGCACTGTGTCCATGGGGCGCTGGGGAAAGGTTGTCACTGTGTCCATGTTTCTTGCAGAAGAAAAGCAGATGGGCCAACTCCTTCCCCACAACTGACTCTTTGATGACCTGAGAGGGGCCCGTCTGTGTACCAGCGGCTGCCTTCTGTAGTCAGATGTGTCACCTGGCCACCGCAGGTTGCCACAGAATCTGGCCAAGCAAGTTTTTGTACCCGAGTCCACGACCACCCTGGGTCAAATCAGTTCTGTTCATCAGCAAGAAGTGGTGAGGGACAGTGCGTGGGCCACCCACGGGGCTGGACTCAAGCTGGACACAGGCGCAGGACCTTCTCCTTTGCTTAAGTGGAAATGTGGGGTGAGATGTAGGCTCTGGGAGTCCTTGATTTATTTTATTTTAAACATCTTTATTGAGTTACAATTCCCACACCATATAATTCACCCATTTAAAGTGCACAAGTCAATGGCTTTCTACACATTCACAGGCTTACGTCACCATCTCCACAATCAATGTTGAACATTTTGTCCCCACCAAGAAGCCCTGCACCCTTCACCTTTCACTTCCCAATCCCCATGCCCACCCTCTGCCCCCAGCCTCAGGCATCCACCAATCTATCTCTCTCTGTATCAATTTGCCTATTATGTGCACTGTGCACTTTATATAATGTGCATAAATGGAATCATACATTTTTATATAAAAGGAGCCATGCATTTTTGTGTCTGTCCATGTCAGGCTTCTGGATCTTTTTTTTTTTTTCTTTTTGAGATGGAGTCTCTCTCTGTCACCCAGGCCGGAGTGCAGTGGCACGATCTCGGCTCACTGCAACCTCCACCTCCTGGGTTCAAGCGATTCTCCTGCCTCAGCCTCTTGAGTAGCTGGTATTACAGGCGCGTGCCACCATGTTTGGCTATTTTCTTTTTTATTTTTAGTAGAGACAGGGTTTCACCATGTTGGTCAGGCTGGTCTCAAACTCCTGACCTCGTGATCCACCTGCCTCGGCCTCCCAAAGTGCTGGGATTACAGGCGTGAGCCACCGCGCCCGGCCGGCTTCTGTATCTTTTACTGAGCGTGATGTGTCCTGAAGGTTCACCCTCCTTGTACTGAGTGTCAGTCTTTCATTCCTTTCCACTGTCAAATAACAGTCCATTTGGACATGGCACATTTTGTTCATCCACTCATTTGTTGATGGATATTTGGGCTGTTTTCACCTTTTGGTGCCTATGAGTCAGGCTGCTATGAACATTCTCAGACAGGTTTCCATGGGGACATGTGTCTTCACTTCTCTTGGGTATACGCCTGTGTATTAGTCCATTTTCACGCTGCTGATAAAGACATACCCGAGACTGGGTAATTTATAAAGAAAAGAGGTTTAATGGACTCATGGTTCCACGTGACTGAGGAGGCCTCACAATCATGGTGGAAGGCAAAAGGCACAGCTTACATGGTGGCAGGCAAGAGAGAAATGAGAACCAAGCAAAAGGGGGAAACCCTTTATAAAACCATCAGATCTCATGAGACTTATTCACTACCATGAGAACAGTATGGGGGAAACCACCCCCATGATTCAATTATCTCCCACCAGGTCCCTCCCACAACACAGGGGAATTATGGGAGCTACAATTCAAAATGAGATTTGGGTGGGGACACAGCCAGACCATATCAACCTGGGATTGGATTTACTGGTCAGTTTTCTTTTGCATGTACTCAAGAACATGCAGCGTTTAGCTTCTATCATCCAAAATAGTGAATGTTGCTGATGGCGCCTCATCGACCACTAGGCAAGAAATGCACTGGTAATTCCCAGGCCATTTTTGGTCATGAACTACCCTGCATCTTTGTCTTTGGCCCAAGCAGGAGAAAAATGAATGCTCTGGTATTTTTCTTCCACTTTCATGTGCTGTTTGTTGTTATCAGGGAAAATGCAAACTGCTGGGTTAGCAGAAAGCCTGACCTGTTCTCCTGAAATCTGCTTCTCACACCGGCCTCAGCTGTTGTCTCTTCCGGCCTGAAGCTGGAGGTGGAGGCCCAGAGTCCTTCCCTCCTCACCTCACCTTCACAGTTCCTCACTGTAGCAGCTGATGGTGCTTAAGGACCATCAGAGGCATCAACAATCAACCAAACCTCCACCGTCTGCCTTCCTTAGCCCAGACTGTGGACACACAGTGTGTTCAGTTATTTTTATTTGCATGTATGTTTTTAAAACCCTATAGCAAATTGGAAGAAAAGCTATGCAAACCCCTCCTGGCCTTTCCTGTTGTGAAGGATTTTTTTCAGGGGCTTCGATCTGACCCTGGAGACCAGAGTGGTAGGTATAATTGGATGGACGTTTGGATTGGCCTCAGACAGTTCCTTCCCCACTCATCATTCTTTCGCTAATTCATTCAACAAACAGCCCAGGGTCAGGCCCCGCGCTAGGATTCAGGACAGAGATGTGAACAGAACCCAGTCCCTGACCCCAAAGCCTCACTGTCAAGTGGGCAAGAGCAGCTGAGACCAGGGTGTGCAGAGCCTGACACTGTGGGGTGGGGCAAGTCCGGGCTGACAGTGGGGTTGGAGGGAAGGAGGGAGCTCTGTCTCCTCACTCCAGGGCTGCTGGCCCTCCTTGGAGACAGCTGGTCAGGAGAACAGTCTTGCTGTCAGCAAACTTCTATTTCCCTTTGTGGATTTCACCTACGAAATTGTTCTGAGAACCTCCTCCTCACCCTGTTTGGGAGGGAGGGACTCCCACCCGAGGGTCACAGGGATGACCAAACACGCAACACCCTACTGTGGACAGATGAGACCGACAGGGCTTCTGAGTCATATGTACTCAGCCCAGGGCGGGGGCAGGCACTGCAGGCCAAGCAGGGCCATGGGGGCCCACACTGCGGCACAGATGGCACCGGCCAGGACTGTGGGAGGCAGCCTCTGTGGTGCTTGACAAGAGGGTGGGATGACCCTGGTCGCAGGGGAGGATGTGAGTGGCTTCTTTGAATTATACCATGGGCTGGCAGGGGTGTGACCTGGTGAGGCTGAAGACTGGACAGGGTGCAGTGTGTCGGGCTGGTAGGGGAACTAGTGGGTGGGAACCTTTCCGGCGGGGTGGGGGCGCATATCTGGTGAGAGCAGGAAACTCGTAGTGAGGCCTTTGGGGTCCTTGGAGGCTAAGAGTCAAGGCTGCTCATGAATTTGGGGGCCCTACAGTACAGCGAGCACTAACTGTGGGAGTGGGGGCTGTCCTGGGGTCTCTGATGTCCTCCTCACCCACCAGCCCCAGCTAGGAAGGGGTTAATGGATGAAGGCAGTGAGGTTGATGGACTCAGAGGGCCTGGAGCAGCCCAAAGCCTGGGAAGAGCATGTTCCTGACCCCGGAAAGTCCTTAGGCCTCCCCGGCCGTAGGCTCCAGACGCTACTTTGTTCCAATCTATTTTGGAATCCTCCCTGGTCCGGATATTTGGTCTCCAGCCCTGGCCTATTTTTAACTCACAGACTTTGCCCTTGGAAGGGGCCTTGGTGGCCATGAGCCTCTCTCCAGAATTCCACACCTCCTACCTGACCTCCTACCTGATGGAGTGTTGCGTTCCATCAACACTCGAGTCCCCTCCTCGGGCTGCGCCCCACCCTCCACCACCACCAGACCAGCACTGCCCTTTCTCGGCTCCCCCTCCATGCCCGCGCCTGGCTCGACAGCACATCAGCCTGTGGGCAGGGGCCCAGGTGAGTCACTACAGGGAACCTGCTGAGAGGGGTGCATGGTGTGTTGTGGGGTTGGAAACTTCCACTCAACCCTCTGCCAGGGTGCCCAGGCCCCCCAGAGCCCTTCCTGAGTTTGTCTGTCTGCTGCCTGGTGTGGCCACAGAGCTCTGGGCCACAAACAGGCTCCCGCTCTGCATGTGACCTTCAGGAGAAGGGCCGGAGGAAAGACGACCTCTGAGATCCTTTCTTGAGCAAACCTGCGTGTGTGCACGAGTGTGGGTGGCGTTTGCTCCAGGCCAGAGGTTATCAGTGTTTCCAAGGAGCTCCTCCTCTCTGAAGCTGGCTCTGAGTCCCGCAGCACTCTGATGATGCCAACATGGGTGGCAATTCCCGATACCCAGGAAATGTGTGTTAACACAGACCATGGGCCCCTCTCCAAGGAGGAGCAAACTGATGGTCACCATCATCCCTGCAGATTGCTGAAGGCATCTCCACCACAGGATCTAGAAGAACAGGATCTGTGTCGAAGACAAGAGGTCAAGGGTGCTTGTCCTTTTATAGGCATCTTTAAGCCCCTAGTATGTGCCATGCACAGTCTTAAATCCTGGAGAAACACAAGTTAACCAAAAAAACCAAAAACAAAATGGAGGCAAGGAGATAAAACTCTCTGTGCTCATGGAGCTGATGTTTTATCAGGGAGCCAGACAGGACAGGATAAATGACTAGAATGTATGTTATGTTCACAAGGTCCTAGGAAGGAAAGTAAAGTGAGTGGTGGCGGGGGCATGGCGTGCCGGGAAGGGGAGTTGCCTTCTGGAATGGGCCAAACCGAGAAGGCTTTTCTGGGAAGGGGCTTCTAAGCAAAGACCTGAAGGGGTGAGGGACTGAGCCTCGCTGCGGCCTGCAGGAAGCAGAGGCCAGGTGAGGAGAAGGGTGTGTACAAAGGCCCTGAGGCAGGCCAAGGACTGGCAGGGACGTCTACGTGGCCACACTGGGGCACACAGTTATGGGGGAGGATGAGACCCCTCTTCCCACAGGAAGGTTGACCGGGCCCGTAGGTCCCTGTGACCATCAGGGGCCCGGGCAGAGAAGCAGCACGGGTGGGTAGACTTAGAATCTGTGAGCCTCCTGCCAGCTGCAGTGGCCAGGCAGAAGCAGGGAGGCGGCAGCTGCTCCTGGCCTGGGCACCATCCAGTTTGCACCACGGCTGTCTCTGGCCTTCCCTGGCCAGCTGCCCACACACACTGTCACCTTGGGCTTCTGCCTTTTCTTTCCCTCCTGTGGCCATTTTGTGGCCATTTCTGGGGTCATACCTTCCTAGCAGGATACAACGATGCATGAACCAGCGCATCCCCAGAACTGATGTGTCCTTCTCCGAGGCTCTGCCCACATCGTGGCCCCCAGACGGTGCTGCAGTAACCCACACACTGGTTGCTCATCTGACCTTTGCATGTGGGTTTACGGGAAGGGGGGCTTCAACCGTCAAAGGATGTCCTTTCTGGAAGATTCTAGAAAGAGATAAGGAATGTTGCCCACAGTAGATAGAAGACTGAAGGGCTCCGCGGTCCCCAGGGCTGAAAGCAGAGCTTATTATTATTATTTTAATAATAAGAGGGCTGGACACTCACATAGAACTTGAGTCTCACTAAGTTTGGCTTTCAAACAGCCTCACCGATTTTATCATCCCCGTTTTCTGATGAGGATGCTGGCGTCTGAAAGTTTGAAAAAAGTAGCTCCATCACTGCACACAAGCACCTCACCTAGAAGCCAGATCCCTCCACCACAGCCTGAAGTTCGCTCGGCCTGGGCTGCTCCTCCCTCACTGCTCCGTCTCCTCCACCAAAGGTGTGACCAGTCCATCCGTCGGGGTGCGTTTTGCTTTGCACATTTCTTGGGGAAAAAAATTCTTATTTGGTTTTGAAAGTATCGTTATTATCGATTTTACAGTTTTCTCATACATTTTAAAACCATTTTTTCCCCCAAACTGTTTTGCAAACCCGTGGCAAGGCGGTAGGCCCCGTGCCTGTGTGCTTGCTGGGTCACTGGCCTGGCTGTGCCCACGGCCTCCTCCTCGCCCCCTCTTCCTGCCTCCTTTAGGCCAGCTGACTCGGGGGCTTGGCTCTCAGAAGCAGCACTTCCTGGCATCTGGTCCCTGCCCTCCGGAACATTCTGCCCATCCTGGGAACACGCCTTTGCACTTGCCGCAGTCTGGTTCTCCTCCTACACACCCTGCAAGGCCCTCCCCAGCCTCCGGTGGGGTTGAGGGCAGCCTGTGCTTTCTGCCCCGCTGACTCCCTGGACCTCAGCACCTGCCCCCGCACTGGGGTTGCAGAGAACGTGAATCTCACAAGGTGGACGGCTTCTTCCACAGGAGCCGGGGATCCTTCCTGCCACTCAGCCGTCTCTAAAATTGTTCCCTAACTATCCCTGTCCCCAGTTTCATTTTTCTTAAGCATTCAATTACATTAAGCTACTAGCACCACACTCATTTTAATTTTCCTGTTTTATACCCCATGAAAAATAGTGACGGGGTAATAGGATGGCCTCCTCCTTTGGCCTTCTTTTCCGCCTCATCCACCATTTCTCTGCATCTTCTTCCCCGAGTGTCTCAAGGACCTTGGACCTCAAGGATGAGGCTGGGACAGGCTGGCCAGAGGGGCCTCAAGCAGGCACCTGCTTTCCTTCCCAGCTCTGTTCCCAGGCTGGTGGGATGGACTGGGAATGCAAGGGTGGCCGAGCCTGTCTAGGTGGGTGAGCCTGCAGGTAGATGTGCACACAGCCCGGCAGATGCACACACAGCCCGGTCTTGAACTCTCTCCATCTGCAGCTACCTTGCAGCAGCTCCTGTGGCTTTGGCTGTTGGGTGCTGATGCCTCTTCTCAGGCCAGCCCAGACCCTGGCACTTCTTGAGTACAGGTGGCCCAACTATGCACACTCTCTGCCTATGGGAGCCAGCCTGGGCCCAGGTGACCAGTGCCCAAGACCTGCCCTGGGGAGGTGCTGTTAGAGGGGTTAGCTTGTTCCACAGGGAAATCACAGAGTGGCCTTCTGGTTGGATGGAGAAGCGATGTTTGCTTCATTTATTAAACCATTTCTCTAGGTTCAGGTTTTGCTCTAAACCCTTTAGCCATGTTATTTTATTGAATCCTCATAGAGGTGTGCAACGTCAGTGTCATTGTCTCCTAATTAAAGAAGAGAAAGTCGACAATGCTCTGAGGAGCCCAACAACCTCCCCAGGTGGGTGGCGCAGGCAGAACTCAAACACGGGTTTCGTGGCTGTGCCCTTCTTTTTCCCGTCAAACCGTGTGTCTCTGATTCCTGCCCCTAAGGTGCCCTCATTGATATTTCCAGACTGCTCTAAAATGGTTAGAATTTGGCCAGTCTTTTCATTGATTTCTCTTTGAGGTGTGACTCACTGATATCATTAGGGAGAAGGCAGTGGGTTTGAGCCCCAAGAGTGCACTCCCAAGTCAGACCGACCATTTGATTGGAATCCAATCCCACATCTTACTGCTTAGAGGGTCTCACCAAGCCTCAGTTAACCTCATCTGTAAAATGGGTTCAACTGCTCCAACAAAAAAGACCCGTGATGCAATGGCTTCAACAGGAGAGATGTTTGCTCCTAGCTCACATAACATCCACAGGTAGGTGGCCTCCTTTTGTGAGCTCAGTCAGGACTAGGGTTTCTCTCAACCTAGCTCCGAATAATACTCTTGGAAATCATCCTTTTCTGCATGGTTGAAAGTTGCTCACCAAACCCCATCACAATACGCATGATTGAAGAAAGAAGGAAACAAGCACAAAGCAGGATTTTCTTTGAAGGAAAGGACATACAATGTGTGGCAATATACCACTTTCTGGTCACTTTGCAAGGATGACAACTTAGTCCAGAGACCAAATCTAGCTGCAAAGGAGGCTGGGAACAGAATCTCCAACTGCGTAGTGAGAGGCCCTGTTAAAATTCAGAGAAAGCAGAATTGTATTGCTAAAAAGAAAAGGCATGAAATAGATGCCGAAGGGTTGATTAACATTCTCTGCCAGAGGCAATAATACTGAACTCATAGGTTTTCTGGGAACATCAAATGAGAAGGGTATGTAAAGTTTTGCATGTACAGGGCACGTGTTGTCTAAAACCACCTGAAATTGATTTATTTCCATCATCATCTCATTCTCAGGTAATGCCAGTTCAACCACCATCAATGACAATAATCATGCTTTTATTAACATACCTTTTCCTTAGTAAAATACACCAATCTCTAATGATAGTTTATTAGCCACTGCTGCCTTCATTTGTTTTGCAATTCAAGTGCAAACAGAAGTCTAATTTATTATTACACCTGGTTCAGCAAACACTATCTTTATATACTAATTCTTGCAGGTTTCAAAATTGTTTTGATCATAAGAAATTCACAGTGCACCTAGGAAATAGTTTTAAAATGGTGCGGAATACTCTTTGACCCAGCAACTTTGCTGTTGAGATTGTACACAAAGGAAATAACCACAGAAAAGCAAAGAGATTTATCTGCTGCGATATTTCTCCCAGCAATATTTATAACCATGGAAAGATAGGAAACACCCTAAATATTGAAGAGTAGAGGCTTGGTAAATGAATTATACTACAGCTATATGATGAAATACTACACAGCTTTAAAAAATTATGTTGTTGAAGAATATTCAAATATATGGAAAAATATTTATGATATATTTGTTAAATGGAAAAGCAGATTTTAAAACAGTATGTGAGATTATAATCTCGGTTAGTGGGCAGGGAACAATTATCAATGAAGAAAATGGGCTCTGGAAACAGAAAGATTTGAATACCCCTTAAACTGGGTACATAATTCAGGGCCATGGGCAAGTTACTTAACTTTTGTGCCTCAGTTTTCTCATTTTCAAAATGTGGATTCAGGCTGGGTGCAGTGGCTTGTGCCTGTAATCCCAGCTCTTTGGGAGGCCAAGGCAGGTGGATCACAAGGTCAGGGGTTCAAGACCAGCCTGGCCAACATGGTGAAACCCTGTCTCTATTAAAAATACAAAAATTAGGCAGGTGTGGTGATGCAGGCTTGTAATCCCAGCTACTTGGGAGGCTGAAGTGGGAGAATCACTTGAACCTGGGAGGCAGAAGTTGCTGTGAGCTGAGATCATGCCATTGCACTCCAGCCTGGGCAACAAGAGCAAAACTCCATCTCAAAAAAAAAAAAAAAAAAAAAAGTGGATTCAAATAATACCCTCCTCAAAGGGCAACCGGGCAAAGCCTCTCCCTGCTTCCTTCAGTGCAGCACACCTGGTGGGCAGTCCCCTAACCTCTATTTGGATATCTCCTGTGCACGGGGCCCTCGTCACCTTCTGATACTGCCTATAACAGTAAGAACCCTAACAGCAAACTACACATTAAGTGACAGAACCCGTTTGAAACCTACACTCTCTTTTCTTTTCTTTTTTTTTTTTTTTTTTTTTGAGATGAGATCTCCCTCTGTTGCCCAGGCTGGAGTGCAACGGCACAGTCATAACTCATTGCAGCCTCCACCTCCCAGGCTCAGGTGATCCTCCCACCTCAGCCTCCCAAGTAGCTGGGACTACAGGTGCATGCCACCACACCCAGCCTTAAACCTACATTCGCAAGTCTGGGACTTGTGTTCTCATTGTTATCACCAATAAAAGAGCTGTGGACCATCTGTGGCTACAAGTGGTTGTTGAGGGGATTCTTTTTGTTTTCAGGATCCCCAGAAAGTTCATGTTAATTGTTTCTGGACCAGCTCAGGAATGAAGGGCTGATAATTAATCACCCTTGGTCCCATTGTCATGGGTTAAAGGCAGTCTACAGAGTAGCTTTGTCATGGCAGAGGACATGAACAGAGCCCTAAGAGCAGGTTCCTAAAGAGATATCTTATGAACACTCCAAGTGCAAAGTCTGACCTCAAGTGAGAGCTCAATCAGTGTTGCGAGTCCATCCCAGCCTGGCCACTAAAGAATCGGGTGACCGGCCAGGCGCGGTGGCTCAAGCCTGTAATCCCAGCACTTTGGGAGTTCGAGGTGGGTGGATCACGAGTTCAAGAGATCAAGACCATCCTGGCCAACATGGTGAAACCCGTCTTTACTAAAAATTCAAACATTAGCTGGGTGGGGTGACACGTGCCTGTAATCCCAGCTACTTGGGAGGCTCAGGCAGGAGAACTGCTTGAACCTGGGAGGTGGGGGTTGTACTGAGCTAAGATTGCACCACTGCACTCCAGCCTGGTGACAGAGCGAGACTCTGTCTAAAAAAAAAACAAAGAACGAGGTAACCTTGGGAAAGAGAATTTTGTGACCTTGGGAAAGTTACTGTACTCAAGGTGATAGCTTCTGTGGCTGAGGAAAGGTGTTTGGGGAGAAGTCAGAGGTCTCAAGGCATCCTTTTGAGGCAGGATGACGGTACTAGTCTGTTTTCACTCTGATGATTAAGACATACCCGAGACAGGAAAAGAGGTTTAATGGCCACACAGTTCCACGTGGCTGGGGAGGCCTCATAATCATGGTGGAAGGCAAAAGGCACTTCTTACATGGCGGCAGACAAGAGAGAAATGACAGCCAAGTGAAAGGGGTGTCTGCTTATGAAACCACCAGATCTCATGAGACTTATTTGTTACCACAAGAACAGTATAGTGGAAACTGCCCCCATGATTCAATTATCTCCCACCAGGTCCCTCCACAACGCATGGGAATTATGGGAGCTAGAATTCAACATGAGATTTGGGTGGGGACACCGCCAAACCCCACAACGCATGGGAATTATGGGAGCTACAATTCAACATAAGATTTGGGCGGGGACACCGCCAAACCATATCATTTAAATATCACCTGATGCAGAAGACCAATGTCCCAAGCAAACAAGGAAAGAAGCTCTGGCCACATCAAGAGAGGTTAGGGAACTGGAACATCTCTGCTTCCTCTCTATGAGCACCCAGAGACCAAAGGGCCTCAGCAGGAACTTGCTGCACCTTCATCTTAGACCTTATTTTACCACAAAATTAATGCCTGCAACACCGTGCACAAAAGCCAAAAGGCGGAAGCAGCCCAGATGCCTATCATTGGTTGAGAGGAGCAGCACGCTGAGGCCCCTCCATCTGGTGGCTGTTGCTCAGTCACAAAAGGAATGAAGTTCTGGTTCACACTGCAGCAAGGATGAACCCTGAGAAGTTATACCAGGCCAAAGAATCCAGACACAAAGGACCACACATTGTACAGCTTCATTTCTTTGAAACGTCCAGAACAGGGAACCACTTAGAAATAGAAATTAGATAAGTGCTTGCCAGAGGCTGTGAGGAGAGGGGAATGGAGAGTGACTGCTAATGGGTACGAGGTTTCTTCTGGGGGGATGAAATGTTTTGGAACTAGATAGAGGTGATGGTCACAATATCGTGAATGTACTAAATGCCACTAAACTGTATGCTTGAAAATGATTCATTGTATGTCACATGAATTTTACCTGCATACAAAAATCCAAAGCAAAATAATAACAGTATCCGCACCCTAAAGGGGAATAATAATCATCTATCACCCACAAACACTCAGTAGGGTTTTTTTTTTGTTTGTTTGTTTTTTGTTTTTTTTGAGACAGGGTCTCACTTTGTTACTAAGGCTGGAATACAGTGGCATGATCATGGCTCACTGCAGCCTCAACCTCCTGGCCTCCAGTGATCCTCCCACCTTAGCCCCCCGAGTAGCTAGGACTACAAGCATGCACCATCATGCTTGGCTAAGTTTTGTATTTTTTGTAGAGAAGGGGTTTCATCATTTTGCCCAGGCTTGTCTTAAACTCCAGGGCTCAATGGATCTGACCGCCTTGGCTTCCCAAAGTGCTGGGATTACAAGAGTGAGCCACCACTCTTGGAGGCAGAGGAGTTTTTAATCCTATACTTGTTTAGCTCCCCCTACCCATCTGTCTGGCAGATGATACCCTGTCTTTGGAGTTGATCTGCTTCCTCGTGGTCATGATGGCATAGCCAGGGCTGGACTCAAGTCTCCAGGCTCCTAATCTGGTGCTCTTCCCTGCCCCCTAATCCTGTGCTGTCCCTTCTTCTTCTCTAGGACACACTCTCCACTGGTTCTCCAGTGGCTGCTCGTGACTCTGTGGAGAGACTGTGGGCTTCTGGGCACGCCACACACAGGCTTCTCCTGATGTGGGAAGTCGTATTCCTGGTGCCCGGCTCACCAAGGGGTAGCAATGTGCCTGTTGTTCTAAATACTCTTCCCCCAGTCCTGGCTGTACCCCTGGCAGGTGAGAGGTGTCAGTCTCAGTGTGTGGTGGTAAAAACGGTCTCCATTTGTTCAACAAACTCTTCCTGAGCCCCCCTGTGCTGCTCATGCAGATCCCATGCTGGGTCTGGGGCTTCCATGGTGAGCAAGACTCACCTGGGACTCAAGCACAGGGACCTTGCAGCCTAACTGCATTATGATGGGTCACCATAATGCCATCTCCTGAGTATCCCGAAGGCAGAGCAGAGGGCTGGGGGCTTACGCCATGGGGTGGAGCCTCCCACAGGGTGACCCAGGCTGCTACTTGGAGAAAGGGCAGGAGTCATCATCCACACCAAGACAGGTGGGGAAGGGGGTCCTCTGGGAGCCCTTTCTCCTCCCCCTAGCCTTCCACTCCTCTATGGGTGAAGTGTCTGAGCCGGGAGAGTGGCCCAGCGTGAGGGCTGAAGTCTTCAGAGGGAGGGCAGGACAGTATCATGGTCAGGTGTGCACTTGAGGGGGTCCCTTCAACTGCAGCTGGGAGACTAGATTGGAGGGGGCTGGATTGGGGCAGGGAAACCCTGGTGGCCCAGGTGAGAGGTGCGAGCAGGTTCCTGGGTGATGATGAAGGCAGCAAGCAAGAAGAGAGGCATGGGGTTGGGAGCTATTTGGGAGGAGGATTCATCAACAGGGCCTGGTGTTGAGTGGCTTGGTGTGGGAGGGCTGGGAGCGGGGGCAGGGGAGAGCACCTGTCCTGGGCAAGAGATGGAGGGTGGGGCCTTCACTGAGATGCAGGCACTGAGGATGAGGGGCTGTGACTTAATCCATTCTGGCAGCTACAACCAAATGCCACAGCCTCCGTGGCTTATAAAGAACAGATATTTATTTCTCACAGTTCTGAAGACTAGGAAGTTCAAGGTCAAGGTGTGGCAGATTCCCTGTCTGGTGAGGGTTTGTTTCCTGGTTCATCAATGACATCTTCTATGTGTCCTCAGGTGGAAGGGATAAGGGAGCTCTCTGGAGCCTTCTTTTGTTTTATTAATTTTTTTCTTTATAATTGACACATATTAATTGCATATATTTATGGAGTGCATTGTGATGTTTCAATGCATGTATACATAGTCTAATGATCAAATCAGGGCAATTACCTTGTCTATCACTTTAAACAGTTATCATTTCTTTGTGGTGACAACATTCAAAATCTTCTCTTCTGGCTATTTTGAAATATACGACACAGTGTTAGTTTCTGTAATCACCCTACTGTGTGACAGACCCTCAGAACTTCTTCTTCCTATCTGATTGTGACTTTGCACCCATTGGCCAACCTCTCCCAGTCCCCCTTCTCTCCACACTTCCCAGCCTCTGATAACCTATTCTACTCTCTATTTCTTTCTCTTTTTTTTTTTTTTTGACGGAGTCTCATTCTCTCACCCAGGATGGAATGCAGTGGCACGATCTTGGCTTACTGCAAACTCCGCCTCCAGGGTCAAGCCATTCTCCTGCCTCAGCCTCCCAAGTAGCTAGGACTACAAGCACCAACCACTATGCCAGGCTGATTTTTTTGTGTTTGTATTTTTGGTGAAGACACGGATTCACCATGTTAGCCAGGATTGTCTAGATCTCCTGACCTCGTGATCCACCTGCCTCAGCCTCCCAAAGTGCTGGGATTACAGGCGTGAGTCACAGTGCCCAGCCCTACTCTCTATTTCTATAAAATCAACTTTTCTAGATTCCACATATGAGTGAGATTATGCAGTGTTTGTCTTTCTGTTCCTGGCTTATTTCACTTAACATAATTTTCTCCACGTTCATCCCTGTTGCCACAAGTGACAGGATTTCATTCTGTTTTATGGCTACATAGTATTCTATTTTCTATATACCACATTTTCTTTATCCATTCATCATTAGATTGGCATTTAAATTGATTCCATATCTTGGCTATTGTGAATAATGCTACAATAAACATGGTTGGGCAGATGTTCTCTTTGACATACTTAGCCCATTTCCTTTGGATATATTCCCAGTAATGGGATTGCTGGATCATATGGTGGTTCTATTTTTAATTTTTTGAGGAACCTCCAAACCTCCATACTGTTTTTCATAGTGAGTGTTCTGATTTACATTCCCTCCACCAAGGTAAAAGAGTTCTGTTTTCTCCACATCCTTGCCAGCGTTAGTGATTTTTTTTGTCTTTTTGATAATTGTCATTCTAACTGGGGTGAAGTGATATTTCACTGTGGTTTTGATTTGCATTTATCTGATGATCAGTGATGTTGAGCATTTTTTCATATATTTGTTGTCCATTCATATGTCTTCCAGACCCCTATCTCTCACCATATACAAAAGTCAATTCTAAATCAATTAAAGGCTTAAATGTAAGACCCAAAGCTATGAAACTACTAAAAGAAAACATTGGGGAAAAGCAGCATGATGTTAGCCTGTGCGAGGATATGGTTTTAGTTTATGTGTTTGTTTAATAAGACCTACAAAGCACAGGCAACAAAAGCAAACATAAACAAATGGGATTACAGTGAACTAAAAATCTTCCCCGCAACAAAGAAAACAATAAAGTGAAAAGAAAACTCTATAAAATGGTAGAAAGTATTTGCAAACTACGCGTCTGACAAGGGGTTCATATCCAGAATCTATAAAGAACTCGAATAGCTCAACAGCAAAATAAGAAAATATTTTTGAAATGGACAAAAGGCTTGAGGCCCCTTTTGAGAAAGGACTAATCCCATTCACGAGAGCGCCACCTTCGTGACCTAATCACCTCCCAAAGTCCCCACCTCTTAATACCATCATCTTAGAGATGAGGATTTTCACATAGGGATTAGGAGGGGACACACACATTCAGACCACAGCAGTAAGGTTAGAAAAGATGGCAGAAGACGTTGGCTGTAAGGCCCCTGCAGGCCATCCACATGAAGCTGAGGGGAGGCGATGGGGACCTGGCAGAATCTTGAGTGGCCAGGCAATGTAGACGTCTAATATATGAGCAGAAAGACTGAATGCAGAAATGAACAACAGGCAGGTGGTACACAGAGACGCGGCTCTGACCACCAAGGGCAGAAACAAGTCCCACGTGGCCAGCATTTGAGAAGTAACTAATGGCTTCCCTAATTTTTGTCCCCATTTTCAACTCATATTCCAACTTCAAGTATGCCCCCTCCCCAATCCCACAGGACGCCTGTTTCTTGGCTGCCTCCATCTCCTCAGGCCAACAGCCTCCGTCGGGCCTCACCTGGAGCCTCTCCTTCTCCACTCTGAGGCTTCCCACTCCCCTGCCTGTCTTTGAGTCTCTGCCATGGCAAGCAGTGGTGGCCAACTCCCTTGTTACAGCAAGTTCTGAATAAATTGCCTTTGCTTGTTCTCATCTGGAGGGATTTTCATTTCTGGCTACCCTGGTTATGTCTGATGTATAACTGAAACCTGGGGTTGGGTGGGGTTACAGGGTGTCGTGTTACATGAGAAAAGTAGAGCTCCAAGGCTGGACTCCACAGGAACCTCATCACTGACTGGGTGGTGAAGGACTGGGAAGGAGGAAGGGGCTGGAGAGCTGGAGGGAGGCCTGTGAGCGGGCACCAGTGTGGGCACAGCAGCTGGGAGGGCAGGGGCTGCCCGGCGCACACACTCCACACCTCACTGGCCTCGTCTTGGCACCATGGCAGGTAGCAGGAATGGATGGGAGCTCCAGGTCAGCTTCTAGCTCTGTACTGACCAGGAGAGTCCCCATCCCCAGCTCTCCACTAACCTACTCCCAAACCATCTTCTCCCACCTGCTGATGAAGCTGAACCCCATTTAATGACCACATTGTAAGCATGTGATGTGTGCCCAGCCCCACTGCTGGACAAATTCTAAGGGCATGAAAAACCACACAAACAAGAGATAAGAAAGGCCAAGTCCTCGTCAAGGAGCCCACAGCCTCACTGTCAGCAAATGCTCCAGACCCTACCATGGACAGCACTGAACACGGTCATTCTCGATTAAAGGAAACAGGCCCAAGGTGCATGCGATGTATGATGCCTAAGCCCATTCCAGGCAATCAGGAGTTATGAGTTAATGCCACTTGGTACCAGAGTTTAGGGAGGGACTGTGTCAGAGAGACATTGGTCAAAGGATACAAAAGTTCAGTTAGACAGGAAGAATAAGTTCAGGGGATTTACCTAACAATCTGGTGACTGTAGTTAATAACACCGCACTGTAGACTTGAAAATTGCTAAGAGAGTAGACTTCGAGTGTACTCGCAAAGGAATAAGTGTATGAGATGTCAACCTAAATAACCAAGAAAGGCTCTCTAAAGGAAAATGACATTTACTTGGGAGTCAGTATTGCAATGGGAGTATACGTGCCATAGCAAACTACATGTGTATTCAGGGAGAAACAGGAAGACAAAGGTTTTTCAGGGAAAAAATGAGGAGGATCATATAATTGCTTCGAGATAATTATCCCTGTCTATAAGGATCAGTAACATGAGTGATGCCAGTCCAGGTTGGGGACAGGCAGTTGCTGAGCAGATGTCCATGCAGAAATATTTTTGTGTGTAAGGCTGTGATGGCCTTTGTGCAGGGTTGTGGTGTTTGCAGAGTCTTTTGTGATGGCTTTGTCTGCAGGCATCCGTGCATAAGAACCTCCCCTCCTGGCCTTCCCTGGCTCCATTTGTCAGGGTTTTTAACACAAGTGACTCCACTTTGACTAGGCAGTTTTCACAGAGGTAATGCATATGTTAATTAGCTCGCCTGAGCTGTCCCGCAATGCATTCATATCTCAACACATCATGTTGTGCACCATGAGTATGTACAATTTTTATTTGTCGATTAAAAAAGTGAATAAATAAAATTAATGCCATTTGGCTTTGTAGGAAGCCACCAGTCCCTCTCTGAGGCAGCTTTGGTTCCGAGGAGACTTAGGTTATTTTTTTATTTTTATTTATTTATTTTTTTTGAGACGGAGTTTTGCTCTTGTTGTCCAGGCTGCAGTGCAATGGCGCAATCTCGGCTCACTGCAACCTCTGCCTCCTGGGTTCAAGTGATTCTCCTGCCTCAGCCTCCCGAGTAGCTGGGATTACAGGCACCCGCCACCCTGCCTAGCTAATTTTTGTATTTTTAGTAGAGATGGAGTTTCACTATGTTGGCCAGGCTGGTCTTGAACTTCTGACATCAGGTGATCTGCCTGCCTCAGCCTCCCAAGGTGCTGGGATTATAGGCCTGAGCCACCACGCCCAGCCGAGACTCAGGTTAAATGTGACCTCAATGCCAAGGTTCTGAGTCACTGTAGGTGAGAACCTATGTGGTGCCTGCACACTTCGACCTCACCGAGTTCATTGAGGGCCTCCTGTGTGCCAGCCTTTGGGGTTACAGGGATCCATAGCCCATGTCCTCCCGCCTCCAGTCTCCTCCATTATGGGTGGGTGAGGGATGTTAAGTGGAATAAAGATGAGGTCAGCACAGTGCCTCGCACAAGGTGGATGCTTCTGTTTAGCCCTTTTACCTGGATCTTCCCACTCGTTCCTCACAACAGCTTGCAAGGTGAGTGCATTCTGTCATGTTATATGAAGGAGGAAACTGAGGCATAGGGAAGTGAGTTACTGTGAAGGTCACGATGTCAGAGAGTGGATTGAAATTCATGCAGGGAACCCTGTAATTGGTACACAGCCAGTTCACTCTGCTGCACTCCGGGCCAGCCATCAAGAGATCAAGTGTGGTCATACATAGTTTCAAGATACCTACAGAATAACAGCAATGGGGCGTACTTGTAGGTGGAGGGCAGGAGGAGGGTGAGGAGCTAAACTCTACCTATCGGGTACCATGCTATTACCCCGATGACAAAACAATCTGTTCCCCAAACCCCCGCGACACGCAATTTACCTACATAACAAATCTGCACATGTATCCCTGAACCTGAAATGCAACTTTTAAAGCATAAATAAATAAAATAAATTTCCTTCTGCAAGGGAGGCTGACGGGCTAGGGATGGACAGATGAGATGCCTCCAACAGTCTCTATTCCATTCCAAGTTTAGATGTTCTTCTCCACCTTGAAAACATTTAGTGACTTAACAAAATTCTAATAAATTAAAAAATAAATTGACTAAGGCTTAATCAAGCAATTCATTTAAACATCTCTGGAAATGGAATGCACAAAAAGTATGCAAATCCCATGTTAATCTGTATTCCTCTTAAAGCATTACTGGGGAGCTTACTTTCTATGCAAATGTGGCTGGAGATGGAGGGAGAAAGCAACTTCTGGTGGCTGGACATCTTTTTTTTCCTTTATACATTAATTTTTCCCTCAAAAGACTTGAAATTCTTCACAGATGATTTGTGTGCGCCTCCCAAAGCATCTTTATTTTTGGTCTGGCTTGCTTTTTCCCATCTCGGAACCAATAATTCTCTTTAGACCCGCCAGCAAGTCGGGGGCTGCCAGAGACAGTTTCTCCAGGGGCCCAGCGGGTGATGAGCATCTCAGAGATGGAAAATTACTGGAGACTGCACTAAGAGCCTAGAAGTCTTAAAAGCAACCTCTCCAAGCTTTCCTAGTCACAGTCAGCACCATGCATTTCAAATGCAAATCCCGCCTCATTCTTTGAGAGTAACTGCACGTCTAACTCCAAAGCCATTTCACAATTAGCCCTGTTTCCCGCAGGGAATTTCAGCCACCGGGAAATTCAGAAACACTGCTTGGACAAAGGATTTCTGAAAACTTTCAGTCTCTGTGGTTGGGATCCAGGGCTCTTAAGTGTAGTTCTGGGGAAAGTTCCCCATTTGGACTGAACTCTCTGGGAGGCCTGCACGCCCCTTCGCTGGGGCTCACTCTGGCCAGTGCTGCAGTGCTCTGGGACAGCAGGCTGAGGATTTGCAGAGCATGTCACAGGGCATAGAGTGCATTTACTGTATCACCTCATCTGACTACCGCAGCAGGTTCTAGGACAGGCAGGGAAGGTGGCATTATCTGTGTTTGACAGATGAGAAAACTGAGACAGGGATGAGCAGGTGATTTGCTTAGGCTGTTGTATCTAATCAGTATCCACTGTGGTTGCTAAGCCCAGGGCCTTTTGCTGGCATCTGATCACAGTGGGCTCAGCTGTTCTAGACTGGAAATATAGAAAAAGAACCGTTTCTGTGCTTCCAGAAGTTCATGACATCTATAACAGAGTCTGCAACCTCTTCCTGTAAAGGGCTACTTAGTAAATGTTCTCTGTTTTTGTCACCACACAGGTCCCTGTCACAAAACCTTGTGAACCCCAAATATCTGAGACAGGTCTCAGTCAAATTAGGAAGTTTATTTTGCCAAAGTTAAGGACACACGCTCATGACACAGCCTCAGGAGGTCCTGAGGACATGTGCCCAAGGTGGCTGAGGCACAGTTTGATTTTATACATTTTAGGGACACATGAGACATCAGTCAATATAACTAAGAAGAACATTGGTTCAGTCCAGAAAGGCAGGACAACTCTAAATGAGGGAGGGGGCTTCCAGGTCACAGGTAGATAAGAGACAAATGGTTGCATTGTTTTGAGTCTCTGATTAGCCTTTCCAAAAGAGGCAATCAAATACGCATTTATCTCAGTGAGCAGAGGGATGACTTTGAACAGAATGGGAGGCAGATTTGTCCTAAGCAGTTCCCAGCTTGACTTTTCCCTTTAGCTTAGTGATTTTGGGGTTTCAAGATTTATTTCCCTTCCACAACCTCGCTACCACAGTGATTTGAAAGCTGTGTAGATAATATGTAAACCAGTGAACAGGGCTGTGTTCCAACAAAATTTATTTACAAAACTGGGCAGGAGGGCCAGATGATGAACGGATTTGGCCCATGAGTGATCGTCTGCCAACCTGTGATCTACAGGTTGACAGGATGCTGAGATGTGACCAGCCAGTGGATCGCAGCAAATTTGAACAAACAACGTACTAATGGAAGAGTAAAAGACAGGAAAGAAGCATGAAACGCGGCTTGGCAGTTAAAGACAGGTTTCCTTTATGTAAAACCTGACAGGCGCTCCTGGCCCATTGCGGTCAGAAGTGCTTTCTCTTACAGACTAAGAGTATGTATTGGTTTTAGGGTGAGGGGGCTTATCACAAGCTCTGAATGTTTACGTGTGTGGAGAAGTTTATGGTGGGGTTGGAATCTCTCTGGGAGGAGGGGAGGTTATTTTGGGGCTACATCTTTCCGGCCCGGAGGGGGGTTTATTTGGGGCTAGCATGTCTCTGGTCAAGGAGGAGTTTGGAATGTTTCTGGCTGGAGATGTTACTTGTGGTTTATGGTCATGCTGACCTTAGCCATTAGGCTGATGCCCTTTGGATTGAGGCAGTTTTTTATTAAGGTGAACTTTAGAATGAGGGGCTTGCCCAAGATGGCAATGCTCCTGCTCTGTCAGCTAGTGCTGTGTATTTCCAATCCAATGAGTGTGGAAAGTTTTACCAAAGGTATCACCATGATTGATTAATATCCCATTGTTGTCTTTATGGAATGGCTAAAGTGACCAGTTGACCCCCATCCAAGACCTGATTCCTGCCAGCCAGCAGGATGGTCTAAGGGCAGGCCTGCAGTCCCACTGAGGTTACTCATACACCCTCTTCACTCTCTGCAGGCCTGGTTGAGATAATCAATTACATATTCATGTCATTACTTTGCAATGAGAGGGCTGGTCATTCAGGCAATAGGCCTCTGTTTCCCAGCATCGGGCTCTGAAGAGACTAAGATCAATAAGATAAAGGTATATTGTATACAGATACAATTGCCCCTGCCTCCAGCAGCCCCTGGTCTAGTAGAGGAGGCAGAGGAGACCAGGGCACCATGGCAGGAGAAGTCTTAGTGCCACAAGACCAGGTAGAACAGACTTCCTGGAGGAGGGGGAATCTGGACAGAACCTTAAAGGATGCAGAGGAACTGACCAAGCTAAGGAAGAAATCAGAGCGCGCCCTTTGGGGCAGTAGAGACACCAGTGTCACGGTCATAGGAGTGAAAAGCAGCTTGTTTATGGCATGTGCTACCAACATTCTAGTGTTGTTGGAAAGCAGTGATCTTTCAGGGAAAAAAAAGAATTCTAATATAACCACTTATTTTATACTATCCTGGATTTATCTTTATTAATAATAGACCTCATCATTTACATTTAATTTGTTACTGGTTTAATATCTAATTGCGAACCTCTAATTAATTTTTAGTCTTGTAGTAAATGAGACTTTCTCCCTACAACTCAGCAGGCAAAAGACGTGCCGCATTTAATTTCCTAACCAACGCCTGCAAACCATCTCACAAAAAAAGTCAGGAGAGAAACCTATACACTCGATTGCCTTCTCGTTGTCATCTGTTTGTTTGTGTTATTCAAAAAGGTTTTGTGGATGAAGTTATCTTATGCACCACACATGAACCCAAGGTGTACCCTGCAGCTGTGCTTCCTCACTGCACATCCCACCTCCCTCCACCAAAACCAAGATGACTAGAAAGAAGGAGAAGGGAAGCAGATGGCTGAGATAGCATCTGAGCAGCACAAATGTATGTGTGTGCAAATCATTTGGTGTATGATAAATGCTATATCCTATAGAATACACATTCCACTAGCAGCATATGACGTACAACACATAACCTATAAGAGATAATTCCAGGCTGCGCACGGTGGCTCATGCCTGTAACCCCAGAAGTTTGGGAGGCCAAGGTGGGTGGATCACGAGGTCAGTAGTTCGAGACCAGCCTGACCAACATGGTGAAACCCTGTCTCTACCAAAAATACAAAAATTAGCCAGGTGTGGTGGTGTCTGCCTGTAATACCAGCTACACGGGAGGCTGAGGCGGGAGAATTGCTTGATCCCCAGAGGCGGAGGTTGCAGTCAGCCAAGATCACACCACTGCACTCCAGCCTGGGTGACAGAGCAAGACTCCATCTCAAAAAAAAAAAAAAAAAAAAAAGAGAGATCATTCCAGCATGCCCGTATATGTCCTGGTTTTCTTATTGCTGCTGTAACAAAGTGCCACTCCCTTAGTGGCTTGTACCAGCATCCACTTCTGTCTTATCATCCCATGGGTCAGAAGTCCAGGCACAGGTGGCCTCAGCGGGGCCATGGACTAAAATCAAGGTGTCTGCTGGGCTGGGCTCTGACCTTCTGGAGGCTCTGAGCAAGATACCATGTCCAAGCTCCCTCAGGTTGTCAGTCAAATGTAGTACCCCGCAGTTTCCACTTCCCTGAGGTCTCATTTCCTTGCTGGCTGTCATCGGGGAATCCCTTCCCAGGACAAGCACATTCTCGTGCCTTCCACACAGCCCCTCCAGCAGCAGTAAGTCAAATCCCTCTCACACTTCACCTTTCTCTGGTAGCTCTTTCGCCACATCTCTGTGAGCTGCTCTTCTGCTTTGAAGGGCTCATGTGGTTGCACTGAGCCCACCCAGATACTCCAGGGCATCTCCCTGTTTTAAGGTGAGCTGATGAGTCAACTTAATGATGTCTGTCAAACCCCTTCACAGCAGCCCCTAGGTCAGTGTCTGGATGAGCAGAGGGAGGCGATCTCATGGGACAGCTTTAGAACCCCGATATTGCTATGGACACACATATCTGCATCATACAGTGACATCAGCTGTGAGGTGGCTGGGCCTCATGCTAGTCCCGTGAGAAAAGCAACTA
Source organism: Homo sapiens (assembly GCF_000001405.40). Lineage (NCBI taxonomy): Eukaryota > Metazoa > Chordata > Mammalia > Primates > Hominidae > Homo > Homo sapiens. The sequence continues at coordinate 4,444,179 of NC_000001.11, read as the reverse complement.
AAATATGCCATGGTTGAAGAAAAGCACATGACAAAAACATAAGTCCTTGAATTCTACGGTAGAAATTATTTATTGTTCATAAGCTTATTGATGTTTTATTATTCAATTTGAACATTCATTTTCTGAATGTGTGCTTTCTTACACCTATGGCTGGCATCTGTTAAAACACTGGGTCCAGAATGATATGCATCATTCTAAAAGATGATGAACACTGTGAACACAGCTCAGAGAGAGGGGAAAACTTGAGGCCCAGGAGCCAGCAGCAGGGTCCAGATTCAAATTCACACTCATGCAACGTCGGGAGCAGCACAAGTCATGTGGCCAAAAAGTGGTAATAACCTTATCCTGAGGGGAAGGGGTAAATCCAGAAAAGTTTAAGCAGGGGAATCATGCAGTCATATTTGTGTTTAGACAGATTATTCTGGAGGACTTGTGATTCTGGCAAGATGGCAGACCAAAGACCTCAAAGTTATCCCCAGCTATGCTGGATAAAAGATAACAAAAGTCTATTGTAAGTGCATATATGAGCACCCAAGGAGGAAAGGACACCCTCTGGTCTCAAGCATTAAGACAGAATTGAAAGCAAATATGGTGAGCCCTGAGCTAAGGCTGCTGCTCCAGGGTGAAGTGGGCAGGTGAGGTGCGCAGGTGAGATGGGCAGGTGAGGTGGGGAGCTGAAGTATGCCAGTGAAATGGGCAGGTGAGATGTACAGGGGAGATGGGGAGGTGGTTTGGGCAGGTGAAGTGGTCAGGTGAGGTGAGGAGGTGAGATGTGCAGGTAAGGTGCACAGGTAAAGTGGTCAGGTGAGGTGGGTAGGTGAGATGTACAGGTGAGACAGACGGTGAGGTGAGGAGGTGAGGTGTGCAGGTAAAGTAGGTAGATGAAGTGGAAAGGTATGTTTGTAAACAAGAACTTGGGCTTTAACACCAAAGTGTCAACAGCAAATGAATCCATGCAACTGGGGATTCAGAGGCAAGACCCCTGACTAAAAGTGCTGCGTCAGTTGTGGCAGCCTTAGAGATGCTGTAGACACCACCTGTATGGGGAGAGATGAGGAAATGCAGACACCTCTACCTGGGTTCAGGATGAAAAAATAAAAATCTGCCCCAACAACAAACAGCCTGGAGCTGTGCCACGTGCAGGTCTGCAGTTCGGCTTCAAATTATTAATGTGGTCCAGGGATGCCTCCCTTTGACAGCAGCAAATCCAAACCCTCTCTGGAGAAGCCCTCCCCGTATGTCCGTGGAAGCCTCACAAGGGAATCCAAACCCATGATGAAGATGAGTCTCCATTTAACCTTCTCGAGATATGTGAGGACCCATTCTCCCATAAGTGGGTGAAAGCATACAAGAGGGTCAGAGCGCGCATGAGCTTGGGGCCCTGCAAGAAAACACAAGTGTGGTTAAAACAATGAAAGTCATAGGAAGTAACAGAACAGGACCTGTATCCAGCCTGAGCCTCTCCCCTCATGCAAGGCTCCTGCACACTGCCTGCTCCCACCTCCACCTGGAGGGCTGACGGACACTTCACATGCCTGGCATCTCCCTCCTAGTGCCGGTCTCAGGAGAGGACAATGCCACCTTTCCAGGGACCCAAGACCAGATCCCTGGAGTCATCCTTAACCCGTCTGTTCCTCTCATGCTTCCCAACAAGCCAATACATGATTAAAAACAATATGAAATAAATTTCCTACAAGTAGAAGAAATCTCCTCATCTTCTTAACCTGCTAAAGCAATGCTATTGTTGCTGTTGTCATTATTTTCAAGTTATGGGTTGCCATGCATTTTAGAGTTGTAATCATTTTTGATATGAGAAAAATCATAGAATTTAGCATATTTCATGTAAGAGAAAGAATAGAATAGAATAGAAACCGCCAGAGCAAGTGTCATGCAGGCAGGATAAGTAACATCTGGGGTCGTGTCTGTTTCAGGTATACGTCTGTTTACACAGGTACATGGGCACTAGTCACGGAGTCAAAAGGTTGTTTTGTTTTGTTTTTTACTGTGGTTCATGAAAGCCACAGTGATCAAATATATTTATCAGAACACATGTGGCAAACATTACATTTTATGGAAACATGCCAGCAACAGTCCCCTTCAAAATCAGAAACAAGAAAAGGAGGTGCATTTGTATTCAGCTTTGTGCTGGAGGTCCTGACCAGCACAGTAAGACAAGAAAAACAAAAATAAATGTTACAAGGGTTTAAAAGGAAGACACAAAAACCATCATTATTCGTAGCTGTTATGACTGACAATGCACAAGACCCAAGAGAACAGAGATCAACTCAGTATAAATAATAGAGCTCTGCACAGCTTCTGGTTATGAGGTGCAAACCCCCAAAACTGTTAACATGCCTGTAGTTTGGCAACAACCAATAACAAAAAATATTACTTTAAAAATATCATTTGCAATTGGAAAACAAGTACAAGTTACTGAAAATAAACCCCACAAAAGAAGTACAAGGTGTTCACAGAGATGACAAACTTTTGTTGGTAAGAGAAAATGAAAGCAAACCTAAATGGAGAAAAAAGATATAATGTCATAGAAATTGCCAATCCTTCCCAAATTAATCTATAAAGTCAATGCAATTTCAATAAAAACCTCAATTAAAAAAATTTAACAAACCTATTCTGGAATTTGTATGAAAGAATAAAAACTTGGGAAGAGTCAAGAGTATTTTAAAGGGGAAGAAAAAGGAAAGGTCGGGATGTTCCTTACTGCATGCTGAGACAGAAGACAGAAGCTCCAGTGATTGAAATATGGGAGAAAAATAGACCTCCGGCACCAAAGATAGCACCAGACACAAATCCACCTGCATCTGGGAAGCCGGTCTAGGACAGACGCACCGTTTTGAAACTGCCTTTGCAAAATTATAACTCAGGAAATTATGACAGTGAAAGAAATCAGAACCAACCGACTCCATCTTGCTTCTAACCTTTAAGCTGTCCTTGTTCGTTCCTGGGTGTACGCTGAACTAACTTCGGGAAGGAATTCAGTTGATGGTTTGACTCTGAAACAAAATTGATAATAACGCTTTCCCCGAAAAGACTCCCTTCTTGCCTGGGGACCAGTCTGCCTTTGCAGGACTAACACATTAGCTACAAGATTAGAAATCACAGTTTAGGGGTCATGCAGCCTCTGGCTCCAAGAATCCGAACCTTCCCCAAATTGCTTCCTGTGGATAACATCACGATTGTAAAACCTAAGATCAGTGCCTGAGATGTTTTGCAGACCCTGCACTGGGTGGATCAGCTGACACCACCCAGACCAGTAAAATGGCTCAACCAGTTCTGCCAACCCACCCAGGAACAGAAAACAGCAAGGAAAACTCACTTCCCAAGCCCCTACCTGCCAAATTATCTATAAAAACTCTGATCCCTCAATGCTTTGGAGACTGATTTGAGTAATAGTAAAACTCTGGTCTCCCACATAGCTGGTGCTGCGTGAATTATTCTTTCTCCATTGCACTTCCCCGGTCTTAATCAATTGGCTCTGTCTGGGCAGCAGGCAAGGTGAACCCACTGAGAGGTTACAGTTTTAGACCAGAGGGGTAAGAACGATCTCCTCCTGATGAAATTACATGGACACGTTACCACTACACCCCTTCCTGTTGGGATCTTTGAGGGGACAGACTACACAGCACCCTTTTCTCCCCTGGCTTCTGAACACATGGAAACATAAAACAAACTCTAGGACCAAGGTGTTGTAGAAGTCTACAACTTCACCTCTATTATGGGTAGGGCTGAGATGGAGGATGGGGGTCGGCATAGTGATGAGTTCTTCTAACTGCCCCCGAGAAATGGCCAGAGCTCCCATCCAGTCCCAGGGAACTCGGACAGGGCAGGGCCTCCTTTCTACAAAGGATGGGTCCATCCAGGAGGAGCACAGAGTGTGCAGGGAACTAGCTTATGGGAGCCAAAAAGAAGTTGCTGAACAAACGCTGTCTCTCAGGTTTGCCAACCCAGTGAGTGTTTCAACTTCCCTGGGGTGAAGGAAAGAGGCTGGAGAGAGGCTTCCAGGATCGCCCACATGGAGCTCTCTCCAATGGGCAGAAATGCCGGGCTTGGAGAAGAAGTGCTCCTCTGTGTCATGTACACAAAATACATTTTGGATGGATTAAACACCTGAATATAAAAAGCCAGTAGTGCAATATCTTTCCAAAGAAAACAGGGGAGACAATTCACAGGACATCAGATAGGAAAGGATTTTTAAACAAGATGAAAAAAACAAACCAGAAAACAGAAGGTTGATATGTTTGACCACTTTTGAATAGAAGATTTCTTGTAAGATTATCTTATAAAAATAATCATATAAGAGACACCACCATGAACGTGGGAATGGAAGATGTTCATAACCCAAATGTCTTAGTGGGCTCAGGCTGCCATAACGAAAGACCACAGACCTGGCAGCTCAAACAACAGAAACTTATTTTCTCACAGTTCTGGAGGCTGGAAGTCTGAGATTAAGATGCCAGCATGGTTAGTTTTTGGTCATGGCTCTCTTCCTGGCTTGTGGGTCAGTGCCCTCTCACTGTGACCTCACATGGCCTTTCCTTGGTGCAAGAATACAGAAAGAGAGAGAGAGAGAGATAAACTCTTTGATGTCTCTTCTTATAAGCATCAGGGCACCACCCTTATGACCTGGGTTGCATAATAGTGTCATTCTCTAACAGGGACCCCCACTGACAAAGGAGAAGGTGGTGGCACCCACGGGGACTGGGGAAAGTTGACTTCCATTTTGGATGTGGTGGGGTGTTGAGTTGTAAGGTCTGTGAGTCACCCTGTGGACATCTCCAATGAATCATTGAGAGCATTGCAGTTCCTGAGCCCAGCAGAGTGGTCCAGAGAGAAGTCTGGATTTCCTGATATTGCCCAGGGAGGGGCATAGGTGAACTCAGTGCTCAGGCAGCGGGCATGGAGGGCCAGCTGGACAATGCTGAATTCCTCAATCCAAACCCTATTTGACAAATGGCTCCCTGATGAGTCCCTGATGTGATCAACCCCCTGGGCTTCAGCTCCTGTCCAATGTGCCTCCCCACCTCAGTGCTCCAGTTGTGTCCGCCTGGGAGTCAGCTCTCCACCCACTAGTGGTCCCACCTACCTTTCTCATTTGCTTTTCTGTCTCATGATGCCCCGCTGAGCCTGTTGTGGGAATGCAGGAAGAAGATTTGGAGTGAGAAGGCCAACATTTGTATCCAGGCTTAGTCTCTCGAGGAGCTTCTCTATGGTGAGCAGTTATCTGATCTCTCTGAGCTGTAAAACAGAGATTACATGATGGGGATATTCTAATAGTCTTCCCAGGCCTAATGAGTTTAAGCAAAGCTTTTTGAAATCTGTTTACACCCTCAGCCTGTGAAAGTGCTTTGTAGAATGCAAATGTGTAGGCTGTGGTTATTACAATAATCTTATTCCTATGCTCTGGGATTTCAGACCTGTTTCACTCCATCTTTTAAAACCATCCTTTTTCCTTTTCCCTCATTTTGTAGGTCTTACAGTAACTATACTTCTATAATTCTACCATAGCTTTTGTAACATCCATCATGTTTTGGGTATCCCATAAATTATGTGAGTATCAGAAAAGACTGAGGACTCTAGAAGAACCCTGGAGGTTTTTGAGCAAGTGGGTGGCCAGAGCTGGTTAGGGATAGGATGACATCAGCTGAGTCGAGGAGCACAGCTGTGTTATGTCTAATGTCTGACCAAATGCCTCACCACGACGGCAGAGAGTCCTGCAGTGATCCACATTGGACTAGCTCCTTCAAGGTACCAAGACCTCATGAAAACATGGAAGCCAAGGTGGCCTCTGGGCTGGGATGGCTGAAGAACTCACCAGGAGGCCAACGAAAATGAAACTTCAGGGATCCTCATAGCCATCTCCTTCCACTAGAGTCTGTGTCACACAGACCTTTGACCCTTGGCTCAGGTATTGGTGGAGTGGCCATGGGTGCTGGGGATCCAACCAAGAGGAAGTTGAGTTGGGGATATCTTTAGTTTGAGTCAATGGGATGGATCCTGCAATCACAGCCACTTCTCCATATGGCTAATTATTGCTAGTGTATGAGCTTCCCGGGTCTGCCAGAAGGAAGTACCACAGACTGGGCATCGTAAACAATGGAAGCTTACTGTCTCACAGTTCTGGAGGCTGGAAGTCCAAGCTCAAGGTGTTGGCAGGGTTGGTGATATGGTTTGGATCTATGTTCCTGTATTAGTTCATTTTTACACTACTATAAAGAATTACTTTAGGCTGGGTAATTTAGAAAGAAAAGAGGTTTAAAGGACTCACAGTTCTGCACAGCTGGGGATGCCTCAGGAAACTTACAATCATGGTGGAACATGAAGGGGAAGCAAGGCACATCTTTTATGACGGCAGGAGAGAGAGAGAAAAGGGGGAAGTGCCACACTTTTAAACAATCAGGTCTCATGAGAACTCACTCACTATCACGAGAACAGCATATAGGAAATCTGCCCCCACGATCCAATCACCTCCCACCAGGTCCCTCCCCTGACATGTGAGGATTACAGTTCCACATGAGATTTGGGTGGGGACACAGAGCCAAACCATATCAGTCCCCATCCAAATCTCATGTTGAATTGTAATCCCCAGTGTTGGAGGTGGGGCCAGGTGGGAGGTGATTGGATCACGCAGGTGGTTTCTGATGGTTTAGCACCGTCCCCCTAGTGCTGTTCTCATGATAGAGTTCCCATGAGATCTGGTTGTTTAAAAGTGGGTAGCACCTCCCTCTTCTCTCTCTCTTCCTCCTGCTGTGGCCGTGTAAGACATGCCTGCTTCTCCTTCGCCTTCCGCCATGATTGTAAGTTTCCTGAGGTCTCCCCAGCCATGCTTCCTGTACAGCCTACAGAACCGTGAGGCAATTAAACCTCTTTTCTTTATAAACCACCCAGTCTCAGGTAGTTCTTTACAGCAATGCAGGAATGGACTAATACAGTTGGCTTCCTTTGAGGTCTCTTGGCTTGTAGATGACGTCTTCTCCCTGTGTTCTCACATGGTCATTCCTCCATGTGTGTCTGTGTTCTGACCTCTTCTTATTAGGAAACCAATCCTACTGGATGAGGGTCCACCATAATTATTCATCTCTTTAAAAATCCTACCTCCAAATGCAGTCATATTCCCAGATACTGAGCGTTAGGACTTCAACATGTGAATTTTGGGGTGACATAACTCAGCCCATAACAGCTAGGGTACCCATGGAAGAATGACCCCCCCAAACTTTCTAATCATCTACTGGGCCAACTCATCCCATGCTGTGATGTGGGGCACCAGGTCAGAGCTGTGTCAGGTGGTTAAATAAAACAATGTTATCGATATACCTTTTATTTGTTTGTTTGTGGCACTTATCAGCTTTTTAAAATTTGTAATTTTTCAAATGTATTTTCCCACTCTAAACAAATACGAATGTCCCAGCATAATTTTTCTTAAAGAGAGCATTCAAAATTGAACAAGTTTCAGGCTTCAGCAAACCTGCCTCTGCCCCCACTGCTATCACTGCCTGCCCAGGAAAGATGTTTTCAGGGTGAAGGTGCTTATGTGGAAAAATGGCACACATAATATTCACATGGAAGCAATTAGCCCAGAACCTGGCATGGAGTAAGTGCCTCATAAGTACTAGCTTCTTAGACTGGTTATCCCAAGGGCCTCCCCAAAGACAGGACTTGGGTTCAGGTAGTTTACCTGCCAAGAGACCCAGGAATCACAGTGGGCAACAGAAAAATGAAGAGACAGGGAGGAGAGAAACAAAAGTGTGCTAAGGGGTGGCCTCTGGGCCTCACTCCTGATGAAGGTCCTCTGAGAAACCACAGCCATGGGGAGGGAGCCTGCTGGGGACAGTCTTGTAGATGTGGGAGGTGTACAATACTGCCTCCTGTGCCCATGGGTTGATGGAATTATAGTGGCCCCTCATACCCAGCTCTCTGGAAACTGTCCATAGCTGTGGGAGACTGGGATGGACTGAGGCCACAGAGTGGGGAAACTATAGCCCCTGCTAAGACCTGCTCATTCATTTATAGGTCAGCCATGTCATCGGCCCAGGAGACTGATGGCGAAAAGTTTTGACAGCTGACTTCCTTTTTCTTCTTTTTAAATTAGTATTAACAATAGTCTTGATTGACAGATCATGAATGTGTATATTTATGAGGCTCAATGCTATATTTTGATGTATGTACACAATGTGACATGGTTTAATCAAGCACAGTTTCTTCACATGACTCTCAGTTACACTGGGGGATCTTAGAAGCCACTGCAAATCCAGGAATTCTACTGAGGAATCTGTGTGTGTGTGTCAGGGGCTGGCAGATTTATTCTGTAGAGGACAAGCTGATCGATATTTTAGGCTTTGTGGGCCAAGTGGTCTTGTACAATGACACAGCTCTGCCACTATAGCGGGAAAGCAGCCATAGGCAATATGTACATGAATGGGTGTGGTTGTGTCCCAGTATGTCCCAATAAAACTTTATTGGCAAATGCAGGGGGAGGAGGGTGGCTACTATGGAAAAAAAAAAAAACAGGTAATAACAGGTGTTGGTGAGGATGTGGAGAAATCAGAACTCTATGTGCTGTTGGTGAGAATTGTAAAATGGTGCAGAGGCTATGGAAAATAGTATGACAGCTCCTCAAAAAATTAAAGGTAGAATTATCCAACGATCCAGCAATCCCACTTCGGGGTGTATACCAAAAGAGTGGAAAGCAGAGTCTTGAAGAGCTGCCTGCACACCCGTGTTCACAGCAGCATTACCCACAGGAGCCAAGAGGAGGAAGAAGCCCAAGTGTCCTCTGAGAAAGATGAATGAATAAGCAAAATGTGGTCCATCCACACCACGGAAAATTACTCAGCCTTAAAACAGAAGCCCTGGCACCTGCCACAAAATGGATAAACTTTGAGATCAATCACAAAAGGACAGAGACTGTAGTATTCCACTTATAGGAGCTCTCTAGGGTCATAACATTTATAGAGACAGACAGTAGAATGGCGGGTGCAAGGGGCTCGGGGAAGGGCTTTGTGGAGTGAGTGTTTAAGGGGACAGGGTTTTGATTTCGTAGGATACAAAAAGTTGAAGATGGAGGGTGGTGATGGTTGCACAACATCATTTGCGTTTAATTCCCGTGAATTGTACATGTAAAGTGGTTCAGGGGTCGGGCGTGGTGGCTCATGCCTGCAATCCCAGCACTTTGGGAAGCTGAGGCAGGCAGATCACTTGAGGTCAGGAGTTTGAGACCAGCCTGGCCAATATGGTGAAACCCTGTCTCTACCGAAAATACACAAATTAGCCAGATGTGGTGGCATGGCCTCTAATCCCAGCTACTCGGGAGGTTGAGGTGGGAGAATCACTTGAACCTGTGAAACAGAGGTTGCAGTGAGCCGAGATCACACCATTGCACTCCAGCCTGGACACTGCAGCGAGACTCCCTTTCAAAAAATAAAACAGGGCCAGGCGCGATGGCTCACGCATGTAATCCCAGCACTTTGGGAAGCCGAGGTGGACAGATCGCCTGAGGTCAGGAGTTCAAGACCAGCCTGGCCAACATGGTGAAAACCCGTCTCTACTAAAAAATACAAAAATTAGCTGGGCATGGTGGTGGGCGCTTGTAATCCCAGCTACTTGGGAGACTGAGGCAGGAGAATCAACTTGAACCTGGGAGGCGGAGGTTGCAGTGAGCCAAGATGGCGCCACTGCACTCCAGCTTGGGTGACAGTGAGGCTCTGTCTTAAAAAAAAAAAAAAAAAAGAGTGGCTCAGATGTTAAGTTTTATGTGTATTTTACCACAATTGGAAAAAATGCAGGGGAGAGCTGGTTGTGTCCCCCAGGTTATCATTGCCGACCTCTGGCTTGTCTATCTGTCCATGTTCCCCCTCCGGCTAGCAAGGGCCAGGCATTTAACTGCTCTGCATCTTCGATTTTCCTCAATTTAGGTCTCTCAAGCTTCAAGATCTGCTATCTAGGAGCTGGCAAACAACGCACCTGTTTTCATTTATTTCGGATCCTACCTAGGAAATAAATCAAGAAAAAGTTAGACTTACCTTAAGTGCCTTTTCCTAAAACAGGACAAATTCATTTTGAAGGGGGAAAAAAAGCAGCAAGGAAACGTTACAGAGGTTCTTTGTGCACAAAGAGTGTTCCCTTGGTTCTGTGGAATGCTCTGCCCACCCAGGCCCTTCTCAGCACTCTCTTGCCCTCCTAGGCCTGTTTTGTCCTGTGTACAGAGGGATAAGGACACAGGGAAGTCAACTGGCTGCTCCTATATTACAGAATTTTTTCAGGACAAGGGATTCAGTACTCTCTGTCTTCCTTCCAACATTCTACCCTGCCACTGGATATAAATAATGAGAAATATCAGTGCCCTGGAGGTGGACGTCAACCCTTGCTGCCTCTTTAAGAGCTAGGGCCAAAAGCCAGAGAAGACATTTCCCTTCCTCCTGCATCTTCTAATCCCAAAGCCTGGGGACACTGCAAGTCCAGTGGTGCTTGGAAAGGTTGAAAAACGACCTCCCTTTAAGCCGGAAGGAAAGAAAATGCCAGGGGATTAATAGGGTTGAAGGATTACAAATTTCAGATAGGTCACACTTCATCTGCTTTGAGTTATTGGGGCTTGCTTCTTTCACAATTTCTTACCATGGCAAAAGTCAGAAAAGACTTTCTTGATCTGTTCTTGGGATGGGGACTTTCCCATACATTTGGGAGATACTGACTCTCTGGTCCAATTGCACCAGGATTCAGAGGCACTGCCATTCCTGGTGACCTGCTTCTGTGTGGCCATCCCAATGTCATGAAGACACATCCCACGGCTGTTTTCCATTAGGAAGACATGAGGGGGCACCTGGGAGAGGTAGCGGGAGATGGCACATCCCCATGTTCCCATCACACGCAGCAGTACCCATGGATGCCTCACCCTCAGGGATCCACGCCGTGGGATGCAGCAAATTGAGAACCCACCAGAATGTTCCACCCCGCACCCAGCAGGTCCCTTTTGGAGCAAGCCAGCAGCCTCTCCCCATGGGACTGCAGATGCGTCACACTGGAAACTGCTCTTCTTTTTCTCTTTTCATCCAAATTGAGGATCTGAGCAAAAGTCTGAAGGCCCTGGAGATAACTCAGGTTCTTTTCCCTGAGTGACAGCTCGACAGGGTCTTACAGTAAATAAGGGGGAGTCTAAGAAAAAGATGATCTCATTTCATGAATGCATATTTGTGTCCTAAAGAAGAAGAACCACAAGACCAACCTCAGAGCCCCATGAATATTACAGTAGATCCAACCCTGTGACCACACCACCCATGGTGGTGATCCCCAGGGATGAAGGGATTGGCTAATTGCTGCCAAGCACTGTGGCAAGGGCCATGCACCTTAGCTCCGAGAAGCCATGACCCTGATAGGGTCCTCTCAGCTGATGGACATTGCCCACCTCTTTCTTCTACAGGCCATGACATCACACAACAGGAATGCTGATCATGAAGGATGCACGCATTGTGCTCAGGCAGGGAAAGTGTGCTCAATGGCCCTGGTCTAACCCTATCCCCTTTTGTATGAAATTTGCAGAGGTGGATTTTTTAAGAAATAAGCAAGAGGCTTGAATGTGCAGTGAGCATCCCTCCCTGCCTCTGCCAGGCCATCCACTCACAGTAAATGCCTTGGCCATGCTATGAACATGCTTTCTGGCAGAGTCTTAGGATAGATTTCTGGATATACCCCAAGTGTGTTCTGCAGCTACTCACCAAACAAAGGATTCTGTGGTCAAAAAAGAGAGAAAAAAACAGCACAATATGTCAGCTACTGCCACAAGACTGCTGTCTAGAAGAACTCCCTGGAACTCAAGCTCTGTAATATCCACCGCCCACACGACCACAGGCCAGCAGGAGTTTGGCCTGTCCAGACTGGCCTTAGCTGGGCTGGGTGGCAAGCTGGTGGGGTCCGCATCTTACCTGCGGGCCTTTCATCTGGCTTGGATCAGTGGCTACTCAGGTATCTTTTTTGTTGTTGTTGTTTTTTGTTTGTTTGTTTTTTTGAGACAGAGTTTCACTCTTGTTGCCCAGGCTGGAGTGCAATGGTATGATCTCGGCTCACTACAACCTCCGCCTCCCAGGTTCAAGTGATTTTCCTGCCTCAGTTTCTTGAGTAACTGGGATTACAGGCATGCACCACCACATCTGGCTAATTTTGTATTTTTAATAGAGACAGAGTTTCTCCATGTTGGTCAGGCTGGTCTCAAACTCCCAACCTCAGGTGAGCCACCTGCCTAGGCCTTCCAAAGTGCTGGGATTACAGGCATAAGCCACCACGCCTGGTCCACGTATCTTTTCTTATGGTGAAAGAAGGCAAAGCCAATCACACAACATATTTCAGATCCTGCTTGGTCATGTCCTGGAATATTCCAACAGCTGAAGCTAGTCATGTGGCCACTTCCAACTCAAGCAGAAGGAAGTACACGTCAGCCACCACACCAAGACAGGACACGACTGTAGGGGAGGGCAGAATTGAGACCCAAATTCAACCAGTGACAGGATCGCTGCTGCTGCCTGGAGATCCACAGTTCACCATCGCGTAGCAAAGCTCTGAGACTCCCTGGGGTGACAGCATCAGTTTCATGCAGCCCAGCATTCCCCATATTTTTAAACATATGTCCTGTATTTAAAGCATATCTTTTATAATCCACATAAGTAGTTTTCTGCAAAATGCACATTGAAAGACACAGATATAATGTCAATAATGTGGGATTTGTAATCATCAGAGTTTCATTGTCACCTGGACGAAAGAGGCCACTTAAACTCCCCCACTTCCAGCCCCTCGTGTCTAAAACAGGGGTAAGATCTGTCCTACCAACCTGCCAGGGTTGGAGGGAGAATGGGCTGAGATGGCTGGTGACAGCGTCCTGGCCATCTTGCAGGGATCAGGTCTGTCTGTTATTGCAGGGAGGACAAGACATGCCAGTGTTGAAGCTGAGAGCTGTAGGGCTGGACTAGCCCCAATAACTCGCCAGGAAGAAAGCCAGTGAGCAGGGTTGTTTCTAAGCTTGGTTTCTGATCATTCTGTCCTGCCAGCATTCCAGCACATGCCACCGATTGTGACAGCTTCTTTCTAGGGTATGTGCCAATCCATAAATATTTCAGACTAGAAATGTGCACTGGGCACCTCCTTATTGATGCTATCCCCATCTCAGTAAGGAGCACGGGTGTCGTGGTCTGCATCTGTTCTCGCCACTGCTTCTCTTGTGAAAACATCCAGTGCCTGGATCCACACAGGCCCCAAGTTCTTGCTCAGGAGGATTTTTAGACTTGAAGTCCCCAAAGGAGGATTTGGGGGCAACATGCCAATGGGAGCCAGGTTTCACTAAAAGGCTGCAGTAAGAAACAATCCCCCAATCCCAGTGGCTCCCAAGCCGCAGAGGTTTGTTTCCAGTTCGGGCCATGTGGGGCTGCTCCACAAGTCTCTTCATTGAGCCTGGGACTGGCCTTTCTCATGGCACTGGGAGGATGGAGGCCAGCTTCCAGAATGGTGCTGCTCCTGGGAACTGCTTCAGTGAGACAACTGCCAGATCCACTCCTGTCCCCTCAACGTGCCCACCTCCAGCTTCTAGTGGAGGAGACAGCTTCTCCATCAGGAAGGCTCTGAGATTTGGTGGCAACAGGTAAAGGTGTCTCATCCTCCTACTGAGAGAAGGGTTCTAACAGTGAGCCACAATACCCAAGGAGCCAGAAACCCCCCGGGGCCCTTCCTGGAAACACCAGGTGATGTGCTGTCTATGGGAGTCCATCACCCTCAAACTAGGGCTGCCAGCTCAAAGGGCAAAGACTACATTCACCTCCTTAAGAAAAATGCGTGGTGGAAGGCCCGAGTCTGTTCGGGCTGCTAGAGCAAAATGTCATAAACTTAGTGTCTTATAGACGACAAAAGTGTGTATTTCTCACATTTGTGGAAGCTGGGAAGTTCAAGATCAAGGCACCGGCAAACTCAGTGGTGCTGAGGACCCACTTCCTGGTTCATGGACAGCACCTTCTTGCTGTGTCTTCATGCAGTGGAAGGGGCAAGGCAGGTCTTACGTGTCTCTTTTTTTTTTTTTTTTTTTTTTTGAGACAGAGTCTTGCTGTGTTACCCACGCTGGTCTTGAACTCCTGGGCTCCAGTGATCTTCCTGCCTCGGCCTCCCAAAGTGCTGGGATTACAGATGTGAGCCACCATGCCCAGCCAGGGGGTCTCTTTTATAAGAACACTCATCTCCTTTATGAGGGCTCAGTCTCTATGATGTAATCACCTCCCAGAGACCCCCACCTCCTAATTCCATCCCCTTGGGTGTGAGGCTTTCAACATATGAGGTTTTGAGGAGCACAGAAATTCAGAGCACAGCAGGGAAGGTGTGGATTTCCTCATTCTTACAGGCTTATCAACCATGCACCTGAGCCCTTGATGCTGCACCCAACTCAGGCTCTCTTCTACAGGGACTCTGTATGAGGCCACAGAGAAGCAAACAGAGAAGCAAAACCAGTCAGGCTCTTACTCTCACCGCTACCCATACTTCACTTCCTACACCAGACCAGTGGGACTTTTCCCCCACACGCCAAGAAGTTCTCCAGGGGTCACTGACAGGGTGTCCTCCGGTTCAATTTAATCCTCATGCTACCTACCTGGAGGTAGCATCAGACCCCACAGGTGAAGGGCTCAGTCCCAGAGGCTGCCCACACTTCACATGCCAGTTGCAAGTCTGCTTGCCCCCAACTTCTGTCTGACCTGACTACAAATTGGAGCTTCCCACAACCCCTTCTCCCATTCGATTAATTTGCTAGGATGGCTTACAGAACTCAGGGAAACACATGCTTATGTTCACTAGCATTTTATGCCAATAGAGGGGATTCCAAAGGGCACACAGGGGCAGCCAGATGGGAGGTGCTTAGGGCCAGGCATGGGGGCTGGGGTGTGGGGCTTCCATGCTCTCTCTACAGAGCTGCACCCTACAGGCGCACCCACATGTTTGGTCATATGGAAATTCTCCAAACCCCATAGTTTAGGGGTTTTCATGTCGACTTTATCCCATAGGCCTGATGGATTACTGACTCAATATCTAGCCCCTCTTTCCTTCCCAGAGGAAGGGAATGGGGCTGAAAGTTCCAGGCTCCTAATCCTGGCTCAATCTTTCTGATGACCATGCCCCATCCAGGAGCCTTCAAGAGTCACCTTATTAGACTAAAAGATGCTCCAGTCACCCAGGAAATGCCAAAGAATTTACAAGCTCTGTGTCAGGAACCAGGGTCAAAGATGAAACATTTGAACAAAAGATTTCTCACAGCACCCCTACCACTCAGGAAATTCCAAGGATTTGGGGAGCTCTGTGCCAGGAACTGAGGACAGAGACCAAATATATGTTTCTTATTGTTATAATTTTTTTCCTACTATTTCACTGAGACTTCCTGCAATTAAAAGCTTGGGGCCTTATGCTATGAAATTCCAGATTTAAAAAACTCTAGTTCTCTTCCACGTGTATGGCAAGACTCTGCCACAGTCTGTAAACCCCACAGTCTTCACCAGGCCCCTACTTTGCATAACTGAGGTCCCAAATCCTGCTCTTTGCTGACGGGGTGCAGGAGGGAGCAGAAATGATCAGATCTCATTGAGCCTAGATAACTTCGCAATGTGGATTCTACTGAAACCTGAATATAGTCAAGGTGCAGTTGAAAGACAGTAGATACTCTTTCTCCTACGATATTTCTGCATAGTACAAACAGCCAGCAGAGGGTAAAAAAGGAAGCTGAACCTAAGCCACCTGTAAGTACCTTCAACAAAAGGGCTGGATTTTTCAAAATAATTAAAATTGAAAAATGTGGAGTGTTCATTTTGTTAACAAGAGCTCGGTTACTGCTTTTACTGTGAAATGCCATATATTCAAGTAGAAAACACTGAAACCAGCAGTTGTCTTCAAAGCCACAGTATCAACAATATGGGTGAAACTCCCGTGTTGTGTGTATGTATGTATATATGTGTGTGTATACACCTGTGTGTATGTGTATATGTGTGTATATGTATACATGTATATATGTGTACACATCAGTGTATGTTTATATGTGTATAGACATATGTGTCTGTAGGTATATATGTTTGTATGTGTATATGTATGTATATGTGTGCATATGTATGTGTGTATGTAACTGTATATGTGGCATATACATGTGTGCATGTATATATATGTATGTGTATATGTGTGAATACATGTGTATATCTATGCATACATGTGTATTTGTGTATATATGTGCATGTATGTGTGCATGCATGAGTGTATGTGTGTATGCATGTGTGTGTGCACATGCGTGTGCATATATGCATACACATGTATGCACGTGTATGTGTGCATATGTGTGTACGTGTATATATGTGCATGTGTGTATATGTGTATGTATGTGTATGCAAGTGTGTATACATGCATGCATGTGTATATGTGTGTGTGTTTGCATGTGCATGCCCCTCTTGAAACCCATCCCCTGCCTCTGAATTTGGCCCAGAGATAAACACTACTCTGCATTCATTGAAATGACATCAAGCCACGTGAAGTTCTCCTTTGACTGCCTTGTTTTTGTGTAGGTGGAGGATCCCAGCTGATGTTTTAACTACACCCTGACTAGCAAGGCCCTCCCAAGACACACACACACGCACACACATCATATACATGTGTATACATACACATCACATATTTATATGCATCTATACCATGTACATGTTTACACACATGTCACATATATACAATATATACATGCATCTATATCACATACATGTTTATACACACATATCACATAAGTATACTATATATCATCTGCACATTTAGGCACACACCATATATATATGCATGGATATCATATACATGTTTACACACTTATGTACATATGCACTCTATCTCTGTTGCATCTTGTACACACAATCTGTTGCACACTCTTGCACACCACCTCAAACCCACTCATCACACAATTTTACTCTCACACTCATACACGCACTCATACACACTCACACTGTCACACTGACACTCACACACATTCTAACACTCACACACACTCACACACCAACATGCTTCACATACTCCCCATCTTGTATACACTCACACAGACACACCCACACTTAGCCTCTGCAGTCTTTCACCACTCTGTCTCACACACATAAATGCCCACACACACATTCTTAGTCACTCACTCCTCCTTGTATTCACACATACACACACACACAATGTCACACACGCTCACATACACACACAGTTGCATGCACACAGACACAGAGTCTCTCACAGTCAAACAGGCAATGCCAAGCAGTGTGTAGATTGAAGAGGGGACATTTGATCATGATGAGTGGCCCATGCTTTGGAAAGGAGAGTGACAGGTTGGTCTGGGTTTGAATTTGAGGGCCTGAGAAAGGTTCAGTGCCTGGCTGAACTTCAGCCTGGTGAGCGATGACATCAGCCTCACAGGGTCGGAGGCCACTCAAGTCGACATCTCATTTTTCAGGAGGCCCAGAGATGGAGCCCATGCTCCCGTCCTGGGGGCAGGTGAGGAGAGGCCCATGACCAGCGTGCAGAGCAGCCGCATTTCTGGACCTCAGGAATATCTGAGTTGTTGCCACAGAAACTGAAAGAGGTTTCCTAAGAAATAAGCTTTTCTAAAGAAGCGTGTTTACATGGTTATAACAAACATGTTTAGAGCATCGTATGTCTGCGGCCATGGCTTTGGCAAAGTCGTTTCATTCCGCAAACAACCGTGCAGTGAGCTGCCTTGCTGTGCACCTGCCCTGCTCCAGACCCTGGACAGAGCAGCCAGGGCCTCCCCATGAAACCTTCTAGCATGTGTGAGATCCTCCATAAGTAGGAAGTCCATGCAGGAGATCTCAGCAGTGGCTAATCTGCAGGTGAGAACACGGAACCAGGTGGGGAGAGCTCAAGGAGGGAGCTCAGAGCAGGCCTGTTCATAAATGACATCCTGACTCAAACCTCACAACACAACGGAGAGGGCAAGGAAGCTTCCAGGGGGACGGTATGCCGGGGGGAGGGGACAGCAAGGGCAAGAGCTCAGAGGCGGGGCATGGGAGGAGGCACAGCACGGGAAGGGGCGGGGCATGGGAGGAGGCACAGCATGGAAGGGGCGGGGCATGGGAGGAGGCCCAGCACGGGAAGGGGTGGGGCTGTGGGAAGAGGCACAGCAGGGAAGTGGGTGGGGCCGTGGGAGGAGGCACAGGCGGAAAGGGGGCGGGGCTGTAGCCTAGGATGAAGCCTTGGATGCCATTTTTAGGGGCACCTGAAAGCTGCCAGAAGCTTAGGTGCGAGCTGAGAATTGAAAATGCACCTCACCTTTTGAAAACATGACCAGATCGCTGCAGAGAGAAGGAATTTCTAGAGTGGAATGTGCGGGAAGTGGGGGACTTCCCAGAGAGGAGTCATCACAAGGGGCCGGAGAGAGGCAACGGGCCCTTTGCACAGGCTCCTGGGCAGAACACGAGCAGGAAACGGGGACTGAGGCAAAGGAAGAACCTTCCCAGCTCCGGAGGACACTTTCCTGGGAGATGAAGTCGTGATGGAGTGGATGTGAGTCCCATCAGCCCCACTGCTGATGTCTGGGTGCCACGGAACCATCTTCCATGGCAACGCTGCTGCTATTTCACTCGCTGCCGTCGGGCCCAGGACGATCCCTCCTTGAGCCGGTGAGGCTTTTACACAGTCAGCCTGAAGCCAAGCAGCCTGTTTTGTTGACTTTTTGCCCAATCATGTCCAGCACGTGGAAACCATACCCCACGCAGAGATCAAACCTCCACACACAGAGCGAGGAAAGGAAGCAGGCTTTGCTAAAAGGACCCCATCATTCTGGACTGACGCCTTCATTAAGTCCTTTGTAATTCATCCTTATAGACATAAAATTATCGTCCGAAGGAAGAATGTTAATAAAACTGACATTTCTCCGTCAGTCATCTTAATTCACAACATAACACTTTCCGGAGCCAGTTAGGTGTGCCTGATGACTACATGCGGCTAAACATTGTTGTTCACTGGAAACGCACATTTCGAAGTCCCTGCCATCATTGATTACACTGAGAGCAGCCTCTTTGGTCTGGAGAAGCATGTTAATGTTACTGTTTTTGTGCCAGGCCGGCGGGGGAGCACACCCTCAGCCTGCGCCACCCTCAGGGACCCATGATGTCCCGAGAATCCCAAGAGCATGTGAGCCTCCTAGCTTGTGACAGCTGTGTGGAAGGGCCACGCCATGCACGTGGAGAGAAACCTGCCTCAGAAGGATGCCCAGGTGGCCCAGTTGTGGATGCAGCCACTGAAGCCTCCCTCTGGGGTCCCCCTCCAACAGCCTCAGTCCTCCCGATCACCTGCGCTGACCCCCCTCCCCACATCCCATGAGGAAGCTCAGCTCTTGGAACAAAGGACCTGGGACTCAGCCTTCTGATGTCGCAGGACTTTTCCTTAGCTCAGCTAATGACGGGGTCCTTGTCACATGGCCATGAAAGATTAGGCTCACAGACAATTTGAAGACTGAGAATAATAGGATTTATTGGGCAAAAAGGAAAATAAAGGGGGAATGGGGACTCAGCAGAGCAAGAGTCTCCCCAGTATAGGCTTCCCGCCTCACAAAATAAATTCCAGGTTCCAACCAGGAAGAGGAGTGGCCAGGCTCCTCCCTGCTGCAAACACCGTGAACTTCTGTGGCTCCACTCCAGTGTACATGCCCAGCGAGCAGGCCGGCTGGAGTTTCTCCGAGAACCCCTTGCCACCTGGCTGTCTCACTGAGAGTGTGTTGGATTCACTGGAGAAAAAGAGAGGGAGGCAGAGTGATGCCAGGGATGCAGAGGGACCAGAGGTCAGGTTCCTAGGGCTGCCAGGACAGGGGACCACAGACGGGGAGCCTTCACCAACAGAAATGGGTTCTTTCATAGTTCTTGAGGTCGGACGTCAAAGATCAAGGCGTGGGCAGGGCTGGCTCCCTTGAGGCTCCGTGGGAGGCTCTGTCCCAGGCCTCTCCAGCTCCTGGTGGTTTTTGGCAATTCCTGATGTTGCTCAGCTTGCAGATGCATCACCTGATCTCTGCCTTCATTGTCACTTGGCATTTTCCCTCCGAGTGCATGTCCACTTCTGTGCCAGGTTTCCTCTTTGTATAAGATGTTCAATGAACATTACCTTGTCTCTTGTTAAAACAGTGAGGAAGACTTTATTCAAGACCGCTGCAATGGAGGAGGGAGACTGAGATCAATGCCAAATGCAATGAAGACACCTGGGATTTGTAGTCTGGGGGCCCATGAGGAGCTGGTGGATGGAACCACCAAGAGGAGACCCAGGGACAGGGACTCTCACTGTGGACTCAGCAGGGCTCCTGCTGCAACTGGGCTGCAACTGGGGGTGGCCAAGACAGACAAAAGCTTGGTCAATGAGAAAGACCTTGTCAGGAACACACTTGTGACCTTGAGCATTGACCATTGACATTCGATTTGTCCTTTAGCATTGACCTTACACATTTCATATGACCTTTGACATGGACCTTTCACATCTGATTTGTCCTTTGGCATTGACCTTACACACTTGATTTATCCTTTGACATTGACCTTTGACATTTCTTATTGGAGTAAGGCCTACCTCAGTGACCTCTTGTCAACCTGATGATCTGCAAAGACCCGATTTCCAATAAGGTCACATTCTCAGATACTAGCGGTCAGGATTTTGACATCTTTTAAGGGGACATAACTCAACCCATATAAAAGGGTATATTTACCTTACAAAATCCAGCTAGGAGCATTGTCAGCAGGTCAGCCTCCCTAGAAACAGAGCCTGAGAGGTCTTCCGACCTGGGGAGAGGTTACTGTCAGGATAAACCTATAAAGGAGGGAAGGAAGGAACCTGGAGGTGGAGGAGACCTTCATCCCACCTTGTCAAGCCAGGATGACTCAGGCATTGGCCTGATCTCAAAGGAGAGCCCAGAGCCCAAACTGCTGTACAGGGTGCTCCACCACTGCCGCAAGGGGACCCTTTGTACCTGGATCAGTCAGTCCTGGAGAGGGGTCAGCCTCCCCATCAGGCGGCTTCTGGAGTGGAGAGCAATTCTCCTGGGGGTTGAGGGAGAGCTGAGAGACCTCAGGAGTCACAACACACTGGGGGCCGGTCTCAGGCCTGGCGAGGGAGATGGAGCAGGGCACGGCTGAGCAGGGCACGGCGGGGTGGGGCAGCCCAAGCATGTGGCAGCAGAAATGATGCTCCAGGTGCTCACGTGGGCCAGCCTTGCTGCTGCACTGGGAGCTTCTGGCTCCTGTCCTCTCCAACCCCATATATCTCGCCGAGAACTAATGCCCTTTAATGAAATCAAGCGACAGTGACAAAAGCCCTAATTTTATGTCTTCTTCATTCTCCAGCTGCAGCTGCAGTGCCCTTAGGACATTTCCGTTGACCAAGTGCAATTTATCTGAACTGAAAAGGAGCAGAAAGAGGCAGCTGCAACTCGGAGCTCCCTCTGTGGGCAGAGTGAGAACCTCGGTTTTCTCAGTATTTTGTTTGTCTTGTGTGTCCCCATGGGACGTCATCACTGCAGTTCAGGGGTGGTGACCAAGTTTGTTTCCCTGGTGGGCAATTTCCCATAATCTAACCCCAGCAGCAATTCCAAATCACTTTAAATCGAACGAAATAAATGTCTCTTTTGTTTCCGTCTTCTGAGGTTGGGGAGGAGAAACTTTGTTGCAAAAGAACTTTAAAAAAATACCCTTAAGGGGTTGCATTATTCAAAATGTCACAAAATAACCTTTGTGTTGGACACTTTAAATAAAAGAATGCTCTGTGAGTAGGTTGGGGAGGATGGAGGGAAGGTGAAGTTATTTTATTAATTACTTAAAAAAAACTTTAAAAAAAAATGCCCCCAAACCACAAGGCAGAATGACCCTAAATCTTTGGAGGACAAAATCTTGGGCTAACTTAAAAAAATTCTTCACATACTTGCGCTGCTCGGTTTCCATGGGAACCTAAAGAGGAACTCTATGATGCCTGCAGAACATCTATTTTTACATTAACCCTTCGTATCACAAACAAAGGAAAAATAGACAAGAGAGGGAGAGATGGGGAGGGGCAGCTTAACTATCTTCACTTGTGCTTTAAAGACCTCACAAGTGTAGTTGGGCTGGAGGACAAGACCGCCAACATCATCTGAAAACGGAAAGCAGACTGGTATATTTCTTTCTTTTAGAATGACACTCAGGAAAAGTAATTAACATGAATGTTGTTAAGTCTGCTATTTGCACCACGAGGACAATTCCAACTCAGGCAGCAGCATTTTCATCCTGGGATCTGAGAGCCTCGGAATGGGGGATTTGATCCTAGAGGCAGTGAGAAATGTGTGTATGCAGGTCATTATTCTGGGTTTGCAGCTGGGCTCACGTCCAGCCTTATGCCACTGGGTCTGGGTTTACAGCAGTTCTGAGCCCCCTGGGAGGGGCCTGGAAACTGTCAGTGGGTGAACACAGTTGCCTTTTAGGAAATAATGTTACCCACCACCTACATTGAGGATAACCTGTTTCAGAGGCTCCTAGTAAATGTAAATTTAGGCCTCTTTCCTCTCTGAGAAAGGAAAAGGCATAACTTTTGAGAAGGAACAAAGGCTTCAGCAACGGTTGGTGGAATGTGATACAGCTTCACTTATGTTTTTAAACCATCCCAGTGTTGGGGGGCAGGGAGAAACACCACCAACACCACAACAAAAGCAGCAACCTTGGGGAGTAAATACGAGTGGGTTTTCCCAGGTCACATTTTCCCCTAAAATAAACCTATTTTTAAAATAATACGTGAATCCAACGGCAACAGGAAGCTGATGAAGCTAAATGTGAGCACCTGTTTTTTCCTACACAAGAAATGAAAATAAACTCACTGTAATGAAAATCAAGTGCAGAAAAATGATTGCCTAATTAATTGAATGCTTCACTGATTAGTTGTGCTTCTTAAATGTCTCTGATGCCTTTTCTATTGATTGACAGTGCAGAAAAAAAAAACAGACAGAAGGAGGCAGCCTGGCCAACCAATCTGGCCTCGAAAGGGTCAGAGGTGGAATGTCAAGGGCAGTTGGTCAACTGCTTCACTCCGATGAACAGGTCCCCCAGCACTTTGGGGACAAGGTGGCCTCTGCTGCCAGCTATGTCCCTGCCTTTCTCTCATCCTTGGAAGAGGAAGTGGCTGGATGAGGGCTGGCAGGGTGGGCTCAGGGTGATTTTCTGAAACATTGCTAAATTGCCTGGGATAATAGAAGACATGAGCTATGTACCCATCCTGTTCAGCCCTCATGACAATTGATAATCTCCCCCCATTTGATTAACATTGTATTCTCAGCTAGACTGTAAGCTCCATGAGGGCAGGGACCAATTATGTCTGGTCCCCAGCCAACATTTCATATTGATTACTTATCCATGGCTGATACAAAGTAAGCACTCAATACACATTGGCTGAATGAAATAAATGTTTGAAAAGAAGAGCATGATGAGTATTGTGGTTTTTTTCCTATCAGTCCTATAATAAATTACTGCAAACTTGTAGTGAAAATAGCCCACGTTTATTAGCTCATTGTTCTGGAGATCAAAGTCTGAAATGGGTCTTTCTGGGATGAAATCAAGGTGGCAGTGAAAGGAGTTAGCCAGCTTGCTTTAGGCAGACATTAAGGGAAGGGTCCCCAGAGAACCTCTGACCTGTCCCACAGGTGCTTATACCAGACGTTTTGTGCAGATAAAGGAACTTGCACAGTGGGGCACACAGTGGACTAAGGGCCCGCATGCACAAGGGGTTGATGGGGTGGAGCCACTAGGAATTCGTGCCTTATACATATATATATATATATATATATACATATATATATATATATATATACATATATATATATATACATATATATATATACACACATATATATATATATACACACACACACACACACACACACACACACACACACACACACACACACCCTGGTATTCAGCTGCGAAGGGGGCAACTGAGAACCTGCCTTCAGGAACCCTCTCTTTGCTGTGAGCTTTCTTTTCGCTTAATAAAGTCTATTCCACTCAGTCTTTGAGTGTCTGTGTGCCTAATTCTTCCTGGTTGTGAGACAAGAACCCAGACCTAGCTAAGCAAAGGAGTAAAACATCCTGCATCAGCAGCAGGGCTGCATTCCTCTGGAGACAAAAGGGAGGAATCTACCTCTTTGCCCTTTCCAGCTTCTGAGGGTCTCCCACATTCCTGAGCTGGTGGCCCCCTCTATCTTTAAAACCAGCAACATTGGGCCAAGTCTTTCTCATGCTTCTCTCTCTCTCTGACTCTTTCTTCTGATTTCCTCTTCCACTTTTAAAGACCCTAAAGATTACATTGGGCCAACGTGGGTCATTCAGGATCTTCTCCCCAGCTCAAGGTCAGCTGAACAACCGTAATTCTATCTGCAATCTTCATTCTCCTTTGCTATGTGAGGTCACATATGTCAGGTTCCAAGAATTAGGGCATAGACATCTTTGGGGGAGCATTATTCTGCCAACCACAAATATCATCAGACAAAATAGGAAAAAGAAAGTGACTATATTGAGGTGCTGTCTTCCTCATTTTTATGTTGTCTGCAGGGTCAAACAGAGGGCCTCTGTAGCAGGTGTTTGGTTAATAAATGTTTGTGGAATAGATTCATATCCTATACTCATCTATCAAAAAATGTCCACCTGTTCTGTTCTCCTAATAGTACAGACTCATTAGAACAGAAAGGGAGCACAAAATAGAACTCTGCCTCTATAACTACATTTTAGACTCCTTGGTGATAGAAACCAACCCACAGTCATGATAACTAGCTAACATTCAGAGAGCCCTCTCTAATCTGCAAGACACTTTGCCAACCTTAACCCACTGGATCTTCTTTCTCACCCAGTGGGTGGTAATTACTGTTTCCATTTAGCAGAAGGGGAAATGGAAGTCAGAAGACATTGAGTAACTCAGCCAAGATCTAATAGCCGGTAAATGTCAAGGCCATGTCTTATTGATCTACACTGATAGGCCATCCACCCTGCCACACTGCCTCACTCTGAATGAAGAGGAGATAAAATAGCAGCCAATCTTTTGTTGCGTGATAAGGACTAAAAAAGACTAAAGGCAAGACCAGTCATTTTCAGGTGTTAGAGAAAGGTCTGTGGCAGGGCAGAGCATGAAGAAAGGGAACAATTTTGCCTGAAGGAGGTGATAAGAGGAGCAAGAAGATGACTGTCCTGGTAGAGAACCCAAGGGCTCTCTGTGCTTGAATCCCAACCCGCCATGTTTAAGTGGCTCAACCCACTCCATCCAAATATGTGTGCTCCATCTCACTTGCAGCTACTAAGATTGTTCCTTCTTTAACACCCACCTCGTCCACTTGCCAAGTCCAATAGGCATGAACTCCTGGAGACCTTGTGCATCCTGTATTTCCAGCACATTCATGGTGATCAGCACGTCAGTGTTTGTGGAACCCACCTAAGCATCATTTTCCTTGTTTATTCCATTTGGAGCTGATTGTGTCCAAAAGAAGGAGAGTGGGAGGGAAGGAAGGAGGAGGAGGGACGAGGGAGAGAGGACATAACAGATTCATCATGGCCTTTGGGTTCTGTTGTTGCTGTTTCTTGAAACTGATTAGAGCAAACTCTTGACTTCTAAAGAAAAATATTTGAGAATCTTTCTTCACCTCCCTGTTTTCTCTGTGGCCCAGACTTTTCCTTCTTAAGGTTTTCTGAAAGAATACATACAAGAAACAGCAGGAAATAAAACCCCAAGATATGAAAGTCAGTCTGACTTGCCCTTACCTAACCTTAGTCAGTAATGTCTGAGATGGGGATATTTCAATTATCCAAGCTTCCTCTCTCTTCCAGCGGCAGAGCCCCACTGACTGCGCAGGGAATAATACACATTCTACAATGTCGGCAAGTATGGATGGAGCACTGGGCTCGGCCCAGACATTAGTGCTCAAATGCGTTGATGGTGAGGAGTAATAAAGAAATTGAAGACATATCCCTGCCCTTGAGAAGTAATTTAGTTGGCGGGGGGGAAGGTTCCTAGTGATCCATGAAATGAGTAGAGGACAATTAAAGATTTAGTTGCCAACGTATAATTGTAACATAAACTGCATACAGCAGAATGGTGGAAATAATTAAAAAGAATGGGATTATGATAATTCCAGAGTCATCATGAAACAAGACCAGGCAGCCAAAGTTTCTGTGTGTAGACTGATCCCTTCATGCAGAATATTAACGGCCACAGGCAGGCTGGATGTTGGACCCAGAGATGACCAAGCAAAGGAGATGGATAAAGCCCCTGTCCACATGGGGCTCATGAAGAGAGAATGATGATAAGCCTCATGAATGAAGAATGGGGGGTCCTGAGAGAGAGAATGGAGAGAACCTGCCATGGAGAAGAGAAGGGTTCAGAGCTGCCTCACCCCACGCACACACCTGTCACTGCCCGGCCCCTTTGTGATTATTCCCTAGCAATGATCACAACCTGAAATAACCTCCTTTGTTGACTTGTTTCTTGAAGCCACCAGCCCCCCTCACTAGAATGAAAATTAAGTGCGGTTAGAGAGCTCTTTCTGCACATTCTCCACAGTGCCCCTGCTTCCAACACAGTTTAAAACACATGACCTAAGCTTAAAATTATTTGCTGAGGGAAAGAAAGAATCATGAGATTATTAGGGATGCATTATGTTCATCACATCATCAAATTATATTCGTTATGAAATGCATTATCAATGTCAGGTCTTTTCAATTCAGTAGAGGCCATATACATACACATATTTTTGTAATACAAATTTTTAAAGAGACGTGAACACGGATGACTATTGGTCACCGTAACTGCAGTTTCGCGTCTACCTCTTTTTATTTATTTTTTTAATTTTTTTAACTTGTTTTTGAGACCAAGTCTTGCTCTGACACCCAGGCTAGAGTTCAGTGGCGTGATCTTGGCTCACTGAAACATCTGTCTCCCAGGTTTAAGTGATACTCCAGCCTCAGCCTCCCAAGCAGCTAGGATTACAAGCATACACCACCACATCCAGCTAATTTTTCTATTTTTCATAGAGACGGGTTTTCCCCAAATTGCCCAGGATGGTCTTGAACTCCTGACCTCCTGTGATCCACCCTCCTTGGCCTCCCAAAGTGCTGGGATTACAGGTACCGTTTTTGTTTAATCAATGTTATCACCTCAGTGCAGTCTAACGCTGCTCAATTGTTCACGCCCTCTTTATAGGATAGGGTCTGTGCCACATTAAACATGAAATTAAAGCAACCGAATTTTTAGAAAGAGAAAACTTGGCCACTCCTTGCTTTGATATAAATCGTGTTGTGTGTTGGGGCCCCTGCCATCCCCCTCGGTGCACCAATGGATGCTCCACCGTGGCTGAGCAGATTCCGCGTGGATGCGGGATGTCAGTGTGACTGCACAGTTCTCCCATTTCCTTTTAAAATCGTGGGAAGAAGGCACTGAAACAAAACATCTTTTATTGCCTGGGCTCCAAATGCACCACAGGGAATGTTTACCAAGGGGCTTTTAACACAAATATTTACAGAGATTTTCATGCAGTTGAGGTCCTAGACTATTTGGATTTGAGTAGATGGAGCAAATTGATCTATAAACTACACGCTTTAGTAATTACCTGCAATATCCCAGGCTTTCTGAATTCCATCTCTCTTTCCCTGGCATGATGTGATATCCTCAACAATTGAATTGCTTCTTGGCAATGTGTTGGCTGTTAGTTGTGAAAAGTCAGTACGATTCCAAATGTGTGGGTCAGTGGCTTTATTAAGACTCATGACCTCATGCAGGAGGCCCAGGCAGACTTGGGCAGCTGCAAGCAGAACAGCTACATAGGATGCTTCTAATGTGGAGACACCTGCGAGAGAATTTTAGTTATTTAAGAAAATGCTCGCTCTCTCTCTTTCACACACACACACACACACGCATATCCACTCAGACTGAGCTGGGTCATGACACACCAACACCACTAATTTCATCTCTAAGTTTTTCAGTCTGTCATGTCAGGCAGCAGCTAATAAGTGCACTTGAAGATGGGAATTCATTGATCATCTTTTCCCAAATCAGTGGAGTCTGTGTCTGCCATAACTTCATTTAACATCTCATTAGGAAAGATGGCATCACCAGCCCACCCAAGAGCAGCCTCACTATCTCCCTTCATGGCTTTTGCCCCCCACACAGCTGTGCTGGGGACCCTGTTTCCATCAGGCCTCTGATGGGTCCTGCCTTCTTCTCCTGCAGGCTCCACTCCCCCCACTGGATAAGGAGCCTGGTTGTAGACTCCTGGTGGCCTTGGGGTTACAGGAACAGACTGTGCCCTGGGTCTTCCTTGCACTGGAAAGCTCCCTCTCTATAACTTCAGAGGGAGAAGACTCTTAGTACCCTAAAATACTAAAATACATGAGATTGGAGGAACCGACTCTGCTTTGTTCATTCCTACTCAGAGACATCTCCAGTGAGCCAAGCCCTGGGGGGATGTGGGGCTGGACTGCTAGGAAACTTTGCAACTGAGTTCAAACTTGGAACTGTCCTCTCTTCTCCAACACAGCAAAGGTCAATCGAATTTATACTTAGGTACTTACCAATGCTCTAAACGAAAAGAAGGCGCTCCGTGTACCTGCAATAGAGGCAATTGTTAGGAGGAGGCAGAGCTGTGGACATGCAGGGCTCCAGGGCAAGAGTCTATTGGAAGTGGCAGGGATCTGGCTCCTGAAAATGACAGGGACCCAGGCACCCCACATGGCAGGAGACCCCAGCCAGATTCATGTATGAAACCTGGAGCGAGTGAAAGGAGGCCGGGGAGAGCCGGTCCCAATGGAAGCAGAGCAGTCACGTGGTCCAGACTTGGGCTAAGCTGCCAATTGCCCTGTGACTGCACCTGTGCTCTCCCCAGGATCTTGACAGGCAGGAGCAGGGGCCTCCAATACAATGTGGTTCTGACCAGGATTCTCAGGGGCAGAGAAAAAGCACCTGGGAAACCACCAAATGGGGTTGGGTGGAGGGCAGAAGGGAGAGAGAGACCCACTCAATAGAAGGTTCTGAACATCATGAAGAAGATTTACACACTAAAGCGACAATTATCAGTTAAGACATTCATCACCAGTGAAATGCAAACAACAGGAAACCTCGAGATGTCTATAGAATACCCTATGGTCTCAAAGATCTAAAGGTCTCAAAGATGTAAAGAAAGAAATATATGAAAAATAAGGAAAGATTATGATTGGATATGAATTAAAAACAGATCACTTTTCAAAGCTCAGTTCAAGATTCTGGAAGTAAAACATACAGTCATTATTTATTTATTTATATATTTATTTATTTATTGTTTTGACACAGGGTCTCACTCTGTCATCCAGGTGGCTGGAGTGCAGGGGTGTGATCACAGTTCACTACAGCCTCAACCTCCCAGGCTCAGGTGATGCTCCCACCTCAGCCTCCCCAGTAACTGGGACTACAGGTGTGTGCCACTGCAACCAGCTAATTTTTGTATTTTTTGTAGAGACGGGATTTTTCCATGTTTCCCAGGTTTGTCTCAAACTCCTGGATTCAAGTGATCCACACATCTCGACCTCCCAAAGTGCTGGGATTGCAGGCATGAGCCACTGCACCCAGGCTGGAACTTTTTAAAATTACAAATGGATATGAACCTGGTCAGAGAAAGATTTGTGAACTGGAAGATAGTGTTGTGAAGCTCCTTCTAAATGCAGCAGACGGAGAAAAAATCTTATCTTATGAGAGATAAGTTAAGAGATATGGAAAAGAAATTGAGATTCTGCCACACAGGAAGGAGAAAACAAGGGGAATGGCAAATAAACAATATTTGAAGTAAGCATGGCTAGAAATTTTCTAGATTCAATGAAAAAGCAGGAAATTTCAGCTAATGAAACACTTGGAGTGCTGAGCAGGATAAATATATACATGAATGTATATATATATAAGTATACATGAATTATGATGAAACATTGTTGCAGTGCAGAAAGATGAAATAAAATATTTAGAGGTACCAAAAAGAAAAGAGATATCATGACAAAAGAAAGACCATGAGACTGGCAACAAATGTCTCCTCAGTGACAGTAGATGCTAGAAGACAATGAATAAATAGCCTCAGACTGTCAAGAAAACTAACTGCAAATGCCATATTTGATGCACCCTGTGAAACCATTGTTCAAGAGTGAGGGCAAAAGAGGCCAAGATATTTTTAAAATATGGACTAGAAGAAAACATGATTTACCACCCTCAGATGGTTGCAGAGAAAGCTACTGAGGGATATATTCCAACAAGAAGAAAAGTGAACCAAAGGGGAAGGAGTGGTCTGCTAAAGATAATACTGAGCAAAAAAATAATAATAAAAGTATTTTGCTGAATGCGTTTAACCACTAATTGGAAATTTGTATTTAAGAGTATTGAATTAAAATGTAAAACAAGAATGTACGGTGGGGAAAACTGGAAAAGGAGGGAAACGTCAAATAACTTTAGACTTTGTTAGAAAAATAGACAGTTATTATGTTAACAACTTAAGTTTACCAGCTAAAATATGTGGAGAGATATACTATAATAACTTCCAAATTGGTGGGAAAAAAGATATAAGAAAAGCTGTATCAAAAACAACAAGTCAAGACATAGAGAAAATAGAAGCTAGTATCTATAAAAAACAAAAATAGACAGAAATAAATATACCAATACTTACAATAAATGTGACAATATTACCTATCACGGACAGAGACTAATTAGATAACTTAAAAATCCTTCTATATGCCATTTAAAAGAGTAATGCTAAAAGCAGACAAACACTTATTACAAATATGTATAGAAAGATGTACTAAAACTACATATAACATAATTCACAGATTAAAGAAAAATCATAGTAACAATAACAAAATATTTAGAATTGATTGAAAGAAATCCCACTTTATGTCAGAACTCATAAGACATAGCTAAAGCAATTCTTTAAGTAAATTTATAGCTTTTAATGCATTTAAAAATGTTATAAAATAAATGAGCTAATCATTCAATTCGAGAACCTACTAAAATAAGAGAGAGTAAGCCTATAAGAAGGAGAAGAAAATCAACAGTAGATAAGAGCAGAAATTAAGAAAACAGAAAAGGCAAACAAAATATGGCTGATTGATAAAACCAAAGATATTTCTTTGGAAACTAATGAAAGAAAAATAGTCAACTGAGTGGACAGATCATGGTGAAAAAAGCAGGCACAAGGCATCACTAGGAGCATAAAAAGAGATGCAAAAGGAAGGTTAAAAATCATAGGACTATCATGAACAACTTTTTGACAATAAATTTGAACACCTAGAAGAAATGGTTTTTAGATAAAATTTATAAAAATTATTCAGACACTAGATTATGGTGATTTTTCAAGGAGAGTTTCACAACAGCCTCAAGAAACAGAAAATTGTCTTCTTATACAAATTGTTCCAGAATAGATGAAGCAAATAAAATACCTGACTCATTTTCTGATGCCAGTATAATTTGATATCAGAACTGAGCAAGGACATGATGAGAAATGAAAATTATAGGCCTACCTCCCAAAGAATATAGACGCAGAAATTCTAAATAAAATATCCGAAAGTCCAATCTCACAATGTATTCACAAAAAGCACATCAAGGTCAAGTGGGTTTATTTGTCTTGGGAAGTGAGAGGCAGTTGAGGTATTGCCTCGGACTGTCACTCAAATGGATCTGCCTTCACATGGAGACAGGTGGCCAGGGTCAGAAGGAGTTTCCCACTTCCACTCTGCAGAATCCAACTAGTCAGACATGAGCAGCGTAGGAGAGAGCTCCCCTCGTACCCCACACCACACACACCAGGAATGTCAGGCCACATTCCTGATATTCATCAGGTGATGGTCAGGCCGTTAACAGTCTCTCTAAAATAATAATTGGTCACTGCCAGTGCCAGAGGAAGGCAGTCTCCCAATAAACAGAAACACTTGAAACTGGTGATCAGCAGCTTCCGAATGGGATCTCAGGAGTTGGGCCCGTGGGCTCAAGCATGCCCAGTAAGAGGCATAATGGCAGAGTTTAACCGGCGCATGACCTCCTAAGTACATTGCGCTGGTTAAGAGAAAAATGCCTCAAGCAAGCATGCGCACAACTCCAGTAAACACACTGCGCATGCTCCTCTCCCGAGCGCTGGCAGAGCACTGCGCATGTGCACAGCCCACTCCAAGGGAAGAGTCAGGGAAGAAAGGACGCAAGACCCTGGACACATGCTGACGTACAAAACCCCAAGTCAAAACGTCAGACCACGCACTTGATCTTTCAAGTCACCCGCTTGGCCTTCTTCCAAGTGTACGTTCCTTCCTTTCATTCCTGCTCTAAAGCTTTTGAATAAACTTTCACTCCTGCTCTAAAACTTGCCTCAGTTTCTCCCTCTGCCTTATGCCCCTCAGTCGAATTCTTTCTTCTGAGGAGGCAAGAATTGAGGTTGCTGCAGAACTGTACAGATTTGCGGCCGGTAAGAGAAGCAAACAAAACAGAATGCTGACAAACCAGAAACCTCCTAGGAAATCCGAAACGAGAGAGAAAAGACAAAGACATCCTTTATTTGATAAAGAGTAACACAAAAGGAAGAGGAGGAGGAAGGGGAGGGGAAAAGGTGCTGAGGAGAAGGAGAAAAAGCAAACACTGAGTTTCATGACGAAACTTTAGAGTCACGAAACGATAAGGACATCAGGAACTTTCTAGAATACTGCTATCATAGTGCCTTCCTGATACTTTTCTGCGGGTGCTGGCCAATTCAATGTAAGGAACAGAACTGACAGAATGTGGATTGGGATAAAAAGGCAAAATGACGTGGTTTGCAGATGAATAGACTGTCAACAGAGAAATTCCAAAGACATTCTACTACCTATTAAAACTAGTAAGTGAATCTAGATTCAAAATCAATATACAAAAATCAGAAGTCGTTCTGTATGTTAAGAAAAGCCCGTCCAAAAGTGTAATAGAAAAAAAAAAAAAGATTTACCCAAACCACAAAAACTGTAAGTTACCCAGGAATAAATCTAAGGAAAGATGAGCTAGAAAAGAGAGTTATAAAATATTATTGAAGGACATAAAAGAAGACTGAATAAATGGAGTGATTTACTGTCTTCATAGGTAGAAGGGGTAATACCATAAATAAGTCAATACTTCCCCAAATGTATCTATAATTTCAATGAAATTCAATAAAATTCACAATCAAAAGTGCTGTCGTACTTGATACACCAATTCTCACTAAAATTCATATGGAAGAGGAAAAGAAGAACCAGGAAGATGCGGGGGGGAAGACAGAAAGTGGTAGATGCTCATCTCCACCATTCTATCTATGTTAGGTCATTCTTGCTCTGCTATAAAGAAATACTTGAGGCTGGGTAATTTATAAAGAAAAGAAGTTTAATTGGCTCATGGTTCTGCAGGCTTTACAGGAAGCATGGTGCTGGCATCTGCTCGGCTTCTGCGGAGGCCTCAAGAAGCTTTCATCATGGCAGAAGGCGAAGGGAAGCAGGCGTCTCACGTGGCAAGGGAGAGAGCAAGAGAGTGAGGTAGGGGGAGGTACCACATACTTTTAAATAACCAGATCTCAAAGAACTCATCAAGCCATAAGGGATCCGCCCCCGTGACCCAAACACCTCCCACCAGGCCCCATCTCCAACATTGGGGGTTACATTTCAACATAAGATTTGGGTGGGACAAATATCCAAGACACATCACTGTCTATAGATAGATTGCTCTATCTGTCAAGATGTATCCATGGTAATTAAGGGCTATCGTATTTGAATAGGCAACTAGATATGCAGAACAGAATTAAAAATCCAGAAATATATATTTGCATATATATAACTTTGGCATAAGATACGGAAGATGTGGTAGAGACTGCTGGATGTCCACTCTAAGTCTGAGAATGGGCTACTTAGAATTTCCAAATCCTTTGCAAAAAAAAAAAGTCTGGCTAAAAGAAGAAGTAGAAATGCTGGACGGTGGCTTAGAATACATACAGCTGATACCTGTCCTTGACCCTCCTTCCCTCTTTCTCTCCATGATGCTACCTGGAAACTCAGGGGTTGGTGAGAACTTCATCTTGGACCATGAAGGTTCCAGTCATGCCCTAGGAATTAAGGAGCTTGGATTCCTGGCAGAGCCAGCAGACTGGCCCAAGAAAGGCTGCCCCAGATTCACACATGAGCGAGAAATACACTTCTATCTAGTTTCAGCCATTTATCTTGGGGCTTTGTGTTTCTCACAGTAGATCTTTATCCTAACTGATATGGAAGGCATTACAAATCTGTGGGACCATTCAATAAATTGTGCAGGGACAAATGTCCAGCCATATGGAAAGAAAATACAATAGATGCTTACCTCATGTACAGAAATAAGCCCTAAGTGAATTTGAAACCAAACATGGAAAATAAACCTTCAGCATACCACATCGGAAGAAATGATAGGCCACCTTCAGCATACCACATCAGAAAGGATTTCTTAAACAAGACCAAAGCAGAAATCACATGGGAAAAGGTTATCACAGTTGACTGTATCTAACTATAACTTCTGTATGGCTGGTGACCACAGACAAAAGGCATCATAAATAAAAGAAATAACTATTAGGGGAGGAGACTGGTGATTATAAGATATAGTAATACTTTTCATAATGCATGAAGAAATTCTACAAATCATAAGAAAAAGACAACCCAACATTAAAACGGGCAAAGACTGTCAACAGGCAAGCCACGGTGGAGGAGTTCCAGGCAGCCAATAAACACATGCATGGCTGGGCAGCATCCCCAGGCATCCAGGAATACAAGTTAAAACAATAGTGAGATGATTATTAGATGAGACACAGGTAAACTTAAAAAGGCTGTTGTGACACAAAGTACGTGCCTTAGGTGGGGGTGGGCAGGCCAGTCCTGTCTGAGGAGGGGAAAGATGAGAGGTGCCAGCTGTGTTAAGATTCAGGGAAAGAACATTCTGGGAAGGAGGAAGAGCAAGTGTGAAGTCCTGGGTGAGGCGAGACGGTGGGTTCCGTGGGAAGCTCTGTGGAGAGTGATCTATCAAGCAAAGGGCACAGCAGCAGGAATTGGGACCTGGGGTCTCAGCCACCTCAGGGGCTGGTGCCTCTGCAGAAGAGCCATGTCTGGATCTTATAAACCTGTACAGCATGGATGCATGCACGGTGATCTGCCCTCTCCAGGACACAGGCTCCCCAAAGGGCACCTGAACTGTGCAGAATGACCCCGAGGGCTCTGTATCTTGCTCTCTGCTCTTTCCCTGCATGCGAGGTGGACTCCAGGCCACGTGCCATTCTGTAATGATGGCCCACATTCTCCCAACTCTCTTTTGAGTCTTGCCATTCTGGCTACAATGAGAACGCGATTCTCTTCCTGCTCGGCAATTCCCTTCCGGCCTTCCCATTGTGGACAGAATGGCAAGGTGCCTGATGCTTGGACAGCAGAAATGTCTCTTCTGCTGTCTGAACCCTGCCCATCCTCTCCGAGCCAGCTCATGCCCTAACTGTGCCTTATCTCCAGGCTGTGCTGATCTACAGGTGAGCTCTTTGGGCTCTGCCAGCATTCCTACAGCACCCATAGGGTGTTTCCTGTCTACAGTGTGTGTGTGTGTAGCACAGGGGCAACCTCATATATGGGAAGAAAGGGAGCAAAGTCAGAGTCCTGACTGGGCAGATTGCTCCACCTTTCCCATCTCCATATCTCCACCTGCCATGGGAAGAAATAACACCCACCCGACAGGGTGGAGCAAAACATTCAAAACCGCAGGGCACCTGCCTGCCACTGTGCAGGGCTCATCATAATGACTCCGTAAACAGCCCACTTCTCTCCCTGTTGTGGATGGGTGGCCTCCTCCCATTCTGCCCACTAGCCGTAAAATGGGACAGAGTCTGTTTTAGTCTCCTTACGGGCCCACCAACGGAGACAACAATCTCCAGCAATTTAAATCCAATGAGGAAATGTTACCGAGATATGTAAATGCTTACTGAATGAATGAGTAAATTATACAAAGCCTCCGCTGATGATGTTGACAGGGAAGGTAGCAGAGCCCACGTCACAGGGGTAGGCTGGGAGAACCAGCTGGTCTGCACCAGAAATAGCCTAACCCATTGCTGACGCCCGCCAGCGGCATCCCGATTTTGGCGCATCCACACTACGCACGGTGGAATCCCTGCCGTCTACGGTCCTGTTAAAGGGGAACTTTAAAGTCACCCAGATGAAAGTGGCGTGACTCGACCATAGCCCTCACTGGTGTCAGACGTTTTCACTGTTTCAGCCTTGTTTTGTCCTCACGGTCCTCACATCTGTTTTCATGTTCTCAGCTAGGACACCCCAGGTGGCCTGATACCCATCTAAAAGTCCAGCTTTCATGATTAAGGCTGAAATATTAGTGACTGCCAAGTGTTCAACACACCAGTGAGGCCACGTGATGCTTGCTGGACTCTAGTCTTCCCTGGCTTCTCTCTCTGGCCCGTGGGGAGTAAAACCTCACTCAACCCGATGCCTGGGTTCCAGGGACCCTGGTTAAGCGGGATCCTTGTCAGCTGAAATACCAAGGCCCAGGCGCAGTGGCTCAAGCCTGTAATCCCAGCACTTTGGGAGGCCACGGTGGGCAGATAGTTTGAACCTAGGAGTTCAAGAGCAGTCTGGGCAACATGGTAAAAACCCTGTCTCTACAAAAATACAAAAATTAGCCAGGTGTGGCGGCGCACACCTGTAATCCCAGCTACTTGGGAGGCTGAGGTGGGAGAATTGCTTGAACCCGGGAGGCAAAAGTTGCAGTGAGCTGAGATTATGTCACTGCACTCCAGCCTGGGCAACAGAGTGAGACTTTGTCTCAAAAATAAAAAATAAATACCCAGAACTGTCTTTTTGTTTCAACCCTGCTTGGAATTTCAAAATATTCCTGTCTCTCTCCTGGCCTAGGGAATTACGTGGATTTGCTGTCAGAGTCACCGTAATGCTGGGCGTCTGGCTCAACTGATCCTGGGGCCTGGACAGGTCAGAAGGCACGACCATGACTCCCTCGGAAGCAGCTGGCAGCCAAAGTCTCTCTGGGGTTACTTTTAGGATCTGCCTTTCACCAACATGTGTTGGGTTTCCCTGGTTCTGCTTAGAGGCCCCTGCCTGTTTGGCCCCTTGGGGCCCTGCTGGGGTGACAGTGAGTGATGATTCTGTGCCTCCTGGGGATGATAGACTTGTCTGGCAGGCAGGAGATGCAGCCATAAGTGCCAGTGTGGGTGCGAGCAAAGGACTCCAGGCAAGACCACCTCTAATGGTGCAAATGCAGCCATCTCCAAACCCAGGACAATGGACCCTGCTTGCAGCTCACAGAAGGAAAATGAGCGTCCCAGAGAGGGCGGGGCACACCAGAGGTGGCAACCACACCTGCTCTTTTCGGTGCTTGCTTGGGGCTGATGTGTGTCCTATAGCTCAAAAGCCTACCGTACTCTTTTCCCTCTGAAAGATTAGAGGTGAAGTAGGGATCCTCCTATGCTAATGCACACTCAGGCCCCTCACTCTAGAAAAGCGTTTTGTCAAAGATAAGATATTGGTAAAGGCAAGACATTGTTCACATTTAAAACCAACTGTGGTGACTCCACTTGTCAACTTGGTATTTCCTAACTGTTATCTCAAACACTACACTTTCTAGCATGTTATTTCCTCCAGCCAGCCCACCTATGGGTGCACAGAGAGCCTCCAAGAGCCACCTCCACGCCTGGCTCTCATTGGAAGCCTCCCTGGCTGCTCACTCTGCAAATGCCCAGCTCTGTAGACTGTTCTAGCATCTCCCATCAGCATCCACTCATACCCAATCATTGACCCCAATTCCAAACCAGGTGTGGTCTGCAGGGGTGGGGAGCAGCCTGGGTTCCTGCTGCTGCCCTAATTCCTCATCTTTACCAAGAGGACAGTGATGCCACACAGGGCTGGTGTGAAGGGGGACTGAGCAGGTACCTGGCACTCAGTAGGTAGGAGGAAGTTAAACTGGTATAGGTAGTTGGGCAGAATTCACTGCTTTCTCCTCCCTCCTCCTCCTCTCTGGTTAATCAGGAAAGCCTGCATGTTCCCATGAGTAGGGTGCCAGGAGGGAGAGGAGCTGATAGTCCATCACTTTAGAGAATGGAGAACTTTGAACATTACCAGGCTCTGCCAGTATGCTGGGTGTGGACCCTGGGTTTCCCAGAGCTCTTAACCTGGTTGCATATTGGGGGCACTTCCCTTTAAAAACAGAGATGCTGGCATCCTCCAAAAGCAACAGAATCAGAATCGCTAAGCCCAAGATCTGGGCATCTGTTCTTGTTAAGGTTCCTGGGGAGATTCTAGGGGACAGTCACATCTGATCATTATGGCACACACAAACCAGAGATCAGTGCTTCCTGAGGCTTCTAAAACGCTGCAGCAATATCATTTTCACTAACCCAAAACCCAGAGCAATGACATGGCCATTTGCTATGGCACAAAATTGCCAGGTGTGTCTCTGGGTCATCTGCCATCATCCCAAAGAAGCGTCCTGATCTGCTCTACATGCACTTGGAGCCTCCAGCACCTGGAAGTGGGCTGGCATCAGCCCACTCACCTTTCCTTGCCCTGCCCAGGCCCCCCAAGGCCCTGTCTCCTCCTCATTTGAATATCTCTCTTTGTTAATGAGGGTTATTTGTTTAAAGGCAAAGAATCTCATCTGATCATTGCATGCAGCAACATCTTGGGCCTTTACAGCCCTTTGGGGATGCAATTTGTGTGTCATTTCACTTTTTATTGCTTTTTATTGGTTGTGGGACTGTTGGGAAGAAAATGAGGACTATTTATCATGCGCAGAGGAAGTCTGCCACATAACACGGTGAAGAGCTGTCACCCGGAGGGAAGGCGGCCAGGGGAGCGCTATCGGTGGAAATAAGTCACCGCTGGAAAGCAGTGAAGGGTAATTGCATGGAGGACAGCACCTGTGTGTTTTCCATGCCAGGACAGGGGGCCCAGCACACACGACTAATCAGTCATCACCATCCGCCCAGCTCGCAAACGTTCATGGAGGAATCAGAAATGTTTACAAAGGCAGTAAATCTATTCTCCCCAATTGTGTTACAAGAGGACTCTTCTGATCAGCTGCTGACAGCCACACATCTGTCCACTGGGGGCTCCTTAGGAGCCTGGGAGAAGCTGTTCAGCACCAGGCAGAAACCACTGGGTGTTGAGTCCACAGGGAAGTGGGAGTAGAGATGTGTGGTCAACACATGTTTTCCTAAGGCATGGCAGTGTTGAGTGCAGAGTCTTGCTCTTGAGCTGCACGACCCAAAAGGAATGCAAAGCTGGGAGGACAGGTGTAGGCAGGCTTTCAAGATACTCCATGGCACACACTAGGGGGCTAGGGGCCAAGGCTGCAATGGCAAGTTGAAGAGGGACATTTTAAAAAAATGTTTACTTGCTGAGGATGATGGTTTCCAGCCTCATCCATGTCCCTGCAAGGGACATGAATTCACTCTTTTTTATGGCAGCATAGTGTTCTATGGTGTATATGTGCCACATTTTCTTTATCCAGTCTATCATTGATGGGCATTTGGGCTGTTTCCAAGTCTTTGCTATGGTAAATACTGCTGCAATAAACCTTCATGTGCATGTGTCTTTATAGTAGAATGATTTATAATCCTTTGGACGTATACCCAGTAATGGGATTGCTGGCTCAAATGGTATTTCTGGTTCTATATCCTTGAGGAATCAGCACACTGTCTCACCATCAGCCTCACCAAACTAACACAGGAACAGAAAACCAACACCGCATGTTCTCACTCATAAGTGAGAATTGAACAATGAGAACACATGGACACAGGGAGGGGAACATCACACACTGGGGCCT
Source organism: Homo sapiens (assembly GCF_000001405.40). Taxonomy (NCBI): domain Eukaryota; kingdom Metazoa; phylum Chordata; class Mammalia; order Primates; family Hominidae; genus Homo; species Homo sapiens. Next base: position 4,404,321 of record NC_000001.11, on the reverse strand, counting down.
GTTGGGGGTTGGGAGAAAGGGGAGGGAAAGCATTAGGACAAATAACTAATGCATGCGGGGCTTAAAGCCTAGATGACGGGTTGATAGGTGCAGCAAACCACCATGGCACATGTATACCTATGTAACAAACCTGCACGTTCTGCACATATATGCCAGAACTTAAAAAGAAAAAAAATAATAATCAAATGTCAAAACCTAAAAAGATGTTTATTCATGGTAAAACACACATAACAAAAAATTTACTACCTTAACCTTCGTTATGTATGCAGTTCAATAACATTTACACTCCCTTTATTGTGCAGTCTGCACCAGCATTTATCCACAGGACTTTGCTTTGCTTTTCTTTCTTGCAAAACTGAACTCTGTCCTCATTAATCCTTAATTCCTGGTGCCCACTCCCTAGCCCCTGGCAACCATCTTTCTACTTTCTGTCTCTATGAATTTGACTATTCTTGATAAAAGGAGGGAAAATGTTTAATAGCTTTTTATTTTAGAATAGTTATAGCTTTACAGAAAAATTTCAAAAACATTTTGGAGAGTTCCCATATACACCACATCCAGTTTTTCGTATTATTGCTAGCATTTTGCATTAGTGTGCTACATGTGTAACAATTAACAAACCCATATCGATACATCAACTAAAATCTATACCTTACTTGGATTTCCTTAGCTTTTACCTGATATCCTTTAACCTTCCCAGGATCCCATCCATTGGTCGTCACATCTCAGGCTCTGCTCAGCAATATTTCTCTGCCTTTCCTTGTTTTTTTATGACTTTGACAGTTTTGAGGACTGGACATGCATTTATAGAATGTCCCTCTAGTCTGATGTCTGATGATCTTCTCATGATTGGACTGGGGTTATGAGTCTTAGGGAAGGAAGACCCCAGAGGTGAAGTTGCTATTCTCATCGCATCAGACCCAGGGCACCTGAGGCATCACTGTTGTGGTGACCCTAATGCTTCCCTGGTGGAGGAGTGTTTGTCAGGTTTCTCCACCAGGCAGTGACTCTTCCCCTTTTCCATACCACAGTGTCTGGTAGAAAGTCACTGCTATGTGCAGCCCAAATTTAAGGAATGAGGATTATGAGGAAGTTTTCATTTGTTTCTTTTCTTTTTCTCCTTCTTATATGGCTGAATTGCAGGAGACTTTCATATTCCATTCACATCATGCCAATTTCAAACTCTGGACCAAATTCCAAAGTGAGAGAAAGGTCAGCCTAGGGCCCAGAATCTGAGACAGTGTAAGTTCCCCCAAGAAGCAGGGCCACTTCATGAGGCCCAGGCCCAGGAACCAGAGCTGGTCTTGGTCACTGGGTACAGCCTCCCAGGGAGAAGGCCATACTCTCTAGACCACCCTGCTTGTCTTGTCCCTGCTGTGCACCAGCTGTGCCCAGATGCCCCAGGGATGGGGTTACTGCTGCGCTGTGGGAAACAGACTCCACGCCATCACACAATTGGACATCTTACGTTGTTCTGGATTTACTTCTTGCATTTAATTAAACCTTGGCTCCTTGGCCTAGCTATGTCATCTTCAAGAAAAAGGAAAGGGCTGTGCACAGTGGCTCACGTCTGTAACCCCAGCACTTTGGGAGGCTGAGGCAGGAGAATTGCTTGAGGCCAGGAGCTTAAGACCAGCCTGGGCAACACAGCAAGAATCCTGTCTCTACAGTAAAATAAAATTAGCCATATATGGTGGCACATACCTGTAGTCATAGCTACTCAAAAGACTGAGGCAGGAAGATCGATTGAGCCCAGGAATTTGAGGCTGCAGTGAGCTACTATCGCACCACTATATGCCAGCCTGGGCAACAGAGCAAGACCTTGTCTCAGAGGGGAAAAAATAAAAGGAAAGGAAGGGAGAACTCATCCTCCTGTCAGCTGGAGGTAAAATACAGCTTATTTTGCATCTCAACACCTTAGAAGAGTATTGTTAACAGTTGAGGAAGTCAACAAATACTTGGCCAATAGTTGATCATCTTAAAACTGACCTCAAAAAAGATTGAGTTTATTCTAAGAGAAATTTGGCTGAATAAAATTTGACTTTAATGTGACTTAATTTAATTAGTTTAAAATGTGAATTAAATTTAATTAAAATCTGAATTTAATTTAATTTAATTAATTCACATGTACTTCCATGATCCTCTTATCCACTCCCTTCCCCCAAAGAGGAGGCAAACTGAGTTCCATTTTGCCCCCCGCCACAGGAGGGAAGGGTCCCTTCCCAGGTGGGATAACCAACAAACACAAGGGTGAACCTCACTGTCAAGGTTGGGCAGGTGTTTATTTGTGAGGAATCTTCAAGGGGTTACTCTAGTGTAGACTTAGGGGCAGGGGAAATGAAGAAGGAAGTTCCACCACTCTGATCACCTGTGGAAAAATAAAAGATAAATGTGGCACTCAGATCTGGGGAGAGTTTTTTCCAAACACAGCAGGGCTGAGGGCTTTTACAGATCAACTCCTCAGCTCTCCCCACAGTGCCGGGAGGGAGGGGCTCTTAGTAGACCCAGTGGATGGGTTTGCCCCATGGTCAAGTAGGCAGAGCTGGAATCTGGGGTCTCCAGGGCCTCTAAGTCCTTCTTAGCCCCTCCAAACTCCCATTTAAGGCCCATGTTTCTTCGCTGCCTTAAGCCTCCACCATCCCCAACAATCCCACCCAATCTGAAAGGCTGACGCTCTTAGCAGGAGGCACGGGAGAGGGTAGAATCAAGATGTCGCTTTGTGGAGGGACCCAAAAGCCCAGAGTACAGTGGAAGGTGCCGCCTGGTGCTGGCAACACAAAGACGAGCTCCAGGGGTGGCCCATGGTGACCCCCAATCAGAGGACAGGCTGTCCCTGGCTCTGGAGAGGCAGCTACATGGCGGAAATGTTCTGACCCCCATGAAAAGACTCAGGAGCCACACGTGGCAGTAGTTTTAGGGCCAGCGACACCCATGGAGGGAAAGGGCTGTGTGAAGGTATTGGGGTTCTGGGGCTGGTCCCAGGGGGGTGAGGCTCCCACCAGCAGGAGCAGCCCTGGGAGACATCACAGCAGAGTGTCCTCTGAATTGGGTTCTTGGCTTTTGACCTCAAGAGCAGAGACACTGAGTGCCCTGGCAAGGAGAGGAGGGGCTGTGTTGGGAGAACAGACCTCTGAAATGTCTGTTGGGATGCAGGGCTGAAAGCTCTGTTCAAGAAGGACAGACACATCACATGGAGGCAGGTGTCACTGATATGGACAGGGGACAGGGAAATACTGGGTAGAAGAGGGCAGTTCCCAGGCAAAAGCCCCACCCTCAAGCCTGAAGAGCCACAGCCCTAAATGAGGACAGGCACTTCAGTTTTTGCACCCAAAAATTTGCTTTTTGGCCTGCCACACTCCCCATCCTTCCCCCATATAGACCCGAGACCTTAGCGGACACACACACAAACGGCTGAACGTCAGAACCAGCAGGCGAGTGACAACGGAACAACATGGCAGAGAAAGAGGGATGGGGAAGGACGTCCAGACGCCAAGGAGAGTTCAGCCGAGGGCGGTGGGAGAAGAATACAGCTGCTGGGCGGCCCAACTCCAGGGGAAGACCACCTTCCCACTCCATCCCCCACTTCCTGCTCCCCATCCGTCTCTCGGAGAGCCACCTCCACCGCTCAGTAAAACCTCGCACTCATCCCTCAAGCTTACATGTGATCCAATTTTTCAATACGTTGGGCAAGAACTCAGAATACAGAAGCCTGTCACACTGGCCTTGCTCTTGGGATAAGGCAGAGGGTTCATTGAGCTGATTAACACACAAGCTGTCTGCAAACAGCAAATCTAAAAGGGCTTGGTAACACATGCCCACTTGGGCTTTGGGAGTCAAAGACACCCACCCCTAGAGGCTGCCGTGGGGCCAGAGTCCAGAAGTGCTCCCCACGGCCTCTGCAGCTGCCCATCTGCATGCTTCCCCTAGGGGTTTGAGCAGCGAGTGACCGAAGGAGAGGGCCACACCCCTGTCGGATGTCCTGCAAGGGGGATAAGGGAACTGTCCCATTTCATCACTATAGGTAACTGCCAGCGACAGTCACTCCTAACTTTGTTCTAAAATGCCACCTGGAGGGCCTGTTTCCCATGGTAATTAGTTCATAGGCTTCTAGAGCTGGACGTTGGTAAAAGGCATTTTCCTTTTAAATAATTGTTTTCCTTTCAAAGATAGTTACATCTCCTAGAAAAGCTCACAAGAGAAGTCCCTCTCTTCCTCATAAAGGCCCAAGAAAAGGCAGTTCCTGGGGGGACCTGGGGTCATAAAATTTCAGTGTTGTTCAAAAAGGACCTTGCCCTGTTTGTTCACAATGCCCATCCCTGACTGCCTCCAAAAGGAAGCACAGCCGATCAAGTCCCCATCACCACTGTCAGGGGCATGGACAGGCTGCCTGCAATGTCTGGCTTTTTTTGGTTCCCACCTTCAAGTAGGTGTAAATGTAGATGAATTTGTGTCCAGCCGCTTCCTGTATAGAAAATCAGGACCCAGAGATGAAGACTCCGCCCAGGGGCTAGTTAGAACTTGGGGCTGCTTTGATGATGGTGATAGTGACAGGGACAGGGATGAGATGCTGCACAAACATGGCTGCCTGCATCATCCCTGACCCTCACTCTGCACACTCCTTTGTTAAGCCCACCTGCTCCCAGCCCCTAAGCTGAAAGTGAAGGTCAACGTGCCGTTGGGTGAACACGTAAGAACCTACTGTCATTCTTCATTTGCCAAAGGTCACTGACCTGAATCCAGGATTCCGAATTAAATACCATTGGAAAGTCAGTGTTTCAGCCACACTGGCCATACTGCAAGTGCTCATAGCCACATGTGGCTGGTAGCTTCCGCACTGGGCAATAGAGGCATAGAATGTTCCCATCACCCTGGAGCATTCCAGGGGGCTGTGCTGCCCTAGAAGTTTCCAAGGTGCCGTGGACATGACTGTGGAATCCTTTGAGTTTGTCTAGGGGCAGCAGTCAAGCAGGACTGTGCTTTCTCCAGCTCCTCAAATGCATTCCCAATCCAAAGAAGACCAAGAAACCAGCAGAGCAGGTGACACACCACGTGATAGAGAGGCAGGCTGGGAGGGAGTTTTCCCTGTTCACCTGGGGACTCCTGGATGTCAGCCCCAAGTTGCTGGTTCATTTTCTGGTTCTTTCTGCTGCTTTTGCTTACCTTGGAGAATGGGTCCAAGGCTTTGGAAAAGTCCTGTCTCCTGAGGAAAGCCCTGCAGACCCAGGAGGACATGACCTCAGTGGCCTTCAATGCACAAGGCTCTTTCTTGCCAATTCTTGAGAAGACTGAACAGAGCATTGTGGCTTCAGCAGCCCCTCCAGGGAGAACGATGGCCCAGGAACTCAGAGCACCATGTTCTTTCTGCAGGGAAAGGGGGGATTGCCGATTCTCCCCAGCACTGGAAGAGAACTCTGGAAGCCAAATGATTGATTGCTTCATCAGCTCTTGGAGATCCCCCTGTGTGAGCTTCTACCCAAAGCACACACTGCTGCTAAGCTGAATACAAGGTTAGGTGAGATGGCAAAAGGACTTGAATGTTATGCCCTCAACTAGAGAGGGCTGGGGGGAAAAAAGGACACGTTTTGAAGATTATTTCAATGCTCACAAATATTTATCCAAAGGGTGCTTCTCTTGGGGGTTGCAAAACATCCCCACGAGTAGGACACTGGAGCCCTAGGGGTAACCTGTCCATAGGAGCCGTACTTCTTTCTCAGTCACTGAGGTTGGAAGAGGGGAGAAGGGCCTGACCGATGTTCACAGACACACACACACACACACACACACACACACACACACACACACACACGAGAGGTTGGAATGCCACCTCTACAGCCATGGAGACGCTCCCATTTCATTTCCAGGCCCGGCGGCACACTGCTTGCATCATGCAGTTATTCAATCATCCTTTCAATGGTTGCCATTAACAACCCGATTCTTTAAAAATAATACTAAAAAAGGCTCATACGCTTTCTGAAAAGCTTCCCTAGAACAATCTGAGCTGCTCAGTCAACCGTAGACTGTGTTCAAATATCCACCTTCGCCAAGTCACACATTGGAAGGCTTCATTTCTACCCAGCAGTTTCTTCACCCTCAGGCTGTGGAGCACACACTCCAGGCAGCCTAGCCTCCTTCCCTCCTGTCCGCTGCCTCTTGGGCACCCTTCCCTCCTCCAGCATCCTCACTCCGCTTCCTTTCCTATGGATCAAGTGCCATCTATAATTCGAATTTAGAAGTTTGGCGTGAATAAAAGACTGACCTTCTCCCAAAATAATAACTCCAGATATTACTGAGAGGCTTATGCAACTTTGACTGCAATGTTAATGTTATCCCCGGGGCTTATTTAAATAGTAAATGACAAATAATTGATCACATTGATTCATTTGCTCTTCCCCGAGGCCTATCTGCTGGCTATTTTGGGGCCCCAAGGTCTCAGAAGTTATTAATTTAGTGCTGCTTACTCCTTTACATACTTAATAAATGTTGTGATTGATATCATGTCTTTCAATCAATGTCACTCACAGAACCGAGATTTGCAGCATTGGGGAACATCTGGCACATAAAATTGGTTTTGTAGGAAGTTTGTGTTTGGAGGAGGGAAAAGAGTGAGGAGAGGGATGCCCTGGCTCCCAGGGGGGACCGCAGACCCTGGCATCAAAGCTGTCTCTGACCCTTTTTCAGGAAGGCTTAGCTGCCTACCATTCAAGCCTCACTCTGGTTTTAAAAGGAAGAAAAATGGAACATTTAGAAACAGAACAAAATTCTGACCCACACCAAAAATATCTATATAAGATCATTATTCATGACTCAGTTGGTGTGAAAAAAGACAGCCTTGTTATCACAGCTCAGTCATATGAGCTCAGGCACCAAAATAGGATGTTTGGCAACTAGTCAAGTGTAATTAGTCGCTGCACAGAAATTGAATGGAGGAGTGAGAAGCCCAGGGCTGTGGAGGTGGGGGTGGTGCTTGGCTGGTTCCCACCTGCCCTGGCCCTGGCTCCAGCTAAAGAAAACCTGAGCTTTTGCTGAAGTTGGGACAATGAAGAGTAAAGGGGGTGAGTGGGGTGTTCCTGAACCCCATGAGCATGCCCTCGGCTCCCCGAGGACTTTTCCCATAATTGCTTCCGAATCTCTTTGGGCAGGAACATTTCCAGCTCCCACCGTGAACCTAGAAGAACCCAGGTCACCTGGAGACCCTGGAGGACGTCAGCTGATTGGCGGGCCCCATCTAAGCTGCTTATCAATTTGTGCTGCTCACTTTGCCAATCTTATGTAACTTCTCTTCGTGTAGTTCAGTGTTTTTCCCACCCAAATTTCAATGTAGGGTTCTTATATTAAATAGCCAAGGGAGTTGAGGACCCCAAAGCACATTGAGGCAGCTCTGCTTTAGGGAAAGTAGCATATAATGAAAAAATTGATATTAACTACTTTCCAAATTCCTGCGCCCTCCTGGATCCCTGGCCTGTTCCTGTCTTGCAAAGGCCCGCGGCACTCGCCAGCGATTGCTTCTTGTGGGAGAGGGAATGAAGACATCAGACTTCGCCCCATGCCTCAGCCCTTTGTTCTGCCTGTCTTCCCTTCCAGTGGTTCGTGAATGTTTGCAGCCAGCTGCATCCCGCCTGGCTGAAGGAACACTGTAGTCATGTACTCAGCATGTTCACTACAAACAGTAGCTTTCATTTGCATCTTTCCTTCTGTGTGCCCGGGAGAGTGATTTTATAAATCAAAGCTCCAGTTTTGCTTAGATCTGGATAGTTCTTAAAAGAAAAAAAATCAGGTGGAGTTTTTGTGCTTAATTTTCACTGGTGAAATGTTATGTCTAAGCTACAGTTTATTTAAGGAAATTAGTAGCTTGAAATGGAGAGAAAGGAGAGACAAAATGGTTTGAAAAAGAGGGGAGGGGAGGTCAGGAAGGTAGCAGAGGGGACCAGGTAGCAGTCTGTGTTTGCACAGCTCCTCCAAGGTCCCTTCACCGCCTCCTCCCTTGCCTCTGCCATGTTCTCCACTGGGACACATTCATGGTCCTCCAGTCCCCTTTCTGCTGCACCTGCTGCCTCCTGAGCTCCACACTCCTCTCAAGCCACCTGCTGGGTCATTCTCGGGACTGCCAGCTTGGATCTGAAACCCAGAATCTCTGCACCCAGATTCAAGCCTGGAACATCACCCCTGCTGAGTGACAGGAGTGGACAAACATGAGTGGAGGCTCTGAATTCTAGTCCCACCTGGATATTTGGGCGGGACACCTACCCTCCCTGAGACTGTTTTGTCAGCCTTCCCCACCTAGAGGATTTGCGAAGATTAAAATTAGAATTCTTTATCTAAGCATTCTGTACAACTACTTTGGCACACATAGGCACTCAGTAATAGTCACATGTAGTTATTATTGTTAATTATTCTCCAAGTCACCCAGGCTGAGAGTCCTAGAAAGATCCATGCTACCCTCCCTTCATGGCTCCTGTCCAACTTGCGCTGAAGAATGATACACTCAACCTCTGAAGTGCTCCGTGCATCTGTCCCCTTCCTTTATTACTGTGTCACCACCTGGCTCCATTCTACTGACTTCCAGCCTTCTCTGGTGCAAGAACTCCCTAGCTCCGGGACATTCACATCCCACAGCCCGGTGGTCTTCATGAGACAAAGCTCAACTTTGCCGTTCACAGCATCAGACAGCCTCGTGCATCCCTGTAGTCTCAAGTACACTCTTGGCATAAAGCAGCATAGGTAGGGCCCCAGCCTACTGCCCCTCAGGGGTGCTCAGTGAGTCTGGGACCCACTCTTTTCTCTGTAGCTGGAGGGTCAGCTCCACACACTGAAGAGAGTTTTTGCCCCTGTCTTCTTCTGTTCAGGCTGCTATAACAAAATACCATAAACTGAGTGGTTTATAAACAATAGAAATGTATTGCTCATGGTTCTGGAAGCTGGCAAGTCCAAGATCAAGGGTCTGACTCATTTAGTTCCTGATGAGGACTCTCTTCGTGGTTCATAGACAGTGCCTTCTCACTAAGTCTCCACGTGGTATAAGGGGTGAGGAAGCTCTCTGGGCTTCTTTCATAAGTAACTAATCCCACCATGGCAGCTCCACTCCCATAACCTCCTTACTTCCCAAAGGCTCCACCCACTAATGCTACCACCTTGTGTGTTTGGACTTCAAAATTCGAAGGGACACAGACATTCAGACCAAAAAACCAGCAGAGCAGGTGACACACCACGTGATAGGGAGGAAGGCTGGGAGGGGGTTTTCCCGCTCCCCTGGGGACACCTTGGTGTCAGCCCCAAGATGCTGGTCCATTTTCTGGTTCTTTCTGCTGTTTTTTCTTACCTTGTTCACACAAGGTATGCTCACACATAGCACATCCCTTACTCCGAGTTTTCCACCTCCTGGTTTGCCATTCTTGTACTGTCACCTGTGGAAACCTGCCCAACACCAAGACCCAGATAAAGACGCCGTGGCAGGGAACTGCCCTCAGTTCCCCCAGTTAGAGATCCCTAGCTCCTCTGCCCCACACTCCAAAACACAGATCATGAAAGGGGACCCCCCAGCTACAAACCATTGTTCCCAGTATATGTCTGCCTCCCAGACCACCCGCTTAAGGAGGATGTTCTCATCCTCTCTGCTTCCCTCGCCGGCTCTGGCAGCAGGGTCTGCATAGCTGGCCTCAGCAAACCTATGCTGAATTGAACTCAATTGAATTGCCCTGAACTGGCCAGAGGGTGAAACTCTGCCAGGCCCCTGTTCCCCAGCCTTTCAATTGGTGCCCGCTGTTCCTTCACTCTCCCCTTGGCACATGGGCCGCGTCTGGGCAGATGCTGATCACACACATTAATCCCACGCCCATGATGACTCTGGTGGGCCCCTGGAGCTTCCGATCCTGTTGATGATGCAGTTAGTACACAGACCCCAAGCTCAGAGCTGCCACATCAACTGTAGAAACCTCATCCTTTTCTATGATTAGCCAAGTCAAAATCATAAAACACAGTGCACGTAAAAATGCTGCCTTTGCAGGGAAGCAGATTTGAGGGACAATTCTAATTTTCTCAAAGCAGCCTTTTTGAAATATAACTTATATTAAATGAACCTCCCCATTTTGAAGAGTTTTGACAAATGCATACACCGTCACCATCAAGATATAGAATATTTCCATCACTCCAAAAAGTCCTATTTTTAACTACAAAGTTTATTTTTAGAGCAATTTTAAGTTCACAGCGAAACTGAGCAGAAGGTACAGAGATTTTCCAAGTACCCTCCATACCCACATTTGCACAGCCTCCCCCATGATCAGCATCATCTACCAGAGTGGTATACTTACTGAAATTAATTGGCATGCATTGACATGCCACTATCATCCAGAGTCCAGGGTTTGCTCTTGGTGCTGGTCATTCTGTGGATTTGGACAAGTGCAGAATGACACATGTCCACCATTTTGGTATCATCCAGGGAAGTCTCACTGCCCTAAAAATCCTCCAGACTGGTGTTCTATCTATTTGTCTCTTCCTTCCCAAAACCCCTAGCCACCACTGATCTCCATCGTTTTGTCTCTTTCAGAATGTTGTATAGTTCAAATCACACAACCTTTCCAGATTGGTTTATTTCACTTAGTAATATGTACTTAAGGCTATTCTTCCATGTCTTTGTATGGCTTAATAGCTTATTTCTTTTTAGCACTCAATAATATTCCATTGTCTGGATATGCTACAGATATTTTCATTCACTCACCTACTGAAGGACATCTTGGTTGCTTCCAAGTTTTGGAAATTATGAATAAAGCTATCATATACATCTGTGCACAAGTTTTTGTGTGAACATGTTTTAAACTCCCTTGGATAAATACCAAGAAGTGTGATTACTGGATCATATGGTAAGAATGTTTAGTTTTGTAAGAAACTGCCAAACTGCCTTCCCAAGTGGCTGCATCATTTCGCATTCCTGCCAGCCATGAGTGAGCATTCCTGTTGCTCCACAGCCTCATCAGCATGTGGTGATGTCAGTGCTTTGGATTTTGGCTATTCTAATAAGTGTGTAGTGGTGTCTACTATTTTGCAATTTCTTAATGACATATGATGTTGGACATCTTTGCATATGCTTACTTGCCTTCTGTATACCTTCTGTGGTGAAGTATCTGTTAAGGTCTTTGGCTTTTTTTTTTTTTTTACATAAGGTGTTGTTCATTTTCTCATTTTCTTATTGTTGAGTATTAAGAGTTCTTTGCACATTTTGGATAAACATCTTTTATCAGACGTGTCTTTTGCAAATATTTTATCCCAGTCTGTGGCTTGTCTTCTCATTCTCCTGACATGTCTTTATAGGCACAGTTTTTAATTTTAATAAAGTCTACCTTATCAATTATTTTTTCATGGATTATGCATTTGGTGTATTTCAAAAGTCATCACCATATCCAAGATCATTTAGATTTTCTCCTATATTATCTTCCAAGAGTTTTATAGTTTTGCATTCTATATTTGGGACTATAGTTCATTTTGAGTTAATTTTTGTGAAGTGTGTACAGTCTGTTTCTAGTTTCATTATTTTGCACATAGATTTCCAATTATTCCTGTATCATTTGTTGAAAAGATTATATCTTTGCTTGGTCATTTTAACTTTGCTCCTTTGTCAAAGATCACTTGACTATATTTATGTGGGATGGTTTCTCAGCTTTCTTTTCTGTTCTAGTGATCTATTTGTCTATTCTTTCACTAGGACCACACTATCTTGATTATTTCAGCTTCACAGTAAATCTTGAAGTCAGGTAATTTCAGTTCTCTGACTTTGTTTTTCTCCTTTAATATTGGGGTGGCTATTCTGGGTCTTTTTCCTCTCCATATAAACTTTGGAATCAGTTTGCTGATATCTACAAAATAACTTGTGGGCTTTTGATTGGGATTGCATTGACTCTATGGATCAAGGTAGAAAGAACTGATGTCTTGATGATATGGAGTCTTTCTATCTATGCACGGGCAAGATTTATTTAGTTTTTTTTTAATAACTTTCACCAGAGTTTAGTAGCTTTCCTCATTTGGGTCTTGTACAATTTTTTTTAGATTTACACCTAAATAATTCATTTTAGAGGGTGCCAAAGTAAATAGTAATGTGTTTTTTATTTCAAATTCCATTTGTTCATTGCTGGTACATAGAAAACCAATTGACTTCTGTATATTAACCTTGTATACTGCAACCTTGCTATGATCACTAATTAGTTCCAGGAGGGTTTTTGTTTTTTTTCGTTTTTTCAGATTCTTTCATATTTTCTATTTAAGTGATAATGTCACCTGTGAGCAAAGACAATTTTATTTCTTTCTTCATAATCTGTATACCTTTTATTGCCTTTCTTTTTCTGATTGTATTAGCTAGGACTTCCAGTATGATGTTGACAGGAGTAGTGAGTTGGGACATCCTTACTTTGTGTATTAGACCATTCTCACATGGCTAATAAAGACATACCGAAGACTGGGTAATTTATAAAGGAAAGAGGCTTAATTGACTCACAATTCAGCATGGCTGGGGAGGCCTCAGGAAACTTACAATCATGGTGGAGGGGAAGCAAACACATCCTTCTTCACATGGCAGCAAGAAGGAGAAGTGCAGAGCGAAGAGTGGGGGAAGCTCCTTAATCTCATGAGAACTCATTATCACGAGAACAGCATGAGGGTAACCACACCCATGATTCAATTACTTCCCACTGGGTCCCTCCCACAACATGTGGGGAATATGGGAACTACTCTTCAAGATGAGATTTGGGTGGGGACACAGCCAAACCATATCACTTTGTTCCCAATCTTGGGCCATTTCTAGGATCAAGACTTTCCACAGAGTGTCAGCACTCACGACACCAATGGCACAGAGATGAGGGACTGTCCACTGCAGCCCAACAGATGGGGTTGGCTACACAGCATGACTGACCAGTCATCAGTCCAGTGCAAAGGTCATGGTGGGGCACATGCATTGGCCCTCTGCTCTGACATAGCCAATCAGCAAGCTGGGAAGTGTAGGCCCTGTGGGCTGAAGTCCACGTAAGTGCTAGCAGGGCAGGCAGGGGGCAAAACTGGGAGGCTCTTGAGGGATTGGGTGCAGCTGCCAGTCCCTGATGTGGGCCTAGGATCTCGGCTCCAAAAGGGCTTTGGACTTCTTTGCAGTGGACACAGGAAAGAATGGTTAGAGAGAGTGAGGATATACCAGTGGCTCAGTGCGTCTTCCCAGGAAGAGATCAAGGGGAGAACTGTCCATTTTCAGTCACCAGCACCCTTGATATCAGCCAGAGGGCAACCAGGGTGGAAAGCCCACAGGCTGAGAGGTTAAGAAGATAGATGCATGGACTGAGTCACCAGGGCAGGACACTGTCTCCGCTCACTGCAACCTCTGGGAACCCCTGGGCCTGTGCCCAAGATGGAGGGATTCTTAAAGATTCCACAAATGTGGGTGGGGGAAGGACAAGTGACAGCAGAGTCAATGGTTGGGAGGAGCAAAATAATTTTGTTTTGTGAGATAAGAAAAAGCCTGGGGTCTTGGCAAGTTGTCAATATGACCTAAGTCACTTAGAAAGCCCCGTTTTAGGAATCCCAGCACAGTTGTTAGGGACATAGCATCCCAGAGAGGTGTGGCTGAGGCTGAATCCAGGCCACTTCAGTCCCACTCCTTGGGCAGGTGACACAGTCTTTGGGGATTTGCTTCCTCCTTTTTGAAATGGGGGCAATAGGTCCTACCTTGCAGAATGGTTAAAGGAGACAATCCAAGCGAAGAGCTGAGGGTAGAACCCAGCAAAAGACACCTCTTATGGTCCTCCTTTTACTCATTATAGACCCCACCTTTCATAGTTCTAGAATAAGGTGTTAAGTCCCCTGCAGAGATGCACTCTGGCAAGAGAAGGAGGCAGGGAGGCCGACGAATCGCTCTCAATTAACCTGCAGGGAGCCCTGGACTCTAGTTGACCGCACAGCTGGTTAGAGGAGACAGCTGAGAAAACTGACTTAGGTGGGAATGTTTCGGAGGGAACGTTTCTTAGGCAAGTTTTGATTGTGGAGTAGCGGGGAGGGCACAGGAGAAAGGGAGACCAACCAGGGAGCCAGGCTCTGGGGTCACCACAGTCCAGCATGGCCGGCTGCACCAGGGGAGGTGATTAAGAAAAGACAACCCCTGTCCCGCCTGCTCCATCCTGCCCACATGCCTGGAGCCACAGAGCCAGCCTGCCAGACCTGTGTAGGCATTGCTGGGCGTAGGCTTGGTGTGGCCCTATCCCAAAAGTCAGTCAGCCAGCTCGCCTTGCCAATCGCACTGAGTTCGGAGCTGTGCTGGAAAGGACTGGCTGGTGTGGAGAGAAAGGCGGCTTCCATGTGGCCTGCAGGGGCTGGACAGCAGGCAGTGCCAACTGGGAGAATGACGATGCCAATCCATAGCCTAGAGTTCTGTGACAAGGGCCACTTTGAAGAGAACTCACTAGAAAATCAAGGAGGAAATCCCCAGCCAAGACGATATAAAAATATAGCATCCCTAAGCAGGTGCCACTGTGTGCAGTGAACCTCCATCTTCTCCACGGCCCTGCCCGGTCATCACAGCTAGCCCATTTTATAGACCAAGGACACTGTTTTAGGCAGTTTTTGCATCACTATAAAGGAATACCTGAGACTCAGTAATTTATAAAGAAAAGGAGTTGAATTCGCTCATGGTTCTCAGGCTGTATGGGAAGCATGGTGCTGGCATCTGCTCCTGGTGAGGCCTCAGGAATCTGTCAATCATGGCAGAAGGTGAAGGGCGAGCAGATGTGTTGCATGGAGAGAAAAGCAGGAAGAGAATTGGAGGTGGGCAAGATAGGGGAGGTCCCAGACTTTTAAACAACCAGATCTCAAGTGAGCTAACTGAGCAAAAACTCACTCATCATCAAGAGGATGGTGCTAATCCATTCATGACAGATTCACCCTCATGATCCAGTCACCTCCCAGCAAGCCCCACCTCCAACATCGAGAATCACATTTCAGCATGAGATTCAAAGGGGGCACATTCAAATAGTCTCAGATGCTCAGAAGTTTCAGGGGACGTAGGCGCTAATGGTCCTGCTCTGAACATGGAGGACTGATCTTGGCTGTAACCAAGGCTCTGCCAGCAACACTCACAGCCAAGTGACCCTTGGTGAGTCACCAAGCTCAGTGTGCCTCAGTTCCCACAATTGCAAAGTGGCTCCAGCCTTCACCTTCTCAGATCCCTCCTCAGTCTTTGCTGGTGGGCTGCATCATTGTTCACACAGCAGAGGCCCTCCTCAGGGGAGGAGGAGGCTTCCCTGACCCATTTGATGTCAAGTTAGTTAGTTCGGGTCCAGTCCACCCAATGACACGTGAGCAGCAGCAACCTGTTTCCCAGCTGCAGAGGAGCTTTAAGAGCCAGCACATGGTGCAGTTTTTGTTCTCATTACCATGATTTCAGAAATGTTCTGGAGAAAGGTAACTTCATCATTCTGGTTCTAGACGAAAGATGACACAGCCCAGAGCCACACTGACATGGATGAACACATAGAATGGAGAAGAAATAAGTCTTCAGGGCAGGAGGGCCTGGGTTTTGGGTGGTGGTGTTACAGCAGCATAACATGTCCTGCCCTGACTGATGTTCACCTCCCACTTCTCCCCTCCACGCCCACCTCCCCCATTCCACTTCCTAACCAAACCAGAGTGAACTGCAGCCCCGTCCCCAGCCCCACCCTCCGCCAGGGTCCATATCTTCCCACAGCATTCATAACATGGAAAACATTGTATAGTTTCTTTTTCCATGTTGCTCATCTTCTGTCTCCCCCAAAAGAATATAAACTCCTTGAAAGCAGCAATTTTTGTCTCTTGTTCATGACTGCATCTTTGCACCAGAACAGTGCTTGGCACATGAAAGGTACATATGCTCACATGCATGCATGCACACATGTGCACATACAGGCACAGGCATGCACAAGAGCACACACACAAAACAAATACATTAACACAAAATAGCAAAAATGAACCCAGGCCCCATCCTAGGTGAAATACATACGTATTTAATTCTTGCAAATAACCTGGTGATATTTCCAATGCTATTATTTTGATCCCCACTGTACAGATGAGAAAACTGAAGCACAAAGAAGTCAAGGGAAACTGCCCAAGGTCACCTGCTGAGCCAGCAAGGTCCAGGCCACACCCTCCGTCACTGCTATCCTGCCTGTCAACAGCACCTTCTTCACGGCATGGATTGGGGAAGGTCAAGCACTTGAGACATAGGAAGAAATTAACAAGCAGCAGAAGCCATAGGAGATCAGCGGCCAGCATTGCTGCCATTCCTTGTCCAGGGTCAGGAAGCCAAGAAGAGGCAGGGACGTTGTCCTCTGGGCCCCCTGACCCCACCACTCATGCTGCTCCAGGACATCAGCATTTTCCAGGCATGGTCAAGTGTCAAGCTCCTCAGGGGAGATTCCAAAACTTAGCAATCCCTGGGCCCTGGGTCCGGACTCAGACCCTTTTCAGATAAGAGCCAAACATCTGTATTTTTGAAGAGCAATTTGGGTGCAGCTGCTCCAGAGACCAACGTAGAAGAGCATCTGCCCCACCCATCACTCATCCCCTGGCAGTGGCAGACCCCACACCCTCCCTGGGGTAGAAGGACAAGCCAGAGGAACTGGGTACTGGGCCTCTCTACCTTCATATCAGGAAGTCGCCAGCTGAGTCCTTGGTGGGGTCATCACTCTCATCTCCACCAGGATGATATGCCATCCCATCCTCATTCAGCATGAGAACAGACAGATGGCATGTGATGAGGGGTGAGCAACCCCACCCAGAGCCCTAGTGTCGCCTAAGGAACAAAGCTTGGAGGGCTTTGGTGTGGGCCTCTGGAGAACAGTCATAGATAGGTCCAGGGTGGTGATCTCCATGAAATTCTGTCTTCTTTCGGAGTTGGAAAGGGTTTCTCTTCCTAGGACCATGGCCTCCAGGTGCCCCCTGATTGCTCAGTGGTTTATTTTCTCTAACACTGTTCCCTTCCAACTCCAGGTTAAAGACCGTGGTTCCCTGGCGATGTGGGTGAGCACACAACGTCAGTTAGAGTTCTCCTGGGATTTTTTCTATTGGAGCATGTTACAGGTTGAACTGTGTCCCCCAAAATTTATATGTACAATTTTTAACTCCAGGAACCTCAGAATGTGATTTTCTTTGGAAAAAGGGTCTTTGCAGATGAAATTATTGTAGTTAAGTTAGGATGGAGTCACACTAGAGTAGGTATACCCCTAACTCAATGTGACTGCTGTCATTATAAAAAGAAGACATTTGGATGTGACTCCTGTCATTATAAAAAGAAGACATTTGGACGTATACACACACACAAAGACACACAGGGAGAACACCATTTGAAGATAAAATAGAGATCAGGGTGATGCCTCTACAAGCCAAAGAATAACAAAGAGTGCCCACAAACAACCAGCAGCTGGGAAAGGAGCCTGGAACAGACTCTTCATCACAGCCTCAGAAGGAACAGACCCTGTCATCACCTTGACCTCAGACTTCTGCTCTCCAGAACCAGGAGAGAATAAATTTCTGTTGTGTAAGCCACCAAGTCTGTGGCACAGAGTGGTACTGAGACATTCCTGTATCTTGTGCCAAGGAACTGAAGCCATGGAATTCAGAGGCTGCTTCTGATTCTGTTCCTTGGACCATAGAGATGCTTATGTCCTGTCAGAGAGAACCAAGTCAAGAAGCAGCAATGAATGAGAACAAGAGAGAATTTTGACAGTGATTAAAACCTGTTTCCAGTCCCCAAAGCTCTGCTTTCTTGGAAAAGCTCTGCACTCTTTTTTGGACTCCAGTATCCTTCCAACAATGCATTGTGGAGAGTAGGATTCTTTGGGTGGCAAGTAACAAAAACCCTATTACTGTGCGTGCTTTCTGAAAAGGCTGTTGGACCTTACATTAGTCTGTTGTTTTCATGCTGCTGATAAAGATGTACCTTAGACAGGGAAGAAAAAGTGGTTTAATAGATTTACATTTCCACATGGCTGGGGAGGCCTCACAATCATGGTGGAAGGCAAGGAGGAGCAAGTTGCATCTTACATGGATGGTGGCAGGCAAAGAGAGAGAGCTTGTGCAGGGAAACTCCCACCTTTAAAACCTTCAGATATCATGAGACTCATTCACTATCAAGAGAACAGCACAGGAAATACCTGACCACATAGTTCAATCACCTCCCAGCAGGTTCCTCCCATGACAAGTGGGAATTGTGGGAGTTACAATTTAAGATGAGATTTGAGTGGGGACACAGCCAAGCCACATCAGACCTTTAAAGGCCCAGATCATGATCTTCGATCTAAATCCTAAAACAGACTCTACTCTGAATGCTTTTGCTACACCTGCCTGTTCACCTATTTCTGTCCTGTGTCCTGGCCAAGACATGTCACCATGACTTCTTCTTTGCAGACACTGCAGCTCCAATCCCAAAAAGGGCCATTCTGCTTCCTCATGCAGCAGAGTCTCTGCAGCCACGTGACTGGGTAGATGGAAACTTTATCTCCCCTGGGACTAAAATGTGATTGGTCTGAACTAGTCCTTCCCCTGGCCAAGGGCCAGTCTAAGCAACAAAGGGTGATCCACTATGGCCAGTGGAGTTGAGGAACACTTGCTGTGGTGTGGGCACAGGGGATGCATTTTCCTCCCTAGTTTGAAAAATAAAACTAAATATGAGCCACGGGGGACCTAGGTCTGCCTGTGAAGCCTGAAATTACAGCAGACATGCTTCACCCTGGAGGGTGACATGCTTGGGTGTCGCTGATGGAAGAGCAAAACACAGGAATCTTCCAGGCCTTCGATAATGCCATCATGACACTGAAACTGCAGACTCCATAGAACCACTCTGCCCCTAGTCTTCTCATTTGTGAGTTAACAAACATCTTATGTTGACGCTTTTTATTCAGGGCTTCGTTTATTTGCAGTCTGATAAAGTTTGGGTCTGTGTCCCTGCCCAAATCTCATGTCAAATTGTAATCCCCCATGTTAGAGGTGGGTCCTGGTGAGAAGTGATTGGATCATGGGTGCAGACTTCTTCTTTGGTGTTGTTCTCATGACAGTGAGTGAGTTATCATGAGATCTTGTTCTTTAAACGTGTGTCACACCTTTCCCCTCTCTCTCTTCCTCCTGCTCTGGCCATGTGAAGACGTGTCTGTATCCCCTTTGCCTTCTGCCATGATTGTAAGTTTCCTGAGGCCTCCCCAGCCATACTTCCTGCACAGCCTGTGGAATGGTGAGCCAACTAAACCTCTTTTCTTTATAAATTGCCCCATCTCAGGTATTTCTTTATAGCAGTGTGAGAACAGACTAATACACATTCAAAAGTATCCTAATGTACATACTTCTCAAAGCACAAATACACAAAGTGGAGATGTGCGGGTGGGCTGCTGTGCATCGTCCTGGTGCAGTTGGCTGCCAAGAGGGTGCTCAGATGTTTACCCATACATGCAAACATCTAGCAAGCGCTTGCATCTCCTATGACATCCTGTTCTGCAGCCTTCTACCTCCAAGGCTGAGCCACGAGACTTCTTGCCTTGAGGAACCCAGGCTCTGGGAATAAAGAGCCCATGCATCAACACTTTGTCTTGGAACTGAGTTTATTAGAACTATTCAGCAAAACAAGGCAAGTGAAACCTAGATGTTGCCCTGAGAATGGGACTTTCTAAGTTGTCTTATCTTGTAGAACACAGCAGGACCAAGCCCAAAGGTCACACTGAGCATCTTCCCCAGTGAAGGGGACTCTCCTGCTGCCTGTTAAGTGTAGGGCAGTTGGTGTGTCCAGTGGCCTTTCTGCTCTAGGGTATTGAGGGGGAGAAGAGTTGGTGAGAAGGTCCATGACTCTGCCCAGCATGGACACCATGGAAGCCTCAATTCTTTATCAAAATCAGACCCAAAACTTAGGTAAAGAGACTACTGAGGTTTTTACAGAGCAACATAATTCACCTTTCTTTACCTTCCTGCATTAGTTTCCCAGGGCTGCTGGAACAAAATACCACATATTGGGTGGCCTGGAACAACAGAAATGTATTTTCTCACAGTCCTGTAGTCCAGAAGCCCAACATTGAGTGTTGGCAGAGCTTCTACTTCTGTGGCTGGGAGGGAGACTCTGCCCCATACCTCTCTCCTGCTTCTGGTGTTTGCTGACGATCTTTGACATCCCTTGGATTGTAGAAGCATCACCCCCCATCTACCTTTCTATTCACATGGGGTACTGCCTGTGTGTGTGTGTCTGTGTCCAAATTTCTCTTTTTATAAGGATACCAGTCATATTGGATTAGGGAACTCACAAAGACTCTATTTCCAAATAGGGTATGGGGGGTTAGGACTCCAATGCATCTTCTTTGGGGATACTATTCAACCTGTCATACTTCTCAGGTTCAGAAGGAATGGTTCAAGAGGAAAATGCATGTGTCAGAGACAGAAAGACCAAAATACAGCTCTTGGCTGCTGGTAAAGTCAGTTGGGAGTGCAGTTTAGATAAACAATCAAAACAGGCTCCCCAGCTTGAAGGTGGCCCTTCAAACCCCCAGGGAAAGTCAGCACACAGTGGAGCATGGACAACAGCACAACCCCTTCATGTTTAGGCAAACGCAAAGATAAGCAGCTGATCTTTCTCCCAAATTCACCCATCACTGGCGAAGTTCTCTGAATAGCCCACCTGCTCCTCCCTTCCCACTCATCCCATCCTGAAACCCCCACCAGCTACCCAGCAAGGTAGAATGAGGGAGGTAAGCCACACACTTAGAGAGAAGAACTGGATTTCCTCGCACATCTGGGCATGGCATTAATAGACTGGAAACCCATAAGTATAAATAAAAACAATTGCATGATTCAAAATAACATATATTATAATGTATATTAATAGACTGTGCAGTGGTTCCAGATTGACAGAAATATGCTCTGAAATCTCCAGGTCAGGGCCATGCCTCATGCCAATTGGCATGGACCCCCACCTCCCACTGTCCCTGATGCAGGCAGGTCTTGAATAAACGTTAGTTTAATATTTCTACGGATCAGTGCATATGGAATGGAGGCCAGTCTGACATGGTAATTAAATGTCTCTTTTCAATGCTTTATAATTAAATTTTTTTAAATTTTATGAACCTAAATATAAATTGTAAGAAATGAAATGTGTGAGCAAATAAAAAAGATGAATTCAATGAATTATCGCAAAGGAGTTTGGCCAAACTTCTCAGGCTGAGGCAACGGTCCCCACAAGGCTGCCCTCACTTCAGACATCAGCCGCAAGATTAGGGGTCCCCAGGGGCACCCTCATGTCAGAGGGTGGATCACAAAACTCAGGGCAATGCTATGGTTACAATTACATTCTAATGACAGCAAAAAGATACAAATTAGAACAAGCAAAGAAAGAGACACAGAGTTGGGGCATCTGGGAAGCCCTGCATGGGGAGGTGTCACATGTTCTCCTTCCTCTCCCAGAAGGGACTTGTGAAAATATGTGCCAAGTATGGCCAACCCAGGAGGCTTACCTGAGTGTCAGCATCTATGGTTTTACTGAGGTGTGATATGGTTTAGCTGTGTTCCCATCCAAAACTCATCTTGAATTGTAGCTCCCATAATTCCCACATGTTGTAGGATGGACCTGGTGGGAGGTAATTGGATCATGGGGGTGAGTCTTTTTCTTGCTGTTCTCGTCATAGTGAATAAGTCTCAGGAGATCTGAAGGTTTTATAAAGGGGAGTTCCCCTGCACACACTCTCTTGCCTGCAGCCATGTAAGATGTGACTTTGCTCCTCCTTCATCTTCTGCCATGATTGTGAGGCCTCCCCAGCCATGTGGAACTGTAAGTCCATTAAACCTCTTGCCTTTATGAACTATCCAGCCTCAGGTATATCTTTATTAGCAGCATGACAATGGGATAATACAAGGTGGACTTAACCACTGGTCGTGTGGCTGAACTTAAACTCTAGCCCTCCCCTCCCTCCATGAAGTGGAGTTGATTTCCCATGTCCCAAAGCAGACACACTCTAATCACATGGTTGGTCTTTCTGGTGTGCCAGCCCCCATCTTGAGTCATCTCATCCACATAAAGTCTTGAGGGGCCTGCCCTGAGCCACACCATGAGCAGAGGTCCCCATAAACAACACTGCTGCTCCTATCACTTGGGAAATTCCAAAGGATTAGTGTTGTGGGAAGTCAGGGACCCCTGAATGGAGGGACCCGCTGAAGCCGCAGCACAGGAACATAAATTGTGAAGATTTCATGGACATTTATCAGTTCCCAAATAATACTTTTATAATTTCTTATGCTTGTCTTTACTTTAATCTCTTAATCCTGTTATCATCCTAAGCTGAGGATGTACGTCACCTCAGGACCACTGTGATAATTGTGTTAACTGTACAAACTGATTGTAAAACATGTGTGTTTGAACAATATGAAATCAGTGCACCTTGAAAAAGAACAGAATAACAGCATTTTTTAGGGAGCAAGGGAAGACAACCATAAGATCTTACTACCTGTGGGGTCGGGCAAAAAGAGCCATATTTTTCTTCTTGCAGAGAGCCTATAAATGGACGTGCAAGTAGGAGAGATATCCCTAAATTCTTTTCCTAGCAATGAATAATAAAATATTAATACCCTGGGAAAGGAATGTGTTCCTCGGGGGAGGTCTATAAATGGCCACTCTGGGAATGTCTGTCTTATGCAGTTGAGATAAGGACTGATACACCCTGGTCTCCTGCAGTACCCTCAGGCTTATTAGAGTGGGGGAAATCTCTGCCCTGGTAAATTTGTGGTCAGACCAGTTGGTTCTCTGCTCTCAAACCCTGTTTTCTGTTGTTTAAGATGTTTATCAAGACAATGCGTGCACCGCTGAACATAGACCCTTATCAGTAGTTCTGCTTTTGCCCTTTGCCTTGTGATCTTTGCTGGACCCTTATCAGTAGTTCTGCTTTTGCCCTTTGCCTTGTGATCTTTGCTGGATCCTTATCAGTAGTTCTGCTTTTTGCCATTTGAAGCATGTGATCTTTGTACCTACTCCCTGTGCTTACATCCCCTCCCCTTTTCAAACCCTTAATAAAAACGTGCTGGTTTGAGGCTCAGGTGGGCATCATGGTCCTACCAATATGTGATGTCACCCCCAGCGGCCCAGCTGTAAAATTCCTCTCTTTTTACCCTCTCTCTTTATTTCTCAACTGGCCAACACTTATGGAAAATAGAAAGAACCTACATTGAAATATTGGGGATGGGTTCCCCCAATAGTTAGAGTTCACCTTGCAGAAGCCAGGACAAAAGCCAGACCTCTGAAGAAGTGGGGGCATAGTCTTCGTTACACAGTTATCACAATTTGCAACCCTATTGCAACAAAATAAATATTTGCCATATAAACGTCTGCATCCAGAAGTGAAAGCCCCTTTGTAGGAATGTTTAAATTTAGTAAGAGCTAGATTTGAGTTGCTTCAGAGGAGTTCCCACTCAAACTAATGTACTGTAAAATACATCAAAGTCTAGCATATTTTCTGTGCATCCAAGGTGATGAGTAAGACAAACCTGTGACAGTAAAGTTATTGAACATTTATAAAGATGTGGATGTAAATGACGTCATGTTGATGCCAGAGAATGACTCTGCCTGAAACAATTTCCATCAATAAAGAGCTCTCAGTAGCATGACTTGATGATTCATTGGGCAGTTACTCAGCACCAACTATTTGCAAGATAGTGATGAGCTTTGTGAACATTCACCTTCCTTTGGAGTTCTTAATTTTTACCACAATTATTCTAAAATAGGAACCCCTCCTCCCCAACCTTCTTAGAGAACCTCAAAGAGTGACCAGTTAATTTTTTAAACACTCAAATAACAATCTTTTTTTTTAGAAGGGGTCTCACTCTGTTGCCTAGCCTGGAGTGCAATGATATGATCTTTGCTCACTGCAACCTCAGCCTCCTGGGTTCAAATGATTCTCCTGCCTCAGCCTCCCCGGTAGCTGGGATTACAGGCATGCACCACCACATCCAGCTAATTTTTGTATTCTTAGTAGAGACAGAATTTCACCATGTTGGCCAGGCTGGTCTCAAACTCCTGACCTCAAGTGATCCACCCACCTTGGCCTCCCACCAAATAACAATCTTTTCCTGCCAAAAGTAAATTTGCTAAAATGCTTGCTGAAGAAACAGAACACAAATTTCAGGTGCTATGGGTTGAATTATGAACCTTCCGTAGTCTTATGTTGAAGTTCTAAGCCCCAGTACCTGAGGATGTGGCCTTATTTGGGAATAGGCTCATTGCAGGGTCATTAGTTAAGATAAGGTCACACTGAGTAGGGTGGGCAGTCATCCAATCTGGCTGGTGTCCTTGTAAGAAGAGATTAGGACACAGACACACATAGAGGACACAGGAAGGAGACACCCACCTTCAAGCTACAAGAGAGGCCTCAGAGGGAAGCAGCCCTGCCCACACCTTGATCTTAGACTTATGGCCTCCAGGACTGTGGGAGAACACAATTTTATTGTTTAAAGTGCCCAGTGTGTGTATTTTGTTTTGCAAAGTATTGCAGTGGATACACAAAGGCACCGAAGACTCTTTCTGAAGGGAAAACTACCCGTAAAGCAAATCTATCTGCCTGAGTTAGGAAACCACAGATGAGCACGGGGTTCTCACAAAGACACACACAGACAGGAAATGTCGATTCACCACTTTCAGCTGGGTGCTGACAGCACTGTCATCTTTCTTTTCTTCCTTTCGGTTTGGAAAATTCAGCATCATTGGTCAGGGCCCAAAAGCCATCCCTTATGCTTGCATTTTGACCAATACCTGACTACTCAAAGTGAAAAGTGACAGCCACCCTGAGCCCAGATCCTGGAGGCCCCACATCTAATGATAATCAGAGAAGAGAGAATGTGGGGAGAAGAGAAACTGACCACAAATTGTTAGGAGAATTGGGGGTGGAAGGGTTAGAACATTGATTCCAAAATATTATTACTTTAATGTGTGACATTGTTTCCAACCCCATCAGAGGGTTCGGGAGAAAAGACAGGAGAAAGAAGAAGTCAAGAGGGAAAATTGTGCAACAATGACCTATCCTGTTTCCACAACATTGTGCTTTGGACAAACATTGTGATTGTCCAATGTTGTGCTTTGGACAATCAATGTATATTGATTCATTTATCAATATACAGTCATTTAAGGAAATTTGAAAAATGCTGTAAAGATTGGGGATGGAGCTCAAACTTCTCATCAACCCGCACAAAGACAACCAACATGGTGTTTAGGTGTAATACTCAGTATAGATCATATAGTATATCTTCCTCCTCCTCCTCCTCCTCCTCCTTCTCCTTCTTCTTCTCCTCCTTCTTCTTCTTTCTTCTTCTTCTTTTTGTTTTTGAAACAGGTTGCTCTGTTGCTCAGGCTGGAGTATAGCAGCTCACTGCAGTGGCTGGAGCATCACAGCTCACTGAAGCCTTGACCTCTAAGGCTCAAGCTATCCTCCCACCTTGGCCTCCCGAGTAGCAGGAACCATAGGCATGTACCACAACATCTGGATAATTTTTTTAAAAATTGTAGAGACATGTTCTCCCTATGTTGCTGAGGTTGGTCTCAAACTCCTGGGCTCAAGGGATCCTCCAGCCTCAGCCTCCCAAAGTGCTGGAATTATAGGCATGAGCCACCATGCCTGGCCATATGTTCTTTTTACTAGGTATTTTGTTGGGAAAATGTTTCTTTATTGTGATAAAAAATTATTCAAAACATTGTTCATGCAGCTGCACAATAATCCATCATGTCAATGAGCCACAATCAATGTCTCCTCTAATTATTAGGTTTTTCCACTTGTTCCTTATTTTAAGTAATGATGCTATTAATGGATTTGCACACAAATGTTTATTTGCATCTATGATCATTTCAGCAGAACAGATTCTCAGACAGGAGATTGATGAGTGATGGACATTGCATGACTATGCTCAGATCAGCTATCACTCAGTGGAAAGTCTGTGGATTCGCACTACAGCCAGCAAGGCACAGCAGGGCCAGTCCTGCTGAGACAAGGGACATTCATTTCTAAAGTCAGAGCAAAGGGAAATAAATTTCACTTAGCGAATTTCACAATCACTCCTGAAACATTCATTAACATCTGGAAATGTTACAGTGAGCCACAATGGCCTCCAGCCCTGGCATCGTGACCTCTCAAGGTCACGGGAAGAGACTCATCCTCCTCTCCTCCCATCTCCCTTTATAGCTGAGGCCTCAACAGCTCCCACCTGGATGCAGCTCTGGGGCCAGGAGGCCTGTTGGCTCCTTTTGCCTGTTCATGGTCTCATCCAATCAAGTCCAGGGAAAGAGAAAATGTGTTTTCACTTGGCACTTGCTAATTTCCTCCTTTACCAGAAGAAAGATTTATTTTTGTTCTCTGTAGGCAAACGCATTTGGCTTTTGAATAAAATCGGGAGAATCCAGGTGTTTCCAGGCATCCTGGGCACCTGAATCGACAGCTTCGTCTGGTCTGGCTCCCTGGGCAGGGACTAGTTTAGCTGAGTGTTCGTTCACGTTTTACTCCTTTGTCCTCATTCTCTGCTGGGCTGGGCATCAATCCTCAACTCTCCTTTTGCCATGAACAGCGGGGCTCGAAGTTTATGCTTCCGAGCAAAACAGCCCTGACTCCACTTGGGAAAATGAAAAGTGTCTGTAAATTCAAAACAGACCAGGGACCCTGGAGGGTCTGCTCGGCTGCGTCTCCAGGAAGTTTGACTCCAGGTGAGTCATTGCTTTCAGACAGGCTCCCTCGAGGACGACCATTGTCATTAGAAGGAAAGAAGGGAGTTCTCCATACAGGCAGGGATGCGACGGGCACTCCTTAGGACTCCCGGGTTGGAGGAAGCTGCTTAGTCCTCCTGAGATGTCCCCAGTCCATGTGGCTCCTCATGCACACATCTTGGACCCTGAGTTCATATAGTGACAAGTACAGACCATGGAACTTGGCATGTGAGGGACCTGGAATTCTCTCTGACCCTGCCACTTGCTGCAGTGTGACCCAAAGTTGTCACTGACCTTGTACATCCACAGCTTCTTTGGGTGAGAGGCTAATGAGATCACCCACAAACAACTCTCCACCGAGCCCTGGAACAAGCCCTTATAGACATGAGCTCTCCGGCCGCCACCCCACAATGGTCTCCTTGACTTGTCCAACCCAGGCACCCACTTCCTGCTGGTAAGAGTCTCAGCACACGGAGGCTTCATTGCTCACCTTGTTCAGGTGCACCTGGGAATGATACAGGGCAATGGGGTGGTGGCTTCACACAGAACCAGGCACACCCACCCCCTTTTCTGTGGTATAAACACAGTCCAGGATGTCCTCGCAGCACAAGGGGGCTTGCAAAACAGGGGACAACTGCTCCCCACAGCTCAGCTGAACCTCAGGGCACATGGCCACCTCTTATACGCCTGCTCCTGTCTCCCAGATCTCCATCCTAGGCTGCCTTGGAATTCACTCAGAAACCACGCTCATCAGTCAAGTGTGATTTGGAGGCCTGGGCCTATGGAAAAGGCCCTGAGAATTCCCGTCTCAGCTGGACACACACAGCAGGTCCCACACCAGCAGGTCTGACTATGCACACCCACCCAAGATGGGCCTGGGGTCTCCTCTTTCCTCTTTTTCTTCCTTCCTTCCTCCTCCCTGCCTGCCTCCTACCCTTCCTTCCTTCCTCCCTGTTTTCTTTGTTTTTTTTGGTTTTTGTTGTTGTTCTTTAAAGTATAATTTACAGGCTGTAAAATGCAAAGGTTAAATTATAAATTCTGACAAATAAACATACCCATATAAACATCAGCCCCATCGAAACAGAGAACATTGGCCAGGTGCGGTGCGGTGGCTCATGCCTGTAATCTCAGCACTTTGGGAGGCCATGGCGGACAGATCACAAAGTCAGGAGTTTGAGACCAGGCTGGCCAATATGGTGAAACCCTGTCTCTACTAAAAATACAAAAAATTAGCCAGGTGTGGTGGTGCACTCCTGTAATCCCAGCTACTTGGGAGGCTGAAGCAGGAGAATTGCTTGAATCCAGGAGGCGGAGTTTGCAGTGAGCAAAGATCGCACCATTGCATTCCAGCCTGGGCGACAGAGTGAGAAAAAAAAAAAAGAAAAAGAAAAGAAAGGAAAAGAAAAGAAAAGACGAAAAGAAAGAAAAGAAAAGAAAGGGAAATAGAGAACATTTCCAGCACCCCAGAGAGGTCCCATGTTGTCTTTCCACTAAGTAGCATAATACGCCCCCAAAAGGAAACCACTGTTCTGCTCTCTGCCACCATAGATGGTTCTCCATCTTCTGGAATTTCCTGTGAATGAAATCACACAGCAGGCAATCTTCTAAGCCAGCTCCTTCACTGCACCATGCTCTTGCAATTCATTCCTGTAGTGTGAGTCATAGTTTTCTCCTTTATTTCTGAGGAGTGTACTGTTGCATGGATGCACCACAATCCTCTTCTCTTCTCACCTGATTGATGCACATTTGGGTTGTTTCTCATTTAATGTGACTGAGTAAGGTGCTATGGACATTTCCATGCATCTTTGGGTGGGCATACATATTCATTCTCTAGTAAATCCTTCATCCCTAGGAATGGGGTGCTGGGTCATAGAGAAGATGCAGGCTGAACTTTATAAAACCTGCCAAACAAAATTACCAGAGTATTGGAGTCATTCTGTATGACCCCCACAGCATGTTAGAGTTCCTCCTGCTCCATGGCCTCAGTCCTCAGGGTTCTCTGTGTGTGGCACCATCAAAATCCTAGGTGACCATCCTGCTAGGACACTCGTGGGTTTCACTGGGGCAGAGCCCAATCAGGGACTGGTTGTCTTCAAGAGCTGCAACAACACGAACAAACAGCAGAGAACAGACCAATGCACTTTGAGATTCTTAACCAGCAGTAAGCCGAGGATTGGGGGCTCCATTTCCATCAACTTCCACTGATTTAGTCCATTTTCTTGTCAAGCCTAATGAAAGCTCACAGTCATAGATATACCCTGATATGGTTTGCATGTTTATCCTCTCCAGATCTCATGTTGAAATGTGATTTCCAGTGTTGGAGGTGGGACGTATTCGATCAAGGGGATGGATCTCTCCTGAATGGCTTAGACCTTGGTGATGAGTGAGTTCTTGCTCAGTTAGTCTATGAGTTATTTCAGGTGAGATGTGGTTGTTTAAAAGAGTCTGGGACCTCACCTTCTCTCTCTTGTTCCTTGTCTCGCCATGATATACCTTCTCCCCCTTCACCTTCTGCCATGATTGTAAGCTCCCTGATGCCTCATCAGAAGTAGACACTGGCACCATGCTTCCTGTCCAGCCTACAGAATTGTGAGCCAATTAAACTTCTTTTCTTTATAAATTACCTAGCCTCAAATATTTATTTACAGCGATGCAAGAATGGACTAACACAGCCTCCCTCCTGGGGGAGAAAGCCTCAGGAATGGCATCCAGAATTAGAGACTTAGTTCTCAGATGGGCCAGCCTTTCTTCCCCTCTCCCTACCTCACAGCACCCTATCTTGACCAAGAGGAGGAGGCTGGGGTCCCACTGTCCAGCTAGAAGTGGCCCTGTCTCTTACTAGCTGGGCAATCTTGGGCAATTTATTTAAGATCTGTGTGCCTTCATTTCCTTGGACATAAGATAAGGACAATAAAAGTACCCACCTGTGGGGCATTGGAAAGCCTCCATGAGGGAGCTCATGCCCAGCTCATAGGACAGTACCTGGCACATAGGGAGAATGATGATAGTGACAGTGATGATGACTATTTTGATTTCAACAATGGCTGCAGAACTTGATCTTCTCATCTGGTTGATTACCCCCCACCTCTCACTTCCAGCTCTGGCCCTGGTAATGGAAAGGTCTCATCTCTCCAGGGCAATCTTTCACAGCACAAGACAGATCATGACATACCTTTTGTGAAATTAACCAGTAGCTCCCATTGTCTTCAGGATTAAATCCAGACACAATGACATAACTCAGCAGTGTCCTTTGAGACTCACCAGCTCACCACTCCAGCAAACTCACACAAACCTGGTGGTCCAGCCATGTAGCCAAACATCTGCAACTTCCCCTGTCCCCATAACCCTGGGCTCCTTGCCCCACTGTATTTGTAAATGTTTCTACCCTGCCTCTGCCTGGCTAATTGCCATGCTCCTTTCAATGTTAAATTTCCTCCAAGGAGCCTTTCCTGACCTCCCCAGATATAAGCACTTCCCCCTCAGGGTTAGAATAATGCAACGTGCATACCTCTGGTTTGGCTTTTGCACACTGCTGTGATCCTTTGGGTATAAGTGAGCACTTCATGAGAAAGAAGGTGGATTACCATATATGTTCTGCCTCGCACACAGAATGGGCTCAACAATCATTGCTGAATGGATAACTGGGTGGGTGGATGGATGGATGGATGGATGGATGGATGGTTAAATAGATACATGAATAGTCTGATAGGTAGACGGATGGGAGGGCAGATAGGTGTGTAGACTGGTTGATAGAAGATAAGTGAGTGGTTAGATGGGTAGATGAATGAATGGATGGGTTGGGGCGTGTGGGTGGGTGAAAGGGTGGTTGAGGTAGATAGATGGGTAAATGGATGGACAGATGGGTTTTTGGGTGTGGGTGCATGAGTTGGTGGGTGGGTAAATGGATAGATAGATGATGGTGATATAGTTTGGGTCTGTGTCCCTGCCAAAATCTCACGTCAAATTGTAATCCCCAATGTTGGAGGTGGGGCCTGGTGGGAGGTGATTGGATCACAGGACAGACTTCCCCTTTGGTGCCATTCTCATGATAATGAGTGAGTTATCTCAAGGTCTGGTTGTTTAAAAGTGTGTAGTACCTTCCCCCTCTCTCTCTTCTTCCTGCTCCGGCTGTGTAAGATGTGCCTGCTTCCTCTTTGCCTTCTGCCATGATTGAGAGTTTCCTGAGGTCTCCCCAGCCATGCAATCTGTATGGACTGTGGAACTGTGAGCCAATTAAACCTCTTTTCTTTGTTTCTTTGTAAATTGCCCAGTCTCAAGTATTTTTATAGCAATGTGAGAATAAACTAATATGCATGGGTTGGTAGGTGGGTTAATGAGTGGATGGGTGGGTAGATGAAGAGATACACATGGGTTGGTGGGTGGATAGATGAGTGGATGGGTGGGTGGATGGGTGGATGGATGAGTGGATGGATGGATGGATGGATGGATGGATGGATGGGTGGGTTGGTAGGTGGGTGCATGAATTGATGGGTGGGTGGATGGGTGAGTGAGTGGATGGATGGATGGATAGATCGATGGGTTTGTGGGTGAGTGCATGGGTGAATGGGTGGATAGGTGGATGGATGAGTGGATGTGGGATTGAGTAGGTGGAAGGGTGGTTGAGGTAGATGGATGGGCAAGTGAATGGATACATGGGTATATGGTTGAATGAATTGATGGGCTTGTGCGTGGGTGCATGAGTTGATTGAGGGATAGATGCATAGATAGATGTTTGGATTGGTGGGTGGGTGGATGGGTGGATGAGTGGGTGGATGGATGAGTGGTTGGATGAATAGATGAATGGGTTGGTAGGTGGGTGCATGAGTTAATGGGTGGGCGGATGGATGGTTAAATGGATGAATAGACAGATGGGTTTATGGGTGGGTACATAGGTGAATGAGTGGATGAGTAGGTAGATGGGTGGATGTGGGGGTGGGTGGATAGTGGTGGTTGGGGCAGTTGGATGAGCAAGTGGGTGGATGGATGGCAAGTGGGAGCAGTGCAACTGAACTGGGTCTAGTGCATGTGTCACAAAGGACATGGTGATGTCCTCATCTCACATCCACTCTTGATATGGTCCCCTCTGAGTAGGACTGCTCAGATACAGAAAGGTCTCTACAAAGCATCATTTGATTATTACTTCTTAATGGCCAGACAAGAGAAGGAGGATGAGCCCCCTGCTTCACTTCCTTCATGAACCCATTCTGACCTCCGCCATTAGACTAGTTTTCCCCAAACACCTCTTCTTGCTTGATCCTTTTCCACAAACCCCACTGCTTCCTCATTGCCCTTAACCATGGCCTCTAGAATCCTAGGAAAAGGTGAATGAGGACTGAAGTTGTTGGCTGCAGAATATTAGGGAACTGTGCTGACAAATGACCTATCTCATACCATTGGAGTCAGGTGATGGACTCACAGAAACAACAAAAACAAAAATAGAAACAGCAGCAAATGTATACAGAGCATTGATCAGGTGCCAGACACCTCACTAAGGCTTCACACTCACTGCTGACACCGGACGAGCAGCCTTCCAACTGCACATTTTTACTGGAGCCTTTGTCAAGAGTACGATTCAACCTTTGGATCAATTCGATCTTGTGACCATTGATTCTGCAAGGGTTGAGCTGACTGATGAGGAAGGTCACCTAAGGCCTTTCTCTCCTTACCCAGAGGTGAATGAAGAGATATCTCTTGGCTGCAGCCACTCCCCCCGCGTCCAGAAAAGAAAACAGGTAATGCCTGTCAATCTGGAAGGAGGAAGGGTGCAGGGACATTCCTGATGGGGTGCAGGAGCCTCTGTCTTCTTGTTTGGGCCCAGTACCACCGTGTCAGTGATCAATTTATTGTGCTGGGTTAGTAAACCCACTAGCAGCCCTGCCACAGCCTCACAGAGAGCCAGGGCAGAGCAATGTGGTAATTAGTGCAGCTTGTCCTAAAAGCCAAATTTATGATGAGGAGATTAGCAGGGAGCAGAGCCCATCTGCGGCTTCCCTTATGAACAGCCAAGAGTTTTATGGCCTCTGGAACAGGCTAGAGCAACCGTCCAAAGCCTGGTGCCAGGTTCTGACCTGCCTTGCCATCCTTCCCACTGGGGTTAGCACCAGGGTGGCAGACCTCTCTCCACAGGGCCACCCCCATCAGCATACCAAATGCTCCCTATCTCCCTTCTTTAAAAACCTGCCCATGACCCCTGACAAGGTCTTCTTCCTTGATCAAACTTTATCCAGGTTGCCCTGAGCCCTCTTCTTAACCTTGGCCTGCCTTTAGCAAGAATCCTGCTAGGTCAGTTTGGAGAGAATCTCCTCACCCGTTTTGTTCATCCAGTTTAACCAGAATCCCCTCACCCTGATGTCTCCCCTTAGTAATTTTCTATCTACTGACCCCGCCTCACCCTCTTTGTTGGCTATAAATCTCCACTGGTCCCTTTTGTACTCAGGGTTGAGCTCAGTCTCTCTCCCCCATTGCAATAGCCTTAAGTGAAGTCTTCCTTGCTGTTTTAACAAGTGTGCAAATAATTCTTTTTCTTTTACAGCCTACATTTGTCTCTACTTACTACCCCACTTTTTGAGAATTTTTACAGTAAAACTTCACAGGCCCTCTCCAGTGCCTCACTGCCTGAAGTCTCTTGAACTCATTCCAAATAGCCTGTTCTCCTCACTGTTTTATTAAATCAACTTCTGTCCAAGTCATCTGAGCTCCATGTTACCAATTCCAATGGGCATTTCTCTGATTTCACCAACTTGTTCTCTCAGCAGCAATCAATGGGGTGGTCCATTCTTTCCAATCAACACTTTATTCTCTGGACTCCTATGATATCTCCCTGTCCTTGTCCGATCTTGACCTCTCTGACTATTCCTTTTCAGTGTCCCAAGCACATTGCTCATTGTCTCCCTGAATTCTAAGTGTCTGACTACTCCAGAGCTCTTTCCCAGGCTCTCTTCCCTTCAATGTCTACCCTCTTGCCCTAGGAGACCTCAGATGGTCCCACTGCTGTCAATCCTATGGATGTGCTGATGACCCCCCAGATTTATCTCCTGACTTCTCCCATGAAGTCTCATATACTCAACTGACAGCTCAGTATTTGCAGTGGGATGTCCAATCAATCTCAAACTCACTTTGCCTGAAGCAACACCATCTATTTCCACTCTCCCCCACACACAACTATTATTCTACCATCTTCCCCACTCAATTATTCTTTCACTCAACAAATACCCATTGAGTACCTACTATGGGACAGGCACTGTTCTAGGTGCTGAGGACACTCTCATAAATAAGACAGACAAAATTTCCCTTCCAGCAAATGGCATCACTGTGCACCCACTTCCTCAAGCCAAAGGCCCGAGAACCATCCCCAATTTCTTTCTTTTTGTACATTAGTGGTTCTCAACTGGGGTGATTTTGCCCCCCAGGGAACATCAGGCAAGATCTGGAGACAATTTTTGTTGTCGTAACTGGGGAGGTAATGCTACTGTCATCTAGCTTGCCGAGGCCAGGAATGCTGCTAAACATTCCACAGTGCAAAAGACCACTTCGCAAAACAAAGGATGATCCAGCCCCAAATAGTAGTAGTTCCAAAGTTGAAAAACCCTGCCTTATATCCAATTCGTCAACACACATCGCTGGTTTTGCTTCCAACACATATCCCAATCTCACAACTTATCTTCACATTCATGGCCATCTATGTGGCACAAGCTGTCTTTCTCTGTCATGCATTTATTGCAATAGATTTTGTGGACATTAGGTTTTCTTGCTTTTCACTAGGCTTTAAGTCCTTGTGATCGGGCTTGTACTTTCCATTTATGCATCCTGGGCAACTACCAGAGGATTTGGCACTTCCTCGCATGTAATGATAAATTATCATCACCAACATCACCATCACCATCATAATCTTCATCCCAACATTATCATCATCACCATCCCCATCATCGCTATAATCTTCATCCCAACACTACTGTTATCATCATCATCATCACCATCGCCATCCTAATCTTCACCACGACACCATCATCATCACCATCCCAATCGTCACCACCATCACCACCATCACCATCATCACCATCATCACTATAATCTTCATCACATTATCATCATCCCCATCATCATCATCATCATCATCACCATCACCATCCTAATCTTCACAATGACACCATCATCACCACTATCCCCATCATCACCATCACTATAATCTTCATCACATTATCATCATCCCCATCATCATCATCACCATTGCCAGCCTAATCTTCACCATGACACCATCATCACCACCATCACCATCATCACTATAACCTTCATCCCAACATTACTGTTATCATCATCATTGCCATCCTAATCATCACCACACCATCACCATCCCCATCCCCATCATCACTATAATCTTCATCCCAACACTACTGTTATCATCATCATCATCACCATTCTAATCTTCACCACAGCACCATCATCACCACCATCCCCATCATCATCATCACCATCACTATAATCTTCATCACAACACTGCCGTTATCATTATCATCATCACCATCCTCACCATTATCATCGCCACCATCACGTCGCTATCATCACAATACTTTTGTCATAATGACCGTCCTTATCATCATCATAGTCACCATCACTTCCATCACCATCATCACTGACATCACCATTATCATCTTCATCACCGTTATTGTCATCTTTATCACCATCACCATCCCATCACCATCATCATCACATCACCATCACCACCATTCATCAACTATTGACTCTTCTAGGCCTGTCCTGGATACTTTACACACATCATCTCCTATAATCTGCCCCCCACCCCCATGCAACTCACCCACACATCTCTCAAGTGGGCATTACTGCCCTAGTTTTATAAATAATGTCCCACTGGTTGACACAAGACATGCCTAAACTCTGGAATCAAGCTGTGTGGATGTGTCGAATTACCCCTATGTGGCTTTAGGTGTAAGTTATTTAACCTTGTTCTTCACCTATAAAATGGTGAAGAACCATTGTTTCCTCACCTATAAAATGGAAGAAATAATAGTGCTTACTTCACAGATTTGCTATAAGGATTACAAGATGTTGGTCCATGTGAAGCAATTAACTCAAAAAATGTTGGCCAACCCATTCACTAATTTAAAAAATGAGGAAACCGAGGGTCACAGGCTACCTTGCCCAAGGCCATACGTTCAGGGACCAAGCCACATCTTACACCACCACATGAAGCTGCTGCTTATAAGTTGCCAGGAAATGCCTGCTGGGAAAAAGAAATGATTGAATGAATGAATAACTGGGCACCAAGACCTACCACCCGGCTCCTTTGTTCCAAAGGACTCCAGGGAGGCAGAAGATTTTCCTTCCTGACTTTTATAAAATGTTCTAGAAACACGAAAAGCCCTGAATTAGGGTCTTTTTGCTTTTATGGCTTTGACCTTTCAGAAATCTCCCTGCCTTCCTCTCTGAGCCTGCCTTTACCATTTGAGAGGAAAAGTGAGACGTCTTGAAACAGTAATATTCAGCCAAACCATAAAATTCATCCTCCCTTCTCTCCATTCTCCCAGACAGCATCCTATTCACCCTCTTCCGTCACCCCCACTGACCTCTGTGCACCTGCTTATAAACCCACCGCTCTCTGAGACCAGTCTTCCAAGAACAGAAACAAGGAGTCCAGGATGCACCCATGACATTTGCTCCTCTGTAAATTAGCTTGTCTGCAAGGCTAAATAAATTACTCTGAAAGAAAGTTGCTTAAAGTTCATTTTTGATTACAGTGATAGAAGAAGATATAGTTAGGAGCCTTTAGCAGCTGAGGAAAAGGAAAAAAGAAAAAGCCATTATCCCCAAGCAATGGGGGGGTGTCTCAGGCCCCCCAAAGAGGAAGGGACCCCAGCAATCTATGTTTAACCTTGGGAAGGCATGGGGTTTAGGAACTCTGAGCCCACTAGGGGGTGGCCTCTGAAAAACACTCAGAAGCCCTTTCCTGTACAAAGGGCACTTAGAATTACATGTGGGGGTGGGGAGGATGGGGACAGGCACCCACATGGTCCTCCCTGCAGCCTTTCTTCCTGGAGGATTGTTTTGGGACCCAGTTCACAGCAGCCACCGCCTGAGCAGCTCCCGCCGGCTACGTTCAGATCAGCATCAGCGTGAAAGGGAACATGAGGCCTGGGCCACACTTTCAGCACCGAAGCTTGATTGCCAGTGCCTACCTCTCCCCTGGCCATCTGTTAACAGCCGCCGCAGTGAGCGGCATCCTGAGCTGCGGAAAGCTGCCTCAACCATGGAGAGGAGTTCGTGATGCCTTGGCAGCCCTGTCGCCTTACACAACACCATATGCCTGAAGGACACAAAAGAAGATGTGATGTCTGTCCTGGAGGTGTTCAAGTGGTGTCTCATGTGCCCGGGACAACTAATGTAACAGGAGTGTCCCACACAGAGATCCTGCAGGTGACCCCAGCAGCCGTCGGAGGTAGGGGACAAGGACACACAGGGCCAGCTGGCCCCTCTCGCCAGCCCAGGGCAGAGTCCCACCGTGTCATGTCATTCCCAGGACTGTGGATTCACTGTGGAGCTGAAGTATTCTTGCAGACTGAGGACAGTGGAGAAAGGGTGACACTT
Source organism: Homo sapiens (assembly GCF_000001405.40). Lineage (NCBI taxonomy): Eukaryota > Metazoa > Chordata > Mammalia > Primates > Hominidae > Homo > Homo sapiens. Next base: position 4,367,030 of record NC_000001.11, on the reverse strand, counting down.
TCAAGCACGCATTGATGGTTCCCAGAGCTCTCCGGGTTCCCAGGCTGGAATCTGTGGAGGGGCCCATATGAGAATCCAGAGGCTGCTGCAGCAAAGCACCAGGGCTGAGGTTTCACCAGCAGCAATGCATGCTCTCAGTCTGGAGGCCAGAAACCCAAGAGCAAGGTCTGGCCTGCTGGAGGCTCAGAGGAAGAATCTGTTCCATGCCTCTCGCAGCTCCTGGTGGCTGCCAGCAATCCTTGGTACTCCTTGGATTATGGAAGCATCCTTTCAGTTCCTACCTTTGTCCTCGCGTGGCCCTCTTCCTGTGTGTGTGTCTGTAACCAAACCTCCCCTTTGTGTGAAGACACCAGCCCCACTAGATTAGGGCCCACTCTCTTGGCCTCATCTTAACTTTATTGCATCTATCAAGACCCTATTTCCAAATAAGGTCACATTCATGGGGCCTGGGTGTTAGGACTTCAACCTGTGAATTTCAGGGAGATACTATCTAACCTATAACAAAGTTTTGTAAAGTACAGCTCCCAAGCCCACCTGCAGAGGTCCTAATTCACCTGCACCTGTGTGAAATCCTCACTCCACACATATCCCATAATGCACTCCAACCGCCATTCTCTGTCCCTACTCACACTGAGCCCTTTCACCTGTGTCCCTGCAGGCTGGGCCTAGCGACCGTCTTCCTTTCCTTGGGCCCTCCGTGTGGGTCCCTGCCCCGGGCCCTCTGCAGCGGGGGTGGCTCTGCCTGGATACTCTCCACCCACTGCTGTCTCTGGGTCCTCCACTGTGTTAGTCCACTCGGGCTCCCACAACAAAACACCGTAGACTGTGGGGCTTACATAACAGAAATGCACCTTCTCACAGCTGTGCAGTCTGGAAATCCAACGTCAAGGTGCAGGCCGATGTGTGGCATCTGGTGATGGCTGATTCCTGGATTTCAGAGGGTGCCCTCTCACTGCGGCCTCGCGTGGTGGATGGAGCCAGGACTCGGGCGTCCTCCTCTGTAAGGGCACTTGCCCCATTGAGGGAACCCCACCCTCAGGACCTCAGCTAACCCTAATTCCCTCCCCAAGACCCACCTCCAGAGGCCTCACATTGAGGGTTACATTTCAACATATGCATTTGGGGAAGACAAACAGTCCATAGCCCCCTCGTCTACGGCCTCAGCCCAATTTCACCCCCACCAGCAAAGAAGCCCTCTGGATCCCTCATCTGCCGGTCATGCTGCACCGTAACACCTGGGCCCTGGGGCCTTTGCTGGTCACAGTGGGTGGGCACCTGGCATGCCCATCTGAGTGTGGCCAGAAGAGTGGGCCACCAAGCTCCATGGGACAATCTGAGAGAGTGGAGTAGTAGCAAAGGGAGGGGTGCCCAGGCGCCCGTCATAGCTGGCTTCTCTGCTTCTGCATCTTCCCACCCACTCAAGGCTCCTGGTCCCAGAGGACTCTGAAGTCTCTCTGAAGCCTGTCCACTGCCCGGGTCACCATGTGACTCCAGCATCTTGTCCCTGCCCCATCCTGTTCCTATTTAGGGTGCTTCAGGAAACAGCTAGAGATAAGAGCTCCTGGAATGGAGGGAGAGAAGAAGTCAATTCGATGACCAGTCGGGGGCAGGTCAGGAGAGAGAGCTGACAAGGGCCAGGGGGAAATTCAGGGACAGCCCCGCTAGAGTCAGGCCAGGGAAACACCACCACTCTCCAGCAGCCAGGGATAGGCACATGGCCAGGGGGACAGAGTATTCCCTCAGCTTTGGGGACAGATCCTGACCCTACACTGTCCCTCGCAGGCTGTGCCATCATTTCAATTCTTGGGGCCACAATTTCATTGTCTATGAGCCAGAAAGTTGTTCAAAAGGACCCAGCTTTGTATAATATTTATATTTATATATTACTTACATATATACACATTCAAAAATAATCCAGCTGAAAAAGAGGGTTTGGTGGCCAGACTAAAATTTCTGACATTTGTTTCTGTATTGGTCCATTCTCAGACTGCTATAAAGAAATACCTGAGACGGGGTAATTTATAAAGAAATGAGGTTTAATTGGCTCACAGTTCTGCAGGCTGTACAGGAAGAGGATTCTGCTTCTGGGGATGCCTCAGGAAACTTACAATCATGGCAGAAGGTGAAAGGGCAGCAGGCTTTACATGGTCAGAGCAGGAGGAAGACAGAGAGGAGGGAGGAAATACACTCTTTCTTTTTTTAATACTCTTAAGTTCTAGGGTACATGTGCACAACATGCAGGTTTGATACACAGGTACACATGTGCCATGTTGGTTTGCTGCACCCATCAACTCATCATTTACATTAGGTATTTCTCCTAATGCTATCCCTCCCCCAGCCCCCCACCCCCTGACAGGCCCTAGTGTGTGATGTTCCCTGCTCTGTGTCCAAGTGATCTCATTGTTCAATTCCCACCTATGAGTGAGAATACACGGTATTTGGTTTTCTGTCCTTGTGATAGTTTGCTGAGAATTATGGTTTCCAGCTTCATCCATGTCCCTGCAAAGGACGTGAACTCATCCTTTTTTGTGGCTGCATAGTATTCCATGGTATATATGTGCCACATTTTCTTAATCCAGTCTATCATTGATGGACATTTGGGTTGGTTCCAAGTCTTTGCTATTGTGAATAGTGCCACACTAAACATACATGTGCATGTGTCTTTATAGTAGCATGATTTATACTCCTTTGGGTATATACCCAGTAATAAACAACCAGACCTTTTGAGAACTCACTCACTATCATGAGAACAGAACCAAGTGCATGGTGCTAAACCATTCACGAAGGACCCCCCCACCATGAACCAATCACCTCCCACCAGGCCCCACCCCAAACACTGGGGATTACATTTTGACATGAAATTTAGGCAGGGACACAGATCCAAACCATATTAGTTTCATTCATTCATTAATCCAAAAACTATTCACAGAGGGCTTACTGTGCACCGGTGTAGTTCTGAGTACTGAAGATGCTCATAATTTAGCAAACGGCCTCCAAAGTTGGGCACCTGGGGAGCTCTATGGTGTTGGGCTAGTTAGGTTTAGGGTTATTCATTAGGAGGTATTCCAGCTGCACCTCATGGAAAAATCCAAAGTAGCAGAGTCTTAGACAAGAATAGGCTTGTTTCTCTTTCTCCAGGGCTGTTCAGTGGCCCTGCCATGTGAAATGCCACAGATCACAACTCCTCACCTCTCATTGCTCTGCTGTACATGGTCTCCTCTCCCAGTATGACCTTGTGGTCCAAAATGGCTGCTCTAGCTCCAGTCATCGCATCCACATCCCAGCTAGCAGGGAAGGGAATGCTTATCTCCCTTCATAGCCACATCTCCAAGCTGCATGTCCCACATCTACTTATAGTCCACGGGCTGCTGTGGCCACGTACAGCAGCAAAAGAGGTTAGAAAATGTAGGCTTTATTCTGGGTCATCCTACGTGCAGCTAAAATTTGGGGGAATCTATCACTAAAGAAGAAAGGAGACAAGCAGCAGTCACAGATATTGTCTCACACATCCCTGTTAGCTCCCAGGCTGTGGCAAAAAACCCATAAATGTTACTTACACTCAGTAAAATTCATTGGCCCAGCCACGGGCAGCTATTTAATCAAATGAATGATTCCTCATTAGGGAGATAATGGATAAAAATGTGTTCACATGGCAGACATCCCAGGTAAAATATTTACATTTAACAGGGCCTTACCTAATTTTCTTCAATGAACATAGATCACTAGTAAAATTAACAGCTTTCAAAAGGGTGGGTTGGAGGGGGGGCCAGGTGCTTAGTCCAAAGGAATGACTCTGGAAGAGAGAATAGCAGACTCCAGTGGCTGACAGGTGGACAAGTGTGAGACCTTCCAGGACAACCGAGACTCCTGCCCTGGCCTGGGGAAGGGAGGTAGGATACTTGTCTCTCGAAGCCTGCTGGGAAACGGAGTTCAGAGACATCTCTTTCTTTTCTAGTTTATGCCCATATTATGCTGATGAATTAAGAGAAGGTTAATTTAAATAGCAACACAAATACCAGGGTGGTGATCCGAGCCAAAATCGCGGAAATAGTATGCGCTCGGCATCCATGTCCAACCCAAACCAGGACCCAAGTCTCTTCCTTCCCTGTGCGGGACAGCGAGGTGTGAGTGGCCATCGCCCCGGGCTGGCTGCCCCACTGAGTCTCGCTGGGAGTTGGAGGCGACTGCTCAAGCACGTCCTGAATGGGACTAGAGCGTCCCCCAGTGTCACATTTTGGGCTAACTTGGAAGTGCTAAATCCCTACGATGACCCTGGAATTTGTGTAGTCTCATGAGCTCATCCTCGAAGGGAAAATAAAATCGCAGAAAGGCAACACCCCCTGCAGCCTCCCACTGACCTGCTCTGCCCCAGAGAGGAGAGTTTTGCGGAGAGAGCTTGGATTAAGTTCACAGAGTGAGGACTTAAAGAGCTTCCAAAACCTTCCAGCAAGAGGCTTCAGATGTCACCCAGCACAACCTCTGGACCACAAGCCCCAGTAAAATCAATACTAGACTCAAAGGCCGGCGGAGCCCAGGAATAGACCACATTGTGATCTCCGCTGAGCACTGTACAGGGCTTTGTGTTTTTCCCAAGTCAGGGAAGAGCGCAAGCTCCCAAGGTGATTTCCCAGTGGCATTCAAGTCACCCTTGTGCCAGGTTAAAGTCACGTGTGGGCAGGGCTCAGCCAACAGGGAAGGAAGCTGGGGCTGCCCCTCATGGCAGGAAAGATGTTTGTGTTTTCACAAGACCCTGTCCAGGGTGCCCTTTCTCATTCCCAAAATGCTGCTGGGTCTGAGCCCAGGGCCAGCCGGGGACATCTCTGCAAGATGACCCCAAAGGAGGGCACGCAGTTGCCTTTATTCAAATCGTTTCTTTTCTGCACTGGGGGTTTCTCTGCCCTGCCATGTAACTTTGGGGGTGACTAAGGTGCTCCCCACTCCTCCGTGTCCATCTCCCCTCTCCCCCAGCTGTGCCTGGAACCTCTTTTTCCAAATGCCCGCCCTTTGACTGTGACTTTGACCTTAGCAAGGCACACACAGGCTAGAGCCCCACAGAGCCTGAGGTCATCATCAGAAGACGTATCCATTACCCAGGCTGCCGTAACAGAGTACCACGAACTCGGTAGCTTACAGTGACATGCACTTACTTATTCTCTCACTGTTCTGGAGGCCAGAAGTCTGAAATCAAGGTGTGGGCAGGGCCACACTCCCTCCAGAGGCTCCAGCGGTGGATCCTTCCTGCCTCTTCCAACTCCTGTTGGCGGCCGATGACCCTTGGCTGATGGCCGCATCACCCCATCTCGGTCTCTGTCTCCACACAGCCATCTCTCTCCCCTCTCTGTGTCTTCTTCTTTTCTGTATCCTATAAGGATACTTGTCATGAGATTTAGGGCCCATTTGAGAATCTGAGATGGTCTCATTTCAAGGCTCTTAGCTTATATCTGGAAAGACTCCTTCTTCAACTAAGATCCCATTCACAGGTTCCGGAGGTTAGAACACGGGGCCACCATTCAATCCACTGTGGGAGTGGGCATCTGAGTGTCAGTGCAGGCTGAGAGCAGGCACTGAGGGGCAGAGGGCACCCATCCCAGCCTGGAGCCTCAGAAAAGAGGGGCGCACAGAGCAGGTCTTGCCCGCAGAATTAGCCTTGAGGACACAAAGAAGGCAGAAGCCATGGCCCAGGGGCCAGGGATGAGAGAGCGAGTCCCTGTGAGCCAGAACCCCAGGGCTCATTCCGGGGCAGTGTGACCTGAGACCTTTGAGGAGACCCAGATCAGCCCCCACAGGGAGAGGGGCACCCTGCTGAGTGATCCTTTAACATGCCACACTACAACTCCCAGCAATGGGCAGAGAAATCCTATTGAAATGTCCATGGGAAATGAAGTTGGGGAAATATAATTACTTAAAATTGACCCTGAGCTCTGACGAAGCTGGTCTGAGTAGACTGGTCTAAGCCCACATGATTAATCCAATTACATGAAACAGCTAAATGAACCCAGGCTGGGATTAAACAGAAAGGAAGGCTAGCGTCTGTGGGCTGCAGTGCCAGGATGATCCGGGGGTGGGTAGTGGGCTTTGGGGGGAGACTTCATAGCTGCAGCTGCCTGCCCTGACCACCCTGGGACAAGACAATGGCCCCAATTCTTGTCCTGATGGAATCCGACCTCCACGCACTTCTTTTGAGTGTGTGTCTGAGAACAGAAGTGAAGAATCCTATTATTCTATCATTTATTCTACATTTATGGAGCATTTCTATTTCAGAAACTGGGACCGGTGTGGCTTGCAGGAGGTGCATGGCTGGTCATGGCAGAGGGGCAGGCAGGGTGCAAGGGTTCCTCAAACACCAGCATGTAGGAGCCTCTGGGACCTTGTAGAAATGCAGGTTCTCACTCAGCAGGGCTGGATGGGGCCTGGGCACCTGCATTTTTCACCCACTCCCAGGGTACTGGTGCTGCTGGTCCCTGAAACTAGGCTGGTGAACTTTGCAGACAGCGGTGAGGGCTTTGGAGAATGTTCTAAGTACCCTGGAGTCCAGAAAAGTTGTTCTGTGCTTCATTTGAGCTACTGGTGGAGGCAAGGCCGGCATGCTACAGGTGGGTCAGGCAGGAGAGTACCCAGGTAGATGGGAGGCCACCTGGAACCTTCTGGCCATCTGGGGAACGTGGAAATGGGCCAAAAATGGCGGGAGTTGGGAGAAGCCAGCAGCACTGGAGAATCTTTGGTGCAATCCTGAAAGAGCTTTCCATCAGCTCTTGTTGGTCTGCACCCAGGCTGAGCCAGGGAGACAGCGCTTAGTAAAACCCTTCCTTCTGGGTCCTGAGCTAGGCTCTGCTGCACCGGGTGTGAAGGTGGCCAAGAAGTTGCCCCAGGCCCTCCAGCGGCACCCACCCTCCTCCAAACACATTCCTTACACCCAGACACCCACCCCTCAGGCCCCCATCTGCCTCAACCCTACGTGACAAGCTGCCCCGACAGGTTGCCTATAAGGACAGTATCTAACCTGAGAATTTACAGTTTTTCCTCTCCTCTGAATCCTTGCATTTTAGTTTGTCTTTGGTTAGAGACTAAGAATGCTCCTCACAGATTATCCAAAGGATCTCTCCATTTCCTGAGTCCACACAGTGCATTCTTTCCTTCCTTTCTTTCTATTTTTTTTTTTTTTTTTTTTGGCAACATTCCCATTAGTACAAAGGCCTGGTGTTATTGCTAAATGCGCAATGCTATTTTAATGACAACCACAGGCTTTGCGGCAAAGTTTACCCCCTGTAGATGTGGGTGCTGCTCAAGCGCTGCGGGAAGAAGAGGGAGCAGCTGACCATCCCCCCATAGATTCCTCCCTACCTGCCTTGAAGTAAATTGTACTAACAACCTCCATAATATAAACTGTCAGTTACCATCGGGCAATTTTGAGCTGCGTGGATAATCCTACTGAAAGCAAAGCCACATTCAGCAGGTTCTTCCCTACCTGTGTTCTTTGAGGATGAGGGCACTCACCAGTAAGAGAGCCTCGCTACATGGGGTAGGGGTGGGAGGATCCACAAGGGTATCCTTCAAAAGTGGTCTCTGTACTGAGTCAAGCTCTGTGACCTGGGGCCAACCACTCAACCTCTCTAAGTTTAGTCAGTCCCATTTTCAGGTGAAGTCGTAAATACCCATCAGGCGGTGCCCACAGAATCCAGCAGGTATCTAACAGGAGAAAGAACACAAAAGCACATTCGGTGAAAATAACAGCACCTTCCTTCTAGGGCAGTGGTGAAAGTCAAGTGTTCCCCTCTCAGCTTCCTAGAAAGCACCTCTAACTGGGTGGCTGAAAATCATGCAAATGGATCCTCTCCCAGTTCTGGAGGTAGGAAGCCTGAGATCCAGGTGTCAGCAGGCCACGTTTTCTCGGGAAGTTCTAGGGAAGCATCCTTCCTGCCTCTTGCAGCCTCCAGTGCTGTAGGCAGAGTCCCTGGTGTTCCTTGGTCTGCAGATGCAGCTTTCCAGCCTCTGCCTCTGTCTTCACGGGGCCTCCTCCCACTGTGTCTTCCCTCTTCTCTTCTGTCGTTGGATTAGGATCCACTCTAATCCAGTCTAATCACATCTTAACTAGTTACATCTGTAAAAAGCCAATTTCCAAATACGGTGACCTTCAGAAGCTCTGGGTGGACATAGACCTTTGGAGTCACACTGTTCCTCCCATTATGGTTGCTTTCTATAAAGCTCATAAAAATGCAGCCAGCATTTCATAAGAGCTATGCCCATGTCGGCCACTATCGTTTTTAAAAAATAATGACATAAATGCAAGTTAATTTTGTGACTCTTCTTAGTCACACAAAATGTTGATGATTTCCTTATTGGTATTCTACTGCACTCCATGAGAAGCGTCTGTTTGCGCTGCAGGCAGGATGAAAACTGTGTGTCCAGGCATGGGACTGCTCCGTCGTCCTGCATGGTGCTGGTCCAGGGCGCCAAGTCCTGCTCCCCAAGCCCACTCCACTTTCGCCAGCCGGCTCTTCCTGTTACCAACACTGCTGTCTGCTGTGATTTAAGAAACATTCTAGGGAGACCCTGCGTCATGATTCCAACCCTCCCAGAGAGAAAAGACAGAGAGAAAGGGGCTTTTGCTAACTCCAGCCTCAGTTTCCCCATCTACTCCCTCCCTGAGCTCCCCCAATGCGTTAGAAGATTAATCATTGCTATGTCTGCGTTTTTAAGGATATAACATTTATCTTAGATTTATTGTTATTACAGTTGTTTCCATTTCCCAGCAATGAGCCCATTCACCCCAGGCCTCTCGTGGCCTCTCATGTGGTGATCCAATATGATTTACTCATAAAAGCCCGTGACCAGAGCCCCACCTAATTGTGGCCTAATTACACTTGGCAAAAGCTGAGGAAAATGCCACCATGACTTGCTGTGTCGTTTGGGAGCCCAGAATAATCCACGCTGTGACTTGTGTGTGTCTCGGGTACTGGCGGCAGGTGGTACACTGAGAGCATTTCCCTCTGTAATTCTGAGAGCCGTGTTTTTCCAAATGAGTGAAGTTCTGACCTGCAGAAAGCATGCTTCCTCTACCCCAGAGCACCAGGGGCCTGTCCACATGGGGCACTTCGGCTGATCTCATGGCTCTCCCGACAGACGGTTTAGGGCACTGTACTCCCCAGCAGCAATGATCACCTTAGTGAAGACAGGAGTCCCCCTTATCTGTGGGGAATGCCTCTCAAGACCTCCAGTGGGTGCCTGAGACCACAGACAGTAGCAAACCCTATATACACTACGTTTTTCCCTACATGTACCCACCTATGATACAGTTTAATTGACAAATTACACACAGCAAGAGATTAACAATAACGAATGCTAAAATAGAAAAATTACAGCAAGTAATGAAATGGGAAAGGTTCCCTTGTCCCCCTCGCAGGGAGTGTGATGAGGGTGGGGCTTGCTTGTTTGGTGCCCCGCTGCTCAACGCTCTAGGGAAGCATACAGACAGGCAAGCTGTGGGGCTCAGACCCCACAGCAGTGTCTAGGGTGGACGTTTACAGCTCCTGAAGCCCCAATGGGCGTGTGTTCCAGGGCGCTCTTTGAGTTTGCCATCTATAGGCTTGTATTAATCAGCTCAGTTTGACCCTCTACCTTCTCGCAAGAACAGAGGACTCCCTGTATCGTGGGTTCTTGCCTTGGTGTACTAGAAGAATTGGATCCCACATGGGCTTGGAGAATGAGTGCAAGGTTTCATTGAGTGGAAGGAGCTCTCAGCAGATAGGGGAGCCAGAAGGGAGATGGTTTTCCCCTGGAGTCCCTCATTCTCTCCCATTCTCTTTCTCTTTCTCACTCTCTCTCTCTCCCTCTTTCTCTCATTCACACTCTTTCTCCCATTCACACTCTCTCTCTCTCTCCCTCATTCTCTCTCTGTCTCCCTCTCTCTCTCTCTCTCTCTCTCTCTCTCTCTCTGTCTGTCCCTCCTCCAGAGCTGAATTGTCTGCATGAGGACCCAGAGAAGGGGCAAAGATGCCTGGAGTGTGCCAGGAGCTTCTGCTGCAGCGTTTGCCCTGCAGGTCGGTGTCCTTGGTGACCGCAGAGGTGACCGCGCTGAGAAGAAGTGCACTGCTGAGTGCCCGAGGGGAGGAGGGGGGAGAAGGAGGCTTCCCCAGGTGGATGGGGTCAGCAGGGATCTCCAGGGAGGCCAGAGGGCTCCATGCTGGTCGCTGATCAGAGGGCTCGTTCTCCATCCCGACTCCTGGCTCACATCTTTAGTTCTTCCCAAGCAGTCACTGCTCACACGTGGCACTGGCCCCACCGCCTCCAGCACCACCCACTGATGCTCCTGCGGCCTCCTCGCCATGAGGGCAGATTCCCCAAGGGCTGTGACACTGCGGTGCTGTGCAGGGTCTTCCTGTCTCCCTCTGCAAAACGCACCCATCGTGAGTCCATCCACTGGGGAGATGTTCAAAAGCAGGCCGGACTCATAAACTGGGGCGATAACAGCCAGACGGGCTTTTCCTCGGAAGGATGGGAGGTTAGGCAAGGGGACCTTCAATGGACTCTTGCTTCCCATGCAGCACGTGGCTATGGCTGTGTGCAGGGCCCCCGGGCTGCAGGGGCAAATGAGAGGGGTGGGCTGCACCCCCCACGAGGTACAGGAGACACAAGGGGCAGCTCTGTGAGGCTGCAGGGTAAGGGGGCTCAGGCAGAAGGAACTGAGCAGCCCAGGGGGTGAACTGAGAAAGAGAGATCCCCGGCCCTCTCCTCAAAAGAAGATGCAATGTCGTGAGAAAGAGGCAATTCAGCAGATCCCAGGGGGTTTGCGACACCAGATGAAGCCCTCCCACTCACAGTCAGCCACGCCCCTGTGATTTCTCAGAGTTGACCTGCTTTTGCTTCATTTCAGGATACCCCCGTGTTGCTCCTTTTGACTCTGCAAGAAGGTAAACTGCACTGAAATGGGGTGAAGAGTAAATACCAACCCATCTGTCACATGCAGGAGGCGGAGCCACAGGCCCAGGAGGCCCTGAGCGCCTCAGAGGGAGGGAGGTCATGCTGTCATGGGAGGGTGACAAGCCATGCGGTGGGGGCTACACAGGGTCCCTCCAAGGCTGAGAGGGTGGAGAGTCTGCTGGATGAGAGAAGTCCCTGACCTTGTCCATCCTTTCAGGTCACACCCGATGAGCCCCTGCCCACACCAGGCTCTGTAATGCCCACCTGGTGAGCCCCTGCCCACACCAGACTCCATAGTTCACACCCAGTGAGCCCCTGCCCACACCAGACTCTGTAGCGCACACTTAGTGAGCACCTGCCCCGTGTCAGGCTCCACACCCCTTTGACATCAGCCTCTGGCCATGTGGTTGTTTCTCCATCAACTCCTTGAAGTCCTGCCTGGTTCCCTTCCTGAACTGCAGTGGGAAGGGATGTGCCCATGTGGCCAGGTGGGCTTTGCCCCGTGCCTCTCCTGGGAGCACATTCTGTCAGCACGCACCTGCTTATTCTTAAGAAAGCCAGGAAGCAAGCCTTCACTAAGCAGCCTCTGAAAGCTGCGTCATGAATCAATTCCGCTTGGGGTGTTTTAGAAGGATTTTGCATCTTCTGATAAGATTGTATTTCTAAATCTCTTTCAGTACCGCACACCTAGCCCCTTGCCTAGACCTTCCACGGCGATTATGTTGAGGAAATGGGCATTATCTCCATCTGTGTTTGAATGAACAAGGGCTAGCACCAAGCATCCTGATGGAACTTCATCCTCTCCGTACTCATCTCCCACTTACTCTCCCTCCAGTCAATATCCCAAGGTGTGACTGTGGCCTAGTAGCCATATGAGTGCTGGGCCAGGGATGCCAGGCAAGGTGGGCAGGGGAGCAGTGCTGTGGCTGAAGCCCAGGTGCATTGGTGTCATACAGACTCAAGCCTGTGTTCAAATCCCAGCTCTGCCACCTTCTGGCTTTGGGGCCGCCATAGGCAGCTCTTCCAGTGTGCTGAGCCTCAGTTTCCCCCTCTGGAGGATGCCGTTGCTAGAAAGCACACCATGGCACGATGGTTCAGAGGCCCCAGCCCAGCACCTTCTGCTCAGCATCCCTGTGCTCACCAGGCACAGAGCACCATGGCACTCTTATGTGGTTAACAAACAGCAGACTGTGGGGTTATACAGGCAGCTCTGTAGCTACAAATCACCAAGGAGAGGCTGAGGCCCAGCACAGCCCTGAGGCTGGACACCCACCAGCATGGACCTCATCGACTTGCTCTGAGGATCACATGATATAAGAAATGTAAAATGCTTCATTGAGTGCCCGGTACATAATAAAATCTTGATAAATATCAACTATTAGGAGTAACAGCCCACATTTATAGAGTGCTTATGTGCATTAGCCACTGTTATGAGAACATTAGGGTGACTAACTCATGGAATCCTATACCATCCCCAGAATGTAGGCGTCCCCATGTCAGGAGGAAACAGAGCACAGAGATGTGAAGTTATTGCCAAGAGTCACACAGCTCTCATGGTGGCCCCAGGATGGGAGCCCAGGCAGCCTGGCTCCTGAGGCCACATTCTTAGCCACTGGGCTGGCAGCTGCTTCAAACATGGATGTTATTATTTCCACCATCATCGGTGGACTTGAGTTCCTGAAGGGCCTGTACTATGCCTCCATAGCCCTCCTCCAAGGAGCAAGTGTGCAAGAGGTGCCTGCTGCATAAATTCTGCCAATGAAAATGTCTAGAGATGAACTGCCTCTTGGCTCTGAGGTCATCAACCCTGACACACCAGCAGGTGGGTAGGGTTAGCAGTGAGCTCCCCCGGCACCCGCCAGTGCCTGGAATAAATCCAAACAAAATGATAAGTGGCTGGTACGTTGCACTCAGACCCAAGAACAAAGTATCAGCCTTATCCATGGGAAGTGGGCTTGCGTGGAGAGCTTTTTCCAAGGTGCAGGCAGCCCAGGGTCTACCTGTAGCTTGTGAGGCAGACGTGACTCTGTGGATTTAAGTGTCCTCTCGCTGGCCTTCCTCCAAACTCCAGGGAACCTCAAGAAAAACTGGTGCCCTTGCTGCTTCAGGGCTGCCAGTATCTAAGGTGTCTGCAAGTGACACTGCTCCAGGATGCCACATCCCTACTGGCCATTCAGCAGCCAGACTCGATGTGTGAGGTCCTCTCCAACATGATGGAAGCAGAGCCCTGCCCTTCCTCACTGGGCTGGCAGGACCCTCTTCTGTGCTGACTGCAGAGCTTGCAGCTCTCACGGCCAGCTACCGGCAGCCAGCATGACAGACCAAGGCCCCCGAGCTGGGAGGAGAAGTCTTTGCAGGCACGTGTGCACACACATCACAAATGCACACACACACATGCATATGTACACACATGTACATATTCATGCAGACACAAGCACACACATGTGCACCGCACACCTATATGGATATGCACATGCACACAACACAGGTGCACGCATGTACACATGTGAGCACATATATGCACATGCACACATATATCTACATGTATACACACACACACACACACACACACACACACACCAAAGCTAGGAGAGAGGCTGGAAGAGATTCTCCTTTGCAACCCTCAACAGGAACCAGCTCTGCAGACACCTTGATTTCAGACCTCAGAACTGTGAGGGGACGCATTCATCTGGCTCTGGGTCCCCCTGTTTGGGCTACTTTCTTAGCGTGTCTCTAGCAAACCCAAGTGCTAAACCTGGAGACCACGTGCTGGAGGTGGCGGAGCCTCCCTCAGCCTGGGGCCCTGACTGGCTGTGTGGCACAGAGCACCCCAGCGACTCCTTCCAAGAGGACCAGTGTAAGCAGGAAACAAACCTAATGAGGCTGAGGCCTTGAGGATGCTGGGCTTGTCAGGAGGTAGCTGCTAGCATGGCTCCCATCAGAAGAGGGGTGGGGTGGAGAGAGGCAGGCGGGACACTCAGGCCAGCTGCAGCCTAGAACCAGAAGGAATGAAATCGGTAGCAGAGGAGACACAGAGACAGGGTTGACAGGAGGGATGCATGGGGCCAGCATTTGGTGCTGAGAGGGAAGGTCTGGAGAACAGACCTACAGGGGAGAGTAACACCGGAGGCAGCAAACTCCAGGCCCAGCCCCCCAACTCCCACCCTGCCACACCTGCAGCTCCTGGAAGCTCTGATGATGGGTCCATGGGCTCTGAACCAAGGGGGTGGGTGACTCCTGCCTGGATGCTCCCCCTTCCTGCCAGTCTCACTCCACAGCCCTTCCTTTCCCCGACAGCATAAGGTCAACCAGGCTGCAGCTTTTCTCACCCTGAAGAGCCATGCCCGCAGGTCCGCAGCAGGGCTGGCAGCAGCAGGGGGCTTCATCTCAGAGCCCGGACGCTTCTCCAAGGCCTCACCTGAATTAGTCCAGCCTCTTCCCTGTGTTCCCCCAGCCCTGGGGGCTGCAAGCAGCTTCTGCATTCACTTTCTTCTCTGTTTGCCTTCCTGTTACTGAGGAACAATTTTTATACCTAGTTAACTATTTTTTTCTTTTTCTTTTTCTTTTTCTTTCTTTTTTTTTTTCTTTTGAGATGGAGTCTTTCTCTGTTGCCCAGGCTGGAGTGCAGTGGTGCGATCTCGGCTCACTGCAAGCTCTGCCTCCCGGGTTCATGCCATTCTCCTGCCTCAGCCTCCCGAGTAGCTGAGACTACAGGCGCCCGCCACCTCACCCAGCTAATTTTTTGTATTTTCAGTAGAGACGGGGTTTCACCGTGTTAGCCAGGATGGTCTCGATCTCCCAATCTCATGATCCGCCTGCCTCGGCCTCCCAAAGTGCTGGGATTACAGGCATGAGCCACCGCGCCTTGCCTTCTTTTTCTTTTTTGAGACAGAGTTTCACTCTTGTTGCCCAGGCTGGACTACAATGGCATGATCTCAGCTCACGACAACCTCCATCTCCCAGGTTCAAGCAATTCTCCTGCCTCAGCCTCCCAAGTAGCTGGCATTACAGGCATGCACCACCATGCCCAGCTAATTTTGTGTTTTTAGTAGAGACGGGGTTTCTCCACGTTGTTCTCAAACTCCCGACCTCAGGCAATTCACCCGCCATGGCCTCCCAAAGTGCTGGGATTACAGGCATAAGCCACCAAACCCAGCCCCTAGTTAACTATTTTTTTAATATTAAATGATTTCCATTGAAACGTCCAGTGGGATTTCCGTCTCTGGGAGAAGATGTGCGCGGTGTAACCAACAGTTGTGATTTCTGCTGGCTTGGCAGCCACTGGCCCTGCCTCCAGAAACACCTGGTGGTTGGTTGGCCCCAATCCCTCTCTAAGTAAGTCATGGGGAGAGGACACCACCTGACCCCACCTGACCCAGCAGACACACCCACACCGCATCCACTCACATCAGCCTGAACCAGGTTGGTGCCCATCAACCCCAGGATGCAGCTCGAGCTGTGGAGGAAAAAGAGCCCTTTGGTCCCTGGGGCTGCTCCAGATGCAGGAGCGAGCCTGACGCCAGTGGGGCTGCCACAGAGAGCAGAGGACCAGGCCCACGGGTTGTCTTGGTTTGAGCCCAAATCCAGCCACACTCATATGTGAGTCAGTATAGCCCCTTCCTGGCTTCAGTCAGTCCACATGGTGTTCCCATCGGTTGAAGCCAAGACAGTCTAGCTCTGGGACTGAGTGAGCAGTGGCTGGGGTGGCCTGGGACGCTGGGTGCAGGGACCGGGCCACCTGCCAGCAGGACTTCTCAGAAGCACTCTGGTTTCCTCTTCCTTATTAGCTAGAGGTGACCCCATGGAGCCCCCATCTCCTCCGCCCCAGGCAGGAATTGCTCCTCAAGGGCAATTTGCCCCCCACCCCCGCCTGGCTGCTCTGGCCTTAGCTGTGCATTTGCCTCTTGGGTGTAGTTGCTCATTTGTGTCAATAACAGGCTTGACTTCCAAGCCTCCTGCCGCTGCCTTCCGGGCCCCACCTACCACTTCCCAGGGCTATTTTGGGTGGGTGTGTGGGCCCCTAACTGTGACTTCCAGCCCCGCCAGTTGACACAGACTCCTATTTTCCAAGCCAGCAAAGGGAGGCCAGGCTTCACATCACCCTTGAACACTTGACACAAAAACATGGTTCTAGAAACAATCCCAGAGGCAACAAGCTCTTCCTTGGACCTCAGGCAGGACCCAGTAAAGACCTGGCTCGATGGTGAGATGCTGCCTGGAGATGCAGGTTGGAGGGAGGGGTCCTCAGAGCCCTACTTGGCCCTGCCTTTCCAGGTGGTCTCACCTGTGTCCCTGCAGAATGGTGAGCTCACCCCAGGAAAGGAGGTACTGCCTGGACCACTGCCCTCGGGTCAACTCTCCATGATACCCACTCATGCGGATGCCTCTTCTTCCCTCACATCCAGTGCATCACTGAGTGGTGGCCGAACCACTTCCAAATACTTCTAGAATCCCCACTTCTGGCTCCACTAGAGCTCCACTGCCGCTCTGCCCTGAGCTTCCGTCAGCTCTCCTGGACCCTGACAACCCAGGGGCTACTCTCCTGCTTGCCCTCTGATCCCTGTGCACGGGGTTGAAGGGTGTCTTCCCAGATTCGTGCCCACCCAGAACCTTACCATGTGAGTTTATTTGGAAATAGCGTCTTTGGAGATGTAATTAGTTAAGATGTGGTTATATCATCCATTAGGATGGGCCCTAAATACAGTAGCTGATGTCATTCTTTTTTTTTCTGTTAAATTAACAGAATATTTATTTTTTAATTGATTAAACTTGGTGATTACTATTTTTAAACTACAGATCTCCTTCTTTTTTTTTTTAATACTTTAAGTTCTGGGATACATGTGCAGAACGTCCATGTTTGTTACATAGGTATACACGTGCCATGGTGGTTTGCTGCCCACATCAACCCATCATCTACATTATGTATTTTTCCTAATGCTTTCCCTCCCAAGTCCCCCACCCCGCAACAGACCCTGGTGTGTGATGTTTCCCTCCGTGTGTCCAATATGTTCTCATTGTTCAACTCCCACTTGTGAGTGAGAACATGCGGTGCTTGGTTTTCTGTTCCTGTGTTAGTTTGCTGAGAATGATGGTTTCCAGCTTCATCCATGTTCCTGCAAAGGACATGAACTCATCCTTTTTTATGGCTGCATAGTATTCCATGGTGTATATGTGCCATATTTTCTTTATCCAGTCTATCATTGATGGGCATTTGGGTTGGTTCCAAGTCTTTGCTATTGTGAACAGTGCTGCAATAAACATAAGTGTGTATGTGTCTTTATGGTAGCATGATTTATATATGTATATCCTTTGGGTATATACCCAGTAATGGGATTGCTGGGTCAAACGGTATTTCTGATTCTAGAACCTTGAGGAATCGCCACACTGTCTTCCACAATGGTTGCATGAATTTACACGCCCACCAACAGTGTAAAAGCATTCCTATTTCTCCGCATCCTCGCCAGCATCTGTTGTTTCCTGACTTTTTAATGCTCACCATTCTAACTGGCATGATTCTATGAAAGAGATGCAGACACAGATAAATACGGAGGTTAGACGGCCATGGCATGATGAAGGCAGAGCGGAGAGATGCAGCTACAAGCCAAGGAAGAGTGAGAGTTGCTGCCCTCCACCAGAAGCTGGAAGCAGCAAGGAGAAATCCTTCCCTAGAGCCATAGAAGAGAGTGCAAACCTGCAGCACCTTGAATTTGAACTCCTGGCTCCAAAACTGCGAGAGAATAAACTTCTGTTCTGAGCCTGTGTGTGGCCATTTGTCACAGCAGCCACCAAATACTAATACAGTTTGTAACCTGTCTTCACTTGGAAGGAGACTGAACTTTACACAATGCAAATCATCCCCTTTCCCTTTCTGCTCAGAAATCATTTCATTTCATATAAAATAAAAATCCTTAATGCGGTCAGTCTCCAGGCCAGGACTGGCCCCACGTGCCTCCCTAGCCTCCTCTCAACCTACTGCCCGGCCCCCTACAGAAGCAGCATGAATGGGAACACTGTTCCCTCTCCTCTTAGTCAAGCAAACTCTAATTCATTCTTTCTCTCTTTTACACAATTTTAGTTATGAAAAACTTAAAACATAAAAAAGACAGACACCATGCACCTGCACCCTGTGTGCGACCTATGTCACTATGTGTGTACTTCCGACCCATTTTTTTTTTTTTTTTTGAGACAGAGTCTCGCTCTGTCTCTAGGCTGGAGTGCAGTGGCACGATCTTGGCTCACTGCAACCTTCGTCTCCCAGTTTCAAGCGATTCTCCTGCCTCAGCCTCCTGAGTAGCTGGGATTACAGGTGCATGCCACCATGCCCGGCTAATTTTTGTATTTTTAGTAGAGACAGGGTTTTGACATGTTGGTCAGGCTGGTCTCAAACCCATTTTTTAAATGAATATATTGCAGAAAGAGTTGGGTCTCTAGGTGCCAGCTCTCTGCCCCACCTGAGATTGGAATTTCCTCCCATCCATGTTTTGATTCATGCTCTCTGTCTCTCTCCTCTACTTCCATCTTTTTTCTCCCTCTCTCTTTTCTCTTTCTTTTTCTATACACACACACACATGCACACACACACACACACGCACACACAAGCAGATAATATATGGTATTGTTAGAAGTACTTATAGGTTTACACAAATAACATTATTATGTTATTTATCTTCTTGTAATTTGCTTTTATGTCAATATTATTAATTCTGAGATCCATCGTGTTGGTAAATATCGATGGAATGTATCCATTTTAACTGTGGTATGACATGACACCCCACTGGGGAACATGCATCATGTGTTTCCGCAAACTCCTCTCCACTTCACACCAGCCCACATGAGCACAACAGTACTGCAGCGAATACTCTTTTATGTGCCTTTGTGCAGGTGTGTGAATGTTTCTCTAGTTATATCCCAGGAGTGATGTCATGAGCTGTGGAATGTGAGTATTTCCAATTTTACTGAATATTGTCAAATTACTCTCCTAAGGGTTGTAGCAATTTACACTTCCAACAGCAGTGGATTCTTTCATTCATGCCTGCACTCACTCATCCCAAAAGTATATTTGGTGAACACCTACTTTGTGCAGGCACAGCTCTCAGCACTGGGGACACAAACACAGTGCTCTGTTGTCCAGAACTGTGGTGGATGCTGGGTTAGGTTGTCTGGATGCAAGACCTAACTCGACAACTGATTAATAGGACAGCCTTGGGTGAGTTATACAACATCTTCATGCCTCTGTTCCCTCCTCTGTAACATCTGATAAAGTTGAAAATACATAGATATAGATCAATGTACAGATATGCATACATAATCAGATATAAATATAGATATAGATATACACAACCCAGTATAGATTTAGATATGCACATAGACATAAATATAGATACAGATAGAGCTACACGAATAGGCATGCAACTAGGTATTCGTGCAGATGGGCACAACTGAATATGGATATAAATACACACACAGGCATAGATATGCACAACCAAGAACCAGGCTCCTCTGTGCCTCAGTTTCCCCTCTTAGAGTAAGTACTCCAAAGTTTGATGAGGAGGAGGATGTGATAATGTATGTAAAGCACTTTTTCAGTACCTGGCACAGACAGTGCTTATACTGGTAGCTATGATTATTTTCCTGTGTCAATATCCTGCCACCAAAACCTCCAAGAACACACTTTTAATGTCAAACAGAGTTAAGTTTACTGTCTCATTGCAATGCAGGAGACCACACACCATGGAAAGCCATGGAGCGTCTTCATAACAGCGTGTTACAAAGAACTGATTAGATATTTGACCTTGTATTAGGTAACTTGGGGAAGGATAGAACTGATTAGAGCTTTGGCCTTCTATTAGGTGATTTGGGGAGGAAAGAATTGATTAGAACTTTGACATTGTATTAGGTGATTTGGGGGAGGAAAAAACTGATTAGAGATTTGACCTTATATTAGGGGATTTGGGGTTGAAAGAACTGATTAGAGCTTTGACCTTGTATTAGGTGATTTGTGGGAGGAATTTGGAACTTTGCCCTGGATTGGATGCTGTCAAGAAGTGGAGATAATTTAATAATTGGATATCTTAATATTTGCATGGAGAAGGCCAGAACAATGGAGTGAGGACAAAGCTGCAATTGGTAAGGAATTAGCTGTCATTCATATTGGTCAGGTCAGGGGGATTGGTTATTCTGTGGATTGGACATTTTTGGCTGTGCTCTGACATGGTGGCCTTGTCAGATATTAACACGCTGTTAAACCATTTCTAATCAACAGAATACGAAGGCCTACCCCACACAGCCAGGCCAGCTCCCAGCTGTTGGGAGCTCTTGGTCATTTACTCAGCTGCTAGACAGACTTTCTGACTTGGATGCTTGGTCAAGGAGCTCCTGCATCTGATGATAGCTGGCCATCCTTGGCTCCTTTGCCTGCCTATGTATTTATCCTTCCTACAGGTTGGACCCGGCTTCCTGGGCTCAGCTCCTTGTCTTGGCCATGATTCTCAAGGAAAAGGCTCCTCAGCACCCTTGGTGGGAACAGATTGCATCTTCCTTCCTCAAACTCAGAGGCCAACCACAGGCAAGGAGATGAGCAGGGCCCTTCCTCAGCCCTGTCCACCCCAGAATTTGGAAAGCAGAGAAGACCATTCAGTGCATCTGGCCAGTGTGTGAACGGAGTGAGCTGAGTGTCTGGGAGGCAGTGTGGTCTCCTGGGGAAGGTTCAGGCCGGGAGCCAGAGTGCCTGGCATAAATCTTGACTCAGTGTATTCGTTCATTCTCACACTGCTATAAAGAACTTCCCTGAGAGTGAGTGAGTAATTTGTAAAGGAAAGAAGTTTAATTGACTCACAGTTCTGCATGGCTGGGCATACCTCAGGAAACTTACAATCATGGTGGAAGGCGAAGGAGAAGCAAGTACTTTCTTCACAAGGCAGCAGGGAGAGAGGAAGGAAAGAGGAACTTCCAAACCCTAATAAACCATCAGATCTTGTGAGAACTCACTCACTGTCCGGAGAACAGCATGGGGGAAACGGCCCCATGATCCAAACACCTCCCTCCCTCGACACATGGGGATTGCAGGTCTCTCCCTTGACAGATGAGAATTGCAATTCAAGATGAGATTTGGGTGGGGACACAGAGCCAAACCATATCAGTCAGTGACTGTAGTGAGCTAGTGCCCCCCCACAGTCCATGTCCATCTAGAGCCCATGAATGTGACCTTATTTGGAAATAAAGCCTTTACAGATCCAATTAAGTTAAGATAAGGTCCTAGTGGATTAGAGTGAGCCCTAATTCAGTGACTGGTGTCCTTGTGAGGAGAGGAGAGACACACAGAGGCACGGAAGAAATGGCCGTGTGCTGTTGGAGGCAGAGACTGGGGTGATGCATCTAGAAGCCAAGGATGGCCAAAGAGGGCCAAGGACGGCCTGCAGCAATGGAGCCTGGGAGGCTGGGGACTGAGTCTCCCACATAGCCTGAGAAGGAGCCCACCCTTCCTTCCCCATGACCTCAAACTTCAGGTCTCCAGAACTGCAAAAGAATATGTTTCTGTTGTTTTAAGATCACCCAGTTGGTGGTGACTTGATAAGACAGCCACAGGAACTCGTACAGTGACCTTGAGTTTCCCTTCTGCCGCCTACACCCCTCAGAGTGCAGGGCCGAGACCCTCGCCAACGTGGCCTCCCTTCCTGGCTGGGCTCCGGCCCTCTCCTCGCTCATGGCTATTGTTCCAGCATCTGCGTCTGGCTGCAGTGGACCGCCGGCCGATGCTGCTCAGCGCATCAAACAGCCACTGGGTAATGACTATCATTATGTAATTGTGGTGTCACTGAGGCTGGTGATTTGTCATTGTTAATGTTTATGAAGTGCTCAGTCCGTCTGCAGAAAATGATAATAATAAAAAATAGGAGTAGATCCCCTCTGACAGCCCCAGGCCAGCACCAAGCAGAGAGCCCAGGGAGGAAGGCACGCACGCAGGGGTGTCCGGGTGGGATGGGAGGTGACATTACTAAAGGCTGGCAGGTTACTAAAGATCTCAGCCTGACATTCTCAGTGCCTTCAAATAACCACCCCTAAAGACACTCAGAAAATGCTCATGGATATTGCCTGACAAGCTCCAGCAGAGATGAAAGAAGGTCAAGTCAGAGACCAACACTCATTACAAAGCCAGACAGCACCAGGCCAGGCACAGTAGGTGGGAAGGGGCATGTGAAATCAAGAAAGTGGACCTATTTTTTGTGTCTGCCTTAACCAAGACAAGAAGATGGGCTGGGGCTCTGCACTCCTGATTTTTACCCAGGCGTCTCCTGCCACTGGTATCTGAAGGAGGAGTGTGCAGGCTGAGCTGACCAAGGAGGCTTCCTCGAAGAAGTGGGGTTACCTGGAGCCTTCAAAAGGAGAAGAAGGGAAAAGGCGAGATAGTTTTCATTCCCCTAACACATGCGAGGGCATGATGAGTCTATTTCCACTTTCCCCTTTGTAAGGGAGGGTTACAATGACCATTATAACATGAGGCCTCACAGGCTGCTGTCGGATAAGAGGCCCTCAGCGGGTTTCCCAGTATTCTCCTGGGGACAATTTCAAAGCAAGCCTGAGTTTCGCTGTGGCTTTCAGAGATGACATCCATCAGGCAGCCCTCTCCACCCCCAAGGTGGCCTCTGCGGCGTCTTACGTGGGGCTCTGGCCGGCTTCCTTCAGGCTCAGGAATCATCTCTCCTCAGCCCCTCGGCCTTCGGAGCCACCCCTGCCAGCCTGCAGGGATGCTGCAAACGGAGCCATGGGCAGGGCTGTAAACCTCTGCAAGATTTGTGACTTCAGCCTGAAGTCAGTGGACTAGGAGAAAACGGAACTTGAAAGAGACATGAGCTGATGCAATCAAGCGGGCTGTGCCATGATCTGAAGTAGGTAGTTCCCCTGAATGCTAGTGAAGGTTCACTAGGACCCTGGATGGACGGGGCTAACTCAAGAAGGGAAAATGCTGTTCTGGGTGTCTTCCGTCTGGACTCAGAGTTTCTGCCATGAATAAGATGACTCGAGGGGCTGCGCCTTGAGGATGATTCACTGTGTTCATGTTTAGGATCATCACGGAAAGCAGGGAGGTTCCAGATTCCACGGATTCTAGTTGGATGGAGTGGATGCAGTGAACCCCATGATTCCAACCCCTCCATCCCAGTCACTGTCTCTAATACAGACCACCCAGGTGGGGCAGGGCCTCATTAAGGCAGGTACCTGAGCTCTCAGAGCCTTGATGTCCACAAGTGCAGGGAAACCACTGACCCCCAGAAGAGACCATCAGCCCCTTCCCCAGAGCTCTCTCATGGCACCTGCTCAGTTCAAACAAAAGCATAACTCTGGACTCACTAAGGAGAGACTGGATTCAGAAGAATTCTTGCAATAGGGAGTGGGAACCATTGCAACAGGGGAGGGGCCATTGCAGTGGGGGAGGGGCCATTGCAGTGGGGGAGGGACTACTGCAGTGGGAGAGGGGCTATTGCAGTGGGGGAGGGGCTATTGCAGTGGGGGAGGGGCTACTGCAGTGGGAGAGGGGCTACTGCAGTGGGGAGGGGCTATTGCAGTGGGGGAGGGGCTACTGCAGTGGGAGGGGCTACTGCAGTGGGGGAGGGGCTATTGCAGTGGGGCTGCTGCAGTGGGGGAGGGGCTATTGCAGTGGGGGAGGGGCTACTGCAGTGGGGGAGGGCTGTTGCAGTGAGGAGAAGGCTCCCACCATGAGACCTGAAAGCATCCCAAAAGTTAGGCAGAAAGAGGCTTTTCTTTATGGGATTAGAAAGGACTGGTGTGGGAGGTGAGAAGAAAAGGTGGAGGTGGCTCAGTGGGACAATGGATCAGAGAACATTTGACCCTGAGGCCAGCCTGCTTTCAGACCGGATGGCCGTCTATGGGTTCAGGCTGAGGGTAAGCCAGAGTTCAGGGCCTGGGGTGGGAGAGAAGCAGAACTGTTTCACTAACAAGCATTTTGTTCCAATTATCAGTGGGGACAAAACAGTTCCACTAATCATCTGTGAGGCAAAGAAATGGAATTCAGAGGGGCTGTGTCTGGACTTGTCCTGGGTAAACTGGTGGGGGTGTCTGTGAGCCTCACCTAGGTTATATGAGGAGGGATGGTCTTTGCAGGGAGCTGTTCTGAGGAGCGCAGTGGGTCACAGGCTCCTGAGCAGTGGCTGTCAACCAGCACCACAGGCCTCGGATGAATTCACCATGGTCATTGGCCTGCGGCACAGCCTGGACCTGCTGCAGAAGCATGCCTTGCTCTGGGCTCTGCCCACCGAGATTCGTGCGCCTTTCTCAGTGGTAAGAGGTTTGAGGTGCCCTCACCTATTTTTGATTTTGGAGGGGATGCCTTGACATGGCCCAGACCTCTGGATCCCTGAAATCTTCACTGACAGGCCCAGCCCTGGAGTCTTTGTTGGGTTTAGCTCCTGCCTTTGGAACGTGAGTGTCTCACCAAAGCCTCTAACGTACCAGCTGCTCCTTCCTCGCTGCTCCATTCACGTGATGCCGCCATAGGGTGAGCACACACACTGTTCTGCAAGGTGCCCAACCAGCCCAGCCCTCCCCTCTCGGACCATGCAGAGGTCAGCATGAGAGAAGGCATGTGGCCCTGGACCAGGACCAGGCCCTGGACCAGGAACTGTCCTTGGCTGATGGGAGCCGCCTTACATGAGGGCAGGTCACCCCCTCCTGATTCCCACTCCAGGGCTCCCTGGAGGACAGACTGAGGCTCTCTCCTGAAGACACCACCTCTTCCTCAGCCCCTGCCCTGCCATCTCCTCCCCATCCATCCTTCCCTTGCAAGCAGGGCCCCGGTCAAAGGCACCTGAATCCCTGAGAGGCTGGCTCCGAGGGGGATTCTGGAGTTGGACCCCCCTACCTGGGGCAGGCAGGACCATCAGGAAGGGGAGGCACTGAGAGTCCCTGGCGGGCAGTAAGCGAGGCCACACTAGGGCAGGTCCACATGGCCCGGGTACCAGGTGAGTGGCTACTAGTTGCCAAGTGCGTTCTTGTCTACCTATCAGGTGGGATCAGAGCCGCCTGAATCCGCGGGGACACACAGCAGTCTACCTTCCCGGTCCAGGCTGTGTTACTTCTCTCGCCTCCATCTCTGCACAGTCCCAGAGGAGAGGGCTGGGCTGCCCCTGAGAAGGCTCAGGAATGGGGCACTGGCCTGCTGGGGCGTGAACAGCGTGTGCTACAAAAACACACATTCTTCCTTCAAAGCATCACAGGGCTCTCGGAGAGCTGTGACCGACTACCAACCCAGGGCAGCTGCCCAGCCTTGCCTCAGCAACAGTGTCCAGCCTCGGTGCTGCTTCCCCAGGGCTGGAGCATGGACATTACTTGGAATCTGGGGCTCAGCCATGTACTTTCCACATAGGGCCATGGAAGGCAGGTCGCCAGAGGCCGTCCAGGTGCTGGCTGTCAGACAAGAGAAGGTAACACACAGGATTGATATGTTTAATCTAATGCAGGGACTTTTCACTGTGGGAGGGATGATGCTGCATTTATCAGGATTAGACAGCTCTCCAGCGACGGAGCTATCCACATCTCCCCTGCCTTTCATGTGAGGGTTGTGTTATTAAATACAGGCCCCTGCCGCATGCCACATGCCGCTTTCTCAAAGAAAAATGTGTGTGCTTGACATGGCTTCTCAGAGTCCAGCACAGGGCCTCTGACCCTTTCAGTCGGCAAACAAAGGCCTCCCTGCGGAGTGGTGCCCGGCCCGGCTCTCTCCTTCCACCTTTCCATCTTCAGTCTTTACAAAATGTTTGGAGGAGTAAAGAAAGTCCCCTCTGACCAGGCACAGTGGCTCACACTTGTAATCCCAATACTTTGGGAGGCCAAAGCCAAAGTGGGAGGATGGCTTGAGCCCAGGAGATCAACACCAGCCTGGGCAATGTAGTGAGACCCCATCTCTACCAAAAATACAAAAATTAGCTGGGCATGGTGGTGTGTACCTGTAGTCTTAGCTGCCTGGGAGGCTGAGGTGGGAGGATCACTTGAGTCTGGGAGGTCAAGGCTACAGTGAACTGTGATTGTGCCACTGCACTCCAGCCTGGGCAAGAGAGCAAGACCCTGTCTCAAAATTTAAAAAGAAAAGAGTCACCTCTGACTCTTCTGCATGTTTGCAGGAGGGCCAGGCATTCCCAGAAATGCATCCCCCACTTCTTGCCATGAACCACTAAGGTAAACAGGGCAGCGGGAGCTTTTAAAGCCACACACATGACCTCACAGATTTGAGGCTGAGATTCCAGGAAACAGCAGCAATGTAAGGACTCAAGGGCCATGTAGGGAAGAAAACTTGCATGACACTCAAACTGCTCAAAGGGTAGCTGAATGTGCCCCGTCTTCCCCCAGGTCCCACCTGAAATTTTTGTGTCAAGATCAGTTGAATGTGCTTGATAAAATGCAGATTCCTGGGCCGCACTCCAGGCCTCCTACATCAGGATCTCTGAGGGCAAGGCCCAGGCATCTGCATTTTAAATAAGCCCCCAAGATGATTCTGGTGTAGCCCAGTTTGAAAGTTAATGGCCTCCACCAATGTGGATGGGAGGGGACAGTCCTCCAAGCCATAAAAGCCCTCCTGGCTCCTCACTCAGCTCAATGCCCTGGGGTGCAGGCTCCTGATTCAGTTCCAAGATCTTGCAGAATAAACCTGTGGCCTTTTCAACTGGAAGTGAGGGCCTTCCACCCATTTCCTGATTCCATCTCTGCCCTCGCCTCATTCTTCAAACACCCACTGAGCTCCAGCTGGTGCCAGGCCATGCAGGCATCAGGGCTACAAGAGCCCTCCTGACGTGCCCAGCCTCAGCACATGTCCTGCAGGACGTCTCAATCATCCTCCCCCCAGGGCCTGGCTTTGAAGGCAGCCTCTGATACCTCTCCCCAACTCCCTCCCCTGTGGCCTCCATCCCTTTCCTTAAAAGTTATCTGCTTCTCTCCACCTGACTTCGAGGCTGCTGCCCCATCCCTTCCCTTCCCCTCACCACTGAGGTCCTTGAGAACCCATCTCTGCCTGCTGTATCCAGGTCTTCTCCACCCATCACCGAACACTCCCACCTCGGGAGCCAAAGCCCTTTCTCAAAGACGACCAGTGACCACTGGATTAGGTTTCTGGGCTGCCCTAATTCCCATAAACTGAGGCCTTAAAATACTAGACATGTACTTTCTCACACTCCAGAAGGCCAGAAGTCCAGTGGAAACTCAGAGGAAGAATCCATCCCCTGCCTTTCCCCAGCTGCTGGTGGCTCCCACCATCCATGGCATTCCATGGCTTGTAGATGTCTCACCCCCATCTCTGCCTTCGTCTTCATGTGGGCTTCCCCTCTGTGTGTTTCTGTGTCCTTTTCTGTATCTCATAAGGACACTCCCATTGGGTTCAGGGCCTACCCTAATCTAGCGTGACTTCATTTCAAATCTTTATTGGTATCTGCAAAGCCCCTATTTCCAAATAAAGTCTGTTCTTGTGATAGTGAGTGAGTTCTCACGAGATCTGATGGTTTTATAAGGAATCTGAGGTTCCAAGGAATCGTGGATTTTGGGAAGATGCTATTCAGCTGAATGTCAAAAGCCCCTGGGCCCTCTGGACCTGTGGCCACCCCCCTTTGGGCCCCAGCTCTCCAAGGACTCCCATGCACAGTGCTCCCCTGGCCTCCTAGTAACTCTCCTCACCTCCGGTCAACACCGCAGCCTCCTCTTCCTCCACCTGCTCCCCTGAATTCTGTCCTCCACCCATTTCTTGTGACAGATACCACCTCCTTGTGTGGTCTCACCACTTCTGCCCTGCCCCAAAAATGTCCTGCCAGCCCCAGGCTTCTATGTGAGGAAGCCTCCCAGACAGACCCCTTCCTGTCTTACTTCCCATCTTGCCTAAGCCTCCAAGCCTGAGCCCCTCATCTTTGCCCAAGCACTTCCCACAGGCTGTGCTCACCTCTGTCCAAGGGAATTGAGTCTGTGTTTCCAACCAGGTCACAGCCTGTGGGCTGAAAACTCTCTTCATGCTTTGAGGGAGGCATCAGGAAGCGTCCACAGGGCATAAGGTGGAGGAACAGGAGAGAGAGAGAGGCCGTGCAATGAGGCCTAGGGAGCCAGAGTGCTCTGCTCCATGGGGCCCAACAAAGGGATTCAGAGCAATGGGATGTTAAATAAAAGGGCCTCATGGCCCCTTCCCAGCACAGGCATGTCTACCCACACCAAGGGCTGTGTATTAGTCTGTTCTCACACTGCTGTGAAGAAATACCCAAGACCGGGTAATTTATAAAAGAAAGAGGTTTAATTGGCTTACAGCTCCTCATGGCTGGGGAGGCCTCAGGAGACATATAGTCATTGCAGAAGGTACCTCTTCACAGGGTGGCAGGAAAGAGAATGAGTGTCCAGGGAAGGGGGAAGCCCCTTATAAAACCATCAGATCTCGTAAGAACTCACTCACTATCATGAGGACAGGATGGGGAAACAGTCCTCGTGATACAATTATTTATGAAACCATCAGCTCTTGTGAGAACTCACTATCACAAGAACAGGATGGGGAAACAGCCTCCATGATTCAATTGTCTCCACCAGGTCCCTCCTACAACATGTGGGGATTATGGGAACTACAGTTCAAGATGAGATTTGGGTAGAGACACAGCCAAACCATATGAGGCTGGGTCTGTGAAATGTGACCCTGGAAGAAGAGGAAGGGTCACTGGAGGTCACGGGATGGGTGGGGCTCACTTGGGAGCAGACCTGGCCTGGTCCCTGTCCTGTCCCTTTCACCTGTCCTATCTGAGCAGGCTACCAGAGCCTCCTGTATTCATTTCTAGGAGGAAGTCACGGGCTCCATCCTTCTTCCCGCCTTGTGGTCTGGCCTCAGCTCCTGCAGAACTCACCCATGGGTTTTGCCTTCTTTAGGGTAACAGGAGCTAGGCTGGGGGCCCTCCTGGCTTCGACACTCCTTCATTTGCACATTCCTCTGGGCCTTTCTTTGTGTTTCGAGGCACTGTCCCTTTAGTAAAAGGATGTTTATGCTTGAATTTAAAATAATAAGCATAAAGTATATTTGAAGTAATTAAAATATATGCTAGGCCACCCCGAGTGTGGTTATGGGCCAGATCTGGAGACACTGGAGCAAACCCACCGCTGCCCCCAACAGCCTTGCAGCCCTGGGGAGCAACTTCTCCACTCTGGGACAAGTTTCTTCTTTTGTCAGGTGGGCTGATGTTAGCATCTTCCTTATGGGGTTATCATAAGGATTAAGCAAGTTAATGTTATAAAGAGCTAGGAAGCGCGTCTGGTGCGTAGGTGCCTCTAAGAGTGTGTGAAATAAATAAAACCTAATTGTCTTTGCTGTCCCACTGGTTTTAGATACCCACAATCACAGTGATACTGCACCAGTGTCCCCAAAGAAGTGACCCCATGCCCCTTCCATCTCTCCTCCCTGCCTGGCATCCCTGACCCCCTCTGCATTGTGATGCTTAACAAGACACAGCCTTGTCAGCTCAGTCATAGAGAGCTGCCCATGGCATTTAGGAAGGAAAAATAAATGGTTCTAGTCTGTCTCTCTCAGAAGTCCTGGTGTCCCCAGGGGCTGAGACGCTGAAGTGTTTCACAAGTGCTTTTTTAGGATGTGGAAACATAAACGCAAATATAGTTCATTTGACTGGAGCATGAGGGAGGCCAGTGAGGTGGAGGCTGGGTTCTAAAGCAGGAAAGGACACTTCTCTCCAGGGGTGAATGTTCAGAGGTGCCATCCCCCAGGAGCAATTCCAGCACGCAGCTGCCCCTTACCCTGCACTCAGCCCCCTCTTCCCACCCAGCCCCACATCTGCTCTCTCCCAAGTCCTTGGGGGCTTGCTGGATCTGCATAGCCCATTAGTTGCTGACTTCTGCTTCCCGAAACCGCGCTTGTCTCTCTGACTCCTCTACTCAGCATCGCCATGTGTTTGTTGAATATTTTATGCAGGAAATCACCTGCACGGCACAGTGGCAGATACAAGAGCGGACAACATATGGAGGGCCCAGCCAGGTGAAAGGCAGAGATAAACAGGGAGAAAAGGCCACAGATGACATAAGTAATGCTTCTGGACATCAGAAAGGGAAATAGAGCCACCACTGCAGAAATGTCCAATGGATGACAGAGGTCATTGGAGTGGGGAGTCAGGTAAACATGGACAATAACCTCTACTGGCCTAAGTTTCCTCACCTGTAAACTAAGAATGCTAACAAGCCTCCACATCACAGGGTAGTTATAAGGATTCAAAGAATTCATACACGTAACGACTGGCAAGAATAGTGTCAGGCATGCAGCAGGTGCTATCATTATTGTCTTCATCACTATCACCGCCACCATCATTGTCATCATCATCACCACCATCATCACCATCATCACCACCATCACCATCATCATCACCATCACTATCACCATCATCATCACCCCCATCACCACCATCATCACCATCACCATCATCACCATCATCACCACCATAATCACCATCACCATCATCAACATCATCTCTATCATCATCACCACCATCATCATCATCTCCATCATCATCATCACCATGATCATCATAACCATCACCATCATCATCACATCACTGCCATCATCACCATCACCATCACCATTATCATCACCACCGTTACCGTTGACATTACCACTAAAATCACCATCATTATCACCAACATTATCATAGTTGTTATGTCCTAGATGCTAGAGATTGAACTGGTCTCTAAAAGATGTGCTATACTGGAATAGGAAAGAGGGATGGGGAAGCACATTGGGCAGGTTAAATGAGGTAGGTATGGAATAAAGGCTGGGAAGGTGGAGGATTCCTAAAGGCCATTTAGACTAAAGGGTCAGCAGCAGAGTCTGGTGGCAAGGTAAGCTGGGGTCAACTCATATCAGCTTTGTAGGAGGCTGAAATATCTCTCTATCTCCTCCTCCTCCCCAGCCTCCCTGACTCCTAGCTTTGCCCTTCTTTTCCTCAGACCCCACACTTGGGAGGAACCACCACTCCATCTCTGGAGCCCTTCCACACCACCTTGCTGCCATGTGTAGGGACGCAACAGCAGAGGCCCACGCATTATGCCCTGGGGTCAGCCTCTTCAGGCCACCCAAGCACTCCCTCCTTTACAGGGGCATGTCCCCTCCCAAGCAGTTTTCTACCCTGCCCTCTTGGTTTAAGGGAAGGACATCCCGGGTTTCTTCTTAGAGGCTGATTGAAGAGTCCTCCTGGGTTGGTAATGAGAATGGTGTGACAGGAGCTGGCAGGCTGCAAATGCCAGGCCTCCAGCTCTGGACTACTGTAATCGGAATAACATGGGAGTTGATTTGTTCTCTCCAAAATGTACCATTATTGTTAGATTTCCCACTGGCTAGCTTTGTCAATAGTCATTTATGTCTCCTTCCCACCCTGGGGGGACTCTTGATCCTTTCTCGGGAAGGGACTCGGCATCTCCTAGCTAGGCTGTAAATGTCTCATTATGGCTCTCAGCTGCACACTTGGTCTCTTTTCTCACCCTGGGTCACATTTCATTTTGGTTTAAATAATGAAACCAGCAGACTGGAGATTAGAGCCGTTAAATGATTTTTGCTCCTAGGAAATGGATGCCTGTCCAAGATGTAAACTCACCGACAGCTGAGGGGACCCTCTGGGCTAGTGGGACTGGAAAAAATAGACTGAAGCAGCCCAGGCATGGCTCTGAGACCACTGAGTCTTAGACTTGCAGTCTGAGAGATCAGGGAGGGCCACTTCCAGGCCACATGGGTGGGGAGACAGACACAGAAGGTGCATCCAGGACACGCTCTGCCTTGATGTAAACAAGGGCTGCCAGGATGAAGAAAGACGCCTTCAACCTTCATGGCATGGCAGAAATAATCCTTGCCCCACGGCACTTTTTCAAGTGCTTTGCCAACAGCCTTCATTTGGAAGTTCACCTGGGCTTGCTTTGCTGCCTCCATTGTGCAGTTGAGGAAACCGAATACGAGAGATTCAGAGATTCCTCACTTAACTGAGATAATCAAATCCTCCCATGGCCAGGCAAGACTGCAGCCCCATGCTCTTTCCACCTCACTACCTCACTGTCTCTTTCTTCTTCCAAAGGAAAAGCCAGGAGTTGAGAGCAGTGGCATGAGAAGCTCCAGGTTATGTCTCTAGGAGCAAAATTCAGACCACTCACTGTATACTGTTCAAAGGACGACTTCATTCCTGCTCCCCTGTAGACAGAAAGACCTTCTCCCTGGGAAGCAATAGCAGTAATTCTCAGGGTCGGGTCATTCTGAACTCTCTGAGCCTCAGTTTCCTAATCTGTAAAGTCAGGATATATCACAGCCCAGCAGGACTCCGAATGTGACCAGAGTGTATGTGTGGAGGCCTCTGAGCCACGGCTATCATTAGGATTGCAGCAAGGAGAAAGGCTGGCCTCTCTGAGCCACCTTCTGCTCACTTCTCCTCTGAACAGCTCAGGACAAAAAGAGCTGGAGGGAGTAATTATGTTTGTGCTGCTGGAGTGGGCTCCTGTGCAGGGTGGGGGGGGCATCACATTTTGCCAGCACTCCCCATAGATGGGAGAATGTACCCTGTGACTTAGAAACCTTAAGAGAAAATAAGCATCGTCTCACCCTCAGAAGGATGTGATGTGAAGCAGAGGGCATGTTCCATTAAGCCAACTGAAAGCAGCATGTTCCAAGCCACTACCAACAGGCACAAGAGCAGAGAGCTGGGTCCCCACTTCTCAGGCAGTCAACCCTGTTTTGGCCACTCAAGGAGCCCTGCTCACTCAGACCACAACCTACAAGGGCCACAAGGAAGAGGAAAGCCTGGCTGCCCACTAGGGCTGGCCCACAACAGAGGTTCTCATCCCTTCTCCCCCTACCTCTCCAACACTAGGTACTGGATCCCAATCCCCTCTCAAAGCCAATCCCTCCCTCCTCCCAACTAGCCTCCTTTTGCCTTAGGCCCCTGGCTTGGCTGAACCCTGGGGCTCCAGATGGATGTCCCTCTCCAGTTCCAGCACTGATGCTTAGTCAGCTCTAGCCCAGACAGCCAAGGGCTCCCAAGAGCATGGCACCCAGACACATCAAGAGCCTTATTGATGGGGTGCTGTTCTCAGTGCTATGGCTGAAGCATGGAAGGCAGGGCTGGTTCAATTCCCATTCTGCTGCTTTCTGAGCCTGGCTTCAGGCAACTTGCTTTACCTTGAGAAACCTTGACTTCGTGATTTGTGAATGGGGTAACAGTGAGATTCCTGGGGGAGCTGCTGCCCCATTTTATCATCTGTCACCTCCCACTCACCCCCTCCAACTCTGGCCTGGATGCCACCTTCCTCATTCTGTTGATTCTCAGCTTGCCAAGGTCACTTAGGCTGTTACTAGATTCAACAGATGCCTTATAGTCCCTGTCTGACTTTTAACCTCTCAGCACCATTCAACACGTTTTTCTCCAACACTTTCCTAAAATCCCCTCTTCTCTCAGCTTCCAGAGACCACATTCTCCCTCCTTTCCTCCTTCCTGGGCCCCTCCAACAACAGACATTTACGTTCTAACAGTTCTGGAGGCTGGGTCTCTAGGGAAGGGGTTTCCTGGGCTGGGTCTGTAGGGAAGGGGTTTCCTGGGCTGGATCTCTAGGGAAGGGGTTTCCTGGGCTGGGTCTGTAGGGAAGGGGTTTCCTGGGCTGGGTCTCCAGGGAAGGGGTTTCCTGGGCTGGGTCTGTAGGGAAGGGGTTTCCTGGGCTGGGTCTCTAGGGAAGGGGTTTCCTGGGCTGGGTCTCTAGGGAAGGGGTTTCCTGGGCTGGGTCTGTAGGGAAGGGGTTTCCTGGGCTGGGTCTCTAGGGAAGGGGGGTTTCCTGGGCTGGATCTCTAGGGAAGGGGTTTCCTGGGCTGGGTCTGTAGGGAAGGGGTTTCCTGGGCTGGGTCTCTAGGGAAGGGGGGTTTCCTGGGCTGGATCTCTAGGGAAGGGGTTTCCTGGGCTGGGTCTGTAGGGAAGGGGTTTCCTGGGCTGGATCTCTAGGGAAGGGGTTTCCTGGGCTGGATCTCTAGGGAAGGGGTTTCCTGGGCTGGGTCTCTAGGGAAGGGGTTTCCTGGGCTGGGTCTCTAGGGAAGGGGTTTCCTGGGCTGGATCTCTAGGGAAGGGGTTTCCTGGGCTGGGTCTCTAGGGAAGGGGTTTCCTGGGCTGGGTCTGTAGGGAAGGGGTTTCCTGGGCTCGGTCTCTAGGGAAGGGGTTTCCTGGGCTGGATCTGTAGGGAAGGGGTTTCCTGGGCTGGGTCTCTAGGGAAGGGGTTTCCTGGGCTGGGTCTTTAGGGAAGGGGTTTCCTGGGCTGGGTCTCCAGGGAAGGGGTTTCCTGGGCTGGGTGTCTAGGGAAGGGGTTTCATGGGCTGAGT
The DNA here is from genome assembly GCF_000001405.40 of Homo sapiens. Lineage (NCBI taxonomy): Eukaryota > Metazoa > Chordata > Mammalia > Primates > Hominidae > Homo > Homo sapiens. The sequence continues at coordinate 4,332,757 of NC_000001.11, read as the reverse complement.
CTCCAGGGAAGGGGTTTCCTGGGCCTAGTCTCCAGGGAAGGGGTTTCCTGGGCTGGGTCTCTAGGGAAGGGGTTTCCTGGGCTCGGTCTCCAGGGAAGGGGTTTCCTGGGCTGGGTCTCCAGGGAAGGGGTTTCCTGGGCTGGGTGTCTAGGGAAGGGGTTTCATGGGCTGGGTCTCCAGGGAAGGGGTTTCCTGGGCTGGGTCTCCAGGGAAGGGGTTTCCTGGGCTGGGTCTCCAGGGAAGGGGTTTCCTGGGCTGGGTCTCCAGGGAAGGGGTTTCCTGGGCTGGGTCTCCAGGGAAGGGGTTTCCTGGGCTGGGTGTCTAGGGAAGGGGTTTCATGGGCTGGGTCTGTAGGGAAGGGGTTTCCTGGGCTGGGTCTCTAGGGAAGGGGTTTCCTGGGCTGGTGCTGCAGGTCGTGGATTAGAGCTCTCTTTTCTCTATCATCTGGTTGTTGCCCATTTGTAGATTCAGCGTCTCAACAGGCTTTGAAAGCATCATTTGGCCTGCTCCCATCCCCTTCCCAGCTCCCCAGGGGAGCCTTCCTGGGGCATCCCTGGGGACTTGCCGTCTGTGCTGCCTCTGGTGCTTGATGTGTGTGCTGTAGTTGTGATGTGTGCGTGCTGCAGTTGTGACATGTGTGCTGCAGTTGTGACGTGTGTGCTGCAGTTGTGACGTGTGCGTGCTGCAGTTGTAATGTGTGCGTGCTGTAGTTGTGACGTGTGCTGTAGTTGTGACGTGTGTGCTGCAGTTGTGACGTGTGTGCTGTAGTTGTGACGTGTGTGTGCTGTAGTGACGTGTGTGCTGTAGTTGTGACGTGTGTGTGCTGCAGTTGTGACGTGTGTGCTGTAGTTGTGACGTGTGTGCGCTACAGTTGTGACGTGTGTGCTGCAGTTGTGACATGTGTGCTGTAGTTGTGACGTGTGTGTGCTACAGTTGTGACGTGCGTGCTGCAGTTGTGACGTGTGTGTGCTGTAGTTGTGACGTGTGTGCTGTAGTTATGACGTGCATGCTGCAGTTGTGACGTGTGTGCTGCAGTTGTGACGTGTGTGCTGTAGTTGTGACGTGTGTGCACTACGCAGCGTGCGCATCACACTGGGTCTCAGGCTGCTCCTGGGATAGGGGTTTAGCACCCACATCCCAAAAGCACCTCGGGGCAGCGTGCTGAGAGTGGGAGCTGCAGGGCTCAGCGGGGAGGGCGTGGCAGGTGTGTGTTTGGAAGGCTCAGGAGGAGAGGAGAAGGCCTGGAAGCAGGACACTGTCCCAGGAGCTGTGCCCCCCTGAAGGGTCCTGATTAGCAACTGAGAAGCACTCGCGTTTTCCCCTTAATAGAGAATAATGATCAAGACACAATTTCTATTTTGTTTTTAAATTTATACTGAAAAGAGTATTAGAAATGAAACATTAATGGAATGTGAAAAATGAACTCTGCATTCGGCTCCCATTAACTAAATTGCTGGAGCTCGTGGATGGGAAGGGAGGGGGATAACTACGCCCAGAAACAGCATTTCCACCACACGCACGGCCGCCTGCTGCCCAGCCAAATGGATCAATATTTTATGTACTTTAATTTTCTCATCTCTGGGCTTGATGTTCTGACTCATCTTTTGTTTTATTTTCCTACTTCATAAATATTAAAAGTGCGCATCCGTTTTCCCAAGAAGAACAAGGTTCCCAGTTTCTGTTTGGAGGCCCGTTCCTTATCCTCAAGAGGACAAAGACACTGTGACTCCTAAGAGCTCCCTTCCCTGGCAGTTCCCACCCTCCTGTGCTAGTCAGGGCTCTCCAGAAAAGCATAGCCTGTGGGGGGACATATAGAGATCTATAAAGAGATTTATTATGAGGAACTGGCTCCCACCATTATGGAGGCGGGCAGGTCCCAGGAGCTGCAAGGTGAGTGGGGCAGGCCAGCAGGGAACCCAGGAGAGCTGCAAGCTCTTGGTTGAGTTCCTGTCCCAGGGCCAGTGGGCTTGAGAATCAGGAAGCGCGATGTTTCAGAGTCCGAAGAGAGGGAAAAGGCCGACAATCCAGTTTGAAGGCCATTTGAGGCAGAAAAGGATTCCCTCTTGCTCCAGGGAGGGTGAAACATTTAGGTCTATTTGGGCCTCAGCTGATCAGATGACGCCCACCCCAGGGGAGGGGCATCTGCTGGTTTAAGAGCTAATGTCATCCAGAAACACCCTCACAGATGCGTCCAGGATAACAGGGTTGACCAGGTGCCTGGGCACCGTGGGACCCCATCAGAATGACTCCAGACTCACTTCCTTTCCTGCCTGCCTTTGCTCTCCTCCTCCTACCGCATCTCTCATTCCCAAGTTTGCAGTATTTGGAACACAGCTCTCCTTAATTCATTTCATTTTTTTCTGACGGGACCCTTCAGCCCCTTGCAGCATGGCCACGTTCCCCTTTTTTGTTTCCTTTCTTTCCTCCTTGTTATCATTTCTTTCTGTTTCTCAGCTCCTTTTTCCCTCCCTAGACCCAGGCTCTGCAGAACATGCCAGGGACACCAGGGAGCGGCCCCTCATTCCTTGAAATTTATTATTTGCCCCACATCCTGCCCTTGGCTTGCCTGCTTTCCACAATGCAAAAGCCATCTTCGAAGTGACAAAGGTCCCCGTCTGCGAGTGACACTCAGTCTCAGCTTCCTGCTCACACACAATTAGACCACTGGGCACAGGCAGCCCTCACTCTGTTCTCCTGCAGGATGGGAGTTTGGCAGAGACCCCAATACAGCCAGGATGGGGCCTCGTGGAGGCTCAGGGCTGCATTTCACCAGAATTCCCCTTATCTGTGGCAGTCTTAACCACCCCCCCCCCCCAAGGGTTTTTGATTGGCAGAAGGCTTGCACGGCCCTACATGATCTTTTACTGTCATGCATTGCAAAAATCGTAATTGAAAAGGCAAAAGGCAGTAGCATTATTACAGGAATTTAAAAGACATCACAGGCACCTGCTAATCCCGCCACCCTAACACAGCCACTATTTTCACTGGAGTAATAAGGTCTTCACTTAAAATCTCCCCATTAGTGAAATGCATATGCTCTGAAGGAAAATGAAATGTACATGCAGCCGAGCAGAAAGTACTCAGGTCCCGCGTGGCCCCTGCCCCCCACCAAGCAGCACTTCCCTACGGCCCTGGAAAATGGGGATTGCGTTTGGGGAGGAAGCTGGGAGGCCTCCAGGGCCTTCCAAACTGAAGGATGATTGAACAGTGGTCCACGCTGTCCCTTAGCCGAGGCTAAATGTAGGATTCAATCTTTCACAGAAGGGTTTTCCATGAGGTTGGAAATGACAGAGTGGCCATGTTGTTCCTCGAGGGACCAGAGCCCTGACTCGCCTTCTCACTGCCGAGGGCTGTAGGACACATGGCTCTCCTTACCCCATGGGAAGGAAGTCTCCCTTCAGAGCCTCAATCAACGCCTCAGGCTCCATTCCTGGCCCCTGGTGCCTGTGCCTGCCGTGTGCCCCATCTCCGGTCCCAGGTCCTGGGATGTAGCTTTCTCAATTATTCGCTCTTCTTAACACTCCCATCTGACTATTGCCACCTGTGGCCAATCTGCCCCTGAAATCCTCTGATCTGAGCCCCACCTCCATCCAGGCACCCGGACCTCTCACCTGGATTGTGGCAAACCTGCCCCACCCCCCAATGGTATTTCTTTCTCCTTTCTCTGAGCTGTCCCCCATGGGAGAGAATTGTGAGCCCACACAACACCCCCAGCCTGCCATCCATGGGTGAGGGTGTGACCAGTGGCATTCACAGCAACATGTGCTCCAGGCGTGGACCCAGGTTCTAGGTCTGTAGGGCAAGGCAGGAAGGACGTGTGCTCCAGGCGTGGACCTGGGCTTTAGGCACAGGTGATGCAGGAAGGACATGTGCTCCAGGCATGGACCTGGGCTTTAGGCACAGGTGAGGCAGACAGGACATGTGCTTCAGGCATGGACCCGGGTTCTAGGCACAGGTGAGGCAGGCGGGATGTGTGCAGGAGGCCTAGGGACATGGAGGTGAGACCATTTGCACCACCTGTGGCCCTTCACAGCCACTGGGACAGAGGCTGTATCAGACGCTGCCGTTCTTCATGTCTGAACCACTTATCTCCCTGAAAACAGACCAGTGGCTCCTCCCACCTACCGCAGCCCAGCTTCCTCCCCAGCCTATCTATGCCTCCCTCTGCTTCCGCAGTGGTCCCCACCCAGCTCTGACCACACCAGGCCAGGTGCCCTCCACACACCCGGGGCTGCTCCTCTCACTAGTGCTCCTGGGCTTGCCCAGATTCCCTCCCTGGAAATCCCTGTCTTGACTCCCATCCCAGAAGCTGGGCAGGGGTGAGCAGGTGCCACTGTCACCTTGGTGACCCCATCATATCCAGGTGAGCCTCTGTCTTGGCATCTGTCTCATTGCACAGCAGTCATCTATTCTGGACAGGCTCCCCTCTGAGTGTGGCCCTGGTGCCAAGCAGCATCTCCAAGACACTGCAGGTGCTCATTAAATTTCTGTTGTACTGAATGGAATCAGAAGGGTCTAGTCTCCCCTTGGGAAACTCTTGGGTGTGTTTGTAAGGGAGAGGGCAGGACCGTGGGGCAGGGAGCAGTGTGGCAGTCACACTCACGGGCTTCAGAGTCATCAGACTGGGCTCCACCCTGAGAGGTCCAGTGTGCACCTGTTTTCGAGGCAATGCTAACATCTGGTAGCTCTGGGTGCTGAGGAAGACCTGAGATGGGGCAGGTGAACCCTTGGACACAATGCCTGGTATGCAACTAATTTTGACAAACGTGAGATCTTGGTGGTCACTGTAGCTACAGCATGGCCTCCGGCTGGGCTGGCCTGTTGTGGCCAATCCCAACCTCCCACCTCCAATCCACAACCCTCACAATCATATTCCAGATCTGATGGAGAAGACTCAGCAATCACTGTCTCCCTGGTCCCAGGAAAGGTGCAAGGAGCTGTCTTCCAGACACCGTGCCTATCTTTCAAAGGTAAAGTCAGCTGAGCTGGAAGAAACACAGAAGCTGCACACTCCCCAGAATAAAGCCACAGCCTCGTGGTGGGAGCACCAAGATGGAGTCTCATGGCAAGGGCAGTGGGTGATGGGGGGAGAAGCGTAGCCAACATGCTCAATGACAGAGATCAGACCTAGAGGGAAGGTGTTTTGATGGAGTCTCATGGCAAGGGCTGTGGGCAGTGTGGGGAGAAGGGTGGCCAATGCACCCAAAGCCAGAGATCAGACCCGGAGGGAAAGTGTTTTAATCCATTCTTGAACTGCTGTAAATAAATACCTAAGACTGGGTAATTTATGAAGAAAAGGGGTATAATTGGCTCACAGTTCCACAGGCTGCACAGGAAGCGTGACTGGGGAAGCCTCAGGAAATGTTCAATCATGGCAGAAGGCAAAGGGGAAGCAGCTCATTTCACATGGCAGGAGTGGGAACAAGAGAGAGAAAAGGGAGGTGCCACATGTTTTTAAACAACCACATCTGAGAACTCTATCATGAGAGCAGCCCTAGGGAGATGGTGCTAAACCACTAAAACCCACCCCCAGATCCAATCACCTCCCACCAGGCCACTAGAACCCACCCCCAGATCCAATCACCTCCCACCAGGCCACTAGAACCCACCCCCAGATCCAATCACCTCCCACCAGGCCACTAGAACCCACCCCCAGATCCAATCACCTCCCACCAGGCCACTAGAACCCACCCCCAGATCCAATCACCTCCCACCAGGCCCCATCTCCAACACTGGGGATTACATTTCAACAGGAGATCTGGGTGGGAACACAGATCCAAACCACATCACGAGGCAAGATGGGAGCCCTGCAGCCTGACACTGTCCAGCTCTGCTGGGTCCGCCCAGCTGGAGCAGTCACCACTAATGCTCTGCCCAGATCCCCGTGCCATTTCCGTGTGCACATCCTGGCATCTGTGGGCTTTGCTTACACAGCCCCATACCTGAGACCCTCTTCAGAGGACCAATGTTTGAGCTATGTCTTGACCTCTTCCCCCTGTTGTTGGGGGAAGGATTCCCATCCTAGGGTTATGGGGCTGGCTGAACACACACCTGACACTGGGCGGATGAAATGGTAGCAGCTTAACAGTGTCGTGTACTCACAGCCCAGGTGTGGGGTCCCTGCCCACAGAGGCCCACACAGAGACTGCACTGGGTACAGAGTGAACTGGCCCTGGCTGTGGGAGGTGGCCTTTGCTGTATCAAAAGACTGAATCCCCTGATTCCCATGGGAGAATGTGATTTCCTTATTTCAAGAGTCCTGCATCTGGCAAGAAACTGAAGCACACTCCTCCAGGATAAACAGGCAAAGATAAAGGGTGTGGTTTGGCTGGGGGGTCTTATCTGGGGGAGTAGAATCGGGGCAGGGAGCTTGCTGTTAGGCCATTTGAGGCCTTCTCATTTCAGATATTAAGGTAGCACATAATATTGGGCTTACAGCCAGGCACGACGGCTCACGCCTGCAATCCCAGCACTTTGGGAGGCCGAGGTGGGTGGATCACCTGAGGCCAGGAGTTTGAGACCAGCCTGACCAACATGGTGAAACCCCGTCTCTACTAAAACTACAAAAAATTAGCCAGGCATGGTCATGCACGCCTGTAATCCCAGATACTCGGGAGGCTGAGGCAGGAGAATCGCTTGAACCCAGAAGGCAGAGGTTGCAGTGAGCCAAGATCACAGCACTGCACTCCAGCCTGGGCAACAGAACGAGACTCTGTCTCGAAAAAAAAAAAAATATATATATATATATATATGTATATATACACATATATTAGGCTTACACCAAAGGCTGCTGGGACTGCTTCTCCTACAAATCAGTGAGCCGGAATGTCCAGAAATTTACTTTCTTCCCCCTCAACCTCCACTTCAACCCCACAATTGCCTAGGTCAAGGGCTGGCCGGTGCAGGAATAGAACAGCACAGCTCTCTCGCTTCTAATAGGGATAAATGCAGAGGGACAACCTACACCCCGGAGCTCCCTGCAGGGGCAGCCTGAGGCTGGATTTTGCCCAAAATTGTCCCTGTGCTCCTCCCCTTTTTTTTTTTAAGTCATGTTCTTCTCACATCAACTCTCTTACTGGTTTCTCCTGGAAGACCCAAGTCCTTATCTCAGGGCCTACTTTTGGGGACTGACCCAGGACATGTTATCCTTCACGAGGATTTGCCAACTGCCGAGCATTTTACACACTTCCACTCATTTGATTCTTGCAATAGACCTGGCAACTCAGCAAACGAGACCATTAAACCCATTTTATAGGTGAGAAGATTGAGACCCAGGCAGATGCTGGGATTTGCCCAAGGTCTCACAACGAAAGAGGAGAGAGGGCTGAGCATGGGGTTCATGCCTGTAATCCCAGTCCTTTGGGAGGCCAAGGCAGGAGGATCGCTGGGGCTCAGGAGTTCAAGACCAGCCTGGGAAACATAGTGAGAACTCAGCTCTGCAAAAATGTTTTTAAAATAGCTGGTCAAGGTGGCATGTGCCTGTAGTTCCAGCTACTTTGGAGGCTAAAGCAAGAGAATTTCTTGAGCCCAGGAGATGGAGACTGTATTGAGCTCTGATTGCTCCAGAGATATGATTCCAACTCGGATCTGAGCTGTGCCTCCAAAATTAAAGAAACGCCAAGTATACCATAAAGCTTCACATGAAGTTCTCAACCTCAGAGAAGGACCCAGCATCTCCCTGGCCACCTCCTTCTGCTCATTCGAGTTCCTGCTGACATGTCTCCTCTGAATCCCGCTCCCAATCTGAAGCTGTCCCGTAGTCAAGCTCCTCCACTCTGTCCTGTTTTCTTATGAATTTTTGCTCTGCCCACCTTCTCCCAGACAATTGTGAGCCCTGTAAAGACAGGACTCGGTCACTGTGATTCAGTCTAAGTCACCACATGGGTGTTCAATGAAGGTTTGTTGAATAAGTTAGATGATTAATCCTGCAAAACCAGCTTCTAGGGGCTTGAGGGAACAGTCAGTATGACCTCACCACACTGTGGCCACAGCCTCCCTACTGTATTGCCTTCTCTGGGGTCCGTCCACTCACACAGAGCGATGCATGGAGCTCAGCACCCCACCGTCTAACCATGAGGCCACACATCCTCACATCACTCTCACCACTTTCGCGGGGCCAGACACCAGCACGCTGCAGTGCCGAGTTTTGACTCTGAGGCTGAGTGAGGAGACACAGCCCTTCACTAATGACCTGGAAGACGGGCAGGGTGGGGATGGAGAGTGATTGATGTTTGGAGGTGGAGAGCCTGACAGTGGTACCAGGAAAGGACTTTCACCTTGTGAATAATAAAGACAATTGGGCTTCAACGTATTTATCACCCTTCTCTCAAGAAGGGCAACGTTGGAGAGAAAATGGTCCATGTTACACAGAACAATGAAGAAAAGGTTGTAGGAGGTGCTGGTATCATAAATGTTCATCTTCAATGAAGCAAATCAGCGTGGTGTCACTGCCGCAGTTAGCTGTGGGTTGAGTGGAAACGGGCGCCCCTGACCGGTCCCCAGGCATCCTCTGGGTGATTCCTGTGATTGGCCTCAGCCGTTCCAGGTCATCGCCGCCGCAGACCCACCTTGCTGTGCCCTGCCCTGCACTTCTTCTGTTCATTTCCCCCACTAGCTGGAAATATCCTGAGTAAACACTTTTAAAAATAAGAAACTCCGGACTTTCTCTAATTAGATAATTTGAAATCAGGCCAAATTAGGATGTAACTATTTTTACACGGCTCCTCTTTATTCTCCGCTTGAAAAATTATTAACAGAACTAGTACCTGGGATGGTGAAGGGCAGTATTTATTCCCCCCATTAAATCCATAACAATTCTACCTTGCTAAAAATAGAGGGGAAAATGAAGAGACTTACAAAGCGCCTTCTCCTTTCTCAGGTGCCTGATATTCACCATAAAGATAAACGCAGAGTTGTGGCTGTGGCTTACAGAATCTGTTCACTTTAGGCCACTCCAAGCCAGCCACTCCAGGCCAGCCACTCCATCCCTTTCCTGGCTCCTTCTTGGAGCTGATTTCTGATGTCTTTTTGGCTCAATCCCCCAAGATACTCATTTTCCCAGTGCCATTTCCCACTCCTTTTATTTAGTGAAGCGTGCTTCAAAGGTTGGTTGATATTTGCATATCCCCTCCGCAGTCCTATTTGGAGAACCAACCCCATGCAGGACACAGGGAAAAATCTTGGGGTCACAAGATGAAAAGGCTGGGTCCATCCCTGAAGAAGCCAATAGTGTGATAGGCGAGATCAAGTGATTGTGAAATACTACGGTGGGCCCTAAAGCAGTAGGGACCCTCAGCAGGAGGACAGAGGACAGCTTCCTGCAGGAGACCTGTACTCTAATGAGGTTCTGGGGGGCAGTGCAATGGGATTTGAGACCTGGGTGCAGAACACTGAACAGGCAGAGGCTGTGATGAAGGAATCACTGGGTGGCAGGAGATGGGGACAGAGGGTCTCCAGGGACCAGGCTCCAGAGGGCCCTGTGGGCTGCACCAAGATGCCTGGGGTGTGCCCAGACAGTAGCAAGAAGGGCTGGATGCAAGGAAAAGGAAGAAATCCCACACTTCTGTACACAGCTGCTTCCCTGCCCCTTGCCTGCTTCAAAGTCAAATTCTTGATTTTCCCTTACCCCTGGCTCCAGCCCAGGAGGCCACTTTGAGGCTTAGCTTCAGGCACAGGGCAGGGTGCCAAGCAGAACCAGTTTTGTGGGGAGGGCTCAGACGCGAAAGGAGATAGGGAACGAAGTCACCCCTGGAGGGCCCAGTCTGACGGCTCACACCCTTGCTCTGAGTCCCCGCTCCATGCTGATTTTGAACCACCTGTGTCACAAGTACCCCTACTCGCTCATGCCTGGAGTCTCCTCCGTTATTCCTCAACCATGTCCAGCGGTGACTGCCCTGCAGACTCTGACCCCGTGGTGCCCCCACCTCAGTCACCTGTTTACTGAGCTTCAGTTCTTCCACAAGCTCCCTGCTCCCCAGGACGTGGTTCCTGGTTCCCTGGGGACTGTGGACACGCTTTCCAACTGCCAGACTCTCCTCCCCTGGCTAAAAGGTCCTTGGAGGTGCAGTTTGGTCTGTTTTGCTCATCAGTTTATCCCCTGCTTTCGGAGCAGTGCCAGTGACACTGTTGATGTTCAGTGGAGATTTGTTGAATGAGTGAGTGAATGAATGAATGAATGAACTCCAAAGATGGCCAGGAAGCTAGGGGTGTACAGAGGATAAGCACAGGGCATTGTCCTAAATGCTAAAACTTTAAGCATCAGAAAGGCCTGCTGTCTGCTCCGGGTCCCCTGCGGTTCTCTAAGAGCCAGGAAGAGGGGCTTCAATCACTTCTGGTGGGAGGGGAGGTGGCTGGGTGGATCTTGACGGTACCTTACTAGGTCCTGTGGTTTTTTTCATCTTGCTTCCCCGTGTCCACCAAAAGAGACTGTGTCTTCCACCTTCCCTTTTGGCTCTCTGAAAGCTCCTTCATCTGGGAGGAGATTATTATGAGGGAAGGAGGGTGGGTGGCTGGAGAGGTAGGTGAATCAATGGGGTTGGGTGGGGGGTCCTTCCATGGGTTGTTTTCCAAACAGTGGCCCTGCGTCCTTTATCTCTTTTACTGACCACCATCAGATGCAAACCTAGTTACTGCCCCCTGGAAAGGCAGGAAGAAGTTCTGTTGCTGGCACAAGATTCAGGTGGAAGGTGTAGTCCCAGAAGGGGGGCCTCCGAGGGAGGGGGTTTCACTTGGCCCAAAGCCTTGTGAGGATGGAAGGGTACACCGCCTCCCCTGCCCTGCTCTGACCTCCAGGGATGCTGACACAGAGACAGAAGGGTAGACAAACAGAGAGAGAGAAAAAAAAAGGCTGACAGATGGCTGTATGACTTCAAAGAAAACATTTAAAATTCCAGAATAATAATTCAAAATACATCATATGCCTCCTGTGTTTCAGAAACAGTTGGCCTAGGGGAGATAAAGATATTCAAATGTGGCCCTAGCTCTCCAGGAGGTCCCAGGAGGTAGCAAGGGTAAAGTTATATTAGTGAGGACACCCCTGCACCAGCCTCACCCCCAACCAAACCCACACTCCAACTAGCCCCACCCTAAACAGCCCCACCCCCAACCAGCTACACCTCAGTTTGATATGGTTTGGTTGTGTCCCCATCCAAATTTAATCTTGAACTCTAGTTCCCATAATCCCCATGTGTCATGGGAGGGGCATGGTAAGAGGCAGTTGAATCATGGGGGTGGCTACCCTCATGCTGTTCTCATGATAGTGAGTGACTTCTCATGAGATCTGATGGTTTTATAAGGGGCTTTCCCCCAACTGTGCTCAACACTTCTCCTTGCTGCTGCCATGTGAAGAAGGACATGTTTGCTTTCCCTTCCACCATAATTGTAAGTTTCCTGAGGCCTCTCCAGCCATGCGTAACTGTGAGTCAATTAAACCTCTTTCCTTTATAAACTACCCACTCTTGGGTATGTTCTTATTAGCAGCATGAGAATGAATACATGGCCTTAGGCCCAAATAACCTCAACCCCAAAAAAAGCTCTACCCCAAGAAGCTCTACCCCCTCAACCAACCAACCAGCATCACCCTGCACCAGCCCCACCTTCTCAGGGACCTCTGGGCTCAGACAAAGGTTCTGGGTCAGAAACAAGATTTCCCTCTGTGTACTCCAAACAGATAATTTACATTTGAGTTTTTGGTTTTTTTCATGTTGAGGTTTTAAGAGGCCAATACAATCCCTTTTCCCTGACCCAACATTTGAAAGATCAATTGAGAAAGACAGGAGTCAGGTAGGTATCCCTGATAAAAGCTAGGAGACCCACCAAGCCAGCTGTGTGGCCTCAATGGGGCTCCCGAATTGTACAGACACCCCAACAAGCTGCCAGCTCTGAAGGCGACTGCAACCCCCTCCCCAAATCAGCTCCCACAGCACAGTAGCACAGTGGGAAGGAAGACCAAGGCACACTCTCCAGGCCAGCCCCCATGGTATGGGAGAGGAAGGGAAGAGCTACACATACACACACACATCCCTTCCAATCAGGGATCACTCCTGGGCAGGTTGGAAGCTGAGCTCCTCTTCCCAGTTCTTTCCCTTTCAGGGCAGGGCAGTGGAATTAACTCCCTCACCTCTGTGAAATAATGAACCAGGAGGATGTGCTCCATGCTCACATATGCAGGCACACACACATAGGTATGCGTACATACATGCACACACACAGGCACCGGGGGAGCCTCTGACTCTGTGGACCCGTGGGAAACCTTTGAGTACTGACTGGATAGTTCTCATTACATGGCCCCAGTTACAAACCAACTTTTCTCTAGGAGCACAGATGGCAACTGGAAGTTGAGAGCTACTTATTTTCACATCTCTCTTTTTCCATAGACTATGAGCTCCTTGTGGGGAGGGCCTCCCTAGCCCCCCACCTGCTATAACTCTCTAGGGTGAGCAACTAAGCCTGGTTTGGGTGCAATTTCCCAGGTTGGGCACTCAAAGTTTCCCGTACCAGGAAACTGCCTTACTTGTGGGCCCACCTGGATAATTAGTCATCTTGAAATAGTCAATACATATTTGTTGACTGAATGAACTCAGGGTTGCATCCCCTACTCACTCCTGAGAGGTTGAAGAACAAGGACTCAGCCACAGGCGGCAATGGCCAGGAGGCAGTCTCAGCCCCGTTACCTGTCTAGGGGACAAAACTTGCTTCTTTCCACACAGTTGTCAGCAAGATCCTCTTTTGACTTGGTGGAAGGGGAGAGGTGGGGGGTAGTTGTCCCAAATATCATTGTTTTATTTGGTGGCTGAAACTTGCAGACCAAAGCTCTGGAAGTTGCAGAAAATTCCCCAGGAAATGAACGCCCTTCATCCTTTATCCTCAACAGATGCAGAACAATGTGGAAGAAGCTGATGTGGGAAGTGGGCTTGCTGGGGACTGCATAGAGGCAGGTCTGGGCAGTGTTGATTACAAGACCAGCCCTAACATGCAGAATTGTTTTTAACTGAGATTCAGGCAGTTGATTTGCCTGCATGAGATGCTTTCCAAATTTCCACGAGGCTGACAAGTGGCATTCCATGAAAAGTCAGGGAAATTTGCATTCGCAAGCATTTGCCAGCATTTGTAGAAACCCATGGCATACTAGGTAGGGACTGAGGAGGGAACAAGTTTCCTCAGGGGTCCTAAGAAAACCCTGGCCACAGTTTGCTCCCTGACAGAGTTCATTACTTCCACACAAAAGAAGGGCCTTGAGGATCTTTGCCATGTTTGCCTACAGCTGTGAAATCAGAGACGGCCAGGGTGAGTGAATGCCGGCGGGTGCAGTATGCATCCTGGTGATCAGGGGCGGGGGATGCAGTGGCGCAGAAGGGGCATTCTGGATGATGTGGGTTCGAGCTGGGCTTTAATGAAAAGAAATGCATGCAAAGTTTCCAGCTGGGAGAAACAGCTGGAGCAAAAGCCCAGAGAATGAAATACAGGAGCAGGTTAAAGTAAGCTGAGGTACACTGGTTGGAGAGGATAAAAGATGGAACAGAAGGTGAGCTAGTGGGGGAAGGTCCCATCCAGAGCCCACCCTCACCATTCCATCCCCAAGCTCCAGACTTGCCTGGGGGAGCTCGGGGAAGCCCCCAACTGGCAGAGTGGTCTAGGTGGCAGCCACCAGGCTCCCCACCCTGAGTGTCAGACCCTCCTCGTGCTATAGCTTTGGGGACCAATAAGGGACACCACATTTAGAATCGCCCAAGAAACAAAACCTCAAGTGTGACAGCTGGCACCAAGCAGAGTGAGCCAACGGGGCAGTGAAGCCGAGATGGGGGCTGTGTGGGCTTCCTAATCCTCTCCCAGATTCAACCCACACGAGGCCAGGCGGGCCTCCCCCAGGAGCAGGGCCTGCCCAGCAAATTCTCCTTGTGGCTGTGACATCATAAAAATATGTATATTTGGGCCAGGTGTGGTGGCTCGCACCTGTAATCCCAGCACTTTGGGAGGTTGAGGCGGGCAGATCACAAGGTCAAGAGATGGAGGCCATCCTGGCCAACATGGTGAAACCCCATCTCTACTAAAAATACAAAAATTAGCTGGGCGTGGTGGTGCATGCCTGTAGTCCCAGCTACTCAGGAGGCTGAGGCAGAAGAATCACTTGAACCGGGGAGGCAGAGGCTGCGGTGAGCCGAGATGGCACTACTGCATTCCAGCCTGGTGACAGAGCGAGACCACATCTCAAAAAGTGTGTGTGTGTGTGCGCGTGTGTGTGTATAAAATATATATTTATACATAAACACACGTGTATATGTATTAGTATATGTATGTGTATGTGTATATGTAATGTATATGTAATGTATATGTATATGTATATGTATATGTATATGTATATGTATATGTATATGTATATGTATATGTATATGTATATGTATATTTGGTCTCTGCCCCCTGTTCCATGCACACAGCTCCTAAAACCCTTGGAATTTCTTGAGCAGCAGGGGTGCTGGGAGAATCTTTTGTTCTATTATTTGGTCTTTGACCCTGTTTCCTGACACAGAGCTGCTAAATCCCTAGGAATTTCCTGGGTGACAGGAGTGTCTTCTGTTGTAATGAGGTGACTTTTTGTGGGTTCCTGGATGGGCGCTGGCCACTCAAGAGACCAGCGTGGAGAGGAGAGACAGGCTGGAGATGGAGTTCATAATGAATCGTGCTTACGAGATGAAAATCCCTGAACTGCAGAGTTTGGGAAACTTCCAGGCTGGTGAACAAGAACACGTCCACACTCTGGGAGGGAGTGCACCCCAACTCTGCAGGGAAAGAAGCTCCTGCATGGGGATCCTCTGGACCTCGCCCTGTGCCCCTCTTCATCTATCTTATCCTTTATTAAACAGTAAACTGGTAAACCTAAGTAAGTGTTTCCTTGAGTTCTGTGAGCCTTAGTAGTAAATTCTCACACCCAAGGAGGGGGTCATTTATGCAGGTGGATCAGAAGTACATACAGGTCACAACCTGGGACTTGTGCTTGGTATCTGCAGTGGGGGACAGTCTTGTGGGACTGTGTCCTCTACTCTGAGTCTATACTAACTCCAGTTGGTGTCAGATTTAAATGAAATGTTGGAAAACCCAGTTCCTCTCCCACTTTCCCAACAGATGAGGAGAAGCGGTGAGCAATGGCGATAAGGCACCTCCCCCTCTAACTCCTACCCGGGCCACCGGTGGATTCAGGGAGGGAGACAGAATCGGGCTGCCATAACAAACTGTCACAAACCGGGTGGCTTTAAACAGCATACATTTATTCTCTCACAATTCTAGAGACCCAGAAGTCCAAGACCAAGGTGTGGGAGGGCTGGTTCCTCCTGGTGGCTGCAGGGAGACTCTGTGCTATGCCTCTCCCAGGCTCCTGGTGGCAGCCCTCCATCCCTGCATCCTAGCTGTTTCTTGGCTTACAGACACCATCACTCCAGTTTCGACCCCATCGGCACCTCACCTTCTTCTCTGTGTCTTCTCTTCTTATAATGACATTAGTCATTATAAGGTTCTATCTATCCTATAATCCTGCATGATTTCATCTTAAGGTCCTTAACTAATAATATCTATAAAGACACTATTTCTAAATAAGCTCACATTCTAAGGTTCTGGGAGGCCATGGATTCCAAGGGTGCCCTATTCAACCCACTCCAGGTTCCCCCAACACTCTGAATCCCACCTCTCTTATCCTCACTTTTCCTTCTCCTTCTTGCCGTTTCCATTTCTTCCTCCCTGGGGGATGATTCCCATCTGCCTAAACATATGCTGGAATAGCCCATTCCAAAGTAATGGCTACAGAAGTACAGAACCCCTTGACTGCATGTTCCCCTCCAGCCACCACCCACTCACACTGCTCCCCTTTGCAGCCATCCCTCCATTTTCTGTGTTCTCTATCTCACATCCAGGCTCCCTTCCTCCCACTGCCCACTGGCTCACCAATGATCAGGCATTGCCAATGCTCTTTTCTCATTTTGCTCAAACTTTGGACAGCTTTTGATACAGTTGAGGGACTGAACAGACAAACAGCCAGGGCACTCCAACCCATCAGCTCTGCAGCCATTGGCGCAGAACAGTCAGGACTTGGCCAATGACTGCAGCTTCCCTAATTTTTGCCTCTTTTCCAACTTAGGGCCAAGTAGAGAAAGCCCCTTATGTTCCCCAAACCCATCACAGAAGACATCTGCCCCTATCTATTCAGCCCACCTTCTGCTCCTCCAGGCCAATGGCCTCCAATCAGGATGCACCTGAAGCTGTCTCTGTTTTCCACTGTAAAGTTCTCCCATCCCTCTGCCTGTCTTTGAGTCTTTGCCAAAAGCAGGTGATGGTGGTCAACTCCTTTGCTACAGCAAGCTCTGAATGGAAAGCCTCTGCTTGTTCTCATGGGGTGGGCTTCTTTAATTTTCATGCAGTTGATCACCTTTTCTTTTATGAAATAATTTCTTCGAGACTGCAAAGATTCACATACCTATTTTTCCCATCACTCACCTGCTTGCTCTTCTAGACCTTCTTCATCTAGCCCTCATGACAGGGCTCTGAATCCAGCTGTCTTCTCTCTATGCACACTCTGCCTTGGTGGTCTCATCCAGGCCCACAAATTTATGTGCTGATGTCTCCCATGATTATAAGTTCCTCCAGATTCATACAGCTCCCTCACTCCCCCAGGACATATCGCTTTGAATGCCTAATAGAAGTATTAATCCTATGGTGGCTGTATTTGTCAGCAATAGCAATGTCCACAGAAATGTTGCATGACAAACCATCCCAAAACTCAGAGCCTTACAGCAATTAGCACATACCCTGATGCTCATGGCTTCGCAGGTTGACCTAGGTTTGGTTGGTTTGGTTGACCTAGGCAGAGCCAGATGTGTGGCTCTGATGTTCTGCTTCATGCAGGTGAATTAACTGCAGACTGTACATTGGATGCAAGTTCAATCATATGTGTTCATTTCTAAGCCCACGCTTCATGGGAAGCCCTTCCCATGAGGATCCCTAGATTGCAAGAAGCCAAACAGCACGAGCTCATTTATGGCCTTGGCTTGCCTTGGGTCTACCACATTTCTTTTAGCAAAAGGAAGTCTTGTGGCCAACCCCAACTTTACATGGGCAAGGAAGTACCCTCTACTCACAGTACAGGGGAAGAGGAGCAAATATTTGCCAAACAATGACCTCAAAGTCCAAGCCATGAGGATTCTTGATGAAAAAGATTAAACTGTGATATGGTTTGGCTGTGTCCCCATCCAAATTTCATGTTGAATTACAATTATAGTGTTAGAGGAAGGGCCTGATGGGAGGTGACTGAATCGTGGGGGTGGACTTCCCCCTTGCTGTCCTCATGATAGTGACTTTCCACAAGATCTGGTTGTTGTAAAAGTATGCAGCACTTCCCCCTTTTCTCTCTTTCTCTTTCTGGCCACGTGAAGATGTGCTTGCTTCCCCTTCACTTTCTGCCATGATTGTAAGTTTCCTGAGGCCATTCCGCCTGTATAGCTTGTGGAACTGTGAGTCAATTAAATCTCTTCTCTTTATAAATTACCCGGTCTCAGGTAGTTCCATATAGCAGTGAAAGAACGGACTAATACAGAAAATTGATACCAGGAGTCAGGGATTACTATATAGATACCTGAAAATGTGGAAGTTACCTTGGAACTGGGTAACAGGCAGAGGTTGGAACAGATTGTAGGGCTCAGAAGAAGACAAGAAGATGAAGGAAAGTTTGGAACTTCCTAGAGACTTGTTGAATGGTTGTGACCAAACTGCTAATAGTGATACGGACAGTGAAGTCCAGGACGAGGTAGTCTCAGATGGAGATGAGGAACTTATTGGGAACTGGAGTAAAGGTCACTCTTGCTATGCTCTAACAAAGAGACTGATGGCATTGTGCCCCTGCTCTAGGGATCTGTAGAACTTTGAACTTGAGAGAGATTATTTAGGGTGTCTGGCAAAAGAAATTTCTAAGCAGCAAAGCATTCAAGACATGGCCTGGCTGCTTCTAACAGTGTATGCTCATATTCATGAGCAAAGAGATGATCTGACACTGGAATTTATATTTAAAAGTGAAGCAGGGCATAAAAGTTTAGGGAACTTGCAGCCTGACCATGTGGTAGAAAACAAAAATCCATTTTATGGGTAGGAATTCAAGACTGCAGAAATTTGCATAAGTAAAGAGGAGCCAAATGTTAATAGCCAAGACAATGGGGAAAATGCCTCCAGGGCATTTCAGAAACCTTCACAGCAGCCCCTCCCATCACAGGCCTGGAGGCCTAGATGGGAAAAATGGTTTTGTGGATCAGGCCCAGGGCCCCACTGCTCTGTGCAGCCTCAGGACATGGTGCCCTGCATCCCAACCACTCCAGCTTCAGCTGTGGCTAAAAGGGACTAAGGTACAGCTGGGGCCATTGTTTCAGAGGGTGCAAGCCCCAAGCCTTGGCAGCTTCCATGTGGTGTTGTGCCTGCAGGTGCACAGAGGGCAAGAGTTGAAGTTTGAGAGCCTCCAGCTAGACTTCAGAGGATTATGGAAATGAGCAGATATCCAGGCAGAAGTCTGCTGCAGGGTCAGAGCCCTCATGGAGAACCTCTGCTAGGGCAGTGCAGAGGTGAAATGTAGGATTGGAGCTCCCACTCAGAGTCCCCACTGGGGCACTGCCTAGTGGATCTGTAGGAAGAGGGCCACTGTCCTCCACACCCCAGAATAGTAGATCCACTGACAGCTTGCACTATGCATCTGGAAAATCTGCAGGCACTCAATGTCAGCCCATTAAGGAGCTGCCCAAGGCCATGGGAGCCCACCTCTTCCATCAGTGTGCCCTGGATGTGAGACATGGAGTAAAAGGATATTATTTTGGAGGTTTAAGATTTAATGACTGCCCTGCTGGATTTCAGGCTTGCATAGGGCCTGTAGCCCCTTTATTTTGGCTAATTTTTCCCTTTTGCAATGGGAGCATTTTCCCAATGCCTGTACCCCCATTGTATCTCAGAAGTAACTAACTTGTTTTTTATTGTACAGACTCATAAGAGGAAGGGATTTGCCTTGTCTGAGATAAGACACTGGACTTGGAATTTTGAGTTAATGTGGAAATGCGCTAAGACTGTGGGGGACTGTTGGGAAGGGATGATTGCATTTTAAAATGTGAGAAGGACATGACATTAGGAAGAGCCAGGAGCAGAATGATATGGTTTGGCTCTGTGTCCCCACTCAAATCTCATGGTGAATTGTAATTCCAGTGTTGGTGGGAGGTGACTGAATCATGGGGGTGGACTTCCCCCTTGCTGTTCTTGTGATAGTGAGTTCTCAGAAGATCTGATTGTTGTAAAATGTGTAGCACTTTCCCTCTATCTCTCCTGTGGCCACATGAAGATGTACTTTCTTCCCCTTCACCTTCCTCCATGATTGTAAGTTTCCTGAGTTTTCCCCAGCCATGCCACCTGTACAGCCTGTGGAAAAGTGTAACCATAAACACGGTTATGATAAGTTTAAAAGTGTATAAAACTGGTATGTTTAAAACCACAAAATGGTGTTAAGAGAAATTTTTAAAGGCCTAAATATATGGAGAGAGACCATGGATGGGAGGAGTTTATACTACTAAGCAGTCAATTCTCCACAAGTTGACTTACAGATTCACTGTGATTTTCATCAAAATTCCAGCAGAATTTTTGTTAGGAATTGACAAGTTAATTTAAATGAAAATTTTAAAAGGCTAAGAATAAATAGGGTCTTATTGAAAAAAATAAAATAAAGTCAGAGGATTTAATCTACCATAATTCAAGATTTACTATAAAGTTATAGTAATTAAGATAGTGTAGTATGAGTAAAAGAATTAAACAAATAGATCAACGGAACAGAGCAGTGACTCCAAAAGTGTGTGTGCATTTGTGCATGTATGTGTGTGTGTGTGTGTGTGTGTGAACTAGTTTTTTAAAAGGCACCAAAACAATTCCATGGGCAAAGGAACGTCTTTTCGATAAGTTATATGTAAGTAACTGCACATCTACATGAGAAAAAATAATCATTCACTCCTACCTTATACCATATACAAAAATTAATTCAATATAGGTCATAAGCTTAAATGTGAAAGTTAAGACTATAAATCTCTAGTAGAAAACATAGAAGAGGATCTTTAAGGTCTTGGGGCACAAATTAATCCCTTAAGACACAAATGCTCTACCCATTAAAGGAAAAAAACCAATTTCTTATAAATTTAGGCCTTTTGTTCATCAAAGGACAGCACCAAAATCAGCCATGGAGTGAAAGCCGTTATTTGTAATATATATGTCAGACAAAAAGCCTACACCCTGGATATATATGTAAAAGTCTATCACAAATCAATAATAAAGAGATAACTTCCCTCTAAATCTGTAAGAGACTTAACAAGAATAAGTGGTCAAGATATGATTGAAAAAAAGAATAAAGTCGGAAGATTGAGTCTACCTTATTTCAAGTACACAAAATAACAGAATGCATAACAACCACAGGAAAAGTTGCTCAACATCCCTGACCGTTAGAGAAATGCAAATTAAAACCACAGTAAAGAACCACTACACACCACTACACACCACCACAATGGCAAAAATTACAAATCCCGAAAACCACAGAGCTGGCGACGGTGTGGGTAGGCTGGAATACTTACCCGTTACTGGTGCATGTGTGGGGATGGTTACACCACTTTGGAAAGCTTTTTGACAGTTTCTTATATGGCTGAACATACATTTACCCTAAGATCCAGCAATTCTTCTAGGTCTATAACAATGATAAATAGGCCCACCAAATACTTGTCCAAGAATGTACGTTCATAGCAACTTTATTTGTAGTAGCCAAAAACTAGGAACAACCCCAACGCCCATCAACAACAGAATTGATCAACAAACTGTAGTATATCCGTTCAATGAAATTCTACTCAGAAAGAAGGGGAGGAAAGCAGGAGAAAAAGAAAGAACAAATGGCTGATGCATGCAGCTACTTGGATGAGTCTTGAAAACATGAGTGGAATGAAGGAAGCCAGACAAGACAGACTACAGACGGTGCAATTCCATTTCTATGAAGTTCAAGAACAAGCGGGACAAATCTAAGGTGATGAAAGCCA
This sequence comes from Homo sapiens, assembly GCF_000001405.40. NCBI lineage: Eukaryota > Metazoa > Chordata > Mammalia > Primates > Hominidae > Homo > Homo sapiens. The sequence continues at coordinate 4,311,686 of NC_000001.11, read as the reverse complement.
GATCAATGGCTGCCTGCAGAGGAGGTCGGGAGGGGAGACGGCTGCCAAGGGCAGGGTCTTTCTGGCATGATAAAAATGTTCACTCAATCTGGGTAAGTTTCCGTTGTCAAAATTCAACTAACGTTTCATTTGAAACTGTGCATTTTACAGTATTGAGACTATGCCCCCATAAAGCACTGTTTAAAATAACTTACAGACAGGCTGGGTATGGCCTGTAATCCCAGCACTTCGGGAGGCCGAGGTGGGCAGATCACTTGAGGCCAGGAGTTTGAGACCAACCTGGCCAATACAGTGAAACCCTATCCCTACTAAAAATAGAAAAAGTGAGTCAGGTGTAGTGGCAGGCACCTGCAATCCCAGCTACTTAGGAGGCTGAGGCAGGAGAATCGCTTGAGCCAAGGAGGCGGAGGTTGCAGCGAGCTCAGATCGTGCTACTGCACTCCAGCCTGGGCAACAGAGAGACTCTGTCTCAAAAAAATAAAAAATAACTTAGAAACAAACTGAAGAACGGTATGCAAATAACAACAGAACACAGGAAGGAATCATTCTAGCACAGAAGCTATCTACCCCTTCTTAAGCATCTCAACTTTTCCTGGCACGATGCAACATGCCTGTGTGCATTACCCCCAGGTAGTGTTATCATAAGCCCTTGGAGCAAGGGGTTTTCCTGGACCCAGAGAGACTCGGTGACTCCCCTGAGATCCCCCGAGCTGTGCACAGTGGCAGAACCAAAACCCAAGGCAGACATGCGGATACCAAGCTGTCAGCCTCCACATTCCTTCCAGGTGCTGGGCTGCTTTCTGTTTCTTTGTGTGAATCCCACAGCAGCCAGCAATATCACTATGATTGCCCATTTTAAAGGTGAGGCAACAGACTCAGAGATGAAGTGGAGTAAGGATGTGAGCCCAAGCCCAGCCCGTTCTCCCACTAATACCACCCCTGCTCCCTGCCCCGCTCCTGGCCACCATTGCTGTCACCTCCCAAAGGTGCCACCTGTGCCTGCCCAAGGCCTTGAGATGCAAACAGGAAAAGCCTCAGTAGCTCCAGAGGTGAAGCACAGGTCAGGGATTCTCAACACAGAAAAGGCTATGTTCTGCGCGGCCAAGGTGCAGAAACACAGCCCCCGCGCAGCACCAGGTGCTTGGAGGAGATGTGCTGGCCTACAGAACAATGGGTCAGGTGAATATTGGGTGTTACAGCTTCCACAGGGCTGTGTGAGCTTCGCTCCCCCTCCAGACTGGGAGCTCTAGCACACCACGCCCATGCCTGGGGTGCACACCGTCCCCAGCAAGTGTCCTTGGATTGAATGGCTGTAGTAGAGTTCCTCTGTTGCCCTGTTGATGGCATTTGACAATAAGCAGCGTGCTGGACTGTCCCACTCACTCTCAGGCGGACCACTAGTTGAGCCCCCCAGAACAGGCAGCTTCCCACCCTGTCCTACAGCTGAACTGGAGGAGGGTTCCTAGAGGGACTGCTGGGACACTGGAGGCCCCTGGGGAGGAAGGAGTTTCAAAAGGGAGCCAGTGGCTGGCCCAGGTGCAGCAGGGACACGGTTGAGGGAACACAGACCACACGTTTGTTGTTCTTGTTGGGACGGGCCACCTGTCCCAGCGAGACGGTGGACTGGCTCCATGCCTCACCCTGAGCCCCAGCCAGCAAGCATCCTGAACCAGCAAGACACCTCCAATATCTCCTTCCTCTGGGTGGGTCCCAGTGGGACGTAGGACCCTGGCTCCTTGGACCCCTCCTACCCCAAATCCATTGAGAGGTCATGGCCCCACCCCCAGACACCCAAAGAGCCACTCTTGCTGTCTGTCCCTCATGCAGTCTGCTCTGTCATGCAGCCCCCCGGGGACACTCAGTGACAGGCAGACAGTGTCATCACCAGTCCTTGAGAAACCTCTGGGTCTCAGCTTGGTTGAGAAAGGACGGTAGCCCTGGCCAGGTGCTGACCAGGAAGTTGTAAGCAGGAAAGGAGTAAGATTAGAGACAGCAGCAGTGTCTAATGGAATTTTCTGAGTGGATGAGTGCTCACAACGTGGCTACTGAGTATTTGAAATGTGACTCCTGTGTCTGAGGAATTTAATTTTTTATGTAACTGCATTCATGAGAATTTTTTTTCTTTTTTTTTTTCTTTTTTTTTTAATTATACTTTAAGTTTTAGGGTACATGTGCCCAGCGTGCAGGTTAGTTACACATGCATACATGTGCCATGTTGGTGTGCTGCACCCGTTAACTCGTCATTTAACATTAGGTATATCTCCTAATGCTCTCCCTGCCCCCACCCACCCCACAACAGGCCCCAGTGTGTGATGTTCCCCTTCCTGTGCCCATGTGTTCTCATTGTTCAATTCCCACCTATGAGTGAGAACATGCGGTGTTTGGTTTTTTGTCCTTGCGATAGTTTGCTGAGAATGATGGTTTCCAGCTTCATCCATGTCCCTACAAAGGACATGAACTCATCCTTTTTTATGAGAATTTAAATTTACATTGCCACAGGTGGCCAGGGGCCATGTCCGAGAGCATAGCCTGGCAGTGGCCACCAGCTCTGCTGGGAGTCTCCCCCAGGAGTCTCTCTGGTTCCAGGAAAACTCTCTACTTGAACTCCACCCAGGCTGTGACTGTACCCTGCCCTTTGCCCTGCCCGCCAGGGCTGGTTTTGAAGGTCTACAGGAACAAGAAGCCATCTCTGGTCACCTAGGATGGTCTTGGAGGGCCGAGCTAGGAACCTGTCAGAGGAGAGGGAGCCGAGACAGGGGTCCTATGGGAAGGGAGAGGGCAGGGCTGGTGACACCGTAACGCTCAAAAGAAGCCACTGCTCCCGCCCGGCTCCCACTCCATGCACCCCATCCTGGACACCCAGAGCAACCGTGACATCCCTAGTTCCTTTTCCAAAAAGTGAGGAATAAACTGCCCAACACATTCTCCCCAGTCCCTTCCAGCTGAGCCCACCTTCTGGTGTGACCGTCACTGGAGTGTGGGTGGCCTCGTGGAGAGGCTGCGTCTGCCCTCCATGGCCACGGCCACACAGCCCCAACATGGGCTACTGCAGAAAAGTGTTCTTTCCATCCCCACATCCCAGAATACCTGCCAGCTGTAACAGGTCCTGTCTTTAGGGGGCTTTCTTGCAACCCAATTTTTCAATGGCCTTTAATTGGCTTCCATGTTCTCTGGCATCCACTCCCCACAAGCAGACTCTGACTCAGAAAAGGAAAACCTATCTGTTGTCAGTCACTCCTGCTGCTCTTTCCCCAGCACCCGGGCCCCTGTCATCGGGGCAGACAGGGCTATTTGTCAAGCTCAGGTGAGTCACCAAAAGACTTGATGTTCCTGCAGGGAAGCCCAGCCAGTGCCTCCTCCAAGCACACCTGAGGGGCTAAAAAACAACGCTCGCCATGTAAGCACGCTGCCTCCGTTGAAAGGGAGAGGGGTGCAGAAGAAAGGCGACTTTGATCCATCATTCACACCCCAAAGACGCCACTGTGGTTTGAAGCGGGAGAGACACATCTCTCTTTACAGGCAATTGAGACGTTGAGATGGCCACACATGCCGCTGTCTAGGGAGGAGTTCAGCTTGAACATGCTTAGTCACACTGGTGGCGGGGGAAAGAAATAGGGCAGCCGCCAGCCTGGGGACCAGGAGATGACAGCTTCAGTGACAGCAGAGAGGGCTCTGGGCTCAATGGACTCCCCCTCTCTTTTCTTTGAAATATCCAAATCGTGGCCATCCCTGCAGGAAAAACACCAGCCTGCATCTCTGCAGCCACCTCCTCGACACCTGAATTTTGATGGGTCACTTTTACATGTGGTTCCAAGCACCAAGTGAGCGTTTGGCTTCCATTAAGGGCAATTTGTACATGTTTTTCTCTTTTACCCCAATGAGTGTTCTTCACCCATGTCACCTCCTCAATCCCCTGGGCGTGTGCTGGCATCACTGGAGGTCTTTCATCTCGGCTGTGAGGACAGGACAGCAGCCCTCATGACACCTGCAGAGGTATCCAGGGAAGCCTCTCCTCTGCTCCAGCACTGGGCAAGCCTTGAGTCTCCACATTCTGCAGAAAAGTCCATTTTGGTCACTGAGGGAGCTGGAAGGGGAAGATGAAAGAGATGTTGGTTCTGGCAGGGTGCCCAGCACATGCAGAGACTACAGGGAAAAGGCCTCTCCTTAGGAATGAGAGGGACACCCAAGGCTCTGCATTTGTGGCCACCTGGCATAGCTCACTGGGGCCAAGAAGAAAAAAACACCAGGTTCAAGTCAGAGGACAGTGTTGCTTCTAAAAAGAGGGCAGAGACTTCAGAAGGGCAGACACAGAAGGGGCTTGGAATCCCCCATGTTGGTGGAAGGGACTGAGAAGCCTCTCTGGGCTGTCCACACCTGAACCAGACACTTCTCACTAGTGTCCCTGCTCTGAGGCCAGCCAGTTCTGCAAAGAACCCACATCAGCCCAGTCCACACCAGGCAGTTCTGAGCTGTCAGAAACAAAGAGCTTTTATTTCTGTGCTGAGCATTTTATATGTGCTTAATTATCTGCACCAATCTCCAAATAGCCAAATTCTGACAATAATAGTGACAGTAGGAACTGTTGTGTGTTCCTGAGCTCACATCACATGCCAGGAATTGTACTGAAGCTCTTGCCTGTCTCACTTATCTGACCCTCCTACCCTTTGAGGTGGCACAGTTGTCAATCGCACTTCACAGGCAGCTCAAAAGAGCTGATAAAATATGCCTGGCACTCCTGCCAGCCCTCTCAGGTCCCTGCTAACCATGCATGCAAAGGGCCACCTATTTTCCAGTGCCCAGACAAATGCCCCACCACCAGGCAGACTGCCATTCCCAAGGCCCTATGGCTCTTCCACGCCTCTTCTGTGGTGAGGATGTCACCTCCACTGCCAGTCAATATGGCACCCAAACAAGGCTTGCAGGCTTGGGAGGCACACAGCCTAGATGTGAGTCCCAGCTTCGTCACCTCCCCTCTGCAGGCCTGCCTGGACCTCGGCTCCTCCACTCCCATCCTGTGGATGCTGCCTGCTCTCCGGTGCACCTCGAGGGTCACTTGAGACCAGGCACTTTGTTGAGAACCGCGTCTGCTGCACTTGTACTGATATTGTTTGGCTGTGTCCCCACCCAAATCTCATCTTGAATTGTAGCTCCCATAATTCCCACGTCTTGTTGGAGGGATCTGATGGAAGATAATTGAACCATAGGGGCGGTTTCCCCCATGCTGTTCTCATGGCAGTGAGTAAGTCTCACAAGATCTCATGGTTTTATAAGGGTGGTGGTCTTGGTTCTTATTCTCTCTTGTCTGCTGCCATGTAAGATGTGCCTTTCACCTTCCACCATGATTGTGAGGCCTCCCCAGCCATGTGGAAGTGTGAGTCCATTAAACCTCTTTTTCTTTATAAATTACCAGTCTCAGGTATAACTTTATCAGCAGAATGAAAACAGACTAATACATGCATGAAGCCCATCAGCTGCTTCAGCATCCATTCTGCCTGGCAGGGCAGGAAGACCCAAGCCCATGGCTTGGCACCTTCTCCCTAGCATCCCCACTGTGAGGCCTGGAAACCCCCTTGCAGGTTTCCACACCCCTGCACGCCTGGGTGGTCTTGAGGTGGGAGGCAGGACTCAACTTCATAGGCAGGGCTCAAGCACCAGACCAGATTGAGGACTAGCTAAAACAAAAACGAGTTGGAAGCCACTTTCCATAAGCCATGCCCACCAGTGTGCCATGTCAGTTTACTGTTGCCATGGCAACACCTGAACATTACCTCCCCTTTCCATAGCAAGGATCCAATGACCAGGAAGTTACTACCATTTTTCTAAAAACGTATGCATAATCTGACCCTAAATTTGCATGTAACTAACAGTGGGTATAAATATACCTGCAGTGCTGTCCTTGCGCTGTTGCTCCCAGCACAGTGCCTGTGGGGTAGCCCAGCCCTGCAGGAGCAGTCATGAAGCTGGAATGTGGTGGCCTCAATCATGGAGCTGGAATGTGGCGGCCTCAATAAAGATGTTTTCGTCCACCACCAGCCATTCTTGAATTCTTTCCTGAATGAAGCCAAAAACCCTCCCAGGCTAAGCCCCAGTTTGGGGCTTGTGTGCCCTGCATTGGTCTGAGCACCCCCTGCCTGACCAGGGCTCAGAGGGAGATTTAGGAGAGATTTGGTGCTTTGGTCAGATGTCTAGATCCTGTGGTCCTCAGTCAGCTTAGAGGGCAGCAGAGCCTGAGGGCCATGTTGTGGCACAGACTAGAGGCTGGTACGGGAGCTGGCCGCCATGGACCCACCTTTCTGATCATCACCAGATGGGGATGCCTTGGCTCTCCTTGCTGCAGAGGGACTTAGAGGCTGGGGCCTGGACACCCAGCCTGGACCCTCAGCCCTCCTATGATCCTGTAAGTTATTTGGACCCTGACCCAGCCCCAGGGGACAATTCTCTGCAGTTTCTCCCTCCCCCATAGCATCCTGGCCACTCCCCCAAGCAGGGAGCTTGGCCAGCTCTTGCCTCGGGCCTGGCCTTGTGACCACCACAGTAGGTCCTCCCTCAATTCCCTCATCTTCCATTTCCGTCTATTCACAGCTCAGCCAGGTGGAAGCCCAGGGCCACAGCTTCCCTGCCCAGGAACCTTGCTGGGGGAAGCATCTCAGGCCCCTTTCTTCCTCCCTTTTGCTCTTTGCCACATCACTGGAGGCCTTCAAATCCCACGACAGATATGGAAGCCACAGATCAGGTGGCCAGAGCCCTCCCCAACAACAGCCTCCATGTCTGCAGGAGCCAGGAAGAAGAGGAAGCCGTGGGGTGGCGAAGATTCATCCTGGGTTCTTTCTGACAGCCTTGGAGACTGCCCACTCTACTGGGCTAGATGTTTTTCCTCCATGCCTGGTTCTGAGTCACAGTCCACTCAGGTGGGGAGCCAGCTTGTCGGGGGCTCGCCTCCCATCTTAGTCACAGAAGCAAATTCCACATCCAGAGCACACCTCCTGCAGCTGGGGTGGGTAATGTACAATTATTCTAGTCTTCAGCTGAGGTGTCTTTGCATGTTTTCCCCTTGGACTCTGGCCATGCACACACACACACACACACACACACACACACACGTGTACATCCTCACACAAGTGTGGGATTTGGGGGATGGATGAACAGAAAGTAACAGCAGGCAGAGGGTCCTACACTTGGATGTGATCCCTGTAGACTGGGAACTCTCACTGGATGGGCCACAGGACCCCAACAAAGCCCCACATCCTTTGCAGGCCAGTGACTGTGCACAAGGGTTCCACAAAGCCCTGTGTTCTTTAGGCAACTGTGTGCACCTGTGCAGTTTGCAGAGTGCTGAGTCCTTTGATCAGACCATCAGGGAGCTCTCCAGGAGTTTCCACAATGAGGGAAAGGAAACTCTCTGCCCTTGGGGATACTCAGCCCATGAGGCCCTGGGGAAGAGATGTTCTGAGGATGGGAAGACTGCAAGGTGGGGGCTGGGCCTGCTCCAGTGGACACCAGCCTGCCTTGGGGAAAATCTCGAAGAACACAAGCTTTCTCTCTCCTTGCTCGGAACACGCCATCCTGCCTGGAGCTCACTCAGGCCAGTCCCTACTTTGAGGGACCTCAGGTGGATGTTCAGAGTATTCCAGGTTGTGGAGAAGGGAGCGGGGCATGCAATGGCTCGGTGGACTTTACAAAGCAAAGTGTGCCACATCCCCACATCCCCGGGGGGATCTGAGCACTCCAGGCCTGACCAAGTCCCCATTCACTGGGAATGAGACCAGCACAGCCACGGAGGGAACCTGCATGCTTCCTGGGTGAGTGTTGATGCTGACAGATTCAGTGCCAGGGAAGGGGGAAATGTTTAAACATCAAGCTGATAATGAATGCTTTCACTCCATCCAAGAGCAGAATGCAGAAAAGATACTGCTTGAGGATGCAGACTGTTTACTAGTCTTGAATTGTGATGTTAACCTAGTGTGTGAAAGGGAAGGGGAAGGAGAGAAAAAGGGCAGGTCAGAACTAATGGGATACAAGGGGCACTGCAAAGTCTGTGCATGAAGAATATGCAGTTGAGACCACTGCCCCTCGGAGTCCATGGGAATCCAGTGAAAAAAAAGAGCACCAGAAAACGGCAACGTGGGTGCCAGGGAAAGAAACTCCCCCAGTGGGAGAGTCCACAGCCTTCTGCAACTGTGCCCCACCCAGCGCCCGGCAGCCTCCGCAGCTGGGGTGTCATATCTGCCAGTCCCACAGTGAGTGGAGGGAGACGCCAGCCCCCGGCCAGGAACTGGCTGCAGTAGCAGCCCTCACTGCAGCTCCTGAATGTCCTCTAACTTGCTTCCAGCTCCTCATGCAATCCAGCCTCAAGTGCAGCTCCGGGGATGTGGAAGAATGGAATGGAATGGAATGGAATGGAATGGAATGGAATGGAATGGAATGGAATGGAATGGAGTGGGGTGGGGTGGGGTGGGGTGGGGTGGGGTGGGGTGGGGTGGGGTGGGGTCGGGTGGAGTGGAGTAGAATGGAATGGAATGGAATGGAATGTACTCGAATGGAATGGAATGGAATGGAATGCAATGGAATGGAACGGAATGGAATCAAATGGAATGGAATGGCATGGGATGGAATCCAACGGAATCGAACAGAACGGAACGGAACGGAACGGAGCGGAACGGAACGGAACGGAACGGAACGGAACGGAACAGAACAGAACAGAACAGAATAGAATAGAATAGAATAGAATAGAAATGATTACAACACGGACCTTACTTCGGCTTGGAGCTTGTAGTCGGATGAGGAAATGAGGCCATGGAGGAGCAGCAGCAGGGAGAGGCAGGAGGAGCACAAGGATCTAACCTTAGGCTATCACCGAGACTCTGTGAGCCTCAGTTTACCCACCTGCCATGGGACTGGTCACCAGAGAATGCCCCTCACAGTGTGGAAGCTCTTGGTGCTGGGCTCAGAGTAAGCACTTGTACTGGTCATGGAGGACTAGGTTGAGGTGCATAACAAACATCCCCCAAATCTCAGTGGCTTTGACATGAGAGACATTTCTTATTCCACTTTTCCACTGTGAGTCTGCAGGGCAGGGGATCCCATTCTGCCAACAATGGAGCAGCCCCTATCTGGGTCATGCCAGCCACATGGCAGTGGCCCAGGGAAGCAAAGGAAAGCAAATCACACCCTGGCCCTTTGCGCTTCCACCTGGAGCTGAGCCAGGTCACTGCCACTTACACACCAGCCACGCAAGTCCCACAGCCACACCTAACCTCTGGCCAGCAGGGATGCCCCATCACCACTGCAGGAGGAGGTCTGCTGAACACTGGGAGAGCAACACCCATGGGGCCCTGCAGAAATGAGGGCTGTCTGTCCAGTGTTACTGCAGGGGTGCTGCAGGGGACGTGGAGGGACACGAAGGGGAGCATCTTGAAGGCAGGTCTAAGCTCATCCCAGCTGCATGGTCATCCTTTCGAAAGACACCTATGAGAGTCTACTGGATGCCAGAGACTTTTCTAGAGCCAGAAACATAGCTGTGGACAAACCAGATGATAATTTCTGTCCTCATGGGTGGCTCATGTTCCAGTTGAGGATATAAACAATAAACTTACTATGTAAGTGAGGTATAGACGGCCCTGCTGCCCCATAGAACTTTCCGGAACCATGGAAACATTCTCTGCACTACACATCTAACTACTGAGTACTTGAAATGTGGCTGGTGCAGGCCAGCCGTGGTGGTTCACGCCTGTAATCCCAGCACTTTGGGAGGCTGAGGCGGGTGGATCACAAGGTCAGCAGTTCAAAACCAGCCTGGCCAAGATGGTGAAATCCCATCTTTACTACAGATACAGATTTCTCTGCACACAGCCATGGGGGCTGGGGTTTTTGCGGAATTACTCAGCAAAAGATGCCCCCACCTGCCCAGAGCTCCGCATCCCCAAGTCCCTTCCCTTGAAGGTTCAGTGTTCATCCAGAGGGGCCACGGCTCTGTCTCAGTGACCAGCAGTGACATCAGTGGTTTGTCGCACCCCAGAGCAGCTACTGTGGCCCCTCCTGAGCCTCTGCCCCTGTCCCCATTGTGGGAAGGACTCTGGCCAGGAGGTGGTTCCTGAAGGGAAGCTGAGAGGAGGTCCTGGCCCAGGCATTGCTTCGGGGCAGAGGGGAGAGCAAGGCCTGTTGCTTTTCCTCCGTCCTAACTCAGCTGTGCAGCTCAGGACAAGATGCAAGACCGGAAGCCCCCGTGCACACCCTGTGGGTGCCCTGCCCCCAAGGCCAGCAGTCCTGGGACTGCCCTTTCTCTCACTGGATTGTGGGGAGGGGGGAAGTTCCCACAGCACACAGGGTGAAATTCCAGAACATGAATACATACAATAAATAAATACTCGAACATGCCGATGCCAGGTGATAAATGGGAGGAGATTGGAAATGATTCTAGCAGCCACGGGCTCAGCCCCAGCTGTGCCTCAGAGGCCTCAGGTGCCTTTTTTCCCGACACAGCCCATCCATCTATGCCACACCTGCAGGAGGCAGAGCCCGCAGGGAAGACATCTGCATCACATCCACGCCTGGCTTCCCATGAATGAGACAATCCCATTCTCTTGCACTTAAAAGCACACATCTATCTAACAACAGATTATGTGTTGGCTTCCGTGGAGGCCACGCCACCTATTTCTACAGGCCAGGGTCCCTGCCAGCACTAGCAGGCAAGGGTCTGTTTCTTTCACAGTCCGCCTCTGTTTCCCTGAGTGGCTGTCATCTGAACCCAGCACTGGAAGCCCTTCAGTGCCTATCATGGAATGAACTGATCAATGGATCAATCAATCAATTTAGCACTGCTCAGTCCCTAGTGGGACAGGGATGGGGCCTGAGCAGGAGACGGGAGACAGAATTTCCCATCCAGGGCCTTGGTGAGGGTCACTGGCTGGGGCCCGTGAGGGTCAGGGACCAGACCTGGTACAGACCCCTTGGGGCCACTTCAGCTCCATGACCACAGACAATGCACTGAAGCTCTCTGAGCCTCAGCTTCTCCGTCTGTGCACGGGTATAATTCCCACCTCTCAGGGCTATGGCACAAATTAAGTGAGTGAATATTTGAAAAACGCCTGGTCTGTCATGTATGCTTGGTGAAAGGAAGATGATGCTATATTTCTTCAATCTTCCACCATGCTTTTAATTTTCTGTGTTTCTGACGCTTTGACCTCTGGGGTCTTACTGACCCTGGAGGAACTGCCCCTCCCAGGGCTGGCCAATTCCTAGAGGTAGTAAAGGAATGGCCTGGGAGGCCACCTTTCCTACCAACCCACCCAGAGCCCACAACCCACCACCTCCTCTATCAGGGTCTCCCCCCAGGGCCACCATCCACCTGCCCTAGTCACCCCAGGCCAGGTGCCAGATAGCTAGGGACAGCCTCTCTCCCCAGAGCCAGCCTCTCTCCCCAGAGCCAGCAGGAATTATCCACACGAGCCTTTCCTGAGCCCGCCTACACTGCCTCACCCATTCGTTCCCACAGAAACAATAGGAACAGTGGTGCTGTCCACTTCCTCCCCGCTAGCCTCCTGGCCCACACTAGTGCTTCCCCACGTGGCCCCACCTGGTACACGGTGCCTCCTGTTTCCAGGGATCTGCGAGTATAACGAACTTCCTCCTTCACAGGTCTTTTCCATGTCTGTGTATCTTACCAAACCTGATTAAAACAAATCCTGACCTCATTACAACACACCTGTCCCCAACTGTGTCACCCACATGATGCACACACCTTGCAGGGTGGTCAGGGTGGACCGCCATGAACCTCGGGCAAAGCCATATTTCTGGAAGAGGGAAGGAGGAAGGGACAGGATGAGCCGCGCTGACTCTTCCAGGAGAAGGGTGCAAGTTTCACCCCAGGCAGGGCCCACTTGGACTCCCTGACCTGGCCTCGCCCCACTCTCCCCCAACTCCATCCATCAGCCTTTCCCCCTCCACCCGATGTGTAGACAGAAACTTCAGCTGTAGCCCAACACCGCAAATGGGGAATGACTTGTTTACAGCTGCTTGGTCAGGCTTCTGCTTGCTTTTTTCTTTTTTTCCAGAAGACACTAATTCAAAGATGAAGCCCCAGGCAAAAGGATTTATCAGGCAGGATGGAGAATAAAGTCCTCTTGGTTGATGTGTGTGTTGACTTGTTGCTTTTAACATCCAGCCAGAGGCATTGGGTCGGGAAAGCATGGCCTGGGAGAGAAATGACCCAAATCCTGGGGCCTAGGGGCACAATCCAAGGGAGGTAGGGTGTGTTCCGCCCTTGTTTAGTCTGGAGTAGAGCGGGGCCATCTTTGCCAGGGGAGAAAGCATGATAGCATCCAGGATGCTCCATGAAGTCCTGGCCACCTGGTCTAGCAATCGGCAATCTGCAGGCCAGGGAGCAGCTTTCCCCAGTCCCAAGCCCTCCAGGACCACAAAAGGGAAGAGAACCTGCTTGGATAAAGACAACTTCAGGCAATTGGAGTAATTCAGGAGACTGGGATTGTTGTCCCAGAATGTTTTATCATTCTTCTGAAAAGACAATCGGCTGGAAAACACAAGTGGAAAAATCAATCCATGTATTTATCACTTCTGGGAGCATCTGTTGTGAAAATAAACTCCCTGGAGATAAGAAGGGAGATGCATTTAACATCGATGGGACATTCGCATTGGCCCAGCAGGTCAGAATTGGACATTAGAAATCTTTAGGAATTCGAAGAATCTGATTTGGCATTTTGGAAGAGTCTTAGATACCTAATTGCAGGCTTTATTGTCTTTTTCCCCTGACAACCACTTAGAATGTTGCCTTTAGCTCATGTTCCCTATAAAATCCTCCGTAGGACAAATTCATTGCTTTTATTTGGGGCGATGTTTGCTCAGTAACATAATTATTTCCATGTATACTCTGAAGGGCGAGCTGTAGGCCATCCCCTCCCCAGTCCCACTCCTTGCCACGGGTAGCGGGGGATCTTGGAGGCCCAGTCCCAGGAGACACACGAGCAACGTCCTTTCTTTCCCCACCATCCCAGGTCCTGCACAGATAATGCCCACCCCCTCCTCATTCACCCACTCCATGCTCAGCCGCAAATGCAGTGTCAGCAAGTGCTTGGAACTCAGAACACATTCCCTGTAGGAGCCATGTATGGCAGAGTGGTCCTGGCCTGTTTCCCTGACGGCTCAGGGATTTGCTCATGGTGTCTGCAGGGAGCTGTCAGCTCTGCCTCAGAGTGAGCTGTCTCTCTTATCATGTTTCCTGGGGAGAGGAGGTGAGTCCCTCATCCTCATGGCCATCTCCCCTCCTCAGCAGGGCCAGTTTGGGGGTCCTAAGCCCACATGCTGGTGAGGCCACAACACCTGCACGCTGCATGCCAAGTGCATGGGTGCATGCCTGGTGCACGCCTCCTGGTTCTCTCCCTGATGTTGTGAATCATGCAGCCGAGAGCAATTGTTGTGGGGAGGGGGCTCCTCCTACTGCCCCTTGGCTGGGTGAATTCGAAAGTTAACACCACTGCCTGGAGGAGGATGACCCTGCATCCCAATGCTTGGAGGCCTTCAGACTCCCTGAACAGGGACTTCCTTCAGGAGCCCTCCCTCCCTCCCTCCAATGCCCTTGCACTGCTGTATTGTGCAGCTCTCCATATGGGTTCCCCCTTGACCGGCCCCTTTCAAAAGACACCACCACAGCGGGCTGTAAAACTGCAGGAGGGATAAGCCCACCCAACTGGCATGGCGCATGTGGAGTACACTGCGCTTCCTTACACAGACATCTCTGAGGTGCCTTCATCATAAACACAGGCTCGCGACCCACCCTTACACCTGCCCGAGACCTCACCTGAGGGGACCGTCCACTCACATTTCCACCTGGGCACTTGACGTCCCCACTGGAGGTCTCTGGGTTCCTGAAAGCACAAGGCGGGGTGAATGCTCCTTGCCCACCATATGCTCCCCAAAGCTCTTCCACACAGCCCGCTGCAGCCTGGCCCCTGGCAATGGCAGCTCCACCCACCGATCATCTGGCCTGGAAACTGGGAGTGACCTTTGACAGCGTCCTCTTCCTCAGCCTCCACTTCCAATCCCTCCCCTTCAGACCCCATCTCAAGCCTGCTGCTCTGTCTCCATGCCACATCTTCATCCAGGGAACCAACCCTTCTTTTCCATGTGACCACAGGACCCTCCTCATTGGCCCCCTCACATCTACACCTGCCTCTTCCAGTCCATTCTCCACCTAGAATCTTCCTAAAGCAACTCAGATCTGGCCACTCCTTTGTGTGGCAACCTCACAAAGCTCCCACTGCAGAAGAACACACCCGAGCACCCCCACACCTGAGGGTCTGCCTATGGATCACCTCCTGACCAGGGCCCTCTGCCCATCAGTTACAACAGCATCAGCTTCTTCTCTCCTCCTCATTCCTCCTTTTCTCGCCAACCTCTTTTCCACCTAGGGCCACGCTCATGTGGCCCCACAATCTGGAACGTGCGGCTCCCATCCCCCATTCTTCCCAAGCAGTTCCTCTTGGTCTTCCTGTTCTCAGTACATCTAGAAGAATGTTTGTCACACCCCCTCCTGGCTTTGTTTGATTCCTTTCTAATATCCACCATACTTGAAGTAACTCTTTTTATTGGTTTATTTTTAGTCCCTGATGTGGTTTGGCTGTGTCCTCACCCAAATCTCATCTTGAATCATAGCTCCCATAATCCCCATGTGTCATGGGAGGGACCCAGTGGGAGGTAATTGGATCATGGGGGTGAGTTTTTCCTGTGCTGTTCTCATGATAGTGAATAAGTCTCATAAGATCTGATGGTTTTATAAAGGGCAGTTCCCCTGCACACACTCTTGCCTGCCACCATGTAAGACATGCCTTTGCTCCTCCTTTGCCTTCCACCATGATTGTGAGGCCTCCCTAGCCATGTGGAACTGTGAGTCCATTAAACCTCTTTTTGTTTATAAATTAGGAAGTCTCAGTTATGTCCTTATAACAGCGTGAGAATGGACTAATACAGTCCCCCAACTAAAATATAGTCTCTGTGAGGACAGAAATCT
The DNA here is from genome assembly GCF_000001405.40 of Homo sapiens. Classification (NCBI taxonomy): domain Eukaryota; kingdom Metazoa; phylum Chordata; class Mammalia; order Primates; family Hominidae; genus Homo; species Homo sapiens. The sequence goes on along the minus strand of NC_000001.11, from coordinate 4,296,667 downwards.
TGTCTGTCTTGTTCATAATTATTCCAACAGTCCCTGGAACACGGCCTTTTGGTGAATATTCATGAAATGGATAGATGGATGGATGGATGGATGGATGGATGGATGGATGGATGGATGAATGGATGGATGGATGGATGGATGGAGGGATGGATGGATGGGTTGATGGGTGGGTGGTTAGATGAGTAGTAGATGGATGGATGTGTGGATGGATGGATGGATGAATGGATGGATGGATGGATGGATGGATGGGTTGATGAATGGGTGGTTAGATGAGTAGATAGATGGATGGATGTGTGGATGGATGGATGGATGGATGGATGGATGGATGGATGGATGAGTGGGTGGTTAGATAAGTAGATAGATGGATGGATGTGTGGATGGATGAATGGATGGATGGATGGATTGATGGATGGATAGGTGAATGAGTGGATGAATGGGTAGATAGATGAATAGGTAGATGGGTGGATAAGTAGATGGATTGGTGGGTAGATGGATGGATGGATGTGAGGATGGATGGGTGGATGGATGGATGGATGGATGGATGGATGGATGGATGGATGGATGAGTTGATGAGTTGATGAGTGGGTGGATGGATGGGTAGATAGATGGATGAGTATGTGGATGAATAAGTGGAATGACTGATGGGTGGGTGGGTGGACAGATGGATGGATGTGGATGGATGGATGGATGGATGGATGGATGGATGGATGAATAGATAGGCAGAAGGATAGCTGGATGAATGAATAAGTGAAAACAATAATGAGAACAGCTAGCCCTGTTACAGTGCTTACTCTCCATTTGGGGCTTCACATGTCTGTTCTTACAAACCCCTCTGAAGCGGGCACACTTATTGACCCATTTTATAGACGAGGAGCCTGAAAACTCAGAGAGATGAACCAATTCATGCAGGGTCTGAAAAGATTATTGATGAGGTGCTGCAGCCACAGAGAGAGTTCAGCAGATTTTCATTTCTGTTTCCTGTTCTTGTTCCATCCACACCACCCAGCTGCTCTTTTCGAGGGGTGTCACCTTCAGAGGATCTGCTGTGAATGGAATGGGGTTGAATGAGCCATGTAGGGAGATGGGGGCTTCAATGGAGGGAGGGGCTTCTGCTCATCCTTATTTTGACTTGGATGCCTCCCTTGAAATCAACAGATTGTACCAAAGCAGTGGCTTCTGCTCAGAGTGAAGGGTGGAATTCGGCCACACAGGGTACCACACAAAGGGACCATCCCTGCTGATCAGAGGCTGGAAGGCATCAGTTGGGAGTCTGGGAGGAGAACAGGGGACAGCTGTGAGGATGCCAGGCCCCAAGCTGTTAAGGAACCAAGACACACAGGGTCTGAGCCTGTGCCAAGCCTCCTAGGAGTGGCCAGGGTAGGCATGAAAGCAAAATGAGCCACCCAGTCTCAGGACCACCAACTACTCCTGTTTATTTGGGACTTTCCAGGTGACAGCACTAAAGTCTTACATCCCAGGGTTTTCCTGGGACTGTCTGAATTTTAAAACTGAAAGTCCTACATTCCAGAAACCCCCTTAGTGCTGGACAAACCAAGATGGTTGGTCACCCTGCCAGGTCCCCACCCAGAGAAGGGCAACCAGGTCATAAAGGTACCGGCAAGGACGTGGTACTGTTTTTAGAGGAGCCTAGTCAACCTGCCCTGGGAGGAGACCCAGAGCTGCTCCCACTAGCCCCCCTGGCTCCCTACCCAGGAAGAGGCATTTGCTGATGTCTCTGCTCCTCTGGGTGATGTCCTGGCTCAGGAGCTGGTATCTGCCAGTTGTCACCTGATTCTCTGAAGGCTGAGTAAGGCTGGTTTTGCAGTTCTCTTTTGTGTTGTAATTGGTTTTCTTTTTATCAGTTGTGGAAATGTGTCTTCATATTCTTTGAAGGAATTGCTACGGATTGCTTGTGAAATCCTGAAACATTTTCCCTTGACTCCTAGGTCTAAGGGGGTGCCCTGACCAGCATGGATGCCTCTGCACTTGTAGCAGGGCAGGGCCAGGGACACTGGCCCCCAGTCTGCACATGGGCTCCCAGGGGGATTCTGCTCTCATCCCTTCCTGGCTGCTGTGTGGAAAAGGGATTAGAGGCCTCCTGCCTCCATGGGCTCACTCATGTCTGAGGTTATTACACAGCTTCCTCCAAGTAGGAAAATATTAGCTAATTTTTCCTATTGTCACTAATTTAGACCTAGGGAAACAATTAGCACTAAATATGATTTAGAGAATCTTTTTTCATAAGCACATGGAAATAACAGACTACATGTTGAACTAATGGGAAAGTCAATGAAACATTGGCTCACACAGCCCTTCACAGGGCACTTTTGAGAACCTGAAGTTGAACGTCCATTGCAGGAAGCCAGATAATGTCACGTAGTCTCTCTGATCCCAACCTTTTAGAAAAATCAACATATTTCAGGTATGTCAGGGCAAAAATAGCAAGGAGAGTTTGGACATCTACCAAAACATCAACATTTTCTCTTTTGCTCTTTTGATTAATTTCCATTTTTTTCATCCTTTTACCACACAGGTCTTGGCAATTAACCAAGTATAACCTCTCATAGGTTCCCAGACACTGTCGCCCCCAAATACTCCCCTAGTGTCTACAGGCGGTGCCCTCAGTTCTCTCACTGTCTTCTGGTGGAACCTGGTTCCCAAAGGCCCTTTGTCACAGGTGACTTGGAGCAGATTTTCAACCTCCCTATTCACAGAACCCTGGTGCCCTTTATCGTGGATGTGGCTGTGTCTCTAATGGTAGCCCCCTAGGGATCGCAGATGAAGAATTGTGGTCCAGAGCAGGTAGCCAGCCCGACCAAGACCTCACAGTTCATAAGCGATAGAGCCAGTGTGCAACAACCGGGTCTGCACCTGACACCCGTGCTCCCTGCCACTGCCCTGCGTGGCCTCTCTAAAGAGCCTGGAGCATCAACCATGGTGGAGAAGCTTTCACTCAATACTGCAGTGGAAGAAGGCAGTTGTTTAGAGTTAGAAGGCGTCACAGAGAGGCCCTATTTTGTGTTCTGTGAATGAATTAACTCATCAACTATTTATTGGGTAAGCAGAGGAAACAAACAGGAACCTTGAAAAGTTCTGGCTTTGAGAAGCTTCTAGAAGACCGGAGGAAGCAAAGATACCCAGCTGTTCAAGGTGTAATGGCACCCGTGTAACAGAGGATGTGATGAATTACTTTGGTAGCTCAGGGGGCAGTAAGAGGGAGGTTTACTGTGGGGTGCAGCCTCTCGATTGGACTGAAAGAAGTTCACTGGGGAGGGGAGAAGGAGAGAGATGTTGCCAGTGGAGACCCTGAGATGCAGAAAAGTCCAGCATGTTCTGGCAAGCGGGCTTGGGGGAGGACTTGGAGGAAGTGAAGCTGGAAAGACAATCACTTATCTGCAGCCCCTAACAACTGTGTGAAAAAAGAAAAACCTTCGACCTCATGAGCATCTTTCACAATTGCATATTTCCTTAATCCTAGTTACATGCTTGGCTAGAATGATAATCTTAGCTGACTGATGTTTTCCGTCACAGAGAATAATTACTCTACCCTTGATAGGCTTTCGTGAAAAATCCATGTTCTACAAAATAACACTGCGCGAGATAATTTGCACAGTTCCTGGGAGGATGATCTCTGGCATGCAGTTCTCAGACCTGCCATTTCTGCCTCAGGTCACGTCCTTCGTCATGCTTGTAAAACATCAAAATGAAATAACCCAGTCATACCAAGTCTCCATTTTCTTGGAAAAGTGTAGCGTGGATAAGTCTGTTGCACTAAATAGTCTAGATAAATACTAATAGGGATGATAACAGCTATCACTTCTTGAGCATGCACCAGAAGCCAGGACTTTACTAAAGTATGCTCTTTTTCTATATATTTAAACGCATTCATTCTGCATAGATGAAGTAGACAAATTAGGATTCTTATTTTACAGTTATCAAGGTGCAAGTTACTGAACCTTTCTAAGCTCCAATTTCACACAGCTCAGAAGCAGCAAGAATGAGATTTGAACCTACACAAGACCAGCTACAGAGCTAGGACGGGCACACAACACTGGCAGAGTACACACTTGCACAACCAGTCTGGAAAAATGTTTTTCAGAACCTACTCAAGCTAAACACCCTCTTAACCTAGGCCCCAGAGATTCCACTTCTAGGTAAATACCTAAGAAAAATGAACACGTGTATCCACCAAATGATATGCACAAGGATGTTCATAGCACCTTTATTGTGATAACAAAAAGCTAGAAATACTCAAATGTCCAACAGCAGTAGAATGGATAAATAAATTGTAATATCATCATACAAAGGAATTCTGTATAGCAATGGAAAAGAATGAAGTACTGCTATATGCAAAAGCATGAATGAATCTCAGGCACATAACACTGAGCAAATGAAACCAGACAAAAGAGTAAAAACCACATGATTCATTTAAATGACGTTTAAAAATAGGAAAAACTATTCTGTGATGGTAGAAGTCTCATTGGGGTTACTTTGGGGAATAATGAAGATGACAGGCATGAAAGAGGCTTCCAGGGTGCAGGCAACACCCCAAACCTTGACTTCTGTAGTGGTCACATGGGCATATGCACTTTATAAAAATTCACCAAGCCATACATTTGTGATTTACACAATTTACTATACATATGTTGTACTCCAATCTAATACAAAAATTTAGAAAAAAAATGCAAAATAAAAACTAAAACATACCTATACTGGAACTTAACACTTCTTAAATACAAAAGGCCATTGTGCTTTCACAGGGCCATCACTGAATACGTTGGTCTACACTCATCCTTCACTCTGCAAAGGTTCACTGCAGGTTACACTATGTCAGCCACCATGCTAGAAGCTTGGTGGTGTTGATGTCTGCTTTCACTGGGATTAATAGCCTACAAGACACGCTATGGGAGGTATAAATGATCACTCTGAACTTCTACTGATTCCAGAATATACCTGGTGTGAATTTACCTATTTATTGTTTAAATAGCAGGTAATTTTTTAAAAAGGTCCCTACACAGACACTGCCACCCTGCCCCACTGGCATACACACGCACAGACACCCTGCCCCCGCTAGAGCTCTACCCCCACCTATGCATGTGTACCTCACTATGCACCACCACTGTTGGCATGGACACATCAGCATGGACCTTGCTGCCACTGCCCCACTGAAGTGCTTTGGCCAGTGACCTCCAGCAGAGTGCTGTTGCCAGCAGACTAGGAATGAGTCAGCCCCTCCAGTCCAGCAGGTGCTTAACCTTAAGGGACCAGAGAACAAAACCATGGACCTGATAATAGCCTCCCAGAGTTTCAGCATGCAGCCAGGAGTGCTAAGCTGAGCCTTGCCCCCCAGAATCTTTCAGAAATGAAGCCATTCGACTGAACCCAATTTTTACTACAGTCAAACCCTCAAGGGCATAAAAGAATATAAAATCCAAAAACTCTATCCAAAGGACAACAACTTTAAAGATTAAAGAAACATCAGACCACAAGAAGCAATGCAAGAATTCTGGCAACTCAGAAAGCCAGAGTGTTTTTTTCAAACCTCCAAATGATTACACTAGTTCTCCAGCAATGGTTCTTAACCAGGCTGAAATGGCTGAAATTATAGACATAGAATTCAAAATCTGGGTAGGAGTGGAGGTCATTGGGAGTCAGGAGAAAGTTGAAAGCCAATCCAAGGAATCCAAGAAATGCAATAAAATGATGCAAGAGCTGAAAGATGAAATATCCATTTTAAGAAAGAATCAAACTGTATTGATAGAGCTGAAAAACTCACTATAAGAATTTCATAATACAATTGGAAATATTAACAGCAGAATAGATCAAGTTCAGGAAAGAATCTCAGAGCTCAAGAGCTGGTTCCTTGACTCAACTCTGTTAGACAAAAATAAAGAATAAAGAATAAATAAAACTTTCAAGAAACATGAGATTATGTAAATAGCCCAAACCTATGATTGATTGGCATCCCTGAAAGAGAGGGAGAAAGAGCAAGCAACTTGGAAAACATATTTGAGGATATTTTCCATAAAAATTTCCCCAACCTCTCTAGGAAGGCCAACATTCAAATTCAAAAAATGCAGAAAACCCCTGTGAGATACTATACAAAACAACCATTACCAAGACACATAATCACCAGATTCTCCAAGGTCAATGTGAAAGAAAAAATATTAAAGGCAGCTAGAGAGAAGGGACAGGTCACCTACAAAGAGAAATCCTTAGGCTAACAGCAGACTTTTCAGCATAAACCCTACCCTACAAGCCAGAAGAGACTAGGGACCTACATTCAGCATTCTTAAAGAAAATAAATTTCAATCAAGAATTTTATATCAGCCAAACTAAGCTTCATAAGAAAATGAGAAACAAGATCCTTTTCAGACAAACAAATGTTAAGGGAGTTCATAACTACCAGACCTGTCTTACAAAAGGTCTTTAAGGGAGTACCAAATGTGAAAATGAAAGACCATTACTGGCCACCTCAAAAACACACTAACTGTATAAACCATTGACACTGTAAAGCAACTACACAATCAAGCCTGTATAATAACCAGCTAACAACATCATGACAGGACCAAATCTGCACATATCAATATTAACCTTTAACATAAACAGGCTAAATGCCCCACTTAAAAGGCACAGAGTGGCAAGTTGGATAAAGAAGCAAGACCAAACTGTATGCCGTCTTCAAGAGACTCATCTCACATGTGATGACACCCACAGACTCAAAGTAAAGGGATGGAGAAAAATCTACCAAGCAAATGGAAATCAAAAAAAAGAGCAGGAGTTGCTATTCTAATTTCAGACAAAACAGACTTTAAACCAACATTGATCAAAAAAGACAAAGAAGGGATAAAAGGTTCAGTTCAACAAGAAGACTTAACTATACTAAATACATATGCACCCAACACTGGAGCACCCAGATTGATAAAACAAGTTCATAGGCACCTATGAAGAGACTTAGATAACCACACAATAATAGTGGAAGACTTCGACACCCCACCGACAGTCCAAGACAGATCACTGAGGCAGAAAACTAATAAAGACATTCAGGGCCTGAACTCAACACTTGACCAAGTGGACCTAACAGACAGCTACAGAACACTCCACCCAACAACAGAATATACATTCTTCTCATCTGCACTTGGCACATATTCTAAAATCAACCACAACATCAGCCATAAAACAATTCTAAACAAATTCTTTAAAACTGAAATTATACCAACCGCATTCTCAATACAAATGGAAATCAATACTAAGAAGACCTCTCAAAACCATACAATTACATGTAAATTAAACAACCTGCTCCTGAATGACTTTTGAGTAAACAATGAAATTAAGGCAGATATCAAGAAATTATTTGAAACTAATGAAAACAAAGATACAACAAACCAGAATCTCTGGGACACACCTAAGGCAGTGTTAAGAGGAAAACTTGTAGAACTAAACACCCACATCAAAATGTTGAAACAATTTCAAATTAACAGCTTAGCATTGCACCTAAAGCAACTAGAAAAACAAGAGCAAAGCAACTCCAAAGCTAGCAGAAGAAAATAAATAACTAAAATCAGAGCTGAACTGATGAAATTGAAATACAGAAAAAAAAATAAAAGATCAACAAACTAAAAGTGTGTTTTTTGAAAGAAGATTGATAGAATGCTAGCTAGACTAATAAAGAAAAAAGAGAGAGAAGAAACAAATAAACACAATCAGAAATGAAAAGGTGACATTACCATCGACTCCACAGAAATACAAGAAAAAAACTTCAGAGATTACTGTAAATACCTCCATGTATACAAACTAGAAAATCCAGAAGAAATAGATACATTCCTAGAAATATACAATCTCCCAAGATTGAACCAGGAAGAAAGTGATTCCTTGAACTGACCAATAATGAGTTCTGAAATTGAATCAGTAATAAAAAGTCTATCAACCAGGAAAAGCCCTGGACCAGATGGATTCACAGCCAAATTCTACCAGATGTATAAAGAAGGGCTAGTACCAATCCTACTGAAACTAGTCCCAAAAATTGAGGAGTAAGGACTCCTCCCTAACTCATTCTATGAGATCAGCATCATTATCATACTAAAATCTTGTGGCAACACAACAAAAAAAAGAAACTTCAGGCCAATATCTCTGATGAACATAGATGCAAAAATCCTCAAGAAAATACTAACAAACCAAATCCAACAGCATACAAGAAAGCTAGTTCACCATAATAAAGTAGGCTTTATTCCTGGGATGCAAGGTTGGTTCAACATACACAAATCAATAAATGTGATTCATCAAATAAACAGAAATAAAAACAAAAACTACATGATTATCCCAATGGATGCAGAAAAACTATTGATAAAATTCAACATCCCTTCATGTTAAAAAACCCTCAATAAACTAGGCATTGAAGGAACATATCTCAAAATCACAAGAGCCATCTATGACAAACCCATAGCCAACATTATACTGAAAAGGCAAAAGCCAGAAGCATTCCCCTTGAGACAAGGATGCTCACCCTCACCACTCCTACACAACGTAGTACTGGAAGTCCTAGCCAGAACAATGGGCAAAAGAAAGAAATAAAAAGCAGCTAAATAAGAAGAGAGTAAGTCAAACTATCTCTCATTGCAGATGATATTACTTTATACCTAGAAAACTCCAAAGTCTCTACCCAAAAGCTCTTAAATCTGATAAACAACTTCAGCAAAGTTTCAGGATACAAAATCAAAGTACAAAAATCAGGAGCATTTCTATACACCAACAACATCCAAGCTGAGAGCCAAATCAAGAGCATAATCCCATTCACAATAGCCACAAAAATAAAATACGTAGGAATACAGCTAACGAAGGAGGTGAAAGATCTCTACAATGAGAATTACAAAACACTGCTGAAAGTAACCAGAGATGACACAAACAGATAGAACATTCCATACTCATGGCTAGAAAGAATCAATATTGCTTAAATGCGCATACTGCCCAAAGCAATTCATAGATTCAATGTTATTCCTATCTAACTAACATCAACATTTTTCACAGAATTAGAAATAACTATTCTAAAATTTATACGGAACCATAAAAGTGTCAGAATAGCCAAGGCAATCCTAAGGAAAAATAACAAAGCTGGAGACATCACACTACCCAACTTCAAACTATGCTATAATGCTACAGTAACCAAAACAGCATGCCCTGGTACAAAAACAGACACATAGACCAATATAACAGGTTAGAGAACCCAGAAATAAAGCCACACACCTACAACCATCTGATCTTTGACAAAGTCTACAAAAATAAGCAATGAGGAAAGGACTCCCTATTCAATAAATGTTGCTGCAGTAACTGGCTATCCATGTGCAGAAGATTGAAACTGGCCCCTTCCTCTCACCACAAAAATCAAGTGGTGGATTAAAGTGGATTAAAGATTTAAATTTAAAACTCAAGAGGCGGAGCTTGCAGTGAGCCCAGGCCATGCCACCGCACTCCAGAGCGAAACTCCATCTCAAAAAAAAAAAAAAAAAAAAAAAAAAAAACTCAAACTATGAAAACCCTAGAAGAAAACCTAGGAAATGTCATTCTGGACATAGGTACTGGGAAAGATTTTCATGACGAAGATACCAACAGCAATTACAACAAAAACAAATACTGACAAATGGGACCTAATTAAACTAAAGAGCTTCTACACAAAAAAGAAACTAGCAACAGAGTAAACAGACACCTTACAGAATTGGAGAAAATACTTGCAAACTATGCATCTGACAAAGGTCTAATATCCAGAACCTATAAGTAACTTAAATCAACAAGCAAAAAAACAAATAATCCCATTAAAAAATGGACAAAGGACATGAACAGACAGTTCTCAAAAGAAAACACATGCAGCCAACAAGCATATGAAAAAATGTTTAATCTTAGAGAAATACAAATCAAAACCACAATGAGATGTTATCTCACACCAGTCAAAACGGTTATTAATAAAAAGTCAAAAAATAACAGATGTTGGTGACGTTGCAGAGAAAAGGGAACGCTTATATACTGCTGGTGGGAATGCACATTAGTTCAGCCACCATGGAAAGCAGTTTGGGGATTTCTCAAAGAACTTAAAACAGAACTACCATTCAACCCAGCAATCCCATTACTGGGTATACACCCAGAGGAATATAAATTGTTCTACCATAAAGACACATGCATGCCTATGTCACTGCAGCACTATTCTCAATAGAAAAGGCAAAGAATTAACTTAAATGCTCATCAATGGTGGACTGGATAAAGAATATGTGGTACATATACACCATGGAATACTACACTGCCATAAAAAAGAATGAGATCAAGTCCTTTACCACAACATGGATGGAGCTGGAGGCCACAATCCTAAACAAACTAACCCAGGAACAGAAAACCAACATCACCTATTCTCACTTATAAGTGGGAGCTAAACATTGAATACACATGGACACAAAGAAAGCAACAGCAGACACCAGGGTCTACTTGAGAGTGGGGGCTGGGAGGAGGGTGAGGATGAAAAAACTGCCTATCAGGTACTATCCTCATTACCTGGGTGATGAAATAATCTCTACACCAAACCCCAAGACACACAATTTACCCATGTAACAAACCTGCATGTGTACCTCCTGAACCTAAAATAAAAGTTGGAAAAAAATAAATTTAATTTAAAAATTTAAAAAATGCAGTCATCTCCGGTTATTTGGGTTTTAATGACCAAGAATTTATTCTGTAGAGACAGAAACCCCATCAAAATGCAAAATATACTTCAATATTTAGAAAAGAAATCATCTCCACATCATCACCTGCACCCCCAACACGATGCTCGTCACCATCATTATCACCGTCACCGTCATAGTAAATTACACATTAAACCACAGTGTTGTGTTCTACTCATTTCTCAGAGGTTCCCTGTGGGATTAAACTCCAGATATCACCCTTGTCAAGCTGGCTTGACAACATCCCCTTTATAACACTATCCTTCCCCTGTATCAGTTCTCTATTCCTCTCCTAAATAATCAACTTGCACTTGAATCGTTATCTCAGGATCTGATCCTGGGGGCAACTTAAGCAGAGAGCATCCTCTTGGAATTGTTGTAAGGAGTGAGTTAATCTGAGTAAATCCTGGCACACTGGAGGCATTCAGGAAATCTTCAGCGTCACTGGTCTCGAAAAGTTGCTGAGCTTTTTACCCTGGGGAAGTGGATTGTTGTAAGCGTTGCTGGAATTGATGGGGTCATAAGCAAGCGGCTTGGGAATCTTTTCTTCTACAATATCTGACCTGTTTTCTCAGTGAATTCATCACTTCCTCACTCAATTTAGCTTCCCCCTAGAAGGAGGCTAGATTTTTTTTATTAATTTCAAACTTATAGTTTAGATACAGGGCATACATGTGCACATTTGTTACATGGGTAAGTGGCATAGTGCTGAGGTTTGGAGTATGGATCTGGTCACCCTGCTAATGAGCACAGTACCCAATAGGTAGTTTATTTTATTTATTTATTTATTTATTTATTTATTTATTTATTTTTGAGACAGGGTCTCGCTCTGTCGCCCAGGCTGGAGTGCAATAGCACAATGTCAGCTCACTGCAACCTCTGCCTCTCAGGCTCAAATGATCCTCCTACCTCAGCCTCTCGAGTGGCTGAGACTACAATTGTGCACCACCACACCCAGCTATATTGTTGTTGTTGTTGTTTTTTCTGTAGAGATGGGGTTTCACCATGTTGCCCAGGCTGATCTCAAACTCCTGGACTTAAGCAATCTGCCCAACTCAGCCTCCCAAAGTGCTAGGATTAAAGGTGTGAGCTACTGAACCCAGACAATAGGTAGTTTTTAACCCACCCACTCCTCCACCCACTAGTAGTCCACAGTGTCTACTGTTTCCATATTTATGTTCATGTGTGCTCAATGCTTAGCTCACACTTATAAGTGAGAAAATGTGGTATTTGCTTTTCTGTTCCTGCATTAATTTGCTTAGGATTATGACCTCTAGCTCCATCCATGTTGCTGGAAAGAACACGATTTTATTATTTTTTAAATTTAAAAAATGGCTGTGTAGTAGTCCATGGTGTATATGTACCACATTTTCTTTATCCAATCCACCATTGATGGGCACCTGCATTGATTCCATATCTTTGCTACTGTGAATAGCACAGCAATGAACATAGGAGTGCATCTATCTTTTTGGTAAAATGATTTATTTTCTTTTGGATATAGACCCAGTAATGAGACATCGATTATTAATTTTATATCCTGAACACCTAACAGAGATGCTCATCAAATGGTTAAGAGACACATTTGCCTTTCCTACAATGGCCTCAGACTTCCCTTTCCCCAGCCCAGAGACAAAAGAAGAGGCTCTGGTGAAGCATCTCTGGCCCATCTTCCTATGGGACCTCGAGCATGTCATTTGGCCTCTCTGGCCCTCCCATTATTTTTTGCCTCTAAACTGGCAATCACAGTAATGATGACCCCATGGTGTTGTCATGGGGTAAGAGGAGGCAACACACCTCCTCTTACTGTGCTTAACACAGAGCCAAGGAAGAGTACGCACTCACTGAGTGTTTGCTTTCCCCTTAATTCTACAATAGCCACACCATTTGAATAGGGGGCTCCTATCTCTAACCTTTAGACACCACCCATGGACAACATACAAATGTAGAAGGAGACTTCCTTATAAATGCACCTGCGAGAGCCACAGCCACTCCTACTCTGCTGGATCTACATCACTTTCTTCCTGGCAGCTACATCAGCATTTGGATGCTGATCCCTAGTGTTCTTTTTAATTGAAAACCCGAGTTAACTTTGTCCTGACAACAATTGGTGTCCATGGTTCAGTAGGTGGCAAATGCATTAAACTTTCCCTGGTCCCTGTTGACCATGGAGGGGGAGAGGTGCTGCAGCTCCATTGAGAATACTGGGAACCTGGGTCAGAGAGGTGGGGTGGGAACTGGGGTGAGGGAGCCACCTCCCTTAGCAAACAGCAAAACACAAATCCCTGCCCTGAGGAAGATCTCCAGAAAGAAGGAGAGCCCTTCAGTCTAGAAGATTCTACAGGGAAGGGCCTCTTGTTTATGGGAACATCACCACAGATAGAGCTTAAGTATAATAACACTTATTGAATAAGTTACCCAATGATAATTGAGATTCTGCAGGCAGGAACGGACCTCTTGTTCAGCTCTTTTCCCCTTCTTCACAACCAGAAAGAATATTTGGAATGGAGGCATTGGAATAAGACATGCTTGTCCGTGTTTGTCACCCACAAGCTCTGTGATCAGAGGCATGTTATATCACTTCTCTGAGCTGTGAGTTTCTTATTTGCAAAACATGATTAATAATACCCAATCAGGCCGGGCACAGTGGCTTACGTCTGTAATCCCAGAACCTTGGGAGGCCAAGGCGGGCAGATCACCTGAGGTCAGGAGTTCAAGACCAGCCTGACCAACATGGAGAAACCCCATCTCTACTAAAAATACAAAATTAGCCAGGCTTGGTGGTGCATGCCTGTAATCCCAGCTACTCAGGAGGCTGAAGCAGGAGAATCTCTTGAACCCAGGAGGTGAAGGTTGCAGAGAGCTGAGATTGTGCCATTGCACTCCAGCCTGAGCATCGAGAGTGAAACTCCATCTCAAAATATAATAAAATAAAAAATAATAATAATACCCAACCCATGGGGAGAATATGAAGTATCACCCATATGGCAGCACATGGGAACTACACGGAGCTGCAAATAACAGGAAACCATCTAACAGTGGCTGTAATTGTCAGGGTGTTTATTTAACTCATGCAGCAGGGATAGGCAGTCCCGAGCTGGTAGGATGGTCAACCACGACACGAGACCTCAGTTCTTCCCTCTTCTGCTCTATCATCATTACTATGGTTTTTATGCTCATTGCCCCAAGATGGCTGCTGTGCCTCCAGCCATCACTCCCAGTTTCCAGGTAGGAAGAAAAGGGAAGGGTGAAAGGATGAGGAGCAAATAACCTCCTTCCAGTGAGGCCTTTAATTTTTGTTTGGGAAGGGTTGCTTTTTCCAGTAACTTTCATTTGGATCTCCTTGATCATACTTGGGTTATCTGGCCATCATTATTCTCAAGGGAATCTGGGAGAGCTGTCATTTTAGTTGGGCACATGTCACTACAAACGAACCATGGTTTTGTGAGTGAGAAAGGGGGAAAAACAGATGCTGTGTGGGCCAAGTAGCAGGGTGTGTCCCTTTGTGGTGAATGAGAGGTAGCATATGTCAGTCTACTGCCAGGATCATCATATCCCCTCTCTGATTAGATCTGATGATCTGATCTGCTCTGCTCATTACTCTGTGGGTGTGTAATATTCTAGGAAATTCTAGAACATTCTAGAAATGTCCCCCACAAGATGCTTGGACATCTCACAGATTACTGCATCATATGAAGGAGTTGAAATTTTAGACTATTTCACCTAATGCAGGCTGCTCCTTTCTCCAAACTCCTATTTCAGATCTAAACCAACCAACAAATATTTATGCACACTTTGTGCATCAGATGTTACACTTGGAGCTGTAGCAGCTCCTAAGAAGGATAAGACAGAAATCCCGGGCACCAAAGGATCTGCAGTCTACTTGGGACGCTGCTGATGGAAGTTAATAGAATCCATGCCAAGAGTGAGCATCAGTGAATCATCTGCACACAGGAATCAAGAAAGCAAGATTGCTTTGGGGCCATTCATAAGGCTGGATACACAAGTCACCTCCCAAAATGCTGTTAATTCTCTGTGATGTTTGCATCTGTGTCTCTCGAGCACACAAAATTTAGGCAGGGGAGGAGAGAAAAAGAATATAAAAGCAAGAAAGAGAAAAGTATGTTCCCTATCAAATGTGTGTAACTGGTGAATTTAGCTTCTGGAAGTACAGTTATCAATAGCTCGTGAGTCCAGCAGCTCTGTGGAGCAACCTGTCAAAAGCATTAGATCAGTCATAAAACTATTTGACTGTGTTTGTGATTCACAGAGCTTTCTAGTAGACCTCGGGCATGGTTCTACGGATTCCAGAAGTCTTTCTTCCTTGAATATTCCTTCTCATGAAAATGCATCTCTGGTGAGCTCTCCATTTTTCTTCTGAAGTTGACTCACTGCATTTTCAGTGCCCTCTCTCTCAAAGACCTCATTGAGCCTGCACAGGACTCAGGGAGGTGTTTTGGGAGTGGGGCGGTAACAGCCTGATTTCTTAAGTTATGAATGGTCCTAATTTCCTGCAGGTGAAAGGCAAGAAAATGTTGGATCCTTGTCTAGGAAAGAGATTTGGAAACTGAGAATGATGGGGCCGTGCTCAGTCTCGGGGGTCTGGGACCCATCTCAGCATCTATCCTAGGGATCCGGGAAGCACAGAGTGGAGCCAGCCAGACAGATGCCATCACAGGACAGGACTATGAGGTCAAGTGGGTGAACAAGTGACCTGGCCCAGCCCACACCAATGGGTTCTGCAGTTCCGCTCCATGACCCACCTGCCCAAGGCCCAGTGTTTATGACAGCAGTGAAGGAGATGAGGCCAAGCTCCAAAGGGATGGCTGTAGCAGAGGAGAGGGGAGGCCCTTCTCCACCCAGCCTATGCCAATGGGCACATCTACTCCCAACCCATACCCAACACTCCCAGGAAGTAAACCTAAGTGAATCAATGACCTGGTCCATGAGCCCACATCAGTGCACAGCTGAGGCTCTTCTCTCCTTCCAGATGACCTCCCTGCCATTGCTCAGTGCAGTGGACCCTCAGATCCTCAGATGCTCGACCCTCAGTCTGGACGGCTGTGAGGCCTCAGGGCATGGAGCTGTATGTGCAGTTCATAGGTCTCTAAAGACTCTCAACTCACAAAATCCCAGAGCCTATTCAACAGCACTTCCATGATAAGCCAGGAACTCAGGGCCAGTGCTGCTAGGCAACAAGATCTGTGCAGCACACAGGTACCAGGGCGGGTCCTGCCCTCAGAGATTCAGGTGCCATGTGAGCAAAGACAAGTTGCCAGCTTGCCATAGAATGCAGTTCATCATGATAACTACATACAAAAACTAAGCTGTGGGCCCACCCCTGGACTTGAACTTAAATCTCACCTTGGCTGTTCTCAAGCTGGGTGAACTTGCAGAAGTCTCTCAACCCGGTAACCTGCCATTTGCCCATTGTTAACATGGGTATTATAGACAGGTTCCAAGGAATGCTTGGAGAACTCCATGAGATAATGTATGTGACGGGCCCAGGGATGCTGGGCAAACACATTGTCCTGATTACAATGTCATAATCAACAGCAAAATACATGTTGAGTTGTGCTGCCTCTAGATCTGGATGTAAGCTGTGGTTAACCTTGATGCCTATGATGTGCTGTCACTCCAGCTATTGTGTGTTTCCACCAGCCAGAGACTCTGTTGAACTCTACTCCTGTAGCCAAAAAAATAAAATCATGAAAATAATCAGGGTGGGAATCAACATTCACTCAGGGCTTGTTTATGCAAATGAGCAAATTCAATCTATTGTTTTTATAATATACATTTCACATGATAGAGCCACCATGACCTTTCCCACAGGACTTTTCTGCCTCATTAATTTCTCACCAGGGAATGCAGGATATTACCATGCAAGGGCTCTGGAAGCAGACATTCTAGGTTTGGATTCTGACTTAACCAATGTCTAGCTGGTCGACCTTAGACAAGCCACTTTATCTTTGCAAGGCTCAGCTCCCTGGTCGGTAGAAAGAAGAATGAAGAACAGCAGCATATGAACCTATAAGCAGCTCATAGGGTTTTGGTGGATATTGCCGATTGTGGTAGCAATGTGGCACTCTAGGGTGACTCCTTGATTCCCACTCCCCCAATATCCATGCCTTTGTGTGATCCAAAATATTCAAAGTGTATTTTGCTGTTGGTCATGACACTCTAATCAGGACAATGTGTTCATCAAGCAGCCCTGGGCCTGTTACACACATCATATGTATGAGTGAGACCTATGACCTGCTTCTAACCAATAGAATATGACAAAAGTGAAGAGACATTGCAGAGGTGATAAATGTCCCTAATCAGTTGACTCTGAGCTAATCAAAAGGCCCTAGGTGGGCCTGGCCAAATCAGATAAGCGCTTCAAAAAAGGGACAGGGACCCTCCCTGAAGTCAAAGTCTCCAAGCAACACATCCTTTCTTTCCTGCTAACCATGAAGAAGAAAGTCACCGTGCATTCTACGATAGCAAGGAAATGAATTTTGACAATTACCTGAATGAACTTAGAAGCAGATCCTTCCCCAGTTGAACCTCTGATGAGAACCCAAATGAGGTGACACCTTGATGCAGCCTTGGGAAATCCTGAGCAAAGGACCCAGCTAAGCCATGCCTGGACTCCTGACCCACAACTGTAAGATAATAAGTGAGTGTTGTTTAAGCTTCTATGGTAATTTGTTTTGAAGAAATAGAAAACTAATACAGTAACCCATGTAGAATCCTGAACATGGTGCCTGGTACAGAGTAAGAGCTGAATAACTGAGCTATTATTATTCACTGTCCCTTAATTAGGTGAGTAAAACCAGTCAGAAACAATGGTTGTGTCCCATGTTCACTTGGCTTAGCCTGAGAACAAGCATGGTTTGGGGTTATTAGCTGGTGTTCCTCTCTCCCTGCCAGAGTGAGCTCTGCTGCACCAAGAGATGAAATTCCAGCTCAAGGAGCCTCCAAAGTCAAAGCCCTACAGGGTGGTCACTCTCCCACATCAAGTAACTTGAATGGTTCTCCCCCTGACCACGCCTGGACTTTCATGAAATTACATCCTCAGCCTGTGTTGCCTCCTTCTCAAGCCATTTATTTTGAGAAGGAATAATGAGTGTTTTGAGCTATCTGATATTGGCTACTGGATGCAGTGTGCCAGGGTTTAACATCAGCCCATCTCTGAAACAGATGCCCAGGTTCTTTGTCAACATCACAGCCTATTTATAATCACACTCAAGTCTGCAGGCACCCAAGTCTGAACCTCAGCTGCTAAAATATTCAGAACAACAGAGCACCTAATAAAGCAACCTGGACCTAATGAGCCCCCAGCCCCTCCCCCTAACCCCCAAAAAGCTCTGCTGCGTATCAACAAAAGACATGTTTACCAAATTTTAAATTGTTTTCTCATTAAAATGTCTTTAATGCCTATTAAAATGTATGCTACAGATGCATGTTTCTCATAGTTATTGAAGGAATCAATGTGATATTCTCTTTCTAAGAGATGTCAGCATCTCTTTAAAAATTATTTTTCATTCCTTTAGGATTTTACAGCTGCTTTGCTCATTATTTGCCACATAAAACTTTGTTCCAATGAAATTGCCTAGAGGAGAATTAGTTCAGGTGGAGTCCCTCCCAAGTTCCACAGTGAAGCCCAGTTTCAGAAGTGAGTGTTAAAGGAGTTCAATGTGCTTGTCTGGCTTCATCGACATAGGGTGTGCCGTTTAAGTCAGATTGAAGGAAGAGCTCTGGGCCACCTAAGGCATGACCTTATATGTTATGACTTCATGGCTGCTAAACGTGCCCTGAAATCTTTTTCCACCTATGGTCAAAGTGGTGAAAATATCCCCACAAGTCTTTCCTGAGACTTAAAAACTTTTCTGTATCTGCATACTTTGGAAGAATAACATCTGTATTTCCACCACCGTCATAAATTATTTATTATGAGTCATTATATCAGTTTGGCTTCAGTCCTCCAGCAGAGTAAGAGAAAATGAATCTGAGTACAGACAAGTATTCACAGTTGGACTTGTGAAGAAAAGGCTCAAATTTGCCTGAGGGTAAATCAGCTTGGTAGGATTCTTCTACAAGTTCCACAGCTCCAGAGCAGATGGAAAGACCTTGGACTAGCTTCCTTTAGAGAAACCAAAGCTGCAGCATGAGGCACGTGCATAGCCCCCAGGATGGCAAAGCCTGTGGAATTCTGAATTCCCTGAGGGACTGAAACAATTCTGTAATTAATTCAACATTTACCAAGCACTTTCTCTGTACCCAGCCCTGAGCCAAGACCTGTGGGGAATAAACAGGTAAGTGTGGCAGAGTCCCCAGCCTCATTCATTCATTTAATCATTCATTCATTCATCATCCACTTACTGACGGCCTCTGAGGTACTAATAGCCTCAAGGAGTTATCTGAAGTTCAGCAGCCCTTCTTGAGAGCCCCACTTCTCTGAGAGTCTGGTCCAGGTGACACGTTCTGACTTCTCACCCACCAGTTACTTTTTCTTCCTCCTCGCTTCAGGGCCCTGACTTGCCTCAGGAGCTCAGCCTTCCCAATCTAAGTAGGCCAGATCAGGATCATACCCATTGCTGGGTTCTGGACCTGCCTTCCCCCAGACTCTCCACCAAGGCACAGATGCCAGGCCCTTTCCCTGCAGTTGTAAAAGTTGAATACTTCAGTTGCTTTGAAGACATCAACAGTGGCAACAAAGGGTGAAATAAGACACACACACACACACACACACACTCACACTCATGCAAGCACACATTGCTAGGAGAGCTATAACTTTGCAAAGAGTATTTTCTACCACTTGATCTTAAGAAACACGGGTTGATCTTGTTTAAAACAAACAAATAAGCAAAAAGTGCTAATCAAAGACCTTTGCTGATCAGATTTCTACCTCTCTGCTGTTAAAAGAAAAACTTTAGCCAAATTAAATTTAGAAGAGTTTAACTGAGCAAAGAACTATGCACAAATCAGGCAGCCTCCCAAGCCGGTGTAGGCACAGAGACTTCAGCACAGCTACATGGCAAAAGAAGATGTGTGGACAGAAAAAGGAAAGTGATGTACAGAAAACAGAAGTGAGGTGCAGAAACAGCTAGATTAGTTACAAGTTGGCACTTGCCTTCTTGAACACGATTTGAACAGCTGGCCACCTCTGATGGGCCAAAACTCGGTGATTGGCACAAGAGTAGGCTACAGTCTGTTTACAAGTCCATTTAGGTTATAGTTCACCATGAACAGAGAAACATTTAGGTCAAACTTAAAATATGTGAGGAGACAGCTTTAGGCTATACTTGAATTAACACTAACAGACCACAGATCCTGGACCTCTATGGGCAAAAAGGGGTTAACTCAGCCTTGAAATTAAGCAAATCCCAACCCTGCTCTTGAGTCCAGGGAGAAAAAGTCTTTTTTCATGTTAGGGAGCCTTAGGTGGTTCCTGACAGTTGTCAGGATACTTTAGAGTGTGGGCCACACTGGGTTAGCCTCAGTTGGGAGTCTCTTTGTTAAGCCTAAATCCTGACTTCCCTCCTCCCCACACACCCCACCTCCACCCACACAAAGATTCAATCCTGCTTTGCAAATGAGGACAAAGCCCTAAGCTACAGAAAATTTAAAGACGTTCACCAAACCAAAACATTTCTTCCTGTGCTGTGTCGGGTTCGCTTTCCCCCGCTCAGGGGAGGGACAAGGAAAAGCTGTTAGGAGCCTGACACGGAACAGGACTTTCATATAGATTTCCAACAATCTCGGGTTCCATTTGTGCCCACAGCAACGAGGTGGCAATTGGAAAATCACATTTGATGATGACCTTGTGAAGCCGCCCGATGGGACAAGTGGCCCGCATGACTTTTCCTTCCTCCCCACCCCACACCCACCTCCTTCTGCAATTTCACTGGGCATTTGCTCAGAGGGCAGTGCCCTTCTCACCTCCAGATACGCCGGGACTCCAACAACAGGGCAGCAGACTTCAGTTTAGACCTACTCCCTAAAACGCTCAAATCCTTACAATGAATCTATTGTAAGGGCATTAAAAGAAGCTAGATATTTAGGATGGGACATACCGGAAACCCTCTTGTACAATGGATAATGCCCCTCACACCCAGAATCCTGGTCCATCCTTTTTCTAAATGCAAGTTTTCTATTCGCTGCATCCTGGAGGGGATTTGTAAGAGAGGCAATCCCCCTGGCCAGTCCAGCTGGGGGAGCCGGGAGCTGTCAATAAGGGGCCTAGGACTGTTGATTCTAAAGTGACCAAGTGGCAGCTGTCACATCTTTGATAATGAGCAGAGGGCTTCTGTCTCAGGGTCACATGGATGCAACTGTTCTGCAGAGTGAGGGAAGGGGGCTTTCTATGCTGTCCCTAGATCTCATCAAGCTCTCCAGTACATTAGCTTTTATTCACAGAAGTATCTGTGTTGACTTTAATGAGTACTACTAATCAATAGCATTCACACTGTCTTTGGCATCTCGGGCTGCCATAGCCAAGTAGTGCAGACTGGGACTTAAACCACAGACACTTACTTCGTGCAGCTCTAGAGGCTAGGAGTCCAAGGCCAGGGTGCCAGCAGGGTGAGGGCCTCGTCCTGGCTTGACTGCCTTCTCTGAGCGTCCTCGCATAGCAGGGAAGAGAGAAAGCTCTGTGGCATCTCTTCTTATAAGGGCACGAATACCATCAAGAGGGCCCCATCCTCATGACCTAATTACCTCCAAAAGGACTCGCCTTCAAATGCCATCACACTGGAAGTCAAGGCTTCAACACATGGACTTTGGAGAGACACAACCATTTAGTCCATAACACACGACTGCCATACGTGACGCCTCTGCTGAAGGCTAAATGTGCCCTATCTCCCTGGGTGCTCACACCCTTCTATAAGTGTGGTATAATTATCTCCATCTTAAAGATGAAGAAATGGCGGTGGAGTAGGGGTAAGGAATGAGTCCCAGGTCACACAGCTGGTACGTGCCAAACTGGGATTCAAACACAAGTCAGTCTGGTTCAAGAACCAGGGTTCTAAACACACATGGCTGAAGCCCCCAGAAGCCAGAGTTCCTCCGAGCATCAGAACTTGGAGAATATTTAGACAAATGATTTTCAAATATACTTTAGCCAATAAAAAGTTTACAATGAAATCCTACGTGAAATGTCCATATATAAAATAGCTACAAAAGAAAAAACCCAAGCCGCTGTTCTGAAGCAGAGATTCAGGCACTGATGGACACTTCATCCACTTTACACTTCAGCCCTCCCCTTCCTTGCCCCATTTCTATCCTGGCAGAACTAGAGGCATAGATCCCCAGCCCCAAGGAGTCCAAAAAGTAAATAAGTAAACAGATAAATAAGTAAGTGGACCGAATTAAATATTTATTGAGATTATATGGTAGAATACATTCCCAGTGGACTAATGCTTCCATGGAAAATAACTATAAACGGGCCAGGTGTGGTGGTTCACGCCTGTAATCCCAGCACCTTGGGAGGCCGAGGTGGGCAGATCACCTGAGGTTAGTTAGGAGTTGGAGAAAAGCCTGGCCAACGTGGTGAAACCCCGTCTCTACTAAAAATACAACAATTTGCCAGGCGTGGTAGGGCACACCTGTAATCCTAGCTACTCCGGAGGCTGAGACAGGAGAAACGCTTGAACCCGGGAGGCAGAGGTTGCAGTAAGCTGAGATCATGCCAATGCACTCCAGCCTGGGTGAGAAAGCAAGACTCTGTCAAAAAAAAAAAAAAGAAAGAAAGAGAGAGAAGAAAGAAAGAAAGAAAGAAAGAAAGAAAGAAAGAAAGAAAGAAAGAAAGAGAGAGAGAGAGAGAGAGAGAGAGGGAGGGAGGGAGGGAGGGGGGGGGGGGGGAGGAAGGAGAACGATAAACTCCAGCCCAAAATAAAACAAACAAAACTTCTCAAAGCCTTTAGAGAGTGAACAAAGGCAAGAAGAAGAGACCAGTTGTGACAAGTCTCCCATCTGCACGGCTTTGATCTGTAGAAAGACCTTGATTCCAGCAGGGCTTGGTGCCGCTGGAGCCCTGATAGAGAACCCGCCATCTCTCTGGCTAGGAGGAGACACAGCCCAGGAGGCCACAGATGCTGGGGAGTGAGAAGGGAGCTCATGAAGGATAAGACCAGAGAAGGGGAGCCCCAGAGTCTGCCTTTAATCTCGACCCAAAGTCTCCAACTGACCTTTGAACTGTTCTCTTTATCTGAAAACAACTCAGTTAAAGAAAAAGGAAAAGGAACAGAACCAAGATCTGAGCTGCCACTACTTGTAGGTAACAGAATTTGTGGTTTGCATCTACCCAAGTGAATTGTCTGCTAAAACAAAATAATACTCCTTAGGGAAATGTAACAAACACCAGAATCTCCACACACAGCATTCACAACGTCCAGGTGCTACCCCAAATTACTCAACACACAAGAAAACCATGAAAGGGGGGATAATTCTCAAGTAAAAAGACAATCAACAGAGATCAGACCCAGGATGACTCAAATGCTGGAATTAACAGAGGTAGGCTGTAAAGCAGCTAGCACAACCATGCTCCGTGAGGCAGAAGGAAATGCTGACAGCAAGTGGAGAGAAAGGAACTCTCAGCAGAAAAGTAGAAAATGTATAAACAGAGAAAATGGAGCAGGTGGAACTAAAAATTAGAGTATCTGAAATAAAAACGTAAGTGATGGGTTTCATAGCAACAGGGAAATTATTAGTTAATAAGTAAATGAACTTGAAACCAGATCAGTAGAAATCATCCAGTCTAAAGAATAAAAAGAAAAATACTGAAGAAAAATGGACAGAGCCTTGGGGACTGGCTCTAAAATATAGGTAATTGGAGACTAGAGGAAGAATAAGCAGAAAAAAAAATTTGAAGAAATAATAGCCAACAACTTCCTAAACTTGGTGATGCATATAAATTGACATTTTCGAGTTTAGCAAAAATCATAAACAATATAAATGCAAAGAAAACCATGCCAGGCACATAATAATCAAACTGCTAAAAACAAAGATGAAACAAAAATCTTAAAGGCAATCGGAGATTAAAAAATAAGTCACAGACATAGAAAAAATAATTTCAATTACTGTAGACATCTACCAGAAACTATGGAGGCAATTCAACAGAAGAACACCTTTAAAATGCCAAAAGGAAAAGTGGCAACACAAAATTCTATGTGTCCATAGGCTGGGGCCCATTCCTGTTGGAATGATCCAGTCAGGAAAGGAGCAGGTGCTGGACAGAGGCAGAGAGCTGAGAGAACGGGCACCATCAGAGATGCTTCAGTCATCCATTCAGCAAATATCTGCTGGGTGACTGCCACGGGGGACAACCCTCTGGATGCAGGAACTACAGCCACAAAGAAGAAAAGAGGACACAGGAACCCCTGCCCTCCTGAAGCACCTGCTCACTCTGCCCTAGAGTAGTGAGGTTGGGCATGGAGCGGTGGAGGACACAAGGGCTGAGGAGCTTCTAGGTCCCGTCCCCAGGCAGGGAGCAAAGCTAACCATGGAGGAAAAGATGGAATTGTCAAGTGGACCTTTAGGCTGCAGCCTCCTAGGCCTTAAGATGAGGTTGCCAGATAAAATGCTAAATCCAGCCACCCTGCCCTGAGCCCAGAGTGGACTGCCTGCCCTTTTTTCATCCAAGAAGCCCCTCCGGTCCTACCTCCCAGGTTACGTGAGAGGAGAGGACCATCTGCTGCTGGCCAAGCCTAGCGGTCACTGCTGCTCTTTGCAGTCACTCAGGACTGTGGACTTGCTGGGGCGATTGATTGTCCATGAGTCAACAATTACAGCTATTAACCCAGCAATGTCTTCCCACTCACCACTAGCCACAATAAGTACACTAATGCCCTGGGATGGAGCAGGGCAAAGGAATGAGGGAGGGAGAGGGAGAAGAAGAGAAGGAAGGAGGAATGGAGGAAGGAAGAAAGAGTAGGAGGAAGAAGGAAGGAAGAAGAAAGGAGGGAGCAATGGATTGCAAGCTTTGGGAAGTCACACTTGGAAGAGGTTTACAGACACTGCAGTTGAGAAGGTGGAAGGCAAGGTCACAGAGCCTGACCCAGAGAGAGGCTCCATCCTCCTTCAGGGTCCACCCTGCAGACTGCATGCTCCAGCCCCTGCACTAAGCCCTGCCTGGCCCCCAGCCTTTCCCACCTGATGTTGCAGCCTCTCTCAGTAGGGGCCATTCACAGCCCATCCACCGCAGTTCTGACCACTGCGCCTCTCCAGCAGGGCCCTCTCCTGCTCATCCCGCCCACATCTAACTGGACCAGAGGCAGTCGGGAGGGAGTGATCTGGGAGGGGGGAGGTAGTCACCTCTGTATCATTTGCATTTTTATTACAAAATATGGATTTATGTGATTCTAAAATGCTTTATAACATTTAAGTTAACTTGTACCGGGGGAAGTTAGCTGAAACTATGCAAGTAAACCAGAACAATGATTCCCATGGTCCTGGCTCATGACGGCAGCCCTGTGCCAGCCCAGAGGCAATCAGGGAGGGCACTAGATGTGGAAATGCCCAGGTGGGACACTGGCTAGAGCCCTAAGTGTAGGAGCCCAGAGTGAGGGAGCCGGCCCAGAGAAGGGCGGTGCAGTTCTGCAGGAAGGGGAAGAGCTGGCTCAGGTGCTGCTGAACATTTGGGGAAGGTTGTGGCTTTCCCACCTGGAAATGAAGCTCCTGCAGGACTAGGGGATGAGGACAAGGGGAGCTGTTTGTTTTCTCTGAGGGTATTTGTCTTGGCTGCCCACTGAGCAGGAGAGCACACCCATGTGGACAGCGGCCTCCATGCCCCTTCTCTTTCCTGTAGTCTCTGACTGTCCTCCTCCATCGTCAGCAGAGGGGTTTGAGAGCTTTGATGCCACCCCAGGCTCCAAGGCCCCACCCACCATGGGCAGTGTTAGCCCCTCATATATCCCATCTCCATAGCTACACTGATTGATTTGTAAACAGTTATGCAATCTGCCTGGCCAACGAAATCAAGGTTCATCTCGGAAGATTCCTGGGAAGAAGTCTCTTCTAGCTTTCTGCAGGAGCTACTGGAAGAAACTGTTTTATTTTGTTCTTACGGATTCAAGATGGAAAAGATGCAGGCTGAGAGCTGCCGGCAGCCAAGTTGTCAGCACAGGGAGGGCTGCCTGAAAACAGCGCCAACACCAAGAATAGAGATGGAGAACCAAGGCACCGCGTGACGGCGAGCCCTGATCAAACCACACCTGATGCTAGGGCTCTCCCGGGGCTGTTTTGCCCTGTGAGGCAAGGAACTGCCTTTTTCCTTAAGCCAGATGACATCGGGAGCTGGGCTTTCTATAACCTCCCTAAAAAAGAGCCCTAAGTGATACGTGTCTCTGAATGAGGCTGCACACTTGTTTTGCGCCTGGAAATGCTCAGCTCACCCAGCACACGAGTAGCAGTATTTTTCTGTTGCATTACACATATCAGCTTCTCAAAATCACCCCTTCCTGAGACACTGAAAAGCTGGGCTGGGGTCCCCTCAAAGACCCCAGTGCTAGGTCCATGGGCTTCTCTCCGAGGACTAAGAGGTTTCCATTTACTATGTTACATTTCCATGGAAAATGAAACTCTTGATAGATTTCCATGCATTCTTCCCCAGCTGCCCACTAAAAGAAAACATTTATGGTTCAGTTAATTTGGGTTGTGTCTCAATAATGGAAATAACTGGATCATGCATAGGCCCTGGAGACTGTGGCTACCTTAATAGCCTGACACACAAGCTGCTTGATTGAAAATAATGAATCAAATGCCAAATGGCTGAACCCACAGCCAATTTCTACACGATCAATATGGAGGCGTAACTGACAGAGCTGCGGCTCTTTTCATCCTAAAACGAACACTTAATTGAAGAAAACGTCTAACAGAGCTCAGGTGCAGCCATGACTGAGCAAATCACCCCGAACCCCAGGACAAAGGAAGCAGGAAAGATTTGAGGCTCCTCCGCCGAAACCCCTTTGTTTATGTATGATGAAGCCCAGACCTGGGGCCGCTGTCCTGGCTCTTTTTGTTGTTGTTGTTGTTATACTTTAAGTTTTAGGGTACACGTGCACAACGTGCAGGTTTGTTACATATGTATACATGTGCCATGTTGGTGTGCTGCACCCATTAACTCGTCATTTAACATTAGGTATATCTCCTAATGCTATCCCTTCCCCCTCCCCCCAACCCCACAACAGGCCCCGGTGTGTGATGTTCCCCTTCCTGTGTCCATGTGTTCGTCCTGGCTCTTTATTTATTCATTAGTTTTGCCTGTGCAGCTTTTCTTTTAAGTCTTTCCCCCACTTTTTTTGAAAAACCAGAGGGAAGGGAATTAAAAAGAGAAAGCCAAATCTTAGCTATGTCAGATGGCACTTTGTAAATTAAGCTTCAAAGACAGAGGTAGAAAGCTGCTGTCAGCTGGGTGTCCCGGGTAGAAAAATGCAGTGGAGATTCACTTAGCAAGCGATCAGCTGGATAATAAAGCCGCCAGTGGGGCCGCGCCGGTTCCTCTTGCCCTTCTCAGTGTGGCGTTTGGAAAATTGTTGCTTCAAAGCTTTTGTGATGGAATTTTGCTACATTAATTCAGTTTTTAAATCCTGTTCTTGAGGAAAGAGAAGCACAAAAAATAAACACAGGCTTGAGAAAAGAGAGCTGCAATCTCTGGGATGGGTTGAAAGATGAAGAGACCTCATCAGGAGAGTGTGGCGCGGCATGTTGGCCGCACGGCTGGTTCTGTGTCCCTGTGGGGAGGGCACGGGACTGCACATGTGGGACCCTCCACGGGTGAGTTGCTGGAACATTCTCTCAGCCTTGGAGACAGCTCCCAGGTCTTGTTTGTTTAATATCCTCTAGAAATATCCTCACCTCTCCAGGAGCTCCCGCACCCCAGCAGCCGGGCCCTGGCTGCCTCTCCTCTCCCTGACCACTGGGAGCTCTCTGTCCACTGGGCACTGGCCATGTCGCCTGGCCTTGCCACCCATGAAGATGGAGAGCCCCTTATGGACTGCAGCAGGGTTTTAGATATCCATTTCTTCTATCCCCAGCCATGTGCACAGGCACCAAACGTGACTTGATGAATTGAGACATTCACTCCCAATTAGCCGCTTGACACTCTACAGCATTTATGAGTGTCCAGCAGGCCCTACCGCCTGCAGAAGGCCCCTGGGACAAATCTGGTCTCCCAAGGCATTTGATGAGCTGGAACTTCAGCTCCTGGAGGCTGGCTTGCACTCCCTTTCATCGAAACTGCCGCTGCCTGAGCCAGTGGGACAGATCACCCAAGACTCAGGTCTGAGACGGGTCTCTTGGGATGAAGGGGTGGTAGGCAAATACGTCGAAGCCATGTCACCTGAGGCCCACTATCAAGCAAGCTCTGGCCTGCACAGGCCTCCCCCTGATATTTGCAAATGTCGTCCTCATTTTCAGTTAGGAGCGGAAGGTGGCTGCGCTGCCAGGAGAGAAGGCGTGGAGTGGAACGGGGAACACCAGCAGCAGAACTTCCCGACACAGGAGACGAGATATTCTGCACCTACAAATTCTTCACCACAGACCTCCCTTCCACCCTCGCCTCCCATGGCTCGCTGAGTCAAAAGCAGCATTGGAGGAGACTTTCTTTCCTGTTTACAGTTGAGAGGTGGGGCAGTAAGGTGGTGTCCCTAACTCCTGCAAGGAACATTGAGGCTACACAGCTCACCTTGATTAAGACATCCTCTGTGATTGGCACTTCACTCCATTTGGTCACTGTGGTCACCTTGCCTGAGATGGGGTTGCTTGTTCATGTTGCCCCCAGGTTTGTCCTCTGACCTCCCTGTGTCCTGCAGGCTGACCCCTGAGACCACATCACCCAGGCTCCTGCACCTCTGGCCAGCGAGAGGCACCAGGAGGCCACGGTAAGTGGAAGAAAGAGAGATCAGTTCTTTCTGACCCTCTCTGTCTCTGCCTGGGTGTGGCTTCTCGGCAGCTGCTCTGTCCCTTCTGCAGGGCACCTTCAGTCCGGGATGCCAGGAGTGCTTTCTCCTCCCCGCACCCCATCAGCCTCTAGTGTGCTACCCACTGCCCATCCTGCGTGGTCTCTGGGTTCCCTGAGCTCTTGGCTCCTGTAACTTGTCAACAGCTCAGCAAAGGCCCCTGCATCTGAGCCTTGCAATGGAGCCTGCTCCCTGCGGGACCCTGGCCTCCCAGAGAGCTATTACTCCTCTCCATCACAGATGAGAAGACAGGCTCAGAGACAGAGAGCCAGAATATTAACCCAGCAAACCCCAAACACTGCCTCACATGCCTCTCAGGAAGGCTGGCCTGACTCAGCAACAACCTGCTCACATAATAAATGCCCAGTTAATGGTTTACCAGGAACCAGCTCTTCTGATCTTTGCTTCAAGGTCTTTCTAAAAACCACAAGAGAAGTGAGAGAAGCAGCTTCCGTTAAGAACAAAGACAGCGAGTGAAGACAGGCAAACATCAAAGTCACGGGCTACCGCTGCCCTGTTGCTCCTGCTGGGTCCCCTGGGGTCCCAGCCTAGTGAGCAAAGTGGGTTCCATGGGTTGGTACAGGCTTTCTCTCCTGGCACCCACTGCGTGGCTCCCACTCCTTCTAACAAGGAACCTCAGAGGCAGAAGAGGGAGAGGCCCGGAATTAGTGAAAAAAAAAAAAATACCAAGCACAGGTTCACAAGCACCCTTCAGAGAGATGTCCTGCAAAGGTGCCATGTGGATCCGCGCAAATCTTCTCATGAACATTTAAGCCCTCAGCAGCTGAGTCTGTGGCTAATGGCAAAGGGAAGGATCATTTAATTGTCCCCAAGCTGGGGGCAGTGGCCTGGACGGCTTCACCACTGACTGCCTGGCAGCCCACTCTGCCCCCAGCAGCCCAGGGTAAATGTTTCCAACATCTTATTTCTATGCATGTCCCCTTGGCTGGTTAATTGTGTAGAAAGATTCCAGTTTTAAGCCTTCCCAGTTGGATAGTTTATGTTGGATGAAATCCTTATTCTGTATACAAATAATTCGTATTAAAAGACAACCACCATCAATTCAGGAGTCAGCTGTAAATAGGGGCTGGGTTCATGCCAGAAGTTGTCATTTTTGCCTTGGATGGCAAGGTAATCATTTGATGAGAGTAAACTATTTTAATTTCTATTAAACCATGATTGCTGTGTTTGCTTTTTCCAACAGATGATGATTTGTGTAATTAGTGGTGTATACTGTGTAATTTTATAATGAAAGGAGACACGATGATGAGACAGAGATCTGTGGTTTCAGGGTGCAATTGGTTTGCCCCCTTAGTATATTAGGAGGTTTTGCACAAATCTGTTGCCTTAGTATGTTTTGTGCTGCTACGAAAGGATACTTGAGACTGGGTAATTTATAAAAATCAGAAACTTATTTCCCCACAGTTCTGAAATTTGGGAAGTCCAAGATCAAGGTGCTGGCATCTGGTGAGGGCCTTCTTGCTGCATCGTCCCATGGCAGAAGGGCAAAGAGAGGATCACAGAGAGAGAAGAGGGGACTGAACTCACATCTTTTTATCAGGAGCCCTCTCCCAAGACAATGGCATTCATCCATTCACTCCACCCTCATGGCCTAATCACCTCTTAAAGGTCCCACCTCCTAGTACTGTTACAATGGTAATTAAATTTCAACGTGAGTCTGGCATCTGTCCTCACATTTTTCATCCTATGTAGATAAGAGCGATCTGCAACTTTCTTGCTTTGGGAACCTGGTTGGTCTGCACCAGACAGTAGATTCAACTAGAAGTTATTTTGCTTCATGGGGTCCATTGGGCAAAGTCTGGAGACATGCTTGATTGCTGTGATTGGGAGTGGACCCTGGCATCTGGTGGGTAGAGGCCAGGGATGCTTGCTGCTCCACCTCCTATGATGCACAGGACAGCCCCCGGGGACAAAGGACCATGTTGTTCCCCATGTCAATAGTGCTGAGGTGGAGAACTCCTGATCCAGAACAAGAGTATAAAAGGCATATTTGTAGGTCCCCAAACAGCAGCCTGTTTGTCAAAGAAGATGGGCATGGGTCCATGTCCTGCAGTGAACTCAGTCCCCCATGACCTCAGAGTAACCCATCCCCATCCAGAGCTTGGGGGAGTGGGGGAAGATTCTCCAAACATTCCCATTTCCTTCTTCCTACACCAGCTTCTTTTAAAGAATAGCAGCTGCAAGTGGGATTATAAATAAGTACCACCACTTTGGGAAGCATTGTGGTTGACATCTGCTGAAGCTGAAGATAAAGCTAAATAGCTTGAAATGCTTCCACCACAGTCCCTGAGAAGTCCCTGGTGAATACACAATCATGGCACTACAGACATGGCAGAGCTCTCAGGAATGTAAGGGGTTTCTCCAGAGCCCGAAAAAAAAGAAGGGGGTTGGGGTTTAATTCTACATGCAGCCAATTCCGTGGCTAGTGTCTGTCCACAGAAAGGCCTGCCTCTAAATATTCACATGCCTCAGGGATCATATTTCCATTCTTTTCTTTTGTTTTCTGGTCCATTTCTTAGATTCTCTCATGGCTTTTAACACAAATTTCATATGGTCAACTGTCAAATTCACATCGCCAGCCCATCCCTGTCTCCTGAACTCATAAAGCCAGCTTTCCACCGGACTTTCACTTGATGATCTAATAGACATCTCAAACTTAATGTAACAAAAATAAATTTGATTTTCCAATATTATGGACTGAATTATATCCCCCCAAAATTTATATGTTGAAGCTTTAAATCCAGTGTGACTATATTTGGAGATGCAGCCTTTAAGGAGGTGGTTCAGGTTAATGAAGTCGGAAGAACAAGGCCCTGTCAAGATAGGACGGGAGTCCTTATGAGAAGAGGAAGAGGCGTCAGAGCTCTCCACTCACACAGAACAAATGCCATGTGAACACACAGCAAGAAGGCAGCCATCCCCAGGTCCAGGAAGAGGACCTCATCAGGAACCAAATCTGCCAGCACCTTGATCTTAGATGTTAGGTGTCTGTTCTCTAGAACTGTGGGAAATAAATTTCAGTTGTTGAAGCCCCCCCAGTCTGTGCCAGTCTTGGATTATGGCAGCCTGAGCAGACTAGTACACTCCAACCCACTTCTCATTTTCTTCCCCATCTCATCAAACTGCACCCCCAACACTCTGGTCCAGCATTCCTCTCGCTCTCTCTCCTTTTCTCTGAAAGGCATTATCTACCTTGCTTTCTTTCTATCTGTTTGTCTGTCCATCTATCTATTATTAATACATTCATCGTCTACCTACCTATGCATCTACTTATCTATCTATGCACCTCTCTATGTATATATCTGTGTATCTGTCCATTCATCCATCACCTGTCTATCCATTTATGCATTTATCTGTCTACACTTTTATCTATGTATCTACCTGTCCACCCATTCACCTATCCACCCTTCCACTCTTTGATTCATCATCTATCTATCCAATTACCCACTTATCTATGTATCCATGCATATATTTATGTATCTATCCACCTATCCATCCATCAATTCATCCATCATCTATCAATCCATTTATGCGTTTATCTATGTCTATGTATCTATCCATCCATCCATGTATCTATCCATTCACCTATTCATCCATCGATTTCTTTATCTATGTATCTATCTATCCATTCATCCATCTATTCATCTATCTATGCATCTATCTCACATACACACACCTTCCCAGTTTGACAGTCTGTGTTGGATGAAATTCTTATTCTGTATACAAATAATTGTATACATAACACACACACACACACACACACACACACACACACACACATTATCTCTCAGCAAATCCTGTTGACTCTGTCTTAAAAATAAATCCCTAATTCAATCACTTCTCATCACTTCCATTGATCTCCTCCTGGTCTGAGATGTCACCATGTGCCTCCTGGCTTCCACAGGAGCCTCCTAACTGGTTTCCTCATTTCTGCCCACATCTGCCAACAGTTCATTCTCAGTACAACAGCCAGAATAACCCTCCCAAGACAAAAGCCAGTGTTGCCCCATCTCAGCTCCTAGACTTCTAATGGCTTCCTGTCTCACTGTGAGTCATACCAGCATCTGCACAGAGACCACCCCGGCCCACCCCATCTGCACTGAGACCCCAGGGCCCACCCCCATCTGCTCCCACCATGTCTCCAGCTGGTCCCTTCCCTTCCTCTCTCTCTCCACCCCTGCTGCCCAGGCACACTCCTGTGCCAGGGCCTTTGCACTTCTGTTTTCTTTCCTGACATGCCTCCCAGGATATCTGCAGGGTTCCCTCCCTTGTTCCCTCGGGTCTCCCTCACAAGCCTTTTCAAAATAGTATTCCTGCCTCCCTCTGTACCCTGATTTCACTTTCTTTCTCTGCATAGCCATTATCCCTCTACAACATAAAGGATGAAGAAGCCTTTTTGAAGTTGGAGTGAAGGGAATTCATGCATACATCATCTGTGAGAGTGGAAACTGATGTTGTCTGGATAAAGCTTTGCCAATGCTTTTAAGTTAGACATGGACAGCCTATTTAACCCAATAACTCTTATCTGTGTTTCTACCATAGAGAAACCCTGAAAATGTGCATGTGGACACGCATGAAATGCTTATTGTATCATTGTTTTTAATATTGAAAAACTGGAAAAAATCTCAAAGTGCAACAAAAGGGAAATAGTAAATGAATTAAGATATAGGAATACTACACAACACTTAAGAAAAAGGAAGTGGGTTTTATGCACTTGTATGAAAATAATTTTGAGACATCATGTGATGTGTGAAAAGCAAGGTGCAGAATAGTGTGGGGAGTGTTTTTAAAAATCACCCAATCTTCCACCTCCAGGAATGTGATAGACTATATAACTTCAAATCCTCCTACTGCAAATCCCTAGAAATGCTTGGTTAGATCTGCAAGCATGCTTTTATATACACAGCTGAACTCTCCAGAGAGTAAGAGAAAACTCCGAGGGCTTAAAAAAGAAT
Source organism: Homo sapiens (assembly GCF_000001405.40). Lineage (NCBI taxonomy): Eukaryota > Metazoa > Chordata > Mammalia > Primates > Hominidae > Homo > Homo sapiens. The sequence goes on along the minus strand of NC_000001.11, from coordinate 4,263,052 downwards.
AAGAGAAACTGACAACCAGAATGGTAAGCACCTAAGCTGAGGCCACAACTCCCAGGGTGTGTGTCTATGTGTCTGTGTGTGTGGGGGTGGCTGGGGAGCTGTATGTGCATGTATCTGTGTATGTCTGTGTGTGCCTATATGTGTGCGTGTGTGTGTCTGTGCATGTGTACATGTGTCTATATGTGCATGTTTGTGTCTGTGAATGTGTGTGCATGTGTTACTGTGTGCACGTGTGTGTGTGCATGTGTTTGCATGTCTGTGCATATGTCTTTCTGTATGCATGTATACACATGTGTGCACCTGCAAGCTGGGGTAGGAGTACATCTTGGCTTCTGTAACCAACACAGAGACAGGAGTGAAGTCATGAACACTACATAAGGCAGAGTCTTGGAAGTGAGAGCCTCGTTTGAGGAGTTCAGCAGAAATGTAGGCTAAACAAAAACCTGCTCTCCAGCCAGGGTGACAAGACATTGCCCCCTCCAGCCTCTGCATATATACCTGGCTGGTGTCCACCACACTTGAGGACCTCCTCTTTCAGCTTTGGAGCCCCCCCCCTCACTCTGTCTGTATATGGGGGGTCCTCTTTTTTCTGCCTTCTCTTTTCTTTCTTGCCTATTAAACTCTCTGCTCCTTAAAACAAAACAAAAAAAATCAAGGAAAGAAAAGACAGTGGGAAGAGAGCCCTGAGAGCAAACTCACACCACACAAGCATGAAAAGCATAGGTGCAAGGAGGCAGGCCTGCCTCTTTCTGGGACTTGAGCTCCATCTTCCAGGTTAGCCATCCACAGCAATGAAGGTGATCTTTTGACCTCAATCCTGATATTGGTTTTATTTCAGAAATTCCTCAGAGCCTGAGGGGGAAAGAACAATGCTATATTTGGAGTCCCTGCAGAGGCCCCCATAATGAGCATCTCAGGGGCATTGAAACCAGGTTGAACAAAAGCACTGGAAAACAGGAACGTGAGGTAAGAGAGAGTAGGTAGAGACAGAGTATGTGGTCCTAGTATTGAACAGGTGGAGAGCAAGGTTCCGATTCCCTCCAGACTGTATAAGTCAAGTGTGAAAGCAAAAATGTTACAGTTAAGTACAATTAAGTTCATTCTTTGCTCAAATTGAACCAGCCCCTTTGTCCCATACAACTAATGTTTATGGTTTCTTTTGAATAAACATAGAAATTGACCCTCCCTATCTTAAAACTTGAGAAACTTACATTTGTCCTAACTGAGTTCTATTCTCAGGAAACCAACCATCAGGCTTCCCAGATACTATCAAGTAACCGTAACTCACCAGATCACTACATCTGGACAGTGAGAAGACAGACCCCCTCACCCATCATAGTTGCCAAAGGGATTACAGGCTTCCTGTTGACCAACTCCTCTTTCTTATCCCTTCTTCATTCCTGTTTTCCTGCATGTAGTTATATCTCTTCCCTGCTATATAAACTCCTGATTTTAGTCTGTCAGGGAGATGGATTTAAAGCTGATCTTCCATCTCCTTGGCTGCAGCACCTGATTAAAGCCTTCTTCCCTGGCAATACTTATTGTCTCAGTGATTGGCTTTCTGTGCAGTGAGCAGCAGAATGTAGACTGAATCGCTGGTTTTTTGGTAACAGAATTTCACCTTCTCAATGACTTTCATCACCTATTTATCATCATTATCAATGAACCCATACGACTTCCTCCATACCTTGCTCTACACTGTTCAAAACTGTTTAAATTAGCTTATTCTATGAGCTAAGTTACTTATTTATTATGTCTAATGCTTATATTCCCTGCTAGAATGTAAGTGCCATTGAGCTGGAATCCCATATCCTCAGAACAGGGAGCCAAACTGCAAATATTTGTTGAGGAAATAAATTGCATTTGTCCATTCTCACATTGCTATAAAGAAATACCTGAGACTGGGCAAATTATAAAGGAAAGAGGTTTCATTGCCTCATGATTCTGCAGGGTGTACAGTAATCATGATGCTTGCATCTGCTCAGATTCTGGAAAGGCCTCAGGAAACTGCAATCATGGTGGAAGGTAAAGGAGGAGCCAGCATATCACATGGTTGGAGCAGGAAGAAGAGAGGAAGGGGGGAGTGCCACACACTTTTAAATAACCAGGTCTTAGGAGAACTCACTATCATGATGACAGCACTAAGAAGGATGGTGTTAAACCATGAGAAACTGTTCCCATGATCCAGTCACCTCCCACCAGGCCCCACTCCCAGCAGTGGGGATTATAATTTGATATGAGATTTGGGTAGGGACACAGACCCAAACTATATCATAACTGAAAAGAAATGAAATGTAAACATGCAAAGCAATGGGAGAAAGAGGATTCAATAAATTTAATTATATCAAAGCTGTAAAACATCAAAGACAAAGATCTGAAAAGCAGTCAAAGAGAAAAGACAGCTTATCTAAAAAACACAATAGACTTCTCAACAGCCATAGCAAAGACAAAAGGCAGTGGAAAGCACCAGGCTACAGAGTGAAAATAACTGTTAATTGTGAAGAATTCAATGACATGAAGATGCTTTCTAACAAACAAAAACTGAGAAGACCCTCAGTAAAGGAATATCTAAAGAATATAATCCAGGATTAGGAAAATGAGCTCAGAAGGAATGTCTGAGAGATAAGTAGCTCCTTTATTTGATTATTTACAAAAAGGTTCCTATATCACTAGTTCAATAATTCAATTAATTGTATTAGCCAGCTCCCAACTCTTTCCAAGCCTGGTTTCTTTTTGCCCTTTTAAAAGAACCCCTGTCCCTGACCTTCCCACCCTGTTTTTCCTATACCACAATATTTAAAACTCATTTTATTTGCTCAACAAATATTCATTGTAAGAGCTCAACAGACATGAACTGTCATGATATTGGTGATTAGGATAAGAATATATATAATAATGGTGCTATGCATATTATAATCATAACATCATCTAATCCTACATCATTTATAGGAGAAAACAGAGGTTTAACAAATTAAATCACTTGTCCAAGTCTACACAGCTACTAAGTAGCAGGTCAGAAAGTAAAGTCAGTCCTGTGTGACAGCAATTGCTGGGATTTAACCAAGAAGATCTATTACCAACTGATCCACTTAAAGTTGCAAGAAATACCCCTGACAGCCTTACCCAGTGGCACATTCCCCAAACATTTCATCTATAATAGGAATCACAGGCATCATCCCTGTGACGATGGGCCATTTTTCTCTGATGAGAACAGACTTGGGGAAAGTCACTGTGAGCCTTATCAGAACACAATCTTAAAAACGCTGGTCTGAGCTCTCAGCTGACAAGCACCCCCTTACACAAATATGTGCTGGAGTTACCAAAAAGAAATCAGTTTGTTTACACATTTTCTCACAAAACCTACTCAGCTCCAGCCCACACAGCTGGCCCCCAACTGCAGTGACAGTCACACACCAAGGCACCTGTGGGCTGGTGTATTAGTCCATTCTTAGTTCTTAGTCTGCTATGAAGAAATACCTGAGATTGGGTAATTATAAAGAGAAGAGGTTTAATTGACTCACAGTTCTGCATGGCTGGGAAGGCCTCAGGAAACAATCATGGTGGAAGGTGAAACAGAAGAAAGGGAACTTCTTCACATGGCAGCAGGAAGGAGAAGTGCCTAGCAAAGGGGGAGAAAACCCTTGTAAAACCATGAGATCTTGTGAGAACTCACTCACTATCATGAGCATAGCATGGGGGAAACAGTCCCCAGGATTCAGTTACCTCCCACTAGGTTCCTCCCACAATACATGGGATTATGGAAACTACATTAAGGATGAGATTTAGGTGGGAACACAGCCAAACCATATTATTCAACCCCTGGCCCTCCCCAAATCTTATGTCCTCACATGTCAAAACACAATCACGCCTTTCCAACAGTTCCTCAAAGTCTTAGCTCATTCCAGCATTAACCCAAAAGTGCAAGTAGAAAGTGTCATCTGAGACAAGGCAAATCTTTTCTGCCTACGAGCCTGTAAAATCAAAGTCAAGTTAGTTAATTCCTAGATACAACGGGGGTACAGGCATTGTGTAAATACACCCATTCCAAATAGAAGAAACTGGCGAAAACAAAAGGATTACAGGCCCCATGCAAGTTCAAAATCCAATATGGCAGTCATTAAACTTAAAGTTCCAAAATGATCTCCTTTGACTCTATGTCTCACACCCAGGTCATGCTTATACAAGAGGTGGTCTCCCATAGCCTTGGGCAGCTCTGCCCCTGTGGCTTTGCAGGGTACATCCCCTCTTCTGGCTGCATTCACAGGTTGTCATTGAGTTTCTGTGGCTTTTCCAGGTGCATGGTGCAAGCTGTAGGTTGATCTATCATTCTGGGGTCTGGAGGACAGTTGCCTTCTTCTCACAGCTCCATTAGCAGTGCCCCGGTGGCGGCTGTCTGTGGGGGCTCCAACCCCACATTTCCCTTCCATGCTGCCCTAGCAGAGGTTCTCCATGAGGGCTCCAACCCTGCAGCAAACTTCTGCCTGGACATCCAGGTGTTTCCATGCATTCTCTGAAATCTAGACAGAGATTCCCAAACCTCAATTCTTGACTTCTGTGCACCCACAGGCTCAACACCATATGGAAGCCACCAAGGATTGGGGATTGCACACTATGAAGCAATGACCTGACCTGTGCCTTGGTCCCTTTTAGTCAGCACTGGAGCTGAAGCAACTTGGACACAGGGCACCAAGTCCTGAAGTTGCACATAGCAGGGAGGCCCTGAGCCCAGCCCAGGAAACCATTTTTCCCTCCTAGGCCTCCAGGCCTGTGATGGGAGGGGCTGCTGTGAAGGTCTCTGACATGCCCTGGAGACATTTTGCCCATTGTCTTGGTGACTAACATTTAGTTCCTCATTACTTGTGCAAATTTCTGCAGTGGGTTTGAATTTCTCCCCAGAAAATGGGTTTTTCTTTTCTATTGCATCATCAGGCAGCAAATTTACCAAAATTTTATGCTGTGTTTCCTCTTGAACACTTTGCCACTCAGAAATTTCTTCCACCAGGTAACCTAAATCATCTCTCTCGAGTTCAAAGTTTCACAGAACTCTAAAGCAGGGGCAAAATGCCACTAGTCTCTGTGCTAAAGCATAGCAAGAATCGCCTTTATTCCAGCTCCCAACAAGTTCCTCATCTCCAACTGAGACCACCTCAGTCTGGACTTCATTGTTCACAGCACTATCAACATTTTGGTCAAAACCATTCAACAAGTCTCTAGGGAGTTCCAAACTTTCCCACATCTTCCTGTCTTCTTCTGAGCCCTCCAAAATGTTTCAACCTCTGCCTGTTACCCAGTTCCAAAATTACTTCTACATTTTCAAGTATCTTTATAGCAGCACCTTACTGTCTGTGGTTACCCTCATGCTGTTCTCATGACAGTGAGTGAGTTCTCATAAGAACTGACGGTTTTATAAGGGGATTTTCCACCTTTACTTGGCATTTATCTCTCCTGCCACCATGTGAAGAAGGACATGTTTGCTTTCCATTCCACTATGATTCTAAGTTTCCTGAGGCCTCTCCAGCCATGCAGAACTATCAGTCAACTAAAACTCTTTTCTTTATAAATTACCCAGTCTTGGGCAGTTCTTTGTAGCAGCATGAGAACAGATTAATACAGTGGGTTTGCCCAGAGCCTCAAGTTCTTCTGCACCTGCTCTGCAATTCTCAGTATACCATATTGATTCCTGGAACCCCTGTCTATCCATCCAACTTCTGAATCTAACAACCCTCTGAATGATGTGACAAATATGTGCACCTGCCTTGGTTCCCCATTTGTGACTCTTCCTGCCATAGGCTAGCTCAGGGAAACCCTTTCCAACATCACCCCCAGCCCCAGGCTGCTCATGTTGCCTGCTCTCTCAGCCCAAACTCTGCTGAGCATGTCTCAGTCCTAACTATGAAATCCCCTCTCCATAATACCCCAAGAGCTTGTAAAAATTTCCTAAAAAAAGACAGACACAGTGGTGTGCACCTATAGTCCCAGCTACTCAGGAGGCTGAGGCAGGAGGATCACTTGAGTCCAGGAGTATAAAGATGTAATATGCTGTGATTGCACCTATGAATAGCCACAGCACTCCAGCCTGGGAAGCATAATGAGACCTCATCTAAAAAAAAAATTCTAAAACAATGGAAGTTTTAACCATTTAGGCTGTCCATAGGGTAATTCATTCCAATAGTTCCTCCACAATCATTTGCTCAAACCTATAATGAAAATAAGTCCTGGTTCTTGCCACCAAGGAACCTGACATCTCAGTATAAAACTCACACGTACATTTACTCTAAACAGCAGTGCATAGGTGAAATAGCAGCATGAAAGTATTGAGGAGGCCCCTATAATCACTTTCCTTCTCATCATCAAAGTCCCTTCATAGTGACAGGTCACTGGGAGGAGGAATAGCCAGGGAAGACATCCTGGGGTACACAGGACCCGAAATGAGCTCTGGTCTGGAGTCATTTTGGAAGTGCAGGTGGAGAATATTAAACAGCAGATGGCAGGTGCCGAGGGAGACTGCCAAAGAGGACAGCTTGGCGCTCTCCTGAGAGTGTCCCTCTTGCAGGCTGAGACTACCTCAGTTCAGAGATATCCAAAATGTAGCCCACAGTACAATGCCCTAAGAGATGGCAAAGACAGTTCTACAATAAAATGAGTTTTGGAGAATCTTCGTTGCTGCATCTCCCCTTTAGAAATTCCTGATGAATGCATATAGCATTTAAAGTCTCTGAGCAAGCTTGCAGTAAAGAGACTTGTTTAACTTTGTTACACCCTTAAACTTACTTCATTTATTCAACAAATATTTTGAGGACTGACTGTGTACCCAACACTGTTGTAAGACCTTGGGAAATAGCAGCAAATAAAGTAAATCCTTGCCCATAGTTGCTTTAAGAAAAAATAGAGGAAGTGAGGAGTAATGGTTCTTCAATTTCAACCTGGGTTCATGGACCTCTCTCTGAAGAGTGAAGTGACAGAGGGGCCATGTGGCATCAGGAAGAATGTGTCCCAGGCAGAGGGACCCTAAAGAGCAAGGGCTCTGGGAGGCTGGGAAGTAGCAGTGAGCTTTGCATATTGAGGGCAGGAGCTGGGAAGAGTGGCAAGAAATCAGATCAAGAGACAGGCAAAAGCCAGAGCACAGAGACCTTGGGCTTTAGTGGGTATTTTTCATTCACTCAATTCACAAACTCCCTGAGCAGACACTCAGTGGGGACTTCCTCTGTGCCTGACACTGTTGAAGCCCCTGGGGGTCCTGGAGTGAAGGAAACAGCCTCCCACTGCAGATGGTGCGTCCTTGTTCTGACGCCCTGGGGACTTTTCTGTTGGAGCTTGCCCTAAACTCCTCTTGGCATATTTTCCACTATAGATACCTCCGGTATCATAAGGCCTGCCCAGACATATGGCCCTGGTAGCAAGTGCTGGCACCACCATCGGGATCTTTAGCAGAGCCCTTTCCTACCCCAGACCCCTCTCCTACCCCAGACCCCTCTCAAAGCTGGCAGCCTTATGCACCACTCGCCAAAAGGGAACACTAAAGTATCCCAAGTGAGGAATGTGCTGCGCCTGTACCTAAGAGGCCGGCGAGGCCTCATCTTCCTTCTTACTGGTGGGAAGTGTGAGATGCAAATACTTGCTCTTTGTTTTAGAGGGACTATCTTGGCACGACTCAGACCATTAGAGACTGAGGCACTGCTGATGTGGTAGACCTCCAGAGTTTGGCAGGGCTTTCCTTCCACCTTCTAGAGTACATACATCTTACCGAGAACAAAATGCACTTGCTACTGATAGCTCATTCAGTTCAAGTTAGCGTGATGCCAGTGATATTTGGGGCTGATGTGGTGTTTTGCAGAAAATACAGATGGTCCAAGTCCCTTTGGGCTATATTATGTCAGGGCAGGAGATACAACAGGCCTGAGATGAGACCAAAATGTTTACTGTGGTCCACCCACGGGAATGCAAACTGCTTCTTCTCTTTCCTCCTGATGAGGGGCGAAAAGACCACACTCAGCAGATGGATGACACACCCCATCCACCTGGGGCTGTGCTATTCTTCTCTAGTAAAGGTACCAACCCCTGCACAGCAGCTGCAATTAGGTCCATTACTAGGTCAAGTTTGCAGTTGTCCACCAATACCCTCCAGGATCCATCTGGTTTTTGTGCATGAAATCAGTGAATTAAATGGGAATATAATGGGAACTATCCCTGTGTCCTTTAGGTTTTTGAGGGTAGCTGCCATTCCCACTGGGATTTGATATCTGGTTCTAATTCATTGTCTTGACCAGAGCAGGTCAGCATTCTAGAGGCTTCCACTTGGCCTTCTTCACTATAATAGCTCTTACCACAAAGGCCATGGAGCAAAAGGAGGCTTTAACCAACCCAAGTACTCCCACTCCAATTACAAACTTGGGAATCAGAAACACCATCACTGAAGAGGTCAATGACCAAGTGCGAGGCTATTATTGGGAAGTGTTCTTTGGAGCAACTCTTGTCAAAGAGAGAGGGAAACAGAATTGAGCTGTGCAGTTGCAACATTAACCAACCTCCATCCCTTTCTGATTGAAATGTCCTATTTTTAGCTACTTTAACAACATGGTTGGGTGGCAGTCAAGATTTGCTGGCCTGGGAATAATTCCATCACTTAGGTGACTTTGCATATCTCTGCCATAACAGCCTGAGATGTAATAATTGCATAGATGGCCTCACAGAGAACAGCCTCATTTCCACTGTTTCCAAGTTTTAGGGGTCACCTTACTGGAACCTTGTAATCATCCTTCTATGCTGACATCAGTAGGGAGGAGAGGGAAGGGCACAGAGGAGCAAGTCCCATCAATAAATGCAGTGTGGCTGGGCTGAACAGCCGGGACCAGCCTCCTTGCCCACGACTGTCAGATCAAATCCCAGGCCTCCTTCAGGCTTCTCTGTTTGCAGTCCATCTGTTTGTTCTCTGGTGCGCTCCAGCTGCAGTGACTGCCTTGGCCAAATCCAAATCAAGGCTATTAGCTGGATAATTGCTCTAATGAGAGCACAGAATGAATCACCAGGGCCATTCTCACCCTGGAAAAATTAAATGGATAAACTGCCTGTCTATTGCTCTTTGGGACGCTGGCAGCATTCTCTGTGTTCTCCATGGGTCTTCTTGGGAAGATTTGTTCCTCTGACAAAGAAGAACTAACAGAAAAATACAATGATGGTATTTTACTATAAGGTTTTTATATTAGATTTTATTATAAAATTTTATTTTATTTTTATTTATTTTTTTGAGATGGAATTTCACTCTTGTTGCCCAGGCTGGAGTGCGATGGTGTGATCTCAGCTCACAGCAACCTCCGCCTCCCGGGTTCAAGCTATTCTCCTGCCTCATCCTCCCGAGTAGCTGGGATTACAGGCATGTGCCACCACGTCCAGCTAATTTTGTATTTTTTAGTAGAGACAGGGTTTCTCCATGTTGGTCAGGCTGGTCTCGAACTCCGAACCTCAGGTGATCTGCCTGCCTCAGCCTCCCAAAGTCCTGGGATTACAAGCGTGAGCCACTGTGCCCAGACTATTATAAAATTTTATTTTGGAGAAATAGACTGTGATATACAGCTATGAACACAGGTTTTAATGTCCAACTGCCCAAAATAGAATCTTAGAATCACCACTCAGTCAGTGAAGGCCTGATCAAGTCACTATCTTTTCCGTAAAACAATGGTATCTGTCTCATTAGGATGTTTTGAGGATTAAATGAGATAACACATGAAAATTATTTTGAACACTTTCTAGCACATAAGCATATCTAATTAATATTACATATTACCTAAAATAGCTATGAATGTATTCCTTTGTTAATTGATGTAATAATTCATTTACAAGGCAAGCATTGAGCACCTTCTGTAGATCAACAACAGTGCTAAGATCTTGGAAATAATCAGCTATAGTTTGCCCTTAGGGTGCTTCAGTCTATTGTGAGTGAGGGGAGATAGGCAAGTCAGTGATACCCTTCAGGATAAAATGTGCAGTAACAGAGGGGTGCACTTGTGTATTAGTCAGGGTTCTCTAAAGGGACAGAACTAATAGGAAAAATGAATATATGAAAGGGAGTTTATTAGGAGAATTGACTCACACACTCACAAGGTGAAGTCTCACAATAGGCCATCTGCAAGCTGAGGAGCAAGGAAGCCAGTCCGAGTCCCAAAACCTCAAACATAGGGAAGCTGACAGTGCAGCCTTGTCTGTGACTGAAGGCCTGAGAGCCCCTGGCAAAGTGCTGATGTAAGTCCAAGAGTCCAAAAGCTGAAGAACTTGGAGTCTGATGTTTGAGGGCAGGAAGAATCCAGCATGAAAGAAAGATGGAGGCCAGAAGACTTAGCCAATCTAGCCTTTCCATGTTCTCCTGCCTGCTTTTATTCTGGCCACACTGGCAGCTAATTAGATGGTGCCCACCCAGATTGAGGGTGGGTCTGCCTTTCCCAGTCCACTGACTCAAATGTTAATCTCCTTTGGCCACACCCTCACAGACACACTCAGGAACAGTACTTTGCACTTTTCAATCCAATCAAGCTGACACTCAATATTAACCATTACAACTTGGTTCCAGGAGGCCACAAGAAAGGCAAGGGGCCTGATCTTTATGTCAGTAGTAAATACTGAAGTCTGAAGGATTTCTAGAAGGGATATCACATGGTCAGATCTGCGTTTTAGAGAGATCACAGGTAGGTTAAAATTCAAAAGATGGCTGATGGCATATCCAGGATAAAAATTGCCCTGCCATTGAAAAAAAACTAGAAACTACACAAAATATATGAAGCAATTGTTTTCAGATATTGGCAGCACATGACTGTGAGGAGAGAGACAAGCAAGTTGATGCTAACAATGTCCTGGTTTTCTGACTAGAGTTTCTTCCCATGCTGTTGAGTAAGGAGGGGAACCAGAACAACACAGCAGTGCCATTGCCTTGAACGAAGAGAGCTCAGAGTCTGAGGGAGGCTGAGACAGCTAGAACACATGGGCCACGTGCCAGAGATGCTTTACCTAGAAAGAGTTCCTAAAACCTGCATGGAATCCCCTTGAGTCTTTGACTGGAAACTGAGCCTCACATGCACAGTGGGAAACTTCACAAGATTGGACAAGAAAAACTGGGCAAACTTAAACTCACACAAAACTGGGAAATTGGCACAGTGGCTCATGCCTGTAATCTCAGCACTTTGGGAGGTTGGGGTGGGCGGATCACAAGGTAAGGAGTTCAAGACCAACCTGACCAGCATGGTGAAACCCTTTCTCTACTAAAAATACAAAAAAAAAAAAAATAGCTGGATATGGTGGCACATGCCTGTAGTCTCAGCTACTCGGGAGGCTGAGGCAGGAGAGTTGCTTGAACCTGGGAGATGGAGGTTTCAGTGAACTGAGATCATGCCACTGCACTCCAGCCTGGGTGACAGAGCAAGACTCTATCAAAAAAAAAAAAAAAAAAAAAGCTGGGATAATTTGGATTCCAACTAGCAAAAGTGAAGAGTCCTCACTGAATACCCAGGTTATTCAGTGGAAAAATGCAGAAAACTTGTGCCCTTATGGTAAGCACCCTAGAGGTAGGGTGAAACTAGATCCTCTTTCCAAATATTAAAAAACAAGCCTTGAAAGGATACAGCTTGCCTCCAAGGTTTAGGTCATTAACAGACTGCCAGAACAAAGTCTAACACTCTTCTTAGAAAGTTCAGCAAAATCCAGCACTCAACGGTATGAAATTCACAAAGCCCAGGAACTGATCCAGAGTTCCTAGTCAGGACAAAAAGCAAAAAATTGGTAATAATTGCAAAAAAGTCAGTCATGTTGAAACAGATCCAGAAATGAAGATGTTGTCATTGTCAGTCATGTACTTTAAAACAGCTGTTATTAGTACGTTGAAGGATGTAAAGGAAAATATGAACATAATTAGCAGAGAATGGGAAGATAAAAAATAAAATCTAAGATAGAAAAGTGGAAAATTTGCCAGATAGATTTAAAATCAGAATAGACACTGTAAAAACATAAAGAGGAAAAAAATGGTAAACTCAAAGATAATAGCAATAGAAAGCATCAAAACTCAAGTACAAACTGTAAAAAAAGACAGAACAAAATGAACAGAGTAGAATCTTGAAAGGAGCAAGAGAAAAGTTATACATCACATTCAAGGGATTTTCACAGCTTTTTTCGCATTAAAAAGCAAGAAAGCCAGAAGGCAGTGGGATAACATTGAATATATTAGACTGTCAAATAAGAATTCCATATCAGGTAAAACTATACTTATGGCATTCCAAAATAAACAAAAACTGTGAATTTGCTGCTAGCATACCTTTCCTATAAGATATATTAATGAAGTCTTTCAGGCTGAAATGAGACACTTACTCAAATCCACACACAAAAGTATAAAGAACACCAATAAAGATAACTACAAAAGTAAATATAAAGACAATATAAATAAATTTTTGTTTGTACCTCTTTTTCTTCTCCTATCAGAATTAAAAGACAACTATATAAAAAAATTTCAAAGCTTTGTTAACTGCCTTATAATGTATAAAGGTATCATTTTTATGACAATAATAACAAAAAGAAACAGGGAGAAAACAGAGCTATATTTTTTACATAACGGGAATTAAGTCAGTATTAATCCGAGCTAAGTTATTTTGAGTTAACATGTTAATTGTTATCCCAATGGTAACCACTAAGAGGATTATATACCATGAACAAGTTGGGTTTATTCCAGGAATACAAGGTTGATTTAACATGTGAATGCAATGTATTATTAATGTAATACAACATATTAATAGAGTTAAGGAAAAACACATGTTCACTGTGAAATCCTAATTAGGAAAAAGGAGTCAGGCTGGTAGGACCAAGGAAAAGCAAGAAAAGAAAGCAGATAAGCTGTAAGTCTACCTTTCTTCATGGTCCAGTACACATAGCCCTCCTGCACAAATAATTCACAATCATCCTGCACTCAGCTATTACCTGTCCCTTGGCTGACAGAAAAATGCAAGTTAACTCATGCAACATTGGTGTTATCAGTACTACACAAAGCCTTCTTCAGCACACAGCACAAGCACCATCCTATAAAATCCCCCAGCAAGCCTTCATCTCTTTGCAGTCAGCTCCTTTCTTGCTGACCTGCCTGTTGCTTCCTTGCAATGTGCTCTCATACTTTCTCTAATAAATCTGCCTTCCTATATACCTATAACTGCCTTGGTAAATTCTTCTTACCACCCATGTAACCAGCTTAGGTAGTTGCTGACCACCTGCAACATTCATCTCAATATACGTAGAAAAAGCATTTGACAAAATAAAACACCCTTTCATGACTAAAAACACCCAAGAAACCAGGAATAGAAGGAAACTACCTCAATCAGATAAAGGGTGCCTACAAAAACATCCACAGGTAACATTGTACTTAATGATGAAAGACTAAATACTTTCCCTCTAAGTTCAGAAGAAAGCAAGGCTGTCTGCTCTCACCAGTTCCTTTCAACATTGTAAGTGAAAGTCCTAGACATGACACTCATTCAAGGAAAAGAAATAAAGAGCATCTGGACTGGAGAGGAAGAAGTAAAACTATCTCTATTTGCATATCTACACCTTTGTTCATAGACAATCATAAGGCATCTAATATAGAGAGAGAGTTCAGCAAAGTTGCCAGATACAAGATCAATACACAAAAATCTCTAGCCAGCCTAACTGAGAGAAACAGAGAGAAGAAACAACATTGAGACTTAATATTACTCTGCTGTCTCAGCATCCATTTTGTTGTCTTGATATGGGCCCACAGATACCACATTGTGCCCCTAGCTAACCACCTAAACCTGGAGTCGCAACTACTTCCTTTTCTTTTCCCTCTCACTCACTGCTGGGCCTCTTTCAAAAACACACACACCCAGATGCCGAACTAAATGCAAAGTTAGGTTAGGCCCAAGTGGCAAAAGCTTCTTTTCATGCATGTTAGCTTCAAATATTTCAGTCTTCTCAGATCCCTTGCTCTCATGCTCTGACCACCCCGCTGGATGCCAATAAAGGCAGACATGCCAGGTCTATACTGTCTTTCATTCCAGGTGCTCATTGACCTCCATGTGGCCTCTGGGTGTGCCATAAACTTCTAGGACCTATGAAAGATAAAAAGTTCTTTATTTCCATCTTGTGTGTCTCCTAATCACTAAAAAGGTACTCTCCATTTTAAAGGAACCAAACTGAAACAAACACAAATTACTAACGTCATAAATGGGAGAGGAGTCATCAATATTGATACCACAGACTTTAAAAGGATAATTTCAAAAATCATAAATAACTCAATGCCCAGAAATTTGATAACTTAGATGAAATGGATCAATTCCTTGAAAGACACAACCTACTGAAACCCACACAAAGAGAAATAAGTAATGTGAATAGGCCTATGCTTATTAAAGAAATTGAACTGATAATTAATATCTTTCCAAAAAAGGAAGTACTGGGTCCGGATGGCTTCACTAGTAAATCCTAGCCAATATTTAAGGAAGTGATTATACCGCTTATCTACAATCTCCTCCAAAAAATAAAAGCAGGGGGAGTATCTTCTAATTCATTCTATGAGGCCAGCATTACCTTTGCCCCAAAACCAGACAATAATATTACAAGGAAGGAAAATACAGACCACTATCTCTCAGGAACATACACATGGTCCTCAACTTACAATGGGGTTACGTTCTGATAAACCCATTGCAAGTTGAAAATATCATAAATTTAAAATACATTTAATACACCTAACCTACCAAACATCACAGCTTAGTCCAGCCTACCATAAACATGCTCAGGACACTTACATTAGCCTATAGTTGGGAAAAATTGTCTAACACAAACTCTATTTTAAAGTGTTGAATATCTTGTGTAATTCATTGAATACTACACTGAAAGTGAAAAACAGATTTCTACTAAATGCATATCACTTTTACGCCATCAGAAAGTCAAAAAACCATGTCACATTGTGAGAACCAGGTCTACAAGGCTGGTTCAATACTCAAAAATCAATTAATGTAATTCATCATATCAACAGCTAAAGAAGGAGAACTATGTGCTCATCTCAATAGAGTACAGGTAAAAAAAATTTTTACAAAGGGGGAGAAATGGACAAATCCAACACCTGTTTATGATTTAACGACAAAAAAAAAACCTCTCAGCAAACTAGGAATAGAAGTGAAATTCCTCAACTTGATAAAGAACATCTACAACACCTAACATCATACTTAATTGTGACAAGCCTAGATGCTTTTTTCCTAAGATCAGGAGCAAGGTAAGGATGTCTCCTTTCACCAACCCTATTCAACATTGTACTAGGACTTTTACCTAATACAGTAAGACAAGAAAATGAGACAAAAGGCATACAGATTGGGAAGAAAGAAATAAAACTGTCTTTGTTTACAGATGCAATAAATCACTGAAATATGAAATTAATAACAACACTATTTATGGTAGACCCCAACAAATGAAATACTTAGGTATAAATCTAATAAAATATGTAAAGAATCTGTATGAGGAAAGCTACAAAATTCTAGTAAAAGAAATCAAAAAACATCTAAATAAATGGAGAGATATTCCATATTCATAGATAGGAAGACTCAATATCATTAAGATGTCACTTCTTTTAAATTTGTCACAACTTGATCCATAGATTCACTGCAATTAGAAATGATCCTAAATCTCATATGGAAAGGCAAAGACTAGAGTAGCTAATATAATACTGAAGGATAAGAACAAAGTTGGAGGACTGACACTACTCAACTTTAGCTCTTAGCATAAACTGACAGTTATCACAGCATGACACTGGCAAAAGAATAGACAAATAGATCAATGGAACAGAATAAAAAACCCAGAAATAGACCTACACAAATACAATCAACCGGTGTTTGATAAAGAAGCAAAGACAATTTGATGGAGCATACATTGTATTTTCAAGAAATGGTGCTGGACACATACACCCTCCCAAGACTAAACCAGGAAGAAGTTGAATCTCTGAATAGACCAATAACAGGCTCTGAAATTGTGGCAATAATCAATAGCTTACCAATCAAAAAGAGTCCAGGACCAGATGGATTCACAGCCGAATTCTACCAGAGGTACACGGAGGAACTGGTACCATTCCTTCTGAAACTATTCCAACCAATAGAAAAAGAGGGAATCCTCCTTAACTCATTTTAAGAGGCCAGCATCATCCTGATACCAAAGCCGGGCAGAGACACAACCAAAAAAGAGAAT
Source organism: Homo sapiens (assembly GCF_000001405.40). Taxonomy (NCBI): domain Eukaryota; kingdom Metazoa; phylum Chordata; class Mammalia; order Primates; family Hominidae; genus Homo; species Homo sapiens. Next base: position 4,246,840 of record NC_000001.11, on the reverse strand, counting down.
TTTAGACCAATATCCTTGATGAACATTGATGCAAAAATCCTCAATAAAATACTGGCAAACCAAACCCAGCAGCACATCAAAAAGCTTATCCACCATGATCAAGTGGGCTTCATCCCTGGGGTGCAAGGCTGGTTCAATATACACAAATCAATAAATGTAATCCAGCATATAAACAGAACCAAAGACAAAAACCACATGATTATCTCAATAGATGCAGAAAAGGCCTTTGAGAAAATTCAACAACTCTTCATGCTAAAAACTCTCAATAAATCAGGTATTGATGGGACGTATCTCAAAATAATAAGAGCTATCTATGACAACCCACAGCCAATATCATACTGAATGGGCAAAAACTGGAAGCATTCCCTTTGAAAACTGGCACAAGACAGGGATGCCCTCTCTCACCACTTCTGTTCAACATAGTGTTAGAAGTTCTGGCCAGGGCAATTAGGCAGGAGAAGGAAATAAAGGATATTCAATTAGGAAAAGAGGAAGTCAAATTGTCCCTGTTTGCAGATGACATGATAGTATATCTAGAAAACCCCATTGTCTCAGCCCAAAATCTCCTTAAGCTGATAAGCAACTTCAGCAAAGTCTCAGGATACAAAATCAATGTACAAAAATCACAAACATTCTTATACACCAATAACAGACAAACAGAGAGCCAAATCATGAGTGAACTCCCATTCACAATTGCTTCAAAGAGAATAAAATACCTAGGAATCCAACTTACAAGGGATGTGAAGGACCTTTTCAAGGAGAACTACAAACCACTGCTCAATGAAATAAAAGAGGATACAAAGAAATGGAAGAACATTCCATGCTCATGGGTAGGAAGAATCAATATCGTGAAAATGGCCATACTGCCCAAGGTAATTTATAGATTCAATGCCATCCCCATCAAGCTACCAGTGACTTTCTTCACAGAATTGGAAAAAAACTACTTTAAAGTTCACATGGACCAAAAAAGAGCCCACATCGCCAAGTCAATCCTAAGCCAAAAGAACAAAGCTGGAGGCATCATGCTACCTGACTTCAAACTATACTACAAGGCTACAGTAACCAAAACAGCATGGTACTGGTACCAAAACAGAGATATAGATCAATGGAACAGAACAGAGCCCTCAGAAATAACGCCACATATCTACAACTATCTGATATTTGACAAACCTGAGAAAAACAAGCAATGGGGAAAGGATTCCCTATTTAATAAATGGTGCTGGGAAAACTGGCTAGCCATATGTAGAAAGCTGAAACTGGATCCCTTCCTTACACCTTATACAAAAATTAATTCAAGATGGATTAAAGACTTAAACATCAGACCTAAAACCATAAAAACCCTAGAAGAAAACCTAGGCATTACCATTCAGGACATAGGCATGGGCAAGGACTTCATGTCTAAAACACCAAAAGCAATGGCAACAAAAGCCAAAATTGACAAATGGGATCTAATTAAACTAAAGAGCTTCTGCACAGCAGAAGAAAGTACCACCAGAGTGAACAGGCAACCTACAAAATGGGAGAAAATTTTCACCTACTCATCTGACAAAGAGCTAATATCCAGAATCCACAATGAACTCAAACAAATTTACAAGAAAAAAACAAACAACCCCATCAAAAAGTGGGCGAAGGACATGAACAGACACTTCTCAAGGGAAGACATTCATGCAGCCAAAAAACACATGAAAAAATGCTCACCATCACTGGCCATCAGAGAAATGCAAATCAAAACCACAATGAGATACCATCTCACACCAGTTAGAATGGCAATCATTAAAAAGTCAGGAAACAACAGGTGCTGGAGAGGATGTGGAGAAATAGGAACACTTTTACACTGTTGGTCAGACTGTAAACTAGTTCAACCATTGTGGATGTCAGTGTGGTGATCCCTCAGGGATCTAGAACTAGAAATACCATTTGAACCAGCCATCTCATTACTGGGTATATACCCAAAGGACTATAAATCATGCTGCTATAAAGACACATGCACACATATGTTTATTGTGGCACTATTCACAATAGCAAAGACTTGGAACCAACCCAAATGTCCAATAATGATAGACTGGATTAAGAAAATGTGGCACATATACACCATGGAATACTATGCAGCCATAAAAAAATGATGAGTTCATGTCCTTTGTAGGGACATGGATGAAATTGGAAATCATCATTCTCAGTAAACTATCGCAAGGACAAAAAACCAAACACCGCATGTTCTCACTCATAGGTGGGAATTGAACAATGAGAACACATGGACACAGGAAGGGGAACATCACACTCTGGGGACTGTTGTGGGGTGGGGGGAGGGGGGAGGGATAGCATTAGGAGATATACCTAATGCTAAATGACGAGTTAATGGGTGCAGCACACCAGCATGGCACATGTATACATATGTAACTAAACTGCACATTGTGCACATGTACCCTAAAACTTAAAGTATAATAATAATAAAATAAAAAATAAAAAAAAAACACAATAGGAAGAGCTAAAAAAACAAAAAAAAGAAATGGTGCTGGAACAATTGAACATGTACATGTCAAAAAAAATCTAGACAACAGAACTTATGCCTTTCACAAAAATTAATTTAAAATGGAGCATACACATAAATGTAACATTCAAAACTATAAACTCCTAGAAGATAACACAGAAGAAAATCTAGATGACTTTGTGTTTGAGGTCAGTTTTTAGATACAACACCAAAAGTGCAACCTATGCAAGAAAAAATTGATAAGTTGGACTTTATTAAAATTAAAACCCTCTGCTCTGCAAAAGACACTATTAGAGAATGAAAAGACAAGCCACAGGTGGGAGAATATATTTGCAAAACTTATCTGATAAAGAGCCGTTAGCCAAAATGCACAAAGAATTCTTAAAACTCAACAGTTAAAAAATGAACAGCCTGATTTAGCAGTGGGCCAAATTCTAACAGACACAGCACTGAGGAAGATACACAGATGAAAATTAAACATATGGAAACATATTCAGCATCATATCTTATTAGATAATTGCAAATTAAAACAACGATGAGGTACTACTGGAAGCCTATTAGAATTGCTAAAGTCTAAAAACTTACAATTCCAACTGCTGGTGATGAATTAACTTGATATTGATCCAAAACTCAATGTAAACCTAAAATTACAAACTTTCCGAACACGGAAGAAAATCTTTATCAACTCGTCATAGGCAAAGATTTCTGATATAAGATGCAAAAACACATAAGTCATAGAAGATAAAAATGATAAATTGGACTTATTCCAATTCAAATTTCTGCTCCTCAAAAAATATTATTGAGGAAAGGAAAATACAAGAAGTAATCTGGGCAGGGGGGGGATCACAATACATATATCTAACAAAGGATTTGAATCGTGTGTGTGTGTGTGTGTGTGTGTGATCTCACAACTCAATATGAAAAGAAAATCAAATTTTTAAAAATTGAGTACAAAATTAGAATAAATATGTCTTAGTCTATTCAAGTTGATAAAACAAAATCTTTTAACTGGGTGGTTTATAAACAGCAGAAATTTATTGCTCACAGTTCTGGAGGCTGGGAAGTCCAACATCGAGGTACCCACAGACCTGTTGTCTGGTGAGGGCCCTTTCTTCACAGATGACATCTTCTAGATGTGTCCTCACATGGTGCAGGGTGAAAATAAGCTCCTTCTAGCTTCTTTTATTAAGGTATTAATCATCCTCTAAAGTCCTCACCTCTTAATACTATTGCATTGAGGACTAGGCTTCAACATATAAATTTTAGCAGGACACAAACATTCAGACCATAGCAAAACACTCCACAAAAAAGATAAGTGAGTGTCATTTAACCACAGAAATAGAAGCTCAACTTCGTTAGTCATCAGGGAATTGCAAATGAAAACCACAGTGTTAACACCACGGACATATTTACTAAATCTTAAAAGACTCTCAATACTAAGTATTGGCAAGCACTTGGAGCAACTCACACATTCCTTCATGCTAACAAGAAGGTAAAGTGATACAACCACATTGCAGTATTGCTGGGCAAGTTTTTTAAGAAATGACTATATACTTACAATACAACCCAAATATTTCACTCCTAGATATTTACCCAAGAGAAATAAAAGTCTATGACCACAAAAGGAGTTGATTTGGCATAAATGTTCATAACATCTGTATTCACAATAGCCAAAAGTTGAAAACAACTCAAATATCTATCAACAGGCAAATGGATAAACCAACTGTGTGTGTTCATACAATGGAATACTACTGTGTAAGATTCATACAATGGAATACTACTCAACAATAAAATGGAAAAAACAATACACATAACAACATAGATGAATCTCAAATGATGTACTGGGTAAAAGCAAAAAATATTACATACTGTTTGAGTCCATTTATATGAAGTAACAGAACAGGCAAAACTAATCTTTCCTGACAGAAGCATATTAGTGTTGCCTGGGCCAAGAGGGGGTAGATTTGACTTCAAAGAGCATAAGGAGACCTTTCAGAATGATAAAAATATTATATCTTCATTGCAGTTATTCACATGCATACATTTCTCAAAACTCATCTAAATGTACACTTAAAATGAGTTAATTGTATTATTTGTAGATTATACTTCAATTAATATTTTTCTTTAAAACTGCCCACAAAGAATATTCAAAAAGAAACAGTATTATTGATAAATAATTACAACATTTAAAAAAGAAATGATACCAATTGTACACAACTCTCAGAAGAAATTAAAGAAAATTTAGGAAAAGCGCTCCCCAACTTGTTTTTAAGGATAGCGTAAAATTTATATCCCGCAGTGTAAAAGAAATAAAAAATATTGGTCAATTCTCTCATGATCTTAGATGTAAGAACCCAAATCATAATACTAACAAATTAAATTCAGAAATACATAAATAATACACCATGGCCAAGCGGCGTCTATCCCAAAAATGCAAAAATGTACTAGCATGCAAAAATTACTCAGTGTGATTCTCCATATTAATAGAAGAAAAACCACGTGATTATTTCAGTGCCTGCAGAAAAAGCACTTAATAAAATTCAAACCCTTAAAAAATTAGAAATAAAGGAAAATTTTGGTATGTGATAAATATTGCCCAAAAGAAAAATGTCATAACAAACATAATGTTTAATGATAAAATATTGAAAACTTTCACCTCAATATTGGAAATGAGATACTACCCCGTACAATGCCCAATGCCGCCATTTATATTCAATGTTCTACTAAAGTCTTAGTCATTGCAATCAGTCAAGAAAATTAAATAAAAGATAAAAGGATTGGAAAGCAGAAAATATGACCATCATTATTCACAGGTGACATAATTGTGTATGTAGCAAATCCAGAAGAAGACACAAACAAACAATTGGAATGAAAAGTGAGTTTAACAAGTTCCTGTATGTAAAACCAATATTTAGGCTGGGCATGGTGGCTCACACCTATAATCCCAGCACTTTGGGAGGCCGAGGTGGGCGGTTCACCTGAGGTCAGGAGTTTGAGACCAGCCTGGACAACATGGCAAAACCCCATCTCTACTAAAAATACAAAAATTAGTTGGACATGGTGGGGCACATCTGTAATCCCAGCTACTCAGGAGGCTGAGGCAATGACAATTGCTTGAACCTGGGAGGCAGAGGTTGCAGTGAGTAGTGATCATGCCACTGCATTCCAGCCCAGGTGACAGAGCGAGACTCCAATCTCAAAAAAAACAAAACAAAACAAAACAAAAAAATATATATATACACACACATATATATATTTTAAATCAAAAGTATGGCTATAAAAGAGCAAAAAAGAAATTAGAAAATAAAATTGTAGATCATATTATTTACCATGGAACCAAAAATATACTAGGAATTAACCTAACAATAAGATTGTAAATAATTTTATAAAAAGATCTTAAAAAATATTACCAAGGGAAATTTCAAAGATGTCTTAGTTCATTTTGTCTTGTATAACAAAATATCTGAGGCTGGGTGATTTTATAATGAAAATATGTTTATTTGGCTCATAACTCTGGTGGCTGAAAAGTCCAAGATTGGGCAGCTGCATCTGGTGAGGGTCTCAGGCTGCTTCCACTCATGGTGAAAAGTGGAACAGGAGGGGCATGTGCAAAGAGAGTCTATTAGAGTTCTCTAGAGGGACAGAATATAGATATATTCTATATATGAAAGGGAGTTTATTAAAGAGAATTAACTCACACAATTACAAGGTAAAGTCCCACAATAGGCCATCTGCAAGCCGAGGAACAAGGAAGCCAGTGGTGGATCAGTCTGAGCCCCAAAACCTCAAAAGAAGGGAAGCCAACAATGCAACCTTCAGTCTGTAGCTGAAGGCCCGAGAGCCCCTAACAAACCACTGGTGTAAATCCAAGAGTCCAGAAGCTGAAGAACTCGGTGTCTGATGTTCGATGCCAGGAAGTATTCAGTACAAGAAAAAGGTGAAGGCCGGAAGACCCACCAGGTCTGCTCTTCCATCTTCTCCTGCCTGCTTTATTCTAGCCACACTGGTAGCTGATTAGATGGTGCCCACCCACATTGAGGTGGGTCTGCTTCTCCCAGTCTACTGACACAAACGTTAATCTCCTTTGGCAACACCCTCACAGACACATCCAGGAACAATACTTTGAATTTTTCAATCCAATCAGGTTGACACTCATATTAACCATCACAGACAGGAAGCAAGAGAGAGAAACCAAGGAAGCCAGACTCTTTTAAACCCCCTCTCCCAGGAACTAATCTATTCCCATGCAAGAGAGAACTTACTTACCCATATCAGAGGGCATTAATCTATTTATGAGGGATTTGCCCCATGACCAAAACACTTGCCATTAGCCCCCACCTCCCAACACTGCTACACTGGGGATCAAATTTCAACATGAGATTTGGCAGTGACAAGCCATATCCAAACCATAGCAGAAAGTCTTAATAGGTAGACAGACTAAGTTGATGATTAAGAAGACTAAATATTGTCAAGATGATAATTCTCAAATAGTCTGCACATTTACAATCCTAATCAAAAATCCAAGCAACCTTTGTGAAAATTAATAAGTGGGTTCTAAAATTTATTTTAAAAAATGAAATGGGAAAGAATAGCCAAGATAATCTTGCCAAAAAATAAAACTGGAATGTTTCTCTATCAGATATTAAGGTTGCTGTAAAGCCACAGTAACTAAAACAATGGAGTACCACGTCAAGGAGAGAGAAATGGATGAATGGAACACACGAGAGAGTCCAAAAAATGACCCCCATACACACGGCCACGTGAGTTATGGGTCAGTGTGGACCCATTTAGGAAAACAAGTATCTTGACCCTTGCCTCACACTACAGAATAATCAATTCCCTATGGATTATAGCTCTAAATACCAAAGGTAAAATAACAATGTATCTGAAAGAAAACATAAGAGAATCTAATCTTGGGATGGATAAAGATTTCTTAAAACAAAACTGCCGACCAAAAAGAAAAATAAAGATACGGTGGACTTCATTAAGAAGTTCTGTTAGTTCTGATTATCAAAAGACCATTAAGAGATTAAAACTCTAGGCCAAGCATGTTGGCTCACACCTGTAATCCCACCATTTTGGGGGGCCAAGGTGGGGAGACTGCTTGAGCTAATGAGTTTGAGACCAGCCTGGGCAACATGGCAAAACCCCATCTCTACTAAAAATACAAAAATTATCCAGGCATGGTGTTGGGTGTACCTGTAGTCTCAGCCACTTGGAAAGCTGAGGTAGGAGGATGGCTTGAGCCTGAGCAGAGGTTGCAGTGTGCCAGCTCATGCCACTGCACTCCAGACTGGGCAATAGAGCCAGACCTTGTCTCAAAAAAAAAAAAAAAATCCAAGCCACAGAGTGGGGGAAGCTACTTGCTATACACACATCTAACAATGTACTCATTTCCAGAATATATAAAGAACCCCTAAACATGAGCAAGAAAAAGGCAATTTTATAGAAAATTGACAAAAGCTTTGAAGAGGCACTTCAACATGAGGCAGACACACATGGCAAATAAATATAATACAGTTGATCATATTCATTAGTCAGGAAAATATAAATTAAACCACACTGAGATACAGCTATGTCCCCACCAGAATGACAAAAATAAAGTAACATAAAATTAAACAGAATAGCCCAGATGTTTGTGAATGACATGATTTGGTTGTGTCCCCACCCAAATCTTATCTTGAATTGTAGTTCCCAGAATCCCCATGTGACATGAGAGGGACCCAGTAGGAGGTCATTGAATCATAGGGGCAGTTACCTCCATGCTGTTCTCATGATGGTGAGTGAGTTCTCAAAAGATCTGATGGTTTTATAAGGGGCTTTCCCCCCTCTTGGCTCTGCACTTCTCCTTGCTGCCGCCAAGTGAGGAAGGACATGTTTGCTTCCCCTTCCACCATGATTGTAAGTTTCCTGAGGCCTCCTCAGCCATGCTGAACTGTGAATCAATTAAACCTTATTCATTTATATATTACCCAGTCTCGGGTATCTTTTTATTAGCGGTGTGAGAACAGGCCAATACAGCAAGGCAGAGGGGCTTGTGAAGCTCTCATGCACTGTGGGTTAGATGTAAATGGGTGGGATGTAAATGGGTGGGATGTAAATGGCATTTTGAAAACAGTCTTCAGTGTCTGCCACACAGGGGTCTCATTTCCCTTACACCCAGTCCAGTGTGGGTCAGATAGCCTCCTGTATCTTCCCACTGTCCTCTTTGGAATTCATGATATACAAATTTGACACAGCAAAGAAAGAGAAGCTTTTGAGAGTGTGGGCAAGTTTTGAAGGGCCAGGACTTAAAATAGCTCACAGGACTCTGCTCAGCTTCTATTGCCCCAACTTGGTCACTGGGCCCAACCCAAATGCCAGAGAGTGAGGACTGCGGGCAAGTAAGTAGTCCTCTGGTGGGGCAGAAAAGCACTAGATCTCTACCTTTGATATGTCACTAAAGTAAATTCAGGTGAATCAAAGATGTATATGTTAAGAAAGTGTTAGAACAGAAAATAATCATTGCTTTCATAATCTTACAGCAACAGAAAAGACTTTAGCAAATACATTAAAGTCCAGAGGCTATCAAATAAAACAATATTTGGTTATATACAAATATAAATTTTCCATAGAGCACAAAAGTCAAAAAACAAACAAACTGCAAATATAAAAAGTAACAAAGGAAAGGATGGGGAAGTGAGATGAGGAAGAAGAAATGATAAAGAGGGAGGAAGGGAGGGAAAATAAGAAGGAAGGAAAAAGATATAACTCATATTACAGATAAGAGCTAATTTCATTAATGCATGAGCAGCACCAAAAAAATCGTAACAAAACAACCAACTGCCCAGAGAAAAAGACAAAGAATAGGAAATAACAGTGCACAGAAAAGGAAGCACACTTTTTTTAAACAAGTGTAACGACTTTCAACTTAACTTTTAATCAGAGAAATGCAAAAATTAAAGGTCCAGGGAGGTATATTTTCCCTTATCGGATGAGCAATGGCCAAAATATGAGCACACAGCACTACCCAAAGGTGTGCTTGGCACAGCGTGGACCAGGAAAACCTCTATGAAGATCAGCTGGCCACAGAAAAGGGCACAGCTTATTTTAACCAGAAATGTGCTTCTAGGTGTTTATCCTTTAGAGTGTACTCACCCAAGGATGGAAAATGCTGTGTGTACAAGGCCCTTCATTACAGCACTGTTTCTAAGAGCAAAAGGTGCAGGAAACAATCCACATGTCTATCCACAAAGGGTTGGTGCATAGGTCAGGATACAGCCACATAAAGGACTACTTTGTCACCAATGAAATGATGATGTGCCTCTACATGTTTAGCTTCAGAAAGACCTCTAAGGCCATGTTAAATGAGAAGAGAAGCACAAGACTTGTGGTACACCACTGAGTGGGAGCAAAGTGGGCACAGAATCAAAGTCCACAGAATGCGTGCTTGGCTATCCCAACTTCCTTAAAGGCTGATACCCAAGAATGTGGGAAGAGAATCGCAAGGCACCTGGGAGGCTGGGGAACAGTGAGGGGGACTGATCTCTCTCCAGGTACCCTTTGTATGATTCTAAGTTAGATCATGTGCATGTATACCTCTTCAAACTAGACTTTTTTAAACAGAAAAAAATTTTTAAGAACCCCACTGTTCTAGTCCATTCAGACTGCTATAACAAAATACCATAAACTGGGTGTCTTATACATAAGAGAAATTTACTTCTCACAGTTCTTGATCCCAGCACCAGGATCAAGGTGCTGGCGGATTCTGTTTCTAGTGAGGCCCTGCTTTCTGATTCACAGATGGCATCTTCTTGCTGAATACTCACATGGTGGAAGCAGTAGGGAGTCTCTTTATAAAGGCACTAGTCCCATTTATGAGAGCTCCACCTTCACGAACTGATCACCTCCCAAAGCCCCCACCTCCTAACATCGTTGCACTGGGGGCTAGGATTTCAACATATGGATATGGAGGGATATAAACATTCAGACCAAAGCATTGCACCCTGCACCCACCTCCAAATTCATGTCTTTCTCCATGAAAAATACAGTTATTCCATCCCAGTAGTGTCAAAAGACTTAATTCATTCCAGTATTAACTCAAAAGTCTAATGTCCAAAGTCTTCTCTAAATATAATCTAAATCAGATATGGATGAGACTCCAGGCACCATTCATCCTGAGGCAAATTCCTCTCCAGCTATGAACTGGTGGAATCAAATGCACCACGTGGTTCCAAGATACAGTGGTAGGACAGCCACGGAATGGACATTTCCATTCCAAAAGGGAGGAACAGGAGAGAAGAGAGAGACAGCTCTTGAGCAAGTCCAAAGACTTAAGGCTCAAGGGAGATCTTCTTTAGCTCCAGGCTCTGCCCTCCAGGCCAACTGCAGCTGTGGGTCTATCTTCTGGACACACTGGAGTGGAGGCTCCACCACCAAAGCTTTGCCATGCAGGGGATTGAGTTCCATGGCTCTGAGTGGCCCTGCACCCATGGCTCCACTGGGCATCATTCTAGTGGTGCCCCCACCCTCTCTACTTCAGCCCTAAGACTCTTCAAGACATCCTTTCAAATCTAGTGTATTAGTCTGTTCTCATGCTGCTGATAAAGACATACCCGAGATTATTTACAAAGAAAAAGGTTTAATGGACTCACACTTCCACATGGCTGAGGAGGCCTTATAATCATGGTGGAGGCAAAAGGCACTTCTTACATATTGGCAGGCAAGAGAGAATGAGAGACAAGCTGAAGGGGAAATCCCTTATAAAACCATCAGATCTCATGAGATTTATTCACTACCATGAGAACAGTATGGGGGAAACCACCTCCCTGATTCAATTATCTCCCACCAGGTCCCTCCCACAACACATGGGAATTATGGGAGGTACAATTCAAGATGAGATTTGGGTGGGGACACAGCCAAACCATATCATCTAGATAGAAGCAGCCATGCCCCACAGCTTTGCTGGGTGTGGTACACATTGCTAAGCCCACCAGAGTTGTAGCTGCAGTGTCCAAGGAGTGTAGCAACAAACTGTGGGGAGTGGAGCCCATGATGTGAGACAGTGTGAGGCAGTGGGACCCCCCACTTTGATATCATTCTTCCCCCCGCAGGACTGAGCACAATAGATTAGATCTCTGTGGATTTGAATCCCACTTCTGGTACCAATTTTCTGTCTTAGTTCATGTTATTATAACAAAATACCATAAACTAGGTGGCTTATAAACAGCAGGAATTTATCTCTCTGTTCTTGAGGCTTGCAAATCCAAGATCAAGGTGCTGGCAGATTCATAGGTTTATATGTTGCACCTTCTCACTGTATCCTCAGATGGTGAAGAGGTGAAGGGTCTCTCTTAGGCTTCTTTTATAAGGGCACTAATCCCATTAATGAGGGCTCCACCCCCATGACCTAGTAACTTCCCCAAAGCCCCATCTCCTAACATCAACACCTTGAGGGTGGGAATGTCAACCTATGAATTTTAGGGAGACAGAAACATTCTGATCATAGCACCCACTTATCTGGAAGCCATAGAACCTGCAGCAGCTCCTGGCCCTGGCTCTGCACAGGAGGTGTCTCAGAACCTATGCACTATTTTTTAAATTACATTTCTATTTTATCTTTCCTCCAAAGAGCCAAAGGCACTTCTCCAAGTTTCCCACATTTTGAAAATACAGCCAGAGAAATACATTTAGTCTCTGGGAGACAGGCCCAAAGGGACATTGTGATGGGGCGAGTTGGTCCGAACTCTGCCCTGTGTCTCTCTGACCTCTCTCGTTTCTGATTTATTTGTTTCTTTCTTCCTGACAGTGAATGCAGCTAAGTGGAGAAATACCGTCCTCCCTTCCTGCTGCTATTTTCAAACAAATAGAAGTTCTAAAATACATGAAATCAACTCTGTCTTTGAAAAACCCCAGGAAATGCAGTCCAGTACCATGATACCATGATTTGATTCCACAATTTAACTGCAAGGATTTAATTTTATCAGCAACAGACTGAGGTGGCTGATTTGAAGAAGCCCAAGTATCTTACAGAAGGGTATTATTTCTCACAAAGTTGCTTATCCCAACAAGGATTACATTTTGATGAGAAAGATCATCTGTTTTTATTCCAAGAGACTTTCGAGAATAATATTACAATTCCATAAGCTTTTAGTAATATTGTAAGACAGCTGATAATACATTATTTCCATGCTAAGTTTCTATAATAATATACTCAAGTGTTAATACTTCGGAAGCTTCGAGGAAGCTTGCACAATTACAGGGGAAACAATTGCATGATTTCTACAGAAAGCACAGCTGTCAAGCACAAGAGAACATTTCAATACATCTCCTCCAACACCTGTGTTTATTTTCAAATGCATATGTGTTTTCACTAGGGAATAAGGGAACAGAAGAAAACACATCAGACAAGTTGAACTGACTTGCAGGGAATTTGAATCAAATTGTCTGACAGTTGCCCACGCCAAACATTGAAAACAAATACCAATTAGAAACCAATTATTTATAGGACCAAAAATTGATAATTAACAGAAGCAAGGCTGCGGCCCGGTAGATAAAAAGACATCTCCACAAGAAACTCCCTACGGATCTGGAAAAGCAAAATGAAATTGGTGTTATTCAACTGACCCACATTGGTACAAGGACAAGGGGACACAGAGCAAATCATGACAGATGTGGGCCCATCTGGCCATTTGATCGTAGTCCCAGCAGGGGAGCCACAATTATTTCCGCTTTCCAGGTGAACTCAAAGCTTCTTTCAGGCTATTTCCGGCAGCATCAGGCGAAGGAGCTGGCAACAGTTGGGGTATGGAAGGTGAGCACCAGTAGTGTTTGCCTGATCTTCCAACGTCTCACCCTCTTTGTCAGGTGTTACTTTTTAACTTAAATTAATTTGGGGTGGGGAGAATATCTACCCTAAAATCCCTTTGGTCAACTTGGGAAAGGTGCCAGAAAACACAGGACTGGGCATGAATCCCTTCTGCTCCTGCATCTATCAAAGTGAGAGAGCCCCCAGATCGGCCTAGGGCCATGGGCTCCCCAGGGTCCTGCAAAGGGAGAGAGAGTAGAAATAGAAGTTGAGCCATTTCAAACAGCTTAGTGCCCACTGAGGTTTATGCCTTTCCTTTGTACTGTCTTCACTTGGGCTCCTTTGTAAGGTAGAGGAAACAGGAAGTGCTGTTCACAGGGCAGTGAGGGCTTTGAACCAAGTAGACTTGGGTTCAAATCCCAACCCTGCCAAATCTCTAAGTTTCGCTGAGCTTTGGCTTCCTCATCTGTTACAACAAAATGGAGCTAGAGGGGTAATATGTTTACATTCATTCTTGGCTTTAAAAACATATTATGAAATAAGCCATGCATACGAAGGAGTACAGATTTATATGTTTAATTTATCTATATAGCCTAAAGAACAGTCAAGAAGCAAATGCTGTCCAGCCACCACTCGACTGAAGAAACATCACCAATAATTGAGTGAGCCCTCCGTGTTGTATCACCTCCGCACCCCTGCCAAGCCCACATCATCCTTAATTCTGAGAGCCTCACTACCTGCTTTCCTTGATACTTTAGCACATCTGAATGACTCTCTAAACAAGGTGCAGTGTCACTGTGCAGGTTTTTTCATCGTACGTCAACGGACTCATTCTGTTCTTCTGTAACTTGCTTTGTTCACTGAACATGGTGAATTTTTTTTTCTTTTTTTTTTTTTCTGGAATGGAGTCTTACTCTGTCACCCAGGCTAGAGTGCAGTGGCGCAATCTTGGCTCACTGCACGCTCCGCCTCCCAGGTTCACGCCATTCTCCTTCCTCAGCCTCCCGTGTAGCTGGGACTACAGGTCCACACCGCCACACCAGGCTAATTGTTTGTATTTTTAGTAGAGATGGGGTTTCACTGTGTTAGCCAGGATGGTCTTGATCTCCTGACCTCGTGATCCACCTGCCTCAGCCTCCCAAAAAGTGCTGGGATTACAGGCGTGAGCCACCGCGCCCGGCCCTGAACATGGTGAATTTTTAAATTTTTTATTTTGAAATAGTTGCAAACTTAGAGAATAGCCGCAGGAACTACACAGATAACTCCCATCTGCTCTTTACCCAGATTCACTAGTTTCTAACATTTTGCTATACTCTACCTCATCCCCCATGTGTATATATAAGTTAATTGAGAACAAGTTGCACACATCATGCCCCTTTGTGTGCTTTTCCTAAAAAAGAGGATATTCTCTTACATAACCACAGTAGAGTTATTAAATGCAGAGAGTTTGAAATCAGCACATACCTTGATCGTATCTTCAGCCCCTATTCCAATGCTGCTGCCTTCCCTGGTGGTGTCCTTTATAGCATCTCCCCTGTCAGTGCATGGTCCAGTTCAGGTCACACAGGACATTGAATTCTTCTGTCTCGTTAGTCTCCATCACCAGAACAGCTCCTTAATCTTGTTTTTCATGACACCAATGTTTTTGAATAAGACAAGCAGTGACTCTCTCGGATGGTCCTCACCCTGGGTTTGCCTGGTGTTTCTTGGTGCTCAGATTCAAGTTATGCATGCCCGGCCAGGACACTACCTCCACGAGGCACCTTCAGAAGTCTGCAGTGCCCACTGGCCTCTCTCACTGGTGGTACCAGCTTGGATCAGCTGCCAAGGTGTTGTCTGGCTTCTCCTCCGAGGAAAAACACTTTGAGACCACACAAAGGTCCTCACCAACCCCACCGTTTCAGTTCAGCATTCATGGGTGATTTCTGCCCAAACCAGTCAGTACAAAATAATGATTTTCCCGTAACTTCCTCTGTATTTATCAGCCAGCATTTTACAATAAGGAAGAGACATCTCTTCTCCTTCACTGACTTATATATTTATTACTATGTATTTGTCTATTTATTATCAGTGTGGACTTATAATCCACTGGTGTTCTTATTTATTGTGATGCTCTCATTGCCCTGGATCTGGCCAGTGAGAACCTCCACCGTGTTTTTCCAGCATGCCTCCATGGTATTCTGATACAATTCCGACAGGTTCATCCTCAAAAACAATTTCCATCCAGCCCTACAGTGTTCCCACGCCTTCCCCGACTCTATGCCCCTATTTTCCCTCAGTCACAGGGAAATCCTCTCTCCCACCACATCAGCGTATTGACTCATCCAGTCAGTCCCACAATACACATAAAATGGTTTCAAGGCCAGGCACTGTGGCTCATGCCTGTAATTCCAGCATTTTGGGAGGCCAAGGCGGGTTGGATCACTTGAGCTCAAGAGTTCAAGACCAGCCTGGGCAACATGAAGAAACCCTATCTCTTCCCAAAATTAAAAAAATTAGCCAGGCATGGTGGCACACACCTGTGGTCCCAGCTACCCAGGAGGCAGAGGTGGGAGGATCGTTTGAACCCAGGAGGCAGAGGTTGCATTGAGCCAAGATCATGCCATTGCACTCCACCCTGGGTGACAGAGTGAGACCCTATCTCAAATAAATAAATAAATAAATAATTATAAAAATGATTTCAAAATTGCTATACTCTTACCACCCCAGAAATCAAACCTCCTGAGACAAGGTCAAGGTAGTTTGCTGTTCCTTCCCTGAACTGAGGTTGTATAATTCTAGTCCTGTGGTGACATCATTTAGCCGAAATGCAGTTGGATTCCTTTGTTTCTTTTGGCATGCAGTTTTGGGGGCTTTCCCCATCTTTGATTTTTTCATATTATTTCTGTACCCTGTTACCCTACGGTTAGAGGCTGAGTTGCATCCTCCTGAAATCCATATGTTGAAGCCCTAACCCACAGTTCCTAAGAATGTGTAAACTTCATTTAAAAATAGGGTCATTGCAGTTGTAATTTGTTCAGGTGAGGTCCTACTAGAGTAAAGTTCATGCCAGCCCAATATGACCAGCCTTCTCATAAAAAAGGAAAACCTGGCCGGGCGCGGTGGCTCACGCCTGTAATCCCAGCACTTTGAGGCTGAGGCAGGCGGATCATGAGGTCAGGAGATCGAGACCATCTTGGCTAACATGGTGAAACCCCGTCTTTACTAAAAAAAATAAAAACAAAATTAGCCGGGCGTGGTGGCGGGTGCCTGTAGTCCCAGCTACTCAGGAGGCTGAGGCAGGAGAATGGCACAAACCCGGGAGGCGGAGCTTGCAGTGAGCCAAGATTGCGCCACTGCACTCCAGCCTGGGTGACAGAGCAAGATTCCGTCAAAAAAAAAAGGGAAACCTGAACCCAGGTGTACTCAAGGGGAGGAAGCCACGTGAAGATGAAGGTGGCTATTTGGGTGATGCTCAGAGCCAAAGAAGGCCAGCAATTGCAAGCAACCCCCAGAAACCAGGGGACAGGCCTGAGACAGAGGGCTAGAGGGTCCCTCACAGCCTCAGAAGGAACCAGCCTGCCCACATCTTAATCTTAGACTACCTGCCTCCATAGCTGTAAAACAATAAATCTCTGTGAAGCCACTTGGTCTGTGTTCTTGATTATGGCAGCCCCAAGACATGAATTCACCTCCAGGGTCCCTTCATTGCGCTGTGACTTTTAACAATAATTCTCTAAGGTTTTGCAGGGACGTCATCACATCACTGGAAAACAGAAATTATTTGGCTTCTTCTTCTACAGTTCTTGTCCAGTAAATATTCTATTTTAAAAATATGTATATTTCCATAGGTTTTTGGGGAACAGGTGGTATTTGGTTATATGAGTAAGTTCTTTAGTGGTGATTTGTAAGATTTTGGTGCACCTATCATCCGAGCAGTATACACTGAACCCAATTTGTAGTATTTTATCACTCAACCCCTCCCACCCTTTCCCCAAGTCCCCAGAGTCCATTGTATCATTCTTATGCCTTTGCATCCTCATAGCTTAGCTCTCACTTACGAATGAGAGCATACGATGTTTGCTTTTCCATTCCTGAGACACTTCACATAGAATACTAGTCTCCAATTCCATCAAGGCTGCTGCAAATGCCATTCTTTCATTCCTTTTTATGGCTGAGTAGTATTCCATCACATATATAATACCACAATTTATTTATCTACTCGTTGATTGATGGGCATTTCGGTTGGTTCCATATTTGTGCAATTGCAAATTGTGCTGCTATAAATATGCGTGTGCAAGTATCTCTTTCACATGACTTCTTTTCCTATGGGTAAATACCCAGTAGTGGGATTGCTGGATCAAATGGTAGTTCTACTTTTAGTTCTTTAAGGAATCTCTACACTGTTTTCCATAGTGGTTGTACTAGTTTACATTCCCACCGACTGTGTAAAAGTGTTCCCTTTTCACAGCATCCAAGCCAACATCAGTTATTTTTTTTTTATGGCCATTCTTGCAGGAGCAAGGTAGAATCACATTGTGGTTTTGATTTGCATTTTCCTGATCATTAGTGATGTTAAGCATCTTTTCACATGTTCGTTGGTCATTTCTATATCTTCTTTTTGCATGATTGCAGCGGTGAACACCCAGAGAAATGAGAGGGTCGGGGATGCGGACACCCTCACTGTGCAGGTGGCATTTTTGTTCCATGAAAATCGTGACTGCAGCAGCAACCCTCTGCACGCATGTGCCACCAGACACTTCTGCTTGCTCCCATTGTGTCCTCGGGCGTCCTCCTGTGTGGACAACGCTGCCGTGAGGACCCTCACTGGTCTCCCGGCTCACTGATGATCCAGCTGCTCTTCAAATTGTTCCTCAGGGGATTCGGGGTCCCAGGATGTTGACAGCCTCTCTCCTCACACACCAGAAGATGCCAGATGTGACAACTGCCTCTGAGATGAGCGACAGACTCCAGGGCCCTTTGATCTGCATCCTCACCAATCCAAAACTCAGCCTGAGAAAAAGCACATCCCGCCGCTGCTAGAAACTGCATTGTCCTCATCACCAATGAAGTGGTGTGTCGCTGCAGAAGGAGGTGGTGTTGTTGTAGGACTTTCTCCTTAGTTCAACTAAAAAATGGGTTCTAGTCACACAGCCAGGAAACATTAGGCCCGCAGACACATAGAAGGGTGAGAAAAATGGAATTTATTGGGCGAAAAAGGAAAAACAGAAAGCTTTCAGCAGAGTAAGAAGGAAGCCTGCTAACCTGCTCCCACCCTGCCACACAGGAACTCAAGGGACTGGGCTCCTCCCCTCTGCACGTGGCACGAATTTCCGTGGCTCCACCCCCTTTCTCCCAGTGTGCAGGCCCGTGGGAGGTTCTCCAGGGAACCTTGGCTGTCTCAGTGCGTCGGTGCAGAAGGAGGTGGCGCCTGGGTGCAGAAGGAGATGGCGCGTCGGTGCAGAAGGAGGTGGCGTGTCGGTGCAGAAGGAGGTGCAGTGTTGGTATTAAAGGAGGTGGCGTGTGGGTGCTGAAAGAGGTGGTGTGTTGGTGACGAAGGGTGCACTTCCCCTTCTAGAAAATGCCAGTTCAAGCCTTTGTTTCTGATGACTTTTCAGGAGCTCTTTGTGTACTATTTCTTTCTTAGTTTATTTTTCAAGTCTCTTCTCTAGACACAGATTTATCTTGTGTCTTGGTGTTTTTACTTCATGATATCATCTAATGAAGAAGCATTCTTAATTTTAATGCAGCCAAATTTATCAATATGCACCCTTATTGCTACCATTAATTTTTATATCATGTTTAAGAAATTCTCCTACCCTGAGGTCATGAAGATATTTTCTCTTATTTTCTTCTAAAAGTTTCATTGGTTTTCCAATAAATTTGGAAGGAATAATTTTTAGTTTAAAAAATTAATAAAGTGATAGAAAATCTAGACAAGCCAATATCAATTAAAGAACTAATCGATTGTCAGAAGCATCCCTTCCTCCCTCAGAAAGCACCAATGAGAAATAGTTTATAGGCAATTTTTAACAAACTGAAGGATGGGTAATGCCAAGCTCTCAAAAAACATAATGAAACTATTACAGAAATATATGTAAGAGGAAGGAAAACTGCCCAACTTATTGTATAAGAGTAGTACAAACTTGATAACAAAACTGAAAACCAACTACAGACCAATTTCAAATATAAATATAAAAATCTTTTAAAATATGTTTGAAGAACAGCAATGCGTTTTTTACAAAGTTTTATGGCCGGACACGGTGGCTCACGCCTGCAATCCCAGCACTTTGGGAGGCCAAGAAGGGCAGATCATGAGGTCAGGAGTTCGAGACCAGTCTGGCCAACATGGTGAAACCCCATCTCTACTAAAAATACAAAAATTAGCTGGGCATGGTGGTGTGCACCTGTAATCTCAGCTACTGGGGAGGCTGAGGCAAGAGAATGGCTTGAACCCGGGAGGCAGAGGTTGCAGTGAGCTGAGATTGTGCCATTGCACTCCAGCCTGGGTGACAGCAAGACTCCATCTCAAAAAAAAAAAAAGTTTTATATTTCATGACAAAAAAGTGTCCCTGGGATGTAAGAATGTTTCAGCATCCAAAAATTTTTTAATACAATTAATATTTACAATTGAAAAAGAAAACATTTAAATGTCTCAGTAGATGTAGATGCTCAACCTTGCAGGTCATCAGGAAAACACATGTTAAAACAAAAATTAAATTTTCTCCACCCACAGATTAGCAAATATTGTAAATAAAGTGTGAAATTGTGACATTTTTATAAAATGGTGTGTGTGCTATGTAGTCACTGAAGTAAATAAAAACATACGTATCAATATGGGAAAATCTTTAAAAACCTAATGTTGAGTTTAGAAACTAAATTTTAGGGTGATACATGATACCATTTTATTAAACTTTAAAACACCCAAAAACATAGGGTGTTTAATGGATGCAGAATTAAGAAGGCATGGCAGTCAGTTGGTCAGCACGAGTACAGAGTGCTAAAACCTGGTGCAGGTTGTTAAAATCCATTCTCTACACATTTGCATGTTTAAAACATTTTTTAATAGGGTACAGAGTTTCAGCTTTGCAAAATGAAAAGAGCTCAGAAGGCCAGGTGTGGTGGCTCACACCTGTAATCCCAGGACTTTGGGAGGCCAAGGCTGGGGGATCACTTGAGGCCAGAAGTTCAAGACCAGCCTTGCCAACATGGCAAAACCCCAACTCTACAAAAAAAAAAAAAAAATTACAAAAATTAGCCGGGCGTTGTGATGGCCACCTGTAGTCCCAGCTACTCAGGGGGCTAAGGTGGGAGAATCACTTGAACCCAGGAGGTGGAGGTTGCAGTGAGCAGAGATGGAACCCCTGCACTCCAGCCTGGATAACACAGTGAAACTCCCTCCATCTAAAAAAAAAAAAAGAAGAAGAAGAGGAGCTCAAAAGATTGGCCACAAAACAATGCAAATGTACTCAATGCCACTTAAAAATGGTCACAATGGTAAATTGTATCTTATGTGTATCTTACCCACAATTATAAATTTATAAGTAAATAAATATTTTATAATTAAAAGGATATTAGGAAGTAGTCAGAACCTGATAACCTCTCATGCCCCGTTGTTGGTTTTTTTATGTAAGTTTGATGGACAGTCAGTGATGCATTTTAACAGGGATCAAGTTTTATAGAGGCTTGCTGAAGCTGCAGGGAGCAGAACAAATTGGGAGTTGGTAGGAGAGGATGCAAGGTTACCATGATGGTCCAGGGAAGAGGTGCCAGTCAGGAAGAGGAGGAAGGAGGTAGCCAGCTAGAGGGCATTCGTGGAGGAGCCTGAGCAAGCCCCTTCCTGCCAGAGCTTTGGGGTAAGTAAGGAAAATGCATGTAGAAAGTGTCTAGCTTGGCCGGGCGTGGTGCCTCATGCCTGTAATTCCAGCACTTTGGGAGGTTGAAGTGGGCCGATCACTTGAGGTCAGGAGACCAGTTTGGCCAACATGGTGAAACCTTGTCTCTACTAAAAATATAAAAATTAGCCAGGCATGTAGGCACACATCTGTAATCCCAGCTACTTGGGAGGCTGAGGCAGGAGAATTGCTTGAACTCGGGAGGCGGAGGTTGCAGTGAGCTGAGATTGTGCCACTGCAGTCCAGCCTGGGCGACAGAGCGATACTCTGTCTCAAAAAAAAAAAAGTGTCTAGCGTGACAGAGGTGCTCACCATTGTGGTGTCATTAGCCACTGGAGTCAAGCCAGCTGGAATCGGATACGTGAGTGCAGCCGCATGTCCACTGTTTTAATGGCCAGCAGCACCAAGAAAGAGGCCCCTACCTGGTGACAGATGCGTGGGGCCAGACTCCCGCCAGGGGCTGAGGCCATGCCTCCACACCATTTCTGTCAGTTGTCACTAATCGTCCCTCAGTTCATAATGCAGTTTTGATGGAATGAAATGGAACGATCAAACATCGGGCATCTAATTACATCTTGCACCTGTTAGAATTGCTGACGATTCTAATACGACCCCCAACAGGATACTGCCCAGGTCCGCACCACCATTTCCATTATTTTTAAAACATGTTTGCTTTTTCACTTAAAATCTCAGATGGGCTTCGCCCTGCAAGGAGGAAGGCTGAATTGGACCCTGGCCTCCTGAGAGCATGCTGGATACTGTGGTGAAATGCATTTTGAAGCAAAGGCAGGATTTCATCAGCTGAGCTTCCTTCCTGGTGATGTCACTCGGCCGCCTAGGACCAGCAGCTGTCACTTTCTACCTCCTCACTACCCACCAGCAGCATCGTGTTGTCAGGGTAGGCTTCAGAAGGGGAAGGGAACTTGCCTTTAATTAAAAGATACCCACCTTGCAAGTTCAGTATAATAAACACTGCATGATCCCAGAGTGTGTGTCTATGAAGACATCTTAAACTCTGTGTGCCCATATTACCTGCACTCACACCTGAAATCACCCAAGTGAGAAAATTCCAAAATCCAAGGCAGGATTCCCCATCAGACACAATGGCCCTGCGGGACACAGGCTGTTTCCGTGTGCTCATGGGGATGTCGTGGCTTCACGCGCTGGCCTGGATCCTCCAGGACTCCCTGCCCACCCTCATTCATTACCTCCCAACCTCAAGGCCATGTCTGTATCCAGTTCTCAGTGGTCGCCCTTCAGGTCTCTACATGTAGGGGGACAGAGATGCCAAGACAGCGGGATGGGGAGGCAAGAAGAAAATCAGAAAGGCTCCTGGGGGGGTTCCTTACCAGCAATTATGACAGTAATTATTAAAACCAAGGTCTCCACTCCTGGGGCCCTTCATGAGTATTCCTTTTTTTTTTTTTTTTTTTTTTGAGATGGAGTCTCACTTTGTCACCCAGGCTGGAGTGCAGTGGCACCATCTCGGCTCACTGCAGCCTCCACCTCCAGTGTTCAAGCAATTCTCCTGTCTCAGCATCCAGAGTAGCTGGGACTACAGGCACGCACCACCACGCTCGGCTAATTTTTGTATTTTTAGTAGAGATGGGGTTTTGCCATGTTGGCCAGGCTGGTCTCAAATTCCTGACCTCAGGTGATCTGCCCACCTCAGCCTCCCAAAGTGCAGGGATTACAGACGTGAGCCACCTCGCCCAGCCCATGAGTATTCATTAAGGGAGGGAAGAGTTCAAATTATCTACAATCCTAAACCAACCTTTAACACTAGGGGCCTTGAAAATAGTGTGCTATTGGATGAATTCCCAAATAAGCCACTCAATGTAATTCCCCCCACCAGAAAAAGAATATATATATAGATATGTATGTATATGCCCCCGCAGGGGCCCATGACTTCAGAGAAGTCATCTCAGCATGATTTTGTGGACTGCTCAACTTCACCCATCAGCAAATCGAATGCATGAATATATGCAAGTGTATCATCAGCTGTGCTTTTCTTTTAGAGGGGTTTCCGCATCGGTTTGACGATCCCAGGCTCCCCCTAAGTTATGCCTGCACAACTGGAGTATGTTATGTGAAAGGAAAATAAATCTTGGGATTCCAGAATCACTCAGCCAAAGGGAAAAGTCAACCTGGGAACTGCAGCTCGGCAAACATGCCTCCCATTCTATTCCTAAATAAGAGAGCTATGAAGAAAGCTACACACCTCCGTCAGTACCTCCCCGCAAGGAAATTCCTTGTGGACCGGTACAGACAGAACCGAAAGTCCTCCCTCTGCTCACGTGAGACAAATGCGTAACTGGTGGTTTCCTCTGCCCTCTTGTTTCACTAAGCCAGACTAAGGTATAAGTGATGATTCCTGTAAATTGTGTATTCAGTGAAAGGCTCATCAGAAACTCAGAAGAATGCAACCATTTGTCTCGTATCTACTGATGACCTGGAAGCCCTCTCTGAGCTTAGAGCTGTCCAGCCTTTCCAGACCAAACCAATGTACACCTTACATGTACTGACTGATGTCTCATGCCTCCCTAAAATATATAAAACCAAGCTGTGCCCCGACCACCTCGGGAACATGTCATCAGGGCCTCCTGAGGTTGTATCACTGGTGCGTCCTTAACCTTGGCAAAATAAACTTTCTAAACCAATTAAAACCTGTCTCAGATACTTTTGGGTTCACCGTTAAATCAGGCTACACACACCTTCCTGGGCTCAGAAGCCTGGAAAGGGAAGGCATATTCGGTTCCCGCAGCTGCTGTAACAGTTTACCACAAAGGTAGTGGCTTAAAACAACACGTGTCACCTATTGGGTGAAAGTCCTAGAGCTCAGACGTCTGCACTGAGTCTTACAGGGACACAGTCCAGGTGTTGTCAGGGCTGGCTCCTTCCAGACGCTCTGGGGAGAATCCATTTCTTTGCCTCTTCCAGCTTCTTGGGCCTCCCGTTCTGTGGCCGGCAGCCCCTTCCCTCAACTGTAAAGTGCGTCCCTCCTCCTGCACTCCATCGTCACAGCTCCTTTTTCTGGTTTTGTCCTTTTTGCCTCCCTTGGAGGGACCCTGTGATGACATTGAGCCCACCTGGATCAGCCGGGATGGCCTCCCCATCGAGATCCTCAGCTTGGTCCCATCCACAAAGGCCCTTTTGCCATGAAAGGTCACATTCACAGGTTTCCAGGATTAGAACGGGGACTTCTCTGGGGAACTCTTATTCTGCCGACCACAGGCGGTCATGTGGCTACCCTGGCCTCGTGAAATCAGAGTTAGATGTCAGATTTCCTGACTTTTTCTGGGGTTCCATACTTATATACCTCTTCTGGAAAATACATAAAATCAGTGCATCTATCCAGATAGGCCAGGGTATCTGCAGTCACAAAGAACCCAAAACCATCAGTGACATGACCCTACTGAAGTTCATTGCTCACTCATGCCAGGTCAGCTGTGCTCCACCAGGGCCACTGTCCTCTCAACTGGCTGAGCAATGCGGTGCCACCCAGATCAACACATCCTCCAAGATCCCCACAGTGGGGAAAGGAGGGCGGGAGCTTTGAGAGCCAGCACTTAAACACTTCACATTTTGGCCAGGCGTGGTGGCTCACACCTGTAATCCCAGCACTTTGGGAGGCTGAGGCGGGTGGATCACGAGGTCAGGAGTTCAAGGCCAGCCTGGCCAAGATGGTGAAACCCCATCTCTACTAAAAATACAAAACTTAGCCAGGCATGGTGGCGGGCACCTGTAATCCCAGCTGCTAGGGAGGCTGAGGCAGAGAATTGCTTGAATTTAGGAGATGGAGGTTGCAGTGAACTGAGATCGCACCACTGTACTCCAGCCTGGGTAACAGAACAAGTCTCCATCTCAAAAGAAAAAAAATAAAACACTTCACATTTCATTGCCAAAGCAAGTCACGCGGCCAATTCTAAATTAAACAGGCCCAGAAGTGAACTCTCGCCTGTGAGCAGAAGTGGGAGACATGCAGGTGGAAGACATTTTGGCGAATGATACAAATGCCTCACAGGCTTAGTGCTGACAGCCTGACTTGGACAATGGGCTCAGATCACAGGTCAGGCACCGCGCAGGCAACAGCAACAACAAAGAACTTGGGAAGTCAAATCAAAGCTCATAATGGAAATAAAATGGAAGCTTGAGTTTCTTTTGCTAGCAGATGTGACTGCTTTAAAAAAATCAAACCAAAGCTCATAATGGAAATAAAATGGAAGCTTGAGTTTCTTTCGCTAGCAAATGTGGCTACTATAAAAAGTCAGCAGCCTGTTTGTGTTCTGTTATCTCCCAAATGAGCAAATACACAGGCGCCCTTGGGCGTAGTTCACAAGGCACCTGGACTTACCCTGTTCTCGGTGACATCTGAGAGCTGGATGGGCCCAATTCCTCCTGGAAATGGCTAAAAACTGGAGGTCAAGGCCAGCCACCAGCCCTGGAGCTCCTTGGGGAGAGCTGCCTGTGTCCCTTCCAGGTATTTTTAGAATTATTTGATTTTTTAATGAGGCAGGGAGATTCAGAGGTAGGAGCCTGAACCTTTCAACCAGCCAGGAGCTTCTCATTCTTTATTCTCTTCCATTGAGTCCCGGTATTGAAAGATAATCCACCAAAAAATCGCATGTATTTAAAAGATTAGCACATTGCCCCATGTTCTCCTCATCAAAGGGACATGATGGGTAAGCAGTGCCTTTAATCAGTGTAGGGTCACAGGGCTGTCTTCCTGCATCCATGTGGCCACTTTGAAGTTCTGTGAAGCCACTGGAACGGTAACTTTCCAGTCCCAGAACTCCAGATTGCAGAACGGGTAACAGCGACCTTACGTAGCATCACTAAGGAAGATGCACATCCGTTTACTCTTTTAATTCTCAAGACAACTCTCTGGGGTGGGCACCATGACTGTCTCCATTTCACAGAGGATGAAATCGAGGCCAGGAAAGGTTCCCTTACCCCAAATGACTGTCATGGTAGAACTGTCCCTCCAAAAAAGATATGTTGAAGTCCCAACTCCCAGTGCCTGAGAATGAGACCGCATTTGAAAATAGGGTCATTGCAGGTGTAATTAGTAAAGAGATGAGGTCATCCTGGAGTAGGTGGGCCCTACCTGCACTGTGACGGGCGTCCGTTTAAGAAGACAGCCATGGGAAGACAGACACACACAAGGGAGACGCCAAGGGACGATGATGAGGATGGAGATGGGAGTGACGGAGCTGTGAGCCCAGGAAGGACACACTCTCCCGGCAAAGCACCGGAGCTGGGGAGGCAGGAAGGATCCCCCTTGAAAATAAATCCTTGAATTTTTCTACTCTAAAGCTCAGGCCTGTATCCCCTCACTCCTCCCATCTTCTAATGTTGACATGTTTCCTTATGAAGAATAAAATCATTTCAGGGTTTTTATCAAAAGAATATCGAATTGACTTAGGGTTCTAGGGAAACCAAAGTCTCACCTTATTGACTGATCCCTACTAAAAAGGGGGCAGAGCCCTGCCAACACCTTGATTTTAGACATCTGGCCTCCAGAACTGTGACAGAATGAATTCCTGTTGCTCTAAGGCACCTAGATTGTGGTCATTTGTTATGAAAGTTCCAAGAGATTGACGACCTGCCAGTAAAGGGCAGAGTCCGGGTTGGACCCAGCCCCCACCAATGCACTGTCCGTCCAACAGAAGACCTGCCTAGAGAGAAAGCGAGCTGGCCACAGTCAGGACCTAGGCTGGGACAGAGCCAAGACTCCAGCCTGGGTGTGCAGCTATCCCTCCGGCTCTTGCCACCATGCTGTGACCTCCAGAGCAATCTTCATCCCTCCCCAAGAGCTGCTCCCACAAACAGTAAAGGAGATAAGGTCTGTAAATGAGACAGATGTAAAACAGAGAATTATCAATTATTCCTGGACCTGACATCGATGGTACTGCACTTAGAGTCACGTCACCATACCTTGCTTATTTTATGTAGAATAAAACCCAGTGATTGTTCCTAAGCCCTCTGTTCTTTTTTTGGTACAGAGTCTCGCTCTGTCGCCCAGGCTGGAGTGCAGTGGCTCGATCTCGGCTCACTGCAACCTCCGCCTCCCGGGTTCAAGCAATTATCCTGCCTCACCTCCCAAGTAGCTGGGATTACAGGCACCTACCACCACGCCCAGCTAATTTTTGTATTTTTAGTAGAGACAGGGTTTCACCATATTGGCCAGGCTGGTCTCAAACTCCTGACCTTGTGATCCACCCACCTCAGGCTCCCAAAGTGCTGGGATTATAGGCCTGAGCCAGTGCGCCCAGCCGCCCTCAGTTCTTAACTGCTCTGAAGGTCACAGGCCATCTTGGGGAAGAGGCTCATACCTACACAGGAAGGCACGATCCACCCTGCCTCCCACCGGAGCCCGTTGGCTGGAGATATCCTTCACAAATGAACCAAGACAGAAGCAGCCCCCGGAGCTCCTGCGTGAGAGAGGAGGACAGAGAGGGGAGGTGAAGCTCCAAGAAAATATTCATCCTGAGCTCTCAGCGCAAAGGATGCTCTGTGCCCCGGGCTGGTGTTATGGAAAACGAGGCTTCTGTGTCTCTTGCAGCCGCCCTGCAAACCTAACCTACGGTTTTCTAGAATCCAGAGTATCTCGCAGTCTCATGGGAGGAACCAGATTCTCAGGGAGACAAAACACCTGGAAAAATGAGGCTGCAAACCTCAGCCCTGCCACCTCTTCCCCAGGAACACAGCCGATCCCCAAGCTGCTGTAGAAATGGAGATCCAAACGCTTTCTGTGCACGGTTTCATGAAAAAGCAAATGGGAAAATGGATCTGGAAGCATAGGGCAGGCATGGGACTCTCAGACCACAAACTGGAATTCAGTGGCTAGAGCAGAGCTGAGCCAAGGAGCCCCAGAAAGCTGAGAGGAGGGGGAAGGACGGGAAGGAGAAAATTAAGTCATCGGGCCTGGGGAACCGGTGCTCTATGGTGGGCGGAATCATCAAGGACCACCATGTAATGAGCACCCAGCCCGCCTCTCGTTCTTTCTCAGCTTGGCCAAGCCCAGAGGTGACAGACCACCTCTAGACTGGCCCATCCAGAGCAGGGCTGCGTCCCGTGGGCTCAGGGAGGGTGGCGCCACAGGTGGGCAGATGGCGCTGGTGTTGCTCTGCTTGCGGGGTGACCGCACGCTCAGTGTTTTCCCTCCATTCTTTTCCTGAGCTTTCACTACAGGCTTGAGAGGCTCTCTATGGATTGTATTGTGTCCCCCCAAACAATAAAAAAAAGACTGTGCTTTATTCGGAAATAGGGTCTTTGCAAATGCAGGCCAGTTGATATTATGAGGGTGGGCCTTAATCCAACAGGACTGGTGTCCTTGTCAGAAGAGAATGTAGAGACAAAGGGAAGACAGCCACGTGGAGACAGAGGCCGATACTGGAGCGATGCAGCCATGAGCCAAGGACTGCCAGGAAGTGCCAGCAGACGGCAGACGCTGGAGAGAGGCGTGAAATGGCCACTCCCTCACAGTCTGCAGGGGGAACCACCCTGCAAATGACACCTTGATCTTGGGCATCCAGGCTCCCTGACTGTGAGACGGTCAGTTGCTGTTGGAGCCACCCAGCCTGCAGTGCTGTTACGGTGACCCAGGCTGACCAGTGCAGGTGTCCATCATCATCCACCATCCATCATCATCTGCCCTGCAGCCACAGGCGGAACCAGGAGAGGGGGATTGCAGCACACAAAGGTTAATACGCTCCAACATGCATGGCTCTCGGCGGCAGAGCCAGTGAACCCCAAGCCTTAACTGCTCCGCCCGCCCTCCCTCACTCTTGGTCTGCAGGAAACATCCTGGATTCATTTCCTGTCATGACATCCCCACAAACCGTTTGGCTTAAACCACAGAAATTTATTCTGTGGGAGCTCTGCAGACCAGAAGTGTGTGGGCAAGGTGTGGGCAAAGCTGTGCTCTCTCCGGAGGCTCTAGGGGAGGATGCTTGCTGCCTCTTCCGGCTTCTGGTGGCTCCTGGGATACCCTGGCTTATGGCCACATCACCTCAATCTCTGCTTCCGTCTTCCTTGGCCGGCTTCTCCATGTTCTGTGATCTCATGAGGACACTTGAGCCACTTTCTTAGGGCTGCAGTGACAATGTGCCAAAAAGCAGAGTGACTTAAAACAAGTTACTCTCCCATAGTCTAGAGACCAGAAGTCTGAGATTGAGGAGTGGGCAGGGCTGGTTCCTTCTGGGGCTGTGAGTGTCTGGGCCTCTCTCACAGCCCCTGGCAGCCTCACGTGATCTCTGGCTTGAAGATGCCATCTTCTTCCTGCACCCCACGTCATCTTCCCTCTGTGTATGTCTCTATATCCAAAATTCCCCTTTGTGTAAGGACATCGGTCCTATTGGATTAGGGCCCACCAAACAATCTTGTTTTAACTTGATTACCTCTGTAAAGATCTCACTTACAAGATCTCACTTACACATAAGCTTCCATTGTGAGGTGCTGGGGGTTAGTACTGCAACACATCTTTTTTGGAGAATGGAGGTTCTACCCATAACACTCGTGATTGGATTTAAGATCCCTGCTGATAATCTAGAATTATTATGTAGATAAGAATTTCATCTCAACATTCTTAATTACATCTGCAAAGACGCTGTTTCCAAATCAGTTCTCATTCACACGTTCTAGGGGTTAGGAGGGAGACATATCTTTCTGGGGGTCACCATTCATCCCCTTCAGGTCCCTGGGGACAGGGCTTTATTCTCCAGGGCACCTTCTCTCCAACAGCCCCTCCCTACCCCAGGCCTTTTGCAGATGACACCTTCCTGCCAGCTGGAGGGTATTGGACAATCTCCTTGTGTCTGTCTGTGGCTTTGGGGTTTGCAGCCATAATTCTCAGTCTCAGATGCTCACTGGAATTACCGGGGGTTCTTTCAAACAATGCTGCAGGCAGATTCGGGTTTAATGGGTCTGGGCGTGGCCTGAGCATGGGGACATTCCAAAACCCCTGGGCGATTCTAATGTCCATCCACATGGTTTACGGGATCACTGGGGGATCCACCATGATACCTGAGGGTTTGCAGAGCAACCCTGAGAGGCTGGACAAAGAAGGTCACAGGAACCTGTTCCCCAAGTAAGGAAACTAAGGCTCAGGATGAAGGTTCCCTAGAACCACATGCTGGCAAGTGGCAGACACAGAATTAGGACCCTAGCCTCCTGAGTCTCCCCACTGGGAAAGAGCCAGCACTATCCCACCACCCATCACCTCCTCTTCTCCAAGCCCCAGGTCCCCAGCCCTCTACACTCATGCAAAACTGGGTGGGAAGCATGAAAGACTTTCACTGTGAAAAGGAGAGATGAGAGAAGGGGAGGTGGGGGTCAAGGGAGGCCCAAGCAGGGGGAGGTGAGGTGGAAGTGAAGAGGCAGGTGGAGGTGGAAAGGCAGGTGGAGGTGGAGAGGCAGGTAGAGGTGGAGAGGCAGGTAGAGGTGGAGAGGCAGGTGGAGAAGGAGAAAGAGGTAGAGGTGGAAAGGCATGTGGAGGTGAAGAGGCAGGTCGAGATAGAGAGGCAGGTGGAGGTGGAGAGAGAGGCAGGGGGAGGTGCAAAGAGAGGAGGGTAGAGGTGGAGAGAGGCAGATGGAGGTGGAGAGGCAGGTGGAGGTGTGGAGAGGCAGGTGGAGGTGGAGAGGCAGATGGAGGTGGAGAGGCAGGTAGAGGTAGAGAGGCAATGGGAGGTGGAGAGAGAGGCAGGGGGTGGTGGAGAGGCAGGTCGAGATAGAGAGGCAGGTGGAGGTAGAGAGGCAGGTGGAGGTGGAGAGAGAGGTGGAGGTAGAGAGGCAGGGGGAGGTGGAGAGAGAGGCAGGGGGAGGTGGTGAGGCAGGTGAAGGTGAGGCAGGCGATGGATGAGAGCAAGGTCCAAACAGATCAGAGCCCTGCATCTGGTTGGAGGTGTCACCAGCATCATGTTCTGGGAAGTTGGACACTTCTTCTGGGCCAGGTGTCGGGTATGAAGGAGCATGTGAGCCCTGGGTCCATCTCCAGCCCAAAACCAGCTAGTGGGCAGGGGCTGCCTCGCTCCAGCGAGATCACCTTCACGGGGGTCATTGCATCCAGGTCCCTTGTGAACACAATGTGTCTTTCACAACACACGATGACAACAGCTCCCACCATATCTCACACTCGCAGGTGAGCTGTTGCTGCCTCTCCTGTTTGCATCAGGAGGGGAGGTGTTTCTGGATCCGTGGTTAAGACATTAGGCGGCGGCTGCACAGGAGGTCTGTTCATTCTAGCACCGCCACTGTGTTCTCAAACAAACTTCCCTCTGACAGCCATGTGCTGGAGGCGTTAAGTGGTGGTGTGGGTTAAGTCGTGTTCCCCGAAAAGAGCTATGGAAGTTCCAACCCCAGCCCCTGAGAATGTGACCTTATATGGAAGGAGGGTTTTGCAGATGTAATCTCATTAAAATGAGGTCATACTAGATTAGGATGGGCTCTGGATCCACTGACCGGTGAAAACACAGACACACACAGGGAGGAGACGGTCACATCACAACCGAGGCAGAGATGGGAGCGATGCCGCTGGAAGCCAAGGAACAAGAACTGCTGGAAGCCACCAGCCACTGAAAGAGGCCAGGAAGAATTCTTCCCCGGAGCCACGAGCGAGAACATCATCCTGCCAACGCCGTGATTTCAGACTCGTATCCACCAGAGCTGTGAGAAAGTAAGTTTCTGCTGTTTGAAGCCACCCAGTCCATGGCAATTTTTGACAGCCGCCGCAGGAGACAGACACAGACCCAGAAGCAAATCCATATGTCATCACTTTGAAGCTGTGTGACCTTGGATGAGCTCCTCCCTCCTTGGCCTCCCAAAGTGCTGAGATTTCAGGCATGAGCCAGCACACCTGGCTCCAACTGCTATTTTTTCTGACTCTTGATTCTTCAAAGGCTGATTTTCCAGTGTCAATCATCTGTGTCTTGAGATTCTCCTTCCCCTCATTTAAAAAAGTAAAACTAGTTTTCCATGGGAGTGAAGCCACCAAGTGAACTATCTGTGGTTGCCTCGGGGTCCAGAGGCCCAGGAGCCTTGGCGTGTCTGGGTAGCCTTGACTCCTTCCCAGTCATGCTTGTCCACCTACTCATCAGTCTGACTGTCTCCAAGACTGACTTGGAGAAAAAAATTGGAACTTGCAAGATATCCAAACCTAACGTGGTAGCTCATACTGTAATGCCAGCACTTTGGGAGGCCAAAGTGGGGGGGGATCGATCACTTGAGCCCAGGAGTTCAAGACCAGCCTAGGCAACATAGTGAGACCTTGTCTCAACAAAAAAAGAATCAAAACTTAGGTGGGAGTGGTGGTGCATGCCTGTAGTCCCAGCTACTCAGGAGGCTGAGGTGGGAAGATTGCTTGAGCCCAGGAGGTTGAGGCTGCAGTGAGCTGTTATGGCACTGCTGCACTCCAGCCTGGGGGAGTGAGTCTGAGCGATCATGGAGGAGGAGGAGGAGGAGGAGGAGGAGGAGGAGGAGGAGGAGGAAGGAGGAGGAGGAAGGGAAGGAGGGAAGGAAGGGAGGGAAGGAGGGAAGGGAGGGAGGGAAGTAGGTAAGGGAGGGAGGGAGGGAGGGAAGGAAGGAAGGAAGAAAGGAAGGAAGGAAGGATGGAAGGAAGGAAGGTGAAGGGGAAGGAAGGAAAGGAAGAAAGAAGAAAGAAATCCAAAGATCACCTTCCCTAAGCGGCACAGAAAGGACAACCTTAACACAAAATAGCCCCTGGTGGTCATCAGGTCATCACGGAAGGAAACCATCAAGTGCAGTTTAACCAGATCCGGAGAAATGTCCCACATGGATGCAAATGGAAGGAATGTGCGATGCGAGGGGCAGGGCCAGGGCTGCATGTCTTGATAAATGGCAGGACACTCCCACCCTAGGGTCCAGGAGGTCTGCTCGGCATTTCTGAGCTCCATTCACTGGAGTTGATCAGAGCACAAAGTCGTTTCCGTGGACACTGAATTCCATCCCCAACCCCCGGCCCGAAGTGTCTCCTCTCCAATTTCAATTTCAAGTTAGCACAGAGTGACAAAAACAGGCATGAACTTTAAGTGGCATTCATCAGCAACTGGGCGTTCCGAATTACATTATCACAGCCGAGAAGAATGCAAATGCTGCTATTTCCACTGCTGAGCCTTCTCATTATGCCTTCTGAGCCCCGCTAGCCCAGCGATGAGGGGAGGAAATTCTCCCTAACGCAGCTTTCTGTAAACACGCTGGCTAGTAATTAGCATGAGATGCAGCCCCCTCTGCGTGTACCTTGCCTTTGATTTGGCATTTCCGAACAATCACTGGGAGAAAAACATCCAGCAACTGGCTGAGAAGATCAAACTGCTCGCCTCTGAGGAATAAACCAGCCAAGCATGAGGTGTGGACCAAACCAGGACAGCTTCAGGGGGTTGTGAGGCCTGGTCTCCAACCAGCCAGGGCTGCCTCACCCCACTCCAGGTCACACATCAGGGGAACATCTCCCGCTGAGAGGATAGCCATCAAAGACAACACCATGAAAGACATGAATTACGGTACAATCAGAACAGTCAACAAAATTGCACAGCCACATGAGAAGCCCACTAGAAGCAGAGACACCACAGCGGAAACTGCCTGGTGATCAACACGGAGATGCTTCTGGATCAATGTGTTGTGTCACTTTGCTAAGCCTGTCATAACAAACCAGGGGCTTAACCAATGTGACTTTATAGTCTCGTGGTCCTGAAGTGCAGAAGTCTGAGATCAAGCCCTGGGCAGGGCCATGCTCCCTGATATGCTGTCGCTGTGTCCCCACCCAAATCTCATCTTGAATTGTAGCTCTCATAATTCCCCCATGTTGTGGGAGGGACCTGGTGGGGAATGATTGAATCATGGGGGGGGTTTCCCCCATACTGTTCCCCTGGTGGTGAATAAGTCTCACGAGATCTGGTGGTTTTAAAAGAGGAAACCCCTTTCACTCGGTTCTCATTCTCTCTCTGGTCTGCCACCATGTAAGATGTGCCTTTTGGCTGGGCACAGTGGCTCACGCCTGTAATCCCAGCACTTTGGGAGGCCGAGGTGGGTGGATCATCTGAGGTCACGAGTTCAAGACCAGCCTGACCTACACGGAGAAACCCCATCTCTACTAAAAATACAAAATTAGCCAGGCATGGTGGTGCATGCCTATAATCCCAGCTACTCAGGAGGATGAGGCAGGAGAATTGCTTGAACCCAGGAGGCAGAGGTTTTGGTGAGCCAAGATCACACCATTGCACTCCAGCCTGGGCAACAGGAGTAAAACTCCGTTTCAAAAAAAAAAAAGATGAG
This sequence comes from Homo sapiens, assembly GCF_000001405.40. NCBI lineage: Eukaryota > Metazoa > Chordata > Mammalia > Primates > Hominidae > Homo > Homo sapiens. Next base: position 4,212,402 of record NC_000001.11, on the reverse strand, counting down.
CCTTTCACCTTCTGCCAAGATTGTGAGGCCTCCCAGCCACGAGGAACTGTGAGTCCATTAAACCTCTTTTTCTTTATAAATCACACAGTCTCAGGTAGGTCTTTATCATCAGTATGAAAACAGACAAATACACTCCCTCGATTTCTGAAAGCTTCTTGGCCTGTGGCAGCATCACTCTGATCTTTGCATGCTGTTCTCCCTGTGTGTGCAACTGTCCAAATTTCCTCTTTTTTATCAGAACACCAGTCCTTAGGGATGAAGGCTTCCTTTCTCCAGCAGGACCTCATCCTAACTGATGACACCTGCAGCAGCTCTACTTCCAGATAAGGTCATGTCTGAGGCTCTGAGGCTTAGAACTTCAGCACAGGAATCTGAGGCAAGGAGGCCCAATTCAACCCGAACATAGGTAGAGGAATTGTTATGTTTTTTTTTAATTTCACCCCACAATCTACACAATGCCCTAGGAGAAAGGCCCTTCTCTCTACCCACTCCCAGTAATTTGCACATCCCAAGGGTCAATGGTTGGTCTATGCAAAACCAGACTAGATTGAATTAACCAGTCAATCAAACTCCCATGAATCCCTTCCAAAACTCAGACTGAGGAGGAACAGGACAGGGGCAAGGGAGGTGAGGAGGCTCCTCACTTTTAAGGAGGCTCCAGTCTCAGAGGAGTGCAGGGTCACTGATCGCTCAGCCCCAAGAGTGAGCGCCTCCTTAAATTTAGCACCGAGGAGCCACCTGCTTCACCTTAGTACTTGATCTGATGCAAGCAGCTAAGGGACTGGAAGCAGCCCAGCCTCTTCCTAAGGTCCGCACTGAACTCAAACCTGAATCTCAGTCAAAAGTAAACAAACCAAACCCGGGGTTCATTTCTGGAAGATGGCTCCCACAGCCCTGCACTATGAGAAATCAAGTAACATAATTGCTAATGCGTAAGGCCAAATAAAGCCGTTTGAATATTACGGGAATATTCCATTTCTTTTTTTTTTTTTTTTTTTTTTTTTTTTGAGACGGAGTCTCGCTCTGTCGCCCAGGTGGGACTGCGGACTGCAGTGGCGCAATCTCGGCTCACTGCAAGCTCCGCTTCCCGGGTTCACGCCATTCTCCTGCCTCAGCCTCCCGAGTAGCTGGGACTACAGGCGCCCGCCACCGCGCCCGGCTAATTTTTTTTGTATTTTTAGTAGAGATGGGGTTTCACCTTGTTAGCCAGGATGGTCTCGATCTCCTGACCTCGTGATCCACCCGCCTCGGCCTCCATTTCTTTCTAATTTGTTGTAAGCCACCCTCAGCAAAGAGATCATGAAGCTTTTCTTCTCTCCTGTACAGGCTTTGATTTAAACCAGCCCTAAAAAGACCCGAGGCAAAGAGGAAAACTATGGAGTGAGCAAAAGTTACTCTCCAGGTATAATTGGAGAAAATTGAATGGGTCTTGTTTGTTGGGTGCTTTTATTAAACAGTTTTCTCCAGAAACTTCTGGCAAACAAGTGTCAATGAGAGTTGGCTTCTAAGTGCTAGAATGCCTGTGTCCCTGGAGGTCAGCTTAACTTGGCAAATAAAAATGTTTGCAAGACTGTTATTTTTTTCTCCTTTATTTTATATAAAGCAACAGCATTGATTTAGGGAAAGAACAATAAAGCTTCCTTTAGTTTCCAGCAACTCTTCTTTTCAGTCATAGGAAAAACAAGAAGGAAAACCCTGCATTACCCATAACAGAGAGTAATCAATAGAATATTTGTGGTTTAGATGCTTTATCTGCAGCCAGACCTAATGGCAACTTAACTGTGTTTACAAGGCAGCTCCAGGACAATTACTACCCAGCCGGGGTGCTCATGGAAAGCCACCTCCGCCAAAAAGGCAGGCTGAAATCGGGGGCAAGCCGGAAAACATCAAGCTCAGCAAGCTCCACATCATGCCAGTTCCTAGATGCAAATGCTCCCATCCTAGCCCTGGCAGGATCTTGTCGTAAAAACAGTCAAAGTGACACAAAAACCCATATAAAGGGTCATGCAGCAACTGAATAAGGGCCCAAAACACCTTCCTGCAGCAGGGACAGAGTCTCAAAATCACAAAGCTGGGAGGGGTCCAGAAACTTCTGAGTCTACACCAGTTGCTTGACAAGCAGAGAAAAGAGAGTGAGGCTCACAGGGCAGGCCCCCAGGTGGGCACTGGCTCAGCCATCCTGCCTGGCACAAGGCTGCAGGTTGTTGGGACCTAAGGAAGTATAAGGCCTTGTCCCACCTTGTGATGGTTAATACTGAGTGTCAACTTGATTGGATTGAAGGATGCAAAGTATTGTTCCTGGGTGTGAGGGCCTTGTCAAAGGAGATTAACATTTGAGTCAGTGGACTGGGAGAGGCAGACCCACCGAGAGTGAGGGTGCCTAATCTAATCAGCGCCAGCACAGCTAGAATAAAGCAGGCAGAAGAATGTGGAAGGACTTGACTTGCTGAGTCTTCCGGCCTCCATCTTTCTCCCGTGCTGGATGCTTCCTGCCCTCAAACATCGGACCCCAGATTCTTTAGCTTTTGGACTCACTTACACCAGTGGTTTGCCAGGGCTCTTGGACCTTCAGCCACAGACTGAAGGCTGCACTGCTGGCTTCCCTACTTTTGAGGTTTTGGGACTCTGACTGGCTTCCTTGCTCCTCAGCTTGCAGATGGTCTATTGTGGGACTTCACCTTGTGATCGTGTGATCAATTCTCCTAATAAACTCTGCTTCATGTATACATCTATCCTATTTGTTTTGTTCCTTTAGGAAACCCTGGCTAATACGCTACCCATGAGGAAGTTGGAGTTCAGTAAGGAGAAATCATGTACACAATTACGTACTATGAAAGACAGTACAGTGGCATTTGCAAATGCCCAGTGAAAACAAGGTTGGCAGAAGGATTTTGTGGTGGGCTTCAGAAGAGAGTGAGATGTTCAAATGGTTCTCCAGGCAGAAAGGAAGAGAAGGCAGAGAAGTCTGGGGCAGCACAGCCAAGGTTTGCAGAAGACAGAGCATTTGTTCACTCAGTTAGAATTTGTTGAGCAACTACTACAGCAAGGAGAGAAAAACATGCCCCAGTCAGTCCCTGACTTCCAGCACCTCATGGCCTATCCACTGGAGGAGAGTGTCAAATAAACAGTCAGCCACAACACTCTGTGGTCCCAGCATCTAAGACAAGACTTGACACCCCGTGGGTCTCTGTATTTATGCAGTAACAGACAATCCAGTCATGAGGCCTCTGATTCAGAGGCTCTGTCTCAAGGAGTAGGTGAAATTTCGTTAACCATGAATTCTGTGGCGAGAAGGGCAATGGACAATGTGAATTCAAGGGAGAAGGGCTTAGCGTACAGTTGGTGGGTCACCAGGAGCTCGGTGAACGGTGGAAGCAGGAGAGGGGGAGATGGATTAGAGGGGTTCACAGGAGCAGGGGTCTGAAACTGGAAAAACTGTAATGAGTTTAGGACCATGAATAGCCCCATCAGGTGAGGCCAGGGACTCACGCAACTGACATGGTGGATGAAGTGGCGAAGGTGATGGTGCAGAGGCTCCTGGGAGCCACCATAAAGAAGTTTTACATCATCCTCATGGAAGCAGCAAGCCCCCAAAAGCATCCTATGGGTATGACCACCTAGCTGCAAGTGCTGACTCCAGAATATGGTCAACCTGGACCACTGGTTCTCAACCAAATCATATTTGGCCCCCACCTCTCCTGGAGACATTTTTTGTTGTCATAATGGGGGGTGGGTACTCGAATCTTGGGGGAAGGGGCTGGAGATGCTGCTAACCTCCCTACAGTGATAAACCCCCTGTAGTGTGAAGCCTGAAAGTTCATGTACATCCTCAGCAGCTTTGCACCTCAGGGGCCTAACTGAATTCCCAGCTCTTACCAGCTGTGCCCTGACCCCCGCAGGAAAGGCCCCCACCTGGCCAGTTCCTTTATCAGCGAGACCAGCAGCCTCCCACCTGATCCTCAAGCTACGCCTCCCTGTCAGCCCACAAAATTACTCAAACAAGACCTGGTGCAGTGGCTCACACCTGTAATCCCAATACTTTGGGATGCCAAGGCGGGAGGATTGCTTGAGCCCAGGAGTTCAAGACCAGCCTAGGCAACATAGCATGACTCCATCTCTACAAAAAATTTAAAAAGTAGCCAGGGGTGTTGGTGCATGCCTGTAGTCCCAGCTAGTCAGGAGGTAGAGATGGGAGGATCTCTTGAGCCCAGGAGTTCAAAGCTGAAGGGAACCGTGATCACACCACTGCTCTCCAGCCTAGGTGATAGAGTGAGACTCTGTCTCAAAAAATGAAAACAAAAAACAAATTATTCAAACAAGCCAATCCCATCCTCCCAAGGGACCAGAAGCCACCCACCAGCCTCTTGTCCCTGCAAAGCTTGCCCCTCCCATAGCCCCCGCCAGCTCCCTCTGCTCCCGAGTACATGGTCCCTGCACGGCCCTGGGTGATGAGTACATGTGGCTAATAAATGCTGTGGATCCGTGAAGCTTCATAAAAGAGATGAGCCCCTGATCACCTCTCAGTGACAGGGATTGAAGGTCCAACCACCTGGCACAACTTAGGGTGGGGGATACCTCCTGCACCAACAGGGTAAGTAGGGTGAACAGAGCGTGCTCCCTCCAACACAGACTGTCCATAGCCAGTATGGACAATGTGAGCCAGGTACAGGATGAGCTGTCAGAGGGCTCCTTGGCTTAATATCTCCCTACCAGCCATGTTCTCTGGATCTGGCACCTCTTCACCAAACACTCACTTATTACGGTTGTTCTTCTTTTGGCCTCTTGAAAAATATTTAAATTTCCAGGATGTATAAAATGTTAAGCAGAAACCTGTCTCCCAAGAGGAGGGACTGTGGCACTGAGGACCCTGGACACATGCTAGTGTTGAGGAAATGTGTCAGAAATCCAAAGGCATGGGTGGCATAGAAGCCTGGGGGTCCTGACTACTGACTACAAAAAAGACAGCTCATTTGCTGAAAGACTTGCATAATCATGTCAACTGCTTGGCGGCAGATCAGCCTCTCCTGCTGCTGCTGAGGCTGAATGACACAACTGGAAGGGGCAAGAGAGACAGGAAAGGATGTGTTCCAAAGCCCCCCAACACAGAGCGGGTCATGTGCCACCTGCTGAGAGGAGCCTCGCCTATCACTCCACTGGAGGCTCTGCCCCTGCCTGTCGATCTGTACCACATCACTCTGCTTATTTCCTTCACACATCATCTCTAGCTGAAATGATCTCTATGTATTGATCTAGTTGTTTATCATATGTCTCCTCCAGGAGCATGCCAGCTTCCTGGGGACCTGGACTGCCAATGGTCTGGTTTCAGTGCCTACAGGAGATGCTTGGCTGATTTCAACCCCAAAAATGTCCATGAAAACCCCTCCTCTGAATTCAGAGTAGCAGAGATTTCCCTCCTTCCAACATAACATGGAGATGAGCACAGGAAACCATGAACCTTCCTGAAAGAGATGATCCCCTCAATGACCCCAGACAACTGGCAGAAGTTATGCTCCCTAGCAGGGTCCCAGCTCCTGGTGTCTACATCTTTGTGGGGTCCCCTCCACTGGAGTGTGGAAGGGACCTGTGACTTGCTTTTAACTAGTAGAATGCAGGAAAGGTGATGGGAAGTCACTCCTATGATTCGGTTATAAAATACTTTGAAATTGATGAGGACACAGAGAAAAGGGAATGCTTATCACTGTTGAAGGGAATGTAAATTAGTACAACTTCTGTGGAAAATACTATGGCGATGTCTCAAAGAAATAAAAATAGAATTTTCATTCAAATCAGCAATCCCACCACTGGGTATCTTACGCAAAGGAAAAGAAATCATTATATCAAAAACATACATACCTGCACTCATATGTTTAGTCACGATAGCAAAGATGTGGAATCAACCTAAATGTCCATCGATGGATGAAGAGATAAAGAAAATGTGGTGTATGTACACAATGGATTACCATCCAGTTATAAAAAGAATGAAATCACGTCTTTCACAGCAGCATGTTTGGAACTGGAGACCATTATCTTAAGAGAAACAACTCAGAAACAAACAAATATCACATGTTGTCACTTACAAATGGAAGCTAAATAATGTGCTCCCATTTATAAGTGAGAACATGGACATAGAGTGTGGAATGATAGGTAATAGAGACTCAGAAGTGTGAGGGGGTGGGAAGGGGATAGATGATGAGAAATTACTTAATGGGCACAATATACGTTATTAGGATGACAGATACTCTAGAAGCCCTGACTTCACCACTACACAATCTATTCATGTAAGAAAATTACACCTATACCCCATACATTTATATAAATTTAAAAAAATTAAAAATAAAACACTCTGTCTTAGTAGATTGGTGCCAGAGATTCTCCTGGCTAGCTTGATACCTTAAGCAGCCCTGTGGAGGGTGCCCACCTGGCAAGGAACTGTGGGCATCTTCTAGAACCTGAAAGCAGCCTCCAGCCAACAGCCAACAAACTGCTGTGCCCTCAGTCCCAACTGCCCACAACCTGAGAGAGCTTGGAAACAGATCTCTCCCCAGTCGAACCTCCAGATGAGAACACACCCCAGCCAATAACTCAACTGCAGCCTTGTGTGAGATCTGAACAAAAGACAAAGTCATGCTGTGCCCAAACTTTCCATCATCAGCTGTGATGGAAACTTAAAATCTTCTGAGCAAAGTATGGGTTCTGTGAACACTGAAAAGGAGGGATAGCTTGAGGAAACAGTTTCTATGGGTGGCTCTTCAAATTCCCATGCTTTCATTTACCCCACAGATATTCAGCACTGAGGTTGGCAATGGAGATACAATGATAGATGAGGCAGACATGCCCTGCTCTTGTGGAGATTACAATCCAGGGATCCTTGTTTAAGGAACTGAAGGGGGCTGGCATCTTCCAATTTCCAAGGCTGGGCTTCATCCAGGCCTGGTATCTGGTTCCTTGATGTTGTGTAGAGAAACACAATGGTGTGGCTGAACTTCTCACCTTGTGCACAGAGCCTAACGCCATGCTCCCTGTACTTTCCACAATCTGACATATCTCTAGAAAACATATATGCATGCACACACCACTCCCAAACAAAACATTGTTGAGCAGCAAAGCCAGTTTAAAATGAATATCAAGTGCTGCTTGAAAGAATAAAAGAAGCAAAGAAAAATATTTTATGCAAGTTGTGACAGGGAGAGGGTCTCACACAAGATAACAATCAACTTGCTGGCTGGACTGGGCTGTGTTTCCATCTGGAGGTTCGACTGGGGAAGGATCTGCTTCTGCACACCCTCAGGTTGTTGGCAGAATTTATTTTCTTGCTGCTGTAGAACTGAGGGCCTGGATTTTTCCTGGCTGGAGGCTGGGAGCTGCCCTCAGTTCAGCCTTGGATAGTTCTCAGGAGTTCTCTGCCTGGATTTAAAATCTCACCCCAACAGTGGCTACCTTTAAGAATTTCAGCTAACTTATGTAACCTCTTTACACTTCAGTTTCCTCACCTGTAAAAAGAAGGACAAACAAGAACACCCACTACATAGGATGGTTGCACAAATTGAATGAGTTGATAAAGGTAAAGAAATTAATGCAGTGTCTGGCACATGGGATTCATTCAATAAATGTCAGCAGTTATGATTAATGCTCTCATCCACTCCCATGCCTTTTATTTCCATCTGTCAATGGCTCCCAAATTAATATCTCCAGCCCTGACCTTGCCCCTTAATTCCAGATACAAACCTCCCATGGTCTACATGACATCTCCATGTAGGATTTCTAAGAAATGCCTCAAATCTGTAATAGTCCCCAAATAGCTCATTCTATGCTCCTTATTATCTCAGTAAATCACCTCTCTGTTCTTCCAAGTGCTGAAACCAAAAGTTGTCCTTGGCTCCTACCTTTTGCTTCTACCCCTCATCCAACCCATCAGCAGATTATTTGACTCTACAAATATATCCAGCATCCACTCTCTGCTTACCACCTGCACTAAAACCCTATGACCCACATCTCCATCTGCTCTCACCTGGATCACTGCAACAGCTTCCTAATGGACATCCCTCTTTCCCAGGCCCTCTGTGGTCTATCAGGGCAACCAGGGAGAGCCTTATAAGATGTAAGTTCTATCACATCACCCCATGCACACATCCTCTCCTATCTCACTCAGGGACCCACATGGACAGCTCTATGTGACCTGCTCCATGACCTTCCTGTCCCCATCTCCTGCTACTCCAGTGACCACTGCCCCTCCCTATCATTCTGGCCTCCTCTGTATCTTTAGGGCACTGCCCTTACAGCCCCCAATGCCTGGACATCCTCTCCTAGACATCCACATAGCTCACTTCCCCAAATATTATGTCTTTGTTCAAATACCACCTTCTTAGGTAACACCTTCTGAAATTGCATCCCCCCATCCACACTTTCTGTCCCTCTTCCCTGATCCATTATTCTTCGGACTTATCAACATTAAATTATAATGCATTTTATCTATTTGACCTGTTCGTTGTCTGTCTTCTCCAGTAGAAAGTTAACTCCATGTGGAGAAAGATTCTTCTCTGTTTGGTGGGTCTCCAGGGCCTGGCACAAAGCAGGTGCTCAATATGTATTTGCTAGAGGAATAAGTGGGGTTCATGGCAACCTGCCCATAGATTGGCCTTGGGGTGTGATTTTCACTGCATTTGCTACCTGGAGCCATCTCTTCCTCTGCCATCTTCTGCTTTCCTTGGTCTGCTCTCTGCTACCAAGTTAGTATAGGAGAAGCAAGGTGGGGATGCAAAGGGAGAGAGTGTCACAGTCCTGGTGTGGCTCCTGCCTCCTGTGAAATTTCACCAATAAGTTGCAAGTTTTCCTTTACAAAAAAATTCTTTCTGATTATCTGTAACATCTCAGAGATTTCTTGGGAACATTAGGTCAAGACTACTCTGCACTTTCATATAAATCCACTGATTAGGAGAATACACCCAAGATCTAGTATGTGATGGTGATTATGATTAACTCATAGATGTGACCAGAGATGACCTCAAGGACAGAGAAGAAACATAGATCTTTACAGCTTAAAGTGAGTAAGTTTCAGCAGAGGAACAAGAACACCAAGAAGGGACAAAGAGGCTTTAAGGAAAAGGGTGACAGGTGCAGTCATAGCAGTGGAAACAACCCAGATCCTCAAGATGTCTTCAGAAGGCTCCTTTTGGTGGGCACAGAGAGGCAGGCAGACCCTGGTGATGCTGACATGGATGGTGAATAGGACCTGAGCAGATGGCAGCAGCTCAGATGGCCACCTAAGGCTGCATCTACACCCACCCAGGCCAGTGTGCCTCTTCTGTCCCAGGAGGCCTGTTAATACAATGGAGATAGACAAATCTTCAAAATCCATCAAAAGAGTCAACCCAGAATCCATGTGTCCTCACCAGCACGTGTCTCCAACAGAAAAACTCCTGGGCATGTCCCCTAAAGGGAAATTGCTATGATTTGAATGTGTTCCCCACAGTTCATATGTTGGAAACCTGATCCCAATGCAACAGTGTTGAAAGGCAAGACATTTAAGAGGTAGTTAAGTCCTGAGGGCTTTGCCCTCATTAATGGATTAATGCCATTATAATGTGATATTGTTAGGCTTTGTGTCTCCACCCAAATCTCATCTTGAATTATAATCTCCATAATCTCTATAATCCCTACATGTCAAGAAAGAGACCAGGTGGAGGCAAATGGATAATGGGGGCGGTTTCCCCCATGCTGTTCTCATGATAGTGAGTGAGTTTTCACAAGATCTGATTGTTTCATAAGTGTTTGGTAGTGTATCCTGTGTTCGTTCTCCTTCCTGCCACCTTGTGAAGGTGCCTTGCTTCCACTTATCTTCTGCCATGATTGCAAGTTTCCTGAGGCCTCCCCAGCCATGCTAAACTGTGAGTCAATTAAACCTATCTCCTTTATAAATTACCCAGTTTCAGTTCTTTGTAGCAGTGTGAAAAGGACTAATACCTAATTATGGGAATAGGTTAGTTATCAAAAGAATGGATTAGTTATCATGGGAGTGGACTCCCGATAAAATGATGAGTTTGGGCCTCTTCTCCTCTGACTCTCCCCTGTGCTTTCTTGACCATCCACCTTCCACCATGGGATGATGCAGCAAGAAGGCCCTGGCCAGATGCTGAGCAGATGCTGGTGCCATGCTCTTGGACTTCCCAGTCTCCAAAGCTGTAAGAAATAAAGTTCTTTTCTTTATAAATTGCCCAGTCTGTGGTATTCTGTTATAGCAACACAAAATGGACTAAGATAAATATGTCTGTTCAGTGACTCCAAGACTTCAAAGCCCCTTCTAGAGACATTCTGTAGGATTATGTCTCTTCTGAGCTCACTTAGCTCCCCACAGACCCTGGCCCCAGAAGTGTTATTCAATGTTGCTTCTATCTGGTGCTGAGATGAATGGCTTGAAGGAAATCCAGGAAGGGGCTCAGCTCCCTGAACTGGTGACAATGGAGAGCAAGTTCCCTGGAAACTTCTATTCAAACCCACCAGAGCAGAAAGCCTTTTCCTCCAAGGCACCAAGATGGAGACCCTTGGCCACCTCACTGCATGAAGCCAAGGAGTATTCCCCTGCTTCAAGAATGTTGTTGCAGTCAGACAGCTAAGTGGTGTTTTGAAGTTGTTTAAAGGAGAAGTTATGAGTAGAAATAGTTTGAGCCTAGACAGGAAGACAGAATATGTTGGAGGTCCATGTGCTATTCTGGACATTTTCAAAGGTAGAGCTTCTCTCTCAAGGTGGAAACTGGGAAGGAAAGAGGAATGATGGCAGTGGTGAGTCTTTCACCCATGTTATGTTTCCCAAACTTCTGAGCAGAGGGTTTTGTCGTATGGTAGGGACTGATGCTAGATTCCAAGTCCACATGCATGTAGATAACATAGTCTACCCTCCTTTGCATTGATGTGGGGTTGGGTGACTGAGTTCTAGCCAATGGCATGGAGCACAGATGATGGGTTTTAACAAAATGTGTGTTGTGCAATTGTCCTTATGTCACAGTATAGCATTAAAGGGTGAAAAAACAGCACTCTTGTACAAGTGGAGAATGAACATGTTTGAAAGATCTATCTACTCATGAATGAGGAGCCATATGGGGGTAGTAGAAGCACTGGTGGGTGGAGAGTTGGAATAAACTAGCTAGCTTAGGGACAAAAGTAGTTAGCATCCTGCAGGATACCCCTCTACTACACAAAAACCTATAACCACCATAAACTTCACAGTGTCTAGACCTTCAATCCGCAGTTAGTAGCAAATCAAATAAAAGTACAAACAAGACAAGAGGTCCACTCTCAGCATTTCTATTCATCATTGTACTGGTGTCCTGAGCATAATTAAGCAAAAAAAGAATAACAAAAAGCATCCATACTGGAAGGGAAGAAGTAAAACTATTTGTATTTGTAAATGACATAATTTTGTATATTGAAAATCCTAAGGAACACACACACAAACACACACACACACACACACACTATCAGAACTAATAAGTTGAGCAAGGTGCAGGATACAAGATTAATATACAAAAAATAATTAGATTTCTACACACCAGCAATGAAAAATCCAAAATGAAAATAAGAAATCCATTCAATTTACAACAGCATCAAAAGAATAAAATACTTGGGAATAAATTTAACAAAAGAAGTGTAAGATTTATACACTGAAAACTACCAAGCATTATTGAAAGAAATTAAAGAACTAACTAAATAATAAGACATCTCAAGTACAGAGATTAGAAGACAATATTATTAAGATGCCAATAATCCCCAATTTGATCTATAGATTTGATATGATTTCTATCAAAACCCCAGCTGCTTTTTTCTTTTGCAGAAACTGACAAGGTGACCCTAAAACTAATATAGAAAGGAATTCATATAGAAAGATAGCCAAAACGATCTTGAGAAAAAAAAAAAGTTGTAGGACTCACACTTCCCAATTTCAAAATTTACTACAAAGTGACATTGATCAAGATGGTGTGATACTGGCATAAGGATAGACACAGAGATAAATGGAACAGAGTTGAGAATCCGGAAATAATTATTTATATGTCCGCTCATTTTGTAAGTTTCAGTAGGTTTTTGGGGAACAGGTGGTGTTTGGTTACATGGATAAGTGTTTTTAGTGGTGATTTATGAGATTTTGGTGCACCCATCACCCAAGCAGTTTACACTGTAACAAATATGTGGTCTTTTATCCTTCAGCCCCATCCCGTCATTCCCCCTGATTCCTCAATGTCCATTGTATCATTCTTATGCCTTTGCACCCTCATAGCTTAGCTCCCACTTATAAGTGAGGACATATGATATTTTGTTTTCCATTCCTGAGTTACTTCACCCCGAATAATGGTCTCCAACTCCATCCAGCTTTCATTCCTTTTTATGGCTGAGTAGTATTCCATGGTGTGTACACTCATTGACTGATGGATATTTGGGCTGGTTCCATATTTTTGCAATTGAGAATTGGACTCCTACAAATATGCATGTGTAAGTGTCTTTTTCCTATAATGACTTCTTTTCCTCCAGGTGGATACTCAATAGTGGTATTGCTGGATCAAATGGTAGATCTACTTTTAGTTCTTTAAGGAATCTCTACACTGTTTTCCATAGTGATTGTACTAGTTTACATTCCCACCAGCATTGTAAAAGTGTTCCCCTTTCACCACATCCACACCAACATCCATTATTTTTTGATTTTTTAAGTTATGGCCATTATCGCAGGAGTAAGTTGGTATTACATTATGGTTTTGATTTACATTTCCCTGATGACTAGTGATGTTGAGCATTTTTCCATATGTTTGTTGGCCATTTGTATGTCTTCTTTTGAGAATTGTGTATTGATGTCCTTAGCCCACTTTTTGATGGAATTATTTGTTTTTGTTATTTTTCCTATGGATTTGTTTGAGTTCCTTGTAGATTCTGGATATTAGCCCTTTGTCAGATGCATAGTTTGCAAAGATTTTCTCCCACTCTGTGGGTTGTCTGTTTACTCTGCCAATTATTTCTTTTGCTGTGCAGAAGCTTTTTAGTTTAATTAAGTTCCATCTATTTATCTTTGTTTTTGTTGCATTTGCTTCTGGGTTCTTGCTCATGAACTCTTTGCCTAAGCCAATGTCTAGAAGGGTTTTTCCAATGTTTTCTTTTAGAATGTTTATGATTCCTGGCCTTAGATTTAGGTCTTTGATTCATCTTGAGTTGATTTTTTTATAAGGTGAGAGATAAAGATCCAGTTTCATTCTTCTACATGTGGTTTGAAAATTATCCCAGCACCATTTGTTGAACAGAGTATCCTTTTCTCACTTTATGCTTTTATTTGCTTTGTTGAAGACCATGTGGCTGTAAGTATTTGGCTTCATTTCTGGGTTCTGTATTCTGTTGCACTGGTGTATCCACCTATGTTTATACCAGTACCATGCTGTTTTGGGGACTATGGCCTTATATTCAATAGTATAGTTTGAAGTCAGGTAATGCCATGCCTCCAGATTTGTTCTTTTTGCTTAGTCTTGCTTTGGCTATGAGGGCTGTTTTTTGGTTCCATGTGAATTTTAGGATTGTTTTTCTAGTTCTGTGAAGAGTGATGTTGGTATTTTGATGGGAATTGCATTGAATTTGTAGATTGCTTTTGGCAGTATGGTCATTTTCACAATATTGATTCTACCCTTCATGAGCATGGGATGTGTTTCCATTTGTTTGTGTTGTCTATGATTTCTTTCAGCAATGTTCTGTAGATTTTCTTGTAGAAGTCTTTCACCTCCTTGTTTAGTAATGTGGTTTGGCTCTGTGTCCCCACCCAAATCTCATCTTGTAGCTCACATGATTCTCACGTGTTGTGGGAGGGACCCAGTGGGAGATAACGGAATCATGAGGGTGGATCTTTCCTGTGCTGTTCTTATGATAGTGAATAAGTCTCAGGATATCTGATGGTTTTAAAAATGGGAGTTTCCCGGCACAAGCTCTTTTCTTGTCTGCTGCCATGTGAGATTTGCCTTTCACCTTACACCATGATAGTGAGGCCTTCCTAGTCATAAGGAACTATAAGTCCATTAAATCTCTTTCTTTTGTAAATTGCCCAGTCTTGGGTATGTCTTTATCAGCAGTGTGAAACTGGACTAATACTGTTAGGTATGTTCCCAAGTATTTTATTTTATTTTTTTTTGGAGCTATTGTAAAAGGGGTCGAGTTCTTGATTTGATTCTCAGCTTGGTCGTTTTGGTGTATAGCAGTGCTCCTAATTTGTGTACATTGATTTTGTATCCTGAAAATTTACTGAATTCGTTTGTCAGATCTAGGAAGTTTTTTTGATGAGTCTTTAGGGTTTTCTAGGTATATGAGTATATCATTGGTGAAAAGTAACAGTTTTACTTCCTCTTTACTGACTTGGATGTCCTTTATTTCTGTCTCTTGCCTGATTGTTCTGGCTAGAACTTGTGTACTATGTTGAATAGAAGTGTGAGAGTGGGCATCTTTGTCTTTTTCCAGTTCTCAGGGGAATGCTTTCAACTTTTCCCTATTCAGTATAATGTTGGCTGTGGCTTTATCATAGATGGTTTTTATTACCTTAGAGTATGTCCCTTTTATGCCAATTTTGCTAAGGGTTCTAATCATAAAGAGATGCTGAATTTTGTCAAATGCTTTTTCTGTGTCTTTTGAGGTAGTCATGCGGTTTTTTTTATGCCGTTTATGTGGTATATCACATTTATTGACTTGTGTATGTTAAACCATCCCTACATCCCTTGTATAAAACCCAATTGATTGTGATAGATTATCTTTTGATATGCTGTTGGACTCAGTTAGCTAGTATTTTGTTGAGGATTTTTGCATCTATGTTCATCAGGGATATTGGTCTGTAGTTTTCTTTTTTTGTTATGTCCTTTTCTGGTTTTGGTATTAGGGTGATACTGGCTTTGTAGAATGATTTAGGGAGGATTCTCTATTTCTCTATCTTTTGAAATTGTGTCAGTAGGATTGGTACCAGTTCTTCTTTGAATGTCTTATAGAATTCAGCTTTGAAACCATCTGGTTCTGGATATTTTTTATTGGCAATTTTTTTATTAACATGTCAATCTCACTGCTTGTTATTGGTCTTTTCAGAGTTTCTATTGCAGGGTTGAAGATTTTCTAGTTTGTTCACATAAAGGTGTTCATAGTAACCTTGAATTATATTTTGTATTTCTGAAGTATTGATTGTAATATCTCCCACTTCATTTTTAATTGAGCTTATTTGGACCTTCTTTCTTTTATTGGTTAATCTCGCTAATGGTCTATCAATTTTGTCTATCTTTTCAAAGAACCAGCTTTTTGTTTCATTTATCTTTTGTATGATTTTTTGTTATTGTTTCAATTTCATTTAATTCTGCTCTGATCTTTGTTATTTCTTTTCTTCTGCTGGGTTTGGGTTTGGTTTGTTCTTTTTTCTCTAGTTCCTTGTGGTGTGACCTTAGACTGTCTATTTGTGCTGTTTCAGGCTTTTTGATGTAGACATTTAACGCTATGAACTTTCCTCTCAGCACCACTTTTGCTGTATCCCAGAGGTTTACTAGGTTGTATCACAATTGTTGTTCAGTTCAAAATTTTTTAAAATTTCTGTCTCAATTTCATTGTTGACCCAGTGTTCATTCAGGAGCAGATTATTTAATTTCCATAATTTTGCATTATTTTGAGGGTTTATCTGGAGTTGATTTTCAATTTTATTCCACTGTTGTCTAAGAGAGTAGTTGATATAATTTTGATTTTCTTAAATGTATTGAGACTTGTTTTGTGGTCTGTCATATGGTCTATCTTGGAGAACGTTCCATGTGCTGATGAATAGAGTGTATATTCTGCAGTTGTTGGGTAGAATGTTCTGTAAACATCTGTTAAGTTCATTTGTTCTAAGTTATAGTTTAGGTCCGTTGTTTCTTTGCTGACTTTCTATCTTGATAACCTGTCTAGTACTGACAGTGCAGTATTGAGGTTCCCCTATTATTGTGTTGCCAACCATCTCATTTCTTAGGTCTAGTAGTAATTGTTTTATAAATTTGGGAGCTCTAGTGTTAGGTGTACATATATTTAGGATTGTGATATTTTCCTGTTGGACTAGTCCTTTTATCATTATATGTCCTTTTTTGTCTTTTTAAACTGTTGTTGCTTTAAAGTCTGTTTTATCTGATTTAAGAATAGCTACTCCTGCTTCCTTTCGGTGTCCATTTGCATGGAATATCTTTTTACATCCTTTTAACTTAAGTTTATGTGAGTCTTTATGTGTTAGGTGAGTCTCTTAAGGCTGCAGAAACATGGTTGGTGAATTCTTTTTTTTTTTTTTTTTTTTTTTTTTGAGATGGAATCTCACTCTGTTGCCAGGCTGGAGTGCAGTGCTGCAATCTCAGCTCACTGCAACCTCTGCCTCCCGGGTTCAAGCGATTCTTCTGCCTCAGCCTCCCCGAGTAGCTGGAACTACAGGCACGTGCCACCACACCCAGCTATTTTTGGTATTTTTAGTAGAGACGGGGTTTCACCATGTTGACCAGGATGGTCTGGATCTCTTGACTTCGTGATTGGCCCACCTCACCCTCTCAAAGTGGGTGAATTCTTATTCATTCTGCCGTTCTGCATCTTTTAAGTGGAGTATTTAGGCCATTTACATTCAACATTAGCATTGAGATGTGAGGTACTATTCTATACATTGTGCTTGTTGTTGTCTTTATACCTCATTTTTTCTTTGTGTTATTGTTTTATAGGCCCCTGAGATTTATGCTTTAAAGAGGTTCTATTTTGCTGTATTTCAAGGTTTTGTTTCAAGACTTAGAACTCCGTTTAGCAGTTCTTGTAGTGCTGGCTTGGTAGTGGTAAATTCTCTAAGCATTTGTTTGTCTGATAAAGGCTTTATCTTTCCTTCGTTTATGAAGCTTAGTTTCTCTAGATACAAAATTCCTGGCTGATAGTTGTTTTGTTTAAGGAGGCTAAAGATAGGACCCCACATTTATGTTCATTTAATTTTGGCAAGAGTATCAAGGCCATTTTATGGTTAAAGACTAATCTTTTCAACAAATGGTGCTAGAAAAACTGTATATTCCCATGCAAGAGAATAAAATTGGACCCCTACCTCATATCATATGCAAAATTAACTTGAATAGATCAAAGACATAAATGTAAGAACTAAAGTTATGATTCTTCTAGGAGAAAACATAGCAGTAAAGTTCATGCTTATGCTGTGTGTTAAGAATTTTTTTTGACGCAACACCAAAAGCACTAGCAATAAAAGAAGAGATAGATAAATTGGGCTTCATCAAAATTAATAACTTTTGTGTTTCAAAGAATCCCATCAAGAAAGTTAAAAGAAAACCTACAAAATAGCAGAAAATATTTGCAAATCCTACATCTATATAAGGGATATTTTTATCCAGAACATATAAAGAATACTTACAACTCAACAATGAAAAGATAGGTACACCAATTTTAAAATGGGCAAAGAAGATAGACTTCTGATTTCCCATTGGCATATAAGGAGTTTGGAAGTTACTACCCCTTCCTAACAACAAGTGAAAACTTGACCAAACTGAAAAATCAACAACTCTTCTTAGATCCATCAGAGAAGTGAGATCACAAGGCAAACTACTGTCCCCCAAATTGGAGAGAGACAGCAGGCCAACACAGAAAACCAGAACTTACTAGAGCAGAAACCCCTGCAGGAACTGGTGCCAGGAAAGGAAACCCTAAACTGCAAAGGATGAATTGCTGGAGGCTCAGTGTGGACGAGTCTGAGAATTACACCTCGGGCAGCCTCCACACTATTGAGCATTTTACCTCCAGGAACTCTATTAGGTTCTTATAGTGAAGATTAAAGAAAAATTCTATTTTACTTTCTGAAGGAAGGAGGGGGAAAGTAACCAATCTGTAATATATCAGAGTTTTCTGGGTTTTTTTTTTTAACAACCCTCAAGAGAAATTGTTTTGTCATAGCCTAAGTTATATAGGTTTCATCAAAACCTAATCAGCCTGGGGAAAAGGAAATGCCCAACTCCAGTACTCCCCACCCCACCCCCCATCCTCTTCCACCTAAGGGAAGAATGATATTATATAAAATGCTCCATTAGAAGCACTGATGAAGTTCATAGCCCAGGGTCACAGGCCCACCAAAAGGCTGAGACTGGCTCACAGGATTATAGAATCCTTCCCCTCCCCTGACCTCACCATCTCATCACTAAAACCCACTTAGCTCAGTGCCTTTTCTTCAGCACATCATGTCTGCCTTTCAGCAAAAAAATTGCAAGTCTTATTTAAAGGCAGAAAAAACAGTTTAAAGACAGAGAGCAGGCATCAGAACTAGACTCAATATGGCAGGAATGTTGAAATTAAGAGACTGAAAATATAAAACAACTATGAGAAACAGGATAAGGCTCCACTGGAAAAAGTAGAAAACACGCATGTATTAATCTGTTCTCATGCTGCTAATAAAGACATATCCAAGGCTGGGTAGTTTATTAAGGATAGAGGTTTAATTGACTCACAGTTCAGGATGACTGGGGAGGCCTCAGGAAACTACAATCATGGCAGAAGAGAAAGCAACATGTTCTTCTTCACATGGTGGCAGCAAAGAAAAGTGCCAAGTAAAAGGGAGAAAAGCCCCTTATAAAACCACCAGATCTCATGAGAACTCACTCACTGCTGTTCCCTTTTATCACAAAAAAGCAGCATGGGGGTAGCTGCCCCCATAATTTAATTATCTCCCACCAAGTCCCTCCCACACACGTTGGGATTATGGGAACTACAAGATGAGATTTGGGTGGGGACACAGCCAAACCATATTAGTGCAAAAACAGATGGGTAATGTAAGCAGAGAGGTTACACTCTACGGGGAAAAAAACTAGAAGAAAAGCTAACAATCAAAGACACTGTAACATAAATTAAGAAGTCTTTGATAAGCTCATTCATATCCTGGACATGGCTGAGGAAAGAATCCTCAGGTTGAGAACATGTCAATAGAAAGTTCCAAACCTGAAAACCAAAGATAAAAGACTGAAAAAAAAAAAAAAAACCAACAACAACAACAACAACAGAAAACCAAGACCTGTGGGACAACTATGAAAGGTATAACATATATGTAATGGGAATCCCAGAGGAAAATAAAAAGAGAAATAAAGATTTGAAGCAACAATGACTGAGAATTTCCCCAAAATTTACATCAGACACAAAACCGCAAATCCTAGAAGCTTAGAGACCACCAAACAAGATAAATGCCCAAAAAAGACACAAAGACATATCAAATTCAAACTTCAGAAAACCAGAGATGAAGAACGAATCTTGAAAAAAGCCAGAAGGGGAAATAAAAAACCTTAACTGTAGAAGAGCAAAGACAAGAATTACATCTGACTTCTCAGAAACCATGCAAGCGAGAAAAGACTAGACTGAAGTATTTTAAAGTATTGAGAGAAAAAATGACCAGGCTAGAATTCTGTATCCTGCAAAATTATCCTTCAAAAATGAAAGATAAATAAAGACATCCTCAAACAAACAAAAATTGAGTTTGTTGCTGCTAGATCTGCCTTGTAAGACAGGGCAAAAAGAAGTTCTTTAGAGAGAAAGAAAATAATATAGATCAAAAACTCAGATCTACTTAAAGAAAGGAAGAGTATTATAGAGGAAGTAAGTGAAAGTAAAATAAAAACTTTTATTTTTCTTATTTTTAATTGATCTCACAGATAGCAGTTTGTTCAAAATAATAGCAACAATGTATTCAGTGATTATAGCTTATGTATAAGTGAAATAAACAACTGTTATAATATAAAGAATGAGAGGAAGGAATTAGGAATATTTTGTACTTGCACTACCCATGAAGTGGTATAGTGTTATTTGAAAGCGGACTTGGATTGCTTTTAAATATAAATTGCAAATTCTAGGGCAACTATTAAAAAAAGTTTTAAAATGTATAATTTATATGCTGGGAGATTAAAATGATATTATGTAAAATGCTCAATTAAAATCATGAAAGGCAGGAAAAAAGTGAAAGACAAAAATAAAACAAAGAACAAGAGTGATAAATAGAAAACGGTAACAAATATGATAGATATTAGTCCAATTGTATCCATAATCACTTAAACATCAATGATCTAAATACAGCAATTAAAAGACAGATTGTCAGAGTAGATTTTTTAAAAACAACTATATATTGTCTACAAGAAACCCACTTTAAATATGAAGACACACATATATTAAAAGTAAAGGGATAGAAAAAATATACCATGCAAACAATAATCAAAAGAAAGCTGGAGGAGCTATATCAATTTCAGACAGAGTAGATTTCAGAGTAAGGAAACTTATCAAAAATAAAGAGGGGCATTGCATGATGATAAAAGAGTCAATTCTCCAAGAAGATGTAACAATCTTTAACATGTATGTGCCTAAAAACGGAAAGTTAAAATATGCAAGGCAAAAAACTGACAGAACTACAAGAAATAGATTAATCTATTGTTAGAGTTGGAGACTGCAACACTCTGCCATCAGAAGTGTACAAATCTAGCAGGCAGAAAATCAGTAAGGACACAACTGATCTCAATAGCACCATCAATCAACTGATGTAACTGACATTTATAGACTACTTCATTCAACAGCAATAGAATACACTTTCCTCTCAAGCTCACATAGAAAACTTCCAAAGTCATTATCAGCATTACCCTAGTACCCAAACCCGACAAAGTCATTGCAGGAAAAGAAGAAAACTACAGATCAATATCTCTCATGAACATATATGTAAAAATCCTTAACAAAATATTAACAAATCAAATCCAAAAATGTATAAAAATAATTATACACATGACCCAGTGAGACTTATCCCATGTATGCAAAGCTGGTTTAACATTTGAAAATTGATTAATGTAATCCATCAAATAAGCAGGCTAAAGGAAAATCACATAATCATTTCAATAGACGCAGAAGTAGCATTTGTCAAATCTAACACCGTTTTATGATAAACTCTCAGCAAACTAGGAATAGAGGGGAAATTACTCAACTTGATAAAGAACATCTGCAAAAACCTGAAGCTAACATGGTACTTAATGGTGAGAAAATAGAAGCCTTCCTGCTAAGATCAAAAAGGTATGATGTGCTCGCTCACCACTCCCTTTCAACATTATGCTGCAATTTCTACCTAATGCAATAAGACAAGAAAAGGAAATAAAAGGTATACTGATTGGGAAGGAAGAAATAAAACTGTCATTGTTTGCAGGCAGAATGACTATCTACCTAGAAATTCTTTTCAAAAATCAACAAATAAGCAATTATAACAAGGTTGTAGGATGCAAGGTTAGTATACAAGAGTCAATCACTTCCCTTTTTGCCAGCAATAAACAAGTAGAATTTGAAATTAAAAACACAATGCCATTTACATTAGCAACACACACACACACACACAAATAAAATACAGAAATATACATCTAACAAAATATGTGTCATCTACATGGGGAAAACTACAAAACTCTGATGAAAGAAATCAAAGAACTAAGTAAATGGGAAGTTACTCCATGTTCATGAACAGGAAGGCTCTATATTGTCAAGGTGTCAATACTAATGACTATGTTCTATCATAGCCTAACCTGTATAGTTTCTATCAGAACCTAATCAACCTGGGGGAAAGGAAATACCTAATACCCTATAGATAAAAAACTTTATCTATAGATCCCAACTTTATCTCTAGATCAATGCAATCCCAATCAAAATGCCAGCAAGTTATTTTGTGGTTATCAAAAAATTAATTCTAAAGTTTATACAGAGAGGCAAGAGATCCAGATTAGCCAACACAATATTGAAGGAAAACACTGTTTTATGATAAACTCATAAACAAAGAGAACAAAAGAACAAAAAGTCAGAAGACTGACAGTATCTAACTTCAAGATATACTATTAATACAAAGCTACAGTCATTAAGACAGTACAGTATCAAAAGAACAAGCAAACAGATCAATGGAACAGAGTGGAAAGCCCAGACTATATAAATATAGTCAATTGAACTTTGACAAATAAGCAAAGACAATACAACAGAGCAAAGATAGTCTTTTCATCAAACGTTGCAACTGGACATCCACACACAAAGAAAAAAATGAATCTAGACACTGGCCTTACACCCTTCACAAAAAATTAACTCAAAATGGATCATAGATGTAAATGTGAAATTCAAAGCTATTAAACTTCTAGAAGGTAACATAGGAAAGAATCTAGATGACTTTGCCTATGTTACTATTTTGACAAAACATTAAAAGCAAGATTCATGAAAGAAATAATCGATAAGCTAGACTTGATTAAAATTTAAAACTTCTCTGCAAAAGAGACTGCCAAGTCAGTGAGAAGACAAACCGTAGACTGGGAGAAAATATTTGCAGAAGGCCTGTCTGATAAAGGAGTATTATTCAAAATATACAAAGACTTCTTAAAACTCAACAATAATAAAAAAAAACCAACCTGATTTTAAAAATGAACAAAATATCTGAATGGACACCTCATCAAAGAAGATATGCAGATAACAAATAAGTATATGAAGAGATGTTCAGCATCGTATGTCGTTTGGGAATTGCAAATTAAAACAATAAGATACCACCACAGGCCTACTAGAATGACCAAAATCCAGAAGACTGACAATACAAAATGCTGGCAAAGATGTGAGGCCACAGGAACTTTTGTTCATTGCTGGTGGCATTGCAAAATGGTATAGCCTCTTTGGAAGACAGTTTGGTACTTTCTTTCAAAATGAAACATATTCCTACCATATGATTCAGCAATTGTTCTTTTTGATATTTATCCAAAGGCATTGAAAACCTATGTCCACAAAAAAACCTACACACATATGCTTATAGCGGCTTTATTCATGATTGCCAAAACGTGGAAGCAACCAAAATGTCCTTCAGCATTAGGGCAGGGGTCTCCCACCCCCTGGGGCCACAGACCAGTACCAGTCCATGGCCTGTTTGGAACCAGGCCGCACATCAGGTGAGCTGTGGGCAAGTGAGCGATGCTTCTTCCACATTTACAGATGCTCCCCATCGCTCACATCACCTCCTGAGCTCCTACACCTGTCAGATGAACAGCGGCATTAGATTCTCATAAGAGCGTGAACCCTATTGTGAACTGCACATGCAAGGGATCTAGGTTTTGCATTCCTTATGAGAATCTAATGCCTGATGATCTGTTACTGTCTGCCATCACCCCCAGATGGGACCGTCTGATTGCAGGAAAACAATCTCAGGGCTGTCACTGATTCTACGTTATGGTGAGTTGTATCATGATTTCATTATATATTACAATCTAAAAATAATAAAGTGTACAATAAATGTAACACACTGAAATTATCCCAAAACTATCCCCCGCCCCCACCCACCCCAGTCCTTGGAAAAATTGTCTTCTAAGAAACTTGTCCCTGGTGCCAAAAAGGCTGGGGGTCGCTGGGTTAGGGGAAAGGAAGAGATAAATAGGCAGAACACAGAGAATTTTCAGGGCAGTGAATCTTTTCTGTGTGATACTATAACAGTGGCACACATCATTGTATATTTGTTCAAAACCATAGAATGTATAATATCAAGACTGAACCCTATGTCTTCTTTGGAGAAATGTCTATTCAGGAATTGATAAAGAAATTGTAGTGGCTGGGCACAGTGGCTCATGCCTGTAATCCCAGCACTTTGGGAGGCCCAGGTGTGTGGATCACCTGAGGTTAGCAGTTGGAGACCAGCCTGGCCAACATGGCAAAACCCTGTCTCTACTAAAAATACAAAAATTAGCCAGGCATGGTGGTGGGTGCCTGTAATCCCAGCCATTCAGGAGGCTGAGGCAGGAGAATCACTTGAATCTGGGAGGCAGAGGTTGTAGTGAGCTGAGATAGTGCCATTGCACACTCCAGCTGGGTAGTAAGAGTGAAAACACTCAAAAAAAAAAAAAAGAAAGAAATTGTGATATAGCAGATTCTCACCAATAAGTGGGAGCTAAACAATGGGTAAGATGGACATAAAGATGGAAATAATTGAAACTGAGAACTCCAAAGGTGGGGGGGAACATGAGGGTTGAAATATTACCTATCAGGTACCATGTTCACGATTTGGGTAATGGGTACAATAGAAATCCAAGCCCCCCACCCACCCCCCAGCATGAAATATATTCATGAAATAAATATGCACATGTACTCCTGAATCTAAAATAAATTTAGTTATAAAAAATAAATGGTAGTGTATGTATACAAGGAAATATTATTTTATAAAGAAGATACTACCGTTTGCAACAACATGGAAGACATTATGCTAAGCGAAATAAGCCAGACACGGAAAGAAACACACTCTTTTATCTCAATTATATATAGAATCTTTAAGAACATCAAAAAAATAGAAACCATGTAGAATAGTGGTTATAGGGGACAGGGAAAGGAAGAAGGAGATCCAAGGGTACAAATTTGCAGTTAGAATAAATAAGTGTAGGAGATGTACAGTGGGAGGGCTATAGTGATGTGGTTTGGCTGTGTCCCCACCAAATCTCATCTCGAATTGTAGCTCCCATAATTCCCATGTGTTGAGGGAGGGGCTCAGTGGGAGATAATTGAATCATAGGTGTGGTTTCTCCACCCTGTTCTCATGGTAGTGAATAAGTCTCATGAGATCTGATGGTTTTCTAAAGAGGAGTCCCCCTGCACACACTCTCTTGCCTGCCGCCATGTAAGAAGTCTCTTTGCTCCTCCTTTGTCTTCTGCCATGATTGTGAGGCCTCCCCAGCCATGTGGGACTGGGAGTCCATTAAACCTCTTTTTTTTTTTTTTATAAATTACCCAGTCTCAGGTATGTCTTTATTAGCAGTGTGAGAACAACTAATACCTATAGTTAGTAATAATATACTGAAAAGTTGCTAAGAGAGTAGATTTTAGGTACCCTCACCACACCAAAAAAGAGGTAACTGTCAGGCCTCTGAACCCAAGCCAAGCCATCACGTCCAGGCATTCTTTTACACATCGGTCCCTCCGTAGTCTCTGTGCCCAATGCAACTCATCCCAAATCTTCCTTCTTTCCCTCCCGCCTGTCCCCTCAGTCCCAACCCCAAGTGTCGCTGAGTCTTTCTAATCTTCCTTTTCTACAGACCCATCTGACCTCTCCCCTCCTCCCCAGGCCAAGCTAGGTCCCAATTCCTCCTCAGCCTCTGCTCCTCCACCCTATGATCTTTTTATCACCTCCCCTCCTCACACCTGGTCCAGCTTACAATTTCGTTCCGGGATCAGCCCTCCCCCACCTGCCCAGCAATTTCCTCTTAAAAAGATGGCTGGAGCTAAAGGCATAGTCAAGGTTAATGCTCTCTTTTCTTTATCTGACCTCTCCCAAATCAGTTAGCATTTAGGCTCTTTCATCAAGTATGAAAAACCCAGCCCAGTTCATGGCTCATTCAGCAGCAACCCTGAGACGCTTTACAGCCCTAGACCCTAAAAGGGCAATAGGCCGTCTTATTTTCAATATACATTTTATTACCCAATCCGCTCCTGACATTAAATAAAACTCCAAAAATTAAATTCTGGCCCTCAAACCCCACAACAGGACTTAATTAACCTTGCCTTCAAGGTGTACAATAATACAGTAGAGGCAGCCAAGTAGCAACATTTCTGAGCTGCAATTCCTTGCCTCCACTGTGAGACAAACCCCAGCCACATCTCCAGCACACAAGAACTTCCAAATGCCTAAACCACAGTGGCCAGGCATTTCTCCAGGCCTGCCTCCCCCAGGAGCTGGCTGCAAGTGCCAGAAACCTAGCCACTGGGTCAAGGAATGCCCACAGCCCAGGATTCCTCCTAAACCGTGTCCCATCTGTGCAGGACCCCACTGAAAATCGGACTGTTCAACTCACCTGGCAGCCACTTCCAGAGCCCCTGGAACTCTGGCCCAAGGCTGTCTGACTCCTTCCCAGATCTTCTTGGCTTAGCAGCTGAAGACTGACACTGCTCGATCGCCTCGGAAGCCTACAAGACCATCACAGATGCTCTGGGTAACTCTCAGAGTGGAAAGTAAGTCTGTCACCTTCTTAATCAATACGGAGGCTACCCACTCCACATTACCTTCTTTTCAAGGTCCTGTTTCCCTTGCCTCCATAACTGTTGTAGGTATTGACAGCCAGGCTTCTAAACCTCTTAAAACTCCCCAGCTCTGGTGCCAACTTAGACAATACTCCTTTAAGCACTCCTTTTAGTTATCCCCACCTGCCCAGTTCCCTTATTAGGCTGAGATATTTTAACTAAATTATCTGCTTCCCTGACTATTCCTGGGCTACAGCCACACCTCATTGCCACCTTTTCCCCCAGTTCAAAGCCTCCTTCACCTCCTCCCCTTATATCTCCCCACCTTAACCCACAAGTATAAGATACCTCTACTCCCTCCTTAGCGACTGATAATCCACCCCTTACCATTTCATTAAAACCTAATCACCCTTATCCCACTCAATGCCAATATCCCATCCCACAGCACGCTTTAAAAAGATCAAAGCCTGTTATAACTTGCCTGCTACAGCATGGCCTTTTAAAGCCTATACACTCCCCTTACAATTCCCCCATTTCACCTGTCCTAAAACCAGACCAGGCTTACAGGTTAGTTCAAGATCTGTGCCTTATCAACCAAATTGTTTTGCCTACCCACCCCGTGGTGCCAAACCCATATACTCTCCTATCCTCAATACCTCCCTCCACAACCCATTATTCTGTTCTGGATCTCAAACATGCTTTCTTTACTATTCCTTTGCACCCTTCATCCCAGCCTCTCTTTGCTTTCACTTGGACTGACCCTGACACCCATCAGCCTCAGCAAATTACCTGGGCTGTACTGCCACAAGGCTTCACAGACAGCCCCCATTACTTCAGTCAAGCCCAAATTTCTTCCTCATCTGTTACCTATCTCAGCATAATTCTCATAAAAATACACATGATCTCCCTGCCAATCATGTCCAGCTGATCTCTCAAACCCCAATACCTTCTACAAAACAACAACTTCTTTCCTTCCTAGGCATGGTTAGATACTTTTGACTTTAGATACCTGGTTTTGCCATCATAACAAAACCATTACATAAACTCACAAAAGGAAACCTAGCTGACTCCATAGATCCTAAATCCTTTCCCCACTCCTCTTTCTGTTCCTTGAAGACAGCTTTAGAGACTGCTCCCACCCCAGCTCTCCCTGACTCATCCCAACCCTTTTCATTACACACAGCCAAAGTGCAGGACTGTGCAGTCAGAATTCTTATACAAGGACCAGGATCACTTCCTGTAGCCTTTATGTCCAAACAACTTGACCTTACTGTTTTAGGCTGGCCATCATGTCTCCGCACAGTGGCTGCTGCCACCCTAATACTTTTAGAGGACCTCAAAATCACAAACTATGCTCAACTCACTCTCTACAGATCTCATAGTTTCCAAAATCTGTTTTCTTCCTCACACCTGACACATATACGTTCAGCTCCCTGGCTCCGTCAGCTGTACTCACTCTTTGTTGAGTCTCCCACAATTACCATTGTTCCTGGCCCGGACTTCAATCCGGCCTCCCACATTATTCCGGATACCACACCTGACCCTCATGACTGTATCTCTCTGATCCACCTGACATTCCCCCCATTTCCCCATATTTCCTTATTTCCTGTTCCTTACCCTGATCACATTTAGTTTATTGATGGCAGTTCCACCAGGCCTAATCACCACTCACCAGCAAACGCAGGCTATGCTATAGTATCTTCCACATCTATCATTGAGGCTACCGCTCTGCCCCCCTCCACTACCTCTCAGCAAGTTGAATTAGTTGCCTTAACTCAAGCCCTCACTCTTGCAAAAAGACTACGCGTCAATATTTATACTGACTCTAAATATGCCTTTCATATTTTGCACCACCATGCTGTTATATAGGCTGAAAGAGGTTTCCTCACTATGCAAAGGTCCTCCATCATTAATGCCTCTTTAATAAAAACTCTGCTCAAGGCCGCTTTACTTCCAAAGGAAGCTGGAGTCATTCACTACAAAGGTCATCAAAAGGCATCAGATCCCATTGCTCTAAGCAACGCTTATGCTGATAAGGTGGCTAGACAAGCAGCTAGCTTTCCAACTTCTGTCCCTCACGGCCAGTTTTTTTCCTTCACATCGGTCACTCTCACCTACTCCCCTGCTGAAACTTCCACTTATCAATCTCTTCCCACACAAGGCAAATAGTTCTTAGACCAAGGAAAATATCTCCTTCCAGCCTCACAGGCCCATTCTATTCTGTCGTCATTTCATAACCTCTTCCATGTAGGTTACAAGCCGCTAGCCCATCTCTTAGAACCTCTCATTTCCTTTCCATCCTAAAAATCTATCCTCAAAGAAATCACTTCTCAGTGTTCCATCTGCTATTCTACTACCCCTCCCTTTCCTACACATCAAGCTCGAGGATTTGTCCCTGCCCAGGACTGGTAAATTGACTTTACTCACATGCCCCGAGTCAGAAAACTAAAATATCTCTTAGTCTAGGTAGACACTTTCACTGGATGGGTAGAGGCCTTTCCCACAGGGTCTGAGAAGGCCACAGCAGTCATTTCTTCCCTTCTGTCAGACAATTCCTCAGTTTGGCCCTCCCACCTCTATACAGTCTGATAACGGACCAACCTTTACTAGTCAAATCACCTAGTTTCTCAGGCTCTTGGTATTCAGTGGAAACTTCATATCCCTTACCGTCCTCAATCTTCAGGAAAGGTAGAACGAACTAATAGTCTTTTAAAGACACACCTCACCAAGCTCAACCTCCAACTTAAAAAAGGATTGGACAGTACTTTTACCTCTTGCCCTTCTCAGAATTAGAGCCTGTCCTCGAGATGCTACAAGGTACAGTCCATTTAAACTTTTATATGGATGCTCTTTCTTGCTTGGCTCCAACCTCATCCCAGACACCAGCCCTCTAGGCGACTATCTTCCAGTCCTTCAACAGGCTAGATAGGAAATTCGCCAGGCTGCTAATCTTCTCTTGCCTACTCCAGATCCCCAGCCTTATGAAGACACCCTAGCTGGATGATCCGTTCTTGTTAAGAATCTGACCCCTCAAACTCTACAACCTCAATGGACCGGACCCTACTTAGTCATCTATAGTACCCCAACTGCCGTCCACCTGCAGGATTCTCCCCACTAGGTTCACCATTCCAGAATAAAGTTGTTTCCATCAGACAGCCAGCCTAATCCCTCCTCTTCCTCCTGGAAGTCACAAGTACTCTCCCCTACTTCCCTTAAACTCACTAGCATTTCTGAAGAACAGTAATAACCCTTATGAGCCTAATACATCCCTTCATTCTATTAGGTCTGTTCATCCTTACCCTACTTTTTGCAACAGGGCTTAATGAAGTCACCCCCACCACTTAGGCTGAGCCCCGAAAAACTAGTCATCCCTGCTATCTTCTGTCTAGTCATACTCCTATTCTCTATTCTCAACTACTTATAAATGCCCTACTCTTGTTTACACTGCCAGTTTACACTGTTTCTTCAAGCCATCACAGCTGATATCTCTTGGTGCTATCCCCAAACCACCACTCTTAACTCCCTCTTAGAGTGGATAGATGATCTTTGCTGGCAAGGCACCCTCCAGTATTTCCACCCTGATGAAGTTCTATTCCTTACTTTTATACTCACTCTTATTCTCATTCCCATTCTTATGCCACCCTTTACCTCTCCCCAGCTATCTCCACCACACTATCAACCTTACCCATTCTCTCCTAGCTGCTTCTAATCCCTCCTTAGCGAACAACTGCTGGTTTTGCATTTCCCTTTCTCCCAGCGCCTACACAGCTGTCCCCGCCTTACATGCAGACTAGGCTACATCTCCTGTCTCCTTACACCTCTGAACTTCCTTTAATAGCCCTCACCTTTACCCTCCTGAAGAACTCATTTACTTTCTAAACAGGTGCAGCAAGACTTCGCAAGACATTTCACATCAGCAAGCAGCCGCCCTCCTCCACACTTACTTAAAAAACCTTTCTCCTTATATTAACTCTACTCCCCCCATATTTAGACCTCTCACAACACAAACTACTATTCCTGTGGCCGCTCCTTTATGTTTCTCTCAGCAAAGACCCACTAGAATTCCCCTAGGTAATCTTTCACCTTCTCAATGTTCCTTTACTCTTCATCTCCAAAGCCCAACTACACACATCACTGAAACAATTGGAGCATTCCAGCTCCATATTACAGACAAGTCCTCTATCAATATTGACAAACTTAAAAACGTTAGCGTAATTATTGCTCAGGAAGACACTTACCCTGTATTTCACTCCTTCCTTGTCTACCTTGCTTATCAGACTCTCCTCCCAGGCCCTCTTCTTGTTTACTTACACCCAGCCCTGAAAATAACAGTGAAAAGTTGCTCATAAATACTCAACGTTTTCTTATACACCATGAAAATTGAACCTCCCCCTCTACATAGTTACCCCATCAGTCCCCATTACAACCTCTGACGGCTGCCACCCTAGCTAGATCCCTAGGAGTCTGGGTACAAGACACCGCTTTCAGCACTCCTTCTCACCTTTTTACTTTGAATCTCCAGTTTTGCCTCGCACAAGGTCTCTTCTTCCTCTGTGGATCCTCTACCTACATAGGTCTACCTGCTAATTGGACAGGCACATGCACACTAGTTTTCCTTACCCCCAAAATTCAATTTGCAAATAGGACCGAAGACCTCCCTGTTCCCCTCATGACACCGACACGACAAAAAAAAGCTATTCCACTAATTCCCTTGCTGGTCAGTTTAGGACTTTCTGCCTCCACTATTGCTCTCGGTACTGGAATAGCAGGCATTTCAACCTCTGTCATGACCTTCTGTATCCTCTCTAATGACTTCGCTGCTAGCATCACAGACATATCACAAACTTTATCAGTCCTCCAGGCCCAAGTTGACTCTTTAGCTGCAGTTGTCCTCCAAAACCACGGAGGCCTTGACTTACTCATTGCTGAAAAAGGAGGACTCTGTATATTCTTAAATGAAGAGTGTTGTTTTTACCTAAATCAGTCCAGCCTGGTGTATGACAACATAAAAAAACTCAAAGATAGAGCCCAAAAACTTGCCAACCAAGCAAGTAATTATGCTGAACCCCCTTAGGCACTCTCTAATTAGATGTCCTAGGTCCTCCCAATTCTTAGTCAAAACCCATTTTTCTCCTTCTTTTATTCAGACCTTGTATCTTCCGTTTAGTTTCTCAATTCATCCAAAACTGTATCCAGGTCATCACCAATCATTCTATACGACAAACATTTCTTCTAACATCCCCACAATATCACTCCTTACCACAAGATCTCCCTTCAGCTTAATCTCTCCCACTCTAGGTTCCCACGCTGCCCCTAATCCCGCTTGAAGCAGCCCTGAGAAACATCGCCCATTCTCTCTCTCCATACCACCCCCCAAAAATTTTCGCCGCCCCAACACTTCAACACTATTTTGTTTTATTTTTCTTATTAATATAAGAAGGCAGTAACTATGGAAGGTGATGGATAAGTTCACTTGTTTGTAATAATCATTTCACTATGTATAGCAAAATAATGTGCTTTATACCTTAAATACATACAATGAGAATAAATTTTTAAAAAGATAAATGTTTAAAAAAGAAGAATGAACTCGACTGTGGGTTCACTGATTGTAACAAGTGCACCCCTGGTGGGGGATGTTCACTGTGGAGGAGGCTGTGCCATGTCGGGGCAGGGGGTGGATGGGAACTATCTGTCCCTTCCACTTAATTTTGCTGTGAACCACAAACTGCTCTAAAAAATAAAGTATATTCTTTCTAATGGGCAAAGGATTGAACAGGCATTTCTCCAAAGATATACAAATGGCCAATAAGCTCATGACAAGATACTGCACACCATTAGTCATCAGGGAAATGCAAATCAAAACCACACTTCACACCCACACTCAGGAGCCTCACAAAGGTGTGTGGGCTCAGGTGACACAGTCTCTGAATTCCAATTCCTTGGCTGGTCCAGCGAGAGAGAGTGGGGTGCCGGGGGTGGGGATGAAGGCAATGTTGGCCTCTGTGGTCAGTGCTCCTGGTGCTCATCCTCCGTGGGCCCTAGAGAATGTGTGGAATGATCCGTGCATGGGCCCCTGTGTTCCTGAGGACAGGGAACTGATGTTCCAGGACGCAGAGCCCAACACAGTGGATGCAGCTCAGGACAGATTCAGGAGCCTGTTTTGTTTCTGCTGTTAGCTATTTGTGACTTGGCCAGTCCTGTTCCTCCCTGGGCTGGGGCTGATGATCACTGGATGAGGTGACCCAGGGCCCCTTCCAGCTCTAACACCAGTAACTACTTTTTGCTCCTGCTTTTAATGACTCAAAGTGGTAATTTGTAGCCTGCAAAGTGGCAGTGACAAAGTCCCCAATAGCACAGCACAGCTAATTAAAGCCTGGTGATGTCAATACATTTTGCAAACCAGAGCCACACACACACATGCACAGGTTATTTCTAAAAGACTCCATCCGTGACTCAAGAAAGCTTCCTGCAAGGATGTCACAACCACACACCCCGACCAAGTCTCCCTGCTTGGCCCAAGCCACCCTCCCAGCCACATCCCAGGACTATGCTGTGTCTGAAGCCAGCAAGCTTTCAGACAAGGCGGAGACAGAGGCAGCAGCCCAGCCCAGGGAATCAAGCCATCATCACTGTGATAGTTAATATTGAGTGTCAACTTGATTAGATTGAAGAATGCAAAGTAATGATCTTGGGCGTGTCTGTGAGGGTGTTGACAAAGGAGATTAACATTTGAGTCAGTGGACTGGGAGAGGCAGGCCCACCCTCAATCTGGGTGGGCACCATCTAATCAGCTGCCAGCGCGGCCAGAAGAAAAGCAGGCAGAAGAACATGGAAAGACTAGACTGGCTGAATCTTCTGGCCTCCATCTTTCTCCCATGCTGGATGCTTCGTGCCCTCTAACATCAGATTCCAAGTTCTTCAGCTTTGGGAATCGGACTGGCTTCCTTGTCCCTCAGCTTGCAGACAGCCTATTGTGGGACCTCAGCTTGTGGTCATGTGAGTCAATACTCCTTAATAACTCTGCTTTATATATACATCTGTCCTATTAGTTCTGTCTTTCTAGAAAATCCCAACTAATACAATCATCATCAGACATTTCACACTCAGAGACTCATCTGTACATCCACCACATTGCAAGTCAAGAACCCTTCCCAGCACAGCCACACTTGCTATTGACTAGATTGGCCACTCCGAGAGCTGTGAGACATAAGAGCACTGTGGAGGAGGGGCAGGGAGACTGAGGCAGGGCACGCCCAACTGCCCACCTGCCTGACGGATGCTCCCTATCAAGGTTTCAATCGTCGAGAATGAGAACATCAAAACCATTTTCATGTCATCCCGGTCCTTGGAAAAGGGACTCTCTCAGCCACATCTGCCCGTTTGAGTGAATTCATATTCTGCGGGTGTCACCAATGGAAGAATTATACAGGTCAGACGAGTCACTTCGGAGCAGTGCAGGGTTGACCTTGCTCTCAGCCTGTCAGCAAGATGGATTCTGCCTTTGGGATTGCTTGCTGCCTCCAGGAGACCACACTCTGAGTCATAGCAGCACCTTCTAACCATTTCACCTTCTTCTGCTCCACTCTTCCACCAGAGGGTACCGTCAGCTCGCAGCTCCTCCTGCAAGGGACCACCAACTCCAGAAGGGCCCAAGGCTCCCCAGGAGGTGAGGACCATGGCCAACTGGAAAGGAAAACCAGTTTCTTATGGATGTCAGTGACTCCTGAATCTGTCAGTAGATGACCCTTTAAGAGGACTGCTGGCCACTGTCCTCCTCTGCAGCCGTCAGTGTGCGGGCCCTGCTATGTGCAGACAGATGTGCCACACCTGCTCAGCTCTGAAAAGGACTCAGAGTGATGGAAATTGTTTCTTTGGGAATGGACACAGGAAAGCGTTGGTTGTGAAGAGGTTTGTGTCAGGCCTCTGAGCCCAAGCTAAGCCATCATATCCCCTGTGAGCTGCACGTATACATCCAGATGGCCTGAAGCAACTGAAGATCCACGAAACAAGTGAAAATAGCCTTAACTGATGACATTCCACCATTGTGATTTGTTTCTGCCCCACCCTAACTGATCAATGTACTTTGCAATCTCCCCCACCCTTAAGAAGGTTCTTTGTAAATCTCCCCACCCTTAAGAAGGTTCTTTGTAATTCTCCCCACCCTTGAGAATGTACTTTGTGAGATCCACCCCCTGCCCACAAAACATTGTTCCTAACTCCACCGCCTATCTCAAAACCTGTAAGAACTAATGATAATCCCACCACCCTTTGCTGACTCTCTTTTCAGACTCAGCCCGCCTGCACCCAGGTGAAATAAACAGCCTTGTTGCTCACACAAAGCCTGTTTGGTGGTCTCTTCACACGGACGTACGTGAAAGGTTGCTCATCACATCCCAGGGTGAGGTCCTCGGCTTGACAAAAGTCTGGTGGTAACCGTCCACGAGGGAGGAGCACCACCTCGTCCCAGGCAAAGGAGGAGAAACCTCCCCCTCAAATCTGGAAGCTGCAGAGAGCAGAGCCACCTGGCTCAGCAAAGGGCTCAGCAGAGGAGAAGACTGTAAGGTTCTTGTATCAGTTCGAACCCCAAGAGCAAGCGAGCCAACAGACAACACAAGGCGGTGTGGAGCCACATGTTGTTTTAATGAGCGCCTGGGTGCAGGTGGGCTGAGGCCTAACATGGCGTCAGCACCAAGTGAGGATGGGGCAAAAGTTTTATAGTTTCCTGTAAACAGGAAGTGTCCTAGTCTGATGTAACTGCTGCATTGTACCCGGATGGCCTCTTTCTCGATCTCCAGGGGTATGCGTCTTCCGGCCAGCTCTCTTCCTGCTTCTGCTATCTTGCGGGCGCACGCTGATGACACAAGTGACCTTGGAGCTGGGCCTGAGAATGGAGGGGCTACTCATCCCCTTAAGCTTTCAGGCCCGGGGAGAATCTTACAGAGGTGGATGCAGGAGATGTTCAGGTCCATCCTGGTGGCCCCAGTTTCCAGCTTTAGGAAGAGGGCAAGCGGCTGGGTGGAGCTGCAGGTTCAATCATCTACATAACTAATTTCATTTTCCCAGCAGCCCTGAGAAAGGGGTAGCATGACCTATTCTATTTTTTTTATTGATTCAAAATCGTTGTGCATAGTTTTTGGGTGCATGTGTACCATGCATAGTAATCAAATCAGGGTGATTGGGGTACCCAGTTTTGGAAGTGAGGCAGCTGAAATTCAGGAAGGCAAAGTCACAGCCACAAGCTCACACAGCAGAGAGGTGACACCATGGAAACAACCCTGGTGCGATTCTAGCCCAACCTTCCCTTGAGTGTTCCCTGCGGATGCAGCTGGGCCAGCCCCTGGAGAGTCAGCAGGTTTGCCAACCACAACCCTGGGGTCTGAGAGCCACACCTGGGCAAATATCCTCCCCTCAGGCTATGGGGTACTCTGGGATGACAGAGAGAGTCCCCACCCTGTCCTCACAGAGGAAAGACAAGAGACAATGCAATCAGGGATAATGAGGACCAGGAGAAAATGAACCCCGAGCACCTGATCCCAGCTCAGGATCAAGGAAGGCTGCTTGCAGGAAGTGGCCTTTCTGCTGAGATAAGAGGATGTCCAGGAGTTTGTTGATGAAGAGTCAAATTCCGTAAAATATTTGCAGAGGTTTGTTCTGAGCCAAATATGAGTGACCATGGCCCGTGACACAGCCCTCAGGAGATCCTGAGAACAGGTGCCCAAGGTGGTCCGGGTGCAGCTTGGTTGTATACATTTTAAGGAGACATGAGACTTCAGTCAAATACATTTAAGAAATACATCATTTCAGTCCAGAAGGGTGGGACAACTCGAAGGGTGGGGGAGGGCAGGTGGTTCCAGGTTATAAGTAGATTTAAAATTGGTCTAATTGGCAATTAGTTGAAAGAGTTATCCATAGAAAGGAATGTCTGGATTGTGATAAGGGGTTGTGGAGACCAGTGTTTTATTATGCAGGTGAGGCCTCCAGGCAGCAGACTTCAGGGACAATAGACTGTAAATGCTTCTTAACAGACTTAAGGTCTGTGTTGATGTTAATGCCGGAGGGAGGGGTAGAATGAGGCATGTCTGACCCCCACTTCCCATCATGGCCTGAACCAGTCTTTCAGGTTACATTTTAGGGTGCCCTTGCCGAGGAGGAAGTCCATTCAGATGGTTGAGGGGCCTTAAAATTTTATTTATGGCTTACAAGTTGGTCAGGAGAAGAATAGAGAGGGAGGAAGGTGGGGTATTCCTGGCAGAGGGTCAGGGTGGGGAGTGGCCAAGAAGTGAGAGAGGGCATTTGCAGCCATTGAGGAATGACAAGAAGTCAGGCTGCCTGGGGTAGAGTTGGGGACAGGAGAGTAGACAGGGTTCAGAGGGGTCGGAGGTCAGAGGGCACCATGTCAGGTCAGGGTTCAGAGGGGTCGGAGGTCAGAGGGCACACATGCTGGAGGAACTGCAGGTTCTCAGCTTGAAGGTTCTCTGATTTGGGGGAGAGTGGCATGACTAGATTTCAGTCATGTGGAGCCCCCAGCCAAGAAGCCAGCCACACCAGCAGAGGATGATGAGGACGATAACATGGACCTGTTTGGCAGTGACGGTGAGGAGGACAAGGAGGCAGCACTGGTGGTCAAGTCCTCCATCCTCCTGGATGTCAAGCCTTGGGACAATGAGACGGACATGGCCCAGTTGGAGGCCTGTGCACGCTCCATCCAGCTGGACAGGCTGGTCTGGGGGGCCTCCAAGCTGGTGCCCATGGGCTACGGTATCCAGAAGCTGCAGATTCAGTGTGTGATGGAGGACGACAAGTTGGGGACAGACTTGCTGGAAGAGGAGATCACCAAGTTTGAGGAGCATGTGCAGCCT
The DNA here is from genome assembly GCF_000001405.40 of Homo sapiens. Classification (NCBI taxonomy): domain Eukaryota; kingdom Metazoa; phylum Chordata; class Mammalia; order Primates; family Hominidae; genus Homo; species Homo sapiens. Next base: position 4,175,554 of record NC_000001.11, on the reverse strand, counting down.
GTCAACATCACAGCTTTCAACAAGATCAGAAGCCTCAGTGTGTGTGTGCACATGCACGTGAGGCCCTGCCATGATTAAAAACTGAGACGGGCAAAAAAAAAAAAAAAAACTCCCTGGCTCTGCTGACGGCACCATATCTCAGTTCACTTAGGCAGCCATAACACAAATACCACAGGCTGGGTGGCTTCAACAACAAACTTGTATTTCTCCCCGTTCAGGAGGCCAGGAAGTCCAAGATTGAGGCACTGGCAGGTTTGGTGTCTGGTGAGGCCGGCTTCTGAGCTCATTGTGTCCTCACATGGTGGAAGGGGCGAGAAAGCTCTCTGGGGTCCCTTTTATAGGGTGCTCATCTCATTCATTGGGGCTCATCCTATTTGTTGGGGCTCCACCTTCATGACCCTCACGCTGGCGTTAGGATTTTCACATATGAATTTTGGAGGGACACAACATTCCATCTGTAGTACCCACCATCACTCAGCAGCAGGCCAAGAACCTAGAAGCCTCCCCGGCCCTTCACCATCACGATGGCCTCGGTGAAGGGCAGGGCCTCTGGAGCCAGCCTGCCTGGGCCTGAATTCTGGCCTCACGGCTCGCGCAGACAATGCTCATCTGTAGAGTGAGGATGATAACAGTACCCAGCTCTTAGATCAGAGCCTGGAAGGTCATCAGACCTACGGGGCAGCTCTGAGTGTGGACAAGTCTGGGGGACTCCACCCCCAGAGGTACCCCTGAATCCAGCCTCTCCACACACCCACACAGCACCCTGCATGCCAGCCACCACCATGACACTCTGGATGTTGGGGAGAGCCTCCCCCAGGCCTCCATATTCTCGCTATTGCCCTCCTCAACCCAGTCCTCCCAACCACAGCCTCGGGCTCTCTTTCAAAATAAGCAAGCCAGAGAATCCTATCCCGGCTGCAGCACCCCTCATCCAGACTGGAATAAACTCCACACTCTTCCCAGGCCCCTGGGCTCAGGACCAGAACACACCTCCTCTGTCCGCCTCCTGCCTCTCCCAGGTGCCCACTGTGCCCCAAGTTCATGGAGTCCATTCCCAAGTCAAGACAGTTCCACTGCCGGGGACATTCTTCTTCACTCCCAGGAAGAACTTTCCTGACACCCAAACCTGCGCCAACTGCGATTCTCCCTCCCTGTGCCCCACCGTGTTTCGTCCCGGCTCTTGCCACCCCTCGGTCCTGAATTTCCCATCACTTCCTAATCAGCATGTTCATCCCCCGACATGGGTGACATCAGGAACACAGATTCTGTCAGTCTTGTTCTCTGTCCCACCCCCAGCTTTGAGAGGCCACAGCGCTGGGAGCACAGAGAGCCTCTAAATGGTTTCTGAGAGAAATAGCACCCATCAAGGGACAGTGGTGATAATTTGGGTGTAAGATAGTGATGATGACTTGGGTGAAGTTTGTGTCCTTCACAAAGACATGTTGAATTCCCCGTACCTGGAAATGGGACTTTATTGGAAATAGGCTCTTTGCAGATTTATTAAATTAAGATGAGTTCATACCCAATTAGCGTGGGCCCTGATCCAACAGCACTGGCGTCCCTCTAAGAAGCGGAAACAGACACAGAGGCGGGCAGAACACCAGTGACAACAGAGGCAGAGGCTTGAAGTGATGCGTCTACATGCCAAAGAGTGCCAGGGATGCTGGCAAGCCCCAGACGCTGGAAGACAAAAGGAAGGACCCTCCTGCGGAGCCTCAGGGAGAGCCAGTGCCTGGTGACACCTGGATTTTGGACGTCTGGCCTCTAGAACTGCCAGAGAACACATTTTTGTTGTTCAAGCCACAAGGTTTGTGATATTTTATTTCTGCAACCACAGGAAACTAGTCCAGGTCCACCCTTCACTGAGATCAGAAAGGAGGGGGACAAAGATGATTTGTAGGGATGGGAGGAGGGGAAGAGAGAGGATCCAGCTTAGACTGTTTGGGGAGCAGGAGACACCCTGCAAGGGCACTGGGAATGCTGCTGACCACACAGATCAGGGCTCAGGCTAAACGCTGGTGAGAGACAGGTCTGGAGATCAGCCCAGGGTGAAGTGGCTGAGCTCCTCAGCCGAGAGCCACGTGCAACACGGGGCCAAGCACAGAGGCTGCCTGCATGGGACTCTCGCCTCCACTGGGGCTGAGGATGTGGCATTGAGTGGAAGCCTCAGTAACCTCAGCAGTGAATCGAACGAGATGCCAGCACCCCCTGCAGGGCGACTATGAGGATCAAAGACTTCATCTGTGTCCATGCTGAGCATGCAGACTCACGCACAGCAAGTGCCCCGTACATAGGACTTGCCATTGCCCCTGTGATGATCACAATTTCCCAAACAGAGAGGCGCCAAGACAAAAGTGATCTGTGATCAAATATTTGCAGCATCCCCCTTTGGAAGTCCATAGCACATATTTGCACATTAAAGGCTCTGAGAAGTCCTGCAGGGAAGACACACACTCAAACCTGAAGTCTTCAAATACAATTTTCTTTAGTGCAGGCTGTACCTGAGTCTTTGAAGTGCTAATGCCTATTGGGATTCTTCAAGAAGAGGAGTCACAGACAGGTTAAGTGACTTGCCCAAGTCACACAGCTAGCCAGTCTCACTGGGGTGGGGAGCCGGAGACCTTACACTTTGCTGCCACTAGGATGCCGGTGCCTGGCATGGCACAGTGCTAATTTGGGATGGATTCCATTGCTCCATGAGTTGGGAGGGGGAGAGGTGTGCAAAGGGAGACAGAGAGGGCCTCCTACCCGATCCCATTTTTCTTGGCTTCATTCCCCAATGACTAGCAGGTGACTCCATCATCTGGTGCAGTGTACAAGATGCTATTCTGGGCACACTGGGACATTTGCCGCTAAGCAATCACTCTTGGACTGCAGGTGTCACAGTCTACTCCGCACCCCTTAGTGCTCCCCCTGAAACATGAGATATTCACTCGCTTATTCTCTGAGATTCTGTGGGCACCTGCACCTGCCAAGCACAGCACTGGATGCCGGGGGAGAGGCAGAGATACAAGGAGAGCTTAGCAACTCTCTCCTTGGGTCTCTCCTGCGTGGCTGAGCAACTCTTCAATACCATGGAGGCCCCTGTTTCAGAGGGGCCTCTTGCTGAGCACCTTCCTGAGGGTTTGATGGAAGAGAGAAGGGGCAGGACTTAGAGGGTGGTGGGTGACCGAGGCACCGGGGGAGGGGCTCTGCAGGGCAGTCAGTGACGCCTCCCCGGGGGGTCACAGATGAGTCAGTCGCATGAGGGTGGAGGAGGTGTGGGAGCTGCAGGCAAACAGGCGATCAGGAGAGGAGCCCAGCGACCTGAGAACCAGGTTTGCCAGGGAGGCTCAGGGAGACTCCTGAGGAGGGAGCTGCCCTGGTTGGGGGTAGGGGGTCGGAGGAAGCGAGGACGTTCGTGAGGCAGGTCCCACCCAGGCCAAATTTCCTGCTCAAGACTTTGACCTTCCAGTTGACAGTGCTTTGGAACTCAGGAGCCCCTGGGGGAGAAAGATTCCTTGGGATTTCTCAGGCAGGGAAGACCCAATGTCTGGGAGCCTGGGCTTTGGGGTGGGGATAGACCCTGACGAGCTGTGTGACCTGAAGCAAGTCCCTTCGCCCCTCGCGAGCTCAAGCTTCCTCTCTAAAATGGGCAGCACAAAACAATCGGCTTTAGCACGTTAGAGTTGGTGCTGGGATTTAAAAAGATCATGTGGGTGAAATGCCTCGCATGGCTCCTGGCCCAGGCAGGGCTCAGACAGCAGTGACCTACCAGCCGCAGAGGCAGTCGTGGCTACTGATGTGTTGGAAAGGGAAGGCAGCAAGCAGAGGGGGACACATGGCTTCACCATTCATTTATTCTCAGCCAACTGTTTAGCTAAGAGTGTGGGCCATGTGCCAGGCATGAGAGCTGTGCAGGGGCAATGGTAACAAACGCCAGCAATCCTAACTCCTCCCAGCACAGAACGCCGTCCAGGCTGGGTGAGAGACACTAACCTAGCTGTCACACCCACAGTCAGGAAAGGATCAACACCATCTAGGCAACAAATGCAGGCTTCTGCCATGATGGAGAGAGTAGAGTCAGAGAAAAGCACGTGGACCGGAAGGCGTTGGGAAGGCCCTGGAGATGGAGCTGATGGGGACACAGAGAAGAGAACACAGATGAGCGTGTGGCTGAGGGCCGACACGGGCAATGGTGACAGGTCAGCCCGGGAGGTGGGTTCAACAAGAGGATGAGCTACATTCCACACACGTTGAGTTTAAGGAGCTGCAGGACGTCCAGTGGGGGCTGCATAGAAAGACATAGCGGCATCTGCTAATGAGGAGAAGCACTCTCCACGCCACCCTGTCCCCCCTGCACCAAACCCCTCTCCGTGCTGGTGTGTGGTGTACCGCAAAGTGGCACGCAGCCCGTGGGAGTGTCGGATTGTCATTCTGAGTCTATTTCTCCTTGTGGGCTGCCGCACAGACAGTAAATGATGCAATTCTGCTGGGGCGCAGACGGGTGAGCTCTGTTTCCACAGCAATGCTGGGCTGTGCTTCCAACATCTCTCTCTGGGGATCTTCCCACAGCAGAAAAATGCGTGGTAAGTAGAAAAGCTTGCTGAGAGACCTCAAGGCCTCCACTTCAGTCTGCAACTTGGAAACTTCCAGCAGACCAAGAGATAGAAGAGACAGGAGAAGGGTGAGAAGAAGAGGGGGCCAGGAAGGGACAAGGAGGCAGGATTGGCCTCCTTGAGCAGCTCTCGTCTCTGAAATGGTGAAAGAACGGCCGTCGAAATGCAAAGCTCTGCTCTAGGAGTAGAAGCGAAGGCTGCTGAGGCATCATTCACCACTTACCTGAGGGACAACCGATGCGTGGAATAACCGAGCGATTCTCAGGAGCTCCTGCTCTCAAGCCACGGACTCTTAGGACTAAAGTCATGTTCCTGGGACTCGATGCCATTAGCACATCCTGCCCCAAATCAAACCCTTCTCCTGTACAGGTTTCCAGACAGCCTTCCTCGGTCTCACCCTCAGCTGTCTGTGAGTCACCCCTACCCACTGCAGCTCCCCGTTGGCAAATGACGAAAAATTGGGCCACATTATCACGGATACCACGTGCATCAAGAAAACAAATTAAGTCTAACATTTGTGCGGTGACAGCTGACCTTTGCATGATTAAAATGAATGGCTGCAAAAGGAGGCAGAATAAAGATGTTTAACTTAGTGAAGCAAGCTTGGAAGCCTGGGGATGTTTCTGGGCAAACCTGAAGGTGAGACAAAAACAGGGTCACACTGCCTGCTGGCACCTGTTGGCCAGAAGAGGGGCCACTGTTGGGGAGAAGGGCCGGGGCATGGGCTTCCAGACCAAGAGAGAGAGCATGGCCTCCCCTGGCCCTGACCTGGCCCAGCTCAGCTGGGAGCACCAGTCTCTTCCAGTGCCTGCATCGAGCTCTCTGCTGTTTCATCTCCCCCTGTTCTCATCGCTCCTGTTAGTTCAAGATTTGTCACTGTATGCCCCGGGACTGGCCTAAGTGGTGGCTTCATAAATATGGAAGGGGCCTGGTGCGGTGGTTCATGCCTATAATCCCAGCACTTCGGGAGGCCGAGGTGGGTGGATCACTTGAGGTCAGGAGTTCAAGACCCACCTAGCCAACATGGTGAAATCCCATTTCTACTAAAAAATACAAAAATTAGCCAGGCATGGTGGTACACACCTGTAATCCCAGCTACTCAGGAGGCTGAGGCAGGAGAATCACTTGAACCCGGGAGGCAGAGGTTGCAGTGAGTCAAAATCATGCCACTGCACTCCAGCCTGGGTGACAGAGTAAGACTCTATCTCAAAAAAGAAATAAATGAAAATAAATAAATGTGGAATGAATGAGTCAAAGCTCCTTAAGGATGGTGTGTATTTCTTTTGCCTTCTTCATGGGACCCAGCCTCCAGCTGGGCAGACGTGACCCCTCTGAGATCTGCAGAACCTGCTTCTCTCTCTAGCAGGCTCTCCTCACACGGCCATATGTCTTGTGGGAGGTAGACAGACCTGTGCTCCTTGAAGACAACGACTGTGTCTAAGTAATTATGTATTTTTCTCCACGTAACACTGCACTCATATAGCTGGTGATTCAATCATTGTGTTAAGTGAGCAGGGTATAAGCGATGTAGGGGTCTTGCTTCTCTGATTTTGGGTGGAGTTCATGTGACACTAGCAGGAATCATAAAGAAGGCACGGATCTGGTTCTGTGTGCAGAAGAAGCATGGAATGGTTGGTGTTGGACTGCAAAGAGCTCAGGTGACCCACTGTTCAGCAGCATTTCCCCATTCTTCGTCTTGGCAAAGTCTTCTTCATTTTCTGTATCTGCAGAACTTCCTTGACAATGTAGACAGGTAAGAAGAATGAATAATTGCTTCAATGGCTGAAATGTGTTGAGCAGTTCCTATGGCCACATATGAACAGTGTATGAGAGAATATGTATGAGAGAATACATTCCTGTGATTTTTAAGCTGCCCAGCTCAAGATACTTAATTATGACCACCTAGGAACCTAACAGGGGCCACATATGCTTAGCACACGCCACCTGACCAATCATCCCAGCAGCCCCAGGAGGTGGAGACCTGTTACAAGTTGAATTGTGTCCCTCCAGAAAGGTATGTTAAAGCCCTAACCCCCCCATACCTTTCAGTGTGACCTGATTTGGAGCTAGGGTCTTTGCAGATGCAACTGAGTTAGGAGAAGGTCTTCAGGTAGGTTCTTATCCAATATGACTAGTGTCCTTCTAAGAAGAGGAGACAGACACACAAGGGGGAGTTGGCCATGTGACCACAGAGCCAGTAATTGGAGTGATGCTACCACAAGCCGAGGGATTCCAGGAGCCACCAGAATCTGGAAGAAGCAAGGAAGGACCCTCCCCCAGAGGCTTCTTAGTGAGCATGGCCCTGCCCACACCTTGATTTCTGAGTTCTGGCCTCCTGGGCAGGTGAGATAATAAATTCCTGTGATTTTTAAGCCATCCAGCTTGTGGTACTTGACTATGACAACCTAAGAAAGTCATAGAGGGCTATTATCATCTCAATATTGCTGTTGAAGAAACAGACTCTGATGACTAATATTGAGTGTCTACTTGATTGATTTGAAGGATGCAAAGTATTGTTCCTGGGTGTGTCTGTGAGGGTATCGCCAAAGGAGCTTAACATTTGAGTCAGTGGACTGGCAGAGGCTGACCCACCCTCAGTCTGGGTTGGCACCATCTAATCACCTGCCAGCGAAGCTAGAATAAAAGCAGGCAGAAGAATGTGGAAGGAATAGACTGGCTGAGTTTTCTGGCCTCCCTCTTTCTCTTGTGCTGGATGCTTCCTGTCCTCGAATACTGAACTCCAAGTTCTTCAGCTTTTGGACTCTTGGACTTATACCAGTGGTTTGCCAGGGGCTCCTGGGCTTCCCTACTTTCAAGGTTTTGGGACTCAGACTGGTTTCCTGGCTCCTCAGCTTGCAGATGGCCTATTGTGGGACTTCACCTCGTGATCGTGTGAGTCAATTCTCCTAATAAACTCCCCTTCACATATACGTCTATCCTATTAGTCCTGTCCTTCCAGAGAACCCTGACTAATACAGGCTCAAAGAGGTTAAGCATGTTGCCCAGGGTCACAGAGCTAGTAGGTTAAAGTACACATGCAGAAGCCCATTGCAAAGGCAACGGGCGTGCACCTGCCACGTGAGAGAATCACCCACCGTGCCCTCCAGTCGCCAGACTGTATCTGACCCATGTGGATGGAAACCATTCTCATATAGATGGTCCGCTTCCATGCCTCCCTAATCCTGGAAAGTAATTGACTTCTTCTTAGATGAGTAAAGAACTTTGTGCACATGCACTTGTGTGGTTACAGAGAGCACCGTTGGGAGCTGCCGTGAAGCCGTTTTGTTTTCTTCTGCAGTGGCAGGCTGTCGTCTGCCATGTCTCCTGGCATCTGCCACTAGCAGGCTCTTTGATGTCAGATTTTCTTAGGACCGAAAATGAGCTCACAGAGCCTTTGGGTAATTGTGTATTTATAAAAACATCATAATAAGAAGAATAACAACAGCTAACATTCATGTGACAGTTACTGCCTCAGTTAATCCTCTGAAGCCTGCACAGTAAATGGCACTGCCCATGGTTTGACAAGGGTGAGACAATGAGGTTCCAGAACGCGACGTGCTCACATCCACACAGCCAGCAGGCAGCGGGACTGGATCCCAAACCGAGAGGCCTCAAACTTTTCTGACCTCAAGGGCAGAGCCGGGGTGGCCGGGGCACTCAACAATCCTGGCAGGTCTCTGGTTTGCAGAATTGGGGTGTTGCGCACTGAGAAAATGATGGACAAGGAGATCTTCAGAAGAGCGATCACAAAGCCGCTGGCGGGAGACTGAGGACGCAGCAGAGTGCTTCTTCCAAATGAGTACGGGACACAGACCACCATCCAGCAGACAACTCCAGGCCCTGAGCCCTGCCAAGGATGGCTCCTGCATCTCAGGGTGGGAAACACTGTCATCTCCAGTCTCCACCCTCTTGTCCACCCCTCTTTATGAATCACGACCTCAAGCCCCACAGAGAGCATCTTAACACCAGCAGCTCCTTGAATGCCACCAGGCTCAGCATACTCGGTGCGGTTGCATCAGCTCACAGGCTGTCAGCCTAGCACTGCTCGGCTTAATTTTAAGGCTGTGATTTATGTGCAAAAAGCAGTGGTTTCGGAAGGCTTGGAGGAGTTGGGGGAGGAGCAGGATGGGGCAGAAGCCAACAAACAGCCTTCCACTGGGGGATCTGGAATGGAACCAAAGGAAGAGTCCAGGGAAGCTGGACCCTCAGGAAAGGGAAGGTGCCTGGAGGAAATGCCAGGCTAGGGCAGGGAGGAAAAGTCTGAGAGAGGAAGGGGAACCCAAGTGGGAGGCAAGAAATGTGGTCAGGCCCAGGCCAGGGGGGCAGAGGACAGTCACCAAGACAGCAGCAAAGACAGACAGACACCTGGAGAAGGAGCAGAGTGGAGGTGGTGACTCCACACCTTTCCCCACCAAGCTAGGCACTCGGAGCAGCTTGGGCGTGAGTTGCGACACTGCTGGTCCATCGGGTGCTTTTTTACCACTTAGAAAACAGTGTCCCCCTCTGGGCAGATAGCCCCTTCCAGGGCCTAAAGCTGAGCAAGGTGGGTAAGGGGTAGAATCAGCCAGGCGACCTGGTGCAGTGTACAACCTGAGCAACTGCCCTAGGCTGGGACCCCTCACCAGGCACAGGCAGGGTCTTTAAAGGGTTGGCCCGAGAGAGGAGGAACATTAGCCCCGAACTTGAGGAAAGCCTCAGAAAGGGCAAAGAGCACCAGCTGGGCCTCCCAGTGCAGAGCTCCAGATGTGAAACCTTTGCTAACCTCCAGTGTGGATGTGAGTGACATGTTTTCAGAAAGAGTTCTTTGCCATGAATAATTCAACCGAGAATTCCAGGGTAAAGACAGGCTTTTCTGACTCTTCCCTGACTAGTGTTAATCTGTCTGGAAACATTAAAGATAAAATGTTGGCACCTGCAGAAACGTGGCGGGTTCTTGACGTTCTAAACAAGGATGTGCTGGCGAGGCGTGTGTCCGCTCAAGGCAGCGCCTCCGCCATCAAAAGACTTCACATCTGGAGCAACGTGATAGAGAAGAGAGAAGACAGTTAACGGCACTAAAAAGTCGGTTTGCCAAGAACACAGGACTAAATTACAGATCATCTCCCAGGAAGGCTCCATACTCAAGGCCTGAGAAGCAGGAAGGGGGCTGGGTCTGGAAGCGTTTGTTTATTTTTTTGTTTGTTTGTTTCAAGGAAACGGATTGGCAGAATAATCAGTCCCGATGACAAGATTTCATCTGATGCACAAACTTTCAAAGAAAGTTTCTAGGCTTGGGAGGTTTGTGTAAATTAATAGCTACTCAAGGGAAGTACAAGGAGGGGCAGTCTTGGGCTCGACCACAGGTCTTAGGTACATTTTCCAGCAGGGTGGGCTGCATTTGCAGGGCTCGGTGCTCCTTCTGAAGGCAAGTGACCCTGGGAGGCCTGCTGGGGTCAGACCCTCACGGAAGAACAGGCATGGCTGGAGGACCTCAGAAGCCGTCTGGGAGGAACGGGAGCCCAAAGGAGCAGTCAGGGGCAGGAAAGCATCTCTGTCCTACAGAGCTGGCAGGACGGTATCTCCCAGGACTTGGGGCTCAGGGACACGGTCCAGTGGAGTTACAAACAGGTGCAGGGAGGAGAAGGGTGCAAAGGGCATCCTAGGTGCAGAACCTGATGTGAGAGGGAACAAGGATATTTGCAGAATTGAGCTTGGTGTGTCTGAAGCTGCAGAAGCCAGAGCTCCAGAGCTGAGACCAAAGAGGCAGAGCTGAGAGGCCATGAGGGCAGGGCCTGGGTGGGGCCCTGCAGAGGGGCTGTGCAGGGGTGGAGCTGTGCAGGGATCCTGCAGGGGTGAGAGGTGCTGGATCCTGCGGGTCATGCTAAAGGTTTGGACTGCGACCAGCAGTCAATGGAGTTGCTGAAAGGGAATAAAGCGGGCAGCACGTGATGAAATGTGTATTTCTGAAAGGTCACTATAGCTTCAGGGTAAAGGATGGTTTGGAGCAAGAGACAGACAGAGGTGGCTGGGCTAGAAGATTGTTTCAAAAGTGCAGACAAGGTGGAGGGGGGCTAAGTGAGCCAGTGCCATGGGGGCAGGGGTGACAAAAGGTGAATGCATTTGGAACATATTGAAGACACAGACTCCACCATGGCAGAGAAAGTTTGGAATCCAGGATGCCCCAAGGTGAAGCTTAATCAAGCAGATTGACGCCATGGCCTGGTCCTGAGCTGGGGAGCCCCAAGGGAGGCATAGGTGCAGGAGAAAAAAAATAACAGTCACTGAGCCAGGTCACCCCTGAGGTTCCTAGAGAATGCCAGGTAGAGGTGGCCGACAGGTAGGTGTGTGGCTTCCACATGTTAGCCATGGACAAAGAAAGCAAGCAAGAGAAGACACCTGTGGGAGGAGGAAGATGGTTTGAGTTGAAATATTTGTGGCAGGAGCCTGTTGGTTTTGTGATGCTTCTGAGAGAAACAACCAACTGATGAAGGCTGCTCCACCCTGGGGTCAACCCTCTTAGAAACGCAGGGAACAGCCGGAAAACAAGGCATGAAGAGAAGTGCGAAAGCGCTCATGGGGAGGGCAGGAAAAGCCGGGGGCCACCAGGAGGCTGAAATCCATTTATTTTCCTTTAGAAACTAGTGACAGCTTTTCATGTTCTAGCATTCTCTGCAGAAATTCAGGAGCGTGTCCACATTCCCCATGCATGCACTCTGCCTGTCGGAAGACGCTGAGGGAAAAATAGTGAAAATGGAAACAGAAGCCACAGTCCTCTGTTTCTCCTACTTCAAGACAAGTGACAGAAGGAGCCCTGCTCAGTCACACAGCAGCTCCCATTTCCACCTGCAGCACCTCCAGACACCAGCCCCAAAGGAGATGCTATTGTGTTTTGTTTTGTTTTGTTTTGCTTTTTTCAGTGCAATGCCTTTTCTTCGTAGTTTAACCTCTCTCCACCCAACAAGGAGGACCAGAGAACAGGTGTCACTGCTCTTGAGGGAAACTCACAGGACACCCTTGAGAGCAAGTCATCCTCACAGCCTGCCAAGAAGTCATCTCGCTCCATAGGTTAAGGTGCCCACGTCTCCGGGGTCCCCTGAGGCCTTCGGGAGGAGCGACATTTTCAGCCTTAGACATCATCAGGTACGCTTCAAAATGTGGTTGAAAATGAAAAGCCCAAATCTGAGTTGGTTTATCCCATCAGCAGTGGAAGACCAGGATTCCAGGATGGATCAGAAAATAGGAAAATCGAGTTGGGACTGGGGGCACTGCCTGGGGAGCCTGGGTGGAGGGCAGCACCTGGGGACGACCCTAAAGGGGCAGCGTTGACACTCAGCCACTCTGTGATTTTCCTCCAACCCTGTCTGCCCCAAAACGGTGCCCCTGGAAGAACGTGAAAAGTGGGCTGCCTCAGTACCTTGATGCTCCCAACCACTGGTCACCCTGGACATTCAGCCACAGAGACCTCAGCCCGCCCTGAGGTACTTGTTCATGTTTAATCGTGCTGAGGGATAGAAAGTTCATCCTCATGTTGCACTGAATAGATCATTAAAGCTATTCATTGCCAGGCATAGTGACTCATGCCTGTAATCCCAGCACTTTGGGATGCCAAAGCAGGAGGATTGCTTGAGCCTAGGAGTTTGAGACCAGCCTGAGCAACAAAGTGAGACTCCTTCTCTACAAAACAAATTTAAAAACCCAGCTGGGTGTGGAGGTGTGTACCTATAGTCCCAGCTACTCGGGAGGCTGAGGCAAGAGGATTGCTTCAGCCTGGAGGTCAAGGCTGCAGTGAACCAAGATTGCACCACAGCACTCCAGACTGGGTGATGGAGTGAGATTGTGTCAAGAAAGAAAAAAGGGCCAGATGTGGTGGCTCACACCTGTAATCCCAGCACTTTGGGAAATCGAGGCAGGTGGATTGCCTGAGGTCAGGAGTTCGAGGCCAGTCTGGCTAACATGGTGAAACCCTGTCTCTACTAAAAATACAAAAAAATTAGCTGGGCATGGTGGCGTGCACCTATAATCCCAGCTCCTTGGGAGGCTGAGGCAAGGGAATTGCCTGAACTAGGAAGGTGGAGGTTGCAGTGAGCCAAGATTGCACCACTGCACTCCAGCCCAGGCGACAGAGCAAGACTCCATCAGAAAGAAAGGAAAGAGAGAAAGAGAGGAAGGAAGGAAGGAAGGAAGGAAGGAAGGAAGGAAGGAAGGAAGGAAGGAAGGAGAGAGAGAGAAAGAAAGAAGGAAAGAAAGAAAGAGAGAGGAGGGGAGAGGAGGGGAGGGAAAAAGAGACCTTTTCATCATCAGTGTGCTTCAGGAGGCACGTTAAATAATCCCCCTCCTCACAACAGCCCTTCCCGTAGATATGATCCCCATTTAATAGAAGAGAAAGGTAAGACTGAGAAATAATGACAGTCCTTATCTCTGACCTTGTCCCTGGCACTGTCTCCTTCAAAACTCACAACTCAGAGTCATCATCCCCATGTTGCAGTTGAGGAAATGGAGGTGTAAGAGACAGCAGGGCTCCACAGCCCATCCCAGCACACAGCCGAGATTCTGGTTCAGATCACTTGGTCCTGGGGATGCCTTGCAGTCAATCTCGGCATTCCCAGCCTCAGGCATTACTTCTGTCTTATGGCTCCGTCCGTCTTCCACACACCCCACAAGCATTTGGATCACAGTTGCGTCCTTCTATCTCTGCTGTCCCTGCGTTTTGCTGGGTGAATGTCCCCGGGTAACCCTGATCCTTGTTTGAAAGGTAGGTTCCAGGGCTCAAGGGCACAGGGGCAGGGACAGAAAGAGCGAGAGAAATAGAGAAAGAGAAAGAGAGACAGAGAGATCCGGGCTGAGGACCACCGGTGTCTGCCTTATCTAATCTTTGCGGGATCACCCTGAAAGCTGGGCGGCAGCCCCTGGTCCAAAACTGAGAAGCTAATACAGATGTCCCTTCTCCCTCCAAGCGGCCCTTTGGAATCTCCTGACCTGCATGAGTGACTTGAGGCAGAGACAGAACCGAGATAATGAGCCAAGCTGCTGTCTGGGTAAAGTTTACTGTCATTAAGCACTATCTCAAGAGTGTCTGCAATGTACACACACACACATAGTGTGTTCTCTCCATTCTCTTACGCAGTGTGCCCTGACCCATCTACTTACAGCAGACTGTCTGTCACTCACCACGGAGCCTCCTGGGGGCCCATGGAGAGCGTCCCCTCCCGCATGGCTCATGCCCCGCCCCCATGAGGTTTGGTGGTGGTGGGTGGGACTCGGGTCGCCGGACACCCAGGGGCCTCTCAAGTTGGTGAACCCCCATCCCCACCCCCAGCACCCCCCATATGCACCTCTGCTCCAGCTGTGTGGTTCTGTGTTGCAGACGGAAAGAAACACGTGCAGCCTCATCCCAGACGGCTCCGGGCAGAATTCCAATTCCGGTTTCTTGTCAGTAACGAGCGAGAGAAACCCGCGCAGATCCCGGCTCCTGCAGCCGAAACGTCCAGGGGCAGGCGGGGCGCCCCCCAGGTCCCCGGGCTTGCTCTACTTCCTCTGGGGTGCTCCCCACCCGGAACCCGGACAACAGCACCCAGGGCAGCACAGCAGCGAGGGCCGTTTCCGCAGGAGAGGCTCCCCCGAGGTCTGGACTGTTGCGAGGGAGGCACCCGTGCAGTTGCCCTCCTGGGAGGGCTGTGATCGTTCATTTTATCATCAGCTTGGCTGCGCCACGGTGCCCATTGCTCGGGTGTTTTTTAGATGAGATGAGCATTTAAATCTGTGGACTCGAGCCGGGCGCGGTGGCTCACGCCTGTAATCCCAGCACTTTGGGAGGCCGAGGCGGGCAGATCACGAGGTCAGGAGATCGAGACCATCCTGTCTAACACGGTGAAACCCCGTCTCTACCAAAAATACAAAAAAAAATTAGCCTGGCATGGTGTCGGGTGCCTGTAGTCCCAGCTACTCGGGAGGCTGAGGCAGGAGAATGGCATGAACCCGGGAGGCGGAGCTTGCAGTGAGCCGAGATCGCGCCACTGCACTCCAGCCTGGGCGACAGAGTGAGACTCTGTCTCAAAAAAAAAAAAAAAAAATTCTGTGGACTCTGAGTGAGGCAGATACCCCTCCGTAATATAGGTGGGCCCCGTCCCATCCGGCAAAGGCCTTAAGAAAGAAGACTGGAGTCCTCTGAGGAGAAGGGACTTCCGCTTCCAGCCTGCAGATTTCAGACTCAAGACTGAAGCATCAACTCCTCCCTGGATCTCCAGCCTGCCGACTTACCCAGCAGATTCCAGATGTGCAAACGTCATGGTCGAGTGAATCATATGACAATTCCTTAAAATCGATCAAACGATCTCTGTCTCTGTCTGTCTCTGTCTCTCTCTCTCTGTTGAGAAATAAGAGCCTGGACTCACTCTCTGGAGATCAGCTGCCCCCTGCCCCTACCCGTCTCCAGTCCCCCCAGAGGCTTCTGTGTGGACCCAGAGGGCACCAGCAAGACCCTGCAGAGGGTAGACATGACCCTTGGCCTGCGTGGCCACTGCCCCCAGAACTCAAACCCAGCTGGACCCAAGGCCATGGTCCCTGTGCCAGCCCTGCACACCCAACCCGTGCCCACCACAAAGCCCAGGCTGTCAGCGTACACTGTCCACTCTGCACAAGGGGACCCCTGCCCCTCCTCAGAACTGCTCTGAGGTCAGCGTCAGAGCCCTGCCTGCGCCATGGGGAAAGGCACCTCTTCCCCCAGGAGGCCAGACTCGCTCCATCTCCTTTTTTTTTTTTTTTTTTTTTTTGAGACAGAATCTCACTCTGTTGCCCAGGCTGGAATGCAATGGCGAGATCTTGGCTCACTGCAACCTCCGCCTCCCAGGTTCAAGCAGTTCTCTGCCTCAGCCTCCCTAGTAGTGGGGATTATAGGCGCCCACCACCATGCCATGCTATTTTTTTGTATTTTAAGTAGAGATGGGGTTTCACCATCTTGGCCAGGCTGCTCTTGAACTCCTGATCTCATGATACACCCTCCTCGGCCTCCCAAAGTGCTGGATTACAGGCGTGAGCCACCACGCCCAGCCTGCTGAGTCCCGGCAGGGCTCTCCAGGGCTCACACCCTGGTCCTTCTCCATCATTATTATTGCAGGCATTGCTCCTGCAATCAAAATTTAAATTCTCATTATCGGGCCCACCCCTTGGTCACTGCCCTCCACTCTCTTCCCATTCCTTGGGGGATACTCTTGCTCCTGGGGCCAGATATCGAGGGTCCCAGTGTGGGTGGCTTTGAAAAGACATGGAATGAGTATAAGAACAGCAAACTGTTTCCTCTCATGATTAGCAAAGGGTTTCAAAGCCCTGTGGAGAAAAAAAAATAGCCCACCTTTTCCTTGGGTATTTTCTTTCCCTAATCCCCAGTTCTCAATGGCAAACCCCTCCAACCCTCTCCCTGAGTTATACAACAATTTGGAAATACTTTAAATGGTTAGAAAGGAGGGATCCAAAAGGTGCAGCTACTGGCTGAATAAGATGAAGATGATTCTCTAGGGCTAAAGACAGGAAGACAAGAGCGTGAACAAAATGAACAGCCCTGGCTGATTTTCAGGGAACCTCCTGGAGGGGCAGAGCCAGTCTGCAGCCGGAGCTGGGAGCTGGCCGGGGAAGCACCGCCAGAAGTGCGGGTCCTCCTGAGATCAGTGCAGGGGAGGGCAGTTTGTTTGCTGTTGGAGGAGAGCCCCTTTGTCCCTTAGACTCACCCGTGAGTCCAGCGGCTTCAGCAAAGGCAGAGTGAGAACAAGAGGGAGGGCACAGAAAGAGTCAGAACCTTGAGCCTTTCTGATGTCTTCTTGGTTGTGGGGCACAGGTTGGGGAGATCTTGGAATCTGATTGCCCTCAGCTCAGAGCCAAGGATGCAGACTAGAGCGAGGGATGGTTTGCCTCTCACTTTTCTCATCTCCGCCGACGTGTGATCCAGGCCCTCATGCCCACCTCGCAGAGCAGCCGTGCTCAGCAGCACATGGAGGGAAAGGTCTGTGTTCCGTATCTCCAGGTGTAAATATCCGGGGGTTCCTACCTGGGATCTTCCAGCCAGGAAGCAGCACAGAGCATCTTCTACAGCCTGAAGAAGAGGGGCCCTCCCTCTGGCCCCACTCTTGCTGACAGACCAGCGGCCCGCTTCTTAGTTAGTTACTTCCCGAGCACAGCCTGTCTGACCCTGACTTCCTAAAAAGAAAGCTCGGCTACTTCCAATTAGATTCCTGATAGGTAATGCAAAGCCGAGAGAGTTTTCATTTTTTGAGACAGAGTCTCCCTTTATAGCCCAGGCTGGAGTACAGTGGCAAGATCTCAGCTCACTGCAACCTCCCGGGTTTAAGCCATTCTCCTGCCTCAGCCTCCCGAGTAGCTAGGACTACAGGCATCCACCACCACACCTGGATAATTTTTCATTTTTAGTACAGATGGGGTTTTACCACATTGCCCAGGCAGGTCTCAAACTGCTGGCCTCAAGTGATCCACCCGCCCCTTCTCCCTAAGTGCTGGGATTACAGGTGTGAGCCACAGCCCCCGGCTCCAAGAGAGTTTTCAAACAAACTGTGGGACCTTCCAGAGTTCCCCTTAGCTGTGCTGACAGCAAACCCTAAATGCAGCAGGCAGAGACAGCCCCTCCCATGTTGGGGCATTGGTGGGGGAAGGGATGAGAAAAAAAGAGCCTCGGATCAATATCCCTGCTGGGAAACAGGTGGATAAAAGTCCCAGCCTTGATCAGGAGAGAAGAGAAGCAGAGGCCACAGCGGGTCCTCAGCTGCTGTCTTTGGAGGGTGTCGGTGATACTATCAGATGCAGGCTTCTGGTGTGAGCTGCATCACCAAGACATCACAATGAAACTTACAATTCCTGCACCGGTTCATGGTGCTATTGACGAGATGGACGGGGAATAACCCAGTTAGAATGGACCTCAGACAACTTCACATCCCGAGGATCTGTCCCCCGCTACTTGGAGAGGAGAAGGGAAGGGCATTTCCACTGGGCACATCCTTATGGGATGGGGGTCCCAGGCCATCCCTGCCCTCCTGGCTGTCGCCTCCCTCCCAGGTGTCCTTCCTTATCCAGGGGTCCCAGCTCTGGAGGAAAATGAGAAGGGACATCACCTGCACTAGCAAACCTGCAAGAAACAGGCCATGTTATAGGCTGAACTGTGTCTCCCCCCAGAAAAAAGAAAAGTGAAGTGTCCTAACCCCCGGTACCTCAGAATGGGACGACAGTTGCCCATCCCGCCTTCCAGCATTGTTGCCCGTGCTGTTTTTAATGCTGCGACCTCCACTGGGTGCTGGCTGTGCCAAGGCACCCTAGGCAGTAGCCCTCACCTGTCCCCAGCCACTGGGTCCTGATGGCGCTTCCCCTGAAGCCTCTTTTTTTTTTTAAGATGAAGTCTCACTCTGTCACCCAGGCTGGAGTGCAATGGCACAATCTCAGCTCACTGCAACCTCCACCTCCCAGGTTCAAGTGATTCTCCTGCTTCAGCCTCCCGAGCAGCTGGGATTACAGGCACCCACCACCATGCCCAGGTAATTTTTGTACTTTTAGTAGAGACAGGGTTTCACCATGTTGGTCAGGCTGGTCTCGAACTCCTGACCTCCAGTGATCCACCCGCCTTGGCCTCCCAAAATGCTGGGATTACAGGCGTGAGCCACCACGCCCAGCCCTGAAGTCTCTTTATGGAGTCTTTGCTGAGAGCAACAGCCCCGGATCCTAGGTCCACTCTGCAGAAGACCTGCCTCAAGGGGCACCCTTCTCTCCTGCAGGAAAAACGAGCACCCACAGCCAGCTGCCATTGTCACAGTTCCTCCTCTGACCCGCCTGCCCCTCTTCTGTGCCTTCCCAGGACTCTGTGATGACATCAGCCCCACCCGGATCATCCGGAGTCCTCTCCCCGTCTCAGCATCCTTTACATCATCACACCTGCAAAGTCCCTTTGGCCACGTAAGATCACGTATTCACAGGTGCCAGGGATTAGGATGGGGACATCTTTGGGGACCATTATTCTGCCAATCGCAGGATCAAATGAGGTCACTGGGGAGAAAGGGCTGGCAGAGGAGAGAGAGGCCTGGAGGCCTGGGCAGCACAGGTGAGCTTAGGGCAGGCGCCAGCCCCAGACAGAGCCCTTGGGTAGGGGCAGCCTCAAGAATGATGGGCCTTGGAGGCCACGAGGGAGGAGTGACATCATTAGCTGAGATGCAGACTGACCAGGGGACATGGCAGCCTGGTGACAGTGCTGGGGGAGCAGTCTTAGTGGAGGGTGGGAAGGCAGCAGGAGGGAGCACGTAGAAGATGAAATAGGAAGAGTGGCAGGTCCAGGCACCTCCTTAGAGAGCATTGTGGGGGTGCCACTGTGGAATGGGTGAAGCTGGGGGTCTCTGCTTTCATTAGACACTCCCACACTTGTCTTGGTTCCAAAGACACTGCCTGGTCTCTGGGCTCCGTGCAAGGACCTGAACAGCTCCCAGCACTCCCCTCTGCCCCCTCCTGCCTCCCAGCTAGAATTCGCGAGAGCAGGCTCACCATGAGGGAGGGGCCCGTGAGCACAGCCGTCTCACCCGGCCTCCTGCACTGGGACCACAGCGGACATTAGGCCTGGTCGGAGTCAGGAAACAGTCTCTGAGCTCTTCCCTGGCTCCAGAGGCCAGGACGCAGGTGGCCACCTCAAATGTACCTATGGCCCTGGGGGTCAAAACCCCTGGGGTCTCATCTGGCGGCATCACACTGGATGTGGCCCACGGGAAGCTCTCCCCAAACCCTCTTCCCCACTGGGCTGGTGCCTGCTCACAAAAAGCCCTTTCAGAATCTTCCTACTGCCCCAACACACTCAAGAGGCAGCTTCCAGGGTCCACAGTCCAAAGTGATTTGCATGCGATTTGTTCCAGCAAATGCCTGAGAAGCTATTTAATATCTGAGGAATAGATTAGGACCCAGGGTCATGGAATGTAAATATTCTAAATATAAATACTTTGGGCCAGGCACAGTGGCTCAGGCCTCTTATCCCAGCTCTTTGGGAGGCTGAGGGGAGCAGATCGCTTCAGCTCAGGAGTTAGAGACCAGCCTGGGCAACACAGCAAAACCATGTCTCTACAAAATTACAAAAATTAACTGGGTGTGGTGGTGGGTGCCTGTAGTCCCAGCTACTTGGGAGGCTGAGGTGGGAGGATCATCTGAGCCCAGGAGGTTGAGGCTGCAGGGAGCTGTGATCGTGTGACTGCACCCCAGCCTGGGTGACAAAGTGAGAGGTTTTCTAAATAAATAAATAATAAATAAATACTTTGATCATGGAAAATAGTTGCTATACGACAATCACAGACAACCGAAGTGATTTCGTAGAATCCAAGTCTTTTTTACCTAATCTAGTTTTTTTAAGTATGGAGTCTGACTCTCCTTGAGGGCTTCTGTAAAGTCCAACCTGTGACTCACAAGTGAGACAATTGCATCAAACGAAACATCAGGCTGGGTGCAGTGCCTCATGACTGTAATCCCAGCACTTTGGGAGGCCAAGGCAGAAGGATCACTTGAGGCCTGGAGTTTGAGACCAGCCTGGAATAACATGGCAAAACCCCAGCTCTACAAATAATTTTTTTAAAATGTGGGCAGGCCCAGTGGCTCACACCTGTAATCTCAGCACTTTGGGAGGCCAAGGCAAGCAGATCACTTGAGGTCAGGAGTTCGAGGCCACAGTGAAACCCCACCTCTACTAAAAATACAAAAAAATTAGCCGGGCATGGTGGTGCACACCTGTAATCCCAGCTACTCAGGAGGCTGAGGCAGGAGAATCGCTTGAACCTGGGAGGCGGAGGTTGCAGTGAGTCAGGATGGTACCGCTGCACTCCAGCCTGGACTACAGAGCCAGACTCCGTCTCAAAATAATAATAATAATAATAATAATAATAATTAACCCAGCATGGTGGTGGGCGCCTGTGATCCCAGCTATTCAGGAGACCGAGATGGGAGGATGGCTTAAGCCCAGGTGGTCAAGGCTGCAGTGAGTTGTGACTGTGCCACTGCACTCCAGCCTGGGCAATGGAGCCTGTTAAAAACTAAATAAATAAATAAATAAATCTTTTAAAAAAAAAATAAATAAAAGAAAGAAAGAAAAATTAGGTGACAAGACAATAGTGTCAGCCCTGAGTGCACAGGACTGATTTTTTCCCAAATGACTGTGGTTGAGAGTCTAGGCAGCAGCCACCTGGAGATGTGACTCAATAACAAGAGAAAATCTTCTAAGTGAACTTTTCCTTCTTATTGAGATAGAATCATTGAATTTAGCGCTTTCTTCTTAAAAGAGGAGGTGTTGTTTGTTTGTTTTTCCTTTTTTCCTATTGTGCCAAGGCTGGAAAAGTGGAATCCTAGCATCTTTTATATGGGAAAGGAAATGTTAGCCACTGGCCCTGGTGCCTGGTTGACTCCTAGGAACTGAACGCTTGTGTCCCTCCAAAACCCATATGTTGAAACGCTAATCCCCATGGTGACGGTGTGAGGCACTGAGGCCTTTGTGAGGTTAGTGTTAGATTAGGTCATGAAGGTGGAGCCCGCATGAATGGCGTGATGGAGAATTTTCTGTGTCAACTTGACTGGGCTAACAGGTATCTGTCCAGGTTGCTGGTAGAGCATGATTTCAGGGTGCGTCTGTGACTGTGTTTCCAAAAGCATTTGAGTCAGCAGACTGCATTAAGAAGATCCATTTCCACCAATGTGGATGAGCGTTACCCAGTCCATGCAGGATCACGAGGGCACAACAGGTGGAGAAAGGGCAATTTCATTCTCTCTTTCCTCTGGAGCTGGGACACACATCTTCTGCTCTCAGACATTGGAGCTCCTGGTTCTCAAGCCCCACACCCCCTGAGATGATGCCTCCAGCCCTTGGCCTCACGCTGGGGGTCACACCATCAGCTCCCCTCATTCTCAGGCCTTCAGACTCACACCGAATCACACTGCTGGCTTTCTTGCATCTCCAGCTTGTAGACGGCCTTCTATGGGACTTGTAAGCCACCATAGTCGTGTGTGCCAATTCCCCTCATAAATCCCCTCTCCTGTTTATCTGCATTTCTCCTATTGGTTCTGTTCCTCTGGAGATCCCTGACTAACACAAATGGGATCAGTGCCCTTATAAGAACAGGCATGAGAGCACTTGCTGCCCCTCTGTCTCCACTCTCGGCCACGTGAGGACACAGCAATTAGACAGCCCTCTGCCCTCACCAGAACCGGCCATGCCGGTACCCCAACCTTGGACTTCCAGCCTCCAGGACTGTGAGACATTCATGTCTGTTGTTTGAGTCCCCAGTGTACCACTCTGTCACAGCAGCCTGAGGCTGAAGCCATGGCCGACCACCAGCATCTGGTCATGCCTCATTGGTCCCCCAGAGCAGCTTCTGGCCCAGAGCTCTGTGAACAGCATCCTGCTTCATGGGGATGCTAGTGCCTTTTCTGTTCCATGCACTGGGCTGCTGGGTTAGGCTCTCCCACCTCCCTTGAGGACCCCATGAGCAGCTGTGCGATAACACACTGGGAGAACCGGAACCACCGTGAGAAGTGGGCCGGGGCAAGACGTGGGAATGTCGGGGTAGGGCAGGACATCCAGGTTGCACCACTGCCGATGTGGGGGGAGCAGCAGAAACAGCCCAGAGCAGCAAAACTGCATCAAGAGGGGGTATTGGCACTGTGAGGTGGCTTCCCTTTCCCTAGACCATCCCTGATGGTTCCTCTGCCTCCTGGTCCCCAAGCCTGATGCCCAGCCCTGGGGCAGGGACTCTGGTCCTCACCCTACCTTCGTCCTCATGTCTCCCTGGGAGCCAAGTGCAGAAGAAGCCCTGCCTCCCCTTTCCAGGGGGTCTTGGGAATGTGGACAGTTCTCTCTGGTCCCCAGAGTGCAGGTTCTGGGGCAGTTGTTTAAGAAGGGTGAGAAGCAAAGGCCGGAATGAACGCTCACCCTGCGCTGTAACATGGGGACTGCATGGTGGGGGCTGGCATTGAGTCCCCACTCCTCTTTCACAGGCACCTTGTTCCTCAGTCCCCCTCAGGCAAATCCCAGCCCTCCTTTCCCAACAAGACACTGCTCTAAAGGACAGTGACTCAGGGCCCCGCTGCCACGGGCTGTCGCATCCCCATCACCCCTCGTGTCTGCTATCGCTCCTGGATTGGGGAGGGGGCCTGTCACTGGAGCACTGGGCTCAGGCTTTCCTGGCATCCTGGGGGAATGACACCAAGCAGCTCAGAGGAGAGATTTTCTGTCTCTGGTTCTGCGTCCATTCTGAAACACGCTGCGAGTAACATGAGAGGCAGTGTGCAGGTGCTAGGGCCTATGGGTTACAGGGAGCTGTGACCAGCTGGGAATTTCTGAGGCATCCCTGGGCGTGAGCCCCACAGGGACATCACTGCCTCTGTAGAAAGGTGGAGAATCGTGTCGAGGGAGGTTGCTGGGAGCATGCAAAGGCCCCGCATCCCGTGGGGGGTAACCAGGACCAAGTAAGGGAAGCCCCACGCCCCCACGGGGAAAGGGAGGCTGATGTTTCAGATCCCCCACAGTGTGCTAAGCACGCGTAGGCTTTCTCACTGAATCCTCCAACACAGTGACTGCACCTTATCCATTGTCTCGTATGTTCCTGGCACTCAGCGGGGTGAGTCCCATTTTTCAATCTTCATGAAAATCACTGTGAAGAACCCACTGCTGTGCCCTATTTTCTGCTGAATGCACAGAACTCAACAGCCTTCCCTGAAGGAACACGTGGACCCAGGTGAGTGCACCTGTAGGCTCTGCCCCCACCCCACAAGTCCCCTACAGTCCCCTGAAGCTACAGGCTGGATAGTGTCTCCTGAGGAGTCACTACCTTGGAGCCCCAGCCAGACTCAGAAGAAAATCGAAGGCTGGGGGGCCGGGCGCAGTGGCTCATGCCTGTAATCCCAGCACTTTGGGAGACCAAAGCAGGAGGATCACGAGGTCACAAGATTGAGACCATCTTGGCTAACACGGTGAAACCCCGTCTCTACTAAAAATGCAAAAAATTAGCCGGGCGTGGTGGCGGGTGCCTGTAGTCGCAGCTACTCAGGAGGCTGAGGCAGGAGAATGGGGTGAACCCGGGAGGCGGAGCTTGCAGTGAGCCGAGATCACACCACTGCACTCCAGCCTGGGCGATAGAGTGAGACTCCGTCACAAAAAAAAAAAGAAAGAAAGAAAAGAAATTGGAGGCTGAGTGTGAGGTTCTAAGAAGGCACCACTGGAAAGCGGAGTGAGACCCTTCAGGTCATGTGCAAAGGCGTTTATGATGAAAATAATAAAGGAAATTGAAGACAACATTCATTCCCCTCAGCTTTTTCTTTTTTTTTTTTCTTGAGATGGAGTCTTGCTCTGTCACCCAGGCTGGAGTGCAGTGGCGAAATCTCGGCTCACTGCAATCTCCACCTCCCAGGTTCAAGCAATTATCCTGCCTCAGCCTCCCGAGTAGCTGGGACTACAGGCACGTGCCACCGTGCCCGGCTATTTTTTTGTATTTTTAGTAGAGATGGAGTTTCACCGTGTTAGCCAGGATGGTCTCGATCTCCCAACCTCATGATCCACCTACTTTGGCCTCCCAAAGTGCTGGAATTACAGGCATGAGCCACTGTGCCCGGCCTCACATCAGTTTTTAAAGGAAAGAATCCAGGCCTTAAAGAGTTAAGGAGTGAATAGATCCGGGGTCTCTTCTGAGGTGATGAGAAGGTTGGAAACTAAAGAGAGCTGATGGTGACACAAGGAATGCACCAAATGCCACTGAGTTGTCCGCTTGAACACGGTCAGTTCATAACACATGTGTTAAGCTGCTTGATTTTGCCATTCCACAAATATACACAGATCAAAACATCATGTTGTGCATTGTATGAAGAATTTTTATTTGTCCATTAAAAATAAATTTTAAAAGTGTAATAAAATGGTGAATTGTATGCTACATAAATTTTACTTTTTAAAGTAAACGTTTTTCCTTTTAAAAAAAGAGTTAAACAGAAAAAAGTTGAAGACCTGCCCCAGCCTCCTGGGGATTGACAAGAGTGACTTTCACAGAGGGGACCTTGTGCTTCCAGAGCACCAGGCACCTGGTGTGGTGCAGACCCTGGAGAGCCCCCAGCTGAGGGCCCGTCCCCTCTTGCCGCTTCCTCTGGGCCAGTCTCTGAGCTCCCATTTTTGCAGCCTGGAAGGAGGAGACCTCTTTGCTATGCAGGTTATAGGAGATTTCCAAGGAAGGGAAAGAAATCAGAGAATTCACTCTCTGGTCAGAATCCAAGGCTGGAGGATGAAGGTGAGAACTGCTGGCCAGCCACAACCCTCGGGCCTAAGAGCTGGAGGACACAGTCCCCAAACCCCTCACAGGTCTTATCCCTGCCCATCCTGGAGAGAGACCAGCGAACCAGCAGTCGGAGCCAGGAGTCTGTGGGCGCAGAGGGAACTACCTGCTGGAAAGAGCCTGTCTCACTCAGCCTGACGTCGCCCTGCCCTGACGCTGGGACCAGAGGGTGTTCGGGCAGCTCTGACCTGGTGGCCCTCAGAGAGGGAGCCTCCTCCCCCACTCTCCAGGCTTTTCTTGGTGCTCATGCTGCCCCCTGGACACTGTTCTGTGTTAGATCACTCACCTCTGTCCCCAGGAGCCTGATTATCATTCACAATGAGAAAGAGATTCAAAATAAAATGCCTCTTATTATGCCCAATCAACCTTTATGGGCAGTCAATTGGCCATAAGCAAATCTTTCCTCTCCCGGGTCAGCCCTACGTGTCTGTGAATGAAGGTCTGTCCCGTCAGCCTTTTGTGAAACTCTTAATACTTCAGGGTTTGTGTAAGCGGACTGGGCTTTCTCATGGTTCAGGCCTGTGCGCAGCTTTCAGGATAAATGCACACATCGCACACACAGACCCAGAGAGGCACACGTGGAGAGATACATGCAGATGCATGCACACACACGGCTTCACTCACCTCTCGCACACACACGCTCACACATGCATGCTCTGATCCCTCCAAAGACCACTCCTGCCACTTCTGTTGCTACCGCACCCTAGTATTTCATGAAAAGCAAACAAATTGCATCTCCTTGATTACATTTCCTGATTTCTTAGAAAGCAAAATTGTAGTAATTGGTTTACATTAAGCGTCATGCTATTTGGGAGAGGGAAATTAAATAGAATACCGTTAGAGCTGATTCGTAGGCAAACATAGCTAAATAAAACAAGCCTAAACAACCATCTTTACAGGGCAAATTGCAGTTTCAGTAACTGCTGCAACAAAACGCTATTCCACGGTGTCTGGGCGGTAGGATGGTAATGGGGATTCCAGGTCCGGGAGAACTTTCGGACCCTCTGGACAGTCCTGTGAGGCCTCAGATGGCTCAGGAGGCCCACCTGGTGCCTGGGGTTCGGAGGCACTAACAAAGGTTTCAGGTTCTGAAAGTCAGCTCTGCAACCGCCACTCCTTGCCAGGCTGCAGGCTCAGCTCAGGAGGTGAGTGGTTCAGGACTGTGGCTTGCCCATGGTGCTGAGTGTGACACGTGTAACCTTCAGAGCCCTCCACCCCTCTGCCACAGGTGTGCGGGCACTAGGCTCAGGAGCACCCCTGGGGGAGCTGTGAGGATGTGGCAAGGACTCCACACCAACCCCTCCCACAGTCCTGCAGCCTCTGCCACCCAGGACCAAGTCCCTGACCGAGTCCCTGAGTGTGTGTGGCATCCCTCCCTCTCGGCTCTATGCTCCAGCGTCATGTGAAAATTGGGGCCTAATGGGGTTCAAGGAGAAAACATCAAACCACATCTATGGTTGGCAGAAGTCCGTATGGGAGAGGTCAATTCCAGGAGCAGGTGTTTAACTTGGGACCTGCTTAGCTGGCCTAGGCTCTGTCAGCACCTGACCATTGCGGTTCATAAGGACCATGAGCTCTGGCAACAGGGAAACAGGGGAAGGGCGGGCCCAGCCCCATTTTCCCAGTTTTAACACAAAAAGTCCTGCATCCCAGGAACCCCCTCAGTCCCAAATAAAGCGAGATGGTTTGGGGCTCTATTTGCCACCTTGATGGAGGCTGCAGAACTGTCCCACATCAAGGCTGGGATTCTTTCATGAATGACAGGGCGGTTCCAGGGCACAGGGCAGAACCGACCCCACCATGCACAGCTGGGTCTTGGAGCAGGTTCTGCTGTGAAACATCCACCCTACCGGCAGATCATAGCTGAGCACAGACCCTCTCTCCTGCAGTGCACTCTCCACCTGGAGGATCCTGCCGAGGAGGGGGCACTCTCCACCTGGCCGATGGGCTTCCGCTTATCTCTCTCTCTGGAATGCCCTGGCCTCCATTTGGAGCTGGTGCCCAGCCAAGCAACTCCTTGGACATAGAAAATAAGAAGAAAAGCAAGAGAGGGGACCTTTAGGTACGTTTAAAGGCCCTGAGCAGTGACTGTCCTCTCAGTAGGCTGGAGCCAGCTCCCAGTCCCACCCTGCCATTTGGTAGCTGTGAGGCCTGGCGCAAGTCGCTGGGCCTCTGTGGGCATCTGTGCTTTCTTCTTCTATACATGGGACAGGTTTGTGTTGAATGAGGAACATTGCACTGTGTCTGGCACCTAATATCAAGCAGAGAGAAGGGAGAAGCTACCCAGCACAATAAACCAGTTTTTTGTTTGTTTGTTTGTTTTTGAGATGGAATCTCGCTCTGTCACCCAGGCTGGAGTACAGTGATGTCATCTCTGCTTACTGCAACCTCTGCCTCCTGGGTTCAAGTGATTCTCCTGCCTCAGCCTCCCAAGTAGCTGGGACTACAGGCACCCACCACCACACCCAGCTAATTTTTGTATTTTTAGTAGAGACGGGGTTTCACCATGTTGGCAAGGCTGGTCTCAAACTCCTGACCTCAGGCGATCCGCCCACCTCAGCCTCCCAAAGTGCTGGGATTACAGGCATAAGCCACTGTGCCCAGCCAAATAAACCACTTTTTAGGGAAAAAAAATGGGGTGGGGGTAGAGATTCCACAATGGCTCCTGCCCACCTCGTCTTCCCCGGCTGCAGATTCAGCGAAGGGAGGTGCGGCCAGCGAGGCAGGGGCAGGTGGGGACACGCAGCTCCTGTTCCCCCTTCATGGCCCAGTGACTTTGAGGGCTAAATCCACCCATGTCTCACTGCTCCTCTCTCCCCCACCTCGTCTGGGTGTCTCGCTCTATGATCTTCTTACCCGTGGTTCTAATTATCTCTTTGTATCTCCTGTGAAACCAGCGCTTTAGAAGCTCTGCGCCACCGCTCCCTCTCTTGACGGTAGGCCTGACAGTTGGAACAGAAGCCCTTGGAATGATGAATCTGCTTTATTAAAAGTCCTTTGTTTAAAAGTATCAGCCCCGCCTTCCATGTCAAGACACAGCCTGCTCGCAGAGGAGAAAGAGCCAGGCTCACGGCACGGAGGGAAAAATGTCTTCAAACAGCTATTCACGTTTTTAAAATTTTTAACTGGATGAAAGGTGTTCTCCACTACATTTCCTCCCTCGAGTTGTTTTAATTCATTCGACCTAAGTTGCTGTTTAAACCAGGGGATAGCGTCCCAGAAGGGAAACTAAGGGGCACACACAGGGAACCACGGTGATTCCTCCACATCCTCACTCAGCAGCCGCCACCAAACACCAGGGACCGGCCAGGTATCAGGCCCTGTGCTGGGCAGAGACCCAGGGTAGAAATCAGAGACAGCCTCTGCACTCACTGGAAGCTGAGTTTATGCTGGCGATCAAGGGAGAACTCTTGGGGGAAGCCAGTAAATCCCAAGCTAAGAAACAGGTCCCAAGTGGCTGATACCCCTCTGGTCATGATAGAAGAAGATGCACTATAATGAAAACAAAGACAAATTCTAGAGGAAAACTTTCGGAACTTGGAGCTTGTAAGATTCCCATGGAATATACCATTTCTGTGGTAGATTCATTTGTAATTTTTTTAAAAGAAGAATCATGTTGGCAGTATAAATTTGATCTTCAGATTCATAGGGGAAACAGGAGTTTCCATTTTTCAATCACCCTGCACCACCCACCTCAGCAGGGCCCAAGGCCTCATACCAGTCCCTTAATGAACATCACAACTCAGAAATCCAGCTTCCAGGCCCTCCCAGTCTCACTACTCCATTTAAGGCACCTACAGCTCAAGCGTTTCCTGTTCCTTGTTAATTTCTAGCCCAGGGCCATTCCAAATGTGTGCGTGTGTGTGTGTGTGTGTGTGTGCAGGCGTGCATTCATATACTCCACACTGTGTATCTGTTGAAAGGTTATAGTTCACCTGTTATTTCTGTGCATTTTTAGTAGGGGACACGCCACGCTACCTCAGCCCATCATTTTCCTGGAACCAGACATTTGGTTATGTAATTCCAAATGTTTTTACAGAGATGATGCATTTTCCCATTTATAAAAAAAAGATGTGTTCTCATGGCGATTGGAGAATATAAAACCCTAAAATGGAAAGCGGAGGAGTGACTAGAAATTAAGCTTTAGAAACTGAATACATGGCTGTCAATGGTACCAACGTCTCTTTCGTAGTGATAGGATTGATTGAGAAAATCCTCCACGGTGGGTTAGAGGATGCTAAAGAAACATTGAAATCTTTGAGCTACAGACTCAGATGGCCAAGAGGCTCCAGAGTGGCAGGCCTGGTAGTGAGTGGAGCTGCAGCAATTGCACCTGCTGAGGGTGAGGGACAGACAAGTGACAGAACCTAAACTAGTGCCCCGGCCCCCACCCAGACTTTGCAATCACCCATTGAGTATCCTCTGTCCGGTGACTTGAGATCAAGACCAAGGAGAAAAGAAAAGTTCACATGTCAAAAATATATCCACAAGCTTCGACCAAACGATAACTTTGAAACATGCCTTTCTGTCTCTCTTGGAAAAGGATTTCTGAATGTCGGAGTGAGATTTGTTACCTGATGATGCCTCAGGTCTGTGAAGACTTCTCTTCCCAGGTGAGAGGACCGAGGGCTTTGATAAACAGCGGTTCTGAGTTGCAAAATTATTAGCAAGATGGTCGGTTTCCACTGAAATAAGAGTTTTTGTTTTAATTTATATTGTAATGAAAGCTTGTAACAGTACCATACCATAAACACAAACAGCACAATCTTATAAAAATTTCATCTTTATCTATTTTGGGGAGAAATAGTCCTGTCTGCCTAATTGAAGCATCTGTCATTCTGACATTAAATAGTGCATGCTTGATCTTTTTATTATATCGTGGGACATTTCTCACACACTGTTAAATTGAAATAACGCTGCTCACTTGGAGATAAAGGGACATAATAGGTATTTTATAATGAGGGGGACAGGATTTATCCTGAATTCAGGCCGAGAACTGTTTTATGTTTT
Organism: Homo sapiens; assembly: GCF_000001405.40. Taxonomy (NCBI): domain Eukaryota; kingdom Metazoa; phylum Chordata; class Mammalia; order Primates; family Hominidae; genus Homo; species Homo sapiens. The sequence goes on along the minus strand of NC_000001.11, from coordinate 4,145,646 downwards.
TCCTGGGGTTTGCTGCCCTAAAGGGAGCTTTGGCTCGTCGTAGCTCTCAACACTCCAATAAGAGAAGAATCAAACGAGAAACAGTTAGACAAGCATTAGAAATGTGATTCAGGCAGTCAGTCATCTCTGCACTCTGGGAACAGCTCTATGGGCAGCTCAGGTGGGCGGGGCCTGGCCCAACCACAGACAGCATGTCAGTGTTGAAAACTAAATCCCATTTGCTATTTTTTAATAGTCCAATCTCTCCCCTGGAGCATCCAAGCCTTTGTTTCAAAATATTTGATTCAACTCACTCTATTTCACTTCCCTGAATAAAATCATAGACTTATGATTCCATAGTGTTCATGAAATCATAGACTTTCAGTGCTCAAAGACTTTAAGTCACTTACTCAAAGCATCTCACTAGTGTCTGAGGACTCTGTAGTCACCCTACAAAGCCATCCTCCTTCCAGGATTTAAACATTTCCAGGGTTAGGAGTTTAATCAAGACTTCCCAGTTTAAATACTGACTCCTCTGTGTGATGCTGGGCAGGTTTCACAGCCTCTCTCTGCCTCAGCTTCTTTATTGTCTATAATATAGCGATGGTAATAGCACCCAATAAGAGTACTAATACTTCCTTTATTATTTCCAGCACAACCACTCTGACTTTCATTTCTGTTAGTCATAGCTCCTTAAACCTCTCTGTGCCTACTACTAAGCCAAGGGATCCACCATGAGAGTCATGGTGATGATAGTGATGGTGATAATGATGACGATTATGATGATGATGGTGGTGGTGATGGTGATGATGGTGATGATGGAGATGGTAACGATGGTGATGATGATAATGGTAATGATGGTATTGGTGATGACGGTGATCACAGTGATTATGGTAAGGATGGTGGTGATGATGGTAGTGATGATGGTGATGGTGATGGTGTTGGTGGTGATGAAGATGGTGATCACAGTGATGATAGTAAGGATGGTGGTGATGATAATGATAATGGTGATGGTGGTGGTGTGGTGGTGGTGGTGGTGGTGATGATAATGATAATGGTGTGATGGTGGTGGTGTGGTAGTGGTGGTGGTGATGATGATGATGATGTAATGATGATGGTGATGGTGATGGTGGTAATGATGATGGTGATCACAGTGATGATAGTAAGAATGGTGGTGATGATAATGGTGGTGGTGGTGGTGATGGTGACAATGATGTAATGATGATGGTGATGATGACGGTGGTAATCATGATAGTAATTACCGTGATGAAAGTAAGGACGGTGTCTATGATAGTGGTGATGGTGGTGGTAGTGGTAACGATGATCATGGTGATCATGTGATGACAACACCCAGCCAACATTCATGGGGCATTTACTAAGTGTTCACACTGTTTTCAATGCTTTGTACATATTCATTCATTTTACCCCAACAGCAGTCCTATGACATAGGGACAATAATTGCAAATGAGAACATTGGAGCTTATGTTTGCTCAAGGCTGCCTACCTGGCAAGGGTCTGACTGGGATTCCAACCTAGGCAGCTGCTCCATCGATCAGCCCTGCACACCTTCTCCGTGTTGTGCAAACCAAAAGGCCCCCTCTTCTCCTGGGTGCCCAAGGGCAGAGGCCAGAGTGCTAAGGTGACGCTTCCTCTTGGCATCCCAAGGAGAGGAGACCAGGTGGCTCACATTAAGTAAATTCAATTCCAAGGACAGCCTGGCTGCCAATGCTTCTCTCTCGACACAGTGAGTTACACAAAAAGGATAACAAAGCCAATGACCATGAATTTCCTGAACTATGTTCAGTAGAAAGAGGTTTATTTTATGTAGGAAATGCCTACATAAAAGATGGGGTTTATTATATTGTTGATACCAAATCCTGAGTGGATGATGCATATATGAGAAGATAAATGGCTCATATAGTCTATTTATGTGTGAAGTATGACATGCCAGCTCACCACTGGGCCCTTCTGTTGGTACATTCTGCTATCTCGCTCCCAAAATTTCTGCCCAGCCCCATTCACTGACCTGGGAGTCAGCAGTTAGATGTCATAGGCCCAAAATATTTAAAGTCTTTCTTTAAATTGCAATTTTAAGTGTTTAAATTATACCAACATCTCTTTTAGCCCTACTCCTTCTTATGTAAGAGCTACCTTTATATTCTCTGAAAGGAATCAAATGTAAATTTCCCTGAACCATGAACTGTGAAAACAGCATCAATGTATCTTAGGTCTAATAGAGAGTGAGAGAAGGATTTTGCTTGTTTTTCCAGTAACCTGTGGGTAGCAGAGGTTTTCATAAGATAAGTCATTGACTTGGAGTTTCAGAATAATCACATTAAGAATCTGACCCTGAAGACTCTTTAGCTGGGGATAAGGACTCTGTGAAATAGAGTAACAATGACAGCTTTCACCCCATGCCACAGCCAATAGAAGCCAGGCCCAGATGATACGCCCAGGAGGTCATCACATCCAGGGGCAGAATTCCACCTGAGAACTAGGTCTGTGCTGTGACTACAAGAGGCCAGAAACCGATGAGAGAAGTTTTCCCATGCTTTCCCCGTGACAACACCAGACACACACATACACATGCACACAGGCATGCACACACACTCTTACATGCACATGTATGTACACATACGTCAGCATTCATGTGTCTGTGTGTACACACACACACACACGCAAACACACATGCAGGCTCTCGTGCTGTGTTCTGTCTGCACCTGCCTGCAGCTAAGGAGGCTGTGGTTGCCTTTCCCTACACTCATGTAAAGGGCTCCTCAGCCACTTCACTCTTCCTGGGCCCAATGGCACCAAGTCCTCGGGAGCCAGAGTGAGTTGGAGAAATGATCGGGGGAGGGGAAAGGATATTTGTTGTGACTTTGGCTTGGAGCACTGAAGCATCTCAATAATGTGTTGGGAAAATCAGCGGAGCAATGGGTCACGAAATCCCATCTCTCCTGGCAGCCAGGATGGAAATGGGAAGGGCTGAGCCAGGCGCTGTGGCTCACGCCTATAATCCCAGCACTTTGGGAGGCCGAGGCGGGCAGATCATGAGGTCAGGAGATCGAGACCATCCTGGCTAACACGGTGAAACCTCATCTCTACTAAAAATACAAAAAATTTTCTGGGCATGGGGCAGGCGCCTGTAGTCCCAGCTACTCGGGAAGCCGAGGCAGGAGAATGGTGTGAACCCGGGAGGCGGAGGTTGCAGTGAGCCGAGATCGCGCCACTGCACTCCAACCTGGGCAACAGAGGGAGAATCCATCTCAAAAAAAAAAATGGAAATGGGAAGGCTCTGCTGGCAGGGCTGCAGGGCTACCAGGAGGGTGGCAAAGTGCTCGTTGTACCCCGAGAGGGGACCTGGAGGCTCCAGGGTAAACCAGACGCTGCTAAAGTCGGCTCCCTCTGGAGGAAGGTTCTCTCGCAGGTCACTGGGTGCAGCAAGGACACAGCAGCAGCACCCCCATTGCACACCTCAGCCAGGGCCCAGAGTCAGAGCCTGGACAGAGGATAGAGTTGGGCAGCATCAGAAAGCCCAGCTTCCTCTGGAATTTCTGATCCTGGCCATATTCACTTCCTGTGGTTGCTGTCACAAATTGCTGCAAAATTAGTGGCTTAAAACAGCACAAATGTATTCTCTTACAACTCTGGAAGTCTGAAATGTGTTATGCGAGGATGAAACCAAGGAGTCCGCAGAGCTGCCTTCCTTTCTGGAGCTCCAGGGTGTCCGCGTCTCACCTTCACCGTTTCCTCGATACTGCGCACGTTCTGCTGCTGGTGGCCCCTCCTCCATCTCCAGGGTGCATCCGTCCACCCTCCACTCCACCATCCCTGCTCCTTTTCCTGACTCCATCCCTCCTGCCTCCCTCTTAGAAGCACTCCTCATTCCACTGGGCCCACCAGGTAGAACAGGATGATCCACTGTCTCCAACCCTTAATTTAATCTTATCTGCAAAATCCCTTTTGCCATGTAAGTGACATCTTTACAGGGTTCAGGGACTAGGATGTAGACATCTTTGAGGTCCTTTATTCTTTCGACCACCCTCACTTGAAGAGTGTCCCTGGGGCAGGCCTGAGGTCACGAGGGAGCTGGGAGTGGAGTGGACCAGCTGATGGATGAAGGTTTCTCGGGTGAGGAGGGTGAGGCCCAGCCTCACAGACAGAGATGATCAGGCTGGGTGGGGGTGGAGCCCAGAGCAGACGTGGGCCTCCCTCTCCCAACCTCCCAACTCCCAGGCTACCAGCAGCCCTCTTCTCTGAGACAGCTTTCTCCAAAGGAGACATTGAGCTGCCCACTGAGACTCTGGGGTCCCATCCTCTGCCCAGGCTTTGGGGTCCCGTCTCCCTGGAATGGGAGATTCCTTCCCCTAAAGAGAAACCTAGAAAAGAGGCAGCTGGGGCCCTTGGGGAACCCACTTACTGGCAGTTGTGAGCCCCAGCACATGTGGAACCCAGTTTGGAAAGCACAGACCAGGAACTGGGTGGCCCACGACTCTTAAGGTCACAGGGGAGGACTCAGCCCAGGATCAAACCCCACTGGGGTGGCCGGGGCCCATGGCAGGGAGGACATCCCACCCCAGCTTCTCACACATCCTGACCCCTGGCCCTACAGCGTGCAAGGTTGGGTGGGAAGCGTGGCAGGAAGGGCAGCCCTTGGAACTTCACGGGCCATCGCACGGTGCCTGCACCCTCCTGTCCCTGGCTCAGAAAGAACAGGAGGGCCCCTGCCCCATCCCCCAGCTCTAGCATCTCGGAAGCTAGGGAGAGGAGGAGCAGAGACCCCGAAGGCTCCTCAGCTGAGGGAGCTGTGCTGCACTCTGAGGGGCCCTATCTATGACAGGGAACAGTGCTATCCTGAGATGTGCTGTGGCCTCCTATGGGACTCTTTCCCTGTTTTATGTCTTCCCTGTATCTCCCACCCCAAACCTCATTGCCCACAAAAAGAATCCCTCCAACACATTCCACGATGTGGATGGACTTTTGCCTGCACTGGGGAGACTGGCCTTGCTGTGGGCTTGGATCAGGGGGCTCAGATGCAGGGGCTCTCTCAAACCTGGGTTGGCAGGAGGGGCTGGCTCCCAAGGCCCCTTGCAGCTCAGGGGCCCAGGTATAGAGCCAGAAGGTAAAGCAAGGAACGATCTTCGTTTCTGCAGGGTCTCGGCGAAAGTGGAAGGAAGTGGCCATGACGTTAATGCTGGAAACCTAGTTCCGCGTGTGACCCGAGGTTACCTGCCATCGTGCATTTGGTGAGCGAAGGCTGGGCCTGCTTTGTTCTTGGTGTGCCATGGTGTGGGACTGAGCCTTCTCCATCATCCTGCGTGGGCTGGGCCTGCGGGCTCCGCTCCCATTCTCACCTTCCCTGAGGCCTGGGTTCCTTTACCTTGCTCTTCTCTGACTGCATTAATTGTTGACCAGTCTAATTCCTGTCCTCTGGGATGAAAGGAGCCCATGGGAGCCCTTGAGGGGGAATCCTAGGAGAAAGTTACATTTCGCGACAAATATGAGTGTCAGTGGTGTCAGGGCACCAAAGGAAAGTTCCTCCCAAATATAAACCTCCACCTGCTTCAATGAATGGAATTTTCTGAATCTCTCAAATGGGAAGGGCAGAGAGGAGCATGGCGTGGAGTTTGGTGGAGGCCAGGGCATCTTACGAAAAAAAATTTAAAAGCCATAGAAACCATACACCAAACCAAGGAGTTGTGGATTGAAAGGGACCCCCCCACGCACAAAGGGGAAAAGAGGCTCCCACCAAGCCTCACCTGCCCACCCGCAGGGATGTCGGATTCAGGCTGCCTGCCAGCGCCAGCGGGGACAGCCAGGAGATAAGTGACCCCCGCCCCATCCCCACTTCCCTGTCCGCAGCCCCCTTGTCCCCCTGTCTCTCTTTTGGCCTTTGGCCTTGGTCTTCCATTCATTCATCCATTTCTTTGAGCAACAGAATGAGCTCCTGCAAAGCCTGCAAGGGGCTTCATAGTCAGCCCCAGAGGTGGGTTTAAAGGGTGCCAGATGAGTCACTACCTGTGTCCAGGGCAACCTGATGCACTGTCCACCTCTGAACTGTATTTTTCTCTGCTTGAAACCGGCCCCCAAACCAGATTGGAGCCAAGAGGATAGCAGCCAGGCTTGGAGGAGTGGGGAGTAGAAATGAAATTAAGTGGACACTTAGGGCTAAAGCTACACCCTGGCCAAGGAACACAGAGAAATTGAGGGAAAGAGAAGCAGGGAGAGAGAAAATAGGGAGGAAAGTGCCACCTGCCCCTCCTGTATGAACCACAGATTCAATAATGGGGTGACTCATCCTGTCACCCCATTATTGGCAGAAATGCTGCTCAAAATATATTTGCTTTGCTAATATCCTAGGGCCCAGGTATATATACCCCTTAGGTTCTATCAGAGTGAGGATGTTGCATGAAACCTGTGCTCCTGCGTGTGCACATGGCAATGACAGTCCCTGCCCTCCCGGCTCCAGGGAGTGGCTTCAACATTCTGATTTTCACAAAGTTTGTTTCCTTCCTGTGACTCTGAGCCCAGTGTCTCAGTGGAGCCTCATGAATGCGAGAAGGATGTGTCTGCTGCATTCTTGGGGCACCATAGTATGTGGTTTGCCAGGCTTTGCAGGAGAGAGGTTCAGGTCGAGGCGTCCACTCTGTGCACAGCGCGCACATCTGAGTGTGGAAGTCTCAGGCTGGGCTCTCAGTCAGGGACAGCCTAGGGAGTCAGATATGCAGGTGTTGGGGTCTGAAGAGCACTCACATCCTCTGCCCTTTCCACTAGTGGGTAAAACTCAGGCTCAGGGATTCAGAAACCAGAGGCTGAATATACAGACAGTGGGCAAACCATACATGGAAAGACAGCTCTGACCCACGACCCGCATGCAGCACCAGCCCAGGAAACCACCCCTTCCCTAGAGACCCAGCCCAGGAAACCACCTCTTACCTAAAGACCCAGCTCTGGAAACCACCCCTTCCCAGGGTAGGAAATTGGGAAGAAAACGCTTTCCTTCCCCAGGGGCTCCAGCAGGGTGTCAAGGGGCTGAAAAGAGGGACTGGGTTCAGTGTTTCATTCAGGGCACATGCCATCTCGAATGGGGAGAAGAGGGTATTTTTCAGCATTTGTACTAAACTTGCGTGTGTACGTATTCACTGGCATTTCGGTGGCAGTTGGTTTACTCTCGCTAAGTGTTATTTTATTATTCAAACCACAGTTTGGTTCATTATCTCTCTGCAGAGCTTCTTGCAGGCAGAACTCCCACACCCCGACATCGCTGTCCAGAGTCAGTCCTTGAGGGACTCTCGGAGTCCAGAAAATTCTGAGAGCTCAGTGATGAGGGGGAAGGCTCAGAGTGGAAAACAAGGCGGTCCCACTCCTCCACTTTCAGTTCTTTAGGGCAAGGGGGGCGGAGCTGTCCGAGATTCTGGGAATCTTCACTGTTTCTAGTTCAGCACAAAGGTGGCGGTGTGGCTTGGAGGTCAGAACCAGAAACAGCGCCCTGGGACTCAGGAAACAGCAGTGGGGAATGAGCTGGGTCAAGGGAGACAGTCCTGGGCCAGCCCCAGAGGCTGAGTCAGAGGTCCGGCAGGGCCCAGGAGCTCCAGAAAGTGCTGGTGGAAGGGGGTAGCTGAGTGTGCAGCCAGCAGGAACAGTGGGGAAGGGAAGGGGTGTGGAAGGGCCGGCAGGCAGGTAATGAGAGGAACAGGAGGAGGCAGGTTATGGCAGATCACAGGGCCTGGGCAGAGGAGCTGGGGTCAGCAGTAATACGGGAGAGGTCAGAGGGCAGACCCCCTCCCCAGACCTGGCAGATGCAGGGAGGGCTTCTGGAGGAAGTGGGAGCAGACCCCACGTAAGGGAGGGGCTGGTGAAGGAAGCTCAGGCCCAGGCAAGGAGGCAAGGAAGTCAGGCAGAGGAGAGGGAGAGGTCTCTGGGAGCTGGGGCCCATCTGGTTCTTTGGGCTTCTGCAAGATAGAACGCTGTCTGCTCCACGACCTCTCCTCAGCTATCACCAAACCCTCAGGGGCATCCCAGCAACCCTCAGCTGCAGCCTGCTTTGCTGGACACGTGCCCTGAACTTTGAGACTCAAGCTAGGGCTTGGTTTAGGCCATTGTTCACTCAGTAGCCAGGCTCTGCTTATAACAATAGCAATAACACCAAGAAGAATTGTTAGGGACTTCCTGGAGTCCAAATTATTTAGGTTGTTGTGCTGCCGAAGGCAGCGTATATACAAATTATTTAGACTGCTTCCTGGGACCCAAAAACCAGGCAGTGCAGTAAAAGTTCAAGGTGAGCAGGCAGAAAGAAAGCCTCAAATTCAGACTACAATTAGCCCCAAGCCGAGGAGACAGCACACAGCAGCTCCCTAACCAAAACATGCTGCTTACAGTGAACAAACATCTCATGCTCCATGACGGCCACATACCCACTGCACAGTGCATGCTCCAGGGAACTCTTAAACTGGAATAAGTTATCTCCCATGGCTTAGTCCATGCTGTACTACCATACAGAATACCTGAGACTGGGTAATTTATAAAGAACAGAGATTTATTTCTTACAACTCTTGAGGCTAGGAAGTCCAAGGCCAAGGTGCCCCCATCTGATGAGGGCCTTCTTAAGGTGTCGTCCCATGTAGAAAGGTAGGAGGGCAAGAGAGGGAGAGGATGGAAGGAGATCAAAGTCATCCTTTCATTAGGAGTTCATCACCATGATAACATGATAACTAACCCACTCCCATGATCACTAACCCACTCTCACAATAACTAACCCACTCTCGTGATCACTAACTCACTCTCATGATAACTAACCCACTCTCATGATAACCAACCCACTCCCATGACAACTAACCCACTCCCATGATCATTAATCCACTCCCATGATCACTAACCCACTCCCATGATAACTAACCCACTCTCATGATATCTAACCCGCTCCCATGACAACTAACCCACTCCCATGATGACTAACCCACTCCCATGTTATCTAACCCACTTCCATGATAACTAACCCACTCCCATGATAACCAACCCACTGTCATGATAATTAACCCACTCTCATGATATCTAACCCACTCCCATGATAACTAACCCACTCCCATGATAACCAACCCACTGTCATGATAATTAACCCACTCTCATGATATCTAACCCACTCCCATGTTGACTAACCCACTCCCATGTTGACTAACCCACTCCCATGTTGATTAACCCACTCCCATGATAACTAACCCACTCCCATGATATCTAATCCACTCTCATGATATCTAACCCGCTCTCATGATAACTAAACCACTCCCATGATCACTTACCCACTCCCATGATTACTAACCCACTCTCATGATATCTAACCCACTCCCATGTTGAATAACCCACTCTCATGATAACTAACCTACTCCCATGATGACTAACCCACTCCCATGATGACTAACCCACTTCCATGATGACTAACCCACTCATGATATCTAACCCACTCTCATGATAACTAACCCACTCCCATGATCACTAACCCACTCCCATGATATCTAACCCACTCTCATGATAATTAACCCCCTCCCATGATCACTAACCCACTCTCATGATAACTAACCCACTCCCATGATATCTAACTCACTCCCATGATGACTAACCCACTCCCATGATAACCAACCCACTGTCATGATAATTAACCCACTCTCATGATATCTAACCCACTCCCATGATAACCAACCCACTGTCATGATAATTAACCCACTCTCATGATATCTAACCCACTCCCATGATAACTAACCCACTCTCATGATAACTATCCCACTCTCATGATAATTAACCCCCTCCCATGATCACTAACCCACTCTCATGATAACTAACCTACTCCCATGATATCTAACCCACTCCCATGATATCTAACCCACTCCCATGATCACTAACCCACTCTGAAGATAAGGGTATTCATACATTCATGAAGCTAGAGCCCTCATAGCCTAATCATCTCTTAAAGGTCCCACCTCTCAATGCTGTTGCACTGGGGATCAAGTTTCAAACACATGAACTTTGAGGGACACCCTGAAACTACAGCACCCACCCACTTTGATGTTTGTAAGTATTGGTTGCAAATAAATGTCCATGGACCCCCATAAAAGCCCCCACAGAGGACACTGAGTCTTTGTCCACCTCTGTCTTTAGGAAGGAAACGTGGGAAGGGAGCAGCCACCTTGATACTTTGGAGATGAAGAAGTCATTTATTCATTTTCCATCCTTTCAATGAGCATTTAAGGAATGACCAGTGCATCCTTGGGGATTGCAAGGCAGAGGCCATGCTTGATGCCTGGGGGATGCTGAGACTCAGAGAAGACTCTCCGTGAGCATCTCTTGGTGTGGACCAGGACACACTGCAATCCTCAGCAGTAGTTCAGTTGGCCACAACATGATGTGACCCCTTCTATGTCCTCATCTCACTTCCCAAAACAGAATTCAAGACAGGAACTGACTGGTTAGGACCAACTGGACGATGTCCATTGTGGCCACCTACCCACAGCATCCCATCTTGGTGAAGATGAGAAGGCAGAGGAGGGACAGACAAACTCCGGGGTCGGAGCTCATGAATTGGGAGCTTCCACGCCATGCCAGTCCCTCTTTTCCACATTGAGGACACAATTGGTGGTTCCAGTTACTAACTGTGGTTGCTACAAAGGAGTATTTTAGATTAAAAAGGAAACATTTATCAGCAGGCTTTGGAGCTACAATTCCCTGTTGGTGACTGATTTCATACAACCAGAGTGTTATAGGACTACCTCGGCCACAGATCTCGGTTTTTCAGGGATAAGTCCCAATCGCCCATCTCTATTCTTTTAAGCAAAGGTGATTTATCACATGGATGACTTAAATTTGGGCCCTTGTAAGACTCTTTGTATAAATGCATTTAAACATCAGGGAAAATGTTGTCAGAACACTGGCTTTGATATTGGGTTTAAAAGGATGATCTCTGCATTACCTTGACAGACAGCACTTTGCAAATGAGTCCATCAAATAAACATCATTTGGATAATGTCACAATCTCTGGACAAATCTGGAAACCCACTGGGGTGGCAAAGAATTAGGCTCTAGAGTCACCTGTCTGGAGAGAAAGCTCCTTGGTCCTCTCAAGTGGGTCTTGCCTGGAAGTGTTTGGGGCCATCTATGAGAGTGCTTCATCCTCAGGGCAACGAAATGAAGAGTAAATGTTCCAAAAACAGGAATGAAATCAGCTTCTCCATCTTGCTCTCATGACAACGCCTGATGAATGTTTCCCTCCAGAATCAATAGAAAAGTTTATTTAGAGATTTGGGAGGGAGTCTGGGGGAAGGGGAGCCGTGCAAACAAATATTCCCCCAGCTGGCTTCCCTTAGGTTGAGATCTGTAAATAATATTCTGCAATAACAGAAGTTATGAACCAACAGTTCTCATGGAGAGGAGAAAATAATGGCAAATAAAAGCGCTCATGCCCAGAACATAAACCATCGTTCCTCCTGAGACTGACGAATGGAAACACTTACCTCGGCCGCCAAGGGGAGCAGTAAGGGATCAGGTGGGGGTGGGGGCAGAACCGGGGGAGACCAGCTCAGCCCCTAGCCTGGGTCGTCAATCCATTTGTCAGCTGAGCCCACCATGTATGCACTAGAGGGTACTTAATTGCTCATAAAAATGATTTACTGGGTGTTTCGTTTTTTTAATAAACTATGGGGGTGGAGAAAACATGAAGTTCCATGGAGCGTTGGCTTTTTACCTTTCAAATTCATAAAAACAAGCCCGTGATCAGGAAGGAGAGCCAGGGAAGGAGTGGGCCGGGAGGATGCTCTGGAGATGGGGAGCAGAGCTCATTTTTGGAGAGTGTGTTCCTGCCGGTGGGAGATGGAAGGCCCTGCTGTGATGCTCCGGCACCACCGCCCACCCCCGGATGCCCAAACTTCTACTTCCACGTCCATTCTTCCTGGAGACTCGTCCATGCATAACCCTGTCCTGTGGCGGTCGGCCAGGTGCCTCCCCCGCTTAAGAGTGAGGAGGCTGATTACCCAAGGGCATTGGCAAGAGGGTGGGATGGGGGCTGCAGACGCCTGCTGTGCCCTTCTCCTCGAATCTGCCCTTGACACGTCCAGGAATCCTAAGGCCGGAGCCCACGGCTGGGGGAGGACTCTGCAGGCGGGACCCTCATCTGCCTTGCACACGACTTCCTACCCCAGCACATCACACAATCCTGGACACAGCAGGTGCTCAATAAATAATGCGCCCAGGGTAACAGACCCGCATGAAGCGGCCAAGTTCCTCTGAGGGAAATCACGCTAAGAATTTATTAAATAAACGGCAGAATTCTGGGAGAGCCCCCAGCCTTCAGATAGGGTTCCCTCTAATTCACCCCCCACACGGCTCCACCGTGCCCCAGGCCTGCCCCAGGCCTGCCCCAGGCCTCCTCTTCCCTCCCTCCCGGCCGGAGGCTTCCCCGAGGAGAGACCAGCCAGCCCAAACATGTCACCATCAACAAGCCCGCCGCCCCGCTGCCCCCGTGTGATCATTCTCCCCGTCCCTTCTCGGGGCCGCAGAGCCCATGCTGGGCAGCCACTGGGCAGAAGTGTCAGCTCCTAAATCAAAGACATACATCACCGCCGCCCAAATGAACACGTTTTATGGAGCCGTAAATGATTTTATGATAAACAGGCGCTGAGGGTTATGAATCAGGTTAGGCAGCCGCCATCTTTACCCCTCAGCCCCAGTCCCCGTTGCTTTCGATTGAGCGGCGATACAGGGGGTGCGGAATGACATTTAGTTACATTAAATTGCAAGCGTGCCTTTTCTCCTCGCTGCTTTCCCCACATAAAACGAGGATGAATGCCCCTTCAGCAGCTCCGAGGCCTTGCTCGGCCGCAGGAACGGACTCGGCGCCCCGGGTCGCTGTGAGTGACTCATGAGGCCCGGCCCCATCTCGGGGAGCCCTGAAGGCCACATCTGGGCAGAGATGGGCTAAGGAGGCTGCTCATTAGCCGAACCCTGACAACAAAAGAGGAAAATGGTGCCTGGAAGCCGTGGACCCCCCTGAGCGGGCTCAGAGAGCGGGGAGAATCTCACGGCGAGCTCCGTGGACCGGATCGTCCCTTGCGCTCAGGCTCAATTATGGACACGGCTTTTCAGAAGATCCCATTGTTAGACCACGGGACATCTCAAAGGCAGGGCAGGTCGGGGTGGGGGCAGCAGCGGGAGACCGGGCTTTACAAACGACTGTTTTCCTGGAAAGAGAGGAGAGGGCGGGGAGGGGAGGGGAGGGGAGGCTAAGGAGTCCCTGGCTTGGAAGTCAGCCCTTCTCAAACCAAGAGGAAGCCTCGTTCTAGAGACACCCCGAAAACTGACAGGCACCTCAGCTTCTCTCCTTTCCTGAGATCTGAAGGATCATTCCATTTCAGCCCTGAGAAAACATGAATCCTCCCCGTATCCCGGCCAGAAGATAAACTTAACATGGGGAGTGAGGGAGGAGAACACTTTTTAAAGATTTACAAAAACTCAATGAAAGTTAAGTCTTTTGAGCGGATGAGACGTTAAGGATGGAGAAGGTGGGGAAAGGGTTACATTGCTGACACGGAGAAAAGAGAAAACGTTTCCTTATCCCATGACTCTCCCCACTGCATAAAAATGCAGTTCCCACCTGGTCCCAAGCACCTGGGCAGGATCCATCTTTTACTGTCATGTAGCTTCTAAAACAGTAAATGAAGTCAGACATCTTCTCTCACTCTTCTTCATCCTCACCTTTCTCCCCAAACATATCTGGAAAAAATATCTCCTTGGTTGTGCAATCCTCAAGAACATTCGGCTATTTCACTGAAACGCTCATCTTTGCTGATAACATTTCACATCCATCTAGGCCCTGGGCATCAGGGAACAAGGCCCACTATGGGCTCTGCGGTAGGGAGAGCTGATAGGTAATAACTACCTGGAGGAATTGGTGAGGCCCAGTGCTCAGCTCTGGGGGACAGGGGGCCTTCCCCAGGCTGGGCGATCCGAGGACACCTCACACATAGGTTTTCCAGCACCTGGTTTAGCCTCTGATAAGCCACAGTATATTTCCGAAACAGGTACAATAAATGGGGGTGCCAGCAGCAACAGATCATCTCTGAGGCTCAGGAACAAAAACAAATCCATCTTTTTGGAAATGAACTCAGAGCTTGAAGATCATTCCTTGAAACTCGTTGCTGGTCTGAGCCTCTCCTCCTCGGGTGCCAGAAAAACCTTATACTCAGCTTGACGCTGCTTGGAACTGAACTAAAAGAACAACTGTGATAAATGTGGGCAATGCTGAGATTAAGCAGAAGTCAAGAATGAGGACCCAACACACACCCATTCTTGATGGGAACTGAGCTTCTGGCTTAGCCACCAACGCCGGCCTTGCTTACACCACACCTCGCGTGGCAACGGGCAGGCGTGAAGCTTCTGGGTTCTTTCTCCATCACCAACAGACATTTATTGCACAGTTACAATGTGCTCCTCATGTACGTAACAGAGAAAAAGAAGAGCAACAAGTCACTGGAGAGCTGGACTTCAGAGGACCCTGGAGAATCCAGCGGCTGTGTGTGTGCACCTGTTTTGAGGGGCACCCTTTGGCAGGATGGTAGAAACTTGAGATAAATAAACAGACCACATTTGAGGCAGCATCTCCATCCCAGTTCTGCCTGGCACCAGCTCTGCACACAAAAAATGTTTTAACCCAAAACCTCAAAAAGAGGCCACAGTGTAGACAAAAGCCACATAATGGTTCTGCAAGTCTCAGCTCCCCTACTGCAAAACAGGCCACATGAAAACAGAGGATGCCAGAAGCTAGCAGAGTCCCTCCAGTGGACATGGATGGTCAGGTTTTCACCCACGACACCTGCAGCCAGTAAGGTGGTAGGAAGCACCATTGCTCCAGACCAGCCTTGTCCTCAAATGACCTCACCTGCATCCAGGCCACCTGGAATACCTGCCAAAAGTCAAACTTCCATGGACCCAACCTGGCCCTTCAGAACCAGGGTCGCTGGGGCTGAGTCCTAGGACCCTGCCATTCAAGGTTCCCAAATGAATATTCTGCAAGCTCAAGTTTGAGAAACCCAGTCTCTCCTTCCTGTGGCTTCCTTAGAGAGTCCACATCTGCAGTGGAGACACATGCCCCAGCACAGGGGACTCCACACCTTCGGAAACTCTCTCCCATGCCATGTCTCCTAGCAGCCTAGAAACCCAGATCAAGGGACGGGAGGAAGGAGATGGGCTTTGGCTCTAGGCCTCCCTGCAGCTCTTGGTATTGGTGCCTCCCAGGAGATGCCTCCACCCCAGCCCTCCAGTCTCCCCTCTCCTGGCATCCATCACCAGGTCATGACCCGTGTCAGGCTGTCACCCTGTCTGATGGAGAGCTCTGTGCAGGCAGGGGCCAGGCCTGGCTCATTCACAGCTGTAAGGCCAGCACCTGAGGGTGGCTGGCATCCAAGAAGGGAATAATTTGGAAGAACAGGAGACGGCAGCCTTGTTCCTCCGTGGTTCACCACTCTCTGCCCCAGCCTTCTGTTCATGATGATACATGTGTCCCACATCTGTAACAGGCTTCACGGGTGATGACGTTCTCTGAGGAACTCATCCCTGTGATATTGCAGCAGCTGCAGCGACAGTCCCTGAGAACTCAGGAGAACTCGCTGTGCACCTGCGCCTGGGCTGGCAGAGGGATCACCAGGCTCCTGGTCCGCATCTCCTGCTGGTGACACCAACACCACGAGGGGCAGAGGGATCACCAGGCTCCTGGCCCACATCTCCTGCTGGGACCCCAACGCCACGTGGGGCAGAGGGATCAACAGGCTCCCGGCCCACATCTCCTGCTGGGACCCCAACGCCACGTGGGGCAGAGGAATCAACAGGCTCCCAGTTGTATCTCCTGCTGACAACACCAACACCATGTGGGGCAGAGGGATCACCAGGCTCCCGGTCTGCATCTCCTGCTGGTGACCCCAATGCCATGAGGGACTGAGACTCCCACTGCTGGTTTTTGTGAGATGTTTCTAAGTTGAGGGTTTAGCTCTGAAGGGGGTCTCACAGGCCAAGGGTCTCCATGACCCAGGGTCTGAATTTCCTGGCCATGGCTCCCCTGAGCCAACCAATGCCTTTCCCCACCCAAATTGGACCTGCCTCCAACACAGGGAACCTGGCTTAAGGAGAAAGCACTGCGGAAGGAGTGGCTGCCGGTGCTCAGCTGGGCTGGAGCAGGCCCAAGAGCTGGAGGCCAACATAGTGAAACCCCGTCTCTACTAAAAATACAAAAATTAGCTGGGCGTGGTGGCACACGCCTGTAATCCAACCACTAAGGAGGCTGAGGCAGGAGAATCACTTGAATCCAGGAGGCAGAGGTTGCAGTGAGCCAAGATCACGCCATTGCACTGTAGCCTGGGCAACAGAGTGAGAGTCCATCTCAAAAAATAAAAAACAAAAAGAAAAAACAAAAAACAGAGCTCGAGGGAGACAGCTTGGTGGCGGACACCCATCCTCAGCAGAACACAGCGTGTCTCCTGTGGAAGCCCCACAGGAACCGTCTTCAGGACACCAGAAGGATGTGCCGCTCTCCAGGTGCGGGGCTCAATCCCCTAGGCCCTCAAGCCCCCCAAGCCCCCAACTCTGAGCTGAGCAACAAAGAAACCCCATCACAGCCTCTGGGCAGGAGCAGAAAATGACACAAAAGGAGGGGCTCCTGCAGCTCACAGAGACCCACACCAGTCCCGACTGGCCCCGCCACCCTCTCACGAGACCCAGGCCTCTGGCGCGGGGCAAGGGCACGCTAGCGACCCCAAAGGACAGCGTGCAGCAGGCACTTTGGGTGGGTTCCCCAGGAGGGTGCAGAGCAAGGGGCTTCTGGCCTTGGTGTGGGAATGGTCGGGCGTGGCCTGGCAGGGAGGATGCCCAGCGGGGAGCCTGTAAGCATGATCCCTGGGGCACTGCCCTCAGGGGCACAGGAGGGAAGGGACAGGCTCCGGCTTTACGGCATCACACAGACACTTCCACGGGAGTCTCCGTGGCAGCCGTGGAGAACCCGCGCACTCCTCGGCTTCTTACGGGGCCTTCCCAGAAGCATCCGCTCTTCCAGAGGTTTTCACCTGAGCAGCACAGAGACCTTGTTCTAATACAGGCCTTGCAGCCCAGGTGCCTCACGCCTCGCACCGTCTGGGGGAAGGAGCATCCATGGAATGTCATCATAAATAGACAAATAAGTCTATACACACACAGAGACAGAAAGAGAGACACAGGGATAGACAAAGAGAGACAGAGACGGAGAGTCAGAGAGAGACCCACAGAGAGGGAGACACACAGACAGACAGGGAGGCAGAGAAAGAGTCAGACAGAAGCAGAGACAGGGCAAGAAAGAGACAGAGCCAGACAGAGAGAGAGAGAGAGAGAAACAGAGACAAAGAGAGAGGGAGGCAGTGCGCAGACAAAGGTGGCTCCCAGAGCCGAGGGCCATGAGGGAGTCTTGGTGAGAGAATGTGGCTATTTTGATGGAAACTCACCCCCGACACAGAAAACTAAATCCCCGTTGCAGGCTCACCAGGCAGACCCATGGCATGGCAGGGACCAGACGGGCTCAGGAGGCCTTCCAGCGGGCTCCTCCCTCACAGAGAGGGCAAACAGAGGCCTCCACAGCCACACGCTGTCAGTGGCAGGGCTGGGGACGAGGTGCAGGTTTCCATCGTCTGTTTTTCTTGCTCCACGCCCGGTCTTTGGTCTCCGGGGGCCTCGAGCCACGGCAATCGGTGGGCCCTCCCTAGAGAAGACGTCCAGGCCACTACGAAAACCCACACTGAAGGGCTGCATGGGAGAAACAAGGCAGGATCTAGAAACAGGAGGTTCCAGCTACCAAGAACCTAAATCTCCCTGTTCATTCCTTCGTTCATCCAGCGAGTGCAGAGAAGCTTCACAGTGAGCCGCACTCCACCCAAAGATGAACAGTAGAGACAAACGGTGAAAGGCCGGTTAGAGTCAGCATGACTCAGAGAGAGACGAGCCAGCATGGGGAGGGATGGCGCGCAGCAGGCTTCCCCGAGGAGAGGACTAGGAGGTTGGTGGACGGGAGGCCAGCAACTCAGGGGGATGGGTGGGGAGACGAGTGTGCTCTCTCACACCCAGCACTTCTCCCTCCAGGAGCCCCGGCCGCCCTCACAATTAGGTGGACCAAGTGGCGCGTTCTGGCCAACGGGCTGTGAGCTGGCGTGAAGCGTACCGCTTCTGGCAGGGATGTCTCACTCCTGTATGCAAAGCCCTTCAGCACTGTCTTCCCCAGGGAACAACTGCATTAGGCTGTTCTTGCATTGCTATAGAGAAATGTCTTCGACTGGGTAATTTATAAGAAAGGAGGTTTAATTGGGTCATGGTTCGGCAAGCTGTATGGGAAGCATAGCCCCGGCATCAGCTTCTGGGGAGGCCTCTGGAAGCTTCCAGTCACAGTGGAAGGCAAAGGGGGAGCAGGCATGTCACGTGGTGAAAGCAGGAACAAGAGAGAGAGAGAGTTGGGGGAGGCGCCACACACTTTCCAATGACCAGATGTCACGGGAACTCACTCACTATCATGAGGACAGCACCAAGAGGATGGTGCTAAACCCTTCACGAGAAAGCCCCACCCCCATGGTCCAGTCACCCCCCACCAGGCGCCACCTTCAGTTCTCAGGATGACATTTCCACATGAGATCTGGACAGGGACAGATATCCAAACCATATCAACAGCCAAGAAGCCCACTAGTCCCAGGTAGTGAAGCCATAGCTGGAAGAGCTGCCACCGGCCTGGATCCCTGAGTGGCCTGTGGAGCAGAGACCCTGCCAGCCTGTCATGTGTGTGTACTGTGAGCAATAAACGTGCCATGCCGTGTGTGAGGCAGGCTTAGCCCACAACAGCACTGGCCTCAAGGGAGCACTAAAAATTATTATTTTTATTAAATCTCAACCCTGAGTTTACATCTTTTTAATGTAAATCTTTTTAATCTTCTGTGTGATTAAATGGGAACTATGTATAAAACACTCCTGGTGCAAACCAAAGTAGAATGTTTGTCTCGGAGAAAACCCTTGAGCCCTGTGAAACAACTGTGAGCTGAACTGGCTGCTTTTTATGAAATACCGTTTTTCCTTGAGAGAATAACTAAGAGACAAACTATGGTTATTCAGACATGGGTATTTGGCAGACATTTTCTCAAAATATATAAAGTGAGCCTGTCACTTCAAGGAAAACAACTGACAATATTTGTTGCCAATAATAGAGTTCTGACTTTCAAGGAGAAATTAGAATTTTGGAAGACTCGTATCCACCGCCGGGAGCTCGACAGCTTCCCAGCACTTAAAGGCTTTTGCGATGAAGAACGTGCTGATATTATTGAATGTGATGCTTGATATTGAATGAAGAAATGTGTTAGCATTTGGAAGATCTGCAAAACGCAGTGGAACGGTATTTTCCAGATGACCGTGGTGTGATGTTTCAAAATTACACGTGGGTTAAAAATCTATTCTTTGAATGAAAAAGGAAAAATTACTGACAGGGCTTTCCAATTTCCCACTGCAACTAACCTTTAGAAAACTCCTGCTTATTGACTTCCAGTTTAGCATAAAGAACAGTATCTGCAATTATCTAACAAAGCTTTTAAAATACCCCTCTGTTCCCCAACTACATACCTGTGTGAGGCCATATTTTCTTCATGTATTTTAAACAAAACAACATACTGCAACAGATTGAATACAGAAGGAGTTTTGCAAATCCAGCTGCCTTCTCTCCAACCAAACATTACAGAGATTTGCTGAAAGGTAAAACAAAGCCTCACTTCTCACTATTTGGTGGTGGTGGGGGGGGGGGGTGGTCTATAATTATTTTTATTGAAATCTGTTATTTATGTAAACCTGTAATTAGCTTATTATTATCATCTTTTTGTTTTGTTTTGTTTTGTTTTTGAGACAGAGTCTCGCTCTGTCGCCAGGCTGGAGTGCAGTGGCGCGATCTTGGCTCACTGCAACCTCCACCTCCCGGTTTCAAGCAATTCTCCTGCCTCAGCCTCCCGAGTAGCTGGGATTACAGGCATGTGCCACCACGCCCAGCTAATTTTTGTATTTTTAGTAGAGATGGGTTTTTACCATGTTGGCCTGGCTGGTCTTGAACTCCTGACCTCATGATCTGCCCACCTTGGCCTCCCAAAGTGCTGGGATTACAGGCATGAGCCACTGCGCCCAGCCTATCATTGTTATTTTTAATGAATTAATAAGTACATGAGTTGTAAGTTTCTCAGTTTTTGTCAGTAAAGAAGAAATTATCAATAGAGATAATCCACACCCACCAAAGCTCTGTGGGAACCTCAGTAACTTTTAAAAGTACAAAGGGTTTCTGAGACTAGAACGTAGGGGTCCAAATTCCTGAGCCTGGAGTTCAGGCCATCCACAGTGTCACCCAGCTGACCTCCCCCGCACACCCCTGTCCATGCTGGCTCATGTGTTCCCACACCCTCCTTCCAGAACACCACACCTGCTTCACCTTCCTCACGGTGCAGCTGGGTAGAAACCCTTCCCCACCTCCATGTAAGCTTCTAACCATTCCAAAAGCCCAGCTCAGGCTCCTGCCCCTAGCAAAGCTCCCAAGCTTTCCAGACTACAGTGCTCTTTGTCCCCAGAACACCTGCAGCCACCTGAGCCTTTGGCTTGTCCTAAGACATGAATGACAGCAGGAGGCACAGGGCAAGGCGTTGTGACTCACCCCACACCAAAGGTGCTGCCTCTGCTCCGACCAGCCTGACATCACCACAAGAGAGGGGACAGCCTGGGGTCTTCATGGGGCCCAGTCTAGGGCCAAGACCCTGGTGGATGCCACATGAGTAAACAAATGAACAAGAAAATGGAGGCCTTCCTCTCCCACAAGTCTTCCTCTGAATAGACAGTCCCGGAACCTCAAGTCACAGCCTTCAAGAGCTCAATGGGGCCAGGCGCAGTGGCTCATGCCTGTCATCTCAGCACTTTGGGAGGCCGAGGTGGGTGGATCAGTTGAGGTCAGGAGTTCGAGCCCAGCCTGGCCAACATGGTGAAACCCTGTCACTACTAAAAATACAAAAATTAGCCTCATGTCATAGCGGGCACCTGTAATCCCAGCTGCTCGGGAGGCTAAGGCATGAGAATCACTTGAACCTGGGAGACGCGGAGGTTGCAGTGAGTCAAGATCGCACCACTGCACTCCAGCCTGGGCGACAGAGAGAGACCCTGTCTCAAAACAAAAAAGAAAAAAGAAAAGAAAAGGAAAAAAAAAAGAGCTCAGTGGGCGCTCCCTGGGTTTCCTTCTGCACCGAGCTGGGAGAAGGAGCCCACCCCACTCTGACACCATTATTCTTCAGGATATCCCAGGGGCTCCCCGGATGACCCAGTGTGGCCATCGGCCTCTCAAAACCTGAGCAGCTCCTTGAGATTTCATATAGACCAATCAGAAATCAGAAATCATCAGTGTGCCTTTTTTTTTTTTTTTTTTGAGACGGAGTCTCCCTCTGTCACCAGGCTGGAGTACAGTGGCACAATCTCAGCTCACTGCAACCTCCACCTCCCAGGTTCAAGCGATTCTTCTGCCTCAGCCTCCCAAGTAGCTAGGACTACAGGCGCCCGCCTCCATGCCCGGCTAATTTTTGTATTTTTAGTAGAGACGGGGTTTCACTATGTTGACCAGATGATTTCGATCTCTCGACCTCGTCATCTGCCTGCCTTGGCCTCCCAAAGTGCTGGGATTACATGCATGAGCCACCGCGTCTGGCCCGCGCCTTTTAAATTTTTGAAGAATAATTAAGAGTGTTGGACTCAATGGCTACATTAAAGTACAAGTGGTGTTTAACTGGTCTGGAATAATCATAGTTACTTGTGACTGACAGAACAGTGACTCATAGATTAAAGATGCCTTGGCCTGAGCTGCCCCCCTGGGGCTTGGCAGTTTGGGGCATCTCTCACGTGTACCCGGAGCTCCAGTGGGAGGAGGATTCTGACTGTGGCACTGCCAGCCCTCTATCCCTAACCTGCTATTTTCCAAGGACAACTTGGGGGCCCTTCTTACTTTCCTCTTTGCATTTTTCTATTAACTTCTTTTAGACAAAACTCAGAGTGAATAAGATAGATATATATCCTTCCATTAATTGAGGAAACTGAGGCTCAGGGAAGCTACAACTTGTTTAAAATATGGATGAGCCAAAGCCGACCCCAAGTTCCCTCCAGACCAGTGAAGATCATGAGACCAGGTCTTGTTCCTGGTCTTTCAGGGCTGTGGAGACTGGACACTTCATCTTCCTTGACTCCCTCTTGCCATCTCCGAAAGGCAGGGTATGGGGAGATGTATTAGTCAGAGAAACACTCACTAGCTGCTGGAACAAACAGCACCAAAATGTCAGACACTCGCCACAAAGAAAGGTATTTCCTGATGGCCAAAGTATCACGGAGAATGGGTCATGATCCTGGTGGCCCTCACTAAGGGTGATTCATGCACCCGAGCTCCCTTTATAATGGGATTCAGAATCCCAGGTATGAAATCACTGAGCACAACAGCCCAGCCTGCCTGCATGGAGGTCCAGGCTAGGGAGCATGCTCCAAACT
The DNA here is from genome assembly GCF_000001405.40 of Homo sapiens. Lineage (NCBI taxonomy): Eukaryota > Metazoa > Chordata > Mammalia > Primates > Hominidae > Homo > Homo sapiens. The sequence goes on along the minus strand of NC_000001.11, from coordinate 4,123,092 downwards.
AGGAATTCTGTCATCTCCTGGCAGGAGGCAGAGTCCTTCCATTTTAGGGAGGTTTGGAGAGGGTCGTGTGGCCCATCCTTGCCACCCCACCATTCCCTGCCCATGGAGTGTGCACCTCAGGCTCACACAAAGTCTGCACCTGCCGCTGTGGTCATGGTCACTACATGGAGGCAAACTAGGACAGGCAGACAGTGGTCTCTGCGTCTTCCTCCAGAGTCATCTTTGCAAGGTTCTTCACACCCCAGGCAGCAGCCACCCAGCCAGAACCTTAAGGACCTGCTCTCATGAGCAGGTGTCAGCCCTTCTGGACCCAGCTAAGTCCATAACAGGTGATGTCTTGGGAACTAGCTGGACAGAGATGCCTCAGCGCCTGCTTCAAGGGTGGGGGCAAGGGATCTCAATGGAGGCTGCCCTCCTTCTCCCGCCTCCCCAGCTGGCCCGGGGCTCTGGCAGCTGCTGGAGCTGCTGCTCCAACCCACACAGCAGCCAGTATCGTGCCCATGGCTGAGAGGGTACCCCGGAAGCCTCTGGCTTCCCTATTCCCAAACAGAGAATCTGAAGGAACATCACACTCTACTCCAGCCTGGAAGCTTCTCGGCTCATAGGGAGCTGCCGGCCAGGGCTGCTCCAGGCACACACATGCGCCACCCTCCTCCTTTGTCTCAGAGGGCAGCTTCCTCCCGGGCCCTTCGGGAAGTGCACATCTGATTCTTCAGCAGCTCCAAGGCCTGGAGGAGGTCGCTATACTGGTCACATAGTAGAGGCCCCTTACCTCTGCCTGTTGTCAACCCCCAAGAGGTCCCACTGCACATCCATCATGTCCATTGCTGATGCCCCAAGCCCGGCACAGAGATGGCCTTCTGAAAATAAATGTCTGCAAAGTGAGATGCCAGGATCCATTTCCCTGGACATTTTAAACAAACCACAGCCCCAGCCGTGGCTGCCTTCGCCTTCCTCTGGTGATCCTGCTCTTCTCTGGCCCGGCCTGCAGTTGTCATTTGCAGCAGAAACTTGGCATCTCCCCCGTCTCATCACAGAAGAATCGATGTTTCCTCCAGCGTCCGGGCCATTTGTCACAAAGGAGATGCAGAAACCACAGGGTACGCACCGGGTACCTGGTGACTGTGTAGCTGCATTGGCCCCACTGCTGATCATGGGGACCGTGCAACCCTCAGAAGGGAGGGCCGGTGTCCTGGTACAGATGACAGAGCTGAGCCGTGAAAAGGACGAGTGGCTTGCCCAAGGCCATCCAGCTAATTTGGGAGAGCAGAGCGGGGTCCTGGAGCTGGGTCCCTTCGCTGGGTTTCTTTCCATCCATCCACTCAGCTCCAAGGAGCCTCTTCCCCCACCACACCCCCGCCAGGAGATTGGCTCCAAGTTCTCAGAGTCATTCTCAGTATAAGAAGCAGAGTCATCTTCTAAAACATTCCCAGGGGAGTCACCTGCTCTGAGAAAATAATAACTCACCACATCAGACTCGAAACGGTGTGTAAGGACGAAGTACACATCTTCCAAGAGAGGCCTCGGATGCTCAAAACTGTGTTTCTGCAAATCAGGAAGTAAGGGCGGCTGCTGTGCCAGGCTCACGGCCACTTACTCCTACTTTTCCAGCTCGCTCCACACTCCTGAGACAAAACGCAGCACTGGGGTTCAGCTCACCTGCTGTGAGCCAGACAGAAAACTTGCAAGCACTTCCCCAAGCCCACAGCTCTAGTTGGCCTCCCTGCCCTCTCCAATGCTCAGAGCAAGCTCAGGGACTGCCTTGGAGTTTGCAAAGGGGCATCATGAGGTTTTAATCTCAAATATATTACATTTGAATTCAGATCCCTTTACTCTGTCCAAACAAATTAGCCTCCCAGGAACACAGGGCTGAGCCTCCAGCTTCTCCTGCTAAATGGAAAGATGGCCACCTGCAAGGCCAGCAGGCCTGGACACTTTCTCAATTAAAAGTTGAGGACAGCTCTTCTCCCATCAAGTCTGCCATCGGGCCCCCGTCAGTCCGTATCCCTTGCCAGGGGCCCTCCTGCCACGGATGCCTTGCCAAGTGTCTAAAATGGTGAGTACTGCTTTTGCTTAAAAGACTGCTTGGCCGAGGGTCCCACCAGTGCCACACTTCTCTGAAATGTATCGATTTGTATTCCACAGTTCAAGAAAACTAATCTGGATCATAAAAGCCGGAGTGGAGAACTATCAAGCTCAAAGGGTGGTGTTTGAGCGAGGGCTTCTCTCGTGTGAGAATTAGTCATTGATCTTCCCTGAGACGTTTCAAAGAGGAGCCTTCAGTGACATGATCCAAACACATTCTGATGCGGCCGACAGCTCAGCCCGGCAGCCAGTGCCAGCTCCGTGCACAGAGGAGAATCCCAGGCTCCTCCTGCCTGAGCCACCCTGAGGCCTGCACGTGTGGGCTCAAGGGATGGGCCCCCATCAGAGAGAGTTGGGAAGAAGCCCCAAAATGGACTTTCTGATTCCAGTACCCAAACACAAGCCCAGGAACAAGTCAAGTCACAAGAGACTGCATCCATGGCTGCTTGTCAGAACCCATGTTTCCTGCCCCCTTTAACTGGGTTTAACAGTGTCCCCCACAAACCAGCACACAGAACTTAAAGTATAATTTTAAAAAAAACAGTGTCCCCCAAAGATTCACATCTACCTGGAACTCCATAATGTGAGTGTATTTGGGAATGAGGTCTTCACAGATGTAATCAGTTAAGACGAAGTCAAACTGAATGAAGGTGGACCCTAACCCAACGTGACCAGTGTCCTTATAGGAAGAGAAAACAGACACATAGGGGTACACATGGGGGAAGCCACGTGGGGACAGAGGCAGAGACCAGGAGCTGGGTGAGGCCAGCAGCCAGCCCTGCCTGCACCTTGATTTCAGGCTTCTGGCCTCCAGGACTGTAAGAGAATCAATTTCCATGGTTCTAAGCCCTCCAGGTCGTGGTAATTTGTTCTAGCAGCTTCAGGAATCTACCACAGCCCCCAGACTTCCAGCATGGTCACAGACCCACCAGGCAGAGCTGAGCAAGCCATCTTCCACGGCCCTCCAATGGGGCTTCCTCCCAGGGCCACAGCCTGGGCTCTAGGGTCCTGCCCCAAGGTTCACATCTCATCAGTCCTGTAACCTCGGAGACAGAGCATTTTACAGCCCCGTGACGACACCCCGACAATGCTCACTCTGCATTTCCTGTGTGTACCATGCCAAGGAGGCAACTAGGAAGAGGACCAGTCATCTGTCTCCACCAAGCCTTCATCCCCAAGGAACCTCCCTGGGGAGCTGAAACCCAGGAGGCAAATGACTTCTGTGGAAGTCGCGATGCCAAGTTCACTACTTTTTCCTCCTTGCAGCAGCTGAGCTTGACCTATACACCTCCATCACCTGCTTTTCTCCAGGGAGCGGGGTGGGGACCTTGCATGACTGCTCCTTGTAATGAGTCTTTGGAGGCAACAGGTTCCTGGGCAGGGCCCTCAGTCAGCCCCTCCTCCTGCCTGTCTCCCTGGATACACTGTCATTCCGATTCCCTTGTCTGTCCTTCCGGTGGATGGAGAGCTGCCCAGGACAGGGCATGAGGCTGGGCCCAGGAGACGCAGACACCATGCACAGGAGTCCACGACTGACACCTCTCTGGAATCAAAGCCAAGAAAACACTTCCTACAAGTCACCCTGAGATCAAGGGCAGACACAGAAGAGAACTGGCCCTAATTTGCAAATCACCCCAGTGGGCCCTCCCAGTGGGAGGTGTGATTTCTCTTAACCCCTTCATTCCTGGTCAGCTGCAACTCCAAAGGCCAGGTCCTTCTACCTAACAAGCCCCCCCACCACCACCACCTCTAAGACTGGTGCATTATCCGATGGTTTTGATCAGCGATTTCAAGACCATCTGGATGCCAGGGTGCTGGAAACTCTTGCCAGCTCTTGAAATAACTCAGCCTGGCTTCATTCACAAGCAAGCACAGCTGCCCTGCAGTTTTAGGTCAGGACACCGGGTGGGGGCATGGGATGAGGCAGTGGGGCCCTCAGAGCCAGGCTGAGAAGCAGCCGGGACCCGTGAGGAGGGGGTCAGTGCTCAGCCCCCACTCAGGGCTGTCCAGCTCCCTCAACCACCTTCCTTAGAAGCAGAGTATCCCGACACCTCCAGCACGGCTCTGGGGTTTCCAGCCGACCTTGAACCTGGCTTGTCTCCTTCCCTGGCACAGAAGTTCTGCTCTTCACAGCCTCAGGGTTTGGCACCCCCCATGCCCCCTCAGCCCCCTTCCTCCATTCTACAGCCAGTCTCATCTTCCTCTTTCGTTCCCACGAGGAGCCTTCAGCTTCTGCTGTCCCCTGTTGCCACAGAACCACAGAGCAGAGTTCTGCAACCTGGAAGGGAAGCCCCCCACCTCCCGACCCTACCTCCTTTCCCAGACGGGACCTCCCCATCCTCCTCCCAACCTGTCAGGGTGGTGAACATCTAATCAGATCCACCCTCCTAAAATGTCTGTGGATGGCAAAGGTAGAGTAAGAATGTGGATTCAGGGCATGAACCCAAGAGGCGAGCTGTGTGAATTACAGAGGCCACATGGGCCAGCGGGGAGAGTCTATGGGCAGGAGGGCCTTGTGGTATCCTAAAAATCTCACCATCTCCTCATCACATATGGCTGTCAGAAGGACCTCAGAGTGAGAGGGCTCTGAGTTCGAATCCTGGTGTCCCAGCTCAATGGCCCTGGGATCCCATTCACCTTCTAGGCCACCTCCACGACGAGGGGGGCATCCGGGCATCTTGCTCACACAGGCAGGATTTAATAAACTTCCAAGTGCTGCCTCCTGTGCTTTGTGAACCTAGGAGCACACACAGACGTAAGAGGCATTTTCACTCACTTCCCGAGCTTTTCCTGAGAGTCCATGCGGTGTGCCAGGCACGACTTAGACCCAGCAGTGCATAGCCCTCCCGTACATCACCCCTGTCCAAATAAAGGCCCTCTGGATGGATCTCTGCAGTGGGATCAAAGGCCTGGCTTCCCAGTGCAATCCTGGAGGCAAAGAGCTAGAAGATGAACCTTCTTCAGATCTGAATCGCCCCAGAGCAAAGCCGCCCTGGCAACTGAGAGAAATGAGTTCCAAAGAGGTGGCAGTAATGATAGGGTTCCTAGAACAGTGTCATGGCTCAGGACCAGGGCAAGACAAAGGGCCTTGGTCTGCCGTATGTCCTGGTGCCTTTCGAGTTCCCTGCCAGAACCTCCTACTCTTTAGGAATCCCAGGCAATCTCCGGCCCTTAGCGAGGCACACTGCAGGACGTGCCGTCCCTGCCTTTTGCAGCGGAATCACCTCTGAATAATTCACAGGCATTATTAAGTCAGGTCTCACATATGTAAATCCATGTGGATCTCTAATCAAATTACGGCAAAGTGGATGCCGTTAAGCTCTTATTAGCAGTAATGGTATTTTAAAATAATAGAATATTTTTGAGGTGTGTGATGGAGTTTTTAAGTACTTTTGTCATGTCAGCTTTCAGCTAGCATCTGTAGTTCCCTCTGGCCATTAGTTGTGCAGGTAATTAGAGTAATAGTCAGCTTCGGCTGCAGGGACAAACAATCCCAATATCTCAGGAGTTGACCACGAGCGGTTGGTTGTTTATTCCTCACGCACACCATGGCTGAGACTGGCTGCGGCCCTGCTCTTGTCCGCTGGGCTCTGTTGGGATCTGCGTGTCTTTCTTTTCCTAAAACTCAGGCTGAAGGAGTGCCCAGACCTGGGGCTCACTGTTCTCAGGAGCAAGACAGGTAGGGCCAAACCACCTGTGCACACTTAAAGTTTCTGCTGGGAGCAGGCTCATCACAGCGGTTCATATTCTTTAACCAAAGCAAGTCCCATGGCTGAGCCCAAAGCGAAGTGTGGCATGAAAGCCCACTCTGCCCTCAGATGAGCAGGGCATGAAGGGAGGTGTTACAGGTTCATTATGTCCCCCTAAAAGATACGATGAAAACCTAACTCCCAGGACCTCAGAATGTGATCTGAGTTGGAAACAGGACCATTGCAAATGGCCCCTAATCCAACGTGACTGGTGTCCTAATATAAAGGGGAAATGTAGGCCAGGCCAAGTGGCTCATGCCTGTAATCCCAGCACTTTGGGAGGCCAAGGCAGGCGGATCACAAGGTCAAGAGATAGCGACCATCCTGGTCAACATGGTGAAACCCTGTCTCTACTAAAGATACAAAAATTAGCTGAGTGTGGTGGTGGGCACCTGTAGTCCCAGCTACTCGGGAAGCTGAGGCAGGAGAATCACTTGAACCAGGGAGGCGGAGGTTGCAGTGAGTGGAGATCGCACCACTGCACTCCAGCCTGGCAACTGAGCGAGACTCCACTCTCCCCACAAAAAAGGGGGAGATGTAGACCCAAATGTGCACACAGGGAGAATGCTATGAGAAGATAAAGGCAGACATGGGGATGATGCTTCCAGGAGCCAAGGAGCACCAAGGAATGCCTGCAGCCTCCAACAGCTGGGGAGAGGCCCGGAACAGAAGCTCCCTCAAGGCCTCAAGAGAACCAACCCTCCCTTGATCCTGGACACCTTGATCCTGGATGTCTGGCCTCCAGGACTGGGAGAGAATCAATGTCTATCGCCTAAGCCAGGGGTCTCCAGCCCCTGAGTCACAGACTGGTACCAGTCTGTGGCCCATTAGGAACCAGGCAGCACAGCAGGAGGTGAGCAGCAGGTGATCAAGCAAAGCTCCATCTATATTTACAGCCACTTCTCGTTGGTTGCCTTCCTGCCTGAGCTCTGCCTCCTGTCAGATCCGCGGCAGCATCAGATCCTCATAGGAGTGTGAACTCTATTGTGAACTGTGCATGCGAGGGATCTAGGTTACATGCTCCTTATGAGAATCTAATACCTGATGATCCGTCACTGTCTCCCATCACCCTTAGATGGGACCACCTAGTTGCAGGAAAACAAGCTCAGGGCTCCCATGGATTCTATGCTATGGTGAGTTGTATGATTATTCTGTTATATATTACAATGTAATCATAATAGAAATAAAGTGCACAATAAATGTAATGCACTCAAATCATCCAGAAACCATCTCCCCGCCCACAATTCGTGGAGAAATTGTGTTCCATGAAACTGGTCCCTGGTGCTAAAAAGGTTGTGGACCGCTAGTCTAAGCCACCCAGTTTGTGGCACTTAATTATGGCAGCCCCAGGAAACTAATAGCGGAGGAAATAAGTAATTGGGAGAAAATAATACCGGAGGCCACTGCGGAGTGGCCAGGAGAGTCTCGGACAGGCTAAGGGCATCTGCATCGCTGGCACTGGGTCTGATCAATGCCGTGTGTGCCTTGGGGCTTAACTTTCCTCTCGCTTCTGCTTCCTGCGAGCGTGAGTATGCGTGGCTCTACCCAACAGCTTCTGCTCTCCTAACAGGGAGCTTTGGGGGCAGGAGCTGCAGTTTCAGTCTCGGGTTATGACTGGCGGGTAGTGGCTGCAGACTTTTAATGTTGCAGGTGTTCTGACGGCTGCCCTTGGCACTCTAAGACAATTCCATTTTTGGTGCCCCTACCTCTTCTATGGAGAAGCTCAGGGGCTCACTGGGAACACACAAGAGGCAAGGGTTCCAGAGAACAACTGGATGTTGAAGTCACGCAAATCTGCATCCAGACCAAGCTCTGAGGGTAAACAGAGAAAACACTTTTCCCTCATCTCTTCCACCGAATGCAGCTGTGAGCCCTGAGCAGAATGCAGGCAGCAGCCCCGCCGCAGATTGAGGCAGACTGAGGACGAGGGCCAGGATTCAACACCCTATTGAGCCAACACTGAGGCTACCATTTTATTTTCCTCAGGTATCCCCCAGTCTAGACTCAACACAGCCCCATAACCCACAATCAACATAATGTGGACAGAGGGTGCTACAGAAAAGCCCTCTAGCTCTGGTTTGCAGAAGGAGTCCCTAACATTCAGGGAAAGCAGGGGAAATCTCCCTCTCTTTTCTTTCCTTTGTTCTTTCATGCCCCAATCCCCAGGCAATCCCACTGTGGAAGCAACATTAAGAGCAAGGGCAAGAGCCCACAAGAGCCTAAAACCTCAAGACAAGAGAAGCTTCCTCTCTGATTGGAGGTGGGCGCTGTGCTCCCCAGAGAGTGGGATAAACCCCCATTGCTTTTATTCTCTCTTTGTCCTCCCATCTTCTGGCTCCAGGAAGGATTAGTTGCAGGAAGTACATGGCACAGCAGGGTTTAAATAAAGCTGAAAGGGGAGTTCTAAGGAATCAGAAAATTCCAGGGAGATTGCAGGAGGGAGAGCCTGGAAAACTTCTAGGCTTATTTCTAAGCTGCACATGTGTGGATCTGATCCTATACATTGTGAAAAAGGACTTTGAGATCTGAGCTAAGAGACAGACTAGGTCCTGGGTCCCAGGCTGGCCACTGAGTGGCACACAGGCAGGACAGATCCAAATACAAAGACTGAAAACCAAACTGGTGCTGAAACCATGACCCTCAGCAGGCTGGGCATAACTGATGGCTTCAACATAACTAGATGAGAGCCAGCCAAATTAACAAAGATTCTCAATATTCTCAATAAGATTTAATTATGACCCAGAGACCCATAATGCATATTCAGAATATCCAGGATGCATCCAAAATCACTCAGCATCTAAAGACCCAGAAACAACTCTACCCACGAGAAAAGACAATTTAATAGACACAGATGCCAAGGTGACACAGACGTTGGAATTTTCATACAGACTTTAAAGCATCTACTATAAAAATTATCCCACAAGTAAGAGGAAACACTCTTGAAACTAATAGAAAGAAAGGAAGTCTCAGTAAAGAAACAGAAGATAAAAACCAAAAAATATATAATCACAGTAATAAAAAAAAACTTCACTGGGCAGGCACAATAGCAGAAGAAAGACAACAGAGAAAAGAGTCAGGGAACATGAAAATATCTCAATAGGGAATTACCTAACCTGGACAACAAAGAGAAAAGAAGTGGAAAAAAATCAACGATGACTCAGGGAACTTTGGAGCAACAGCAAACTGACCTCTGACCTTTGCTACCCTAGTGTCATTGGAAATGTTTCCAAACTTCTCTGAACCTCAGTTTCCTCCCCTCCAAAGTAGGGGGTAACTTTTCTTTTCAACGGACATGGTCTCATTAAATCCTCATAACAGCCAACTTACATAGGTATAGGTAATAGTTCCTTCATTTTACAAATGAGGAAACTGAGGTCAAAAGTGGTTAAAAATCCTTACCCAACTCAGTGTCACTGACACACCAGATGCAGAACCCACATTGCTACTCTTAATGGCCATCCTCCTTCCTTCAGTAAATATCCATGCTGCTGCGTGTGGGGTGATGGATGATGAGTGGGCATCCATTTGGCATATTGAGACAGGAGATGTGTGGAAACCTTAGGTGCCTGAATTCTAGTTCTTGCTTTGACACAAACCAAGAGCATGATGCAGAGAAAGTTACCTCCCCCATCTCAGCTAAGCTTCCTCATCTAGAAAATTGAAGCGCTGGATTCTATTATCTTGAAGGTCATTGCCAACTCTGGCAGTTAAGGATTCCAATCATCTTCCTCCAGGGACTTGCAACTATTTCCTGAGTGTAGCATAGGTTCATGCGCCAGTTGCAAAGGGGATGGTGCTGTCCTGAGCGCTGAAGGAGAGACTTCTGCAAGCCTTGGGAGCCGGCAAGTTTTCTGAGCAATGCCTTTCCCTGGGGCTTCCTCCAACCTTTCCTCATGAGCTCCACTGAAAGCTGACTCTGTTTATGAGCACATTTCATGCTGGAGGGGGCTGTTCAGGTTAATCCATTTTCTCTCTCAAACTCCTGCCTCTTGCAAGTGTGCTTAAGACTTCTCTGCCCAGCCTTGAAATGCTGCCTCCCAGGCTGTTTGTGCTCTCAACCACATTCTTCCCTGCCTTTGCCCAGCTGCAGTTCTCTAAGTCCTTCCTCCACAGGTCATACATCCCTTGAACATTTACCTATGGGGCTATAGTCTGCCAAGTCTGCCAGTCTGAGGGACCCTTAGGTTTGTCTGTGACAGACAGAACCTACCCATGCTCTGGCATCTTTCTTTGAAAGGTTTTCTGGGCCCTGGATCAGGGAAAAAGATCAGGGACACTATAGATCAAGCTTTAAATTCAAGTGGGCAGCACCTGGCTTCTCAAAGCACAGGCTTTCTGAGATCTCCAAGCCAGGTGACTGGACTAAGTTTGAGAACCAAAGAGGAATTAGACATGGAATGAAGAAAGCATCATCTTAGTCAGGAGAGTGGGAGATGGGTATTGTGAGTCAGCTAGGGAGCCACGTTCGCTAGAGGTTTTCATCTCCCCACTTATTCCTTCCCTTCTGAAGTGACGCCTGAAATAAACCCAACTCCAGCCCACTAAAGCTAAAAGAGGGTTTTTTGAAGGATCTTGAGGGATCTCACCAAATTCAAGGAAGAGTTAATGGGAAGAGCAGGGATTATGATGGGCTTCAGGAACGGCTTGATCCAGGAGTCAGAGTGCTTGGGTCACCTCTTGAAATACCTCATGCTTCTCTGCGCACATCTGTTTCAGTCTCCTCTCCTGCTGCAGATTGGTCCTTTTTTTGCTTCCCAGACCTCATGGAAGAAACTCTGGACTTCAACAGCTTTGGTGTTTGATGTGTTACTGTTTCAGCCACCCAAAGAGAGACTGTTTCAAATTTCCCTGTCTTTCCCAAATCCAAAGCTGCCATGGAAGGGATGTGATGGCCTAGCTTGGGTGAGGCACTCACTGCTGGACAAATCAACTATTGCCAAGGGGGTAGTGTTGTTCTTGGAGTCCTCTGTGTGCCACTGAAGGGCAGGGCATGGTTGAGATAGGAACAGGAGGGGCAGAGACTCAAGAGCTGGTACACACAGGCACTTCTCAGCAACGTGCCACACACCCTTCCTTGTTCTTGACTGTGAGAATGGCCTCTAAGGTGGGCATTGGTGATTAGCAATCTGCTTCAGAAATTCCTGAAGCTGATCAGCTCCTCCTGACACCAAGAGTCCTCCTCTCTGCCCTCCACGGCTTCCTTGTGCCTCTTTCACACCCAGAATCACCCACAACCTGAAGCAGGTTGGATTCCACTCACACAGCAGGCTGGAGAAGCTCTCAACTCTCCTTTCCCCACTCAGTCAGCACATTCCTGCAGCCTCTTCATCCTCCGGCTCTGGACCCAGGCACAGAGCTCCAGGCTGGGCCAGAACTCATTTTTCACCCTCCTCACCAGCCAGTCATCCTCATGAGATGCTCTCCTCGCCCCTAACCTTCCCGTGCCAGGGAGTTTTTTTTTAGGAATTCCTTCCCCCTTGAGGGATTTGTCAAGGCTCCCCCAGAAGCCTTTCTCTGATGCATTTGGATCTCGATTTAAGGAACAGCTGCCCTGACTGACACATACTTTCATCAACTTCTTTTTCATTTGTATTGAATTCCGTTTTCCCTTGGGCTTACTTTCAAAGAAGCTTTATCTTCTCTTCTGCTGGATCTTTACCTGAATATGTCCTGATATTTCTGCTGTGAGGTCCTCAGTCTGCCCATTCCATCTGCCACATCCCCGAAGAACACAAACCTGCCCATGCACCAGAGGAGTCCCCAGTTTACAGGAGGGAGTCATTGGGAAAATAGAGGATCTTGCATTCATGTGAGTTTCTGCCCACATCCTCTTCAGGGCCCTAGAAGTTTCCACATGTTAATGAAAGGTTTTTTCTTTTCTAAACCTCAAGTCGTGTTAGCTACCTGACTCGTCTGCAGCTCAATTAGTCTTGGAGGAAGACTAATTGTTTCCAAAAGGTCTCTGGGACAGAAACATGATGTGCCGCCAGGGTATTTCTCGAACAGTCCCTCCAGCCCAAAGATATGCTGAAAAGCCTGCTAAAGGGGCATCTGCTCTGTATCTGAGGATTTAACCTGAGTTGCTAGATGTCTGGGGGGGCAGTCCGGTCTCTGAGTAATGCAGACGTATCCAATGTGTAGACACCATCCGCCCATGGAAGGCCCCACCCTCCTGGTCACCTGCTTTGAGACACATATTTCCCACAGGACAGCCCTTTGCCTATGAAGCCATCAGTGAGTCTCTGCTGCTTTGCATTGAAGTTGATACGTGGCAGGGCCTGGCCCTCCACAGGCTCCCACGCCAGCAGGTACAGATAAAACATACAGATATTTCACGTGGTTCAACCTCTTGCTTGGCAGGAACTCAGAAGAGGAAGACCTTGCCCTTCACCTAAGAGGTCAGAGAAGGCTTCAATGGGGCATTTGTTTTTAAATTGGTCTTGATGCAAAGGCCTGAAAATGGAGAGAAAAGATTGTTTCTTTTAAGATGATCCAAGAGGACTTTTCTCCTAGTGCTCAACCTTAGTGAGTCTTCATAGGAAAAATGCTGGAGCCAGGAATTAAACAGGATTACATAAGCATGCTGAGAATATCAAAAGACTCGGATCTACTCCTCCTTGTGAAGTTTCTTAGGAGTGTCAAACAAAAATAGAGGGTTTTGATGCCATCCAGGAACAAGAATCCATCTCTTCCAGACGGTCTTTCTTGAATTCTCTAAATTCCCACAGTCGCTCCCTTCTTGAACCCCTGAGGGTCCCCGCTGAGGTTTCAGAACTTCCTACTGGGAGAGGTAACTATTGGTTTGCCGTGGCTACATTTAGCCTCCCTAGCCAGATTATATGTTTTGTGACAAGGTCTGGGTCTGATTCCTTTTTAACACAGACGTGCGTACATGAGCTCACATTTACAGACACGGGTCCCAGCCTGGCCTTGTATTAAAAATCAGCACCTTTCCAAAGTCAAGTGGTAGAAAACCCAACTCAACTGGCATTAGGGAAAAAGGGAACTTATGTGTTTGCTTAAAGGAGGAATCCGAGGTGGTCTTTCTTCATTGCTTCAGGTGTAGCCTTACCTCCAGGCTCTGCAGAACTGTTTCTCTCCAGCTCTTGGTTTTTCCTTCCCATTGTGTTGGTCTCATTGCCCCACTCCACTTGGTCGCACTGATTCTTCAGGCTCATGTCATCTTAACATTCCAACTACCAGGACAAAAAAAAAAATGCATACCCCTTCCCAAGAGGACGAGGCTCAGCCCCACTGCATCTGGCCGACTGTGACTGGAGCACGTGCCCACTCCAAAGCCTTCACTGTGGCCATGAGTGTGATGCTCTGGGGGGCCAGAACTCAGTCCCATGTCCGGTCCTGGAGCCAGAAGTAGCAGCAACTCCCCGCAAGCATCGGCACTGAGAAGGGGAGAGGGGTGACTGCCCAGAGGGACGTGAGCGTCCTGTCACCAGGGCGAGCGGATGGCGGGGGGCAAAGTCAAGTTCCCTGCAGGCATCACCAAGTGTCACTTTCCTGCAAGGAGTCCCAGCACCCCGCAGTCTCCCAGCCGGTAACTCCACAGGGCACTCCCCCATTCTCCCCACCAACCCCACAGAGCTGTGCTCACCTTGGAGTCTGAATGGACTTCCAGCTTCCCACTGCCAGGATCCCCGGGCCAGTGGCAGGCTGGGGTCCAGCAGGTCCCTGCTCCTGAGGCCTGGCTGGTCACATGGAAGCTCAACCCTCCTCTCTCAGCATCGGCTGTGTCAGCCAGTCCTTGGCCAAAGCCACCTTATGTTTAACTCCGCTCGTCAGCCGGCCCCTATTTTCTCATGAAGTCCAGGCTCTTTACGACTTATTAATGTTTATTTACTCTGTTTAAAGTGCACTCCTACTCTTAGAGACTCACTGCTCCTCTCTACAGAATTTAATTCCCTGAACAGCCTCTTCTGGTCCCAAGGAAGCCGCCCCAGGCAATCGGAGGCCGAGGCTGAGCCTGCTGCTGCCGGGTAATGAGCCGCAAAGCCATTTAACTGGGGCACAAGGAGATCTGAAAACTCGTGGGGCCCCAAAGCTGCTGGTGCTGTGCTTTCTTGTCCCTGACATCGGGCACGCATCCTCTCCCTCCTCCTGCCCTGTCTTCCCGCCCACTTGCTGAGAGAGGCCAAGACCTGGGGAATATTTGAGGGGTTGGCCGGGTGGCCTCAGATGATGGGAGATGTCCAATCCCCAGGCCCAGCCTCTGCGGCCTCTCGCCAGCCGCCCACACGCGCTCCTTGTTTTAGAAGTCCAGGCAGGGCTGGCTGGCAGCTAGTGTGAGCTGAGGCCCTCGGGGAGGCCGTCGTCTGTATCCTGGCTCTGCCCGCTGATGCTGCGGGAACAGATGCCCAGCCTGGCGGATGTGGGAGCTGGAATCCAGCAGGCCCCTGAGGTGAGGCAAGCCAGGCCCACTCCAGCCTCCTTAGCCACGCGGCCCACACTTACAGGGAGCTTGGTAATGGCTGCTTCACAGGGAGCTGGGAAGAAAAATGAGGGCAGAAGGGAAATGGCCTCAAGGAAGTAGGAGTCACCACCGTCTGCTGGGGCCCCACTTACCAGAGAGAGGAAGCTGAAGGGCAGGAACCAATCCACTCACCACGCAGATGCATGTCCTGGCACTGCACGTGCATGAATCCAAACAGGCAGGGACGAACCAGGCCAGATCTTCCCATGACCTTTACCCCTAGAGGGACTTGTGCTCCAAATTCCTGAGCACTCGTAAGGTGCCTGCAACAGATGATGTGTAAGACTCCGCCCCCGCCCCGGGGCACATGGAATCCACTCAGGGACTGCCCCAGGCTAAACTGTGTCCCTGCCAAATTCATACGCTGAAATTCTAAACCCCAGTTCCTCAGCAGGGGACCTTCTTTGGAAATACGGTCATTGCATATGTGATTAGTGAAGTGAAAATGCCGTCATTAGAGTGGACTTTAACTCATATGACCGGTGCCTGTATAAAAAGGGGAAATTTGGATACAGACACACGTAGAGGGAAGATCATGAGAAGATGCAGGGAGAAGACGGTGCCTACAAGTCAAGGGGAGAAACATGGGGCAGATTCTCCCTCCATCCTCAGAAAGAACCAACCCCGCTCATACCTTGATCTTGGACTCCCAGCCTCCAGAACCTCAAGACAATAAATTCCAGTTGTTTAAGCCACGCTGTGTGTGTGTGTGTGTTTGGGGGGGGTGGGTGTGTGTGTGTTTTGGGGGGGTGGGTGGGGCTTTGTTCTACCTGCCCCAGGACACTAACACAGAAGCAAATGGGAGCCCCCTGAAAGAGAGAACTCACTGCCTGGGTGCCGGACCGAGGGCAGGTACACAGAAGTGGTGCCAAGGAGCACCTTGGTCCCTGAGAGCTGCCCTCCTGGCCACACAGAAGGCTCCTAAGCCCAGGAGGAGGGGAAGAGGCCGGGAAGGTCAGACCTGAACAGCCCTACCTGCTACAGGTGAGGCTGGTGACCCAGCTGTCCTCCTGGCTGGGCCACTGATGCCAGACCCTCTCCACTTGTAAATGCCCCCTCCCTCTCCACCTACCCTTCCGAGATCTTGCCCATTGCAGCCTCTCTGTCTTCATAGACCCCAAATACCCTAATGGCCATGAGCCCCTGTTCCCTTCCTCTCCTGGTCATTTATACCTCATGATCCCACTGGCTTCCAGGGAAGACTTAATAAGGTGTCGGTGACAGTGACACCTCTGCACCAGTTTCCAGAGCCGAGCCGCGATGTTCATTTCAGCAGGTGGTGCCCGGCTCCTGAGCCTGAGTGGATGGGGCTGATTCACTGGAGACCACTTTCCTGGCCGTGGGTGGCTTCTCATTTCCCGGTGCTCACTCCTTCGGGTGCTTTTGCAAAGGTGTCCTTCCCCTGGTCACAGGAGATGTGATCCATGTTTATGTGGCTCAGAAGCAGAGACCAGCAGCTGCCTCCCAAGGAGGGGAACCATTGCCCAAAACTGTAACCTGTGCTGCTGTGCAGAGAAACAAGTGGGTCCGGGCACTGGCCACTGCAGAAGATACATCAGGGAGAAGGCTGAGCTCCCTCCCAGCTCCTGATACAGTTGGAGGGGTCAAGCTCTGCTGGCAAAACTGAAATCACCCCTCACAGCTGCCTGATGGAGGCCTTCGATGGGTACTTAGAGTCCTCTTCCCTCATGTCCTTTCTGAGAATAATGTTCCTCCAACCATGCAGGCCTGGCCTCCCTGCTTTGATCCAGAACGGGCCCATCTCAGGGGATACCTGGGCCTTTGTTCCTGACCACAGCCCCAGAGAGGGAGGGCACAGCTTCTTTTCGGGCATTCCAAGGCGGAAGGGAGGTGAGTGGCATGCCCGTGGTGCTTCGATGGGCCCTGCCCAGTGTGCCCAGCCTACAGTAACAGCAGAGGGTGGATCAGTATTGGGCTCAGCCAAGCTTTGTGGTCCAGGACGAAGCACTTCACCTCTCTGAGCACTGGCTTCCTCGCTGTAAAAAAGCTCCAACGCACGTGCTTCTGTGTGGATTGCATGAGAGTGGAATGAGCTCCTATAGGTGGCAGCTGCTCCCAGGACACTGCTCAACATTTGTTCTCACCTTCTTCCTTAGAAACATCATCCCAGCTGTATGTGGGGCATCAGTGAACCCCCTAATGCACACCTTGTATTTCCCAGCTGACTGAATTCGGACTGATGGAACGTGAGCAGGAGTGATGTGAGTCACTTCTGGGTGCAGGATCTGGGTGTGCCCTCCTCCTGGCCCTCTTTCAGCTGTAATGCTGGAAGTATTAGTGGGACTTTCAGGAATGTCCCTTAAAGGGAACTAAATCAGGTGGAAGGTGCACTTGTTTTGTCCTCCTCCCTCCACCCCTTCCTTTTTCTCTTTGGCTAGAAGAATGTGGTGGCTGGAGCTCCAGCATCTTTCTTGGCCCATGAGGTAACATTAAGAATGTAAGTATTGTCTGACATGGCAGAAGTACAGAAAGATATTGGGTCCCTGACGACAGCAAAAACCTTGAAGCAGCCCTCTGTCACCTACCCCTGAAGCTCCTATGTACTTAAGCTAGTGCTATTTTAGGATTTCTGATACATGCAACCAAACTTTATCCTAACTTTTGTGGTCTATAAAGCCATGTGCACAGTGCCCAGCACATAGTATGCACTGATTAAATGAAAGTGATTATTAGTAGGTTGGACCCATGACTCCATCCTGCCTCTGGTTTAGAAATTTAGAGCCAGCCCTATGTGCCCTGCACACATTCCCATCCGTTTCTCAAGATTAGCTGCTGCTCAATTAATATGCGGTGTTTTCCTTGTATTGTTTGTCTAGCCACATGCTAGCATCTGCAGTAAACCTCCTTTCACAGTTTACAAACTGTCATTTGATTCTCAACTAACAACCATGCAGCTCTCAGAAGGTTGCAGCCCCACTTGCCAGCTGAGGAAACAGAGGCCCAGAGAGGTCAACCTGCTGATGCAAGGCCACCCAGTCCCAGAAAAGCCCGTCCATGGCGAGTGTGGGTCTTGGTATTCTGACTCCATCCCCAGGCCTTCTGGGCAGCAGTGCTATAGCCCCTTGCATGGGATCCTGACCCCAGGGAGTACTGCAAATAGCAAACACTCAATGTGTGCAAGCAGAGTCAAGGTCAGGGAGCAACAAGGATGCAGGGAACCATCCAGGCAAACAGGGCAGCAAGGACAAGAGTGGCTCAGAACAGCCCTGAGGACGACGTGGCCTTGGGCTGGGAGAGGATAGCAGGACCGTCTGGGCGCCAGCATCCGCTCTCCCAGGAAGCAACAACCGCTCCCGTTGAGTCTGCAGCTATTTAAAATCCTCGACTGCACCAAACATCCACGGCCTCGGCATCCAGGCTTATTTTCACTCCACTTCTCCCAAGCCCTGGCGGGTCTCTCTAATAACAGTCAGAGTCTGGGGTGGGGAGGACTCCCTGCAGCCTGCACACGGAGGTGAGAGTGCCTCATCCACCCGGTGACCTGCCTGCCCCACCCCACACTCTTGAAGCCGCTCATGGGAGTCAGGCTGCCCGAGGAAGGGCTGGAGGTGTGGATCCTGTCACTCCGTCCTCTGCCTCTCCCAGTCAGCCCCTTGAGAGTCTTGCAGGAAAACCGTCTGATAGAAAGGCCATGGGAGGGCCATGATGCATTTGAAGGAACTACCCTAGCCAGGCCGGCTCTTTCTTTTTTTTTTTATTCTTTTTTATTTTATTATTATTATACTTTAAGTTTTAGGGTACATGTGCACAACGTGCAGGTCAGCCACGCATGTATACATGTGCCATGCTGGTGTGCTGCACCCATCAACTCGTCATCTAGCATTAGGCATATCTCCTAAAGCTATCCCTCCCCCCGCCACCCCACAACAGTCCCCAGAGTGTGATGTTCCCCTTCCTGTGTCCATGTGTTCTCACCGTTCAACTTCCACCCATGAGTGAGAACATGCGGTGTTTGGTTCCCTATTCCTGCGGTAGTTTACTGAGAATGATGATTTCCAATTTCATCCATGTCCCTACAAAGGACATGAACTCATCATTTTTTATGGCTGCATAGTATTCCATGGTGTACATGTGCCACACCTTCCCAGTCCAGTCTATCATTGTTGGACACTTGGGTTGGCTCCAAGTCCTTGCCATTGTGAATAGTGCCACAACAAACATACGTGTGTGTGTGTCTTTATAGCAGCATGATTTATAGTCCTTTGGGTATATACCCAGTAATGGGATGGCTGGGTCAAATGGTATTTCTAGTTCTAGATCCCTGAGGAATCGCCACACTGACTTCCACGAGGGTTGAACTAGTTTACAGTCCCACCAACAGTGTAAAAGTGTTCCTATTTCTCCACATCCTTTCCAGCACCTGTTGTTTCCTGACTTTTTAATGATTGCCATTCTAACTGGTGTGAGATGGTATCTCATTGCGGTTTTGATTTGCATTTCTCTGATGGCCAGTGATGGTGAGCATTTTTTCATGTGTTTTTTGGCTGCATAAATGTCTTCCCTTGAGAAGTGTCTGTTCATGTCCTTTGCCCACTTTTTGATGGGGTTGTTTGTTTTTTTCCTGTAAATTTGTTTGAGTTCATTGTGGATTCTGGATATTAGCCCTTTGTCAGATGAGTAGGTTGCGAAAATTTTCTCCCATTTTGTAGGTTGCCTGTTCACTCTGATGGTAGTTTCTTTTGCTGTGCAGAAGCTCTTTAGTTTAATTAGATCCCATTTGTCAACCCTGGCTTTTGTTGCCATTGCTTTTGGTGTTTTAGACATGAAGTCCTTGCCCATGCCTATGTCCTGAATGGTAATGCCTAGGTTTTCTTCTAGGGTTTTTATGGTTTTAGGTCTAACGTTTAAGTCTTTAATCCACCTTGAATTAATTTTTGTATAAGGTGTAAGGAAGGGATCCAGTTTCAGCTTTCTACATATGGCTAGCCAGTTTTCCCAGCACCATTTATTAAATAGGGAATCCTTTCCCCATTGCCCATCTTTCTCAGGTTTGTCAAAGATTAGATAGTTGTAGATATGTGGCGTTATTTCTGAGGGCTCTGTTCTGTTCCATTGATCTATATCTCTGTTTTGGTACCAGTACCATGCTGTTTTGGTTACTGTAGCCTTGTAGTATAGTTTGAAGTCAGGTAGCATGATGCCTCCAGCTTTGTTCTTTTGGCTTAGGATTGACTTGGTGATGCGGGCTCTTTTTTGGTTCCATATGAACTTTAAAGTTTTTTCCAATTCTGTGAAGAAAGTCATTGGTAGCTTGATGGGGATGGCATTGAATCTATAAATTACCTTGGGCAGTATGGCCATTTTCACGATATTGATTCTTCCTACCCATGAGCATGGAATGTTCTTCCATTTCTTTGTATCCTCTTTTATTTCATTGAGCAGTGGTTTGTAGTTCTCCTTGAAGAGGTCCTTCACATCCGTTGTAAGTTGGATTCCTAGGTATTTTATTCTCTTTGAAGCAATTGTGAATGGGAGTTCACTCATGATCTGGCTCTCTGTTTGTCTGTTATTGGTGTATAAGAATGTTTGTGATTTTTGTACATTGATTTTGTATCCTGAGACTTTGCTGAAGTTGCTTATCAGCTTAAGGAGATTTTGGGCTGAGACAATGGGGTTTTCTAGATATACAATCCATGTCATCTGCAAACAGGGACAATTTGACTTCCTCTTTTCCTAATTGAATACCCTTTATTTCCTTCTTCTGCCTAATTGCCCTGGCCAGAACTTCCAACACTATGTTGAATAGGAGTGGTGAAAGAAGGCATCCCTGTCTTGTGCCAGTTTTCAAAGGGAATGCTTCCAGTTTTTGCCCATTCAGTATGATATTGGCTGTGGGTTTGTCATAGATAGCTCTTATTATTTTGAGATTCGTCCCATCAATACCTAATTTATTGAGAGTTTTTAGCATGAAGGGTTGTTGAATTTTGTCAAAGGCTTTTTCTGCATCTATTGCGATAATCATGTGGTTTTTGTCTTTGGTTCTGTTTATATGCTGGATTACATTTATTGATTTGCATATATTGAACCAGCCTTGCACCCCAGGGATGAAGCCCACTTGATCATGGTGGATAAGCTTTTTGATGTGCTGCTGGATTCGGCTTGCCAGTATTTTATTGAGGATTTTTGCATCAATGTTCATCAAGGATATTGGTCTAAAATTCTCTTTTTTGGTTGTGTCTCTGCCCGGCTTTGGTATCAGGATGATGCTGCAGGCCGGCTCTTTCTAAGGGGAGTTTGGGCAAGGAAAGATGGCGAGAGAGAATGGAGATGAATGACAGCGAGAGAGTATGGAGATGAATAACATCCCTTTTAAAGTTTCAAGGTACCACACTCTTCCTACCCTGGAAAGGAAAGCCCCAGGCCAGTGTCTGGTGCACAGAAAGGACCCCGTAGCTGCTGGCCCTGCCCAGTGCTCTGTGTCATTGCTGAGCAACTTTTGTGCTTCCACAAAACCTAGAAGGCGAGGGCTTGAAAACCATCACTTTTGTGGATGCAATTGTGTATGTGTCTGTTGCCAGGTTCACTGGCTCTGGGGCTTTTGAAACTCCAGTCTGAGTCTCCTCCAAGATCCAGGAGTGCTTCAATGCTGCCTGCACCTCTAGTTCAGGGGCAAGATCAGCTTCTGGCATGTATCTTTGGAATAGACACCCTAGTGAGAACTGGGGCTCTGGTATTGCTGGCAGCTTCCCCCTTTCCTCTCCCATGAACTGGCAGTGAAGGAAAGGTTAGCATATTAGCATCACCACTGTGAGCACAGCCCCTCTGCCTGTCTGAAGGGAGAGAATGATTCATTCCTGATCTCAGCAGCCCCAGCACTGGGTTTGTGAAGACAGTAATTCTAGTACAGTTTTGTTTCCTTTCATCAGCGTGTTCCTGTTTCTGACCTTTGACACTGCAATCAGATCTTCAGAAACCTGCCTCTCTTCTGTACATCAAAAGCACAGACAGGCTGATGGGGGTTCAGGGCACTCAACATATAGGAAAATCCTCCTGGCTACAGCCTCCCATCATTTGCAAAGCTGGCAGTGAGACCAGATGCTCCAGCCACTCTGCGGCTGTCAGACTCGAGTCAGAGCTCCACACCATGGGGAAAATGCAGGAAGCCCTTGGAGGCTGTCAGGCAAATGGGAAGATGAATCTCACACTTAGAAAAGACTGGCATCAGCCCCCACACTTCTGAGACGCCTTGAGCCTTTCAGGAAAAATGCATGAAGAATCAGCTCAGTAAGGTGCGTGGGGGCTTGGGGGAGGTACAGACCCACAGGATGTAGTTCCTGGTGGAGGATATTTTCTAGCAGAGATTTAGATGCTGTACCGTATAAGGGGCAGCCAAGATAGAGTGACAGGGGTCAGGTTACACCCTGGCTGAAACAACCTGACAGAGTATATGAAGCAACAGTTTTCAATACATTGGACATCAGGCAGTGAAGGACAGTGGTCCCTGAGAAATGAGAAACACAAGAGTGTAAGCCCAAGCTCACCACCTGGACAGAGTTTCCAGGCAGCAGCAGGGGAGGGGGATGCAGGCAGATCCCGCAGCCTCTGAGTTGAGGAGACTCTGCTAAAAAGTCCAGGAAGGCAGAGGCGGCTGCATCAGAGTGCCAGAGACAAGAGAGAAAGCAGAGACCTGCAGATTGGCTGAGGTCTCCCTAACATCTCGTATTGAGTACTTGCCAATGGATGCCAGTGAGAGAATGACTTGAGGCCAGGGAAAAATACCCTGAAAGAATTAGAGGGGAACAATTCTAGAGCTCCAACCAGATCAAGAATAATGCCTGCTCCCACAAGCCAGCGTGGGAAACCTCATAATTGATGAGCCATAGGGGAGAACACTCAGAGGTCCTATGCCTTGGTTATGCCTTGGTATTGGGGCAAAATAGTCCTCAATGAAACACTACCCTGAGCCCGCGTACGAAAGCTTGAAAGCAAGACCAAATAGATCAAACTGTTTCCAAGTAACACAACCATATCCTGGAAAAAAGCACAAGAGTATTTATAGGAACACAAAAATATACAGCATGCAATAAGGCAAAATTCAAGTGTGTGGCATGCAATCAAAACTTATCAGACATGCAAAGAAGCAGGAAAATATTACCCAGAGATAGCACAGATTATAGAATTAGTAGATGAAAACATTAAAAGTTGCTATAACATTATCTCGTGTGTTCAAGAAGCTAGAGGAAAGAGACTGAACACAGTCTCAGTATATACAGATACAGAAGGAAAAATACCAATTCAGACTTATAGAGATGAAAACTACAATATCAGTTCTGAAAAACTGCACTGGATGAGATCAATAGCATAATATATATAATACATATATTATATTTATATATTATATATTATATATATTATAAGTATATATAATATATAATTATAATTGTATATATATAATATATATAATTATAATATAATATATAGTTATAATATATTAAATATATTATATATTATATATTAATAAATATATAACAAATAATTAATAAATATATTAAATATATATTATATATTATATATTATATTATATATTATATATATTATATTATATATTATATATATTATATTATAATATATTATATATATTATATATTATATTATATATTATATATATTATATATTATATTATATATTATATATATTATATATTATATATTATATTATATATTATATATATTATATTATATATTATATATATTATATTATAATATATTATATATATTATATATTATATATAATATATATATTATATTATATATTATATATATTATATATATTATATATAATATATATAATATATATATTATATATAATATATATATTATATATAATATATTAATTATAATATATATATTATATAAAATATATATAATTATAATATATATTTTATATAATTATATATAATATATATAATTATAATATATATATTATATATATTATAATTATATATATATATAAATTTCAGGGCATAGAAATATAAGTCACCCATAATGTCATGGAAAGGGGGCTGAAAATAATATACAAAGTATCAATGGACCATGAGACAATTTCAATAGCCTAATATGGATGCAATTGTGGGTCTTACTTTTATAAGAGGGAGGGTGGATAGTAAACATGTAAAGGAATACTGGCCTAATATTATTCAAATTTGATGAAAACTGCCAAGAAGCTCAATGAACCCCAGGTACAAGTATATTAGTCCATTCTCACACTGCTATGAAGAAATACCCGAGACCGGGTAATTTATAAAGAAAAGAGGTTTAACTGACTCACAGTTCTGCATGGCTAGGGAGGCCTCAGGAAACTTACGATCATGATGGAAGTCACCTCTTCACAGGGTGGCAGGAGAAAGAATGAGTGCCAGCAGGGGAAATGCCAGATGCTTATAAAACTATCAGATTCCATGAGAACTCACTCACTGTCACGAGAACAGCATGGGGGAAACCACCTCCGTGATTCAATTACCTCCCACCAGGTCCCTCCCAGGACACATGGGAATTATGGGAATTACAATTCAAGCTAAGATTTGGGTGGGGACACAGTCAAACCATATCAACAAGCAACATGACAAAAAATGACACCAAGGGATATCATAACCAAACCGCAACCAGAGAAAACGACAAATTATGTATAGAAATCATAAAAAAATTATTTGTATAATTTTTATACAAGTCATGTACAAATCTTTTGTACAGATTATGTACATGTCATGTACAAATTAAAAATTTAAAAGCAAGAGTTCACCAGCAATATGAAACCTACAAGAAACTCATTTCAAGTATAAAGACACAAATAAGTTATAATTAAATGGATGCAAAAAAATATACTAACCATGAGAAAGCTGGGGCGGCTATACAAATATCCGACAAGTAGATTTTAGAGCAAAGAATACTAAAATAAGGATAAAGACAGTAATTTCATCACAATCAAGAGGTCAGTTCCTCAAAGTGACATAACAACCCTAAACATCCATATACCTAATTAACAAGCTTCAGAATCCCTGAAGCAAAAACTTAAGGAGCTGCAAGGAGAGAGATAAATGGCAATTATAGTCAACACCCCTTTCTCAATAATTGGTGGAACAAGTAGACAGAAAATCCATGAGGATATAGAGTAACACTATCACCTGGGTTGATCTACTTAGCATTTAAAAGGCACTCCACCCAACAGCACCACGCATGCTCTTTTCAAGTGCGCATGGAAAATTTGCCGACATAGACCATAGTCTCATTTATAAAACAAGTTTCAATGGATTTCAAAAGATACGAGCTGTGGTGCGATAGAGTTTGGATGTGGCCCCCTCTAAATCTCATGCTGAAATGTCATCCCTAATGTTGGAGATGGGGCCCGATGGGAGGTGATTGGATCATGGGGCAGATCCCTCATGAAGGGCTTGGTGCCATCCCTTTGGTGATGAATGAGTTCTCCCTTAGTGAGTTCACCTGAGATCTGGTTGTTTAAGTGTGTGGCACCTCCCTCCTCTCTCTTACTCCCACATTCCCCACATGCGATGTCAGCTCCCCTTTGCCTTCCACTATTATTGTAAGCAGCCCAAGGCCTCACTAGCAGCTGAGCAGATGCTGGCACCATGCTCCATGTACAGCCCACAAAGCTGTTAGCCAATCAAACCTCTTTTCTTTATGAATGATTCAGTCTCATGTACTTCTTTATAGCAATACAAGAATAGCCTAATACATGGTGTTATGATATGTATTGGCTATTGTCCATGGTTCTTGGCTCATAACTCCCATAGCTCTTTTTTTTATTATTATTATTTTATTTTTTTGAGACAGAGTCTCACTGTTTCCCAGGCTGGAGTGCAGTAGCACGATCTCGGCTCACTGCAACTTCCGCCTTCTGAGTTCAAGCCATTCTCCTGCCTCAGCCTCCCAAGTAGCTGGGATTACAGATGTGCACCACCATGCCTGCCTAATTTTTGTACTTTTAGTACAGACAGGGTTTCACCACGGTTGGCCGTACTGGTCTCGAACTCCTGACCTCAGGTGATCTGCCCACCTAGGCCTCCCAAAGTGCTGGCATTACGGCAGTGAGCCACGGCGCCTGGCCCCATAACTCTTGTCTTTTACCATAAAGCTGGGTGTGTCAGGGCCTCAGGGGTAGGCCTCAGGAAAGAAAAAGTCTGTGATCTTCTCCTGCCCTCGTTTCACCTGCCCCAAGGCACGACTCTAATATTCCCCCACCTTTCTGATTGTGGGTATTAAGACTCTCCCCAAAAAGGGTCCCACCTTATCCCTGGGGAAGAAGTGCTAACTACATGAAGCTTCCATAAAAACCCAAGAGGACTAGGGTGCAGGAGCTTCCGGAGAGTTGAATACTTGGAGGCCAACAGGAAGGTGAAGAACTCATTCATGTGTCCAGAGGGTGGTGTGCCCCAACTCCAGGGGCAGAAGCTCCCATGCTCAAGACCCCTCCAGACCTTGCCCTGTGTATCTCTTCATCTGGCTATTAATTTATATCCTTTAAAATATCCTTCTTAATAAACCAGTAAGCACAAGTGTTTCTCTGCATTCTGTGAGCAGCTCTAGCAAATCAATCAAATCCAAAGAAGGGTTTGTGAGAACCCCAGCTTGAAGCCAGGTGGTCAGAACTTCCAGAGGCCTAGACTTGCTACTGTGGGTGGGGAGGGGACTGTCCTGTGGGATGGATCCCTCACCCTGTGGGATCTGGTGCTATCTCCGGGTAGACAGTGTCAGAACTGAATTGGAGGACACCCAGCTGGTGTCTGCTGCTTGATGCATGGAGAAAACCCACACACATTTGGTCACAGAAGTCTCTTCTGTGTTGACGGTTGTTGTGGTGTGAGAGTAGAGGAAAAGCACCATTTGAAAGAGCTTTTCCCTACACACAAGTTGTATAAAGTACATTCATTCTCCGACTACAGTGGAATTCAGCTAGAAATCAATAAGAGAAAAAATATCAAGAAAACTCACAAATACGTGGACATCAAATAATATACTTCAAAAGTGCCCATGGGTTGAAGAAAAAAATCAAAAGAAAAACTGGAAATTGGTAATAAAAATTAAACATAACTTATCTAAATTGTGGGATGCAACCAAAGCAGTAATTGGAGGAAAATTGATAGCACTGAAATACCTACTTTAGAGAGAAGAAAGACCTTTAATCTTTGACATCAGCTTCCCCCTTAAGAAATCAGCAAAAGAATAGCAAATTAGACCCTAAGTAACTAAAAGAAAATAATAATGACCAGAGTAGAAATCAATGAAATGAGAAGCAGAAAAACAATAGAAATTGATGAGATTAGAAGCTAGGGTCTTTGAGCAGGTAAACAAAATTTTGAAACTTCTAGTCAGACTGTTCACATAAAATATAGATAAGACATAAATTACCAATATTAGCAATAAAAGAGGTGACACCAAGACAGAATCTACAGAGGGTTACATAAATGTCAGCTACTACTACCCTGTGGGCTCTTCACTCAGGGACCTCAAGAGTCCAGTTATCAGGTACGGTGTCCAATGCACCCCCATTCCCACCCACCCTGTACCTGGCCCATCAACCTACGGGCAGCAAGGCTCAGCCTGCTGGAGGAATGTGTGAATGGCCGCAGCTGGTCCCAGGATTCCAGGGTGATGGAACTGCTGCCTCACATTCTTTGTGCCGACCTCTTGGCCACCCTGAGCTCCCTTTCTTCTCCCAGGGGATTCTGCCCCAGTACAACGTTGATTTGGTTCTGTTTGCCTGGTGACTTGATTTTGCATTTGCTCTCGGGCTTCTCAGGTTCTCCTAATAAATCTAAGTGGGCGAAAGTGTTGCCCATGGTTACCACCTGAGAGTGTCAGGAGTTGGTACCAAGATGGCACAGTCCCATTCCTCTGAGGAGGCAGGTGTGGAAAGGAGGGTTACTGGCTTGGGACCCGAGGGAGTGTCCACCTCTGGGAAATGTCCTTTCCTGGGGAAGCAGCAGCTTTGCCTCACACTGAGCTCATTGGTTCCTCTGGGAACAGTGACCCCTCTGGCCTGTGATTAGACCCACACTATTTCTCTAATGTTTTATTTACAGACATCTAAGTGTGAAATTCTGATAAATAAAAGATGATGTCATCCCAGCCAATCCCCAGTTGTCTCACCAATCAGCCTCTCAAGAAGCAAAGTATGACACACACATTTCACCCACTCTCAGCATCACCGAACTCGTGTTCCAAGTCAGGGCAGGGAGGGGGCTGGCAGGGAAAAAGCTTCCGGCATAGTAGCATCAATTTTTCAGCTACAGAGACAGAAAAAATATTCTTAAGGAAATGTTTATGTGCCTCATCGTATTCATTGTTCTATGTGGTCTAACCAATTACCAGAAATTTAGCAGCTGAAAGCATCACGCAGGCCGGGCGCGGTGGCTCACGCCTGTAATCCCAACACTTTGGGAGGCCGAGGCGGGTGGATCATGAGGTCAGGAGATCGAGACCATCCTGGCTAACAAGGTGAAACCCCGTCTCTACTAAAAATACAAAAAATTAGCCGGGCGCGGTGGCAGGCGCCTGTAGTCCCAGCTACTCGGGAGGCTGAGGCAGGAGAATGGCGTGAACCCGGGAAGCGGAGCTTGCAGTGAGCCGAGATTGCGCCACTGCAGTCCGCAGTCCGGCCTGGGCGACAGAGCGAGACTCCGTCTCAAAAAAAAAAAAAAAAGCATCACGCATTTACTGTCTCACAGTTTCCATAGGTCAGAATTCTGGGAGGTCCTCTGCCCAGGGACGCGGACTGCTCCTCTGACAGCCTCTGCACATGCTCAGCTCATAGAGGCAGGATGTCAGGGGGCCAGTGCCTCTCTACAAAGTATCACACACTGAGTGTCTTAAAACAACAAGAATTTCCTCTCTTACAGTTCTGGAGGCCAGAAGTCCACAATCCAAGTGTGTACAGGGCTGGTTCCTTCTGAGGCTGGGAGGGAGAATCTGCCCCAGCCTCATCCAGCTGCTGGTGGTTTGCTGAAATGTCCCATGTTCCTTGGTTTGAGGCAACGGCACCTGGTCTCCGCCCCATAGTCATGTGGCCTTCTCCCTGTGTGTTTCTAGATCTTTTCTTCTTCTAAGGACTCCAGTCATTGGATTAGGGCTCCCCCTAATCAGTATGACTGCACCTTAACCAGTTACATCTGCAAAGACCCAATCCCCAAATAAGCTCATACTCTATGGTTCCAGGCAGATGAGAATGTTGTGGGGTCATTATTTGACCCACTAAAGTCACTGTCAGCCTGACAACAAATGGGTGGATACAGTGAAGGCCAGAGGGGCTGGAGAAGGAGCAGGTGAAGCTGGGCTGGGCTTCGTGTCTGTGCCCCGAGTGTTCCCTGGCCTCACCTCCCACCCCCACGGCCTGCGGTGGCTGAGAGACACCAGTGTCCACCCTGGCCGGGGGCTCTTTCCCTAACAGCCCAGCAGGTGTGTGTTCAGGTGCCTTGGTCCACTGAGCCAGCTTCTCTGCAGTCCCTGCCCCCACCTCGGTGAAGAAATCCATGAGGATGCCCTGTCTTCATTTCTGGGGCAGCCTGCACCCCATCTTCCCTTGACTTCCAGTGCCCAGTGCCTGGAAGGTTCTCAAGAAATATTTGCTGAACAAATAATGAATAAGTAAATGGATAATCTCCCTCCCAGTGAGAGGCCAGACCCCACCTTGGCCCCACCTACCCATGCCCCACCTTTAGCCCACCCCAGATCCTAGGGTTCCCACCCACTTACCCCTCCCAAACCCTTCCAGTCCCCTGCAGCTCCCTGCCTCCCCACACCCAAGACCTGCAGTCTCTCCCTCGGGACCACTGATCAAACAGAGAAGGAAGGTGGGTGCTGGAAAGAAGAAGGAGGAGGGGAGAGACATTTCATGATTGACACAGGAGTGTGAAGTCCCTGGTTTGCACCCTGGCAAATACAGGGAAGGTACAAGAGAGGTTGGGTGGATGGAACTTCTGTCCCAATCAAATCCCATGCCTGGAGGACTCCTCAGTATCCTACTTATTTCTCACCACAATCCCAGGAAGCTGGGGCCCAATCACTCTCGTTTCACAGATGAGGAAACTGAGGTCAGCAGCTGTTGAGTAGCTGCATCAGGATCTGCATCCCACATCCAGCCCCTGAGACACTGCTGAAAGAGAGGGGCATGGAATGCGTGGGAAGGAGGCCCTTCTACAGGGAGTCAGGGAAGAGTCCAGCAGCAGAACTGGCTGTGGAAAATGAACAGGGTTGACTCGTGGGAAGGACCATCTTCCCATGTTTTCATCCTTTCTCTGCAGCCTGACTCTGAACTTTTGTGACTTCTCAGCCCAGATCTCCAAGTTAGAATGCTGGGCCTGGCCCAACACACCTGTCATAACTGTGATGTGGTTTGGCCGCGTCCCCACCCAAATCTCATCTTGAATTGTAGCTCCCATGATTCCCACATGTTGTGGGAGGGGCCCGGCGGGAGATGAATGAATCACGAGGGCAGTTTCCCCCACACTGTTCTCATGGTAGTGAATAAGTCTCAGGAGATCTGATGGTTTTATAAGGGGAAACCCCTTTCACTTGGTTCTCATTCTCTCTTGCCTGCCACCATGTAAAATGTGTCTTTTACCTTCAGCCATGATTGTGAGGCCTCCCCAGCCATGTGGAACTGTGGCTGTTTTTCCTCATAAATTACCCAGTCTTGTGTATGTCTTTATCCGCACCATGAAAACAGACTAATACAAACTAGTTGGTGAACTGAGTTTGTTCACAGAAACAGCAAAGGAGGGAGAAAGAGAGAAACAGAGAGAGAGAAAGATGGAAGGAAGGAGAGGGAAAGAGAGAGGAGAGAGAGGGGATGGAGGGAGGGGGAAAAATGGAGTCTTGTCTTCTTTGTCTTCTTTTATTTGTTACTTCCGTGATGGTAGACAGCACCACATCGTGGGATAAATCTGTCTCCTTGGTCATTAGAAGCTTACTCTGGACCTCTCTCCAGGAGTGAACCAGCAGAATGGCCCTGCAGGCAACAGAGTGACAATTAGTGGCAAATTATAACTCCTGAGCTCCCATTACCTGCTTCTGAGGTTTGGAATGTCTGGTTGACTTCTCTCAACTAGAAGAGTCTATTGTGTTCTGTTTCTTAATATAGATTCATGGATATGTTTTCAATGCTAAGAAAAGAATCTTTCACGTTTGGATTTTTTTTTTTTAAGATGGAGTCTCACTCTGTCCTCCAGACTGGAGTGCAGTGGCACGTTCTCGGCTCACTGCAGCCTCTGCCTCCTGGGTTCAAGCAATTCTCCTGCCTCAGCCTCCCGAGTAGCTGGAATTACAGGTGCACCATGCCCAGCTAATTTTTGTATTTTTAGTAGAGACAGGGTTTTACCATGTTGGCCAGGCTGGTCTTGAACTCCTGACTTCAGGTGATCCTCCCAAAGTGCTAGGATTACAGATATGAGCTACTGCACCCAGCCAAGGGGGTTTTTAAAGAATGCCTAAGAGTCTATATCTAAGGAAGTGAAGGCGAGTGAATCAACCCAGGCTGTCACCTGCGTGCGATACAAGGGACAGGAGGAGCCTGCTCTGCACTTGGCTTTTGACTTGGTTCTCAAGTGCTTGCCTTTGACTGAGGGGCCGACCCACAGCCCTGGTGGGGTGTGCAGGGCTGGGCCAATCATCATGCAACTGCCCTGCTGCGAGGAACAGCTGTTGTTTGCTGGTGCCGCCTGCGTGACCTTCTCACATTGCCCTCCCCACAGCCAGAAAGACATCATCATCCCATTCTACAGATGAGGAACATGAGGCTCTGAGGGGCTCTGGGACTGGATTCAAAGCCAGTGACGGGATGAACTGGGTATTTCCTTGGTGTTTCTGACAGTGAAGCCCATTCTCTACCCTCCAGCTGCACAAATCAAGATTCCAGTCTTGTTTTCCCCCATGACACTGGAGCAATGATATGTACCCCCTCGGCCTACAAGGTGGCTGTGACTCTCAGGTGAGAGGATAAGGCTCTCAGATGCTTGTGCCAGTTCAGATGAAAGGTGAAACTGCTGAAACAAAAGCTCTTAAGCAACAGCACACAGTGAGTATTCCCGATCAGCAGACAGCTCTGCTCCACACAGTCACTCAGGAACCCAGGCAGACAGCAGCTCTCATTTGCTGAGCTCTTACCAGCACTGAGCTCTTACTGGCACTGTGTTCCGGCACTGTGCTAGGTGTTCCCACACACACAATGTACAGACCCGGTGCCACTGTCAAGACTGCTAAAAGATTGACATACTCTTGCACATGGGTGGGTATATAGCACTGTCCCAAGGCCCCATGAACAGTCTGCATGCTCCCTGCCTCTGCAAATGAAGAGTGGTGACAATGGACACCAGGCCTGTGGATGCTGCCAGTTGTTAAATATCCTGGGTGTTGGCCCTGCCCTCCTGGCTCATTGGCTTCTCGTGCTACCCTCAGAGGTGTATGCTGCTGTCACCTTCCACTTTACAAAGGGGGAAGCAGGATCCAAGTAACCGGGGAGCTCACCAAGCCCCTGCAATGATGGGACGGAACAGCAGGGTCACCCAGGCCTCATTGTATCACAGACCCTTGCTGGCTCTGCTGGGTGGCCTCTCTGCAGCCAGCGAGTGGGAAGGGCTTTCCTCTTGCCTGGTTCCAGGCCAGAGTCACAGCCATGCTCCCAACTGACTGCAGGAGGAGTAACACAGTGGGGTGGGCCATGACTGACAGGCATCCTGCCCCATCTGCCAATCACCTCTAAGTCAGAGACAGGGCCTAGGGGAAGAAAGAGAAGGACAGGACCAGGTGAGGCAGGCCATGGGCACAGGTGAGGCTGCAGGTGTACCCCAAGATCTGCAGCCCCCTCCACCTCTTACCCACCTACTCCAGAGGCTCCCAAATCCCCCCTAGCTGCTGTGTGCAAGTCCCCCACCACATGCAGGGGGTGCAACCAGCTGCTAACACAAAGAGCTTCCTCGAGAGCCCCCGGCAGCACAGCTGGGGACAAGGGTCCTTTGTCAGACAAGTCAAACCCCGTCAGCCTTGCCTGGGAAACACCATGAGCCTCATGGGACTCACCGTGGCCATCGTCCTTGCCAGCCTCCTGACACTGCCTTCTCCCTGAAGCCACTTGGCCTTGATTACTGAGCCTGTGGGTGCCCTGCAGCCACCTGCTGAGTGAGCCCCAGAAAGGCTACCCAGGAAGCAGGCTCAGGGCAGCAGCAGCTGGCAAGCAACTCACCAGGAGTGCAGCTTGCAGGGCACCAGGAAGGCCAGCCCCTTCATCCGCTGGGCTGTGCCTTGCTGGCCTTGGCTGCTGTGAACCCACTGGTGGAGGCCCCCGGCTGCCTCTGGTGTCCATCCCGATTTCCCCCTGTGGAGGCATTTCCCCAAATAATGTACCTGCCATCTTATACTTGAGGAAGGGGTGCCACCACCCATCAGGGTGGAAGCAGGTAAACCTGAGAAGGAACACACCTGGCCACTCACCGGCTATGTAAACTATGCACACCTGTGAAATGGGGACAGTCACACCCGCCATTCTGGATGGGGGTGAGGACAACAGACAACATGTTATGCCCCTGAAGCACAGGACAGGCTCGAGAAACAAACCATCCTGAATGTCTCAGATGGTGGCCTCTGCATGTTGTGGAGGACCAGTGGGCAGCATGGTAACAACCGTTTTCATGTTTGGGAGCAAAACCCAGTGCAGGACTGCAGCAGTTTCTGGCCCCAAGCAAGGGCTCATGTCTGTTCTAATGGGGTGCACGGCCTAAGGAAGGGGCTTACAAGGAGTCGGCAGGGCCGGGGTGACCGCACTGGGCCGAGGCTGTTACTGGAGCATGAGAGTCCTCTGTACAGAGGGAGGGGCTCACAGCTCCTCAGGAGGAGGTGGGGATCCTTTCTGGGGGTTTTCTTGGGTTCCCCCCTTATCATCCGTTCTGGCCCCTGACCTGAGCCCTCGAATACAAACCAGATCCAGTTTCTTCCGTTTCCCGGGCTCAAGTGGGACAATGGGTCAGGGTCAGAATTGCCTGCCCAGGCTCTGAGGGAGTTAGAGGGATGCTGTTCCCGTGGGGGAAGTGCAGGAGGCACACATGTTCTGGATCCAGAGGGACCAGGGGTAGCTTCCGGCTCCATGCTGCCCACCAGGCCCTGAGAGTCCCCATCCCGGAAAAAGCAGGGGAAGCGGAAGCTGCTGGATCCCACTGAGAGAAACAACCTTCATCAGAGGCAAGTGCAGCCTGCTGCCCTGGGACTCTGAGTACCACAGATGGGAGCTGCAGGGCGGCCCCTCAAGAAGCAAAGTATGACACACACTTTTCACCCACTCTCAGAGTCCTGGAGCTTGTGGGTGTGACCTTATTTGGAACACAGGTGTTTACAGATGTCCTTAGGCTAAGGATCTTGAGATGCGATCATTTTGGATTATCCCCATAGGCCTTAGTCCAATGGCAGGTGTCCTTGTAGGAGAAAGCAGAGGGTGGTTTGAGGCAGACAGAAGGGAAGTGAAAGGAGAAGAAAGCACCATGTGGAGAAGGAGGTGGAAATCGGGCAATGTGGCCACAAGCCAAGGAATGCCTGGGTCCACCAGAGGCTGAAAAGGCAGCAGGGACCCTCCCCAGGGTGGTTGGAAGGAGCATGGGCCTGCCCACACCTTGGTTTCAGACATGTGGCCCCTAGGACTGAGAGAGAATACGTTTTTGTTGTGTTAAGTCACCCTGTTTGTGGGGAGTCATTGTGGCAACCTCGGAAAACTAACACAAGAACAGAATAAAAATTAAAACAGCCTCTGCCTCCCCAGGACCAAGACTGGGACTGGATGCGGGAAGGGCCGGGGCTGCCGCCACCACAGGCCTCCTCCTCTGAGCATCGGCGGATACGGGGTCCCCTGGGGGCCCCATCAGCCCCATACTTTCCTGCCCCAGGACCCAGGGAGGAGAGGGGAGGCTCAGCGTCTCTTCTGTGGCGGCCACCAGCTTCTGACGTGGCTCCCAAAGACCCTGCTTCCCACCGTCCTTCAAACTGAGTGCAAACTCCCTCCAGGCCTGAGGAGTTGGCGGGTGGCCCTGACTCCCCGTCTCCACATCATTCACGGTCACGTTGGCTTCCATTCTCTGAAGCCCCCCAGTTTGGGGCCTCTCCCTAAGGTGTCTCCCCATCCCCATCTCCCACCCTCTGACCCTCTCTTCTCCCAAGCTGCTCTCCTTTCTCTTCCAGGACAGTCAGATGCCCCTACCCCAGCCCAGGGGTCTTCAGCCCTCACCGCAGGTGAACATCACACAGACATTGGTTGGGTCACTTGCTTGCTGTCTGTTCACCTCCTAAAATGTAGTCCTTTGTCTTTTTCATGGCATCTGATAGCAGCACCCACTGCAGTGCAGGACAGACACAGCACTGTGCAAACAGCCATGGATGGTGGATTCAGGTATCACCCTGGACATGAGACCTGGCCTGAGGCCTTGCCCTGCCCTGCTCTCGGCCAGCACATTGTCTCCCAGAGTCCACCTCATCTCTGTTGGAACAGACAGCAAATCCATGCCAATGACAACCCATGCCAATGGCAAATCTGTGGCAAAGGCCTTCCAGAGAGAAGCAAGGCAGGTCCCAGACGCCGCCCCCACCCCATTTCATGACAGTCTCTGCATCTGCCCCCATGCTGCAGATACGGACAAACTGGAAAGACAAATGTTCTGAGCTGTCTCAGGAAACCTGGGAGGGAGGAAGGAAAATTTTTCCCTTCTATTTTGTATTTATTTAGAGCTAGGGTCTCACTCTGTCCCTCAGGCTGGAGTGCAGTGGTGTGATCAAGGCTTACTGCAGTCTTGAACTCCCAGGCTCGGGAGATCCTCCCACCTCTGCCTCCCACAGTGCTGGGATTACAAGTGTGAGCCACCACACCCAGCCTTTCTTTCTTAGGTGTCAACCTTAGGCAAACTACCCAGATTAATTCATTCAATTACTCATTCATTTAATTTACTCATCTTTCATTCATTCACTTCACAGATAAGCCTGGAAAGGAAACCACAAGCCCAGCTGAGTGGTTGTGCTACAGTCTGAGTATCTGTCCTCTCCAGAACCCGTGCTCAAACTTAATCCCCAATGCAGCAGTGCTGGGAGGTGGGGCCTTCAATAGGTGATTGAGTCATAAGGGCTCTGCCCCCATGAGCTGATTCATCCATTCATGGATTCGTGGATTCATGGATTATCAGGAGAGTGGGACTGGTGGTCTTACAAAGACGAGGAAGAGAGACCCTGCCAGCACGCTCAGCCCCGTGCCAGGCCATGCCCTGCACAGTCTCAGGGCTCTGTGGGGTCCCTACTAGCATGAAGGTCCTCATCAGATGTCAGCCCCTCAGCCTTGGACTTCCCAGCCTCCAGAACTGTAAGAAATACATTTCTTTTCTTTACAAAGGTCCAGTTTCAGGTATTCTGTTATAGGCAACAGTGAACTAACACAGGGTGCTAGACGAGAGAGATGCTTCATCAGTGCAGCAGAGTGAGCCCTGGGGCCCAGCACAGAGCTGAGCACCTGCCAGGTTAACCTCCCACAGGCCCCACCCAGCTGGGTGTCATCAACCCCATTTTACAGGCAGAGGGACCCAAAGTACACGATGATCTAGGATCCTGCCCTGTGGAGTTAGGGTTTAAATATAAGCAGAGGGCTCAGAGCCTGCACCCATTGCCACCATCTGGGGGTGGCCACCTGCCGGGAGTGACCTTTCCATGCTCTTATGTGGACTCCAGGGTGGGGAGCAGCTCTGACTGGCCCCTGCACCAATCGCCTTCGACTAGGGGATGGGGTGGAGGTCAGTGAATGTGGCTGCAGGGCCCCTCATAGGTGATGTGGGTGGGGGCATCACAGATGACCAGGAGGGAGGGGCCCTTGTGGGTGTGAGGGCAGCCCAAGGCACCCACTCCAGGTGCTCCCAGCTTCGTCCCCTTACCCTCCCGCCTCCTCCCACATTTTCCCTTTTACACAACTGGCGCCATTATTTTGTCTTTTTTGCTTTTTTATTTACATTTTCACATTTCCCCTTCACATCTAGGTCCCCAGTGCGCAGGACGGAGGCCAGGCTCAGCTGCAGCTAATCTAAAATGTCATTAATATAAATTGGGGCTAATTACTTAGTTCCCTTCGGCAATCCCTAGCCGAGCTCTGGCGACAGAGGCCTTCTGGAAAACAGAAGGACGCCTCCACCAGAAGGGGCCAAGGCTTCCTGCAGAAAGCTCAGCAGTGCCCAGCTCCTGCAGCCCACGGGGAGTCTCTGGAACAAGGTGCTCTGAAGGCTTCTCTCCCTCTTGCTGCACAGGGCAGCAAAGTTTGACACAGGTCTCTCTTCCTCATGTTCGATACAGAGTTTGACACAGGTCTCTCTTCCTCATCTTCGATACAGAGTTTAATACAGATTTTTTGCTTCTCTGGGGCAGAATGGCCACAGGACAGGAGCACTGAGCACCGGAGCCCCCCGCCGGAGCACCCTGCCCACCAGCCCTCTGCAGCTGCAGCTGGTCAGAACCCACTTTCCTCTTCAGAGCCTCCCTCTTTGCAAACTTCCATGGTCACATAGTTATCAGATCAGGTTTGAGGGGAGATGTGACCCCAGGGAGAATGCTCAGTGAGAGAGACACTGGCGGAGGCCCTTTTTCCCCATATCCTTCCAGCTAAAGCAAAGGGGGCATCTGAGCAGAGGGCTGGGGCTCCTCCCTGGGGGCAGGAGCCCAGGACTGGCTTCTGGCACCCAGTAGGCACCAAACAAATGCTCTCTCTGTCCATCATGACATCAAATGCTGACCACAAGCCATCGGAGCTGAAACTTTGGCCCACAGTATATATATGACTTAACAGGCATTGGGCCCACATACCAACCAACAGCTCTCAGGTAACTCCTTAAAGGAGAGTAAAACATAGCATTTAAAGATTAAAGACCATGGTGAAAATGTCGAGAGATAGATGGTGTCTGTGAACCCTCACAGGCCCCCTAGAGTTGGCTTAATGAAGATGACTTGAATCCTAGACAACCTTGCAGCTGTTCTCAGCTTGCTTTTCCCTCCCACCATCCCGGCCCACCATCTGGGGCTGCAGGAGTCGCAGGCAGCGAAGACCAGCATTGAAGAATTTCTCACTGAAGCCACTTTCAGAGTTCTGTGGGATGGCAGGTTGTTCAAGGCTGGGAACTTAAGTGTCTCAACATGTGGGGAAAGATAGAGGGAGCTGTCTGTCGCACTGGACTCTAGAGATCCTTTACATGCTAATGCAACTTTGGATGGAGTTTCTAAATATTTCCAATATGCATTATTGATTTCCTGCTCCAATCAGCAAAGAAAAAAAAAGCCGTGTCAAGTAGAGAGAGAATGAAATCTGGAACATGGAGCCATTTCCCATGGAACCATCTTCTTAAACAATTCCAGTGTCTTATTCTTGGCTTTCAAACCATGCTCTTGCCCATCCATGACCTTTCCTGGTCTGTGAAGAAGGTGAAGAGCTATTTTCAGTCCATCTCTCATTTCAAATGCTTGTCTAAGCACAGTCCCCCCAGCTTCCATTGGAAAGTGGAATGTGGCTTCCCTCTGCCCTCTTCCTTGTACCACTCGGAACCCTGGAAAGATGAAGGTCCTGGTCTCAACCTCACTATCTGTGGTGAGAACTACTCCCTGCTCCTGCTAACAGAGCCTGTCAGCACTCGGGTCCCTGGGGGACGTGTGCACCAGAGCCCCATCAGGATGCACATGCTAGGTGGGCACGCCATTGGGGCTGACCACATGTAGCTTTTCAAGTCTTCAATGAAACTCACAGAAGCATCACTGGCCATGCAAAAACTCTTCACCTGTAACATGGACCTGGGTGTCCTCAGCTCTTCTCCCACAAGGGGGACTTCATCCAGCCATGCAGCGAGAGGCGGGCTGATGTGCACACACACTGGGAATGACATTTACACACGCTGTGTTCAACGGCATCCTGGGATGAGGGAATGCTGCCATCATCATCCCATCCCCTCCCAGCATGATAGACAACTTAACTTTGCAGTTGGTTTTTTCAAACTTCTCAGCAGCAGCCTGACACGCACCTCTCATTGCCATGTGCTGTGCAGTTATGAACCTTCGTTCTGATCTCTTCTCTGTTCGTGGTTGACAAAATGTATCACTCATCAATTTTGTGCTGGGAAACCTAATTTAGCATTTGTCAAGAACAGCTCACTTGGCTGACGAGAGCCTCCACTCTGCTCTTCGGAAAATGCTCTGAAACTTCCACGGTGTCATGTCACTCTTTGAAAGTCTTGTAAGGGATCACAGCCTGGTGACAAAGAGCAATGGAGTCACTATCCCAGCAAGTTTTGGCTTTCAGGTATTCTCTGCTGTAATTTTCTAAGCTTTTCCTTTCTGCTGCATATGCAAAATCTTCCTAGACTTGCCCCAGCAGGGGCGCAGATTGCAGGATGGCTTTCTATATTTGTACTGGAATCAGGCACACACTATTTACATTGTTTCAGTTATTCTAAGCTGTGCTGTTTATGTTTCCATTTGTATCACTAATTTTATGCTTTACCTAACTGCTTTTGAACCATGGGTCTATCTTTGTGAACTAGGAACAGATTACATCACCCAGCAAAAGTAAGAAAAAGCACAAATGTTTACAAACATAGAATAACATGCCAATTCTTTCTGGATGTGATAACCCACGAGCAGGCGCCCTGTTGGACTTCGCTCCAGGGAGCCAGCCAGCCCTGACGTGTGGTTCATGCCCAGCCTTTAACGATTATTGAAGACGTCATGTGATTTCTGTGAAACATGTAAGCAAAGTTGTTTCATGGCTTTTGTCCTGAAACAACCAACGACCTAGCAGACAGAGTAGTTGCCAGGGTCCACCAGGGTCCACCAGGGCATCAGCAGGCACCCACAGAGAAATGTCCATCTCGCCCAAGGCTGCGGGCCGCTTACGGCCGGGGCCGTGCATTGTTTCCTCAGAAGCATATGTGTGGTGGACGTAAGGGAACAGCATCCTAAGACCAGCCAAGCTGGACAGGCAGAGGCCTGAGTTCAAGTCCAGTGCCCTGAGGGCAGGCCAGCGAGAGGGCCTCTCTTGGCTTCCGTCTTCTATGCTGCAAAACAGGAATGAGACCTGCTTTGTGCTTGAAGGGGTGTAATGAGATCACATGTTCACAATTCCCCACACAGGGGGAGCATTCACTCCTGGCTGCTGTTAACACTTTTTACACAATAGCCGATTGTTAATAATATTAATCACACAGAAACTCATCTTATGAAGAAGATATCTGCCTAGCACAATCCTGCTTTCCTGAAGAGCACCCATTGTTTTCCTCTCGTGAACCAGATCGTTCCCTGCCGCTCAGAAATCAGCAAGCTGGAAGTCAGAAAGTGGAGCTGGATCACATCCACCCCAGGGAGAAATGCACAAGCTTCCAATCAGTCCTCGTCTCCCTGGTCCACATAGAAATTTGGACGCAAAGGCAACCCGCTGGATGCAGCAGATGAAACCATTCATTGACAGTTTACTTTTGGCTTAGAGCATGTTTCTCTCTGGTTAAATATTCATTATGTGTTTTTATTTATTATTTACGAGGCACAGGGGAGAGTCTGAGTCTGATTTCAGTTTCACAGACGGGATCAGCTGCATGAATTTTCCTTATTCTCCAGGAGGCCGGCTCCTGGCACAGACTCTAATGACAAAACAGCCAGACCCCGGTCCTCAGTCTCCCTCCTGCCCACTTCCCCAAGAGGCCCCTTTCTTCTGCTTCCTGCTGCAGCTGCCACCTTCCAGGGCAGCAAGGAAGCAGTGCTTGGAGTCCAGGGACAGTGAGCCCTCCCCATCCTCAATGCTAAGGTGCTCCACCTGCTCCCGCCTGATTTGTTCCCAAGTCAGAATAAAAAGCAAAGCTTTCTCCCCCCAAAGGTGTTGATAA
This sequence comes from Homo sapiens, assembly GCF_000001405.40. NCBI lineage: Eukaryota > Metazoa > Chordata > Mammalia > Primates > Hominidae > Homo > Homo sapiens. Next base: position 4,082,882 of record NC_000001.11, on the reverse strand, counting down.
TGTCACTTTTGTCCCAGGAGTATTTGGGTCCCCATTCTTCACCTCTCCATTTAAATTGATTAATTGCCCTTTAAAAATGAACCCGGAAAATAAATTGCCTAATAAAATAAATTATCTTGTACTCTGTGGTGCCCACAATCCACTGAAAGCTGAGAAGAAGCTAATGAAGCAGCAAAGAAATGACTAATGCAGGAAATACACTTAATAAAGAATAATTGATCAGTGATCACAGGCTCCTCACGCTCCACCGGGGCTTCCCCGGAGAAGCCGAGATTCCTCTCACTCCGGCGGCAGTCCCAGGGCAATGGCAGGAGCCTGATGGACAAGGCAATTAGACATTTTCTGTGAGTCAACACCCCCAGCCTCCCTCCCCCAGTAAAGGACGGTGCTCCGACTATGGAGGAAGCCAGCCGGGAGGACAGTCCTGGAGCAGCAGCCTTCAAGCCTGTGCCCCCTCCTCCAGGGGCTCTGATGTTGACCCTGGCAGGTGGCCAGGACTTCAAGGCCAGTGTAGCACCCCCAGCCCAGTGGGCGTCCCCAGCCCCACAAAGGGAATATTTGGAAGCAAGTTCTGATGGGGCCAAGGCTATAAGCAGGGGCAGTTTTTCCCTCCAGGAAGAACAGACTCCCTCAGGGAGGGACAGGGACCATGCCCCCGGCCAACCCTGCGTCCAGCCTGTCGGGGCAGGACTGTGTCCACCATTTCCTGAGCGATGAAGATCCAGGAAGAAAGGCCGTCCGCACCCAGCCCAACAGGCTGGGCAGCCTCCTGAGGATGACAGTGTCTGGTACACAGCCACAGAGAGGAGTTCCGGATGCTTGTGGGAGGGGGTGGAGTCAAAACAACAAGTGCTGAGTTAAAGGCAGATGCAGCATCCCTGTGGAGGGGTCAGACACCCCACGACCAGGCGTGGCATTCCTGGAGGGGACGCCCTCCCCTCACTCTGCCCCAACGGGCACATCTGTTGGACACAGGCTGAACCGTGGGGTGGAGAAGAGCTCACAGTGGGACCTTTGGAGACAGGAGCACAGACCCATGGACACGTGGGCACAGTGAACCCACAGGGGAAATGGGAGACAGGAGCTGCTTGTTACCGAGAGCCGAGCTTGTGCCTGATACTGCACTAGGTGCATCACCTGCACTATTTCATTCGATTCTCATACCAACCTTGGCCAGCCAGAGCTCCTGCGCCACTCCGCAAGGCCCCAGAGCACTGGGCTTCTTACCCATGGTAATTTCCTTCCATGTATCACATTGCTCAAACACCCGCCTCACTTGTCCATCCTTCCATACATGCATCCATCTATCCATCTGATACAGCTGGACGTTTGTCTCATGTTGAAATGTAATCCCCAGCTTTGGAGGTGGAGCCTGGTGGGACATGATTGGATCGTGGGAACGTGATTGGAACATGAATGGCTTAGTGTCATCCCCTTGGTGATAAGTGAGTTGCCTCTCTCTGAGTTCACATGAAATCTGGTTGTTTAAAAGAGTGTGGCACCTTCCCCCTCACTCTCTTTATCCTGCTATCGCCATGTGACCTGCTGGCTCCCCATTGCCTTCCACCATGATTGGAAGCTTCCTGAGGCTTCACCAGATCCTGAGCAAATGCCAGCACCACACTTTCTCTAAAGCCTGCAGAATCATGAGCCAATTAAGCCTCTTTTCTTTATAAATGACCCAGCAGCCTCAGGTATTTCTTTATAACAACAACAAAAAAAGACTAATACATCATCCCTTCATCTATCTATCCACCATCCACCCATCCATCCTTCTATCCATCCATCCACCCCTCCATTTATCCATTCAACCATCTATCCTTCCTTCTGTACATCCAGCTTCCACTCACCCATCCATCCATCCAACCCTCCATTTATCCATTCAACCATCCATCCTTCCTTTTTTGTTATACTTTATGTTCTGGGGTACATGTGCACAACGTGCAGGTTTGTTACACAGGTATACATGTGCCGTGTTGGTTTGCTTCACCTATCAACTCATCATTTACATTAGGTATTTCTCCTAATGTCATCCCCCTCCCAGACCCCCACACCCTGACAGGCCCCGGTGTGTGATGTTCTCCTCCCTGTGTCCATGTGTTCTCATTGTTCAACTCCCACTTATGAACGAGAACATGTGGTGTTTGCTATCCCTTCTTCCACTCATCCTTCCTTCCTTCTTTCAATCTATCCATCTATTCTTCTATCCAATGAACCATCTACCCATTCATTTTCCACTCACTGAACATTATTCACAAATAATCTGCCAACAAGACCCTGCCTGTCTTTATCTCCCTAGATCACAAAGATTGGGCTAACCCATAGTCTCCATCATGTTCTAGTCAGCAGCCCATCATTCCGACCCACTGGGCATCTCTAGCCTTTTCTTTGGTCATTTGAGCCTAGAGGTGGAAATATCCACATCCACCACCTGGACCCTCTAAACAGTTCACACAAATTAGGTTTTTGTTATGAGGAGGTCAACCCTTGACTGTATTTAGGGCAAGAGAGGCCAACATGCCTTGGGCCAGGGTGGGGAGTTTCTCAATGGTCAGGAGGAAGACAGTTCTTCTGGAAGGCACTGTCAGGTGGAAATTTCATCCTGACTCGGGGCTCACCCAATTCCTCTAAATACACATCTCTGAAAATATAAGGAGCACGTTTGAATGTATTCATCCTCAGCCATGAGGTCACAGCTGAGAGAAAGAGACAGTGTGCACCGAGAAGTCAACTCTTCCCAGAGAGAAGGCTAGCCTTTTTCTTGACCCCAGGGGGTGTCTCTGGGCCCTGGAATGTTCTGCCTGATAAGAGGGTCCTTGTGTACCTGGGGGCCCTGGGCCATGCGGGGTCATCTCACAGTGTGATTTAGGGTGGGGACTTTGGGCCTTGAGGCATCAGCTCAACCTCTGGGGGCTGGAGACTGAGGTCAGTAGGCCATGTCTGTATGAAAAGGCCCCCTGAAGACTCTGGGCATCCAGGCCCAGGAAGCTCACAGTTGCCGTGCTCCATGCGCCTTGTCACAAATCATTGCTGGGAGGTGTGATATGGTTTGGCTGCGTCCCCACCCAAATCTCATCTTGAATTCCCATGTACTGTGGGAGGGACCCAGTGGGAGGTAATTGAATCATGGGGGCAAATCTTTTCCATGCTGTTCTCATGATAGTGAATAAGTCTCACGAGATCTGATGCTTTTATAAGGGGGAGTTTCCCTGCACAATCTCTCTCTTCACCTGCTGTCATCCATGTAAGATGTGACTTGCTTCTCCTTGTCTTCTGCCATGATTGTGAGGCCTCCCCAGCCACATGGAACTGTGAGTCCATTAAGCCTTTTTCCTGTATAAGTTACCCAGTCTCAGGTCTTTATTAGCAGCATGAAAACAGACTAATACAAGGTGTTACCATGGTGAGTCCACAGGGCAAGAACAATTAGAAGGTCGGTACTTGGAACCTTCTGGATGCTACCTCACACATCTCTTCCCTCGGCTGATGTTTTGGGGTTTGTTTGTTTTTTTTTTTTTGAGACAGGGTTTCACTCTGTCACTGAGGCTGGAGTGCAGTGGCATGATCATGGCTCACTGCAGCCTCTACCTCCTGGGCTCAAGTGATCCTCCCACCTCAGCCTCCTGAGTAGCTGGGACCACAGGCATGCACCATCATGCCTGGCTAATTTTTGTGCTTTTTGTAGAAACAGGGTTTCGGTATGTCGCCCAGGCTGGTCTCGAACTCCTGGGCTCAAGTGATCTACCTGCTTCAGCCTCCCAAAGTGCTGGGATTACAGGCATGAGTCACCATATCTGGGCCCTCAGCTGATTTTAAACTGCATCCTTTCACCATGATAAACATTAATCAAGGGTGTAACAGCTTTCAGTGAGTTCTGTGAGTCCTTCTAGTGAATTTCCAAACCTGGGTGTGGTCCCAGAGACCCCCAAATTCTGCAGTTGCTGTCAGAAATGAGGGTGGTCGTAGGGACACTTCCCTAACCATAGGAGCAGATTCCCATCCATGTCTCCCTGGGTCTGGGTGCATCAGCTGCATCTGCAGGTGACTGTTGGGAGGTCTCACGGGGTCTGGGTGTGGGGTGCATCAGCTGCATCTGCAGGTGACTGTTGGGAGGTCTCACGGGGTCTGGGTGCGGGGTGCATCAGCTGCGTCTGCAGGTGACTGTTGGGAGGTCTCACCGGGTCTGGGTGCGGGGTGCATCGGCTGCATCTGCAGGTGACTGTTGGGAGGTCTCACTGGGTCTTGGTGTGGGGTGCATCGGCTGTGTCTGCAGGTGACTGTTGGGAGGTTTCACTGGGTCTGGGTACAGGGTGCATCAGCTGTGTCTGCAGGTGACTGTTGGGAGGTCTCACCGGGTCTGGGTGCGGGGTGCATCGGCTGCGTCTGCAGGTGACTGTTGGGAGGTTTCACTGGGTCTGGGTACAGGGTGCATCGGCTGCGTCTGCAGGTGACTGTTGGGAGGTCTCACCGGGTCTGGGTGCAGGGTGCATCGGCTGCGTCTGCAGGTGACTGTTGGGAGGTCTCACTGGGTCTTGGTGTGGGGTGCATCGGCTGCGTCTGCAGGTGACTGTTGGGAGGTTTCACTGGGTCTGGGTACGGGGTGCATCAGCTGTGTCTGCAGGTGACTGTTGGGAGGTCTCACTGGGTCTGGGTACAGGGTGCATCAGCTGTGTCTGCAGGTGATTGTTGGGAGGTCTCACTGGGTCTTGGTGTGGGGCGCATCGGCTGTGTCTGCAGGTGACTGTTGGGAGGTTTCACTGGGTCTGGGTACGGGGTGCATCAGCTGTGTCTGCAGGTGACTGTTGGGAGGTCTCACTGACTGTTGGGAGGTCTCACTGGGTCTGGGTACAGGGTGCATCGGCTGTGTCTGCAGATGACTGTTGGGAGGTCTCACTGGGTCTGGGTACAGGGTGCATCGGCTGCGTCTGCAGGTGACTGTTGGGAGGTCTCACTGGGTCTGGGTGTGGGGTGCATCGGCTGTGTCTGCAGATGACTGTTGGGAGGTCTCACTGGGTCTGGGTGTGGGGTGCATCGGCTGCGTCTGCAGATGACTGTTGGGAGGTCTCACTGGGTCTGGGTACAGGGTGCATCGGCTGCGTCTGCAGATGACTGTTGGGAGGTCTCACTGGGTCTGGGTACAGGGTGCATCGGCTGCGTCTGCAGGTGACTGTTGGGAGGTCTCACTGGGTCTGGGTGTGGGGTGCATCGGCTGCGTCTGCAGGTGACTGTTGGGAGGTCTCACTGGGTCTGGGTGTGGGGTGCATCGGCTGCGTCTGCAGGTGACTGTTGGGAGGTCTCACTGGGTCTGGGTGTGGGGTGCATCGGCTGCGTCTGCAGGTGACTGTTGGGAGGTCTCACTGGGTCTGGGTGTGGGGTGCATCGGCTGCGTCTGCAGGTGACTGTTGGGAGGTCTCACTGGGTCTGGGTGTGGGGTGCATCGGCTGCGTCTGCAGGTGACTGTTGGGAGGTCTCACTGGGTCTGGGTGTGGGGTGCATCGGCTGCGTCTGCAGGTGACTGTTGGGAGGTCTCACTGGGTCTGGGTGTGGGGTGCATCGGCTGTGTCTGCAGGTGACTGTTGGGAGGTCTCACTGGGTCTGGGTGTGGGGTGCATCGGCTGCGTCTGCAGGTGACTGTTGGGAGGTGCGTTGGCATCTGCAGCATCTGCAATAAATCCCCGAGACCTGTGGGCAGATGCTGCCCAACAGCCTCCATCCACCCATGGCCCCACTCCTCCCCGGCCCATGATTCTGTTGTGTTTTATAGGCAGAGCATGGATGGAGTGAGCAGAAAGCACTTTAGCCTGAGTTCCATCAAAGGAAGTAATGAGAAATCCATAAGTCTTGTAAATAGGTGATAAGACAAGTCTTTAAAACAAATGGGGTAACTTAATCACATGTAAGGCAGAAGCAGGAGGACAGAGCTGCTGAGACAAGACCGCTCCTCGGCATCTGAGAGCCCTAAATGGGACACTTGGAGGTTTCTGCACCCCCAAGAAAGAAAGGGGGTGCACCCAGCCTGAGAACTTACATACATCACCTCACTAGACCCTCACAGCAACCCTGAAAGGGAACCGAATTCCGAATGAGGCAACCGAAGCTCCGGGGAATAAACACCCTGCTGCCAGCCACAGCTGGGGAGCTGCAGCTCTGATTCTGTCTGAATCCAGGGCGGGCCATCTCTTCCACCTGGCCACCATGCTCCCAAAGACAATCCCAGCGTCCTGGGATGCAATGACAGCACTGTGAGGTCCACGGAGAAGCCACTGCCGGCCACCAAGAATTCAACTCTTCTCAGAGAGAGGGCTGGCCTTTTCTTTGACCCACGGCGGCATCTCTGGGCCCTGGAATGTCCTGCCTGACAAGAGGGTCCTTGTGTACCTGGGGGCCTTGGGCCACGCTGGGTCATCTCACAGTGTGTTTTAGGGTGGGGACTTTGGGCCCCACCTAAGGGGTGAAGGCTGTGGCTGTACCCCTGCGGTTCCAGCTCTTGGGCTCAGAAACCCCACTCCCCCAGACACTCCCCTCCTAAGATAGAACACCCTCCTGGCACCCCACCCTCCCATCCCCACAGTCCCAGCCTCCCACCTCACCTTTCCATGCCCACAGGGGTAGGGTCTGTTTCCTTAGATGATCACAGCATTTTATGGCTTAAAGCACACCCTTCTGTCTAACTCCTAATTTGCTCTTCCAGGGAAAGTGACTCCCATGCCCATTTCAGAGATGGAGAAACAGAGACCCAGCAAAGAAGCTGGCATGGCCCGAATCTGGGTGGGCTTCATTTGCTGCTCTGCTGTCCCTGCTGCTGGGCTCCATGGTGGACACAGGTGCCTCTGCCCGGGTTCTGCCCTCAGCACTCATGGGCTGACTGGAGGGAGAGCGTGCTCAGACTCAAAGGCTGGGCACGGGTGGGGCAAGACCAGGAGAGGCAGCCCAGGCGTGTGCAGCCCCTCCAGGAAAGGCATGGGTAAGAGGCCCAGATAAGAGTTCGGGGCAGGCCAAGACCCAGAGAGGTTGCACCACCTCACTCCCTTTGCCTTACTTAACTAAGGCACCAAGTTCTTATCTGATCCCCCAAAGCTCACCTTCTGCCTCTGCCTCAAGCTAAATTTCCTCTCACCCAGGGCAGCTTTATCACCAGCTGGGAGCTGAGGAAGTTCTGAATTATCCCCAAGCAGCATCACAAGGTGTCTGAAAGGAGCACAGAGTGGGAAGAGGCTGGGTCTCTGGGACTCTGGCCGCTGCCTGTGACACTGGCTTGTGCTCTGAGAATTAAACACAGAGTCCCTGTCGGCTCATCCTCTGGCACCTCTGAAGCTGGTTCCTGCTCATGGAGAGGGAGAATCTCAAAAAGCCACCCCTCACCCTGACAAATGCTTTCATTCCCTCTTCTATGCCTCAGTTTCCCTCCTGTAAAGTATGGGGCATGGCCAGACCAAAGCCTTGGCCAGCTCTCTGGGCTATGGTGGGTTGAGTTTTGCCCTCCTCAATATAAGCGGAAGTCCTAACCCACAGTGCCCTTATTTGGAAATAGGGTGTTTGCAGAAGTTATCAGTTAAGATTCTTCCCTGGCACCATGTCTGGCCCATAGAAAGTGCTCAGCAGATGATCCGAATGGGTGCCCATGAACACAGCCGCACCAAGGCCTGCACACCAGGACCTCAACATTAAGAGTTCACAGGCTCACTGTGCTTATTTCACATTGCATGCCTGTATCAAAACATCTCATGTACCCCATAAATAAATAAATACACCTATTATGTACCCACCAAAATTAATAATAAAGAAAATAAGAGTTAACAGGCTCGATGATTCCAGGTATGGATGGAAACGCCCCACCCTTCCCAAAAGCCCAGTACAAATGGGTGATGGAGTGCCAAGTCCCTTCATTCATTTGTTTCTTCTTTCATTCATTTAGAAACCTATTTGTCAGGCCCCTACTCTGTGCTTTTATGAGTGCTGATGGTGAATCACATCAGGCTTGTTGGAGAAGGGATGTGAATTTGAAACCATCCCAGGATTTACCAGCAGGAAACTCAAGTGGCCCTCTCAGCCATTCCTGTCTCCAGGCCTGGGAGCTGACTGGGCCCAGAAGCTGTGATCCCCCAACTCAAGGCAGCTCACAGAGGTCTCCCGGGTACCTCCACTCACTTGAGAGCATGGACCCAGCAGGGCCCTGAGAGTCTGTAAGGCACCACCTTTGCTCGGCACACAGTAGCTTCACCCTGAAAGGGGCCTGGGGATTTGTGTGGGAAAATGTCAGCTCTGAGCCCATCACTCATGTTCAGAAAGCAAATTATTTTTCTTTGGAGGCATTAAGGGTAAATAAAGGCTTAATGAATCAAGCCTTTTGAATTGCTATTGCTCCTTTAATTTGTAGTTTACAAGGTTCTTGCAAATTAAAAATGGGAAAAGAAATCCCTTCCCATCCTGCATGTACCTCCTCCGGGCAGGAACAATTGGGTTGTTTTGATTTTCATGTCCCTAAAGCCCTTATCTCTTTGAAAAATTATTCCTTAATTTTTATGAGGTTGCTGGTAAGACGGGAGAAGTTGAACGATTGTTCCATATCTCGTTCTCCCTCTCCTTCGAGTTCACTGTGAGTGGTTATCGTTCCCTAGGTGTGAAATAAAGGTGGAAGTGCTCACTTTTAATTTACTGTTTGCAATAAGCAGGGCTTTATCAACAGTCCCCCAATAAATTATTTTTATTGCCAGCCTCCTATTGCTGGGAGCAGTGGCCATGAAAACATTGGTGTAGGGAAAATGCAATCTCACGGGCTTCGGACCCAAGTGAGCTGGTACCTACCAGGCGGGTGAAGACAGAGGTGCTGGGTGGGGCTGAGAAGAGTGAGAGGGGTCAGAGTATTCCAAGGACCTGCCACAGCCGGAGAAAGGGAATCCCCCTTCCCTCAGGGCTCACAGGAGGACTGGCAGGACCTGCCTTCCCCCACTGGTTTCAGTGAGGGGTGACCATAAAATCAGAGCTGCAGGGCCAGGCACGGTGGCTCACGCCTGTAATCCCAGCACTTTGGGAGGCGGAGGCGGGCGGATCGCGAGGTCAGGAGATCGAGACCATCCTGGCTAACACAGTGAAACCCCGTCTCTACTAAAAATACAAAAAAATTAGCCAGGCACAGTGGTGGGTGCCTGCAGTCCCAGCTACTCGGGAGGCTGAGGTAGGAGAATGGGTGAACCCAGAAGGCGGAGCTTTCAGTGAGCTGAGATCATTGCGCCACTGCACTCCAGGCTGAGCGACAGAGCGAGACTCCATCTCAAAAAAAAAAAAAAAAAAAAAAAATCAGAGCTGCAAATCAGGCCACTCTCAAAAGCCAGGAAGTCTTTCTAAGTCTTGTAACTCAGCATCTGAAAGTCACGCTGCTCCAAGCCTGTGAGTCTACAAGGTAGCAGTGTGTAACAGAGCCCCCCTCTCTCTCCCTCCCTGTTTCTCCCTATCTGTCCCCTCCTACTATTTCGTCCTCCTCCTTCTCCTGAACCTGCCCCTTTCTACCCTTTTCTTTCTCCTCCTTCTCCTTCCTTTTCTTTCTTCCCTCCTTTCACCTCTTCATCTTATCTTTATCTTCTGCTTCTCTTCCTGCTCCTCCTCTCGCTCCCACTCTCCTTCTTTTTCCCCTTTCTCCTCGTCTTCCCACCATCTCCCCTGTCCTGAGAGTGACCTATGAAGCAGCTGACACAAGAATCTGGAGTGAGACACTGAAAAGCCATCCCATGGTTTGAGCCTCAGGAACTGTGGGATTGTTCCTTCCAGAGCAGGGCAGGGAGACCTGCTCTCTCACCAGGAACGGTGGCAGGGACCCTGCTCTGTCCTGCCGTGCTCTGGGTTTCATAAATCTCGGAGAAGTTTCTTCTGCTCCTCCTAGTTCCTTCCACTTTGTGGGGCCATCACTGGCTGTGGTCTGCCGCCCTTGCCTAGGTCAGCACAACACTGGGTGAATCTGGACCCAGGCTTGGCGGGAAATCACCACACTGCATGCCTCTGCTGCCCCGAGGGTCCTAATTAGTTTTCAGCTTCAGAAGTGACGGGCTAGAGCACAACATTTATTCAAGTGTTTATTACTTTGACACTTCCCTATGTTCAACAATATTACTCACTTTGAGAACAAATCCATTAGGATTTCTCTCTCCTTCAATGGAGAGGTGGGGCTTTCGTTGACTAATTGGAGTCAGCGGGACTGTTTAAATCACGTGGAAGCCCCACAAGGTGAATGCACTGACATTGTCACGTTTCTCCAGAGCAGCTGTTTTCCACGACAGAGAGTCAGGCTCACTGGAAATGACCTGCTCTGAAGGGAGCCTCGTGCCAATCTCAGGCAGCCCCATGGCCCGATCCTGCCTTCCTGCTCACCTGGCTGCATCTTACCACAAAAATAGATGCCCACCTCCAACCAAATGCACTCTTGGAAACACACCAAGAGGACATGCCAGTCCCACCTAAATCCCAGATCCCATGTTTCTCAAAGGCAAGGGCCAGCACAGCCCCACAGATAGCCAGGATAGAGGATGCCAGAGCTACCACAGAGCAGGTGCTTCCTGGCTCTCCTGGAGTGGAGCAGCAGTTCTTCACTCACACAGACTCCCCAGACAGCAGCTGCTCCCTCCTCTCTGAGCCTCAGTCTCTCCCCTAGAAATGGGGCCAAGAAGTAGTTCCTACCCTATAAGACTGTGAGGAGGATACGGTGAGCTAGCCGTGGGAAGTGCCAGGCGCCTCAAGGGCTCAGGCAGCATTAGCTACTAATAGTATCAATTAGATCAGCACCAAGAAGAAACCCATCTGTGTTCTAAAGTAGGGAAAATTCCAACAAGATCATATTTCTGGAAACACACTGGCTTCCCCATATGGTCTCCCTCTCCCAAGGGCCACCCAGCCCCCAGGGTCTTTGCAGGGAACAGGTTCATTTGTCCAGCCTGGAAAGCACACGCTGGAAGCAAAGGGGCCTCGCCGCAATGCCCAGGTGGAGGGCCCAAGGGAGGGGCTTCTGAGGAGAGCCCTGGAAGTGGCTCAGCAGCAGCTGGGGACAGGCCCTGCCACTGTTCCTGGCCTCCCTGCAATGACGGTGTTTGCTGGCTCAGCTGATTGTCCTCATGGCGGCCAGATGGTTGGAACATCAGCGTTCAGTGTGAGATTAATGCCAGGTGGAATAAAATCACTTAATACCCTGCAATATGCAAGAGCAACACTTCCTATGCAGAGCTGCTGCCTTGATACAACTGCATCCTAACATGAGTCATGCTGAGAGTCCAATATTTGTTTAATGGCAACCAGAAGAAATGGTAGAGAAGGAATCAAATGTCAATCAAAGAAGATAAGACTGAATTAACCAGTCTTGGTAATTCAAAGGTCACCAAAGAGCCAGAAAAAGTCAAATTAATGTCATGCTGCCTGCAGGCTGTCCCTGGCCCAGTGAACGCTGCCAAATGGAGCAATTTCCAGAAAAGTCAACTGAAAGCAGAATATAGACAACTATATAGATGAAATCATGAATAAATGAATGAATAATGCCAGACTATTGGCACCACAGAGCCCCTTCCTTCCCAGTGGTGACACCTGGCACACATTCCTCTGCCGGGTGATCAAGGTCAACTTCAGTAGTAATGAGGCATGTTGAGAATAGGCATCCTGGATGCAATGCAATGAGAAGGGCACTTCACCCCTGCAGTCTTCCTTCCAAAACTACATAGCGCCAGTCTAATCATGAGAAAAACATCAGACAAACCCTCATTGACGGAAATTCTACAAAATATCTGGCCAGTATGCCAAACAACTATCAAGGTCATCAAAATCCAGAAAAGTCTGAGAAACTGTCACAGCCAAGAGGAGCCCAAGGAGACGTGATGACTAAATGTAATGCAGGATTCTGGAAGGGATCCTGGAATAGAAATCGATCCTGGGGCATTAGGTAAAAACTAAGGAAATCTGGGGGAAAATGACCTACTGATGTTGGTTTATCAAGTGTGACAAATGTACCATATTAATGTTACTAATAAAAGGAACTGGGTAGAGCGTAGATATGAACTCCCTATTGTGAAAATAAGTAATTCAAAATCTAAGCTGTTGGAATTCAAAATTATTTTGAGCCTCAAAGGAATGTAATTATGGGGCCCGAGTCATGTGACAGGCAGCTGTAACTGAGGCAGCTGTAACCTTCCTCTCTCTGATTCTACATTAGACTTCTTCCTCTCTACATTGTTTTGCAAAATGTTGCAAATAACTAAAGGCTTCCTTTTCTCACTGCTGATCTTCATAACAGATTAGCTTCTCTTACCTTTCTCACACACAGAATTCATGGCTACCACATTGTCTTAAGAAGAAATGTTAAATACACTCTTTTAAATTGGAAAGTTAATGAAAATCAGATATAAAGAAAACAAGAAAACAAACTGTTAAAAGAGAACAAACTGTAACTAATTAAATTATTGTAGCTCATAAACCAGATTTGCATAGGAAATATTGTAGTCCTGTTAAATTTCTTTGCCTTCTACCTATAAAGCAATACCTTCACTTTTAATTTCAGAACACTGACCCCATTTCTCCAGAGTCTGTGTCTCCAGGATGGCTATTCCCAGCTTTTTGCTTAAATAGACTCTTTAAAACTGGATTCTGATCCTTTTGATCGTTTCAAGTTGACACCATACTGTCTTCATAACTTTTCTGTAAATCTAAACTATTAAAAATTAGACATGTATTAATAAAAAAGAAAAATTACTTAAGGATGTAGTTCCTCCCCACCCACCATAAAAAAAGAAGTAAGAAATTGGAGGATCCAATTCAGGGGAGAGATGAAGGCTATCCCAAGATGTTAATGGACGAGCCATCCTGGGATGCAGTTGCTTCATTTGGAGCTTGCAAAAGAATTCCCAGAGGGAGTTGCCTGTTTTTTTGTTTTTTTTTTTTAATGAAATTTCAGAGACTTGTTACTGTTACAGAGAGGCTACAGGAATTTAAGGGTAAGCTAATGATAGACCATGCAAGAAAAAAAAAGGAAACTAGAATTTTCTGAGGGAAAAATACATACAAGAAAAAAGAAATCATAGTTCACTATGTGGCTATGCAGTGAATAATATTTACAAATTACAAAAGTGCAAACACAATCTGCTAATATTTTTTAACTTGTAGAATCAAGCTACAGGTAACACCTTGAAGATTTAATTACCGTTTCAACCCAGGTTGTGTTACAGTGGCTGGGATTCATGAAGCCTCTTCCCCAGCGTACAGGTTGCTTGAGGGGAAAAGGAGGACCTTATTTTTGCACGTGGTCAGCCAGTAGGTGCTCAGCTGCTCTACAGGTGGCACAATGAAGTGGTTATAAGTGTGAGCTTTGAAGTTCAACAGTCAGATCCCACTGTGGGCTCGGATACTCGGTAGCTTTGGAAGACCGAACAAATAATTTAGCTCCTCTCTGCCTGAATTTGCTCATTTGCTCATCAACCAACATGAATGTACTAAGGATTAAAGTAGACTATATATGTAAAACAGCACAATGCCCAGACATCATCAACACACTGCATAATTAGTTGCTATTGTTACCTTGTAAGCAAAGAAAGGAAGACAATTAGTTTTGCTTTTTCTGGGGAATAAAGGAAAGAAAAGATACTCCTGGAAGTGCAACTCAATGACCAAGCCCTGAAATAAAATTTTTTAAAAAACAACACTCTGGGCTTTTATCACCTTCAAGAGACAGGGTCTGAGGAAGGCCTGCCTCTGCACAAAAGCTCAAGGACTCTAAGAACTCAACCTTCTCGATCCTAAAAATGCATCTGCTGGCCTGCTCTTCTCAGCTGGTGTCCACAGGGTGCCTCTGCAGAGCTCACGGAGAGCCACCCTGCAGAGCTCACGGAGAGCCACCCTGCAGACAGGAAGGAGGGAGCTTCTGCCAGCACAGCCTGCTCCCAAGAGGAGCTCTCACTACACCCAGAGACCACACTTCCAGGCTGAGCCCCATCACAACCAGGTGTTGCAGAGGCCGAGGGATCCTTCCTGGGTTCCTGCATCCTGCACTGATAGAAAACCCCTAAGGCACACCCATGTGATTGATGGAGATTGAGTCACAAAATTAAGTGATTATTTATGCCTAGCAACATAACATGAGACCAAGGTTTCACTAATCATCACCACTAGCGGACCGGAGCCTCGTCTGAGGAAGAGAGGTAGAGACATCTCCGCAATCCAAACACGACGTGCCCATGTAATTAGCTCATCCATAATTGAGCACTCTGCTTGCATAAAGTTTGCGCTCATTAGTCAAAAGCACATCTCTCATAACTCCACAGGTTGTTTTAAACAGATTGGTTTTTTGCTGAAAGCCTCGTTTTCATTTAAAAGCGCGTCCTTACACGGCATGTCAAGAACAGGGACGCTTTTCGTAAGATGAATGGAATCTGGGAACATTCTTTTCTATAATGAGGTTGTAACGTTCTCAGCCCCTGGCACATGGGAAGGGCACACCGAGCTTGGAATACACACAAGAGTGTAAACAGAGGGTTCCCCTTTTCAGCAAGTGAAGGGCAAGCATCCTCCTCGGCCCAGCCAAGAAGTGCCTTGTCTCAGCCTCTCCCCTTCCAGAGAGACCCTGCGGTCCTGATGACCTAGCCAAGTCCTCAGCCGGAAGCAGTGGCAGACGCTCGATGTTCAAGGTGGGAGGCAGCACATCCAGGCCCACTCTGGGCTTCCAGCCCTGTTCCAGACCCTCGGTTTCTTTCAGGGTTCAGAAAGGGCATTTGCCTCCTTCCTCTCCCTGTGCCCATAACACAGCTTGCAACTGAACATTCTCATGACCAGGAAGCTTGCTTGGGGTCTTCCTACATTTTTCTTGCTATCTATGGGATTCTAGTGTTTCCTGGCCTGGTAGCCCCTGTGCTGGGATGGGGTAATGGGATGCCACGGGCTGGGCGGGCAGTGCCCCAGGCTCCTGTGACTTATGCGTAGGTATCATCCAGGGCAAAATGAGTTCCCTCCCTGAATCCCTGGGTCCTTGCCACCATGAGGACCCCAGACCTGCCCCCACCACCTGTTGTCACACAAACTCACACAAGGGGAGGCGCTGAACACTAGGCTCTGGGTCCCTCGGGCTCCTCAGGGCCATTTTCACCTCAGAAAGACGTGTCCCCAAGTGACCGTCCCTTAGTCCCTTCCCCAGGCTCCCAGCACCCCCACCCATGCCAGCTTGATATTACCTGGACAGTGCACCCCTCCATGCCCCTCTGCTCCTGGCCACCAGCAGGAGTCTGGTGAACAAACGAATGAACAATTGAATGAGTGAGTGAGTATATGAGTGACTGAGTGAGCAAGTGAGTGAATGAGTGAGTGTGAGTGAGTGAATGAATATGTGAGTGACTGAGTGTGAGTGAATGAGTGACTGAGTGAATGAGTGACTGTGTGAGTGAGAGTGACTGAGTGTGTGAGTGAATGAATGAGTGTGTGAGTGACTGACAGTGAGTGAATGAATATGTAAGTGAGTGTGTGAGTGACCAAGTGAGTGAATAAGTGAGTGACTGAATGAGTCTGAGTGTGAGTGTGTGAGTGAGTGACTGAGCGAGTGTGTGAGAGTGAGTGAATGAGGGAGTGTGTGAGTGAGTGACTGAGTGTATGAGTGAGTGAATGAGTGACTGAGTGTGAGTGAGTGAATAAGTGAGTGTGAGTGAATGAGTGACTGAGCAAGTGTGTGAGTGAATGTGTGTGAGTGAGTGACTGTGAGTGAATGAGTGACTGTGAGTGAATGCATGACAGTGTGAGTGAATGAGTGAGCAAGTGTGTGAGTGAATGTGTGTGAGTGAGTGAATGAGTGTGAGTGAATAAATGAGTGAGTGAATGAGTGAGTGACTGTGAGTGTGAGTGAACGAGTGACTGAGCAAGTGTGTGAGTGAATGAGTGAGCAAATGTGAGTATGAGTGTGTGAGTGAGTGACTGAGCAAGTGTGGGAGTGTGAGTGAATGAGTGAGTGAGTGAATGAGTGACTGTGTGAGTGAACGAGTGACTGAGCAAGTGTGTGACAGTGTGTGTGAGTGAATAAGTGAGTGAGTGAATGAAACAGTGACTGTGTGAGTGATGAGCAAGTGTATGTGAATGAGTGACTGAGCAAGTGAATGAGTGTGAGTGTGTGAGTGACTGAGTGTGAGTGAGTGAATGAGCAAGTGTGAGTGAATGAGTGTGTGAGTGAATGAGCAAGTGAGTGAGTGAATAAGTGAGTGAATGAGTGTGCGAGTGAGTAAATGAGTGACTGTGAGTGAATGAGTATGAGTGAATGAGTGAGCAAGTGTGAGCGTGTGATGAATGAGTGTGTGTGAGTGAATGAGTGAGTGGATGAGCGTGTGAATGAGTGACTGAGCGAGTATGTGAGTGTATGAGTGAATGAGTGTGAGTGAGCAAGTGTGAGTGAATGAGTGTATGAGTGAATGAATGAGTGAGTGAGTGTGTGTGACTGAATGAGTGTGAGTGTGTGAGTAAATGTGTGTGAATGAGTGACTGAGTGACTGAGTGTGAATGAGTGACTGAGCAAGTGTGTGTGAATGAGTGTATGAGTGAGTGAGCGAGTGTGTGAGTGAATGTGTGTGAGTGAATGAGTGTGAGTGAATGAGTGACTGAGTGTGAGTGAACGAGTGACTGAGCAAGTGTGTGAGTGAATGAGTGAGCGAATGTGTGTGTGAGTGACTGAGCAAGTGTGGGAGTGTGAGTGAATGAGTGAGTGAGTGAATGACTGTGAGTGAACGAGTGACTGAGCAAGTGTGTGAGTGACTGAGCGAGTGTGTGTGAGTGAATAAGTGAGCGAATGAGTGAATGAATCAGTGACTGAGTGTGAGTGATGAGCAAGTGTATGTGAATGAGTGACTGAGCAAGTGAATGAGTGTGTGTGTGAGTGACTGAGTGTGAGTGAGTGAGTGAATGAGCAAGTGTGAGTGAATGAGTGTGTGTGAGTGAATGAGCGAGTGAGTGAGTGAATAAGTGAGTGAATGAGTGTGCAAGTGAGTAAATAAGTGACTGAGTGAATGAGTGAGTGAGCAAATGAGTGAGCAAGTGTGAGCGTGTGATGAATGTGTGTGAGTGAATGAGTGAGTGGATGAGTGTGAGTGAATGAGTGACTGAGCGAGTATGTGTGTGAGTGAATGACTGAGTAAGTGTGAGTGAATGAGTGTGAGTATGAGTGAATGAATGAGTGAGCGAGTGTGTGACTGAGTGTGTGTGAGTAAATGTGTGTGAATGAGTGACTGTGAGTGACTGAGTGTGAATGAGTGACTGAGCAAGTGTGTGAATGAGTATGAGTGAATGAGTGAGCGAGTGTGTGAGTGAATGTGTGTGTGAATGAGTGTGAGTGAGTGAATGAGTGAATGAGTGAGTGACTTGAGTGTGAGTGAACGAGTGACTGAGCAAGTGTGTGAGTGAATGAGCGAATGTGAGTGTGTGAGTGACTGAGCAAGTGTGGGAGTGTGAGTGAATGAGTGAGTGAGTGAGTGAATGAGTGACTGTGAGTGTGAGTGAACGAGTGACTGAGCAAGTGTGTGAGTGACTGAGCGAGTGTGTGTGAGTGAATAAGTGAGTGAATGAATCAGTGACTGAGTGTGAGTGATGAGCAAGTGTATGTGAATGAATGACTGAGCAAGTGAATGAGTGTGAGTGTGTGAGTGACTGAGTGAATGAGCAAGTGTGAGTGAATGAGTGTGTGTGAGTGAATGAGCGAGTGAGTGAATAAGTGAGTGAATGTGTGCGAGTGAGTGAATGAGTGACTGTGAGTGAATGAGTATGAGTGAGTGAATGAGTGAGCAAGTGTGAGCGTGTGAGTGAATGAGTGTGTGTGAGTGAATGAGTGAGTGGATGGGTGTGAGTGAATGAGTGACTGAGTATGTGAGTGTGTGAGTGAATGACTGAGTGAGCAAGTGTGAGTGAATGAGTGTATGAGTGAATGAATGAGTGAGCGAGTGTGTGTGACTGTGTGTGTGAGTAAATGAGTGAGTGAATGTGAGTGACTGAGCAAGTGTGTATGAGTGTGAGTGAGCGAGTGACTGTGAATGAATGACTAAATGTGAGTGAGCTAGTGTGAGTGAATAAGTGAGTGTAAGTGAGTGTGAGTGGGGAGGGAGTAAGAGTGACTGAGTGTGAGTGTGTGAGTGAATGAGTGTATGAATGAATGAGCGTGTGTGAGTGAATGAGTGTGTGTGAGTAAATGTGTGTGAGTGAATGAGTGACTGAGTGACTGAGTGTGAATGAGTGACTGAGCAAGTGTGTGAGTGAATGAGTGTGAGTATGAGTGAATGAATGAGTGAGCGAGTGAGTGACTGAGTGAGTGTGTGTGAGTAAATGAGTGAGTGAATGAGTGACTGAGTGAATGAGTGACTGAGCAAGTGTGTGAGTGAATGAGTGTGAGTATGAGTGAATGAATGAGCGTGTGAGTGACTGAGTGTGAGTGTGTGAGTGAATGAGTGACTGAATGTGTGAGTGAATGAGTGTGTGAGTGACTGAGCGAGTGTGTGAGTCAATAAGTGAGTGAGTGAATGAGTGACCAAGTGTGTGTGAGTGAATGAGTGTGAGTGAGTGACTGAGCAAGTGTGTGTGTGAGTGAGCGAGTGACTGTGAGTGAATGACTAAATGTGAGTGAGTGAGCTAGTGTGAGTGAATAAGTGAGTGTGTGAGTGTGAGTGGGGAGGGAGTAAGAGTGAGTGACTGTGAGTGTGCCCAGGATTACTGGGAGGGTCTGTGCCTGTTTTCTCTGAGCAGCACCCGAGTCCCCCCTCAGGCAGTGATCCCCCCATCCTCCTCTTGAGGAACTGACCCCTCCATTTCCGCCAAGTGCACACCTGTACCCAGGTTGTCGAGGAGTGGGGATGCAGCCAGCCTGATTCCTGCCCAGGATTTTGGGTTCCTGCAGAGGATGCCTCAAGCTGGAGCCCCTGGGGAGGCTGCTGCCTGAACCCACAGAATTCTGGGCCCCTTTCTTTCTGGGGCCTGGTCTTCCGGCGGCCTCTTCCACCCCAAGGCTTCTCATGTTGTCCCAGCGGTAAGTTCTGCCCCCTCCCCTTTCTTCATTTTCTCAGCTAAGGTTGGTTTCTTTGCTTCAGCCAGAGAACTGTCACTGACCCGGTTGTCCCTGCGGGAATACCAGGCCCTGAGGGTGGCTTTCTGGGGCTATGGGCAGGAGGTCCATCCAGCCCAGCCCGACCTAGGGGCACCTTCCCAGGTCAGGGACCACCACTGACCCCTTCCTCTCATGCCTTCTTCACTCCTTCTTAGGGCTCCCTGGTTTAGGCGTGGGGAGACCCGGGCTGGCCCCTCCTGCAGTCACTGTCTGTGTGACTCCAGACCGCCATGGACCTCTGTTTTTCCATCTGATGAATGGGCACAATAATGATGCCTGCTCAGTGTCTTGGAGGGCCATTCTCGTGTGGCTTTGAGAACGTGAAAGTGCTGCCAAACGCAAGGGGTTCTTGTGGCTGTGCATCCTCAACAACCAGGGGAGACTCTGGCGGCAGCAGCTGGCCCAGTGGCCAGTCCTGGGTGTGTGCAGGGTGGGCCGAGCCCTCTGGGGACAAAGGAGGGGCTCAGCAGGGCACGGGGCTGCAGGAGCAGGTCCTGAAGCACAGCCACGGCCGAGCCCTTTCCTCCTCCATGGGCTGAACGTGGGCCCTGCCACAGCTGACCATGGACGGGCCACAGGAAGGCCAGAGGCCGAGGCTGCCCTGGGAGGCAAGACAGCCTGAGCCCAGCTCTGCCCGGAGGAATGAAGGATCCGCTGAGCTACTGCCGGAGCAGCCACAGCGAGTGACCAGAGCCAGCGCCAGAGTCGGAGGCACAGCCACTGTGGGCCAGGCCCTTGGTGAGCCCCTACCTGCGTTCAAGTCTCGTTCAGGCTTCACAGAAACCCCTGGGGTGGTCCCAGCTTTCCCCACCAGGCATCAAGCCATGGCAAGATTCACAAAGGTCACAGAATGAGCGTTGGGACCAAGCCTCGCCCAGGTGTGAGGCCAGGGGAGAGGAGGACGGCCCTCACCACACATGTCCCCCAGGACACCAGGGAACATCCCAAGTTGCCACTTCCTTGGGCTTCCCGGAAGGCACTGTCTCGTGGGACCTCTGCCAAGTTGAAGTCCACAGTGGGTCGGCCTCCAACCCCACAGGAACAACTGCGGGGACGAAAAGTCAGAAAAAAACCAAGACCACAGACTTCTGCCAGCCACAGCCCCAAAGGCTGTGTCCAGCGGCCGCTGTGGGCAGAGCGTATGCTGAGCGGAGAAGCCTGCTGCTCCACCCATGCTGGTCCACACAGTGGAGGGAGGGATGGGAAGAGGGAGGAGGAGAGACAGTGGGTAGGGGGCAGTGGCGAGGACAGATGAGGAGAAAGAGATGGACGGAGACAGAGGGACAGAGACAGAGAGAAACAGAGAGAGGGACAGATGGGGAGAAAGAGATGGGCAGAGAGAAACAGAGAGAGCGAGGGACAGATGGGGGGAGAGAGATGGACTGAGACAGAAAGAGCTCAGCCTCTCTCAGCCTGAGCCACTCCAGGAAGGCACCTCAGAGACACTGCCCCCCAGAACCAGGGTCTCAGGGCCCTCTCTGTCAGGCGTTTCCCCAGATCCCGCTGTCTCTGCCGCCACCGGTCATTCAGGCCTGCCCTCAGCAGCAGTGTCTGACTGTGGAAACCAACTCGGATCAGGTCTGACATTGAGCTGGTGCTTGTGCCGCTGGCCCCAGGGTCTCTTCCTAGTCAGCTTCTGTGCTGGGTCAAGGAGCTCAGGATGGCCCGCTATGCCCCGACCCATCCCTCCAACCCTGGTTCCCACCTCTGGATACTGATTTTGCTGTAATGAAAACGCAGGTGCCAGCCTCCAGCCTGAGCCTCCGCCTCAACCTTCCCAGAGCCAATGCAGGGTTTGCTCCTCCATGTCACCCTGGTGGCGGGGGCAGCACAACCCATAATTTGTGGGGCCCCGTGAGGGGTAAGAGGAGGATGACTGCGCAGTGCCCCGTCCACCTTGTTTTTGTGGTTGTCATTGCTAATGAGGGGTTCCTCAGCGCGTGTGTCACACCCGGTGTGAGGCACCAACACTGGGAAGCTGCTCCTGAACCATGAGCTGTCATTATGGCCTCCAGAAAGCACCCAGCCTATTTTCTGAGACAGCGGCAGGTGGCAAGAGGCCGGGCCACACAGGGGAGACACAGAGGCAGCTCCTGGGGGCAGGGCTGGCGCAAGAAGAGGCCGCAAGGCCCTCATCTTACCCAGGACGAGGCTCCAGGCCCAGCCCTGGAGATGCCTCGCTCACTCCTTTCAAGTCCCGTCCTCCTGTCTCGGTGCCGGCTGGGTCCCGCGGTGCGGGGTGCTCACAGCACAGGGCAGGGCACAGGCTGCGGGTCCGGGTGCATGAGTGGATGAGTGGGTGAAAGAATGAATCAGCGAAGGTGATTCCAGTGGCTGTTCCCAGTGGCTGCTGTAGGAAATTATCACAAACATAGTGGTTTCAAACAACACACAGGTACTATCCTACAGTCAGGGAGGGCAGAAGTTTGAGAAGAGTCTTAAAGGCTGAAGTCAGCGGGTCTGCAGGGCTGTGTTCCTTCTGGAGGCTCCAGGGGACAATCCACGTCCCTGCCTCTTCCAGCTTCTAGAGGCCGCCTGTGTTCCTGAGCTGGTGGCCCCTCCTCCACCTGCAACGTTCACGCCCAGCCTCTGCCCCCTACCATGCCTCCTCTGCTGACCACGCTGGGAAGGGTTCTCTGCCCTTAAGGGCTCGTGGGATTGCACCAGGCCCACCGGGTGGCCCAGCACGCTCTCCCATCTCAGGGTCCTTGCGCACATCTGCTCGGCCCCTTTGCCATGGAAGGCCACATATGCCCAGGTCCTGGAACTTGGATGGGGACATCTTTGGAGGCCGTGATTCCACTCACCACCGTGAGGAGGCACACAAAGTCCAATATGTTGGCAAAAGCCTGCATGTCCCAAAGGCTGGAAGATGTCGCCTGCTGGGCCCAGCTGCTCCCCTGACCTCGGTCCAAAGCCAGAGTTTAGGTTTAGGTGTGGTTTCAGGAGGGCCTGTGTCCTAGAGCACTGGGAGTTCGACTCTCCCCGGGACTCTCCCAGCAAGTCCAAGGGTCTTCGTGGAAACAGACGGGAGTGTCAGGACCACCAGCAACCTTGGGGTCTGCCCCTATGCCCCCCAACTCCTGCTCGCACTTACGGCCAATCCTTCTGCAGGCCAAGCCCAGAGCCTCCTTTGGGTTCCTTAACTGGACTTACTCCGACCCTGCCCATCTCGCCTCCTTTTTCCTGGAAAACTCAGCTCCCTCTCAGGTCAATCAGCAGCAGCGTCAGGTTCAAGAGTTCCCTCTTCCTTCAAACCCTGTCCATACCAGCTGGGAGGCTCAACAGGTTTTTTTGCTCTTAACATCACTGTGAGCCGCAGGCCTGCGAGAGGGGCATGGAGACCTGGAAGGAGAGAGAGCGAAACCTGCCCCACGGCAGCCCCACCTCTGGCCACTTCTTAAGGACACCCTCTCCCCCTTCGCCAGCAGCCTCTGTGCTCGAAAGGTGCTAAGCCTCCACCCCTCTCCCGCCTCCCCCTTTCCTTTTTCAACCTTCCTCTTTGGCTGATTCTCTCTCCCGGGAAGGGCTTTGATCTGAAAGGGAAACAGGAGAGAGAGGAAGGGATGGCTTGCAGGGCCTGGCCGTGGTCCGAGGGTGCTGGAGCGCCCATCCCCATCTCTGATTTCACCCTTCCCTTCTCTACCCGGCAGGCGCTGCCTTTTATTTGTTTTTTTTTAGTTTACTTCTTTTTTTTTTATTATTATACTTTAAGTTTTAGGGTACATGTGCACAATGTGCAGGTTAGTTACATATGTATACATGTGCCACGCTGGTGCGCTGCACCCACTAACTCGTCATCTAGCGTTAGGTATATCTCCCAATGCTATCCCTCCCCGCTCCACCCACCCCACCACAGTCTCCAGAGTGTGATGTTCCCCTTTCTGTGTCCATGTGATCTCATTGTTCAATTCCCACCTATGAGTGAGAACATGCGGTGTTTGGTTTTTTGTCCTTGCGATAGTTACTGAGAATGATGATTTCCAGTTTCATCCATGTCCCTACAAAGGACATGAACTCATCATTTTTTATGGCTGCATAGTATTCCATGGTGTATATGTGCCACATTTTCTTAATCCAGTCTATCGTTGTTGGACATTTGGGTTGGTTGCAAGTCTCTGCTATTGTGAATAGCGCCGCAATAAACACACGTGTGCATGTGTCTTTATAGCATTGTTTTCATGTTGTTCAGCTGCCAAGTCCGTGACGTGAGAGGCTCCAGAGCTGAGCGGCAGGTAGCGCGGGCTGCCTGGGTGTTAGCGCAGGTCCCGTTCCGCTAGGGTCGGGGTCTTCACAAGGGTGGGGACTTGGTGGCCCTGTTAGCAGGCCCCAGGCTCCCTGAGCATGGACAGCCCTGGTGCTGAGGACGGGGTCTCTCCCGGGGCATTGCTGTCATCTCAAACTGCAGGAAGGGAGACTTGGCGAGGGCAGCTGCTCAGCATCGGAGCTGTTACCACATGCCTGACGATGCACTTGAACCTGAGAGGTTTAGAAGGGTGGGGCACCCTGAACCCCCACATCCACACAGCTGCAAGGCAGGTCCCCATCCTAGACACGAGACCACCTGAGCTCCCGGCCCACTTGACACTTCCCCAGGGACATTTCTAGGTCTCCAGGAGCTGCTTGGCTCCGTCACCAGGCCCCTGGCCCCTCCCCAGGGCCCATGAGTCCAGAAACCAGCCCTGAGTGCTGAGTGCTTCTCTGCAAGGGACCAGCATTTCCCCTAAATACTCATGTGGGAGTTGCTGCCCAGCTCTGAGGCAAAAAGACAGGGCCAGCCTCCCCTCAGCCCCACCAGCCCTTCTTCCCATCCAGCCTCTAACCAGAGCAAGGTGGTGACTGCCCCGGAACAGAGCCATCCGGGGAAGAGAGGCCCCAAACCACAACTGCAGCCAGAGGCCCCTTCTCACCACCCACAACCACATGTGGGAGGGGCCTGGAGGCCAAGAAGGGGTCCACAGGTGGGCGGCATGAGTCCCGACATGAAGGTGAGGGGTGCTCCCCGGCTTAGAAGCCCTGGACAGATCCGACAATGGGGTGAGGGGCTGTCAGTGTTGGGGAGCAATGAGCCAAGGCGCACAGACACGGGGACCACAACCCGCCCTCCTCCTCCTCCCTCCACGCCCACCCCCAGTACACCCTGAAAGTGAAGTTTAACGAATTTTGTTTGGCAAAACTTCACCACTAGCGCTGCATCTGGGGAAACTGAGCCAGGCCACACACCTGTCAAATGGGTTCTTAGTTGGGGACAACAACCCCTTGGGGATGTCTGATGACCTCGGTGTGTCTCCACAGGTGAGCGCTCACGGACTGGCTTTGTGCTCCGTTCTGCAGCACCGAATCTCTGAAGCTTCGGGGGGAGGACCCTGGCGGGTGTTGGGTTCCTTAGTCCAGAACTTTCCTCCCCACTGGCCACCATGTTCCCTCAGAGAGGTCAGTCAGGCCCAACTGCCGCGTGGGCGGGACACACGGGAACTTGCTGGGTGCCCCCAAATTCAGAACCACACCTTCTCGGCGAGTCCCTCCACTGTCCAGGAAGGTGGTGGCAGTTCCACCCCAGGACAGAACAGTCACCTGCCTGGAGCCTCGGACTTGCTGGAGAAGCCCGAGCTTCCACAGAAACCCCAAGGGCTCTCTATAAAACAGGCTGGAGCAGGAGGATACCCATGTGGGCTTGGCACCAAGTGGGTGATTCTAGAAGAATCTTTGGCCTCCCCTGATCACCACTGAAAAGCAGAAAGGGACACCCAACTGTAGCTCGACATGTGGAAGGCATTTCCACCCAGCAGGGTTGCCTGAAGGCAGAGCAGAGCGGATCAACGATGCTCTCCTGGGAGGCTACCGGGGCCCTCCAGGCTGCAGCGTCTAGCTAGTTTGGGAGCTCTCTCACTTTTCCAGCATCTGTGGTTCTGGGATCGAGACACATGTCTGGGTGTTCCCACTCCATGGGGGCCTCAGAACATCACCTTTCCCTCCTCCCATCTTGACTGTGCTCTGACCCCGCCCAGGGTATGGAACCCAACAGTTTGGCCCCAGGAGCCATGAGGGACTGGCTGTGACCACCGACAGCTTCCCCATCTCCAGGCCCTACCTCCCAGGCCGATCACCCACAGCCTCGTCTTCTTCAGAAAAGCCTCAAGGGGCCTGGAATGTGTCCATCCCTCACATAGGAGATGAAAAATCGCCCGAGATGGACATGTCAGTTCTAATAGGAAATGATGATGTGGAATGAGGAGTTGTTTCTACCATCCCCAGTGATTTATAGGGACGGGCCTGTCATCAGAAACAAAATGTCTATTTTCAGCTCCAGATTCTAACGAGTGAATATATTACAATAACTTTATTAAAAAAATCAATGTACATCAATTCAGTTTTCAAGCTAATTGCCTTGCGAATGTTGCAGTATAGAAGCCCGGGCAGCTACATTATGCACCTGATTTATGCGGAGTGGGCCACAGATCATTCACCCGCTGCTTTGTTTGTTTCTGCTGGTGGAAGGTAGGAATGAGTGCCTCCCTGCCCAGTGCACCTGTCCTGGTAGGAGGGGAGCCGGTGAGGGCAGCCCCTACAGGGCTGGGCTGTCAGGGTCCAGGGGTGCCCTAACTTTACAGTATGCCAGTCATGGTGAGGATGGACGAGGGCTCCCCCTGCACCATGAAGACAGTGGGAAGGCAGCCCTGGGCCCTGAGGCCTTGGGCAGGCCCTCTCCTCTACTGCCTTCAGTCACTTCGCCTCCAAGGTGCAGACGATAGTGCCCCTGGCACAGGGCTTCCACGCAGTTCATCATGACACACATCATCACCATCATTGTCATTGTCATCTCATTGCTGCTGTTATTAAATACTCTAATTTCTAAATAATCATTGTTGTTCTCATGGCAAGGAGTCGTGAAATTCAAATGAAGTGATGTATGTGAAATTACTTAGTATGGCACTGTCTCATCTACATATGCAAATCACCATCAGCCCCTAAAGCACTGACAGGTACTAACCTAAAGTGTTTCTGACAAGCAAATCTCTGAGCACAATGTTTGCCCAGCAAGATGCAGGTGCCTCCTTCTGCTTTCCCAGGAACATGGGGTGTCCCCTCCTGAAGAGATCTCTGTGCCCCCAGTGCATGCACCAGGGCTGACAGGCCTGTGGGTCCGGACGCAGGGAAGAGAGAGACGTCCTGCCTGGTAGGGCCATGGGACAGTCTTGGCCTGTCCTGATCCTCGGAGGCAAAACGAGCCCTCACCACCCCTGCCCTTTCAGTACATTCAAGCTGCTATGGAGGAACACCACAGACGGGGAGGCTTGCAAACAACGGACGCTTATTTCCACAGTCTGGAGGCTGGAAGTCCAAGATCAAGGTGCCGGCAGATTCAGCTCCTAGGGAGGGGCCCCTGTATTAGTCCATTCTCACACTGCTATAAAGATAGGGTAATTTATAAAGGAAAGAAGTTTAATTGACTCACGGTTCTGCATGCCTAGAGAGGCCTCAGGAAACTTACAATCATGGTGGAAGGGGAAGGGGAAGCAAGGCATGTCTCACATGGCGGCAGGAGAGAGAGAGCAAAGGGGGAAGTGCCACACTTTTAAACAATCAGATCTCCTGAGAACTCACTCGCTATCATGAGAACAGCATGGGGGAACCACCCCCATGATCCAATCACCTTCCACCAGGCCCCTTCCTCGACACATGGGGATGACAATTTGAGACGAGATTTGGGTGGAGACACAGAGCCAAACCATGTCACTCCCATCCTGACTTGCAGACGGTGCCTTCTCACTGTGTCCTCACTGGTGGAAGGGGCCAGGCAGCGCTCTAGCCCCTCTTCTTATAAGGGCTCTCATTCCATTCATGAGGCTCCATCCCTACGGCCTCATCACTCCCCAAAGGCCCCGCCTCCTAATCCCATCACCCTGGGGGTTAGGATTTCAACCTATGAGTTTTGCGGGGACACAGACATGCAGACCACACCTGCCATGGGTGCTGTTTACACACAGTGGGGGACAGGGAGAGAAACAGGAGGCAGGGCTGACCACCGGCTCCACCAAACTCTGGGTCGGGACCTGGAACGATTCCCCCATGGCTCCAAGGGAGTTACCCACAGAAGCTAGGGTCCAGCCAGCCGGCTTCTCTAGCCTGGCCGAGGGCACGGCAGTTGCCAGCAGCCATTTCTGAGACGCTACCTCCACGGGTTGGGGAGAGGCTTGGGTCAGCCTCCACTTTCTCACCGAACCTTTGCTCTGTGCCTCATACACACGGTGCCACTTCCCTCCCTGAACCATCCCAGCCACCAGGCCAAGTCACTGGTGATGACCTGGGCCTGGTGAGGCAGACAGCAGGCCAGTAGTGGCACTGGGTGGGAGGCCACCTGCCATCAAGGCCATGGTGGGCACTATGACTCTAGACAGCTCACCTCACTCTCAGGGCAGGCTCCCGGCACAGGTCACCTACAAGCCAAATCCCACCTCCGCTAAGGAAGCCCACGGGACAGCTTCAGTATCTGAGTGTGTCTGGGCAGCTGTCCAGCATCAATGAGTTATAAGAGCACAGAGAGCTCATCGGGCATGGAGAGGGTGAGCTGGGGGGTGTTGAGCCCTTCACCTCTACCCTCTGCCCTCTGAGTCACAGACAACTGGCAGCTGAACCAAGAGCTCCTGCAGCCTGTGTGATGACGGGGAAGGGACTCCCTGCTCCTGGGGAAGGTCTTTTGGCCACAACCCCCAGGGAAGCCTCTCCCTTCTGCCACTCGAACCTGCTCAGAAACAACAGCCAGATGAGGTCAGCTCCACCTGCAAGCACACATCCCGCCTCCAGGAAGCCTCATCTGTCTGAATGTAATTAGTGGTGTGGGGAAGCTGCCTGGAACCGCATGGTAAACCTTGGTTCCGAGCACATTCATTCTGAGCAGAAGAGCAGGCTCCTTTGTAAGTGCCGTACATCTGACAGGTCAATTATTTATTAAGGGTAATGGAGTTTAATCTAAACAATTACTTCCAACTGGCTTCATCTTTGAATTATTTGAGTGAGCAAGGCACCATCGTGCACTGCCGGGGTGAGCTGAAAGCCTGCTGAGCACATGGCCCCGCCGCACTTGTCAGCCCTGCCTTTCCTCAGGCTGGGATTGGAGTGGTGTTGAAAGTCGAGAGAGAACGCCAGGAGCGGTGGTTCATGCCTGTAATCCCAGCACTTTGGGAGGCCAAGGTGGGTGGATCATGAGGTCAGTAGATCGAGACCATCCTGGCTAACACGGTGAAACCCCATCTCTACTAAAAACACACACAAAAAAATTAACTGGGTGTGGTGGCACCCACCTGTAGTCCCAGCTACTCGGGAGGCTGAGGCAGGAGAATCGCTTGAACCCGGGAGGCACAGGCTGCAGTGAGCCGAGATTGTGCCACTGCATTCCAGCCTGGGTGACAGAGCGAGACTCCATCTCAAAAAAAAAAGAAAGTCGAGAGAGAACAATGCAGAGAGAATCACCTTTGGGTGTGGTCATTGGCCCCTCCACGGAAGAGGATGCTGAGGTTGGAGATGATGGTCATTTTGCCCAAGGCCACAGAGCAAGACCAACAGCAGCTGGGGCCAAGAGACTGCAAACCCAGGCTCCTTCCCCAGCAAACACTGGCAGAGGGCTCAGCTGGGATCTTCCTGGATCTTCCAGATATTCCAAGGTGCATATTCATGGCTTCCAAGGGCATCATCCCATCCCTGAGTCTCCAGGTCCTGCTGGAAAAAAAAAAAAAAGTCCTTTTGCAAGTGAGGAGCTCTGGATCAACCCCAGCTCTGGGTGCACTTTCAGGCCAGACAGGCATGGGGGATGGCAGGCTGCACTCACTGAAACACCTGCCCCCAGGGCTGTGGCTGCTGCGCCCTCCCAACAGGCCCCGTCCACACCGCAGCCTGGAGATTCAGTGCCCCTCCTTCCCTCTGCACCTTGTCCCCTCCTGTGCCTGGCTAGGAAGCCAGGGGTGTGCAGCCTTGCTGCGGGCACCATCCCTGCAGCCTTTCATGAACTGGGAGCTTCTGGTGGCAGGCACCCGGGTGTCTGAACTGATTTCAAGCTGGGTGTGGACTTTCCATCTCATCTCCTGGGTGAAGTCAAATCAGGTGGGTCCCTGACTGTGGGCAAGCTCTGTCCAGTGGGAGAGAGAACCATCAGTGCCTCAGTGGGCTGCAGGAAGAGAGACAGGGGGCCAGTACAGATGCCTTCAGGGGTTCAGAGGGAGGCTGGGCCATGCAAGCAAGTCTTCGTCATCCTCATCCTGTCCGTCCCCATCCAAAGACAGCCGTGACCCTCAGAGCTCACCTGGACTCTGGTGGAGGAACAGACAAGTCAACAGAAAGCTGTGGTCCCACATGGTGAACACAGCAGGATGGGGGTGGTTGCAGGAACCAGGCGAGAGACCCTTAAGCCAAGCGGGGATTCAGGGGAGGCTTCCCAGGGGCAGGATCCTTAGGCTAAAACTGAAGGGTAGGAGTTAGGCAGGCAAGGAGGTGCCTGGGGAGTCCACGGGGTGGGGAGAGAGGAGGACTCCAGGCAGGGAGGAACAGCCTGTACATGAGGCATGGTGCGCTGGGCACCTGCCAGAGAAGTTCAGCGTGTGGAACAGAGCTGGGTGGGGGCTGACAAGGAAGGGGCAGGAGGGTGAGAGATGAGGATGGGGGAATCATGCAAAGAATTTGGGACTACATCCTGAGAGCCCTAGGGCTTAAACCAGAAAGGATATTCTTACAGTGGGGGCATTTGAAAAGGGTTTTGAAGGATGAGTAGGTGTTCCCAAGAAGAAAGATATGAAGCTTAACATTCCAGGAAGAGGAGGCAGAATGGACAAAAATGGAGGCGCATAAAAGAGCAAGAGGTCTTTAGGGGGGCTGAGCCTGGGGACTGGATCATAGAGAATCTGCCAGAAAACAGCTGAAAAGGAGGTAGGGTAGTGACAGGCACTGAATACCAGGTTCTGCAGAGTGGGGGTGCCCCTGAGGGTAGCGGGAAGTGAGCAGCAGTGTTTGTGGCGTAGGCCATTTTCACACTGTGTGTTAAAAAGATGAGGCCAGCAACCACATGGGAAACGAACTTGAGAGGTCTTGAGTTGGGGTTGGAGGGCAGGGATTAAATAGTCATCGGGAAGAGATGAAGCGGGCCTGAGAACAAACATACTTTTAAATGTGTATATTTATTGATTTTTTTCTTTTTCTTTTTTTTTTTTTTTTTTTTTTTTTGAGACAGGGTCTCACTCTGTCACCCAGGGTGGAGTGCAGTGGCACAATCTCAGCTCACCACAGCCTCCACCTCCCTGGCTCAAGGGATCTTCCTGCCTTAACCTCCCAAGTAGCTGGGATTACGGATGCGAGCCACCATGCCCAGCTAATTTTTGTATTTTTAGTAGAGACAGGGTTTCACCATGTTGCCCAGGCTGGTTTCAAACTCCTGACCTCAAATGATCCGCCCACCTCAGCCTCCCAAAGTGCTGGGATTACAGGAGTGAACTACCATGCCCAGTGAATTTTTTTTTTTTTTTTTTTTTTGATACGGAGTCTTGCACTGTCGCCCAGGCTGGAGTGCAGTGGCAGGATCTCCGCTCACTGCAAGCTCCGCCTCCTGGGTTCACGCCATTTTCCTGCCTCAGCCTCCTCCGAATAGCTGGGATTACAGGCTCCCGCCACCACGCCCGGCTAATTTTTTGTATTTTTAGTAGAGATGGGGTTTCATCGTGTTAGCCAGGATGGCCTTGATCTCCTGACCTCGTGATCTACCCGCCTCAGCCTCTTAAAGTGCTGGGATTACAGGCATGAGCCACCGTGCCTGGCTGATTTTTTTTTTTTTTAATCACCAAAGTGACACCGAAAGAAACCAGAGGAAAATTCAAATTTCCCATAATTTTACCACCACTGGGTGGTAATACCCACTGTTGGGGTGTTGCTGTTTATCCTCCCAGCTTTTGGTCCTAGGAGAAAATGCACGTTTTTAAAAAATAAAATAAAATAAAATAAAAAACTGGGATCCTATTGAACTCGGTTATACCATAACCTACTCATTCACTTAATATATTCTGAAAATAGGACAAACATTTCACCATGTCTCCCGATAAAAATACTGCCATTCACTGAAACAAGGTGACAAGGTGACTGGCCGCAGTTTCCAATGCTGCAGGGAGCACCCTCGAGTTGCCATGCACATCCCTGAGGATTTCTCAGAATGAACATTACTGGCGGTAGAGGCGCTGGGTCCAGAGTGAGGATGCCAGGTAGCTTTTGATGCCTGCTGCTCACCAGCTGCAGGGGAAATTGCACCATGTTCACCCCACCTGCCGTCTGCGGAACTCCCTGCTCCCCAGCACCCTGGTAATATGTCTGTGACATTGTTTGTTCACTGCCAATTTAATGAATAGCAGCCTCCGGGCTCAACTTCTCACTGTGAGTTTCTCTTGACTTGAGCTTGACCCTTCTCTGCAGCCTCGCTGGCCATTTCAGAGTCTGGGTTTGGGCACCATCCCTGCGTGTCTAAGCTCTCAGGGTCCCCGCACGTGCTGTTCCCCTGTCTGGAACACTTTTCCCCACCCCATTACAGGGCTGCCTGCCTCTCATCTGCAGTTTGGGAGACACTGTCCCGACCTGTCCAGTGAGGTGTTCTTCCCCGCCCAGGCACCAGCTGCGGCGCTCCATTCCAAACCTCGATCCTTTCTGATCCCCCAGGCTCCTGCCCAGCTGAGGGCTCCCAGGAGGTCTCATACCCAGTGCTGGCAACAGTCCCCACCATGGCAGGTGCTCAGTGAAGATTCCAGAGGAGGCCAGGCGCGGTGGCTCACGCCTATAATCCCAACACTTTGGGAGGCCAAGGCAGGCAGATCACAAGGTCAGGAGATCATGACCATCCTGGCCAACAAGGTGAAACCTCATCTCTACTAAAATGCAAAAAATT
This sequence comes from Homo sapiens, assembly GCF_000001405.40. Taxonomy (NCBI): domain Eukaryota; kingdom Metazoa; phylum Chordata; class Mammalia; order Primates; family Hominidae; genus Homo; species Homo sapiens. Next base: position 4,050,894 of record NC_000001.11, on the reverse strand, counting down.
AGGCGGGCGTGTTGGTGCACACCTATAGTCCCAGCTACTCAGGAGGCTGAGGTGGGGAATTGCTTGAACCCAGGAGGCAGAGGTTGCAGTGAGCCGAGATTGTGCCATTGCACTCCAGCCTGGGTGATAAGAGTGAGACACTGTCTAAAAAAAAAAAAAAAAGAAAGAAAGAAAAAGATTCCAGAGGAAAATGATTCAGTCAGGGAATCAATAAAATGTATTTTTCTTTTTTCTTTGTGATTTTCAAGAGCCCTCTATATTGACTTCCTGACTTTAAAAATAAGGGGAGGAGCCAGGCGCAGTGGCTCACACCTGTAATCCCAGCACTTTGGGGGCCGAGGCAGGTGGATCGCTTGAGCCCAGGAGTTTGAGAGCCTCCTGGGCAACATGGTGAACCCTGTCTCTGCAAAAAATACAACCATTAGCTGGGTGTGGTGGTGCACACCTGTAATCCCAGCTACTTGGGAGGCTGAGGTGGGAGAATTGCTTGAGTCCAGAAAGGTCAAGGCTGCAGTGAGCCTCTGCACACACCACTGCACTCCAGCCTGAGCAACAGAGCGAGACCCTGTCTCAAAAGTGAATAAATAAAATAAAGTAAAATTTTAAAAGCCTTCTCATTGGCCTACTTTCCTGGGTAATTTTTCAGTCAGTCTCTCTGCAGAGGAGGGTTGCCGACCTGAGAGAGCCCCACCCACCCCCACCCATGCACCCACGTCTCTCCTGCTCTCGCGCCCTCTGTCTCTCTTTCTGACTCTGTTTCTGTCTCTCTCTCCCTCACTTGCTTCCTCTCTCTCTCTTGCTCTCTCCTCGTCGCTCTCTCCCTCTCTTCCCTCTCTCTCTGTTTCCCTCTTTCCCCCATCTCTCCTGCTCTCTCCTTCTCCCCCATCTCCCTCTCTCCCCTATTTCTCTCCCTCTCTTCTCTCCCCGCTTCTCCCTCTTTCTCCCCCTTCCTTCTCCCTCTTTCCCTCTCTCTCCTTCTCCCTCTCTCTGTTTCTTTCCCCTTCTCCCCCTCTCTCCTGCTCTCCTTCTCCTCCACCTCCCTCTCTCTCCTCCCTCTCTCCCCTATTTCTCTCCCTCTCTTCTCCCTCTCCCCTTCCTCCCTCTTTCTCCCCCTCCTTCCCCCTCTCTTTCCCTCTCTCCTTCTCCCCCCTCTCCATCTTCCTCTCTCTTTTTCTCTCTCTCCCCTACCCTATTTCCCTCTCTCTCCTCATCCCTCTTCCTTTTTTCTGATTTCCTCCTTTCCTCCCTTTCCTCCTCCTGGAGAACTAACTCCTGCCTTGAGGCTCTGCCAAGATCCTGACCTGTGACCAGGGCATCTGTCAGGGCACCCATGAGCCAGCCGCAGCTGCAGTGGCCCAGATGGGACACTCACATGCTCTGCCTGCCCCCCGGCCTCTGGGGTCCCCACGGACACCCCCACTCAGTAGAGGCCACTGTCCAGCATCCGTCCTGGTCAGTTGCCCAAGAGCTACTCCCACGCACCCTTTCTGGAAGAAGTTTGTCTGACCAAGGCCTGATTAGAAGCGAAGCCCCTCTGAGGAGCTGATGTAATTCACAATTTGGCCCAAACTCCATGGGATAACCACGGGCCCAGCGTGGCACAATTATGATATGCTAGTGCGTCCATGAGCAATTTAGTTCAGTAATTGATTTTCAAGCAAGGGAGCTGGAAATTCCTTGATGTGAGATGAATGTACCAAGGGAAGGAGGATCCCCTGTTCCCAGCACAGCCAGGGGCTCCCAGGGCAAGACCCATGCCAGGCTGGGCCCGAGGCTCCGAGCTGCTTCAGCTGATACCCGAGACACTCGGGAAGCCATCGGTACACAGGGGCCACCTCTGTGTGATCACAGCACAAATCATTGAGCAGAAATTTCTGCTCCAGTCCCTTGACTGTATATTAAGCCCTGGCCCAGCATCAAAGGGACAATTTGGCTGAGAGAGACAGGAAGGTGTGGTGGGGCGTCTCACCTCTGTCCGTGGAGACTGGCCCAGAACATAAGAAACTGACAGAGAAATTGGAGCAATGTGTTAATTCATTACTGCTCAGAACCATCACCATTTGGCCACTGACTTCTGGCAGTCATTGGAGACACTGTTCTCTGCCTTGACTGCAGGCCTGGAGGAGCTGGCAGCCACTCAGAGGCCACTCAGATCCCTGCCATGGGGAGGGGAGTGGGGGAGTACGGGGGGGACAGTTTCCTTCCCTTTCTCTGGAAAAGTCGGAAGTGCACAGTGAGGAGCTCAGGGGTCATGTGGACACACCACTGTGGCCCCCAGGTGAGGCCCTGCAAACAGCTGTTCTGGAACATGCCCTGGCATTCACCAAAAGGAAAGGTGTAAACCAGAATCCAGCCTGAAGCCAGCGTTCCCACCGGACAGGAGGTGACGCCAGGTCACCTCCCACCCCCGATGGCCCAGACATCACCTTGGGAGCCCTCGGGCATCTCTCCAGCCCCCACCAACAGACAACCTCTCCGTGATGTCTATGGACAGACCAGTTCTATTCCCTGCCCGCCAAGGAGAACAGCATGGGAAGTTTCCCGTGCTCGGCTGCCTCCTCTCCCCAGATGCCGGGTGCACAGCTGACGCGAGGAAATCAGATGCCACTTCCCCGGCAGAGGCCGCACGTGGGCAGGCACCCGCTAAGGTACACAGAGTGCCTGCCTCCAAAGGGAGCTTCTAAGTGGGTAACTGTGCTGCTGTTATCCTTGCAGGGCTCAGGAAGGGCCCCGTGGGACAGCAGTTCATTTGCAGCTAGCAAATGCAATTTCGTGGTTCAGAGGCCTGAGCTCCAGAACTGAACATCTGACTTGGCACCTTGCAAGACTGGGCACCTTGGGCACTGGGCTGATGGCCCGGTCACCTGGAGGCAGCTAAAGCAGCCATTTCATGGCAGAGGAGAAGAGAAGAGCCAGCCAGGCCCCTTTCCCCCAGCAACAGAGGGAGCTGCCCCCCCAACCCCCCACCCCCATGCAGGCAGTTTGGGTCCTAGGCTGCTTGGAAAACCCACCACAACTGGGCTCTGTCAGCTGGGGAGCGATTCCCACATCTGGCGTCACCTGGTAGCCCTCGGAGGGCAAACTGAGCCCAGCATTAGCTTAATTAATCATAATTAGGAAGGCCGACCTGCAGCAAATATAATCATGTAATTCCTTCAAATCCAGATATAATTGACTTTCGGATTCCCCACTGTTTGGGATCATCCAAGCCACAGCGTTCCTCCCTCCAAGTAGACAGCTCAAACCCTAGAATGAGACCCCATCTCCTAATCATCTTGACTTCCTGCTGCAGAGCTGCTCATCTCTCTCTGCCTCTCCTTCCTCCTCCTCCTCCCCCTCCTCCCTTCCCCATCTCTGTGTTCTCCTCTTCCTCCTCCTCTTCCCTCCTTCCTCCTCCTTCCTCCCCTTCCTCTCCCTGCCACCCTCCCCCAATCCCTGCCTGCTCACAGATCCTGGTTCAGGAAACACACCAGTCCCTCATCCTGAAGCCTTTGTGCTCTGGTCCCAGCCCACTTGCTTCAAACAAGAAGAACCCTGAACCCAGGCCCCATGCAAGGAAAGAGAAGCCAGGCTCTGACCCTGAGCCTCCACCTCGAGCCCAGCTCCCAGCACTCTCAGCCCAGCAGCTCCCAGCCCCCAGCAGGAAATGAGTTGGGGCCAAAACCAACTGGGAGGAGCTAGTGCCCACCCAGCATGAACCAGTGTGCCCTAAAACAGTGTCAAGTCTTGATCTCATGAAGAATGATGAACCTGACGGGGCTGTGGGAGGCAGTAAGGGAGGTCCAGCTATGGGAGGAATGTAACAAGGATGCGAGGCTGGCAGAGAACAGCTTCTCACTGCTATGCAGGAGTCACAGCGAGAATCAGAACCACCCAGCCCTGGTGGGGGCAGGAAGTGGCTGCCTGCATGGTCCCAAACACCTGGTCCCCTGAGTAGGTGCAGGGAGGGGGCCCCCACAGGCGACTCCACTCTTTGAGTTGCTGCTTTCTGCTGCAGTTGGCCACAGCCTGCAACACCAAGGTAAGCTGGGGGCTCCTTGCCCTTTTGGTGTAGACAAAATGAACCTGAAGCCCTAGCTGTGTTCACAAGGAATCTCAACACCTCTCCATGCTTTTCACATCCCAAGAGGCTGCATCTTCTTGGACCTGGGAGCCACAAAAGGCTTGATCCCTGAGTCACTCTGCAGAGGAGAGCTGCCTGCCTCTGTGCAGCTCCTGGTCTCCAACATGTATCTGTGGGTGCTCTTTCCTCTCTACTCCTCATCAGTGTGCATGGAAGAGCAGCATCCCCCGCCAGTGTCCTCACAGGAAGTAGGCACACGATGGCTGCATGAGCAGAACGCTTCGGTTTATGGGGAGGTGAGTACCCACTAAGGGCTTCACATTGCAGAACATGGATAACTTGGAGCCAAACATTCAACCTCCATGACTTCCTAATCCAACCTCTCCTTGTCTCTTCCTTGCTCTCACTCTGCCCCCAAATTCCTGATCCTTTCTAAAGAACCTTCTCCTGCTGGGCCTTCAGACATCCACTTCCACCTTCAGCAGTTCATGCAGGTATTTTCCCAAATAAAGACAGTTCCCTCCTGGAGAGGAATTCTGTTGCCAACTGCAAATGCTCCCTGGTTTATGATAGGGCTGCATCCAGATAAACCCATTGTAAGTTGACAATATTATTAAGTTGAAAATGCATTAATTACAGCTAACTTCCCTCTCATCGTAGCTTAGCCTAGCCTACCTTAAATGTATTCAGACACTTGCATTTTAGCCTACAGTTAGGCAAAATCCTCTAACGTGAAGTTATTTTGCAATAAGGTATTGAATATCTCATGTAAGTTACTGAATACTGTACTGGAAGTAAAAAACAGAATGGTTGTGTGGGTCCTCACTGCTAATGTACACAGCTGAAAGCACCATCATCATAAAATCAAAAGGTCGTAATTTGAACCATCATAAGTTGGAGACCATCTGTATACAGAAAGATAGATTTTATAAGAAATTGGCTCATGCAATTATCAAGGCTGCAAGGCCAAAATCTGCAGGGCAGGCTCACATACCATGTGACCCCTCCACGTGACCCATCACCACTGTAGCAGAGGTGAACACCCGCCCCAAGCTGGTCCTATCAGGGTCTCTCTCCCAACAATCAGGACTTTGAATGCAGGGTAGTGGCACTGGTAAGTTGGGCCACATAGACTTGGGGTTTGGAGAAGCTGAAAGGAGAGAGAGAGAGACCTGCCTCAGGGGCCCTAGGTCTGCTTCAGCCTGACCTCGGAAGGTTCTGCCTCCACCAGCCTGAGTGCCTTCTGCTCCTTGCCAAGAACACGCCCCACCCAAGACTGACAGAATCCACTTCCCACTTCCTTCATCTCCCACCCTGGGCTTGTCCCCTCTGCAGCCTCTCCCTGCTCCAGGCAGCTTTCCAAGAGGGGCCAGATTTTTTTTTTATTATTGTTTTATTTCAATAGGGCTTTGGGGAACAGGTGGTGTTTGTTTTAATGGATAAGGTATTTAGTGGTAATTTCTGAGATTCTGGTGCACCTATCACCCGAGCAGTGTACACTGTACCCAATGTGTAGTCTTTTATCCCTCACCAGCCCCCACCCTTCCCCCCAAGTCCCCAGAGTCCAATGTATCATTCTTTTTTTCTTCTTTTTTTTAAAAACAATTTATTTTAAGTTCTGGGATACGTGTGCAGTACGTGCAGTCTTCTTACATACATAAATGTGTGCCATGGTGGTTTGCTGCACCTGTCAACCCATCACCTAGGTATTAAGCCACGCATGCATTAGCTTATACTGATGCACTTCCTTCCCCCAACCCCCAACCGCAGACATACCCCAGTGTGTGCTGTTCCCCTTCCTGTGTCCAGGTGTTCTCAGACAATAGGGCTTTTTATTATCTGGATATTACTGGAAAAATTATAAGATTGCTCAAGTTTCTATTTTGGGAGGAAAACCCACACTGAGGACATTTAAAGGGTTACTGATAGAGAAAATGAAAGATGCTTTTCTGATTACTCCCTACAAATCCTGCATGTTCCATATGAAGGTCATGAGCAAATCGCTTCACCCTAGTGGATGAGATTTTCCTTTTCCTTGATTTGTTCTTTCCACCCTTTCAGTTGTACCCATACTATGGAAACCATGACCATGCTTTTCTCCACAATGAAAACACCACTTCATCTTCACAGCTTATAGCCTTAATTATTAAGCCACACTGAATTACAATCAGAAGGATCTCATAAAAGCTGGTCCATGTGCTATCGCCAGTCAGCTCACTCAGCCTTTTCTCTGCAGCATATGAACTGGCTTAGAAATATTTCTTGAGTGAGAAGTTTTTTTTTTATTGCTTTAAAGACAACAGAGGTTTACTGTTATGTAACTGTGGAGGCCAGAAGCCTAAAATCAGTATTACTGGGCAGAAATCAAAGTGTCCACAGGGCCACACTCTCTCTGAAGACATTGGGGGAGAATTTTTTTGCTTATCTTTTCCAACTTCTGGTGGCTGCTGACATTCCTTTGAGCAAGAGCTTTGAGCAAGTTTCTTGGAAACGTTGTCTGCGACAGAACTTTGCTTCACCATCTTCTGAATGCTTATATTCAGCTCCATGGGTTAGAATTATAAAGAAGAAGAAGGAGGAGGAGGAAAAGGAGGAGAAGGAAGAGGAAGAAGAAAGAGGCTGGGCACGGTGGCTCACGCCTGTAAACCCAGCACTTTGGGAGGCCGAGGCAGGCGGATCATGAGGTCAGGAGATCGAGACGATCCTGACTAACACGGTGAAACCCCGTCTCTACTAAAAATACAAAAACAAAATTAGCTGGGCGTGGTGGCGGGCTCCTGTAGTCCCAGCTACTCGGGAGGCTGAGGTGGGAGAATGGTGTGAACTCAGGAGGCAGAGCTTGCAGTGAGCTGAGATCATGCCACTGCACTCCAGCCTGGGTGACAGAGCAAGACTCCATCTCAAAAAAGGAAGAAAGGAAGGAAGGAAGGAAGGAAGGAAGGAAGGGAGTGAGTGAAGAAGAAGGAGAAGGGGAAGAGGAAGAGGAAGAAGAAATAAGAAAGGAAGAAGAAGGAGAAGGAGGAGGAGGAAAAAGAGGAGGAGGAGAAGGAGAGGAGGAAGAGGAGGAGGAAGAAGAGGAGAAGCAGCATCAGCATGGTTTGTCTCTACTTTAATAAACAATTTTAAAAAATTATAATGTATACATCTGGGACTGGCTATGAGTTAGGCTGCTCTAATGTGGCCAAAATGACGGATTTAAACTAAGTAAAGTTTATTTCTTTCACTTAGCGGTCTGTGTGTTAACAGTCTAGGTTTCACTGACAGTTCACTCCATGGAGCTGAGACCCAGGTTCCTTCATTCTGATTCTATGATCCTTCACACAGGGCTCCTACCTTCTTATCTAAGAAGGCTTATCCAGCTCAGGCATCATATTAAAATTCCAGCTGATGGGGAGAGGAAAAGGAAAGGGGAGATATAGGAATCTACACTCTTATTTTAAAGTATAGGAATCTATAGTTCTAAATATAATTTTTTTGTTGTTCACATTCCATTGGCCACAACTAATTTAAAAGGAGCCTGGGAAATTATGTCGGCTAAAGTCCTATTAATATGGAAGAAGGGGAGAATAGATAATGGGAAAACAACCGGCAATCTCTCATGTATATACAAAGACCTTTAAAAAGAACTCTAGTATTAGTCTTGCTAGCAGTCTATCAATTTTGTTGATCTTTTCAAGAAACCAGCTCCTGGATTCATTGATTTTTGAAGGGTTTTTGTGTCTCTGTCTCCTTCAGTTCTGCTCTGATCTTAGTTATTTCTTGCCTTCTGCTAGCTTTTGAATGTATTTGCTCTTGCTTCTCTAGTTCTTTTAATTGTGATGTTAGGGTGTCAGTTTTAGATCTTTCCTGCTTTCTCTTGTGGGCATTTAGTGCTATAAATTTCCCTCTACACACTGCTTTAAATGTGTCCCAGAGATTCTGGTATGTTGTGTCTTTGTTCTCGTTGGTTTCAAAGAACATCTTTATTTCTGCCTTCATTTCGTTATGTACCCAGTAGTCATTCAGGAGCAGGTTGTTCAGTTTCCATGTAGTTGAGTGGTTTTGAGTGAGTTTCTTAATCCTGACTTCTAGTTTGCACTTTGGTCTGAGAGACAGTTTGTTATAATTTCTGTTCTTTTACATTTGCTGAGGAGTGTTTTACTTCCAACTATGTGGTCAATTTTGGAATAAGTGCGATGTGGTGCTGAGAAGAATGTATATTCTGTTGATTTGGGGTGGAGAGTTCTGTAGATGTCTATTAGGTCCACTTGGTGCAGAGCTGAGTTCAATTCCTGGATATCCTTGTTAACTTTCTGTCTCATTGATGTGTCTAATGTTGACAGTGGGGTGTTAAAGTCTCTCATTATTATTGTGTGAGAGTCTAAGTCTCTTTGTAGGTCTCTAAGGACTTGCTTTATGAATCTGGGTGCTCCTGTATTGGGTGCATATATATTTAGGATAGTTAGCTCTTCTTGCTGAATTGATCCCTTTGCCATTATGTAATGGCCTTCTTTGTCTCTTTTGATCTTTGTTGGTTTAAAGTCTGTTTTATCAGAGACTAGGATTGCAACCCTTGCTTTTTTTTGTTTTCCGTTTGCTTGGCAGATCTTCCTCCATCCCTTTATTTTGAGCCTATGTGTGTCTCTGCACATGAGATGGGTCTCCTGAATACAGCACACTGATGGGTCTTGACTCTATCCAATTTGCCAGTCTGTATGTTTTAATTGGAGCATTTAGCCCATTTACATTTAAGGTTAATATTGTTATGTGTGAATCTGATCCTGTCATTATGATGTTAGCTAGTTATTTTGCTCATTAGTTGATGCAGTTTCTTCCTAGCATCAACAGTCTTTACAATTTGGCATGTTTTTGCAGTGGCTGGTACTGGTCGTTCCTTTCCATGTTTAGTGCTTCCTTCAGGAGCTCTTGTAAGGCACTCCTGGTGGTGACAAAATCGCTCAGCGTTTCTTTGTCTATAAAGGATTTTATTTCTCCTTCACTTATGAAACTTAGTTTGGCTGGATATGAAATTCTGGGTTGAAAATTCTTTTCTTTAAGAATGTTGAATATTGGCCCCCACTCTCTTCTGGCTTGTAGAGCTTCTGCCAAGAGATCCGCTGTTAGTCTGACGGGCTTCCCTTTGTGGGTAACCCAACCTTTCTCTCTGGCTGCCCTTAACATTTTTTCCTTCATTTCAACTTTGTTGAATCTGACAATTATGTGTCTTGGAGTTGCTCTTCTCGAGGAGTATCTTTGTGGCATTCTCTGTATTTCCTGAATTTGAATGTTGGCCTGCCTCGCTAGGTTGGGGAAGTTCTCCTGGATAATATCCTGAAGAGTGTTTTCCCACTTGGTTCCATTCTCCCTGTCACTTTCAGGTACACCAATCAGACGTAGATTTGGTCTTACCACATATTCCCATATTTCTTGGAGGCTTTGTTTGTTTCTTTTTACTCTTTTTTCTCTAAACTTCTCTTCTCACTTCATTTCTTTCATTTGATCTTCAATCACTGATACCCTTTCTTCCACTTGATCAAATTGGCTACTGAAGCTTGTGCCTGCATCATGTAGTTCTCTTGCCATGGTTATCAGCTCCATCAGGTCATTTAAGGACTTCTCTACACTGTTTATTCTAGTTAGCCATTCATCTAATCTTTTTTCAAGGTTTTTAGCTTCTTTGTAATGGGTTTGAATATCCTCCTTTAGCTCAGAGAAGTTTGTTATTACTGATCATCTGAAGCCTTCTTCTCTCAACTCATCAAAGTCATTCTCTGCCCAGCTTTGTTCTGTTGCTGGCGAGGAGCTGCGTTCCTTTGGAGGAGAAGAAGTGCTCTGATTTTTAAAATGTTCAGCTTTTCTGCTGTGGTTTCTCCACATCTTTGTGGTTGTATCTACCTTTGGTCTTCGATGATGGTGACATACAGATGGGGTTTTGGTGTGGATATCCTTTTTGTTTGTTAGTTTTCCTTCTAACAGTCAGGACCCTTAGCTGCAGGTCTGCTGGAGTTTGCTGGAGGTCCACTCCAGACCCTGTTTGCCTGGGTATCAGCAGCGGAGGCTGCAGATCAGTGAATATTGCTGAACAGCAAATGTTGCTGCCTGATCGTTCCTCTGGAAGCTTCGTCTCGGAGGGGTACCCAGCTGTGTGAGGTGTCAGTCTGCCCCTATTGGGGGGTGCCTCCCAGTTAGGCTACTCGGGGGTCAGGGACCCACTTGAGGAGGCAGTCTGTCCGTTCTCAGATCTCAAACTCTGTGCTGGGAGAACCACTACTCTCTTCAAAGCTGTCAGACAGGGACATTAAGTCTGCAGAGGTTTCTGCTGCCTTTTGTTTGGCTATGCCCTGCCCCCAGAGGTGGAGTCTACAGAGGCAGGCAGGCCTCCTTGAGCTGTGGTGGGCTCCACCCAGCTCAAGCTTCCTGGCTGCTTTGTTTACCTACTCAAGCCTCAGCAATGGCGGGCACCCCTCCCCCAGCCTCGCTGCCACCTTGCAGTTCGATCTCAGACTGCTGTGCTAGCAATGAGCGAGGCTCCATGGGCATGGGACCCTCCGAGCCAGGCGTGGGATATAATCTCCTGGTGTGCTGTTTGCTAAGACCATTGGAAAAGCACAGTATTAGGGTGGGAGTGACCCAATTTTCCAGGTGCCGTCTGTCACCCCTTCCCTTGACTAGGAAAGGGAATTCCCTGACCCCTTGTGCTTCCCGGGTGAGGCGATGCCCTGCCCTGCTCTGTGGGCTGCACCCACTGTCTTGACAAGCCCCAGTGAGATGAATCCAGTACCTCAGTTGGAAATGCAGAAATCACCCGTCTTCTGCGTCGCTCACGCTGGGAGCTGCAGACTGGAGCTCTTCCTATTCGGCCTTCTTGGAACCACCTAAAGAAGACCAATGTATCATCCTTATGCCTTTGCGTCTTCATAGCTTAGCTCCCACATGTGAATGAGAACATATGATGTTGGGTTTTCCATTCCTAAGTTACTTCACTTAGAATAATAGTCTCTAATTCCATCCAGGTTGCTGTGAATGCCATTATTTTGTACTTTTTTTTTTTTTTTTTTTTTTTTTTTTGGCTGAGTAGTATTATCTCAGAGTAGCTATATATATACCACATTTTCTTTATCCACTCATTCACTGATGGGCATTTGGGCTGTTTTCGTATTTTTGCAGTTGTTAATTGTGCTGCTATAAACATGCATGTGCAAGAATTTTTTTCATATAATCACTTCTTTTCCTCTGGGTAGATAGGCAGTATTGGGATTTCTGGATCAAATGGCAGTTCTACTTTTTGTTCTTTAAGGAATCTCCTCACACTGTTTCCCATAGTGTTTGTACTAGTTTACATTCCCATCAACAATGTAAAAGTGTTCCCTTTTCACCATATCCACACCAACATCTATTTTTTTTTATTATGGCCATTCTTGCAGGAGTGAGAGGGTATCACACTGTGGTTTTGATTTGCATTTCCCTGATAATTGGTGATACTGAGCATTTTTCTATATGCTTGTTGCCCATTTGTATATCTTCTTTTGAGAATTGTCTATTCATGTCCCTAGCCCACTTTTTGATGGGATTGTTTGTTTTTTTCTTGCTGATTTGAGTTCTTTGTAGAGATTCTGGATATTAGTCCTCTGTCAGATGTATAGATTGTGAAGATTTTCTCCCACTCTGTGGGTTGTCTGTTTACTCTGCTGATCATTTCTTTTGCTGTGCAGAAGCTTTTTAGTTTAATTAAGTTCCATCTATTTATCTTTGTTTTTGTTGCATTTGCTTTTGGGTTCTTGGTCATAAAGTCTTTGCCTAAGCCAATGTCTAGAAGGGTTTTTCCAATGTTATCTTCTAGAATCTTTATGGTTTCAGGTCTTAGATTTAAGTCTTTCATCCACCTTAAGTCAATTTTTGTAAAAGGTGAGAGATGAAGATCCAGTTTCATTCTTCTACATGTAGCTTGCCAATTATCCCAGCACCATTTGTTGAATAGGGTGTCCTTTCCCCACTTTATGTTTTTGTTTGCTTTGTCAAAGATCATTTGGCTGTAAGCATTTAGCTTTTTTCTGGGTTCTCTATTCTGTTCCATTGGTCTATGTGCTTATTTTTGTACCAGTACCATGCTGTCTTGGTGAGTATGGTCTTATAGCATAGTTTGAAGTCAAGTAATGTGATGCCTTCAGATTTGTTCTTCTTGCTTAGTCTTACCTTGACTATGCAGGCTCTTTTTGTTCTATATGATTTTTAGGATTTTTTTTCTAGTTCTGTGAAGAGCGATGGTGGTATTTTGATGGGGATTGCATTGAATTTGTAGATTGCTTTTGGCAGTATGATCATTTTCACAATATTGATTCTACCCATCCATGAGCGTGGGATGTGTTTCCAGTTGTTTGTGTCATCTATGATTTCTTTCAGCAGTGTTTTGTAGTTTTCCTTGTAGAGGTCTTTCCCATCCTTGGTTAGGTATATTCCTAAGTATTTCAATATTTTTGTGGCTATTGTGAAAGGGGTTAAGTTCTTGATTTGATTCTCAGCTTGGTCACTGTTGGTGTATAGCAGGGCTACTGATTTGTGTACATTAATTTTGTATCCTGAAACTTTGCTAAATTCATTTACCAGTTCTAGGAGCTATTTGGATGAGTCTTTAGGGTTTTCTAGGCATATGATCCTATCATCAGCAAACAGCAACAGTTTGACTTCCTCTTTGCCAATTTGGATGCCCTTTATTTCTTCCTCCTGTCTGGTTGCTCTTGCTAGGACTTCTAGTACTATGTTGAATAGAAGTGGCGAAAGTGGGCATCCTTGTCCTGTTCCATTCTCATTCTCAAGAGGAATGCTTTCAATTTTTCCCCGTTCAGTATAATGTTGGCTATGGGTTTGTCATAGATGGCTTTTATACCTATGGTTTGTCCCTTCTATGCAGATTTTGCTGAGGGCTTTAATCATAAAGCGATGCTGGATTTTGTCAAATCTTTTTTCTGCATCTATTGATATAATCATGTAAGTTTTGTCTTTCTCTTTATGTGGTGTATCAGATTTATTGACTTATGTATGTTAAACCATCCCTGCATCCCTGGTATGAAACCCACTTGATCATGATGGTTTATCTTTTAGATGTGCTGTTAGATTCGCTTAGCTAGTATTTTGTTGAGGATTTTTGCATTCATGTTCATCAGGAATATTGGCCATACAAATATATAGTTTTCTATATTTGTATGTCCTTCCCTGCTTTTGGTTTTAGGGTGATACTGGCTTCATAGAATGATTTAGGGAGGATTCCCTCTTTCTCAATCTTTTGGAATAGTATCAATAGGATTGGTATCAATTTTTCTTTGAATGTCTGATAGAATTCAGCTGTAAATCCATCTGGTCCTGGACATTTTTGGGCAATATTTTTATTACCATTTCAATCTCATTGCTTGTTACTGGTCTGTTCAGAGACTCTATATCTTCCTGGATTAACCTAGGAGGGTTGTATATTTCCAGGAATTTATCTATCTCCTCTAGGTTTTATAGTTTATGTGCATAAAGGTGTTCATAGTAGCCTTGAATAATCTTTTGTGTTTCTGTGGTATCGGTTGTAATATCTCCCATTTTTTTCTAATTGAGCTTATTTGGATCTTCTCTCTTCTCTTATTGATTAATCTCGCTAATGTTCTATCAACTTATCTTTTCAAATAACCAGCTTTTTGTTTGATTTATCTTTTGTATTTTCGTTTGTTTGTTTGTTTGTTTCAATTTCATTTAGTTCTGCTCTGATCTTCATTATTCCTTTTCTTCTGCTGGGTTTGGGTTTGGATTGTTTCCGTTTCTCCAGTTTCATGAGGTGTGACCTACATTGTCTATTTTGCTCTTTCAGACTTTTCGATGTGGGTGTTTAATGCTATGAACTTTCTTCTTAGCACCACTTTTGCTGCATCCCAGAGGTTTTGATAGGTTGTGTCATTATTATCATTCAGTTCAAAGAAATTCTCATTTCCATCTTGATTTCATCATTGGCCCAGTGATCATTCAGGAGCAGGTTATTTAACTTCTATGTATTTGCAGGGTTTTGAGGGTTCCTTTTGGAGTTGATTTCCAATTTTATTCCACTATGGTCTAAGAGAGTACTTGATATAATTTTGATTTTCTTAAATTGACTGTGACTTGTTTTATGGCCTATCGTATGGTCTACCTTGGAGAGTGTTCCATGAGCTGATGAATAGAATGTATATTCTGCAGTTGTTGGGTAGAATGTTCTATAAATGTCTGTTAAGTCCATTAGTTGTAGGGTATAGTTTAAGTCTATTGTTTCTTCATTGACTATCTGTCTTGATGACCTGTCTAGTGCTGTCAGTGGAGTATTGAAACTCCCCACTATTTTTGTGTTGCCATCTATCTCATGTCTTAGGCCTAGTAGTAATTGTTTTATAAATTTGGGAGCTCCAGTGTAAGGTGCATATATATTTAGAATTGTGATATTTTCCTGTTTAATCCTTTCATCGTTATGTAATATCCCTCTTTGTCTCTTTTAACTGCTGTTGCTTTAAAGTTTGTTTTTTCTGATATAAGAATAGCTACTCTTGCTCACTTTTGGTGTCCATTGGCATGGAATATATTTTTCCTCCCTTTACCTTAAGTTTATGTGAGTCCTTATGTGTTAGGTGAGTCTCCTGAAGACAGCAGAAAATTGGCTGGTGAATTCTTATTCATCCTGCCATTCTGTATATTTTAAGTGGAGCATTTAGGCCATTTACATTCAATGTTAGTATTGAGATGTGAGGTACTATTTTATTCATTGTGCTATTTGTTGCCTGAATACTTTTTTTTTCATTGTGTTATTGTTATATAGGTCCCGTGAGATTTATGCTTTAAGGAAGTTCTATTTTGGTGTATTTCAAGCATTTGTTTCAAGATTTACAGCTCCTTTTAGCAGTTCTTGTAGTGCTGGCTTGGTAGTGGCGAATTCTCTGGGCATTTGTTTGTCTGGAAAAGACTGTATCTATCCTTCATTTATGAAGCTTAGTTTCACTGGATACAAAATTACTGGCTGATAATTGTTTTGTTTAAGCAGGCTAAAAATAGGACCCCAATCCCTTCTAGATTTCTGCTGGGAAATCTGCTGTTACTCTGGTTTTTCCTTTATAGGTTACCTGATGCTTTTGCCTCACAGCTCTTAAGATTCTTTTCTTCGTCTTGACTTTGATAAACTGAGGACAATACCAGTACCTAGGCAATGATCATTTTGCAATGAATTTCCCAGGTGTTCTCTGAGCTTCTTGTTCTTTGAGCTTCTTGTCTAGATCTCTAGCAAAGCCAGGGAAGTTTTCCTCAATTATTCCCTCAAATACGTTTTCCAAACTTTTAGATTTCTCTTTTCCCCAGGAACACCAATTATTCTTAGGTTTGGATGTTTAACGTAGTCCCAGACTTCTAGGAGACTTTGTTTTATTATTATTATTATTATTCTTTTTTCTTTGTATTTGATGGATTGGGTCAATTTGAAAGCCTTGTCTTTGAGCTCTGAGGTTCCTTCTTCTGCTTGTTTGATTCTATTGCTAAGACTTTCCAGTGCATTTTGCATTTCTCTAAGTGCGTCCTTGATTTCTGGAAGTTGTGATTTTTTTTAATTTATGCTCTCTATCTCACTGAATAATTTTCCTTTCATGTCCTGTATCATGTTTCTTATTTCTTTAAGTTGGACTTCACCTTTCACTGGTACCTCCTTGATTAGCTTAATAATCGACCTTCTAAATTCTTTTTCTGGCAATTCAGAGATTTTCTTCTGGGTTTGGATCCATTGCTGGTGAGCTAGTGTGATCTTTTGGGGGTGTTAAAGAACCTTGTTTTATCGTATTGCCAGAACTGTTTTTCTGGGTTCTTCTCGTTTGGGTAGACTATGTCAGAGGGAAGATCTGGGGTTCAAGGGCTGCTGTTCAGATTCTTTTGTTCCACGGGGTGCTCCCTTGAGGTGGTGTTCTCCCCTTTCCCCTAGGGATGGGGCTTCCTGAGAGCCGAAGTGTAGTGATTGTTTTTGCTCTTCTGGGTCTAGCCACCCAGTGGAGCTACTGGGCTCCGGGCTGGTACTGGAGAGTGTCTGCCTGCAGAGAGTCCTGTGATGTGATATGATCTGTCTTCAGGCCTTGCAGCTGTGGATACCAGCATCTGCTCCAGTAGAGGCAGCAGAGGAGTGAGGTGGACTCTGTAAGGGTCCTTGGTTGTTTTTGTTTAGTGCACTGGCTTCGTGTTGATTGGCCTCCAGCCAGGAGGTGGCACTTTCAAGACTGCGTCAGCTACTATCCCATAACGAGGGTGCAAACTTGCCCTAGAGACACCTGTTAACTATTCAGGATTCTCAGACAGTGGGCAGGGCCATAGGGCTCCCAAGAGATTATGACCTTTGTTTTTGGCTACCAGGGCAGGTAGAGAAAGACCACCAGGTGGGAGCAGGGATAAGCGTGTCTGAGCTCAGCCTCTCCTTGGGTGGGTCTCGCTTGGCTGCTGTGGGGGATGGGGGCATGGATCCCAGGTCAATGGAGTTATATTCACGGGGGGTTACAGCTGCCCCACCCTCACTATCCTCCAGGAAGGGGACAGCGGCTGGAGACTGAGTTAATCATCTATCTGGCCTACATGATGAAGCCTCCATGAAAATCCCTCCACTATGGGGTTTGGAGCGCTTCCAAATTACTAAACATATGGGGGTCCCTGGAGGGTGAAGCGCTGCAGAGAGGTCATGGAAGCCCCATGCCCCATGCCCCATGCCTGGCCCTGTACGTCTCTGTCCGGCTGTCCCTCTGTACCCTTTATAATAAACCATAAATGTAAGTAACAAGTTTCCCTGGGTCCTGTGAGCCGTCCTAGCAGATGGCAGAAACTTGATTTACAGCCATCGGTCAGAAGGTCTGCAGGCTCAGACTCATGATTAGCATCTGAATGGGGCAGTCTTGTGGGGCTGAGCCCTTCACCTGCGGGGTCTGACACAAACTCCAGGTAGATCGCGTGAGAATTGCATTAGAGGACGCCCAGCTGGTGTCTGCTGGAGATCTGAATTGATGGCTGGGGGTCAGGGGAACCCACACTCTTGGTGTCAGAAGTGTTCTGCATCAAGTGATGAGAGAAGAGCAGAGAAAAGAGTGTTTGGTTTATTTTCTTTTTTTTTTTTTTTTGTCCTTTTATTCATGTGAAACTTTAATTTGAACACTTATCCTATTACACATATAATTTACATCTTTTATTTTCACTTAACAATATATTGTTATGGTTTATTTTCCTGCTATGTGCCAGCCAAGCCCTCCCAGGAACACTCCCGGAGAAGCGCCCCGGCTACTGTCCTGAGCTGAGCCACGGGAAATGCTGTGGTCCCTGCTGAGAAGCAGCTGGTCTGACTCAGAAGAGCACAGGCTGTCCTCACGGCAGTCCGGACCCTATCTATCATAGAGGGCGGAAGCCGGAGGGATGGCGGCCAGGGTCCCCTTGGGGCCAGACGCTCTGTGCCAGCGCTGAGATGACTCAGGCACTTGGTGGCTGTTATGGGCTTCCTTGGCCCCTGTCTATCCTCCTCCCTGGCCTGGACAGAGGACACTAAGCCTGACTCCTGCCCACTCTGCCCTTTCTTCTCTGGCTGCAAACAGACCCAGCTGGTCACTGGGCCCCACTCCCACCTGCATAGATTTATTCTCTCATCGTTCTGGAGGCGAAGGCTGGAAGTCCAAGTTCGAGGTGTTGACTGCCCTCCCACTGAAGGTCTGTAGAAGAATCCTACCTGGGCTCTTCTGGTTTCTGGTGAGTGTGGTCGTCCTTGGAGTTCCCTGGCTTGTGATTGCCTCACTCGCATCTCTTCTCCATCTTCACATGGCCTCCTCCCCTCTCCAGATCTCCCTCTTCTTATAAGGACATCAATCATTGGATTTGCACCCCCCCTTGATGACATCTGCAATGATTCTATTTCCAAACTAGGTCACATTCACAGGTACTGAGGTTAGGACTTCACCACGTCCTTTTGGCAGGCATGATTCAACCCGTGTATAGGAGATTTGGCCCCACCCTGCAGTGAACAGCACAGTCGGCTTGGCCCGGGTCAGATCGAGAGCTGGGAGAGGTCAGGGGAGAGAGGTACTTGGGGCTGCAGCAGGCCATGTGCTCAGCTGCCACTAACAAGCAGCAGGGCTTGCATGGGTGGGCATGGAGCCACACCCTGCCCAAGTCCACCCAGCCCATGGCCCCTGGCCCAGGATATGCCAGAGGTGGACAGCCCGAAGGAGACACTCACTTCTGAATTTACTCAAAAAATATTTATGGGCAATCTGCTATGTGCCAGGAACTTGCCCCAAACTCTGAGGATAGAGCAGGGACTGAGTCCTGCCCTCATGAAGCTGACATTCTAGGAGATAGAGGCAGTAAAACAACTAAAGACAAAATGAAGTGCAAGAAGTGGCAAGTGCCTCAAAATAAGAACACGGAAGCAGGAAAGGGATGGCAAGGGATGGAGCCACCATAGTCAGGGGATTGTTGAGAAGAGTCTCTCCTGGGATGCTTTATTTGAAAAAAGACCCTCCCCCTACCACCACAACCCACACTGAGCTGCCAAATGTCCCCCAGAGTCCTCCAGTTTTATGGAGTCACCCTGTCTTTCAATCATTAAATAAATATAGACCCAAATCCGGGTTCAACATGTGAAAACTCCACATTTCCCCTCTTGAAAGAGTTTGTTTTATCTTGGTAGGGGCTGCAGGTTTTCCTGGCCCCACTGCATTCTCCACCCCTGTTTGCAGTTCCCAGCAGGCATGCAATATCCCTGTTACACTCCAGGGCCCCCCACTCTTGCTCGGTTCTTTGCTTGGTTCCTGGCATCCAAAGCCCCCCCCCCCCCACCCCACCCAAGGCTATGGGTGATGTGGTGTTGCTACTGGTGCTAAGGGTGCAGAGGTAGTGACACTCAGCCCCACCCAGCAGCAGGCTGAAGCCTGATTCCATACATTCCTGTTACGAAGAGCACCTTCGCCTAAACACCCAGCTCTCCCTAGCACCACTTCCTGGGATACTCCAGCTTCCAGCCCATAGCTGGGTTCCTCTCTCTCTCACAACCCCCTCCCTGCTCTCATTCATTAACTCTCCTTTCTCTTCCAGCCCCTACTTCAACCTGCACCTTCACCACTACTATCACCTCCATGAACCTGCACCCCATTTCTGCTCCTATAATTAGGCAGCACATGATCCAATCATCCCCACCATGCCCTGAAAAATAGATGCAGAGATTCAACTTTCATATCCAAAGAGGGCTTCAAGGTGTTTTACTTGATAAAAGACTGTTTCTCAACAGTATTAAAAAAAAAACCCACAGATCAATATTCCTCATTAATATAGATACAAAACTCTTTGAGATAACATTAGCAAACTGAGTCCAGCAATGTGTTAAAAGAATATCCTGGAAATGCAAGGCTAGTTCAATCTTCAAAATTCCATCAATGGATTTTTAATCTGTCACATTAAGATTCTAAATAAAATAATTCATATATTAATTGATGCAGAAAAATCATTAGATAGAAAATATCCACTTATGATAAAACTTTTGGCAAAGTAGGAACATAAGGGAACTTCCTCGACCTGATAAGGAACATTTTGCAAAATACTTACAGCTACCATCATATTAAAAATGACTGAATGCTTTCTCCCTAAGATCAGAGACAAGGCAAGGATGCCCACTTTTATAACTCTTATTCTTCATTCTGTGGAAATACTAGGTAGGGCAATAAGGCAAGAAAAATAAATAAAATGCAAACAGATTGGAAAGGAAGAAATAAAACAGTACCTATCTGCAGATGATATGATTGTCTCTGTAGAATGAACTGTGACTATACCCCCAAAAAACTAACAGAAGAATAAGTTTTTCAAACTTGCAAGATGCAAGGTCAACACACAAGAAGTCAATAATACTTCTACATAACAGCAATGAACATGTGGAAACCAGAATTTAAAAGTTAATATCACTTACAAATCTCTTAAAATATAGGATAATTGAAAATAATCTAACAAAACACATACAATATCTGTATAATGAAAACTAATGATGCTTACAAAAGAAACTAAAAACTGCCGGATGCGGTAGCTCATGCCTGTAATCCCAGCACTTTGGGAGGCCAAGGTGGGTGGATCACCTGAAGTCAGGAGCTCAAGACCAGTGTGGCCAACATGGTGAAACCCCATCTCTACTAAAAATACAAAAATTAGCTGGGCATGTTGGCAGGCGCCTGTAATCCCAGCTACTCGGGAGGCTGAGGCAGGAGAATCACTTGAACCTGGGAGGCGGAGGTTGCAGTGAGCTGAGATCGCGCCATTGC
The DNA here is from genome assembly GCF_000001405.40 of Homo sapiens. Taxonomy (NCBI): domain Eukaryota; kingdom Metazoa; phylum Chordata; class Mammalia; order Primates; family Hominidae; genus Homo; species Homo sapiens. The sequence goes on along the minus strand of NC_000001.11, from coordinate 4,030,548 downwards.
ACTCCAGCCTGGGTGACAAGAGCGAGACTTCATCTCAAAAATCTCAAAAAAAAAAAAAAAAAAGAAAAGAAACTAAAAACTTAACGAAACATGGAGACATAACATGCTCATGGCTTGGAAGATTCATGTAGTAAAGATATCAATCTTCCCCAAATGGATCTATAAATTTAATTCAATTCCCACAAAAATCCAGTAGGATTTTTGAAGACATAGACAAACTGGTTAAAAAAGGAACTAGAGTAGCTAAGACAAATCTGAAAAGGAAAATGGAAACAGGAAGAATCACCCTACAGATATTTAGGCTTAATGGGCTTCAGCTACAGTAGTCAAGACTGGGTGGTATTAGCAGTGGGCCAACACGGAGATCAATGTAACAGGACCACACAAGTACAACTCACTGACTTTTCACAAAGGTACACATGCAAATCAATAATGAAAGGTGGTCTTTTCAACAAATGGTATTGGTCATCCATAGGCAAAACACACACGCACACACAGACACACACACACCTTAACCTACACCTCACTTTTATACAAAAATTAACTCAAATGGATCAAAAATCTAAATGGAAAATGGGAAATGTAAACTTTTAGAAGAAGACATAGGAGACAATTTTTACCACTTAGGTTTAGGCAAAGAGTTCTTAGCCATGACACCAAAAGCATGATTCATAAAACAAAACAAAAAAAAAAAGACAAATTAAATTTTGGCAAAATTCAAAACGTTTTCTCTTCCAAAGACACCATTAGAAGAATGAAGAGAGAAAATATGCATAAATCACATATCCAAAAAAAGCCTTATATTGAGAATATATAAAGAACTCTCAATACTCAACAACTCAATTTTACATGGTCAAAAGGCTTAAACAGGTGCTTCACCAAAGAGGTTGTGTGGATGGCAAATAAGCACAGGAAATGAAGTTCAACACCATTACTAATTGGGAAAATGCAAACTGAAATCACAATGAGACATCACCACTGCCTTAGCCCATTTTGGCTGCTATAACAGAAAACCACAGACTGGGTACTTTATAAAGAACAGAGATTTCTTTCTTACAGTTCTGAACCTGGAGTGTCTAACATCAAGGGGCCAACATCTGATGAGGGCCTTCATGCTGTGTCATCCCACATCCCAGAGGTGAAGGAAGAAGGACAAAAGAGCATGCATAGGAGAGCAGGCAGAGTGGGATGAACGAGCTTGCCATCAGGATCCCACTCCCACAATAATGGCATCAATCCGTTCATGAAAGAAGAGCTCTCATGACCCAATCACCTCTTAATAGTTCCACCATAACAGTTAAATTTCCACATGAGTTTTGAAGGAGACATTTGAAACACAGCAACCACATACCTTTAGAGTGGCTAAAGTCAAAATATGATAATATCAAATAGCAGCAGGACATGGAGCAACTGGAGCTCTCATCATTATTCACGGGAATACAAAACGGTATAGTCATTCAGTAAGACAGTTTGGCAGTTTTTTTATAAACTTAAACATACACTTACCATAGGACTCAGTCATCTTTCTCCTAGGCATTGTCCCTGGAGAAATAAAAACTTAGGTTTGCACAAAGACCTGTACGCAGATATTTAAAGCAGCTCTACTTATAATCATCAGAAACTAGAAACAAGCCAAAGGTCCTTCGGGTGAATGCATAAACAAACTGATGTGTGCATACAATGCAATTCTACTCAGCAACAAAAAGGAGGGAACTCTTGAGCCACAACTTGGATGAATCTCAGAGGCATCTTGCTGAGTGAAAGAAGCCTGTCTCAAACAGCAACAGACATGCAACATGATTCCATGGGTATGGTATTCTCCAAAATAGAAACCCATGGTGATGAAAGACAGATCAGTGATGGCCAAGGGTGGGATGACGGGGAGATGCTGACACAGAGGGTAGCATGAGGAGGCTTTGTGGGACGATGGGGCTGTTCTGTGCCCTAACCAAGGTGGAGTTTTATGCGTCTATACATGTATTAAAATTCATGGAACTGTAAACTAAAAAGAAACCTATTTTACTATAACAATTTTTTAATTGTGTAAAAGGAGGAATGACTTAGGTTTTTTTCAAACAATTTTTTCTCTCCCCTAAGAAAACTCCCACCCTCAGCTGTTAGAAGCTCACCTTTTCTTCTCCCCACATTAGCTTCTCCTTCAGCGTCTATAAGGGAACCACTGGCCTATCTAGAGGAGAACCGATATGGCCCCTATGGCCTCCTGGGATGCCGCAGAAGCAAATCTCCTTTCGTACATTCACATTCACAGGCTGCCTCTGAAGATAGGAAGGGCTTGCTTAGTTGGACCCTTTTAAAGAAGTTTTGCAGTTCACTTTCCTGGGCTAGTGGAAAGACGAGATAGTTAGGCCTCGGAACCCAGAATTCACTCTTGCCCCTGACATGGAATTGGGATCATGGCTCACTGCCTTGGCCTGGGAGAAATTTCAAGCCAGGTCAGAGGGAAGGACTGCACCAGGACAGGCTGTTGGGGCTGGAGGGACCCGGAAAAAAAGAAAAAAAGAAAAAAAAAACTCATCAGGCACAGCAGCCTCCACTGCATCTGAGTCTGGGGCTGGCCCTCCCACTACGCAGACATTGTCAGCACGCTGAGGAGGACCCTGCAGTGGGATCGTGTCCTTGGAACCCCAGCTCAGCTCCATGAATATCCTAAGCTACCAGTTTTCTCCAGCAAAGCTCAACAACCCTGGGCACTCCTCCAGGTCTGGATATGGAGGGTGATTCTCAGGCAGAGCAGAGCAACCCCACACCTTTTGGTGGGGCGCCTGGAAACTCAACAGCGAAGGGACCAGAAAACAGGAACAGAAACCCGGCTGTGCTTTGATCGCACCTCTTTTCACCACTCCGATGCTCTCCCCGCCCCCACCCTCCCACGGTGCCCGACAGAAGAGGGGGTGGCTGCGGTGATGCAGCCGGCGAAATAGCTTCACCTGCAGCTGTTGTTTTAATGCTAACTTTTCAGCTATTCCCAAGGCCAGGCTCGAGTTTGATTAAACTCCATTCTTGTACTTTCTTCTCTGCCCAAACCCATCTTGCTGAGGCAACATAATAAAGTGCAGTAAGTGGCTTCGATCGCTCACCAGAAAGTGATTTTCTCAACAAGGGCTGAGGGCGATTTGGGTTCCCTGGGTCCCTGAACCCATTTGCTGGACTTGAGAGGTTTTTTTGAGACCGAAGTATTTTGAAGTATGTTTTGAGGCTAATGTATTTCCATCTCTCCCTGGATCGGAGATTTGTGGAGTTTCAAAATGCGTGTTATAATAATAAACACAAGCTTGACAGTTTACTGTCTCCCTGGGGAATCCAGGCCTGTGCCACTTCTCCCCACAGTGCTGAAGACATAAATAAATGCAACGGCAGCCACGGCGGCACCAGCGGACCCCAGATTATTCCTGGAGGACAGCCGGCGTCAGGGGCCGCCACGGAAATGGGGGTCTCCATCAGGAATAGTAGCCTGGAGAGTTTTCAGATGACAGTGCCCCCTGTCCCCAAGGTGGGATCATGGCATCATAGACAAGCAATGTGTGGTTCCGGTGCCAGGGATGGAAGTTTCTGGAGCACTCACTGCCCTGGCCCCTAATCTGGTGCCCCAGCTTCCAGAATCATCTCCTACCACTCCATCCTCCACGGAACCCCATGAGCTCCCAAAGCCCAGCTGCGGTCTCGTCATGTACCCACTTAAAACGCAATAGCTCCCAAGGCCCCCTGGGAGAAGACCAAGCCCCACTGTGGGACACGGACAAGCCGTCCTCAGTATCCACGTGGAATCTTTTTTTAAAAAGGGGGCGGCTGGGCGCGGTGGCTCACGCCTGTAATCCCAGCACTTTGGGAGACTGAGGTGGACAGATCGCGAGGTCAGGAGATTGAGACCATCCTGGATAACACGGTGAAACCCCGTCTCTACCAAAAATACAAAAAATTAGCCGGGCGTGGTGGTAGGCGCCTGTAGTCCCAGCTACTTGGGAGGCTGAGGCAGGAGAATCACTTGAACCCTGGAGGCAGAGGTTGCAGTGAGCTGAGATCGTGCCACTGCACTCCAGCCTGGGCGACAGACCGAGACTCCATCTCAAAAAAAAAAAAAAAAAAAAAAAAAAATGGAGGCTACTCCTTTTTACTCCTTTTTTAAAAAGGAGATAGAAAATAAAACATGGTCATGGTGGGGTTGGGGTAGGAACTGGAGACATGTGAGCCAAGGGATACGAAGCAGATACAGAGGCTGAACAGCTCTAGAGGTCCAGTGCACAGCCTGAGGATGATACTTCATAATACTGCATTGCGCTCAGGATTTTTGCTCTTGCCACCAAAAAAAAAAAAAAGGTAATTATGCGAGATAATATGTTAATTTGCTTGCCTATCATAACCATTTTACTATCTATATGTATCAAAATATCATGCTGCACATCTAAATTTATACTTATAGTATTTTTATCGTCTACTATATATTTTTTAAGAACTCAGCAGTTCCCCATGGTGGTCTCTGTCCTCACCCAGCTCCCAGCCTCCCTCTCCTCTCCTCTCTATACATGCTCTGCACCCCAGCCTGCCAGACATTTGCACCCTAACGCAGCACAACTGCACCCACGGCCAGGCTTTTGTCCCGGCTGTTCCTCTGCTGGGAAGGACCTGCCTCCCACATCCTGCCCAACCTTCCCTGCCACGATGACTTTGTCCATGGTCTGTTCCTGACAACCACATGGCATTATACATAGGTGCCTATGTGTCTTTTGTGTCTGTTTCTTTTTTTTTTTTTTTCCAGCTACACTAGGAGCTCTCTGGGGGCCAAAACCACTTCTCTGGATCCCAGGACTTCATCAGCATCTCCTGAAAGATGCAGAAAAACAGAAAACAGAGAAAACATACATTTTACAAATATCTCCTGTGATCCTGAGAACTAGAGGCTATTAACATCTGACTCTTCTGCCAGGTCCCTTCCTCTGCCTAGTCCTGTCTGTAAAATTGGTGCCCTATATTCTATTCTCCTTTCCAACCTTTTTTCATGGAGCAATGCAGCATGTCAGTAAACATCCTATGGTTTCAGTCAGCAAGTATCAGTTCGTGTTAGTAAATATCCTATGGCTCCAATTCATTTATGCAGCCAGTCCCCTATTTTAGACATGATCTTTTCCTATTTTTCAGTATTAAAGACCCTACTGCAGCTGGCATCCAGAGTGTACAGCTCAATGCCTGTTTGAAGTGCCCCTTAGGATAAATAAATTCCTAGAAGAGGAACACTTCTGGTTCAAAGATACATACATTCCAAGCCCTTGAGACAGAGGGATGAATGGATGGATGGATGGATAGATAGATAGATAGATAGATAGATAGATAGATAGATAGATAGATAGATGATAGCTAGATAGAGATGATAGCTAGATAGATAATAAACACATGACAGGTAGACAGATAGATGATAGATAGATAATAGGTAGATAGATGACAGATAATAGGTAGACAGATGATAAAAGATAGAAAGGTAGATGATAGACAGATGATAGATAGTAGATATATAGATGATATATAGATAGAAGTTGATAGATAGATGATAGATAACAGGTAGAAGATAGATAGGTGATAGAGAGACAGATGATAGATAATAGATAGAAGATAAATATATGACAGATTGATGAAAGGATAGATGATAGAGATGACAGATGATAGATAGATAGATAGATAGATAGATAGATAGATAGATAGATAGACAGATAGACATAAGGAGAATTGGAGAGTGATCAAGACATCTGTGCTGACTTCCTGAAAGCTGACCTCACTATCTTAGTTTGGACCGTCATAACAAAATACGAGAAACTAGCTGCTTAAACATTTCTTCCTCACAGTCAGTTCCTGGTCAGGGCTCTCTCTTGGCTTGCAGACAGCCACCTTCTCACTGTGTCTTTGCACGGCATTGGGCAGGGGTAGGGGAGCAGTAAACAAGTTCTCTTGTGTCTCTTCTTATAAGGGCACTAATCCCATCATGGGGGCCCATCTTCATGACCTCATCTAACCTTAATCACCTCCTAATCACCAGCCCCACCTTCTAATAGCATCACACTGGGGGTTATGGCTCCCAAATATGAATTTTGGGGGAACATAAACATCCGGTCCATACCACCCCCTGCCCTCCCCACCAGCCAGGATCAGGGGTGCTCTTTCCACCACAGCGCCAGCACAGGAACCCAAATCTGGTCATGCTTCCTTCTCATTGGGCCAGAGACAATCAGCTTCTTCAATGATCACCCTCCTCCCAGGTTGATATGAGGCTTTTAATGGGTTGAAATATAATGGCCCCAAAAAGATATGTCTAAGTCCTAATTCCTGGTACTTGTGGCTATGACCTTATTTGGAAAATGTGGCCTTATTTTGTGGATGTAATTAAGTGAAGGATCTCAAGATGAGGTTATTTTGGATTGCCCAGGTGGGCCCTAAGTCCATGGATGAGTGTCCTTCCAGGAAACACAGAGGAGACACACAAGGGGCAGAAGGCCATGAAGACAGAGACAGAGGTTGGGGCAATGTGGCCACAGCCACCAGAAACTCCAGGGGACAAGGAAGGACTCTCTCCGGAGCCTCCAAGGGAACATGGCCCTGAGGACGCCTGGACTTTGGACCTCTGCCTTCTGAAACAGTGAGAGAATACATTCCTGTTGCTTTAAGCCCCTTGGTTTGTGGCATCTGTTACAGCAGCCCCAGGAGACCAACACACAGATCCCGCGCAGGGCGGTGGAGGCTGAGGACTCACCTCCCTGCACACCTGTGACTCCCAGTAAATAAAGAAGAGGCATGCTGTCAGAATGGAAGTTCATTTTGTAAGAAAACCTTGTTTTAAAGAGTTTAATTTTTTTTCTGGTTCCCTTGGAAAAGTAGTAAGACAATAGATTTCCCCATTCCAGGCAGAAAAAATGTACATCAATGTGAATGGCAGAGGCTTAATTTGTCCCGATCCTACATGTTCCATCCTTCCAAACTATTAAAATTTTTAATCAAATATTTTGGTTATTAAACTGTCTGAGGTTGGCAAAGGTTTGCTTTTATCTTATGTTAAACTCCATCATGGTCCAAATAAAATGAAATTAATTTGAGATGCCAAAAGAAACTCAGGTCAATAGAGTATTAATATTTCAAGCTACAGGAGCCAGTGTGTGGCAGGTGCTAGGAGGGCCCACCTGCTCCTCCATGCCAGCCCCTGGGTCACGGGAGCTGCAGGGCACAGTGGCAGGTGGGCTCAGGGGCCCACACAGGAGCCTGGAGGCCAGGAGCTGGGGAGAGGAGGTTCATGGAGACCCTGGACCAGTTCAGGCTGAGCTGTTGGAGAAAGTTTCCAACAACACGAGTTCCTGTTCAAATGCCCACCATGTGCCCTCTCCAAAGTGACTTTCCTTCTCCTCCACTTCCCTGATGAGTCCTATGGGTGCCTTTCCATTTCTCCCCATTTCCTCCTCAGTCTCTCAGCAGCCTAAGGGCCAAATTCTCCTCTGCTTCCTTCTGGCAGGCTCCCCGGGGCTCCACCTCAGCAACCCGGCTCCCATTGCCTTCACGACGGCCCCAAGCCAGCCTTCAAGGTCACCGCTCGCAAAGGAGGAGGGTGCAACGCAGCACAACCGCCCGAGTTCCAGCAGCATGAAGTTCCACTTTATTTCTGTCCATGGAACCAGCAGAGCCTGTGAGCCCACAGCAGAGTCACCCGCATCACGTCCCCAACACACTGGGAGCCAGGACCAACAAGGAGTCGCTAAATCAGGGTTGCTCTGCTCAGCGCCACTGACGTTTGGGGCCAAAAACCTCTTCATTGTCCTGGACATTGCAGGCTGTTCAGCAGCTCCCCTGGCCCTACTTACAAGATGCAAAAGAAAGTTGTGCCATGATGCTTTTGTTCAACAAAGGAAACTGAGGCCCAGGAAGGGGCCAGACCTATGGAAGTTCACACTCCGCACTGTCTTCTCAACCCCCTGCCTCTGCAGCCCAGCACCTTCACCACCCCGCATCCATCCTAATCCCTGTCCTTGAAGATCCGCCCTCGAAGCAGACACTGTGATGGTGAAAGCAAACCAGCCCCGAGTGTGGCTGAGACCCCAGAAGGGAGGAGGGTGCCTTCCTCTCAGGACACAGGATAGCGTGTCTCCCACCACCCTAGGGGAGCCCCAGGATTCTCCCACATTCTTGGTCTTGGTGGGGTGTGATCCTGTGATGGTTAATTTATGTGTTAGCTTGGCTAAGCCATGGTACCCAAACATTTGGTTAAACAGTAGTCTCAACGTTGCTATGAAAGGACTCTTCAGATGTGATTAACTTCTTTTGTTTCTGGAGATAGGGTTTTGCCACATTGCCCAGGCTGGTCTTGAACTCCTGGACTCAGGCAATCTGCCTGCCTCAGCTTCCCAAAGCGCTGGAATTATGTGCCACTGTACCTGGCCAAGATGTGATTAACATTTAAACCAGCAGACTCTGGAGTGTGAGTGGGCCTTGTCCAATCAGGTGATGGTAAAGATGGAGGCTCCCGCAAAGAGGAGGCGTTCTCCCTGCAGTCTCATCAATTCATCCCTGGGTCTCCAGCCTGCTGAGTACCACTTTTTGGACTTGCCAGCCCCACAATTACATGAGCCAATTCCTTGTAATCTCTCTAGCACTCTCCCTCTCTTTCTCCATATCTATATCCAATTGGTTCATCTCCAGAGAAGCCTGACTCATACAGCTTCCATCTCAGGCAAGACAACAAGAAGGAGACTCCTCCTCTGGGGCCTGGGGGAGAGCTAGCACACAGGCAGGCTGACCCTGAGCCCCTGCCACCCATTTCCTCACTGGGCAGCTAGGTCCACTCTGTGATGTGGGCCAGGCAAGGCCCCCGCGGGCTCTCTGGCTCTGCCCTGGGGAGGTCAGCTCGGTCTCAAGGGACTTGCTGGCGAACACACACAGACTGCTCATCTCCCACATTTCCAGTTTCCTTGCAGGGATGCAGCCCTTGAAATACATTTTCCTGAGTTAAGAAAGAGAGAAATAAAAGGGGGCAAGCCAGCTTCAACTTCACTTGGCATTGCCCACCCAGAGCCCAGGGACTGGCACTAACGGACAACGGGGATGGGTCTGTGTCCCCGATGGGCAGCATCTGTCTCCACTCAGATCAAAGCTGCAAGCATCTCGGGACAGCTCCAGGCTGAGTGGGGAGAGGCAGGAGCAGATGGGTGCCAAGCGTGGTCCCCGCCCTGCACAGGTCGCCCCGTGCCCCCGTCTGCCCATGCAGCTTACTTCTCCCAGTCTCTGTCTGTGCCAGAACTCTCCTGATGGCTTCCGGGCTGCCCGGGGCTAGGCATGACCCTTGTCCACGCATTTTCTCTCATCAGTCTTCCTGACTGCAGGTCAGGGTGAAATTCTGCCACCCTCACTCTCACTCCATCCCCTGCCTCCCTCGACCCCCTGCTCCCAGGCTGCAAGGGTTGCTAGGAGGACCCCGGCCATGTCTACAGTGGCCCTCCCCAGCCTTCTAAAGCTGGAGTCCAGCCAAGGCCAGGAAAGAGAGTGTCTGTCATCTTGGGGGGCTCTGCTCACAGGCTCCAGATGACGCCTGAGTCCACCATCCTCTGCCTCCCTCGCCCCCAGCAGACATCAGCTGGATATCCTCAGTGGCAGGCAGGGAGGCCATGGCCAAGATAACAGAGTCAGAGAGCTAGCCTCAGAGAGCTCAGCCCTGGGAGCGAGATCCTTCTGTACTAGAACGTGCACAGGTTCAGTGCATAATTCCTCAACCCACAATTTGCTCTCTGCCCTTGCACTGTCCACAAGGGCAGGGCAGGGGCAGCAGCTTCTATCTCAGTCAGATCCCTATTAGTCATGGGCCGTCATCCTCTGCATGTCCACCACGTGCCTTACAGAGAACCGGAGGCCCAGTCCCAACCTCGCCCATCCAGCTGATGTCTGCTGGCCCCATGCACTGAGCGTGCAAGCTGCCCCGATCCAGTCCCTGACTCAATGGGGCTTACCTCAAGTGAGGGAGATGGCACTTGTCCACTACACAGATAGGTCAGGCCCTAAGTGCTCATGAAGGGAACTGGTGGGGAGGTGATGGAGAATGACCGTGGAGGGGGAGGAGGGAGGTGCCACTTCCAGAGAGAGCTCAGGGAGCCTTCTGAGCAGGTGATGATAAGCTCAGCCTGGGGAGGAAGAGCTGGCCACAGACAGAGCCAAGGAGAGAGCCACAGCCAGAGCCATGAACAGAGGAGAGAGCCCCAGGAAAGTTCTGAGGCAGGGGAGCACGGGGCATACTAAAAGACAGACACCAGGCACAGGGTATGGGGAAGAAGGCGCAGCTGGGCTCACACCAGGTGAGGTGACCAGCTGGGATTTCACCTGCCAAGCAACAAGAAGCCAGGAAGGACACTAGGCAGAGACGGGGCTTCTGGATCCACTGTCAGTGACCACATAGGAGATTCCTGCAAGGAGTGGGGGTTGGTGCTGGAGAGAAGAGGCTGGACTCACTCATTCAGCCAACACAGGCGCATGGTCAGGAGGCAACACTGGGGCCACAGGGACAGGACAGGGAACAAGCAGACCCCACCCTCTAGACCTAACCTGTAGACCACAGACATAGTGTGAAGGTCACAGAGAGGGGGCTTGATGTGTTGGGGAGAGACAGAGAGGACCTGAGGGCGTGTCCTAGCGTGTGGGCGCCAGCAGAGGAGTAGGATGTGGTGCCATTTACAGAGACTGGAAGGCCGGGGGCGGGACAGATTGAAGGGACCAAAAGCAGGTTGAGTCTTGCGGAGTCTGGGGTTCCTATGAGACGCCCAGTGGAGGGGCCAGGCAGGCACCTCCGCCCAGGAATCAGGCTCTCCAAGGAGAGGTGTCTGTCGCATCAAGGACAAGGAATCCCGGTGGGAATCCTCAGCACCAAGACCTGGGTAAAGCACTGAGATGAAGCGATCAGGGCTGGAAAACCAGGAAACCAGGAAACCAGGACTTTCACAGCAAGTCATTTAGAAAACATAGACTCACTCACAGATGGACTGCGATGCACGAGGGCTGAGCCCTGAGAGGAAGAGATCAGGGCTGGAAAACCAGGAAACCAGGACTTTCACAAGCAAATCATTTAGAAAACATAGACTCACTCACGGATGGACTGCGATGCACGAGGGCTGAGTAGATCTAGGCTGAGCGAGCAAGGGGAGGAGTGGGAGTGTGAGATGGGGCGGGAGAGGAACGGGAAGGAGGGCGTGTGAACAGAAGGCTCACGATGGGCGCCAGGAGCTCAAGGAGGCAGCTGGGAGGGGCATGGGCGATGGGCAGCGGGGGTGATGAGGCCGGTTTGTGGGAGGAACCGCACTGTGAGGAGGGGAGAGGATCCTTCCAGAAACCCTCCCAGAGAGGCTTGCCAGGTGGACAGTGGTGGGCAAATGTTCGTGAGAAGCACGGATGTACTGTAGCAGGGAAGAATGGGAGCACTCCAGGACACAGCAGGATGGCGGCCACGTGCTGGCCGCACCCGTGACTCGCACACAAGGGCATGGTGCCATCTGCCCAATCCTGCCCTTGGCCTGACATCCAATGGGGAATGTGGACGTGGATGTGCCCCGGTCTTCTCAGCTCAAGGAGTCGCCACGAATCCACTGGAACAGACGCTGTTGGCCATCCCTGAAACATGCGGGTGTCATGCTCCGGCTCCTGCTGACTCAGGGCAAACCTGATCCTAGCCAGAGGTGGAGCATGCAGCCAGGAAGAACATGGACACGGTATGTTCACACACACGGCGCTCGGCCCACCACTCGCCCACGAACATTTTTCACGCCACTCAGCCAAAGGCAAATGCCTGCCCTACGCAAGACCAGCTCAGAAATCCATGACTTCCAAAGTTGGCTCTGTGATTATCAGTGCGTGCCAAGGAGCCTGTGTCTCCCTGAGATCTGAAACCTTGGCAGGAAGCTGAGATGAGAGATTGTTGCAGGGATGGTGAAGAACTGGTATCCTTTGCAAGAAAAATACTAACTGGTGGCTCCGCCGTGCTTCATTTCTGGCAGAGCCCTGACTTGGATGCACTCTGACTGTCGAACAATAGCCCTAAATGATAGAAGGTAAACCTCCATTTTAATAATTCATCTTCTTGGGTTTGGTTGTGCTTGATCAAATATACTAAACTTAATAAAATAATTTGTCAAGGTTACGGCATCTTAGTACAAAAAATAAAAAAGCAAGATCCCTGAATTGTGCTCAACACTATCCCCAAGCTGAGTGATGTGCATGTGTGTGCATGTGTGTGTATGTGTGCGTGCATGCATGTGTGGTTGTGTGTGTGTGTGTGCAGATATGTGCCCAAGTGGTGGTGCATGCAGGGATACATGAATTTTAGCCAAGATCTGTTGCAAAGGGAAGCACAAAGCTTCAATGTGCAAGCCTCAGAGGAAGTTGCTAAACGCCTCCATCTTCCAGTTTGGAAACTAAAACTCGGCCATGGCTCTCCCCTCTGAGAGGCACCATAGCGCGGCTACCGGTGCGGCCACTGCCACCATGCTGCTGAGTCCATATCTTTGCCCTGTGTCCCTGGACAAATTTCTAACCTTTCTTCCCTTTCCTTAGTTGTGCAGTAAAGATGATAACCATCATAGTACTGACCTCGTGGGGCTGTGTTAAGGCTCAAGGCTTGACAGAGTATTCTGTCCATCCCAGAACTCGCCCAGTCCTGTGTCGTTGCCACTGGTCTTCCCAGGTCCCCATGCCCCATCCAGATTCCACAAAGAGCAGCGTTTCAGGACCTGCGACATCTATGGGGTGGTGACTGCCATGAGAAGAAGCTCTTCAATGAAAGAGCTTCCTCCTGGTCCAAACCTCCCACACTGCCACACAGAGGTACTCAAAGCCACCCAGACCAGGTTCCCACATCATGGTCTCAGCCTATGTGGGGACACAGGATTTGGGAGGGGAATGGGGCAGAGGCAGAGGGCGCCACTGGGTCCCGGCCTCACATTTACAAAGGTCTCCAAAGTTAAAGTGTTGATGTTGCCTCCGAATATTTATAGTCCTGGAGATATTTTGTCAGAATTTAGAGGAGATTCAAAATCTGTGTCCCTCTCTCAGGCCATACCCCTATAGTGCTCTCAGAATTACTATTTTTAAATAAATCCTATAATTAGCTTATAAATTGCTATGGAAATATGGAACATGAAATGTGGAAATTACCTTCAAATTATCTTTTTTGTTAAAAACTTATATTTGCTCAATGTAAATATATTAAATCTACCACCATTTTGATATCTCTGTTTCAGAGCTTTTCTTTTTGCTTTCGTTTTCTATCTGCTTGTTTGCTTGCTTATTTTTGAGACCACAGATGAAGAGGGTGGAGTTAATCACATATTTATCCTATTGTAGCGTATTTTCACCATGGATCTTTGCAAGGTTCCCAGGTCATTTTGTTGTCTACACATTCCTTTCCGTTTCTCCCCACCCTGACTCTCACCTCCTCCCCTCCCCCCGACTCTCACCTCCTCCCCTCCCCCAACTCTCACCTCCTCCCCTCCCCCAACTCTCACCTCCTCCCCTCCCCCAACTCTCACCTCCTCCCCTCCCCCAACTCTCACCTCCTCCCCTCCCCCGACTCTCACCCCTCCCCTGCCCCTCACCCCTCCCCTCCCCTGACTCTCACCCCTCCCCTCCCCTGACTCTCACCTCCTCCCCTCGCCCTGGAGGCAACAGTTTTGCTCTGATTTCCGAGTAGTTGCTTCTGCATTTCATGTTCTTACAAAATAGGCATTGCAGTCTTATTTGTGTGTATGTTTTGTTTGCATAAATGGTATTGCATTATATACCTCATTCTTCTCCTGACTTTTTTTCTCTCTAAAAATCCACTAGGTTCTGAAGTCTCACCCGTGTGGCAGGGGCACATTTGATCCAGGTTCCCATGGCTGCACGTGGCTCCAGCATGATCAGCCACGTTTCACCTGCACATTCTTTCTCTGATGGCCGGCACCCGGCTGCCTCCAATGCTCTCCCACGTACGTTCTCCACACGGAACAGCCTCAAACCCGTGGACCGCGGCAGATCCCATGGAATGCCTCTGGGTTGTATACTCAGCAGCGTAACCTCTGGATCATAGCATCAGGAGCCCCAGATCCTTCTGGAAAGGCTGAAGCATCCACACTCCATCAGCCACCATGAACTTGCCTGCAGAACCCATCCAGGCCAACATTTGGCTTAACCAGCTTTTTAACTGTTTGCCAGTCCAACAGCTGGACTGTTTGCCAGTCCAACAGCTGGAAAGTGGCATTGTGTTCTAGTTCTCATGTGTGTGATTACTAATGACCTTGAGCTTCTCTTTATATGCATACTAGCTTTGGGGTTTTTCTTTCTGTCATCTGTCCGTATCCCTTGCCCATTCTTCTGCTGCGGTTGCTCTCCTTGTCTTTTTGATTGGCTGGAGTCCCTTGTTAATCCCTCATCAACTATTAACATTGCAAATATCTTTTCTCATTTGTTCAGCTGTGCATTAACTTTGTCCATCTTGTCTTTCATTTAACAAAAATCTCTAACTCTGACATAATGAAATGTGTCAATGTGTTACCCTATGGTTTGTGCTTTCAGATTTTTATTTAAGACATTCCTGCTTATAAGTAACAAAGATTTTTCTCCTGTATATTCTTTTAACTTTTTCTTTTGCTACTAGGACTTTAATTTAACTAGAATCCAGCTGTGTATATGGTGTTAGGTAGAATTCACGGTTTTTAAAAAAAATGTTTTATCACAGATTAGTACTGCTATGGTTTGAATGATTATCCACTTCAAAACTCATATTGAAATTCAGGCTGGGCGCAGTGGCTCACACCTGTAATCCCAGCACTTTGGGAGGCTGAGGTGGGCGGATCACCTGAGGTCAGGAGTTTGAGACCAACCTGGCCAACATGGAGAAACCCTGTCTCTACTAAAAATACAAAAATGAGCCGGGCATGGTGGCATATGCCTGTAGTCCCAGCTACTCGGGAGGCTGAGGCAGGAAAATCACTTGAACCTGGAAGGCGGAGGTTGCAGTGAGCCAAGACCATGCCACTGCACTCCAGCCTGGGCAACAGAGCAAGATTCTGTCAAAAAAAGAAAAAAAAAAAGGGAAGGAAGGAAGAAATTTAATTGTCATGGACACAGTATTAAGACGTAGGACCAGGTTAGGCATTGTGGCTCACACCTGTAATCTTAGCACTTTGGGAAAACCAAGTTGGGCAGATCACCTGAGCTCAAGAGTTTGAGACCAGCCTGGGCAACACAGTGAAACCCCATCTTCACCAAAACAATAAAAAATTAGCTGGGTGTGGTAGAGCACACCTGTGGTCCCGGCTACTCCAGAAGCTGAGATGGAAGGATCACTTGAACCCAGGAGGCAGAGGTTGCAGTGATCTAAGATTGTGCCACTGCACTCCAGCCTGGGTGACAGAGAGAGACCCCATCTTTAAAAAAAAAAAAAAAAAAAGGTCTGGGACCTTTGGAGGTGATTAGGCAATGAGTGCTCATCCCTCTTGAGTGGGATTCGTGTTTTTATAAAAGGACAAGTTCATCCCCTTCTTGCCCTCCTGCCTTCTGCCATGGGACAATGCAGCAAGAAGGCCCTCACCAGATGTCAGCACCTTGACCTTAGACTTTCCAGCGTCCAGAACTGTGAGAAAATACATTTCTGTTTGTCATAAATTACCTAATCTCAAGTATTCTGTTGTAGAGCACAAAACAGATGAAGATTGATACTGAGATTTATCAAATGCTTTTTCTGCATTGATTGAGATAAAATATATTTCTTTAATCTATTACAATAGTGAATTATATTGAGAGATTGTTAGATATTCCTGGATGAACTCTACTTCATCACTTATTTTTCTTAATATTCTTTTAACTAATTTTAAAAAAAATTAACTAATATTTTACTTAGGATTTTTAAAACTCCATTTATAAATAAATGGGTCTATATATTTTTTAATTCCTGTTGTCCCTATTTGATTTTGAAATCCAGATTACATGAGCCTCACAAAATGAGCCAGACAGTTTCCATTCATTTTCTAATTTTCCAAATATCTTGTATAAAATAGAAATTAACCATTCCTAGAAAATATTATAGAAATCTCCGAAAACAATTATCCAGACTTGGATTTTTTTGGTGCCTTTGACTGCCATTTAACTTCTTTCACATGCATTCATCTATTCAAGTTATCTGTCTTGTCTTTCACAAGTTTGGCATTTTATGCTTTTTATAAGAATTTGTCCGGCCAGGCACGGTAGCTCACACCTGTAATCCCAGCACTTTGGGAGGCCAAGGTGGGCAGATCACCTGAGGCTGGGAGTTCGAGACCAGCCTGATCAACATGGAGAAACCCTGTCTCTACTAAAAATACAAAATTAGCTGGGCATGGTGGTGCATGCCTGTAATCCCAGCTACTCAGGAGGCTGAGGCAGGAGAATCACTTGAACCCGGAAGGCGGAGGTTGCGGTGAGCAGAGATTGTGCCATTTTGCACTCCAGCCTGGGTAACAGGAGTGAAACTCTGCCTCAAAAAAAAAAAAAAAAAGGAATTCATCCATGTCATCTAAGTATCAAATTTGTTAAATATGCCTATGCATAATACCAATTAATTATCTTATTTATTCCCCCTCTTGCCCTCCTGCCTTCTGCCATGGGATAATGCAGCAAGAAGGCCCTCACCAGATCCCATTTTTATTGGTCTTTCCAGAAGTCTGTCTAGCATATTAAATTTTTTAAACCAGATTTTGATTTTGTTCATCCTCTGTAGGTTTTATTCATTCTATCTGTTTCTACTCTTATATTTTTCAGCTCCTTTCTTATGTTTTCTGGGAGTGGAGTTGGATAGGTGTTGCTCTCTTGCTCTTTTTCCAGCTGCTTGTGCTAAATAGCTGGCTCATTTGTTTTTCCCATTTGTTGTTTCCTGATGAACGCATTATAATCTTTCAATATCCCTTTAAGAGCTACCTTGGCTTTGCCCGAAGGCATGTCACTGATTTGGGCAGGTCACATTGCGTATACATAGAGGAAGTGCTCACATAAGTAGAGTACTCACTCTATGCACTTCTTTTTTTTTTTTTTTTTTTTTTTTTGAGACGGAGTCTGGCTCTGTTGCCCAAGCTGGAATGCAGTGGCGCGATCTCGGCTCACTGCAACCTCCACCTCCTGGGTTCACGCCATTCTCCTGCCTCAGTCTCCTGAGTAGCTGGGACTACAGGTGCCCACCACCACGCCCAGTTAATTTTTTTGTATTTTTAGTAGAGACGGGGTTTCACCGTGTTACACTCTATGTACTTCCTAATTTCCTTGATCATTTCCAAGGGCTATCCATAAATATATTAATTACTTTCCAAAATATTGGAGTTGTTAAAAAAAATTGTTTTGTTAATTTTAATGTCATTGATTTGTGATTAGAGAATGCAGTTTATTTTGTATTAATTATTAGAACTTTATTGAGACTTCCTTCATGGCTCAGTGTCTGGCCTATTTTGGTAAATGGTGTGTGCGTGCATGGGGGAAAGGCATAGCCTCTGTCTGATGAATGGTAAGTTCTCTACATATCTCATATCTTCAGCTTACTCATTGTATTGATCAAGACTTCAGTATCTGTTTTCTCTGTTCGATCATTAAAAGCTCCAACTACAATTGTTGATGTATGTTTTTCTCCCTGGATTTGTAAGTATTGCTTGATATTTTTAGAGGCTGTTCAATTAGATTGACCCTTGAACAGCACTGGGGTTAGGAGCTCTGCCCCCATAAAGTGTATTGCTTTACACTTTTGACTCCCCCAAAACTTAATTACTAACAGCCTACTGTTGACCGGAAGCCTTACCAATACCATAAACAGTCAGTTAACACAAATTTTATCTGTTTTATAAGTATATACTATATTCTTACAATAAAGTAAGCTAGAGAAAAGAAAATGTTATTAAGAAAATCATAAGGAAAAATATTCACTGATCATTAAGCAGAAGTGGATCATCTTAAGATCTTTTTTGGGTTGTTTTGTTTTGTTTCTTGAGACTGGGTTTTCTTTGAGACCGCACTCCCAGGCTGGAGTGCAGTGGCGCAATCAGGGCTCACTGCAGCCTCAATCTCCCTGGGCTCAGGTCCTCCCACCTCAGCCTCCCGAGTAACTGGGACTACAGGCACACGCCCTGCTAGTTTTTTGTAGAGATAGGGTTTCACTACATTGCTCAAGCTGGTCTCAAACTCTTGGGCTCAAGCCATCCATCCACCTTGGCCTCCCAAAGTGCTAAGATTACGGGTGTTGAGACACCAAAACTGAACCCAGCCATAAAGATCTTCATCGTTGTCGTCTTCACATTGAGGAACCTGAGGAGGAGGAAAAGGAAGAGGAGGGGTTGGTCTTGCTGTCTCAGGGGTGGCAGAGGCAGAGGAAAATCCACATATAAACGGACCCAGCCAGTACAAACCCACGCTGTTCAGGGGTCAACGGTATGTGTACATAATGAATTGATCTTTAATTATTTAGAATTAATGGGTGTCTGTCCTTTTTTAAAAAAAAAATCTTAAATCTTGTTTTGTGCCTTTATCTTGTCAAAATTGTGATAATACCACTCGCTGTATCAGAGAGTTAACTTGCAGATTAAACAGGTTATTCCATGCAATGCATTTTAAACCAGGTCTAGAATCCTGAAACCCTGCTCAGCGCTAACTTTGTTGTTTTTCCTTTTTTTCTTTTTTCTTTTTCTGTTTGTTTTTTTTTTTTGAGACAAGAGTCTCACTCTGTCACCCAGGCTGGAGTGCAGTGGCACAATCTCTGCTCACTGCAACTTCCACCTTCCAGGTCCAAGCGATTCTCCTGCCTCTGCCTCCCAAGTAGCTGGGATTACAGGTGTGTACCACCAAACCCAGCTAACTTTTGTATTTTTAGTAGAGACAAGGTTTCACCACATTGGTCAGGCTGGTCTTGAACTCCTGACCTCAAGTGATCCACCCGCCTCAGCCTCCCAAAGTGCTGGAATTACAGGTAGGAGCCACGGTGCCCAGTTTGTTTTTCCATTTTTAATAGACCGTGAGTCTCAGACACTCAAGGTGGCCAGGGCACCTCTGCTGGGCTCCCACAGGCCCTACCTGGCTCTCCTACCTCTCCTCTCAGCACCAGGGGACTCCCCTCCCTGCAGAAGGTGCACGAGGGGCTGGGGAGGGAAGAGAAAGTGCCACTCTCTAAGACAAATCCCCCTCCTGGAGGAAGCTAGAGGATAAATGTCCTTCCAAAGCCGGATGAGTGAGCGTGGGCCAACCCAGAGGAGAGAATCCAGAGAGACTGGCGATCTTGACAAAATAGACACAGAGCAAGCAGCACAGAATCCACCACAGAGCTGCTCAGCGTGACAGACGGCTGCAAGCAGAAGCCCTCAGATGGGAGTGATGAAGGAGCAGCCAGCCCCCCGTGGAGAGAAGCTTCCAAAAGGATTGCTCTGCTTCGCTGGTTGGACGTCGGCCCACCTTGAGGTCTCTGGACATGCGGGTGGCCCAGAACCAAGTGGCCCAGAATCAGCGGTCACTCATTGACATCCCAGGGTCACCCAAGGTGGGCCCTGGAGTCCGGCATCAATCACTCCCCCAGCAGGGATTGCGACCTCGGGACCCCGCTGCTGAGGGTAACTCAATCACTGCCGGGAGCGCCGGCCCCCACGCAGCTGTCGATCTGAGTGAAACTCTGGGTTTTCATAACACGGGCCCTTCCAGGATGCCTCTCTTCCCAGCTTTATCACCTCTGCCATCCAGCCGCTTTTGAAAGAAAAAAAAATAAGCCAAAGGGGATAATAAGTAACAATTTTTAAAACAGTGTCTTGTTCCTGGTGGTTTACTTGGGAGAAGAGTAACAGATTTGACAAACCATCCCTGGCAGGTTCTGGACTAGACCCCTATCCAGGTCTGGAAGGAATTAGGGTCACCAGGCCCTGACCTCAACAGGCCCAGGGCTTATACAAACCCTGCTCCCCAGGAGTCAGATCACCTGGGAGCTCCTGGGTCCCCGCCGCCCCTGCTGAACCACAGCAGCCAGGGAGAGGCCCAGGAATCTCCTTTCTAAAGTGTGGCCGGTTACTCTGATGCGTGGCTCAGCCCACTGGCCCTGCCTGGCCCCACCACAGCCTCCTCCAGGTCATTCGCACACAGCAGCCCCAAGGGATGAGGCCACCCCTACCTCTTGTTTAAAGTTCTGACCCATAACCCACAGCAGCATTGTCCGAAGTGGGTTCCGATGTGCCTTTTATGGGAGAGGCTCTACTGTCTGGTAAGTCTGGGAGTGAACGCTGGTTGACACCCCAGTTCTCAGGCAGCATAAGCCCCTGTTGCTTCGGAAGGCTCATCTCCAAAAATACACAGAGGCAACGTTCTCAACCCTGAGCTAATGAAATCCCATCCGTCTTTCTCTGAAGATTAAAAATAGGAAGGCAATCAATGAATCTTTTTGTGTACCCTATGGCAAATATTAACTGCTATGTACTTGTTTTATGAGAAACTGGAATAATCCTTTGGGTCCTAGCTAGGCCCCAGCTCCCTGACCTGCAAAATAGGGCTCACTTCATATAAAATATGGAAACCGGCAATGGTTAGGCTCAGAGAAGTCAAGTCACCTGTTTGAGGCCACACAGTTGAGATGTGAACCCAGCCCAGCCCAATCTAAAACCCAAGCTTCTGCCCCCATGCCTGGGTGCTTCCCAAAGATGAAAAACACCAACTGAAATGGAGGGTCAGGACCCAAGAGAAAAGTACCACGACTGATAAGAAGCAGGGACGAGGAGGAGACAAAACTGGCTCCTAGAGGTGAGGCTTCAGATGTGGCTCCAAGCCCGCTCGCAGACCACATGCAGAGAGGTGAACAGGTGGGTGGGTCTCCCTATCAGAAAGGAGGCAGCATATGCGTTCCTGAAAAAGAAAATTCTGTAGCAGTTGACCTGGGAATGCTGTGTGATAAAATAGGAATATAATTCTCAATACTGTTTTCATGGAGAAATACGGCGGGAGGACACCCTGCCTGCAGCTGTTTTTTACAAAGGCCTCCGCAGGCGTCAGTGGCACAGCGGGAAACTGCTCAGTGAGGAGCCATCTTTGCACATGCATGGTCCCGTGGTCTAGACACGTGGACTTCTTCCTCCAGAGGTAGACTTCAGGGTACCCAGAGACATGGACGGACTGCATATCCTGCAAATAATCATCTGTCTTTCAAAAGCAATTGTTGGGCTTTTGGTAGAAGCCAGGGAGCAGAGACACCGTTGTGGCTGGTGATGCATGGGTGCTGTTGGTGAGGTTGACAACCCGGTGTACAGGCAAGGAATTTAATCAAAATTCCTGGTGGGATTAAATGTCTCCATACCTCCAGAGAGACACTACAGGAAACCAACTGTTTATGAACAGGGGTAGTTTGGGCTCCACTTCAAAAGATAAACAATTGTCTGATCACATCCCTCAAATTCTACACAGTAGAGCTTGGCCAGAATTCCCCGGCATGGAAACGCCATTTGCCAACTGCAGCCATGGAGAAGCACCTGGCGCCACCCGGACCGTCTGATTTTAGCCACAGGGAGTCTCCACACACCCTTCAGATAGAACAGCTTAGGAATGAGCTTCCTACAATTGAATAAATCAACTTTCCTTATAGAATTATTGTTGTTCATTTAAAAATCATTAGATCGTCACTTTGCTTAAATTTTAAAAATCCAACAGGATCATAGGATTATTTTCTGTCTTTTTTACTCCTTTATTCTTGGGGAAGAAGTAAAATGTTCTAATGACTTTCTTCTGGCTTAATAAAGAAAAATAACAAATATTATACCTTTAAGAAAACGAAGATGTTGGTTCAAATATTATTGCCACTTCAACACATTATGAAGTAAGACAACTACGCAAAGATGTTGGTTCAAATATTATTGTCACTTCAACACATTATGAAGTAAGACAACTACGCAAAGATGTTGGTTCAAATATTATTGCCACTTCAACACATTATGAAGACAACTTATCAGAATTACAGCTCACTTTTAAGACAAAAGTGACCTTTTCCAGACTCTCTGGAGTCCAGGATCTTGGAAGATGCCTTCATTAGCGGTGACGTTTCCAAGCACAGCTTTCTTTATTGCAGCGTTAAGGGAGGCACGTCAGTATCCTACACGAGAAGTTAGACGGGGCTACAGTTTCCAAGCTAAGCCTGAGAAACTCAACACTAACAACAGAGAGAACGCACGGGCAACAATATCTTAGCAAATAGAAACGGGAACAGAGAATGTTCCCTCCAGTCACACTCAATGACAGCAATCGGATAAGAGTCTGTCACGCCATCACCCGCAGTCAGACGCTGGGGAGAACTGCCAGGCCTCTCTTCATGTGATCCAAGGTGAGGGGTACTAGTCATGTGACCTCCACTTTGCAGGCACAGGGGAGCCACTGGGGCTGGAAACAGGGACAGGTCCAGCTTGGGCATGTGGGTGGCCAGCCTCCAAGGTGATGCTCAGTGACCCCACCTCGTGGTATTCACACCTCCTGCCCAGTTCCTTCCCCATGGCATCAGGACTGGTCTGTGTGATCATCTGGCAAAAGGGTGACGTCACCTCTGAGATTAGGTTATAAAAAGACTGTGGTTTCCTTCTTTGTATCTATCTCTGTCACTCTCCTCTTCCTCTTTTTTTCTCTCTCTGTCTCATCCTCTTTTTATGTCTCTGTCTCCCTCACCTCCCTATTTCTGTCTCTCCCTCTTGTCTCTCTGTCTTTCTCTTCCTTTTTCTCTCTTTTTGTCTCTCTCTGTCTCTCTCACTTCCCTTTTTCTGTCTCTGTATCTTTTTCTCTGTCTGTCTCTCACTTCCCTTTTTCTATCTCTCTCTGTCTCCTCTGTCTCTGTCTCTCTCACTTCCCTTTTTCTCTTTGTCTCTCTCTGTCTCCCACTTCCCTTTTTTTCTCTGTCTCTGTCTGTCTCTACTTCCCTTTTTCTCTTGGTCTCTCTCTGTCTCCCACTTCCCTTTTTTTTTTTTTTTTTTTTTTGAGACAGAGTCTAGCTCTGTCACCCAAGCTGGAGTGCAGTGGCACGATCTCGGCTCACTGCAAGCTCCGCCTCCCAGGTTCACGCCATTCTCCTGCCTCAGCCTCCCGAGTAGCTGGGACTACAGGCGCCCGCCACCACGCCTGGCTAATTTTTTGTATTTTTAGTAGAGATGGGGTCTCACCGTGTTAGCCAGGATGGTCTCGATCTCCTGACCTTGTGATCCACCCACCTCAGCCTCCCAAAGTGCTGGGATTATAGGCGTGAGCCACTGCACCCGGCCTCTCACTTCCCTTTTTTCCTCTGTCTCTGTCTCTCTCTACTTCCCTTTTTCTGTTTGTCTCTCTCTGTCTCTCTCACTTCCCTTTTTTTCTCTGTCTCTCTGTCTCTCTGTCTCTCTCACTTCCCTTTTTCTGTCCTTCTGTATCTGTCTCTCTCTGTCTCTCACACTTCCCTTTTTCTGTCTGTCTCTGCTTCTCTGTCTCTTTCTGTCTCCCCATCTCTCTGTCTCTGTCTCTCTCTGCCTGTCTCACTACCCTTTTTCTGTCTCTCTCTCCCCACCCCTTTCTCTCCTCACTCTCAAATTATGGGGACAGCAAGCAGTCATGCTGTAAAGCAGCCTTACAGAGAGGCCATCAGGCAAGGAGCTGCATCCTGGGCCCAGCCGACAGCAAGTGAGTGGGCCTGGAAGCAGCCCCTCTGGCCCCAGTCGAACCTTCAGACGAGGCAGCCTTGGCTAACAGCTTGATGGCAACCTCGTGAGAAACCCTGAGGCAGAACCCCCAGCTAAGTCCCTCCTAGATTCTAGAGCTCAGAAACCATGAGAGACCATCAATGTCTGTTGCTCTAAACCAGGTAACCTGTGAGCAGCTGTAGATAATGAGTGCATCAGGGACCCAGGCAGAGCCAGGCAGGGCCCTTCTTGAAGATGACGAGGAACAGGAGCTGGAAGCTGCAGGGAAGCATCAGGCCACAGCGAGAGAGGCCAGGCAAAGGCCCACAGAGCCAGGCGAGGGACTGTCCAGGAGAGAGAGTCCTGAGGCCATCGCCTGGACCCATGAGTCCAGCCCTGCCTGGAGGGCCACCCCCAGAGCCCTTCAGGAACTCCCAACGGCACTAATTAGTTACACCCTCCTTTCCAATTCCATTTTGAAGTGGGGGTCTTGCAAGCGGGCAAGCCCTGGCTGAATCACTGGGTCTGTGAAGCTCTGCTCAGTACCCACACCCTACCCAGGGACCAGAGGTGGCCCCAGAGTCAGCACAGATGGGGCAGCCCTGTAGCCCAAGACCCTCTCTTTGGCCCCAGCAGGAGTTGGAAGAAGTATAGACTTCCCTGTGAGCTCCCGGCCCAGGGGCTGTGGGGTTGTGGGCTCTAGAGGGGCACTGCCTCCAGCCTCCCGTCATTGCAGAAAACAGGAGAAATTGCAGATGGCAGGCCAGGAGCGGTGGCTCACTCCTGTAATCCCAGCACTTTGGGAGGCCGAGGCAGGTGGATCACAAGGTAAGGAGATCGAGACCAGCCTGGCTAACACAGTGAAACTCTGTCTCTACTAAAAATACAAAAAAATTAGCCGGGCGTGGTGGCGGGCGCCTGTAGTCCCAGCTACTCGGGAGGCTGAGGCAGGAGAATGGCGTGAACCCGGGAGGCGGAGCTTGCAGTGAGCTGAGATCGCGCCACTGCACTCCAGCCTGGGCGACAGAGCGAGGCTCCATCTCAAAAAAAAAAAGAAAAAGAAAAAGAAAAAGAAATTGCAGAAGGCAGCGAGTGACCCATCAGCACAGGGCTCTGGGGCTCCCTTCAGAGGAGCTGCTCCAACAAGGTGGAGAAAAATGATGGGATGCCTGGGACTTCCTGTTGCATTTCCACATGGTCCACTTGGCCACAGCACAGGAGACAGCTCCCGGCTACCGGCATGGCCCTCACCCCTGCGTTACCAAGACCTCCAGGGGATGCAGACAGCCCCAGCTGAGCTGGGCAGGTGAGGCCTTTGCCCTGCCTTCTACATCCCCCTCCCTCATGCCCAGCCTGGACTCCTCTTGCTCTTCCTCTGAAATGGTCTCCTCCTGTTGCTGTAACCCAAACCCTATCGAAAAGGACTGCCACTCAGCAGTCACCCTACCTGTTCGTGTGCAGCAGGTCTCTCTGTAATGTGAATTATCCACACCTATTCAAATGTTTAATTCTGCAAATACATTGCAGAGGGAAGCGTGCTCCCCTCTCTCCTCCATTGTGGTATGTGGCAGCTCTTCTAGGACCTGTTCCCCGGGGTCCTGGCTGGCAGGGGATGTGTCTGTCTGCCCTGCACACACACAGGGAGGAACTTGTGTTGCTCCCGACCAACCTTCCGCGACGCACAGAGCCCCTTGTGTCCAAAACAGAGAAAGATGCCCAGCAGAAACTAAGGACACCGGCATTGGCAGCAACTGAGGTTTTAGTCTCCACTCTGGCACTTGTTAGCTGTGTGACTTGGAGTGGCTGATTTAGCCCCTCTGTGCCTGGGTTTCTGTCCCCTGGAAAGGAAGGAGGCTGCTGCTCCAGTTCCCGCAGGCTGCTGTGTGTTCAGTGGAAGAGCCCACCGTGAATGCTCCAAGGTGAACAAGTGAGCTAGCGCCCAGTGCCTGCCGTGAGCCCACCGCTCCCAGCCTGTGCAGTGCCCCTGGCCTGAGACAGGAAACCCGGTGCCCTTCCTATTTCCCTGAGGGACTCGCAGTACACAGGCTCCCAAGACGCAAGGTCATGTGGCCTGGGCTCTGCCTCTGGTGGCTTCAGGGCAGAGCATGAGCCCCAGACACTGGCCCCTTAGCCCCAGACATTCAAGGCATAGGAGCAGCCCATCCTGCCTGCACCCCGTCTTCGGCCTCAACACACCCTTGTTCTTCAGGCTTTGCTGGGAAGCCTCCTCCTCCTTCTGAGAAGACCTCCTCACCTCCCTTTTCCTTTTGAAGGTGAGAAGGGGAAGATTCCGGAACATCGTGTACTGCCTTGCTACATCCCTATCGTGATTAGCAGCTGGATATGGGGCAGCCAGAGAGCGTGAGGTTCAGGAAAGCAGAACTCAGTGGCTGGCACTGTGGAAGATGAGGGAATTGAGCTGGCACTAAGACGGGGCAGGCACGGGGCAGATAAGACCTAAGGCAGAGGGGGCAGGGAGGGACGTGGAACATTCCAGGCACACGGAGCAGGCAGGCCCCATTGGAGCAAGGATTTCATCTGAGAGGAGCACGAGGTTAAACAGCGAAGTCCGTGTGCGGCCAGTGCAGAAGGTGCTTGGCTGCCCATCCGAGGGCTGGGCTTGGAGCCCCTGCTGCCCGCCCTCAGGAGCCTGCAGTGATTCCGTGTCCCCCAAGACACTCAGACAGAGCGTGGAGTCCCAGTGACTTCAGACGACAAGTCTCCTGAGAGGCTGAAGCAGGGATGGACCAGCCTCACTCCCAGCCTTGCACAGATGAGGAAACTGAGGCCCAGCAAGGGGAACGACCCACACCCAGGCTCAGCCCAGGTACAACGCAATTCCGCGGCCTGGTTCCAGCCTCCTGGCCTGGCCTGCTATCAATAGCGTTGCTATTACCTGCTGATGGAAGGATAAATAGAATAGCAGATGTTTGTAATTATAAACTTCTTAAGACTTTTTTTTTTTTTTTGAGAGGGAGTCTTGCTGTGTCGCCCAGGCTGGAGTACAGTGGAGCCATCTTGGCTCGCTACAGGCTCAGCCTCTGAGATTTAAACGATTCTCATGCCTCAGCCTCCCGAGTAGCTGGGATTACAGGTGTGTGCCACCATGCCTGGCTAATTTTTTTGTACTTTTAGTAGGGATGGAGTTTTGCCATGTTGGGCAGGCTAGTCTTGAACTCCTGGCCTGAAGTGATCCACCCAACTCGGCCTCCCAAAGACTTTTTCTTGTAGAAATAAGGTCTCACTCCATTGCCCAGGCTGGTCTCAAACTCCTGGACTCAAGCCATCCTCCTGCCTTGGCCTCCCAAAGTGCTGGGATTGTAGGCGTAAGCCACCATGCCTGCCAGACTTTTTTTTTTTTTATGGACCATAACAAACTTCAGTGTTGTTTCATTCCTTAATGTGGCAACTTCAAAAGACAAAAGGAACTCTTTTTTTTTTTTAGACAGAGTCTTGCTCTGTCACCCAGGTTGGAGTGCAGTGGCATAATCTCGGCTCACTACAACCTCTGCCTCCCAGGCTCCCAGGTTCAAGCAATTCTCCTGCCTCAGCCTCCCAAGTAGCTAGGACTACCGATACATGCCACCACGCCCAGCTAATTTTTGTACTTTTGATAGAGACGTGGTTTCACCATATTGGTCAGGCTGTTCTCAAACTCCTGGCCTCAAGTGATCCACCCACCTCAGGCTCCCAAAGTGCTGGGATTACAGGCTTGAGCCACCATGCCCGGCTGAGACGCAAAGGAACGCTCTAATGTAGTTTCCTACTGCTGCTGCAACAAATCACTGGAAATTTAGCATCTTAAAACAACATGAAAGTATTGCCTCGTAGCTCTGGAGGTCAGAAGTCTGAAACAGGGCCCCCTCGCCTATAAGCAAGGGTCTGCAGGGCTGCGCTCCCTCTGCGGGCCCTGGGGGGATCTGTTCCTCGCCGTTTGCAGCTTCCAGCAGCCACTCTCATCCCCCGGCTCGGCCCTTCCTCCATCCGCAGTCAGGCCAGCACAGCATTTCTCTCACCTCCTCTCCTGCCTCCTCTTCCCCATGTGAGGACTTTTGTGATGACTCTGGGCCACCCAGATAATCCAGGGCCACCTCCTTATTTTCAGTTCAGTTCATGAGCAACCTAAACTCCATCTACGACCTTAGTCCCCCTCTGCCCTGCCAGGTGACATATCCACTGGCTCTGGGAATTGGGACGCAGACAACTTAGGGGGCCATTATTCTGCCCACCACAGTAACCAAACGTCTCAGCCTAGGAGGAATTTTTGGTTTCAGCTGAGTCCCCTTGCTCCTACCACAGCGATCACACAGAGTGACCCTGCTGGATCGGATGAGCAGTGGCACGGTCAGAGAGGCCAGGGCTAGCCATGCTCCAAGGGAACTGGTCCTTGTCATGGAAAAGGAAGCTGTGCCCCAGTGCCCATGGCCTGGCCTGGAGTCCAGAGGCACTGGTCCCCATGGCCGACTCCCCACATCCAGCAGCGAGCTCGAGGCCACAGAGCAGTTGCCTCTCAGGTGTCACCTTTCCTCACCCTGCCCCCAGGGGCACCCCTTCCTCACGCAGCACAACCTGGAACTACCTACTGCACAAGGAGGCCCCGACATCCCCCAGACGCATGTCCTGGGGGCTGCATACATGACATGGGTGAGGACCAGCTTTCTGCTGAGCGGGTCATGTAACACTTCGGTGAACGTGGGCTTTTGTGGTCAAGCGCTTTTGCAATGTAGCTGCCCTGGAGGTGCCAGCCCGTGCTTCTCAGGGTGTTCATGTTGGAAGGGAGAGGGAGGCTGTGGCAGTACGACCCGGGGTCTGGGGTGGTGGCAGGGAGGCTGTTTGGACAGGTGGTGGGGGGCAGCCAGGCTGAGTGAGATGAGGCTGTGATGGGTACAGTGCTGTGAGGTGGGCATGGGAGTTTCCCGTCTCAGCTGGCCTGAGCATGGTTGGATTTTCTAACTTTGGCCCTCAGGGAACACTCAGGTGCTGACCCAGAAGTAGTTGAATTTTCTTGAGGATAAGGCAGGTTAGATCATGGGTGTGCCACTGTCAAGAAAATACAGGGAGTAGTCTTCATTATTTCATCCTGAATCCCACTCCCTTCCACTCCTCACTCTAATCTTCAGGCGTGCCATGGGTAGTTGCCCAGGTGGAGCACTGCACAACTTTGGGGGCACCATCCACATAGATGACACTGAAAGCAGCGGCCCTGGCGGAGGCACTGTACCCATCAGAGTGCCCACTGGCGGCCCTGGTGGAGGCACTGTACCACATGACCAGAGAGTCATGTAACACGGAAGTGTTACATAAAAACCTGTAGACACTTCTGAAACGATGCTTTGCCCACGCTCCAGGTGAAGCAGCCTCTGTGCCAGCCCTTCCGGAATCCGCACTCAAAGGTTGAGCTTTGCGCACCATCCTAAAAAACTTTAGGGCCCAGGTTGGGGGACAGTATCAGGGAACAGATGGATTTTATCTATTTGACACTCCACATAGTAACATTTTGTTATCCAGGCCATGGAGACTGGGACTGAGACCAGTGGAGTCCCAGGGGAGGTGTTCCACCAGTGACAGTCGCGATGAACCCCCTGCATTCCCACCCCCGTCCTGTGTCTCTTTCCTCCACACTCAGCTCATGGATATCGAAAGCTTTCTCTGTTCACTGCCGCCCTGAGCCACACAGCAATGCCCTGTCGCTCCTGCACACGTGACCTTCGGAAGGCGCTGCCTCCCCAGCCAGCAGCTGGAGGTCTTCAAGCCAGCCACGAGGGCATGTGGAGTATGCAGTCACTGCTGCCTGCGGCAGCTGGGGCTTGTGCTGATTTGGTCAAATCCCCCAGGTACCTCCAGGACCCACGGAATCCACCAACTACACCAATGAAGAAGCTGCCCCAGTGAACGGCCCTTCACACGGCCTCTCGTCACTGAAGGCCACGGGGCATCTCCTGTGTGTCCAGCCCTCCTCTGTGCCCAGCGCTTGCTTAGTGGTCCCTATGTGACTGTCCTTGGGGAGGGCAAGACGTGAAAATGCACAACAAACCCTGAGCTGTAAGCGACTGAGCCCTTACCCCCGATGTGTTCAAGCCCCAGCAGAGCCAGAGAACCACGTGGCCCAAGGGTGTGAGTCTCCTACCCCTCTGCCACCTGCTCTTGGAAAGCAGTTAGTGACCAAGGGAAAAGGATTGGAATCAGGGGCCCCAGAGCACCCGAGCCAGTGCCCGGCACTCAATGGTCCTGGAGGTGGCCTTGGTCACTTCACCCCCAGAGCAGCCTGCAGAGGGTCCGGCCCCTCCACACAGGAAACATCTAAGTGGGGCTCTGGCTGTTTCAGGCCCCTGCCCCACAGAGCCAGCCCCGAGGACAGCCCTCAACCTACCCCAGCACGCCAAGACATGGGAAGAGAGAGGCTGGGACCCAATTAGGGAGACCTGTGCGTTTGACAGGGAAGGCTGTGGCCGGCGGGGAGGGCACTGTGGGCTGGTGCCCCCTGCCCCCCGGGTGTCAGACAGAGCAGGGTAGAAGCTGTTTTGGACTGTTTGTGGCCCCCCAAATTCATATGTTGAAATCCTAACCTCTAAAACGATGGTAATAGGAGGTGGGGACTTTGGGAAGTCATAGGTCATGAGGGTGGAGCCTCACGAATGGGATTAGGGCCCTTATAAAGAGGGCCCCCAGAGAGCGGCCTCTCCCTCTCTCCACCAAGTGAGAACGCAGCAAGAAGGCTGCACCGGGAAGGGTCCTCACCAGAACCTGGCCGCAGCCCCCTGGACTCAGAGCAGCTGCAGCCAACAGAGGCAGAGCCCGCACACGCTGCTCCCCAGAGGAGACCGGAGGGCCATGGGTGAAAGAAGGGACCACAAAGAAAACGTGATCCGTGCCCTTCCTTCCCTTTCATCTCAAAACCGCAAACATCTTCAGGCCTGAAGATTAAAGCCCCTGCCTGTGGACAACTCCAGGCCCGCCCCGTCGGCAGTGTGGCCCCTTCCTCTTTCTGTGACATGTCCTGCAACTCCAGGCCCGCCCCGTCAGCAGTGTGGCCCCTTCCTCTCTCTGTGACACGTCCTGCAACTCCAGGCCTGCCCCGTCGGCAGTGTGGCCCCCTCCCCTCTCTGTGGCGTATCCTGCAACTCCATGCCCACCCTGTCGGCAGTCCGGCCCCTTCCTCCCTCTGTGACATGTCCTGCAACTCCAGGCCCGCCCCGTCAGCAGTGTGGCCCCTTCCTCTCTCTGTGACACGTCCTGCAACTCCAGGCCTGCCCCGTCGGCAGTGTGGCCCCCTCCCCTCTCTGTGGCGTATCCTGCAACTCCATGCCCGCCCCGTCGGCAGTGTGGCCCCTCCCCTCTCTGTGGCACGTCCTTCTGGGCGGCTCTGGCTTCAGCCAGGGCCACAGGGCAACGCAGACTCAAGAGCGCTTGGTTGATTCATGGCGGTCACAGCCACTGCTGTGCCCCAGGAGCTCAGGGCCCTGCGCCCAAGTGCCTCCCAAGAACCACTGGGGGTCGGACGCAGTGGCTCACATCTATGATCCCAGCACTTCGGGAGGCCGAGGCAGGCAGATCACCTGAATTCAGGAGTTCGAGACCAGCCTGGCCAACATGGCGAAACCCTGTCTCTACTAAAAATACAAAAATCAGCCAGGTATGACGGTGTATGCCTGTGATGCCAGCTACTAGGAGGCTTAGGCAGGAGAATCACTTGAACCCGGGAGGCTGAGGCTACAGTGAGCCGATGGTGCCACTGCACTCCAGCCTGAGTGACAGAGTGAGTCTCTGTCTCAAAAATTTAAAAAATAAAATAAAATAAAATAAAAAATAAACAGAACTGCTGGGACCTGGGACCCCCCTCCCAGGCTCAGGCATGACCCCCTTGCCACCTGCTGTCTTGGCTCAAACCTCTCCCAGGGGCCACCCCTGACCACCCCCCACTTTCTAAACTGCACACTGCACTCCCATCCCCGGGGCTCCCCAGTTCCCTCTCCTCCCTCACAGCTGACAAAGTGTCATGAGCATCAGATGAACGAACACACACAGCACACACGTCACCCGCCTTGCGCACAGTGGCTGTTCAGCATGAGATTTAACTTTGAATATTCACAGAATTTCAGACACCGTCGATAGCAAAGCACTGCCTTATTTTATGAACCACTAAGAAAGAGAAAATGCTGCCAATTAAACTGACATGACGCTTTCTTATCACTCATAACTTTCATCTTACGCTTATTGAAGGAGCTCTTCTGGACTTAATTAGACATGGATTTGTACTGGCCATCACTTTGGCACACACAAAAAAGAAAGATATCAGCAAAATAAAATTTGTTAAGATATTTCTAAAATGTGTGCACATTAAGTCCAAATCTTCCAACTCCATTTCCCTCCGAGCCATCAAGCCCTGTGCTTGTCCTCATGCTGATGTCCTCTGAGCTGTCAGAAGCATCCAGGGTGCAGCTGATTCTCGAAGAACATGTAAAAGGATGAAGAGCCATAGCTGCAGGGCCCAGAAGCCTGCCTGGGGCTGATGGAGTCAGCCTGCTGCCTCCCGCTTAGGGGATTTCTGCGAAAGGCTGATTCTCAACATTCCGGCCACTTGGTCTCCTAGGGGCAAGCGTGCTCCGCCGTTGTCTTGAGAATTTTCTACCAGGCCACACCCATCTGCAAGCTTTGAGACTAAGGCTGTCTTGTTCAGGCAAAGGCAGGCCAGTGTGTTGTTCAGGCACAGACAGGCCCAGTGGTTGCACGGCTGGCCGCTATGGTGAGACGTCTTCAATTACAAGATATGTCCTGATTTTGGAGATGTCCAAGCATTAAAAACTGGGCCAGGCATGGTGGCTCACTCCTAGCACTGTGGGGGGTGGAGACAAGAGGATTGCTTAAGCCCAGGAGTGTGACATCAGCCTGGGCAGCATAGCAAGACCCCAACTCTACAAAAAATAAAAAATTAACCATGCGGTAGCAAATGCCTGTAGTCCCAGCTACTAGAGAGGTTGAAGTAGGAGGATTGCTTGAGACCAGGGAGTCGAGGCTGCAGTGAGCCGTGATCACACCACTGCACTGCGGCCTGGGAGACAGAGCGAGACCCTGTCTCACAAAAATAAAATAAATAAATAAAAACTGCATCCTCAACAGGCTGAGGCTGGAGGACACCACAGATTTAGGAGTTTGAGGCCAGCCTGGGTGACACAGCGAGACCCTCTCTAATTTTTTAAATAAAAAAAAAATTAAACAGATAATAGGCCATTGTGTTTTTACACACAAAGCCCCCAACCAGCCTCAAAGCATCCCTCTCCCTGGTGGTCACGACAAAGTGACTCAACTCATGCCCGGCTTCCTTTTCAATCCTGCATTGACTCCAGAGCCAATGCAGTCCCAGTTCTGCTATGACTCAGTGGCCTTGGCACTTCCAATTGCCTGCTGGGTGCCTCATCTGTGAATTGGGGCTGTAAACATAGCAGAGCCTCCCCCTCGGGGCTGTGATAAGAACTAAGGAAGTGACACTCTTAAAGCCCATTGAAGGCTGGGGCACACAGATGTGAGTGCTGGCCATACATGCACTCCATCCCATAGCATCCTTCCATAGGATCACAACTCCACCCCACACCATCACTCCATCGATAGAATCACTCCATCCCGCACCATCACTCCATCCCACATCATCACTCCATCCCGCACCATCACTACCTGCAGCAACATCGCTCCATGCCACAACATCGCTCCCTCCCACACCATTGCTCCATCCCAAACCATCGCTCAGTCCCGCTCCATTGCTTTGTCCCACACCATGGCTCCATGCCGTGCCATCACTCCATCCTACACCATCGCTGTGTCCCAAATCTAGGGTGGGGCCCAGGAACGTGCATGACAGTCAAGGGCCCTAGGGGGTTCCATCAGGACCTGGACCCCACGTGACTTCAAGACTGTAGTGGGCTGAATGGCAATCCCAAGAAAAGATATATCCACATGCTTACCCCCAGAACCTGTGCACAGGGCCTTATTTGGGGAACAGGTCATTGCCGATGTGATCTGGTGAAGGATCTCCAGATGAGATTTATCCAGGATTATCCAGATGGACTCTGACTGCAATAACAAGTGTCCTTAGGAGACAAAAGAGAAGAGGACAGAGGTGGAGGCAGGGATTGGGGCTACGCAACCATAAAGCAAGAAAGCCCAGAGCCACCAAGAGCTGAAAGACAAGGATGCCTCCACCCCACAAGCCTCAGAGGGAGTACGGCCCTGCAGACACCTTGATTTCAGACTCCTGGCCCCTAGAACAGAGGGAGAATGAATTTCTATTCTTTTAGGGCACGCAGTTTGCAGTCATTTGTTACAGCAGCGGGAAATGCAGATGCTGGCCTGCCAAGGAGGCAGTCGCCCAGGGCCACTGAGAGCAGGCACAGAGAGATGCCTGCTCCCAAATGCCAGCTCGATCACCAGCTGTCCCTAAGGAGGCATCCTTGACATTAAGACCCCAGTTCCAGCTCCACCGCAGACCTTGACTCTGACCACTTCATCCACCTCCATGGCCGCTATTGTCTCTCCCCAGAAGTCCTACTTTGGAGGAGAAAGCTTTGGCATGCAAGGATGGGGAATGGATGATAACTCTGCGTCTCTTTATAAAACTGAGTTAGAGGATGAGGGGGAGATGCAGGCAGGGACCCCAGCTCCCTCGGGTGGAAGCAGGAGTTACAAGGTCTTCGAGTCACTTCCTAGTGGCAAGCTGGTGCCAGGTGACCAGAGAGACGGGCCAGGCACAAACTTCAGCACAATCCAAGAAGGCGCGCCTGAACAACTTGGTAGTCAGAAAGTTCTAGAAAGAACCTGTTTTTATTGTCTGGTGTCTCTAAGTCTTACATCGTTTTTAAAAAGATAGTTTTGTTTTGAATTGCCCACCATCCTCTTTTCCACATGGGGCCTCTCAAGGATGTATCTGGCCCTCCACAGCCTGCTTCCCCCAGTAGCTGGGCAGGAGAAAATGACAATTCTGGGTTCCTGCCCTGTCCCTGAGCATCCCCCTGAGCTTTGTGAGCTCCACACTCACCATCCAAGACCAGCCTCAGTCTCCTTCCATACCTGTGCCTGCTGGAAGGAGAAGACGGTGTCCATGCTCCTCGGCTCCCTGGAAGGAGCAGAGGGTGAGAGCCAGCGGAGGTTGGGAGTCCATCAGCCTCCTCTGAGCCAGCCTCAGGGGTACAGGGACCGCCCAACTTACCCGGACCACCCCACAGGGTGGCAGTGGCCCCACAGTGGTCCTGCAGGCTCCTGAAGACACACACATGAAGTCCGAGGGTCAGAAGGACCCCGAGTAGTCCGGCCTCTGCAGAGGTTGACAGCCAATGGAGACCGGGGGTCCATTGGCCTCCTCCGAGCCAGCCTCATGGGGACAGGAATCACTGACTTACCCCAATCACCCCACGGTGTGACAGTGACCTCACAGTGGCCCTGTAGGCTCCCGCAGACACACACATGAGGTCCGAGGATCGGAAGGACCCTGAAGAGTCTGGCCTCTGCAGCAGCTACCCAGAGTTCAGGACATGACTGTCCTGTCTCACTCGCTGCTATGGCTGCAAACTGAGCCATGCCTGTACCTTCAAGAGGTCAAAGCCGACCTGAGAGCCCCTTGAGAATCAGGCACATGACTGGCCCAGGTGCCCACAGCAAGGTGCTGGCCTCACCAGGACTGCACACTCAAAGCCAGGGCCATGCAGCCCTACTCAAAAAGCCCCCAGGAGAACCACTTTCTGCTTGGTGGCACCATACCTGGTCCTCCCCCTCATCCCTTCTTGTCTTTTCAGGAGAGAGAAGCCAGGAACAAAGGCAGCCTGGGAGGCCTCGTCCTTGGCTGGTGGAGCAGAGAACGTCTACATGGCCGGGGCTGCCCTAACGAAAGACCACAAAGCCACCAGGCTTGCAACAGTGGACATTTACTATCTCACAGCTCAAGTGGCCACAAATTTGAACTGAAGCTGGGCAGGGCTGGTTCCTTCTGGATGCTCTGAGGGAAAACCTATCTCTCCCCAACTTCTGGGGCCCCAGCCATCCCTGGTGTTCTGTGACTGATAGATCCATCACCTGGTCTCTGCCTCCACCCTTGTGTGGCCTCCTCTGGGTACCTGTGTCTGTTTTCTCTTCTTATAATGACCCCATAGCCAGGCCTGGTGGCATGTGCCTGCGATCCCAGCAACTCAGGAGGCTGAGGTGGGTGCTTGAGCCCAGGAGGCCAGCCCGGACAACATAGTAAGATCCTACCTATTTTTAAAAATTAAAAGAAAAAAAGATATCCGTCGTTGGATTTAAGGCCCATCCTAGTCTGATATGACCTCGTCTTAACTAATGACATCTGCAAAGACCCTATTTGCAAGAAAGGTCCTGTTCTGATGTTCCCGGTGGACATGGATTTGGGAGAACACTCTCAACCCACTGTAGGAAGGGGTCAGCAAGGTCCCCACCTTGCTGGGCTTGGGGCTGGAGGGCTTCCTGTTGTGCCCATAGCTAGCGTTTCTGCGGCCACATCCCCAGCCTCAGTGCATCTGCTTCCACCATCTGCAAAATTAAGGCCAACAATACTTGTTTTGGGGAGTCATGAGGAAGATAAGGGGGGTTATGTGTGAAAGGGTTTGGCACAGGCCTGGTGTGGAACAGAGGCGTCAGTGCGGAGATGAAGCGTCCCCAACAGCGAGGCCCCACCTGGGAGGAAAAGGCGGGGCTGCCTCCTGGACGCAGGTTCCCTCTCTGGGAGCTCAGAGGGCTCAGGGAGAGATTAAGCATATTATGTAGATGCACTTGCGTGTTTGCAAATCTCTTCCCAACGAGGGATTTGATTCTTCAAGTGCCTGATAAGATGTTTGAGCAAACTCCGCTATTGTCCTGATCATCATTGTGATGTTGCAGTTGGCGTTGCGTGGGCGTAACGAAAGGGATCTATTTTCCTGGCTAATAAGGTTTATTTTTACTCTAGCTGAATAATAGATGATCAGTGTCAAAATAAATTACAATCCTTCCGTTATAAGCCACTCTCCTGCCCTACATACATGCCGAAGCTGCCTTCCCGTTCCTCCAGGCTGCCGTCCCTTCCCCGGCTCCCAGGAAGGCACCCTTCCCTCCCCGCCACCGCCTGCCATTCATCCTCTCCAAGTTAGAACGGAATATAAATTGGGCGCCTCGGGGACCTGCAAAACTTGAGAGTATGTTATGTTAGGAATTGGCTTTGTGGCCATAAATTATGTAACAGCTCCCCGATCCCAAACCAAGCTGGTATTTTCACTATGGTGTAAATAAAAACGTTAAATGGTTTTTCTAAGTGTTTGATTTTTCATCTGTGGTTTATTCACCTACTAAATTTCTGTAAAGGCCCATTTATTCAGCTTTGGGGAAAATACATTAAGCAGTTGTCCACTTGGCAGCAATGGTGAGAAGCCTCCCAGACAGGGAGGGCCTCCCAGGTCGCCTCCGCTGGCTGACAGCTGGCCGCGCTCCTAAGCCTCTCAGCCTCAGTTTCCCCACGTATAGAATGGAGAGCAAAATTGTCATTTTCCAAAGGGCTACTTTCCAAGTTGAAAACAAGGAAACAGGAGCAGCAGAGGAATCGCCTGTTGCTGCAATGCCTGATGTTTAGGAAGAGTCAGTACAGGTAACAATGATGCCTTCTGGACCACGGCACCAGGGAGTCACATAACTCCAGTTAGAATATGGTACTGACAAATACACTAGGTGCTGACCAAAAAGAAAAAGCACTCCATTTGGTAGCACAAAGGAGGTTTCCTTTAAGACCCAGAGAGTACTTTGCCCAGAAACTCCTTTGTCCGACACTCAAGGCCTCCAGGAGTCCTGACACCCACCTGGCGTCCCACCAGCTATGCACCTCCCAAGTGTCTGCAGCCAACCTCCAGCCTAAATGCACCCCAGCACGCTCATCCCAGCCCCTGCCTGCTCAAAGCTGAGGCTGAAGGCAGATAGGTCTGGGTCCAGGTCTGGGCCCCGAAACTTACAGCTTTCCAGCTCTCCACTTTGTTTCACTGGAAGGAAAGGGAGCACAGAAAGGGCCTGGCTCTGGGGCTGCGGCAGGACTCAGTGCAGCATCCCCCACCACCACCCCAGGTCCCACCTGCCCGGCCCTACCCTCAGTCCCTATGGAGTTGCTGTAGCTGGGACTGGGCACAGCCTGCTGGCAAGCCATGCTGAGGCGAGAGCCCACCTTCCCCTCCTGGAGTCTCCTGCCACAGCTCAGTATCCCACAGTCATGAGGCGTTCAGTGGCTGCACACAGGTGTCACCACTATCCCGCCTCCACCAACGACATATCCTTCACCAACAACATCACCTCCCCAACAACTTCACCTCCCCAATGGCTTACCCCCATGACATCATCTCCCTAATAACATTACTTCCTTATGGCATCACCACTGCCACAACATTGTCTCCCCCATGGCATCACTTCCCCATCACATCACCTCTGCATGACATCACCTCCCAATGGCATCACCTCTCCCATGACATCACCTCTCCCAGGAAATCACCTCCCAATGACATCCCCTCCGCATGACTTCACGTCCCCATGCATCACCTCCCCATGACATCACCTCTCCATGACATCACCCCTCCATGACATCACCTCTCCATGACATCACCTCTCCATGACATCACCTCTCCCATGACATCATCTCCCCTTTGACATCACCCCTATGACATCACCTCCCCATGACATCACCTCTCTATGGCATCACCTCCCCCATGACATCACCTCTCTATGGCATCACCTCCCCATGACATCACCTCACCATGCCATCACCCCTCCATGACACCCCTTCCCCATAACATCCCCTCCCCATGGCATCCCCTCCCAATGGCATCACCTCCCCATGATATCACCTCTCTATGACATCGCTTCCCCATCACGTCCCCTCCCCATGGCATCACTTCCCCAACACATCCCCTCCCCATGCCATCACCTCACCCATGGCATCACCTCACCCATGATATCATCTCCCCCATGACATCACCTCTCCCCAAAGCATCACTGCAAGACACCAGCCTCTTCAGGAAATAATATGAAGGTAAACTTTGTTAAGAATCCTTGTTTTTCAGCTGGGCACAGTAGCTCACACCTGTACTCCTAGCACTTTGGGAGGCCAAGGCAGGCAGATCACTTGAGGCCAGGAGTTCAAGATCAGCCAGGCCAACATGCCAAAATCCCATCTCTAGTAAAAATACAAAAAAAAAAAAGCTGGTTATGGTGGCACATGCCTGTAACCCCAGCTACTCGGGAGGCTGAGGCTAGAGAATCACTTGAACCTTGGAGGCAGAGGTTGCAGTGAGCCAAGATGGCACTGCTGCACTCCAGCCTGGGTTTTTGAGAGAGCAAGACTCTCTCTCTCAAAAAAAAAAAAAAAGAATCCTTGTTTTTCAACAGTTAAGCCAAGAGCCAAATCAGGAATGCAATCTTATTCACAATTGCCACAAAAAGAATAAGATATCTAGGAATACAGCTAACTAAGGAGGTGGAAGATCTCTATAAGGAGAACTACAAATCACTGCTTAGAGAAATCAGAAATGACACAAACAAATGTAAAAATACTCCATGCTCATGGATAGGAAGGATCAATATCATTAAAGCAATGTATTCAACAGTATTCCTGTCAACCTACCAATGACATTCTTCACAAAACTAAGAAAAAACTATTTTAAAATTCATATGGAACCAAAAAGGAGCCCAAATAGCCATGGCAATACTAAGCAAAAAGAACAAAGCTAAAGGCATCACACTATCTGACTTAAAACTATACTACAGGACTACAGTAACCAAAACAGCATGACACTGATACAAAAACAGACACCTAGATCAATGGAATGGAATAGAGAGCCCAGAAATAAGGCCACACACCTATAACCATCTGATCTTTGACAAAGCTGTCAAAAACAAGCAATGGGGAAAGGACTTCCCATTCAATAAATGGTGCTTGGATAACTGCCTAGCCATGTGCAGAAGACTGAAACTAGACCCCTTTATTATACTGTACAAAAAAAGTCAACTCAAGATGGATTAAGGACTTAAATGTAAGACCTAAAACTATAAAAACGATGCAAGACAACCTAGGCAATACCATTCTGGACATAGCAATGGGCAAAGATTTTGTGACAAAGATGACAAAAGCAATGGCAGCAAAAGCAAAAATTGACAAATGGAGTCTAATTAAACTAAAGGGCTTCTGCACAGCAAAAGAAACTACCAATAGAGTAAGCAGACAATCTACAGAATAGGAGAACATTTCTATAAACTGCATCTGACAAAGGTTTAATATCCAGCATATAAAAGGAACTTAAACAGTTTTACAAGAAAAAAACAACCCTATTGAAAAGGTGGCAAAGAACATGAATAGACACTTTTCAAAAGAAGACTTACATGTGGCCAATAAACATATGAAAAATAGCTCAACCTCACTGATCATTAGGGAAATGCAAATCAAAACCAAAATGATATACTATCTCACACCAGTCAGAATGGCTGTTATGAAAAACTCAAAATATAACAGATGCTGGTGAGGTTGCAGAGAAAGAGGAATGCTTATACATTGTTGGTGGGAGTGTAAATCAGTTCAACCATTGTGGAAAGCAGTGTGGTGATTCCTCAAAGAGCTAAAAACAGAACTACCATTTGACCCGGAAATCCCATTACTGGGTGTATTAGTCCGTTTTCACACTGCTAATAAAGACATACCCAAGGCTGGGTAATTTATAACGGAAAGAGGTTTAATTGACTCACAGTTCAGCATGGCTGGGGAGGCCTCAGGAAACTACAGTCATGGCAGAAGGGGAAGCAAACACGTCATTCACATGGCAGCAGAAAGAAAATGGTGCTGAGCCAAAAGGGGAAAAGTCCCTTATAAAACCATCAGATCTCATGAGAACTCACTCACTATCATGAGAACAGGATGGGAGAAACCGCCCCCATGATTCAATTATCTCCACCTGATCCCTCCTATGACACGTGGGGATTATGGGAACTACAATTCAAGATGAGATTTGGATGGGGACACAGCTCAACCATATCACTGGGTACATACCCAAAGGAATATAAGTCATTCTATTATAAAGACACATGCACGCATATGTTCATTGTAGCAGTATTTAGAATAGCAAAGACACGGAATCAACCCAAGTGCCCATCAATGATGGACTGGATAAAGAAAATACATTAAATATACACCATGGAATACTATGCAGCCATAAAAAAGCATGAAATCATGTCTTTTGCAGGAACATGGGTGGAGCTGGAGGCCACTATCCTTAGCAAACTAACACAGAAACAAAAAACCACTGGTTCTCACTTGTAAGTAGGAGCTAAATGATGAGAGCACATGGACACACAGAAGGGAACAACACATGCTGGGGCCTTTCAGAGGGTGGAAGGTGGGAGAAGGGAGAGGATCAGGAAAAATAATGGATGGGTACTAGACTTAATCACTGGGTGACTACATAATCTGTACAACAAACCCCCATGACATCAGTTTATCTAAGTAACAAACCTGCACATGCACCCTGAACTTAAAGTACAGGTTTTTATTTCCAAGGCAAATGTAAACAAGCTTTCTATAAGATGCATTATAATCAGGTTATTTTAGTGAATGGCAGCATATGACAGAGAAACACTGAGAATGTATCATTGGAGCATGCTTCTTCCTTTATGGACTCAAAACGCACAGGTGCACATAAGCAGGTATAAAGGTAAATGTAAGCGTGCTTTTTAAATGATTTATTGTAAGCTGTTTTCTTTTCATGAATTAAACTCTTTGACACACACAAAAAAACATGCTGTTTTTGGCCAGGCGGGGTGGCTCACGTCTGTAATCCCAGCATTTTGGGAGGCTGAGGCGGGCAGATCACAAGGTCAGGAGTTCGAGACCAGCCTAGCCAACATGGTGAAACCCCATCTCTATTAAAAATACAAAAATTAGCCAGGTGTGATGGTGCATGTCTGTAATCCTAGCTACTTGGGAGGCTGAGCCAGGAGAATCGCTTGAACCCGGGAGGGGGAAGTTGCAGTGATCTGAGATCGCACCACTGCACTCCAGCAGGGGCAACAAGAACGAAACTCCATCTCAAAAAAAAAAAATGCTTGTTTTTGACAATGTGTCATTTTTTACATTTGTATCCAACATCCTTCTGAGGTCCATGCCATCCCCATCTTATGAGTGGGAAACCGCACCTCACAGGAAGGGCATCATTGGGCCAAGGTTCCGGGCAAGTAGGTGAAGGTGCCACGACACTACATGCTCCAGGGTGGTACCTTCTCTTGCCCCATCCCTGGCTCCTTCTCCCAGGAGAGCTCAGGGCAAAAAGCAGGCTGAGGTTGGTACCACGGGGACCCTCCGCAGGTACGTGATGGCTGATGGGTGGTGTTGAAGGCTGGACAGTCAGCATGATCCTGATGAATTTAATTTTTTTAAAAAAAGGTATCTCTGGCTGATTCCTAACTGCATCTGGGCAACTCACCAGGAACCCAAGCACAGGCTCCCTCCTTACATGCTCACGGCCCTTTCACCACCGCGGAACCCTGGACGGGGCTGCTTTAACTCATTGTACAAGCAGAGTAGCCTCCCCATTACTTTTAAAAATGAGTTATTCAAAGTATTTAGGGAAAGTGTTGGAGCCTGGCAGAGGGCACTCGTGGACAGTCTCTGGAACACCACATGGTGTGCCATCCAACA
This sequence comes from Homo sapiens, assembly GCF_000001405.40. NCBI lineage: Eukaryota > Metazoa > Chordata > Mammalia > Primates > Hominidae > Homo > Homo sapiens. The sequence goes on along the minus strand of NC_000001.11, from coordinate 3,988,200 downwards.
GAGACCCCTCCCCAGGGTGACACTATGATACTAATGCACCATGACCAGAGGAGAGACCACCCGAGCCAGGGGCCCTCCCATCCACCCCAGGGGAACTGTCCCATCCCCGACCCCTCACAGCACCTTTGCTCAGCCCATCCCCAAGCCTGGGCCACCTGTCCTGGAGCCTGGAGCACCTATCCCCAAGCCTGGGCCACCTGTTCCCAAGCCTGGGAAACCTGTCCCCAAGCCTAGGCCACCTATTTCTGAGCCTGGGCCACCTGTCCCCAAGCTAAGCCACCTGTTTCTGAGCCTGGGGCACCTGTTCCCCCTGCCTGGGGCATCTGTCTCCAAGCCTGGGCCACCTGTTTCTGAGCCTGGGCCACTTGTCCCCAAGGCTGGGACACCTGTTTCTGAGCCTGGGTCACCTGTCCCCATGCCTGGTGCTCCTGTCCCTAGCCTGGATCACCTGTCCCCAAGCCTGGGCCACCTGTTTCTGAGCCTGGGGCACCTGTCCCCTCCTCTCTCACTGACAGACACCACCCATCCCTGCAGACTGGATCAAGCCATGCATTGCAGGAAACCTTCCTCTGAGCCTCCCCAGTAACTTCCAGCCCACTTAGAGTCCAAACCCAAACCCCAGCCACCTCCTCTACTGGGAGGCAGACGCATAGCAGAGTCCAGATGTGTGCGCTGATCCCTCATGAAGAAGCACCAGGACACACGGGTCCAGAGGCCAGGGCAACCCACAATTCAGGTTGCATGAGAAAGGCCGACATGGGGACTTGAACATGCTCCCCACACAAGGCACAGCCCTGCCTTCCCTCACCTCCATGTACAGGGGAACCCCTCCCTTACCCCCACACGAGGCACCCCAGGGATTGTGGTGGGCAGAATTCTAAGGCCAGCCCCCAAGCCCCACACCCTCATATGGTGGCCCCCTCAAGTGCAGGGAGACCCAGGAGGCGAGGGGGCATCACCCCCAGGATTATGTCACGTCACACAGCCACAGGGATGCGTGAGGATGTCATCAGGTCCCTAATCAACGGAGTGCTTCAAAGGGAGGGTGTCCTGCTTGGGCCTGCGCTAATCAGGGGAACTCTTAAAAGGGAGTCTAGAGGCTTGAGACAGAAGTCAGAGAGACGTGCCCTGCTGGCCTAGAAGAAAGCAAAAACCCCACTGCGAGCTGTCCATGGTGGCCTCGTGGCAAGGATGTGCAGGCAGTCTTCAGGGTGGACGGCAGCCCCTCCAACAGCCAGCAAGAAGAGGGACCTTAGCACTACAGCCCCGAGGAACTGAATTCTGCCAACAACCTGAACAAGGCTGGAAGAAAACTCCGAACTCCAGAGAGGAGCACAGGCCCAGCCAGCACCCAGATGGCCGCCTGAGGAACCCCCCACCCAGACTCCTAACACACCATGCCCCAGGAGCATCCACAGGGGCGACAGTGACGTAGGCCACAAATGGGTGGCGATTTGCCCCAGGCATAGACAGGCTCAGGGGTGCCTGAGACTGCACCCCATCCCAGGAGCCAAGGAGAGTGAATTTTTATCAAGATACAGCACGATACTGCAAAGGCATCCTTTAAAAAGGTGGCCTGTGTTTTCACCCGGGATGTCAACTTTTGCTTCGTAAAATGTGTTCATCACTTCCGAACCTCGAACAAGAAGTCAGCTTTAGGGTCTGAACGAAAAACAATCTTGGGGTGGGTGAGTGCACCTTGCCTCACAGGGACACTTTGCTTCTACCCGTCATGGCGGGGAAAGTCACGGAGACTCCAGGGACCCAGGTCGGGGACGCTTTCTGCCATTGCATTTCTCTGCCTGGAGTGGCACCAGAAGTTTCTGGAAAGTGATCTGAACCAACATTCAATCCAAAGACACATCAGAAGACTGCACTGGCCCCTCCGACACAGCGTGGGTAATTGACAGGGGTTCTTCCACCACAAACTGCTTTAAAACTCAGAGCTGCAGTGATTTCAGGCCCTGAAGTTCAAATCGTACAGTGATGAATACATCTGAGCAGCCCCTGTGAAAGAGCTGGAGGGTTCGCTATGTTTTTAAATACATATATATATATATATATATATATATATATATATATATATATATATATATATATATATATATGACAGACAAAGCTCCCAGTGGGACCACAACTGTAAGAACAGTGAACACTCTAGCTGTGTGTGGTGGTGCCTGTAGTCCCAGCACTTTGGGAGGCTGAGGTAGGAGGATCGCTTGAGCCCAGGAGTTTGAGGCTGCAGTGAGCTGTGATGGCACCACGGCACTCCAGCCTGGGTGACAGAGCGAAACCCTATCTATAAACTCTCTCTCTCCTCTCTCTCTCTCTCTCTCTCTCTCTGTCTATATATATATGAGAGAGAGAGAGATACAGGGTCTCCCTCTGTTGCCCAAGCTGGACTGCATTGGCACCATCTGGGCTCACTGCAACCTCCACCTCTCAGACTCAGATGATCCTCCCACCTCAGCCTCCCGAGTAGCTGGGACCACAGGCGTGCACCACCACATCTGGCTTTTTTTTTTTTTTTTTTGTATTTTTGATAGAGACGGGGACTCACCATGTTGCCCAGGTTGGGATTACAGGCACGAGCCACCTCACCTGGCCTATATATATATCGATATATATCTTTATATAGATATAGATATACATATAGATATAGATTTTTTTTTTTTTAAAGATAGAGTTTCACTCTGTCACCCAGGCTGGAGTGCCGTGGTGCCATCACAGCTCACTGCAGCCTCAAACTCCTGGGCTCAAGCGATCCTCCTACCTCAGCCTCCCAAAGTGCTGGGACTACAGGCACCACCACACTCAGCTAGAGTGTTCACTGTTCTTACAGTTGTGGTCCCATTGGGAGCTTTGTCTGTCCTGTTTTACAGGACCATTCTGCAAAGCCCCAGAAGATACAGTAAAGGTGAAAGTGGGGCCGCCAGGCACCGGCCAGGGATGGGAAGAGGCTGGGGCAGGGACCTGACCTCCACCTGTGACCCTGCTGGAGCAATATATGGTTTAAATATGAGCTTACATCCTATGAAGGGAGGGACATCACTTTAAATGGTTTTTTTTTATTGCTGTTATTTTGTGGAAGGTTTTTTTGTTTGCTTTTTAATAAACCATGGAGCAGTTTCTCATTCTTACAAGGTCTTTGGGCAGCTCAGAGGTTTAACTGCTTTAGGCCAAACGTGCGAGCACTGGGAGTAGGCACAGGCGAAGCCACCGGGGTGTAGGAAGCCGAACGCTGCTCAGCAAGGAAAACGTAACAATTAGCCTCCATGGCAGAAGTGGGAACAAAAGTTAAAGGTCAGCAATGTGGAACCTTCCTCTCTCCCCGCTCCTTCTGGACGTCTCTGGAACTGGTGTTCCCTGATCATACAAGGGCCTCAGATCCCCTGACCGCGGTAACGCGCCGGCTCACGGGTGCTTCCCCAGCCTCAAGCTCATGACTTTGTCCTGGTGGGTAGCCCCCCCAAAAAAACACAAATGCAGTCCCTCCAGCAGTTTAGATGGGAGAGACCAAGGTGTTCTTTCTTTGTGACACCTGGCCAGGAGTCCATTGCAGGGCCAGCTCTCGGAGCTGTAGTCAAACAGCTTCATTCAGACAAGCCAGAAGAGGGGCTGGGGTGTCTCTGTCTCGCAGGCAGCTTCCCTGAAACCCATTTCCAAACAAGAAGGGAAGAATCACTTTCTAATAAAAGAAGAGCAGAATTGACCACTCTGGTTTCATTGAGAGGTTGTTCAGCAAGACTTCCTCTTCTTGAGGGATGGTTCTGGCCGGAAAATGTCATAACAACAAAAATAGCTAACATTTATTGAGGGCAGATGGTGTGCCCAGTACTTCACGGATATGACTTCATTGGAATCCTTACTTTAAACCTCAGGATAAAGTGCTCTTTCTTTCTTCATTTCACAGCCAAAGAAACAGGCTTGGGTAGCTGGTGTGACCTCTTCAAGTCCCCACGGCTTTACAAGGGGACAGGAGCACAGGCGGCTGATGCCAAAGGGGCAGCCCTTATCCCTTTCTTCCCTGGAGAGAAGCAAGGCTTTTTATTATTATATTATCCTTATTACAAAAATAATATGTTTTAGATCATTTTTAAAAGAGGTGTAGCCGGGCACAGTGGCTCATGCCTGTAATAGTAGCACTTTGGGAGGCCAAGGCGGGGGTGGATCACTTCAGGTCAGGAGTTCGAGACCAGCCTGGGCAATGTGGTGAAACCCCGTCTCTCCTAAAAATACAAAAATTAGCCAGGAGTGGTGGTACGCACCAGTAATCCCAGCTACTCAGGAGGCTGAGGCAGGAGGATCATTTGAACCCAGAGGCGGAGGTTGCAGTGAGCCGAGATCTCGCTATTGCACTCCAGCCTAGGCAATAAAGCAAGACTCCGTCTCAAAATAAATAAATAAAAGAGATGTAAAAACGCCTTCAGCTCATACACCTTGCCACCGTCCAGCTATAATACCCCTGTAATAATCATGATGATGTCTGAGAGTCGATTCTTTCAATATTTTCTATAGTTTTTTTTATAAAAATGGGACTGAACACTGTATACATTCTTTTTGCTCCTGGTCTTCTTTTTCCCGTGATCCAGGTGGTTTTACCCCCCAGGGTCTCTTCTTCTTCCTCCTCCCTCTTGCTTGCCGCCCTCTCGTTGTGGGGAAACTGCAGATTGTTTTCTTCGCCATGTCCCCTCCTGCTGGGACCTCAGAAGCTGCTGCCATTCAGTGAGCCACTGCCTGTGGTTGCCATGGGAAGGGATGCTAGGAATTCAAGTTCCTGGAGCCTCAACCACATTGGCAGGAACCGCCTCACCCAGACAGCTCCCCCAGCTCAGAGACCCCAAGCCTCGGGGTCCGAGAGCCACCCAGAGCGGAGGCAGAGAGGAAGTTGGAATCAAAACCCCATAAGCCCGTCTCTTCCCCATACCAGTGCTTCAACCCATGGAGCTGACAATCTTAAAACAGGAATTTTAAAAATAAGGAAAGCAAGAAGGGGAAGAGAAGCCAAGCGGTGGGAAAGATCCACACCCCTCAACAGGAGTCACTCTCTGTCCGAAGCCTGCTCTGCCAGCCATCCTGTCTTTACTCCTGGAATGCCATCACTGGCTTGGCTTTACAAGGGCCGCCATGGCAAAGCACCACAGCCCGGCGGCTTAAACACGGACACTTACTGCCCCACAGTCCTGCAGGCTGGAAGTGAGATCAAGGCACGGGCAGGTTGGTTTCTCCTGAGGCCTCTCTCCTTGGCTTGCGGATGCCATCTTCTCCCTGTACCCACAGGTTCGTCCCTCTGTGTGTGTCTGTGTCTCCATCCCCTCTTCTTATAAGGACACAATCATAATGGGTTAGGGCCCACCCTAATGATCCCATTTTAACTTAATTCTGAAAAAACTATAAATACAGTCATACTCTGACATCCTGATTACTAGGACTTCAACATACAAATTGGGTAGGGGACTCTATTGACATTTTGGATACACACACACACACGCACCACAACTGAAAATAGCTCCAAACATTGCCAAATGTCTCCTGGGAGGAGGGCTTACAATACCACCCCCTCCCTGAGAGCCATCGCCTAGACCTGAAAGGAAAGGAAGACCCACAGGGGATGCTGTGGCCTCCCCAAGCCCCACAAGACTCCAGACAGAGGAGGAACTTGGCCGCTGGCTCACGCCGGGCTGGCCTCATTCACCACCCTGTGGGGAAATCTAGGCATGTGGCTTCAACAGTGCAAAGGAACACTGCCAGGTCCCCAGGTCCCCGCACGCCTGCTGAATCTGTGATCCCATCACAGAGATGGAGCACCTGGAAGCATCAGCGATGCTGACTTGCAAAGCTGCACAGAGCCGTGGCCACCAAGCCCAGCTCCCTCACTTCCTGAAAGTGCAGAGACAGGGAACCACTTGCCCAAGGTCACACAGAGTTCCACCTGACAGGACTGCAGCCTGGTCTCCTGGCGCTCGGCCCAGTGCTCTCCAAATGGCCACAGGCTCTGGGCACCCAGGCAGACCCTGGCATGGACACCTCCCCTCTGGGGTCTCAGCAAAATCCCCAGCAGGCACCCTGGCCAGACAGAGAGCCAGAAGGGGCCTGCCTAGACTCTGGGGAAAGATTTCCCAGGAGGGACCCCAGGAGAAGGGCTTGAAAATTCCCCCCACCCACCCACAGGGAATGAGCAGCCCGACCCACTGCCTGTGAGGGTCCCCGCTCTCCCAGATGCAGCGTTTCCCTCCTGCCCACACACCCCTTGGAAGGTACAGCCCTTCCTGCCGGAGGCCCCCAGGGCCCCTCACCTCATGCCTCCACACATCCTCCTCCCCCTCCTGGCCACTCTGCCAGGCCATCGAACGGGAGAGGGAAATTAAATCTGAGCCTTGATTTTGTGAGGAAAATAATGAAAGTGCCCAAGGTGAAGTGAATCAAGAAAAATGATACAAGTGACTGGTTAAAATAAATGTTATTAAAGGAACAGGGAGGGAGAGGCTTGAGTGAATGTCCACGTGGGGAAAGAGATGACAAATTTCACATCTTGTGATCAAAGCTCCATTTCTCTTCACGTGCAGTTCCCAGGCTGTGAATGCTTGGGCCCAGCCAACCCTTCCAAAGCCAACAGCTCAAAGCCAGCAACTCAAGGACCATGCCGGAGAAACATGGTCCCTAACAGATTCAGTGGCTCCCAAGACACATCGGCCCCAGTGAGCAACAGATCACAAAGGTGTGAGCCGGGCTTGTAAACATACGCAGGCCTTGGGCCAGAAGCCCAACAGGGTTGGAATGCATGCTGCCTCTCCTTCCTAATCCTTTTGAGCTGCTTTTGCTGGGAATGTGCCACTTCCAGGGGGCTCTTCAGCTTGTCTTCTGAGCAGTGAGTCTTGTTAGAGGCAGCTGGGACATTGGTGAATCATAAGCCTGATTTGAAGGGACTGGATGTCCAGGCTCTGTGATTCCCAAACTCCTGCCACCTACAGCCCTGCTGAGAACTCCCTTCAGCTCAGAGCCTTCCCTGCAGATTAACCCTGCAGGCCTTGGGAAGGGAATCTAAGTGAGATGGCTTCTCCGTCCCCTCTGCCTTCTTCCTGCCTGGGATGTGTATGCAGTACCTGGAAGCAGTGCAGCCATTCTGCAGCCTTGAAGATTAAATGCACCTGCTATGGAGGGCAGGACAAGGGAAGGGGCCTGGGTTGTGTCTCAGCCCTGCACCACTTTCCTCTAAACATCTTGTCACAAAGATTTAGGGACAGCAAAGAGGAGGGGAGAGAGGACAGCCAGGACATAAAAGTGACACCAACGGCAAGGAGGGAAAAGAGTCCAACACTTCAAAATGGTCTCCCGGGGTATGGGCAAGAAGAAGCCACAGAGTTTGTCCTGTTTCCTGAGTGGCTGATGCCTTATCATTCTTCAGGTCTCAGATCAAAACACTTGATTGGAGAAACCCACCCTGATAACCCCAGCTAAAATACCCACTGTCACCCTCCCCACGACCCTGCACACTCTGTGAGGTGGGCAACTCTTCATCTGTCTCACCACTCCAGATGGATGATGGATGGATGGATATAGGGTGGATGAGAGAAGGATGGGCAGATGATGGATGGATGGATGATATGGATGGTTTGGCTGTGTCTCCACCCAAATCTCATCTTGAATTGTAGTTCCCATAATCCCCACATGTCGTGGGAGGGACCCAGTGGGAGGTAATTGAATCATGGGGGAAGTTACCTTCATGCTGTTCTCATGATATTGAGCTCTCATGAGATCTGATGGTTTTATAAGAGGCTTTCCCCCTTTGACTCAGCACTTCTTCTTGCTGCTGCCATGTGAAGAAGGACATGTTTGCTTCCCCTTCCACCATGATTGTAAGTCTCCTGACAGCTCCACAGCCATGCTGAACTGTGAGTCAATTAAACGTCTTTCCTTTATAAAGTACCCAGTCTCGGGTATGTCTTTATTAGCAGCATGAGAACAGACTCACACAGATGAATTAATAAATGCCCAGGGATCTTCCTCATGTACCACAGTGCCCTTCAAACACAAACTTGTTTAAATAAAATGTAGTGATTGTTTAATTTGGAGCAACAAGGCAGAAAAATCTATCTAAACCATGAGGACTGTCACAGAGAGGAAGGCACCGCAAACACTCACGCAGGTCAGACCAGACTTTGGCAAATCGCCGGTCCTGTCTGTGCCTGTTTCTCAAGGGGGCTCCTTGGCCTATAAAATCAAATGGTTTTGTGGCCAAGTTCAAGAAAGCCATATTTTCCAAAACCTACAGCTCAGAAAAGCTGATCACTCTGAGACTCCAAGGAATGGGAGCTTCTGGCTGCAAATCCTTGAAACACAAGAAAGAAATAGCTGCTGGACTGGGAGTAGGCTGGGGTTCTGGACGGGGCTCCCCAGCATCCTTCCAGAGTGGGAAGCAATTGAGCTGAAGGTTGGTTCTGAGTGAGAAGGCCCTTCCAGGAGAGCTGGTGGGTGCTACATTCAGTTGTCAGGGGACCCAGAACTGCAGGATGGTGTTCCACGGCCTCCACCAGGCTGCAAGATGTACATGGCCCTTGTTATAGGCCGGAGCCATGAGTCTCTGCCACAGGCACAGCCTTCCTGGGCAAATGCCTCCCTGATGGTGTCGGGAGAAAGGGAACTTCATTACACAGATTAATAAAACATAAATATGAGCTTGGAAATCTAATAATAGCTGGTTTACATGCTAACGAGCCCTCAAAGCAGCAAGTTCAAGGTCTCTCCATGACCAAGCAGAGCACCGAGAGGGCCTGGGGCTCATGGCAGGGGAGCTCTTGTCTCTTGCTTTGTCACTTACCCGCTAGGGAGCCTTCACCCCACAAAACAGATACATGGATAACAAATGACATTTCTGCTAGGTAAATCTGATTTTCCCATGACGTTCATAATGAAAAACAAGGACATGTTCCCATAGAAAAGAAAAAAGCCCACTGACTGTTAGTGGGAAGGGCTAAGGACTGGCTCCTTCTTCAGCACGGTGAGGGAGTAGCGCCACATGTGCTGCCAGGGCTGGGGACAGCTCTACACACTCAGTGGACAGCAGACACGTGTCCTGCAGCAGCTGGCCCGGGGCCGGGCCCTGGCGGGACCTCACTACATGTTTATTGAGCTGGATTGGAGCAGCTGTCTCAGCAAGCCCTGCGAGCCTGTTTACAGCGCTCACCCTTCTGACCCCATTACCCACCCACTCCGGCTCTCAAAAGCCCCTCCACTTTTGACCTTCAGATCCCACAGCCAGTCATCAGCAAAATCCCCTGTACCTCCAAGCACTCCTCTAGAGGGTCCCTTCACCCACTGCCTCCAGCAGGGCCCTGGCTCTCTCCCCCATGGTGCACGCCTCCCCTGCTCTGTCTTAGCGGGGGACCGCTTTCCCTCCCACGGCCTCGGCCCACAGAGCTGAAGCTGGGTGGGTGGCCTTCTGCTTTTTACGGTGGCTTTCAGACTACACTGGTGAGCTTCTGCTCACTATCTAACAAATGACCAAAAACCAGCGGCACTAAAGCTACACACCACAGTCACAGTGGTTCCTTCCCACGAATCTCGGGTTGTCTGGGTGAATTTTCTGGGCCCTGCTAGTCCTGGCTGGGCTCTCTCACGTGTCATGCTCCCCAGGCTGGTGGGTTAGTGGCTGGATAATCTCGCTGGGCTTCCTCACCCGTTCTGCACGCAGCAGACCATCGGCCAGGGCTCCCCAGTTCTCCCCCGGGCAGCATCTCACCTTCTAGCAGGCTGGCTTGAGCCTGTGCCCGTGGGAGCCTTGGGACTCCAGGCCCAGCAAAAGGACAAGCCCCAGTGGACATGGGCTTTCCAGCCTTCGACTCTAATGTCCCACTGGTCAAAGCGAGGTACGCAGCCAAGCCCGGAGTCTGTGAGGGACCCCGCCCCACCAAGAGCAGAGACACAGGGTGGGAGTGGGGTCATTTTTGCCAACAGTCTATGCACAGACCCCGTTCCCTCCCTCCACAGTCAAAGCCTCCTTTCTGAGTCCCATGTCAGTGGGGGTGGTGGCCCCCATCCCCTTTGCCAAGTCCCCCTCCAGCCCTGGTTCCTGGAAGGCTCAGCTTTTGTCACTCATGCCCTGCCCCCGTCCCACTCCCACCCAGTCATGAGGAGTCTGACTCCTCTCAGCCCCTCCTCCATTTTGGCCCTCACCGAGCATTGGCTGAACTCCTCCCTCATGGCCACGCAATGTCAGACACCCTCACAACCACTGCTGCCATCCTCCTGGCCCCTCCCTGGGCCACGCCGACTGCCACAGCCCTTCCCCTCAACCCCTGTGGCCCTCCCTGCACTTCTGCCGCCGACTCCCACCCCTCCAACAGCTCCTCAGCCCCCCTCGCATTTGCTTCATCTTTAGAGGTCTCCTTGCAAGACCCTCATGCCCTGTCGCTTTGGCAGCCTGCAAAACTTCAGTCCCAGGGACAGTCGCCCATCCCCCAACTCGCAGCACCCGCATCCTTCGGCTCAACGAGGATGAGGAACAGCTCATGCCATCGGCCTCACTTTACATTCAGCCCATGCATCTCAAGGGGGCCCCTCATCCTCCCTGCTGGCCCGGCCCCCAGCCCCTCCACACGCTAGTCTCCTGAGTGGTGGCATCATGTCACTGTCTCAAATGGGAGTTTCCAGGAGGTTCCACAACCCACCTCAGTGCCCATGCCTTCCACCTTCTCCCTTGTCACCCCAGGGGCCAGTCCAGGCCCCTCTCCAGCGCCAGCCCTCCCACTGTGCACTAAGTTCACCCCCTCGACCCTGCCCAGGCCATCACCCCAGCAAGCCTGCTTCCGTCTGCTCCCTCGTGGGATAGTCCCTCTGCCACGTCATCCCCAGCAACATACGAAACTCACCTGCCGCTGTTTTTCCCCTTAACTGATAAGCACACAGCACACAACGCACAAGGCACAGCTCCCTCCTAGCTTCCCCCGTTCCCCCACTCCCCTCTACAGAGAAAAGGCTCATAAGAGCCATCCACGCCTATGATCTCCACTCCCTCTCCCGCCACCGTCTCTTGCGCCCACTCACTCTGAGCATGACCTCCACGCTGCCACCCAACTTCTTGGCCAAGGTCGTCAGTTACCTCCACGCTGCTGACGACGGTGGCCCACGCCAGGTTCTCAGCAGCAGCCCGCAGCCGCGTGATGGCTCCTGTCCGCTGGGCGTGCTTTCCTCCCGCGTCCTCCAAGACGTCACACCTTTCTGCTTTGCCATGCACTTCTGTGGTCACTCCTTTGCTCAGGGTCACTGCGTGTGGCCACACAGGTGGGCCCTGCACAGTTCCAGGGGTGCGATTCACATGGCCTGCGAGGTGAATGGTGACCCCGTAGTCAGGGGACGTGGCTGCTTTGCCCTTGTGGATCCCACTCCTCCCCTGCCTCCTAACAGTGGGACCCGGGTTTTCATTCTGGGATCTCTCCCTCTCTCTGCCCACTCACCCCTGGTGAGCGCGTCCAGCCTCAGCCCTACACTCAAATCTCCCGAAAGCACGTTTTCCATCTGTGATCTTTCCTCCAAATGTCAGGTCCACTTTTCCTAAAGATTCCCCAGTAGCGCCACTGGGATGTCCAATAAGCATTGCATATTACCGCGTCCAAATCCACATTCCCCAGAGCTGTCCCCAGCCATCTCTCAGCTCAGCGGCAACTCCATCTTCCAGTCCCTCCAGCCCAAAACAATGAAATCAGACCATGTTACTCCTCTGCTCGAAACCCTCACATGGCTCCTGGCTCACACAGAGCAAGAGCCAAGGTCACCAGAGCCGCCCTCCAGGCCCTCGGGACGCGGCTTCAGCGTCCCTCGCTTTCCTCTCCCTGGCTCCGCTCCGGCCTTCGGGCCTCCTGTCTGCTCCTGGAGACTGGCCATGTGTTTCTGCCCATATTCACTTATTCTCACACTGCGATAAAGATACCACCCGAGACTGGTAATTTATAAAAGAAAGATGTTTAATTGACAGTTCTGCATGGCTGAGGAGGCCTCGGGAAACTTACAATCATGGCAGAAGGCAAAGAAGAAACAAGCACCTTCTTCACAAGGCAGCAGGAAAGACCAAAAAGCCGAAACCGCCATTTATAAAACCATGAGATCTCGTGAGAACTCACTCACTATCACGAGAACAGCATTGGGGAAACCGCCCCTGTGGTCCAATCACCTTCCACTAGGTCCCTCCCTCCACACGCGGGGATGATGGGGATTACAACTGGAGATGAGATTCGGGTGGGGACACAGCCACACCCTCTCAGTGCCTCAGGGCACTTGCACTTGCTGTGCGTCTGGCTGGAGTGCTCTTTCCCTGCTGTCTGCAGGGCTCCTCCCTCCCCTCCTCCAGGTCTGCACCTATTCCTGGCCCTCTCAGGAGGCCTTCCCTGGTCACCTGCTTCCAATCGCGGCTCTCCTCTCCGTTTGCCTCATCCCTTATGCCTTCTCCACGGTACTCAGCCTCAAACAGAAACACATTTTACTTTTTAAAATACTGTTGCTGCCTCCACTGGCATGCCAGCTCCACGAGGGCAGGGCTTTGTCTGCTTTGCTGACCATGGCACCCTAGACAGCCATGCCTGGCACCCAGTAAGTGCTCAGTAAATCTTTTTGAGTGAATAATTAACATCTAAATGAAGACTCATGCTAAAGGCACAGTGGCAGCGTCCCTCCCTTCCCCAGGGCAGCCATCTCTCCAGGTGCTGCAGGTCGTCTGCCTTAACTGGCTCTTCTCTTCTGGCGGGCTTCCCCTCAAATTCCTGGGAGCAGCCCCTGCTACCAAAGGCATCTGGCGCTGAGTCCCCAGGGTAAACCCTGGAGTGTCTGTCAGTGCCCCAGCAAGGATGCCAAGCCTTAAAGGAGAGCCCTAGAACTATTCCTGCTCTGGGAGTCTGGGCCTGGGGGAGTGTGTATGTGGGGGCATGCCTCTGTGTGTGTGCCCATTCATGTAGGTGCATGTATGTGGTTGTGCATGTTTGCATGTGTGTGTACATGTGTGCCCTGTGTGAGTGTGTGCATGTACATCTGTGCATATGTGCATACATGTGTGCTCTATATAAGCATGTGCATGCTTTGTGTGTGTGAGCACGCATGTATTTGCATGTATCGTTGTGCATGCGTGTACATGTGTGCCGTGTGCGTATGCTTATTGTGTGTGCACATGCATATATGTGCACACATGCACTGTATAAGTGCATGTGTGCTTATGTGCGTGCATGTATGTATGTGTATGTGGTTGTGCATGTGTGCCCTGCATCAGTGTGTGCCTGCTTATGCATGTATGCACATGCATGTATGAGCATATGTGTGGTGGCACATGTGTGTGTACATGTATGCCCTGGGTGTGTGCATGCTTATGTGTGTGTGATAGTGCATGTGTGCCCTGGGTGTGTGTGATGTGTGCACGTGTGTGCACATGTGAGAGTGTGGGAGGCTGCTGGGAGGCAGCTTACTCCCAAACTCATACTGTCCTCAGGCCATCTCACACCCCTGAGGGGAGAAGGGGGACCTGGGTGTCCCTGTCCTGAAACAGATCTGGAAGTCACCTTCCACTGAGGCGATGAGAGTGAAGGGCAGTACCCACCCTGCTCTGGCCACACCCCTGAGTCAGGACCCACTGCCTGCTCAGCACACAGTTCTCCTCCAGGGGAAAATTCCCTTTGCTTGAGGCATTCTCTCTCTCTCTCTTTTTTTTTTTTTTTTTGAGGCAGGGCCTTGCTCCATCACCCAGGCTGGAGTGCAGTGGCACGATCTTGGCTCACTGCAGCCTCGTCTCCTGGGTTCAAGCAATTCTCTGGGATCACAGGTATGTGCCACCATGCCCAGCTAATTTTTGTATTTTTAGTAGAGATGGGGTTTTACCATGTTGGCCAGGCTGGTGTCAAACTCCTGACCTCAAGTGATGATCCACCTGTCTCAGCCTCCCAAAGTGCTGGGATTACAGGCGTGAGCCACTGCGCCCGGCTTTGAGACTTTCTCTTTCTGAAGATAAATGTCTGCTGACCTCACAACCGATGATGCCTCTCCCCCACCCACACCACCCACTTGCCCCATCTGCTCACTGCACACGGGGACCAGAGCCCCAATTCCCAAACTCCCCTCAGACAGAAACAACTGGGACTAGCAGCTTCTGGGGAGCAAAGCTCAGCTCACTCTGCCTTTTCACCCTTGTTTTAAGGTCAAAAGGAGAAAAATCGCTCCTCAGTTCTATGTTTCACCTGTAACTAACCCTGGAACTAAATTAGTAGGTATTTTCTGCTTTATTTGGGTACAGTCAAGCTGGATGATCAGGCCCCACAGCCACCGATCTCCCAGGATGTCAAACGTTATGGGCTGCTCCATATTCACTCTCCAAGTCCCTCTAGACACCATGGGGAATATGGTCCCTGACCATGCTGGAGTCCCCATAGACACCGTGGGGAATATGGTCCCCGAGCATGCTGGAGTCCCCCCAGAAACTGTGGGGAATATGGTCCCCGACCGTGCTGGAGCCGCCCTAGACACTGTAGGGAATATGGTCCCCGACCGTGCTGGAACTGCCCTAGACACTGTGGGGAAGGGTCCCTGACCGTGCTAGAGTCCCCATAGACACTGTGGGGAATATGGTCCCCGACCGTGCTGGAGTCCCCCTAGACACTGTGGGGAAGGGTCCCTGACCGTGCTAGAGTCCCCCTAGACACCATGGGGAATATGGTCCCCAACCGTGCTGGAGTCCCCATAGACACTGTGGGGAATAGGGTCCCCGGCCGTGCTGTAGTCCCAATAGACACTGTGGGGAATATGGTCCCCGACTGTGCTGGAGTCCCCATAGACACTGTGGGGAATAGGGTCCCCGACCGTGCTGGAGTCTCAAACGTCCAGTCAGCCCTGTGCACAGGAGCCCCTGAGCTGCAGTGGAAGACACATTCTTTGCACAAGGAATTGTTCTGGACATCTAGTAAGAGTAGAGAACTTGACAGGGCACAGTGGTGCATGCCTGTGATCTCAGGACTTTGGGAGGCCAATGAGGGAGGATCGCTTGAGCCCAGGAGTTTGAGGCCAGCTAGGGCAACAAAGTGAGACCCTGTCTCAATCAATCAATCAATCAATCAATAATTTTTAAAAGAATAGAGAATTTACCTTTGGTTGAATTCTTGGTAGTACAGCAGAGTGGTCATCTACACAAACTCTGGATCCAAAATACTGTGGCCAAAATCCCAGCTCTCCCACTTACTCTGTGTGACCTTAGGTAAGTTTCTCCACCCCTCTGTTCCTCACCTTCCCAATCTGTAAAATGGGTGACAATAATGAGCACCAACTGATATAGTTTGGATGTGTGTCCCCTACAAATCCCATGTTGAAATGTGACCTCCAGTGTTGGAGATGGGCCTGGTGGGAGGTGTATGGGTCGTGGGGACAGATCCCTCATGAATGGCTTGCTGCTGTCCTCACAATAACAAGTGAGTCCTCTCTCTATGAGTTCATGTGAGACCCGGTTGTTTAAAAACAGCCTGGCACCTCCCTCCTGTCTCTTGATCCTTCTCCCACCATGTGATATGCCAGCCCCCTCTTCACCTTCTGCCATGACTGTAACCTCCCTGAGGCCTCTCCAGGAGCAATACTGTAACCTCCCTGAGGCCTCTCCCTGTGCAGCCTGCAGAACCATCAGCCAAAATAAACCTCTTTTCTTTATAAGTTACCGTGCCTCAGGGATTCCTTTATAGCAACACAAACAGACTAACACATCTACCTTCTAGGGTATTGTTAGGAGCCAATGAGTTAACACCTATAAAGCTTCTCTGTGCTTAGCACAATGACAGACTTGCACCTATTCTTTTAGAAACCTAGAAAGAAACAGATCAGGTGTTGGATCAGGTACCAGGTGATCACATTTTCCAACTAGTTTGGAGCCTCAGCTCTAGTATTCTCCATCCTCATGAGTCATTCACTAGGACTTTCAACCCAAACCTCTACAGAGTAATGACCAGCAGGAAAAAGAAGCAGCTGCTAAGTGCTGGTTCCTTTTTGATCTTTATTTAAAGGAGGATTAGGAAATCCTGCAGAACTGAAAAGCCTGAAGTGAGGCTATGGTAAGGACAGAATTTTTTTAATCGAGCAGATCAAAGAGGGAGGTAGCTCCTGGTGCTCCCAACATCTGAAGCCATTCTTTTAATCACGCTTCAGACTGCCTGGAGGTTGGCGGGACGACGGTGTGGCTCACCATCCCCAAGCCTGTGTGCTTTCCAGGCAATGAACCACAGAGCTTGATCTTTTTTCCCTACACACCAGGAAAAGGAAAAGAAGGTAGCTTTTGTTAAGCCTCATGCAGGGCCAGCAAGTTGCCCGTGTCACCTCATTAATCCCATGACAACCCTATGGGGTGAAAAATGTTATGCCCTTGTTGGAAACGAAGGAGCCAGGCCTCAGAGAGACTCTGTCACTTGTTCAAGGTTATACAAGACAAATGGGAAGTGAGAGTCACCTCAAGGTCCACTCCCCACACAGGCTCTTCCCACTGCCCCCGGGGAAATAGCCTTTGGTCCTGGGCTCTCAGAAAATTCAAAGACAATTTGGGAATTGTTTACATCCTCAAATCTTCTGTCCTCCATTTTTTCTTACTGGTGTCCTGGGGGGGCCCCAAAGTAGAGAAGCCACCACGGGTTGCCCCTGCATTTGCTGAAGTGCTCAGGAAGTTCCACCCAGGAGCCACCTGCTCTCTAACGTCCCCTTTGCCCACCTGGTCTTCAGATCTTTCCACACCTGGGCTGTCCAGTCCCACTCTGATGGGCTTCTGCAGTTAGCAAGGTCAAGACCATAGTATATTTTTCAGAGAGCCACATGCCGCCCTCAGCAAGCACTCCCAGGTCCCTCATTCATGAAGGGGGAACATGAAGGTTGGTGCAGGCAGAAGAGAAAACTAGGACAGACTTTTCAGAAGTGGAGGAAAAAGTAATACCCTTCACAGGTGAGCTGCTGAAATCGTCCCACAGGGGAGCATTTTGTTTTTGATGAAACAGCTGACATTTGCCTCCAGGAGTCCAAACTGAGAAAAATGGAGTAGGCAGTACTTATCCCAGCCAGGGATTACAGTGTTTTGGCCTGACACCCCCTGGGGCCCCAGCAGACTACTCAACCGAAATACAAAAACAGGAGTTGATGTGATGTTTTATCCATGCACAGCGTGACAGCTGGCTGTCTGCTTTTTCCTGCATAAACAGGAGTTGACAAACAAGTTATAAGCAGGTGCCCAGCTGGTGTACTGCCGTCTGCTCTCCTGATACAGATGCTGTGTGCCCCCATTCATGGAAACCCATAGGGACTTTGGAGGTTGGGTTGAAGTGCCAGGACCACAGGGAACAGAAATGAGGTTTGTGGAACAAAGGCATGGTCCATGGCAGGCAAGGTTTCAGCAGTTGACATGTTCGAACATTGTAGAAGCCTTCCGGATCCAAATCTGCCTGCTGGGAGTAGCAGATGCTGGTGATATTTCACACCTTAGTGCCTCAGCCCACTTGACCTCAGCACTATTGGCATGGACAAGTCCCCCACCTCAGGAACCCTGCATCTCTCTGCTGTTTGGAGTCAGAGCTTTCTCTGATGCAATAGAGGCTGCTCTGCCTTTCACTGGCACAGCCCAGAGGCATGGGAAGGGGACATTCCCAGAGGTAACCTGAAAGAATAGGGGACGGGAGTTGATGGACAAATGGCCCAGCCTCGCTTCCTTCAGAAGCACAATAATGAGAGGCATTCTACACGGTGCCCAGAGTCCCCAGTAGAACTAGAGCTCAGTTGAACACATCATCTCAATAGAAAATGCTTTCATTGAACTTTCCTCCTGCCCTATTCCACCCCCACTATCCCTGCTTCTACCCCCTGGGATCACCGGTCCATGAAAGTAGCTGCATCCAAGACCTTGTCTCAGACTCTGTTTCTAGGGAATCCAAACTTAACGAAGAAAGCAATCCTCAGAATAGAATAGTGGAACTGGACTGTTCCCTGGAAAGACAGCAACAAAGACTTCATGACGGGGTCTTCAGGGATGTTAATCACTTAAGTTAACATGTTAAGCACTTCCTCATGAGCAGTTCAGTGCACATTGATGGGATCTTGCTTCAAGTCTGTGCTGCCTTGACTCTCCACTTTTCTGCCCCAAGACTTTCTCCAAAACTGCAGAATATCCCCCACACGGGGACAACCCTCAAATGTTGAAGATTGGGAGTTGATGGATAAATCCCTAGGTGATGTTAAGTGTGACAATAATCCCTCTAAACTATAAAATATTTTGCCTGTAGTGTGTTGGGATGAGGTCCAGGCAAAAGGAAAGCATTGGCTTATACACTAACTAGCACTTGAAGTGTATGAAAGCAGTGGTAGTTATAATGATGGGAGAGTTTGCTGGGTTTTGTTAACTGCCTTAGATTTGATGAAAGAGAATGACAAGCTCAGGTCAGCCAATTATCAGCTCAGGCTATGCTGTCAAAGCCAGAACGCCTCCATAGCAGCATTTACAGTGACCCTCATCTCTTGCAGCCAGAGGGCAGATGGTGCTGAAAATCAGGACTGTAATTAAATCTAAAGGTGGAAAAACCATAAAAGAGACTGAATGCATAGCCTTGACAGGTCTCCAAGGCTAATGTCAGGGATCAATATAGAAAGAGTGGGACCCTGAGTCCAGGGATGGAGACATGTGGAAGAATGCACCTGAGAATTTGGGACCTTATCCATTGACCCCTCCAAACTGAAAGAGGGAACTTTCTCCCCCTTTCTAGAGAGGAAAACCCTCTTAATTGGTGACTATGAAAAGGCAAGCCTTCATCTGATAATGCTCCGTAAGGTGATGCTTCTTATCCTCGGGTTCCCTCTTCCGCTCCTCATTACCTCCGGACCAATAACTAGTGTCAGTGATCAGCATATTCCAAGCAGGCTCTGAGAAATCTAGGATGAGTGGTGAAGGAAAGAGCTGCTGAATTTCAGTTATGACCGCTCAGGGCCTGCTACAGCAGCAATACTAGCTATGTTTGACAGATCCCTCCGGCTTAAGCCTTTCATTAGGGAGTTCAACTGGCCACTACGTTAAAGATTCAGTGACAGAGGGAACATAAGGTGGGGTATGTGCAGATTAACAGTTAAGGGGCGGACTGTAGCAGGCTCCCCTTGGCCCGCCCGATTTCAGCACTGCTATCGTGGACAGTTCCGTGCATGTTGATGGGGTCTTCGTTCAAACCTGGGCTGCCTTGACTCCCTGCTTTTCTGCACCAGGGCTTTCTCCAAAGCTGCAGAATGTCCCACACACAGAGACAACCTTCAAATGAAATTGGGAGTTGGTGGATAAATGCTCCCACCTTGCATCCTCCGGAGAGCAATTCTAAAATGCCTTCTACAAAATTCCTCACAGGGTCTCCAGCAGAATTAAGATCTAGCTGTCCACAGCAGTAACTAGCTCAACAATGAATCCTTGATTTATTCTTCCCTCCCCTCCTGTCCCACTACCATCAAGCTACTCTCCAGCTTCCTGGGAATCTACTCTCCATTAAGCTCCCTGTGCTGCAGCCCTTGCCTCAGGCACTGCAAGTGGGACATCCAGAGACATCGGATAATGTTTTTGCTTTGTCCATTAGCCAGGGGCCACTCACAATGTGTAAAATTCTGCCCAGGGTAGAGGAAAGGCAGGAGCCCTTGGGTAGCCCACTCTGTGGTTAGGCCAGACATGGATATGTGAATGATTCCAGAGATATCCAATTTGTATCCATTGCATTGGCTTTAATTGTCCATGATTTAAATCATAATACTTATTGATCATCCCTACTTTCTGGGGGTATAAAGTTCTTAGGTTGCCTCAGTTTACTTTGGCTCATAAGACCCCTCCTGAAGTGGCTCCTTGTGACCTCTATGACCTCATGTCTCCTTCCCAGTCCCACCGAGACACTCCACATCCAGTCATGTAGAGTGACTCCATTCCTGTCATGCCTTACACACTCTCTTCTTCTGGTCCAAGCCCCAGGACTTAGCTACCTGGAGGAACTCTGTCTCTCCGCACCTGAGCCCTGATCCCATCCTAGACCTATTCTAACCTAACTATCTTTCCAGTGCCCTGTCACTCTCTTTGCCAGCTTGTGCTGGGCATCCCTCCTAGGTGCTCCAGGGACTCCTCATGCCTAGCCTGTCTGTCATACCTATAACAACCTTTTGACTTTCTCTATTGACTTGTGCATATAAACCATGGTATTATGAGCTTTATGAGAACAAGAACTATGTCTCACCCATTCTTGTAACCTCAAAACCTAGCACCTTTTAGGGCATGTATCAGGTGTTTAGTAATGTTTGCTTTTTAAAAAGTTAGGTGGGTACAAAAGTCATATCTACAAGATGTCATAATAGTCCATTCATGCACGTGTTATTTTAATGGGGCTGCTGTAACAATGTACCACAAATAGAGCAGTTTAGTAGAACAACAGAAGTTTATTCTCTTGTGGCTCTGGAAGCTACAAGTTTAAGATCAACATCTGAGCAGGGTCACAGTCACTCAGATACTCTGGGTAGAATCCTTCCTTGCCTCCTCCAATTTCTGGTGTGGTCATTAACCCTTGGCATTCCTCAGCTGGCAGCTGCATCACTCTGATCTCTCTGCCTTTATTATCTCAAGGCATTCTCTCTGTGTGTAAACTTGTGCAAAGTCACCAATAAGATCAAGGTTTATTTATTGTAGCAGCCAGCCTTCCCTTAGCCTAACTGACACATCACTGGATACTGCAACTGCACAGTTCTCATCTGGGGGTTAGAAAACACCCATGGGTCTCCTTACAGGGAAGACTCGGCTGCTCTGCATTCAAACTTCACTGAAAACCTTCCAGGTAGAAGCTGTTGTCACCCATTTTCCAGATGAGGAAGGAGGCTGAGAAGTTAAAAACTTGACCCAAGATCAATCTGCTAGTGAAAGTGGAGGTTGGGCTGGACACAGGTATGTGAGTGACTACCCAACCTTTGAGAAATTGGCATGAGGTCCAAGACTCGCCTGCAGAGTCTCAGTGTGGTCAGGTCCCAACAACACTGGTTCCCGGTCCCCTGGTGCTTCTAATTTAAATGGAATTTTCGAGTCACCAGGTAGCTCTCCTTCCATATTTGCCTGGGACAGCACCTCCCACCATCACCTCAAGGATCAATCTGGGATCACTTGTGTGGAGCTTGGCCCTGGGGAGGTCCCAGGACGTCCAGAGCTGACATTCCGGTCCCACCCACATTCCAAGTGGGACAGGAAAAGGATGGTGGCACACATACAGGTGACTGTGGGTATCCAGGAGCCTTATGGCCACACCTGGGCAGGGCCCACGGGGCAAGGGGCCACATGGGAGAGGCCTCCACTTGTGCTTTCCCTCTCATACCTCTGATGACAGGGCACAACCAACAGGCCACCTGATGAGGTGTTTGCTGCCATCCTGTCTGTTAGACCCAGATCTCCATGCAGGCAGGAACTGCACCTGTCTCAAGCATCACCAGACATCAGCACCAAAGACAAGGGAGAAGAAAGGTGCTCAGTCAATGCACCAAATGAATGAATGAATGACGGATCTCCACTCTCACTCTGGTATGGGATGAATTGCATCCTCCTAAAAAAGATATGTTGAAGACCTGACCCCAAATACTTCGGAATGTGACCCTATTTGGAAATAAGTCCATTGCAGATGTTATTAGTTCAGAAGAGCTCATGCTGGAGTAGGGTGGGCCCTAATCCAATATGGCTGGGGTCCATCTGAGAAGACAGCCATGGGAAGACAGAGGCACAGGGAAAAGATGGCCAAGGGACGATGTACCTGCAAGCCGAGGAATGCCAAGGACTGCTGGCAGCAACCAGAAGCCAGAGGAAGCAGGAAGGATCCTCTCTACAGACTTCAGAGAGAGTGCAGCCATGCAGACACCTTGGTCCCAGGCTCCCAGCCTGCAGAGTGGTGCAGGGGCCAGCTCCTGCCGTGATGAACCTCCACAGCAGTCTGTGATACTTTGCTACCACAGCCCCAGGACACTACCCCAAGCCCAGGGCCATAGCACTGGCAAATCAGCCCCTCTGCAGGAGCCACACTGGAACCAGCTGACTGCCCAGAACCTTTCCCTGCACCAACTGCCTGCAGCCATGGCCTCAATCATCTATTCATGTGCTGCAGCTTTGGAGCATCATGGGCTGGGCCTCGTGCTGAACGCTGGGGACACAATAGGCTCACAGTGCAATCTTCATCCCTACCTATTATAATCACACCATATTGATGCAGGACAGGCAAGCCCCAAAATTGGGGCTTAGCCCAGGAGGGTTCTTGGCTTCACCCAGGAGAGAATTCAAGGGTGAGCCAGTGGCGTTGGACAGCGACTTTTATTGAAGTGGCAGCGCACAGCAGCAGGAGAGGTACGGCTCCTTGAGAACCAGGGCTACCACATAGGCAGTGTGGCCAGGGTAGCCACCCAGAACTACTTCTGTACTCACATTTATACCTGCTTTTAATGACATGCAAATTAAGGGGCAGTTTATGCAGAAATTTCTAGGAAAAGCCTGGCAACTTCCTGGTTGTCAGGGTCGTTGCCATGGAAAGAGGTAGTAACTTCCAGGTGTTGCCATGGCAATGGTAAACTGACATGGCACAATGGTGGGCATGTCTTATGGAAACCTGCTTCTGCCCTGGCCCTGTTTTATCTAGTCCTCAATTTGGTCCAGTGTCCAAGCCCCACCTCCAAGAGTTGAGTCCCACCTCCTACCTCAATATCACTGATGCCTGAACCCCAGGAAGCTTCAGTAACTTCCCCCAAATCACCCTGCTCTGAGGGACAGTGAGGGGTACTGCCTAGGACATGTTCATAGGGGACCCTGTGAACCTCAGAGCTGGTTGTTGCATGTTGAGACCACCCAGGAAGATTAACAGTGTGTTAAGTTTCTCAATTTTTTTTTTTGAGACAGGATCTCACTCTGTCACCCAGGCTGGGGTGCAGTGGCATGATCTTGGCTCACTGCAACCTCTGCCTCCTGGGTTCAAGCAATTCTCCTGCCTCAGCCTCCTCAGTAGCTGGGACTGTAGGCCTGCACCACTGCACCTGGTTAATTTTTGTGTTTTTTGGTAGGGACAGGGTTTCACCATGTTGGCCAGGCTAGTCTTGAACTCTTGGCCTCAAGTGATTCACCCACTTGGCCTTCCCAAAGTGCTGGGATTACAGGCCTGAGCCGCTGCATCCAACCCAAGTTTCCCAAATATTCGGAATGTGATCTATAGGAAAGTATTCTTTCCCCCATTCCTTGTTTAAAGATGGCAGCAGGATTGGACAAAAGTATTCCACCACCCAGGGCCCTGAAACCTCACGTGGTTTTGAGCAGACCTGGAAACCGATCCCCTTAGCCTGAGAAGCCCAGAGTCAGGCCGCTCTTCCTGGTGAGCTCAGGGCCCCACAGTAGGAGGGCTGCGCCTGTGCACATCTCAGGGCCCAGCTGTACACGCATCTCCTGGGCACTACAGAAGCCACCAGCCTTCTGCGGTGTGCATGGCCCTCCACCTGGCAGGCGCTCGTGTTAAATTTTCAGGAATTTTAGGAGCCAGTAGTTAAACACAGCCATTATTAAAAATTAAACTATGTAAACTTTCAATTAAGTAAATTATAAAAATGAACATATTAAGTACTCACAATTCATCTCTTCCCTGTCACTTGACTGCATCTGACTGCATACCACGTACACCAGGTGGCTCTTGTCTGCAGCAGCTGCACGGTGGGGAGTGTGTGGTGGCACCACCGGTCCCTTCTCAGCCCTCATTCGGTGATGGCACAGTCATGGGCTTCAAATCAGCCATAGTTGCAGTGTTTACACCACGGAAGTAGGCAAACGCTGTCAATCAAGGTTAGATTTACTGTTCCATAGATCGCCTAGTCTTAGAAAAGAGAGCAATTGCTAATAATGAGGACTAAACTCTAAAGTACATTGTTGTGTTTCTGGCCGTTCATTGCACTGTGATGAGCACAGAAAAAATGAGGAAATATTCTTTGACTATTTGGAAACTATCATCCAATTCAGCAAAGGAGCCACTCACATAATTGACAAAATGATGATGTTTAGAAATATATCTCTGTTGTTTCATTTCTGTCTTACTCATTAATATAAACAAAAATACAAACTGACATTCACGTCAGAACTATACTTGTTCATCAATTGCAAGCTTTCACTACAACAGATACAAGAGTTTAACAAAAAATCAACAAACGTGACCTTTGAGAATGAATTCATCATATGGAATTTAAAATACACAGTATTGTAGATGTTAATGACAATCGTGTGATCTGTATCCTTTATATCAGTAATAACGTCTGCACATTTTATCAGAGAGCCGGTTGTTGAGCATCACCAGCACAGCACTGTCTCCCAGCTAAGGCCAACCTTGACTTTCTGAATCCTCAGCCTTTCCCACGCTTTCACTGCATGTGGCCAAAGCTCAGCCTTGGGCCTACAAAATGCAGCCATGGCTGGCCTTGGCCACACGGACCCTGAAGAGCAAACAACAGCAGGACTAGGCACTGCTGGGCGTGAGGCTTTGAGAGCCCCAGCTAAAGACTCAGGCCTTACCAGACAGAGGAATTTGTCTATGGGACCAATTACCAAAAGGAAGTGTCAGTAACGGCGGTGTCAGCCCTGAGCCTGAACGCATCAGTGGGACCTCCCCTGGGTAGGCTCATTTAGGTTGACCTGGGCTGCAGCAGGGAAGCCTCTTTTCCAGCTCCTGGTCCTTGACAAGTCCTCTCCTGGACCTGACTCTGCTGTGGCTCCTCTCAGCCCTCTAGGCCTGACCTTTACATCGGTCCTTCACAGGCCTGGCTCACCCAATTTCAGCAAAAACCCTGTTAAGCCAGGTGAGCGAGACTCCCCCCACCACCCTCTACATCCAGTTGGGTTCTTCATCCTCAACATCCCGCAGGTGATGTCTGATCTCCTGGCCTGGTTTCAACAAGAATCCTGTTAGGCGGGTTGAGCCAGAATCCCCCCGACCCCTGAGGTTTCCTCTTAGTTGTTTTCCATCCACAGACCCCACCCTGCTCCTTAGCTGTAAATCTTCACTTGCCGATGCTGTGTTCAAAATCAAGCTCAGGGCCAGACGCAGTGGCTCACACATGTAATCCCAGCACTTTAGGAGGCTGATGTGGGCGGATCACCTGAGGGCAGGAGTTTGAGACCAGCCTGGCCAATATGGCGAAACCCCATCTCTACTAAAAATACCAAAAAAAAAAAAAAAAAAAAATTAGCCAAGCGGTGGTGTGCACCTGTAATCCCAGCTACTTATAAAGCTGAGACTACAGAATCGCTTGAACCCAGGAGACAGAGGTTACAATGAGCTGAGATTGCATCACTGCACTCCAGCCTGGGCGACAGGGTGAGACTGTCTCAAAAAAAAAAAAAATCGAGCTCAGTTCTATACTAAAGTCCCCTTTCTCCCATTGTAATGGTCCCAAATAAAATCTGATTTTAGGCCGGGTGCAGCAGCTCACGCCTGTAATCCCAGCATTTTGGAAGGCCGAGGTGGGTGGATCACGAGGTCAGGAGTTCAAGACCAATATGGTGAAGCCCCGTCACTACTAAAAATACAAAAATTAGCCGGGCATAGTTATGTGCGTCTGTAGTCCCAGCTACTCGGGAGGCTGAGGCAGGAGAATCTCTTGAACCCGGGAGGCGGAGGTTGCAGTGAGCTGAGGTTGCGCCACTGTACTCCAGCCTAGCCAACAGAGCGAGACTCTGTCTCAAAAAAAAAAAAAAAAAAAACTTATTTTAGCACTTTAATGACTCCCATTTTCTTTGACAGCCTCTACTATCACCCTCCACTGAGCGAGTTCCAGGCTGGGGGATACCAACCTGACCGATGTCCAGTGTTAGGCTGTCTGGCCAAGGAAACTTGGCTTTTTTAAAAAAATTATGGTAAAATATGCAAAACACAAAACTTATCATTGAAAGAGGTCAGGACATGCCACCCCAAAATATACCGCTTTGGCACATCGGTTATTTTGAGCTGAAGACACTTGGGAAACAGCAGGTGCAAGAAGGCCTCTCTGGCCTCCCCTTTTCTACCTAAAAGCAGGTCATAACATCTCCCTGAGAAAGGTGACCTCCCTGTTACCAAGAAGAGAAGAGCATCCCCATCACCAGAGACAGGGACTCGGTGCTGAAATTAACCTATAAACCAGCCTACCAAATAACCCCTAATTTCCAGAGCCTCCTGCACCCCAGCTCCTCTCTCTTCCCCACACTTTACTACCCCTAGCCCAAACCTCTTTGTCTTGCCACTTTCTCACAAACTTCTTTGTCTAAAAGGTAAATAAGCTGTCTGTTCTGGTCACTTCAGGTCTTCATTTTCTTTTTCTTCTTTCTTTCTTTTTTTTTTTTTCTTTTTTTGAGATGGAGTCTCGCTCTGTTGCCAAGGCTGGAGTGCAGTGGCATAATCTTGGCTCACTGCAACCTCCACCTCCCAGGTTTAAGCAATTCTCCTGCCTCAGCCTCTTGAGTAGCTGGGATTACAGGCACCCACCATCACACCCAGCTGACTGTTATATTTTTAGTAGATATGGGGTTTCACCATGTTGGCCAGGCTGGTCTCTAACAACTGACCTCAAGTGATCCGCCCACCTCGGCCTCCCAAAGTGCTGGGATTCAGGCATGAGTCACCGTGCCCGGCCTCTTCATTTTCTTTTAAGGATTTCCATGTACATGTAAAATTTGTTTCCTTTTCTGTTGTCAATCTGTCTTAAGTTGGTTTAATTCTTAGGCCCAAACAGAGACCCTAAAAGAGCAGAGGAGGAATTTGTGCTCCCCTATACCATCTGAACTATTTTTTAAGTGTCCACTTCAGTGGTATTAAGCACTTTCACAGTGTCACGCAACCATCACCACCATCCACCTGCAGAACTTCCTTCCTCTTCCCAAGATGAACCTCTGTCCCCATCCAACGCTCACTCCCCATTCCCCCTCCCCTAGTCCCTGGCACCCACCATTAGGCTTTCTGTCTCTCTGAATTGGATGACTCTAGGGACCTCATATAAGTGGGATTGTATAGTATTTGTCCTGTTGTGGCTGGCTTACATCACTTAGCCTATAGCAGATATATTGTCCTCAAGGTTCATCTGCGTTGACCCCTGTGTCAGGATCTCCTTCCTTTTTAAGACTGAATAACATTCCATTGTGTGGGTAGACCACGTTTTGTTTACCCATTCATCCATCCATGGACACATGCATTGCTTCCGCCTTTCTTTTGGCTCTTGTGAACAAGGCTGCTGTGAACACAGGTGTGCAGATACCAGTTTCAGCCCCTGCTTTCAGCTCTTTTGAGGTATATACCCAGAAGTGGCACTGCTGGATAATACAGTAATTCTGTTTCTAATGTTTGAGGAGTTGCCATACTGTTTTCCACAGTGGCTGAACCATTTGTCTTTCCCACCAGCAACGCACAGTGATACCGATTTCTTCACATCCTTGCCAACACTTGTTATTCTCTGTTTGTTGTATTTATTTATTTATTTATTTATTTATTTATTTATTTATTTTTGAGACCGAGTCTCACCCTGTTGCCCAGGCTGGAGTGCAATGGCGCGATCTCAGCTCACTGCAACCTCCGCCTCCCAGGTTCAAGCGATTCTCCTCCCTCAGCCTCCTGAGTAGCTGGGACTACAGGTGCTGCCACCACACCTGGCTAATTTTTGTAGTTTTAGTAGAGACAGGGTTTCACCATGTTGGCCAGGCTGGTCTCAAACTCCTGACCTCAGGTGATCCACCCAGCTTGGCCTCCCAAAATTCTGGGATTTAGGCCTGAGCCATAGCACTTGGCCTGTTTGTTGTTTTTAAACAGTCATCCTAATGGGTGTGAAGCGGTATCACACTGTGGTTTTGCTTTGCATTTTGCTAATGACCAGCAATGTTGAGCATTTTTCATGTGCTTGTTGGCCATTTGTATATATTCTTTGAATAAATGTCTATTGAAGTCCTTTGTTCATTTTTGAATTGGCCTGTTTGTTTTTGTTGTTGAATTATAGGTCTTTAAATGTTCTGGATTTTAACTCCTTATTAGATATATGGTTTGCCAGTGTTTTCTCCCAGTCCATGGGTTGTCTTTTCATTCTGTTGGTAGTGTTCATTGATGCACAAAAGTTTTTAATTTTTATGAAGTCCAGGATTGAATTTGGCTTTGAATTTTAAAGCACAGTGATTTCAGTGGTGCTTGGCCTTCTCCAAGGCCAGCCCTGTGCTAGAATCCAGGGACACAAAAGAAGACTCGGGGCTGCCTGTGGGATGGATAGACACACAACAGCAACAGTCACATCTCAGTGATGGCACCGAACACACCTTCTAGAAAGCGCACACCCACGCACACACACACAGAGGAAAATGCGAGGAAAACTGCCTGAGAGGTCACGCCAGCCTCACATCAGAGGGAACACTGGGGCTGAGCCTGGAAGGAGGACAAGGGAGTTCCTAACCAGATCCGGAAGGAGAGGACAGAGACACGGCATCCTGCTTGAAAGACTAAGATCTTTCCTTTCCAAACTCTTCTCAACCAAAAGGGCTCCTCAGGCAGAGGGCAGCTCTCTCAGTCCTGCCTGGGAAACAAAAGTCACAACCAAAGGCTAACAGGATTTAAGAGGCAGGACGGCGGGACGTGGTGGCTCATGCCTGTAATCCCAGCACTTTGAGAGGCCGAGGCAGAGTTCAGGAGTTCAGCAGTTCACCTGAGGTCAGGAGTTCGCGACCAGCCTGGCCAACATGGTGAAACTCCGTCTCTACTAAAAATGCAAAAATTAGCCGGGTGGGGTGGGGTGTGCCTATGGTCCCAGCTACTTGGGAGGCTGAGGGACGAGAATCGCTTGAACCCAGGAGGCAGAGGTGGCAGTGAGCCGAGATAGCACCACTGCACTCCAGCCTGGGTGACAGAGTGAGACCCTGTCTCAAAAAACAAAGAGGCAGGACTAAAAAGAATGGGCTGGGGGGCCCCTGCTTCTATCCCCGGGGGCTACAACTCCCAATTTCACTGAGGCCCAGCCCTGCCATCCGGCTGAGACCCCACAACCTTCGACCTCCAGGGACAGGACCACCGACAAATCCGCAGCTGCCCCTCCCCTGCCCCTCCCCTGCCATCTGTAGAAGGGGATAATGATTCATTTGTATTCATAAGACTATTGTTCCAACGATTAATTAAAAGGCGAGTATTTTTAACCATCTGTACTAATTTAGGGGAAGAATTTAGAAATATAATTGTATTATCTGTAACTGAGGAATTCAGACAGATCCCTCTCAGAATCAGAATATTAATGTCTCAGAGAAACTCACCAACCTGCCCAACTCATTGCTACCATTCCTCCTCAATTAGCCAAATAAATGAGGGTGATTTAAGATGTTTGGCTGGTGGGGAAAGGACAGAGAGAAGACCAGGCTTTTCCCCGCAAGTTTGGGGAAGCAGAGGCTCCAGGCCAGGATTCAGCCCCCAGGGGTTGGGTGGATGAATGTTCTGAACCTAAATAATACAATGGGGTAATCAGGTCACCCTGGGGCTGGGGAGGGAGGTGTTGTGAGATACACACCAGGGGCCACCTGCTTCCACCCAACCGGCTTCTCAGAGCTTGGAGTTGTGACCCCAAACCTCTGCCCCCTTCAGCCAGCTTAGTCCCGTGTTGAAGGACACAAAATAATGAATAGCACAGGGTGGAAGGAGGGGCTTGGTTAAGATGGTGTCCGGGTAGAGGAGACCCCTAGAGAGTCCCTGCAGACCCCAGGCTGCATCGCCTCCGGGCCTGGAGTGGCACTGGGGGGACCCAGGCCTCCTGAGAGGTGGTGAACTGGGACACCAGGTCAGAGGCTCGGCAGTAGCCACAGGCCACTTAGGGGCTGGGGAAGGGGACTTTACCCATGCCAGGACCTGGGGCACTGGGGGAAAAGGCGGCTCAAAGGGCAAGGAGGGCACAGCCTCTTCCTGCCAAGCTCCTCCTGCTCCAAGGGCTTCCTGCCTGAAAGAATTCCCTCCAGAGTCTCCTCATGGCCCTGGATCCAGGAGCTTCCCGGGATATCCTAATCCACGCTGTTGCCCATGCAGCCAGGCCAGCCACTCAGTGAGGGACATACCGTGGCAAGCAGTGTGGTTTACAGACACGTCCATGTACACCCTCGCAGGCACACATGCTCATGCTTATGCATGTGTGTACACACGTCTGTGTGGATGCACACCCATGAACGCACACACACACACAAGCAGGCACAGGGACTTGAAGAGAGAGTTCAAATCTTGCTCCAAACACACACTAACCATGTGGCTTTGGGCAAGTTTCTAAAGCTTTTCCGAGCCTCCAATTCCTCATCTGTAAAGTGTGGGTAATGCACTGGCCCTCTAGGCTGGGAGATGACAGAATATGGATTCTCGTGGCTGAATCCTTTCAAGCCCAGGCCAGCTGACAGGCAGGACCCCTCCCACACCCCACACTGTGAGGGCGACAACAGGAGGTGTCTGCTAAGTGTCTGGGTATCAAATTATACCCCTAAAGGACTAAGGAGAAAGAAGGAGCTCAGATGCAATGAAGACCCCCACAGACTCCTGCCCAGTCAACCACTTCTGACAGTATAAGCGCGTCCTCCCTGCACACAACCCGCTTCTCACCATTCTGGCTTACAGACTGAACATGCAATTTTGATCAAACAGAATCTACGTGAGCATACTGAGTACCTACTGAATACAAGGCTCCGTCTTGAGCCATTGGGAGGAAGCCTAGCTCACACACAGCCCCTGCCCTCCAGAAATGACAAGCTCAGGGGAGAAGAGACAGGGAAAGTTGAATATAAACCATGTTGCAGGACAGGGCATGGATGCCTGCAGCATGGAATATAGGGCAGAGATTCCAGGATGGAGGGAGCAAGGATTCCAGAATCCAATGAGTCTACATGATGCCGGTCCAAGGTCCCAGGCCCCCTACTTTGTTATATTGGGAGAAAATGAAATGAGGAACCCTGCAGACTCTGACTAGGACAAACAGCGAGGTGGCCAGGGACACCCTTCCCAGCCACGCTGGGCCCAACAGCAGTCAGCGGAGAGAAAGATCCTCCTTTAATGCCATACCACCAATTTCTAGATGGGCAAACTGAGGCCAGGAGAGGTGAGGAGCTCAAGGTCATGCGCCCTAAGCCTCTCTCCCAGTCCCCTTTGAGTTCCTGAAGTTATCCTTGGAGAAGGGAATTCCCCACTTCCTCACCCTCAGCTCATATCTTGCTTAACAGGAAGTTCTTCCTCACCCCACTAAGCCCCTCCAGCTGGGATTTCCCTGAGAGCTTTTCTGACAGCCAGGGCCTGACTGGGCTCCAGGTAGCAGAACCCTGCCGCTCGGGCCGGTAGAGCAGTCCCAAGAGCCCATGGCCTCTGCCACACTCACACAGGACCCTGCCACTCAGGCCAGTAGAGCAGTCCCAAGAGCCCGTGGGCTCTGCCGCAACCACACTTCATTCCCAGCCAGGCCTGTCCTTTCAGCCGTGCAGCCCGAGACCGTGAACATCCGCCCATTCACTCACTCAACAAACATTTAGTGAGTGCCTATGCTGAGTCAGCCTTCGGGATGGGAACTGGAGACAGAAGAATGGCTCAGCCTTGTTGACTCCACGCTGAAAGAAAACCCCTCTGCCAAACTCTTGAGAGCTCGCAGAGCTTATGGTCACACTCTTATATGTAAAAATGTTTATTTAGAAATAGAATGCTTGTTCCCCGGTGCCACAAAGAGATAGTACTTGAACAAAAATTTAATTCTCTCAACAAGGCCATTTTTAACTTTCTGCAGAAAGGGTGAGCATCACAGATGAAACAATGGCAAAAGCACACCTGAACAAAGGAGGGAAGCAAGTTTTATCCCTTAGGCGGTTTGTCCCTGCTACTGTGTCCTGTCTCTATTGGCTGGAGCCAGGCGGCACAATCTAAACTAAAACCTGATTGGCTAACAGTTTAAAACTTTTTAAAACAGGTAAAAGTAATGGAAAGACAAAGAAAAAGAGAAAGAGAAAGTTGCTTAAGCCAAATAGGGAAGAGGCATAGGCTGCAAGCTGGAGCGTGCCTGTGAGCAGGTCCAGCACAAATATTTTGGTTAAGGTACAAGGACATAGGATGTACTACGTGCCTGTGAGCATGGTTAACAGCTACATAGGATAGGGCCCAACAAAGAGTTATTAGCATAAAGTAAGGAGGCTTAAAGGAAGTTAGTCTTTAAAAGAAACTATCATTTCTAACACTTATGATTTATTCTTTAACAAGAAGGGAAACTTTGAAGGGGAACTTTTACTTTTGACACACATCATTCTCCTCATTGCAATGATCCCCTCCCCATTCAGTAGCCCCTATCCCCACTGCGAGAGTCTCCTATCTCCACGTCAATAGTCCCTTCCCCCACTGCAATAGTTCCCTCCCCTAAAGAAATATTCCCCTCCCCCAAGCAATAGCCCCTTCCCCACTGCAGTCAACCACTCTTCTTTGCAGTCATCCTTTTGAATGAAGTCTGTCCTTCCTAGGTCCAGATTCCGGTTTTATTGGTGGAACCGCAGTTCTCCCCAGGGCATGGCCTGTGGGAAAGGAGCCAATAAGGAGGAGCCGGCCGTGGGCAGCCACTAGGCAGAGAGAGCGTTCCAGGCAGAGTAAGGTGGGCGCCGTGTGCAAATGGAAACAGGGAAGAGGAGTAGGGTGGGTGTGAGGGGAGAGCGACAAGAAGCCAGGAGGCCTGGGGGACGCAGGCAGGGAGTGTGCAGAAGAATTTCACTCAGCATCTGCTCCGCCCTGGGCAGCAGCGGGGACACCCCCGCCGGGGGCTATAACACCGTCCAGGCAGGAGCAGGTGCAGGCGTAGGCCAGGGCGGCGGTGGCAGTGGAGACACAAACTCAGGACTTACTGTGACGTAGAGATGGGAGTGGAGAGGGAGTGGAGGAGAGTAAATAATGACTACATTTTTTTTTTTAATGAAAAGAGAAAGACTGACAGAGGAAAAAGTTATTTTGTCACAGACCAGATCAGCAAAGTTATGCTGCCGTAACAAAAAACAAAAATGAAATTCAGCGTCTTCATGGATGATTCGGCCATTGCTACAATGCTGCTGTCTGACAAGCCACTCCAAAACTCCAAACTCGGTGGCTGACATCAACAAGTGCCAGTTTCTCAACCTCAGCCAGCGTCTGGCTGTGGATCATCTGGGCTTCCCCGGGGATTCCACACTCTCTGGAAGGGCCGCGCCTGGAGCACGTTCTCCCCAGACAGGTGACAGGAGCCCCGGGGGGGAGCCCCGCCGCCGCAGAAGCACAGCTGAGACCTCTGCTTGTGCAGTGCTGTCAAAACATCCTTGGCCAAAGCAGGTCACATGGCTAAGCCCAGCCTCCATGGTTTGGGGAACATATCCCATGTACTCACGTGTACTGGACAGTCACATGGCAGAGGGACAGACTGAAAACAGAATGCCGAGAAGAGGACAAGAATGCAGGGAAAGAGACAGGGGCAGAAAGAAACCCATGCGCAGGAGGTCCGGGGAGCCCAGGAGAGAAGGGATGAAGGGCCAAGCGTGAGAAAAGCAACGAAGAGGAAACAGAAGAGGAGGACAGAGGGCAGGCCCCCTGATGTGATGTGGCAGGGGGGTGGGGTGGTCACGATACAGCCTCAGCAGAGGGGCGGGAGGAGAGGCGGTGGGCAGCCAGCTCTTCTGAGGACTCTGGCCGCAAAAGGGACCAGAGAAATAGGGTCCAGAGAAAGGGACCAGAGAAATAGGGCAGCGGTGCTCAGGGGCATGGGGTCACGGAGACCTCCCATGCCTGGAGACGAGGATGAATGCTGATGGGAGTGACCCAGAGAGGGGCCATACCCGGAGAGACCGGAGAGGGGAGGTGACTGCAGAAACCAAGTGCTGAGTGGAGGGCAGGGGGCAGAGCCAGGAGAGGCTGGAGCAGGGCGGAACTGGCCTTGCTCCGCACCCACCAGTCTCTGCTTCAAAGCAAACCACCATGGCACACATCTGCCTATGTAACAAACCTGCACATCCTGCACATGGACCCTGGAACTTAGACTAAAAGTTGAAAAGAAAAAATATATATTTTCATGCCCACAGGAGGAATCATGTCTGGGTCAAAGCATCAAATCCTCTACTAAGAGGCAACATTATCTAGGAGGGATAATGAGCCATTTTCAACCCCCTGAAAACCCTTAGTTGGTGATAAATCCCACAAATGAGCCAGCCACCCTGCTGGGCTGAGAAGCGAGGAGAGGAAGCCTGCATTGGGTTGTCCGTTCCAACTCAGCGTCATCCCGTCACCTCCATGTTCTCCCCAGTTTCCCAGGTCCCCTCCCCCAGTGGTTCCAGGCTTGTCAGCCTCTGGTGGTTCCCAGGCGTTCCCTGGGAATGGCTCACTGGGCACTGCGGGCTTCCAGGGGCATTTCGGGGCTTCCTCGTCATCTCTGCACTTCTGGGTTTCCTAAAACTGACCTTCACCGCTCCCTTCCAATGTCTGTGTGAGCCTCTGATTTCCTGGATTAAGTCAATCTCTCTCACTTGTGCTCTCTGTCTCTCTTTCCTCTAAATACTGAGTGTGGCTCCTGTTCTCCTGCCCAAACCTGTATGGATAGGAGCAGTAATAAAGTGAGAGGGAAGCGGGTGCTCAGGGGCTCCTGGGAAGAGATGTTGAAGGACATTGCTTTCCTGTGGGGACACACACTCTAAGGTGTCAGGAAAGGGATGGGGACAGAGAGGCACAGTGGCAGCCTCTGCACACTGAATGTCTGTGTCCCCTCCAAATTCATGTGCTGAAACCCTCACCCACAACATGATGGTGTTGGGAGTTGAGGCGTTTGGGAGATGATTGATTAGGCCATGAGGAGGGACCCCTCAAGATGGGATTAGTGCCCTGATAAGAGGCTCAAGAGAGCTTGCTCCCTCTCTCTCTCTCTGCCTCTCTCTGTCTCTCTCTGTCTTTCTCTCTCTCTCTCTACCATTTGAGGATACAACAAGTGGCTGTCTGCAAGCCCTCACCAGACACCAAGCCAGCCAGCATTTTGATCTTGGATCTCCAGCCTCCAGGACTGTGTGAAATAAATGTTTGTTGTTTAAGCCCCCAGGCTATGGTCATTTGTCACAGCATTCCCAACTAAGATGATCAGAACCCACCTTTTGTAGTACAGCAGTTTCCGATGGTCATGAGGCCAAGTAGCCAAAGACAACCTTTCCCAATATTCCTCACAGCTATTTGCTGCCATGTGACTAGACTCTGGTCCCAACACAAGGTGAGCAGGGTGATGTGAGCAGCACTAGGCCATGTGTCCCTAAAATGAAAGGCATAAGCTCTCCCTTTCTTCTTCCCACTTGCCACCTGCTGGAGTATAGAAATGATGGCTGGGGCCAGAGCAGCCACGTTGGACTCAAAGACAGAAGCCACCTCTTGAGCACAGCAGGACAGCAAGAGAAAGGACGCTGGCTCCTTGCCACTGTGGAGCTGCGTTTGGACTGTTACATGCATGAGAACTAAACTTCTACGACGTTTTGACCACTGTGAAACTCCTTCTTGGTTACAGCAGCTGGAGTGTGTAATTTAACTCATGCAGAGATGCCTCATCCACTCTGGATGGCTTAGGGCTTAGATGTTCTTTGCAGAGACATGAACTCCAGTCATTCTATGATTTTTAAAAATCTATTGTCCTTTGGCAGTGCTGCTGCAAATTTCTGTTTCAGAAGGGAAAATAGTGCATATCATCTATAACTAGTGAAAATGTCTACTATGATGAGTGTATATTAGTGAAGGTAATGCCAAGTGTTCTAATAAAAGAAACCCAATAATATACCATGGCCCAGCACAGTAATGCTTTGTATGTTGCTGGAATAAAGTCCAGTTGGGTATTCCTGATCAGTCGGTGGCTCTCCTTCAAGCTGTGGTTCAGGACAAGCCCATTTCCTGGGCAACAGGGCCCCTTCCTGGGTCATCTCCATCCAGTCACTAGTTGGGGAAGGGAGAGAAGGAAACACCTTAGAAGTGAGGCCTGGAAGGGGCACACAACACTTCCGCCCACATTTCTTATCCATAACTCAGTCACATGGCCCTACTAGACATAATAGAGGCTGGAAATGTGATCCCCACCTGAAATGCCAGTTCCCAATTACATCCCTACAGCTTGGATGGAGAGCATAGATCTTTGGTGGATCAATAGCTGTGTGTCATGACTGCAGAGAGCTCTACAGCAGATCCAGCAATTTATGGTCAAAAATAACTGTGTAAAAATAAGAGTACATTCACTCATGCGGGCATCAAACACCATCCATGTTCTGCTGTTTACCCTAAGGAGACAAAGTCAACGACCTGCCCCAGACACAGCTCCACGCAGCTGAAATAAGAACTTGTCTCTTCTGCAGCAGACTCACCTGCCAGAATCTGTTGCTGTTCCCCACTGGGGAAGGAAGGGAGTGACTGCTCCTTCATCGAATGCCCCAAAAGGTTCATGTGAGGAGGGAGAAGTCAGACTGTGGTCACTACAGGTATTTTCAAGTTAGAAGGGGTTCTCCAGTTCACGTAATCTCTTCATTTTCATCCTAATTCTGTCTTGTCCAGAAGCAAATATTTTTTGTGAAAAATCAGACCTTGTGGGTGACCTTGAGCAGCCAGATATAAATTATTCCCACAAGCTTAGCGTTCCAATAATGGAACACTAGGCATAAATGGGTTAAACTTAATCTACAAATGTAACCCAGATGTAAGCTAGGATCCCATGTGGTCCAGTCTCAATGAGAAATTAAATTCAAAGAAGAATAGGCCAGGCGAAGTGGCTCTCACCTGTAATTCCAGCACCTTGGGAGGCCGAGGCAGGCGGATCATGAGGTCAGGAGATCGAGGCCATCCTGGCTAACATGGTGAAACCCTGTCTCTACTAAAAATACAAAAAATTAGCCAGGCGTGGTGGCAGGCGCCTGTAGTCCCAGCTACTCAGGAGGCCGAGGCAGGAGAATGGCGTGAACCCGAGAGGCGGAGCTTGCAATCATGCCACTGCACTCCAGCCTGAGCGACGGAGCGAGACTCCATCTCAAAAAAAAAAAAAAAAAAAAAAGTAGAATACAGCATCAAAGGTAGCACTAAGCTGTCCTCGAATCTCTTCAGGAAAATGATCATGGATCTAACTTTTTTTTTTTTGAGACAGTCTCACTCTGTGGCCCAGGCTGGAGTGCAGTGGCAGGATCTCGGCTCACTGCAGCCTTGACCTCCTGGGTGCAAGCAATCCTCCCTGCTCAGCCTCTTGTAGCTGGGACTACAGGCATGTGCCACCATGCCCTGTTTTTTATTATTTTTTTTTTTTGATAGAGATAAGGTCTTGCTATGTTGCCCAGGCTAGTCTCAAACTCCTGGCCTGAAGCAATCCTCCTGCCTCAGCGTGGATCTAATTTATAGCCCACAGCCATACTTCTTTTCTCCCTTCCCTAATTCTCTTCCTCCTATATCTGTCTCAGAGCCTCTCACAGGGCAAATTCCAGAAATCCTCTCTAATACCCCCACCCCATTCCCCTTTTGCATCTCCCCTGCTACTTCTTTCCTCATATTTCTTATAGAGATAGATTTAGCCTCTCAGATACTTTTGTAGATGGACTTTATATGGTTTTAGAGCGGTTTTAGGCTCACAGCAAAATCCAACAGAAGGTACAGAGAGTTCACATGTACTCTCTGTCCCACCCCCACACACACAGCCTCCCCAACTATTAATATCCCCCACCAAATAGTACATTTATTACAACTGATGAACCTGCATTAACATGTCATTATCACTGTATTAGTCCATTTTCACGCTGCTGATAAAGACATATCTGAGACTGGGCAATTTACAGAAGAGGCTTTTTGGACTTATGGTTCCACGTGGCTGGGGAGGCTTCATAATCATGGTGGCAGACAAGAGAAGAGAGCATGTGCAGGGAAACTCCTGTTTATGAAACCATCATATCTCATGAGACTTATTCACTGTCAGGAGAACAGCATAGGAAAGACCTGCCCCATGATTCAATTACCTTCCACTGGGTCCCTCCCCGAACACATGGAAATTCAAGATGAGATTTGGGTGGGGACACGGTCAAACCATATCAATCACCCCAAGTCCATAGTCCACATTAGGGCTCACCGTTGGTGTTGTACAGTCTATGAGTTTAGACAAATGTTTAATGACATGGACCCACTGTGACAGTATGATACAGAGGAGTTTCACTGCCCCAAAAAAAGTCCTGTGCTTCACCTATTCACCCCTCCCTCTCCCCAACCCATGGTGTTACCAGAAAAGGGGTCTTGATCCAGACCCCAAGAGAGGGTTTCTGGATCTCACGCATGAAGGAATTCAAGGCGAGTCACAAGGTGCAGCGAAGGAAGCACGTTTATTAAAACCTACTCCATTACAGAGCACGGGACCTTCCGAGAGAATGCACCGTCTTTGTTTTAAGTTTTTCTTATATAGGGGTCTTGTCTACGTAATGACTAAACCAAGCTGCGACTCTGTGAGGGGGAGCAGACAGCATGACAAAATTGATTATGCTACTGATTTAAAGAAAACTATCCTTAACAGTCTAGTACATGAGTACATCAAAGCACATCTATAATTATCTTGAAAGCACATATTGCTATGGGTATTGGGACATCTGGGCTTTCTGTTGTTTTAGGAGTTTGTCCTTGCAGGCAGTACCAAGCTGCCTCCTTAGCTGTGACCATCTTAGGACCATGGGTTGTGACTGGCAAGGAAGGTACCTTGTTAGTCTCAAGACAGAGAAGATTTTTCAGTGGTGTCACTCTGACTCTCCTCAACTCCTGCTTCCCTAATGATGGCAGCTCCTCTTTTTACTGTCCCCATAATTTTTCCTCTTTGGAAAAATCCCTCTTTGGGAATGTCACAGGTTGGAGTCATAGGGTGTGTAGCCTTTCCAGATTGGCCTTTCACTTTGTGATCTGCATTTCAGGTTTCTCTATGTCTTTTCATGGATGGAAAGCTCACTCATTTTTAGCACTGAATAGTATTTCATGGTCTGCATGGACGTGCCACAGTTCATTTCTCCAATCATCTGCCAAAGGACATCTCGGCTGCTTCCAAGTCGTGGTGATTGTAAATGACGCTGCTATCATCATCCAATGCATTTTAAGTCTTCCCTCCACTTTAGCCATTCTGCGAATTCCACTTCACGCTGACATCACAAAGACAGGACCCCTGAGGGACGGATGAAAGGAAATCAAGGAAGATTTTCAGAGGGCAGGTGGGGGGAGGCTGGGGACCTTCCTGTGGGGGCACAAATCTTGTCCTGTCACTGGAGGATGCACACAGCTCATGGAGACCACGTCAACCACCGGCCTAAGGAAAGCAGCGGGAAAGCTGTGAGTTGAAGCCAGAGATGAATCCATGCTCAACCTGTGTGTGGCAGACTCCTAAGTACTTGCTAGGGAGGGTCCTCAAAACCAGCTCCAGGTCCTCAAAATTAGTGTACAAGCTGTGGACACCACAGAGCAAAGCCACTGCTCAGAGAAAGCACACATCCTGGTTGCTATGTCTTCCATGCACGGGGCCCTCACTATGGACCAGACACTCCTAAGGGCCATGCACCCTGTACGATATCTGATCCCCCATCTACCTTCCCTTTACAGAAAGTGTGACGCGGCTTAAGCAGCTTGTCTGAGTTTGCACAGCTGGCAAATGGCTGAGCCATGACTCACACCCAGGTCCATCCACCGCCAAAGCTCCAGATCTCTGGCATCCTTCTAAGGTCAGAAAGGGAAAGAAATCCCTAATAAGGAGCCTGTGTGACGGCGTGCCCCCCTCCACTTTCCCACCCCTGCCAAGGACCCGTTTGAAGGCTGTTCACGCCAGTCACTGCAATCACCATTGAGCACAGAGATGACAGTTCCAGCAAGCACTGACCTTCCAGCCCACTCTGCGGAGGAGAAGACTGAGGGGCAGAGAGGCTGTTGATTTGCTGCAGTTGACTCTGACCCTAATTTCCCGGCGCTGACTCAAACTCATCAGGAACACTGCTTTCACTGAGTGTATGAAGTGGTTTCTCCATCCGTGTGGCTTTACCTGAACTCACACCGGTCCCACGGCCCAGGTGTGGAGCCGAGCACTCCCCTCTGCCTCCTCCCTGGACTGCAGGACCTGTGTCTCGCTTTATGAAAGAGATGCCATTTGGGGAAGACTCGCATTGTCGGGAGCGCTGTGGACGCTCCAGAAGGAGATCAACACGATGATGACGATGCCGGGTGGAGGGAATGTGCACTTCTCGGGAGGTAAATCACACCCTGCGCAGCGCCTATGGATTTTTGCTTTTCCTTGGCTGGTAGGAGCCGAGGAGGCTGCCTTCGCTGTGGTATTTCTGCAAGTTCTCATCCCCAGTGGGAAGAAGAATTGCCTGTGTTTGCTGAAATTAAAGCCAAAACCCAGCCGGCGCAGATGGGAGGGGGAGGCTGGGAGCAGGTGGGAGCTGGTGTGCGGGAGTGGACTCAGGCCCTGGGGCAGGGGGAAGAAGGGGGACCGTAGCATTATTTGGGAAACAGTCTTCTCAGGGCACATAAGGACGGCAGAGGATTTTTTTGGGGGGAGTGGATGGAGCTACCATAGAATGAGGTCCTGAAAGTCAGCAACATGGAGGAGCTGGAGGCCACCATGTTAAGTGAAATGAGCAAAGCAGAGCAAATACGGCATGTTCTCACTCACACAGGGGAGCTAAAAGGTGGATCTCACGGGGGTAGACAGTAGATTGTGGGTACCAGAGACCGGGAAGGGGAAGGGAGTGGGGGGATGAAGACAGGGTGATTGATGGGTACAAATATACGGTTGGATAGAAGAAATAAGTCCTAGTGTTAGAGCAGCAGGGTGACTATAGTTCACAATAATCTATTGTACATTTCAAAACAGCCAGAAAAGAATAATCTGAATGTCTCCAGCATCAAGAAAAGACCAGTATTGAAGGTGATGGATGCCTTAATTACGCTGATTGGATCTTTACAAATTATATTAATGTATTAAATTATTACATGTATGCAGAAAGTCTGTACACCTATTATGCACCAATAAAAAAGAAATTTTTTAAAGTGAGCAAAGGCCCCTTTGCCTTGGATCTCAAGTCTAAGAAACAGGCCCTGATGCCTTTAGGAAACCCCAAAAAGGAACGGGGCCCTTCTGGGAAGCGGAGCTGGTGAAAAAACACCCTGGACCTCAAAATTGAGCAAGCAGGGTTATGTTTCCCAGGCCAAACTGTCATCTTTACCCTAGAAATTGGGCCACACCTATGGTGCTGAATGGCTGTACCTTGGGCTTCAAGTTCCCAGATCCCACACTCCTTCCAGGTCCTATGAAAACCCCACAGCATCCCCAGGGATCCTCTGCAGGCCTTAGACAAAGCTCAGCCTCCCACTGGACATTATTCTTGAACTCGACATTGCTGCTGCCCTGGGCCCAACTGTGGGTTTGAGATTTCCTAGTGGCCCCTGGAGAACGGTCCCTGTATCGCCTGAAGGGGACCCCCTCACTAGATGCCCTATAGGCCTGCAGGTCCATGCACCAGGTCTGGCCCTGGCTCTGCTGGTCCTGAGCTCAACCCTGAGGATTAACTGGACTGGAACTGGGTGCCCGCGTGCCACCTTGCCCACCCATGCTTCATACATGTCACAAGCTTCACCCTCTCTTGGGACAAACCAGCTCATCATCCCCTGGCCCCTGGCTGTCGTGAACGCCATCTCCATCTTGGGATGTGCCAGCCTCGATTTCCTTCTCTGTACAGGAGGAGCCAAAAGCATTTTGCTGACCTCGGTGCAGATCAACCCTGCAACAAGGTGCAGAAGAGGCACCAAAGGGGCTTTGTAGCCAG
Source organism: Homo sapiens (assembly GCF_000001405.40). Classification (NCBI taxonomy): domain Eukaryota; kingdom Metazoa; phylum Chordata; class Mammalia; order Primates; family Hominidae; genus Homo; species Homo sapiens. Next base: position 3,946,376 of record NC_000001.11, on the reverse strand, counting down.
CAACATGCCAGATCCATGCACCTTGTTGATGCAGCCGACTCTGCAGGGGTGCAGGAGGTGAGGACTCACACAGGGGTGCGGGAGGTGAGGACCCACGCAGGGGCGCAGGAGGTGAGGACCCACGCAGGGGTGCAGGAGGTGAGGATCCACACAGGGGTGCAGGAGGTAAGTATCCATGCAAGGGTGCGGGAGGTGAAGACCCAAGCAGGGGTGCCATCGAAGGCCATGGGAGGGACAGCTCCAGGAACAGAGGCAAGGCCCACCCCACCCTGACTATGAGGGGACAAGTCCATGGCCAAGGGTCCATGGCCAAGGATCTTGGGAGCCATTATCTCTGCTACACGCCATGCAAGCAGAGGTGCCCTCTGGCAACCAGATGCCGCTCTGGGTACAGCCGATGCAAACACGAGAGAAAGCGTCAACCAGATGGGATCATCGGCCCAGGGACAGAGAGAGGGGGGTGGCGTCGGACAGGTGGGCCAGGCACATGTGCCCAGCAGGACCCCATAGGGAGGGGAGCAAGGCTGGGGGAGGGATGGGGCACTGAGCAGCCGGTGCTAGAACAATCAGGAAACCTCCCAGGCAGGCATTCAAGCTGAGGCCCTGGTCAGCGGCGGGAGGGAGCCTCCTGGGAGGGTGAGACCTGGGAGAGGCTGTGCCTGCCAGCTCCATGTCCTGTGGTATCTTTGTCCGGCTTTGGCACCTAGGGATCACTGGATTCAAAAGGCGCTGAGAAGCATTTTCTCCTCCCGTCTTTTGGAGGTGTTTGTGAAGATCTGATATTAACTCCTCTTCAGATGTTTGGTAGAATTCAGCAGTGAAGCTGTCTGCGGGGCAGATGCCTATGAAAGGCGCCCTGGTGTGTTCGAGGCACGATGAGGAGGTCGGTGTCCCCCGGGACAGAGAGGGCAGCAGGTGGTGGGCAGCATGCCTTATGCAGGGCCCAGCAGGGTGAGGAGAGTGAAGGGTGCCATGTGGGGGAAGTGACAGGGCCCGGCTGTGTAGCAAGGAAGCCCTCTGGCCCTTGCCCTGTGGTGTAAAGGCTTTCACGGGAAAGGAACAGAGGCGAGAGGTCAGGTGCCACCGGTGCCATCCGCTCTTACCTCATTGCACACATGAGCTCATCAGGATGGGCTCTCGATTCTCTGGAGGAGTCCAGGGTCGAGTCCAGGAATCAGCCCGAGGTCAACTTGGAGAAAGACTGTGTGTCTAGCGTCTGCCTCCCTCCCTCGCAGCCTCCTACTCACCTGGCCTCCACCGCCCACCCAGCACCCCTGGGGACTGTCCCCATCCCCCCAGGGACTCCAGAGGGAATGTGTTTTGTGCCGTGTGGAAAACAAGCCATGCTCACTGCACACCACGACAGTCCCTTCAAGCTGTCAGAGTCCCTGCATGTGGAGTGAAAAGGGGGAAAAAAGACAATTTACAATTGCAAATTGGAACCCCTCTCTCGGAGTGGAGTGATAATCCAGCTAGGGAGACAGACGGTGAGGAAGTGCTCCAGGAACATGTTACAACACATCACTGCCTAGCAGAGACGAGAGGCTCCAGGAAGGACCTGGTGCCTGCCATTCCAACCTTGAGGGGCTCCTGGAGGGACGCTGAGGACAAGGCGGCTGTCCCATCACCTCACTCTTGTCTCTGCCCTCACCTCTCCCCACCGTGCAGGGCTCAGGACTACGGGCGCCCAGACACAAAGGCCCAGAGCCACAGAACAGTGAACTCCACACTGTGCAGCTGTTGGCGGGAGGGGCGGGGAGAGAGACCAGAGTCCCATTTCTGCTGCCTTTTAAATAAAAGACAAGGAGGATGGCGAGGAGGAGGTCAAAACTCACTGCAGTCTATACCGCGGCACAGATCCCGACTCAGGGTGGGGGCATGTGGGAGGGACAGAGGGAGGGGGAAAACACAAACAAAGAGGGAGGAGGAGGCCCCTCCGCTTCATGCAATCGGGAACAGGTGTGCGGGAACCCTGGGGTGTCTGGCGTCTGGCATGGCAGGCTCCCATCCTGGGTTCCGCCAATGCCGCCGGCGAGGGCCCGCTCTCTCCCCAAATGCTGCTCTTTTCAGAGGGAAAAAAAGGCATCATTCCAAAGATAGGGTAGACGCTGAATGAACAAATGTTTTTAAACACCCATGTTGTCATTATTTCTTCCAGAAGTTGATTCATTTACGTGGCGATCTGAGAGCCTGTCACTCACTGAGGCCAGAGTGGACCCTCAGAGTCAGGCACTGGTTCAGGGACCAGGCCCTGAGGTGCGGGGATAGACGGAGCCTGACAAAGGCCAAGACACAGTGGTCTGGGTCCAGGCTGGGGACAGGAGTGGCGGGGCAGCGGAGGACAAGGAGACAGCCAGGCAGACCCCAAAGCCTGGACCGGGCTGGTCTCGGGGACGTGCGGGTGTGGAGGGAAAGAACGTTCCCTGCAGACAGAACGTAGGATGGGCAGCACACGGGACAGCTCGTGGTTCAGCCAGGCTGCAAGGACTCCAGAAGGTTCTATGGCTGAGTCCTTACTGCAGACTGGAAATCTTCAATGAGCCGCTAACAAAAAGTGTCAGCAAACAATCAAAACCAAAACACATGTGTATGGATGCAGTGGGGCGAGGCAAGGGACATTGAGCTGGTGGAAAATGAAGAAAGGAGAGGGAGAGCCATGGGGCTGCTGAGCCTGGACCGGCCCATTCCCGCTGGGCTTCAAGGCTGTGGGAGCATTGGTGTCCTGGCCTGGAATCGGTGAGCACAAAAGCACCAAAGATCTGAAAGGTTCTCAGGATCAAAAGCCCCTTTGTGAACTGTTCAATATTTTCAGCAGAAATCCAGTAAATGTCAGAGGTTTTTTGGGGTTTTTTTGTTTGTTTGTTTAGGCACCACCTGTTTCTCCCTATGGGAAAAGAAAATGATAACTACTGCTAAAAAATGAAAATTTAAAAACCCCTAAAAGATCATCTGAGGTGCATGTGAAGCTGTTCTGGGCCATGCCTGAATGTGAACAGAGCCAGCCACTTCGCCATGCAGGGAAAGCCTTGGAAGGGAAAAGCGAAGCCCAGGCTGCCCGGCAGCTACAGCTCTGGGCGGCGTGTTCCTCACCCTCCTCTCCCACCAGTGACTGCCTCGGAGGGCAGACCTCAACTCTTCCCGAAGGCTGAGTCCGAGAGGCCCCCGCGCTGAGGGCGTAGCAGCCCACTGGACCTCACCCCTTGGCACCCCTGCCCTCAGGGCACAGGAGTGACTTGAAGCTATGGCTGGCTCAGGGCCCTAGAGGAAGTCACATCTGGTCATTGAGCACACAGGGCAGGTGTCGGGACAGCGCTGTGTTTGGCACTCACTCACTCATTCATCCATGTATTCATCTGTGGGTTGTGAAATTAACTTCGCAAATATTTACAGAGAGCTTTCCAGGGTTCTTCAAAGGGAAGAAATAAAGACGGTAGCAGAGTTCCTGTTTAAGCTTCGCTCTCATTGCGTCCTGGCGTCACGGGGGGCCTCAGGGTGACTTGGCAAAGTGAGCTCCCACCTCCTCCAACCGAAAAACACCAGCAGGCAGGATCGCACGGCCAAGGCGGTGAGTCCCGCTCCACTAAGGCAGATCTTGAAAAGTGCCCCCATCTCTGTTGGTTTCCTGAAGCCACAAACTGGGCAGCTTCAACAACAGAAACTTATTCTCTCCTCGTCCCGGAGGCCAGAAGTCCAAGATGAAGGTGTGGACAGGGCTAGTTCTTTCTGAGGCCTCTCCCCTTGACTCCCAGATGGCTTTTTTCACTGTCACATGGCCTCTGTGTGTGCTTGCGCATGCCTGTCTCCAAACCTCCCCTTCTTAGAAGGACACCAGTCCTATGAGATTAGGGCCCATCTGAATGACTTCATGTCAACTTAATTCTGTCAAGACCCTATCCCCAAATAAGGTCGCACTCACAGGTTCTGGGGGTAAGGACTTCAGCATGTGGATTTGGTAAGGGGGTACACAATTCAGCCCATAACAATCTCTGAGCCTTCATCTTCTAATTAAAAAAAAAAAAAAAAAAAAAAAAAAAAAAGGCCAGGCACAGTGGCTCACACCCATAATCCCAGCACTTTGGAAGGCTGAGGCCAGCGGATCATTTGAGGTCAAGAGTTCAAGACTAGCCTGGCCAACATCTTGAAACCCTGTCTCTACTAAAAATACAAAAAAAAAAAAAATAGCAGGGCATGGCGGCATATGACTCTATAGTCCCAGCTACCTGGGAGGCTGAGGCAGGAGAATTGTTTGAACCCAGGAGGTTGCAGTGAGCTGAGATCGAGCCACTGCACTCCAGCCTGGGTGATAGAGCAAGACTCTATCTCAAAAAGAGAGAGAGAGAGACAGGCCAGGCGTGTTGGCTCACGCCCGTAATCCCAGCACTTCAGGAGGTTGAGGCAGGCAGATCACTTGAACCCAGGAGTTTGAGACCAACCTGGGCAACATGGTGAAACCCTATCTCTACAAAAAAAATACATAAATTAGCCAGGCGTGGTGGCTCATGCCTGTAGTCCTAGCTGCTCGGGAGGCTGAGGTGAGAGGATCACTTGAGCCCCAGAGATGGAGGCTGCAGTGAGCTGATAGTGCCACTGTACTCCAGGCTGGGTGATAGTGACACCCTGTCTCAAAAAAAAAAAAAAAGAGAGAGAGAGATAGCACCTGCCCCAACTCTCTCCCAGAGCAGACCCACTGGATTGGGCCCAAAGGGTGCCCTGTGAGCTTCAGAGGGCTGTGCTGTAGGCGCCACCCACTTTCCTCTCAAGTACAGGCAGCAAGAGAGACAGGGACTCTCACCTCCCAGTGGCCCTCAGAAAATCAGAGGTCCCGGGCAGGATGTTGGCATGTGGTCCACTGGCTCCTTTAAGAAAAGCCAGGTATCCTCAGAGACCCGCACATAAGGTCAGTACTCTCTCAGCAGACCAATCCATTTCTCCCCACTAAGTAGCATCTGATGGCGTTAGATGCTAAGACTCTCTCTTCAGAAGTAATAAAAAATAAAAATAAAAATAAAAAAGGCAGTCCCTTAGTGGGAGGGTGTTTGGCATTTCATCTGAATTCCACAATGAATAATTTATATGAAAATTTTATCGGAGCCCAGCTTTCCACAATAAACGTTCCCTGAGAACACACGCAAATGCTTCTGCAGCCATCTCTCTCTCTGCTGGATTGGGCTGACGGCCCAAATCAGATCTGAGTTGCTGCATCACTTATTTACAAAAAATATCATAATCTTACTTTTATGTGCATTTTTCCCAGCATCCGTGGGTGACAAGTTTGAGAGGCACAGGCAGCAGCGGCCGCTGCTTCTGTTGGATCCAGGAGGGAAGGGAGGTTCTGAGCTTTGGAGCGGGAAGTGAGGAGCCTCAGCTGTCCGCACCCTTTTGCCTGCAACACAACAATTAGGAGAGGGACTAGGAGGAAAGGAGCCACCTGGTTTCTGGGGCATAGAAGCCCTATGCAGCCACGTGTCCCGAGCAGAGTGAGGTGGGGAGGGGGCCAGAAGGAGACCTCAGTTATTCAGCGTCAGGAGGGGGGGTCCAGAGTGTGGCTTGGGGACAGGGAGACCCAGCTTGAACCCTCCTCCTAGCTAGGTTATGTGGCTTCTCTGAGTCCTTGACCTTATTTGGATAATGGAAAAAAGAGAACCCACCTTTCAGGACTGTCCTGGGAATGTACTGACCTGTTGTGGGCAGCGTGGTCATCACACCAACCTTCACATCCAACAAATGCTTGCAGAACTGACAGGCACATGGCACGAGCACGCCGCTAACCAGGACTGTGCTTTCTGATATTGCTGTTTCCATGGTGGCAGGGAGAGGGCTCCAGCCCAGCTGCAGCGTCCAGAGGCACAGCCCCCGCCTCCTGCATTCGCTGCCCAGGGGTTCACGTGTCCTCAGCTTAATGTCTTCTTAATATTTTATACACTTTCTCCTTTGTGAATTCATCTCTTTTCATGGAGGAATTGCCTGTGTGTGCCCAGTGGGAGCTTGAAGGCATCAGTCATCGTCACATCCTCCTGAGGATTTCTCAGTCAGCTGCTCTAGGCAGGTCCTGAGGGAGGGGATGGAGGAGACCCCAGAACCTGGCGCTGCCCTTCCTGTCCCAGCCAGGTGGGTGTCCTGGTTTAGGGCTGCCAGGGACATGGCCTGTCCCAGGGACACAGGCGTCAGCACCGGCTCTGTTGCTCACCAGCTGTTTGACTTGGAGCAAGTTTCTTAACTTCTCTACGCCTGTTTCCTTATCTCTAAACTGAAGTGATCATGATCCCCTCCCCAAGAGAAGTCGGGAGGCTCCGGGATGGGACGGTGCACACGCAGCCTTCACATCGTGCTGAGGCAGCACCAAGCATGCACCCCAGAAATGCCAGTTGTCTTGTGCAGCTAGTCCTGCAGTCCTCCCAGTCTGCAGGAGCAGGAAGGGAGCCTGGTCTGGGAGCTGCCCGTTGCCCACAGTGACGTGCTGGAGGACCCAGGACAAGGCCTGGCTCTCCACCCGCTGCACCGTCCACCTCTGCCTGGTTGACAGCTTCGCCAGCCATTCTGTTTGCCTTCTCCACTCCCTCCTTCCCTATAGGAACCAGTTCTGGGTTTGGCACCCAAAACCAAAAAGATTGGCCCCTTCTCTGCGCTGCCCATGGACTTGGGAGGCTGAGCACATCTCTCACTCTGGACGGATCCCAATTAGCCAATCACAGTATGTCATCCTCCTTGCCAGGGATTATTTCAGCCAATCAGCACACAGACTCCCTCTGGTGACTCTAATAGGTCCAGGAGCAGGCACATGCCCTAGGCTGGCCAATCAGAGAGGTGAGAAGGACTTTCACTCCACCTGTCCTTCTCCCACCAGCTGTGAATGAGCAAGCTCCTCTCATTGCAGCAGGCAGGCGGCCATCCTAAAGCCGTGAGGGAGGGGGCCTCAGGACAAGGGGAGGCAGAGTCAAAGGAAGGGAGATGCAGCCCTGATCACATGGTGCCTGCAGCCCACCTTGCCTCAGAACCTGTGCTCACATGAGATAATAGATCTCTGTGGTTAAGCTAGTTCATGTTGGACCTTCTGCTACTAACTCCAGAGAAATGCCCCCACATGTAAAGTTAGAGGGTCTCCACTGTGGCCAGACCTCTATGACCCCTTCATATGTCCAACCCTGGGAGAAATTCAAGTCAATGGAAGACCACACAATGGGATAAGGAAGTAAAAAGTTAATGACTAAATTAAGGTTATCACCAGAAGTTTAAGCTTCTTGAGAAGGGTCACATCTGTTTTTGAAGACCCACAGAAAGTACTGTCAAATTCCATTCAAAGACAGCCCTCGGTGTCCTGGAATGGCCCCTGAAAAAAGCCTCCTGGAGCTTCCTATTGCAGCATGACACCTGCCCACCAATAGGGCAGGACAGCGGTGTGGCCAAGAGCCCCACTGACCAGGGCTTGAGTGGCGATTATACCACTAACTAGCTCCATGGCCTCTGCAAAACTCAGGGACCTCATGTGGAAAATGGTGTCATAATATCACCAGCTTATGCAAATCAATGCGAGGATTCTACAGATAAAAAAAATGAAGTTCTTAGCACTGCATCTGGCATGTTGGGAGTGCTCAGTAAATGTTAGTGTTATTTTCCTGACATTTTCACCCTGATTAAATGATTAGGCAGAGACTAATGCTTCTGGCCAAGTGTAGTAACAGAGATTGGATGTACCCTCCCAACCAACCAAAACAACAACAAAAAAAAGTATGAAGCAATGGTTTTCAGGCCATGAGACACCAGGCAGCAAAGGACAGACATTCCTGAGAGGAGGAAAACTAGCAAGGTGAGCCCTAACATTCCCCAAGCTTCTCCCATCGGGTGAGCTTCCAGGCTGCGGTGCAGGGATGGGGAACCCAGGTTGAGACCAATGGACTCCCCGAGTGGAGGAGACAGAGCCGAGTCCAGGGAAGCCAAGGCAGGAAGGTTCACAGGACACAACAGGAGAGAGCTGCACAGAGAGCTCTGGAGACATGCAGAGGGTCCCCTCCAGGCACTCAGCAAAGCAACAATTAGTGCATGTAGGCAGGGAAACGACTCAAGGCTGGGCAAAGAAGCACCCAAAAAGACTGGAGGAAGCAGCTCCCCGTGTTCACACAGGGTGGGTTGTTACTGCTCCTACCAGCCAGACGGGAAAATCTTAGAATTCACATGGCATCGGGTAAACTACTCAGAAGGGTCTTGCCTCCGTCATGGAAATAATTATCCCTAGACCAAACACTGATTTGAAATTTTTAAAAACAAGCTCTGAATAGATCAAAATGTTCCCAAGGAACTTAACTGCATCCCCGAACAAAGCTCAAGAATACTTTAGAAATGATCACAACAACAGCAAAAATCTAGCAACCAACAATATAAAATGTCAATGTCGGCCGGACATGGTGGCTCATGCCTGTAATCCCAGCATTTTGGGAGGCCGAGGCAGGCGGATCACTTGAGGCCAGGAGTTCAAGACCAGACCTGGCCAATGTGGTGAAACCCCGTCTCTACTAAAAATACCAAAGTTAGCCGGGCCTGGTGGCACACACCTGTAATTCGAGCTATTCAGGAGGCTGAGGCAGAGAATCACTTGAACCTGGGAGACAGAGGCTGCAGTGAGCTGAGATTGCACCACTGCACTCCAGCCTGGGCCACAGAGCAAGACTCCATCTCAAAAAATAAATAGATAAATAAAATGTCAATGTCTCACATCCAATCAAAACAGTCTACGCATGCAAAGGAGCATGAAAACATGACCCATGGGAAGAAGAAAGATCAATCAAAACTGACTCAGAATGGACATAGATGCTAGAATTGGCAGACAAGAACGTTTAAAACGTTATTACAACTTTGGCCAGGCAGGGTGGCTCACACCTGTAATCCCAGCACTTTGGGAGGCCAAGGCGGGTGGATCACCTGAGATCGGGTGTTCAAGACCAGCCTGACCAACATGGAGAAACCCCATCTCTACTAAAAATACAAAATTAGCCAGGCATGGTGGCACATGCCTTTAATCCCAGCTACTTGGGAGGCTGAAGCAGGAGAATCACTTGAACCTGGGAGGTGGAGGTTGCAGTGAGCTGAGATTGCACCACTGCACTCTAGCCTGGGCAACAGAGCAAGACTCTGTCTCAAAAAAATAAATAAATAAATAAATAAATAAATAAAAAGAAAAAAAAGAAAACTGCATTGGATAGAATTAATAGCAGGTTAGACATTGCAGAAGAAAAGATCAGTGAACATAAGGACATAGCAATACAAAGTATCCAAAACAAAACACAAAGAGAAAAAAATAATTTTAAAAAACTAACAGAGAATTAGTTTGGGAATAATGTCAAGCAGCCTAATATACATGTAATTGGAATCTCCAAAGGAGGAGAGCAGAGCAGAAATACTATTTGAAGAAATAATGGCTGAAAATGTTTCAAATTTGAAAGAAACCAGAAACCCACCAATTCAAGAAGCTCAATGAACCTCAAACACAAGAAACATATAGGCACATCCCAATCAAACTGCTTAACCCCAGTGAGAAGGAGAATATCCTGAAAGCAGCCTGAGGAAAAAGATATGTTGCATACAGAGAAACAAAGATTAAAATGACAGCCGATTTCTTAGGGGAAATGATTCAAGCAAGAAGACAGTGGATCAACATCTTTAAAGTACTGAAGGAACAAAAAATTGCCAACCTATGCAGTGAGCCCAGATTGTGCCACTGCACTCCAGACTGGGTGACAGAGTAAGAAGTGAGACTGTCTCAATAAATAAATAAATAAATAAATAAATAAATAAATAAATAAATAAAGTCAACCTACAATTCCATACAGTGAAATTTTTTTTTTTTTTTTTGAGAAAGGGTCTCACTCTGTCACCCAGGCTGGAGTGCAGTGGCACAATCTCGGCTCACTGCAACCTCCACCTCCCAGATTCAAATGATTCTTCCACTTCAGCCTCTGGAGTAGCTGGGATTACAAGAGTGCACCACCATGCCTGGCCAATTTGTTGTATTTTTGGTAGAGATGGGGTTTCACCATGTTGGCCAGGCTGGTCTCAAACTCCTGGACTCAAGTGATCCACCCACCTTGGCCTCCCAAAGTGCTGGGATTACAGGTGTGAGCCACTGCACCTGGCCCAGTGAAGTTATCTTTAAAAAAATAAAGGGAAGGATTCCAACTTCAGAAGTGATGAAGTAAGCGCATTCCACCCGGTCTCTCCCTCTGGACACAACTGTGACACCTGAACATACGCATAGACCAGTTATTGGAGGACTCTGAAAAGTAAATTGCAGCAGGCAGGTTGAGAAAGAAAACCAGATGTCAAAGTACCACCAAACTGGTGGTGATTTACCATTTTCTTCTCCAGGATCGCCTGGCCTGAACACAATGCAGTTTGAAAAACAAAGGTCGGTGCTGGCACAGAGAAATCTCCAGGGCAAGCCCTCTAATTCTGGTTCAAGAAACATGAAAGAGGCCTCCCAATGCTCAGGGAAAATATGGAAATTCCACATTTGTTCTATTCTCACACTCCAGCCCCCAATAAACCCTGTGACAGTGTCGGCAGAGACCCCAACAGGAACCCACAAGAGCTGAAACAGTAAGGGAGGAGAGCTTTCTCCCTGATTAGTGGATCTGCGATCCCAAGAGAGCACAGCAAACCTCATTGCTCTTTTCCCTCTTTCTTTTCTCCACCGTTTGACACTAGACAAGGACACACTCACAGAGGTGCATGTCAGAGCAGGGTCACTAGAGCCCTAGGTTTTTGGCCAAAGGACCAAAGTGGGCCAAAGTGTATCAGGACGATTGCAGAGCTGGAGAAGCTTCGGAAAGCAACCACCTAACATTACCTATAAATTCCTGGTCCTATCGCCACCCTGAAAGCTGCATGTGGCATGAATCTGACCCTAAACCGCACAGCAAAGACTTCAAGAACTGAACCACCTTTCGGCCCAAAGGCCCACTACTCAGTGGCGCACATGTGGGATGGACCTAAAAACTGCTCCAAAGGGCCGGGCGCGGTGGCTCATGCCTGTAATCCCAGCACTTTGGGAGGCCGAGGCAGGCGGATCATGAGGTCAGGAGATCGAGATCATCCTGGTTAACACGGTGAAACCCAGTCTTTACTAAAAATACAAAAAATTAGCCAGGCGTGGTGGCGGGCGCCTGTAGTCTCAGCTACTCCGGAGGCTGAGGCAGGAGAATGGAGTGAACCTGGGAGGTGGAGCTTGCAGTGAGCTGAGATCGTGCCACTGCACTCCAGCCTGGGCAACAGAGTGAGACCCCGTCTCAAAAAAAAAAAGTGCTCTGAAGGCACTGAAAACTGAGCTGCCCGTGGAAGCACAACCCACAGAAGGTGGGCAGAAACATGCAGCTGGAACTCAACTAAGTTTGCTGCTTGCTTAAACAAAAATCTCAACCTTTTCCAAAGGATTTAATGAAAGCTCAGAATCTCATAACAGAATATTTAAAATGTCCAGGATACAATCCAAAATTACACGGCATACAAAGAACCAGGAAAATCTCAATTCACACGAACAAAGACCACCATTGCCAATGAAAGGGTAACGTGAGTGTCAGGATTGTCTGACAAATACTTTAAAGCCACTGTTACAAAAATGCTGCAGCAACAATGGCACACTCCCCTAACACAAAAGGAAAAATAGAAAGCCTTGGCAGCACAGAGGATATGAGGAAGACCCAAAGGGAAATTTTAGAACTGAAAAATACAGCAACTGAAAATTTGTTTTAAAAACTTACTGGATGAGCTAAAAGGAGATCAGAAAATATAAATGAAAGAGTCAGTGAACTTGAAGCTAGATCAATAGGAATTGTCAATTCTTAACAGAGAGTATAATCATGAAAAAACAGAGATTCAGGAGCCCCTGGGATGATAAACGGAAAAAGGCCAAACATTTGTGTCCTCTGGGGTTGCAGGACGGGAGGAGTAAGAACGCAGTGCTGAAGCAAAATTTGAGGAAGTAATGGTATTTGGTGAAGCTTCCTAAATTTGGTGGAAGACAAATCTACAGATTGAAGAAACTGAGAGCCCTGCAAACAGGACAAACACAAAGAAATGCAGCTCTCCAGCTGGGTGCGGTGGTTCACGCTGGTAATCCCAGCACTTTGGGAGGCCGAGGCAGGCGGATCACCTGAGGTCAGGAGATCAAGACCAGCCTGGCCAACATGGTGAAACCCCATCTCTACTAAAAATACAAAAGAAATAGCCGGGTGTGGTGGCGCATGCAGCTACTTGGGAGGCTGAGGCAGAAAATCACTTGAACCTGGGAGGTGGAGGCTGCAGTGAGCTGAGATCGTGCCACTGCACTCCAGCCTGGGTGACAGAGCAAGACTCCATCTCAAAAAAAAAAAAAAAAAGAAAGAAAAAGAAAGAAAGAAATGCAGCTCTCCGCTGATCCAGATAATCCCCTCTGGCACTTATGAGATGGAAAATGACAACCACATAACGCAACACAACACAGCTCCCACGGCAGTTCCTGATGTAGCAGAAGCAGCAGAAACAGTAAATGGGCCCAAAAGGCAGCATGTGCAACGTCCCTTAGACCTTTTTATCTCCTTTTTTTTTTTTAATAGAGAGAGACAGGATTTTCCTCTGGCTGTGTTGCCCAGGCTGGTCTCCAACTCCAAGCCTCAAGCAATCCTCCCACCTTGGCCTCCCAAAGCACTGGGATATTACAGGTGTGAGCCACTATGCCTGGCCTCTTTTTTTTTTTCTTTACTGCAATTCTCTCTCAAACCCTATTAACTAAATTCAGCACTTCAAGAGCTATAGTTGGCCGGGCATGGTGGCTCACGCCTGTAATCCCAGCATTTTAGGAAGCTGAGGTGGGAGAATGGCTTGAGGTCAGGGGTTTGAGACCAGCCTGGCCAACATGGCGAAACCCCATCTCTACTAAAAATACAAAAAAATTAGTCAGGCATGGTGGTATGTGCCTGTAATCCCAGCTGCTCAGGAGGCTGAGGTGAGAGAATCACTTGATCCTGGGAGGCGGAAGTTGTAGTGAGCCGAGATCGCGCCACTGCACTTCAGCCTGGGCGACAGAGCAGGACTCTGTCTCAAAACAAAATAAAAAACAAAAACAAAAAAAAGAGTTATACTTGTAGCTTCCAGGAGACCACGTTACCTCCAGGCTGGGCAGAGGAGATGGAGAGGGGAACGGAACAGTCAAGAGATACTTTCCTCTTTGGCGCCTCGTCCCAGGGTCTGCCTCCTTGCCGGTGCTCCTCGCAGAATCCAGGGAGTGTCCTGGCTCAGAGCTCTTCCTGCCCCTCACATGCCACCAGAGCTTCAGCTGACTTTCCGTGGCACCTTTAGCCACCCCTGCAGGCAGTATCCCGTTCCTCCACGGGACCATGCAGGAGGGGGACTTGTGTGCCCACATCCAACAGAACTATAAACATCTGCATCCCTCTCCTCCCTGAAGTTCCCCAGGATATTTGGATGAGCGTGTAGGGCCTTTGGTTCCCGCTTGGGAACAGAGACCTTGATCTCCTCCCTAACCCTCACAATAGCTGAGGTCAGGCTGGAGGGGCATCAGTGAATCAGGGAGACGCAGAGGAAACATCTCCGTGCCATTGTGCGAGACTGACTTACTTTCAGGTTTGAGCGGCATGGCAGATGCCTGCGGCTCAACCATGGACGTCTGTGGCCCAGCTTTTGGCCCGACACAGCTTTAGGAAACACTTAATCCTTTCTCCTCCCACCTGGAGGAGAAGGCAACCAACAAACGAGCTTCTAATCTTTTCAGCCTCATCCCAAGCCCAGTATCAGCTGTGGGGACTCCAAGACCTTTTCTCCCCCAACTGGAGAAGAAAACAAACCCCAAATACGCCATTTAGGCTTCTAGTTGTAACCCCACATCCCAACATCCAGCGTTCATCTACTTCCCAAACCCTTGCTAATTAACAGACAACAAAGTCGGGGGCCACGTACCCCCATACCCCGCTGCTGACTATACGGTTTGGCCAATACATCTGCTACTAATTTCCATGGAGCTCTCTCAAGTTCTCACCAGCCCAGAGGACCCCCGTCTTTCTCTTTCAGTGGCTACCCTGTTTGCAAGCTAATCTGTTAACTTGCCAGTTTTACACGCACGTTGGGCAGAAAGGCACGAGATCCTTGGGCTAGAGAAACAAGACATTTATTACCCATAGCAAAAGCAGCATCTTAACAGCAGTTCCCCAGCCCCGATGCCCGCAGAGTGATGTGGCCAGACCAGGCTGCTCCCCACACGTGCAGAGGGTTCACCCCAAAGAGGAGCCCCAAAATTATGAGACTTGGGGCTTATATAGGGTGGCCGGCTTATCTGCCCACTGTCCCCTCCTGATACAGAGACCTTATCTCGACTCTGGAAGCAAACAAATCCTCTCTGAGCACGGGAGGGGAAGGCTTTTAGGTTGATTCATCGGGAATGTAAGTGAATGTCTTGCTACTCTATTAGTTTGACAATGCCCTTTGCTCAGACGGCCCGGACTGACCATGTGGAACTGTGAAATATTCATGGAGAATTGTCTCCCAACAACTGACTGATCTAAACGCTTCTTTTAGGAGCAATGTGTTTCTAGCTTTCAGATGGAGCCGAAGGAGCAGAGAGAGGCCACTTATTCCTGGGAGGAGCTTCTGCAGAAGCTGAGCGTAGGGAGTCACCCAGTGACAGCTCCATGGACAGATGGAAGCTGCTAGAGGGACCTCAGGAGAATGGAACGGCCCCGGCTGGAAATGGGCTGGACTCTGAGACCAAGGTGATTGCTAGTCCTCTTTCTTGCGGGGAAGGAATTGCAGCCTGCATGGGTAGAGGTCCCCATGTGGCCTCACCCTTGGGGCAGGAGGGAGTGGTCCCTGCATCCAGTGTAGCCCACAGAGCCACAGGACACTGAACCACTCTCCAGGTGAGCTGAGGCTGCAGAGCCTGGCGGCCATCGGGACCATGTGGCTAACAAGTCACCTCTGCCTCCTGGAACAGAAAATGCCCTCGGGGACATTCTCCACTGTGCCCTACAAGAGCAGGGCTCCCAGAGTTGGGCAGGCTGGGTTCAAATCCCAGCTGTGTTTTGCCGGCTTTGTGACCTTGGGTGAATCTCCGCCTCTCTCTGTGCCAGTCAAGTGGGGAATGGCAGTGCCACTCAGGCTGTCCGAGTCCCTGAAGCACCTTGGACACTGTTTGGTACCCAGAACCCAACAGCCCAGTGGCTGTGAAGAACAATGGACCTGCCTCAGCTTCTCAAACCCAAAGGTGCTGCTCAAATCCCAGCCAGCCCTCTACACACTCAACCACCACATCCCCTCCGCCCCTCCGTTCCTCCCAGAAGGAACAAAATCAGCTGTTTCCATCTGCCGGGGTTGCTGCAACAATGCACCACACACTGGGGGGCTCAAGCAACAGGAGTCTGTCCTCTCCCAGGCCTGAGGCCAGAAGCCCAAGGTCCAGGCATGTGCAGGGCTGCTACCTCCTGAGGCAGGAGGGAGAGGCTGTCCCGGGCCCCTCTCCAGCTCCCGGGGCTGCTGGCAACGGCAGCACTACCTGGCTCACAGAGGCTTCGCCACGGTGTCTACCTCCATCTTCACCCGGCACCCTCCCTGTGTGTGAGGTGTGTGTGTGCGTGTGTGTGGTGTGTTTGTGTGTGGTGTGTGTGTGGTGTTTGTTGTGTGGTGTGTGTGGTGTGGTGTGTTTGTTGTGTGTGTATTGTGTGTGTGTATTGTATTGTGAGTTTTGTATTGTATGTGTGTGTTGTGTGTTGCATATGTGGTGTATGTGTTGTGTTTGTCGTGTGTATTGTGTGTGGTGTGTTCGTGTGTTGTGTGTGTGGTGTGTTGTGTGTGTGGTGTACGTGGTGTGTTGTGTGTGTGCTGTATGTGGTGTGTGGTGTGTGTGGTGTGTTTTGTGTGTATTGTGTTTGTTGTGTGTTGTGTGATGTGTGTGGTGTGTATGTGCTGTGTTTGTTGTGTGTGATGTGTGTTGTGTGTGTGATGTGTGTTGTGAATTGTTTATTGTGTGCATTGTGTGTAGTGTATTGTGTGTGTTGCATATGTGTGGTGTATGTGTTATGTTTGTTGTGTGTGTTGTGTGTGGTGTGTGTGTTGTGTGGTGTGTGTGTGGTGAGTTGTGTGGTGTATGTTGTGAGTTGTGTATTGTGTGTAGTTGTGTGTTGTGTGTTGCATGTGTGGTGTATGTGTTGTGTTTGTTGTGTGTATTGTGTGTGATGTGTTCGTGTGGTGTGTGTATGTGTGTGGTGTGTGTGGTGTGTGGTGAGTTGTATGTTGTGAGTTGTGTATTCTGTGTATGTGTGTGTTGTGTGTGTTGCATGTGTGTTGCGTGTGTTGTGTGTGTGTGTATGGTGTGTGTGTGTGGTGTGTGTGGTGTGTGTGATGTGTTCATGTGATGTGTGTTATGTGTATGTTGTGAGTTGTGTATTGTGTGTAGTTGTGTGTTGTGTGTTGCATGTGTGGTGTATGTGTTGTGTTTGTTGTGTGTATTGTGTGTGATGTGTTCGTGTGGTGTGTGTATGTGTGTGGTGTGTGTGGTGTGTGGTGAGTTGTATGTTGTGAGTTGTGTATTCTGTGTATGTGTGTGTTGTGTGTGTTGCATGTGTGTTGCGTGTGTTGTGTGTGTGTGTATGGTGTGTGTGTGTGGTGTGTGTGGTGTGTGTGATGTGTTCATGTGATGTGTGTTATGTGTATGTGTGTGGTGTGTGTGGTGTGGGTGTGTGTGGTGTGTGTGGTGAATGTGTGTAGTGTGTGTGGTATCGTGTGTGTATTGTGTGTGGTGTGTATGTGTGGTGTTTCTGGTGTGTGTATGTGTGTGGTGTGTGTGGTGTGGTGTGTTGTGTGTGGTGTGAGTTGTATATTTGTGTACTCGTGTGTTGTGTGTTGTGTGTTGCATGTGTGGTGTGTGTACGTGTTGCGTTTGTTGTGTGTGTTGTGTGTGTGGTGTGTGGTGTGTGTATGTAGTGTGTGTGGGGTGTGTGGTGTGTGTTTCTTTTGTGTATTGTGTGTAGTGTGTTGTGTGTGTTGCATGTGTGTGATGTATGTGTTGTGTTTGTGTATTGTGTGTGGTGTGTGTGGTGTGTGATGTGTATGTGGTGAGTTGTGTGTTGTGTTGTGAGCTGTGTATTGTGTGTATTTGTATGTTGTGTGTTGCGTGTGTGGTGTATGTGTTGTGTGTATTGTGTGTGGTGTGTGTTGTGTGTGTGTTATGTGTATGTTGTGTGTTGTGTGTTCGTGTTCTGTGTGTATCTCCAAATCTCCTCCTCACATAAGGACCCCACCCCACCGGCTTGGGGCCCACTCCAATGGCTTCGTTTAACTTGCTTGCCTCTGAAAGGCTGTTTCCAAATGAGGTCACGCCCATGGGTCCTGGGGGTTAGGACCTTCCACACATAGATTTGGGGGACACAACTCATGCTCGTGTGTCCATTTCTTGCTCCCTGCTGTACCAGTCCTGCGTACAGTTTTTAGGACACAGACGGCTCTTCCTGGGTGCATCTGGAGGTCTAGCAGAGCAGGGGCTGGGGAGGGCCGGCGATGGGCGTCCCTGTCCAGGCACCTCTGAGGCCAGCAGATCCAGGCACATCACAAGTGAAGCCCAGGTGGGCTCGCCCCCTGCCATCACACGGCCTGGCAGCCACATGCACTACAGCTTCCGCACATCTGCTGAGGAGGAGCAGGGCAGAAGCTAAGTTCCCAAATTGTCGTGGTTCTAATTTCCCTCACCAAGAAAAACAAAACCAGCAGGCAATTGCTCCCTCGTTATTCTCTGCTCACTGTATTTTTCTCTGGTTCTTGGTATTACCCACTGTGCCAGGAACTGCACCAGAGGGCAGCCTTTAGTACCCCAGTGACTCGCAGCTGGGCCCAAACATGACCCCGAAAGCGCAGCAGACCCATTGGGGGAGCCAGGAGTGGGTTCCCCCTCAGGTCTGCTGGCCAAGACCACAGACAGGCATTCAGAGAGGTCCCTGGCTGTACAGCCAGACGTACTGTTGGTGGGAACTTAATAAACTGAAGCATGAAATATTTATCCACTTACACCCGCTTAAGTAATTTAAGTTTGCTAGAAATCAACATCATGTTTTCATATTTAATGAGCCTTCTGTGAAGCAGCCTCTTCTGTCACTGGCAGGTGTTGGGGGCAGGAGCTTCCACAGCCAGATGCAATTTTAATCTCCCTCCACAAACAATGCTGAATAATGCACCAGGTTTGCAAGGACTTTGCCTGAAGCTGTGGGGAAGGTTGGGCCCTTTAGCCCAGGCAAGCCTGGCATTTGCCACAGAGGTTCAGAGTCTGGTGCCTCCTCCCTGGTCCCCTATTCTCTCTGAACACGGAAGAATGCTGGATGTCTATTAAGCAGAGCTCACAGGGCTGTGGCCAGCTGAATCATGACCCCAAAGATGTTAATTCTGTGTGTCAACTTAACTGGGCCAAGGATGCCCAGATAGCTGATAAGGCCTCATTTCTGGGTGTGTGTAGGAAGGTGTTTCTGGAAGAGATTAGCTTTTGAATCAGTGCACCGAGTGCAGAAGACCTGCCCTCACCCATGTGGGCAGCATCCAATCTCCTGAGGCCCTGAGTAGAACGCAAAGGCAGAGGAAGGGGGAATCCATTCTCTCCTTGAACTGAAACATCCATCTTCCGCTGGCCCAGGACATCACAGCTCCTGGTCTCAGGCCTTCAGACTTGGGGACTTATGCCAGTGGCCCCCACAGATCTCAGGCTTCGAGTCTTGGACTCACTACCCGGGCTTCCCTGGGTCTCCAGCTTGCAAACAGCAGCTCATGGGACTTCTCAGCCTCCATCATCATGTGGGCCAGTTCCCACAGCAAATCTCCTCTTATATGTCTAGATAGATAGATAGATAGATAGATAGATAGATAGATAGACAGACAGACAGACAGACAAGACTGACTGATTAGATGATAGACTGATTGATTAGATAGATGATAGATGATAGATGGATCCAGATAGATAGACAGACTGACTGATTAGATAGATAGATAGATCCAGATAGATAGATGATAGATAGATCCAGATAGATGATAGATAGATAGATAGATAGATAGACAGACAAGACTGACTGACTGATTAGATAGATGATAGACTGATTGATTAGATGATAGACAGATAGATGATAGATGGATCCAGATAGATAGATAGACTGATTGACTGATTAGATAGATAGATGACAGATAGATCCAGATAGATATAGATAGATAGATAATACTGATTGATTGATTAGATAGTAGATAGATAGATAGATAGATAGATAGATAGATAGATAGATCCAGGTAGATAGATAGATAGATAGATAGACTGACTGATTAGATAGATGACAGACAGATAGATGATAGATAGGTAGACTGATTGATTAGATGATAGACTAGATAGTAGATAGATAAGATAGATAGATGATTAGATAAAAGATGATAGATTGACTGACTGACTAGATGATAGATTAGATACATTACATATATACATAGATAAGATAGACTAGATTGACTAATTGATCAATTGATATATTAAGTAGATTGATTAGATACATGATAGATGATATATTAGACAGCTAGATAGATAAAGATAGATTACATAGATAATGATTGATAGATGGATGGATGAATGGATGGATGAATAGATGGATGGATGGATGGAAGGATGGTTGGATGGATGGACAGATAGGCAGATAGATAGATACATAGATAAGATAGATTACATAGATAATTACAGATAGATGGGTGGATGGATGGATGGGTAGATAGACAGATGATAGATAGATAATAGAGGTGTATAGAGATATAAACGTATATATTCTGTTGGTTCTATTTCTTTGGAGAACTTCGACTAATGCAGGAAGATTTTCCTGGATTGTCTGGGTGGGCCCAATGTGGTCCCGAAGCGTCCTTCTGAGAATGAGGCAGGGGGCAGAGTGTGAGAGAAGACGCTGCATGCTGGCTTTGCAGATGGAGGAAGGAGCCGTGGGCATGCAGGCAGCCTGGAGAAGCTGCAAAAGGGAAGGAAATTGATTGTCCCTCAGTCTCCAGAAGGAACAGGCCCCTGAGGACCCATTTTAGACTTCTGACATGCAGACCACGGGAGGAAAGATGTGTATGGCTTGCAGCCACTGAGCTGCCGGTGATTTCTTTTGGCAGGAATGAGGGGAAATGAATGCAGTGACTTCTTTTCCAGCTTTCCCCCAACCATTGGTCAACACTGGCCACACGGGATCCCTACAAAGCCTGGCTTCAAACTCTCCCCCACCACTTCTTAGCTCTGTGGGCAGGTGGCTTGTCCTCTCGGTGCCCGAATTCACCTCCAAAATTAGGACAACACAGCGTTCTCTGTGAAGGGTGCCCTGGAGCTGCCAACAGCCCTCCAGTCAGGGCTGCATGAGGATGGCATGCACTGATACGTTAGACACGGAAGGCACTGGCCACGGTGCCTGCACAGAGGACACTCAGGCCACAGGAGAGCCACTCCACAGTTGCATGACCCTGTGTCAGAGGAAAGACGAGCTAGACCAAAAGCAGCTCCCACATCCCAGGTAGGAAAACTTAAGGCTGCAGGGTGTGGACCTGCTGCTGAGTGAAGGGAGGCTTTGGGCTGGCAAAGCCATATATGGGACTCATGTGACATAACAGCCTTGGGGGGACAGAAAGAAGGCAGAGATGCCTCCACCTCCCAATCACAGCACCCACCTCAGAGAAGAGAGCCAAGCTCCCCCGGAAATTCCAATTCCTGCATCCAGCATTCCGTGCGCCGGCAGAGACATGGCCCTGGCTGGGCCCTGGCAAGGACACCAGGAATGAAAATCAACCCCTGCCCTCCAGAAAAGACCAAAGCCTGGAGGCAGGAAAAGCCTTCAGCAACGTACCGAGGTCACCTGTGCGGCAGGCACTCCCTCCCAAAGCAGGAGCAAGGCACCGGGGTCACCTGTGCGTCGGGCACTCCCTCCCAAAGCAGGAGCAAGGCACCGGGGTCACCTGTGCGTCGGGCACTCCCTCCCAAAGCAGGCCCAGGTAGGGTGGCAGGCCAGATCCCACCTCCCCAGAGGGCTGGGACAGGTTTCCCAAAAGAGACAGTGATGGAGCTAGGTTTGGTGAGCATTAAGCACCTTTGAGGTACGTGGCACCTGGTTACAAGCCGTTGGGACTTAGGAAAGGACTCCAGATGGTCCCAGCTAAGAAAGGCATTTGTCATCTGGTTGGAGGGAGATGTTGCACAAACCACTATGAGTCAGGAGATGAGTGAGCAGGTGCTGAGGGCCACCCAGGGTGGCGGGGCTGGAGGGAGGGATGGAGCAGATTGAGAGGCCCTTTAGGAAGCACACAGACATGATTTATGCAGCAGCTGAGTTGCTGATGGGCCGGGAAGGGAGGGACTGCCAAGGGACTCCTCTGGCCCTGGCTGGGGTATCTGGGAGAACAGAGCACCCTCAGTCAGGGGAGGGGTGCGGCCAGGGCCAGGACCAGGGTCAGGGCCAGGGAGTGCAGCTGTGAACCTGGCTTGAAGCTGTGGACTTTGGAGGCAGGCAGCTCACTGGGAAGACAGTTTTCATTAAGAACAAACCAGACAGAGGCTGCCAAGTGGCTGAAACCCCCCTGAAAGAGCAGACCACATTCCTCCCGCCGGCTCAGAACTGAATCCTCCCCATCCCTTGTTCTTCTCCTGGGTGCTGACAGCTGGAGGAGTTACCTGTCATTCTCCCGCCCACACTGGCAGGCAAGGCCAGGCACGGGGGCGCTGCTTAGCAAAGCATTGGGAGGATTTGCAGGGGCACCTGCCTGGTGGGGGTGGGTGCACCTGAGTTAAGACCATCGCTGGGCAGGGAGGCAGGGACCCTGGGAAGGAGGAAGGAGGCCACGGGGTTAGGTCCTCACATGAATCCACCTGGGTGGGCTCCCCACCTCGGCCCGCAGGTCCGCCTCTCCAGCAAAAAGCCCTCAGGAGGGCCAGCTTCAAAGGGGCCCCATCAGGAAGCCCATCCATGGCTCAGCCAGCGCTGTCAGAGTGTCTGTAATGACTTCAAACTTTTTCTTAATCCCTCAGACTCTGCAAGTTCCTTACATAATCCATCCGTCTATCACCAGGGAAGCATGGAGTGCAATGAGAAGGACTGTCCCCAAATGACCCTGGACCCCATGCCAGCTGAGACAGCGGCTCCCCTTCTCCCAGCAAACAGACTCCTCCCAGGCTAGGGGGCCAAAAACTTCACAGGCCCGGGGCCTCAAGTGCGGGCAACTGTCATTTCCAGACACCGCCTAGTGCCAAAAAAATGACCAAGCTGATTTCTCCCATGTCCCCGTGGAAAGTTGGAATGACAGGGGTGGTGCCATCTCCCCTCTGGGACACAGGCCCGCCCGGCACACCCCTCTGTCCATGGCTTGACCCCAGGCCTGTGTCTGTCTCTCGTTCCTCCCGTGAGGTCCACCCACTGACTCACATTGTGTGATGTCGAGGAATTGGGCCCAGACCCTGGCGTGTCACTGGGAAGCGTGAGGAGTGGGGGAGCAGAAGGCCCACCTGGCAGGACACAGATCCTGATGGGCCCCAGGGCTGTGATCCAGAGAAGGTTCAGGACGAGGTGTCCTGGAGGGTGCTGGTGCCGAGGGCCAGGGCCTGGGGTAAGCTGCTTAACCCCTTCGTGCCTCACTTTCCTCACGACAGGGACTGGCCATGTGTGAGCCCTGGTGTGTGCCAGATACAGTTCCAGGCGCTTCACAGCCTCTGCTCCTTTCCCCTGGAAGGGCCTTATGGAGGCAGAGCCAGCATTTAGTTGATTAGGGAGCCGGGCCACGGTTCATCCCAGGTCCCCAAGGAGCCAGTGGCAGAAACGGGACTTGAGTGGCGGCGTCTGGCTGCACTGCCTCTCAGAACAGCAGTGACGACTCCACTGTGTCCCTGCAAAGACTCGAGGAGATTAAAGGGTGCAGAAGGCCGGGAATTATGGCTTAAAAGGTCAAGTTCTGGATAAAACTCAAGTACAGCTACCGTGGGAAGGATAAAGGATGGGAGGAGGCATCTCCAGATACGGTGAATCTGGTAATGGACGGAGATGAATTGAGAACTAGGACACCGCTGTTTTGCAATGCCCAGTGGGTGAATGGATCATGGCAGCCCTGTTGGTTTCTGTGACCAAGTCCCACAGATGGAGTGACTCAGAACCACAGAAAGGTATTCTCTCGAAGTCCTGGAGGCCAGAAGTCAAACCCAGGCGTTGGCAGGGCTGGCTCCTTCCAGAGGCTCTAAGGGAGAATCTGTCTCCCAGCCTCCAGTGTCATCAGTCACCCATCCTTGGCATTCCTGGGCTCACGGAGGCACCACCCTGACCTCCGCCTTGACCTCTGCCCTGACCTCTGCCTTCACGTGGCATTCTCCCTGTGAGTGCATTGCTGCATCTTCTATGTGTCCAAATTTGCCTCTTTTATAAGGACACCAGTGACTGGCTTAGGGCCCAGCCTAAGCAAGTATGATCTCATCTTGATTGTATCTGCAAAGACCCGATTTCCAAATAAGAGCCTGTTCACAGGTGCCAGGGGTTTGGACTTGACATCTCTTTTTAGTGGACACAGTTACACCCACTACAGCTGCTACCATCAAAAAAGAATGAAACCAGACATTATTACATGCCTCCTGATGACAGAAACCAGCACCATCTACAATCTTGTCAAAAGGACCAAAGTGAGGCAGGAGAATAGGGTCTAGAGGCAGGGAACCTAAGGCTGATTTGCACTGACTTTCTAGAACTGAATCAAAAGGAAAACCCCAATTTTCCACACCCAAGTAACAAGAGAACAAAAGCTCCTCCCTTTGCCACCACCCCCTTTTCTATATCGTAGATGAGAAATGGAAAGTAGCTCTGATTGGTCCCCTCCTGCAACCAATCAGACTGGTCACGGGTCTAGTCTTCATTTGCATATGGGTATAACTTTGTAACTTCACTTCAGCCTCTGATTGGTCCCCTCCCACAACCAACCAGGTGTTTGCATAAGGTGTAATTTCGTAACTTCAGTTCAGCCTGTAGTTGGTCGCCTTGTGCAACCAATCAGACTGGTTGCAGGTCGCTACTTCATTTACACAGGGTGTAAACCAGGTAACCAATGGGAAACCCCTCAAGGCTATTTAAACCCCAGAAAATTCTGTAACCAGCACTCTTGAGTGGCTTCCTGGAGGCCGCTCCCACTCTGTGAAGTGCACTTTCATTTCGGTAAATCTGTGTTTTCGTTGCTTCATTCTTTCATTGTTTGTTTGTGCATCTTGTCTAATCCTTTGTTCAAAATGCCAAGAACCTAGATGACTCGTAATCAAGACCCTCTACTGGTAATGAAGGCAGAGTCCGATGCAGCCTCCGGTTCCAGCTGCCCCTTGCCAGGAAGTGCGGAGGACAGAGGAACATGGTAGCACCCCGCAGAGGCCTCAGCAAAGCCTCAAGGATGGCATCTCTACAGCCAGATGTGGGGCTCGTCATCAGATAAAGCTTGAGGAAAAGAAAAGCATGGGCAGGAAACCAAGTTCCCTCTCTCGATGTGGGTGGTGGTTTCAGGGATGTCTGCCTTATCATAATCCATTAAGCCAAATATTTGTTAGTGTAGTTTTCTGTGTGTGTGTTTTACTTACAATGAAAAGATTTCAAAAGTTAACTAGGGAACTGGTTTTCTCAAGGAGGGAAAAGGGAAGACAAATAATAAAAACATTTAAAAATTTTTAAGCTGTTGTAATTATTATTAAAAATTATCATCGTCTTCACCATCATCCTTCTATCCTTTCACAAATATTCTCAAAGAGCTCCAAGTGCCCAGCACTGTGCTGTATGCCAAGAATTCGATGATGAAAAAAACAGGTGCCCTCGTGAAACTTACCACCTGGCGTGGGTGGGCAGTGAGCAGGGAACAATCTGTCCACACGAGAAACACACAAGTGACCACATTACTCCAGCGCAAGCAGCACGAGGGTGAAAAGGGGACCCTGAGTCTGGATATTGAACCAGAAGAGTCTCCAATTCCACTGATGGCAGAACGGCTCCTGCATGTGTCTGAAGGATGGGGCTAAACACTAGGAAGAATTAAAAGTAGTAACGGTGCCACCAGCCAGCCTCTGCTGACCCACAGCCATGGCGCAGGCCCTCTACTAAGGGCCTGAGATGGATATCTCATTCAATTCTCATAACAATCCCAGTCCCACACATGAAAAAAACAACAGCAAGAACTGCTAGCTGGTGTCATAAGACATTTTTTAACAGACGTTTGAAGTGCTCATTTTAATGAGTTTTGACAACTGTATACACCCATGTAATCACCACCCAAAAGAAGAGGTAAAGCTGGATTTTTTCAGCCCTAGAAAGGTTTCTGAGTCCCCATTCCAGTCCATCACCTCCCCGTCAGAGGCCAGGGCTTGCATGTTGAGAAATGATCGAGGCAGCTTTAAGAGGCCTTTCTGTCATAATCTGGCTGTACCTTTCCCTAAAGCAGGGGCCAGAGCTGGGCACAGTGGCTCATGCCTGTAATCCCAGCATTTTGGGAGGCCGAGGCGGGTGATCACTTGAGCCCAGGAGTTCGAGACCAGCCTGGGCAACATGATGAAACCCCATCTCTACAAAAAATACAAAAATTAGCCATGTGTGGTGGTGGCATGCACCTGTATCCCCAGCTACATAGGGGCTGAGGGCCAGGGATCACTTGATCCCAGGACATCGAGGCTGCAGTGAGATACTGCACTCTAGCCAGGGTGACAGGGTGAGAAAAAGAGAGGGAGAGGGAGAGAAAAAGAGAGGGAGGGAGGGAAGGAAGGGAGGGAGGGAAGGAAGGGAGGGAAGGGAGGGAGGGAGGGGGGAAGGAAGGAGGGAAGGAAGGAAGGAAGGAAGGAAGGAGAGAAAAAGAGGGGAAGGGGGAGGGAGGGAGGGAGGGAAAGACAAAGAAAAGAAGGAAGGGAGGGACGGAGGGAGGGAGTGAGAGGGAGAGAAAAAGAGAGGGAGGGAAGAGGGAGGGAGGGAGGAAGGAAGGAAGGAGGGAAGGAAGGAAGGAGAGAAAAAGAGGGGAAGGGGGAGGGATGGAGGGAAAGACAAAGAAAAGGAAGGAAGGGAGGGAGGGAGGAGGGAGGGAAGGGAGGGAAGGAGGGAAGGAGGGAAGGGGAGGGAGGGAGGGAGGAAGGAAGGGAGGAAGGAAGGGGAGAAAAAGAGGGGAAGGGGGAGGGAGGGAGGGAAAGACAAAGAAAAGAAGGAAGGGAGGGAGGGATGGAGGGAGAGAGGGAAGAAGGAAGGGAAGGAAGGAAGGGAGGGAGGGAGGGGGAAGGAGGGAGGGAGGGCGGGCTGGTGGGCAAGCGAGCTAGTTGCTATTTCCAATGCCCTTGGAACTTCAGTGCCCATTGTCAGCCTGAAACCTGCAGAACAGAGCAGGGGAAAGTGCCAGCCAGTGAATACCTGAGGACGGGGGCATGGGTGGCCATGACATGTAGATATGCAGAGTGCACCCAGCCCCATGGCATTCATAGGGTGAGGGGCCCAGAGACCAAGACAGCCCAGGGCTGCAGGCTGGGAGAAGATACCTAGAGCAAGTCCTGGAAATGGAGCTGGTCCTGCGTGGTTAAAGTGCCTCAGGGACTGGACAACTGGGCATTTTTATCACTCCATGGAACTGGGGGCAGCCCCTTGTCGTGCATGGGAGGGGGCTTGCACTGGGTCTTTCCCCATAGGCCTCCTGATCCCTGGGATGTGAGTAGCCACTGTTGCCAATGCTCACTAACCCTAGGCTCCCTGATGTCCCCGACACCTTGCCAACCTGGGCCTTCATCACCAGGCAAAGTGGCCAGAGAGAGAATGTGGATGTCTCAGGAGACGGCCTGTGTGCCCACTCATGAAGAATCGTTTCCTGGAGCAGGGCAGAGCATCCCCTTCCACCGCCACTGTCCTTGAGAAAGGGAGGGTTCCAGACGCAGATGACTTTCAGCCCCTATCTGGAAAAGGGAAAAGACTGTCCCCACAACAGCAGCTGGCACTGTGGGCTGGGGTGAAATGGCAGCATTTGCTGGCCTCCACTGGTGGCCTTCCGGGCACACAAAGGTTTCCTCTGAACCAAGCAGGGGACCCACATGAGCAGCAAAGCCACAAATAGCACTGGGGAGGGCGAGCCCTTTGTAGCGGGTGAATTGCCAATAAAGGTCTGGAGGTGGGAAGGAAGCAACCAGGGTGTCCTGCTGGGAGAATGAGATGCCCTCAGGCACCCTGTCCTCCAGCGCCGCTCGGAACAGCCCTCTGCCTGGCAAGTCCGGGGGTGGTGATCCTGGAAATAAATCCCCTACGCTATTAACCCGGGAGGGCTCTTGGTCTTCTCTGTCTGGTCACGACCTGCCATCACTCCAGCATTCAGGGCCGTTTGCAGCCAGTGTTTTGGATGAGAATTTGACCTGGAATTAGCTCCAGGGTTTCCTGGGAACTCTACTGCGTGAACACAGCGAAGCGCCTCTGCAGGTTGTTTTTCGTCCCCCATGAGCAGAAACACATGAGCTTATTCCAAAAATAAGAAGGTTACGTGCTGACTCCCCACCCCCAGGCAAAGACTTCTACGTTATCCAGGTGTTTTCTGTGGCTCCCTTACAAGGCAGCTCTTCACAAAGAAAGCCTGCCTCAGAGATCTGCCCGAGCCTGGCTCTGTGGGATGTGAGGCTCCATCATATTTGCAAAGCGGCCCTGTATTAGTCCATTTTCACACTGCTGATAAAGACATACCCGAAACTGGGCAATTTACTAAAGAAAGAGATTGAATGGACTTACAGTTCCACGTGGCTGGGGAGGCCTCACAATCATGGCGGAAGGCAAGGAGGAGCAAGTCACATCTTACATGGATGGCAGCAGGCAAAGAGAGAGAGCTTATGTGGGGAAACTCCCCCTTATAAAACCATCAGATCTCATGAGACTTATTCACTATCATGAGAACAGCATGGGAAAGACCTGCCCCCATGATTCAATCACCTCCCACCAGGTCCCTCCCACAACACATGGGAATTCAAGGTAAGATTCGGGTGGGGACACAGCCAAACTATATCGGGTCCCCTTTGGAATGCCAGTGTCCCCATTCACCTTTGCATCCTCCAACTTGGCCTGGCTAGCTCCAAAGAGTGGATGACCATAAGCCAGAGGAAAGGAGGGAAAGGAGAATTCAACCTGTTGAGCCCCATCTATGAGTACATGCCCATCCTGGAGCAACACATGACACATGCCTTGTCACAGAAGGAGGCACAGTAGGCTTCGATGTCTGGGTACCCAGCACACACTTTCCCTACCCTGGGAACCACCCATGCCCCTCTGGCATAGGGGTAACCTCAGGATGGAGCCAACTCCACCCAGCTCCAGTGCAGGCCTGACCCATCAGCTCCGGCAGTCCCCTGGAACCAATGGCAGGGCACAGGACCTCGTCAGAGACCAGGGACCACAGACACACTCCCAGGTGGCTGGAATCTGGGAGGATGCGGGCCCTGGGCTTCGGCCATGTCTTGCCCCGATCTGGAACTTGGGACTGAAGCCCACGAGGAGGTGACAAGAACCAGAGAGGGAGGCTAGACCCCAGGATTTGCAGTTATGAGGCTAGACCCCAGGATTTGCAGTTACGAGATCTGAAGTCCTTTCTTTGGCTTCAGCCGATTAGGGTTGCTTCTCCTCATCACCTGCAACCCAGAGAGCTAGAATAGATACAGCCCTGCTGTCAGATAAGGGAACCGAGGCTCAGAGGGACCAGGCAATGCAATCAGGTTTGTGCCGCTGTTTACCTGCAGAGCTGAGCTTAAAACTGGAACTCAGTAAGAAAGAATTTAAAATGCTGCCAATTAAACTTTAACACAATGCTTTCTTATTATCTATAATTTTATTTTAAAATGTGTTATGCTTTGGGAGGCCAACGTGGGAGGATCATTTGAGCCCAGGAGCTCAAGGCTGCAGTGAGCTGGGATTGCACTGCTGCACCCCAGCCTGGGCTACAGAGCAAGACCCTGTCTCTTAAAAAAAAAAAAAATTACTTAAAAAATTTTTATAGACTTAGAAGGCCTTGGTTTTTCTTTTCTTTTCTTTTCTTTTTTTTTTGGCATCCTAATTTCTCTCATTATACACACAGAAAAGAGGAAAACATAAGTAAAATAAGTCTCTGTTGTTTCTTTTTTTTTTCTTTTTTGAGACAAAGAGTCTCGCTCTGTTGCCCAGGCTGGAGTGCAGTGGCGCACTCTTGGCTCACTGCAACCTCTGCCTCCCAGGTTCAAGCAATTCTCCTGCCTCAGCCTCCCGAGTAACTGGGATTACAGACACATGCCGCCACGCCCAGCTAATTTTTGTATTTTTAGTAGAGACGGGGTTTCACCATGTTGGCCAGGCTGACCTCCAGTGATCCACCTGCCTCGGCTTCCCTCCCAAAGTGCTGGGATTACAGGTGTGAGCCACCGTACCCAGCCAATCTCTGTTATTTCTGAATGTCCTCACCATCAGAGCCCCCTTCACCTGAGCATCTCTGACTTAGAGTGCCAATGTCCGTGAGCCCCTACGCAGCATCACCCTCTGGGTCGTCGTCGGGAGCCATGAGATGGGGCACTCCTGCTAAGAGGGGCCCACTGCTGTGTCTTCCAAGCTGCTGATGCCCACTCCAAGTATGAATGCTGGTATCTTCTAGAGCAAGTTGAGGGAGGGTTTTCTGCAACAACAAGAACCCCTACTCCTTCCTCAGTTGGTCCGTACGTGGTTTGTGGACTGGGGTGTTGAGGCTGCAGTTATCCACACGGCACCAGGAATAACCACCAAGTTCATACGCGATTAGAGATTTCATATGCTGAGATTGTTTTTTTAATTCACATGTGAGCAGACAACGGCAACTGCAGCCCGGATGCCACACTTGCTGTCAGATGCATCCCAATTCAGAGACGCTGGGGTGGGAAAGGGTACGTGTCAGATTCTATGAAACAGATCAGAACGCGCACCCCGCTCTGGAGTTTGCAGAGCACTTACTCATTCATTAACTATCTCATTCGATTTCAAACACATCAATGAAAAGTATTTTTATCTGTACTTTACTGTAGGGATCGGAGATCCGGAAGCTATGTATTCCCTGGCCACATAGCTACTGCGTGGCAGGGCCCAGATCCAAGCCCAAGCTTTCTGCCTCCAGAGCCGACATTCTGTTTAAAAATCAGGGAAATACCAAAGTGGAGGAGAGAAAGTTGGCGGCTTTAAAATGTGATATTAAAAACTATCTGTTGTCAAGGTCTTGAGGGGACCCAAATAACATCACCCTTCTTCCCACCCGAGTTCTGGACCGAATAAGAAACAAGACAAATGCGTCTGCAGATGGAGAACCAAAGTCTCTGTTGTCACGGGTGAGGCAAGGCAGGCCATGCAGCTCTGCAGGAGAGCCAGGTGGGCTCCTGCCCCACAGCAGACCAGTTGGAGGCTGAACTGGCAGGACAGACACACTCACCACCCGCTGCCCCACCCCGATCCAGCCGAGAGGGGACGAGGAAGAGATGGGATGCCTTCAGCACACAGCCTGGCGTATTTTGCCTGAATCCACCTGGCAAGGGTGGACCATGGGCTGTCACCCACCAGGAAGTTCTCTCTGCCACCGAGGGGAGGGAGGGAGGGCCAGGGGCCACAGTGTCCCAGGTGGGTGTCCTTCACTGGGAGGGAACATCAGGAGTGCACAGTAAACACCCCACCCAACCCCACACGGTTCCTCTTGGTTCTAGGGCTATCAGAAGGCTTCATCTCGGGAGAGCTGCTCTCCTGTTTGGTGGGAACCCCGCCCGTGGCCTTAGGATGACACGGAGATGATGCCCAGAGCCTGCTGTGAACTCAGGGAGGCTGAGACAGAGGAGCTCAGCTGCTCTGTACAGCGATCATCATGTGGCCCAGTCCAGATTCACTCAAGAAAGCAGTCAGTCACTCTACGGATTTCAGGAAAGGGGGTTCCATATGAGAATGAAGGTTTTTATAACTGTGGGGGTGGCTAGGGGAGGGAGGTCTGGAGTGGGGGTGGTCACTAACTCGTCCACCTGAAGCCTGGGAGCAGGGGGGAAACCAGAGCTTTGGGGGAGTCCCAGGAACTGAGGCCACCTATGTCCAGCCCCCCACACTTCACTGGGCACTGGTGCTAGGGAGGCTCAGCGGAGCCACTGGGCCTGCTACAGCCACAGCATCAACAAAGCTATGGGGTGTGACCATCCTCACGGTGGACACCAGGACCTCCCACACATCCCCGCTCCGCTTGTCCTCCCCCAAACCTCACACGCGTTCAGCCTCTGCCACCCCAACCCCCATCCCAGCAAGGTAGGTTCTGGGACATGTGGCCTCCAGCCGTGGCAGGGATGGCGAGTTGACCGAAGACACTCCAGCCCTCTGGCTGCAGTGACAGACGCAGGTGCCCGAATGTTCAGGAGAGAGGGCCGCTCCAGCTGCAGGAACTGGGAGGGGTCGCTGGCTGGGAGTGCGGACAGAAATCCCCTTGAGGGCCCCAGGTGGAGGAGGGACCCACGACTGCGCAGAATGGCAGGAATCAAGGTTCCTCTTAAATCTCTTCCCTTTCTGGGGTGTTTAGGAGTCCAGGGTGGCCATCGCAGAGCCAGGTAGGGTGTTGGGAGCGCCGAGGGAGGACACTGACATGGCCGCCTGGAGCAGGGCCGAGGGCCACAGCCGGGGCTGCCCTGGGGAAACGGTAAGCCTCTCAGGGGTCAGACAAAGGAGGAGGATGGGAGTCCCAGAGGACAGGCGCGGGGTGCATGTTAGGTTTTCCTGGGGATAGCAAGGCCATGGTGACACAGCCGTCACTGACATGGTCCAAGAACCCAAACATTCCAGCAAACAGCGAGGTCAACACCCGCGCTCAGCCGCATTCCTGGATGTCACCATGAAGGGCCCAGCCAAGTCCACAGGGGCGCTCTCGAGCCCTCGGTGGCTGCAGGGGCCATAGGTCTTGGCTGGTTCTCGTGTCCTGCAGCATCCCCGCACAGACCCCTGGCTTTCCTGCCGGAGACAATTTCACATCAGGATGCTGAGAGCCGCAGCCCTGCCCTAGCACTGCCAGCCCCTCCTTCAGCCTCAGTGTGGTCTCAGGTGCGGGGACCAACCTCGCTGTGCATTTGCTGTTCATGTCCATCTCCCCAGTGAGGCTCCGGCCCTCACGAGGCATCCAGGCAGCTGCATTCACTGCTGTGACTCCCAGAGTCTACCTCAATATCGGCACATAATAGATGCTCAATAAAAACTGGATGAACAAGCTGGGAGTGGCGGCTCACGCCTGTAATCCCAGCACTTTGGGAGGCCGAGGCAGGCGGATCACTTGAGGTCAGGAGTTTGAGACCAGCCTGGCCACGCGGTGAAACCCCATCTCAACCGAAAATATAAAAAAGTAGCCAGGCATGGTGGCACACGCTTATAATCCCAGCTACTTGGAAGGCTGAGGCAGGAGAACCCGGGAGGTGGAGGTTGCAGGGAGCTGAGATCGTGCCACTGCACTCCAGCGTGAGCAACAGAGTGAGACTCCAACTCAAAAAAAAAAAAAAACTTGATGATCAGATGGATGATCAATACTTCAAGTGGTTTCTAGCTCAAACCTGTCCAGTCAAGGCCCAAAACGAGAACCTCCTGGCTTCATTAAAATTAGGTTTGCCTAATGGCAACATTAGCCAAACCTAATGTTGATACAATTTTACTTTCAGGCCTTTCCCTAAATGGAAAAAAAAAAAAAAAAGGTATTATCATCTGTCAGTGTCTTTCAAATGCTTGGAAGACAGAGGGCGACCTGTGGACCTGGGCTTGGCCTGCCTGGGCGTCCCTGGGAGGAGGCGTGTCCGCCAGGTCTCCAGGAAGGGGAGGGGATTACAGCACCCCCTGTGTCCAGAGGACCCCCAGAAAGCACATCCAGCCACCCTCCATCCACATCGACCCAGTGGCCTCACCCAGACACCAACAGGCCGTGTCCTTTTAAGGTACCAGTTCGACTGGGCCTGGGGGCTTGAAGGTCAGAGGTCAGGGGTCAGTACAGTTGAGGCCAGATGGGAGACTGTGTCAAACTCCAGAGAGATGGGGTGACCCTCTCACTGCCTCCCGTAGCCCCCAGGCTGCTTCCCACAGAGCAGGGTCCACCTGCGGTCACCGAGCCCCCAGTGCGGAACGATTGCAGAGGCTTCAGCAGAAGGCCACCAGGGTCTGGTCGCCAGACAAACCCACTCCTGGTGAGGTCAGAGGCAGGTTCAAGGAGGAGGCCTGAGGCAGGAACAGAAATGTCGACCAGGGTGTCAGAGGGGGGCAGCACCGAAACCCGCGTCTGCCTCCAAGAGCAAGAGGCTCAGCCTCTCTCTGCCCGGGTCTCTCCTTCAGCCTCATGCAGCTCCCGCAGAAACACAACAGAAGCAGCCAGCTGGCATGTGGCCTGCACATCTCGGGGGCTCAGCATGTGGCATGGCTGTGATTGTGAGGTGGCCTTGGTGCGGCCACGTGTGAGGGTGACCTGCACCTAGGCTGGCTGAGGCTCCGCTCTCAGGAGATGAGGCTGCAGACAGGCAGTCTGCTTGAGGGGAGCCCAAGTGCCAGCCCAGGGTGGTGGGCCCCTCAGCCAGCCCAGGGCAGGCCAGGGTTGCACGACCCTGGAAGCCACGGCTCCGTTCCTGTGGGCTTGGCTGTACCTACTCGATGCCAGGTCCCAGCAGCACAAGGTAGCAGCTCCCTGGACACGGGACGACCACGCCTGGATCTGTGTTTGCGCTGGCTGTGAGGACCCAGCGACCTGTCTGACCCCATAGCCAGGAGCTGGCCCTGGGGAGAGCAGTGCCTTCAGGACGGCGCTCCTAGGCCTCACTTTGTTTAGGATCCGCTCGCCGCCAGACCTTCAGGGTGCAGTCTCTCCTCACAGGTCCTGTGGCGTCGCAGCCACTGAAAACCGTAGCCCCGTCAGGCTCAGGAGGGGCAGGAGGAGCTGGCACCCACGAGGGGTTCACTCTGCTCCTGGTGACAGGCACTGGCGCTCTCCGGACCGCGGTGCTGTGCCTGCCGGGTAGATCTGCTGGGTGGACCTAACGGCCGGCACCAGTTTAATTCCCACTCCCCTTCCTTGCCCCGAAGACTTGGGATAAAGGCCCAAAGTTCATGCCCAGAGGGCGGCCGGAAACCCCCCATCCCCAGCATTTGTGGGGACCACCCACGTTAAACGAAGACTGGCCTCTTGGGAGCGCTCCAAGGCCCACATCCTCAGAAACCCTGGGGACCCATCAGTCCCCCCCCAGGTCCCCCAAACACGCCACCACAGCAAGATGAACCCGGCCAGTGGCGCCCACTCTTCGCACTGGCTGGAGGCGGTGGGTTCATGCCCAGATGCCAAGGCCCAGAAGCAAAGCGACAGACAAGGCTGGAGACAAAGGAAGAGAAAGGAGATGCTGGGGGAAGGGGGAGGGAATAAAAAGTATTTGGAATGGCAAACGGGAGGGAACTGAGGCCAAGAGAAGAACCCAGCCCTCCCCTCAAGGGAGACAGATGGGCGAGGCCAGGACCCAGCCCTGGGGGCGGGTTCCAGGCTCAGTCCAGGGCCTGAACTGCTGTGGGCCATTCAGACCCGTACATCCCAGAGCTTCCTCCAACACAATTAACTGGTGACCTGTAAGAGATGAGGTGATTTCTAGACAACGTGCCTGGAAGGAGGAAGGAGGGAGCCAGACAAACCTTGGCCTGAACCCCAAGTCCCGCTGGGCCTCCTGGGTCTCAGTGGGTGGGGGCCACCACAGACTTGGAGATCTGAAGCTAGGCCCACCTGCTGGGAAGGTCCCTCTGGGTAGGAGCAGCCTAAAGAACTCTGCAGAGGGGCTGGGCTCCCGAGAACAGCTGGGGTGGGTCCCCCTGGGCAGCAAAGGCTGCGTGAAGGAAAAGACTAGCAAAGCGGGGGATGTGGGGGCGGCTGCAGACACTCAACCCAGCAGGGGAGCAAAGCCTCAGCACAGCACCCACCACCCTGAAATCCCTCTCACCAGCTCAGAACCTGCCGGGACAGCCTGGGAGGGAGCGGCGGTCACCGGGATTCACGCTGTTTCCAGACCAGACAGCAGTGGACACGGAGCTCAGCAGCCCCCGGCCCAGCCCGCAACTCCCTCCCTGAGCCCCAGCGGGAAGCAGCTGCCACTTCTCACAAACACATTCTTAATTCAGTGATTTCACTCC
The DNA here is from genome assembly GCF_000001405.40 of Homo sapiens. Classification (NCBI taxonomy): domain Eukaryota; kingdom Metazoa; phylum Chordata; class Mammalia; order Primates; family Hominidae; genus Homo; species Homo sapiens. The sequence goes on along the minus strand of NC_000001.11, from coordinate 3,911,211 downwards.
CTGGTGCTTGCCAAGGTGTTGGATACCTGAGAAGCCAAAGATTCACATTCTCTACAGAGGCAGCTGCTGCCCCCATCCTGGACTGCTCAGAAGACTCTGAAGGCCGTTAGTGAGCAACGGAGCCGCATTCTGAGCCCTGCCTGCCGCCCGGGCACCCTCCGAGAGCCATCCTGAGAGCGTCCCAGGAAAAGACCGGCGAGGCCGCCACGCCTGCCGCACCGACTTCGTTCCCCTGTCTCATCCTGCCCCCTGGCGTCAGGACTGCAGACACCTGCGCTGGCACCTACCTAAGGCGGCCAAGGGTGGTTCTCCAGGCGGCTGTCCCCTACTCAACAGGGGTCTGCACCGGTCCTCCTCCAGGAAGGGTGCCCTGCAGAGACCCACATGGCCGTGAAAGTGGGGAGTCCAGGTCCAACTCGACCTTGGCACCTCCTTGCTGTGTGATCCTGAGCAAGGTGTGTCCCCTCTGTGCTCCTCCATCTCCCCAGGTGCCAACAGTGGGCAATGAAAGAACCCGTCCGTCTCACAGGGTTGCCAGGAGAATCACGAGATGATCTGCGCAAGAGGGTCCATGCCAGGCCAAAGCCAGGGTCCCCTCAAAACATGCAGCCCTCAGAGGGACTCGGCCACCAGCAGGTCCACGGCACCACCCACGGCACAGCCATGCAGCCAGGGGCTCCTCCTCTCCCAGAACGCCCACCTCCCCCGGCGCCAGCCGCCGTTGCAGGTGAACAGCCTATTCTCTGCGCAGGTGGGAGCCTGCAGCTGCCTAGAAGTTGGGGTGGCTGGGCATGCAGTGCTGGGGGGCCGCATTGCTTCTGAGCCCGCGCATCCTGCTTCTCCATTGTCCTTGGGAGACTCTCGGGGACCCAGTGCCCAGCTTGAGAGAGAACTGGACACTCCAGGCCTGGACCACACAAGTTCAGTGGCAGCCCTGCCGTTCCAGGGAGTTGGATGTCGCTGATGCTGGGCGTCCTCGCAGCAGAGTTTAAAAAGCCATTGCTAGGAAAAGCCCCACTGGGAACATCACGCCGAAAATGCCCGTTTGGATGCAACGCTCTGCCCCGAGGGTGCTGATCACCGCAGACGCAGGTGCTATGTGCACCGAACCATCAACACTCCACTCACAGACGCAGGTGCTATGTGCACTGAACCATCAACACTCCACTGGCCATAAAATGCACTGACTTCTTTAAAACCCCAGGAAGAAATTAATAACATCTAGGGGAAGGATAACGAATTTTTTACTAAGTGGGAAGGCTGGCCTCTGGTTTGGAGAAGAGTCTGGGTCAAACTGTGTCCAGCCAAGTAAGGAACCTCAGTCCGGTTCCCATGGCCGTGGGGAGGGACGAGGCCTTCACAGCCTGGGGACCCATTTTCCTCACCCCTGTGACAGGGTAGAAGTCACTTTACAAATCACCACGGTACACACCCCCCGGGCTGCAGCAGCCCATGCTCTGCAGAAATGCAAATATTAAGACAACTTTATCTGCACGCCTCTCTGCAGGAAGGTTGCATCCCCTTAGCAGTAGGATCAAAAATTTTTTAGTAAATTAAAAAATTATTCAAAGAACATTTCTCTCTCACTGAGAAAAAAGCAGGGTGCCTCCTTTTTCCTGAGAGGAAAAATGCTCTGTAAAATCTCTCTCTTTGTAATCAGGTTCATACAATAGGCATTAGTTCCGGGGAATTTCAACAGAAATCAGAAATAAAAGGAGATAAGAAAGTTCCAACCAGCCTCCGAAAACGGGCATTCCAGACCCACCAGAGAGATATTCTATTCCCTTTTCTCCGTAGCTCACTTGTGTGTGGGAGGAGGAAGGTCTGCGGTAAGAATTGAATCCTGCCCCAAAGAGGCCTGACCTTTGTCCTCAGCCACTGGGAGGTGACCTCCACGATGTCCTGCCTGATAGGAGTCACTGTTTGCCCAGGGCCTTGGGTTACACAGGAGAGTCCAGTGATGTGACTTAGGGTGGAGGAGAGCCACCATGATGGTCTCAGGGTGGGGCTGGCCATGCCAGAAAGACCAACGGTGTCATGGAGGGTGGGAGATGGGGACCACACGGTGGCAATCGGCCGCAGGACGGGGACTGACCATTTGGGTGGTCACTCAATCAGCCATGCCCATGGAATGGAGCCCCAGTGAGAACCTGGACACTGTGGCTTGAGGCTGGCCCTCGCTCGTGCTACCACGTTGACGCAGGAGAGTCACAAGTCCCAGTCCCACAGGAAAGGGACAGCAAGAGCTCCGCTTGGGGCACTTTTCCTGGACTCGGCCCCCTGCCTCCCCTCCTTTGGCCAATCTTAATCTGTATCCTTTCCCGGTAAGGAACTGATTTATGTAGATGTTGTTCCCACCCAGACAGGCTGGCTCCCCTCTGGCTTCTGCCAGGACTGGAGGCTTCCTGAGGCCTCCCCAGCAGCCGAGCAGGTGCCACCATGCCCCTGTACAGCCTGTGGACCCAGGAGCCAATTACACCTCTTTTCTTCATAAATTACCCAGTCTCAGGTATTTCTTCACAGCAATTCAAGAATGGACTAATACAGAAACCACAACTGTGAGTGTAATAGCTTTCAAGGAGTTCTGGGAGTCCTTCTAGAATCATCAAACTGAGGGTGGCCTTGGGCACCTGAACTTGTGATTCGTACCAGGGTGAGGCCTTGCATGGACTGTGTCCTTGACCTTTGTAACTGGCCTGAACTCTTACTGAGTGTGTGTGTGTGTGTGTGTGTGTGTGTGTGTGTGTGTGAGAGAGAGAGAGAGAGAGAGAGAGAGAGAGAGAGAGAGAGACAGAGAGACAGAGAGAAAGAGAGAGAGAGAGGAGAGACAGAGAGAGAGCAAAGAGAGAGAGAGAGAAATAGAGAAATTCCCGATCTGGTATAAATCTATTTTCTGGAATACTAAAGTTATACATCTTGGAACTGACAAATCCAAGGGAAAAATTATCCCCACCCTTTTGCCTCTAAATTCATGCAACTGAGTTAGCTTGAGAACGTCCAAGAATTCCAGACAGTTCAGTCCAAAATTCGAAACAAGGTACAGACCTTGTTAGCTGCTCCTGGTCTGCAAGCCAACACCCCCACAAACCCAGAGACACGTGTGGAGACCAGATAACCACGTGGGCTGGCCTCCATTCTGTGCCCAGACTTTGAAAAGAAGGATGGAGCCAGGCAGGGGGCGAACCTGCACTAGAATAAGACGAGGTGAAACCATTGCACAAGGTGGCCTGGAGGGAGCCTGGAGCAAGCCAGCCCTGCAAAGCCCCACCTGAGAAGCCAGGTTATGTCCACCCCATCAGTTCACACCAGTCAGCTGCTGCGAGCGGGCGGCGGTGACCCTGGCTCTGCACTCAAGTTTAAGGACAGACGCTGCCGTTGTACTTAGCTGCCTCGAAACGCACTGACCTGAATCTGTTCTGGATTCTTAGGAAGCAGCATGACAGGGAAGTCACAGCCGCAGGGACCTCGGTAGGCAAGTGCCCTTCGAGGAAACTGGGGAATCCTCCGTGGGGCGGAGCGAGCCTGGGTGAGCAGAGACCGGCCGTCGGCCATTCCGCTCCCAGGGCCCATGAGCAGGGCAGACCCCTCCCCACCGACGTGGAGAAGTCTCATTTCTGAAACATGCCACCAACACACAGTCTCTACTGTCCTGCATCCCTAAAAGTGGAGTGATGCCTATTCACAGCTCACTTTCAAGTGGCTGAGACACTAGGCGGGAGAGCCTGCAAGCCCCACCCCGCCCTCCGGCCGCACCCCTGCCTTCCCGCCACACCCCTGCCTTCCCACTCACTCTTTCCTGCATCTTCCCACGGCCTTTGCTGCCCCTAGGGGGCCCTCATGGCCTTTACTGACAGCCCGTGACGTCTCAGTAGCTCAGATGAAACCTGTTTGATTTGAAAGCTGATGATTTTAGTTCCTGAAGGCCACACATGGGAACCGACCTGGACTTGAGGGTCATCGTTCCCAGTCCTGCCTGGGTCCACGTCCTGCCAAAATGCGATACCCGTGAGAACTGGGCAGGGCCCCACAGTGTCTCCTCCTGGGTGGCCTTGACCTGTGTCGGTGGCAGCCGAGGACGGATGCTTGGGTTTCAATGAAGGCAACTGAACACGCACAGCCGCCAAGAGAGGCCGCGGGGCGGGGGAACCTCAGAACCCCGTAATCTCTGCCCTGGGTGCAGACAGTTCTTCAGGAATTCCTCATCCTGCACATGGCCTGAGCATGGCTACACGGCCACAGAGGGAAAAACAGCTGCCCATCAATGACTAGTACGTTTGCGGGAAAATCCATTTATCTGTTGGCCCTGCCATGCCCCTGATGTTTGACCAAGTGAGCCTACGGTGCGCTGGGCACAGGGGCATCTGCGAGTGGGAGGCAGACGTGGATCTGCAGGGAGGGACCTGTCCACATGCCCGCTCCCAGCCTGAACCTCACTCTGCCATCAGCCCGATCCCCAGCCGGTTTCCACTGCCAGCGGCCCCTGCTTGAAGGCAAGGGAGCTCTCAAAATAGGGCTTTTCATCTTGGTGTTTTTCTTCCAGACTGCCCAAAGGTTCTCATAAAATGGCAATTTTTTTTTTCATCTAGTTGGAAATTTAGCCTTCTCCAGGCTCTGCAAATCCCAGGCCTTTTCTTCAAAGGACACTGCAGCGTGATCCCAGCGGAGGGCTGGCAGCAAGGCACAAAGTGGCCCATCGCTCGGAGCTTTTCTGCTGGATGATGTTGGAGTTCACGATTTGAATGTTCCCCCCTGGTGTGCAGTTTCACTGATACCCAAATGGAGCATGTTCTTCATACAGTCAGGGCAAGCGGAGACTACGGGGTTCCCGAGGTTCTCCTGCCCTGCAGCCTCTCTCTGCAGCTGTGCACATGCACCATGACTCCCCATGGAGGGTGCAGCTCCACCCTGGCGGGAGCCACGCCCACAGCTCCCACAGCCCTGCCTGTGCACTGCCTGCAGTGCTCTTTACAACGTGTGTGCAGAGAGCCCAACAAACTTTTGATGAATGAAACCGGTGGACTCCACCAGGAGACAAGTCCTGGCTTCCGCTGGAGCATCTCCACCGGGCCTGCGTCGGTGAAAAGCAGAGGCAAGCGAGTTCTCCTAGGTAGACCTCCACATCCTGCCTACTTACACAGTGATGGTTAGCTGCCATCAATAAGAACAGAAGCACAATTCAATTTTTAGAACACACACAATTAGGTGCCCATAAAAAACGGAAGCCAAAAATTAAAAGACAAATGAATGAGAAAGAACAAAACAAAACCACAATATTGAGAAACGTTAAGGAGGACTCAAATTTCCTGGCAAGGGGGCAGAGAGGGGCCAGGGCTGGGTGTGAACCTGGGAAGACACGGCCAGGCCGGGCTGACCAAGCCGGGTCAGGCCATGGGTCATGACCGCCTGGAGACCACAAGGGCGTCGGGCTGGGTCAGATGCCATGGACCCACCACTGCCTCCTGATCCCAGCACGTTGTAGGATATATGAAGCAGAAAATGGTCTACTCTACTCAAACATCGTCATGTCACAGACTACTGATCAGTCTACAAAGCGGGCTACAAGAGTCCAGTGGATGCTCAGCCTCCAGTGAGGGCCCCAGGGGCGCAGGCATTGGGCCCTTCCACCGGCACCTCCTTCCCCATCTCTGCACGGCGCCAACAGTTCCTATGTACTCTACACCTGATTCTGATGCCACCAACTCCAGAAGAGACCCTCTGCCCCATGCTGGTGGCTCCCTGAAGTTTCTGGGCATCTTCCAACTGCCCCAGGGGTAGTCCTGTGAGTCTCTCAGGCACCCTAGCAGGCTCAGAGCCTACATCCTTCTCCGCTGTGTCCTTCATTCAAGGCAGGACCTTGGCACATGTGCACGGGGCAGACACGGGAGGAGCTGCGATACTTTCCAACAGCAGACGGCTGTCCTACCACAGGGTTATTTTTGCCCAGCTAAGTCGGGTGGACCGAGAGGATAGGAGAGGGTGGGCTATTAAGAAAACATTAGTTTAGGTCAATTCAAAGAGAACTTTTTTTTTTTTTTTGACAAAGTTTCACTCTGTCACCCAGGCTGGAGTGCAGTGGTGCGATGACATTTTAAAAGCATGCTGCAAGCTTTTTTTCCCCTGCCTTCTCCCTCTCTCTCTCTCTTTCTACCTATTACTTCTTTCTTTTAATTATAAAAGGCCATATGCAAGAGAGGCCCTGTCATCATACAGGCCACCATCTGTTGGCAGGAATGCAATGTGCTCTGGCCGGGGTGGCCTCAGTTAACGGGTCTACCGACTGCTAGTCAGTTGAAAAATCTCTTCAACTTTCTCACTGGCCCTACAGTGTTTGTCAAAGGCAAATACTGAACTGGGGCACAGCAGTGTTTTAAGTCAGAAATTTGTGGTATGGGCAAGAATGCAAAGTTTCCTCCAATCCACAATCCTCAAGTTCTCTGTGTGCGTCTCGCCCCCGGCCAGCCAGCCAGCCAGCCAATGTCCTCTGGGTATCACCAGCCTCCGTGAACAAAACACGGACCCTGCCTTCCAGGGGCGTACAGTTCAGGTGGGGGGCCAGCCACGTACAAGCCTGCACAGACTTCACACGCCTGCCACCATGGGGAGTCTCACTGTGCCCTGACCTGGCCGGGTGGGGGCACAGCTAATCAGGAATAAGAACAGAAGCAGACACAGCGAACCCGGGAAGCTGTGGTGTGGAGGTGGCTTCGGCCAAGCCTGGTTTTGGGGAACCCAGGAAACCGTGGTGTGGAGGTGGCTTCGGCCGAGCCTGGTTTTCTGCTCCCTCCAGGGTCTCCTGCAATTCCACATGGCAGCTTGAGGTGGAGCGGGGGAGAGAATTCAAGATTGGCTCCTCTGCCCACGCCAACACCTCCCACCTCGTCAGGAGGGGTAGCCTGTCCAGACAGGGCTCCACTGCACATCCAGCCTTGACTAGGAGGCTCTGTTTCCCCCGGGTGGGCCTGAAAGGGGCCTGCATCCTACAGGATGAGGGAGGGAGAGGGGGCCCCAGCCACTTCCTCCCAGGATCCTCACCCGACACCCCCAGCTCTGTGCTGTTGCCCATGTGGCCTCTCCCCCGTGGCTCCCATCACACTGCAAACGTACAATTCTGTGTGATGATTCCATGCCTGGGCTTGCGCCTGGCCCAGTCCCCAGAACACAGTGGAGCTTGATACCTTGAGTGAATGAGTGGATGCGCCATGCTCTGGGATAGCACCGGAGAAACGGTCCTGGCCTGCCACGGGGTCCTGGTAGAAGAGTGCAGAACACTAAAAAAGCAGCAACCGGCAGATTGAATGTAGGGGGCGGGGGAGCATCCAGGAAGGGCCCCCTGAGGACAGGAGATATAAGCTGAGTTGAGGTTTAACAAATGGATTAGCCAGGCAAAACGTGGGTTGGGGAGCTGGGGAAAGAAGGTTTTCAGGCACAGGGAAGTGGGGAAGAGGCTTTGCAGTGGTCAGGAGCTGAGGGAGGCACTGTGGATAGCAGAGGGGCAGGGGAACAGGTGCTGGGACTCTGTGCGGCTGGAGCAGGGAGCGGCAACGGTGAGCAAGCTCAGAAGCCCTTCCGCACATTCATTGGACAAACACCTGCTGGGCACCCACAGTGTGCCAGGCACCATGCCAGGACTTACAGGCCACTCTAAGACTGTGGCTCTGGATCCCAGAAGCAGGGGATCACCCCAACAGCTGTGGGCTGCCCAGGCCAGAGGAAAAGGAGAGACCAGCCGTGAGGCTTCAAAGTCTAGAATTAACAGCAACCGGCATCTGACAGGATGTGGGCAGGGAGAGAGAGACATTCACCAATGGCCTGGGTGTCAGGCCTTACAGCTGGGAGGCTGGAAACCATGCTCATCCCAGACCTGGGGAGAGGACAGACAACATTGGTGAAGGGAAGGAGAGTGCCCTTTGGGATGTTAAAAGTCCACATGGCTCGGAGCCCAGAGCCCCCATCGGGCGGGCGAGGCCAGGCAGTGAGGCATTTACATCAACTGGCACCAACCACAAACAAGACAGGCAAACACCAGCCAAGCCCCAGTGGATGAAAACTTTGAGCTCCCAAGGACTGGGAAATAAAACCACTGAACCAAGCTTATTATGAAATCAATCTCTGCGAAAATGGGACAGGCTAGGTGTTTAACAAAGTATCGCTCGCTCTCATTTTTTTCTGAACAGCTGGCAGCGATTATATTAAGTTTCCATTTCAAACGCATTTCCTGCCAGTTACACATTTGTCTCCTCCCCTTCTGTACAACATGGATAATAACACGGGAGAAGCGCAGGGCTAGGAAGAGAGAGGGTACAACAGCCAGGTAGGACATGTGTGTGTGTGTGTACACCAGGGCTGCAAGCATCTTCACTCACTGCCGAAAGCAAAACCCCACGTGCAGTCTAATTTGAGGGCTCCACCTAATTACCAAACGTCACACTTCTAAAGAGAGTGGAGGCTGCATAGAGCTCAAGCTGGCAGGATCCTTAAATACTCTCCCTTCTCAGGCACTAAAAGGAGGCATCAGCTGCATGTCTGGGCTTTGAGAGAGTCATACCGTAAGAGAAGGCACACTGATGCTTTTGGAAGAGATTATGAATCACACCCTGCCTTGGAACAGTGCACAGAGGGACCCTGAGCAGGCCATGAAGCCACAATGCAATGCAGTTCACTTTTCAACCTTTGTAGTTTAAGTGGAAAACCTAATGCTTCTGACAAAACTGCCTGATTTAAATGTTCTCACTTGAAAAAAAAAATAATGATTTAAAAAGGAAATAAGACTCCCATTTATTTGCAAAGCACAGTACGGGCTGCTGGGTGCACCCTGCGCCCGAGCACCTGGGAGCCAGCCCTGGACTGCGCAGCCACCTGCGGGCGGAGAGGGGAGGGGCCAGGTGTCCTCGGCCTCTGATGTGGCTTCCACCCTGCGCCCTTTTCTGAAGACACACATCCTAGAGCCCAGAGAACTTGAGGGCTGGAGGGTTTAAGGCAAGGCTGGATTTCATTTCTATGTTGAAATTCTTAAGAACAGAACAGTGTGCCGAGCGCGGTGGCTCACGCCTGTAATCCCAGCATTTTGGGAGGCCGCAGCAGGCGGACCACGAGGTCAGGAGATCGAGATCATCCTAGCTAACACGGTGAAACCCCGTCTCTACTAAAAATACAAAAAAATTAGCCGGGTGTGGTGGCGGGAGCCTGTAGTCCCAGCTACTCGGGAGGCTGAGGCAGGAGAATGGCGTGAACCCGGGAGGCAGAGCTTGCAGTGAGCCGAGATTGCGTCACTCCACTCCAGCCTGGGCGACATAGCGAGACTCCCGTCAAAAAAAAAAAAGAAAAGAAAAGAACAGTGGGCCTGGCACGGTGGCTCACGCCTGTAATCCCAGCACTTTGGGAGGCCAAGGTGGGCGGATTATTTGAGGTCAGGAGTTCGAGACCAGCCTGACCAACATGATGAAACCCCATCTCTACTAAAAATACAAAAATTAGCCAGGTGTGGTGGCGCCTGCCTGTAATCCCAGCTACTCAGGAGGCTGAGGCAGGAGAATGGCTTGAGCCCATGAGGCGGAGGTTGCAGTGAGCTGAGATCGCGCCACTGCACTCCAGCCTGGGTGACAGAGCGAGACTCCGTCTCAAAAAACAAACAAACAAACAAAAAAACCCACAACAGAACAGTGGTCCTCAGCTTTACAAACACCTCCCTCAGCGGCGGCCAAAGAGGACGCATCACAGCAGCCCAGGCCTGCTAGGGGCGTGTTTGCTGGAGGAGGCGTGGCCGCCGTGTGTCCATCCAGACCTGATAGGGCGCGGCCATTGGAGGAGGCGTGGCCGCTGCGGGTCCACCCAGGCCTGCTAGGGGCGTGGCCATTGGAAAAGGCGTGGCCCCTGCGAGTCCACGTTGGCCCCGGAGAGTAACGGGACGGCGGAGGGGTCATTTCCCGCCTTGCACGTAACGGGGGACGAAAACCGGCCCCCAGCCCGACGCCGGACCCTGGCCTCCTGGGCCCACCGACGGCCTCCACTAAGGCCCCCTCCCGCCCGCAACGTGGGGGACAGCTGAGGCCACTTCCCGGGCGGGCCACCCCAACCCAAAGCGGCATGTCGCGGGGCAGCACAGCCTGCGACAAGCGCGCAAAGCTCCCCAGCGGGACCGCAGCACGGGCAGGCCTGGGAGTCCCTCGCGCTGCTCAAGGCCGCTAACCGGCACTCAGAAACCAGCGCTCTGCGGCACTGGAGAAAGCACTTCCCGCCCTCCTGCAGGCTGTTAGCCAGGGGATGCAAGGGGAGGGGCCCCTCACGGACGTCCCGCCCGCCCCTCTCAAACATGGCGGCCACAGGCGCACCAAAGGAAGAGCCCCTCACAAACATGGCCGTCCGCCCCTCTCATACATGGCGCCAAAGAGGCTTCAAGGGAAGCGCCCCTCACGAACATGGTTGCCTGCCCCTCTCAAACATAGCGGCCACAGGCGCACCAAGAGAAGCGCCCCTTACAAACATGGCCGTCTGCCCCTCTCAAACATGGTGGCCAAAGAGGCTTCAAGGGAAGAGCCCCTCAAGAACATGGTTGCTCCCCCCTCAAGAACATAGTTGCCCACCTCGCTCAAACATGGCGGCCACAGGTGCACCAAGGGAAGCGCCGTTCACGAACATGGCCGTCTGCCCCTTTCAAATATGGCGAACACAGAAGCTACAAAAAAAGCACCCCCCGCAAACATAATCTCTCAGGCCTGCCACGGGCGTGGGAAACATAGCGGCTACAGGGGTGCCAAGGGACGCGCCCTCATGAACATGGCCGGCCACAGGCCGACTTCCTGCTCCAGTGTCCCACCACTGGCCCAAGGCCTGTGACCTTCGCCCGCCGCTTACGAAAGAGCCAACACGGGGGGGGGGGGGGGGGGAATCACATGACGAGGGTGCTGCACTGTGATTGGCTGTGCTGACGTCGGACGCCGCCGCGGCGCGCTCTGCAGACTCCGGGTCGCCGCTCCGCCGGGACGCGTTGGCCGGGGCGCGCGGTGCTTGGCTGCGGTGCTCACACTCATGAGGAGCCGGAAGGTGAGGGCTGGGTCCCGGCAGCAGCTGCGCCGGGCAGGGCGGGGACTCTGGGTCACCTGCTGTCTGGAGAACCGGGGCGGGGTCACGGGGTGCCTGTGGCCTAGGAGCGGCCTCCGCTTGGGCCTCGCCCCCGGCAGTAGTTGGGGGGCTCCAGGCCACGCTCCCGGGAGAAGGAGGGCTGCCAGGTCACGCCCCTGTGAAAAGGGGGCTCCGGGCCACGCCCTCGGAAGAAGTGGAGCTCACAGGTCACGTCCCCGGGAGAAGGGGGCTCCCAGGTTACCCACCCCCGCAGAATGGGGCCTCTGGGCCACACCCCCGAGAGAAGGGGAGCTCCCAGGCCATGCCCGCGGGAGAAGGGGGGCTCCGGTCCACGCCCTCGGGAGAAGTGGAGCTCACAGTTCACGTCCTGGGCAACAGGGGGCTCCCAGGTCACGCCCCCTTGAAGGGAGGTTTCGGGCCACTTTCCTAGGAAGGTGGGGCACCCTCTCCAGAACTGGTTTCAACTCCTGGTAGTGCTAGATGCTGCAGAGCTGAGTTTGTGCCCCTCAACTGCTGCCACTCCAATGGACGTCACACAGCAAGTGACCTCAGCTTGGCCCCATCTACTGAATGTGCTAAAAGTGGGGTGATGAGGGATCCACCAAGAGGGTGGTGAGGATTGAAGGGGGGTGCCAGTGTCTGGCAAGGGGCAAGTGCTCATTGCGTGGGTGTAACAGTTAAGGCGAAGGACCCTTTTCACAGTGGACCCGGCGCGGGTCCCGGTCCACTTGGGAGGCTCTGAGCTGCATGGAGGCTCTCCTGGTTTGTTCAAATGGAGTGGCCACTTGTGAATTCCAACTCCTTTTACTATTTTTATCTTTGAACCAAAACTTGTCTCCTGTAGGCACATATACTTGGATCTTTTTTAAAATGCAGTCTGGTAGTTTCTGCCTTTTGATTGAATTGTTTAGCCCATGCACATTTAATATTATTGATACACTGTAGTTAGGTTTACATTTGCCATTTTACTTTTTCTTTTCTTTATACAAGTCTGTCTTTTTCTTCCCCTGTTCCTTCTTTAAGTGGATTAAAGTGAATATTTCCTAATGTAGCATTTTAATTTAATGATTTTTTTTCCACAACTTTTTTGGGTTTTTTCCAGTGCTTTATGTTTTACCGTATACAGCTTAATCTTCATATTCTCCATATACATCTTAAGCTTCAGATTTGTACTAGGTTAATTCCAAGTGATACAGAAATGTTACTCTTATATGGTTATTTTTGTGGTATTTTGTTATATGTATTACATCTGATAATGTTACAAACTCAACAGTACTGTGTTATCATTATTACTTTCTGTCTGTGGTCATTTCCTTAGCCAGCAGGGGTTTGCTTTCACCCACTTTGTTTTGTTATTGGCAAATATAGTACATGTCTGTATATATTATACACATATTACTGTATACAATTGCTTTTTAAATTAAGAGAAGGAGGTAGAGGAATAGGCATTTAAACTATATAAGAACATAATTACCTTTACTGGTGCTGTTTTTGTGTGTGTGTGGTTTTGAATTACTGTCTGGGGTCACTTGCTTTCAGCCTGATGAACTTCTTTTAGTGTTTCTTGTAAAGTGAGTTTTGTTGTTGTTGTTGTTGTTGTTGTTGTTGTTGTTGTTTTTGCTTTGAGACCAGAGTCTCACTCTGTTGCCCAGGCTGGAGTGCAGAGGTGTGATCTCGGCCCACTGCAACCTCTGCCTCCCGGGTTCAAGTGATTCTCACCTCAGCCTCTGGAATGGCTGGGATTACAGGAGGCTGCCACTACGCCCGGCTAATTTTTGTGTTTTTACTGGAGACAGGTTTTCACCATGTTGGCGAGGCTGGTCTAAAACTCCTGACCTCAGGTGATCACTGCCTCAGCCTCCCAAAGTGGTGGGATTACAGGCATGAGCCACCATGCCCAGCCCATTTTTGAAGTATAGCTTTGCTGGATATAGGATTCTTGGTTGACAAGTTTATTTGAGCATGTTGAATATGTTTGAATATTCTCCATTGTTTCAGTCAGTTCATTTATTGAGGTTCCCTTCTAAGTGGCTTTCTTCTTGGGGCTTTCAAGGTTTTGTTCTCTTTCAAGATTTTGCCTTTGATCTTTGTATTTTTACAGTGATGTGTCTGTGGATCTCTTTGCATGTATCCTATTTGGAGTTCTGTTCATTAAGATTCCTGGATATGGGGCCAGGCACGGTGGCTCACGCCTGTAATCCCAGCACTTTGGGAGGCTGAGGCAGGCGGATCACAAGGTCAGGAGATTGATACCATCCTGGCTAACACAGTGAAACCCTATCTCTACTAAAAATACAAAAAATTAGCGGGGCGTGGTGGCGGGCGCCTGTAGTTCCAGCTACTTGGGAGGCTGAGGCGGGAGAATGGCATGAACCTGGGGGGCGGAGCTTGCAGTGAGCCAAGATTATGCCACTGTACTCCAGCCTGGGCGATAGAGTGAGACTCCGTCTCAAAAAAAAAAGATTCCTGGATATATAGGTTAATGTTTTTCTGTAAATTTGAGAAGTTCTCAGCCATTATTTCTTCAAATATTTTTTCTGCTCCTTTCTCTCTGCATTCCTGGTGGTTCTTATTTTGTGTATGTTAGTGCACTTAATGATGTCCAGCATTTCTCTGCAGCTTGCTTTATTTTTCTTCGTTCTTTTTTTCTCTGTGTTCTTCAGCATGCATAATCTATCGATCTGTCTTCAAGTTTGCTTATCCTGCCAGTTCAGTTCTACTATTAAGCCCTTCTAGTGAATTTTGTTATTTCAGGTTTTGTACTTTTCTACTCCAGAATTTCCATTTGGTTTTTAAGTAATTTATCTTTATTGATAGTCTCTTTGATGCAGCATTATCTTATGTTTCTTCTTTATTCATGATCTTGATATTGTTTATCATGGCTACCTTGGTCCTTTATATATGTATAAATCCAACATCTGGTCACTCTCACAGACAGCTTCTGTGGCCTGCTTTTATTCCAGTGTATGAGCCTACTTTTCTTTTTCTTTGAGTGCTTCATAATTTTTTGTTGGAATTATGCCTTCATAATTTTTTTGACATTTTAGATAATACATTTTAGCAATTCTGGGTACTGTCCCCAACCCTGGGGCTTGTCATTGTTAATATGCTTATTTGTTTAGCAACTGGGTAGATTGTTTTGATAAAGTATATTTCCCCTGCCACAGTGTTCAGCCTGTGATGTTGCTGGTGGGGGGTGGCACCCAGCCACTCTGGATGACAGTGGTTTTAGTGAGGTCCTTTTCCTCTTTCCCTGACCACATCCAGCTGTTGAACTTCGCTAATGCCAGGTTATTGTGCTGTTCTCAGCAACAGCCTGGGCATAAGTTGCTCTACAAACTAATCCAATCAAATTGTGGCTTCTTCGAAGGGATACTTTCTAAGGTCAGTGTTTGGTTAGTTTGTTCTGTGTCCAAGAGGCCTCCTCCCAGCCGTGTTAGTCTCTGGTTCTCTTCTGCGAACTGGTTGGCCTACAATTTGGCCTATTGCTTGATTCTCCACTGCCTCCACCCCCTTCGTCACAGCATCCACGGTACTTGAACAGCTCCCTTAGGCCGGAACTTCTCCACATTCCATGGCAGGGAATTTGGTGCCTTTGGGCAGGTGTAAGAGCTGTCTGTTTAGTTGCCTGCCTCTCATCCCAGGCAGAGCCTCTGAGCCAGGGCCTGCAGCTGAGGACAGTAATGGGCTCCTCTCTGAATAGGGGCTGGGGGAGCTAGCAGCAGCCTGAGATCCTCCAAATGTGTCTTCCCCAGCCTGGAACCACCTCATATCTAGGACGGGGTTGATGGGGCCCCAGTCTTCTCCGTTCACTGGGCGGAGCCTCTTGCAGAGGCTTAAACCGTACTGGTAGAATGGAGCCAAGGTGAAGCCTTCATTCTACAAATAGGGTCTGAGCAGAAAGGAGGGCCCCTCTTCTCAATCCTACTCACTCAGGACCTGGTCTCAGTCACAGGTGGGATGAGAGCAGAAAGGGAAGCACTGCTATCCTGCCTCTCCTGGGAAGACACCCCGCTGCCTGGGAGCTGGGGAGGTGGCCCTGTGTTCTTGGCTGCAGCAGGATGGAGCTCAAGTGCCACAGACTCTCCGTGTCCTTACCAAATGTATGTAGGTGTTCTGGAGCAAGTGTTTCTTCATTTGCTGGGTGCCCATAGGACCATTTCCAAAGGCTCTCTAAATGGCTGTTTTGGGACTGCTCATTACTCTCTGAGAAGGTCAGTGAAGCTCCTCGAGCCATCATGTTGAAGTCAGTCTCGGCCAGCCCTTTTGGAGAAACCATGTTTGTGCTTCTGACATACCAGTTATTAAACAATCTACTGGAATGAGGAGAATCTCAATGATGAGAAAGTCTTTCCTTTTTTGGACTGTGGGAGCAGTCCAAGCTGCCCAGCTGCAGAGCAGGAATCTGCAAGTGAGACTGTGACCAATTCTTGACATTTTGGAGTTGACACCTTGGAGGTGGTTAATCCATGACGAAACTGAAGCTAAGCCGATCTCATGTTTTGACTCCTGTCAATCCGGAGAGGACAGCAAATGGCCTGCTCAGGTGTCTGTTAACAGCCAGCGCTTCCAGGCCCACCAGATCCTCAGGTGTCTGTTAACAGCCAGCGCTTCCAGCCCAGCAGATCATCTGGCTTTTCTCTGCAGAAGGGGCCAAAAGGTCCACCTGATGAACCTGTTGCACGCGAAAAGTTCAGAACCACTGCTGCCAAGATGCTGACAGAAGCCTTGAGAAGCACCTGCTGCGGGAAAAGACGTGCAGGCGTAGAACACAGAGCGGGTGGCAGCTTCTTCAGTTCAATCCCCACCTCAGGCAGTTGTTGGGGGTCATATCTAGGGTGAGCTGTGGTGATGGAATAGAGATTTGGAAGCCAGGCATCACTCGTATAACCTCATAAGCTCCTTACCCAAGTTGTCCTCATCTGAAATGGGTGTGCCACTCCTTTAAAGCTGTTCAGGCACCGAGCTGGGCTCCCCACACAGCATACTCCAGCACAGAGCAGCAAAGCGCCCGGAGGAGGGCTCACAGCAGGGAGGAGAGGTGGGGCAGTGGCTTTCTAGGTCAGAGATGTCTTTTCCCTACGAGGCACGTGATGGCGTTTTAGGGAGATGGGCTTGTTTAAGACCCAGTGGGAGGATTTTGATGAGAGATGTTTATGGCAACTCTTAGCAAGTTCTGTAACCTCTGTTGCCTCAGTCCCCTTGGTGTAACTGTGACCATGACGTCTGCCGGGGCTCTCAGCAAAGCCCTGCCCTTGTGAGAGGACGGAGGCGCAGCCCCCGGTGTGCTGTGGTAGCAGGCACTTCACCCAGCCTGTGGGCAACTGGCGTGTCCTGTGTACAGCAGGCGGGCGTCCTGGCCTCCGGTGGGCTGCTGCCTGCTCTTCTCCCTCCTGTTTCAGACACACACTCTGACTGCCACAGTATCACAGGACCTTGGAGCTGCCACCCCACAGGGTTTCTGGAGCTGTCTTGGGCTACGGGGTGCATGGCTGAGACAGATTATTTCTTTTTTTTTTTTTTTTTGAGACGGAGTCTTGCTCTGTCACCCAGGCTGGAGTGCGGTGGCGCAATCTCGGCTCACTGCAAGCTCCGCCTCCTGGGTTCACGCCATTCTCCTGCCTCAGCCTCCCAAGTAGCTGGGACTACAGGCGCCCACCACCACGCCCGGCTAATTTTTTGTATTTTTAGTAGAGACGGGGTTTCACTGTGTTAGCCGGGATGGTCTCGATCTCCTGACCTTGTGATCCACCTGCCTCAGCCTCCCAAAGTGCTGGGATTACAGCCGTGAGCCACCGCGCCCAGCCGAGACAGATTATTTCTGTGTTTTATTTTTTTGTTTTTTTCCTTTTTTTATTTCTCTTATCTGCTGTTGGGCAGGGCACTCTTCATCCGTCCCCTTCTGGGTTCCAGTTCTAGGGCCTGTTGGCAGCAGCTCTTGGGCCTTTCCCGGCCATGTCAACCTGCATTGCTCCTGTTTGTTGCTTCTACTACTCACACTCATTCCTTTCGAGTTTTCTAAGTGCAGTGTGGTATTGTGGACTGGATTCTGGAACAGAAAAACGGTTCATGGAGAAACCGATAAAATACAAATAAAATCTATAGTTTAGTGAAGAGTACCGTAATGTCACTAATTTCTTAATGTTGACAATGTCCTGTAGTTGTTTAACATTAGTGGAAGCTGAGTGAAGGCTACATGGCAACTCCCTGTACTATTTTATTATTATTATTTTTTCAGAGACACTGTCTCACTCTGTCACCCAGGTGGAGTGCAGTGGTGCAGTCATAGCTCACTACAGCCTCAGACTCCTGGGATCAAGTGATCCTCTCACCTCAGCCTCCCACATAGCTGGGACTACAGGTGCACACCACCACACCTGGCTAATTTTTAAAAAAATTTTTTAAAGATGGGCTTTCGCTGTATTGCCCAGGCTGGTCTTGAACTCCTGGGCTCGAGCGATCCTCCTACCTCAGCTTCCCAAGTAGCTGGGATTACAGGTGTGAGCTATCACACCAGTTTCTTTGTACTATTTTTTGCAACTTTCTGAATGCCGAAAATTATTCCTAAATAGTTATTTTAAATGTTATGTCTTTAATTAATTTCTTTCTTGTTATTAGAGGAGTTTGCTTTGCATTCAGGATAAAAGAGAGGTGGACCAGTTTGTTAATATTAAAATTTGTGAGACAGTCGCTAGCTGCATTCAGCTAATAGAATAGGAGTCTAATTTGAGGAAGAGAAACTTTGGTTTCCTCATGTTACCTTTTTTTAAAAACTTTGACAACGTATGAAAGTTGGAGAGCCTTCTAAGGAAGGGCATGTGCTGCTTATTCTAAACACTTTGAAGTTGACTTAATTTCCACTAAAGGACAAATGGTGGCTACTAGAAATATACAAGATAAGGGGGACAGATCGTCCCAAGCCTCCAAAATCGTGGAAATAGTAGATCCTGTATCCTAAATCCAGGCACAGTTTCATTTGGATTTACACATTCGGGCCACAGCTGTCTCCACAAAGATGATAAAATCCTGGGAGTGGGAGGGGCGGTCTTCGGGTGTTCTTTAGGTGGGAAATTCTCGTCTACATGTTCATGCTGCCTTCCTGAGAGCACTCTCTGAGTGGCTCTCAATCTCTCTAGCTCACAGGTGCAGTGCGGTCTTCAGCGCGCTTGAAAGCACGAAGTTGTTCGGCAGCCAGGTTGGCCTCTGCCCAGGAAGTTGCTGGTTCCACGTCTGCCAAGACAGCATGTCTGGTGAGCCCTGTTACCGTGGAGAACGCCAAGATCCTGACTCGAGGGTCCATTTTTATACAAAATTGCCACTCCAAGATGTGTTGCTTTAGAAAAATATCGACTGTTACTTATCTGCCAGAGGGGGACTATTGCAGATGAAAAGGTGACAGCACTGTAATTGCCTTCAGAGAAAGACACACTCTGCAGGCCAGGGCTGGCTCTCCTAGCACCCGCCCACCCGTGTGTGTGTCTAGACCCGGGCTCTGATCCTAGCACCCGCCCACCCGTGTGTGTGTCTAGACCCGGGCCCTGATCCTAGCACCCGCCCACCCGTGTGTGTGTCTAGACCCGGGCCCTGATCCTAGCACCCTCCCACCCGTGTGTGTGTCTAGACCCGGGCCCTGATCCTAGCACCCTCCCACCCGTGTGTGTGTCTAGACCCGGGCCCTGATCCTAGCACCCGCCCACCCGTGTGTGTGTCTAGACCCGGGCCCTGATCCTAGCACCCGCCCACCCGTGTGTGTGTCTAGACCCGGGCCCTGATCCTAGCACCCGCCCACCCGTGTGTGTGTCTAGACCCGGGCCCTGATCCTAGCACCCGCCCACCCGTGTGTGTGTCTAGACCCGGGCCCTGATCCTAGCACCCGCCCACCCGTGTGTGTGTCTAGACCCGGGCCCTGATCCTAGCACCCGCCCACCCGTGTGTGTGTCTAGACCCGGGCCCTGATCCTAGCACCCGCCCACCCGTGTGTGTGTCTAGACCCGGGCCCTGATCCTAGCACCCGCCCACCCGTGTGTGTGTCTAGACCCGGGCCCTGATCCTAGCACCCGCCCACCCGTGTGTGTGTCTAGACCCGGGCCCTGATCCTAGCACCCGCCCACCCGTGTGTGTGTCTAGACCCGGGCCCTGATCCTAGCACCCGCCCACCCGTGTGTGTGTCTAGACCCGGGCTCTGATCCTAGCACCCGCCCACCCGTGTGTGTGTCTAGACCCGGGCCCTGATCCTAGCACCCTCCCACCCGTGTGTGTGTCTAGACCCGGGCTCTGATCCTAGCACCTGCCCACCCGTGTGTGTGTCTAAACCAGGCTCTGAGGCCACTTGTGCTCATCGCTCTGCTCTTAGCGTGCTATGGAGTCATGCTGGCCCATTGCCGTGCAGCCTCACCGCCAGAGGCTTGAAGAGAAAGGCAGAGTGGGTGGGGAAAGGAATCTCATGCCGTCTGCCGTTCACCCTAGCCCAGCCATCGATTCCGAGGAGCGAGTTCCTGAACTTACCGGTGAAGTAGAGCCGCTTCACGGAGCCTACAGTTGAGGGGTTAGGACTTGGCCATATGCCAGCGTGTAGCACAGAGCTTTGCTCATGATGAGGTGCTTGGTAAAATTTTGTCGAAGTCAATTTCACAAATATTTCTTGAGCACCTACTGTGTGCCAGGCACTAATTGGTGAATAAAGCAAAGACCCCTGCCTTCACAGAGCTTATGCCCTAGCAGAAATGAATGAAAGCTGGATTCTTTTACTGTAATTGTATAATATATAAATATATGCTTCAGAATTCACCTGAGGAGCTGTAACGCCACTAGGGGAAACTGAAAGTGTAGGAGTGGTGTGGAGCTGTAACGCCACTAGGGAAAACTGAAAGTGTAGGAGTGGTGTGGGGTGTGTCTAGATTCAGTCTCGCTTGTATTTTGTCCCTTGGTGGCAAAACAGTGAAATGACGATCTGTGAAAGTTGTGGTCACAGCATCTTTATCATTTCCGATGTGAGAAGAAATACTAGCCTCTGGATTGAGGCCTGTTTTATTTGCTAGATATGTCTGGTTCCCCTTACATTTTTTTTCTTGACAGACTTCCTCATCCCACAAAGCCACAGACACGCGAACGTCCAAGAAGTTCAAATGTGACAAAGGACATCTTGTGAAGTCAGAATTACAGAAGCTTGTCCCTAAGAATGACAGCGCTTCTTTGCCAAAAGTGACACCTGAGACCCCTTGTGAAAATGAGTTTGCTGAAGGCAGTGCCTTGCTTCCAGGCAGCGAGGCTGGCGTTTCTGTGCAGCAGGGGGCTGCAAGTCTTCCTCTCGGTGGCTGCAGAGTTGTGAGTGACTCTCGCTTAGCAAAGACTAGAGATGGCCTGTCCGTGCCAAAACACAGTGCCGGGTCCGGAGCAGAAGAATCCAACAGCAGCTCCACTGTGCAGAAGCAGAATGAGCCAGGGCTACAGACAGAGGATGTGCAGAAGCCACCACTTCAGATGGACAACAGCGTCTTTCTAGATGACGACAGCAATCAGCCAATGCCCGTGAGCCGGTTCTTTGGAAACGTTGAGCTCATGCAGGTAAGAGCGGCGCCTTCCTCCTCCCGTGGGTACTCAGGCAGCAGCTGCACATTCAGGTCACACACTCCCCACTCAGTGCAGGTAAATAATGCCTCGACACAACATTAAACATAAACTAATCATTTTAACCCACGAGGAGAAAATGAAACCGTTGGCTAATTGGGGGCTCTCCCTGCATCTCCCGAGCTGAGAATCACTGCTCTCGGGAAAGGTGTGTTTCCATGAAATCAGGTTTGTGGTTTTTTTGAACATCCACCCCGCGCTTGCTGTTAATTTCTTTTGTTTTGAACCCAGCACCTTTCCTTCTCTTTACTCGATCAGCCCAGTAGGGAGGAAGTTCTCATCTAGAGGCGAGTGCTGGGACTCAGGCATTTTCACACGTCTAAAAGGGAAGAGCGCTCTGCGAGCCCTAGAGCCGCTGGGTGGGGCACATTGCAAATGCGGGTGCAGATATGTATTGCTCATGACTGAAGTCATGTTTTCTTCTCCACTAAGGACCTCCCACCTGCGTCTTCATCTTGTCCTTCAATGAGCAGACGAGAGTTCAGAAAAATGCATTTCAGAGCCAAAGATGATGATGATGACGACGACGATGATGCAGAAATGTAGGGGCCATACAAAATAATGTCCTTGAGTATTTAGTACCATTAACAATTTGACAATTTAGCACATTACAAGATTTATATAAAATGTATCTCCAAGAGAATGTCTTAATCAAACTTCAGAACTGACCCATCTAAGTCAATAGTGCAAAGCACCCAATACCTGTGGAGGATGTACTCATGGGAACTAAAACTCAAACCATCTTTGAGGTTGCAAAGCTGCTGTACTGTGCCAATGTCCTTTCTTTTTTTTTTTTTTTTTTTTTCCTTGGAGACAGAGTTTCTCTCTTGTCGCCCAGGCTGGAGTGCAATGGCGCAATCTCGGCTCACTGCAACCTCCACCTCCTGGGTTCAAGTGATTCTCCTGCCTCAGCCTCCTGAGTAGCTGGGATTACAGGCATACACCACCACACCCAGCTAGTTTTTGTATTATTAGTAGACACGGGGGTTTCTCCACGTTGGCCAGGCTGGTCTCAAACTCCTGACCTCGTGATACGCCCGCCTCAGCCTCCCAAAGTGCTGGGATTACAGGCGCGAGCCACCATGCCCGGCCAGTGTCCTTTCTTATACACGTACATACATGATGATGGCTTGAGTCAGCTGCAGGGCAGTGGGCTTAATGAGAGGGATCTTTGTAAAGACAGCTCTTCACTTCAGCTCAGTAGCTTTGGTCATAGGCAAGTTTGTTTTCCATTATCATAATTTGATGATTCTTGTGATGAATTCAATGCTAGTTCTTAAAGAACTCTTTTATTTCTGTATGTGGAGCTAATGTTTACCTTGGAAATTTTGCAAAATACATGTAAGAAAGAAATAAAATATATTTTGAAAATATTTTGAAAGCAGTCGTATGTTCGTAAAACCGGATTCCTTTCTCAATGCCTGGGAGCCGAGTAGAGGAAACACATCCTGCCTCAGTCTCATGCTCCCAAATGCTCATAAGGCTGGGTCCATCTTTTTTTTTTTTTTTTCTGAGACTGAGTCTCACTCTGTTGCCCAGGCTGGAGTGCAGTGGCACAATCTCGGCTCACTGCAACCTCTGCCTCCCGGGTTCAAGCGATTCTCCAGGCTCAGCCTCCCAGGTAGCTGGGATTACAGGCATGTACCACCATGCCTGGCTAATTTTTCGTATTTTTAGTAGAGACGGGGTTTCACCATGTTGGCCAGGCTGGTCTCGAACTCCTGGCCTCAGGTGATCCGCCTGCCTCGGCCTCCCACAGTGCTGGGATGACAGGCGTGAGCCACTACGCCCGGCACGGGTCCATCTTTTAGACCTGTTAACCACCGAGGCCCCCGGGACAGGGCCTCTTCCCTTCTCTCGAGTGTACTTCCACTCCCACTTTGCTGCAGAAGTGTCGGGCTTTCCTATCCTGTGTGGTGGAGACGGTCAGCCATCCAGCGAAGGCCATGCTCTCCTCCAGGCCATAGAGAGGTCCGTGTGCAGCTGCCTGACGAGAACTGCATTCCCCAGCCCCAGCGGCGTCAGGGAGCACCTCACCGTGTGTTCTCGCCCAGGGCAGTGGAGACAAGCCATTGGGAGTGCTCTCTCCATGGCCTCTTCCTGCCGCCACCTGCACATAGAAGCTGAGTGGACCAACCAGGAGCAAGCTGGGGTCCCCGGGTGACCAAGGACAAGGAGAAGTTGCCTGCGATGTGGGAAGACTGGGCCTTTTCATGAGGGAACAAGTGAGTCTTGCTGGTTTTGAGCTTTTATATGTTTCTGGTTTAATTACAAGAGCAGCTAGAATTAACCCTGTGAAAATGTCCTATGAAGCACAGGAAGGATTTTCTATAACAGATAAATTGGAAGCAAAATATAGTTGAAGTGCCCTGTAAGAAGTGTTTCCGCTCTTTACTATTCAAACACTGCCCTCCCTGAAGGTGTCATTCTCCACTTCTAATGTGATCCTTTTCTCATGAGCTGTGACTTTCACCTGTTTTGAATAACTTTGTGATTTATTGATCAACAAACTATAATTTGGAAATGTGGCTTATAAAGTCATTTTATGGTAGCCAGGGAAAATAATTTACAACTTTTGCCGGGCACAGTGGCTCACGCCTATAATCCCAACACTTTCAGAGGCTGAGGCAGGCAGATCACCTGAGGTCAGGAGTTCGAGAACAGCCTGGCCAACATAGTGAAACCCCGTCTCCACTAAAAATACAAAAATTAGCCGGGCGTGGTGGTGGGCGCCTATAATCCCAGCTACCTGGGAGGCTAAGGCAGGGGAATCACTTGAACCCAGGAAGCCGAGGTTGCAGTGAGCTGGGATCACGCCATTGCACTCCAGCCTGGGCAACAGAGCGAGACTCTGCCTCTAAAATAAATAAATAAATAAAGTACAACTTCAGATTGCTGCATGAATAACTATTAATAACAGCACCTGGCCGGGCGCGGTGGCTCACGCCTGTAATGCCAGCACTTTGGGAGGCTGAGGCGGGCGGATCATGAGGTCAGGAGATCGAGACCATCCTGGCTAACCTGGTGAAACCCCCTCTCTACTAAAAACACAAAAAAAAAAATTAACCGGGCGTGGTGGCAGGTGCCTGTAGTCCCAGCTACTCGGGAGGCTGAGGCAGGAGAATGGCGTGAACCCAGGAGGCGGAGCTTGTAGTGAGCCAAGATCACGCCACTGCACTCCAGCCTGGGTGACAGAGCGAGACTCCGTCTCAAAAAATTAAAAAAAAATTTTTTTTTTAAATGACAGCACCTATCCTGGTGGTGACGAGAATTTTGCCATCCTCTAAGCAGACTTCAGTGAGGTGCACTGTCCCAAATGATGATACACCTGCAGAGGAGACGCAGCACGCAGAGTGGAAAGTGTGTGTGTTCCTGGGGCCACCCCTATTCACTCACAGTGGTTAACCTGCACTAACAAGCACTGCCAGGTAGAAACACTTCCTAGTCTACATGTGGACTGTAGCCTGCACAGACCTAGGGGGACTGACCAAAGGGGGGCGAATGAGGGAATAAAAGATAAGATACAAAAGAGTGTATTTGTGCTCACGCACACCCCCTGGCGCAGGCCGACTGTGGCTCTGCCTACAGCGCTTCCTCCTGAGCTGCAGGAGGGCCATGTCTTGTGGTCGTGTTTGCTGCAGCTTTGCCGTCTGGATGGAGCCTGGCACTGAGCTGGTTGAGGCCGTCTGCAGGCCTTTACTGGGCTCTTCCCTTGGAAGCTTCTTACTGATGCCAGGACCTCCCAGCAGGTGACCCTCAGCCCCACAGATCACAGAATTCCACACTCTTAGCTCCTAGAACTTTTCTCCCTCTTGTGTGAGAATGCACAGACCACACACTCTTTCTTTGTTGCAGAGGTTCAGCCACCTTTTCTAACCTGAGACTCTGGGTGACATAACTCCTGATAGGTGATAGCTCTTTGTAACAATCACCAGCACCTTGCCCAGCCAAGGGCCCGGAAGCAAGAAAAAAACAACCAAAACACCATGTCACAGCCAGGAGAGCCTTGCACGCTTCACACACAGCTCAACAAGCCTGGGTTTCCGGTGTCTCAACTCCTGCAGAAATGAAGCCTCAAGTCAGGAAGGGTGAGGAGGGGCACGGACAAGGCCCAACGGCAGCAGGATGGCGCAGAAAGCCTGAGGGACACAAAACCTTCTAGGCCTAGTCGTAGGCAGTGGGGCAGCACCGTGGAGCCACGTGGTAGAGGGATAGCCGCCCTGTGTGTCCAGGGCAAGGTGGCACAGCATGCCTGGACCGCTGAGAAGGAAGGACTTCCCTCAAGAATGTGTCTTGCGCCGGGTGCAGGGGCTCACGCCTGTAATCCCAGCACTTCAGGAGGCCAGGGTGGGTGGATCGCCTGAGCCCAGGAGTTTGAGACCAACCTGGACAACATAGTGAGACCATCTCTACAAACATAAAAATAAATTAGCTAGGCATGGTGGCACATGCCCGGGGTCTCAGTTACTGCAGAGGCTGAGGCAGGAGAATCACTTAAACCCAGGAGTTCAAGGCTGCGGTGAGCTGAGATCACACCACTGCACTCCAGCCTGGATGACAGAACAAGACCCTGTCTTAAAAAACAGACAGACAACAAAAGAATGTGTCTCTGAAAAAGGCCCACGTCTGTGGCTGTTAAACAGAGCAGCTCGTCTCCTGAGGCTGGAGCGATGGAGCTGGAAGGGCCTCACAGCTGTCCGGGCCAGGCTCCTTGCTGCACAGGTGGGATCTGCTGGCTCCAGAGAGTTCTTCAGACCCTGCAAGAGGGATCTGAGAAGAGGGACCAGGCCCCCCGGTTCCCAGGCCCTGACTCTCCCACTGTTTGTCCTTCCCTGATCAGAGCAGATAAACATCACCGTACCATAGATGGGACTTCTAGAAATTCCCCACACAGGACTGGGTTAATTCTAAGGTATTGCTTTAGCTCTGTGAAGAAAATGTAGTCAATTTGTAAAATTGAAGTCAATTTGTAAAATGACTCAATTTGTAAATGAAGTCAATTTGTAAAATATCACAGACTCCTTATTTTTATCCTTATTTTCAGCATCCTCAATGAGTGCAAACTTTCTTGACATGTCTATTTTTGAAAAATCTTTATTGCTTTTCCTGATTGTACAACAAATGTAAAAATTCAAATATTACAAAATGACTTAATTTAAAAAGTACATTTTAACATGTTATAAAATAAATGCCCATTTCAAAAAATTCAAGTATCATAAAATACATGACGTAGAAAATGAGCCCTCTGTAATCTAGCCCAACCCCCGTATCCCCCAGGATTACTGCTGTTCAGATCCGCGTGTTTCCTTCCAGACCGTCTCTGTGCACCCGCCACCCACACGGCTGACATGAGCTCCATATGATCCGAGATGATAGTAACGCTGACCAACGGAGCAGGGTTCAGCTGCCGATGCCCTGAACAGCTTCCAGTTTCTACACAGAAACGCTTTCCTCATAAAAGCCTGAAACTGTGACACAGTTTTGCACTATGTAAATGTATCAGGTTGAATCATGAAATAAATGATCGCTCACCATTTTTGGCCTAGAAAACAGCAGTTTCACGTGGTTCAACGTGATAGCTGTTCAACAGACATTGGGGGGTTTCCTATTTCTTGCCATTATAAACAATTCAGCAGGTCAGGTGCAGTGGCTCATGCCTGTAATCCCAGCACTTTGGGAGACCGAGGCGGGCAGATCACCTGAGGTCAGGAGTTCGAGAACAGCCTGGCCAACATGGTGAAACCCCGTTTCTACTAAACATACAAAAATTAGCTGGCCCTGGTGGTAGGTGCCTGTAATCCCAGCTACTTGGGAGGCTGAGGAAGGAGAACCACTTGAACCTGAGAGGCGGAGGTTGCAGTGAGCCAAGATTGCATCACTGCACTCCAGCCTGAGCGACAGAGTGAGACCCTGTCTCAAACAAACAAAAAAAAAAATCAGCAGTGAATGTCCTTGTATGTTCTTTACGGAGTATAAACATCGTACCCCCAAAGCATGACACCTCTTTTGGGCATTTAGAAGAGTCAAGAGGATGGAGCTGCCCATTTGCCATGGAAAGGGAGACCCAGCAGAGAGCTGATACATAAACAACTTGTCCCTCAAGCAAGGTGGCCAACTTCAGCCATGACACCATTTGAGTATGGTGACCACATTACATGAGCAAACCCAACGCTGGTGAAACCAGAGAACAGAAGAATTCCTCAGCCCAGAGACAATTCTTATCCCTACTGACCCGTATGACCAGGTACTCACAGACATCCAACGAGTACCCCAGAGCTGTCCTCTGGAAGTTGGGCTGTCAGAAGGTATAAGAAATGATTCAGGCTGGGCGCAGTGGCTCACACCTGTCATCCCAGCACTTTGGGAGGCTGAGGTGGGCGGATCACCTGAGGTCAGGAGTTTGAGACCAGCCTGACCAACATGGTGAAACCCCGTCTCTACTAAAAATACAAACATTAGCCGGGCGTGGTGGCACATGCCTGTAATCCCAGCTACTCGGGAGGCTGAGCCGAGATCGCGCCACTACACTCCAGCCTGGGCAACAAAAGTGAAACTCCATCTACAAAACAAAACAAAACAACAAAAAAAACCCCAACAATTCAGAAATGTAATGAAATCAGATTTGGAGGAAACATTTTTTAAGGTTTTTTCCAGGAGCTACTGGAGTGACCAAAAAAACGAAAAACAAAAAAACAAAAAAGGCACCTGTTAAAATGATGCCCACGTCAGGCCTCAAACAAAGACCAGGACGTGGTGTGTACGTGTCACTGGCGTTTCCGCACAGGCTGCTTCCGCTTCAACCTTGTCTGGGGTTTGTAGATTCTGCTTGGGTCACAGTTGAGCTTGTGGGTGGTTTTCTTATGGCAGACAATGTGCACTAGTTTTAGGTTCTCTGAGGTAAAAAGCAGGCCATAAAAATACTCCCAGTCCACTTCTCTTCCATCTTGTTCCTTAATTGCTTCCACCAGTGTAGGAATGATGGTGCGTTTCTTTTCTATTCTGCAAAGTAAGGTTAGAGACATCATTTTCTGTGGTCACAGTGCCACAGGCAACAGGTCATAGCAGTGTATTGCAGTCACAGCTCTTCACAAATTCCCCTAAGTGCTATCACGGACACACGGCCGCACCTACTGGCCAGGTTTGTTGAGCAGAGCCTGATGCAAGCAGCCTGGCTCCTCTTACTTTTTAAAACTTGACTTGTGGCCGGGCACGGCGGCTCACGCCTGTCATCCCAACACTTTGGGAGGCCGAGGCGGGTGGATCACTTGAGGTTGGGAGTTCGAGACCAGCTTGGCCAACATAGTGAAACCCCATCTCTACTAAAAATACAAAAAATTGGCTGGGCTTGGTGGTGGGCACCTGTTATCCCAGCTACTTGGGAGGCTGAGGCAGGAGAATCACTTGAACCCTGGAGGTGGAGGTTGCAGTGAGCCAAGATCACGCCACCGCACTCCAGCCTAGGCAACAAAAGCAAAACACCATCTCAAAAAAAAAAAAAAAAGACTCGTGTCACTGTTCAGAATACTGAAAAGTACGCAGAAAATAAAGGGGGTCAACCACCTTTCCATCACTTACAGTCACCCACCATCAACAACTGGCTTAACTGCCTCCACGTTTCATCTACGTATACATTTACCCCCAAAAAATTACATGATAGAACATGAAAGTTTTACAAACAGAGCCTTACAAAGGAAGCTGAAGTCACTTTTGATACCACTTGTAATCTTATGTCCCTCCTTCCCCTCAGAGGTAATCACTATTAAGGGTTTGCTATTGATCTTTCCAATCCTAATCTTATACCGTTATATGCATATATGCGTATCTGTTTAAGAAACAAATGAGGCCAGGCGCAGTGGCTCACACCTGTAATCCCAGCACTTTGGGAGGCTGAGGCGTGCGGATCACCTGAGGTCAGGAGTTCAACACCAGCCTGGCCAAGATGGCGAAACCTCATCTCTACTAAAAATACAAAAATTAGCTGGGCATGGTGATGCATGCCTGTAATCCCAGCTGCCCAGGAGGCTGAAGCAGGATAACTGCTTGAACCCTGGAGGCAGAGGTTGCAGAGAGAAAGATTGTGCCACCGCACTCCAGCCTGGGCAACAGAGTGAGATTCTGTCTGAAAAAAAAAAGAAAACAAAAAACTACATGAGGCTAGGCGTGGTGGCTCACGTCTGTAATTCTAACACTTTGAGAGGATGAGGTGGGTGATCACTTGAGGCCAGGAGTTTGAGACCAGCCTGGCCAACATGGTGAAACCCCACCTCTACAAAAATGACAAAAAAATTAGCCAGGCATAGTGGCGCACGCCTGTAATCCCAGCTACTACTCAGGAGGCTGAGGCACGAAAATCACTTGAACCCAGGAGGCGGAGGTTGCAGTGAGCCAAGATCGTACCACTGCATTCTAGCCTGGTTGGAGTGAGACTGTCCCAAACACACACGCACACACATACACACACAACATGATGTTGTTTCACTTATAAACCATTTGGAAGACTGTGCAGTAACAAGTGGGGTTTAGAGACCCCACGGCCAGGAGGGCTTATGGTGGGTGTTGAGTGAGCTAAACTGGTGCAGACCCCTCTCCCTACAACCCACAAAATGCTGAGCAAAAGTCGCCTTTTTTTTTTTTTTGAAACAGAGTCTTGCTCTGTCACCCAGGCTGGAGTGCAGTGGCACGATCTCAGCTCACGGTAATGTCCGCCTCCTGGGTTCAAGTCATTCTCCTGCCTCAGCCTCCTGAGTAGCTGGGATTACAGGCGTGCGCCACCACACCCAGCTAATTTTTGTATTTGTATTTTGTATTTTTAGTAGATGGGGTTTCACCGTGTTGGCCAGGCTGGCCTTGAACTCCTGACCTTGGCCTCCCACAGTGCTGAGATTATAGGCATGAGCCACCACACCCAGCCAAAAGTCACCTTGTTAAAATACTTAGTTGAGATCAAAAGAAAGGGGCTCCCCAGCTGCCAGAAACCAAAGAGAAATTAGTGCACACAGGCAAGCTATGGTCCAGGGGCCTACCAGGGTTCCAGTCCCTGATACAGGCCCAGGGGACCCTAGAAAGACAGGGAGGTGGGACCGAGACCCCTGCCATAGCCATTAAGGGGGATAGAAAAGCTTGAGTGGAGCCCGGGGCTTGGGCAAGAGGAAGGGAAACCCACTGAGCCCGTTATCTAATGCTGCAGAAGCAGCCACCACAAAATGCAGTGGCTTCCGGGGGTTGGCCTGGGGGGCCTTCTGCTGGTGTTGCCTGGTGCACACCGGGGCTGTGTCTGATGGAGGGTGGCCTAGGGCTGGGCCCTTCTCCCCTGTCCTCCCCCATCCTGAAGGAGCCAGGACAGGCTCCCTCACATGGCCATGGCAGTGTTCAGAGGGGACAAGTCCCCCACACAAGCAGGCCTCTGTTAGCTCAGTGTTGCCTTCACTGGTGTCACGTGGACAAGCCTGAATTCAGCGTGGGGAGAGAAGGCAGGGGAGCACACAGGGTGTGGACATCGGGAGTGTGTTCCTGTCCCCACCTTCACAGTCATCCGCAGAACGCAGGGTGTACGGCCCAAAGTACACGACCAACAAGGCAGGGAACCACAAGCAAGAAATGGCAGGAAGTTGCTTCCAAGTCACAGGGAAACCCTGGGCATCCGCAGGAATCAAATCCGAACCCACGAAGAGCCATGCTGAAGGGGCACCGTGACACACCGGAGCACAGAGGAGGCCTACAGGAAACACTTCCCACTAAAGCAAGCTCCAGGCCCAAGCGAGCTCCAGGCCCAAGCGAGCTCCGGGCCCAAACACACAGCAGCAGAAGGCTCCACCAGAGCCACACTGAAGGCACCGTGACACACTGGAGCACAGAGGAGGCCTACGGGAAGCACTTCCCACTGAAGCGAGCTCCAGGCCCAAACACACAGCAGCAGAAGGCTCCACCAGCAGGAGAGGCAGACCCAGCAGCGGCAGAGGGCTGCCCACGTGACAGGCCCTTCAGGAGCCCAGCACAGTCCACAAGGACCCTCACTCCTGACACCAACTACAGCAGGGAGGGGTCCCTGAGACCACCTCAGACTCCATAACTCTCTGAAAGGACTCGCAGATCCCCCAGTGAGCCGTTGGACTCAAGGTTATCGTTTCTTATAGCTGCAGATGAAAATCAGCCAAGGTTAAGAGGCACAGAGGGGGCGGTCCAGGAAGGTTCCAATCCCAGAGCTTCCAGCTGTCCCCTCCCTGTGGGGTCATGGCCAGCCCTACCTTCCCCAAGCACTAACTTCCACAGCCCTCTGTGACGACACTGCCAACCAGGAAGCTCACCAGGCCTGGGTGCCAGCCTTTACTGGGGCTCACACAGACATGGCTGATGGCCCATGGGGCCAACCTCCACCTCAAACCCTCTAGAGGTCAAGCTGAACCAAAGACCCCATCCTAAATCACGCCATTAAACTATCCAGTGACCCAAGGCCCCCAGGTGAACAAAGACACTCCTACCAGGCAGGACATTTGAAGGCATTGGCGTTTACCTCCCAGGGCTCAAGAACGAATGCCAGACCTGTGGGCAAGGTTGAATGCTTTAGCATGTGACTGTAAAACAAATATGCTTAAAATGGATGATTAATGATTAAAGTGATTAAAAAGAAATGGAAATAATGAAACCAGACTGGCATAAAAAAGGCTCGTTTTATGAAGAACCCAAAAGCACTTCTTTTGGGCTCTTTAGGAACCCAAAAAAGGAAGCATGTACTCAGCGGACAGAATGAACATATGAACAGCTGAAGAGAGAATTCCTGAACAATACAGGAGTGTCTTAGTGTGCTCCAGCTGCCAGAGGAAAATACCACAGACTGAGTATTTACTCTCTCACAGTCCTGGAGGCTGGAAGAACAGGTGCCCGCACGCCGGGTGCTAGTAAGGGCTCTCCTCCTGGCTGGTAGATGGCTGCCTTCTTGCTGTGTCCCCACGTGGCAGAGACAGAGGGAGAGTGAGCTCCTTTCCCATTTTCTAAGGACACCAGTCCTAGTGGATTAGGGCCCCACCCTCATGACCTTCATTATCTCCCAAAGACCTTATCGCCTGATGCAGTCACACTGGGGATTAGGGTTTCAACATACGAATCTTGGGGAACATGATGGAGTCCACAGCAGAAAGTCCCAGTGAGACAGCAGCCCAGACGCAGGCACAGCATGAGGAGAGCAGAATGAGAAGGTCCAACACACAGCTAACAGGCGCTCCCGGAAAACCGCACAGGCAGAATCAAAGAGAAGCCACACCTCATCAACGCAGAAGCATTTTCCAAAACCAAAGAAAAGTGTGTCCTCAGCACAAGGAATACAAGTCCCAGGCAGAATCCAAAAGAAAGAGCTCTACCTAGATACTTATCATTTTCCAAGAGGAGGAGAAAAATCTAAAACTACCATTAAAAAGGCAGAAAATTAGGCTGCCAACAGATTTCTCACAGATTCCAGAAGACAATGGAGTTATTCTTCAAAGTACTGAAGGTAGGTATCTGTCATCCTAGAATTCAGTACTAACTAAATAATTACTCAAGAGTGGAAGTTGAACGGACCTTTTCAAATGCTGAGTAGAGTTTACCCCTCACAGCCACTCGTGGAAGAAACACTAAGGGCTACACATCAGTAATCAGAAATTGAACCCAGAGATGAGATGCAAGAAGCACTGGCAAACACAGACACGGGTGAATCTGTTGATAAATAAATGGAAGTGTTGGCCATAAAACCACACCAGCATTTTGTGCAGGATTAAAATAAGGTGAGACACGAACACTAAAGAATACCGCAGAGGGTCACAGCGAGGCCGGCCCGGGAGAGGGGACAGCAGCAGTGCCGTCTTCCAGTATCACTAACATTAGGGACACCATGAACGCCAAACCACAAAAGGGTGGGGTGATGGGCAAGGGAAAGAAGGAAACTCAAGTAAGTCAACAGAAGGCACACAAGAGACCAGAAGAAAGTGAAGATGCGGCATGGTGGGTACAAACCCAGAGTAAAGCAGCTAAAATCCAATCTGTATTCACTCAACAAAACGGTCAACAGAGGTTCACTGAGTGGGCTCAGCGTGGTGGCTCACGCCTGTAACCCCAGCGCTTTGGGAGGCTGAGGTGGGCAGATCACTTGAGGTCAGGAGCTTGAGACCAGGCTGGCCAACATAGTGAAACCCTGTCTCTATTAAAAATACAAAAATTAGCCAGGCATGGTGGCAGGTGCCTGTAATCCCAGCTACTCTGGAGGCTGAGGCACAAGAATCACTTGAACCCAGGAGGCGGAGGTTGCAGTCAGAGGAGATTGCGCCACTGGACTCCAGCCCGGGCGACACAGCAAGACTCCGTCTCAAAAAAAAAAAAAAAGATATTCACTGAGTAGCCATCATGGCCAAACTCTGTCCCACGTCCCACACACTGGGGACACAGCTGAGAGCGAGGGACCCCACAGAGTCACATTCTAGGAGACAGCAGCTGTCACAACACCTGCAGCAGGAGGTTCAAGCTGCGGCTGGCTGAATGACAGAATCTCAGGTTAGATGAAGACGAAAGGCTGTTACCCTTGGCTAACAAGAGATAAGCCCAAACCTAATGGCACATAAAGGCCAAAGGAAAGGGGTGGAAACGCCACAGGACCGAGAGAAAGCCGGCACAGAATAGAAAGCCGGCACAGAATAGAAAGCCGGCACAGTGGAACTGAGGTGCTGAGTGTTATGAACATCTACAAACGCTGACCAGTTACAAGGAAACAGACCACAACGAAAGGCAGGCAGGAACACAAGACACTGAACACAAACACGAAAACATGCTCGGAAACTAAAAAGACTTCTGTAAAATCCATGGATCAAAAACAAAATCATAATGTAAATCATTCAGTCTCAAAACAACTCCAGCCAGGCGCGGTGGCTCACACCTGTGATCCCAGCACTTTGGGAGGCTGAGGCGGGTGGATTACTTGAGGTCAGAAGTTCGAGACCAGCTCGGCCAACATGGTGAAACCCCGTCTCTACCAAAAGTACAAAAATTAGCCAGGCGGGGTGGCACGCACCTGTAATCCCAGCTACTTGGGAGGCTGAGGCATGAAAAACCGCTTGAACCTGGGAGGCAGAGGTTGCAGTGAGTCGAGATCATGCCACTGCACTCCAGCCTGAGTACAGAGTGAGACTCTGCCTCAAAAAAAAAAAAAAAAAAACTGAACTCCCAAGACACAACTCATGCAGCCTAGGAGGAACTACCTTAAGTATAGATTAGATACAAAAGAGACACGAACAAATGAATAAGCAAGAAGAAACCCACAAAGGTAGAAGGTAGGAATAAATTTTACAAAAAAGCAAACGTTAATAAAGTGAAGTAAAGGGCCAAAGACGGCCAAAGACAGCTGTGATGAGACAGAAAGGAAAGTTCCCCAGCGGCAGGGCTCACACAGGCCATGAGGACCCCGCTATGGTGTTAAAAGAAACGTCCCCAGGGCTCCAGGAAAGGGGAGCTTTCCAGGCCCCACCCGCCACAGCCCTCCCACGGGAGGCAGGATTCTTCTGGGCTGAGGAGTCAGGTCCACCCAGAGCCCACACGGACGCTCCTCGTGCCACCTTCCGCCCAGGGGCCCCTGAACCGCATGGGCTCTGGGCCAGGCCGTCTTCCTCGGACAGGCTGAGCCCCAGGGCCCGCGCCCTTCAGCCCGAGAGGGAAGGTGTTCCAAGCCTGGACGCTCTCTGTGCAGGCCCCTGGTGTGAGGTGGCACTAAGGGTGGGAAGAGAAGGTGCAGGCAGCAGGTGGCAGGCCATGTTTAGGCTCCACTGCTGTGCACATCCCGGAACTGGGGAAGACCTGCAAATTCTTCTCGAACCTTCCCAGCCATGATGCTACGTAAGTCCAGGTAGGGGGACAGCATGCATTTTATTTCATTGTTCATTAGCTTTTAATTCTTAAATAATTAAACATGTGGCACGTGGTGTCAACCCCCACAAACGTCAGGACAGGCCTGTGGCAAACAGACCACTGTCTCTGCAACTTTCCGAAGACCGGTGCTGAAAACTACATTTTTAATTAAAACCCAACACACTTATCTGTGTGTGAGTATACATATTTAGGAAGCGTGAGAGAAAATATAACCGCAGCAAACACTTGGTGAAACATTCCTCTGACTCACGCTGTCCCTTCTGCTATTTTCATCTGTACTCTGTTCTAGGATGGCCTATTTCATTCTGTAAATGCTGATTGTGTCCCCTAGATTGATGTCCCCACCTGCAATGGTCTTGAAAAGGACAAGAGCATTTGGATGGCGGGGAGAAAACATTTTTGGGTACTTGTTGCATGTGGCAAGGGGTCCAGCAAACAGCAGAGAAAAGAGTAGGAGAATCTCTTTCGGATAGACAGGGTAGGGCAGGATTTCTTAACATACAAAGGGAACATCTGAGCACATTAACACTGAAAACTTGTTGTGGGCCAGGCACAGTGGCTCATGCCTATAATCTCAGCACTTTGGAAAGCCAAGGTGGGCAGATCACCTGAGGTCAGAGTTTGAGACCAGCCTGGCCAACATGGCAAAACCCCATCTCTACTAAAAAAACACAAAAATTAGCCGGGTGTGGTGGTGCATACCTGTAGTCCCAGCTACTCGGGAAGCTGAGGCAGAAGAATCGCTTGAATCTAGGAGGTGGAGGTGGCAGTGAGCCGAAATCACACCACTGCACTCCAGCCTGGGCGACAGAGTGAGACTCCATCTCAAAAAATAAATAAATAAAACTTGTGATAAAAGATATCATAGGATTAACGTATCCAGAATGTGTAAAGCATGCCCACAAATAAGACCATAGCCCAAGAGAGAACGAGCAAAGGAAAGAAACACAGAAGACACAAGCGGCCACAGACGTGGAAAGAGAAGCTCAACCTTCCTAGTCATCAGGAAAATGAAAATTAGAGAAAGAGAATCTGTGTCTCACCTATCGGGTTGGGAAAATGCAAAAAAGTACAATGACACCAAGTGTCAGCAAGAACCCGGGAAAGCATGAACTCACACGGATGGCGAGTGTGTAGGCTGGGACACTCGAGAGCAGCCTGGCCAGGCTCAGAGAGGGAACAGAGGTGTCATTAGGACCCAGCACACTCACTAGAGGGACTCAAGCTCAGACACTGGGGCATCTTGTCCATGCTGGGACGCACACCCCAATCCCCAGGCACCTGGGTTATGTCTGGATGGGGCCTGAGAATCTGAATTCCCAGCTCCCAGATGTTGCTAATGCTTGAAAGTAACCACACTTTAAATAGCACGGAACCAGACCATATGGGTTCATTCCATAGAGTGTTCATCCCAGGGATTTTTATAATGATGAGAAATTAGAAATAACCTAAATGCCTCCCAGTATGGAAAGATGTTAAAATTAGAGCCTATTCAAAAAGTGAAGTGTTCTGCACCTGCTGAAATGAATATGCCGAATCTAAGCACAGCATGCAATGAACAGGTACACTGCACACGACAGCGTGGGCCGCCACATATGTACATGTTAAACCCACACGCGTGTGGTAAAGGTGCAGCTACACGGCTCTGCAGACGACAACGTGGGCCGCCACGTATGTACACGTTAAACCCACACACGTGTGGTAAAGGTGCAGCTACACGGCTCTGCAGACCACAGCATGGGAGGCCACGTATGTGCACGTTAAACCCACACGCATGTGGTAAAGGTGCAGCTACACGGCTCTGCAGACCACAGCATGGGAGGCCACGTATGTAGACGTTAAATTCACATGCGTGTGGTAAAGGTGCGGCTACACGGCTCTGCAGACCACAGCATGGGAGGCCACATATGTGCATGTTAAACTCACACGCGTGTGGTAAAGGTGCAGCTACACGGCTCTGCAGACCACAGCGTGGGAGGCCACGTATGTGCATGTTAAACCCACACGCGTGTGGTAAAGGTGCAGCTACACGGCTCTGCAGACCACAGCGTGGGAGGCCACGTATGTGCATGTTAAACCCACACGCGTGTGGTAAAGGTGCAGCTACACGGCTCTGCAGACCACAGCGTGGGCCACCACGTATGTGCATGTTAAACCCACACGCGTGTGGTAAAGGTGCAGCTACACGGCTCTGCAGACCACAGCGTGGGAGGCCACGTATGTGCATGTTAAACCCACACGCGTGTGGTAAAGGTGCAGCTACACGGCTCTGCAGACCACAGCGTGGGCCACCACGTATGTGCATGTTAAACCCACACGCGTGTGGTAAAGGTGCAGCTACACGGCTCTGCAGACCACAGCATGGGAGGCCACATATGTACATGTTAAACTCACATGCGTGTGGTAAAGGTGTAGCTACACGGCTCTGCAGACCACAGCGTGGGAGGCCACGTACGTGCATGTTAAACTCACACGCGTGTGGTAAAGGTGCAGCTACACGGCTCTGCAGATGACAGCGTGGGCCACCATGTATGTACATGATAAACTCACACGCTTGTGGTAAAGGTGCAGTGAGAGGGCTCTGAAGGGCACACACACCTTTCACAAGTGTTTTCCCTCGGGGCAAGGTGTAGAGGCTGAGTATGGACAGGGTAAAAGCTCAACTATGACCATAGTGTTTTACATACTTTAAAAAAAAATCTCACTCCGAAAGCAATACAGGTTGAATGTCCCCATCTGAAATGCTGGGGACCAGAAGTGTTTTGGATTTGGGATTTTTTTAGGATTTTGGAATATTTACATTATACTGACTAGCTGAGCATCCTTAAAAAAATCCCACATCTGGCCGGATGCAGTGGCTCACACCTGTAACCCCAGAACTTTGGGAGACTGAGGCGGGCGGATCACCTGAGGTCAGGAGTTCAAGACCAGCCTGACCAACATGGAGAAATCCCGTCTCTACTAAAAATACAAAATTAGCTGGACGTGGTGCCACGTGCCTGTAATCCCAGCTACTGGGGAAGCTAAAGTAGGAGAATCGCTTGAACCCGGGAGGCGGAGGTTGCGGTGAGCCGAGATCACATCATTGCACTCCAGCCTGGGCAACAAGAGCAAAACTCCATCTCAGAAAAAAAAAAAAAAAAATCCCAAATCCTAAATGCCCGGATGAGCATCTCCTCTGAGCGTCATGTTGGTCGCAAAACGTTTTGAATTTTGGAGCACTTCGGATTTCAGGTTTTCAGATTAGGGATGCTCATCCTGTACAGCCATTTTAAGGGCATTTGAAGGCTTCTGTCTTCAAAAAGCAAGGGCAAGGCTACAATTATATTCAAGGAATGCATCTCAGTTTAAAAGAATGAAGTTTTCCATCCTGCCCATTTGTTAGAGCCATAGAGCTCGTACGGCTGTGAAACACTCCTGCCTGCTGAGACTTCTGCTCATGCTGGTTCCACAAAATAAGCCAGCCAGGCATGGTGGCGAGCACCTGTAGTCCCAGCGACTCAGGAGGCTGAGGCAGGAGGATTGCTTGAGGCCAGGAGTTCAGGGCTTCAGTGAGCCATGATCCTGCCACTGCACTTTAGCCTGGGCCACAGAGCAAGACTCCATCTCTAAAAGAAAAAGAAAAAGGGAAAAACACCCTTACCTATCATAACACCAGGAGCTCCCGCTGTCTGAGCTCACCCTGGTTCAAACTCACAGAGGTTCAGAACCTCTGACAGCCAAGGGCTGGGACCTGTGTTCTGGGGAAGGACGCTGCCCACCAGCTCCATCCACAGGGAGGACTGGAGGGGACAGGAGGGCTGGCTCCGGGTCAGGTACACATGCTGACAGTGGAGGGAATGGTGTGTGCCCACTCAGCAGCCCCCTATGCTGCCATCAGGTACCCCTTCCCTGGGCTGTAACACGGGTGCAGCCCTTGAAACCCAAGGAGGCAACACCGTGGCAGGGACAGGGCCGTGGCAGGGACAGGGCCATGGCAGGGACAGGGCCACGGCAGGGACAGGGCCCTGCAGGCACTCGTGGGTCTGAACCTCGCTCTGTGAGCTTACATGTGATCCAGGTTCCAGGTGCTGAAGAGGATCCTGCTCTCCCTGTTACTGTAGGGGTTGATGGAGTGTCTTGATAAGCAGCTGTCCATGTCAAAGGGACCCTGGGGGCCAAAAGACAATGAGGGAAGGCCAGAAAGTGAGTCTCTTTTTTTTTTTTTCTTGAGACAGCGCCTCGCTCTGTCGCCAGGCTGGAGTGCAGTGGCCCGATCTCGGCTTACTACAACCTCCGCCTCCCGTGTTGAAGCGATTCTCCTGCCTCAGCCTCCCGAGTAGCTGGGACTACAGGTGCCCGCCATCAGGCCCGGCTAATTTTTGTATTTTCAGTAGAGACAGGGTTTCACCTTGTTGGCCAGGATGGTCTCGATCTCTTGACCTCGTGATCCGCCCGCCTTGGCCTCCCAAAGTGCTGGGATTACAGGCGTTGAGCCACCGCGCCCGGCCAGAAGTGAGTCTCATACAGTCTCAGTCACCGAGTGACATGCTTTGGACGTGCAGCCCCACCCAGAGCTCATGTTGAAATGTCAGCACTAGTGTGGGAGGCGGGGCCTGGTGGGAGGTGATGGATCCTGGGGGTGGATTTCTCATGAAGGGTCTAGCACCATCGCCTGGGTGCTGCCCACGCCAGTGTGAGTCCTCCTGAGATCTGGCTTAAAAGTAGCACCCTCCCCTCAATCTCTCTCTCGTTCCTGCTCCCCGCACGTGAGATGTGCCTGCTCCTGCCTCCCCTTCCACCACAAGTGTGAGTTTCCTGAGGCCTCCCCGGCAGCTGAGCAGATGCCAGCGCCATGCTTCCTGTACAGCCTGCTGAACCGTAAGCCAATTGCACCTCTTTTCTTTATAAATTACCCACTCTCTATTTCTTTATAGCAATGCGAGAATGGCCTAATACACCAAGTCAGGTGATCTTACTGAGAGACGCACCCCGTGGGGGCTGGTCCCTGCTCCAGGGTATACTGCTTTAGGGAGATTCAGAGTTCTGCCTTGGCCGGGCACGGTGGTGACTCATGCCTGGAATCCCAGCATTTTGGGAGGCCAATGTGGGTGGATCACCTGAGGTCAGGAGTTCCAGACCAGCCTGGCCAATATGGTGAAACCCCATCTCTACTAAAAACACAAAAATTAGCCGGGCATGGTGGCGGGCGCCTGTAATCCCAGCTACTTGGGAGGCTGAGGCAGGAGAATCACTTGAACCTGGGAGGCAGAGGTTGCAGTGAGCCGAGATCGCACCACTGCATTCCAGCTTGGTGACAGAGCGAGACTCGTCTCAAACAAACAAACAAAAAAAAAGCTCTGCCTTTGGAATCAGATCCTTCTTTTTCCCTCATTACCCCTAACAATATGTTCTGAGTTCCCAAAGAGGACAAGGTAGTTATTGTCACTGTTACCCGTGTGATCACACACCAGCACCCCCACCTCATGGGAAGTGAGGCCAGGAAGGTACTGACTTGCCAGGGCAGGACCAGCGCGTGAGAAGCAAGGACCCATGTCCCAGAGGCTCCCTTTCCAGCCATTGCCCGCGGCTTCCTGATGTTTCCCTGTGATCCCAATGCAGAGGCAGGGCTGCCTCACTGAAGGTGCCATGGCCACAGCTTCCGTCTTCCCTGTGGTCCGCAGCCCAGCACTCAACACACTCATTCGTGAACAGACATCTGCAGAGCACGTGCCGGGAGCCCCAGTGCCTACTTGCACTCTGTGCCCCCATCACCCTGGGGACTCACAGCCTCCCCAGCAGAGCCCACTGCTTCCCACTGCCATGCCCGGAGCACCTGGTCCCTCCCAGCTCACTCTTGCACCCCCACCTATCAGTCAACCTGCTCTAAGGCCCCACCCCCTCCCTGGGGCCGCTTCTGACTGGCCCTGGCTCCCAGGATGCTGGCTGCGGCTCCTGCAGCCCCTTGGCCTCCTCTGTCTCGCTCATTTATGTGTCTTTCACCTTCCATTGTGCAGGACTCACCCTGCCATCAGGGATGAAGGATTTTTCATTTTTGTGTCCCAACCCCTCCCACAGTGCCAGGCACAAAGTAAGTACTCACTGAGTGGTGAGCGAGCGCACTGCAAAGTCTAAATGTTAAGCTAACTTGGAAGAAGCGTTTTTATGGCCAGAGCCCATCACCCCAGAAGGATCTGCCTGGCAGGAGCAGCAAGGAGCCCTGTCCCATGGGAAGAAGCACCGCAGGCCATGCCCACCACCTGGCCCCTGCTGCTGGACCCACTGAGTGGCACTCGGAAGATCACGGGCATCAGTGGACCTTACCGGGAATGCAACTGCAGTGTGCAAACGCCAAGAGGCGCCTCAAGTTGCTCCCCACACCATGGGAGGGGGAGGGGTGTGCCCAGGACTCGCCAGAGACACAGATGCATCACCACTAAAGGCCAGACCACGCCTAGCACGGTGCAGCAGGGACACCTGGGAAGGCAGCGGGGGAGTGCGGACCTGATCTCAGCTTCCAGCCTCCAGAACTATGAGCAGTAACCAGCTGCCGTTCCAGCCTCCCCAGCAGGGGTCATCTGTTATGGCAGCCGGGGCTGACTAAGACACCGCCCAGCACTACCGAGACAAGCCCTGGGGCGGGCCCTGCAGCCCTCTGCAAGCTCCCCAGGGATTCCTGTGTGCACTGCAGCTTGAGAGGCACTGGCTGAGACACTGCCGCCCTCCCTGGGAATGTGAGGGCTGTACCTCTTCACAAGGCTTTGCCCAGGCAGGGCAAGGGCTGAAGGTCCCCACCCGCCTCGCCCCAGGCGGGCTGTGTTCCACAGGCCAGCCGGGTGGCCCCAGGATAAAGGGCACACAGCTCACCTGGCAGGAGAACCAGCCTTCCGGTGTGCAGAGGCGGCTGCCGCCCTTGGCTCCTCTGTCGAAGTAGCTGCCATTGTACTGCATGGACCGGAGCCTCTGGCACATGGAGCCGAGGACCCGCAGGAATTCCTCCTGAGCCTCCGCACCCACCGTGGAGGGGTAGGAGCTCACCTGGAGGAACCAAGGAACGTCGGTGAGCCTGGTGCACAGCGCCCCAAAACCCGCACTGGCTCTCGATCCATCTCACTCCATGGCCCTCTGAGACCCTGCCCAAGCCCAGTCCTGTGGTCAGAGGGTCTGAGTTCACGTGGCCTCTCGGCCACTGCTGGGCTGTCCCACCCTGGGAGACTCTGACCTGTGAAATGGAGGGAACCACACCAGCCCCCAGGCTGGGTGAGACTTAGATGAGATAACAGGCTGGGTGTGGTGGCTCACGTCTGTAATCCCAGCACTCTGGGAGGCCGAGGTGGGCGGATCACTTGAGGTCAGGAGTTTGAGACCAGCCTGACCAACATGGTGAAACCCCATTTCTACTAGAAATACAAAAAATTAGCTGGGCATGGTGGTACATGCCTGTAATCCCAGCTACTTGGGAGGCTGAGGCAGGAGGATTACTTGAACCTGGAAGGCAGAGGTTGCAGTGAGCTGAGATTGCACCACTGTACTCCAGCCTGAGCAACAGAGTGAGACTCCGTCTCAAAAAAGAAGATGAGCTAATAAAGTCAGGCAGGCACGGCCATCCCACCCTGGTCAGGCAGGCAGTGGTGCGTGGAAGGGCCTGGTCATTGCACTTGCAGGGAAGAGTATCAGGATCAGTTAGCTCCACTACAGGGAGCAGGCTGGGAAATGCAAGGGAACATGGCAAGTCGCCAGGACCTCGAAGAGATGCAGAAAAACGGGGTGCAGTGCAGCATTAGCAATTGTGCCACAGAGAGGAGTGGGCCGAGGGCGTGGGGGCCGACCACGCAGGGCAGCACTAGGACAGGACACCCATTGCAGGGGCCTCCACAGCACCCTCCATGTGCTAATGATGCGGTGTGGCATGGTGTGGAATGACGTGGTGTGGCCTGGTGTGGTGTGGCCTGGTGTGGTGTGGCGTGGTGTGGTGTGGTGTGGCCTGGTGTGGTGTGGCTTGGTGTGGTGTGGCCTGGTGTGGTGTGGTCTGGTATGGTGTGGTATGGTGTAGCGTGGCATGTCATGCTATGTGATGAGGAAATCCACATTCGATGGGGTGGATGGAAATGAGGGCAGAGCTGACTCCACCTTTGGGAGGGAGGAGGGAGCGGTGGAGAGGTTTGCAGACCAAGGATGGGCTCATGGGAAGGGCCTCAGATCCCTGTAGCACCTGCTGACCTTGGTCACAGTTGGGCAAATGACAGCTCAGGCTCTGTGTCTGCCGTGACGCTTGCCACTGCTGCCCAGGAAGAAGCCTCGGGGGGAGAGGAGGAGAGGAGGGGAGGCAGGCAGGAGCCACCACCTCCCCGCTCCCCAACCCGTGACCTCAAGTGCAGCTGAAAAGGCCCGATGGGTGTTCACCCCCATGAAGGGAGGAGGCACAGGGTCCGTGCGCTAGCTTCCCTCACCAGAGCAGCCCCACCAGATCCACGCAAGCACGGAGTGTGGTCCTACCAACTACCCATCGTGAGGACCACAGGCTTCCAGAGCCCACAGAGCCTGGCTTCAAAAACCCGCCCAGCATACCCGGTCTTCACTCAGGCTCACCTCCCTCAGGTAACTCCGGATCCGGCTCTCACAGCTGTATCTCAGATAGCCAGACTTGCTCTGAAATCGGGACTCCAAGCCTGCAAGGAAAACGAGAAGACCCCCAAGTCCACAGGGCAGGCCAGGGGCCTCTGGGTCTGTGTCCTGCCCAGCCCAGGTGCCAAGCAGGGCAGAATATGAGGGTCATACTGCTTCATCTTTTTGACAGGGTCTTGCTCTGTCCTCCAGGCTGGAGTACAGTGGCACGAACACAGCTTACTACAGCCTTAACCTCCTGGGCTCAGGGAATCCTCCTGCCTCAGACTTCCAAGTGGCTAAGACTACAGGGACGCACTACCACACCTGGCTCACTTTTTAAATGTTTTTAGAGATGAGGTCTCACTTTGTTACCTAGGCTGATCTTGAACTCCAGGGCTCAAGCTGTCTTCCAGCCTCGGCCTCCCAAAGTGCTAGGATTATAGGTGTGAGCAACGACACCTGGCCAGATTGCATCATCTTGAGAAGTATTCTAATGGCGACACAGACAGCATCCCTGTTTGGTTTTTGTTGTTAGAAGCATCTCAAATACCACCAAGGAGCTTCTGCCTGGCCCTCAAGCCCTCCTTTCCCAAAAAGGCTACAATCTCTCAGCATCGCCTCTGATGGGCTTACAAGGCCAGGCCAAAAGGTGGAAGCAACCCAAGTGTCAGTGAATAGACAGTGTGGTATCTACACGCAGCGGAGTGAACAGACGGAGCGTGGCATGTACACGCAGTGGAGTGAATGGACAGAGTGGGGTATGTACACGCAGTGGAGTGAATAGATGGCGTGGTATGTACACGCAGTGGACTGTCATTTGGCCTTAAAAAGAAGGAAATTGGCTGAACGTGGTGGCTCACGCCTGTGATCCCAGCACTTTGGGAGGCCGAGGCGGGCGGATCACGAGGTCAGGAGATTGAGACCGTCCTGGCTAACACAGTGAAACTCCGTCTCTACTGAAAATACAAAAAAATTAGCCAGGCGTGGTGGCAGGCACCTGTAATCCCAGCTACTCGGGAGGCTGAGGCTGGAGAATGGCGTGAACCCGGGAGGTGGAGCTTGCAGTGAGCCAAGATCGCGCCACTGCACTCCAGC
Source organism: Homo sapiens (assembly GCF_000001405.40). Taxonomy (NCBI): domain Eukaryota; kingdom Metazoa; phylum Chordata; class Mammalia; order Primates; family Hominidae; genus Homo; species Homo sapiens. Next base: position 3,866,940 of record NC_000001.11, on the reverse strand, counting down.
CTGGGCAACAGAGCAAGACTCTGTCTCAAAAAAAGAAAGAACTTTTGATATACGCTACGATATGGATGAACCTTGAGGACACTGTGCTGAGTGCAATAAGCCAGTTACACAAGGACAAATACTATGTGACTGCATTCATATGAGGTCCCTAGAGTCATCAAATCAGAGAGACAGAAACCGGAATGGTGGTGGCCAGGGGCTGGCGGAGGGGGAAGGGGGAGTGATGTAACAGGGACACGGGTTCAGCTTTGCAAGGTGGAAGGAGTTCCGGAGATGACGGTGGGGATGGCCGCATACAATGTGACTGTACCTAATGCCGATGACCTGTGCACTAAAAAAATGATTGAGAAGGTAAATTTTATGTCATATGTACTTTAGCACAATTTTTAAAATAATTATAATAGGCCAGGCGGGGTGGCTCCCGCCTGTAATCCTAGCACTTTGGGAGGCTGAGATCAGAAGTTTGAGACCAGCCTGGCCAACATGGCGAAACCTCATCTCTACTAAAAATACAAAAATTGGCAGGGCGTGGTTGCACTTGCCTGTAATCCCAGCTACTCGGGAGGCTGAGGCAGGAGAATCGCTTTAACCTGGGAGGCAGAGGGTGCAGGGAGGCAGAGGTTGCGGTGAGCCAAGATCACGCCACTGCACTCCAGCCTGGGGGACAGAGCAAGACTCCATCTCAAAACATATCTATAAAAATATAAAAAGTCCCATCCGAGGGCTGCCCTGGACTCTGGCCCCACCTGAGTCCTTGCTGGGTACCTTTCCCACGAGGCTGGGAAATGCTGGGAAATGAGCACATTTTCTTCCAAGTCCCCCACCTCAACCCACGAGGGTACAGGCCAGCCCTTCACTGGGGGCTTTTTGGAATCCAACTTCTTCTGGCACCTCAGGCTCCAAAGAAGCCTCTCCCCTGCCAGCTGCAGCCCCCACGCACCTTCAAACCACGGCGGGTCCTCAGCCCGGGTCTCGGCCGCGATGTTCTGGCTGACGTTGTGCAGGAGGTCAGCCAGCAGCCTCTGCCTCTGTGGGGCCTGCTCATCACACAGCAGCTGCTGGGCGGCCTGGATGAGCCCCACCTGTGGCTCGTGAAATGCACTGAGGAAGCGCCTGATGTCGCTCACATCTGCCACCAATGGGACAAACAAAAGGTGCCGGTCCAGCAGAAGACACATCCTGCCCCGGTCACAAGAAGAGCCTCTGACCACATCTTCCCCCATTCCCCAGGGCCTGGCAATCACCAGGACTCAGACTTGAGGTGTCCCGGGTCTTTGTCCTTGCCCTGACACCAACAGCTGGGGACCACGCACAAGGGCGGCATGAGGACAGAGGAGGGAGGGGCAGGGTGTGCTTTAGAGGACAGATGAAAGCGCACCAAGAGACGGCCGCTTTCCCATTTGGCCTCCTCCCCTCCAAACCATACGCCCCCCACTTTGGCCCTTCCTGGAGACCTTGCTTTCAGATCCTTCCGATCACTTTTCCTACTCTCTCCTGGAGCCTTTTCACAACTCCCTAAAGCAGCGAGCTCTCCGGGCAGGCTCTTAATAGGAAGTTAAAGCAAAGTCTACCCAGGACCTTAACAAAATGTTAGCAAAGAGAACTCAGTAACATGCACAAAGAAATATCACCACGGCCAAGTGGGAACGCAAGGCTGGTTCACACCTGCAAATCGATCAGTGCGATCCACCATATGAGAAAAGCCTCACGATCACATCAGTGGGTCAGAAGAAGACAGGAGGACATGCTGGGGAGTGAGGACTTGGTGGAAGTCCTTAGACCTAACATCAAAAGCACTGCGTAAAAGAGAAAATCAACACACTGAGCTTCCTCAAAACTAAAAACTCTTACTCCGCAAAAAAAAAAATGCTCTTAAGAGAATGAAAAGCCACAGGGTAAATATTTGCAAACCACATGTCTGACAAAGAACTCATGTCCAGGTATTTTGTTTGTGGGGTGAGGCGTGACTTTCAAAACTCAACAGTAAAAAAATAGATAAATAAGCCAATTAGAAAAAGGACAAGAGACAGGAAGAAACACTTCACCAAGGAGAATCTACAGATGGCAAATAAGCACATAAGAAGATATTTAGGGCTGGGCGCGGTGGCTCACGCCTGTAATCCCAGCACTTTCAGAGACCGAGGTGGGAGAATCACTTAAGGGCAGGAGTTTGAGACCAACCTGGCAACCAAGACCCCATCTCTAAAAAAAAAAGCAAGACCCCCATCTCTAAAAAAAATCATAATAATTAGCGGCACATGGGGGTGCACACCTGTAGTCCCAGTTACTTGGGAGGCTGAGGTAGGAGGATCGCTTGAGCCCAGGAGTTCAGGGTTGCAGTGAGCCATGATTGCCACTGCACTCCAACGTGGGCAACAGAGTGAGACCCTGTCTCTGTTTTTATAAAAGATATTCAGATAGTCAGCATTGTTAGCCATTAGGGAAATGCATATTAAGGGCACAACGAGACATCACCACACTGCAATCAGAATGGCTAAAATTAAAAACAGCAACAGCGCCGAAAGCTGGCGAGGCTGCACAGAAACTGCGCAGTGGAAAGGTAAGACGGCCACTCTAGCACACAACTTGGCAGTTTCTTTTCTTTATTTTAAGTAGCTTTATTGAAATATAATTCACACTCCTTATAATTCACCCATTTAAAGTGTACAATTCAGAGGCCGGGCGCGGTGGCTCACGCCTGTAATCCCAGCACTTTCGGAGGCCGAGGCAGGCAGATCACAAGGTCAGGAGATCGCGACCATCCTGGCCAACATGGTGAAACCCTGTCTCTACTAAAAATACAAAAATTAGCTGGGCGCAGTGGTGCATGCCTGTAACCCCAGCTACTCGGGAGGCTGAGGCAAGAGAATCGCTTGAACCCAGGAGGCAGAGGTTGCAGTGAGCCGAGATCGCGCCACTGTACTCCAGCCTGGGGAGAGAGCAAGACTTCATCTCAAAAAAAATAAATAAAATAAATAAAGTGTACAATACAATGGGTTTTATTATATTCCCAGAGTTGTGCAGCCACATCCACAGTCAATTTCAGAACATTTTCACCACCTCAAAAAGAAACCTCATACTCTTTAGCTACCAACCTCCCTCCCCTCTACCCTACCCCCAACCCTAAACAACCACTAATCTATTTTCCATCTCTCTAACATCCCCGTTCTGGGTATTTCCTATGAATGGAACCCTACTGTATGTGCAGGCTTCTTGACTTGGCATGGTTTCAAGGCTCGGCCATGCTGTGTTTCATTCCTCTTCATGGTGAGTACTTCCATTGTATGGATGTGCCACACTCTATTGATCCAAGTGTTCATCATTGGAGACTTAGGTGGTTTCTACCTTTTGGCTATTATGAATAAAGCTACTGTAAACGCTCACGGACGAGTTTTGGTGTGGACGTGTTTTCATTTCTCTTGGGTACATACCTAGGAGTGGAGCTGCTGGGTCACATGGCGATTCTGTGTAATTGTTGAGAAACTGCCAGACTATTTTCCACAGCAGCTGCACCGTTTTCCCTTCCCATCAATGGGGCCTGAGGGTTCCAGCCGCTCTGCATCCTCGCCCACACTGGTTGTTATCCTAGTGGGTGTGAAGTAGCATCTCACTGTGGTTTTGATTTGCAGTTCCCTGACGACTGATGATCTCAAGCACCTTTTCCTGTGCTTACGACCACTTGAATATCTTCCTTGGAGACATTTCTTTCTTTTCAGAACCTTTGCCCATGTTTAATTGGGTTATCTTTTTACTATTAAGTTATAAGGATTCTTTATATATTCTGATGCAAGTCCCGTATTAGATACATGATTGGCAACTATTTTGTCCTATTCTGTGGGCTGTCGTTCACTGCAGCCTCCACCTCCCCGGTTCAAGCAATTCTCCTGCCTCAGCCTCCTGAGTAGCTGGAATTACAGGCGCCTGCCACCACGCCCGGCTAATTTTTGTATTTTTAGTAGAGACGGGGTTTCACCATGTTGGCCAGGCTTGTCTCAACTCCTGACCTCAAGTGATCTGCCCGTCTCGGCCTCCCAAAGTGCTGGGATTACAGGCTTGAGCCACCGTGCCCGGGCCAGAGTTCTTAATGTTGATGAAGCCCAATTTATCTGTTTTTTCTTCTGCTGCTCATGTTTTTGGTGTCAAATCTAAGAATCTTTTGCCAAATCCAAGGCGATGAGGACTTATCGCTATGTTTTCTTCTAAGGGCTTTATATTTTTAACTTTTACATTTAGGTCTTTCATTTATTGTACTTTTTGTATAAGGTACCAGCTAAGAGTCCAACTTCATTCTTTTGTATGTGAATATACAGTTGTCCCAGCACTATCTGTTGAAGATACTACTCTTCCCCCTCCGTTGAATGGTCCTGGCATCCTGACCACAGATACATAGATTTCTGGGTGCTCTGTTCTATTCCATTGATCTATATATCTGTCCTTGTACCAGTGTCAGTCTTGATTACTGTGGCTTTGTACTAAGTTTTGAAATCAGAATATGTGGGTCCTCCTACTATCTTCTTTTTCACAGTCGTTTTGGCTATTCTGGGTCTCTTGCAATTCCATATGAACTGTGGATTAGAATCAGCATGTCAATTTCTACAATGAAACCAGCTGGAATTTTCATAGGGATTGTGTTGAATTTGTAGGTCAGTTTGGGGAGTCCCACCATCTTAACAATGTTAAGTTTTCCAATCCATGAACATGGGATGTTAATCCATTTATTCAAAACTTTAATTTCTTTCAACAACATTTTGCAGTTTTCAGAATATAAGTATTACAATTTTTTGTTACACTTATCCTAAGTATTTTATTCTTTTTGATGCCAGTGTAAATGGGATGATTTTCTGCTTCATTTTCAGATTGTTCGTTGGAAGTGTATTTCTATATTTGCATATGATCTTATATCCTTCAACCTTGCTAAACTTGATGATTAGTTCTAATCACTTTTTAGTGGATTCCTTAGGGTTTTCTACATACAAGTTCATATGATCTGCAAATAGAAATAGCTTCACTTCTTCCTTTCCAATCTGGATGCTTTTTATTTTTCTTGCCTAAATGTCCTGGCTAGACCCTGCAGTACCATGTTAAACAGAAGCAGCAAGAGTGGACATCCTTGTCTTCAGAAACTAAACACACACCACACAACGCAGCACTGTACTCCTGGGCATTCTCCCCAGAGGCATGAAAACCTACATCTCGCAAAAACCTGTCAAGATGGCCAGGTGCGGTGGCTCACGCCTGTAATCCCAACACTTTGGGAGGCCAAGGCGGGTAGATTGCTTGAGCCTAGGAGTTATAGGCCACCCTGGGCAACATGATGAAGCCCTGTTTCTACAGAAAATACAAAAATTAGCCAGGCATGGTGGTGCACCCCTGTAGTCCCAGCTACTCAGGGGCGGAGGTAGGAGGATCGCTTGAGCCCAGGAAGTGAAAGCTAGAGTGAGCTATGATTGCACCACTGCACTCCAGCCTGGGCGACAGGGTGAGACCCTGTCTCAAAAGAAAACAAGAAAGAAAAAAGAAAAACTTGTACATAATTGGCCAGAGCAGCTTCATTTGTAATAGTCAAAAACTGGAAACAAACAAAATATCTTTCCACAGGCGAATGGTTGAACAAACTGTGGTAAAACCAAACCATGGAATGCTACTCAGCAATGAAAAGGAACGGACTATGGATACACACAACTTACATGCATCTCGGGAGCCTTATGTGGAGTGAAAAAGGCTCATCTCAAAAGGTCACATACTTTATGATTCCACTTACCTAATATTCTTTTTTTTTTTTTTTTTGAGATGGAGTCTCAGCCTGTCACCCAGGCTAGAGTGCAATGGCACAATCTCAGCTCACTGCAACCTCCACCTGCTGGGCTCAAGCGATTCTCCTGCCTCAGCCTCCTGAGTAGCGAGATTACAAGCGCCCGCCACCATGCCCAGCTAATTTTTGTATTTTTAGTAGAGACGGGGTTTCACCATGTTGCCCAGGCTGGTCTTGAACTCCTGATCTCAGGTGATCCACCCACCTCGGCCTCCCAAAGTGCTGGGATTACAGGTGTAAGCCACCGCACCTGGCCCCTAATATTCTTTAAATGACAAAATTATAGACATGGAGAACATATCAGCAGTTGCTACGGGCTAGGGATTGCTGGTGGGCAGGGGTAGGCAGGATTATAAAGGGGAGAACCTTGAGTGATGGATGGGAGAGGGCTGTACCTTGACCCTGATGCTGGTCACAGGAATCTACATGGGGAGAAATGACAGAACAACATGCACATTGCACTAGTGTCGGTGTTCCTGTTTTATATTGTACCACGGTTGTATCTGATGTTGCCTTTGAGGGAAAGGGTAGAGGTACATTGGACCTTCCTATCTGTGCAACTTCCTGGGAATCTGTCATTATTTCTAAATAAACGGTTTAGGCCAGGCACAGTGGCTCATACCTGTAATCCCAGCACTTTAGGAGACCAAGGCAGGAGGACAGCTTGAGCCCAGGAGTGTGAGACTATCCTGGGAAACATGGCGAAACCCTATCTCTACAAAAAATACAAAACAATTAGCCAGACGTGGTAATGCATGCCTGTGGTCCCAGATACTTGGGAGGCTGAGGCAACGGGATCACTTGAAACACGGAGGTCGAGGCTACAGTGAGCAAGGTTTGTGCCACTGCACTCCAGCCTGGGCAACAAAGTTTCAAAATATAAATAAAACAAAAATATTTTGGCCAGGCACAGTGGCTCATGCCTGTAATCCCAGCACTTTGGGAAGCCAAAGTAGGAGGACTTCTTGAGCCCAGGAGTTTGAGGCCAGCCTGTGCAACAGAGGGAGACCCCATCTCAATGTTTTCATAAAAGAAAAGAAAAAAAATTTTTTTTAAGTCTAACAAGGAGGAGGACTAGCGGTCTCAGCGAAGAGAGGAGGATAAAGCGCCAGAGAAAGGAAGGACAGAGAGAGAGAGAGACAGAGACAGACAGAGAGAGCCAGAGACAGAGACAGAGGAGAGAGACAGAGACTGCGAGATGCAGGGAGAGACAGAGAGAGAGCAACGTGCTCTGCTGTCTTTCAACTATGCCCTGAAATGGGAAAGAAAGATAACATCCAAAGGTGAGGCATACCCTGAGCATACCCCTGCCCAGCCCCCACCTCCTGCAGGGGCCACCCCAGGGGGCATCACAGTGATACATTTTCCAGCTGCCTCCTCTAAAAGCACAAGGCCCAGTGGAGAAAGGGGGTTTGCAACCTTGGAGCACACACCAGAGGCGTCACCCCTCAATGCTGACAGTGGAGCCCCCAACACTGTAGCCGGGGAGGTGGCCACATGGATGTTACTCTTCGACTTCTCTCTTTTTGCCCCTTAGGCCAAGGAGCCACAGCTCCATCCCTCAGAGCACCCATGTCCTTCCTGGGCTGCCAGAAGCATCTCCTGGAGCCTGACCCCATTTGCACAACACTGGCCGACCCTCCCAGGTAAAGGCACATGATGGCATCTCCTGCCCCAGTGGCCAAAAGCTCTCTTTTACGGGAGTCAAACAAGCGCAGACCTTGGCATTCGGCTGGTTCTGAAAGGCAGGACTTTGTGTCCTGAGGCTTCAATACAGATGCCCCGAAAGAACCACCTCTCAAAGCAATTGCCCCCAAACTTGAGCCCTGAGGACAGCATCTTAGCAAACACCAACCGAGAACAATGTGAGAGCATCCCACGAACCACCACCTCGTCCTTCCAGAAGGGTGCTCAGCCCAGCAGAACAGAACAGCATCTCTTCCTGGCTCCACCTTCCCCATGAAACTGTGCAGGCCCCAACCCCAAAGCCCTCCCTCTGCTCTTGGGAATTGCTAGGACACCTCAAATGAACGCAAATAAAATTAAAAGATTTTTTGAAGAAAAAGACGACCAATTGAACAGCTGGGTTCATGAACGAGAGGACTGAGGACTCTGCCACCTAAGCGACGCTGACCAGTTCTGCCTCCAGAGGGCTTCCTCCTTGAGACCCGAGAGTTCACAGTAAGGGGGACTCTTCCCCACCCTGATGGGCACCTGGAGCTAAGCCCCCAGGACCTCGGAGAGTGCCAGCTTCCCGCCCACCTCCAAAGTCCTTGCCACTCACAGCCCTGCCAGGCCTGGCCCAAGGTGAGCAGCACCAGCTCGGCGTTGTCGGGAACACTGGGGAAGTAATCTTCCGTCAGCTCCGTGCCATCCTCGTACAGGCACAGCCGGGAACCGCGCTCAGGGAGCTGCAGGGACGGGAGAAGCAACAGGAGGAGGAAGGGTCTCAAGACGAGGGCTTTGCATCTGCAGGCCTCACAAACGACCGGAATGAGCTGTGCTTAAAGAAGCAGGCTCAGGCTGCCGCCTGTATGCCACAGTCGCTCCAACGCCCAGGCAAGGATGAGGGAGCGGGAGCAAGGGCGCCTGACTGCGGGCCGTTCTAAAATACGAAGAGTCAGGAAAAACATACATCAGGGGGTGACTGCTGGCTCTGCAGGATTCACCCTTTTTAAATGAGCTCCTGAGGGCGCTTCAAATAGAGCCTGTCTTTGACAGCGCCGCCTCCCTGCTGCCAGGAGCTGAACACCACCATCCCCAGCACACAGCCGCCAGAGCGGTGCTGGCACACGAAGGAGAACGGTTGGTTGCCTCTGTGCACAAGTGTGACCGGCACGTGGCACTGTTAATTTGTTGGAGTCCGGTTCCCTGTTACTCTGCACTGGTCAGTTTTAGGCATTTTATGGCTACTCCCACCCCACCCGCACCGACCCCGGCAATGCACACCTGGTAACCCTAGTACTGGTCTAAAAAGAAAACCAACCTAGAATAAGGTGACGATTGCAATCCCCAGCTGCGAGGGCTGGAAGGGGCCTGCAGAGCCCACCTAGCCAAGCCTTTCATGTTACTCAAGGGGAAGCTGAGGCCGGACAGGCAGAGCAGCCGTGACCCCGCGTGCCAGTACCTGGCACTCTACCCGGGTCTCCTAGCTCTGATGCAGGGCTGTCCTGCCCGAGAGGTGGGAAGAGGGAAGGGGTGATCCAGGTCGTCCCCCAACCCCCCTGCGTTCTGAAGCCACGCTCAGGAACCCCAGGCTGCGGGGGCCCGGGGTCCTAGCGGCTGAGGCGAACGAAAACTACCCGCCCCGGGCGCCGCCTGCACCCTCCGTTTTGGAAGAGGAAAAGCGGCACCTCCTATTCTCCCCACACGCCTCCCCGACGGGCCGTCCCCGCCTAGCCCAGCGGGCACCTGGAAGCGGAGACAGCCCTTGCGCAGCACCTCCTGGCAGCTCCGGCCAGCCACGCCGAACTTCCTCGGGCTGCGCAGGGCCCGCAGCTTCACGCTCTTGGGCTTCTGGAGCATTGCAGATGTCCTCAAGCCCTCTGGGTCCCACAGGCGGTGGCACCTGCTGCCCAGCTGCTCAGATCCGTCCTCGCCCTGGCCGCAGGGGTCTGCACCTGGTGAGCTCTGCAAGCTGGCACAGGCCGGGTGCCGATCCCGGAAACTACATTACCCAGAAGGCCTGGGAAAAGTGAGGCCCGACGCGGTCTTGTGCGCAGGCGTCGCCCCACGGACACCACATTACCTTACTCAGAAGGCTCAGGAAAGCAAAGGCGCGACGCCACCTGGTGTGCCCAGGTGCCGTGGCCCCGGAAACTACACAACCCTGAGGGCCAGAGTAGCGGAGCCCTCCCCTTGTGCGCAGGCGCGGCCTGGGGTGGGGCGGGGTCGCGCACGCGCAGAGGCCCTGGCCCAGGGCTGGGCTTGGTTGTCATGAGAGTGGAGGCTGCGGCCGGGGCTATGGGCAGAGGTGGCCGGGTCTGCTTCTTCCCTGTCACTGCCGCAGCAGCTTGGGGTGCAAGGCGGCCTGGGGCGGCGGAAGGGGCGCCCCCCGAGTTCCGTCTGAGGAAGCGGCGGCTGCCGAGGAAGTCCACGAGAGCCGGGTCCCGCACGCCCCTGGGGTCCGGGTGCTGAGGCGCCGCCTGGCCGCCTCCCCGGGCCGCGGCACCGCTCCGACCCAGCCGCCCTCTCCACCGGGGCCGCGGCAGCGCCAGTCGGGGCCCTTCCCTCTAAGCAGGTACCTTCCGGGCCGCTGCGGCGCCGGCCCAGGGCCGGAGTGGGGAGCGGGGCGCGGGGCGCGGGGCGCGGGCGCCGCGGGGGCGCGGTCCCCACCTGGGAGCTGGGTACGAAGCCTGGGTGCGCGGTGCAAGCGCGGACGGTGTGGAGTTAGATGCCGGCCTTGCTGTCGCCGAAGAGCCGGCGCGGCCCCGTCGTGCCGTATGCCGGGGAGCTCAGCACGGGTGCTGGGACCGCCTGCCCCGGCCGGGACGGCCCATTTAGCGTGGAATATTGTTTTCAGATCCGGCTTTTCCTCTTCTGGATGCGTAGCACATAGGGGGCCAGTTTCAGATGTGTTCTGCTGAGCAAAAGTTTGAGGAAAATTGCTCTGTCCCTATAGAGATTAAAGTCTGATGGTTGGTTGTTTTTTGTTTTGGAGTTTGTTTTGTTTTGTTTGCACTTAAGTTCAGATTTCTCTGAAGCCCTTTCAGTCGCTAAGATGACTTGATCAGAAACCCATAAGCCTTTGAGACGGTCTCGCTCTGTCGCCCAGGCTGGAGTGCAATGGCACGATCTCAGCTCACTGCAGCCTCCGCCTCCCGGGTTCAAGCGATTCTCCTGCCTCAGCCTCCCGAGTAGCCCGACTAATTTTTTTATTTTTAGTAGAGACGGGGTTTCACCATGTTGGCCAGGCTGGTCTCGAACTCCTGACCTCAAGTAATACGCCCTCCTCGGCCTCCCGAAGTGCTGGGATTACAGGCATGAGCCACCGCGCGCAGTCACACTTAAAAGTCTTCTTAAAAAGAAAATCAGAGACAAGTTTTGTTTCCTAGTCTTGTAACAAAATGGAAGTTGCTACACTGAGTTTCCGTTTAATTTATAGTTAATTGCCTTTTACCATGCCAGCACTAGGAAAAGTGTAGTGAGGGATGAGACCGCCATGGAGTCATCGCTGCCTGGGGAGAGATGTACTCTGGCATTTGTCGGGATGTCGATGGCTGCCCCTGGGACAACAGGGATCCCTCATGCCTCTGGTGAGGAAGACCAGCCAATAACTGGATGTTCAACAGAGCTTTGCTTCTTCCCAAATTGTTAATGGTGATTTTTATAGAGCCTAAAAGTGGCATCCTTCAGTGACATTCCAAGTATCTTATGTAACACTTGAAGGTTTACACAGAGGGGACCCTAGGGTACAACTGGAAGGTCTTTGGGAGGGGGTAGACTAAAAAAGGAATCCTTTTCAAATACCAGACTGAGGTAATAGCATTGCCTCCACAGTCCCTGTGCATTTCTCTTAGCTGGTTCTTAAATGCCAGTACTTTGTTTTAGATTTGTTGGGGGCAGTATAGCATACTGGAAACACCCTTCTGTTTGACTGAAAAGGTCCTATATTTATGTCTTCGAGCCGTAACAGAGAGTGTTGGTTAGGTTCAGAGACTAGCCAGGCTCGGCGGCTCACGCCTGTAATCCCAACACTTTGGGACACTAAGGTGGGAGGAGTTCAAGACCAGCCTAGACAACACAGTGAAACCCCATCCCTACAAAAAAAAAAAAAAAAAGTAGCTGTGCATGGTGGCATGTGCCTGTAGTCCTAGCTGCTCAGGAGGCTGAGACAAGAGGATCATTTGAGCCCGAGAGTTCATGGTTACAGTGAGCTATGATCACGCCACTGCAGCAGTACAGCCTGGGCAACAGAGCGAGAACCTGTATTAAAAAAAAAAAAAAAAAAAAAATCGGGGCTGGGCTTATTGGCCACGCCTGTAATCCCAACACTTTGGGAGGCTGAGGCGGGTGGATCACCTAAGGTCAGGAGTTCGAGACCAGCCTGGCCAACATGGTGAAACCCCATCTCTACTAAAAATACAAAAATTAGCTGGGTGTGGTGGTGCGCACCTGTAATACTAGCTACTTGGGAGGCTGAGGCGGGAGAATCACTTGAACCCAGGAGGCAGAGGTCGCAGTGAGCCGCGATCACGCCACTGCACTCCAGCCTGGGTGACAGAGTGAGACCCTCTCTCAAAAAAAAAAAAAAAAAAATTTGGAGACTGGAACCCAACAGCCTGGGCACAAGAGGTATTTTCAAGGTGGAATAGGGAGTGACAAGCCCTGCCCTGAAAGATGATGAAAGGGGCCTGGCATGGTGGCTTATGCCTGTAATCCCAGCACTTTGGGAGGCCAAGGCGGGCAGATTGGCCAGGAGTTCGAGACCAGCCTGGCCAACATGGCAAAACCCCGTCTCTACTAAAATACCAAAAAAAAAAAAAAAAAAAAATTAGCCAGGCATGGTGGTGCATGCCTGTAATCCCAGCTACTTGAGAGGCTGAACCACAAGAATCACATGAACCAGGGAGACAGAGGTTACAATGAGCCCAGATCACGCCACTGCACTCCAGCCTGGGTGATAGATTGAGACTCTTGTCTCAAAAAAGGAAAAAAAGCTGATGAAAGGATTGGAGGGCTTCAGAGCTGAAGGGTATTAACTTTGAGCTTTGATTGTTTGGCTGGACTTCAGAATTCAGGACAAGAAGTGAGGGTCAGGGGAGAGTTGGCGCATTGATCCCTAGATGGGGAGCCCACCAAGAGCTCTGGAGTTAGGACATGGATGGAGATGACTGGAGCTGGGCCTGAGGCACGTTCACACAATAGGAACTTAGGACTTGTCTGAGGGAGGCGCTTCAGGTGGGGACACCAGGTGGTTGCTGTCTAGAAAAGACAGTGGGATCAGAAGGAAGGGCAGGCCTGATAAGACCTGGCACACTGTTGGATGGGGAGTGGGTGAAGAGAGATGCTGTGGCCAAGGGAAAAGTACCTCTAGGCTCAGAGCCCATGCGACCCAGAAGTGCCAGGTCACGAAGGAGTGGGAGCCATGGGCTGTGCGTTTCTGGCATAGGTTGCCCAGAGTGCAGGTGGGGCCGTGCAGCTAACAGTGGGTTAAATCACACTCATCCTTTCAAAATTCTTTTTTTGTTTGGTTTTTTAGAAACGGGGTCTCACTCTCTTACCCAGGCTGGTCTCGAACTCCTGGGCTCAAGTGATCCTTCCACCTCGGTCTCCCAAAGTGCTGAGATTATAGGCAGGAACCACCACACCCAGCCTCATCCTGTTCTGGGGGGCTTTTTAAAAATTATTTTCTGAGTTGGTTTAGTTTTGTTTTTGTTTAATATACAGTAACATCTTGCAGTGAACTTTGTGCAAAAAATAACTAGAATCTCGATGGTTTATCATTCTATTTTAGTGCTTTTGTTCATACATTCCAAGAAACATTAGCAATAATGCCAGCCAATAATTAATATATTGAAGTGGTCCTCTTCGAATTCTCAATGAAAGTAAAAGAAAGATCTAGATCATGCATCAAGCATGTCAAAATACGTACAGTTTTATGTGGGGGTATGTTTATATGTTACCTCCTATTGGGAATTTCAATTAATAGTATATCTTATCCCAGAGAACTTTCTGATGGAGTCTTCTTTATCCTGGTTTAGTGAGGAGCCTTTTTTTTTTTCCCCCGATGATTTAGACCTAACCCAAATTGGCTTACTTAGGAGGAATCTGACTGGCTTAGTAACTGAAAAGTAACCCAGAGTCCCTGAGCAAATTGGGCTCAATGTCCTGTGAGTCAGTCCCTCAACCTAACTCTGCATGAACCTTTTTGTACTTAATATGCCTGCCTGTCATTCCTGCTCTTCCTTCTGGTCATACACATTCATTTAGCAGTTGTTAATGCTAGCGCTTACGTTGCCTTTTTCCCCTTGGTATTGTATAACTAATTAACATACTGGTTGTATTAGTTTCCTAACTAATAGAAAGAAGTTTGTGTTTATATTCTAGACATAGCAAAATATCATAAACTAGATGGCTTAAAACACCAGAAATTCATTCTGCAGGCAGAAGTCAGATGGCTGCATGGACAGGGCTGCACTCTCGCTCTGGAGGCTGTAGGGCAGGATCCCTCCTGGCTTCTTCCTAACCTTGGGCGCCTGCTGGCCATCCTCAGCCGTCCTTGGCCGGCCCGCTTAGAGATGCGTTGCTCCGGTCTCTGCCTCTGTCACCACATGGCGCTCTCCCTTTGTGTGGCTGTGTCTCTTCCCTTCTTAGAAGTCACGTTGCATTGGGCCCACCCCGAGGACCTCATTTTAACTAGATCACACCCACAGAGACCCTATTTTCAAATGAGGTCTCCTTCACGGGTACCACACGTGGAACTTCAGCGTATCCTTTTGGGGAGCACAATCCACAGCACTGGTCAAACTTTTTGGACACATATTTGGGAAAAGTCAAGATAACTTAAATGATATCTTAAGCAGAACCAGAAGCATCTATAAAAGTGTTTAACAAAAAAAAATAGACTCTTTTCAAAGAGATGGGAAAATTCTGAATACTTAGTGCATTATTGTGTGTGTTAGCAAGGCATGAACCAACCCTTTAAATGTCCATGTGTTAGTGAATTCCTTTGTTTTAAAGAAGTTTTTCCTGCTCTTATAAACAGCCCAAACGTGCAGAATGCCCCACAAGATTGGATTTGTAGTCGTCAGCTCATCTGGACACGAAGACGGCTTCAGTGCCCGGGAGCTCATGATCCACGCGCCAACTGTCAGTGGGTGGCGGTCACCTAGGTGAGGACTGGACGGGGCGGGGCTTGGGCTGGGAGGCAGCCTCGGGTCCCTGAGGAGGGTACAGGGGCTCCTTTCATTCAGAGCCTCAGATTTTACTATCACTCGGACATCAGGACCAAGGATGTCAGCATGCAGTGTCAGGCATCTCTTTCTGTTTATATTTTTAAAGAAAATATGTTGACCCTCTTTCCCTTATAACATTCACCCACACTCCCTTAAGAAGATGTGCAAATGTGGAGGAGAAGGAAGAGAAATGAGGCCCCGTAACTGTCTAACCATACTCCCTGATCACACGCTGGGCTGCACATTCTCATCAAGTTTCTGTGCAGAGATTGTGAGTGCAGCTTTTTTTGCTTTTACAGTTGGGCTCCTGTGCTGAAAGAGTGTGTGTCTAACTGTTTTTATATGACACCAAGCTTTAACCAAAAGATATGTCTTTCACATTTCTCTTAAACACGCGTATACTTTATTAAAATGTTCAATTGGGCACAGTGGCTCCCGCCTGCAGTCCCAGCTACTCAGGATGCTGAGACAGGAGGATCCCTTGAGCCCAGAAGTCCAAGGCTGCCATGAGCTGTGATAGCCATGCACTCCAGCCTGAGTGACCAAGTAAGATGCTGTCTCAAAACAAATGTTCATTAGATGAGTGTTTTGCTTGATTATTTTCCTAAAACATTGAAGTCTTTTTGCCTCTGCTGCTTTGGTCTTTACAGCTGAGCCCCTTCATGCACTCACTTGGCATCTGCCCTCCGCCCTCAGTCATGTGAATAAAAACCCACCCTCCACCCCATCCCACCTCGTCAGCTCTGTGCTTTTCATGACTTGCTTTCAAGCCTGAGAAGTTACTATTTATTCCTAACCCGCGAACGCGTAAATATGTATGGCATTTTAAATTCAGTGATATAATTCTGTCTTGCTTTTATTCAGAAGTCAAGTTGCTGAAAATTGAATGTAAATCTCATTTACAATTAAAATGTATTTTCCTTTTGGAGTTTTTGAGGAGATGCAACAAATAAGACCCCCTGTCCCTGCATTTCCCGGAAGTGAGTTCTGAATGAACTGAGAAATGAAGCAAGAGTCAAGCAGAAGGGGCCAGACAGCGCCTTTGTCACCCGCAGAGCTGGGATTGCAGGCGAGCCAGCGTCCTGATACTGCCCAGGCCGTGGCCGATGCACTGCCCATGCAGGCAGCATTAACACGGTCCAGCCTGTGGCTGGAGGGCAGGAGGAGGAGCACACCCACGGGGGCAGCCCAGCGCTCTGCCCTCTCCTCCCAGACTCCCCATGACCCTGCTCATGCCTCTCCCAGGCAGGAGCATCCCTCTGCAGAGGTCCTGTACGCTCACAGCACATGTTCCGTGTTATTTGGGGATTGAAGATTCTCAAGTATACACACAGCCACCCTTTTTGGTAGTAGTTATAAAAATCACACCAGTATGGTTCTCTTGTGCATTGACATGGTATTGCTTTAAAGGGCATAACCTACACTCACTTCAGTAACGTGCTTTCAGAGGATGTACCCAAGAAAAGGATCTGTGTGCCCTTGGTCACCACAGACTCCCACTGGGTTTGGCTCGGGGTCTCTTGACTTCCCTGAGGTCAGGCACATCGCAGAAAGACAAAGGAGGATACCCTGAAGCCGAGCCTCCCAATGACAGTACAAGGCACCCTGTTACCACAGGTCATAGAAAATGTGGGACCCTCTACGTCGGAGCTCAGGGCATAGATTGATGCACTTCCAGGAGAGACACTGACGGGGCGGTTAAAGAGATATAGGGAGACCCCCAGTGCCGTTCATGTGACCTCAGAATTCAGAGAGCCTGAAGCCTTCAGAGCAAGACGTTTTTCCAAGAAACCGTAAAGTTTGCACCAACCGTAGCCCCTGGGCATCCATTTTTTTGGTTGTCAAATTATTTTTAGTTTAAAAAATCTGTATCTGTCAATTTATCTTGAAGGGATAAATGCATACTAGCCTTTTTAGCTGTGTGGTTTCTTTTCATATGCAGCTTGAAAGGTATTTTTGATTCATCTATAAAGTGTTCATCAGCTACATTTGAGTAGCTAAATCATAGGCCCTTTTTGGAAGGATTTTTTAAAGTACAGTCCTACATCACTCAATCATGGGGACATTCTTTCTGAGAAATGCATCATCAGTCGATTTCATCGAACACCTAGAGTGCCCTCAAACCCAGATGGTACAGCCTACTGCTACACACCTAGGCTCTGTGGCATAGCCTATTGCTCCTGGGCTGCAAACCTGTACAGCACGTGACAGTGCTGAACACGGTAGCAAGTGTAACACAAGTAGGTATCTGTATATCTAAACATAGAAAAGCTAAGTCAAAATACAGTGTTGTCATCTTATGGGACCGCTGTCTCATGCAGTGCATGACTGTATACAACTTCAAAGCTTTGCCGGTTGTCTTGGTTTTCTTTAAACAGTTTTGGAGTTTTTTTTTTTTAATAAAGATTTTTAACTAATGGATTACTTATTGTCCTTATGTTCAGATAATCTCGCCATGAATGATAATATATGTGCCCTGTATTTAAAAGCAGTAACTATCTAAAGCAGCCCTTTACTGACATGAAAGACTAAAGAATTTCATTTCAAAAGTTGCTTGGTTTCCCAATTTGTGCCAGCTGCCCTCCTGCCCCAAATGTGCCTGTCTTGAACTTTTGCATTTTTGGAAGCAGTGTGGGGTCTTTGCTGACTGCTGTGATTCTCTACCCAACTCTTAGTTATTTAATACGTTGTGTTACTTTTGGGCTGGGCCCAGTGGCTCACACCTGTAATCACAGCCCTTTGGGAGGCCGAAGGGGGAGGATCCCCTGAGCCCAGGAGTTCAAGACCAGCCTGGGCAAAATTTTAGCCAGGCACAGTGGCACACACCTGTGGTCCCAACTCCTCAGGAGGCTGAGGTAGGAGGGTCACTTGAGCCCAGGAGATCAAAGATGCAGTGAGCCATAATCACACCGCTGCAGCCTGGGTGACAGAGCGAGACCTTTTCCCAAAAAAAAAAAAAAAAAAAGTTATGTCACTTTTGAGCAAAGAAGCTCCAGCATGGCCCATAGCATAGGCTTGTCTCCCTAGACCACTATGCGTGAAAGGCAGGCACTCCTTAAATATTGATACCTTGGGGCCCTTAAGCATTTGAGTTCCTGTGGAAAATCCTTTGGCTCCGTCCTGCCCACTAGTGCCGCCTCATAAGATTGATTTATCTTATGAAAAACTGCAGGTTTCACATCAGACCATTTACTAGCTGCCAAGAGTATGATTCCTATAGGGTTACAGGCAGATCAAGTCAAATTTCAATTCCCAGCTTCAGCTCCAACAAGAAAAGCTCGAGAGAACAGGAATCATGTCGCAGGCATCTTTGTACCATCAGTACCTACAGACTGTTCTGTTCAAAGTGGGTGTGTGGTTAATGCTTCTTACCTGCAAGAATGAGATGCTAGCATCTAGAAACCCTCTGCAGAAGTTGTTCAGAAAATATAAAAATGTGTTTGCTTTCAGATTTTGCCAGTTTCCACAAGAAATTGTCCTTCAAATGGTGGAGAGATGTCGAATAAGGAAACTGCAGTTACTTGCTCACCAGTATATGATTTCAAGTAAAATTGAGTTCTACATTAGTGAAAGCTTGCCTGAATATTTTGCACCCTATCAAGCAGAGCGGTTTCGAAGACTTGGGTAAGAATGAAATTTAAAATGTATCATGGCAGCTTTTAGGCTAATTCTACCTGAAAGCTCTTTTTTTTTTTTTTTTGAGATGGAGTCTCGCTGTGTCACCCAGGCTGGAGTGCAGTGGTGCAATCTCAGCTCACTGCAGCCTCTGCCTCCCGGGTTCACGCCATTCTCCTGCCTCAGCCTCCCGAGTAGCTGGGACTACAGGTGCCCGCCATCACGCCCGGCTAATTTTTTGTATTTTTAGTTGAGACAGGGTTTCACCATGTTAGCCAGGATGGTCTCGATCTCCTGACCTCGTGATCCGCCCGCCTCGACCTCCCAAAGTGCTGGGATTACAGGCGTGAGTCACCGCGCTCGGCCCTGAAAGCTCTTAAAAATGAATTGTCCCTTAACTTTTGGTCCTGTGTTATGTACTTCTATTTGGTTCAAGAGTACACAGTTTCTTAACACCTGCCTCTTATTGAATGTGCTTAAAAAGCAGCGCTATAATTTCTATGAATTCTGCTATTCAACTCTACTTTTCAGATGTGGAAATTTTCTTAAGAATGCTAATTAGATGACCAATCTGGCCAACATGGTGAAACCGTGTCTCTACTGAAAATACAAAAATTAGCCGGGCATGGTGGTGAGCGTCTATAATCCCAGCTACTTGGGAAGCTGAGGCAGAAGAATTGCTTGAACCCGGGAGGTGGAGGTTGGAATGAGCCAAGATCGCGCCACTGCACTCCAGCCTGGGTAGCAGAACAAGACTCCATCTCAACAACAACAACAACAACAAAAGAAGAATACTAATTAGAATTTGAGTTCTAGGGGTTTTTCCTAGGTTTTTCATTCTAGACTTAGCTTTTATTCAAACCTGTTGATCCTGCATAGGGGTAGTCTAGCTTTAAAAAATAAAACAATAAACATAAATGAGCCTATTGAGTTCAATCAGAGTAGGGAGCAGTTTTATTGAACAGCACATTTTCAAATTCTTCAGTTGTGTTTTGTTTTTCAGCTACGTGTCTCTCTGTGATAATGAAAAGACAGGTTGCAAAGCCCGGGAACTAAAATCAGTTTATGTGGATGCAGTAGGACAATTTCTTAAACTGATTTTTCACCAAAACCATGTCAACAAATACAACATATATAATCAGGTAAGATGCATGCAGCTTCGCCTTTGATTCTGCCCCTACCTTCTTTGTGGGATTATGTGGTCACGTATCTTTTCTTAGATGCATTTTCAAGGTGATCTTATAAGAGAGGATCTCTTCTGGGAGACTGCTGAGCTCTCTGAGCTGTGCTGTCTGATCCAGCAGCCTCTGGGCACACGTGGCCAGTGCCCACCACGAACTGGCCTAGTGCCCAGAGCTGCTGCCAGCATCACCAGACAGTGGGCTTCAGAGACTCAGTACAAAAGGAGAACGCGAAAGAGTTCATGAGAACTTTTATGTCAATTGTATGTGATGAAATGATAATATTTTGGATATGTTGTGTTAACCTATATTTTTAAAATTAATTGCATTTTTAAATTTTTTAATGTGCCTACTTAACCTTAATGACATATGTGGCTCACATCCTATTTGTGTAGGACAGCACAGTTGTAAATAAACCCTCCCAACGTGCACAAGGTAAATTCCCTGGTGGAAATTGTGGACACATGAATGTTGCATGTAATCCAGAATCTCTCCAGCTTCAGGCTGCTAATTCTTCATCTCTTCCTTCCTCCCTCCCTTTCTTTCCTTCTTTTTTTCTTTTTCTCACATGATTAGTGTAGTAGAAATCAATTGTGTCCAAAGCAATCTTGTTAATTAGCACAAGCATTTACAACTCTCCCTGCCCCCTCCAAGAGGAATGTGAGCACCCAGCAAATCAAATCTCTAGACCAAGCGGGTGAGCTGGACAAGAGCGCAAAGGTCCAATTAAGCTGCCTGGCCCCTTGCAGCATAACACGCCAGGAAGCCAGAAGAATGAGTCTTAACCCTGTTCCTTCCTCCACCCACCTGCATGTATTTACCAGCAATGACCTGGCTGTTGTCTTGGTTTTCTTTAAACAGTTTGGAGTTTTGTTTTTTTAATAAAGATTTTTAAATAATAGATTATTTATTGTCCTTATGTTCAGATAATCTCGTCATGAATGATAATATATGTGCCCTGCATTTAAAAGCAGTAACTATCTAAAGCAGCACTTCACTGACATGAAAGACTAAAAAATTTCATTTCAAAACTTGCTCGGTTTCCCAGTTTGTGCCAGCTGCCCTCCTGCCCCAAATGTGCCTGTCTTGAACCTTTGCATTTTTGGAAGCGGTGTGGGGTTAGTCTACAGTGGTTGGGGGTGCAGGATGGAAAAGTGACTCCCCACCTCAGGTGAGACTCACCAACTGGGAACTGAGCTGTGTTAACTTTTCATTGTCTAATTTCCCAAGATCCTTCAAAGATGAGCTCCATACTGAATCTCACGTGGATGTCTCATTTTGAGGCTATGTTAAAACTTTGGGAGTTTTTAGCTATTATGATTTGAACTTTTTTTTTTTTTTTTTTTTTTGAGACGGAGTTTCACTCTTGACTCTTGTTGCCTAGGCTGGAGTGCAGTGGTGCAATCTCGGCTCACTGCAACCTCTGTCTCACAGGTTCAAACAATTCTCCTGCCTCAGCCTCCTGAGTAGCTGGGATTACAGGCATGTGCCTGGCTAATTTTGTATTTTTAGTAGAGACGGAGTTTCTCCATGTTGGTCAGGCTGGTCTCAAACTCCCGACTTCAGGTGATCCTTCCACCTTGGCCTCCCATAGTGATGGGATTACAGGCATGAGGCACCGCGCCCAGGCTTTAAATGGTTAAAAATAACCATTTGGTTAGCATTAGAATACTAACATAATTTATTTAAAATTCTTTGTTAATTATTAAAAATTATTTATATTGGCATAACATTTTAACAATTAATACGCTTTGATATACATCATCCCATTTGATAACAGTGTAGGTCAGAGTTTGTTATAAAGGGGTTAAGTCCAGCCTGGGCAACATGGTGAAATCCTATCTCTGCAAAAAAACACAAAAATTAGCAGGGCATGGTGGCTCACACCTGTAGTCCCAGCTACCAGGGCAGCTAAGGTGAAGGATCCCTTGAGCCCGGGAGGTCAAGGCTGCAGTGAGCCATGATCACACCACTGCACTCCAGCCTGGGTGACAGACGAGACCCTGTCTCAAAATAAGTAAATAAAAGGGTTAAGTCATTTCAAACATTGTATATTTAATTCTGTTATTTTAACACTTTCTTAGGTTGCTTTGGTTGCCATAAATATCATTGGAGACCCTGCAGATTTCAGTGATGAAAGCAATACTGTAAGTTTGGAAAGTTTTAATTCCTAAGGAAGTAAATCTATTTATAATGGGAGGGAGTCATTTATTTTCACCCAAAAAATGTGTCATTTTTATAATCTGCATAAAATTGACTAGTGAATAACTTTCAGATGATTTTTAGGAGCTGTAGCATATGAAACTTTTCTTTAACAGTTTTAGCTGTCTCTCCAAAAGATGAGGATCATTGAACCTTGCTGACAGCTTTATATGAAATAAATCTTGTAGTTAAGGTTTTGTGTTGTTCCTCTTTCTCTCTGAGACACTAAGCAGATGTTTTGCCCCCAAAGGCCTCTCGAGAGAAGTTGATTGACCACTACCTTGGGCACAACAGCGAGGACCCTGCTCTAGAAGGAACGTACGCCAGGTAAGAGTCCTGCTCCCCATCAATGAACTTCTTTTACTTTCCTCAGAATCCTGAAAGGGTCAGTCATTTCCAAAGGATTCTGGACTTAGAGCCTCTAAATTCAGTTTAGAGCTGGATAAGCCACTGATTGGATTGTCTGAAATTTACATAAAGATTAAGGTCGCTGTTTTATTTAGCACACCTGCATTTATTTTTTTCCTTTTTTTTTGAGACAGAATTTCACTCTTGCTGCCCAGGCCGGAGTGTAATGGCACAATCTCGGCTCACTATAACTTCTACCTCCTGAGTTCAAGGGATTCTCCTGCCTCAGTCTCCTGAGTAGCTGGGATTACAGGTGCCTGCCATCATGCCCAGCTAATTTTTTGTATTTTTAGCAGAGATGGGGTTTCATCAGGTTGGCCAGGCTGGTCTCGATGGAGTCTTGCTCTGTCGCCAGGCTGGAGTGCAGTGGCACGATCTCGGCTCACTGCAAACTCTGCTTCCTGCGTTCAAGCAATTCTCCTGAGCCTGACCTCAGGTGATCCACCTGCCTCAGCCTCCCAAAGTGATGGGATTACAGATGTGAGCCACCGTGCCCAGCCACACACCTTCATTTATTGCTCAGCAGAGACTACTTCCTTTCTTGTGTTCAGGTATCACTAGAAGTTTCCTAAAATGCGTTTAGAACAAAGATCTGTCAGCCGTCCTTTGATATTTTATCAGCACAAGCAAATTCATGGTAAAAATCAAAGATATTAATGGACCCAGGTTATCAGTTCTAGAGACATCACCTTATGGCCTCTTCAAAAGTTTATTCTTTAGAGGAGTGAAAAATATGTATCACATACGTTTTTAAAAACACAATTTTGCCGGGTGCAGTGGCTCACGCCTGTAATCCCAGCACTTTGGGAGGCCAAAGGTGGGTGGATCACGAGGTCAGGAGTTCAAGACCAGCCTGGCCAACATGGTGAAATCCTGTCTCTACTCAAAATACAAAAATTAGCCAGGCGTGGTGGCGCGCACCTGTAATCCCAGCTACTTGGGAGGCTGAGGCAGGAGAATGACTTGAATCCGGGAGGTGAAGGTTGTGGTGAGCCGAGATTGTGCCACTGCACTCCAACCTGGGCGATAGAGCAAGACTCCATCTCAAAAAAAAAAACACACACCACAATTTTTACCAATCTCTCTCTACCCGTTAAAAATATTTTTTCTCACTGCTAAATTTGGCTAAAAAAAAAAATGGGTATGGGGAAAGTTCGTCGTGTTAACAATTGTAGGCTGGGTGTGGTGGCTAACGCCTGTAATCTCACCACTTTGGGAGGCCAAGGCAGGAGGATTGCTTGAGATCAGGAGTTTGAAACCGGCCTGGGGAACATGTCAAAACCCCATCTCTACTAAAAATACAAAAATTAGCTGGGCATGGTGGTGCACGCTTGTAGTCTCAACTACTCAGGAAATTGAGGCAGGAAGATCGCTTGAGCCGAGATCATGCCACTGTATTCCAGCCTGGGTGACAGAGTGAGACCCTGTCTCAAAAAAAAAAAAAAAAAATTATACATATTTTTCTGCTGCTGTTGCCGCTTCCTCTTTTTTTTTTTTTTTAGCAGTGTAAGAACCGGGGGTGAATCCACTTTTGGGGAGCTAAAGGGCCCCGCTGTGCCATCCTCGGTCACCCTCTCTGTCCTGGGCACCTCTTTGGGACAGTGGTTCCCTTGCCACCTGCCTGCTGTGGATGACAATGAGGGGACTCCATTCCAGAGGTGCCTGGTCTAAAGGAAAGAAGGGAAGGGCTGCCATAGTTGCCGCAGTGAGAAAAAAAGAGGAATTGAAATGTTTTTTAGGCTGAGCGTTATGTCGCACGCCTGTAATCCCAGCACTTTGGGAGGCTGAGTTGGGCAGATCACTTGAGGTCAGGAATTCAAGACCAGCCTGGCCAGCATGGTAAAACTCCTTCTCTAATAAAAACACAAAAATTAGCCAGGCGTGGTGGCGCACACCTGTAGTCCCAGCTACTTGGGAGGCTGAGGCAGGAGAATCCCTTGAACCTGGGAGGTGGAGGTTGCAGTGAGCCAAGGTCATGCCACTGCACTACAGTCTGGGGGACAGAGCAAGACTCCATCTCACACACGCACAAAAAAAATTTTAAATAAAGAGGAATTCCAAATAATCCTTGGCTCTTCTCTGACAGCAGCTTCCCAATAAAGAAAAGATCAACTTTTTAAACTTTAATAGAAATTTCAAATTTGTCCGTGTTTGGTGTAATTTCACTTTTACCTGCATACAGACTGCTCGCAGAAAGTGATTAATTCTTGATCCAGGCTCTTCTATTTGCACACAACCTGGATCAGATTCTCTCTGCAGTTGCTCAGGAGCCACATGCGATTTGCTGAGCATGTGCACTGGTGGACAGCGAGCCTTCCCTCCTGCAGAGGCTACACCGCCTCCCCACAGGCCTGGTGCAGACCAGAGCTGTCACAGGCACTTGTGAGTGTGGAGTGCTCAGAGAGTAGAGGCTATTCATGTAATGTCTATAAAAAAATAACACCAAGGCCGGGCGCGGTGGCTCACGCCTGTAATCCCAGCACTTTAGGAGGCCGAGGCGGGCGGATCACGAGGTCAGGAGATCGAGACCATCCTGGCTAACACGGTGAAACCCCGTCTCTACTAAAAAATACAAAAAATTAGCCGGGCGTGGTGGCGGGCACCTGTAGTCCCAGCTACTCAGAAGGCTGAGGTGGGAGAATGGCGTGAGGCGGAGCTTGCAGCGAGCCAAAATCGCACCACTGCACTCCAGCCTGGGCGACAAGAGCGAGACTCCGTCTCAAAAAATAAAAATAAAAAAATAACACCAGCTTCTCAGTCTCTCCCTCAGATGCCTCCTTTGTGTAATAGAAAAATCACAGTACTCTTCCCATCCTTCAAGCTGGCAATTGGATGGAAGCACTGTGGGGAAGGAGCGCTGAGAGTGGATGGCTACCTCCCTCCTGCCAGCCTCTCCACAAAGACCGCAGCTGGGGCTCTGCCCTTACTGAAGCAAGTGCAGTAGGGCAGGAACAACCAAACTGATTAAGTCTTTAGTTTCTCAGTATCTCCAATAAAGCTTCTTTCTGTTATTTTGATTTAGACTTTAAATCTGTTGCCTTAATCCAATCAGCCAGGTGGGATGGCAGGCTGTGGTTTGCCTGTCCTGCCCCACGCCCGGGGTTTTATGAAGGTTAAGTGCAAGGACTGGGAAAAGCTGTGTGACTGGCACGTGCGGGCCTGTGCTGGACATGGAATCCGGTCATTGCCGCTGGGGGTTCTGTACCAAAGTGGGTAGATGGCACCCCACGCTGCTGCTGAATCAACAGGAGCTGGGACTGGGTACCACAGGACATGATGTTCACTTTGAAGGATTTTTATAATCAAATGAAGTCTTTGTGTTCATCTCTGGGACAGCAAGGCAACGTGACTTAAAGTGTCATATGTGTTACACTAAAAATAGTTAATGTGATCTTGTAGACACCCCAAAATGTTTCGCTGTTTAGTCACCCCTGGGATTAGACACAGTTCAGAGCTGCTGGTGCCGTCCCAGCCGCCAGCCTGTGGTGCTGCTGTGAGCGAAGTACCGTGACCTCAAGGGTGGGGAGATGCCAGAGGGGGGCTGTGAGTGCTTAAAGGGGGCCTATTCCTATGCCCCACTTGAATTCATTATAATACAGATTCACCAAGTACACTTTTACGACAAGTGTTTTCATTAAAACGTACCTGTCTCGAAGGGTGTTCAAGTCGCCGTAAGCAGCTGGCTTGTTTAATGGGGTTGATACAGCAGCTGGGACACTTCCATCCTCATCCTCTCGTTGCTTGGTGAGACTAACTTTACTGTTTACATTCTAGACCCTACTGTAGAGCTGGAAAGGAGGAATAGAGGTCATATTTAATCAGAAATGAGCTATTCAGGTGACTACAAAAGATCACTTATTTCTGAAGGAATGTTTTTGATCTCCTCTAGGATATGATGGTTGACACCATACAACTTAACCCTTTGAGTAAAACCTCAGTGGTAGCAATTCTTAACCTATCATGTTCATCAAAAATACTGTGATGCTGGCTGGGTGCAGTGGCTCACACCTGTAATCTCAGCACTTTGGGAGTCCGAGATGGGTGGGTCATCTGACGTCAGGAGTTCCAGACCAACCTGGCTAACATGGTGAAACTCCATCTCTACTAAAAATACAAAAAATTAGCCAGGCATGCTGGCTCACGCCTGTACTCCCAGCTGTTTGGGAGGCTGAGGCATGAGAATTGCTTGAACCCAGGAGGCAGAGGTTGCAGTGAGCCCAAGATCATGCCACTGCACTCCAGCCTGGTCAACAGAACTCTGTCTCAAAGAAAAAAATAAAAAAATACAGGCTGGGCGCAGTGGCTCAGGCCTATAATCCCAACACTTTGGGAGGCTGAGACTGGTGGATCACTTGAGGTCAGGAGTTTGAGACCAGCCTGGCCAACATGATGAAAACCCGTCTATACTAAAAAATACAAAAACTAGCCAGGTGTGGTGCCACACACCTATAATCCTAGCTACTCAGGAGGCTGAGGCAGGAGAATCGCCTGAACCCGGGAGGTGGAGGTTGCAGTGAGCCGAGATTGCGCCATTGCACTCCAGCCTAGGCAACAGAGTGAGACTCCGCCTCCGAAAAAAGAAAAGAAGAAAAAAATACTGTGTTGTTATAAAATACGGCGCCTGGACTCCATCTTGGGCCCACTGGTCACATTTCTTAGGGTGGGGCCTGGTCATCCATTTGTCTTTGTTTTTGTTTTTCTCCTTGTTCTGCAGTTGATTCACATTCACTGTCCTATTCCCAGGGCCCATAACGAGGCGAGGCCCAGAGTCTGCACTCTGAGCGAATGCACTGGAGGCTCAGATGCCCTGAAGTGCAGTTTGGTCCATGGTCAAGAGCGTGAGCTTTGGAGTCAGAAAGGCCTGCTTGCAATTAAGAGCTTTGTGACCTGAGGCCCATTACTTCTCTGAGACCCGTTTTCTCATGCAGGAAATGCTCTGTGAACCATGATGGGGCAGGATGGGGAGGGGCATCTTCTCAACCGTGCATCTTCAGCACTGAACTCCTAGGGCGTGAAATTATCTCTAAAATATGCATTTCTTCCCTTTAGGAAATCTGACTATATCTCTCCGCTAGATGACTTAGCTTTTGATATGTACCAAGATCCAGAAGTTGCACAGATCATACGAAAATTAGATGAAAGAAAACGGGAAGCTGTCCAAAAGGAACGCTATGATTATGCCAAGAAACTAAAACAAGCCATTGCTGATTTGCAAAAGGTATTGCCTTTGGAGAAAACAGTTCCTAATTTATGCCTGTAATAGGTTTTATGTATACTTAGAATAACTACATGGTAAAAGAAACCAGTTACTAAAAGCCGTGAAGTTAGTGTGAGTTCAAAGATCTCAGCAAAATAAAGTTACGGAGACAGATAAGCACTTTAAAAATGTAAATGGAAGCAGAAGCTTTACCTCTTCAGACTCACGTTCAGGTGTCAGGGTCAGCTACCTCGTTACTAGGACCCTGAGCCCAATGGGAAAATAGGAAAACCAGCTATCCTGAAAGTCATAACCAAACCATGAGCTTATTAAATGCCCATACAGCAACAGCAGCCAGACCTTTGCTGAGTGTGGCCCATTCCTTCCATTTCCCTGTGCTCACTCCCTCTCCTTGCAAGACGGTTCACGCGTGATTCTTAAAAATTAGCTTTGCATTTGATGTGAGTTGATCCAAATTTGAAAGAAAAAGCAAATATTTTGTGCTTCAGGTTGGTGAACGCCTTGGGAGGTATGAGGTAGAGAAACGCTGTGCCGTGGAGAAGGAAGACTACGATCTCGCCAAGGAGAAGAAGCAGCAGATGGAGCAGTATCGTGCCGAGGTGTACGAGCAGCTGGAGCTGCACAGCCTCCTGGATGCCGAGCTGGTGGGTGCAGGAGCCCAGACGGAGTGGAGGAAAGCCTAGGAGAACAGAGATTCAACTGTGTGGTTCACAACAGTGGATAGATGTCTTTGAAGTGTAGTGTAAAACACTCTGCAGTGCTCAGGGGACAGTTATGGATGGCCTCAGCTCTGTGCCTACGTCAGGGAGGCTTTGCCTCAGCATGTTCTTTCAGGAGACTCACAGTCGTGGGAAAGGGAACAAACCGGGGTCAGGAAAACCGAGGCCCTGCTGCTTTTCTGCTGCATCCCTTCATCTCTCCAGCTGCTTCCTTATTTGGAAAAGGCAGTGATGACCCTGCCCCACTGACCCCTCAGTGTTGTAAGGATCAAGTGAGAACGTAATGCTAACAGCTTCGGTGTATTGAGAACATATTTCCCATAAGGTGCTCTGCCTCTGATTTTAGAACTCATGCAAATGGGGCACTCAGCCCACGTTACAGATTAGGAAATGAAGGTTCTGAGATACGGAATAGTGATTGAGAGTGCACACTCTCAAGGCCAGGCATGGTGGCTCACGCCTGTAATCCCATCACTTTGGGAGGCCAAGGCTGGAGGATTGTTTGAGCCCAGGAGTTCGAGACCAGCCTGGGCAACATAGAGAGACCCTGTCTCTACAAAAAGTAAGTAATAGCCAGGCCTGGTGGCACACACCTGTAGTCCTAGCTACTCAGGAGAGTGAGACAGGAGGATCACTTGGGCCCAGAAGTTCGAGGCTGCAGTGAGCTACGATCGCACCACTGCACTCCAGCCTTGGTGATGGAGCGAGACCCTGCCTCTGAAAAACAAGAGAGCACACTCTGGAGCTGGACTGTCTGGGTTCAAATCCGGGCACCACCATTCCAGCTCTGTGATCACAGACTAATTCTTATCAGCTTTATGCCTCAGTTTTCCATCAGCTTTCAAATGGGGGTAAACAGAGTAAGCATTAATGAGCCTACCTGTCCAAAACACTCAGTACCATGCCTAGTGTGCAGCAACTGGTCAGTCAGCTTTGCTTGTTGGGATGACACAACATCACTTTCCTTTGTACACACAGTGAATAGCAGTGCCAGATTTTGAATAAAAGTCCACTTGGGTCCAGCCCAGGTGCTTTCTCCACACCACCGTGCTCCTGCAGGGGCACATATGTGTGGACATGCTCCATGCACAAATGCTCATTCCTTCACTAGCATTTTGGATGTGTATGTCACTTTTGTAGTCAACACAGAAATGTGGAGAGACAACTGAGATGAGTGCAACTTGATTGTGTGGGACTTTCAAGTAGATTTCACTCTGTGGAAGTTTCTCTTTGGTTTTGAAATTTTTCATTGTGCCAAGGAGCCTCTTCCAGCACAGCTTTCTAAAGTCTTATTCATCTGAAGGAATGAGATAGATATATCTGGCGTGGCAGTGGCATTTGAAATTAAATGTTCCTTTTTGTTCTCTAGATGCGAAGACCTTTTGATTTGCCCCTCCAGCCCCTCGCTCGTTCTGGCAGTCCTTGCCACCAAAAGCCAATGCCCTCACTACCACAACTGGAAGAAAGAGGAACAGAAAACCAGTTTGCAGAACCTTTCCTTCAGGAAAAGCCTTCATCATATTCTCTAACTATTTCTCCTCAGCATTCTGCAGTAGACCCGTTACTCCCTGCCACAGATCCTCATCCAAAGATCAATGTAGGTAATTCTGTTTCAGATTGGCGTTCAATTTATTTGGGTATTTGTAAAGGACATGTGTTGTGCCAGGTGCTGTTCCCATGCATGGGGTGCATGAGTGCTCCCCAGCCAGACCCACCTCTGTTCCATTCTAGGAGCCATAGTGCTGAGTGAGAGCATAGCCACATAAGGAATAGGCCTAATGACACCTTGTGAGCATGTTTATTAAAATCAGGCTTGATGCTTATTTCTAAGCAATAAACTAAGAAAATATCAGAGATCTTGTCAGAAAAAAAGATGTAATAGCCTTTACTTTAGTAGTCTCCATGTCAGTTGAACTGAAATTGCTACCAGTAAACAGTCATTGAGGTGGAATCTACCTTGCTTTTTTTTATTAGGTCTGTAATGAGTTTAGAAAGTAATAGAAAGCCTCATCTAATCTTTTCAATTACATCCTATTTGTTGTATAAATTATTCTAATCTGATGATACTGATATTTAGCAAAATAACATCTTTCAGATCAGGTAAGTAAGCGCAGTAAGCCTGCCAGTGAGAGTTGCACTGGAGAATGTGACCTATGGAGCTCCCCAGCACTTTCCTCTCTCCTTCACTCACTGCAGGCAGAGTCCCTGCCCTACGATGAGCGGCCTCTTCCAGCTATTCGTAAGCATTATGGGGAGGCAGTGGTGGAGCCGGAAATGAGTAATGCAGACATCAGCGATGCTCGGAGGGGAGGCATGTTAGGGGAGCCAGAGCCCTTAACCGAGAAGGCCTTGAGAGAAGCCAGCTCTGCCATCGATGTGTTGGGAGAAACCTTGGTAAAAAAAAAAAAAAAAAAAAAAAACGGGGTGGCAGAGGGGAGGCTAGTCTATATGGTACGCACACCTCTGTGTACTTACACATAAAGGAGGGAAAACGCCCACGGCTTTGCATTTGTAATATTGTTGACTTCCCTTTGTTCTTCCTGAATTGGAAAGTCTTTTGTTAACTTTTTTTTTTTTTTTTTTTGAGACGGAGTCTTGCTCTTCACCCAGGCTGGAGTGCAGTGGCAAGATCTCCGCTCACTGCAAGCTCCGCCTCCTGGCTTCACCCTGTTCTCCTACCTCAGCCTCCTGAGTAGCTGAGACTACAGGTGCCCGCCACCACGCCTGGCTAATTTTTTGTAATTTTTTTTTAGTAGAGATAGAGTTTCACCACGTTAGCCAGGATGGTCTCGATCTCCTGATCTTGTGATCCACTCACCTTGGCCTCCCAAAGTGCTGGGATTACAGGCATGAGCCACTGCGCCCGGCCTTTTTTTTTTTTTTATGAAACAGAGTGTCACTCTGTCACCCAGGGTGGAGTACAGTGGCGTGATCATAACTCACTATAGCCTTGAACTCCTGGCCTTGGCCTCCCAAAGTGCTGGAATTACAAACATTAGCCACCGTGCCTGCCCTTCTGTAAATTATAAATTATGTGAAACAGCAAAAACATGAGCTAAGATGTATCAGTGAGTACTCATTTCAGCCTGGGTGTTTCCTTCTGGCATTCATGGAGCTTGTATTAAACAACTGCTCCCTTCTGAATACCAGCTAATTCCAGCGCAAAAGGATGGCATAGCAAAAGATGGAAGTATCTCCTTATAGAAATGAGTAGAGTTGGCCAGGCGCAGTGGCTCACGCCTATAATCCCAGCACTTTGGGAGGCCAAGGCGGGTGGATCACGAGGTCAGGAGTTCAAGACCAGCCTGGCCAAGATGGTGAAACCCCATCTCTACTAAAAATACAAAAATTAGCTGGGCATGGTGTCAGGCACCTGTAATCCCAGCTAGCTGGAAGACTGAGGCAGGAGAATTGCTTGAACCCGCAGGGGGACAGAGGTTGCAGTGAGCCGAGCCACTGCACTCCAGCCTGGGCGACAGAGTGAGAGTTTGTCTCAAAATAAAAAGAAATGAGTAGGGTTTTCCCTCGTTCTCAGCTTTAAAATATTTCTCTTGGAGAATTTAATACTTTTTATATTTTAACATAGTCTTAAATTTCCTTATCAGAGAAAATTATTTCTCTAAATATACATATTTATTTGTAAAAGTTCTATTATTAGAAATGAATCATTTTCATTTATAAAAGTTCTGTTCTTAGAAATGAATCATTTTAGTTAAAAAAAAAACAAAGCCTTCAAGTTGTGTAGTGTTGGAGGATGGTTGTGTGATGCCATGAAATGCTGCCTGTTTTGTGGTAGGTTGCTGAGGCCTATTGTAAGACGTGGTCCTACCGAGAGGATGCACTGCTTGCCTTGTCTAAGAAGTTAATGGAAATGCCTGTTGGAACCCCAAAAGAAGATTTAAAGAACACACTGAGAGCATCCGTCTTTCTCGTTAGAAGAGCCATAAAGGACATTGTGACCTCCGTGAGTGCCCTCAGCTGGCGCTGGCTCCAGCGTGCATGGATGAGATCATGCGCCGTACCACAGAAGACCAGAGCAGCTTGAGAGAGGACCAGTTGGTCATTGACGTGGTCACCAACTGTAACTCAATAGAATCACTAAGAAATGAGGTTCTCTAGCAAGAGCTATACTGTGCAACTGATCTTACATGAAGGGTCTGGGAAATCTGCCTTTGCTTGGGTCATTGTCTCTGGTCTCCAGCAGTGTTAGCTTTTCCATGGTCTGCAAAGCCAGGCGTTTGTAGAGGCCTAGTTCAATGCTACCACATCTTCAGTTTGTGTTTTCACTTTGCATGAAACCTGATGAGGTTGAGAATTACTGTTTTTTCTAATGCTGAATGGGCCTTAAGAATGGACATTGCACAGTTGGGCTTCTAACAGCCCACTGAAGCAGGGCTGTTAGATACTCAGTATGAAGGGAAGATTTGGGCTTACCCATTGAAGCAGGGATGTTAGATACTCGGTATGAAGGGAAGATTTGGGCTTACCCATTGAAGCAGGGTTGTTAGATACTCGGTATGAAGGGAAGATTTGGGCTTACCCATTGAAGCAGGGATGTTAGATACTCGGTATGAAGGGAAGATTTGGGCTTACCCATTGAAGCAGGGATGTTAGATACTCGGTATGAAGGGAAGATGGGGAGTGATTTCTGACAGAGTGAAGTAAGAGCATATGTCCTCTATATGCAAGGTGCTGTGTTTAGAAAGCAGTTTTCAGTTTGCAATTTTCAGCCTTTCAGACGAGATGTCATTTTCGATATAATGTTCGTATGTGTTACTGATAGTAAATGCCATGTTTCCTCTTGGTGGAATTGCACCGTAGTAACTCATCCGTGTTCATCACTTTTCTCTTAGGTTTTTCAGGCTTCTTTGAAATTGTTGAAAATGATCATTACACAATATATTCCTAAACATAAACTGAGTAAACTTGAAACAGCTCACTGTGTGGAGAGGACCATTCCCGTTTTGCTCACCAGAACTGGAGATTCTTCTGCCCGCCTCCGCGTCACAGCTGCAAATTTTATTCAGGTCTGAACTTCACCACGGCATTTGAAACCGTAGATGATAAACATATTCCTGTAGCTCTCTGGCTTTCTTAACACCTTTTACAAGATTCTGTCTCTACTCAGTTAACATTATTCTCAGGGATTCACCATCACACTTTCCTTATGCTCTAAAAGGTCAGTTTTGTCTTAGACATAAACTTCAGTTAAAATCTACAGTTGGGTTTTTCCAATGTTTTTTTTATCCAACATATGCCATTAATTTTTTAAATAAATAAAAACACACAGAAAATGATATCAAAAGAGAAAATCTGAGGGTAAAGAAATAAAAAATATAACTGTCTTAATAGAAATATTTTCATTCTTTCACCAAATATGCCTCCTCTAGGCTAGATATTATGGGAAATATTGAGATAGAGATAAATGTATGAGTTTTGGGGCACACAGTTATGCACCATAATTTGAAAATCTTTAAACTAGCTAATGAATTCATCTAGTCTAGGAGTTCTTAAGAGTCCTCCTTTGGGCTTAAGAAGCTTATGAATTACGTTAAGTTTTACACAAAATTTTGTGATGTGCAGATCCTTCTTAAAAAAGAATCCAGGCCAGACTGGGCACGGTGGCTCACACCTGTAATCCCAGCACTTTGGGAGGCTCAGGCAGGTGGATCACAAGGTTAGGAGATCGAGACTATCCTAGCCAACCTGGTGAAACCCCTTCTGTACTAAAAATCCAAAAATTAGCCGGGTGTGGTGGTGCGTGCCTGTCGTCCCAGCTACTTGGGAGGCTGAGGCAGGAGAATCGAACCCGGGAGGCAGAGTTTTCAGTGAGCCGAGATCACGCCACTGCACTCCAGCCTGGCAACAGAGTGAGACTCCATCTTAAAAAAAAAAAAAAAAGAATCCAGGCCAGGCGGGGTGGCTCACGCCCATAATCCCAGCACTTTGGGAGACCAAGGCAGGCAGATCATTTGGGCCCAGGAGTTTGAGACCAGCCTGGCCAACATAGTGAGACTCTATCTCTGCAAAAAATACAAAAATTAGCCGGGCATGCTGATACACCCCTGTAGTCCCAGCTACTTGGAAGGCCGAGGCGAGAGGCTTGAGCCCAGGTGGTTGAGGCTGCAGTGAGCCGTGATCTCGCCACTGTACTCTAGCCTGGGTGACAGAGAAAGACAGTGTCTCAAAAAGAAGAATCCAAAGGGGTCATTTCTCCAAAATATGAGGAACCACAGATCTAGTTTCATTTAATAAACCTAAATTTTCAGAGTAAATAAGGAAAAGGAATGCTAATAAAAAGGTAAGAAGAAATGCTGTCATGCTAATGTGCTACACTACACTCCTGGTTATGACCTACACTACACTCCTGGTCACGACCTACACTACACTCCTGGTCACGACCTACGCTACACTCCTGGTCACGACCTACGCTACACTCCTGGTCACGACCTACGCTACACTCCTGGTCAGGACCTACGCTACACTCCTGGTCACGACCTACGCTACACTCCTGGTTACGACCTAATGTGCTACACTACACTCCTGGTTACGACCTACACTACACTCCTGGTTACGACCTACAATACACTCCTGGTTACAATACACTCCTGGTTACAATACACTCCTGGTTACAATACACTCCTGGTTACGACCTAATGTGCTACAATACACTCCTGGTTATGACAGCTAGAATTTGGGGGTGAGGAGGGTTCATCTTTCAAAAGATATGTTGCAAATGAGCACATGTTATTGCTTCATTTAATTATTTTTAAGCCACATTAATTTCTGAGCAGTTTGGTGGTGCTCAAATGTTCTCTCTATGTGAGACAACCTTAAGGCAATCTATCGAGGGTTACAATTGTGCACCAGTGTGCCGGTTAGTGGACGAAATACACACTCAACAGCATCTGTTTGTAGTTAAGGAGTTTACTGTCCAAACTTCCCTGGAGAATGCTCTTCTTCTCTTAGCTTTTAGATTTGTACAGAGTCACTCACAGGCCCAAATCCAGAGTGAGTCAGGCCAGCACGATAAGAGATTATTTTAGGTGATAAGACCTGCAGACCTATTGGAAACAGGTTTATTTCTGATTGTAACTTAATGATTCAACATCTTATTTTTTTCTCTATATCCGGTTAATTAAGTGATAAATATCTTAATTACGTAAAGACTTGTTTGTTTAGAGACATTCAAATATGTAATGGTACTTACATTTTTTCCATCTTAACCCACTGGTGACCGTATCACTGCAGAATCATACACTCTTGGCTGACATTTAATAAATACTAAAATAACGGTGATTCTAGCAGCAGCTCTAATTTCTTTTAGAATTTTAGAAATGAGAAAACCTTTTCCTTGAAGCTGAGAATACTGAGAACAGAAACCTTCAAGTTTTCAATTACGCTTCTGAAAAGCTTTCAGTAGACATAAAATCGTTTTATTCTTCATGATTTTATTTCCTGTGGCTCAGATTTTCATTTCTAATGGTTGTTACGCTTTAAATAGAAATACAAGCTTACGGATCAGTGCTCTCATTGCTCCTTGTCACTATCAATCTGTATTTCCCTGTTTTTCCCTTCAGTGTTTAGTTTAAGATCATGCTGAATTGTACTAAACTGCCTCCAGCATTTTCCAGTAAAAATTAACAAATTACCTTGGCTTTCATAGGAAATGGCCTTGTTTAAAGAAGTTAAGTCTCTCCAAATTATTCCATCCTACCTGGTGCAGCCATTGAAAGCAAACTCTTCAGTTCACCTGGCAATGAGTCAGATGGGCCTCCTGGCCCGGCTGCTGAAAGACCTGGGCACTGGCAGCTCGGGCTTCACCATTGACAACGTGATGAAGGTAAGCAGACCTCGCGTGTGACACACCACGCGGCCCAGCACTCACCACAGTGCCTGGAGCGTGGCGAGGGTCTCATCGGCATTTGTTGAAGGAATGACTGAGGCAGTGATTTCAGAAAAATAGCCAGTGTTTCATCCAACAAATGGGGGCCCCCACATGCGTCCTGCTGTCTAATCCTACTCGGTGGTGCATGGT
Source organism: Homo sapiens (assembly GCF_000001405.40). Classification (NCBI taxonomy): domain Eukaryota; kingdom Metazoa; phylum Chordata; class Mammalia; order Primates; family Hominidae; genus Homo; species Homo sapiens. Next base: position 3,830,850 of record NC_000001.11, on the reverse strand, counting down.
GTGTGCAGATCTTTATCTGTGGAGAGAAACAAATCATAAAAAATATTTCTTTGTCTTTTTTTTTTTTTTTTTTTGAGATGGAGTCTCGTTCTGTCGCCCAGGCTGGAGGTGCAGTGGTGCCATCTCGGCTCACTGCAAGCCCTGCCTCCTGGGTTCATGCCATTCTCCTGCCTCAGCCTCCCAAGTAGCTGGTACTACAGGATGCCCACCACCATGCCCGGCTAATTTTTTCGTGTATTTTAGTAGAGACGGGGTTTCACTGTGTTAGCCAGGATGGTCTCGATCTCCTGACCTCGTGATCCGCCCGCCTCAGCCTCCCAAAGTGCTGGGATTACAGGCGTGAGCCACTGCGCCCGGCCTGTCTTTAAGAGACAATAACAGCAGTGTGATGGAGAATATCAGGTACAGGTTGAAGCCCCTTATCTGGAATGCTTAAGACCAGAAGTGTTTAGGATTTCAGATTGTTTTCGGATTCTGGAATACTTCCATTATACTTACTGGTTTGGATCCCAAATCCAAAAACCTGAAATCTGCACATCGGCTACGCAGGAGCGCACACCTCCAAGGAGGATGAGAAACTGTGGGCCCCCGAGACGCACAGCAGGGATGAAATTGCACTATAGCCACAGCGTTCTGTTTCTTAAAAAAGATCCAAAACAAGCGTGATGAAAGTATAACACGGCTTACGATGAGACGGTAGATCCGTGAGGTTTTATGTTTGAAGTATTTCATAATACTTAATACGGATGTTTTCTCTTTTATTTTTCACATGTTTATAATGTACCTTTTTTGTAAGCTGGAAGAAATTAGTTTTATTTTAAGAATGAGTAACAAGAGCCCCTCCCAACTTTAGTTTTCAGTGAGTGCCCTGGAGCATAGAGTGTATGAGGTCCGCGAGACGGCGGTTCGAATTATTTTGGACATGTACAGACAGCACCAGGCTTCCATCCTGGAGTACCTTCCTCCAGACGACAGCAACACACGCAGGAACATTCTCTACAAAACAATTTTTGAGGGATTTGCTAAAATAGATGGCAGAGCTACAGATGCTGAGATGAGGGTGAGTTAACTTTGGTGAAGTTGTGATGTCATCCTGTGTTGAAGAAGTTACTCAGTTACTCGGTACGTAAATAAGTAAATATGTCATTTGAAGGAGCCACATGTATGGGAAGCCCCGGCGTCCTGGCTAAGAAAGAACACAGGTTCCCGCATTCAGATCCCGGCTGCTCCACTTTCTGCCAGTGAGACCCTTAGGTTCCCAGGCTGCAAACGGAATAACGATAGCCGTGAGGACACAGTGGGTTTATCTATCAATAGACACCAATGAAATCAATGGAAAAGACTTATTCTAACTTGTTATTAGTCTTAGTGAATATTATAATTTATAAGAAATATAGTTGATATGCCATAATTTGTCTCCCAGTTTCTAAGATTACCCTAACAAGCTGTTCTAATGGAAAAATAATTTTCTTACCAGGCACGGAGAAAAGCGGCTACAGAAGAAGCAGAAAAACAAAAGAAAGAAGAAATAAAAGCTTTACAAGGGCAGCTGGCAGCACTGAAAGAAATTCAGGCTGAAGTTCAGGTTGGAAGTTAACACGTCTTTCACCTGTGTGCTTTTAGCTGAAATGTATTTTGCTGTATAGATCCACATCATACTTGACTTATTTTTCATGGGATTATGCAAATGAGCGTCTTGATTCCTTTTGGTTTTTTAGGTTAGTTTTGGGGTGGATGACAGAAGCCCTCCATGGAGAGGTGGAATTGGGTGGCAGATACTCTTCCTGCCCCTCCATCCTCTGTCAGAATTGATGTGAGCTGCTGCTGAGGTTTAGGGAGGGACCAGGGGCTGTGGGCCCAGAGCTGCTCTCCTCCACAGCTCTCCAGCCACCTTCAGAGGCAAAGGAGAAAAATCAGCTTGACTATAAAGGTCTGACTTCAGCGCATTAAAAAGGGAAGGTTTCAGGTAAACATTCTGTTTCTATGAGCCCTTACTCTAAGCCTGTGGGGGTGTCATATGTACTGGGAACAAATACTATTTGGTTGAATATAAATGTGTTCCTCTTCAGCCTCCCAGCTTCTGGGATATGAATTAGCTTCATAACACTAATTTTATGATGAAGTTTCCTTCAGTTGAAAGAAAATTTCCTTAAAAAAAAGATATAAAGGTGGCAGAACACAGGGAGTTTCCGTTCCGCAGACCTGAGTTTTCAGCCGTGCCAGGTGAATGAGTTCTGGGACCTGCTGGCACCTCAGGCCTGCAGCCCACGTGGCTGCACAGTGCACGCAGAGCTATTCAGAGGGCAGAGCTCATGTCAAGTGTTCTTACCACAGATTTTTAAAAGAAGAAATGGGTACGAATGGGGAAAAAAGATCAAATGTGGCTGAATATAGGCTGAACTTCCTATGGCAAAAAGTCACCGTGACATTTCCACCAAATGCTGGAACGTCAGAGTCACAATCAGAAAAGGACACAGGAGGCGGAAGGAGGCAGGCAGACCCTGGGATGAGGAGTGAGCCTCTGGCTCAGGTCCGCATCGTGGTGTGGATGACTCGTGTGCTCAGTGACCCTCAGTGGCTCAGCACACACTCATTGTGATTAGTACACAAACGAGGACACGGATGTCGCAAACTGAAGGGATTTCCCTCCAGCCATGAGCTAGCATGTACTAAGCCCATTGCCAGGCGCCTGCCTCCCGCCTCCCTCACCACAGCCCAGGACCTGGTGGCAGTGGCTCCAGAAGCAGCAGCCGCCCAGGAGCTATTCCCAGCACTGTCCATCCTGGGGTCTCCTATGCTCATGGGCACACAGCACTGTCTGTCCCGGGGTCGCCTATGCTGATGGGCTGCACAGCCTCCACACAGCTGTCCTGAGAGCCTGCAGCTCTTGCTCATTGGCTCGGTGTTTATGGAGCGCCTCTCCGTGCCAGGCGCCATCTGGCTGTGGAAATACAGCAGGCAGCAAAGCAAAGTCCCACCCTCATGGAGCTGGGGCTCCAGGGAGGAGCAGACGAGGGAGAAAGACCCAGGCAGTGGGTCTGTGCTGCGGGGTGCTGGGGGCCATGGGTTGTGGGGGCCTCGAGGCCAGCGCAGACCTGCGCCCCACACAGGGCCTGGTGAAGGCCTCTCCCAGGAGAATGACGGGATGGGATGGATTTTTCTCTTTTTTTGTTGGGGTAAAATGCACAGAGTGTAAATCTTACCATTTTCAGTGCACACTGTGGTGGCATGGAGTGCTCTCACATTGTTGTGCAACCATCGCCACCATCCATCTCCAGAACTTTCAGAATTTACATATTAAGTCCTTTTCTGGTTCTAAAATCATACTCTCGGCCAGACGCAGTGACTCATGCCTGTAATTGCAGCACTTTGGGAGGCCGAGGCAGGAGGATCACTTGATTTCAGAAGTTCAAGACCAGCCTGGGCAACATAGTGAGACCTCATCTCTACTAAAACTTAAAAAAAAAACTTAGCCAGACATGGTGGTGAGCACCTGTAATCCCAGCTACTCAGGAGGCTGGGGCAGGAGGATGGCTTGCACCCAGGAGGCCAAAGCTGCAGTGAGTTGTGTTTGTACCACTTCCAACCTAGGCAACAGAGTGAGACCCTGTCTAAAAATAATGATAATAAGAACAAAATTGTGCTCTTTTTAGGGGCAGGGTGGGTGTCTGTGGAACTAGAATTGCACTTCTGCATGTGTTTTCCACAGTCAGTGGTTGAGTTTGAGAGAAACTGCAGTGGCATGATCTCAGCTCACTGCAGCCTCCACCTCCCAGGCTCAAGTGATCCTCCCTCCCCAGCCTCCTGAGTAGCTGGGACTACAGGGCACGCCACCACACCCAGCTAAGTTTTGTACTTTTTGTAGAGACAGGGTTTTGTTTGCCATGTTGCCCAGGCTGGTCTTAACTCCTGAGCTCAAGCAATCCACCACTCACCTTGGCCTCCCAAAGTGCTGGGATTACGGGCATGAGCCACCTTGCCAGCCAGTAGAAATTCTAAAACAAAACCCAGAAATGTGCTTTCGTGATGAAAACATATCTTCAACAGGCTCTCACTCACTCACACTGCAGCCCTTTGCCCCTGACCTCACTGTTTCTGTGTCTTAGGAAAAAGAAAGTGATGCTGTGAAGCCAAAGAATCAGGGTATGTAAAGAATTGGGGTGCACAAAGAACTGGGGTGTGTAAAGAATCGGGGTGTGTAAATGCATGTCATGGAAGCTCCATGTGGGAACGGCTTCTGTCCATTCAGCAAGTATCACTGCACGCCTGCTGCACCTCAGCCATCTCCCAGCTGAATGGAAAACATGCTACCTTTTTACTTGTATAATCGTTTTAGAGCTCACATCAAACTGCTTACTAAAATTTTGAAAATAATTTCTATAAAAAGTTATTTAAATTGTTTTAATCTCTTCAGACATTCAAGGAGGGAAAGCAGCCCCTGCTGAAGCTCTGGGAATCCCGGATGAGCACTATCTAGATAAGTAAGTCGCGCTGTCTTCCACCCATTGTACGATGGTCAGGGCAACCAGCCACACAGAAACCCTGGAAAGGGAATGCGTCCTCCCTAGTTGGCCCTTCGTAGTCATCATAAAAGGTAGGAAATGTGCCTTCTGCACTAACCAGCATCCACTCCGAGTCAGTCAAGACAACTTTCCCTCTGTTTATTGTAACTTAAAATATCCTTTCTGCTTGACGATGCTGAGTGAAATTTCAGAAGGATCGTTCGCCCGTTGATTTCAGGCACCTCCTTGGTGAGGACTTTCCTATCGTGCTTTAACACATGGCACACCCAGCCTCCTCTGCCACCTGCAAGGGAGGCCCAGCCCGGGCCCTGCAGAGCAAACTGAGGCAGTTCCAGATGAGAGGGAAAGTGCACACATCACAGGGACTGGGGAAATTCAGAATTTCCTCGTGACGTGGGAGCGGAACGGCCATCAGTGGAACTAGATCCTTACCTTTATTTCCTGCTTTGCTTTGCTTTCAGTTTGTGTATTTTTTGTGGGGAAAGGAGTGAATCCTTCACAGAGGAAGGTCTGGATCTCCACTACTGGAAGCACTGTCTCATGCTGACAAGATGTGACCACTGCAAACAGGTCAGGCCAGCGGCACAGCAGCCAGCTACTTGCATGAGCGGGAACACCTGGCTGTTGAAAGGCCGAGTCAAAAAGCTGTCCCAAGTCTTAGTATTTTCAGAGGAGAGGTTGCGAGAAAAGTAACTGAAGCCAAGCACACACCCGCAAATGCGTGCGAGTCATTCCATATGACAGACAGCCCAGTGAACCGGAAACATGCTGTGCCGCCACCTCCCCTCGGGGCTCCTTCCAGAGTCAGCAGGGGTCTGATTTCTGACACCACAAATGGGTCCTCCTTGCTCTTTGAGCTTTGTAGAAACGGAACCATGTGGCGTCATGTTGGATTTCTTGCTTTATAGTGTCCACTGCTTGAATGGACCACAGCACCTTCATCCACCTTCCGCTGTGCGCCAGGGCTGCGTCCAGTTTGGGACCATGATAAACAATGTTGCCACAGCGTTCTGGTGTCTTCCAGGATGCACAGGAATGCACTTTCTTGGGTTCACAATGTGTTGTGGGATTGCCAGGTGTGCTGATGCTCAGTGGGGCTGCCCAGGAGTGCTCCAAAGGGGTTGTGCCTGGGCACCACTGCCAGCAGCACAGGCACTGCCCCCTTCCCACAGTGCCACTGCCCCCTTCCCACAGTGCCACTGCCCCCTTCCCACAGTGCCACTGCCCCCCTTCCCACAGTGCCACTGCTCCCTTCCCACAGTGCCACTGCCCCCTTCCCACAGTGCCACTGCCCCCCTTCCCACAGTGCCACTGCCCCCTTCCCACAGTGCCACTGCCCCCTTCCCACAGTGCCACTGTCCCCCTTCCCACAGTGCCACTGCCCCCTTCCCACAGTGCCACTGCCCCCCTTCCCACAGTGCCACTGCCCCCTTCCCACGGTGCCACTGCCGCCCTTCCCACGGTGCCACTGCCTCCCTTCCCACGGTGCCACTGCCCCCTTCCCACCGTGCCACTGCCCCCTTCCCACAGTGGCACTGCGGCCATGCTTCCTGCTGTCTTGGTGAGTTCCCCCTGTGCCTGTCCCTGGTGAAGATGAGGTGGAGTGCCTGTCCTTTTGTCTGCAGGCCTTGGCTGTCCTGCAAAGCACCTGGTTTCTCACCGGTTTCCCTCGGGTTGTCCATCTGTTTTTATTGATTTGGGGCCGTTCTTTATACACGTGGATGTGAGTGGTTGGTCAGTCGCATGAATTGTGACCATCTGCTCCCACTCCACAGCATGCAGTCTTCGCTGTCTGAAGTGTCTTGAGGAAGAGACGCATTTTTAATGTTAGCATTGCCCACCTTGCCAGTCTTTTTCATGGTTCATGCTATTCGTGTCCTGTGTAACAAGTCTTCCCCATCCCCTATATTAGGCCTTTCTTGCATTACTATAGAGAAATACCTGGCTGGGCAGGTGGCTCACGCCTGTAATCCTAGCACTTGGGGAGGCTGAGGCGGGCGGATCACCTGAGGTCAGGAGTTCAAGACCAGCCTGACCAACACGGAGAAACCCCGTCTCTACTAAAAATACAGAATTAGCCAGGCGTGGTGGTGTATGCCTGTAATCCCAGCTACACGGGAGGCTGAGGCAGGAGAATCACTTGAACCCGGGAGGCAGAGGTTGCGGTGAGCCGAGATCACACCATGGCACTCCAGCCTGGGCAACAGGAGCGAAACTCCATCTCAAAAAATATATATATCCCTAAGACTGGGTAATTTATGAAGAAAAGAGGTTGAACTGGCTCACAGTGTGTCAAGTCCTGCGGCCTGAAGTTATAGAGTATATACAAGTCATTCCTGCCAGAGACACCAACGTAGCGAGAGAATCTCTTAAAATTCTTTTCTGTGGTCCTGTTTCTGTGTGCATTCTTAGAAATAGTGGGGAGCCACAATTTCAACCTTGGGCCACACTGTAACCACTGAGCCACTCTGCGCCCTCATCCAAGCTTCACACTCAGGCCGACCGTAGCTTCCCCATCCTTGACAGTGGCCCCTGCCCGATGCTAAGATGACAGGAAAGGAAGGACGTGGGGTCTTCAGCAAAGTATCACAAGTGACTCCAGACAGTCTGTGGGCAAATGCCGAAGATAGAAGCCTGTGGCTTACTTCATGTGCAGGCGGCACAGACCTCCCTGGGCAGGGGAGGCGCTCACAGGCTCTGCAGGCTGGCTGGAGGGCGCTGCCGCTTTCTCAGCAACATGCTTTGCTCTGTATTTCGAAATCCAGGTGGTCGAGATATCCAGTCTGACGGAGCACTTGCTGACGGAATGTGACAAAAAAGACGGGTTTGGAAAGTGTTACCGTTGCAGTGAGGCTGTTTTCAAGGAAGAGCTGCCCAGACACATAAAACACAAGGATTGCAACCGTGAGTGCCCCTTCCCAGGCTCCCGTGCCCTCGGGTCACCAGGGGTCCTCTTGGAGGAAGTGCCACTGCTCTTGAGCCTGTGCAAGGGCTTGGTGAATTAAAGGGCACCTGCGGGCAGGCCAGCAGCATGTCTTGTCGCCTGTCATTCAGGGAGCGACTGAGTCTTTTTAAAATCATTTCAGCTGCCAAACCGGAGAAGCTGGCAAACCGGTGTCCCCTGTGTCATGAGAACTTCAGCCCTGGAGAAGAGGTGAGGGGCCTGGGGAGAAGGGACCAGTGAAGTAGGTGACACACCTGTGGATGGCAGTGGTGGTGACAGTGGTGGTGTCAGTGCGGGACCATAGCCACAGAGTACAGTACATGAGTGTTCAGGGAGGGGACAGCGTCTAGTGAGCCCTGTCTGAGCAGTCGTTCCGTTTACCTACGTGTTCACATGATTTCCTTCCGTACATTTATGAATGGTTTATCGAGGAGCCTCAACTCACTGAGGCCCAGCCTGTGTCACTGGGATACAGCATGAAATGGTTTTATTTTGTTCTGGTCATTGCCTTTATCCAGATAATGAGACCCTCAGTGACATCTTGCCCAGATTCTGTAACACTGCGGTCCCTTTTGCCTAATAAAACCCAGCCCTATTTGGTTAAACGATTCTCTTTCCTACCTGATTCCAAGCTCTCCTCCCTGCCCCAGTGCACTACGCAGTGACTCAGCAGGCAAGTGGGGACGGCCGCCTCGTACACGCCCACCCTCCACTTCCCCACGTGCTCGGCTCCTCTGGCATTGGAGGCGACGAGGAGGGACATGGGCGTGCAAGGCTCCGTGGCAATTATTCTGGCCCTGTCCAACACGATGGGCTGGCGGTGCCCTCTTTATGCCAGGCAGCGAATGCTGAGCCCTGGGGCCCTGCTCAGGACCCAGTTTGGGAATCTGGCTCAGCCACTTCCACTCCAACCTCCTTAGCTCCTGCCACCTGCAGTGTGTCACTGTGTCCTGCTGCTGGCTCCCCTTGTCCCAGCCTTCTGGGATATGGTACCAGCAAAATGGCTCCAACCCAGCCACTGTAGCTTTCTCTTGACCCCAGAAAACTCACACCAAACAGAGAAGACAGCCCCCAGCCGCTCTCAGCGCTGGTGTCTACCCAGTTATCTGGCTCTCTGTGTCCCTCTGTCTGTCTGTCCCTCTGTCTGTCTGTCAGTCTCTCTCTCTCTCAGAGTTTGAAATGCATCACAGAGTACACAGAAAAGTGACAGAAACCCTCAGGACTCTCCCTTGTCACGGTCACTGAGCTTGCGCAACTAGCAACTCAGCCCGTCTTGTTTCTCCCGTGCCCCCACGTGCTCCCCTCTCTTGTAATGTTGAAGCCAACCCAGACAGCACGTTGTTGCATCTGTAAATGTTCCCGTCGGAGCTTTCGGAATCGGGACTTCTTTACACAGCCACAGCAGCAGCCTCAGCCTTCCAGACGTCAGTCACATTGCCGCCATCTCATCAGGTCAGAAGCATCTGATTACCGGGATCCATAGAAGGCCCCGGTGCCTGGTTGGTCTGTTTTGAACAGGTTCATTCTCTCGTTCTTTTTCCTTATGATTCACTTGGTGAAGGAAGGAGCTGTTTGCCCCGTAGGGCTTCTCATCGTCTGGATCTGCTGACTACGTTCCCTTGGGGGCGCTTAACCTGTTTCTCTGTCCCTGTATTTCCTGTAAACAGGAGGTGGGATCTCTGGGCCTCATCAGGTGTGCACAGGCTCGGTGTGAGTGTGGCCGCTTCACAGGCAATGCTGGTGTGTCCCCCGGGAGGCGCGTGATATGTGTGACGGTGGCAGCTGCTGAGGCTCAAGGCCTAACCCACCGACTCAGGAGGGGCCTCATTCTGTCATCCCTCCTTCGTTCATCTGCTGGGATATTCCTCTAAGCAGAAGCTCGTCCACTCTGTGGTGACCCTAGGTTAGACTTTCTATTGGAAAGGCAGAGTGAAGGTTTAATTTTTTTCCTTGGTTTACTGGTTTTCAGAATAGTAAGCTGGGTCACTAGCATCTTCCATGGCAGCTAATTTGTTTTGTTTTGTCTGTAGTGTCGTTATGAACCATGGATTTAAATTATTCAATGTGTTCCAGTCACAGCAGTTACCATGCTTAGTGATGCGTGAATTATCCCAGCTCTAGCCTATGGCAGACTCTTCAGCTGGGCTCCTGAGGCCTGGATGAGAGCCACGCAGCCTCAGAGAGCTCCCTCCTGTTTGGTGCCTTCCTTCCCCGGACCTGGAATCAGCCATCTGGGCACAGAGGCCTGGTTCCCATTAGCAGGAATGGATGTCTCAGGACAGCGCTGGGGGCCTCATGCCCACTGCTGCTGGGTAGTTCGCTGTGGCTGGACTCTCAGTGGACACAGCCAGGAGAAATCAAGGGAAGTAAGCTCCATCACTCATGCACACACACTTCCCCTTCCCGTTCTGAGCTGCAGGCTTTATTTAACCTTGTCTCTCCCAACATCTGTGTCTCCTTTCTTACATCCATGGGCCCCGGTTTCCAAAGGCCCAGGAGACAGAATTCAGGTATTGGAGGCGACCAGTTCACCTTGGCCCCCACTGCACCTGCGGCAGCCCCAGCACAGTGGCACCTGCACCGCCAGCAGGAGATGCCACTGGAAATTAGATCTGTTCCCAGTTCTTGTCCTGACCACATCTGCCACTGGTGACGGGGGTCCCAGTGGCCCTGTGTTGGAGGGACTTGGGTGAGCCCTGGCTAGCAGTGCCACCAACTGTAAATACATTCATTTTATATTACATTTCTAGGGGACTTTAAAGAATTAAGTTCTGTAATTACAGAAGACATGTTTCCGGGTCGATAGAATCAGGCATCTTGGAAGAACCCTGGACAGAGGCCGCCATCCTGCCCCACTTCCATCTGCCTTCCTCCACCCCAGACAGAGGCGCCGTCCTGCCCCGCTTCCATCCGCCTTCCTCCAGGGGCTGCTTTTCCTACAGGGCATCCTGCCCCTTTTCTACCCAATAGAAGCAGTTTTCACTGCACATACATCTTTTCCCCTGGTTATCTCCAGAATGTGGGAGCCTTTGTGTTTGCATTCGAGTTGTTACCTTTACTTGTCCTCCCGTGCAATGCCCATCATCCCCTCTGATTTCAGTTATTGCCATTGGTTTCCTACTAGGAGCAGTACTCACATTCTCCTGTAACTGCCTTTTCTTCCTTCCCTTCTTGTTCCCAACATCTGATTTGAATTGACATCCTCTTACAGGTAGTACCTGTAAGGCTGTCACCAGGCGTATCTCATGTGTCATCTGCTTTCCCTGTATCTCATTATCTGCACTGCCTTACACATCACCACACACCCTTCAGCATAAGCAGAAAACACACTCACTCATTACCTCACGGGTTCCCTGGGTCCGGAGCCAGGCTTCATTCTCATCTGTCAGCCCTGCTAGGGAAGGACTCACTTCCAGGCTCATCCCAGCAGCTGGCAGTAATATGTTCTTGGGGGCTGTCAACCCGGAGCCACTCAACTCCTAGAGGCCCCCACCGTCAGCACCGGGGGCCTCTCTGCTGGCAGCTCACTTCCTCGAGGCCAGCAGGAGACTCTGCCACTCCAGCCTGCTGAGACACGTCTTTCTAATTTCGTGTGAATTGTTTTGCCGTTCATTCTTCAAATATTTTTTCTCTCTTCAGCGTTCCCTCCCTTCTCTCCTGCCTGCAGGCTCGTGAGTGTGAAGACTGCTCAATCTTCTGTGGGTCACTGGGCTTTGTCCAGTGTTTCCTTTCTGTTCTAGTTGAATGGCCCCTGCCCTTTCTCCTTCCATCTCCAGTCCTCTGTTAAGTGAATTCATTTTCAATCTGGTACTTTCCAATTCTAGTATTTGTGTTTGGCTGGGATTTCTTTACAGGTTTCATTTCTCTGCTGAGATTCACCTCTGTTCACTCATTAAGATCACCTGTTTTTAACAGCTTCATGGAGATCTAGTCTGCACAGCCTCTCCCCGTGGACAGATAGTGGGTTTTCATGTATTCAGGGTTCTGCAACCATCTGCACACGTGTGGAACTTTTCCATCACCCAAAAGACAACACTGCCTACATGCCGCCCCTTTTCTCCCCAGCCCCCTCTCCAGCCCCTGGCGACCATATGTCTAGTTTTGGTCTCCATGGATTTGCCTACTGTGGACATTTCCTGTAAATGGAATCAGACACTATGCGGCCTTTGTGTCTTTGACTTAACGTGTTTTCAAGGTTCGCCCGGGTTCTAATAGATCAGTAGCACTTCATTGCACGTTCAAGTCCTTGAACATACTAGGTATCTGCTTTAAAGTCCTTTTGTGCTAATTCTAACATCTGGAATTTTTCTGAATGTGAAGGGGGATAAACAGTGAAGTTTGACACCCTCCACACTGCTCAGAAGAAAGCTCCGAGTGGATCTGAGATTCAAATGTGAAAGGCCCAATTATGAATCTCTCAGGAGATGCTAGAGATAAGAGAATAGCCTTCAGAATAGGAAGGGATTTCTCAAACAGGACACAGAAAGCTTAAGCCTTGATGGAAGAGGCAGATCAATTCAATTAGATTAAAATGAAGAACCTTGGGGCAGAGTTTGGGTTTTGTAAAATGAAAAGAGTTCTGGAGTTAAGCATCGTGAACATGCTTAACACTACTGAACTGTACACTCATTTTATAATAAAACTATTAAATTGTAAAAGGTGAGAACCTCCTCTTCATCAAAGAACATAAATAGACTGAAAGACAATGCTGGGGATGAAAAATCATTGACCATTATTCTTCAAAGTGAGTGGAAGGCAATGTCCCTGCAGGGTTTGAGCGGAAGAGTGGGCATGGCCTGGCGGGCCCTATGCCAGCCAGTTTTGCTGCTCTGTTGAGAGCAGCCTGTGGGACAGAGAGGTCGGGTAGTAGCAGAGAGCTAAGTGGCGAGAAGTGGTCAGATTCTGGACACACACTGCAGGCAGACCCAGGACTTGGCCGGTGGAGTCCTCACAACATGGCAAGGAAGTAACTGCGGTCAGGAATCCAGGGCGCTCAGGAGCTTAGCCTGGAGCTGTGGAGTTAAAATCCCTGTCAGACGCGCAGGCCGGTAGACAGGTGGCTGCAGGTGGAAATGTGGGGTTTGTAAGCGTGTATAAGAAGTGGGTTTAAGGTCATGATACTGGGAGCACTCTTCTAAAGAGCAAGTGTAGACAGAGGAGAAGCCCCAGGCAGAGTGGGAGGAAGAAGGCAAACCAGGCGCTGGGGAAGAAATGCACTGGGGAGGAAGCCTGACGAGGGTGGCGTCCTGGAGGCCCCAGAGCACAGCCCATCAGAGAGGATGCCCTGCTGGCCTGGCTGGGTTCAGCTGATCGCAGCCGCCTGGCTCTTGCATCTGCACTTGGCCATAGGGCGGCCAGGCGGCTCTGCTGGCCCTGACTGGGCTCACACACGCGTGTGCCTGGGGTCCGCAGCCGGAGACTGATTGAGAATGGTCTTGGAGGCAGCTGCGGCACCTCAGCTTTGCTTTCTGTGTCTGAGCCCAGCACGCCAGCCTGGGCACGGCGTTCTCGCGACAGCAGCAGAGGGCAACAGCAAGACAAGCCCAGGCGCATGAGTTCATTTCAGCCTGCCCTGCCACGTGTCTGCCACTGTCCCATTGGCCAAAGCAAGCCACAGTCACCCAGATTCAAGGGATGGAGAGGGACCTGCCACCTCTGTGCTGGGGAGGGAGGAATTGGAGCCTTAGAGCAGGTCATGTCCCTCCACGGGGGAGGGGGAAGCAACTGCACCCCATGTGCCGGTGGGCCACATTCTGGTGAGAAGGCGCCCCAGCTTTAGGGACACGAAGGTTGCCAGTGGCCTGGAGAGACCAGAACCCAGGCCTGCCGGGAGCAGCTAAAGCGGGACAGGAGTGGGCTGGGCTGGGGCTGCAAGCGCTCTAGTATCTTGAGGGCTGCCGCAGGTGGCCAGAAACTGACAGCCACTGGTGAGAGTGAGAGAGGAACCAGGGAGAAGCAGGGCTGTGTCTGGTGGAGATACTGGTCCACCAGAGAATGGGAGAGCGGCTGGAGCAGTGTCCCTGGGAAGCGTTGTTTGTTTTTGAGATGGAGTCTCACCCTGTTGCCCGGGCTGGAGTGCACTGATGTGATCTCGGCTCACTGCAACCTCCGCCTCTCACGTTCAAGCAATTCTCCTGCCTCAGCCTCCTGAGTAGCTGGGATTAGCTGTTGGGGACACGAGATGCGCCACCACACCCAGCTAATTTTGTGTTTTTAGTAGAGACGGGGTTTCACCAAGCTGGCCAGGCTGGTCTCAAAATCCTGACCTCAGGTGATCCACCCACCTCTGCCTCCCAAAGTGTTGGGATTACAGGCGTGAGCCACCGCGCCCAGCCTCGTGAGTGTTGTTTAAATAGAAGGGAAGGAACCAGGAACAACTCGAATGTCCAGAAGACTCAGGGAACCAGCGATCCCGCGTTTATATCCAACAGGAGGACGAGATGAGCTCCCTGTCCCCATGCAGACGGTCCCACAGCTGGTCGTAAAGGAAAGAAGCTGGCTGCCCAGGCAGTCAGGCCTGCATAAGCCCCACATTCTGCAGGGCAAGTGCATGTGGCGTGGCTCAGGAAGAGCAGGGATGAAGAGAGTGGGAACCCCACGAGGAACCGTGGGCAGCAGGCTGGCGGGGAGCCCGCGGTGCCTGGCGCGTTCTGTCTTCTGGCCTGGAACGTAATCACGCGGGCGCTCTGCTTCTCACCCTTGCATTTGCGTGCACGCTCTGCTGTGCTCAGAGTCACTGACACCAAGGGCCCTGTGTGGCTGGGTGGGGATGCGAGATGCAGGCTTGCCTGGTGACAGGACTTCTTGCTTCCTGAGTTGTACCCTGCACAGACTGCAGAGGCTATCATAACATATCCGAAGGGAGGTGCCCAGGTGAGGGAGCCGTTCTTCTGCGGCTCTTGCTGGAGCGGCCGCCCTCGTTTTCAGCTTACACAGCGAGTCCTTTTGGGTCTCAGGTAGCGTGCCAGGTCCGTCTCGCCTGATTAACACTCTGTGTGCCTCCTCTGCTGCAGGCATGGAAAGCTCACCTGATGGGCCCAGCCGGCTGCACGATGAACCTGCGCAAGACACACATTCTGCAGAAGGCCCCGGCACTGCAGCCAGGTGAGGGACAGCGCCGCTGAGCAGGTGTAGTCTGCATCCCTCCATTTTGACTTATTCAAAAAAGCATCCCCGTCCAGGGCAACATGGCAAGACCCCATCCCTTTAAAAGCAAAATAAAGCATCCAAGCCTGTCTTCATGTTCTGGTTCCTTAGTAAGCAGGCTAATAATCAGAATCGTGTGACCAAAATCCTTCTCCACCTGCAAACTGGCTGTGCAGTGCGAAGGCTCCACGGGTGGCCTAGGATTCACACTCCCGTCCTCCGCTCTTTCTACATCACTGACTCAAGTGTTTAGAATCAGGAAGCTGGCCAGGCACAGTGGCTCACGCCTATAATCCCAGCACTTTGGGGGCTAAGGCAGGCAGATCACTTGAGGTCAGGAGTTCGAGATGAGCCTGGCCAACATGGTGAAACCCTATAAAAAATTGGCCGGGCACAGTGGCCGGCACCTATAGTCCAGCTACTCAGGAGGCTGAAGCAGGAGAATTGCTTGAACCCGGGAGGTGGAGGTTGTGGTGAGCCAATATTGCGCCACTGCCCTCCAGCCTGGGTGACAGAGTGAGACTCTGTCTCAACAAAAAAAAAAAAAATAGGAAGCTGAAGAGTAGACCCTACTAGGCTCAGCCCTGGCTCCTGTAGTCGGGTGACGGCCATCAGCATGGGCCTGGGACGTTGTTGCTGGGTGTCTGTGGCCACAGGTTCTGCACCTGGTCCGTGGGTAGGAGTGCCCCTCCTAATGCAGGTCCTGTGCTTGCTCTGCAGGGAAAAGCTCAGCTGTGGCCGCATCAGGCCCCTTGGGGTCAAAGGCCGGAAGCAAGATCCCCACCCCGAAGGGCGGACTGAGCAAGAGCTCCAGCAGGACGTACGCCAAGCGCTGACGCGGCGCTCGGGCTCCTTGGTCTCTGTGAGGGATGGAGCGGGTCTCCTGATTCTACACCATCTCTCCAGAACTCTCTGGCCTTGGTGGCCCCATGCTCTGGCTGCTGTCCCCAGCTCCCCGCCGTGCACGCCTCTTACGCGTCTGTGCCGTCAGCTCTCGTGCAAACGATATGGATGCAGCTAACCAAAGATCCTGCGTGCAGTGCCAGGACCTGGCCGCACTGTACATTAAGCCTTCAGGGCTGTCTCAGGCCTTCCTTAGAATCAGAGAAGGAAGCGTCCTGTTTGGAGAGAGCCAGAGAGCACCGCCGGGAGGCGCTCGCGCAAGGCCACGGTCAGCACAGGCACGGTCCCGCTTTCCTTAGTGCTTGGAGCAATTTCCATAAAACATTCACCAGAAACCTTTTGCACATCGGTCTCTGCCACACGCAGTAGAATTTCCGCAGGGCTGTGGCTCGGCCAGCAGCGGTTCCAGGAGAGTGGCGGTGCGCACGGGCCTCCAGCCGTGCCTTCCCCCTGCAGGCCCCGTCTGCTGGGCCTGCTGCCCAGTGCACTCAGCCCCAGGTAGCAGAACTCACGTTCCCACTATAGCAAGAAATAAAGGCAAAAGAGAACATCTTTTTTTTAATCGTAGTTTTTTTGAGAATTGGTCCCACCTCAGCCGCACCTTGCTGGATGCTTCTCCAGTAGTGCTGCCCCTGTGACAGGCATCAGCTCCCTGCTGGAACTGAGGTAGACACAGGTGTGGGCCCTTCCCGTGCCTTTGCTCAGAGGCGCTTCACTTTCTCCACACTTTCGAATTCCTAAAGACATGTGGAGGAAGTCACTGTTAAATGAATTTCCACCTGATCACCCTGTGTTCACAGCAGGCAGAAGCCCACTGGTATGGGCCTCCCGCCCCTTCCACATCCATGTTGTGATTGGATCCATAAGTTTACTTTCTTCAAAGAGTTGATAGGATGTTTAAAACATCAACACATTGCTTAAAATGATGAAACCAACCCTCAAAAAACAGTCTCCTAACCAGCCATCCCCTCCTGTGGGAGTGAGCTGGGGGTTTTGTCCATAGCTTTGGTTGGGCCTGTGTCACATCCAGGCAGCCATGTGGAGGGAGTCAGGGTCTGTCTGGAAGCATCCACCCTCTCGCTGCCCCAGCCTGTGCTCCCAGGGGCCTAGGCTACCATGGACTGAAGGGCAGTCCCCTCCCACCTGGTGCCCAGGGCTTCTGCTTGCCTCGCTGATGTTGCATGGGCAGACTTCAAAAAGGATAGTTAGAAAGGTTTGGGTTGATGGAGTTTGCATTAATGCAATTAGTGTATAAATATGTTTTAATTGCCAACCGTGTGAAACAACAAAATATCTAAAAACTAATCCCGATTTGAACAATGTACTCCCTGGCCTGGATACATTAATAACCATAAATTTGCATGAATTAATCTCCACGTTTGGTAAACTAATACCTCTGGTTGACTGAGAATACTGAGTAAGATATAAGACCTACCAGGAACCTTTAAGAATATGCTCTGCTCAGTGTTGTTTGTCTGCTTGTTTGCGACGGAGTCTCACTGTGTCGCCCGGGCTGCAGTGCAATGGCGTGATCTTGGCTCACAGTAACCTCCACCTCCTGGGTTCAAGCAATTCTCCTGCCTCAGCCTCCCTAGTAGCTGGGATTACAGGTGCACACCACCATGCTCGGCTAATTTTTTCTATTTTTAGTAGAGATGGGGTTTCACCATGTTGGCCAGGCTGGTCTCGAACTCGTGACCTCATAATCTGCCCACCTTGGCCTCCCAAAGTGCTGGGATTACAGGCGTGAGCCACCACGCCCAGGTTAAATGTGTTTATAAGGAGAGAGGAGGCCAGGCGCGGTGGCTCACGCTGTAATCCCAGCACTTTGGGAGGCCGAGGCGGGCGGACCACCTGAGGTCAGGAGTTCGAGACCAGCCTGGCCAACATGGTGAAACCCCATCTCTACTAAAAATACAAAAATGAGCCAGGCGTGGTGGCCTGTAGTCCCAGCTACTTGAGAGGCTGAGGCAGGAAAATTGCTTGAACCCGGGAGGTGGAGGTTGCATTGAGCCCACATCATGCCATTGCACTCCAGCCCAGGCGACAGAGCGAGACTCCGTCTCGAAAAAAAAAAAAAGTATAAGGAGAGAAATAACTTTAAAGTTTATTAGACAAAACAGAGTATAGATGCCAAGATGTCTGTAAAATGATTTTTTCTGGTTTTAAAGAGATGTTGGCCATTATTTTCTAATCCATTTTTAAAATACAGACAAAACACTTCTTTAAACAGAACAAGAATGAGAAAAGTTAACCAAGGAATTATTCTTTTCTCACCAATCAACACTTTTAAGAAATATATATATATATATACACACATATACACATGCCTTCTATATATTGTAACTTAAAGAAAATACTTATAAAAAGACTTCATTTTTAGTGATTGACAAGCAAACGGGTTCATTTAAAACAGGTTCCTCTTTTGTTAGTTACAGGGGGTTTTTTTGTTGTTTTTTTGTTTTTGTTTTTGTTTTGCGGGGGTGGTGGGGTTTGAGACGGAGTCTTGCTCTGTTGCCTAGGCTGGAGTGCAGTGGCGCGATCTTGGCCCCCTGCAACCTCCGCCTCCCGGGTTCGAGCAATTCTCCTGCCTCAGCCTCCCGAGTAGCTGGGATTACAGGCGTGTGTCACCACGCCTGGCTAATTTTTTTGTATTTTTAGTAGAGACGGGGTTTCACCATATTGGCCAGGCTGGTCTCAAACTCCTGACCTTGTGATCCACCCACCTCGGCCTCCCAAAGTGCTGGAATTACAGGCATGAGCCACCGCGCCCGGCCCAATCATGTGTTTTTGTTGAAATGATCCTACCAGTGATTAGTGGCTATTGAGAGTTTTACAGGGTTATACATTGTTAAGGGACCAAGAATCAAGTACAAAAAATTAAAAAGGAACTGTAAAATCCCTTGGTCATTCATAAATAAATATCTAAATTAGGAATACTAATTAATTGAATTTTCACTCATGAGTATGTTCTGAATATTTAATATTTATTTCTATTATTTTCATATGTTAAGATATTCCATTAAATCTAACTTAAAAGAATTGTATGTATAAATTGGCATTAGGATACAAATGTAAATGTTTTTAATGAAATTTTGCAACTTTTTAATATTTTAACATAGTTTTCTATTTGTCTTTATTTCAAGTACCAGAATTACAAAATATCTAAGTAATATATTTTTGTTGTCGTTTTAGGGCTTAAGGGTTAATTCACCCAGAGTATATTAATATAATAAAAAGATCACTAAATGTTTTGTCACTTTATTTCAACATTACAATTAAAAAGTAATTTGTCAATTACATTTACTTTAATAAACATGGAAGTGTAGCCCAGCCCTGAAACCTTAGAAAGTAGATTGAAAATTGCTGAAAAAAGACACGGCAAATATGAAGTTGCCCTGAGGGTTTGGTCCCTAGAATAAGTAATTTGTCAAAACAAGTTCACTGCTGAAGAAACTGGACAATTTGAAGCCACATGGAGATTAGAGAAAATGATTGACCAGTTTCATCCTGTGGAATAAATTCAGAATGTTCTCTAAGTTCTCTAATTGTGCCCAGTAGAGGATTATACTTTCTAGTCTCTTCATGGGTTTTCCCCCCTTTGAAAGAGGGATTTTACCAGCCCTCAAGGCTGTTTTGCTTTTCAACTAAGCACTGTACGGTGGTCACCTGCCTACTGCCCAGGAAAGCCGGGGGCAGTGGCTGTGGCACCCTTGATTGGAAAGCTGGGTGGGCTGAGCCGTGGGAGGAGGGTAATGGCCAGGGCTCGGGCAGTGAGCCTGTGAGCCTACCCTGCGGGGAGGTGTGGCCTTAGACTACCCAGCGGGACGGAGGCGGGTCCGCGGAATCCTCACCACAACCATGCAAGGCCGGTGTTGTCATCCTCAACAACAGAGTAGAGAGTTAGCGGTCAGGCACACACAGCCACAGCTGCAGGACAAAGCTGCCCCCGCTGCCCTCTGACTGCAGGGAGGAAGGTGCTGGTCCAGAGGAACCTTGGCACTCTCTGGATCTTGAAAATAGTATGGGGGATCCTGACTCCACTGATGGATCAGTTACCAGGGAGTGTTTGACCACAGCTTGCCGCTGCCTCAGTTTCCTCACCTGTAAAATGGAACTGAGGGTCCCTTTGCTGTGCACTGAAGAGGACACACACTCTAGGCACTTTCCAGCCCTCTGCACAGCTGGCCTCAGGGTGTCAGGCACCTGCCCCTAAATGGGGAGCACTTCTGAGGGTCAGCTGAGGTGGGGCCCAGCCAGCAGAGGGCAGTGGGCAGCCCGAAGGCAGGGGAGCCCCCACTGCCCACCCACCCAGCTGCAAACTCCCACCAGAGCATCTTCCAAACTCTGCTGTTCCCAGGGCATCCGTGCTTCCTGAGAATGAAGCCCTGGAGCAGGGCCAGGCAGGGGAACTTTTTTTTTTTTTTTGAGACGGAGTCTCACTCTGTCACCCAGGCTGGAGTGCAGTGGTGCAATCTCGGCTCACTGCAACCTCCGCCTCCCGGGTTCAAGGGATTCTCCTGCCTCAGCCTCCCAAGTAGCTGGGACTACAGGCACCTGCCACCACACCTGGCTAATTTTTGTAATTTTAGTAGAGACAGGGTTTTACTATATTGGCCAGGCTGGTCTCGAACTCCCAACCTCAGGTGATCCACCCACCTCGGCTTCCCAAAGTGCTGGGATTACAGGCGTGAGCCACTACGCCCAGCCTGGACCTTTTTTTTTTAATTCCAGAGACAGGGTCTCACTCTGTTGCCCAGGCTGGAGTGCAGTGGTGCTACCATGACTCACTGCAGTCTCCAACTCCAGGGCTCAAGCCATCTTCCCACGTCAGTCTCCTGAGTAGCTGGGACTACAGGCACAAGCCACCACCCCCAGCTAATTTTTGTATATATATGTATAGTAGAGGTGGGTTCTCACCATGTTGCCCAGGCCCCCCACAAACTATTTGATCACCAACATCAGTGTCCTCAGCAACCCATTTGCCTCTGTAATGTGGATTTCACACCTCCTGTGTTGTGGCAGACTGCTGTTACTACTTGAGACCATCATTATGAGACTGAAGGAAGAGGGACAAACATAGAAATGAAAACTTAAAACAAAAGTAACTATTTTAACGGAAGGGTAACACGGGGAAGAAGAAGAGAGCTCCCTGCTTCTAGTGAGCAAAGGCACCGCCCGAGCTTCCACAGCCCTTCCTATTTATTGGGTAGCAGGAGGAGGGAGGAGGAGGTAACGATCGGTCAGCTGCTTAATTGATCACAGGTTCATATTGTTACTAACAGGCTTCAGATGTACCTAATCACAAGAAACACTGTGCTTGAGGCGTGACTGCCCTCAGCATTCCTTCTAGGTGGCAGACGCAGTTTGTTTGCCAACATTCTGCATGTATGAGAAACAGTTTGCTGTTTACTCACGTCGCCTCCAGTGGTATACTGAGTTGATCATGACCCTCACTCTTTCAGCGTGCAACACTGTGTTACTCTAGGTAGCAGCGTCAGGCAGCATTCTGTTTCCTGGTGCTGGGAGGTGAATGTGCCCCACAAATTCACAGGCTGGAAACTCACTGCCCGGTGCAACAGTATAGACAGGTGGGGCCTGACCATAGGCCCTGCCCTCATGGTTGGATTTGTGCAACAATAAAAGGACTTGGGGCCAGACACAGTGGCTCACACCTATAAACCCAGCCTTTGGGAGACCGAGATGAGAGGATCACCGGCGTCCAGGAGTTCAAGACCAACCTGGGCAACAAAGAGAGACCCCATCTCTACAAAAAATATAAAATTAGCTGGGCATGGTGGCATGTGCCTGTAGTGCCACCTATTTGGGTAGCAGAGGCAGGAGGATCACATGAGCCCTGGAGGTCAAGGCTGAAGTGAGCCATGATCATGCCAGTGCACTCAGCCTGGGTGACAGAGTGAGACCCTGTCTCAAAAAAAAAAAGTGGGCCGGGCGCAGTGGCTCATGCCTGTAATCCCAGCACTTTGCGAGGCCAAGGCAGGCAGATCACCTGAGGTCGGGAGTTCGAGACTAGCCTGACCAACATGGAGAAACCCCGTCTCTACTAAAAATACAAAATTAGCCAGGCGTGGTGGCACATGCCTGTAATCTCAGCTACTTGGGAGGCTGAGGCAGGAGAATCACTTGAACCCGGGAGGTGGAGGTTGCGGTGAGCCGCGATCGTGCCATTGCACTCCAGCCTGGGCAACAAGAGTGAAACTCCATCTCAAAAAAAAAAGTGGGTGGGGGGTCTTGGGTGTGGGATCCCCCTCCACCTTCCACCCTGTGAGGACACAGCCTGCCTTCCCTCTCTCCCTCCAGAGGATGCTTGGACTCCCAGCCTCCACGGCTGTTAGAAAGAAACCTCTGCTTTCTATAAATTACCCTGTCTCAGGTATTTTGTTATAACAAGCAGACTAAGACACCTGATCCTCTTTGTTTATTATTGTTTGAGATTGGGTCTTGCTCTGTCATCCAGACTGCAGTGCAGTGGTGTGATCTCAGCTGGTTGCAACCTTCAACCTCCTGGGCTCAACTGATCCTCCTGCCTCAGCCTCCTCAGTAGCTGGAACTACAGGCACATGCCACCACACCCAGCTAATTTTTACATTTTTGTACAGGGGAATCTCACTATGTTGCCCAGGCTGGTCTGGAACTCCTGAGCTCAACTGATCCTCCCACCTCAGCCTCCCAAAGTGCTGGGATTACAGGTGTGAGCTACTACACCCCCTGAGTGGTCCTGTCTAAAATGCATCCAGTGGCCAGGCATGGTGGCTCACACCTGTAATCCCAGCACTTTGGGAGGCCAAGGCAGGCAGATTACTTGCGGTCAGGAGTTCGAGACCAGCCTAGGCAACATGGTGAACCCCTGTCTCTAGTAAAAATACAAAAATCAGTCAGGTGTGGTGGCAGGTGTCAGTAATCCCAGCTAGTTGGAGGCTGAGGCAGGAGAATTGCTTGAACCCAGGAGGTGGAGGTTGCAACGAGCCAGGATTGCGCCACTACACTCCAGCCTGGATGACAGAGTGAGACTCCATCTCAAAAAAAAAAAAGTGTCCAGTGCTGGGAGTTGCCCCATAAGAAGAGAGTGGCTGGTGCTCAGTGGAGGTGCTCAAGCTAAGGGTGCCCTGTCCCCTGACCCTAGCCACCCTGACCTTGGCTTCTCAGCTGTCTCCTCAACTCTGGGAGTCTGCTGGGCTCTGCCACCCAGGCTGGAGTGCAGTGGTGAGTTTGATATGGTTTGGATCTGTGTCCCTGCCCACATCTCATAATGAAATGTAATCCTCAGTGTTGGAGGAGGGGCCTGGTAGTAGGTGACTGGATCATGGGGGCGGATTTCTCATGAAGAGGTTAGCACCATCCGCTTGGTCCTGTCCTGATAACAGAGAGTTATCTGCTTGTTTGAAAGTGTGTGGCACCTCCCCCTCACTCTCTAGCTCCTGCTTCGCCTCCGCCCTGAGTAAAAGCTCCCTGATGCCTCCCCAAGAAGATGCTCATGGCCATACTTCCTCCACAGCCTGTAGAACGTTGAGCCAATCAAACCTCTTTATAAATTACCCAGTCTCAGCCAGGCACAGTGGCTCACACCTGTAATCCCAGCACTTTGGGAGGCTGAGGCGGGCTGATCACAAGGTCAGGAGATCGAGACCATCCTGGCTAACACGGTGAAACCCGATTTCTACTAAAAATACAAAAAAAAAAAAAAAAATTATCCGGGCATGGTGGCAGGCACCTGTAGTCCCAGCTACTCAGGAGGCTGAGGCAGGAGAATGGCATGAACCCAGGAGGTGGAGCTTGCAGTGAGCCGAGATCGCGCCACTGCACTCCAGCCTGGGCGACAGAGCGAGACTCTGTCTCAAAAAATAAATAAATAAATAAATAAATAAATAAAAATAAATTACCCAGTCTCAGGTAATTGCCCTTTACAAACCTTATCACAACCTACACTGACCATCTACAACATGTTTGGACTTTCTGACGTGTCTGATACTTCTCTCTTTTCTAGTCATTTTACTTTAGGATAAGAATTTACCACATAATATCCTTTCTTATATAAAATTATTTTATTTTCTTCATATCCTTACCAAAAATACATCTTCATAGCCAAAACTTGTTTTATTACTCTCTCCCCTACCTATTAGTTTCTTTTTATCTTTCTTCATAAATAACTTTTAAACAACTTTCAAATTACATAAAATTATTTTTTCTCTCAATAACACAATTTACAGAATTATATATTAATTAGAATTCCTATTCTTAGTAACCTTAAATTTTAGTGAAAACCCAGGAAGCAAGAAATCTTGAACTATCAGATGTTATTTTGTAAATGAAACAATTCCATAATTTTTAGAAACACATTTTCCCATAGCACAGTCTTTTCTGAATTGGAAATGACCCAGACATCTGTGGGCAGCAAGCCATCCAGGTGCCGAGACAAGAGACCAAGGGCACGAGCTATTCCAGTATAATAAAATATATAAAACAACAAGAGTTATACTAGATCTAGATCACAGACATGATTATATATGAATATCATTAATCATTAGTTTGTAGCAATTGCTCTTTATTCCAATATTATAATAATCCTTGCTCTATAATCATAACCTAGGAAAAACCAGGCCATACAGAGATGGGGGCTGAGGGGACATGGTGAGAAGTGACCAGAAGACGATAGTGCGAGCCTTCTGTTATGCCCAGACAGGGTCACCAGAGGGCTCCTTGGTCTAGCGGTAACACCAGCGTCTGGGAAGATGCCCGTTGCCAGGCAGACCGTGGTCTAGCAGTAGCATCAGTGTCAAGGAAAAACACCTGCTACTTAGGAGTCTCCCTTTCCCTGGGGGAGTTTAGAGAAGACTCTGCTCCTCCACCTCTTGTGGAGGGCCTGACATCAGTTAGGCTCGCCCGCAGTTATCCGGAGGCCTAACCGTCTCCCTGTGATGCTGTGCTTCAGTGGTCACGCTCCTAGTCCGCCTTCATGTTCCATCCTGCACACCTGGCTTTGCCTTTTAGATAACAGTAGCAAATTAGTGAAAGTACTAAAAGTCTATGATAAGCAGAAATAATGGCGTAAGCTGTCTCTCTCTCTCTCTCCCCCTCTCTCTCTGCCTCGGCTGCCAGGCAGGAAAGGGCCCCCTGTCCAGTGGACATGTGACCCACATGACCTTACCTATCATTGGAGATGACTCACACTCTTTACCCTGTCCCTTTTGGTTTGTATCCAATAAATAACAGTGCAGCCAGGCATTCGGGGCCACTACCGGTCTCCGCGTCTTGGTGGTGGTGGTCCCCCAGGCCCAGCTGTCTTTTCTTTTTATCTCTTTGTCTTGTGTCTTTATTTCTACAATCTCTCATCTCCGCACATGGGGAGCAGAACGCACCAACACTGTGGGGCTGGTCCCTACATCCGGCGCTCCAACGTGGGGCTCTCTCTCGCTGTGTGAAGTTGCACCCTGAGTGTGGGATTCAGCAGAGGATTTTGACCAGAGATTCCTGAGGATTGTGGTCAGTAAGCTTGGTGGTAAGCTAGAGCACTCAGAGTATTCCGGGGACACCATGGGACAAGCCAGTACTAAGTACTCAGCTTATTTAAGCTTTATAAAAACCCTCCTGTTTTATCTCAACCCTGTCCCTGTTCAGCCCTGCTGTAGGGGTCTCAACCTTCTGCCTGTTCCGCCCGGTAATGAGGCCCTCAACCCTATCCCTCCATAGCCTGGTTTTCTCATGCCTGTTTCCTTTCCTCCTAATCAGACTCGGTTAGAGTCACAGGCTCCCTTGAAACCTGGTTCCTTTCCTACTAATCCGACTCCCCTGGAGTCACAGACTCCTTTGAAGCCTGGTCCGCAGTTGCCACAGCAGCCTGAATTTCAGGCCCATGAAGGACGTGCTCGGCAGGTAATCTCGTCTACCCTTGCTGCTCACAAGCAACAAGTTACATAGATTCCTCAAAATGACACTCCTCTTATGAGGGCTATAGCACAGGCAAGAAAATATGGGGATCCCAACGCCTGGCAATTTCCTGTAATTTTACAACCTCCAATACCTGCCGTCCCTGCGGCACAAAATCAGCCACAGCCTGCTGATCTTACTCAGCAGGCAGCTGATCTCGCGGCACCTTCACGCTCCGTGTTAATATCTTGTTTTTCTGCAGGACAACAAACAGTTGCAGCAGCCGGTTTGGTTACTGCGCCCCCTCCACAAAAAAAAAATCCAGACTTCTTCTCCTTATCACTATTTAGCAATGCAGCTAGAAGTCAGGTTATTAAGCCCAAAAAAATCATTGTTCCCCTCACCCGATTAGAAGTTCAACAGGCTTTTGCAACCTGTATCACTTGGCAAGTACACTTGGCAGGTTTCTCGGGTATAATTGACAATCACTATCCTAATGTAAAATTATTTCAGTTCCTTAAACTCACTTCTTGGATTTTACCTAACATTACTAGAAACACCCCATTAGCTGAAGCTGTCACTGTTTTTACTGATGCTTCCTGTAATGGCCGAGCAGCATATACAGGTCCCAGAGAACGTGTTCTTAACACAGGGGCTATTTCAGCACAACGAGCTGAACTGCCTGCTGTTATGACCGTCTTTGAAGATTTCCCTGAACCAGTTAACATTGTCTCTGACTCAGCGTATGTAGTACATGTTGCTCGCAACATTGAAACTGCCTTAATCCAATTTCTGCCCGATGATAACCTATTCTTTCTTTTTCAAAGGTTTCAGTCTGTGCCCAGAGCAAGGTCTTCTCCTTTCTACATTGCTCACATTCGGGCCCACACACCCCTCCCCAGACCCCTCTCGGCAGCAAATGCCAGAGCTCATACATTAGTTCCTCCCGTTTTTACAGATGCAGAAAATTTTCATGCTTTAACACCTGTCAATGCTGCAGGACTCCGGAAAAAGTTCCCCTTACATGGAAACAAGCTAAAACCATTGTTCGTCACCGTCCTACTTGCCAAGTGTTAATCTTACAGCCACTTTCCTCAGGAGTTAACCCTAGAGGACTTTCACAGAATGCTCTCTGGCAAATGGACGTGACTCATTATCCTGCTTTTGGCAAGCTTTCTTTTATACATGTAACTATCGACACTTTTTCTCATTTTATCTGGGCCACTTGTCACGCAGGGGAAAGTACAGCTCATGGTAAACGACATATGCGTTCCTGTTTCTCCGTTATGGGCTGTCCCGAGAAACTGAAAACTGATAACAGCCCCAGCTACACTAGTGCTGCTTTTAAAAAGTTCACTGAGACGTGGGCAATTGCTCACACAACCAGCATCCCCTGTAACTCTCGAGGACAGGCCTCGGTGGAACGAGCCAATAAAACACTGAAAGGTCAACTTCGAAAGCAGGACATAAAACAAAGGGGGATGGCACCACACCTCATGCTCAGTTAAACCTGCCTCTTTTTACACGAGCTTTCTTACACCCAGCAAGAAACCAAACTTTACAGCCACAGAACCACATGTCACTGGAAATAAATTTGATCCACAAAAACGAATGCGGGTATGGTGAAAGGACGCAAAAACTAACAAATGGGAATTAGACAGAGTCATAACTTGGGCTAGGGCTTTCGCTTGTGTTTCCCCAGGAAAAGGACAACAACCCGCGTGGGTTCCCTCCCAGCGACTGAAATTGCATTATAACTCCAAGGATGAGGCACTCTGAGAAACAAAAGGACTGCCAGCCTGCTCCAAGAAACCTACAAAGGGGCCTTTTTTCTTTTTTTAACTAAATTCAATCTTATGAAATGATTCTAATACTCCGAAGGCCATACTGTTCCAAACCCTACCTACGGGTGTTGTTATTGACTGGGCTCCAAAAGGGCATTATTGGCGAAATTGCTCCACCCAAAATACAAAATGCTCGGAGTTTAACTATTTGTTAGATTATATAGAGGATGGGCCGGGCACAGTGGCTCATGCCTGTAATCCCAGCACTTTGGGAGGCCGAGGCGGGTGGATCACAAGGTCAGGAGATCAAGATCATCCTGGCTAACACAGTGAAAACCCGTCTCTACTAAAAAACAAAAAATTAGCTGGGCGTGGTGGCAGGCGCCTGTAGTCCCAGCTACTCGGGAGGCTGAGGTAGGAGAATGGCGTAAACCCAGGAGGCAGAGCTTGCAGTGAGCCAAGATCGCGCCACTGCACTCCAGCCTGGGCAACAAAGCAAGACTCCATCTCAAAAAAAAAAAGAAAGAAAAGAAAAAAGATCATATAGAGGATGGATGGCAGTCATACAGGTTGAGACAATGGGTGTCTCCTTACCCATTTAAATGGATGGACGCAGGCATTGTTCCCCCTACACCAAAAATGATTCATCCCATTGTTACCCCAGAACATCCTGAATTATGGAAATTGCTGCAGCTATGACAGGAATAAGGATACGGAACACTACCTATCAACTCCTTCACACTAATACCAAAACACACACATTCAACATCACCTTGATATCTGAACAGGTGATACCCATCAGGAGCTGTGTCAAACCCCCTTACATGCTGTTGGTTGGAAATATAATTATCATTCCCAGTACACAAACTGTAGAATGTGATAACTGTCAGCTGTTCACATGCATTGATGCTACTTTCATTCCCACTACAAGTATTCTCTTGGTACGGGCTAGGGAGGAGGTATGGATACCAGTTTCTCTACATCGTCCTTGGGAGTCTTCCCCCTCTATTCACATAGTCAATGAAGTTCTTAAAGTTATCCTCAAAAGAACAAAGAGATTTATTTTTACTCTTATTGCCGTCATTGCAGGTCTAATTGCAGTTACTGCAGCAGCAGCAGCTGCTGGAGTTGCCATCTACAATTATGTTCAAACCGCTCAATATGTTAAAGCACGGCAGAAAAACTCCTCCGGACTTTGGAATTCTCAGGCTCAAATTGATAAAAAATTAGCCAATCAAATTAATGATCTCCGTCAAAGTGTAATGTGGCTCAGAGACAGAGTTATGAATTTGGAACACCTTATGCAATTACAGTGTGATTGGAATACTTCTGACTATTGCATAATGCCTTATGCTTATAATAAAGGTCAACATAGCTGGGAAAAGGTCTCAAGACATTTAAAAGCCTGGGATGATAACTTAACCTTGGATATTTCAAAACTTAAAGAGCAAATTTTTGAGGCTTCACAAGCTCATTCATCCACTGTTCCTGGCTCAGACATTTTTGAAGGAATAACTAAAGAATTATCTGATCTTAATCCCTTTAAATGGATCAAACCCCTTGGAGGATCATTGTTGTCACTGGCATTATTAGTATTGGTATGCTTATGTTGTCTCCGTTTAGTCTGCAGATGCCTCCAAGGAGTCCGAAAACAAGTCCGAAGTCAATGACAAGCAATGATGGCGATGGTGATCCTAGTTAATATAAAGGGGGGAGATGTGGGCAGCAAGCCACCCAGGTGCCGAGGCAAGAGACTGAGGGCACGAGCTGTTCCAGTATAATAAAATATATAAAACAACAAGAGTTATGCTAGATCTAGATCATAGACATGATTATATATGAATATCATTAATCATTAGTTTGTAGCAATTACTCTTTATTCCAATATTATAATAATCCTCGCTCTATAATCATAACCTAGGAAAAAGCAGGCCATATAGAGATGGGAGCTGAGGGGACATGGTGAGAAGTGACCAGAAGACAAGTGCGAGCCTTCTGTTATGCCCGGACAGGGCCACCAGAGGGCTCCTTGGTCTAGCGGTAACACCAGCGTCTGGGAAGATGCCCGTTGCCAAGCAGACCGTGGTCTAGTGGTAGCGTCAGTGTCAAGGAAAAACACCTGCTACTTAGCAGACCGGGAAAGGGAGTCTCCCTTTCCCCGGGGGAGTTTAGAGAAGACTCTACTCCTCCACCTGCATCTGTAAAAACGGGAGTAACTAATGTATCAGCTCTAGCATTTGCTGCGAGAGGGGTCCGGGGAGGGGTGTGTGGGCCCAAATGTGAGTAATGTAGAAAGGAGAAGACCTTGCTCTGGGCACAGACTGAAACCTTTGAAAAAGAAAGAATAGGTCATCATCAGGCAGAAATTGGATTAAGGCAGTTTCAATTGTTGTGAGCAACATGTAGTACCTACGCTGAATCAGAGACAATGTTAACTGGTTCAGGGAAATCTTCAAGGACGGTCATAACAGCACAAATCTCATCTTGAATTGTACTCCCATAATTCCCACAGGTTGTGGGAGGGAGAAGGTGGGAGGTAATTTGAATCATGGGGGCAGTTTCCCCCACACCGTTCTCAAGGTAGTGAATAAGTCTCATGAGATCTGATGGTTTTATCAGGGGTTTCTGCTTTTGCATCTTCTTCATTTTCTCTTGCCACCGCCTTGTAAGAAGTGCCTTTCACCTCCCGTCATGATTCTGAGGCCTCCCCAGCCATGTGGAACTGTAAGCCCAATTAAACCTCTTTTTCTTCTTAGTCTCAGGTATGTTTTTATCAGCAGTGTGAAAATGTACAAATACACCTAGTGAGGAGAGGGGCAGCCTATCTTGCTACTTTCTGACAACCAGATGGACCTAGTCTTGGCCATTGGGATGCAGACTGTGCCTAAGCACCCTCAGAGGGGGGTGCAACACTAAACAGAGACACAAACACAAATAGATCCAATGTAGACACAGCCCTCCAAACAGATCCCTCCAAACAGAGGGGAGATTGGAGCAAAGTCCTGAGGTCCTGTCCCAGACCCAGACAGCACCATGGAGTGACCTGCGTTAGGTCCAGATGGCACAGAGACCCAGGCAGCACCACAGAGTGACCTGCGTTAGGTCCAGATGGCACAGAGACCCAGGCGGCACCACAGAGTGACCTGTGTTAGGTCCAGATGGCACAGAGACCCAGGCGGCACCACAGAGCGACCTGCGTTAGGTCGAGATGGCACAGAGACCCAGGCGGCACCACAGAGTTACCTGCGTTAGGTCCAGATGGCACAGAGACCCAGGTGGCACCACAGACTACCAATACTAGCTCTAGACAGCTAGAGCCCCAGATGGCAGATGCAGAGGATTTCCAGGTGCACTTCAGTTCACATCCCACATACTGCTTCCCTCCCACCAGCAGAGCATGAGAGATGCTGATGTCATGAAGGAGAGGGAAGGGAAAATCCCCAAGACAAAGGCAGTCTCGGCAGCCACTAGGAATTCCCTAAGGTCCTAGCCTTGGGGTCAGCTGGCCATGAGCAGCTGGCATTTTCAAGCAGCTGCTGTCCTGCCTGACAGCAAGAGTGGGTAAATCCTGGGACTGCTGTGGCCAATCTCTGCCTTCATTGGAAACCAGGTACACAGGCTGAGCCACTCACAACACAGTGCCTCACACAAGGCACCAGATCTGCAACCAGCTCAAGCGTGGCTGCTCAAAGACCAAAAACATGAGAAGCGAGGTGTGGTGGAAGGAAAGCCGTTTATTAAACAAATGCCAGCCGATGGGACATGGCTGGGCTCATGCCTCCAAGAGACCCTCTGTCTTCTGGGCTGAGTGAGAGGTTTTGGAAGGAAAACTTGGTGTGGGAAACATGTGGGGGTGGTGCAGGAGGATGCAGAAGGGTGCAAGGGGGTGCAGGGGGGTGCAGGGCTGCATGTCTTGTTCCGAAGGTGATCTCGAGTAACACCCTGTCTGAAGGTCCAGCTTGCATCATCCTGACTTTGGCCCAGTAGTGGTGGGCTCACTCTTCCTAACTGCCCCAGAGCAGTAGGATCCACATCTGGGTCTCTGAGCCTGGTTTCCTTCAAAATTAGCCCCTGGAAGTTCTTTTTTTTTTTTTTTTTTTTTTTTTTTTTTTTTTGAGATGGAGCCTCCCTCTGTTGCCCAGGCTGGAGTGTAATGGTGCAATTTCAGCTCAGTGCAACTTCTGCCTCCTGGGTTGAAGCTCCTGCCCTAGCCTCCAAGTAGCTGGGATCACGGGCGCCCACCACCCCACCTGGCTAATTTTTGTATTTTTAGTTAAGACGGGGTTTCACCATGTTGGCCAGGCTGGTCTTGAACTCCTGACCTCAGGTGATCCGCCTGCCTCAGCCTCCCAAAGTGTTGGGATTACAGGAGTGAGCCACCGCGCCCGGCCTGTAAATGGTTTTTGTTTTTTTCTTTGTTTATTTATTTATTATCAGAGTTGATTCTCTCCTGGATCAGGAAAAAGGCCTAGCAAAGCAAGGATACTATCTTCAGAATGTGGATTTCCCCCACAATAGGCAGCCTTGCAGGATTGTTTTAAGATACAGCAAGGAAATATAATTTGGGGTAAAATACTTCAATTTCCTTCAGGGCCTTGATCAGTCACATAATGCTCTACTAGAAACAGGCTAGAATTTGGTATCATTGCTACAAAGAGTCAGCTTTGTCAGTCTTTTATTGTTGTTGTTATTTTGAGATGGAGTCTCGCTCTGTCACCCAGGCTGGAATGCAGTGGTGCAATCTTGGCTCACTGCAACCTCCGCCTCCTAGGTTTAAGCAATTCTCCTGCCTCAGCCTCCCGAGTAGCTTGGATTACAGGCGCCCGCCACCATGCCCAGCTAATTTTTGTATTTTTAGTAGGGATGGGTTTTCACCATGTTGGTCAGGCTGGTCTCAAACTCCTGACCTCAAGTGATCCACCCGCCATGGCCTCTCAAAGTGCTGGGATTACAGCCATGAGCCACCACACCTGGCCTGGCTTTGTCAGTCTTAAAGTCTGTGTTGATATTAATGATGGTCAGGTGGGCCTGAATTCCCAAAGGGAGGAGAATATAATGAGGCATGTCCAACCCCTACCCCTCCACATCCGACCCTTCCCATCATGGCCTGAACTAGTTTTTCAGATTAACTAGGGAATGCCCTTGGCCCAGAGGAGGGGTCCACTCAGATGGTTGGGGGGCTTAGAATTTTATTTTATTTTTATTTATTTATTTTGAGACGGAGTCTCACTCTGTCGCCCAGGCTGGAGTGCAGTGGCGCAATCTCCGCTCACTGCAAGCTCCGCCCTCTGGGTTCTTGCCATTCTCCTGCCTCAGCCTCCCGAGTAGCTGGGACTACAGGCGCCTGCCACCAAGCCCGGCTAATTTTTTTTGTATTTTTAGTAGAGACGGGGTTTCACCGTGTTCACCAGGATGGTCTCGATCTCCTGACCTGGTGATCCGCCCGCCTCGGCCTTCCAAAGTGCTGGGATTACAGGCATGAGCCACCGTGCCCAGCCTCTAGAATTTTATTTTTTGGCCAGGTTTGGTGACTCACACCTGTAATCCTAGCAATTTGGGAGGTTGAGGCAGGTGGATTGCTTGAGTTCATGGGTTTGAGACCAGCCTAGGCAACATGGCAAAACCCCAGCTCTACAAAAAATACAAAAATTAGCCAGGCGTGGTGGCACATGCCTGTGGTACCAGCTACTCAGGGGCTGAGGTGGGAGGATCACTGGAGCCAGGGAAGTTGAGGCTGCAATGAGCCGAGCTGGAACCACTGCACTCCAGCCTGGGTAACAGAGCAAGACTCTGTCTCAATAAATAAATAAATAAATAAATAAGAATTTGGGGGCTGGGTGCGGTGGCTTGTGCCTGTGAGCCCAGCACTTTGGGGGGCTGAGGCGAGCAGATCACCTGAGGTCAGGTGTTCGAGACCAGCCTGGCCAACATGGCGAAAACCGGTTAATATAAAAATTATATTAACACGGTTAATATAAAAATTAACCGGCCACGGTGGCATGCACCTGTAGTTCCAGCGGGAGGCTGAGGCAGGAGAATTGCTTGAACCCAGGAGGCGGAGGTTGCAGTGAACCAAGATAGCATCACTGCACTCCAGCCTGGGTGACAGAGCGAGACTCCGTCTCAAGAAAAAAAAAAGAATTTTGGTTTTGGTTTACACCACTCAAAAGTGCAGGAATTCCAAAACAAGCCGGTCGGGGCACAGTAGAGCACAGACTCTGGCTCCTCCATCCGCCCGCACCCCACCCTGTGAAAGGAAAATAAATCTCAAAACCCCACAATCACTAAGTCAAAGGAAAAAGTCAAGCTGGGAACTGCTTCGGGCAAATCGGCCTCCCGTCTTATTCCTAAATAAGATAGTTACAAATACATATTTTTAAAGCTACACACCTCCCTCACAATTTGCCCACAAAGAAATTCTCTGTGGGCCTCAAGATCTTTACCCTAAAACAGTTCTGTTGAATTTCACCCTGGCAATGCAAATTGATAGCTTCCCTTCACAGGTGCGAGACAAAGGACTGAACTCAAAGCCATCCCTCTGCTCACCTAGACAAATGCATATCTGATCGCTTCCTTTGCTCTACTGTTTACGTAGAAATGAAGATTCAGTAAGCCAGACTAAAGCATAAGCGACTATTCCTCTACCCGCGTCTCACATGCATAATAAATTGTGCAGTCAGCGAAAGGCTGAACAAAGACTCAAAAGAATGCACCCTCCGGTCTCTTCTCTACCTGTGACCTGAAAGCCCTCTCCTGGAATTGTCCAGCCTTTCTGGGCTGAACCAAGGTACACTCGCACGTGTTGATTGATGTCTCACGTCTCCCCAAAATGTACAAAACCAAGCTGCATCCCAACTTCCCTGGGCACCATCGTCACGATCTCCTAGGGTTGTGACACTGGCGTGTCCTTAACCTTGGCAAAATAAACTTTTTACATTTCATTGAGTCCTGTCTCAGATATTTTTGGGTTCATAACCCCCACCCTCACCCCTACCCGCGGAGAGAGCGAGCCGCTCTCCAGCCCCTCCCCGGCTCTACGCAGGAGAGGCCACTCTCCTCTATGGCACGCGCGGCGGCACTCTAGCAGCCAGGTGGCTTCTCTATGGGCTTTTCCGGCACAGGTCGGAAGTGGCGCGCGCTGCCCCGGAAGCACCCTGGTGGGTGGGTGCCTGCCAGCAGCTGAGGCGCCATGGCGGCGGCAGCGGTGTCAGAGTCTTGGCCGGAGCTGGAGCTGGCTGAGCGCGAGCGGCGGCGGGAGCTGCTGCTGACGGGGCCCGGGCTGGAGGAGCGAGTGCGGGCGGCGGGTGGGCAGCTGCCGCCGCGGCTTTTCACCCTGCCGCTGCTGCACTACTTGGAAGTGAGCGGCTGCGGGAGCTTGCGCGCGCCGGGGCCTGGCCTGGCGCAGGGCCTGCCGCAGCTGCACAGCCTCGTGCTGCGGCGCAACGCGCTGGGGCCCGGCCTGAGCCCCGAGCTCGGGCCGCTGCCTGCCCTTCGGGTGCTCGACCTGTCGGGCAACGCGCTGGAGGCGCTGCCGCCGGGCCAAGGCCTGGGCCCCGCCGAGCCGCCGGGCCTTCCGCAGCTGCAGAGCCTCAACCTCAGCGGCAACCGGCTGCGCGAGCTGCCAGCCGACCTGGCGCGCTGCGCCCCGCGCCTGCAGAGCCTCAACCTCACCGGCAATTGCCTAGACTCCTTTCCCGCCGAGCTCTTTCGCCCCGGCGCGCTGCCCCTGCTCAGTGAACTGGCGGCTGCTGACAACTGCCTCCGAGAACTCAGCCCCGACATCGCCCACCTGGCCTCGCTCAAGGTCAGCGGGGGCTGCCCGGGCGGGGCGGGATGGGGCCTTGGAGTAGCCCTGGAGAAGGAACCCCTCTCGGGGCCGAGCAGTTCCTAGTGACGCCCCCTGGGGCACTGGGCCCAGGGAATTCCTACAAGGCTGAAAGGAGCCAGCTGCGGGGGGCATCACCCCTGGGAAGCAGATGCCGCCTTCCAACTCCCCCTTCTCCTGGCCACACCAACATACTAGGTGGCCTCTGAACTCCCCCGCATTCTGTTAACTGGACTTTTACACGTGGTACGCTATTTTGTAATTGTTAGCAAACCTGGCTTCTCCTGTAGATCGAGCGTAGAGACCTGTCTTTTTTGTATCTAGTACTTGTGAAGTGACTTGAGAGTGAGTCTGGTGGTGAAGGGGGCACCCTGGATTTTGCATAATGCCACATGCTGTGATCTTGAAGATTATATTTCACTTCATCCTAATAGCAGCTTTCCAAGGTAGGGGTGGTTATTCCTGTTTTACAGAAAGCCAAAGGGCCTGCCCAAAGTAAGCAGCAGGTAACTTGGGTTTTTCTCCAGACTATATTGTCCAGCGTCTGTTTACTAATTAATCTTGGATCCCCAGGCCCCGCGATAATGCTTGGCCTATAACAGGTGCCCATTGAATCTGTTGCCTAAAAGAAAGTAGGGAAGCCACATGGCAGAACCACGACCTAAACCCAGCCAGATGTTCTCTCCATCTTCTCTTTTGGTTTCATCCTTAAGGCAGTCCTGCATTTCTTCCCCCATTTTTCGTCTTTGAATTTATGCAGACATTTCTTTTTTTTTTTTTTTTTTTTGAGATGTAGTCTGGTCCTGTCACCCAGGCTGGAGTGCAGTGGCGCGATCTCGGCTCACTTCAACCTCCGCCTCCCGGGTTCAAGCGGTTCTTCTGCCTCAGCCTCCTGAGTAGCTGGGCTTACAGGCGCACACCACCACGCCCGGCTAACTTTTGTGTTTTTAGTAGAGACGGGTTTCACTGTGTTGGTCAGGCTGGTCTCGAACTCCTGACCTCATGTGATCCGCCTGTCTCGGCCTTCCAAAGTGCTAGGATTACAGGTGTGAGCCACCGCGCCTGGCCTATGTGGACATTTCTTAATAAAATACGTATACACTTTAGCAGCTTATCTATTTATTTGCTGTAGCAATTCCTCAAGACATTGCAACTCATTTTACAAGTAACATATCTATATAAGGATATATAGACAAACCCTGGCCGGGCGCGGTGGCTCACACCTGTAATCCCAGCACTTTGGGAAGCTGAGGCGGGCAGATCGCTTGAGGTCACACCACCAGCCTGGCCAACATGGTGAAACCCCATCTCTACAAAAATACAAAAATTAGCTGGGCCTGGTGGCGCGTGCCTGTAGTCCCAGCTACTCGGGAGGCTGAGGTGGGAGGATCACTTGAGCCCAGGAAGTGGAGGTTGCAGTGAGCTGTGATACCAGCCTGAACAGAGCGAGACCCTGTGGCAAAAAAAACAAACCCACTGTAGAGTGACACATGGTTACTGATGTAACTGCCCAATGGGTTCATTTTATCCACTACCCGGATAGAGCTGATTTATCAGGGCAGGAGGGTTGCAATAGAGAAAGTTTTACACATGTAGAGCCAGCTAAAGTGGAGACTGGAGTTTTACTGTTATTATTATTGTTGTTTGAGATGGAGTCTCGCTCTGTCTCCCAGGCTGGTGTGCAGTGGTGCAACCTTGGCTCACTGCAAGCTCCGCCTCCCGGGTTCACGCCATTCTCCTGCCTCAGCCTCCCGAGTAGCTGGGACTACAAGCGCCCGCCACAACACCCAGCTAATTTTTCGTATTTTTAGTAGAGATGGAGTTTCACTGTGTTAGCCAGGATGGTCTCGATCTCCTGACCTCATGATCTGCCTGTCTTGGCCTCCAAGGTGCTGAGATTACAGGCATGAGCCACCGCGCCCGGCCGAGTTTTATTACTAAATCAGCTTCCCCAAAAATTTGGAGGCGGGGTTTTTCAAGGATAGTTTGGGGAAAGGGGAGGGTGGCTAGGCAACGGGTGCTTGCTGCTGATTGGTTGAGGTGCAATCATAGGGGTGTGGGAAACGGTCCTGCTTACTGAGTCACTTCTGGCTGGGGCTGCGGGGAGCTCTTTTTGGTTTCAGGTAGAGCCATTGATCAGACATGCAAAAACCCTGAAAAGACACAGCTCAGAAGGCCGGTCTTAGGTTCCACAGTGCTGCTAGTGCTGTTATCTGCAGGAGTCACTGGGGAAGTCGCATATCTTGTGACCTCCAGAAGAATAGCTGGCAGTTGTTTATGTCTACCCCTTAGCAGAATTCAGGTTCCTCCATCCTCCTATCCTCGTGGACCCTCATTAGCTTTACAAAGGCAGTTGAGTTTTACGGAAGGAGTATTATCATTTAAATTACAAATGTCTCCCAAAGTTAGCTTGGCCCAAGCCCAGGAATAATTAAAGGTAGTTTGAAGGGCCAGGCGCGGTGGCTCCTGCCTGTAATCCCAGCAGTTTGGGAGGCTGAGGCAGGCGGATCACCTGAGGTCGGGAGTTCTAAACCAGCCTGACCAACATGGAGAAACCCATCTCTAGCTGGGCATGGTGGCACATGCCTGTAATCCTAGCTACTCAGGAAGCCAAGGCAGGAGAATCGCTTAAACCCGGGAGGCGGAGGTTGCAATGAGCCAAGATGATACCATTGCACTCCAGCCTGGGCAACAAGAGCAAAACTCCATTTAAAAAAAAAAAAAGGTAGTTGGAAGGCCAAAGATGGGGATTGGTTAGATCAGATCTCTTTCACCACCATAATTTTCTCACTGTTACAGTTTTTGCAAAGGTGGTTTCATTGGCATTTCCTGGAAGAGGCGAGTTCACTGGCATTTTCCTTGGTCCTCAGGGCTGTAGGCATCCCTCTAGGACTAAGGTGTGATGTTGGATACAGCATGGTCTACTCCCACCTTCCCACCTGACAGATACTTTTGGTTTTCCAGAGTGTTGATGTACTAGGCATGTATCTTAACATTGTGCCTTACATCATGTAAGTGTCCAGTCAGTTGCAATATTTCTCTTCAAATTCATAGATGTCTTTCAGTATTCAAGTTCTTAAAAGTGTTGTGGGCCAGGCCCACGCTTGTTATCCCAGCACTTTAGGAGGCCAAGGCGGGCGAATCACGAGGTCAAGAGATCGAGACCATCCTGGCCAACATGGTGAAACCCCGTTTCTACTAAAAATACAAAAATTAGCTGGGTGTGGTGGTGCATGCCTGTAGTCCCAGCTACTCGGGAGGCCGAGGCAGGAGAATCGCTTGAACCCGGGAGGCAGAGGTTGCAGTGAACCGAGATTGCACCACTGCACTCCAGCCTGGGTGAGAAAGTGAGACTGCGTCTCAAAAAAAAAAAAAAGTGTGCGTCCAGCTCTCTGTAGCACCTGCCTGGTAAAGCATTCCTCTTTATGGTGCCCAAAACAATGTCATTCAAGTCAAAGAGTGTGTCTTGTTTTCTAAATCCCAAAAGAGGTGGCCAAGTTCCCTTTCCCCTGGGCCATTCTGTTCGTAAATTTTAGGCGTCCAGTGGCTCTCTATCAGGAGACCTGTTTCTTGGAGGGTCATGCAAGAGCTATTGGAATCCCTTGTTGCACTCAGATGTCCTTTTGGGTACCTTTCTGAGGAATGGCTACCAGAACTATGCCCAGCAATGTAGCTACGCACATTGGAATTTCGCACACAAAGGCAAATGCATTTGATGTCCTTCCTGGTGCTGTGGGGAGATGGGGAGTGTAGAAAACCAGAAAACTGAGCTCAGAAACAGAAGGCAGGCTGGGCACAGTGGTTCATGCCTGGCATCCCAGCCCTTCAGGAGGCTGAGGCGGGCGGATCACTTGAGCCCAGGAGTTTGAGACCAGCCTGGGCAACATGGTGAAAACCTGTCTCTATAAAAAATACAAAAATTAGCTGGGTGTGGTGGTGTGCACCTGTAGTCCCAGCTACTCAGGAGGCTGAGGTGGGGTGAACGCTTAAACCTGGGAGGTTGAGGCTGCAGTGAGCCATGATCACACCACTGCACTCCAGCCTGGGCAACAGAGCTAGACCCTGTCTTAAAGAAAGGAGAGAGAGGCCGGGTGCGGTGGCTCATGCCTATTATCCCAGCACTTTGGGAGGCTGAGGCGGGCGGATCACCTGAGGTTGGGAGTTGAAGACCAGCCTGACCAACATGGAGAAACCCCGTCTCTACTAAAAATACAAAATTAGCCGGGCGTGGTGGCGCATGCCTGTAATCCCAGCTACTCGGGAAGCTGAGGCAGGAGAATTGCTTGAACCTGGGAGGCGGAGGTTTCGGTGAGCCAAGATGGTGCTGTTGCACTCCAGTCTGGGCAATAAGAGTGAAACTTCGTCTCAAGAAAAAAGGAGAGAAAGAAGGGGGAGGAAAGGAAAAAAAACAGAAGGCACGGGCTCCAGCCCTGTCTCTCTGTGGCTGCGTGCCGTTGGGTCTTGAAGGCTCTTTGCTCCTCTGTAGGAAGACTGGGAGGGTAACGCAGTACACGAAGAGGGAAAGAGATGGGGGAGGTAGTGCTGGTCATTGTGGCTGCTTGACTCCGAAACCACGAGGCTTAAAGCAGCAGCGGCTCTGCGCTCTGGGCTGGCTCCGCCAGACAGTGGACAGTGAACAGTGGACAGTGCTGCAGCTCTTGCTGCTGGTCGCTCGCGTGGCTGTGCTCAGCTGGCGTGGGCTCAGGGCTGGGCTGCCGGGGTGGGTGGGCTTCTCCGTGTGTCGTCTCGGGGCCTCTCCCTCCCCTTCTTTCACAGGGCTCAGGGCTCCTCAGTACAAAAGCAGCAGCTGCCAGCCCTTCTTCAGGCATCAACCTGGAACATGCTTCCTGCCACTTTCCTGCGTTCCGTGGGTTAACTAAGTGCGAGCCCAGTTCCGGTTCTTTGGGAGGACTGGCTCTTTAGGGGCCGCCAAAATAACAGCACAGAGCTTCTGCCTGTCCTTTCCCTCCCCAGAGGGGCGAGACTGCAAATGGAAGCAGCTCGGCCTGGCTCCTAGTGCCCATCCCCACAGCCATTCCCCAGGGAGCACC
This sequence comes from Homo sapiens, assembly GCF_000001405.40. Lineage (NCBI taxonomy): Eukaryota > Metazoa > Chordata > Mammalia > Primates > Hominidae > Homo > Homo sapiens. The sequence continues at coordinate 3,790,789 of NC_000001.11, read as the reverse complement.
CCCAAGCCTGGGCTGGGACCTGCAGTGCAAAGGCCCTGACCCTCTTTCCTCCCAGCCACTGGGGACGAGGCCTCTGCTGTCCTATGGCCTCAGCAGTAGCTCTGCCTGCGTGGGAGCCTGGCTTCCCCAGTGTCCTGGCCTCAGAGCCACGTGGCTTGCTGAGACCTGAGAGCACCCGGCCGGCCCTCCCTGGCTGCTTCCCGCTGCTGTGGCCCGTGGGGCTCAGCTGGCAGTGCTGTGGTGAGCCGAGGATGGGGGCACGTCACACCTCTCCTGACTGCATTGTAAGTGGCCATCACGCAGGCGTGTGGTGTCCGTGTGGGAATGAGGGATGGATGGGACAGATGTTACCTGAACAGCTGATGTGGGCAGGACGGTGCCTTAGTAAAGACATCCTTTCAGGCCCTGGGCCACTCCCCTCCCAAGGCCAAGCTGCACAGGGGAGTTCAGCCTCAATGTGAACCCTCCTGAAGCCAAAGGCTCTCCCCCAGCTTCCGAGTTTCTCAGTTGCTGCCGGAGGGAGTGGGGCTCACTCAGGGGCTGGCGCTCCTTATTGGGTTGGTTTATGTCAGCCTGTCACCACCATGAAGTTAGGATCCTTCCCCGGCAGCAGGTCCCCTGCAAAAGCCATGGGCCCGGAAGGCAGCCGGTATGCCAGGCCAGAGTCAGGACCCACGTTGCTGCCGTCAGCTTAGCCACTGCGAGGGTTGTGTTTCCTGCAGTAGAGTGTCAGCTCCGGGTGACAGGTGACGGCATTTCATCCCATCAGGTGTCAGGAGGACCCCTAGCCACCCCCTGTGTAACTCATCCTCCCCAAAGCCAGTGTGCACCTCACATCCTTGCGGGCGCGCCTGCTTGCTCCCTCACACAAGTGAAAACTGACGCCACCCTCATCCACCCTTCATGTGTGAAATCTCTGGCTTCATTTCCTGCTGAGGCCGCCACTGGGTGCCCAGTGCTGGCCTGAGGGGCCAGCGTGCGACCTCGTCAGCAGGGCCTTGCATTTCTGACAAGGACTCCCCAACATGTGCGGCTTTGCGCCCCACCCAGATGGTGACTCTCTTGCCCTCCCTCTTGCTCTCCTTCCCCCGCTTCCCTTCCTGTCCCCTGACTCCCCACAGAGCCTCCAGGCAGGTCCTGAGCTGCTCAGATGCCCTTTCTCTGACAGTCTTTGCCTGGAAGGAAGACCCTTCTCCGAGTGCCCGCCATCATCCTTTCGGGGACTCACTGCAGGCTGCAGGCTGAACTGGCTGTGGCTGCTCTGGGCGCCCCGGTGGGGCCCCGCCCGCCTCCTTCGCCTCTGCTGCTGCTCCTGGGTCTGAAGGAACTTGCTCTTTGTCAGCGGAGGGAGACGCCGCACTGCGTGTTTGCAGGCAGAAAGGAGGTTCCACTTGAGGGGAACTCTCAAGCTTTTTGACCAAAGCCCCTTAGGGCAGCGCAGAAACCCACAGAGCAGAACCTCAGATGCCTGTGCCCCCGAGCTTCCAACCTCAGAGCTTCCCTTGGCCTCTGCCAGGCAGGCTGTGCCCTGGGCTGGTGGCCCAGGCTGGTTCTAACGCTGGAGCCAGGGCTCTGACAGGGAGGTGAGGAGCTCTAGAAGGCTGAGCTCACGGCCGCACTGTTCCTGGTGCTGCAGGCTGGCGACAGCATTGGTGATACGGCTCCTGGTACTTTGTGAGGCCACCTGGATTCCAGGAGTAGATTGGCTCTCGTCCCATGTGGGGCCGGAAGGGAGGTCTGGGCTGGAGCCACCAGTCCAACAAGTCTATCCCAGCCCAGCCCACCCTGTGCTGAGAAGCACAGAATTGTGGCAGTTCTGTTAGATCCGATGGACGCGTGGCTCAGGTAGTGCCCAGCAGCTGGGCTTGGTCTCAGCCCCTGCCTTGTGTTCTTCCCCAGCAGGCGTCACTGCTGCTTAGACTGCCCCATTCTCTCCCAGAGGGCACGCGAGCCCTTTTATTTCTTTTACACATGCTGTTCCTGCTTGACTGTTAAGTTGTCGCTTCCTCCCTGGGTCTCTGTTCTCCCTGAGGGAACTCATCCAGTGCACCCTCCCATGTCTGAGCCGTGCCACCCTTCCCGCTTCTGAGCGCCATCCCATTTCTGAGCCATGCTGCCCTTACCCGTGTCTGAGCAGCTTGATTGCTTGAGCCGGAGGATTCCAGCAGGTTCCTTTTTTCATTTCCTTCACAACTTGGGGCTTGAGAAATTCCATCACCCCTGCCATCCATTCCAGGCGAAGCAGGAGGTGTCCTCTGAGTAATCAGCCCATCCCCAACTCTGTTCAGAGTCTATCAAGTCCAGCCCTACCTGTCTCCTCCACACCCAGTGTAACTAGGACTCACCAGCCACACTGACCAAGGGCGAGTGCTGGCTTCCAGGGGGCCCACATGCTGTTGCCTCCTCTCTGGGGGCAGAGCCGGCACCGAGGCTGCCAGAGATCCCCGAGGGTCAGGCTTTGCATCCTGAGCAGGGTCTTCCTCCAGCCCTAGAGGAAGCTGGGACAGAAGGGTTTGCTCGCAGTGCCTGCCCCACCACCCAGGCAAGGCTGTGGGGCCTGGGTACCAAGCCAGGAAAGAGCAGAGTGGAGGCGGATGGGCCCCTTTTGCCTGAACCTGCAGCGGCCGCCTCACGTCATGGAAGTGGCTGCCCTCACACGCACGTTCCCTGCGCTGCCCAGACCCTGGGAAAGACATCCTAAGAGTGCATCAGGTGCCACTGTACCCCTTCCATCCTTTCAGTGAGGTCACCTGCACGTTTTGCCAAAGTCTGATCAGTCACGGTCATAGAAAACGCTTTCCCGTGGGCCACGGGGCTTCCTGGGCATCTTTGTGGCACACGGTGGTGGGCCCGATGCACCTGTCCTGGGTCAGACGAAGGCTGAGAACCCATCGCCGTTGAAGTCGGCTTTCCCCTTTCCTTCCTGCGTGAACCCTGAGAGCACTCTGTGTGTCACTGCGGGCAACTTTGCACTTCATTATGAAGAAGAATGCTCTTAGAGATTTTGCTGTATTTTTTTTTTAGCTCATTTAATTAAAAAAAATAACACCACTTTGGGGAACCTGCTTCTCACCTGAGCAGTCCTGGCTAGGTCCCGACATGAGGTCACGTTTCACACCCAGACATCCCCTGTCTCTTGTCACCTTTCTGTTCTCTAACGTGATGATTGAGCTGCAGGGCTGCTGTGGTTGTTAAAGAGGGTGACATGTTTGAGTCAGAAGCTTTTGCAGAGATCACTGTTAACCGTGGCTGACGCCTTCTCCTCGGAGAGGCTCCTCGGATAGTGCCTTTGATGTGGGGTGCAGAGCTGGGGAAGTGACTCAAAGGTGAATGACTTGTGGCTCCCCAGGGACGCGTCCCCACAGACAGGCCAGTGGTGGCTCTTGTGAGTGATGAGTGGTCTCCCTGCCTCTCGAGCATGACCTTGGACTCTCTTCCCAGAGTCCGGGCGTCTGACGCGTCCATGTTTCTCTTTGCAGACGTTGGACCTCTCGAACAACCAGCTGAGCGAGATCCCTGCAGAGCTTGCGGACTGCCCCAAGCTCAAGGAGATCAATTTCCGTGGGAACAAGCTGAGGGACAAGCGCCTGGAGAAGATGGTCAGCGGCTGCCAGACCAGATCCATCCTGGAGTACCTGCGCGTCGGAGGCCGTGGTGGCGGGAAGGGCAAGGGCCGTGCCGAGGGCTCGGAGAAGGAAGAGAGCCGGAGGAAGAGGAGGGAGAGGAAGCAGAGGCGGGAAGGTGGTGATGGGGAGGAGCAGGACGTGGGAGATGCCGGCCGGCTGCTGCTCAGGGTCCTGCACGTCTCTGAAAACCCCGTACCTCTGACAGTCAGAGTGAGCCCCGAGGTCCGGGATGTGCGGCCCTACATTGTGGGGGCCGTGGTGCGAGGCATGGACCTGCAGCCAGGGAATGCACTCAAGCGCTTCCTCACCTCGCAGGTGGGTGCCCGTGGGGGTCCTCAGATGACTGGGACAGAGGTGTGAGACGCCGCAAGCTGGGACACATCCTGAGGCCAGCGTGTCCGAAGGAGCAGCAGTGGAGTATGGGGCCCAGCCGGGTGTCTGTGTGCTTCAGTTTCCTCAGCTCCAAAAAGGGAATAGAGCAGGTTCTGGCTCAGGTGTTGCTGAGGAGGGGGTAAGGCCTCAGTCCCCTCCGGGAGGCAGGTGTCTCCAGCGTGGAGATGGCCTCTTCACAGACGCCTGCACCCTGGCCTGGTTGGTCCTGGTCACTGGTCGTATCCCTTGCTCCTCCACATATGGTGTTAACGGTTTATCCTGATTTTTTTTTTTTAAGGAGTCTCGCTTTGTCTCCCAGGCTGGAGTACGGTGGCGCAGTCTAATCTCACTGTAGCGTCCGCCTCCTGGGTTCAAGTGATTCTCCTGCCTCAGCCTGCTGAGTAGCTGGCATTACAGGTGCTCACCATCATGTCTGGCTAATTTTTTTGTATTTTTAAAAGAGATGAGGTTTCACCATGTTGGCCAGGTTGGTCTTGAACTCCTGACCTCAAGCAGTCCACCCGCCTTGGCCTCCCAAAGTGTGGGGATTACGGGTGTCAGCCACCACACCTGGCCTATCCTAATTTCTGGATAGCTTTATTGCAGTTGAAAATCAGGGTTCCAGCTGGTGCGGTGGCTCACGCCTGTAATCCCAGCACTTCAGGAGGCCGAGGTGGGTGCATCACCTGAGGTCAGGAGTTTGAGACCAGCCTGGACAACATGACGAAACCCCATCTCTACCGAAAACACAAAAATTAGCCAGGCGTGGTGGTGAGCACCTTTAATCCCAGCTACTGGGGAGGCCGAGGCAGGAGAATCACTTGAACCTGGGAGGTGGAGGTTGCAGTGAGCCAAGATTGCACCACCGCATTCCAGCCTGGGTGACACAGCAAGACTCCATCTCAAAAAAAAAAAAAAAGGAAAATCAGGGTTCCTTGATTTTTTGATATTTTGGTGGGTTTTCTGACTTCTGCAGTAAATCACACATTTTGTTTTATGTAAGACAGTATTAAAGTCATCAACTCTTGCCAGCACATTCTTCTGTGAATTGTTTAGGTTTTGGCAAGACTAACTTCCCAGTTGCTTTTCTGTGACACCTGACCAACTTTTAAAATATAAAGCACCTCTGTGCCCAGGGGAAAGTCTCGTGCGCCCCGCAGTGGCAGCGACAGAGCATGGCGGGCCGAGAGTGACTGTCGTGAGAGTCCTGCCTGCAGCTTGGGGAGGAAGGGAACAGGCATCACAGCCAGGGCTTTACAACTTAAAGCTCAGCCTTTATTTACATTTTAGTTCAAGATGGGTTCTTTGAAATCTCAAATATTATGTCAGAATTAGAGAAGGAAGAAAGTCTGCTGATTGATAGGTTAAGATAGTTTTCCTGATGGTGATTCCACAAAGTGAGTGCCTGGCTGGCCGGGTGGAGAGGAGTTGGAGGGGAGCCCTGTCTCGGAAAGGGGCGTGGCGTGGTTGTGAAGACCTTGGACCGGGAGGGTTTCCTGGCACACAGCCCAGCCAAGGGTGAAGTGTGGACACCTCGCTGGGCTTCAGGGCACAAGAGACCTTGCTCATCACTGCTTCTGTGTTACAGACCAAGCTCCACGAAGATCTCTGTGAGAAGAGGACGGCTGCCACCCTTGCCACCCACGAGCTCCGTGCCGTCAAAGGGCCCCTGCTGTACTGCGCCCGGCCCCCACAGGACCTCAAGGTGCTGCAGCCTCCTTTGCAGGGTCTGCTGAAGAGTCTCCTTGGTGTCGAAAGACGCCATGCTGCTACTGCAGCCCGAACTTTTTTTTTTTTTGGAGATGGAGTTCCATTGTTGCCCAGGCTGGAGTGCAGTGGCACAATCTCGGCTCACTGCAGCCTCTGCCTCCTGGGTTGAAGCGATTCTCCTGCTTCAGCCTCCCGAATAGCTGAGTTTACAGGCATGTGCCACCACGCCCAGCTAATTTTGTATTTTTAGTAGAGACGAGGTTTCTCCATGTTGGTCAGGCTGGTCTCAAACTCCAGGCCTCAGGTGATCCGCCCAACTTGGCCTCCCAAAGTGCTGGGATTACAGGCGTAAGCCACCGCACCCGGCCTGAACATTTTCTTTAGAGTAGGATCCGATGCTGTTCTTGCAAAGACATGAAATAATGAAACAGACCGCGTTTGCGGTTACTCGAAGCGGTGCACAGCTGTGAGAGGACTCGGCGGATGAGCAGTCGTTGGGAAAATGGTTTCCTTCACTCGCTCACTACCTTTTAATCAGAAATTTTGGTCTCTGTCCCGATAGTAAAACCGTTTGCGTGGGGTTGGCAGTAGGGTGAGTTGCTGTGTCGTGCTGTCCTGGGCTGTTGAATCTGTGGAGTGCACGAGGTCCCGGCTGCTCAGCCTTTCTCTCCTCTTTTGGCCTTCTGAGGATGGCAGACCTCTGGAAACAGTTGTGCATGAGCTGGCTTTAAGGTTAAGCCCTGCCTCAGTAGGATCGGTGTGTTTGGGCGTCAGGTCTCCCCGGGACGCTGCAGTGGCAGCCCACATGCAGCTTCTTGCTGCGTGGTCCCGTGGGATGCTCCCTGCCTGCTGTAGAGATGAATGAGGGCGGGAGTCGGGAGGGCTCATTGAGGCTTAAGGCCGTAATCGACACGATGGGCGAGTTCTGTGGCTGTGACCCTAGTGGAGTTTGTGGGTTTCTGCCCGATAGATTGTCCCCTTGGGGCGGAAAGAAGCCAAGGCCAAGGAGCTGGTGCGGCAGCTGCAGCTGGAGGCCGAGGAGCAGAGGAAGCAGAAGAAGCGGCAGAGTGTGTCGGGCCTGCACAGGTGGGCAGCGTGCCTGGTGGGGTGGGGCCGGGCCCGGGGGAGTGCCGCATGCTGGCCTCAGCTGAGTTAGTCTGTGCTCCTCAGGAACCGCCTAATGCTACCAGAACCCAGAAGCTTCTTAACAGGGTACAAAGAAAGCATTCTCTTTCCAAAGGAGACGTTGTGGAACCAGTCTGTCATCTAGATGGCCCTGACGTGAGGGAAGTGGAAGGTGTTAGGAGCGGAGGTATTGGCCATTCCACAGGGGGCGGGTGGCCCTCAGGATGGGACAGGACAGGATATAAACTAGCCATTAGGAAACAGACATAAATGCCAGCCCAACCCACAGCATTTTATCCATACCGTGCGCTGTTGGGTATCATCCAAGTCAGGGTCCTTGGTGCTGCTCTAAGCAAGATGATCATCCGTAACTAGCCCAGTGATTTCTGTAAACACAGGCTTCAGAATACTTTGTTCTTTGAAGCTTGTTATGCTTGGGCCCTTGATATTACACTTAATTTGTGTAAAGAACTTTTTGAGTCGTCCATTTTACCCTTTAGGTATGTTTTCAGGTGTGTGCTTTTTTTTTTTTTTTTGAGATGGGGTCTCACTCTTGTCGCCCAGGCTGGAGTGCAATGGCACGATCTTGGCTCACTGCAACCTCCACCTCCTAGGTTCAAGCGATTCTGCCGCCTCAGCCTCCCGAGTAGCTGGGATTACAGGCGCCTGCCACCATGCCTGGCTAATATTTGTGTTTTTAGTAGAGACGGGGTTTCGCCATGTTAGCCAGGCTGGTCCTGAACTCCTGACTTCAAGCAGTCTGCCTGCCTCAGCCTCCCAAACTGCTAGGATTACAGGCGTGAGCCACCACGCCCAGCTGTGCCTTTTTTCTTTTTTTTTTTTTTTAAGATGTGGTCGCGCCATGTTGCCCAGGCTGGAGTGAGGTGGCTAATCATAGGCGCAGTCCCACTACTGATCAGCACCGGAGCTTTTTGTCCTGCTCTGTTTCTGACCTGGGCTGGTTCACTCCTCTTTAGGCAGCCTGGTGGTCCTCCACTCCCAGGAGCTCACCATAGTGATGACAGACTTAGCGTAGACACTCCATTGGCACAGCACACCCCAGCCAACTCCTGGGCCCATGCAGCCCTCCTGTCTCAGCCTCCTGAGTGCTGGGACCACAGGCACATGCCACCACACCCAGCACAGTGTTTCTTTTATAATTATGCCTGGAATTTGTATTTCTTCCCATACAGATACCTTCACTTGCTGGATGGAAATGAAAATTACCCGTGTCTTGTGGATGCAGACGGTGATGTGATTTCCTTCCCACCAATAACCAACAGTGAGAAGACAAAGGTAGGGTGGCATGTGTGTGAACATGGTGTGTCTTCTAGGCTGTTCCCTGTAGAATTAACACAAGTCTGCGGGGCGTGGTGGCTCAACACCGGTAATCCCAGCATTTTGGGAGACCGAGGTGGGCGGATCACCTGAGGTCAGGAGTTCAAGACCAGCCTGACCAATATGGAGAAACCCTGTCTTTAGTAAAAATACAAAATTCGCCGGGCGTGGCGGTGCATGCCTGTAATCCCAGCTACTCGGGAGGCTGAGGCAGGAGAATCACTTGAACCTGGAAGGCTGAGCATAGTGGCACATACCTGTAGTCTCAGCTACTCAGGAGGCTGAGGCAGGAGAATCGCTTGAACCCCAGGAGACAGAGGTTGCAGTGAGTCGAGATCGCGCCATTCCACTCCAGCCTGGGCAACAAGAGTGAAACTCCGTCTCCAGAAAAAAAAAAAGAAGAGGAAGAAAGAAAAAGAATTAACACACACAAGTATCTGCTGCATTGTGAGGTTTCATTGTGTGCAATAGAAAACGCAGCCCAGAGGGGTCAAAGGGCCCCCTGGCTTCTCAGAGCTACAGCTCACTGTTCATGCTCGGTGCTGCGTGACGGCCCGGGATGCTGTGTGCAGCACTGCAGTCTTCCTCTGTAAGGAGTGGGCTTGGTGTGTGTGACGCCATCTGCTTAATTGATTGATTGAGATAGGTCTTGCTGTGTTGCCGAAGTTGGAGTGCAGTGGCAAGATCATAGCTCACTGCAGCCTCAAACTCTTGGGCTTAAGCGATCCTCCCATGTCAGCCTCCTGAGTAGCTGGGACCACAGGTGCATGGCACCACACCTGGCTAATTTTTGTATTTTTTTGTAGAGATGGGGTCTTGCTGTGTTGTCCAGGCTGGTCTTGAACTCCTGAGCTCAAGCAATCCTCCCACATCAACCTCCCAAAGTGCTGGATTTACAGGTGTGAGCCACTGTGCCTGGCCACACAGTTTTGTAGATTTTTCCTGAGAACAAATGTTGCAGTTGCTGATGTCTACATTTGATAACTGTTCTTTTCTGAAATGTTTTTTTCTTTTAAGGTTAAGAAAACGACTTCTGATTTGTTTTTGGAAGTAACAAGTGCCACCAGTCTGCAGATTTGCAAGGATGTCATGGATGCCCTCATTCTGGTGAGTGTGGGGTGGCTCCTCCTGAGAAACGCTTTTGAGCGTGAGTGGTGCTCTGCTCCTTGACTTCCCACCCGTCCTGCTTGCCTCTTTTTTGCTTACTGTGTTGGCAGACAGCAGCATGTCTTCCCTGGGTCACCTCTCATCTCCAGGTTAAAAAGGTATTTTTTATTTGCAGAAAATGGCAGAAATGAAAAAGTACACTTTAGAAAATAAAGAGGAAGGATCACTCTCAGATACTGAAGCCGATGCAGTCTCTGGACAACTTCCAGATCCCACAACGAATCCCAGTGCTGGAAAGGACGGGCCCTCCCTTCTGGTGGTGGAGCAGGTCCGGGTGGTGGATCTGGAAGGGAGCCTGAAGGTGGTGTACCCGTCCAAGGCCGACCTGGCCACTGCCCCTCCCCACGTGACTGTCGTGCGCTGACGCCAGGGCCGCCTGTCCGCGTTTGTTTGGCCGGTTTTGCGGAGGTTTCTATGCGGCAATGCTGAATTATCCGTTAGATTTTCACCCCAGTTTTTTTGTTGGTTTTTTTTTTTGAGATGGAGTCTCGCTCTGTCGCCAGGCTGGAGTGCAGTGGCGTGATCTCGAGTCACTGCAGCCTGTGTCTCCTGGGTTCAAGCGATTCTCCTGCCTCAGCCTCCCAAGTAGCTGGGACTACAGGTGTGTGCCACTAAGCTCAGCTAATTTTTGTATTTTTAGTAGAGACGGGGTTTCACCATTTTGACCAGGATGGTCTTGATCTCTTGACCTCATGATCTGTCCACCTCTGCCCCTCAAAGTGCTGGGATTACGTGATCCACCCGCCTCAGCCTCCCAAAGTGCTGGGATTACAGGCGTGAGCTGTGCCTGGCCCACCCCAGCATTTTTTAAGATGTATGTATTCGTTGTTCTGTTTTTCCAGATGATTCTGTCGTAAAGTGATGCTATGTTGTCGTTACAACATCAAAGTGATTTTACGGTTTTTGATGGGATTATTCAAGTGTCAGAATTAACTGTTCAAAATGTTCTGAATCATGTAGATACATGGCAGGTAACTGTTTATGGGAGAAAAGTACAGTGCTGTTACGTGGCACTGTACAGTCATGTGCCACGTAACAGCGTCTGGGTCAGTGACGGACACTTACCTGACAGCGGATCCACAATATTCTCGTGCAGTGTGTTTGGAATCCTGGTCTGGGCTCTCGTCGTTGGCCTTGTAGATCAAGTAGGGGAAGTGAGTGATGTTCAGTCATGCTGCTGGGACACTTGGTTTTCCAGATGAAAACACATAAATAAAACTACATGCACCATCGAGGCTTGTGTAAAGACTCTGTGATCACACAGCAGCGGCTAAGCACACGTTTCTCATGTGTCACTGAGCGACACGTGACTGTCACTGGTTCGGAGACCCGAAAACTTGGGAAGCCAACCGATGTGCGTTTCCTTGAACGGCACGGTCACTTTCTATGACGCAGCATCTTGTAAAACCATATCATGCCAGGATGCAGCTTGGCATGTGCAAGGGCGTTGGGTTCTCCAGCTGGCAGTGATCATAATCTTGGGGGGAAAAGTTTTAATGTGACCTTAGAATTGGCAGAATTGCGTCTCTTCATACTGCTGTTGGATTGCTTTGTGGGGGTGGAGATGTGGAGACCCCTTCAGGCAAGCAGCCTGTAGGCTGAAGGCAGTGGCAGCACCTCACCCTGGCTCAGCGGGGCCAAGCGGAGGAGAGCGGCATCGGTGGGGTTTCCATCGTGTGCACGCTGGTGCTGCAGTGACAGGCAGGTGGAGCCCCAGGAGTGGACCAGACGCCTCTGCTTGGGAAGCATCGGCAGTCCTCAGCCAGCCGAGGGACAGATGGTAGCAAAAGCTGGAGGATGCTTAGGTTTTTGAGCCAAAAATCTTCATTTATGCGCCAGAAAGGTGGGTCCTGGGCGCCTTCTGTTGTAGACGTTTCCGTTGTGAATGTCCAGGTCAGACCCCCACGTCCATGTGTCTTCGTGTATGTCCAGGCACCACATGTGCGTGCACACCACTCCCGGGAGTCAGTGTGCTTGGCTCATGAGGACACGGCCAGCCACCGCGATGATTTTACAGACCCCACTGCCTTACGATCTGGGTGCCATGTGAGAAGCAGACTCATCAGCTTTATCGAATGACACCATTTGTTCTCTGTTCAGTGTCTCGATTTCTGTGTCTGTAGAAATGACTGGTGATTTTGGGAAGCATCTGCAAGAGCCCCACAGCCCACACACCTTTAGTTGTCAACCTGAGAGGCCCGGGGCCCTGTGCAGTGGGCAGACTAACAGCTGGGTGGCTCTTCAGAGCCTTGCAGGACATGGGCCAGGCTGCCTTGAGACCTGGACCCACTTGTCTGGTCACCGCCAGGCCTTCCCGTCTCGCCCACTGTGGGAGGGAGGGGACTCCAGACAGGACGAGGCCCACACACTCAGTGCCAGCTGGACTGCCGTGGGTGTGTCAGATGACTGCCTTGCCTTGTGTCCTCCCAAAACCTGATTCCTGCTGCTCTGGGCAGTCAAGGCAGATGCCACAGTTGGCCAGGGGCCTGCCCTGCTGGAGGCTTGAGGCGGCACGGGGGCTTCCCCAGGCCAGGACTCTGCTGGAGTTCTGGGGCTGGGGACCCCAGACAGTTGCTCTGAGAGGTGATTTGGGGCTGCCATGGCAGAGGCTGCCCTTTCTCTGCATGGCCCGGCCCAGCCCGGGAAGGAGGAAGGGAGGAAGGGAGGGATGCTGGAGCTGCCATCTTGGCTCCCGGGGACTTGGTGTCCATGCTGTAACACATCTGTCACTGCGTGGGTGTGGATGAGGCTGCCACATGCTGTGCCCTTTCCTGATGCAGCTTGTGATGCGTGAGATGCTGGAAATGTATTTAACTCGCAGCACAGGTGTCTCTGATGTTTTCTTCACCCCACCCCACCCCCCGACTCACTAATAAAAACAGCTCCGCACCTGGCCCAGCAGATCCTTTCCCACCGGCACTGCCAGAGGTTGTTGCTCGAAGTGTCACAAAGCTCACTCTAGCCCAGTGGTGGCTTCTATGTGGGGAGGCTGAGGGCCTCCTGTCCCCACCCAGATCTTGCCAGCAGGGAGCAAGAGGCACCTGCCACTGTCATGGGGAAGCTGGTGCCCTTGACCAGGGGTCCTGGGAACTGGCCTCACCCTGCTGGGCCCCTGCCTGGAGCACAAGGTGGACCAGAGGTGTCGGGCTGCCTGGATACCCCAGGTGCACAGTCAGAGGAGCCCAGGCCCCAGACGCATCCACAGCAGATCCTCCTGTTCGTGAGTCTCTGGGAGGGTAGGCCAGGCGGCCACTCAGCAGGGTCCTGTCCCATCCTCTCCCCAACCCTCCCAGAGCTGTAAGGACACTGCTCAGCTCAGCCTAGGTCCATGACCCTGGGGGTACTGGGGCTGGAGCTGCTGTCTCCACCATGGTCACTTAGGGGACAAGTGGTGTGCCCGAGAGGCGGCTGTGGGTTACTTGAGTGCCTGGCCCAATGAGCACCCGTGGGTGTCTGCCTGTAGCCTCCCCTGCTGGGGCTGGCAGGGCTGCTGGTGGAGCCCCTGGCTGAAGATGCTGGGCCCCTGCCAGGGCGGACCCAGATGCAGCCAGACAGATCCAGGGCAGACCCGACATGCGCCTGTGCCATCTGATGCCAGCCCCTGACAGGTGGGAAGGAGCATTTGTGGGGGTGCGTGGGCATCACTGGCATGCGGGACCCGTGGCAGAAGCACCAGGGCCACTTCCCCTCTGACTGTAGAACTGGGACAGCTCCCATCCCCATCCTGTGCCCTCGCCTGTCTCCTGGGCCGCACCAGTTCTTGGGGAGGCCCAGCCCCAGGACCCCCAGGTCGGAGTGCTGCCTTCTGGGGCCCATGCAGCCAAACTGCTGGGCCCAGCGGCCTCTGCCACTTCCTTACAGCAGCCCCAAGGCAGTGCTGTCCTGTGAAGCTGGGCTTCAGGGAGGGTACCAGCTGGCTACTCCTTTCCCTCCTTGGGAGTGGCAGGTCAGAGGTAGGGATCTCTTTTTGAAGATCCAGGCTGTCATGGGGCTGGGGCAGGCAGCAGCCCACCCAACAACAGGCTCCCAGGAAAGCATCATTGCTTCAGACCGCAGCCCAGGACAGGCCCTTGGGCTCCCTCCTTGGGTTTGGAGCCAGGAGCCTTGGGGCAGTGTGCAATCAGCCATGCAGCTCCACCTGCCACCGGCTGGCCCAGGCAGATCTCAAGTGAGCCTGCTCGCCCCAAAGGCGGATGATGTGGAGTCTGCCTCCCTACCAAGACTGGCGCAGCCCCTCCTGTTTACCTGACTTGATGCTTTCGGCGGGACCTGGCCTGGGGCAGGCGCAGCCTCAGCCCTCCAATAACCTCATCTGGCCCTGTGGCCTCCCTTCTCTGTGCCCGTGAGGATAGTGGCTGCCCGTGTCTCCCACCCCCAGCCCTGGGGTGAGGACCCCTTCCCTAAGGGGATGTTTCTGGCAAGGCTTTTTGGGATCTTTTGTGGTAGGTGAGGGCCAAACACAAGACCCAGGAAAGCACCTACCAAGAGAATGGAGGTTGGGACCGGGGGCTGGGACTGGAGGCCAGGATCGGGGTGGGGGGAATGGGACCGAAGTCCCTGGGACACAGCTGAGGTCCAGCCACATCCGGGTCCCCAGGCCTGCCGGCTGTCCTCGCCAGAGGGCCCAATTGGTAGGGGTGCATTCCTAGAGCCACATGGGAGGGGGGCCTGCCCCGGGGAAACAAGCCCTTCCCACAGCCTTCCTGGATGTCACGCCTGGCCAGGTAACTATGGCAAGGGCTGTCATCCACCGTTCATTCAACAGACACTTAATGCCTCTGTACACAGGCTCTTGGCCCACAAGGAGTACTTGGAGGGACCAGGCCCATCCCTGGGGAGGGAGGGTAGACCCGGGTCCTCCCTGGCAGCCGCCGGCCCCAAGAGGGACACACCCAGCCTCTGCGCGTGGTGGGCTGCCTAGGAAGAACTGTGCCCACTTACTAAGGAAGATATGGTGCATCTGAGACAAGGGCGGGGGACACATAGCCACCCTTACAAAACCAGGAGTCAGAAAGGCCCAGAGAGGACAGGGGCCTGCCCAGGGCCACACAGCTCTGCACACTGCTCCCACGGAGGAAAGCAGCCGGGAGGATCCCACCCCGGGGGGCTGCCAGGGAGGTGGGCTCGGTTTGTCCGCTGAAGGAACCCCTCATCCTGGCCTTCACAAGGGAAGGGGCTGGGCCCTGGGAGAGAGGAGGCTGTAGCTGGGGGCTCCAGGCCGCAGGGCCCAGCCTGGGTGTGTCCTGCAGCTCCTGCTGAGGCTGGGCCCAGGCCTCCCAGCCACGTGTGCCCAGCTGTTTGTAGGTCCTTTGAAGGGCTGTGTGCCAGGTGTTTGTGCGCCCCCGTGTGGGGCCGATGACAGCTGTGCACCTGGTGTCTTCGTGTGCCTGGCTGCCAGCGCGTGTGCCCTGTGCGCTGTGTGTGCCGCAGGGTCCGTGTCTGTGGGGGGGTCCATGTGTACAAGGGGTGTGTCTCCAGGCCTGTGCTCTCACGTGTGCGGCCAGCCCCCCGCGTGCATGCGGGGCAGCATTTATTTGCACTTGTGCACATAGTAGCCTGTGAGGTAGCCCAGGATGAAGATGATCCAGAAGAGGGCCACGCCGCCCAGCACCTTCATGGCGATGCCCAGCTTGCCCGTGCACAGCCTCTGGGAGATCCTGGGGTGAGAACCAACTGGAGGTGAGCCCCAGGCCAGGGCCGCATGAGGGGCCCCCTAAGTGGACTGTGGCCGTTGGTCTGGGTCAGGGGGAGGGGCCTGGGCGCTCTGCTGGAGTCAAGAGGAAGCTCTCCCCGCCCACAGCCAACCAGAGGGAAGGCCAAAGGCTGCGGTTTGCTGAGCTGCTGGACCGTGGGCTCCCAGCCAGGATGGGGTGGAGGGTGATGGGGCCGGTAGCAGGGGTTAGGGCAGGCGTCTCTGGAGGGAGACACCAGCCTGCTATGGCTGGCAGGCTGCCCTCAGGCCCCTCACCTGCGGCAGCGTGAGGCCTCTTCTGTGCTGGACACAGCCCCTAGGCTGACTCCGTCCCTGCTGCCGTCCTCCCACCTACTATAGTGGACGTGGCTCTCCTGGGGCTGCATGCTGTGGGGCTGCAGCGGGAGGGGCGGGGCCTTCTCGGTGGGGAGATCAAGACAGGTGGCCAGGCTGTGGCTTCACTGTAAAACAAGCGGATGGAGGGCGGCAGTCAAGACCCCCTCTGAGGCTGCTGTTAGGAGAGGGGCACTAAGGGTCGGGGGCTGACTCCCTCACCGGGTCTGTCGCCTGACTTAACAGGTGACCTAGACACAAAGTGGTAGAGTCATTTGCCCAGGGTCAGGCCGGGAGGATGGGACCAAGCGAGAATTCCATCTCAGGCCAAGCCCTGACCTCAGGCATGTGGGAGGCCAGTGTTTCCTTCCAGCACACTCCAGGAGCCTCCCTTCCCCGGTGCTTTTATCAGGGAGCCTGCACAGCCTGCCACCCTCAAGAGACGAGGACATTGTGGCCCAATCTAGGCTGCAGCCCCTGATAACTGTCCCCCTCCTTAACCCTGCCCGATAAGGCGCCTTCTGGCCTCTGGGGAGGCTGGCCAGGGGAGGGGGGGGTGGGGCAGGGCAGCAGGTCCGGGGCAGCGGCTGGTACAGCTAGACCGGTCCCTGTCTGGGGAGGATGCGTGGCTGGCCCCAGGCAGTGGCAGCAGCTGTGTCCTCAGCCTGTGTGGGTTGCAGCCCCTCCCCCACCCACACCTCTAGGAGGGCTGGGGCTTGGGGGGCATGATGCACTGAGCACGGGGCCGGGGTGGATTCAAGGCCTTGGGGAGGCCCTACAGAGACAGGAGGGTCGTAGGGCTGGGTGGCTGCCCAGAGCAGGAGGGGCCCGGCCCCAAGGCCAGCTCCCTGCTGGGCTCCAACTCCTGCAGACCTGGGACTCATCTTTGCATCTCGGCACTCAGCTCGGTGCCTGGCAGCCCAAGTGCCCAGAGGGGCGAGGAGACCACGGGGACTGAGCAGGAACTCCAAGCACTAGCACAGCTGCCCGGCCGGCCTGAGCCAGCCCGGACTCTAAGCACCTCCTTTACCCTCTGGCCTCTGTTTCGACCTCCTATTTACCTAAGGGGGTGTGGGGGTGGAGGAGTTGGAGGGGGCACGAGAAGTTGACAACCCACCCAGGCTGTGGGACTGGGGTCAGCTCTCTGGTCTGCTGGGCCCCCAGTGTCCCCTCTCAGCATCTGGCCCCCAGGAGTGGGGTCCTCGGGCAGGCAATGGCAGGCCCCTCACTTCTAGGAGCTGAGGCTTTGCTGGGCCCCCTCCAGCGGGGAAGGCTGACCTTCCTCCCAGGTCATCGGCACAGAGGCCTAAAGGCACAGCAGCCACTCCCCTGCAAGAAGCCAGCTCAGAAACTCAGGCCCCAGGCAGTTCTGAGACTCCCGGCACTTCCATGTCTGCCTTCCCCCAAAGCCCAGAGAGGCAGAAGGAGCTGTCTCAAAGCCATAAAGTGTGCCTTCGGTGGGAGCCCTGGCTCAGTGCAGCCTGGCACTCAGGCCCGGAGAGGCCCAGCCTCTACTGGAGTATGGGTGCTGTTTTCCCGGAGCATGTGGAGCGGTCAGCTGCCTACCCGAGGTTCACGCCCTCTTGCCTGGTGTGCAGAATCCCATTCTGGTCCCAGCAGCAATGTGCCAGCCCCAGGTAACAGCCATGACCCGGGTAAGACAAGCTTAATACCACCACCCCTGCTTTCCCAAGTCACCCAGCTGGGGTCCAGGAGCCAGGGTGCAGCAGGGGATGGGAGAGTTTGCTTCTGTGAAAGCAGCAGCAGCCACCTCCTTCTTCCAGACTCGACGTGATGGCTGGAGCTGCTGGAGCTGCAGCAGCCGCCTTGCAACCCGACATCCACGCAGCATTAGTCTCGGGAGTGCTGAGGCTCCAAGTCCACAGCAGCAGCCCACCATGGGCCTCCCGGTGGGAGGGGTCAAGCCCAGTGTGTTCAACTCTGGGATCATGGGTTCCTGTCTTGCTGACGTAGAACACGTTGTTCCCAAGTCACCCCGGTGCACAGCCACCAGAGCCGGCCCTTGAGGCTGGCCTCCCTCACTTGCTCAGTAAACGTCTCTCCACACTCATGTGATGGTCACAGGTGTGGCGGCAGGAACCCATCAGGGACTCCCCTCCAGGCCCTGGGAGGCTCCCGGATCCTGGCACCTCCTGGGGGCTTGTGAGTGCAGGAAGGCCCTAGGTACACAGGCGCCCCTCCATAGACCTCTTCACCCCACAGCGCCTCAGGGCCCCACACTTACCCGGAGAACCTTGCCTGAGGGCTGGGGCCTCTGGGCCAGGTTGCGGTCAGGGCCTGGCCAGCGGCCCGCACCTCCCAGCGGGGCAGGTCGTGGGCTGAGGTGCGGCAGACGCCTCGAGCCTAAAAAAATAAAGGTGACCGGAGAAGCCGATCTTGCTAAGGGCCGGGAAGGGAAAGTGGCTGGTGTCGGGGGTCCCCAGCAGCCACAAGGAGCCGGGCAAGGAGCCGGGCGGGCAGTTCCGGCCCTGGCCCCGCACCGCGGGTTAGGCCGGTGGGGGTCAGTCCAGGGCACGCCCCCACCCCCGCCAGTTCTCAGCCAGCGAGGCCGCGCACAGTCGCACCTGCCCACTGCGGCCGCACCGGGAAGCCGCAGCCCGGACCCCGCGCGCCTCACCTGTGTCCCCGCGTCTCTGGGCTCCGCAGGGGCCGGGCCTGGGCAGGGGGCGAGGGCGGGGGCGGGGCCACGCGGGGAAGGGCTGGAGCCAGCAGCGGGGAGGTGTCTGGTCCGGAAGGTGGCGGGGCTAGAGTGGTGGGCGGGGCCATGCGGGGAAGGTCTGGGGCCAGTAGCGGGGAGGCGCCTGGTCCAGAAGGGGCCGGGGGCGGGGCGAGAGGGGGCGGGGCGAGAGGGGGGCGGGGCCATGCGGGGAAGGGCTAGGGCCGCAGCGGGGAGGCGCCTGGTCCAGAAGGGGCTGGGGGCGGGGCGAGTGGGGCCGGGAGACGCCTCGTCCGGAAGGGGCCGGGGCTCTAGGCCGCCCAGCCCCGGGGCCAGGAGGTGCAGGGGGGCCGGGCAGGGTCTGCAGAGGGCTGCACTTTCTGCCCCCAGACGGCTCGCCCTTGGGGCCTCCAGGGTCCCCGACCTCCTTCACCCCTGCTGGAGCCCCTCCGACGCCACGAGCCTCCCAGCCCCGCGGGGACCCGGCTGCAGCGCCGACGAGACTGCGGGAGGCTCTGGGCGCGTCTGGGCCTGAATGCTGGGTTCGGGGACCCGGCCGCGGGGACCGTCCTCCTCCGGGGCTTGAGGGGCGTGGCGCCCGCACGTGGCCCACGCTCGGTGCTCGCGGCGGGAAGGGAAGCAGGTGTGGGTGGGGAGCAGAGAAGGGTAATGGGGAGAGTCCCTTCCGAAGGTGTTCAGGCGCCCAGAGCCTCAGAGGCGCCGGGGAAGCGTCGGGGACCACAGACACCGTTCCCGTGCGTAAAGCTTTCCTTCCAGGAGCGGGGGGATGGGAACAGAGCCCCCCACCCTCACCATCTTCCAGAGGGGTCCTCCAGCAAGAGAGTGCCCCAGCCAGGAGAGCCCCCAGGGCAGAAGGTCACAGACCCCTTCTGCTCAGGCGTGAGGTCTGTGCTGAGTGCTGGGCGGACACCCCGGCTCAGGCCTCTGGCAGCCTGGTGCCGCAAGGGGACCTGTTAGGAGCTAGGGGCACAGGCTGGTGTGCTGACTCCCTGTGAGTGAGCTTTGGAATGGGGAGTGTCCTTGTAGCTCAAGGTCGCAGAGGAGAGTAGGCCCCCGCGTGGATCCCAGAGAAGAAAAAGGTGGGACAGTGCCAACACCGGGGTTTAATTCTGAGTCTGAGAGCAGGACGCATGGTGGGGGCGGGTGGTTCTGGAGCTGGGCCCCGGCCTCTGCTGGGCTGACCGTATTTGGGGGCCTGGCTGGGCCTACTTGGAGGTCCCCTTCTTGGATTTGCTGGTCAGGAAGGCCTCTGACTGTTGCAGGGGGGGCACTTTGACGCCTTTCTGCTTCAGCTGATTATAGTAGTCGCTTCTCTCTGAGATAATTCTCTACACAAGAAACACAGCCGTCGAGGTGGCCTTCCCAGTTCCTCACCTTGGCCTTGAGGCCGGTCTGCACAGTCCGTGCCAGCTGCCCGGGACGCCACCCTCTCCTCCTCCTCCAGAGAGGCTTGCTGCAGCAGGGGTGTGCTGGTGAATACTTACAACCGGCTCTCCAGGGGGAGAAAAAACAAACAACCCTCGGCTTTGTGGCGTTGCCAGTTTCTGTGGTGGGAATATTCCCACAGTGGCTGATTTTCAGCCACGGAAGTGAAGTCACAGAATGCGGAGCCGGGGGCAGGTGCACACCACCAGCCCGCAGAAGCCTGCACTAAGCCCCCTCTTCAGCCCTCTTAGAGTTGTGAGGAGCCCCAGACTCCTAGAGATCTTTGAGGTCGTCACATCTGTCCCTCAAGTCCCTTCTGTCCTGTACAGAGGGAATGTTGTCCCCACCTCTCTTCCATTCTCCTCTCTGGGCCGTTGCTGGTTCATGTCAGGCTATGGCAAGCAAGCAAAGGTGCTCTTCCCTGGCTACTGTGCGGTGGGAATAACTCCCTCCATCCTCTGTCTTCCCTCTTCTCTTCCTCTTTCTCTCCCCTTCCTCCTCCCCTCCCCCAGACAACAGTACCAAGGCCGCAGAGACCTCTCTCCACATTACAGCTCTGCAGGAGAGGCACTGTCCAGGGCCCCCCACTCTGCAGAGGAAGGGAACCAGGCCCCAGGAACGTGGGTGCTGGAAGGTCAGGGGCACACACTGGGGTTCAAGGGCAGCCCCAGAGGGTGAAGTGTGGGTCTTGGGAACAAAAGCAGCTCCTGGTGAGAGGTGACCCCTTCGTAGTACACAGCCCCACACAGAGCCATAGCCGGTGCCCGGCTCCCAGAGCTCTGAGTCTTACGACACCTTGCAGGTGAGCATGCGCTGTCCATCACAGAGGGAGGCATCTATGGCTCAGAAAAGTGAGTGTGTGGCCCCCAGCTGGTGGGTGGTGACCCCCTCATGCCCAGTGACCCCAAGGCCTGAATTCTCCTACACCCCTCTACTTCTCCGAGGCCCTTGCTTGGGGACCCCTGGTCAGGAAGGAGCCCAGGAGGCTGTGGCCGGGGTGGGAGGGGTCTGCACCAGGGCCCTGGATCAGTGGGTGGTGATACCAGCGGAGGGGACCAAGCTGGACAAAGCCGGGGCTGGGCTCCTGCTGTGGGAGAATCTTCGTGCCCTGAGCGGCTTGTCCCCTCTCCACAGCGCTCAGGATGGGTTGTGGCAGTTACTGCTGGTCTCTGATGCCCGTCCCCCGTTTTGCTGAGAGTAGCTAAGACTCCCGTGCCATGCCCCCACCTGCCTTAGGATGATTTGATCCCCTCTGCCTGAGCTGAGAGAAAGGAGGGTCCTGGGGTCCAAGTGAATAGGTGACACAGGTAGGATGAGAACAGAGTCCCTGGAATCTAGGCCCCCCACAACCCCCTACCACAGCTCTGGCCTGGGGGTCTGGGGCCCGGATAGAGGCAGCTGAGCTTAGGGGTATACCTGCAGGGCTTCCAGGATGTCATTGTCAGAGATCTCGTTGGCCAAGGACTTGGTCCCGGAGATGCTAAAGGTGGCCTGGATGATCTTATTCCTTAACCTCTCGAGCTGTGAGCAAAGGGACAACACTATCATTCGCCTTTACCCAAGAAGGCACCTGGCCAGTGGGCTGCACCCCCCACCACCTTATTTTTTATGTACCAGGAAGGAACAGCTCACCCTCACTTTTCATGGCTTTAGAAACTGGAAACAGGTGTCAGAGAAGTCAATGTGGATTGTCTGAGAGCTAGGAGGTGCCGGATCCAACCCCTGACCCTGTGCGGCCCAGCCCCAAAGCCCAAAGACTCTCCTACACCAGGTGGGCTTTTCTAATTGGAAAGTAAAACCTACACACACATATATATATATTTTTAAACCAACAAACCAAAATAGTACAGAAGCCGCACGTAACCCCTGGACCATCCTCCACTGCCCAGGGGAGCTGCAGTGAGCGGACTTCCTGGCCCTTGGGGACACTCTCACTTTAGGCATTTAACAGTGCGCTGCTGGTGCTTCCTCCTTTCCATGCTGACTAGGAGGTGTCTGTGCCATGGACAGCAGCGTTGAACCTGGCCCCCGCGCACAGACCCAGAAGGCGTTCTCGTCTTCTGCTGCCATGAAGATCCTTGTCTGCCTGTACACCCGCAGCCGCCTCCCCAGAGGTAGCTAATCGTGCCTCCCAGGAAGCTGCAGAGGAAACCCCTCCAATCTGCACCCCAGGAGCCTCAGACAGGAACCCCTTGAGTTATGCGGCACGCTCAGCACGAGTTCCTCGTCCAGAAACCCTGACGACGCAGAGGTGCCCCACAGGAGCTGGGCCCGAGAGGCTCAGCCTTGCCTCCGAGTGGAAGCATGTCCACACTGCCGCTCGGACAGGTTTAAGTGACAGCAGGAATGTCATGGGCCCCTGGCCTGTGTGAGGAGTGGAATCCTTTCCTTCTTTCCAGTATTTATTGAGCGCCCAACTTTGTACAAACACCGTGCCAGGTGCTGGAGGTCGTGAGGTCACAAGGGGCTGGGCCTCTGTACTGGGGGTCCCTCCCCAGGGTAGAGGTTGGCAGCTACCCGGGGTGTCCAGCCTCACTTCCCCACACCCGTGGGGCCTCACCATCAGGCTTGGCGCTAGTTCCTGCTCACCCGGACTTAGCTTCACAATATTTCTCAGCTCAGCTTTCCAGGCTCCACCAGGTCAGTGCAGGCTGGCGCACAAATGGACACACCTAGACCGCCTCTGGTCTAACGCTTTCACCAGGACTACGGCTGGATCCCAAACTGTTTTATCAAGGGATACCAGGGGTGGGTGCCTCAGTCTGACCCAGCCGGAAGGAGGTGGACTCAAGCAGGAAAGAGGACGCAGTTGAGTTGCAGTTGGCATTTCTGGTGGGAACCTGACTTCAAAAGCCTCCATACATGACCTTGACCTTTGCTTAATTTTGGATTCTAAATCAAGGTCAGGGCCAGGCACGGTAGCTCACACCTGTATTCCCAACACTTCGGGAGGCCAAGGCAGGCAGATTGCTGGAGCCCAGGAGTTCAAGACCAGCCTGGACAGCATAGTGAGACCGTCTCTACAAAAAGCTTTTAAAATTGGCCAGGTATGGTGGCACATGCCTGTGGTCCCAGCTACTCAGGAGGCTGAGGTGGGATGACGACAGCTTGAGCCTGGGAGGCCAAGGCTGCAGTGAGCTGTTATCACCCCACTGCACTCCAGACTGGATGACAGAGAAAGACCCTGTCTCAGAAAAAAAAAAAAAAAAAAAAAAGGTCAGCTCTTTATTGATTTCCTTTTTGGCATGGGGCCCTCACAAGCAGGGCACACTCTGGCCTTGCTCACGTTTCATATGACACCCCAGTGGAGCCCTGCAGTTGAGACTGCCAAATCCCAGCACCACCGCAAAGCAGGTCTGCTGTCCAGGGGGACTGTTCATCCTTTCCTATTTGTCTACTAAGTGAGGATCATGATAACTACTTCGCAGTCTGGTTAAAGGAGCTACATGACTTTGATACCAAGAAGGTACTTAGAATGGTGCCTGGTCCAGCAAGCACGCTATGACTCAGAGATGAGGGGGGCAACACCATGCCTCCCTATCCAGGTGCCCTCCTCCTTTCCAGCCAGTGATCCAACCCCTTCACAATGCAACCCAAGACCCGCAGCCCTGCCCATGGGGCTCCGCCCACCACTGCCATTGACGAACATTTCCGGGCTACTCTGTTGCACTCTCACTCCGTCCTCTACCCACATTTCTTGAGTGTCAACTCTGTGTGGATGCTGGTGTACACGGCAGAACCAGCCCGAGCCCCAGCGTACACAGACCCCGGTTCTACCTCGGTGGGCGGTGGGCAGAGGCCTGGGTGCTCGGCCGCCAGCTGCTGGGACAGACCCTCAGGAGGAAGGGCTGGGCATACCCTGGACTGGGAGCTCTCCAGGGCCACGCGGGTGTGCTGCTCTGCCTGCTGAATCATCTCCTTCTTGCTCTGCAAATCCTCCTGCAGCTGCTTCCACCTCTGCAGGTGGTTCTGGTCCAGTTCCACCTGCTCCTGCAGCTGGCTGACCTTGGTGTCCAACTCTGAGATGACACAGTCCCGCTTGGTGAGCTTTCTCTCCAGTTCCGACACTTGCTGGGGACAGCCGGGGAGAAAAAAGAGGTGGGGTCATTTCGCCCAACCTGAGTATGTGTGGCACCCATCCACTTTTTCCTAAAAGATGGCCGGCGGCCAGGTGCAGTGGCTCACGCCTGTAATCCCAGCACTTTGGGAAGCTGCGGTGGGCGGATCACGAGGTTAAGAGATTGAGACCAGCCTGACCAACATGGTGAAACCCTGTCTCTAC
Organism: Homo sapiens; assembly: GCF_000001405.40. Taxonomy (NCBI): domain Eukaryota; kingdom Metazoa; phylum Chordata; class Mammalia; order Primates; family Hominidae; genus Homo; species Homo sapiens. The sequence continues at coordinate 3,767,021 of NC_000001.11, read as the reverse complement.
TAAAAATACAAAAATTAGCTGGGCATGATGGCAAGTGCTGGTAGTCCCAGCTACTCGGGAGACTGAGGCAGGAGAATCACTTGAACCCAGGAGGCGGAGGTTGCAGTGAGCTGAGATCACACCACTGCACTCCAGCCTGGTGACGGAGCAGGACTCTGTCTCAAAAAAAAAAAAAAAAAAAAAAGGACTGGGAACGCTTGCTGGGTCCCTCCAGTCCAGTCTGGACCCAGCAATTGCGAGGAGCCTTCTGTGTGGACGTGGGGTGCAGAGATCTGTCGAGTGGCATGCTACCGAAGGGGTCCTGGCTCAGCTGTGAAGACGCTCCAGCCCCGTCTTGCCCTTTGCTGTGTTGGGACTTACAGTAAGAACAGTGGCCTGGCTGATCATTTAACGACACCCAGGCTGTCACCTGTCGGAGGAGCTGGTTGTCCTTTTCAATGAGCCCCATCATCTCTTGGTGTTTCTTATCTTCTCGGAGGTTGGAGAACTGGAAGGAGACAGAAGGGTTGGCTTGGGGGACTCCCAGGTTTAGATAACAGACTGAATTCCGGCATCTAACTTTTTTCCTTCCCCAAAGCTCCCTAAAATAATAGCAGCGGGATTTCTATTGAAGGCAGGGAGAAGAGAAGAAGAAAAAGGACTAAAAATATTTTGGAGAGTTTGAAGGTGGCTGAGTGGTATCTGACATCCCAGATCCAAGAAAGCCAAATAGCCGGCAGTAGGAAAAGCAGAAAATAAGCCCAATTCACACTTGAGTTCCTAAAAGTCTCAGACATTGTTGGTCTGGGTTCTTCTAAACATGGAGGCTAAAATGAGGATGATTGGTGGAATGTTATTTCAGAAATGAAGAGCCCTAGGCCACGTGCAGTGGCTCACACCTGTAATCCCAGCACTTTAGAAGGCTGAGGTGGGTGGATCACTTGAGGTCGGGAATTTGAGAGAAGCGTGGGTAACATAGATCCTATCTCTACAAAAAATAAGAACATTGGTTGGGTGTGGTGGTGTGCACCTGTGGTCCCAGCTCCTCAGGAGGCTGAGGCGAGAGGATCACCCGACTCTGGAGAGGCTGAGGCTGCAGTGAGCTGTGATCACACCACTGAACTCCAGCCTGGGTGACAGAGTGAGAACCCATCTCAGAAAAAAAAAAAAAAGGAGAAAAGAAAAGAAAAGAAACTCTCCATTAAAATGCCAAAGCAAAGCACACTGCTCTGCCAGGGAGCACAGAGTGGTCACCTGTGTGCTCAGAGTCCAGTCAACTCGAACATTGGAGCAAAGCTCTCAGATGAATGACAGACACCAAAAGCAAACTTGTAGGAAATAGAAGTGGTGCAAGAAGTTAGAAAACTAACAGTATGATGAACGCTGTCATCAAGGGAAAATACTGCAATTGTGAAGCCAAACAAGAGTGCGCTTCAAAAAAAGAAAAATGGAACACTCAGAGAACATCAGAGTAAAATATTATAACAAAATGAAAAGAGCTGTTGATAAAGTTAAGGAAATCTTCTAGAAAGTATCGGTAAGAGACAAAGAGACAAAAAGGTTGAGATAACAGATAAAACAAGAGCGGGACAGGAGGTCCAATAGTGTGAGAGAAGGCCATAAAAAAACAATAAAACCAAAGAAAATTCCAGAACTAAAGGACATGAGTTTCCAGATGGCCACTGAGTGCCCAATACAACAGATGAAAACACACCCTCAATAAAGCACAACTCTGGGAGGTTTCAGATCACCTGGGACAAAGATAGGATCTTACAACTTTCCAGAGAGGAACAACCAACCCAGAAGGAACCATGAACGACTTTGGACTTATCATCGGCCAACCTGGAAGACAACAGAGGAAGGCCTCTGTGATGCTGAAGGAAAATGGTTTTCAAACAGGAATGCTATATCCAACCCAGATGTTATGAGGGTATAGAGTAAGGACATTTGCCAACATATCCTGTCCCCAAAACTTTACCCCTGTTCATCGTTTTTTTTTTTTTTTTTGAGATGGAGTTTTGCTCTTGTCGCCCAGACTGGAGTGCAATGGTGCAATCTTGGCTCACTGCAACCTCCTTCTCCTGGGTTCAAGCGATTCTCCTGCCTTGGCCTCCTGAGTAGCTGGGATTACAGGCATCCACCATCACACCGGTTAATTTTTGTATTTTTAGTAGAGCTGGGGTTTCACCATATTGGTCAGGCGGGTCTTGAACTCCTGACCTGAGGTGATCCACCTGCCTCAGCCTCCCAAAGTGCTGGGATTACAGGTGTGAGCCATCGTGCTCAGCCTCATTTATCCTTTTTGATAAAACTACTGGAGGATGTGCTCCACCAAAAATAAGTGAAGAGGGCAAGAAAGCAAAAGGTGTGGGATGCAGCAGTTTTAAAGTTGTGGTTTATGAATCTTAGTACTGTTCTGTAAAACTTATTTTATTTATGTATGTGTGTGAGACAAATAACTGTCCTAATGATGTCAGTGCAACATTGATTGTGATAGAATGATACGAGGAGGAGGGTGGATGGAAAGGCTGCCCTTGTGTGTGTTGGGGGGCGGTGGCAAGGGAGGAAAAAAAAGGAAGCATTAAATAATGTTAAGATGGAGAACAATCTAGAATGGCCACTATGAGCATGCTATTTAGAGATTTGGAGATAGATTCATAAAGAACGTGCTGGAAGAATTTAAAATGATGCCTTAGGAGAGGGCGAATGAGAGGGAGGAGGTCAGAGGCTCCTGGTTTTCATGACAGGCCTCGTGGAACTATTTGATTCTTTAAGCGATGTGCATGAATAACTTTGATAAGAGTAAAAACCTAAAACGCTTAACAAAAACGACAAGAGTGGGCTCAGTGGAGTAGCAGTCTCTCTAAGCACGGATAGGGCGTTCTTACCCCCAGGACTCAGGGGCCAGGAGATGCTTGAGGAGTGGCCAAGAGCACAGCGGCTCAGGAGACAGGGACACTTGCCTCCAGCCCAGGGACAGGGCAGAGCTGTGGCTGGGCACATGGGCTCCAGCCTCCCACACACCTTGGGGAATCCTAGCGGGGCCGCTATCAGCCGCACAACCCTGGGCCAGCTGCCTGGACACCCCAGGCTCAAAGTCTCCATCAGTAGATGGGACGGGCAGCGCCTGCCCCGAGCTGCCGGGGGTTAATGAAGCCTGGGGCCCATGCTCATGGAGCGGAGGCCGGTACTGAGCGCACGGCCACCTTGTCGGTCATGGCTTGTAGCTGCTGCCTCCGCTCTCGGAGCTCCTTCTGCAGCGTCTCATTTTCCGTATTGATCTTTCGCAGCTGGGTTTCTTGGAAATCCACTTGTTGTTGTAAAGACGCAATCACTCCTGGGCACAGAGGCAGAGGCGGTGAGCAGGAGCAAGCAGGGGCAGTGAGGGACAGAAGGAGAGGGCCGGGCCACTGCGGCAGCTGGGAGGGCTCTGCCAGCCTGGGTGAGGCTGCCGACACCTGCCCCTGCTCCAGCTCACTGACCAGAGCAGGCAGCGTCTGGGCGTCCCAGCTCCTGGGCCGGGAACCACTGAGTGGCCAAAGCCCAGTGCCCCCCGCCGAGGCCCTACCTGTTGCAAGGGAGTATCTGGTCCTGGTGGCCTCCAGGTTGAACTGGAAGTCCAGGATGACCTGCTCGTACTCCTCCAGCTGGGCCAGCAGCTCCTCCTCAAACGACTCGGCCAGGGAGGAGGCCCTTCTCCTGGGGATCTCCTCTTCCTCCGGCAGCTCCCTTTCCTCTGAGTCCTCATCCCTGTCCCCTTCCTCCTCTTCCTCCTCCTCGCTTCCCTCCTCATGCACGGATCCCATCTGGCTCACACCTCCCCAGGCACCCGTGTCCTCCACCCCATCGGGCTCCCCTTCCAGGCCCTCGTCCTCCTCGCCACCTCCCAGGTCGGGCTCCTTGCCCCTCTCCGGTGCCGCAGACTCCTCCTGCATCTGTAAGATGGGTAGGGCAGGGGCTGGGCAGGGCTGCGGGGCACCCCCAGGGCAGAGGGCTCTAATGCTCATGGCGGGGGCACCGGGGAGGGCGCCTCCTTCCAGGCTGCTGCAGGGTCCAGGGAGTGGGAGAGCATCTGCCTGGCAAGGTCACCAACAGTGGCCCAGGCACTGTGGCCTCTGTCACGGGTCCTCCCTCTGTCAGTAGACTGCACCTGACCTGTGCCTTCAAGGGGGCTAACGACCCACCCACCTCACCTGCTCCCCTGGAGTGGGGCACCCCAGGTCAGGGCTGCAGCAGGGACACTTGGGGCCTGGGCCTCTTAGTTAAGCAGCCTAGGTGGCTCCTGGGCCCGGGTCCCCCACTGCGTGCCTGCTCTCCAGGCGGCCCGCACCTGCCACCAGTGCTGCAGCTCCTCCTCATGTCTGGAGAAGGCCTTCAGGAGGCTCAGCCTGCCCAGCTTCAGCGAAGCGTCTGAGAGCTGCTCCTGCAAGACGCCCGTGGGACCCTCAGCTTTCCAGCCCCTCCTGCAGCACCCCAGGGACAGACCACTGCCTGTCCTAGAAGGGACAGCGGCCTCTCATGTCTGGGGAGGGGACCTGCATCCTCCTGCCAAGGGGCTGGGGGATGTGGGTGCTGTGGCAGTGGAGGGCACAGGAACCTGCGGATGGGCAGTTCTGGGGGGCAGTGGGGCTCTAGGCACCCCCAGAGCAGCCCCCAGCAAGTGGCCTTGCAGTAAAGGACAAGGCCAGCCAGCCTTACACACGCCCACTGTGCATGTCATTGCCTGGGTGGCCCACCCTCAGACACCCACCCAGCAGCCTGGGGAGGACAGAGAGTGGAAGCCGCCGGCTGGCCACCTTTCCCTGCCCCCGCCCTGTGTGTCTAGGCAGCCTTCCCTTGAGGCATTTAGGGCAGTTGGCATGGTCAGGGGCCTTCCCCCTGGTTCCTGCTTCATCTCTGGCCCCCAGCATAAACTCAGGCTGTCTCCTCAGGTGTGAAAGAAATCTTAGGAAGATCAGGTGACCGCCCCTGGGCACAACACAGACCTGCCTCGTCCAGTCCTCTGCCCACACCTAGAGGTGGGGTAGCATCCCCACCTGCATCCCCACCTCTACCCCACCCCCACCCCAACCCCATGCCCAACCTCGCAGGGGGCTTCACAGCCAGAGAGTGGGGAGAAGGGATTCCTGGCCAGGGCAGGGTAATACAAGCTACCACTGCAGATGATGCACAGAGCCAGGCCCGGGGAATCCGCCTGCAGGGTGGCCTCCATGCCCCAGGATTTCACAGGTGAGCTCAGCCCTCATTTTATGGATAAGGACCCTGAGCCCCGACAGCGTTGTGCCTTGCCCCATTCAGAAAGCAAGTCAGAAGCCAGGTGCAGGTGCCTAGACATCGGCTCACGGCTCTCATTTGTCATTTTGCGCCTCCATTCATCTCTCCCCCCCCTGTTGCATCAGCTCATGGCTCTCATTTGTCATTTCGTGCCTCTGTTCGCCTCTCCCCTGCCTGTTGATCAGAACCCTGAGAACCGGTCCACGTTCCAGTGAGGACCTGATAGGATCCAGGGGGCCTGGGGGTTTGCCAGGGGCCTGTGTGTCACTAGCAGCTTTGGACGCTTTGAAAACAACCGTCTTAGAGCTCTGCGCTGTGCCCCGCTGGGGCTGGCTCACCCTCCTGCCTGGGGACATGGATGTCTCTTGGCCTTTGCCTTTCAGAAGGCATTTCAGCTGCATCTTCAGGGCCTCCCTCTCCTCCTGGAGCAGCAGGATCTCCTCGTCTTTCTTCTGAACCTGTATCTCCAGCTCAGACAGGCAGTGATCCTGGGCAGAAAACCAAGGGCAGCCCCCGTGGGCCATGCAGCCACACACTCTTCCCCTGACCTGCCTCCAGCCCACCCAGGAGGAGCAGATCTGCTGTCGTGGTACCCCAAAACCCCAGGGTCCCAGGGATTTCAAGATAGGTACTGCGGTAAAGAGCTAGCACTACACATCTGGAGATCAAGATGTGCCAGCTCTTTACTGCAGCCATGCCTGGCACCTCCAGCGCCTCTGCACCCATCCTAAGAACAGATCCTAAATCCTCGTCCGAGGAGTTGCAAGGCAGCTTCCCTTTCGGACCTGGCCCGTGGTGTGTCCCTGCACCCCACTATACCACAGGACACCAGTCTTCTTTGCAGCCCCGACACTTAACCGGCAACACCCTCCAAGCTTCCCTAGGGGCCTGTCGGGGAGCTCCTCAAACTTTTGTTCTCAGAATCTCAACTCCCTCAATTCTTCAAAATTAAAGACAAAAATAAAGATGTTTTCAGGCAAACAGAAATTGAAAGAATCTGTGACCAGCAGATCTGAACTTAGAGAAATACTAAAGGGAGTTCTTCAGGTGGAAGGAAAATGATCCCAACAGAATATTCTGGAAGGAAAGATAACTAGAAAGTCCCCTAAATGTTTGGAAAGTAAGTGATAGGCTTCTGTGTAGCCAATGGGTCAAAAAAGAAATCACAAGGAAAGCTAGAAACATTTTAAACTGATAATGAACATCCGGACACATCAAAGCTCGTGGGACGCAGTTAAAGTTGTGATTAATGGCAAATTTATAGCCTTAAAATGCATATACCAGGAGGGAAATGGAAAATCATGACCCAAGTATCTATCTCAAGAGTTCAGAAAAAGAACTAAAATTAATCCCGCAGAAAGTAGAAGAAAAGGAATAAAGATAGGTGTGAAAATTTATGATATAGGAAGGGAGAGAGGGAGAGAGGAGCAAGGGGGAGAGAGAGGAGAGAAGGATAAAGCAAACGTGGCCACATTTAACATTTGGGGAATGGAAAAGTACATGGGAATCTTTGTAGTATGGATTCTTACCACTTTATGCCTGAAATACAAAGTTAAAGGGAAAAAAAAGTGCAGAAATCACATTTCATCACCCAAGCCATGGTCCCGAGACACTTGCACGTCTCAAAATAGTGCAAGGACTGCTGGAAGGGAGATCCGATTTCCTGTTAGAGCTGCCGAGTTCACACAATGCCAGCTGCAAACTTGTTGCTGCAGGTGGCTCTCTTGCCACCAAATGAGAAGAGTTTATCTATGACAGCCCAGACGAAGGCAGAGAGGAGATAAAGAAAAGCCTGATGAGCCCCTTGGAGCTCCTGGAGGCAGCCAAGCCTGCAGCCCTTCCCTTGGATGGTTCATACGCATGACCTGGTAAATCCCCTCCCTGCTGCCTGCATGAATAACAACAGCATATCTGCCTGACTCTTGGCTAATGATATGCTCAGCCTATTTCTCAGAAATGAAATTACTTGGTTAAAGGGTAGGAACACTCTTGAAGCAGTGAAATCTATAATAATGTACAGGTAGAGTTGCAGGAGTAAACAAAATGAATATCATGGACCCCCAGGAGCTGGGACTGGCAAGCCCCCTTGTGTCTCCATTCAGTCATATGACCCCCCAACACCTCTGTGCCCTGCACCAAATCACCAACATTTTGTGACTCATGTCCATAATTTTCATCAAAACTTTACCAGTTTCAAAAGAATGCAGAGAAAGAAGGAAGCAGACACTAGAGAAAAATCAACAAAATCTAAAGCTGATTCTAAGAGAAGGTTATTAAAATTGATAAAACTCCAATGAGACCAATGGGGAAAAAGAAAGGAGGCACAAGGCAGCCACGTCGGGAATGAGACAGAGGCCGTCCCCACCCTGCCCAAGCTGCATCAAAGCTAGTAATTATCCTTGTACCACTTACAGCCTTAGGCTGATACATAAAAAATCTTATGTGAAATAGATGCATTCCTAGAAAAACACAGAACACCAAAACTGAAACTAGAGGAAAAAGAAAATCTGGATATATTTTTAAATAATTGAATTTGTGATTTTTTTTTTTTTGAGACAAAGTCTTGCACTGTCGCCTGGGCTGGCGTGCAGTGGCTCGATCTCAGCTCACTGAAACCTCCGCCTCCTGGATTCAAGTGATTCTCCTGCCTCAGCCTCCCAAGTAGCTGGGATTACTGGCACCTGCCACCACGTCCAGCTATTTTTTTTTTTTTTGTATTTTTAGTAGAGATGAGGTTTCACTATGTTGGCCAGGCTGGTCTTGAACTCCTGACCTCATGATCCACCCACCTCAGCCTCCCAAAGTGCTGGGATTGCAGAGGTGAGCCACTGTGCCTGGCCTAATTTGTGATTTTTAAAACTGCTCCTGTAGGGGCCCAGTACAGTGGTTCACACCTGCTATCCCAGCACTTTGGGAGGCTGAGGCAAGAGGATCACTTGAGCTCAAGAGTTCGAGGCAAACCTGAGCAACATGGAGAAACCTCGTCTCCACAAAAAAACGAAAAAAATTAATGGGCATGGTGGCGTGTGCCTGTGGTCCCAGCTATTCGAGAGGCTGAGGTGGGAAGATTGCTTGAACCCTGGGAGGTCAAGGCTGCAGGGAGCTGGGATCACTCCACTGCGCTCCAACCTGGGTGACAAAATGAGACCTTGTCTCATAATAAATTAAATAAACAAATTAAAAAATAAAAGTGCCCCTTTAGATGGAGGCTGCCGTGAGCTCTGATCGTGCCATTGCACTCCAGCCTGGGCAACAGAATGAGACCCTTTCTCTAAAAAATAAAGGCTGAGCGCAGTGGCTCACGCCTGTAGTCCCAGCACTTTGGGAGGCCGAGGTGGGTAGATCACGAAGTCAAGAGATCAAGACCATCCTGTCTGACATGGTGAAACCCGTCTCTACTAAAAATACAAAAATTAGCTGGGTGTGGTGGTGCGTGCCTGTAATCCCAGCTACTTGGGAGGCTGAGGCAGGAGAATTGCTTGAACCCGGGAGGCAGAGGTGGCAGCGAGCTGAATGGCGCCACTGCACTCCAGCCTGGCAACAGAGAGAGACTCTGTCTCAAAAATAAATAAATAAATTAATTAATAAAATAAGAGTGCTCCTGTGAGGAATCCCCAGACACAGAAGCCTTCAATGGCAAATTCTTCAGAATTCAAGGAAGAAATCACATCAGTCTTATACAAACTCTTCCAGAGAATAGAAAAAGAAAAAAGGTGCTGGGTGCAGTGGCTCACACCCCTAATCACAGCACTTTGGGAGGCCAAGGCGAGTGGATCACTTGAGCCCAGGAGTTCGAGACCTGCCTGGGCAACATGGGGAAACCCCATTTCTTTTTTTTTTTTTTTTTGAGATGGAGTCTCACTCTGTCACCCAGGCTGGAGTGCAGTGGCGCGATCTCAGCACACTGCAAGCTCCGCCTCCCTGGTTCACACCATTCTCCTGCCTCAGCCTCCCAAGTAGCTGGGACTACAGGCACCCACCACCACGCCTGGCTAATTTGTTGTATTTTTAGTAGAGACGGGGTTTCGCGTGTTAGCCAGGATGGTCTCGATCTCCTGACCTCGTGGATCTGTCTACCTCTGCCTCCCAAAGTGCTGAGATTACAGGCGTGAGCCACCTCGCCTGGCCGGGGAAACCCCATTTCTACAAAAATACAAAAAGTAGCCAGGTGTGGTGGTACGCACCTGTAGTCCCAGCTGCTTGGGAGGCTGAAGTGGGAGGATTGCTTGAGCTCAGGGAGCTCAAGGCTTCAGTGAGCTGGGATCACACCACCACACTCCAGCCTGGGTGACAGAGTGAGACCCTGTCTCAAAAAATACTACTACTACTAATAATAATAATAAAATAAAAAAAGAAAATAAATAAAAAGAAAAAAGGAACTGTTTTCCAGCCTTTTCTTTCTTTCATTTTAATGAGGCCAGAGTAACTTTGATACTAAAATTTGATGACGGAATTATAAGACAGTGAAAATATAGGTTAGTCTTTCTTATAAATATAGATTTAAAAAAGAATAACACTACAATGAATCAACTTGTGCATAAATCAAGCTGGTTATTCCTGTTATGATTTTTATTATTTAGAATACATTCTCTGAAGCAGATACTGTGGGTGCAAAGATGTGTGGACGGTTGGAAGTCATGCGTGCCGGTGAGTCTGAGTTCCATGCCGGCGTAACTGCCACCCACTGGGGTGAGGATGGACAGGGGTGAGGAGCTTTGTCAAAGCAGGGGGTCTGGAGGTCATTTTAGGCCATGGGGACCTGCTTGATGCAGCTAACCAGATACTAGAACCAGAGCCTGTCAGGGAGCAGGGCTGTCCTCCCAGCCGGACGCAGAGAGAGGGGTGGGGGGCCGGGATTTGCACCCCCTCCGCCAGTACCTTCTCGTGGATGACTGAGAGGTACCAGGGCATCCTCTTTCTCAGGCAGCTCTGAGATGCGACTGAGCTGCTGGTGACCGGACTCAAAGTCTGGGATTTTCTCCTCTTCCGCAAGTAATCGAACTCGCAGATGCTCTTACTGAAGGGAAGGAGGTACCCTGTGGCGACAGCGGAGGCCAAGTGAGAAATGAGACCCTTCCCTGCCGAGCTCCTCTGGCGTCTTCGATGACGACATCCACCCTTCCGAGACTTCCCTCGGAAACCCCTATCTGCCCAGACAGACTCCAATCTGTCTCCTAACTCTTGTCACCCTCATTTTGAGGACACAGTGTGGTGCTGCTGTGAACACGATGGGGCGCCCACACCCAGCACAGCGCGTGCTGAGGGAGTGCAGGAAGGTGCGGAAGCTCTGGCCGAGACACCCAGGACAAACGAGCCGGAGCTGGGAGTCGGGACGAGGGGGTCATCCTGATGCTGTCTCTGCACACCTGGTTGCTTGTCCCCTCCTGGAGCCTCAGTTTTCCCATCTCTCTTTTTTTTTTTTTCTTTTTGAGATGGAGTCTTGCTCTATCTCCCAAGCTGGAGTGCAGTGGCACGATTTCAGCTCACTGTAACCTCTGCCTACCAAATTCAAGCAATTCTCTGCCTCAGCCTCCCAAGTAGCTGGGATTACAGGTGCCCACCACATGCCCGGCTAATTTTTTTGTGTTTTTAGTAGAGACGGGGTTTCACCATCTTGGCCAGGCTGGTCTTGAACTCCTGAACCTCGTGATCCACCCGCCTTGGCCTCCCAAAGTGCTGTGATTACAGGCGTGAGCCACTGCGCCCGGCCCAGTTTCTCCATCTTTAAACTGAGAGGAGGGAGGAGATTCTCCACCTTCCTGAGGTTGAGGGGAGCTGGTCACTACAGACTCTAGGTTTCCTCCAGTTAAGGCAAGAAAGGAGACATGGTGCTGGGAATTTCCTCTTGGTAAATGGAAACAGGCACACCTGTCTGCGGGAGCAGTGTCCCGGGGGGTCTCTACCCACAGTGAGGGATGCACCCATCAGCCACTGGGTAAAGGCCAAGGGGACAAAACTTTCAACTACGATTTTTACTAAAGACAAGGGGCCACGGTCCTGGGGGGACTGCAGCCTATGCTGTCAGGGAAGGCAGGGCTAGTTCTGCACAAGGGAGGCCCGGAGGCCTTTCTGTGTGAGTCCTCAGGAGGCAGACAGTCCCGGGAGGGAATTCCGCAGGGCACAAGCAGCGACCCTGCAAGAAGCAGGCCTCGAGCTCAGGGGCCCAGCAGGTGCAGGCAGAGGCCCTAGGGGCTCCCTCACCGTCCACGTTCGTGTCTGAGCCCCGCCTGGCCAAGAACAGGTCCTGGGTGCCTCTCCAGGTCTCCGAGCTGTTGTCAATCTCTCCGGACAAATCGGCCTCAGTGGGTGAACCTGTAGAGTGTTAAAGATGCCATCTGGTGACTGCTGCGGTCTTGTCTCCCCAAGATCTCCAGGGCAGACTCTTATTTATCCTTAAACACCAGGTAGGGACACAGGTGGCTTTTTTTAATGGATGCATGGGACTGAGCAAGGGCTGAACCAAAGGGTGGGCTTCATCCTCCTGCCTGCCCTGGTGTCTCCACCTCAGCAGACCCAAGTGTGGCTGAATTTCTCTAGCTGATGCCCCCTTTCCCCCGGAGGGGCAGACCCTACTTTCCTTCGGTAAAAATGTGCCTCCTAAAAGTCGAACGGAAGCTCCCCTGCCTCCAGACCAGCCCATCCAAGGCAGACCCTGTTTCCCCTAAACCATCACAAATTGCCCCAATGGCAGGTGCCTATGAGCAGTATGTAGACGCAGACCCCACGCCCAGGACACCGTGTGGCCCCTCAGCCTCCCCAGAGACCTGCCCACAAAAATGCCTGGTCCTGGAGCCCTGGCCACCGTGGAGACCCTCTTGCTGAGGCAGTGGGGGCCTGAAGCCTAGAAAGGTGAGGGCCCTGCTTCTACCTGATGCTGGCTGAGATTGGTGGACAGCACGGGACCCCCTCCCCAACCCCCCCACCCCACCCTTGCTACTGGTTATAGGAATTTAGCTCAAGCTCGCCATCCCTAAGAATGGTGTCTTGTGTGGGGACATGGAACCAGTCCAGGTCCAGGAGCAGATGCTGGGATGAAGCCTTGGCTCTGGGCAGCATCCCCCAGATGCCCATGGAGCTCGGCAGCTGCCTGCTCCAAGCCTCCTGTTCTCATCAGAGCAGTGAAGGGTTTGGACCGGATAGCTGCTAGGGCTCCCCAGGGGCACTGTCCCTAATGAGCTATCTGGCTTTATGGGGTTCTTTCCTGAAGCTTCCAGAATCTTCAACCATTTCCACTCCCCTAGCCCCTGACCCTACTGAATTTTTAGTGGGTGAAACAATAGAAAAGCAAGAAGGCTGGGGAGACAAATCATAATCATAGTGGCCAGGAGAAGTGGGCCCCCCTCCACCCCCAGCTTCATTGCTGCCCTGGCTCCCTGAGCACAGAGCGGATTTCAAAAGCAGCAGCTGGGGCCACTGTGGAGGCCAACTCTGGCGGCTGCTCGCAGGCTGAAGGGTGCAGGAAGGCCTCCCCCGGCCCCTCGACTCTGACAGGCAGTTTCACAGGCGGTCCTGGTGGGGGGCTCTTACCACAGTGGGACATGGATGTGGCCCTGGTGCTGAACTGGGGGCAGTCAGGATGCGTGGGGAAGACCCTTCGAAGTTCCATTTTGGACATGAAGCCGGTGAGGCTGGCGGCATCCTTGGGTTCACTCTGGCAGAGCGGGGAAAGTAAGACAGACAAGGAAGGCCCCTGACTGTAGGCCAGCCCATCCAAGGGCAGACCCTGTTTCCCTAAACCATCACAAATCGCCCCAATGGCAGGTGCCTATGAGTCGTATGTAGATGCAGACCCCACACCCAGGACACCGTGTGGCCCCTCAGGCCTCCCCAGAGACCTGCCCACAACAACCCCCTGGTTCTGGAGCACTGGCTGCCCACCGAGAGCTTCTTAGGCATCCTGAAGCCTAGACAGACGGGGGCCCTGCTTCTGCCTGACTGTCGGCTGAGATTCACAGACAGGCCCCCCGACCCCACCCACACATGCTGCTGGTCACAGGCACTAAGCCACTCTCCCACTGGGGTTGAAAGGGCCTGCGTGTGTGCAGGCTGCAGCAGTGTGTCCCCTCTGTCCCCTCTCCAGCACACTGGATGCTCAGCAAGAGCCACGCAGACCCACTTTGGAAACCATAGTCCAGCCGGGCATGGTGGCTCATGCCTGTAATCCCAGCACTTTGGGAGGCCAAGGCGGGCAGATCACATGAGGTTGGGAGTTTGAGACCAGCCTGACCAACATGGAGAAACCCCATCTCTATTAAAAATACAAACAAACAAACAAATAAAATTAGCCGGGCAAGGTGGCACATTGTAATCCCAGCTACTCTGGAGGCTGAGGCTGGAGAATCACTTGAACCCAGGAGGTGGAGGTTGCGGTGAGCCAAGATCGCGCCATTGCACTCCAGCCCGGGTGACAAGAGTGAAACTCCGTCTCAAAAAAAAAAAAAAAAAAAAGAAAAAGAAAAAAAGAAACCATAGTCCACTAGGTCCAGGCAATGCATTCACCCAGGAAGCTGCCAGGAGCCGGGGTGACCATCTCGGGCTCCCCCAGTACACGGTGGCACAGCGTACCTGACTGGCTGAGGTCCCCTTTCACATTTTCTCCCCTTCACTCTCCTTTTCAAGATGCACCTTGGGAGTCTTGGGGCAAACTGTACATCTTCTCCCCTTGGCCAACCAGAGACACCGGGAGCCAAGGTCTGCAAGAGGGGAGGACCAACCCAAAGCAGCTAACCCAGAAGAAGCCGGTGGCATGTGGGGACTAAGGCACCAGGCCCTTCAGAAAGGGAGAGGACCGCAGGGCTCTTTCCACCCCTAGCGCTCAATTCGTTGCCTGCCTGGAATCCCCCTTTGGTAACCCATCACCAGAAGGCCTGTGGAATGCTTTGTGGGCTGACAGCTCTATGGGCCTTTGGGGAGGAGAAGAAACAGGTCACCTCAAGGCTCGTGGCAGCCCTCCTCCCGGGACCCCATACCGTCTTCCTGTAGTAGCGGCTGATGGTCTGGACCGACTTGCTGAGCGTGCGTGGCTTTTGGTGCGGTTTCCATTCTGGGCACCGGGCGTCCCGGCTGGCCATGCTCTGGAGGAGCACCAGGGCCCTGGCCATCGAGCTGGACATCGAACTGTGCCTCTGAGATGGGCTGGCCTCCTTAGGTAACATGAGGCGTGGGATGCAAAGACCAAGTGAGCTTTGTTGCCTGAATGTGGACCTGAATGAGGACAGGCCCGGCTTTTCCCGTGGATCTCTCTTCAGCCTGGCTTGGGGTGTGGAGGGGAAGATGGCCTCGAACATGAACCTGCTGGCTGGTGCAGTGGGAGGAGATCAGCTTCCAGAGCTCCAGGTCCTGTGGGCTCCTGGGAGCAGTGGTGGCATCACAGATGTCTCCATAGAAACCGTTATTGAGCAAAAGGGGCCCGCGGCTGGATGCGCTGGAGGCCAGTGCTGTGACACCAGGTTTTTGAGAAGAGCAAAGCTCAATATTGAAGGTTGCCTTCTGGGCTGGGTGTGGTGGCTCACACCTGTAATCCCAGCACTTTGGGATGCCCAGGTGGGAGGCATGCTTGAGCCCAGGAGTTAAACATTTTAATTAGCCAGGCATGGTGGCGTGCACCTGTAGTCCCAGCTCCTCAGGAGGCTGAGATGAGAGGATCACCTGAGCCTGGGGAGGTCGAGGTTGCAGTGAGCTGTGTTCACGTCACTGCACTCCAGCCTGGACTACAGAGTGAGACCCTATCTCCAAAAGAAAAAAGAAAAAAAGAAAAAAAAAAAGAAAGAAAAGAAAAAAAGAAAAGTCAGCTCCCAAGGACACAGGAGTCCAGCTCAAATGTCTCCATGTGCTGGCTTGAAGACAGTAATTGTATTAGAAAAGGTTAGGCTGGGTGCGGTGGCTCATGCCTGTAATCCCAGCACTTTGGGAGGCCGAGGTGGGCGGATCACGAGGTCAGGAGATCGAGACCATCCTGGCTAACACAGTGAAATCCCGTCTCTACTAAAAGTACAAAAAATGAGCCGGGCGTGGTGGCGGGCGCCTGTAGTCCCAGCTACTTGGGAGGCTGAGGCAGGAGAATGGCGTGAACCCAGGAGGCGGAGCTTGCAGTGAGCAGAGATCGCACCAGAGCACTCCAGCCTGGGCAACAGAGTGAGACTCCATCTCAAAAAAAAAAGGTTTAGGGGGTGGGCTCTGGGATTAGAAACATTTGGCCAAGAAATACCTAGAAGAGTAGATAAGAGTAGCCTGACTCCCTGGGAATGATTTTCCAGGCTTCAAATGCCTACCTCAAGACATCTTTTAAGGAGAGAAAGACAAAACCCCTACCTTCAGAAGCCTTGATTAGGGTCTGAATGGGAAGAAAGGCTTCTCTGCTTGCTGACTGAAGGAAATTTGAAGGGGGCCTGCCCCATCCACACCTGTGGGTATTTCTCTTCAGGTGGAGATGAGAGACTGAGAAAAGAAACAAGACGCAGAGACAAAGTATAGAGAAAGAACAGTCAGCCCAGGGGACCGGCACACTCAGCATGCAAGGACCTGCATCGGCGCTGGTCTCTGAGTTCCCTCAGTATTTATGGATCACTGTTTTTACTACCTTGGTGAGGGGAGTGTGGCAGGGCAACAGGGTGATGGTGGGGAGAAGGTCAGAAGGGAAACGTGAGCAAAGGAATCTGTATCATGAATAAGTTTAAGGAAAAGTACTGTGCCTGGATGTGCACGTAGGCTAGATTTATGTTTCACTTTACACAAACATCTCAGTGTAGCAAAGAGGAACAGAGCAGTATTGCTGCCAGCATATCTCGCCTCCAGCCACAGGCTGGTTTTCTCCTATCTAAGAGTAGAACGAATGGTCGGCTTTACACCAAGACATTCTGTTCCGAAGGATGAGCAGGAGATAGAAATCTTCCTCTTATCTCAACTGCTGCAAAGAGGCCTCCCTCTTTAACTACTCCTCCTCAGCACAGACCCTTCATGGGTATCAGGCTGGGGGATGTAAGGTCTTTCCTTTCCCACAAGGCCACATCTCAGGCTGTCTCAGTGGGGGGAAACCTTGGACAGGCTTTCTTGGGCAGAGGTCCCTGCAGCTTTCCTCAGTGTATTGTGTCCCTGGTTAATAGAGAATGGAGGATGGCGGTGACTTTTACCAGGCATGCTGCCTGCAAACGGATGGTTAACAAGGCATACCCTGCACAGCCCTAAATCCATTAAACCTTGATTCAATACAGCACATGCTTCTGTGACACAGGGTTTCGGCTAAAGTTACAGATTAACAGCATCTCAAAGCAGAACAATTTTTCTTCATACAGATCGAAATGGAGTTTCTTATGTCTTCCTTTTCTACATAGACACAGTTACAATCTGATCTCTCTTTCTTTTCCCCACAGAAATTCATGACCCCATCCTTTCCAATATGACTTTATAAAAAATATTTATCATCCAAAAATCTCTTCAGTTTTTTGCATCTAAAGTACAAAACAAGCCTAGTATATATTTGAATTTTTGACCTACAGTCATATACCAAATAATGAAATTTTGGTCAATCATAGACCAAATGACAGACCAATACAATGGTAGTCTCTTAAGAATCTAATACTGTATTTTGGCCGGGTGTGGTGGCTCATGCCTATAATCCCAGCACTTTGGGAGGCTGAGGTGGGTGGATCCCAAGGTCAGGAGATTGAGACCATCCTGGCTAATATGGTGAAACCCCATCTCTACTAAAAATACAAAAATTAGCTGGGCGTGGTGGTGGGCACCTGTAGTCCCAGCTACTCGGGAGGCTGGGGCAGGAGAATGGCGTGATCCCGAGAGGCGGAGCTTGCAGTGAGACCAGATTGCGCCGCTGCACTCCAGCCTGGGCGACAGAGCGAGACTCCATCTCAAAAAAAAAAAAAAAAAAAAAAATCTAATAGTGTATTTTCACTGTAGCTTTTCTGTGCTTAGACATGTGTAGATACACACATACGTTGTGTTCCAACTGCCTGCAGTACTCAGGAACATGCTGCACGGGTTTGCAGCCTCAGCAACAGGTATAGCATATAGCCTAGGCATAGACTGGGCTGTAAACCACGTAGGTTTGTGTGAGCACACGGTATGACGTCTGCAGGATGGTGAAATTGCCTAATGATGCACTTCTCAGAACATATCCCTGTTATTAAGTGACACATACTGTATTTTAATAAGAAATAAAGCACTTTTACCAGCCTCAAATACTGAGAAAGAATTCTTGCCTTGCCAATTTCTCTTTTGTTGATTATTTTGTAGTCTTCCATATGAATCTCTAATTGTTTTGGGGACTTGGACCACAGGAAATGTTGTCACATTGGCCTGAGGTCCAGCATGTTTGAAAATCACATGTATTATGCTTTGTTTTTACATTGGTCTCTGAAACGCTGTTCAACAGACTCCTCGTCTATTAAAACACTCAAGTAAATTTCTGGTTCAGTTAACAGAAACTCATGGTGACAATTTGATCGATAGCGAAGCCAATATTAAATAGAAAGCTTATCTTGGGACCGACATTCAATCTATACAAACAAATCAAAGCTTCTCGTCTTGTCACTTCATATGAAAATGGCTAGATTTCCCCCAGATCTAGAAGGTATGTTTGGAGTTGGCTTAAATGCAGACCAGTGGCTGTGGGCGGAGGGTTACCCAGGTGCCGAGGCAAGAGACTGAAGGCACAAACTGTTTCAGCATAATAAAGAAAATAGTTAGAATAAGGATAGTCATGATACAAATTAGATATAGAGATGATGAACAATTATCAATCATTATTAATCATTAGCTTTTAATATTACTCTTTGTTGCATTACTAACATAATCTAGTAATAACCAGCGGGTGCAGGGTCAGGTGCTGAAGGGACATTGTGAGAAGTGAATAGAAGGCAAGAGGTGAGCCTTCTGTCACACCCGCATAAGGGCCGCTTTAGGGTTCCTTGGTCAAGCGGTAACGCCAGCGTCTGGGAAGGCACCCGTTACTTAGCAGACCATGAAAGGGAATCTCCTTTCCTTGGAGGAGTCAGGGAACACTCTGCTCCACCAGCTTCTTATGGAAGGCTGGATATCATCCAGGCCTGCCCACAGTCATCCGGAGGCCTAACCCCTCCCTGTGGTGCTTCAATGCTCATGCTCCTTGTCCACTTTCATGCCCCTCCCGTACTCCTGGTTCCTCTTTGAAGTTCGTAGTAGATAGCGGTAGAAGGAATAGTGAAAGTCTTAAAGTCTTTGATCTTTCTTATAAGTGCAGAGAAGAAAACGCTGACGTATGCTGCCTTCTCTCTCTGCCTTGCCTACCTAAAATGTATCCTGTAATCACATGACTTGCTTCACCTTGTCAATCACTTAGAAGATTCACCCTCCTTACCCTGCCCCCTTGTCTTGTATGCAATAAATATCAGCGAGCCCAGCCGTTTGGGGCCACTACCAGTCTCCACGTCTTGATGGTAGTTGTCCCTGGGGCCAGCTGCTTTCTATCTCTTTGTCTTGTGCCTTTATTTATTACAATCTCTCATCTCTGCACACGGGGAGAACACCCGCTAAGCCCCATAGGGCTGGACCCTACAAGTGGCACCAGAAAATGTATCTGGGAAGCGAGGCAGCCCTGGAAGTCTGGCCATCGCGGGGGGCAAGGTGTGTGTGTGTTAGCTACAGGTATCTCCTGCTGCGTCCTCATTTCCCAGAACAAGGAGTGGGTGGGCCAGTGTGAAGTGAGGGTGGAGTGTGAAAGGCACACGTGCGTCTATTTGCTACCTAGGGGTCGTGTGAGCTCGGCATCCCTCCCCTGGGCCCACACCTCCCACAGGTGTTGTGTTCTTGTACTCACGGAAAAGCAACCTGGGCCTTCAGGGCCTTTATTGATAAAACTCGCGCCTGTAGTCCCAGCTACTTGGGGGGCTGAGGCAGGAGAATTGCTTGAATCTGGGAGGCGGAGGTTGCAGTGAGCCGAGATCACGCCACTGCACTCCAACCTGGGTGACAGAGGGAGACTCGGTCTCAAAAAAAAACCAAAAACCAAAAACCAAAAACAAAACAACAAAAACTGAGTGGAAAGTCAAACACTAACAAGCCTAAGATTTTTGGTTACTGTAAAAAAAAAATTGTAAATTGCAAAGTCAATTTTATTTTCTTAATAAGAAAATAAAACCCTCTTGCCAATCAGGGAAATCCTGTGGGGAGAGCGGCTCCACTTGGAGATAACGGGCCCAGAGAAACCGCCTAAGGTGGGGCAGTCAGCACCTGGGTGCAGGTGCATCTGGGACCCGTCAGATCTCTACGCCCCGCGCAGGCTCCGCCCCCACGCCCAAGACCCCGCCCCGCGCCCGGAGCCTCCCTCGACTTGGCCCTGGGTCTGCACCGAAGGCCCCACCCCTGCCCTCGCCCAGCCGCGACCCCGCGCTTCCGGATCCGGGTTGTTGCGGGATCTCACAGGCTTTAAACCGCGGCGCCGCGGCGCCCGGGTGTGGATCCCTAGATGGGAGCCGGGGATGGGCCGGGTGCCTGGTGGGTGGCAGTCGGGGCTGACGGCGGCGGCACTTTGCCGCCTCAGGCCCTGGACACCTTCACCCCGCCGCCTGCCCAGGCGGGCCGGCCCTGCCCGTCCACCGGCCGCCGAGAGTCCCCGGCCTTGGGTCCCCGGGGCCGCTGACTGGCCTCGGTCACCTCCCGGGGAAGGCTCCCGCGCCTCCATCTGCCCCCGCAGGAAGGGACCCTCTTCTCGCCCGCGAGGCTTCTCCGGGTGGGATCGTCCTGGCCCCCAGCCCTAAGGGATCCGCCCCCTCCGAGCATCCGCCGCCCCTCGGAGACCACTCCAGCTCGGACGGACCCACTCCAGCCCCCGCTGCACGCGGAAGCGCTCATCCTCCCCGCCTGCCCCGTTCCCTCCCCCTTCTCCTGTGGGACAACCAGGGACCGCAGCTCCCCGCTCCCCAGGTGTGGGGGCTCCGACACGAACGCCTCTGCTCGCAGGGCGGTGAGCGCAGATCCCACGGGTCCCTCGGTCGGGGGTCGAGGCTGCTTCCGTTTCCATCCCGGACCCGACAATGGGCGGGAAAAAGAAGGCTTTACACGACTACGCGGCGGAGTTCACCGACCTGGTGGTGAAGCACCTGATTGAGCACAGTGACTCTGGGGACACGTCTGTGGTGGAGACCCTTTACTGCAGGGCCTGCGAGCTGCCCGTGCGCGTGCGGAGGGACCGCATCCTGGAACACCTGTCCTCGGGCAGGCAGCACGGCCTGCGGACGCCCATTCTCATGTAAATGTCAGTGCCAACGCTGGTGTTTCAGGAGTCATCCCAGCGGGCTGCGGGCTATTTTAGGATTCTCTGCCCTGCAAACGTTTCCAAAGTACGTGGACAGGCCGCCTGATGACACTACGTTTACGGGATCTGCTAGTGGCTTGCCTACTTAGGGAGTAAACCCTGTGAAGTCTCGCAGTTTTGTTAAAGTGTGCGTGGCCACCTGAATGCTGCCTTATCACAAGCCAGATACATACTGGTCTGTAGGGTAACTCCCCACTGTTGATCCTCTGAGATGATTGTGGACTGGGTGCTGTGAGTCCTGCCACTTTGTTTAAGTGAATGTGTCTTTTGTCCAGCTCAGCCGCCTCGGATCTCGCTGCCACCAGCCTTACTGCACACCCGTGCCACCCGCCCTTGCCCCGTCAGCCTCAGCCTCAGCTCATTCTCTCAGGCAGTCCCAGCATTGGCACGGTACCTCCTCCCGCTGTGGGCCACACGTCTCTGCTCCCTGTCAACCCTCCTGCCATCAGCACCACCACCAGCGACTTGTCTGCCCGGGAGGATGCAACACCATCTGCCTCCACCGGCCACCTTTCAGTGTTTCCTGCTTTCCAAGTAAAGATACCAGCAGTGCCCTCAGAGCAGACCAGCCAGAGTTTTTCTGAAGCCTCCCACAGGGTGCTCCCCGGAGGAGGCCCGAGATGCTCTCGTGACTTTGGAGCCGGGGTGGCTGGCCACCTTGGCCTGGGCATCTTTGGGGTGGGCTTCGGGAGCCCGGCACTGCTGCAGAGTGTGGTGGATGAGAACAGCTGCTGCTTGCTGTACGTGGTGGAGGACCAGCTGTGTGATGTGGAGCAAGCCTTCAGAGCTGAGCATTTGGGCCAACACCAGAGTGGTTCGGGAACAGGATGCAGACATTGTCCTCAACGACCAGCGGTACGGTTTCAGTTGTCAGCAGAGGTTCACTGAACACCTGCTGTGTGCCGGGCACCGTCCTGGGGGCTGGAGAAATGGCTCTGAATGCTGCAAAGTCCCCATGCTTGTGCTGCTGAATTGGGGGCAGAGGCAGATGCGTAGATCTCAACACATCAGTAGCAATAAGCTCTGCGGAGAGAACTCACGCTGAGTCGGGAGAGGGAGGCTGGTGGGAGTGCTGTTTTAGGTGAGATGGCTGGGGAAGACTTGAGGAGGGGGCATTGGAGCAGGGACCTAGGTGGGTGAGTGAGATGGCCGTGGGGGCATCCGGGGACGAGCACACTCTACAAAGAGGACACTGAGTCTTCTCCAGGCCTTGGTGTAGCCAAGTGGCCCTGCTGGCAGGAACGGAGTGAATGGGGTGAGGGCTAGGCAAGGAGGTCCCAGGCCCAAGGAGCCTGGGGGCCACCCGGAGGCTTTGAAAGCCGCCAGGGGTTGGTTTGGTTTGAGCTCACACTCAGGGGGCGGAGGAGAAGGACGCAGGGACACCAGTGAGGGGTATTGGGGGGCCAGTGGGGCATGATGGGCCCGGACCAGGGCAGCAGTATGGCTGGATTTGGGATATTTTGAATGTACAGCCTTTGCAATGGGGTCCTGGCTTCCTCCCTTCACTCGAGCAGCTGGGTGTGACATGTCCACCCTGTTCATGAGCGGTGTCTCCAGCAGCTAGAGCAGCATCTATACTTGCTGTCCACAGGGTGTGGACAGCCACAGCAGGTAAACGGGCTCGCGGGCAGCCACCCAGCCTTGGGGTCAGGCGCAGCCACTGTGTTCAGGCCTGGGCTGGGCACTGCCTGGTGTTTCGCAGAGCTGGCCGGTGCTGCTCACAGGTCAGGCCTGGCTCACCTTTGGTGTGTCCAGGTTTGGACATGCTCTTACTAGTGTAGCAAGGGGAGAGTTTGACCCCAGGTTGTTAACGCATGTGGAGGGCTCTGAACGTATTAGCGGATGGTGTTGTGTCTCAGCAAAGCCCATTGCCACTGCAGAAGAACGTTCGTGAATGTTAATGCTTTGTGTGTTTTTGGAAAGTTGGCAAATTTTATTTATTTATTTATTTACTTTATTTATCTTTTGAGACGGAGTCTCACTCCTCTGACGGAGTCTTACCCTGACGGAGTCTCACTCTGTCGCCAGGCTGGAGTGCAGTGGCGCGATCTTGGCTCACTGCAACCTCCACCGCTGGGTTCACGCCATTCTCCTGCCTCAGCCTCCCGAGTAGCTGGGACTACAGGCACCTGCCACCGCACCCGGCTAATTTGTGTTTTTAGTAGAGACAGGGTTTCACTGTGTTAGCCAGGATGGTCTCGATCTCCTGACCTTGTGATCTGCCTGCCTCGGCCTCCCAAAGTGCTGGGACTACAGATGTGAGCCACTGCGCCCGGCCTGCAAATTTTAGTTTTCAGTTATCTGTGGCATCTGCTTTAGGCAGGTTTTCACACTTTTCACTCGGGTATCACATTCACAGAATGCACACGTTCATACATGATACACACAGCAAAGTGCCCGAGTCGGTGTGTTTTTTACGAACTGCACGCACCTGTGTGGCCAGCCTGGAGATCACAGTCCTCGGAAGTCCCCGGGCTCCTGTCCAGCCCACACCTGAGGCTGACCTCTGTAGGCTGAGGAAGGGAGCATCTTTTTTTTTTTTTTGAAAGAGTCTTGCTTTGTCACCCAGGCTGGAGTGCAGTGGCGCGATCATGGCTCACTGCAGCCTCAACCTCCTTGGCTCAAGTGATCCTCCTACCTCAGCCTCCTGAGTAGCTGGGACTACAGGTGTGTGACACCAAGCTTGGCTAATTTTTTTTTAGTATTTTTTCTAGAGATTGGTTTTTGCCAAGTTTCCCAGGCTGGTCTTGAACTCCTGGGCTCAAGTGATCCTCCTGCCTCAGCCAAATCTCAAAGTGCTGGGATTACAGGCGTGAGCCACTGCATCTGTCCCTGAGGATCGTAATAGAATTTGACTCACAGAAGCCTATTCTGTGACTTGGCTGGGATCTGTATTTTGTTCCTCAAAATTAGCAAGTTAAATTCTGAAGTAAGTCATACCGGAAATGTTTTCACAATTTACTTTGTTGAGGCCTTTTTCTTCTGTTATTCTCGTGCCTGAGATGGTTTATAGAGTGGTGTTAGCAGCATGGATTCTGGAATGTTCTAGGTCTCAAAGCACGCTCTTAACATTCCACTTTACTCCTGCAGCGTCTCTGGAGTAGTTGTTTGCTGCCCGCCGGAGGCAGCTTCTGAAATCGTGAGGGATGCTCTCCGAGCAGCTATGGGCTGGGCTGGCTGAGGTGATGTCTGCACCTGTGCCCAGGTGTCTCAGGGAGAATGGGCTTCGGGGAATAGGCTTGCCTGCTTCATCTCCTGACTCCTTTGCTAGGCACTTTGATCCGGTTTTCCAGTTCTTGCACAAGCAAGTTTGTGTCAGCCACGCCCTGGGGAGGATCCACTGGATCACCGCCGTCACTGCCTGTTCCCGGCGGCCTCTCCGGCTTCCCTAAAGAGAGCAGGTGGGCATCTGCGTTTTTGGGGGAATGCACAGCGTTGTGGCATCTGTGTCCATGTCACGTGGTTCCCTGTGACCCAGAACCCTCCAATGCTTCTCGCCAGTAGCTTCCCTCGAGACCAGAAGCCAGAGCTCACCCTCCCTTGTGTCCAGGTGGGACTTTCTACAACGCTGCTGTGCACGACGTGGATGCCGTATGCATGTTGCTGGGGGAAGCCACTCCGGACACTGTGTTTTCTCTGGGACATGTCTTCTGCCCAGGTAAGAGTGGGCCTCACTGTTGCAAGGTGCTCCTATGGCCACCGAGGCTGGTTGAAGATGTAGCACAGGCTGGGGCCCCTGTTCAGGATTCCTCCCCCACTCCCAGCTTTGGGGAGCAGATAAAGTAACATGGAGCACATGTAAAACAGATGACTAAATGGTCGCGTCACTGAATCCCTCAGGCATCATGCAGGAAGTGTTTCACATTTGATGAACTTTGAGAGTCACTGTTGTAGTAACCATTTCTCCAGCCCCTGCGATGTGACAGGCCCCTGTCGTTTCTCAGGTTGCAAAGGTGAAGAAACACAGTCCCGGCTGGAAGTCACAGCCAGGGTGGGATGCACACAGATTAGCAGATCATCAGCGAGCACCAGGTGAAGGCGGGGCTGGGGATGCTGGTTCCTAGGTCCTGGCCTGGCAGCAGAAGCTCAGGGTGGGTCCTGAGGGCTGCTGAAGAGGACAGATTATCTGTTGCTTTATGACACACCACACACTTGAAACAACAGCCACTGGGTAGTTAGGATTTTGCAGCCTGGACTGGGCTTGGCTGGAGTCCCTCTTCTGGTCTGCCCGGTGGTCACTCACGTGACTACAGCCAGCTGGTCAGCGGCCTGCCTGGAACAGCCCCACCAGGGTCCCAGGGCCGGGCCCCGCTGTCACCTGGGTTCTCTTCCGTGTCGTCCCCACGCCTCCTCAGGTCCCCACAGCAGCGTGGCCACACATTTGATGGCCTCAGGGGACCAAAGTAGAAGCACTGAGACATCCTGAGGCTTGGGCCGGGACTGACGTGGTACCCCTCACACCACACTTTGTGTACTGGGGCAAGTCCAGGCCCAGCCAGTGCCAGTGCTGACTTCTCTCAGTGCCTGCTTCACTCTGTCTCGTCAGCACCCCCTTTTGGCACTGCCTCCCCCGTCTGCCCAAAGTTCACCCACACACCCTGCTCCGCTGGCCACCACCCCGATCCCAGCCATGTCCTCATCCTGGCTGTGGCCATCTGCCTGCAATCTCTTCCCTGTAAGACCTCAGTTGGACCAGGTGCCCACCTGCTCTGAGCTCTCCAGAGCACAGGTGGAGGCCATGGTCTCCGCAGACCCCGCGGGCCTGTCACCGGTCGAGGGTCTTGACTGCACATTGTCCAGGTTCTTGGCCTTTTGAACAAAGAATTGGACAAAACACCCAGCAAAGCAAAGAAAGGATGAAGCAACAAAAGTACGAAAGCAGGGATTTATTGAAAATGAAACACACTCCACAGTGTGGGAGCGGCCCGAGCAGCAGCTCTAGGGCCGGATACAGAATCTTCTTGGGCCCAAATACCCCCTAGAAGTTTCCCATTGGCCACTTCATGCTCACCTCATGTAAACGAAGTGGTTGCAAAAAGCAACCAGTCAGAGGCTGGAGTGAAGTTACAAAGTTATACTTCTGTGCAGATGAAAACTCAGCCTGTAATCAGTCTGATTGGTGTGAACAGCGACCATTCAGAGGCTGGAGTGAGTGAAGTTACAAAGTTGCAAAGGAAGACTTGACCCACAATCAGTCTGATTTGTTGCAGACAGCCAGTTTCCCATCTGCCAGGCAGAAAACGTGAGTGGGGTTTGCAAAGGCCTCCGGTCCTTTTGTTACTTAGGAGTGGAAAGTTAGGGTTTTCCCTTCAACATAGTTCAAGGAAGTTGTGAAACAGCCTTAGGTTCCCTGCCTCCAGACCCTAATCTCCTGCCTCAGGCTCACGGGTGCCGCCCCCCGCAACCCCACTGTCCTCTTGTCCACTTCTCGCTCTTCCTCAGAAGGCCAGACAAGTACCTGTCTGGGGCCCGCTCCCCGGGTGGGACATGGGGACTGGCTCTGCTAGGCCCATGGCTGTACTCCCAGGGTCCAGAAGGTGCCTGGGCCCGGGACCGCCAACGCTACAGAAGCTTAGCAAACACGGAATTGGACTGCTTGCTGGGCAGCGTCCCCGTGCCTCTCAGGGACCCATTTTGGAACAATTTAATTTTCTATTAAGGACCAGTTTCTGTGTCACTACTTGGCTATGCCCTCCGCCCACTGCTTCAGTTAAAGCCGTGAGTTCAGGCCGGGTGTGGTGGTATTCCCAGCACTTTGGGAGGCCCAGGCTGCAGGATCACTTGAGGTCAGGAGTTCGAAACCAGCCTGGCCAACATGGTGAAACCCGTCTCTACTAAAAATACAAAAAAAATCAGCCGGGTGTGATAGTGAACGCCTGTAATCCCAGCTACTTGAGAGGCTGAGGCAGGAGAATTGCTTGAACCTGGGAGGCAGAGTTTGCAGTGAGCCAAGATCGTGCCACTGCACTCCAGCCTGGGTGACAGCAAGATTCTCTCAAAAACAAAACCAAACAAAACAGTTTCTCATTTGCCTAAATCAACTTTTGTATCATCTAAAGTTTTCTTCTGCTTAGATATGGCCGCCTTAAAAGATGCAGATGCTGTTGTGATCAGCATGAAGTTTCCCTGTGAGGCCGTGGTTAGCGTGGACATCAGCCAGCACTGCACAGACAGCTGCGACCAGGACGTCAGCCAGCACTGCACAGACAGCTGCGACCAGAGACTGGAGGTGACCCTTGCCCTTTTCCACCCTTCGCCAGTCCACTGTGAAAAGCTGGGTTGATTGTGCGGGTTAGATAGAGGTCATCAGCCGGGTTGATTGTGTGGGTTAGACAGAGGTCATCAGCCAGGTTGATTGTGTGGGTTAGATAGAGATCATCAGCCTGGTAGATTGTGTGGGTTAGATAGAGGTCATCAGCCAGGTTGATTGTGCGGGTTAGATAGAGATCATCAGCCGGGTTGATTCTACAGGTTAGATAGAGGTCGTCAGCCGGGTTGATTGTGCGGGTTAGATAGAGATCATCAGCCGGGTTGATTGTGCGGGTTAGATAGAGGTCATCAGCTGGGTTGATTGTGTGGGTTAGATAGAGATCATCAGCTGGGTTGATTGTGTGGGTTAGATAGAGGTCGTCAGCTGGGTTGATTGTGCGGGTTAGATAGAGGTCATCAGCCGGGTTGATTCTACAGGTTAGATAGAGGTCATCAGCTGGGTTGATTGTGCGGGTTAGAGATCATCAGCCGGGTTGATTGTGCGGGTTAGATAGAGGTCATCAGCCGGGTTGATTGTGCGGGTTAGATAGAGATCATCAGCTGGGTTGATTCTGCAGGTTAGATAGAGGTCATCAGCTGGGTTGACTATGTGGGTTAGATAGAGGTCGTCAGCCGGGTTGATTGTGTGGGTTAGACAGAGGTCATCAGCTGGGTTGATTCTGCGGGTTAGATAGAGGTCATCAGCTGGGTTGATTGTGTGGGTTAGATAGAGATCATCAGCTGGGTTGATTGTGTGGGTTAGATAGAGGTCATCAGCTGGGTTGATTGTGTGGGTTAGATAGAGGTCATCAGCTGGGTTGATTGTGTGGGTTAGATAGAGGTCATCAGCTGGGTTGATTGTGTGGGTTAGATAGAGGTCATCAGCTGGGTTGATTGTATGGGTTAGATAGAGGTCATCAGCTGGGTTGATTGTACGGGTTAGATAGAGGTCGTCAGCCGGGTTGATTCCGCAGGTTAGATAGAGGTCGTTAGCTGGGTGTGTGGGTCCCAAGGCGTGCTGCAGATGGAGAATCAGAATTCCTTGGGCATCACCGGGCGGGGCATGTCCCTGTCCCTTCGCTCCCAGACCCAGGCTAGCCGCTACCAGGACTCCTATCGAGAGCTCTTCAGACACTTTGTCAGAACCCTTAAAGGTGGGTGACGTTTTCAGGAGGAACCTGGGATGTCCTGATGCTCAATGGGTAGATGCCTTCCAGGCTGCAGTCAGTGCAGATGATATGCCAATTTCAGGTGGAAAATTGCATTCCAGATACCGGGTTCAGATTTGAAATTGTCCATCTCAGTGATCATTTACGTTGCGTGTACTTGAGGGAGATTCTGAGAGATGCTCCTTTGGGGTTCTGTGCGTGTACCATGTTGCCTGACACGTCCTGAGAAATCTTCTTAAACTCTGAGTTTATAAAATAACTACTTCTGAACTCCTGAGATCTAGTGGATACCATGTATCCTGGAAGATAGGACACTTTCTACCCTCTGTCAGTCCTGGGGGTGACTGGGAACCAGAGAGGTTGAGCAGAATTCCTGGACCTGGGTGGGGCTTGTCCAAGAGGGGCAGGTGGGCCTCTCTAGGATCAGTGTCCCACCCAGAGGCCAGTGGCCCCTTCACATGCCCCAACAAGAGGAAGACTGTCTGGCTCCGCAGTGTTGGGTTTTGTCCTGAATCTGTGCAAATGTGCAGGGAAATAACCTCCTGAAATCACCAAAGAGCAGTTCCTCAGGGCCTTCCGGGTGACCGTGGCCGTGGAGCAGTCGTGGTGAAACCGGTCAGCTGTGGACCTGCCCTGCGAATCGGCAGAGGCCTCCGTGGTGAAGACAGAAGCTCCGTGAACCAACTCGAGGCTGGAGCCAAGATCCTGCCTGATATCCAGTTGCCTGTTTCACTTGTTACTGTTACTGGGAGAGGGAGACAAAACCTCATGGCAATCTTGTCCTCACTGGAGACTCAGAAGGGGAAGCATTGGGAAACCATGTATGTTTCATTTCTGGTTTAACCAGGCTTTTCAGGATGGGACTTCAGACCAAGGACACAAGTTGGGCTTGCTTAGGTGTTTTGTGTTGTGCGCAGGCCTCAGAGATGCTCTTCCGGTCAGAGTTCCCTTGGCAGGGCCTTGGAGGCCTCTGGTTGGCTCTCTCAGGAAGAGGGCAGGTCAGGGATTGGGCGGTGTAAATTGACTCAGAAACCTGCGGTTTCAGCTTTTCTGTGGCAAACAGGGCCGAGGGCTGGTGAAGCTGTTAAGGCTAAATGTCGCATGCATGAGGCGGGCTGCAGGCCTCCTTAGGCCTTTTTTGGGGTAATTACACCAGTATTTAAAAACATTTTTTTTTGTTTGTTTTGAGATGGAGTCTTGCCCTGTCACCCAGGCTGGAGTGCAATGGTGCGATCTCGGCTCACTGCAACCTCCGTCTCCCAGGTTCAAGCGATTCTTCTGCCTCAGCCTTCTGAGTAGCTGGGATTACACGCGTGTGCCACCACGCTCGGCTAATTTTTGTATTTTTAGTAGAGATGGGATTTCACCATGTTGGCCAGGCTGGTCTCGAACTACTGACCTCGTGATCCACCTGCCATGGCCTCCCAAAGTGCTGGGATTACAGGCGTGAGCCACCATGCTCGGCCTAAAAAACAATTTTCTTGAAGAATCCGATTTTGTGCATAGTAATGACACAGCACCATTCCTGAGAAATAGGAAATATATGTGTGTGGTATGAAAAGCCCATATTCTGTTCTTGTCACCTGAATCTAGGCTTCCTCTTTGGATGTGAACGCGGGAATGAACAGTGGCTGTTTTCCACCCAAAGGGGCGTGGAGACCTTTTGGAAACGGGCTTTCTCCTTTCCATTTTGCAGCCGGGGGCGGGTGGAAACCTTCCTTCGAAGGGTAGTGCCTTGGGGAGCAGCAGACCTGCTCTGAGTCCAGCTTAGCTTTCCAAAATTCTGTGTGGAACTTACTGGAGATGTTTTTATATATTTGAAAATAATGGCCTGTATTTCTCACGCTATACTTAAAAAAAATAACTAACCTTTTAAACAAAGATATTCAAACTCACCCTTGTGCTGAAAGCACTCACATTTCTGTGTTCATTCCTGAAAGGGCGTTTTAGAGTCCCCGTTTCTACGTTCTATGTGGCACCCTCTTGCCGAGGGAACATCCAGAATCCCTCCACTTCCTGTCTAGTTTGAGGCCTCAACACCTTCATGATCCAGAGTCCTGCGGCTATGAGGGGGTGGGCCCACCACCGCCCAGCCCTCCTTGGTGGACGTGGGGACAGGTAGGAGCCTAGGGAAAGGGGTGGGCGGGCTCTGGTGTGACGGCGTGAGCGCTAGCCAGGAAGATGGGGCCAGGGCTTGGCATGGCACCTCACCTGTGGGGGAACTCGGCGGAGCTTCCTGGCGGCATCTCCCCCTCTTGCCTTGGTCCTTTCTATCTTTGTTTTAGGCCAATTTCTAAAAAGACTGAGGCCTCCTTCAAGGTTGAACAGATTTCTAGAGCCTTGTTTTTGCTGTGACAAGTCCCTAGTCCCTGTTCACAACTCTGAAACCAAGAAACCTGAGAACCAAGAGAACTGAAATGAAGCCCGTTGGTCTCAGCCTGGCTTGAGCCAACATGAGGCTCTCTGCTGCCTTTTGTTTTCTTAGGTTTTGCTGAGAAACGGGAGTGCGTTCTGTGTCGGTGTTTGTGACGCCCTGAGACCCTGCTTGGCCTAGCTAAAGTCCAGAAGGCCTGGGCCCCACAGGGCTTGGATGAGGGCTCATGGGCCTGTACTTCAGGAGGCCTGAGAGGCCCGGTCAGTCCCATGAGGCTACTCGGCTTGGCCCGCAGGTCCTCCGAGGCACAGGGCAGAGGGACACCCCAGGGACCCATCAGACTCACGACACAGAGAAACTCAAGTGGGGTGCCAGGGCCGGCCACAGAGGCCACGGGCTTCCTGCCTGTGAGGAGCCGCCCTGTTTGTCTGAGCCCTTTGGAGATTTAGGTTGAGTCATGAGAACCGGTCATTGGAACATACACTTTATTATGTTACAAAAACAAAAATCCCCACTGAAACACAGCTAAAAAAATAACACATTTTCCCAAGATTACATTACCAAAAACAGTTGTTATGTCATTGGAGGGCGTCCATTAATACTGCTCGGAGAAGCACGATCTTACACGAAAAACACGGATGGGATTTCGTTTTCACCTTAAAGCATTAAAGTGCTTTAACTGGTAACAGAGGAGTGGATGTTTGTGCGTTGGAGACACTGACTGTTCTGAGTGACAAGTGGCTCTGTGCCAGGATACTGCGGGTCGGGCTCCTGGGTACAGCAAGGGCTTCCCAGCAGCCCAGGCCTGGTGGGAACGCTGGGGGAATGGGGGAGAGTCGCTGTTTCTGACCAGAGCGACTTGGACAGATGTGAGCTGACCTGCCTGGCGAGCTCCTTCTGCCTTGCCTCTCTGAGCAGACTCAGGACCACTGCCTGTCCCCCTTGGCCCCAGGAGTGCCAGCAGCCTCCCTCCAACCCCTGCACTGCTGGGAAAACCATCCGCCTTCAAGATTTATTTGTTGATTTGTTTAGTTTTATAAAAACATATCACTTAAAGGATTCTTGTTCCTGGGAATTTGCATTTTCTCCTGACCACGGCGAAGTCTCAACTCTGTCTACTTTCACAGCTGCTTCTCCAGTGCAAGGAGGCTGCATGGGCTCCCTAGACAGGTGCAGCTGGGGCCATCTGGCTGCTCCGTGTTCTGGCCGGCTTCCTTGGACATCTGGCTGGGGTTCCAGTGACAGCTGCCCCTGGGCCTCTCCCAGCCCCCCCAGCCCCCCCAGCCCTTCCCAGGAGCACACTACAGGGGCTCTTGGGACAGCCTCACTGGACTCAGGGTGGACAGGTAACGTACCTAAGAAACAAATCAACAAGCCCTCTGGAACTGAAGCACATCTGCGCTGGGCTGAGGAACCCCGGGTGTCAGGATGGGCCCCCGCGGCTCCTGAAGTGGAACATGGGGGAAGAGTGGGGGCTTCAGGAGGTGGCCTCGGGTAGCAGGTGCCCAGCCCCCAAGAGATGGGTGTGGTGCCTGGGGCATGGGTCTTAGCCTTTCTGGTCTCAGCTTCCTCATCTACAAAATGGCAATAAGATGGAGAGCTGAGGTGACATGCAGCTGGGGTGGCTGCGCCACCCTGGGAAAGCCCCGAGTCTGCTGCTGCTGCCGCTACTGACTGATGCCCTGGGCGTGGGCACCTTTCTAGGGAGATGGAACCCTAGAAGCTAAGCGGCCAGAGCTTCCTGCCCTTCAGCTGGAAGGAGCCGGAAGGAGCTGGAAGGAAGGGCCAGGCCCTCGCCCTGGCTGCAGCCAGATCCCCTGAGAGCCGACAGCCCCGTTCCTGCTGCCCCCACAAGCGTGCACCCAGGCGACTGTGCTGTCAGCGGCCCCCGGGGAGGTGGACGGTGGGAGAGGGATGCCTGCGTCTTCGTAGACCAGGTACCTGCGG
Source organism: Homo sapiens (assembly GCF_000001405.40). Lineage (NCBI taxonomy): Eukaryota > Metazoa > Chordata > Mammalia > Primates > Hominidae > Homo > Homo sapiens. Next base: position 3,734,722 of record NC_000001.11, on the reverse strand, counting down.
CAACACCAGTCGCTGCTTTTAAATAAGGGGAGGCTGGTGACGGTGATGCCACTTAGCAAGATGGAGTCCTGATCTGGGGATGGGGGCTGTGTCTAACCTTGCTGTGCCCTGAGGGGCTTAACTGCTTTTTCTGGGAGATGTTAGTAGGGGAAGCTCCTAGCCCTTAGGACCACACATACCCTAGGCAGGGGGTGTGGAGCTGGCCGTGCCAGAAGGGGCCAGGCAGCCTGCACTCTGGGTGGTGTCTCGGCTTGCGTGGGTGAGGGCTCCCATTGGCCCACCTGCCTGCAATGAAGGGCCTCGTCACACCCGTGAGGCCCCCCAGGGGCTCCGGTTCCCTGCCCTGAAGCTGTGCTCCGGGACGGTCAAGGTTCGGCCACCAAGGCTCAGGCTGCTCCTCGTGGATGGAGGTGGCCCCAGAAAGGGCCTGTGCAGACTCTGTCTCCCCGGGGCCTACTAACTCCCTGGGGTGCTCCACGAAGGCCTAGACCCCCCTACACCTACCTCAGTCTGTTCCCTGACTGCCACCGCCTAGAAAGGAAAGCAATGCCCTGTGGACCTTGCAGTGCTAGAGAAGGTGGCCGTGGCAAGGGAGGAGCTGCTCCCATGGCAGAGCATTCCTGCAGATTTGCCTGGATTTGCCCTTCCTGGGGTTCCCTCTAGGCTTCCTCCCCACCCGGCCTTCCTGGGAACAAGTCCCGCCCACCTGGCTTCTCACTCAGCTTCCTCAGCCTGGCTCATGGGCGCTAGGTTGAACTCCAAAGAGAATGCTGAGAAAGAAAGTTAAAAAAAAAAAAAAAAAAGCTGACCCACCATGTAGAAAAGGGTATCATTTTATCAAATATTGACAATTTCCAGTCCTCTAAGGACAGGCTGTCCCTTTCTGCTGAGGGGTCCCCGAGGAGAGGCGACTGTGGCCAGGCTGAGGGGCACTGGCTGAGGCGGTACCACATGCTTCCCCGCGCCTGGGGGGGGTTGCGCCCTCCCCAGTTTTCTCCAATTTCAGCAACACTGTGGTTGTTGTTAGGGGCAGGAAGGAGGCGGTCCTGCAGAATACAGCGTGCTGGGGGCAGAGGCCAGTCCCAAGTCCAGCAGAGAGAGTCCCCAGCCCCCGGCGCGGGCAAGACGCAGTTAGGGACATTCCCTGAAAATACACTGGTGTTTCAGACACAGTCACTTGGCTGCTCACTACTATCCAGAACCAAAAGATGTCGCAAAATACTTTTTGGCAGTCCATCAGCAAAGAGGATCCTTTCCTTTGGAAGGACCTCGCCTGGTTGGGAGATGACAGTCTCTAGGATGAAGCCTGGAAGTCGGAGCCGACGCTGCGGTCCCCACCCACGCCTGCCATGGAGCACGCCGGGGCAGTGGCAGGGCTGAGAGTGGGCCAGCCCCCGCCCCACAAGCCCAGCACTAGGGCAGCTCCAGAAGGTTCTGCAGGTGACTCAGGCTGTCCACAGGCGGCTTCGGTGGCTGGGCCTTTCCTGGGGCCTGTGAGGTGCCTGGGGATGGGCCGGACCTTGCCTTTCCCCGGGCACAGCCCGAAGGTCCTGCCTCCTGAGGCAGTTTTGGACACACAGGAAGGAGAGGGGAGGCAGCTTGGGTCTCTGGGCGGTGGCGCAGGCTGCAGCCAGGCGAGGCCCTCAGTGGATCTCGGCCTCCGTGAACTCCTCCTTGATGGGCTGCTTGCGGGCCTTGCAGTCGGGCAGGTCGAAGCCGAAGTCCGCCCACTCGTCAGGGCCGCCGCCTGGGCCGCCGCGGTTGGGGATGGTGATGGTGTGGCGCACGCGGAAGTGCACGGCCTCCATGACCCGCTGGCGCTGCAGTTCCCCTGAGCCGCCGATGGAGATGGTGGCCGCGTTGCTAGAGCGGAGCAGCTGCTGCGCGGTGCTGTAGTCGTGGCCCTGCTTCAGGTCCTGCAGGCCCCGCCAGATGGTCATGCGGTACTGCTCGGGGATCTTCAGGGCCCCCAGGTCCTGCGAGAGGCCGGCGCATTAGGGGCAGGGGGCAGTGGAGCAGGGAGAGCAGGGGGGGTCGCCCTGGGCCTGGAGGTCTGGCCACACCACACCCTGGCCCCTACACCCCCAACCAGAGTAGGCAGGAGACGGGGGAGGGGGAGAGCCCACCAGAGTCACTCCTGGCCTGTGCGGGGCCTGGGCCCTGACCTGGGAGTGTTAGACATGGAGCCCCCTGAGCATCTACCTGGCCCTGGGGGAGGAACTGCCTCCCAGCCTCAGGGCAGGGCCCTCCTTGGTCTCCATGTCCCTGCCCCCTGGAGTGGACCCCCAGCTCATCCCTGAGCTCCCAACACCCTCTGGGCACCACACCAAGCACACACATCACTCAGGGGAGGCAAGGGTTAACGTGACCTGGAGCTGGCTCAGCGTGGGTCACTGGGGACAGGTTGCGGGGAGGGCGGTTAGTGGACACAGACGCGGCCACTCTCTGCACGAGGGACAGTTAGGCTGAGCAGCTGGCCCTAGCTCGCACTGACCCTCATCTCTGTCTGCAGCCCCAGGCTGGGGATGGTCTGGGACGGGCCTTGGACCTGGGCCGCGGCACTGGCTGGGGGGCAGGTTCCCACCAGAGGGCTTGCTCTTCCTTGACTGACGGTGCCCTGTGGTTCACACCGTCCTAGGCTACCAGCAGGCTTTGTACTCCACTAGTCTCTAACCCAAAGACAAGCCGTGGCTGTTTAATCATGGTGCCTGCAGTCAGCTGCCATGGGTGCCAAGAGCTGTGTGGCCTCGGGCCAGGTGCTTGCCTTCCCTAGGTCCCCTTTCCTGTCTGTGTAAATGGCGCTGACCTCTCTGTAAATGGCACTGAACTGGACTGACTCCCTCGGGGCCTTACATTCTTCTGTTCTTTGTGCCTTGGAAACAGCCCATCCCCTAAAATCAAAGGCACACTGGCTGCTGGGAGTCCAAAAAGGCTCAAATGACCAGTTCAGCATCCGGAGGCCTGGGCCTGTGTCCCGCGCCACCAGCCACGTGCCTGGCTGCATCTGCCTAAGCTCTCAAGAGTCAAATCATCGCATCTGCTTGCCCGTGGGAAAGGGTTTCCAAGTTTCCCAGCCACGAGAGCAAGGAAGAGAAGGCTCTTTGCCCTCCGGACAGGGGCCCCTCCAGCTACTGCCTCTGCAGAGCGGGGTCCACCCGGGCGTTACCTCAATGGTCAGGTTCTGCAGGTGGTAAATGCTCTGTAACCCTTGGGAGGTGAAATACTCGATGCAGTTTGGACACCCCAATCCTGTTAAAAAACTGCAGAGAGAATTTGAGAAAGGAAGCAGCATTAGCTTCCGAGCACAGGGCTGCGCGAGCCCCCATCTCTGAGAGTGGCCTGGCTGGGGCGGAGACTGCCGCTGTCTCCGAAGGGTGGCTCCAGCCCACAGGTGGCCACGGCATCCCTCAGGGAGGGGACGTGCTCAGCTGGGGACAGGTCAGTGGAGGACCCCGGCTTTTTGTGCTTTTCCTCTAAGTGGACCATTTCCCCAGCATCTGCAGATGCTCCTGGCCTGACTGCCCCCGCCCGCCTGTCTGATCCAGGGTTGCGAGTGGTGAGCACACAGGGTGGGGCAGGGCAGCTGACATGGCCAGAAGGACAGAGGTGAACAGACAGGGTGACAGCACATGCTCAGGCCCTCGGCAGCCCACGCACCTGACGAGGCTGGGGTCGGCGTGGTAGGGGGGTGGCGGAGTGCAGTGGGACCCCGAGACCATGGACTGGGCGCTGTGGCTGCTGCTCATCTCGCCGTTGGCTGGCACTGCGTGGCCATGGTTGTTGAGCATCCCGGGGCCTGGGTGAGAGGCAGGTGGGGCCATCAGGGCAGCCAGGCTGGGCATCCAGGTGCAGCCTCCACCCAGGCTCCAGACACCTCTGGACACCAGGGAGCCATCCCAAGGCCTGGCGATGTGACGCTGGGCATCACCCCTGCCAGCTAGAGGCTTGAGCAAGGGCTGAACACCTGGGGCCCTGTCTCCTCGCCCCGCCTAGTAGGGACGGGGGTGACCGTGCGTACGGGGCACTGGGTTGTAAGGGCAATCGCAGCTGGCACTGGAGTGCTGGCCACATCCCAGGGCCTCAGGAAACACCTGGGGGTGCTTGCTCACGGCACTGGGAACATGCTTGGTCCTGCCCACATGAGGACCTTCCAGGGGAAGGGGGCCCAAACTCTATCCAATGGAGCCCCCGGCTTGTGCTGGGGCCCCTGATGAGGTCTTGCACCATTTATTCCTCACAAGGAGTGAGCCTGGTACTTCTGTGGCCATTTGCTGATGGGGAAACAGGCTGTGTAATGTTAAGAGCCTTCCCCAAGCTCCCTCGCCTGCCAAGAGGCAGTGCATGCATGTGGGTTCCACGCTCTTAACCACGCCCCCCTCCACCTCCCACAGCCAGGAGTGGGCAGAGAGGGCTATCCGTGGCTGCGCCTCCTGCCCAGAGGGTGGAACCGCTGGAAGGAGCCAGCCACAGAGACACCTGCCCTGGGTCCCGAGCTGGGTGGTGTGTCCTGAGCTAGGCGCCCCCAGTGGGCCTCCCCGCCCTGCCCGTGGGCCCGCACTGCCCAAGGGACTCACCCACGGGCCCCAGGTTGGGTGTAGCTGCCGAACTGTGCGGGGGAGGCTGGCCCACCAGCTGGTTGACGGAGGGCAGCTTGTTCATGCCCCCGTGCACCTTGTTCATGGGCGAGAGGACCGGCCCGTAGGACGGGGGCTGTAGGTGACTCCTGCTCAGAAGCAACGGCTCGCATGGGTGGGAAGCAAGGCAGCCTCGTGCCCACCGACCACCCATGCCCGTGATGCCCCCATGCTGCGAATGGGTGGAGCCTCTGATGTCAGAGAGTGGCTTCATCCTCCCCCAGCCTCCCTGTCCCCAACCATGGCCATGCACGGCCACTGGGCCTGCGCCTGAGAAGGACACTGGCCATGGCGGGGCCGGGAGGCAGGGGGATGACCTGTGCCACTGGAATCGGACTCTGGTCTTGGTGGGTCATGGTCACTCTGGCCACCCCTCCTGGCCTTTCCACTCAGCAGACATTTACAAGGCCCCTCAGTGGCAGAGGCATAGCAAGGGCCATGACCCAGGGTCCCAGGGCAGCCCCAAGTGCTAGAAGGCTTCCTGGAGGAGGAGATGTGGGGTGGGCTCTGCTCTGGACCCTGCTGCCTGTCCCTGGCAGATGATGCCTTCTGGAGGGGTTTCTGGTCCTCCTGGCCTTCTCCTGGGGGGTTAAGCCATGTCCTCCTTCCCCACACTGATGGTGGGCTAGGGCTGACTCACGGCCTCTGTAGGAGCTGCTGCTGCTGCCGATAGGAGTCCACCAGTGGCTGCGGCACCAACTCCATCAGCTCCAGGCTCTCTTTCAGCTTCATCAGGATCTCAAAGTTCTCCCGGCCTCGCACCTGAGCACAGAGGAGCAGATCTCTGCCCACGTGCCCCAGACCCCCACGGGAGGGGGGTGGCCGCAGCCTCAGGAGGACCTGGGCTTGGCAAAGCATCTGTCCTTTCTGGGGGTTCCCCAGCACCCCAGAGGCTCAGGATCCCCTGATCTTCTTTCCTCTTCCCAAGAAGCAGGTCTAACCAGAGCCCCTGACTCAGTGGGCAGGTATCCTGTCCCCAAGAACCATGCCTGCTCCTTGTGGCCCCCAAGCCTCCCTCTTCCTCCCCTACCAACAGATACTGGGTTTTTAGAAACCAAGTCTGTCTCTCTCTGTCTCTCTGTCTCTCTCTCTCTCTTTCTTTCGACAGCGTCTTGCTCTGTCGCCTAGGCTAGAGTGCAGTGGCATCATCATAGCTCGCTGCAGCCTTGGACTCCTGGGCTCAGGCGATCCTCCTGCCCTCAGGTGATCCTCCTGCCTCAGTCTTCTGAGTAGCTGGGACTGCAGCTGCACGCCACCACCACGCCCAGCTAATTTTTGTAGAGATGGGTTCTCACCATGTTGCCCACTTTGGTCTCAAACTCCTGGGCTCAAGTGATCCACCCGCCTCAGCCTCCCAAAATGCCGGGATTACAGGCATGAGCCACTGACCCCAACTGGGGCTCATTCTGGAGCTCAAAAAACAGAAAGTTCACATCATGGAAGATGACTCCCAGCCAAGCCTGTGCCGATTTAATTCACCTGTTGGAGGCCACATGTGAGAGGCACACTCATGGGGGCTGGCCGTGGCCACGGGTCCTGGCCAACGTTAGGGTCCTGGATTCTTGCTGAACTTCTACCCTGGTGGCACTCCGCACCACCCTACCTGTGCTATGTACACATGGCTTCATTGTAAATGGCATGACGCTGGGTTTTTGGGACTGAGGGGACTCTCAGGAATGCCCTGCAGTTGGGTCCTGCTGGTCTGGCTCTTGCAAGCAGGTTCTGCCCTCTGGACCCTCTCACACAGGGCTGGGCTCCTCCCGCCCCCTCCACCATGGTCTCCAGAGTCCCTCCCCATGGCCCAGCCTGGGCTCAGCAGACGACAGAGGTGAGGCAGGTCTCCCGGCTGCCGTGCAGGAGCACACACTCACCTGAAGGTAGTACGTGTCCTCGTCTCCATGCCGCCGCTTCTTCACACCGGCACCAAGGGCGGGGACGGCAGGGGGGCTCTGCTTGAAGGCTGGAAGGCCAGGCAGGGCAGGCGGGGTGAGCAGGCAGGACCAGAGGGTGAGGCCTCCTTCCGGGAGGAGGGAGACCTGCCCCACCCTTGGGGCCAATCGATTCTCCAGGTGGGTCCGGTGGTGAGCAACCCACAGGGACGGGCAAACCTGCGGTGCCACCCAGGCCTCTGAGGTGCCCTTGGCCCAGGACAAGCGACTTATATGGGGGCTGCTCTCAGGCTCCGTCAGGGAGGAGTCTGGGCGTGGGGGGCCGTTCAGGGACTGGCCCTGTCCCTGGGACGCGGGCTCACATTGTGTCCTGCCAATGTGTCCCCTTCTCCTCCCACACGCGTCCAGTTCCCCTGGCCGGCCGCTCACCACGCTTGCTGGCGGCCCCGTTCTTGGCGGAGCTCTCGTTCAGGGCCTGCTGCTCCCGGTAGTGGTCCTCATCAGCTTTTCGGTCGCGGCCAGGACAGGCGCAGATGCGGCCCTCAAAGGACCGGCGGCCCAGCACCTGCCCACTGTCGGGTGGGCACAGCCAGAATTGTGAGCTCAACCCTGCCCACCCTCAACCTGCCCACCTTCCCCACCCACCTCGGACCCTGCAGGACCGGCCTTGAGAGCCCTCGGTCACCACAGAGCACCCAGTGCCGGCAGCGAGTGTTCCCGCTAGAGGGAGTCAGAGGCTCAAAGCTGTGAGGCTGCCCTGAGACCTCGCCGGGGACTCCCACCTCCCTCCGGAGGCCCAGCTTGTGCCCAGGCAGGCCCTGCAGGCCAGGGGGCGGTTCCTTCCTCCAGCAGCACACCCCAAAGTCTCTTCCCCAAGCTAGCCTTGGCCTGCAGGTCTCCATGACAGCTCCCCTTCTCCCCCGGCCGTGCCTGCCCAGCCCTGTCCCACCTCCACCCCGTGTGCCCGGGACTCACTCCCGCATCTCCAGGGTGATGATGATGAGGATGGGCCGCCGGTTCATGCCCCCTACACAGCTGCTGTTACACATGAAGTTGTACAGGATGGTGGTGAATTCCGTCCCCACCTGCACATGGGGGAGCAGGGAGAGGGGCTAGCATCAGCACGCAGCCCCAATCCACTAAGGTGGCAGCCCCCAGCTCCATGTCTGGTCCTGGCTCCACGTAGGCAGGGGGATGCCCTGCTCTATAGTTGTTGCCATTTGTATATCTGTCCACTCATTCATCCATCCACCAACCCACCCCATCCATCCATCCATCCGTCCATCCATCCATCCATCGAACCCATTTATCTATTCATCCATCCATCCATCCATCCATCCACCAACCCCATCCATCCACCCACCCATCTATCCATCCATCCATCCACTCCCCCATTTATTATCTACCCATCCATCCACCTACCCATCCATTCAATATCCATCCATGCATCCATCCACCAACCCCATCCATCCACGAACCCCATCCATCCACCCACCCCATCCAACCATCCATCCACCCACCCATCCATTCAATATCAATCAATCCATCCATCCATCCACCCCATCCATCCACCCACCCGTCTATCCATGCATCCATCCACCCCATCCATCCATCCATCCACTCCCCCACTTATTATCTACCCATCCATCCACCTACCCATCCATTCAATATCCATCCATCCATTCATCCACCAACCCCATCCATCCACCCACCCATCCATTCAATATCAATCCATCCATCCACCCATCCACCCACCCACACGTCCACCCCCAACACCCACCCCATCCATCCATCCATCCATCCACTCCCCCATTTATTATCTACCCATCTATCCACCCACCCATCCATTCAATATCAACCCATCCATTCATCCATCCACCCATCCACCCACTCCATCCATCCATCCATCCACCCACCCACCCACACATCCACCCCCCACACCCACCTCATCCATCCATCCTATCCATCCATCCATCCACCCACCCACCCCATTCATCCATCCATCCACTCCCCCCATTTATTATCTATCCATCCATCCAACCATCCATCCACCCACCCATCCATTCAATATCAATAAATCCATCCATCCATCCACCCACCCACCCATTCAATATCAATAAATCCATCCATCCACCCACCCACCCACCCACTCCATCCATCCACCCACACATCCACCCCCACACCCACCCCATCCATCCACCCATCCCATCCATCCATCCACCCATCCACCCCATCCATCCATCCACTCCCCCCATTATCTGTCCATCCATCCAACCATCCATTCACCCACCCATCCATTCAATATCAGTCAATCCATCCATCCATCCACCCACCCACCCACTCCATCCATCCACTCACCCACCCACATATCCACCCCCCACACCCACCCCATCCATCCATCCATCATCCTATCCATCCATCCATCCACCCCCCCACCCCATCCATCCATCCACTCCCCCATTTATTATCTATCCATCCATCTAAACATCCATCCACCCACTCATCCATTCAACAATATCAGTCTATCCATCCATCCATCCACCCACCCCATCTACCCATCCCTCTACCCACCCATCCATTCAACATCCCTCTACCCAACCATCCATTCACCCACCCACCCATCCATCCATTCACCCACCCACCCCATCCATCCGCCCACCCTATTCATCCATCCGTCCACCCACCCATCCATTCACCCATTCACCACTCCATCCATTCATCCACTCACCCACCCACCCCATTTATCCATCCATCCATCCACCCACCTACCTACCCATCCATCCATTCATCCACCCCACCCACCCCCATCCATCCACCCATCCACCCACTCACCCCATCCAGCCACCCATTCATGAAGATCACTGAACCCCAAGCACTGGGCTGGTTCTGGGTTCTGGGAGGGCTCAGACCTGGTCTCTGCTCTCAGAGAAGCACAGAGTCCTGTGGTCTGTTTGCCCCAACCTTCTCCCCTGACACAGGCTGGAGGTCAAGCCCAGATGCTGGGTGTGAGTGTGCCTGCACAGATTTTGTGGCCCTACGTGTGTGTTGCATGCTGCGGGCTCACCTGGGCAGAAAGAGGAACCAGAGCTGTCCCCAGCGAACCCACCCCCAGCACACTCCTGTTTCCCAGGGATTTTGCAGTACAGCTGAGACATGAACCAAAACTCTTTTTTTTTTTTTTGAGACGGAGTCTCTCTCTGTCCCCCAGGCTGGAGTGCAATGGCGCGATCTTGGCTCACTGCAACTTCTGCCTCCCGGGTTCAAGCGATTCTCTTGCCTCAGCCTCCCAAGTAGCTGGAATTACAGGCATGCGCCACGAGGCTCGGCTAACTTTTGTGTTTTTAGTACAGACAGGGTTTCGCCCTGTGGGCCAGGCTGGTCTTGAACTCCTAACCTCAAGTGATCCACCCGCCTTGGCCTCCCAAAGTGCTTGGATTACAGGCGTGAGCCACTGCGCCCAGCCATGAACCAAAACCGTTGATCAATGAGTGTCCCCAGACCACAATGTGGGCAGTTTTCATGTCACCCTGGGGACAAATACAAAAGCTATTAGGGGTTTGGGAAAATCTTGGCCTTTCTCAGAACTGCTGTCACACGGCAGCCACCAGGGGGCGATAGAGCTCTGCCTTCCTGGCAGGCCTAGGCAGGTGAGGGTGGGACATGGGTTTCAGGGAGCCCTCCCGGGCCCTGGTTCTGCTGACATAAGGGGCTGCTCTTAGAGGATGGTGGGATGGGGACGTCGAAGGGGGCCTGGGTACAGGGTAGAGGCTTGTGGAGGACCTGGAGACTGGGTACAGGAGTCTGGGGTGTCCTGGGGGTCTGGTACAGGGATGGGGACCTGGTGGGGGAGGCTGGGGCTGGGTACAGCATGGAGCCTGGTCTCAGAACCAGGTACAGGGAAGGCAGAGGCCTGCCATTGCCTGCCTTCCCCTGGGGGCCTGGTACCCACTCCTCACCTCCTGTTCTGCCCCTGCCCCACCATCCCGCAGTAACTTCAAACCCTCTGTTTCCCCCTACCCCAGCCTTTCACACCAGTTGGGCCCCACATCAGCTCCAGAATTGTGTCCCAGAAACTTATGCTGCCTTTGGGCCAAAAGTCAAAGCCCCCAGCCTCTCCGTGTCCCCTCCCCTCCAGCCTATATGCCCCCCAGTCCCCTGCACCCCCCACCCACGTGGTGCCCAGCGGGGCCTCCCGGCTCTCCACCCTGCTGACCAGCCTCAGCCTCCTGCAGGCCACCTCTCCTGGGCCCCTGGCCTGGCCTAGGAGTCTTTCCACCATCCCTCAACCCCCTTTGTAGAATTTGCCACCCCTTCAGGCGCTGTTGCTGGTTTGGTTCTGCCCCAGCCAATCCAGGGTCTAAATGGGCGGGGACCTCCCCATCTCCCAAATCCCTGTGTCTGGGAGCCCCAGGCCGGAACCAGTGTTGGGCACCAACAGAGGGCAAGGCTGAAGACCCACTCCCCACTATGGAGCTGGGCACACTGAGGCCCCGAGAGTGCCCGAGGCGGATGTGGGGACAGAGCAGCAGTGTGCACAGTGGGGCGGGTGTGGGTGAGGAAGGAGCCGCCGACACAGACTTATCACAGAGCAGGGAGCCCTGGACAGATGCCGACAGGACAGGCAGGCAGATCAGCCAACTGAGGAGGGACAGGGGCTGCCTCAGGGGACCCCTCCCCCGACCCGTACAGCTGACTGCAGGGCCCTGGGCACAGCCTGGCTCCTGGCCTACCTGTGGTGGCTCATAGGGCACCACGACGCTCTGCCTGCCGGTGACAGGGTCATCCACATACTGCGAGAGATTATTGCCTTCCACGCGGATGAGGTGGCTGGCTGGAGCAGACTGTCCTGCCGGGAGGGGTCGACACTTCAGAGAGGTGCATAGAGGTGCCCACCCCTGTGCTAGGTGCAGAGAGGTGCCCAGCCCTGTGCCGGGTTCAAAGGGTGCCCAGCCCCATGTCAGGTGCAGAGAGGTACCCAGCCCCGTGCCAGGTTCAAAGAAGTGCCCAGCCCCATGTCAGGTGCAGAGAGGTGCTGGCCCCGTGCCAGGCACAGAGAGGTGCCCAGCTCTGTGCCACCTGCAAAGGTGCCCACCCCTGTTAGGTGCAGAGGTGCCCAGCCCAGTGCCAGGTGCAGAGAGGTGCCCAGCTGCATGCCAGGTGCAGAGAGGTGCCCACCCCGGTGTCAGGTGCAGAGATGCCCAGCCCCATGCCAGATGCAGAGGTGCCCAGCCCTGTGCCAGGCACAGAGAGGTGTCCAGCCCCATGCCAGGTGCAGAGAGGTGCCCACTCCTGTGCTAGGTGCAGAGGTGCCCACCCTGTGCCAGGTGCAAAGAGGTGCCCAGCCCCATGCCAGGTGCAGAGAGGTGCCCGGCCCCATGCCAGGTGCCCACCTCTGTGTCACATGCAGAGAGGTGCCCAGTCCCATGCCAGGTGAAGAAAGGTGCCCAGCCCCATGCCAGGTGAAGAGAGGTGCCCAGCCCTGTGCCAGGTGCAGAGAGGTGCCCACCCCTGTGCCAGGTGCAGAGAGGCGCCCAGCTGTGCCAGGTGCATCGCAGCAGAACTGAGACCACCAGGCCCAGTCCTGTGGGCTTCCAGGTGAGGCTCAGGCCAGCTGGCAGCCCTTGTGCTCTGGGGGTGCCTGCCCAGTGGCTCTGCCCCCTGATTCTCCTGCTAATCCTTGGGGTAGCCCGTAGGCCCTGCCAGGCACACTGGAGAGAGGGGCTATGACTCATAGGATCTCTGGGGCCCCAGAAGGCCGCTGCCCCTCAGACTCTGCCCAGACCACTTGCCCCTGCCCAGGAGCATGGGCCCCCCCAGGTCCCACTCAGAACTGGGAAAATGGGGGCTGGTGGAGGCACTGAAAGCCCTCCGCAGGGGAATGGCTAAGCCCATGCTGTCAGCCCCACTCTCTCCCAGTTAGGCAGCCCCCGGCTGTGCTGTCCGGGATGCTGGGCAAAGTGCCACCGTGGGCAGAGGAGCTGGGGGCCCTCACCTTCGTTGAAGTCCCTCCCGAGCTCGTGGTTGGGGCAGCGTTTCACGACGTCGGTCACGTGCTCCGCTTTCTTGTAAACAGGCATGGCCCGGATGGCGGTGCCTGGGGGTGGCGGGGTGGACACCTTGATCTGGATGGGGCATGTCTTGGCGATCTGGCAGTAGAGTTTCTTCAAGAGCGGGGAGTACTGGAGTGGGGGAGAGGGAGCGGGTGAGACCAGTGGTCCCAACTGCACCCCTGTCCAGGCCACCCCCCATTGGGAGCCACGTCCTCCCCATGGGTGCCCCTTCCACAACCCCCAGATGAAGACTGCCCCAAGCAGCCCCTCTGCTGAATCCCTCCAGGTGTCTGTCCTTTGAGGCGTGAATCCAGGCACAGCTGCCCTGGCACCCACTCCACAGCCATCGGGTCATTTGGGCTCCATGACAGCAGGGGTGTGAGTGCCGGTGGCAGTCAGGCAGAGAGGCTTTAGGTTTATGGATGGGGACAAGAAAGGCCAGGAGAGCAAGAAGGGGCTGCTGGAGAGTGAGGGCGGGAACGGGGGCTGGGAGCCAGGCCTGTGGAAGCCATGTCCCTGACTGCGGCATTTTGAAGAGGTGGGTTTGCAGCATTGAATCTGTTTTTAAGACCAGAGCTAGGCTTCTCTGGCATTTGCACAGAGCAAGTGGTTAATGTGTGATGGGCTGGTTGCCCACTATGCATTCAAGCTTCCATAGAGAGCTCTCTGGGTTGGTGTGAAGGCCTCTCATGGCCTCAGCAGCCCTGGTGACTCTGACACCCTCTCCTGCTGGGGCCACCAAGTCTGAGCAGCCGAGCTGTGTGGCTTGGTCTTGGCCACTCTGGGGGCCCCTCTGGGCTCACAGCCCCAGTATCCCCAGCTTGGGACTCGAGGAGCTAATAGGTCTGTCTGGAGCTGGCGTGGGCCCTGCTGCAGGAGGACTGGATGACACCCTTCCTGAGCCAGCCCCTGCAGAGGCCTCCAGCTTCTTTGCCTCACAGGGCCCGGCTGCCCATCTGAGGACCCAGGCCGGCTCTCATGAGTTCTAAAAGTGACCCCGCTGAGGCCGCTGCAGGGGCGTCCACTCACTTCCAAGCTGGCTGATTTCCCAAGCGTCTGGCTCCTGGTCACCTGCTGGGAGTCCTCATGCTCTCTCCCCAAAGGGCCATCAGGAATGATCCCCAGTCTCAGGCTCAGAGAATGACTTCTGCTGCCACCCCATGCCCTCTGTGCCCCTCACCAGCCCCCGATGACTCAGAATCACAAGTCACTGCAGCCGCAAGTGCCCTGGAGAATGTCCCATCGCACTCCACCGTGGAACAGTTGGGGAAACTGAGGTCAGAGACAGGGAGCTACTGGCAGAACCAGGGAAGCTGCAGGTGGAGTCTTCCCTTTGCCAAGGAAGTTAGGGGGCCCTGACCCCCTGACCCCCACTGGCCACCAGTACTGCCTCTCTGGCCATCAAGGGACATGAGGGGCTCTCAGGAGCCACATAGGTCCTTGGCAGGTGCAGGCACACGAAAAGCCAGGAAGGAAAAAGGAAAGAGACAGGGGAGATGGAGCTGACGGAGGCTGCGAGCCATGGTGGGTGGGGCCTGGGTCCCCGGCACCCTGAGTGCCCTTGTTCCTGTGCAGTGGGAGCGGTCCCCTCTCTGGTGAGCTACTTGGGCTCCCCGAATGAGACCCAGCCAGGAACGCTGGTCTGTCCCTGCCATGGGTGTGAGGGGGCTGGAGGGACAAGTGGAAGGGGGTCCTTCAGTGGCCTCCTCAGGATGGGAATTGGATACCAAAGAGCTGGCCCCTCCTAGGTCCTCCGTCCACCTGGAGCCCCTGGAGCCAGAGTGGCTCCACTGCCCCTGCCTGCGACCCCCACCTTGGGCACAGGGCCTTAGGCAGGAAGCCGCCCATCCCCAGTCCTGTTTAAAACACAGGAAGGAACCATCATGCACAGCCCTGCAGGGGAGGCTGGGCGCTGTTTAGAAAAGCAGGAAACGGGCTGAGGGCGGTGGCTCACGCCTGTAATCCCAGCACTTTGGGAGGCCAAGGCAGGCAGCTGAGGTCAGGAGTTCGACCAGCCTGGCCAATATGGTGAAACCCTGTCTCTACCAAAAATACAAATATTAGCCAGGCAAGGTGGCGGGCGCCTGTAGTCCCAGCTACTCAGGAAGCTGAGGCAGGAGGCAGGAGAATCGCTTGAACTCGGGAGGTGGAGGTTGCAGTGAGCCGAGATCGCACCATTGCACTCCAGCCTGGGTGACAAAGTGAGAATCCGTCACACACACACACACACACACACACACACACACACACACACACACAAAGAGAAAAAAAGAAAAGCAGAAACAGCCTTGCAGAGCTAGCAGCCCACCCCTGTGCGGGCGCCTGCCCTGGACTGTCGGAGCTGCAGGCTTGGGCACAGCGGGAAGTACAGCAGTCTCCTTGTTGTGGGGTCAGTCTGGCTTCCCTGGAGGTGACCACTGATGTACAGTGTCCCCACCATTACAAATGCCCCCTTTGCTCCCCACAGCATCACTTGGAAGGATAAGCAGGTAGCCCTGCCCCCAGGGCACATGGGAACAGCTCGCAGCACAGACCCTCTGGGACTCGGACCCTCAGGAGACTCAGACAGGGAGGGCTCTTGGCCCAAACTTGCAGTGGCCTGTGTCCAGGCACTGGTCTCTTGGACAAAGGCCCTGCCTGAAGCTACACACCACGCCTGGTCTCCATCTGTGCTGGTTGGGGACAGAAGGAGGAGGGGCCAGGTGGTGGCAGGCTCTTGTCTGCCAGTGCCCCGAGCAGGGGAGAGGAACACAGGGCCGGCAGCCGTGTCGCCAGGCTTCTCCGAGGCCAGGGCAGCCTGCAGGGCGAGCTGCCCATTGCTGAGCATTTATGGAGCACCTCTTGTGTGCAGAGCACACAGGCCCCCTGGAATTCAGGCACCTGGCTCTGTCCCCCTCGTCTCTCCTCAGTAACGTGTAGCAGATGGAGGTACACAGGTGGTACTCAACAAATGCCATCCATCCTAGCCGCTCCCTAGGGAAACCACAGAGCAGGGAGGGCGCGGCAGACCCCCCTTGAAACAGACCCCGGCCGGGGTGGCTCAGGTCAGAGTCTCAGGGGCGGCAAAAGGAGAAGGGCCTCTGAGGTCCGGCCCTGTGGGTGGCAGTTTTGGCTTTGTGCTCGTCAGCTGGGATGCCTCTAGCCACTGCACAAGCCTCTCCACCTGCATCTCTGACTCACTGCGTGTCCCCTGGGAACACAGTGGCCTGCAGGTGTTAGTGGCTACTGCGCCCTCGTTATTCTCAGCACCAGGTGAGGAGGTGTTGGTTGCGGGGGGCTGGAGCCACACAGGCCCCGCTTCCCTACAGTTCCCTTTCCGGGGCTGAGTCCCCCGAGGCTTCTTCCACCCTAGTGCCACAGCCCATGGCCTGAGATGGGGGTCATTAGATCCACCAAGGAGCCCCAGACACTCAGGGGGAGGGGAGGCCGCCTGGGCTCCTCAGCCAGTTGGACACAGATGGAGTAAGGCTCTGGGTGCAACCAAGCCTGCGGGCAGAGGCCCCGGCAGCCGTCGCTCCCTGACAGCCCCATGGAGTCTCAACAGCGTGAGGGGTTTCACAGCTCCTGCCTGGCCCCTGCAGCCCCTCCCCTAGGCCCCTGCCCCAGCACCCCCGGCCATAGTCCTCTGCGGAGCCTGAGCTCCCGCCCGCCTGGGCCTCAGGGTCAGCAGTGCTCCCATTTCGCAGACCTAGGCAGCGGCCTCTCAGCAGCGCCCTGCTGAGCCCGCCCCACTCCCTCTGGGTCTCCGGGCAGGGTGAAGTGGCGATCCTTGCTCTGGAAGCTGCGTGGTGGGGCGTCCCAGGCCAGGGCGCTACGAAGTGGGTGCAGGGCCCAGTGCGTGCTCCCGTCTCTGCACTGTCTGAGGGACTCCCGTCTGCAAGAGGTCCTGGGGGCCCAGGCGCGGGGAGCACTGTGGATGCCCCGCCCCGCCCCGCCCCGGGGAGGAGCTTGGGCGCGCCGGGAGCTGTCCCTGGTACTCGGTGCAGGCGGCGGCCGGACCACCCACCCCGGGAAGTGGGGGCTCGGACTGGAGTGTGGAGCGGCCTAGAACGGACAGGTCTTCGACCTGGGCCAGTGGCGGAGGGAGGCCCAGGCCTCAGGGTGGAGAGCAAGGAGGCCCCTGTCCTCAGGCGATGTGAGCACTTCTCCTCCCCTCTGGCCAGTAAGGCCACCAAGGTCCTGGGCCTGGCTCTCCTCCCCACAGGTGTCCCCAGTGCAGTGCTCACATGGCCTTTGGGGCATACATGCCTGGCAGACCTCACCCTGGCACTAACTGGACCCCAGGTGCCCAGCCGGGCCGGAGCTGGGTGGCCTCGGGGAGGATGTCTGTGATGTCCCCTGCCCTGGCAGCATCTGGGGGTGGGTGACACAGGTGGCCACAGGAGGGAAGGGAGCCCTGAGAGATCCAGGTCCTTCTAGAGGGTGGCTGAGCCCAGGACGGCTCCAGCGCTCCCCCAGCTCCTTCCTCCTGTCTCCCCAGCAGGCCTCTAGGCTTCAGGCCTGGGCTTGGCCCTGTGGAAAACGGGCAGGAGGAGGAGGACTCCGGTGGAGCCTATTCTATAGGAAAGGTCACGTGGAGACACTTCCCCTCCGCCGCCCCCCTCCTGCCTTCTCCTTCCCTAGAACCGCTAGATGGATGTGTTTCAACAGATTCCGAGCTGATAAAATCGTATTTATCTTCGGCTGTTGACACGGAGCCGCCTGGACTTGCCTGCCCAGGGTGCGTGCACCGTCCTGCTTGCAGGAAAGGGTTTGCCCAAACGCCACTGTGCCCATCCCTCCCCACGCTGCCGGCTCCTCTCCGACCCTCCTCTCCTTCCCCTCCTCCCCCGCCCCAGTACAACATGGGCCCGGCCTGGCTGGGAGCCCTGGGCCTGGCAGGGCTGGTGCGGGGGTGGGTGAGGGGAGGGTGCAGCGGGGGGCTGCTAATTTCCTTGTGCCCGCTCCTCGCTCCCCGGCAGCTGGGTGCCCGGCACGGGCAGGTTTGGGCAGGAGGACAGCGGAGAGGTGATAATAACTTGTCTGTCATTTTCCTGGGACGTGTAGCATCTTGCAAACCGCAAATACCGTTAACCAGCGTGGGTGAATCTGTTGCAACAGATTCTGGAAGATGGGGCCTGCAGTGGGGGCTTTTATTTTTTAAACGATTTTTTTTATTGCTCACTTTTATCCAGTTCCCTTGCTTGTGTGTGCGTCTGTGTGTTTAGGGGTGCATCTCTCTCCTCTCTGGGGTTACGGGCCTCTTTGAGCCCACCCTCTGCCAAGGCCCTGGACCCTTCCTCTCCCTAGAAAAGCTCCTGGGGCTGAGCCACAGAACCCTTTCCATTAAATTCGTGGGTTCACAGATGGACCCCCTAAAACACATGCCTGAGCCAGGGTCAACAGCCTGTGGATTAGGGTCCTCCTGGGTCCCTTTCTCCTTCTGAGAGAGGAAGGGTATCCTCAGGTGGCAGCCACAGGGCCCCCTTGGTGACAGCCCCCTTCGTGGGAGGCTGTGGCCTTCACTGGTGCACAGTCACTGTCGCCCTCAGAGAGCTGCTGGGAGCACAGGCTGGGCTCTGACAGATGTCAGGGAGGCCTGGCAGGATGTCACAGGGCTGGTCCCTCCCTGCCCCAGGGAAGCCACTAGCCTGGGGAGGGGGAAAGGACACATGTGGCAATCGCCCCTGTTTCAGAACACCTTGGTGTTAAGCTGGGGCTCCCATGGTCGAGGCAGTGACGGCTCACTCACCAGGACATCCACAGCCCATGGGCCAGGCAGATGAGAGGCCCAAGCGAGCTTCAGAATGCCTGTGAGGCCACAGCCAGTGCCAGGCCCAGCGCTGCCCAAGAAAAGAGGCTGCTGTGAAAGAGCTCCTGGCTGGGGGGGCTGCAGGAGACAGATGTGTCTGCTGGCACCCCCATGCTGGCCAGCCGGGGCTCCCAGGCCAGGAGCTCTATGGAGGATGAACCAGAGGCAGAAACATCCTCTGCAGATGCCAAGCGATCCTCAGCCCTGACGGAGGCCTGCTAGAGCCCCAGAGGCTGTGGACAAGAAACTGCTCACTGGGGAGGGCAGGCCAGGGGCAAGTGGGAACCCTGAGGAGCTGGGCAGTCTGCCCCACCACGACCTTGAGCCATGTCCTAAACAGGTGAGCAGGAGCCACACGGGGGACTCTCAACGGCCTGGAAGCGCGGCTCCCTGGGAGACACTGAGTGCACCCAGACCACAGGAGCTGGAGCCTGCTCGATCCTCGTCCCATGCACGGCTGCCTCTAGGGATCTCCATCCTGGGCTATGATCGGGGTAGGGGAGGGAAGCAGGTATGTGCTGAGCCCAGGATAGACTTGGTGGCTTTGTCTCCAGTGCATAGTGAAGGCCCAGGGGTCCAGTAGGAGACGAGGGCCACAGGCAGAGGAGATAAGAGGGGCCTAGTGTTGGGGGAGGCTGCGAGGCAGCGTTTGCCCAAGGTGTCTGCCTCTGTTGGTGTGGAGACCTGGGGAGACAGTGAGTGCTGTCCACCTGCCAGGGAATGGGGCACCTGGGTCCACCCTCATGGCCACATCCACTGCCCACTGGTGCCTGCCCTGCGCGGGGCCCTCACCTGACCTTGGCCCTGGGAGGTCAGGCACTGTCACTCCGTTTAGTGACCCAAACCTGCCTGCTAAGCTGGGGTGGACCAGCACCCAGACCATAGCTGTCTGACCCCCAAGCTCCATCTCCCAGCCCTTTGTCACTGCTGGGCTTGACTTGGGTCCTGGGGCCTGGGGTCGGGGTCTAGGCAGAGACCCGCCTTAAGCACCCCTGGGTTCCAGGAAGACGGCACTGCAGAGGCGTCACCCCTGGGTTCCAGGAAGACTGGGCACTGCAGAGGCGTCACCCCGGGTTCCAGAAAGACGGTACTACAGAGGTGTCAGGTGGGACATGGGCTTCTTACCCCGTGGCTGGACTTAAGCCCCTTAGGGGTAAGGGGAACAACAGCCAGGGGCCTCACCTGCCCTGGTCCTGCTGGGGATGGGTCTCCATGGACAATAGAGACTGAGACTCACACAGACTGCCTTGTGTCTGGCTGGGATTGGGTGGCCCAGCCTGGACAGCTCCAGCCTCCACTTTGCTGCCGAGATGCTGTGTGAGGAGCTCAGGGCCCAGTCCCCACCCGGTCGCCGCTGTCCTGATTCACTGAGACCGCGTGCGGGTGCCCTGTGGCTGCTACTATCACTGTCACTCTGCCCAAGCCCGGGAAGGAATGAGCTGCCCAGGCAGGGCGAGGAACTCCATCTGCTCTTATTCCAGGACCCAGGTACCCCATCTGGGGCCTTGGGGACAGAGGGGGTGGCAGGGCAGTGCCCTGGGTCCGCAGAGACAAAAGCTGGGGCTTGCAGAGGGCCCCGGAATGCCCACCAGCAGCTGCCCCTCCGCTCTGAAGACACAGAGTGTTCAAAGCACCACACTCAGCCTCTGCCCTGGGCCGGGACCAAGCGCAGGGTCCTCTGCCCGCAACTTGCTTTTTGACAGCGCCAGCTGGAGGGCCCGTTGCCAGTAGCCTGGCCTCTCCTCCGGCCTCTGGCAAGGACCTAGCTAGCGGGACTGTGGGCCAGGCCCTGGAGCTGTCCCACGAGGGGCCCAGCAGGCTGGCAACAGGCCTGCTCTGCTCACTGCAGAGAGGGCCCCTTAACTCCTGGGGAGGAAGCCCCCACCATCCTTGCCCCCACCATCCTCACCCCCACCCTGACTGGTGGCTTTGAGGAGAAGCCAGGATTAACCCAGCCTTTTGAGGCCCGGCTTTGTCAGCTGTGGGGATTGGAAGGGTGCCCCAGGGTCAGTGGGTGCCCTCTGCTCACAGGACAGTCCCGGAGTCTCTGGCCACAGCTTCCTGGGACAGCCTTGGGGGCTGGAATTGGCAGCAGCTGGAGGTGGCCGGAGACAGCGGAGGGAGGGGAGTAAGCTGTGGACATGGTGGGGTGGTCCCTCTTCAGCTTTTAAGGTAATAGTTGGCTAGAATCTAGGTTTTTGCTAAACTTTGTAAATCTTCATTGAAATGCCTGGGGGAAGGAGAATTTTGGCCTCCGAATCTCTGACCCCTGCAGAGAGTGGTGTCTCCCCAACGCCAGGTGCAAGGAGCTGGGTGCCTCGCTCCAGTGGCATGGCTGGGGGAGGGGTGGGTTTGCAACCCTTGGGGTGGCTCTGGGCTTTAGGTAATCCCCCTGTGCGGTTTCCCCATGGGCTCTGACTTCTGCCTCACTGAAGCCTGGAGTGCTGTTACCTTCTCCAAAAGGGTCTTTCTGCCCTAAAATGCCCTGTTCCGCTCACGGCCTCTGCAGCCCCATCGTAACCCCTGGCTGTGGACACCAGCCTCGGCCGCCACGTAATCTCTGAGCCTCACGCTGTCCGCCTGGAGTGCAGAGAAGATGCTTTTCTTTCCAGCCGGGACACCCTGGAATTGTCTGTCCCCCTCTTCCTGAGGCTCCTCGGAAAAGGGACAGAAGGTCTGGAGGTCGCTCAGGGCCTTCTCTACCCAGAGGCAGGGGCTGGGCCTCCAGGGTCCGGGTCTCCAGGGTCCGTGGCTTCAACTTTTGGAATCTCAGAAAATCCCAGAAGTGACCACTGGCCTGGGGTGGCAGAAACCCACCAGACCGGGAAGCAAAACTAACTCACTGCCCAGCTGAGCCCCCCACCTTGCCCCGAGTCCCACACGGCCCAAGGTCCAGGTCACCTACGACCGCATCTTGGCGTCAGCACTGGGTCCAGGAGAAGCCTGGGACGGCCCTCCCCTGTGGGCCTCTCTTTCCCCCTGTCAACGGGAGTTAGTGGCAGTGAGGCCAGGCCTGGGAGGGGTGAAGGCAGAGGGGGCAGGGAGGCACCAGGAGAGGCCGGTCCCCAAGCCCAGCTGCCTGGCTTCTCGCCCATGAGGCTCGCCAGCCTCGGAGCACTCCAGTGATAAAGCGTTCTTGAGGGATTTTCCTTTGTCAACAAAACCAAGCAGTGAAAGCAGACAGGGACAGCTCTCCACCCCCAGTCCCAGTTTGATTCACTGGCAGACAGCAGTGGAAGGCTCATGGGGGCCAAGGTACAGCCTGGGCTCCCCCCACACCCCATTCGGTCCAAGGCTTTCTCCCCTAGGGACAGGCAGGTCCCTCTGAGGTGTCAGCACCTCCTTATCACTGGTTCCCCTGGGGGCCCTGAGGGTCACAGGGACCTGCCCCACAGAGCTGGGAGCAGAGGGTGGGGCAGGGGGCAGGGGCTGCTCGTGGGGACCTGTCCAGGGACCTGTAGGGGCCGGGGTGGGGCACCACACGGGCTGCAAGGGCAAGGTTAGGGGTCTGGCTGCTGGGGCCAGGTCCGGCTCTGCCCTCTGCTGACAGGTGACCCTGGTGTGCCCTCTGGGAGCCTCAGTTTCCTCATCTGTAAAATGGGGAGTGTGGGAGGCCCTGCACATAGGGGCAATGCTGCTGCCAACGCTACTAATCAGACATGCTGGGTCCACAGGGCTGTCCCCAAACTGGAAAGAAGTCCTAGAAAATAGATGATTCTTCCTAAAACGTAAATTGGATCATGCCTCTCCCCCAACAGTCTCATGCCTATGGAAGGGAATCCTGTCCCCCAAGGGGTTCTCCCTCCTGTCTCCTCCAAGAACCAGGCAGTGTGGGGTGGGGCAGCAGGACCCAGGGTCTCAGAGCTGGGGCCTCCCCAGCCTCACTTGGGGCCTCCAAGGCTAAGTTCTGTGACCTCCAGGGCCCAAGAGTGAGTTCCTCTGGCTGCTCCAGAAAGTGAAGAGAGAAGAGCCAACCCCGGCTCGGGCCACGAGCCCCGAGGCGCTGACCACAGCCAGAGCAGGCCTGCTGGAAGCTCCGTCCCTGCTGCAGATCCCTGCGCCACATGATATCAGCAATTGCTGCAATTTCGCCCTAAGTACTCTTGTTTCCCCTAATAATCCACGTTTCATCTCCACAATAAACATTGTTAGAACTCTTCCCTCAGCTTTACGCACATATAATTGCTTCTGGTGCCAGTAAAAGGTATTAATTCCACTCATGCATTCCATAAACTTTTAGGATAATGCAATTGATACCATGATCGTGTTGGGACACCTCCGCTATTATTCTCCTGCTTGCAAGCCTCCGAGGCGCTGGGAAGGTTGCTCCAGACCCATTAGTGTTGACTCAGCCTCATTCTCCCCAGGAATCCCGTGCAGAGCCTTTGTGCTTCCCTGGCCGTCCTTCCATATGTCCCTCCTGGACGGGGGGCTTTCCTACCCGTGGAGCCAGCTCTCCCCTAAGACAAACATGTGTGCACATGCTCGCGCACACACACACACACACACACATACACACGCTCGCGCACACACACACGCTGAGTCTGAGAGCAGCTGGAGGGCACTCAGGGGGCTGTGTCCGGGCCATCTTTCTGTCTGGAGGAATGCTGGGGCAGCTGGCCATCGCACCTGTGTGTGTCCTCACCATCCTGCCATGGCAGCCTGCCTCGTGGGCTGTGGGTGGTGTCACTCAGCATGCCCTGAGGTGCCCACAGATGCTGTGCTGGGCCAGGGCTTCCAACCCCACACTGCCTTCTTGCCTGACCTCAGAGCCCCGTCCCCAAACTTCCCAAACACCAAGGACAGCCACCTTCCCTGATGAGGCTGAGCTGGGGGCAGAACGGCTGAGCCGGGGTGTCACAGCATCCGATGCCCATCGCGTCGGGCTGTTCTGACAGCTAGAGGAACTCCTGTTCATTCTCTGCCCCGAGGGCCTCCTGGAACCAGCTGTCCACACCACTGCCAACCTGCAGGGCTCCCAGGACAGGAGTGGCCAGCAGGGCTCAGAGGCCAGGTCATGCATGCCCTGCAGAGAGCTCTGCCCACACTCTGAGCCCACACTGTCCCACAGAGGGTGTTGAACTGGGAGAAGGGCACTGGTGTCACCATCAGCACTGCACTCAGAGCTCACGTGTGTGGAGCGCTCCCCAGGTACCCTGCCCTGACCTAAGAAGTCCCAAGAGCCAGCTCCTTTGTCCCCACCATGGCTGGCAGGCCATACCTCTCTTTGCAGGTGAGGATGCCAGGGCAGAGGGGCGAAGCAGAAGGTGCTCACGGGCAGCTCTGGGATTGGGACCCCAGCAGACGCCAGCTCCACCCCTCTCACCATGCAGGGTCCCTCTCACCAAATGCCGGCCTTGCCCTGTCACTGGTCACTGGTTACACTCTCGTGGCTAAACACAAATCCTTCCTCTGGCTGCTCGGTTACCCACGACTCGCCTCCTCCTCCTCCTGGGTTTCCATGGGGTGGGAGCTACTAGAACCCTGGGCAGTGATGGGGGGAGGCCTGTGCATGTACACGCATGCCTGTGTGTTTACATGTGTCTGCGTGTGCATAAGGTACTTGTGTATCCACGTGTGTGCATGCATGTGGGAGGGTGCTGTGTCTGTGTGTGTGCACATGCGTGTGTATGCACACATATGCACAGACCTGTGAACCGCAGCCTCCAGACCTCTCAGTGCCCAAGGAGATCTGAGGTCTGATCTGTGGTCACTTGGGGGCTGGTGAGGGTGTTTTTCCTGATCGGGGAGAAAGGAGGGCGGCAGCCAATGTGGACTTGTACTTGAGAAAAATATGAATTATCTATCAGTTACCAGCCGGCTGGCGTGCCGGGAGCCCCAGGAGTCACGGTGCAGAGGCCGGACGCAAGCACAGGCAGCAGGGCTGGGCAGCACCCGCATGGTGGGACCCCAGAGCTGGGAGCAAGCGGGCTGCCCGGCGGCCCCGTTCTGCACTGTGAGCCGACCACTTGCCTGCCCCTCCCTGGGCAAGGAAAGAAGCCCTGGTGGAGGGGGTTCTGGCCCCAGAGAGCTGAGGTGCCAAAAATCTCATTATCAATGTTTGTCCCACCCCCTGGATCCACAGGGCTTCGGAGGAGGAGCCCTGGGTGCAGGCGACAGCATTTTCCTCCCCAGTTCGCGCCCCCCCACCCTCCCCCCGCCCCAGCATCCACAGAGCCCAGCAGGGAGGGAGCGAGGAGGTGTCACTGCTCCTCTGCTGGGCACCAGGCACAGCTTTCCCCTCCCGCTGGTGCAGCTGACCAGCCCGGGATGCCTGGTCTGAGCAGACCAGCCCATCCCACAGGGCAAGGCCACCCCGTCCTGCAGGACAAGGCAGTTGAGACAAAACCATGAAGTCCCTTGAACCTGATGCCACACACCTGGCAGGGGGTGGGGGTGGCAGATACCCTAGATGGGGGAAGCCAGCCAGAGAGGGGGTTGCTCCTGTCCTTCCATGAGGATCAGCTCAGACCACATGCAGTGCATTCCAAGCATGGTGAAGACCCCATCAGCATCCTCAGACCATGGGAGGAAGGGAGGCAGAGCTCCCACAAGCTGCCTGCCAGGACTCCAGGGAGACACTCTCCAGAAACCACCAGCATCATAAACCCCAGGGCAGGAGGTCAGTGTCCTTAGAGGGGAGAGAGTGGACTTAGGCAACAAGCCTGAGTGTGGGAGAGAAGCAGTGGTGAGGCTCCTGCTGCTGGAGGTGTGCAGGTGAGGATGCCTTGGGGCTTTCTGACCTGGCTTCAGACCTCCAAGTGGGGTGGAAGGATAGGCCTGGTCCCCCTTGCCCCACAGGCAGGTGCAGCTGCCACGGAACCACTCATTTGGGAGGCCCAGGCCAGCACACCACCACCACAATTAAGACAACGCATGGGCCTCCTGCTGCGAGCTAAGCACCGTGCTGGCCACAGCCCTGGCACGGTCTTCCCATCCTTATCTCCATCGTGCAGTAAGGTGCGTGGAGGAGTAATTTCCAAATGGAGAAAACGGGGTGTTAGCACTGGGGTCGGCATTGCCTGCCAGATGGAGGTGGGAGGCCCCGGAGGAGGTGCCAGGTCCTCTGCCCCTCAGCCCAACAGCCCACAGAGCCCCCTCCCATCAAGCCCAGCGAGTCCGGGCTGAGCCTTCTCTTAGCCCGGAGCCAGCAGCTGGGGGAGCCCGTGGCTGGAGTGAGAATCAGAAACAACCGCAGGTGGGGGCGGGCGGGGCCTGGAACCCAGACCCCAGACCAGCCCGGCAGGACTGTCCGGCTACCTGCAGAGCCTGACAGTCTACCTTAGGCTCCGCCCTGCCCCTCGGCCCTCCAGGAGCGTGGGAAAACCGCAGCTATGGCCAGCAGGGCAGTGGGACCCGATTCTTAAAGCGGAAAAACCTGAGGGGCCCCTTGCTCAGCACTCCCGACAGGGGGTGGGAATGCGGCCGCCCTGCATGGACTTCAGGGGGCCAGCACTGAGCTGTGCCCGGGGAGGCGGGGCCTCGTGGGGGAGGGGACGCTGCCCAGTGGGCCGGACCAACATGTGTCCCATAGAGCCCCTCCTGCAGCCATGGCCTGGGTGCCCAGGCAGGGCTCACTTGCCCCCTCCTCGGTGCAGGAGGGGAGACCCGGAGGGCTCTTGGGGCTGCTTTTCCCGCCCAGCCCCTGCGTGCCCTCCACTCCTGGCTGGGGTCATGCAGCCTTCACCTTGCCCCTCCTGACAGACCCCCTCCCCTGAAGCTGTCTGGGCAGGGCAGCTCAGTGGTTAGGAATACAGATGCAGAGGTGGCTGCCCCCACTTACTATGAGCAGAACTCTGGGCGAACCACTTCCCTCCCCGAGCCTCAGCCTCCTTGGCTGTAAAAGGGGAGCAGTGATGGAGTCAGCCCTGTGCGTTGTTGGTGGGTGCAAGAGTTAGCTCAACTCAAAGCCCTGAGCATGGTGCCTGGCTCGAGGAGACTGGCCTTGTGCACAGGTGATGTTATCAGAATTAGCAAGATCCCCACCGTGGGCCAGTCTGTCTCCAGGGGCACCGCAGTGAGGACCTGAGCCCTTGGCACGGTGGTTCCACCCCATCTCCTTGGTGCATGCCAATTCCTGGAAATGACACTCCAGAGACAGTGCCAGCAAAGCCCAAATCCACCCACCCGCAGATGCGTCTCGCTGCCTGGAGGAGGCAGGTTCTGCAGACCCTAGGGCTGTGGGCCTGTCTCGGACAGACAACTCTTGGCAGCAGAGCCCGTGCCTCTGTCCAGGACAGGATTTCAAACCAAAGATCCCACCTGAGCATGGGGAAGCCGCTGGCCAGTCTTGGCAGAGATCTCACCAGCAGGGCCAAGTCCGTCCCCTCTGTGGCCCTTTGGAGGCTGACTGGCTCTGGCCACTCACGTCTAGAGGGGTGGGCACACCCAGACTGCCCGGCCCTGAGACCCGCCTCCTGCCCGATGCTCCTCCTGGCCCGGGCCAGGTGGGAACCCCGAGCAGACAGTGGGGCGAGCTCAGACCTCTTGAGGTGCGGGGAACGCAGCCACCTCCTCTCCAGCCCGCAGCCCGCAGCCCGCAGCCCTCAGGGACTAGGGGAACTCACCGTCCAGGTGGCTGACTTGGCCGTGCTGGACTGCTGGAAAGTGACCTCAAAGTGGTGGGGTCCGGGGTAGTCGGTGTTGGAGGGGATGACAGGCGCCGGCGACATGGTGTCGAAGGTGGAGCTGGGTTGTGCGTAGGGCGAGTGGGTGGGCACGCTGGCGGCGTGCTCTGGGGTGTAGGGGCTGGCCGAGGCCGCGCGGCTGCTCATCTGGTCCATGGTGCTGCTCAGCAGATTGAACTGGGCCTGGCGCGGGAAAGGGGAGGAGGGAGGGGGAAACACACACAGTCAGTCGTCCTGTCCCGTCTAGGAGGTGTCCTGTTACAGGAGCCTTAAAGGGCCAGCGGCTCCAGTCATCCCAAATATTTCCCCGGGTCTCTCCCCCATCCCAACAGGCCACTACTTGCATTGGGATAAACTGACATATTCACCTCGCCCTCCCCTCCATCAGCCTCCCGGTGCCAGGGTTTCTGGGGATCCACCCAGCCGTTGATGAGGCGGAATAGACTCTCTGCACACCTGGAGGGGAGGCGTCGGGTGGGGGAGGCTCCCAGGCCCTGATGCCCACACGGGCTTCACTGTACCCTCCGGGCGGCATCGGGGTCTGGACCTCACAGCTCAAAGTGGGGAGATCCAGCCCCAGGGAGCCAGGCAGTGGGGGAGGTGGGCTGGGCACAAGTGGGCCCTGAGTGCAGGGTGCGCACACCTGGGCTTGGGTGCGTGGGTGCCCCTGAGGTGCTGGAGACCAGATCCGGGCTCTCACTAGGTCTGGCCCTCTAGGTGGTGGGATAAGGTGGAACTGCTGTTCAATGGCTGAGCCCAATTTTCCCAGTTGGGCGGCCTCATCTCTCGGTGAACGGCCTCACCCCGACTGGAAAGGCCGCTCCACGCTCAGGGGCCGGCAAAGCCTCACCCCTGCTGCCCCCTGGCCCGGGGTTCTCTCGTTAGGCCCCTACCCGCAGCTCCCCCGCCAGGACCACACACCAAGGAACAGGAACCCCTGTGGGTGTGTCCCCTGCGCCACCGTCTGTGGCGCCCCGGGACCCCAGCATGGATCAGCCTCTGCCAGGAGCTTAAGGGAGGCCCCAGCTGAGGGAGGGGGTGCTGGTCTGGCCTCGATGTCTCAGATCCAGGGCAGGGCAGACCTCACTTGGTGGGCTGCTGAGGAAGACCCTCCTTCCAAATCCAGAGGCGGGTGCTGGAGGAAGACTGCACATGTATAAACAGCGCTTTCCCTGTGACCCCCGAGGCTCAACGCAAACAAATGCCTTTACCCCCCTCTCCCCGGGCCTGCGGCGGGCACCGTGATTGTCCCTATTACCCCTCTCCCCGGGCCTGCGGCGGGCACCGTGATTGTCCCTATTACCCCCCTCCCCGGGCCTGCGGCGGGCACCGTGATTGTCCCTATTACCCCCCTCCCCGGGCCTGCGGCGGGCACCGTGATTGTCCCTATTACCCCTCTCCCCAGGCCTGCGGTGGGCACCATGATTGTCCCCATTTTACAGATGAGGAAACTGAGCTATGGGGCTGGGGAAACGATTGACCCCAGTGATCTAGCGGCCCCAGCAGACGGCACAAAGGTCACCAGCAGTCAGCAAGGTGCAGGCTGAGACCCCCAGACCGTGAACTGGGATTGCAGGGCAGGAAGGGGCAGAGCCAGGCGGAGGCGGGCCGGGGGCGGGGGGCGGTCATTCTGCCCTGTGTCCCTCTTTAGAGAAGCTGTGGTGTGCTGTGAGCACACTCTTCCCTCCCACCAGCCTGCCCCCTCCAATCCAAAAAACAAAACGTGCACTGCCCGCACAGGAGGGTGCAGGGGCCTCGCCGGGACTCCCAGGCTCAGCCCCTTCCTGCACCTCAGCCTTCTCCATCAGAGGTGGTTGGGTTTAGTGACCCAGAGGCCCTCGGCTCTGCAGGTCCTAGGACACACATCCACTGAGGTCCCTGACGAGGGCCGCATCCCCCGGCCCCTCCAGCATCCAATGGAGAAGGACGCCAGGCAAGTCCAGAGTTTGCGTCCTCTCTGAGTCCTCTACTGAGTCCTCCACTGAGTGCAGTCCAACGTGGAGGCAGCTCAGCCCGGGATGCCGGAGGGGCAGGAGGCAGGGGACTGCTGCTCACCAGAGCCATCACCACTGTTCCCAGGGCCACCAAAGGCCAGGCAGGCCCTCTCCCTGTGTGCTCCAGCCCAGGACAGCCAACAGCCCCAGCAGGCCTGAGCCGTCAGGGGCGACCCGTGCCCTGGCTCCACTGCAAGGGTCTTGGCACGAGGCCTCGGCTGAAGCTGCCATCATCTGGCACCATTAAGCTGGCTGTGAGCTGTCAACCTGGGGAGCCCACCCACCAGTGGAACGGGGACCCCCTGCAGCACGGGCCCTGCCCACCTCTCCGGCACCACTGCAGCCTCCTTCCTGGTCTGTCGCGCTCCCCACAACCTCCCTAACTTCCTGCACCACAGGTCCTTCCCAGGAGCCCAGGGTTCACTGAATGGCAAATGGATAAAGAAACAGTGTGTCTGTACAGTGGCCTCTTCCTCGGCCATAAGACAGAAGGAAGCTCCCACACGCTGCCACGTGGATAAGCCATGGTGCCAGCTTAAAAACATCACGGGGGGACGCCCGTAATCCCAGCATTCTGGGGGGCAGAGGCGGGAGGATCTCTTGAGCCCAGGAATCTGAGACGGCAGAGAGCCAAGATCACGCCACTGCCCTCCAGCCTGGGAGACAGGGCAAGACTTTGTCTCAAAAAACGAAACAAAATATAACATCCCAGGGAAGGGTGACCCTCGCCTCTCCTGGCTCCTGGGCTATTGTGAGGGGGTCTGGGGAAGCAGCCACTGCCCCCCTCAGAGAAAGATGTAGAAAGGCTACTCCTGCTCCTCCTGGTGTCTGGTTGGGTGTCACCCTGGGCACCGGCGAGCTGCCAGTAGGCTTCTGGCACAGAGGATGGACCCCTGCCTCAGCTACACACATGGGAGGTTGGGTGATGGTGGGGGTGACAAGGGGCAGTGCCAGGCTCTGGTCGCACAGCCCAGGCCCCGCCCCAGAGTCCCCGGCTCCCAGACTCCTCACCGAGGCCCAAGAGGCCTCTGAGGTGTCTGAGACCTGCTTACGACCACGGGCCCAGGCCCTTCCTGGAAGCCTGCACTTGTGGTCTGCACACGACCCTTCACCAGCCCTGTCCGGGCTCAGAGGTCACTGTTCCGAGGGGTCAGCCCTGGCCACACGGGCAGGAGCAGCGCCCAGGCCTCAGGTGTTCTCTTTCGTCACCCGGTTTGAGCATCTTTCTAGCCATTCTCCGGAAGGGCAGGCTCGCATGTCCCCCATGGCTTCTGTCTCCCCTACTCGACTGTGAACCCACGAGGACCCTGGATACGGTGGCCACTGGCCACACAGGGTGGGGGTGTGTGAAATGTGGATGGACCTGAGCCCAGTGTGTGAGCGCACCCCGATTCCAAGGGCTCAGGACCACGGAAAGAACGGAAAACACCTCGCTCACCATTTCCTACTGATTACAGGCTGAAACGATCACAGTTACGGGTGAATACAGGAAATAATTAAATGACTTCCGCCAGCTCCTTTCCACCTTTTTGAATGCGGCTACTAGAAAAAGCAGAATTACACACACGGCTCGGAGCCGACACCCTCAGTCCGTGCTCCTATTACAGCGTGGCTGCTTGAAAGGCTCGCTGAACAAGCGAGCTGGCAGAACAAACGAACAAGCGAATGCAGGACGGCTCCCCCAGTCCAGCTGCCCAGGAGTGAGTGTGGGACATGAGCCGGCCCCTCCCATCACCGGGTACCGGGTGCCAGCCTGCCCACCCTCCCCTCTCCGTGGTGCCCTCTCTCTTCCAGGTGACCAGCGGTGGCCTTCCTGGAAAGGTCTTCCCTGTTTTGGGCCCGGGGATGGCCTCAGGGATGCACGACTTCCCCATTCCTGACTCATTTGAGTCCCCCGGGCAAGAACATCCCGGGGCTCAAGGGCTGCCCAGCTGAGGCTTCTCAGGTCAGGATGACAGGCAAGGGCAGGCTCCAGGGTCCCCCTGCCCGACTCCCATCCCTGCTCCATCCCTGAGAACAGGACAGCCAGTGGGGCAAAAAGCCCATGCCTCCCTTGTTTGGGAGAAGCAGGATGCAGACCCACGACAACGTGTTTCATATTTTAACTTGTCCACATTCTTGTATGATCTGAGGAAGGTGCCAAGGAATTAGTCATTGAGGCAAGAGGAGAAGAGCTGATAGGATCTCTGCGCCTAGCACAGCCCAGCGGGAGTGAGCCAGGCCCTTGCGGCAGGCGGCCCCACGCGGGAATCCTAATTAGTGGACAAGTGTCCGGACAGCAGGCCTGAAGCCCTCTCGGTGCCGTCCTCTGTGGCCCAGGGCCCCAGGCAGGCTCCCTTAGCAGGGCCTTCCTCAGGCAGGGCCCCGATGTCGGCCTCTCCCTCTGGTCCCCTCTCATCCTCAGGCTCAGTGACACGGGGTGGGGGCCTCTGAAGCCCCCTCCTCCCCAGGGTTACTGGGCCTGTCCTCTGCCCAGGGGACGCTGTCCTCTCCTCCTGCTTCCAGGGGACCTCTCTCCCTGCACGCTGGCCCTGCCTGTGGTCACCGCCCCTGTCACACCCCCAGTGGGTGGCAGAGGCTTTGCAGCTGCAGTTATGAATGCAGCTGGGAACGCAGCATCTGGGAAGTGTAGGGGGCTTTCTGGGTCTCTGACCTCCCCCTTAGGCCTCCCCAGGCATCCTCCACAAGCCCCTCCACCTGGCTCGGGGGACTCTGGTCTTCCCTTTCGCTTCCTGCCTGGCGGCAAGGAGCTTTCCCTGGGGCCTGGCTCCTGCTCGGGGTCAAGCTGCTGAAACAGGGAACCCTGAACCTAACACAGGCCTGCACAGGAGCCCGGGGTCTCCCACAACCAGAGGGCCCCCGGAAGCCACGGGGAGGAACCCGGGCACAACCAGGACTTTTTTGGTTTGTTTTGCTTTCAACAAGAGCTCCCAAGATAGTGGGCTAATTAGGACACGCCCGGCCCGCGGCGGCCACAAGTGCCTACATGTGTGTGCAGGGCTCCTGGGCCTGACCCAAGGAGTGCGCGGGAGCCAGAGAGCCAGCGGGTGGCCTTCCCGCCAGCCTCCAGGCCGCGGACGCACCAGGCCCTGCTGGGGCCCCAGGGCCTTGTTGCGGGGCAGGAGTGCTCTGCCAGGGGAAATACTGCAGCCCCCACGCACCCACCCAGGAGGCCTCATCTCTCCTCCCTGCGGATGGGTTGGGGACCTCCCTGGGTGCACCTGTGCTGGAGATTAGCTCTGGGCTGGGGGCTGGGGGCTGGGGGCTGGGGTGTGGGCAGCAGGCAGTGGTAAATGGGGCTGCTCTCTCGCCTGGGCCAGTCACAGGTATCAACACAGTTCCCAGACCTCACTGGTTTGATCCACCCATGCCCCTGGGGTGGCAGCAGGCCAGTGACCTTGCTCCAAAATGAGGGGTCAGAGACTGAGAGGCCACCCAGTAGCTGGGCCCCCTCCAGGAGGGCTGTGGAGGGTCCCGCCTGCCCCCTGGCCTGCCTGTCTGAGAGCAGAGAGGAGCAGTGTGGGGGAGGCCAGAGCTCAGCCCAGCCCTGAAGCCCCATCCCACTGGCTGGACACCCCAATCCAAGCACCAGCATCTACCGTCGGCCAAGCTGGGGACGGTGATGGCTGAGGTCTGGGGGTTCCCACAAGGTGGGCAGGAAGTGGTGGCCAGGGCTGCCCATCCCAGAACAGCAGGTTCTTCTGGGTCTACTGATGCCCCTACGCCACCATCCTGGAAACCAGGCCTCTCTGCCCATCCAGGAGAGGGGCAGGAGAGACCTCCCAGGGACCTGGGGGGCCAAGCAGGGCTCTGAGGTCAGGAGTCCTGGGGCCAAGTCTCAGCTCCACCTGTGTAACCTGGCCCATCGCTCCACCTCCCTAGGTCTTCGTTTTCTCATCTGCAGAGTGGGGATGAAATCAACATGTACTGGCCAGGCGTGGTGGCTCATGCCTGTCATCCCAGCAATTTGGGAGGACGAGGCAGGCGGATCACCTGAGGTCCGGAGTTCAAGACTGGCCTAGCCAATATGGTGAAACCCCGTCTCTACTAAAACTACAAAAAAAAATTAGCTGGGCGTGGTGGTGGGCACCTGTAATCCCAGCTACTTGGGAGGATGAGCAAGGAGAATTGCTTGAACCCGGGAGGCAGAGGTTGCAGTGAGCTGAGATCACGCCACAGCACTCCAGCCTGGGTGACAGAGCAAGACTCTGTCTCGAAAAAAACCAAAAAAGAAATCAACGTGGACTTCGTAGGATGGTTGTGGGGATCAAGAGGGTCCAGAAGTATGGTAACCTGAGACTTCATCGGAAGTGACTCTCGCCCGGGAGCCCTCCTGGAACCAATGTCCAGGAAGCTCCCATGCACGAGGCATGACCTCCACGCCTTGGCACAAAAACCCAGCCAGGAGGAACGACGGCTGGGCAGGCTCCGCCGAGGAACAGGGACGGGAATCCAGATTCACTACGCAGAGGACAGTCGCTAAGCCCTGGGCACAGGGACGGATGGGGAAGAGCAGGTGCTCTCGGGGGCAGGTGCTCACAGGGGTCGGGGTCTCTCCTGTTCCCCGAGGTGTCCAGATAGCCAGTACCGACAGGACGCTCAGAAACTCTTGGTTGGATGAAACAGACCCTGAAATCCACGCGGGCCATCCAACTGGGGGAAGTGGCCACGGTGTGCCACTGCCCGCCATGTCGGCCACAGCCCCAAGCCCAGACAGTGCCCAGGGTCCAGGCTGCCTTCCTCAGAATGTGGAGGGCGGGGACAGCCCCTTGAAAGACTCTTTGTCCTCACCGGCCAGGAGCTGGAGGGGAGCTGGGCCCCATCATCACCCTCCCGCCGCATGGGTTCTGTTCTATTTCAGATTAAGTTGGATTTTGTGGTTTTGTTAAAAGATTCCCATTGCACCTGTTGACTGTTTAAAATGTGTAAACCGTCTCAAGTGACTTTTTTTTTTTTTGAGACGAAGTCTCACTGTGTCGCCCAGGCTGGAGTGCAGTGGTGGGATCTCGGCTCACTGCAACTTCCACCTCCTGGGTTCAAGCGATTATCTTGCCTCAGCCTCCCCAGTAGCTGGGATTACAGACGCTAATTTTTGTATTTTTAGTAGAGACGGGGGTTTCACCATGTTGGCCAGGCTGGTCTCGAACTCCTGACCTCAGGTGATCTGCCCACCTCAGCCTCCCAAAGTGCTGGGATTACAGGCGTGGGGCATTTGAGTGATTTTTTTTACAAGTAGATGGGAAATAAATCTTTTTCAAGTTTGTGTCCCTGTTCCCCCCTAGTCCACTCCTCTCGCTTCCCGGTATCCACAGTGCCTTTTATCAGAGCCTAGGATATTTAAGACACAATGCAAAGCAAGGCATGGGAGGTCACGACCGTGCCATCGGATGACAGGGGACAGATGTGGTACTGTCCAGAACGGAACGTATTTTTTAGTGGAAATGACAACAGAGAAACCTGCCAGCAAAATTCACAATGACTCTGGCCACATCTCCAAAGGCCACGGTTTTGGCTGACTCCTCCAGCGGAGGAGATGTGAGGCGGGGAAGGCACATGCAGCCTGGTCCCTGCATTGGGCCTGGCAGGGGTGGTGGGGAGGGCGGGGCACAAATGCTCATTCGGAAACCTTTGTCTCCACAAGTGCAGAGGCTCGAAAGACGGAGCTCCTGCCCCGTAGACAGCAATAACAGCTTCCCGAGGGACCCCATCCTTGGGAGCTGAGGCCAGGACAGCTCCCAAGGATGGGGCCGCTTCCTGGGGCCCTGGGCTTGGCGGAGATCAGGAGACTGGGGCCCGAGCCCACGGTCTGGCCATGCAGTCCCCCTTCTCTTGGAAACAGAGATTCCTCTGATCCTAATCACTTAGGATCCGAGTCAGAGAGGGAGGCACGTGAAAAAGCGTAGTAGGGATGTCAGCTGAAATCCTGACGCCCCGCTGGCCCCTCCCCAGCTCCACCTCCGCCTCCCTCGCTCCTGTCACCTCTCCAGCTCCTGCCCCCGCCCGAGCATCCCTGCTCCCCGCCCGGCATTTATCCCGCACTCTCATTCATTCTGTTCAACTAGGACAGGAACCGGGAGCTCCAGACGGGGCAGAGACATGCTCTTCTTCATCCACCACTGGCAGCCATGGCATGGTGCATGGTGTGCCCGTGACAGACGTTTCCAGAAGGCAGCATGTTTGAGGGCTGGAGTCTGGCATCGGGGCCTGCCTGGAGTCTCCTGAGGGCTCAGCTGGCCTCCCTCTGGCCTCCTGGCCTTCTCCCTCCAGCCTGGACAGGGGCTCTGAGCTGTGACCCCAGCTCTTGTAGAACAAGGAGGTCCGTGTCCTCGTTCCCTGGAGAATATTGAGACCAGACTGTTGTGGTTTTTTGAGAGTATGCCGCTCCTCAAACTCCCTGATCTCTCGTGGGCATGTCTGAACTTGGGCCCCAACCTCACCCAGGGGTGAGTGACTGACAAGCAGCCTGGGCTTCGGAGGAAGAGAGCCCATCCCACCAGGGCAAGACCTCCGTCCTGCCGGTACTTCCCACAGCATCTCCCGGAGCCCGTGATTAAACGAATGGAAATGCCAACAAGATTCGACATGCGGCTGGGGGGAAGCCTCCCTCTCCCGACAATGTGCACACAGCACCCTCTGCTCTCATCCACAGCACCCTCTGCTCTCACCCACAGCACCCTGTGCTCTCACCCACAGCACCCTCTGCTCTCACCCGGGGCTGAGGCGAGGCCTTGCCCAATCCCGTGCCAGGGCCATGTGGAACTTTCCACACCTCACACCGGAGAAACGCGCCCCCAGGAGCAGTCCCCAGACGTGTGTCTGCAGGACTGCGAGGCCCAGGGCCACCGCTGCTATCCTGCCTGCACCTGCCCGCAGCGGCTGAGCCCGTCTGCAGCACCCACTCTGTGCTTAGCGCCACATGGGGGCCTTGCAGATGCATGTCCCTCCACACGCCCAGGTGACTTCAGATGACTCCAGGGTAGCCTGGTGCCCCCCGGGCCTCCACGGACCCACATTTGAGCCGCCCACTGTGGCCTGGTGCAAGGGCCTCGCCCCACCCTCTCCTCAACCCTCACTGCCTTCCACCTGCTAACCGCCCCGGAGTCCACTCACGGTGCCGCCGCCTCCTCCCCCAGACCCTTCTCCACGTCCCTCAGCTTCTGCCCCCTGCCTCCCGGATCCCGCTCAAAGCCCACCTCCCCTGAGAGGCCTCCTCCAGAGGGCTGGCCCACCAGCCCCTCCCTTCCAGGTTGTGGCGAGGGGCAGCCTGGACCCTGAGTGTCTGCGGGAGGCCCCAGTGGGGTATCCAGGCTGTATCCCCATCAGGCCCTGTGCTGCTGCCTATGAGAGGCAGGTGGCCAACAGGATGCACAGACTTTATTTAACCACCTGGAAACGGGCTGGTCCAGGCCCTCCCACCCAGAATGCCGAGTGCCCGGGAAGACGAGGGGGAAGGCACAGCTCACACACGCTTCTCTCCCCTCTCCGAACCCTGCTGCCAGCACCCCAGAGCCCAACCCAGGTGTCAGCCCTGACATCCTGTGTCCTTGCACACATGCCCCTGCCCATCTGTCTGCCCATCCATCCACCTGTCCTGCAGATGTGAATCAGGCGCCACCTGTAACAGCCTCCTGCTGTGCTGGAGACACTGACAGATGCTTAGCAGGGCTTCCTGGACACCTTCCAGCACACATTAGTGGCTGAGCCGAGAATGGGTGGCTGAGCCGAGAACTTGAATTATGACACGTGCAGTGCAGGGTACAGGGAGGGGGAGGCAGTCACGGGGCGTGCCACCTCCGATGGCCCTCGGTGATAAGCGGACATTGGAGCAGGAGCCCAAAGGTGGAGAAGGCGGTCCAGGACGGCTGTGGGGGGCCATCGAGGCAGAGGGCAGAGGCCCCAGAGCCAGAGAGACAGCAGCATGCTTGCTCAGGAATCACCCAGCCCCGCTCTGCCTGTCCCCTCCCCAGTTAGTGGGCTCAGGAGTGACGGATGGTCCCGCCCAGTGCACTGGCCTTGGTCAGCTCCTGCAAAGGCAGGTCTCCTCTTCACACCCATTTCCTAGGCTTGACATCCTAGCACCCTCCCAGGTGCAGGAAGATGGCAGCCGGCACGAGACACGACCCCGGCCCTCCATGCTGACGACAGTAAACAAACCAGCCAGCAAGCGTGCAGGGGCTTGGGATCAAAAGTGGTCTCAGAAACACAGAGCCAGGCACAGGGGCCAGGGCTGGCGTCCAGGCAAGGACGGGCTCGGGAAAAGGTGAAGGCGGGCCTGCAGGAAGGGAAAGATCTGCCCCAGGTATTGGGTGGGCCTGGGGGTGTTTCCAGGCTGGGGACCAGCAGGGCAGAGAGCCTGCAGCCAGAGGAAGGGCCGAGGGCCTGTGCAGGGAGAGACGGAGCCCAGGGGGATAGCGGGAGAGGTGGTCGGAGCTGAGCAGAGACGCCCGGGGCTGCAAAGCGCTCCCTCTGGCTCCGGTGTTGAGAACACAGGGCGGGCGTCAGCAAAGGCAGCAATTGTGAGATGTATCTGAGCAGTGGGTGCGAGGTGGGCCGCGGGTGCGACGTGGGCCGCGGGTGCGAGGTGGGCCCCGCAGGGGCCCCAGGCACATTTGCAGGCAGGATTCACAGGACCTCAGGCATGGAGAGTGCCTCCAGGGCTCTGGCCTGAGCAAAGGCGAGAGTGGATTTCCTGCTGGCTGAGACACGGCACCATCCCCTCTCAGGGGAAGATAAGTTTAGTTTGGGTTTAGCAAGTTGAGGTCCTATTAGGCTGGTGACTGGGGGGAGGTCCAATGGGGGACAGAACAAAGGAGACAGAAATAGCAGCTGGCCGAGGGTGGCAGGGGGGCCGGAGGCGGGCGTGCACTAGGCACAGCAGGCGGGTGAGTGGGGTGGCTCCTCTGATCCCTGGATCTCCAGTTAGGACAACTGGTCCCTCCCCTGGCCCCACATGGCTTGAGCCCCACCGCTGCTCGGGGTCTTTCATGACACAAGGCCTGGAGAGGATGCTGAGGGCTCCCTTGGCCATGCTCAGCAATCCCATGAGCCATTCCCAGTTGGGCCCTGCCCTCTCCAAACCGTGGGAACTCAGCAGCCTCTGGGTTGCCAAGCCCCAGTCCCTTTTCTGTTCTCCCAGCCAGCCTCTCGTGCCTCCTGGCCTCCCAGGCTGCCCCTCTGCATCTCCCCCTCTGCTTGGTGTCTCGGATGTCGTAGTGCCCAGTGCTCAGCTCCAGCCGCTGTCTCTCCCTGCCTCCGTGCAGATCCCCCAGAGCCCTGACTGTAAGTGCCCATGTGCAGGACTCCCTAGAGGTCGTCTCCACAGCCTGCCTGCCCACACCAGCAACTGAGTGTCCACATGGCCGCTCCTGCCAGTGTGGCCCCAACTCCTTACCCACCTCACATCCAGACCCTGCCGGCCTTTCCTGCCTTGGGGAGCAGCAGAGCCTCCTGCAAGGGTGCAAATGGAACCTCAGCATCTTTCTGGAATCCTCCCCTGCTCTTCCTCTAAGGTCACCTTCAAACTCCACCCTAAGCCTGACCACCACCCACCACCTCCTCTGATGCACACAGGACTGAGCCACCAGGTGGTCACACTTTTCAGGCCCCAGGACCACTGGAAACCCCTCCCTCATGGGGCTTTGGGAACTGCTCGCTCGTCGTCCTCCTCCCTGCATGCGGCTCCTTCTCAGCTATGCAATGGCTGCCGGGCATCTCCAACACAGCCACGGCCGACCGCGGCGTTTTCACCCCTGCTCTGCTGCAGTTCTACCAATCTCAGGGCAGAAAACTTGGGGTCTCCCCCACCCCTTCCCTCATATCCAGCCCATCAGCAAATCTTGCCCAGAATCCCACGGTGTGGTACCACCTGACCGGCGGGGCTGCCCCATTCCCTGGATCGTCCCAGCCTGCAGGCGGCTCCTGGCCTTGGCCCTGCCCCCCTGTGGTCTATCCCCAGCACTGCAGCCGGGGGCCCTCCCAGAACGTCTGCCAGCTGCGTCCCTTGGTTCCGTAGCCCCACGTACAGAGTAGGTGCCTAGTAACTGCAGCTTGCTGCACTGATTGGCTTCCCCCCGCCCCAGGGCCCTGTCCTGGAGGCCCATCCTGCCCAGAGGTTTCACTTTCTGCAGGAACAGAGTGGACACTGGCTCCATGGGGCGCACGGGAGTGGGGGTGTCCAAAGCTCCAGATCCGTCCGTGCTGCTCCTCAGCACAGGGGTGGCCACGTTCCCGCAACGCATGGATGCCCACCATGCGGAGGGGCAGGGTGGGAACAGGCCAGGCCCAAGGGTGCACAGCCCAGGCCCTGCGGCGAGACAGGCTCCAGCCCCTCCATAGAGAGGGCGCAGGAGAGCTAGGGGTGTCTCCCATCACCCTGGCTAACCTCCTGAGACCCTAAAGCTGAAGAACAGCGGCCCCAGGAGGAAGTGGGGGGCAAGGGGCCATGAACTGGACATTTGGGAAGTCAGGGAGACTCCTGGGTGTTGGTAGACAGCACCCAGCTCCGACGTCTCCAGCGCTCAGCCTCTTCTAGAGGGGCCCCACTCATCCAGCCATCGGCTCCTTCCTTGCTACAGGCAGAAGTGGGTAATGTCTCTGTGTCCACCTCGGGGTTGGGCATTGATCAACCCCAGTCCGTGGGAGCCGCAGACTCAGAACGTGGCCTTGTTTGGCCAGAGCCACCACAGGATTATCCAGTCCCCCATGTGGAAGGACAGTGTGGGAAGCAAGTGAAGAGCATGGCTGGGATTGCGGGAGGAGGGGCTGAGGCTGCATGGCTGGGATTGCAGGAGGAGGGGCTGAGGCTGCAGGGCTGGGATTGCGGGAGGAGGGGCTGAAGATGCATGGGTGGGATTGCAGGAGGAGGGGCTGAGGCTGCATGGCTGGGATTGCAGGAGGAGGGGCTGAGGCTGCATGGGTGGGATTGTGGGAGGAAGGGTCTGAGGCTGCATGGCTGGGATTGCAGGAGGAGGGGCTGAGGCTGCATGGCTGGGATTGCGGGAGGAGGGGCTGAGGCTGCATGGCTGGGATTGCAGGAGGAGGGGCTGAGGCTGCATGGGTGGGATTGCGGGAGGAGGGGCTGAGGCTGCATGGGTGGGATTGCGGGAGGAGGGGCTGAGGCTGCAGGGCTGGGATTGCGGGAGGAGGGGCTGAGGCTGCATGGCTGGGATTGCGGGAGGAGGGGCTGAGGCTGCATGGCTGGGATTGCGGGAGGAGGGGCTGAGGCTGCAGGGCTGGGATTGCGGGAGGAGGGGCTGAGGCTGCATGGCTGGGATTGCGGGAGGAGGGGCTGAGGCTGCATGGCTGGGATTGCGGGAGGAGGGGCTGAGGCTGCAGGGCTGGGATTGCGGGAGGAGGGGCTGAGGCTGCATGGCTGGGATTGCGGGAGGAGGGGCGGAGGCTGCATGGGTGGGATTGCGGGAGGAGGGGGCTGAGGCTGCATGGCTGGGATTGCGGGAGGAGGGGCTGAGGCTGCATGGGTGGGATTGTGGGAGGAGGGGGCTGAGGCTGCAGGGCTGGGATTGCGGGAGGAGGGGCTGAGGCTGCATGGGTGGGATTGCGGGAGGAGGGGGCTGAGGCTGCAGGGCTGGGATTGCGGGAGGAGGGGCTGAGGCTGCATGGCTGGGATTGCGGGAGGAGGGGCTGAGAATGCAGGGCTGGGATTGCGGGAGGAGGGGCTGAGGCTGCATGGCTGGGATTGCGGGAGGAGGGGCTGAGGCTGCATGGCTGGGATTGCGGGAGGAGGGGCTGAGGCTGCAGGGCTGGGATTGCGGGAGGAGGGGCTGAGGCTGCATGGCTGGGATTGCGGGAGGAGGGGGCTGAGGCTGCAGGGCTGGGATTGCGGGAGGAGGGGCGGAGGCTGCATGGGTGGGATTGTGGGAGGAGGAGCTGAGGCTGCATGGCTGGGATTGCGGGAGGAGGGGCTGAGGCTGCAGGGCTGGGATTGCGGGAGGAGGGGCTGAGGCTGCATGGGTGGGATTGTGGGAGGAGGAGCTGAGGCTGCAGGGCTGGGATTGCAGGAGGAGGGGCTAAGGCTGCATGGGTGGGATTGTGGGAGGAGGGGCTGAGGCGGCAGCTCTCCAGGC
The DNA here is from genome assembly GCF_000001405.40 of Homo sapiens. NCBI lineage: Eukaryota > Metazoa > Chordata > Mammalia > Primates > Hominidae > Homo > Homo sapiens. Next base: position 3,693,654 of record NC_000001.11, on the reverse strand, counting down.
CAGGCCCCCCTGCGTCCCCATCTGCAGCAAGTAACCAGTGGCTCCCATTGGGCCCCGCAGCCGAGCAGCTACGGTGAACACCGTCCTCATCATAGAGGAGACTGAGGCTCAGAGAGCGGCGTCACTGACCAAAGACTCAGCTGGCAGATGCCAGAGAGACAGACCCCAAGCCCACACCTGGAACCCTGTGCCAGGCTGGGGGCAATTGGCGGGCCCAGCTGGGGGCTCAGACAGTGTCCTGCAACCCAGGGGCCTCTTCCCAGGGCCAGGCTGGCCCAGCGGGCTCCGGAGCAGCTACTGTGCTTTGATAGGAATAACCAGGGCCTCACAAAGCCACCAACTCCAATACAACTCTATTCGCTCACTTTGGGTTTAAAACCCTTTGGGCCAAATACCACTTTCTCTCTCAAAATACGTTCCTGCAGTAAGATGAGGTCATGAATACTCTCTCTGGCACAGAAACAGGGAAACTGAGTCACCACTCCGCCCATTAGGATGGCCCAGCCTAGCCCACCTCCCCCCGAGAGGGAAGAGGTGCTGGAGACATGGCTGGCTCTGGGCACTGCCTCCACCTGCTCCTGGCACTCAGCCTAACACACAAAACGTGCCCAGTTAACACTTGCTGATGGGATGAATGAATGGACAAATGAACGAACGAACCACAGTAATCCTTGGTGTAAAAAGAAACAGTGATGGCACAGCTGGCCATTGCTGACGCCCAGGGCACCGGGCAGCAGCAGCCGAGTGGACACCAGCAGCTCCTGCAGGCAGTGAGGGTCTGCAGGCCAGGGCAGCAGGGCTCCACCTCCCCACCCCTCCCGGGAATGGCGTCTGCGCAACCACATACTCAACCTTGGTGGAGTCCCCCGAGAGGGTGAGTCACATGGTGACATCTGCTCCATTCAAGGGAAAAGATTGTACTAGAGTCCCCCAGGTCCCCAGGCTTCTCGGCTGGCCAGGCAGCGACACTGGCCTCTCCACCCGAGGCTTCTGGATCCACCTCGGGTTCCAGGCGGTCCAGCAGCCGGGAGATAGCCCCTCCCAGCTCACACACCTCCTGGGAGAGTCTGGGGGTACAAGGCAGCCCCCCAGGAGCCCCAGGCCTGCTGTGCGTTTCTAATAGCAACGTGTTGGTGGATACATGTATCAATGCACAAGTGGGTGACAGCCAGACAAGGGAGAGAGGGACACCCCATGCCTGATGTAGCCGTTCCACGCTCTGGGCTACAGTCCCAGCACTGGGTTTCAGATAAAAAGATCACGCAGGCGTGTGGAGAGGCCATGGTGCCGCCAGACTCGAGTGCATGGACCCAGCATCTGGGCAGGCTGTGGGGCTGGGTCACCCACACCCTCACCCACCCTCTGGGCCACACACACACACTGCCTCTCTTCTCAAAGCCTTGCCTGGGAACACACAGCTACAGGCACAGACATCCATGTATCCATCGCAACACACATACGGACACACGTGAGCACCTACCCACCCAAATCACACAATCACACCTGCAGTACCAATCTGCTCACACGTACACACACCACAACACACAGGCAAACACGTGTACATACACACACACCAGCCTGTACACACACCCATAACATACACACACACATCTGCACATATCCTCGCCTGCGTATTGCATGCACATCCACGCTTAGACACACACATGCACGCACACCAATACCCACCCGCCACATGCACATTGATGTGCACGCTCACACACATCGCTGTCACACACACCCTGGTCACACTGCCTGGGGAGCCCACGGCTCCAAAGGCCTCCGTCCCCAGATCTTTGGGCCTCTACATCCCAGTGCCAGCAGAGCTTCGGGGCACTTGGACTCTGCCTATCTGCCCGCTGCCCCCTGCCCATGGCTGAGTTTCCCGTGTGGCACAGGTACCCATGGTCCCAGCTGTCTGCTTCCCTGGGAGGAGGAACGGCCCCACGTGGAGCAGCTGTGCCGAGCCTTCCACCTTCTCAATTAGCAGCTGGTGCCTGCCTGGCCCCCAGGGACCTGGCAAGTCTGGAAGTGAGGCCAGGTCCCCAGGGCTCAGGCTGCAGGGGCCAACCACAAGCTGCAGACCCTTCCCTCCCCTCTTCCAAGCCAGCAGCCCACTGCAGGGGGCGGGTGGCGCAAGAGGCCTCAAGCCCAGTTTGCCACAGGTCCTGGCCCTGGAGCTCAGACCCACACCGAGAAGAGCCCGTGGGGCTGACAAGAAGCACCGTCTGCCACTGCTGTCAAATGAGCAAATTCCCTGATGAGGGCGGGGGCAGCTTCACACCCAAGCCCAGGAGCAAAGATGACTTCTAGGGTGCACTGAGCTCCTGGCAGCTGGGGCAGGGCAGGGCAGCTCGGAAACTCTGAGCCTGGACCAAGCCGCCAGCCCCAAAGCCAAGGAGCATCAGAGACCCCCGAGCACGAGGCAGAAACACCAGCAGCCCCATCGGCATGGACCCGGCCTCCTCTCCCTGGCTGCGGGTCCCTGCCCAGCAGGTGGGCACAGGCTGTTGGAGCCCGAATCTGCTTGCCTCCATGCCTGGGACCTGCCTCTAGCCCCTCAACGCCTCCCTTCCTACCTCTGCTCACCCCAACTGGCAGCAGACTCCAGGCCAGGAAGGCAGGCAGAAGGATGCCCCTCTGAACCCTACACTGCAGCAAAATCCCCCGCAAAGTCCCCGAAGAGATCCTATGAATGGCGCGTCACACCTACCGTGGCGAGGTGCCGTGCGGGGTCACCGACGTACAGCATGGTAGGCGCCGGGGGGTCTGCACACGCCAGGGAACTGGTGTCCCGTGGGACGAGGCATGGATCTGGGCGGCCCGAGGGGAAGGGTCACGGTCGTGGCCGCCCGGCAGCGTGGACCGAGCGGGAGAGGCTCCGCAGCTAGTGAGGCAGGAGCCGAGGATGCTGGGGAACATGCGGGCCGTTTGTTGGCATTTTCGCTTTTCCCATCTCCCTTAGTTCTGTCAACTGGCTGAATCCAACAACAAAACCCGCGGCCCACCCCTTTATTCCTCATGAGTATTCATCCAAGTCCGGGGCAGGCCTCAGCTTGCCCGGTGATGTGTTGGACCGCACCAAGGAGGCTGCGTGGGGAGGGCGGGGACGCCGGTCAGCGCCGGCTCCATAATTAAACCCACCAGGGCTCCTTCCGAGATGCTGCCTGCCTGGGGAAGGCTCGGGGGGCCCCAGGCCCTCACCCCGTAAAGCAGCCTCTGTTCCCAGGCATGAGGGCTGAGCCCCGGCCCTGGAGATCATGGTAGGCAAGGCTGGGCCACCCCAAGGGGGAGAGATGGTGTCGCCTCCCTTGGCACCCAGGTGGGGCGCACCTGCCCCCTGCGCGGGGAACTCGGTGGTCCGCCAGGACCAGTCCAAGGGCTGCATGGAGAGGAGGGGCTCACAGGAGGTTCGACCCTAGACCCCCGAGGGAGACAGGTGACGGGAGTGAGCAGCTCTTGTGGGGCCTGCCTTCCACTGCCTGCCCAAAGCAGGGGTGAGTCCAAGAGCCCAGAGCCGTGCGTTTGGAGCCCACCCTGGCACTGGCCAAGCCCCCAGGAAACAGGGACAAGCCACTGTTGCCAAAGAACAGCCCGGCAGTGGGGCCCCCTGCAGGCGTGGACGGCCTTGGCACAGCCAGGGAGGGGCTCTGCAGTGGTGCCCCGCACCCGTCTAGTGGGGCCTTTGAGGTGACTGCCACTCCCTGTTGGGCCGTCTGAATTTCCATTGTATTTCAGCCGTCTTGGGTACAAAGTTGACCCTGGCAGAGGGGCCCGAGTCCCCCTGGAAGCAGGCAGGGCATCTATGCTCAGACAAACCTGGGGACTGGGGCCTGCGGACCCACACTTCCAGTCCCCAGGGCGCCGTGGCTCTCACGAGGGCTGAGAAATCCATGGGGAGCTGAGAAATCCATGCGGAGACCCTTTCCCCTTTCCTTCCAACCTTTTCCTGCCAAATCCCAAACCACCTGCCTGCTTTCTCTTGTCTCCATCTCCCCAGCTTCCTTCCTCCCTGTCGTCCCCACCGAGAGCCGGCAGGGGCCTCATCGCTCCCCACCCCCACCCCCGGGAGAGCGGGCAGAGCTGGGTGAGGGCAGGGGAGGTTTGGACTGCAGCTGCCTGAGGAGCCCTGGGGACCCGCCCTGCCCCACCAGCAGGCCGGGCTGAGGACGAAAGGACGATTCCAGGTGTTGTGCCCCAAGGGGCTGGGGCCTGGAGAGCCCAGCTCAGGGCCCTAGGGCCGGGAGGCAGCAGGTGAGTCCTGGACGCCCGTCTCTTCCTGTGGCAGAGGATCTCAGCCCCCAACAGGAAGGGCAGCAGCACTCAGGAGGAGACGACTGAGAAAAAGACAGTTTTGTCTGGTAGATCAGGTTCAGGAAGGGCGTCTCTGGGAAGCCCCCTGCAGGGGGTCGGCTGGGGCCCAGACTGGATGTTCTGGGGAAAGCAGCAGCCTCCTTGCAGGAGAGCCCAGGGCGAGCACTAGGAGACTCCTGCTGGGATCGGGGATGCCCTGGGGATGAGGGTGCCTTCTGCTTCTGAGCCTGGGACCCCTCTTGGGTTGGGGGCGGGCTCCCCAGGGATGGACAGACCCTCAGAGCAGGGCCGAGGCGGGGCCTGGGTTCCGCTCCCGACCCCCACAGGGCACATCCTCAGCCTCTGTAGGCGGTGTCCTCTCCTGCCAAAGGGAATGATGCATTGAAAAGGAGACTCAGGCGAGTCCCATGCACAGGGCCGGCCTGATGGTTTTATAAATAGCCAAAAGGAGAGCGCCAAGTGGAAGGACGTGAGGAAGGAAGACAGCCAGGCTGCCTTCAGCACGAGCCCCACCCATGCCCAGGGCACCGTGCCTGAGACCCCGCATCTCTCCACCCTTAGCATCTGGGCCAGGCTGCGGGGATCCCAGTGCGGCTGAGCTACACGTTTCCAACTCAAAAGCACCCAAAACCACTGGCCTCTGCCCCAGAGCGGCACCCAGCTTTCTGCAAACGTTCCCAAGGCCCAGCCTTGCAGAGGACAGGGACAGGGGATCTGGGGCCACACCCCCTTGGCGTGGCCCTTAGCGCCTCCTCCAGGTTCCCTCCCTGCTGGGTCCTCCATTCTGCTTTCATTCTGCTTCTGACTCACCGGGGATTCCGCCTGACTTTCCGCAGGACCCTGGGCCGCAGGACAGGGGGGAACGACGCTGCCGCAGGCCACGGCACTCTTCAGGAACCAGTTAGTGGGAGGGGTTATGTGCCAGAACAGACAGGGGGACTTCGTTTCCTGGTGCCAGTGATGTGTCAGTTCAAGGCCAAACTCATGGCACAGGGTCCCTGCTGGGCAGCTGGCTTCATCCCACCGCATGGAAGAGGCCGCAGAAGCTGCAAGGCTCTGAGACCTGGGTGCTGGGTGGGGTTCACTTCTGTGCAGCCCCAAAGTGCTTTGTCACGAAAGCCCACCAAAGGAAAGGCTGAGTGGGGGCTCTCTGGGAGGGGGTAACGGGTGGGCTGGAGTCTCAGAGCTGACCGTGGTGAGCTGAGCCCCCTCCCTGCTCCCACGCATGACCCCACCCTTCCTCCAGCTACAGATCCTCCCTGGAAGGGAGGGGTGTCCTTCTCCCTCTGTCCGCCTGCCCTTTCCTGGGGGCCACACATGCACGGGACCTGCGCCCTTCCTTCTCCTGGGCCTGGGGAGAATACCTCTCCCTGAAGTCACCAAGGCCTATCTGGGGTGACCTCTAGGGTCTCAAGCCCCCAAGTGTCCGAAGGTTCTGACCCCGGGTGTCTGTCCTGCCACTGGGTTCCCGGGGCTCCCAGGGTAGATCAGCCTGCCTTCTGCCCCACCAGCTGTAGACCCCGCTCTGTGGCCCACCTGCCCACAACACCTGTTGTCAGAGAAAGGCGCCAGGAGAGGCAGGAAGGGGCACAGGGGAGGGGCCAGCCCTGGAGGAGGCTCTAGGGACAGAGAGGGGAGGGGAGAGGACGGGAGCGGAGCAGAGTGGAGGGGAGGGGAGGGAGGAGACACTTGCCTCTCTCTCCTTTTCTCCCCTCCTGTGTCCTCCCTCCTTGTGGAGCATCCTGAGAGCCAGCAAGGGCCGCAGGTCTCATTGCCCTGCGCTGGTTTTGTCCGAGGGGACGCTAGCGCTCAGAGGGGCAGGGATTCGCTTCCAAGCCCAGGCCCAGCACTGCAGAGACTCCTCGGGTGGGTCCGGGTGAGGATAGGACCCCCGCCCCACCATCACACCCACACTGCCTCCTCGCAGCCTGCGAGCCTACGAGGGAGCTTTATCCTCTGCAGCTCTTCCCAGACGGTGTGGGGGTGGCCAGGGCAGACCCCACCCAGGTGGCATCCAGAAGCCCGTCAAGCCTTCCTCATTCAGGGAACCAGCCAGGGTCCTGAGAGGGCAGGGGCTGGGCCAGTTTTAGCTGTGGCTCCTCGGCCCACCCTCCCCAGCCCATGGGGAGGCCCGGGCCACAGGCTTCCCCCTGCTCTCCTCTTGCAGAACGGGGCCCTATTTTAGAGTGAGGTCCCTGTGAGCCATGTAGGGTCTTCAGGGACAGCCAGAGCCTAAGGCACGGGACAGCTCAGGCAGGAACTGTGCCAGGCAAAGGCAGCAGGCCCTGGTCCCAGATCCTATCCTAGGCCCTCCTGGCTCTGCTGTTCTGGTGTCCGAGGAGCAGCTTTCTTAAACACAGGGCCTCCTCCCTGCCCTCACCCTCACACCTAGCGTTTGTCACATACTCCCGATGGGCCCGGCACCACTGGACATCCTCACATCGTGGGTGACTTGGAGCCTCTCAGTAGCGCCATTTATAGACAGGAAACTGAGGCCCAGAGGGCTATGTAATTCTTTAAAAGTTGCCCAGCTCAGAAGGGAAGGGGTAGGTCCTGAGCTCAGCAAACCTGGCCTCGGAGCCCCCAGCCACACCCACCTCGGCCTGCTGGACTTTCTGGGCCACCTCAGTCAGATGGCCACAGTGACCACGGGGTCTGTTTCCTGCTATGGCCACACAGAGCTCACAGTCTCCCCAATAAGTCTGTGGCCTGGGACTCCTCTAGAGCCCACTGAGGGTTCAACTGCTCTTGCCCACACCCCACTCTCCTGAACTGCCTAAACTCAGCCTCCTCTGCAGGGGCCAGTGTGGCAGGAGGGTTGTCCGAGGCCCACGGGGTTGGGCAGAGCCAGCACCCAGCACCTGGCATCCCAGAGTCTATGCCACCTCCCAAAGGGCTCTCTGCTCTGGGCTCCTACCCCCTGTCACCCCAGCTTCACCAGCAAGGACATGGAGGCTCAGAGAATTGTGGGAGCTTGAAACCACCTGCTCCGCCTGTCTCCCACGGCTGCTAAGCAGGTGGCTAAGGCATCCCTCAGACACCCTGTGTCCAACGGGAACCAATCTGCCTGCTCGTGGTTCGGGGAGACCCACGTCCCCCAGATGCGGAAGGCACGCCCCACTGCAGAGGACCAGTGTCCTGCGCTCAAGCACTGTGCCTGCCCGAGCTGAGGCCCCTTTGCTGGATGAGTCCCAGACCCGCCCCTGAGTATGGGAGCAGCCAGATGCCACCAACACCCAGGGACAGGTGGCCAGAGGGAGCCGCCAGGGGCAGGTGGGGGCAGGTGCGTGTGCAGCCACTTCCACAAGCAGGCCCCCCACCTGAGCCACGAACTCAGGACTATCGGTAGCCCCGGAAACATCCGGCACTAGAACCGCCTGTCTGACCCGAGGCCGGGCCTGTGTGGTGTTTCTTGTCCAAGGTCACCAGCCTCGTGGTGGGGCTAGAACTGGGCCCCTGAGCTGCAGGTGGCAGTTTTCCAGGGGGCACTCAGAGCCCCCCATGCCCGCATCCGCACTGAACCGGGTCCAGGTCCCCAGCCCCAGCACAGCAGCTTCCCTGAGCTCCTGGGCTGAACTTTAAAACAATGCCCCCCAGTTCAGCTCCAGCCCCACTCTGGGACCCCTGGAGTTAGCGGGCCAGGGGCCATTCTCAAGGCAGCTAAGCCCTGGGCCCTGTGCCAGGCTGCCCGAGCCCACCCGTTGGCGCCCTTCGGAGTCTCTGTCTTTGTACCTGGCGCTCCCATGGGAGTCAGGGGTAGGGGACAGCATGCTCTTGGCCCAGCAGCCACTGTTGTGAGGGGGCTGGGCCCTGGGGTCAGAATGAGGCTTGGCTCTCCCCACGCAGGCCTGGGCCTGCCTTCATTCCAGGGAATCCCCCATCTCCGTGAGTCGAGCTGTGCACCTAGGAATTTCATACATGGCTTTGGGAGGAGGCGTGTCGCTGCCAGACAGATCCAGCCACCTTGCTGTTTGCGGAGGTTCGAGGCTCCCACTGTCACCCTGTGGCTGGGGAGTGGCACGTTCCAGCAGGCGGGGGCTCGGACCAGACCCCGATATGGAGCTCAGGGAACCCTCCGGGGCTGGGGAGGACAAGCACGCTCCACCCACTCAGGAATGTAGAACTGCTCCTTCTGCCTCCCTGAGTCCAGGTCCTCCTCCCGACACAGGGTGGGTCTGTGCCATCTTAGGGGCCTTCTGCCCTCTGCAGGGGGAGTGGCTGAGCAACTTGGGGTTGGGAGGTGGCTTCTGGATCTCAGGGGACAATCTTATGGGTCTTCCTCCCTCCCTCCCTGGGGTCCAGCGGCCAGTTCCTGCCCCTCCCCAGATTGGAGGACACGGATGTCCAGAAGGGGACCTGGAGGGGGTGGGGTCAGGACCCTTGTCCCCAGAGAGCAGCCGGCAGAACTGTTCCAAAGCGAGAGAGGGGAGAGGTTGCAGTCTCACTTTCTTGCACTACCCGGCCCCATCCCCAGCCCACCCTTTCCCAGCATCTGCCTCGGTTTCCTCACCCATAACACGGGACTAGAACACGCGCAGACACTGTCGAGTGTTTCCACTGGGACGGTCTCCTGAGCAGGGGTGGGAGGGCAGGGGCAGGCGGTCGAACCCTCAGATACAGGCTGAGGGGCTCCTCGGAGGAATTGACCCCCCGGGACTGTGGCTGCCCAAGGAGGTGCCTTCTCTGGCCCCACATGGCTCTGGGCCAGCCCAGCATCCGCAATGGAGACGGAACAGGCAACACGGCCCCTCCACCTCTACACTCCCCCACCCCGCTTCACTCTGTTCGTTCTGACTGGAGCCCCACAGCCCCCACTCCCTCCAGTGCTCAGGGTGGCTGGGCCGCCCACCCCCATGCCTCAGACAGTCAGTCGTGCGCAGGGGCAAGGAAGGGGCTCCAGCTCCTGGAATGGGGACTTGAGGGAGGAGGAGGGCCAGGCCGGGTGCTCTCAGGCCCCCAGAGGCCCAGCATCGCCTCCCTCCCTTTCGGGCTGAGCATAAGTGAGGGAGGCCCGACCCTGCCCCAGACGCGCTGTTCCGCGTATCCCCACAGTTCGGGCTGGTTTTCCGCAGCGCAAACAAATTCCCCACCTACGAATCCCTGGGCGGCGGAGGCGGGGCGGGGCAGCCAGCCTGTGGGCGGGGCCGAGCAGCTGACGAGTCCAGCGGGGACGGCTGGCCTCGCTGGGCCTCCCAGGTCGGGATCTTTGCTCTCTCCTCACGTGTGGTGCCCACCTGCCATCCACCTCCCGGCACAGTCGAGGCCTGGCTATGGGCAGCCAGAGAGGTAGGCAGGAGCGTGGCCCCCACCAGCTCCCACAGCCTGGCCTTTTCCCCCAGAGGAGCAGCCAATGGGGCAGGGCTTGAGACTCCCAGGAATGGGGGAGCCTGCCAAGATGGGGTGCCGGAGGCCTCACTGGCCCTGCCTGCCCCCTATCCAGTCCTCTTCTCCTGGAAACAGCACCTCCATCTTCCTTTGGGGGTCCCTGTGTGGGGAGGCCCACCCCACTCCATTCCATTGTCACCCTGTTCCACTGATGGTGGAGGCCAGGCCAATCAGAGGCACAGATGTGGCTCAGAGATGGGCCCATGACCACATTCAGATCAACGGGAGGCAGGACTGCTGGACTATGGGAAAAGAGGGATCTCCTCTCCACAGGGATAGGGCATGCTGGTGGAGCCTGGTACTCTTCACCATGAGAGGAGATGCGGCCTAAAAACAAAGTCACTGCAGGGGAAAGCAGACCAAGAGACTGAGCGAGGCAGCTGTGAAGCACCTGGACACAGCCATGCCCAAAGCCCTTTCTATACCTGGATCCACCAGTAGAAGCCCTTCCTACACCTGGACCCACCCATGTCCAAAGCCCTTCCTACATCTGGATCTAGCTGTGCCTGAAGCCCTTCCTACACCTGGATCTAGCCATGCCTGAAGCCCTTCCTACACCTGGATCCAGCCATGCCTGAATCCATTCCTATCTCTGGATTGACAGTTACATGAGCTGATACATTTTCTCCTTTGCAATTTGAAGTGTCCTCAGAAACCCACAGGGGAAGCTGTACAACCAAGAGGCTATCTCCTGGTTCTGCCAGGCTCCCAAGACAGGACAGGCCACATTTGTTGTCCCCACTCCAGTCCTCTTGCAGAGGGCAGCCCCCCCACTCACCATGACAGATGTAGTCATGCCCTCCAGGTGGAAGACGTCCATGCTGGAATCCGTTCCGCCCACCACCTCATTATTCCCCCGGCTTGACTGGGGAAGGTCGAAGTAGGTGCTGTCTGGTTCCCTGGGGCAGGGAGAGGAAAATAGAAGCGTCAGTCCCCAGTTTGGGTGTCACCCCAATACCTCCCAGGCCCAGAGCTCAAGGCTAGCCTGAGACTCCTGGTGAGGCCTACGTCTCCTGCCCTTCCCATTCCCTCTCATCCCATCTCTGTCCTCCACCTGCCATTCCAGGGCTGCTGTGAGTGCCAGAGAGGCAGAGCCAGTCATGGGCTCTGTTATTCTGGGCCTCTGCTGGCCATGGGCCCTCTCCAGAGCTGGCCAGAGAAAAGAGTCTGAATTTTGGTCCTGCATCCCCAGGGAAGGCCTAGGGCAGCAGTCCCTCTTCCCTGCCCCTCCGACCCGCCCTGTCCCCAAGCTGATGAGGGTGGCTAAGGCTAGCCCAAGACTAGTGTGGAGCCACCTCTCCTGCTCTGGTCCAGTTAGTGCAGCAAGGGTGGTCGAGGCTAGCCCAGAATCCCAGTGAGGGTTGCCAAGTTTAGCCCAAAGTCTCAGTGAGGGTGGCTGGGGCTAGCCCAGAGTCCTCCCGGGGCCACCCCTCCTGCTCTGGCCCAGTTAGCCCAGCGAAGGTGGCTGAGGCTAGCCCAGAGTGCCTCCCAGGGGGGCCCCCAGCTCTGGCCAGCCAAGCGCACTCACAGAGAGCTCCAGAGGTGCTCAAACGTGGTGCCCCCATCAGGGGAGGTGGCGGTGGACTGGGCCATCTTCCCCACGCCGGCCTCCGAGGGCAGCTCGCTCTGCAGGAAGGAAGGAATGACACCTGAGCACCCTGGGAACTCGTGCTCTGTCCTCCTGTGACAGCCTCGGTGGGGGCGGCAGGCAAGTGGGCCTGCCTGGGGCATCCCTGGAGCAGGTGCCCCCGCCTTGCCCTCCCTGTGCCCTCTCCACTGTCATTTCGTCCACCCTGTTCCCCGCGGCTGGAAACCGAAGGCCAGGTGGGCAGCTCTGCCTTGGAGGTGGCGGGCCTGGATCAGACCCATCCGTGGGGGTGCCCTGGGCAGGCAGGAGCTTCTCAGAGCCGTCGCCTTGGAAGAGGGGGTGACAGCAACACCCGCTCCTGGGGCTGCCTTGAGGGCCTTCAGGAGAGCAGACTCTTTGAGATGCTTGGGCCGGGACAAGCGTGTGAGGCCTGTGGTCTGTTATGATCCACTGTGTCTAGGTTTGGCCTGGGGGATGCTTGGGCCGGAACAAGTGTGTGAGGCCTGTGGTCTGTTACGATCCCCTGTGTCTGGGTTTGGCCTGGGGGATGCAGCCAGGTTTGGGGTCTCCCTGATGCCCGGGACCTGGAGGTGGCTCCGGTCCCGGTCACCCCATCTTGGGAACAGCGTGTGTGAGGGCTGCGCTGGAGGCTGCAGCCAAGCCCCCGGCTAGAGCCTAGCTGTGCCCACTGCTGCAGGACACAGACGCCCCCTCGCCTTCTGAGCTGGGGCTCCTTCCTGCACCCCAGGGCCACAGGGAAGCCTGGCAAGGCTGGGAACTTGAAGCTGCCCTGTCCTGCAGCCGGCCACTGCCTGGGTGGTCACGCCTTGAGAAGGAGACACCCAGGGATTGGAGAGCTCTGACCCCAGCGCCCGTCCGCTGGTCTTTGTCTCCACCATTGCTCCCCTGAGAACCCCTGGGCCCAGCTCCCAGTGGCCCTGGACACCCATGAGGAGGTGGCAGTGTCCAGGCAGAGCACAGCTGGGGGAGGGGACAGGGAAACCCGAGCCCACCCTGCCCACAGCCCCCAGCCCCGGCTGAGGTGACCTCTCCCCTGGGCCAGCCTCCCAGGTCCTCGGTGAGGTGCTATGGGACAGGCTTGGCCACCGCCCTGCAATGCTCAGGCAGGCAGGCCTGGACCTGCCCACGGCCAGCGGGGGTGCAGGCCATGGCCTGGAACCTGTCGTTTTTGTCCTTCCCCAGGCAGGCGGGAGCTGATAGAAGCCTGTGGCTGCCACGTGCCGGGCCCTGGAGAAGTGGCACAGGCCAGGCTGAGGGGCGGTCCGTGAGCCATGATGGCCTGGGACAAGCAGCTTAGAGGGTGCTGGCCCAAGCCACCTCTCCCAGGTGGGCGTGACCGCTCCATCCACTTTTCAGGAGCCCCAAGGCTCAGAGGGGTTAAGTGACTTGTGTGAGGTCACACGGCTGTAAGTGCTGGTGATGAATGCTCCAGGGGCTCTTAGAATTAGAAGTTAATTTGGTTGCCCTGCCCCACCCCACTTCACCATCACGTGGCCAGGTGGGTGTGCCCTTGCAGGCCTCCGATCCTGGGCTGGGCTAAAACCCCAGTGGAGCTGAGGGTGTGCATGGGGACCGCACCATTCCGTTAATTTAAAATGGGAGAGTGTGACAGGAAGCAGAACCGCAGGTCCAGCTGAGGCTGGCACAGGGCCCCGGGGGAGAGCAGAACCCGCCCTTGCCCATACCCCACGGTGGGTCCCTTTGGGCTGAGCAGTATGAGTAGGGTAGCCTCTTGGTGCAGGTATGTGGGCCAAGGCTGGGTGGGCACAAGTGAGGGGTCCCAGGCATGTTTCCTGAAGGGCAGGAGCACTGGAGGGGCTGGACTCGGAGGAAAGAAATTCCCTTAGATCCAAGAGGACAAGCCTGGGAAGGTTTTGCCGCCAGAGGCCTCTGGGTCGCATCCCCTTCATTTTGTAGATGGGCCACCTGAGTCCAGAGATGGAAATGGACTTGCCATCCACAGCAGGTGGATGACAAAATCCCAGCTCCCTTCACAGCAGCACCATTCCTGGTAGCTGAACGGTGCACATAGCCCAGACGCCCATCAGCAGAGGGCCGGGCACAGGAGATGTGGTGCCAGCAAGCAATGGAACATTACGCGGCCATGAAAAGGAACGAAGCTCTGACATGCTACAGCGTGGGTGAGACCTGAAAACCTCATGCTCAGGACACATGACCTCATCTGTCAGCCTGTGAGCTGTCCCCTCCCAAGGCTAAGGTGGGACAAAGACAGAGAGAGACAGAGACAGAGAGACAGAGAGAAACAAGGACAAAGAGAGACAGAGACATAGAGACAGGGATAGAGACAGGAAGAGAGAGACAGAGAGAGAGAGACAAGGACAAAGAAAGAGAAAGACAGGAAGAGAGACAGAGAGACAGGGACAAAGAGAGAGACAAAGAGAGACAGAAAGAGACAGGGAAAGAGATAGAGAGAGACAGGAAGAGAGACAGAGAGACGGAGAGAGACAAAGGCAGAGAGAGACAGGGACAAAGAGAGACAGAGAGATACAAGGACAAAGAGAGACAGAGACAGAGACAGAGAGACAGGGACAAAGAGAGACAAAACAGAGAGACAAGGACAAAGAGAGACGGAGAGAGACAAAGGCAGAGAGAGACAGGGACAAAGAGAGACGGAGAGAGACAAAGGCAGAGAGAGACAGGGACAAAGAGAGACAGAGAGATACAAGGACAAAGAGAGAGAGAGACAGAGACAGAGAGACAGGGACAAAGAGAGACAAAACAGAGAGACAAGGACAAAGAGAGACAGAGAGTGAGAGAGACAGAGACAGGGAGAGACAAGGACAAAGAGAGACAGAGAGATGGAGAGAGACAGAGACAGAGAGACAGGGAGAGAGACAGAGAGAGATGGAGAGAGACAGGGAGACAGAGACAGACAGAGACAGACAGAGAAACAGAGGGAAAGAGAGAGGGACAGGGAGACAGACAGCGTGGGAGCCGACGGCATCCCGCCGCACCCCTACTGGAGGTCCAGGGGTTCCGTGAACAGGTGTGCACGGGGCATCCCTCCGCGCAGGGCTCAGGGCTCACAGGAACTGGTCGGCAAAACATGATTTGTGATCTTATGCCTGGGACATGGGCGTTGGCTGTATTTTCAAGTCGGCATCCTGTGAACTCCCCCTGAAGCGACACCCTCTCTTCCCACTGAACCCTGAATGAGGAACAGCGACCCTTCTTGTCAGCGCGCCTCTGCCTGCCGGAGACCCAGCTTCCACATCCCCTGACCGGCACCCACTGTGCACTGCAGGACACCAGCTTGGCCTCTCATCCCTGCCTGGGCACAGGACAGAGGCCAGCGAGCGTGGTCGTGGGTCCCCGATCCCACCCGTCCGGCCCTCCAGGCTCACAGGACAGGCCACCACCAGGAGCATGTGGGGTGGGAAAGGGGCTTCCTCCACGCCAGGAGTTGGGTCCCCAAACATCCCCAGGCCTGTTTGCCTGAGATGTGGGCAGTGGGCCTCCAGGTGCAGGCGTGTGGACCAGCCGGAAGCCCTGGGCAGATGCATCTTCCAGGACACCCCTCCCCACAGTGGGGCTGGGGCAGGGCCCAGGAATCTGCCCCTTTAACAAGCCTCCAGGGGAGTCATGAAGAGCCTGGGACAGGCCCCCTGAGGAGGACACTGTCATGAGGGCCAGCCTTGCCACTGCTCGGGGCCCTGCTGCAGCCACCGGCCTCCCCCATGGGAATCGGGTTCCTCATTAGCCAAAACCAGGACCCGGAAACCTGCCCAGACTTAAAGCACACGGAGGAACTTGAACCGGAAGCCACGAGATGCCTGATTCCCAACTTCCTGGGAAAACGCCAACGCTGGTAGCATTGGTCCCAGGGCCCCACAGGAACACTGCTCACAGGCACAGGCGCCAGGCAGGGGCTCCCCCAACCGGCCTCACACACCTGAGCTGATGACTGGCTCCGCAGGCATCTGGGAGTACTGGGCATGAGGAACAGGAAGCTCTGTTGGGGGTGCAGGGACGCTGCGCTGGGGCAGGGGGAGTATGTGCCCTCTGCCCACAGCCGCCTTTCAGGCAAGGATCCCAGTGGCGAGAAAAATAAGTCAATTCTAATAAAATGGCCTTTCAATTAAATCCAATTTTCCCAACCATTTGCCTTTTAATTTGAAAATTCGTTCACAAGGGGATCACGGTTCTGGGACAAAACAGAAATTGCTTTTGAAACGTTGCCAATAGTTTTAAAAATCATGTGTATCAATGGGGAAAGGAGACCAATTTCATAAGACATCTTTAGGAAGTTTTATCAACATCATAAAATGCAAATACATTATTGGAAGTGTAGGTTTTTCTAAGAAGATTTAGTCTAGGAGGGATGGGCTGGGTGCAGTGGTTCATAACTGTAATCCCAACACTTTAGGAGGCCAAGGAGGGAGGATTACTTGAGCCCAAGGGCTTGAGACCAGCCTGGGCAACACAGGGAGACCTCAGCTCTCCAAAAACTTAAAAAAATATTAGCTGGGCATGAGGGCGTGATGGCATGTGCCTGCAGTCCAAACCACGCAGGGTGCTGAGGTGGGAGAATCACTTGAGCCCAGGGGCTCGAGGCTGCAGTGAGCCATGATTGCACCACTGCACTCCAGTCTGGGCAACAGAGCTAGACCACAACTCTAAAAAAAAAAAAAAAAAAAAGGGAAGGAAGGAAATGAAATAAATGAGTTCTCAGTTGTAACAGGGGCGTCCAGTGTGTATTACCACAGGTCTTGCAGTGGAAGGCTTTGTGTGGCCACAGCATTTGGGGGTGGTCATTGGGGAGCTGCTGGCCGGCACCCCCCCAGCCCTGGCACCATCAAGTCAGGGCACAGAGTTGCAAAGGACAGTTGTGCTGGGTGTTCCTGGTTACGCTGTAGCCAGGCTGTAGGCTGCT
Organism: Homo sapiens; assembly: GCF_000001405.40. Taxonomy (NCBI): domain Eukaryota; kingdom Metazoa; phylum Chordata; class Mammalia; order Primates; family Hominidae; genus Homo; species Homo sapiens. The sequence goes on along the minus strand of NC_000001.11, from coordinate 3,677,455 downwards.
GGCACACCCAGGAAGCAGGGCACCTCGACCCTGCCCCAACTTCCATGAGGCCTCAGACAAGTCCCCTCCCTTTGCCAGGCTGGAAAGGTGACCAGCGTTCCAAGTCCTACAGTGCCCACAGCAGTGGGAGCAGGACAAAGACCAGCCACCGAGGGCCCTCCGGCAAACCCAGACCTCAGCCTGCTTGGATCCTCAACTCCAGGGGCCGCTGTACCAGCTGCACCACAGGGAGAGCCCCCACACACGTGTGACTCAGAACAGGAAAGGAACTCACACCAGCAATTAGGCCCCCACAGCTTCCCCGGGACCCACGGAGCACAGGTGGGCTGGGGAGGGGACTGTGTGGCCCAGAAAACCAGCCTGCCCAAGCTCCCTGGAGCTGAAAACAAGGCTCTCTGATGACTTCTCGGTTTGACTCAGGGCCTTCTGAGGTCTCAGCCTAGGGGTTCTCACCAGGGGCAGTTCCACCCCCAGAGGATATTCCCATGTGGGGACATTTTCCACGGGGTCAGAGGGTGCTGTGGAATCTAGTGTGCAAGACAGGGATGCTGCTTAGCACCCTACGTTGCTCAGGGCAGCTGCCCACAGCAGAACGCACGCCCAGCTGTCGGGGCCGTGGCGGAGAGGGGGTGCTGTGCCATGGCTCCGAGCTGAGGCTGGCCAGGCACTTTGCAGGGCCTCAGGCTCACACGCCAACCCTGCCCCAGTTCAGAGATGAGCAAGTGGAGGCCAGGAGGCCCAGTGGCTGGCCCAAAGCTACTGAGGGCTGAGGAGCTGGGACTCCAGCCAAGCCCAGGTCCTCTGATGGCCTGGCCGCACCCGAATGCTCCCCTCTGCCCTGTGGGGAGGAGTCCGCAGCCGGTGAGGGGCTCTCAGCCTCTCTCATCTCACCCTGCCCAACCCCTCTGGCCTCGTCTTCCATAGCTTCCCACGAAAGCCACAGCCCCCTGTCCCCCTGCCCTGTCCCAAGCATTCCCTCCCTGTCCCCAAGCATCCCCTCCCTGTCCCCTGTTCCTCTGTCCTCTCCCTGTCCCCCTGTCTCCCTGTCCCCCATAGGTTCCTTCCCTGTCCCCTTTCCCTTTGTCCCCTAGCCCCCCATCTTCTATCCCCTCCCTGTCTGCATCCCTCTGTCCCCTCCCCATCTCCTGTTTCTCTGTCCCCTCCCTGTCCCTTGTCCCCATAGATCCCTGCCCTATCCCCATGGGTCCCCTCCCTGTTCCCTGTCCCTTTGACCTCTCCTTCTCCCATCCTCTGTCCCCGTCCTAGCTCCTGTTTCTGTGTCCCCTCCCTGTCCCCGTCCTCCTGTCCCCTCCTTGTCCCCCATCCTCTGTCCCTCCCCGTCTCCTGTCCCTCTGTCCTCTCCCTATCTCTTGTCCCCATGGGTGCCCTCCTTGTCCCCTGTCCCCAGTCCCCACATGCCTGGCTATGTGCTCTCTGTGTTCAGCCTTTGTCTACCACCCCCTTCCTGCCCTCCCATCTCATCCCTATCTCTCCAGGCCAGGCCAGGACCCAGCCTCCTCTAGGAACCCCGTCTCCGGCTGACGCCCCATCCTCTCCCCTCACCACCTGACAGGAGGTGGGAGACCAGACATTTCCTTGGCCATGGGCCCACAGGTAAGGCCTCGTCAGTTCCCCAACCCCTTCCACCTCTGCCCAGGCCTGGGGCAGACAGGGCTCCACAACCACCTTTGATAAGCCAGGACACTCCACCCCGACTGAGCCCACTCTGGAAGAGGCACTCCCCATGGGGACACCCACTCCCACCTGCAGGGGCCCTGGCCGCAGGGCTGCTGTTACCTACCCACCCCTCGGTGGAGCTCTGAGACCGAGCCGTCCGCACTCAGCCTGGGCAGGAGACACAGGCCCCTCTGCCCCGTCTGGCCCAGCCATCCCGGACACTGGCTCTTAAGGGGGATCACAGGAGGGGTGCAGGGTGTCCTCCTCCATTCAGGGAGGAGGGAAAAGCCCCCAGGAACTCCACCCGCCCCGGGCCACCCCTAAAGCAAACATCTCAATGCACTTCTGATTCCGGTGGTTCCCAAACCACCAATGATTTTACCTGTTATTTCAGCAGATCAACGATTCCAATCTGAAGTGGCAAAGAAACCTGGGGCCATTGTGGGAGGAGACACCTGGGCCATTGTGGGAGGAGACACCTGGGCCATTGTGGGAGGAGACACCTGGGCCATTGTGGGAGGAGACACCTGGGCCATTGTGGGAGGAGACACCTGGGCCATTGTGGGAGGAGACACCTGGGCCATTGTGGGAGGAGACACCTGGGCCATTGTGGGAGGAGACACCTGGGCCATTGTGGGAGGAGACACCTGGGCCATTGTGGGAGGAGACACCTGGGCCATTGTGGGAGGAGACACCTGGGCCATTGTGGGAGGAGACACCTGGGCCATTGTGGGAGGAGACACCTGGGCCATTGTGGGAGGAGACACCTGGGCCATTGTGGGAGGAGACCGTCTCAATCCCCTTGTGCCCTTTTCCCAGGGACTCAGGCAGGTCCCAGGACCCAGAACCCAGAAGAGCCCCCGCCTGGGCAGAGGGGTCGGGCGGTCAGCGCACCAGAATGAAGCCAGGCAGGCTGGCCCTGTGTGAGACAGCGGCTCTCCCAGGCAGCAGCCCAGCGGAATTCCTGCAGGGCGTCATCAGAGCCCAGCCTCCTGGGGCCCTCTGTGCCAAGGGGCCTCACTCTCCCCTCCAGCCACCGCAAGAAGAGGGGCCGCTCTCGCTTGGCAGGCTGGGGCCAAGGACAGGGGTCCCCCGGAGTGAGGGCCAGGAGGGCCTCCCTCTCAGGGGCAAGGCCCTCTGCCAGCATTGCCTGCCCCTCCCGACAGAGGCTAAGGACCATGTGGCCTCCCTCTGTGGGTACGATGGGGCCAGGTCCTTCAGACAGGGTTGCCAGGACGGCTTCGTCAGCAGGTCAGGGGCAGGGACGAAGGCCTGTCCGCAGGGCCTGGTGAGGAGGATGCGGCTGAGAGCCCCCCTCACCGCCACAGATGGCACGCCTGCTGCCCCACTCCCCTAGTTTGGGGAAGCCCAGCATGGGGATGAAAGACAAACACAGCCTCCCACGGTGGGGTAGCGTGCACCGTGTGAAATATGCGGACAGCTGGAGGTGCCTGAGCAAGCTGCCCTCTCTCTCCTGGGCCGTGGCCCACGGGAAGCGGGAGGGGAGGGGAGGCAGATGCCCAGGACAGTCTGGGGGAATCCCTGAGCCTCACCCCAGAAGCTTTGAGGCCATGACCAAACCAAAATGCCCGACCCCCCGTGGGTGGGGGTGCCCCCAACCAGCTTCCTGGGTCAGTTCACACTCAGCCAAGTGAAATGTAGAAACACCAAAGCATGGCTAATTCCCGGGGATTCCAGCCACCCCACGACGGCCCAGTGAGGCCACACACCTGTTACCAACCAGGAGACATGCACAGAGAGGGAAGACCAGCCCTCCATGGGCACACAGCTGGTCAGGGTGGAGGTCGAACCCAGCAGCCTGGCTCTACCCTGGCCTGACCTGGAGCTGAGCAAGGGAGGCACGGGCCCGGCTGCAATCCCCTCCCCAGTCCGTGTTCCCACCGCACAGCCACACCCCGCACCCTGCCTGGGAAGCCCCTCTCTGGAAATCCCCTGCCTGTCCATCTATCTTCACCGGTACATTGAGGCCCAATCCACATCCAGACATCCAAGAGGCCCGCCTTGTCCTCTGCTGCCTGCCCAGGCCTTCTTGCTGTCATATATGTGTTTGGGTCATACCAAGACACATGATTCCTGCCCCACCGCTTCGTGCCCTGAAGCCCAGCACTGCCGGGCACACACTCCAGTTCCCTCTCCTGCTCTGCCCACGCAGCCCACCTCTGCCGCGCTCTAGCTGTGTGACCTCAGATAGATGTCTTGCCCATTCTGAGCCTCTGTTTCCTTGTCTGTAAAATGGAGATAATTGTAGTGCCTCCTAGAAGCGCTAGGTGGAATGAAGTAACTCTACGCATATCAAAAGCGAAAGCACTCCTCTATCTGGGCACACCGTGGATGCCCCATAAACCGTATCGAGTTGCCATTGACCGACGGTTATTTAGTATCAGGTGGTGGCAGTGGAGGAAGAACCAATGAGGCCCGGGTCCCAAAGGCACCAGGCTGAGCGACAGAACTGCACACACGGGGGCGGAAAGGTGGGGTCTGCTGGCTGCCGGGTCCCTGGCTCCTTCGAGTGCCTCTCCATTTCATGGTCAGCACGCGTGTCTCACCCCACTTTTACAGTGGTCTCCGCACCCTTTTGCAGAGCACCAGCCTATCCTCAGTCTCTCAGGGAATGAGGCGTCCTCGAAACGGGTAGTGCCCAGTTGCAGCGGCAGCCGGTGCCAGCTCCATGCCCGGGGGCATGCAACGCGGTAAACAGATAACCCTGGCCCACTGGAGGCAAATCATGTATGTCTGTGAGGCCCTCAGAGGCTGGGTATGAGGAGGGTGGGTGGTGGAAGAGAAGTCTGCACCCCAGCCCCAGCTTGCTTGCGCCTTGGAGTGGGCGGTGCTCCTGGGGGTAAGCGGGTCAGGAGGGTTTGGAGGTGGGGTCAGAAGCATGAGCGGCCTGATGGGCTGAGCTTCCTCTAAGAAAGGGGTGGAAGGGGTGGGCAGGGACATGGCCCTTGGGGGGACGAGGTTGGCGGCAGGAGGGAAGTGGGGCCCTGTCAGGGAACTGGGGCGCTGAGCTTGGTGATGTTTCCTGCCAGGAGCCCACCTGTTAGAGGAAGGGCGACCCTGGCGGGGGTGGTAGGAGCAGATCTGTCACTAAGGGAGGTTCAGACCAGCACAGTGGGCACAGGAAGAAGACCCAGAGGACCGACTGCCAAGGATAGGGGGTGAGGGGTCCAGGGCTGGGACAGAGCGGAGCTTATGGCCAGAGTGGGTGTCTGAGTCGATACCTGTGTTCACAGGTGATGAGTACAGCGCTGCCCTCAGCAGGGCAGGTGACTGATGGGGCCGCAGCCGCCTTCGCTGGAGCTGCCACAGCCTCGTTCTGCACAGACACATCCCTGTCCTCTGCCCCCTCCGATCCTCCTCTCACACCCCCTTTCTACCCCAAGGGATCACACCGGGTGTCACTAGCCTTTGTGCGGCCAGCGCCCATGTTGGAAGTGCCTGTGCTGTCCTCCAGAATCTTCTTTCTTTCCCCAGAGAAGCACTTCCACTCCTCCAACCAAGAGAGAATGACCCTTCTCAAGCTGCTGTCCCCACCTGGCCACCCTCCTCTGGACACCCTTGGTGGGGATGCTCCACTCTGAGATGTCCCCACCCTACACATACCCCTCACCCCTGGCTCTGGGCTTTTCTCTAAGGGGTCTGGGACACGCCCGCTGCACCAGTGGACATGTCTCCCTGCTGACCACTCCCTACCCTGCGGTCTGAGCAGACGTGCCCTTCCAGACAGCTGTCAACTCCCTGAACTTGTCATGCGTCCCTCTGAGTCCCGCCCTGACTCAGTGAGCAATCCTCCCTCCTGGCGTGTTCCCTTCCTGTTCTGGAGTCAGCCGCTCAGCCCTGTGACCTCCCCTGCACAGTGGTGGCCGCTCAGCCCCGTGACCTCCCCCGTGCAGCGATCACGGGGGTCCACCCACCCCTCACTCCTTCCAGAGGCAGCCACTGCTGTTCCTCAGAGTGGCTGTCCGCTGGCTCTCAGGGTTGCCTTTCTGATATTGCTGCCCAGCATTCCCTGTGCCAAATCCTCCATATTTTCAAGCTCATTCAATCCTCAGAGGAACCCAGCGGGAAGTCCCCAGGTGTTCCCAGAGGCCCCGAGAGGGCGAGCAGCCTGCCCAGGGCCGCACATCTCAGAAGCACCACAGCTGGCTTAGGCTGGGCTCCGGTGAGCTCCACCTTCCCGCCAGGCAGCCCGTCCTCTGGAGGCCCCGGCTCCTGCAGGGCAGACAACGATCCAGCCTTTGCCCCCGTCACGAAGGGGGCTCCCGACGATGGCTGGGTCAGCCCAAGAGCTGCCTAGGCCCTGGGCAGGGCTGTGATCTTGTGGGACTCACAAGCGAATGGAGGGGCACTGGCCATGGTGGAGCTCGGCCAAGGGGCAGCCTGGGCAGCCAGTAGGTCAGGGAGAGGCAGGAACAGCAACTGGAGCTGGACAGGGTACAGGACCACCAAGGTCACAATGGATCCTAGGCTCCATGCTACTCCAGGTCTGAGGGGGCTGCTTCCCGTCACGCTCCCAGCTCCCACACCCCACGCCTCTCCAGGGACAGGCCCACCCCTGCCATCCCTGAGGCAGTTCCAGCTGGAGCCCTGGAACCCTGAAACCTGGACAGGTGCCAGCCGACCTGTGCTTCCAGCCCAGCCCTGAGGGAGGCTGTGCAGCCAGACCCCACTCTGACCAGCATGGCACCCACGAGGGACGGCTGTCAGGAAGCCTCACTCCTCAGGGCCCGCGCACCCCCATTTAAGAGACGCTGGTCTTCCCCAGACCTGCCAGGGCTCCTCCCTCCCAGCACCCATCGCATGGAGAGACATTCACATGCTGACTCTTTGCGGGCCAGACCACCAAGCCCTGACTGCTCTCTGCGCTGCAGCCCCAGCACCCGCCTGGCACACAGTAGGTGCTCCGTGAAGAAGCGATGACAGAATCCATGATTTGGTTTGAGCGGGCGGGGCCCAGCAGGTCAGGTCAGGACAGGAACAGAGTGACTGCTGGAGAAGCACCATTTGGGGTTAAATTGCTCGACTTCCTCCTCATTTCTCCTCACTTTTTCTTTTTCTTTTCCTATCTTTTTTATTTTATTTTATTTTTTTTGAGATAGAGTCTCGCTCTGTCACCCAGGCTGGAGTGCAGTGGTACGATCTCAGCTCACTGCAACCTCCGCCTTCCAGGTTCAAATGATTCTTCTGACTCAGCCTCCCCAGTAGCTGGGATTACAGCTGTGTGCGCCACCACGCCCAGCTAATTTTTGTATTTTTAGTAGAGACAGGGTTCACCATGTTGGCCAGGTTGCTCTCGAACTCCTGACCTCTGTTGATCCACCCGCCTCAGCCTCCCAGAGTGCTGGGATTACAGATGTGAGCCACCACGCCTGGCCTTCTTCCCCACTTCTAAGGGGCTCCTGTACATCCCCACCTGGACATGGGGCTCTTGAGTCTTGAGTTCAGACTGCGGGACCCCAGGGAGACGACACCCACATTCCAGAAGCCTGTGCCCATGTGGTCCCCCGGCCCCATCATCATCCCTGCCTTACCTGTGCCCATGTGGTCCCCTGGCCCCATCATCATCCCTGCCTTAGGGATGAGCAGAGAGATCCTCAGAGTGGTGTAAAACGCACCCAGAGCGACACAGCAAGCCAGGAAGAGCCCATGGTCTCGCCCCCCGAGCCACATGCCCATCCAGGAGGCCAGGCTGGAGACTTTGCAAAGAGCCAAGGGAACAGGATCCAGAGGCCCTGGCCCCTCGGACATTCCCCCAAGGCTTCAGGGAGGAGCTGGTCACTCAGTTTCCCTACCCACCCTCTCACCTCTAGCAACACACTTGCACATACATGCACATGGACACACCTATTCACATATGCGCACACATGTGTCCGCAGGCACTGCCACGTACACACTCTGCCCTCCTCACAGCAAATCCCCACAAGCCCCTCCCCTGTCCCCCAGTTTGATGGGTCCCTGAGGATTCCCCAGCCTGGGAGTCCAGCCCTGGAAGCAGGACCCAGGCAGAAGGAACAGGACATGCCCAGCCCCTTCCTGCCGTCCACGTCATGGTCAGGCTTGGGAGTAGCTGCGTGAGTGCCGGGGAGGCCGGGGCATGGCTTGCTGTTGCCGGGAGAGGCTCCGGGGCCACAAAAGAGTGAGGGGGCTGGGGAGAACTGGGAGGTTCTGGATCAGCTGTGTGAGGCTGAGGATGGCGGCCCCCAGCCGGGAAGCCCCCGGACGTGCCAGGCTGGGGCAGTCACTCTGCGCCTCCTTGGCAGGAAGTGGAAAGAGCTCCTGGTGGGTCCAAGGGGTGGAGGTGGCGGTACCAGAGCCACTTCTGCCCCCGATCCTAGGGTCACACGAGGAGCCCTGATGTGCCACTTGGGGCAGATGGCTCCCCAGAGCTGTGGCTTGTCCCATCAGGAGAACTGTGGGCAAGGCCTCCCCACCCTGGCCTGAACAGTACTGCATTTCCAAGCCGCCTCCTGGGAGGCCGTAGAGGGGCTCTCTGCACCCCAGGGTGGGCCCCCGGAGCCACTGCACCCACGGTGGCAAGGAGACTCCCCCCGACTCAGGCCGAGAGGAGGGCGAGCCAAGCCCAAGCCTACCTTGGCTAAGCCTGGGCCCCGGAGGGTCGGTGGGGCCAGGTGGAAGTGGCCCTCGGCTGGCTCCTGGCTCCCGCAGGCGGGCGGTGGCAGCAGCGTCCCTGTCACCTAGGTGATGACATTGGAGTTGCGAAACTAGGCGGCAGCGTGGCCGGCCTGGAGCTGCAGGGCAGCTGGGGGCGGAGCATGGCCTGGAGCCCTGGGGCTGGAGACGGGCCTGGAGCCAGCACCTGCCGCCTGCCACCTGGCATGCACGCGCCACCCTGCATCCCTGCTCCCCCCAACCCTCCTCAAGGCGACTGACAGGGCCGAGCTCAGGGCAGCCAGGACAGGGCTGTCTCCACCCAGCTTTGTACTCGTTTCTACTCCTCATTGTGGACACTTCCAAGCACACTCAGCACTACAGGGAACGGCCCAGGAACCCATCCACCCGTCCCCAGCTCTCATCACTCTGACCTCTGGCTTTTTGTTTCCTGGGGCATTTCACAGCAAATTCCACCTATGAGACCGTCTCATCCGTAATACACCAGTACATGCTTCCAGCAGGTAAGAACCTCTCTTTTAAAATATTAGGTCAAACCATGAAATTGCTGATAATTAACCGTTTTGGTCCTACCAACAATACACACACACACACACACACACACACACACACGTGCAGCAAGTTCAGATAATTCAACATTATATGCAGCCATAATATCAAATTCTGAATCTTTAATGCTGGTCAGAGGATTTTGAGGAGCCCCGCCCCAATTTTGGAGAGGGAAGTGTGTGTCGCTGCCACTGTGCCACCTTCCTCCCCCACAATTGCAGCAGCACGGAGTGGACAGCACGGATGTGTGTCTAGGTGCTGCACGGATGTGTGTGACAGCTACTCATGGCTGTTGGCTCCAGGAGGGGAGATGGCCCCTCATCGCAGCCGGGTGACTCTTTGGAAAGTGTATCCATGGGTCATTCTCAAGCACACCAATTTGGGTTCCTTGGCTGCAGTGACCTCCTGGCAGGCACTCCTCCTCCCCCACCCCTAGTTCATAGGAAAGTGAGGGGAGAGGAAAGACCTGAACCCAGGGAGGCTGGTGCCTGGCTCCTCTCAACATCCTTGTTGGAGACAAAAGGTGGGTGGGTGACAGGAGGAGCAATAGCAGCTGGACCCTGGCCATAGCCATGGCCAAGTCTGTTCCCTGGTCTGAAGAGCAACTAGCACAGAGTGACAGTGGCCATGAGCCCTGGGGGGACACTGAAGGGGGAGTTCAAGGAGAATTTTTGCACACCTGTGCACCGTAACACAAGGGTTGCAAAGCTATTCCTGAACTCCCCTGCCCTATTTTAAGCTGGGTGGTCCAGATGTGAACTACAGGGCAAGCCCTTGTTTATTTCCTTTTTTTCTTTTTTACTTTTTTTCTTTCTTTTTTTTTTTTTTTGAGACAGAATCTCTCTCTGTCGCCCAGGCTGGAGTGCAGTGGCTCCATCTTGGCTCACTGCAACCTTTGCCTCCCAGGTTCAAGCGATTCTCATGCCTCAGCCTCCTGAATAGCTGGGACTACAGGCACGTGCCACCACGCCTGGCTAATTTTTTGTATTTTTAGTAGAAACGGGGTTTCACCATGTGGGCCAGGATAGTTTCAATCTTCTGACCTCATGATCCACCCGCCTCGGCCTCCCAAAGTGCTGGGATTGCAAGCGTGAGCCACCGCGCCCAGCTGCCCTCGTTTATGCCTATCAGGCAAGAGCTGGAGAGGGGACCATGCGGATGTGCGCACTGTCTGTTTTCTGTGGCTGCCGTAACCAATGACCACACAATGAGCAGCACAGAATGAGATAAATTTACTCTCTTACAGTTCTGTAGGTCAGAGTCCGAGATGGGTACCAGGGAGCTAAAGCCAAACTGCGGGCAGGGCTGGCTGCTTCTGGAGACCCCGGGAGAATACATTTCCCCCTCTTCCTGTCTTTGGGGGGCCCTGGGAGAATCCCTACTCCCCTGTCTTCTCTTGGTTCTGGAGGCCCTGGGACAATCCCTACCTCCCCGTCCTCTCCTGCTTCCGCAGGCATATTCCTTGGCATGTGACACTTTCCTCCATCTCTGAAATGCATCCCTCCAACCTCTGCCTCCATCATCAGCTCCCTCTCTCACCCCTCTTGTGGGGCCCCCTGATGACACTGGACCCACCTGGATCCTGCCAGATGGCCTCCCCATCTCAAAATAGCTGAATCACGGTCCCCTTTGCCATGGGAAATAACATAGACACGGGTTCTGGGGATTGGGACGTGAAGACCTTTGGGGAGCCACTTTTTTTTGCCAACCATAAATGTCCCTCATTGAAAAACATCTTTTCTGAGCCCTCTGTTTGGGGGTCAGTCTGAAAGCCGCCCTGGGAGAGACGCCCGCATGGCACTGAGTCGCGTCTGCTCAGAGCACCATCCCCACCGCCAATGCTTACTCACTTCCGAGCTGAAGGGCTTCTGGGACGGTTTGTTCCTGCTCAGTGAGACACACAGGACAGGCCTCTTTGAGGTCAAAGGGCACCCTAGCCTGCAGCCAAGGCCAGGGAGGTGGGCAGGAGGTGGTGGGGAGGGAGCCAGCAGAGGGACCATTAAAAGCCCCCCGCCCACGCACCCACCTTCACTGTCAGACCCCTTCCTTTCTCCCCACAGCTCTTCAGTATTTGCCAGCAGGTCCCTCTGTGTGCATCAGTGAGTTCCTGAGGGCATGCCGCAGAAGTGAAACTGTCAATATGACCCATAATTACACCCCACCAACACACAGCTTACTCTGCACCAGGCACCATTTTAAGATTTTACATTCATTAGTGTGGGATACATAGCAAGACCCTGTCTCTAAAAGCAAGAAACAACAAAACTAAATTAACTGGATGTGGTGGTGTGTGTCTATGGTCACAGCTACTCAGGACACAGGCAAGAGGATGGCCTGAGCCCAGCAGTTGGAGGCTGTGGTCAGCTGTGACTGCACCACTGCACACCAGCCTAGGCTGCAGAGTGAGATTCTCTCTCTCTCTCTCTCTTTTTTTTTTTTTTTTTTTTTTTTTTTGAGACAGAGTTTTGCTCTTGTTGCCCAGGCTGGAGTACAATGGTGCGATCTCAGCTCACCACAAACTCCGCCTCCTGGCTTCAAAAGCGATTCTCCTGCCTCAGCCTCCCAAGTAGCTGGAATTACTATACCCAGCTAATTTTTGTATTTTTAGTAGAGATGGGGTTTCACTGTATGTTGGCCAGGTTGGTCTCAAACTCCTGACCTGGTGATCCACCTGCCTTGGCCTCCCAAAGTGCTGGGATTACAGGTGTGAGCCACCTTGCCTGGTGATTCTGTCTCTTAAAAAAAAAAAAAAAAAAAAAGGCCGGGCACGGTGGTTCATGCCTGTAATCCCAGCCACTCAGGAGGCTGAGGCAGGAGAATCGCTTGAACCTGGGAGGTGGAGGTTTCAGTGAGCCAAGATCATGCCACTGCACTCCAGCCTGGGTGACAGAGAGAGAAATTGTCTAAAAAAAAAAAAAAAAGAAAAGAGAGACAAACCAAAGGACCTAGGGGTCAGAGTTATGAAACTTCAAAATACGAATGATTTCCATGCACCCCACTCATATCAAGTCCTTCCGGTTTTAAAGTTCTGTTTTGCATAAATTACTAACCGTATACTTCATCGTCAAGAGTAGACTCTTTCTGTTATTCTAATACTTTCAAAGACCAGACTGACCAGCTGAACATTAGACAATGAATTCTTGGAGTTATACTGGCCTCAATCTTACAACGGTGTATTTTGCTATTTTTATCAGAATTCATCATTTTCATATTAATCCAATTAGCATCCTGTTTACCAATACCTCATTTTTTAATTTGCAGCTTCCTTCTAAAAGCTTGGGGGGGACTTTCACAACTCGATCTGTCCTCCCTCATTACTGCCAAATAATTAGTCAAGGAGCCGTCCCTGATCAAAAATTAAGAACCCAGAAGCAAGTTGGAGCATGCCTCGCTCCAGAAGAAAACATGACAGGAGACTCTTGTAATTATGAGGGGACTGGTTGGTAGTCATGATGCAGCCGGCAAAGACTGTGATAGCAGGAAGGAGAGACCTGCACTGAATCGTGAGCGTGGCCGATCACAGCTCATTAACTAGCTTGGAGTTTGCATCTCCTGTTTAACTGACAAAGACCGCAGAGTCTTTCCTCTGTAATTTGGGGGCTGACTTCACCCTGCATTGTGCATGGTGCAAATTGCGAGGACCATAAAGAGAGGATGGTGAGTTGCCTTGCCCACTGAATCGTGCACCTTATCTCGGTCATCGGATTCACAGGAATCACCTGCCTCTAAAGAGGGAGCACATCTTCCCTTTGTAGCCTGACCGCATCTGGTAAGGGTGGCTGGGTTTTCTGCAGAAGAGATACCCCTCTCTGAGGCCCAGCCGAGGCCTCCCACAGACTCTACAACCCCTGCCCCCCAACCATCTCACAGTCAGGAATGACCCACACTGAAGCAAGGCTGCTCCCCGTCCCCTACAACCACCAGGCCCCAGTCTGGCGGGTGGGCACCACCCAGGTGGACCCGGAGGCCAGGAGGCTGTGGAAGAGAAAGCTGCGGGTCTGGCTCATGTATTCGGACTGGTGGAGAAAATGGAGCCAGGAAGTCATTGCTAAGATCACAGGAAATGGTGCAGTACGGGCGAGCAGGAGCTTCCCTGCCCTTTCCAAAGGACCCAGTGAAATACTGCACCTCTCCTGCAGGAGGGGCAGCCTGCCCCCTCAGCCCAGCCTTCCCCAGGTGCCACCCCCAACCCTGCCTGACACCTCAGAGCAGCAGGTGAGCAATTAGAGCCCCCACCCCTCCTCACAGGCACCCTGAGCCACGGGGGGCCTGCCAGCTGGTACTGGGCAGGGAAACAGGTGGGTCCTTCCTATCCAATGCAGCGCCTCTGGTAGGGGGACACACCCTGGGCTGGGTGGAAGCCCTGCCGGCTCAGGCCCTGCATCTGGGCTGGTAGGAAGGTAGGAGTCGCGATGCCCAGGGGCCCGTGCCCAGACTGGCAGGGCAGAGGGGCTGCACCAGCCTCACTTGGGCACCTCAAGTCTGCCAGTGCCACCCTTGGGGGTTCTCAGGTGTGGTCCCATAGGCAGCTCAGATCGAGCTCACAGTGGGGATACAGCAGTGGCCTCTCCAGAGAGCCTGTGGCATGGAGGGAGGGGGGCCGGCCACGACCCCCAGGGTACTGATTGGGCTCAAGACATACCACTACCCCAAAACCTGGCACGGTGGCATCTGAGAAGCCAGGGAAAGCAGGTATGCTCTCTCCTGCTCCCTGTCACCCTGAGGCAGGCCATAAAAGAGTTCTCTGGCCTTCCTCTGAATTAGGTCACAGACCCTCATGTGCCCTAGACCCAGAAGAAAGGAAGATCAGAGCCTTCAGACCTGGCCCCAGCCCCCGGTTCAGGATGTCTGTATCCTTTCTTTCTTTCTTTTTTTTTTTTTTTGAGATGGAGTCTCGCATTGTTGCACGATCTTGGCTCACTGCAAGCTCCACCTTCCTGGTTCACGCCATTCTCCTGCCTCAGCCTCCCGAGTAGCTGGGACTACAGGCGCCCGCCACCACGCCTGGCTAATTTTTTGTATTTTTTAGTAGAGATGGGGTTTCACCGTGTGAGCCAGTATAGTCTCGATCTCCTGACCTAGTGATCCGCCCGACTCAGCCTCCCAAAGTGCTGGGATTACAGGCGTGAGCCACCACGCCCAGCCGCCTGTATCCTTTCATCACGCTCCGTGCTGTCCACACCCCACAAACCCAGGAGGAAAATATGCAGAGTTCCCCGGTTCGATGGGTGTTCCATTCTCAAGGCTCCTGTGTCACATGGAACTTCTCGTAAATAAGCCTGCACGGCCCTCTTGTTAACTTGTCTTTCATTACTGGTACGGCAGCCACCAGGCTCGTGATAGGCAGAGGGTCCTCTTGTTAACCTGTCTTTGTAGGTGCCGCAGCCACCAGCCTCGTGAAGAAGAGAGGCCCCTTCTCCCCTCAGGCATGGGTGGCCCGGCCTGCAGCTGATCTTGGTGGCATGAATTGATCTCCCAGGCTTCAGCCTCCCCATCTGTGAATGGGACAGTGATCACTGTTTCCAGATAATGATCAGCAAAGCCCTCATCTGTATGATGCCACTGCAGTGAGGAAAGCGCCGCCCTCAGATTACTCATGCCAGTGCCCAAAGGGCAACACATGGGACCAGAGACAAGTTTCTCTTATAAAAGAGAATTTCGTTTTTCTCTGAGAGCGCTCGGAGCTGCTGGAAGAGGCAGCCCCATGCTGTCCTCACACTGGGGACCCCTCCCTGCGCTCCCCAGCCAGGTCTGTCCTGGGGCCTGGTGGGGAGCTGATTCCATCTCCAAGGCCCATAGAGGCCCCTCTAGGCCCCCTTGCAATGTCCCCTCCATAGCCCTGACACCTGGGTTGGGGCTCAGGACACGCCACCCCACCCCAAAACATGGCTTGAGGGGGCAGAATGTGCCACCCCAAACATGCCTTGGGTATATCCATTATTTCGAGTAACTGCAGACACAGGAGTGGCTCTGCCCAGCTGCCTGTCTGGGAGAGAAATGAAAGACATTTCCATTCGTAAAGGTCTCTATGCCGGGAGGAGAGCGGCTCCAGGTAACTCTGATCGCCTGAGAGACGCATGTCCGCGTGACGAAACCACCTTCATTCACCAGTCAACTCCCCTGCTATAGCTGGTTCAGCCTGCAGCAGCCCCACAGTCCTGTATCTTCCTGCAGCTGAGGATGACGCAGACGCCTCCGCCATCTGGCCCCTTCCCCCAGTTTCATCTCCGTGTGGGACTCCCATTCGTGGACATATCATTAAAATGGGTTTTCTCCTGTTGATCTGTCTGATGTCACTTTTCCTCCCCTGCAGCTTGGTGACATGAAAGGACCTCCGTGGCTGGCCTTACTCCCTGTGGATGCCACAGCTGCAGGATCCTGGGGCCCCAACAGAAGCCGGTGAAGGAAGAGTTCCTGCTCCAGCAGGTGCCTGGTCTCCACCTTCAGGGGCTGCTCCAGGAGAGTGGCAATTTGGGGCAGCAGGAGGAAACATGGGTGTGAACTAGTTCTTTTTTTTTTTGAGACAGGGTCTCACTCTGTCACCCAGGCTAGAGTGCAGTGGCACCATCATAGTTCATCGCAGCCTCAACTCCTGGGCTTCAAGGGATCCTGCCACCTCAGCCTCCCGAGTAGCTGGGAGACAGGTGGGCACCACCACACCCAGCTAATTAAAAAAAATAAAAAATAAAAAATAAAATAAAAAATATATATTGTGTGTATATATATAATACATATATTATATATATAGCGTGTATATATATAATACATATATTATATATAGTGTATGTATATATATAATACATATTATATATAGTGTATGTATATATGTAATACATATTATATATATATATATATACACAAAATACATGTGTGTGTATATACAGTTTGTTGCTCAGGCTGGAGTACAGTGGTGCGATCTCAGCTCACTGTGGCATGAATCTCCCTGGGTTCAAGGGATCCTCCTATCTCAGCTTCCCGAGTAGCTGAGATTACAGGCATGTGCCACCATGCCTGGCTAATTTTTGTATTTTTGGTAGAGACGGGGTTTTGCCATGTTGCCCAGGCTGGTCTCGAACTCCTGGGCTCTAGTGATCCGCTCATGTCAGCCTCTCAAAGTGCTGGAATTACAGGCATGACCCACCATGCCTGGCCAGATCTAAGAGTATTTTAAACTATCTAACTTTCTGCATTTCTCTTTGAATATTTCATTGTTACTTTGATTAAATGAGAATTAAGTATTATTTCATAATGATCTGGGATTCTATTTAATCAAGTGCTTTCAACCTTTTGACATTTTGACAACTTTCCAAAATCACACACTCTAAATTAAGTCTTTTTGACCCTGAATTAACGTTTGGGATTTCCTAGATTGGCCCCTGGAATATCTCAAAAGGATTTATTTTCTCTCCTTATAAAAACATAGATTATTTTGCCAATGTTAAAGGGAAAATTGTTTTAGATAAAATAAAAAGATATTAAATAAATTGGGCTTATTTGATCAACTAAATTTGCATGGAAGCACTGTAAAATATGAAGTGATGATTAACCTTCTCTGGGTGAGTTATATTTGCATGGATATATATTCATATAAGAGTTCCAGAAATTATATGAAATTCTTAGAAATCTGATACATTCTATATTAGTTGTAATTCTAGTTATTATGTGAAAGTATACACCACAGGAATAACCAAACTTCCTCATCAGTTACATTGTAATGATGTCATCACATCTTTAGCCAAGGCCATTTTAAGCCTTTCTGTCATACACAGTTAACTGTTTGGCTCTGATGCTTTCCCGAAAGCTTTTGCAAGCAACTATAATTCTAAAATGTTGTGTCTTCGAGAAGATTTCATGGGGAAGACTTTGACCAGTACAGGTTTCTGATACATTAAGATCACACCACTGGATGGCAAGAATTTCCAGAATGTAAATGAAGAAACTATTTATAACTTACAGCATTCTGGTACATTACACTTTTATAAGCAAAATTGAAATGATGACTTTTCTCCCTACCTGATCTCTCCAGAATTTAGAAACTATTAGCATTTTTATTTTTACGGCCATAGAGTTATTTGCTTAAGTTCAAGATGAATCTGCTGCCTTGTAATAGGAAACAACTGGAAATGTTGGTTAGCTCACCAAGTGTTTGACCGGAATATCATATTTGAGAGTGATGTGCATAAAATCAGATGTGAGTAGCTTTAAGGAACTAAGGTTGACTTTATGGAGCCAATGAAACCCGTTGGAGGAAAACAAAATTGCCCTTGTACCTGGATTAAAGGGCTTCTGCAGCCTCACGGGTTGAGGAAAGACTGTGATTTTTTGGCAGTAATTCTCAAGAATACGTTGGGAACCTTGAGAAAGAGGAATCCACCCAAATCTATAGGTATTGCAGGTGAAGTCTGATATCAAGTCCTTGGCTTGACTTCTTAGCCTCAAGAGGCTTTTGAAAGCCTAACCTGAGATTTATTAAAAGTTCCAGCAAAGCTGACCTAAAGAAAGCCTAGCTGGCCACTTACTATTCTTGCTGCACTTGTGCAAATAATCAGGCCAATTTTAATGAGGCTAGACTTACTTTACAAACAAGTTAATCTGACTAGGCTGGGCACAGTGGCTCACGTCTGTAATCCTAGCACTTTGGGAGGCCGAAGTGGGTGGATCCTGTGAGGTCAGGAGTTCAAGACCAGCCTGGCCAACATGGCAAAACCCTGTCTCTACTAAAAAAAAGTAATAATAATACAAAAATTAGTGGTGGTGCATGCCTGTAACTCCAGGAGGCTGAGGCAGGAGAATCACTTGAACCCGGGAGGCAGAGTTTGCAGTGAGTCGAGATGATGCCACTACACTCTAGCCTTGAGCGACGGAGTGGAACTCTGTCTCAAAAATAATAATAATAATAATAATCTTACTGAGATTATTTTTAGTAGAAAGAGGGGTGATGTAGAAAGAACATATATTTCAGTAGAAAGCCATATTGTGCGCCCCATATTAGATTCTTGTCCTGTTTAACGTCTTTGGGGTTTTGTTATCTATTGATGTCTACAAACTGGACGGGTTCCTGATGTTTCTAGTTTCCTCCAGTATCTGGCTGCAACTCCCAAACTAACACTTTCAATTTTCTCCCACCGTTCTTATTGGAATCACGAAGAACAAAACTGCCCTTTGCCCAGAAATCCTGCAAACTGAGGCTGGACGACTTGAAATACTCATCAGCGAGATTACCACGAAGCCCAGGTGCGAGGGACCCTCACGCCTGTTGCTGCGTGGGCCGCCCAGACATCGCCAGAGACCAAACCGCAGAAGATGCTCGGAGCCCAACATCTACAAACCTGCCCCGCCACGGCCCCCAGGCTCAGAAACTGGTTTTTAGTCAGCTCCAATGATTAGCTTTTTTTTTTTTTCTTTTGTTTCCATAGAAATGCCTCTTCAAAGCATTATGGGACAACACACCCACCCAGTTTCTGTACCGTGGAGCTTCTTGGGGAAGTTTCAGACTAGGAAACAATGGGGCTCAGGACACATCACCCCAAAGTATGACTGTAGGAGACCAGAATACGCCACCCCTAAATATGACTATAGGAGACCAGAATACGTCACCCCAAAATATGACTGTAGGAGACCAGAATACGCCACCCCAAAATATGACTGTAGGAGACCAGAATACGCCACCCCAAAATATGACTGTAGGAGACCAGAATACGCCACCCCTAAATATGACTGTAGGAGACTAGAATACGTCACCCCAAAATATGACTGTAGGAGACCAGAATACGTCACCCCAAAATATGACTGTAGGAGACCAGAATACGTCACCCCAAAATATGCCATGTTGACATGTTGATTACTTTGAGCTAAAAGCAACTGAGAACCAGCCAACAGAAAAAAAGCTCTTCAGCTCCCTAAAATAAAGTAAAAAACTCTCTTTTCTAAAGAAAATTGACATCTATAAAGGACATTTTCATTAGTAATGGTCTGTGTGCCAGGAAGAGAGCCGCGCGCCAAGACGCATTTTCTCACCATGAGACTGATAGCTGCACCACGAGGCAGCCTTTATGCCCAGACGTTTCCTCCCTCACCCTCTCCTCATTTGTCTCTACCGCTCCCCAGAAGCCCAGGCCCCCTTTCCTTTCTGTCACAGAGGACGGACATCTGCACCGCTCCCATCTGGTTACTGCTGAGTCTCCTGTTTTTATGGCACTTCCGGGCGGGGGCACAGCCTTAAAACTGTTGTCTCTTGTGAGTCTGTCTTTTGTCAATCGTTTATTGACAAGAACCCCGTAGGGAAGAGGGAGGCAACTTTCCCTTCCCCTCTCCACAGCTTGCTCTTTGGGGAACCCGATTTAATCTCCAAGGCCCACGGAATCTTCCGGCCACTGTCCATCCCTAATGTGTCCCCCATGTCCCCTCCACGGTCCCTGCTCCATGAGACCTGCCTTCCGTGCCCTTGCTCTGGCCCCAGCAGGGCCCTTCCTGCCACCTGGTCTCTCCAGGCCTCACTGGAGGCCACCACTGGGACGGCGTCTCCTCTCTGTCCAACTCCCTGAGAGGTGCCTCTCCAGACCCTTCCGCGCAGACCGATGTCCCCCGACCTTCTGTAGCACCCACGGCCAGGTCCAGGGCTGGGGCCCGGGTCTCGCCTCTCCCGGTGGGGCTTCTTGTTCAATACCTCTGGTTTCTGTCCCTAACTGGGGGCTATGCGGCCCAAGCAGTCCCCAGGTAGAGGAGCTGCTGGAGTGTGTGGAACAGTCTGTTTTCCAGGATGCAGGGGCTGTGGAGGAGGCGCCAGGCGGGAGGTGCTGGGGGAGAGGGGGGCTGCCCATCCCCGGCTGTGCCCAACCCCGACCTTCAGTGTCCGGGTTCCAAGATCCTCGTCCTGAAAAGAGGGGCGTGGCTTAGACCAGGTTTCTTCCCCGTTTGCGCCATGGCCCCTCTGGCAGCCTGGGGAATCTCAGACGCCTTGTCCGGGAGAATGTTTTAAATACATGAAGCAAAATACACAGGATCACGAGTTACTGAAACATAGCCACTCTAGTGGGTTGGATGCAGCCTCTGGGAACGAGCCTCAGAATGGGATGTTATTTGGAATCAGGGTCTTTGCAGATGCCACTTAGGTAAGGGTCTCAAGATAAGATCATTCTGGATTTTCCAGGTGGGCCCGAAATCCAAGGACAGGTGTCCATCTAAGGGACAAAAAAGGAGAGACACACAGGGACACAGAGGAGAAGGCCATGGCAAGATGGTGGCAGAGACTGGGTGGTGCATCTGCATGCCTGGGAACCACAGGATGGCCGGCAGCCCCCAGATCCTAGGAGGGAGACAGGAGGCGAGCCCCCTCTCAGAGCCTCCGAGGGAACCCGACCCTGCCCACACCTGGCTTCAGATTCCTGCCTCCACAACCGTGAGACAACACTCTCTATTGTTTCCAGCCACTTAATTTGTGGTCATTTGTAACAGCAGCCTGAGAAAACTTACAAAGTGACCCTAATATTTAAAAAGCAAAACTGGGAGGTGATCATATGTGCGCTTCTTTGTTCATACATTAAGTCGTAAGCCTGAGAGCAGATCTAATCACCGCCATAATTGCAACGGAGCGACAAGCACAAACCACTTTTTAAGATGCTGCAGCTATTACCGGACACCATGAAAATATCAGTGGTTCCCACTGGTGAGGTCACAGGTACTGCTATGACTGTAGTTTGCTGCCTACATTCAAAACTAGAGGAAATGCTGAAATTTGCTTTGAGGTTAATACAAGGTGCCATTTTTCCCCATCCAGGCTCACAGCACCCTGGACTCTCTACCCCTGGCTTAGATGTTCTGGAAGGGCCCTTCCGGCCTGAATGTTCCACGGTCCTAGGTGTCTGGGGGCCGTGTCTGAGCCAACGGCAGACCCAGGCAAAGGATGGTTTGGCAGCCCCAGTCCCAGCTTCGTGGTCATAGCTGGAGTCCCCACTCCCGTACTTTGCAGCTGTGTGACCCTGTGCAAGTAGAATAGCCAGTTGAAGCCTCAGTTTCCTCATCTGTAAATGGGCATAATTATAGTATCTACTTCAACGGGCTATTGTGGGGATTACAGGGAAAAAAATGTAAACTTTTTAGCCAAGTACCAGCTCACAGCCACCATGGGCTAAATGTGAGTTATTACAGGAAACATTAAAAAACAAGAGTTGGGCTGGATTATCTTTTTCTTCTTTGGGTCTGTGATGTGCAACTTGTCCAGGAAAAGAAAGCACTTTGGATGAGCGAGTGTTTAGCCTGCAAAGAAATACTGAGCACAGAGTGGACTGCCAGGGGGCAGGCAGAAAGTCTGTAAACATGTGCATATGTCTGTCTGAGCCCACTTTGGTATAAGCTGTCTTACACTCAAATGCCAATGAGCAGAGGGATTTTTTTTTTTTTTTTTTGAGACGTAGTCTCGCTCTGTCGCCCAGGCTGGAGTGTAGTGCGTGATCTCAGCTCACTGCAAGCTCCGCCTTCCGGGTTCACGCCATTCTCCTGCCTCAGCCTCCTGGGTAGCTGGGACTACAGGTGCCCGCACCACGCCCGACTAATTTTTTGTATTTTTAGTAGAGACGGGGTTTCACCGTGTTAGCCAGGATGGTCTTGATCTCCTGACCTCGTGATCCACCCGCCTCAGCCTCCCAAAATGCTGGGATTACAGGCGTGAGCCACTGCGCCCGGCTGAGTAGAGGGAATTTTTAGAATAAAATACCTTCTGCACGACCCACAGAGAAGGATTTTCGAGGCATCCTGTGTAACCCACTTAAGAAGGCAAACTTCTAAGAAAGCCATTGTGTGTTTTCATTATACACGAGTGGATGTTGCCAGCTACAAGTGTGTTTTGTGTATTTGTTAAAGGAATCTGGGCAGAACATGGAAGTATTAAATACTGGTAGGAGTAAGTGATCACTCAGCCTACTTACTGGTGATAAAACATTACATTTAGAAAACTTTCACCACATTCAGATACAAATAACACGGGAATTCAAAAGAAAAGTAGGCGTTATTGTCATTTAGTAACTCATCTCAGCTTTTTTCTTTTTTGCTTTTAAAGCAAAATCACGAGGAAATAACATACAGATATCTTAAAAGGTTGCCTTAGCCCTCCCCACACTGGAAAACAAAGGCAAGCCGCAAAATGGCAGCTCGTTACATGAAACACACACCAAAAGTATTTTTTGCGTGTTTTTTTGAGACAGAGTCTCGCTCTGTTGCCCGGGCTGGAGTGCAGTGGGGTGATCTCGGCTCACTGCAACCTCTGCCTCCCAAGTTCAAGCGATTCTCCTGCCTCAGCCTCCTGAGTAGCTGAGACTACAGGCACCAGACACCACCCCCGGCTAATTTTTGTATTTTTGGTGGGGACAAGATTTCACCATTTTGCCCAGGCTGGTCTTGAACTCCTGATCTCAAGTGATCCACCCACCTCGGCCTCCCAAAGGGCTGAGATTACAGGCGTGGGCCACGGCGCCTGGCCTTAAAGGATGTTTTGAAGACTTTTTCTGACTTTTTGCAAACACAGGGTTCACCGTGTACGCGATGTCACTTTGGTGTGCTCGGAATCTCAGGGTTAATACCGCCGCTGGGCAAGGGCAGGGCCTCGTCCGGGTTCTGGAGTGGGTGTGCGGCTCCTCTCTCGGCCCTCAGCCTCTTCTCTTCTCTCCACTTTAGCCGTGCCTTTCACACGTGCTCAGTGTTATCAATCCATTCTTGGACCTGGGTGGGGCATGCCCTATAAATAAATACTAAACCAGGCATCCTTGCCCCAGTGCATACTTCTGACAGATGCCATCAGCTTCCACCCACGCCTTGGGCAGATGCCTGCCTCACTGCCATCCCTCCTGCCCTGGAGATACCTACCAGATACTAAGGAGCCGGGTCTCTCCCCAGGGCTCCTGGCTCTCCCAGCTCTGGAACAGCACCTGGGACCCGAAGCCATCATGTGTGAGGACACTGAGTGGGTGCCAGGCACTCTCCCAAGCCCTTCGGACGGCACCTCACTGACTGTTCTCCAAGCCTCTGAGGCAGGAACTACTATTACCCGACTCTGCAGATGGGTAACCTGAGGCTCCAAGTGGTTAAGTGACTTGCTGGAGTAAATGGGGAAGAGGAGATTTGAACCCCAGCATTCTGACTTCCATACTACCCCATTAACCACTGTGCCAGACCAGCTTCTCCATGCGACTGGCCTTCGGGATTTGGAGACAGCTACTGTTCGCTGTAGCTTTCACGAGAAGGACTGCAAGGCAGGGCTCACATCCCGAGCCATTCTCTGGTGGCCGCCGCGCATAGACAAGCCCCGCTCAGGTCCGCCTTCCGTTCACCCCAGGCTACCTCTGATTGACAATAGGCAGCTGCCACACTGCAGCCTCTGACACCAACTTTTATCTTATTTCATCTTATTTTTTGAGACAGAGTCTTGCTCTGTTGCCCAGGCTGGAGTGCAGTGGCATGATATCAGCTCGCTGCAACCTCTCCATCCCAGGTTCAAGCAATTCTTGTGCCTCAGCCTCCCGAGTAGCTGGGAGTACAGGTGCCTGCCACCATGCCCAGCTAATTTTTGTATTTCAAGTAGAGACTGGGTTTCACCATGATGGCCAGGCTGGTCTCGAACTCCTGACCTCAGGTGATCCACCCACCTTGGCCTCCCAAAGGCTGTGAGGGATGACAGGCGTGAGCTACCGTGCCCAGCCAACTTTTTATCTTATTTTAAAAACTACATACGTAATGCATACATTCATATATGGCAACATTTCAAACACCGTGTCCTGTTCTTAATGAAATGCTTTTTAATCTTTCCCCGAATAAATCCAAAGAGGGGTGGCTCAGCGCTCAGTAAGTGCCAGAGGCCACGCGCTTTGTTTACTCCTCCCCCAGAGCTAAGGCTGAACAAATAAACAGCAATGACAGCAACAAAAAACAAAACAACAAAAACCAAAGCATTGTGTTAATGAGCCTGAGCCATTTCCAAATGTCCAGACAGTGAATAAACAGATGGCAGCATCTTTGGAAGCAAATGACCTCTGGTCAGAAGTTTGGGGTGCATTGCTTTTCCCTGCACCCTTGCTGGTTGAAGATCGTCTATCTGTCCCCTGTTTATGTAGCAGACGTGTGCATACTACATGGGCTTATCTCCTAGCGTCCAGGCCAAAATACAAGCTGAGCAAAGGTAATCATCGCTCCCCAAGTCCAAGCCCCGGGAAAGGCAGGGGCTGCAGGAGGAGGCGGCCCAGGAGCTAAGGGGGCGTGAGGTGTCTCCCTCCAGGCCGGCCCGGGCCATTTCTTCACGGGCTTTCTCTACCTGGGACCGCTCCGGAGACAGGCCAGGAGCCCTCGACAGACAAACTCAGAGCCACAGGGAGCTGTCCCTCGGGAAACCATCGAAACCGCTTAGTAACCAACTCCATGGGTCAAGGCCCCCGCCCAGATCCTTCTCCCTGTCCAGAGGGGGGCCTGGCCCTGGCTCCTCAGGGAAGCTGAGGCCTCGGGATTGGCACAGCCCTGCAGGTCGGAGGGAGCGCGCGGGCGGGGAGGAGCTTGCTGGCGATTTCCACCTGCACCCGCGCCCCGCACCCCGGCCTCTTCCCGGGGTTACCCTCCCAACGGCCCTCGGAGCCCGGGGTGGAGAGGGGACAGCAGGAGGAGGGCCCTCCCGGAACCCCTGCGGGGCTGTCTTTGGCGCCAAAGGCGGCCGGCGCTGAGGGCAGGACCCGCGTCTCCTCGCAGGCTAGACTCTGGCCGCTCCAGCCTCTCGCGAGCGCCAAGTCCCAGGGGCCGATCCAACTCCGAGGGAGCCCCTGTGTCGCCTTGTCCCAGCTCGTCCCCGATCGCTCTCCCCTCACCTCCCAGCTTCGGAGCTGCGAGCCCAGGTGCCTGCCCAGCGCTGCGCTCCAGCCCCCGCCCGCGGAGCCGAACCGCCCCCCGGCCCTGGGCCTCCTACCTGCAGCCGTCGCAGCCCCGGGCATCGGCGTCCGTCCCGGCTGGCCTGGCGCGGGCCCCGGTTTCGCTGCGTCCCCTTCGCGGGCGCGCGAGCCTCCGGGCGGGTGCGCGGGCGGGGAGGCAGGGCGGGCTGCCCGGCCCCTAGGCGGGTTATATGGGCGCGGGGAGGGGAGGCGCCGCGGGGAGTAGGCGGCCGCGGGCGTTAGCGCCTTTTTAGCCCGGCGCGCGGGAAGGCAGCGCGGGCCACCGAGTCGCGGCGGGGCCAAGGTCTCCTCCCGGCGCTCCGCCTCTCCAGCTGGCCGCGTCCAAGTCGGGGTCCCGGGCGCGCTCTGCCCCGCCTCCTTCCCGCCGCCTTTTGGCGCGCGTCGCTCCTGCAGAGCCCGGCGAGGCCGCCCACGCAGGGCCGAAGCAGGTCCGGCGCCAGGGCCCCTCCCGCGGGCCAGACCCGACCGCGATCTTCGGCAGAGCTGGGGACGCCGGTGCCGACTCTGTGCCCGACGCCTGCGTTTCCCCCGGACTCCCTGCTGTCCCCCAGACGGCCCATCTTTCCTGACACCCGGGTCTCTCCTGGCCGCCGCCACTAGCGCTGGGCTCCTCGGCGCGCGGGGCGCTTGGAATCCAAGGGGCAGGGGATGTGGCCGGCGGGGAACAGGGGTGAGGGGCGGGGAACAGGGGTGAGGGGCGCCGCCCCAGGCCCAGGAGGAGGGGAACGGCTGCTTTCCGCCAAGCAGGGCTTGCCACCCACTTCTCCTGTGGAGCCACGGTCCCGCCCGGCAGAGGATCCCGCGGAGAGCCTCTGGGGGCTGCTCTCCCAACCCCAGCCGGAGTTTGGGCCCCACGTCCTTCCAGGGGTCACCCAGGACGCGAACACTCCCGGGCGGCGGCCAGCACCCTGCTCCCTCCCCCGGCCGCCGCCTGTGGGCTCGGGCTCTGGATCCCGTTCGGTGTTTGGAAGGAGCTCGCGGGCGTCGGTGCGCTTGGAGTTGTTCTCTGCGCGCACCAGACCTGCGCTAGGTCAGGCCGAAGCTCTCTACCGGCCAGCGACACCCGCCGCCCCGCCCGCCTGCTCCTCCTAGGCCATCGGGGCTTCCAGGGCCCTCGACCACGTACACCAGGCCCTGGCTAGGGGACCCGACATGCTGGGCGAGTTCCGAGCGGCTCTCAGTGGCGGCGCTGCTTATGGTCTGATGCTTATGGGGCCCGTGATCTGGCTCCGAACCGATGTCCTCTGCCCATGGTGACCCCCACGTCTTGGAAAGTCGCGTCAGTGAAGCCCGTGGCTTCGCGAGCGAGCCGGGCTGGCGCAGACTGGGTTCTCTGGCCGCAGCGGGTCCGCGCCTGACGGGGAGGGTCCGGCTGACTCGCACATCTTCATGGCTCACCCACTGTTTGCTGGGCGCACGGGGTGGGGACCCAAAGACGAATCCCATGCAGAGGTTTGGGTCTAGTTTTGGCAACAGAAAAGGCCGGCACCGCCGGAGTAGGACGCGCGCGCACCACCATCCATTCGGCCGGGGAGGTTGGGGCGTCCGCGGGGAGCAGACCCGAGGCTGGGCGCCCGGAGGTACGAGCAGGACCCTGGCCGGCTCTCAGCTCCCAGAACCCAGGGCCAGGCGGGGATGTCAGGGTCTGCGCGATCTGGGGGGCCCTAGAGGCGCCGGCGGGGCCTGGCGCGGACTACTAGCGGCCTGCGGGAGCCAGGGGTGGAGGGGGCCGCTGTCTAGGGAAGAGGACCGGGGTCCGGAGTGGGGGTGAGAACGAGGCACGCCCCTGAGCCTGCGAAACCTGCGGACCGAGCGCCCGCGCAGGAGCTCGCTCCCTCTGGGCCCCCAGGTCCCAGACCCGCACGATTCTTCGCCCGGTGCCAGCCCAGATGCGCGCGGGTGATGAACGGGCGGTGGCCGCGATCCACGCGCTCGCTCTGCCCAGTCAGCGGCAAATTCGTTCTCTCCTTGATCTCAGTGGCACTGGAGCGTGAGGCAAGGGCCAGGCGGCAGGTAGAGGGGTCGGACTCAGCAAAAGCAAACAAAACCCCAAGCAAACGAAATAAATACTTATACATTACATACACGATATAATATATGTGCGACAGACACCGTATTACTTATTAAAGATATATTTGTAGGTAAACATATATTTACATGTAAACATACATTTACATATAAATATAAATATATATATATGCATGTGTACACACACGCAGACACACAGGTCGCTCAATTAAATTTGAATTTCAGACTAGCGAGTAATTTTTCCGTATTAGCATGTCCCGTGCAATATTTGGGAACATACTTATAACTAGATTTGTTGTGAATCTGAAATTCAAATTTTACTGTGCTTTCTACATTTTTATCAGCAGCCCTAGCTGGAGGTGCTCAAAGGCCTCCCGGCCTTTGAGGTAAGGTTCTCGGGTCGGAAATCCCTGGTCGGAAGAAACGTGGGCGTTTCCTTTAAAGCCCTGCGGCACAAGAACTACAAGCCCCACAATGCCGCGCGGAAGCCGGCGGCGCTGATAGGCTGCAGTTCACTTCCGCCTTCTGACTTCCGGCCTCGGAGGCCGGCGTCGGCTGTTGCAGCCTGCTGCGCGCCCAGGGGTCCCGCGGGTTTTCGGGCGCAGGGTGGCGCCCGCGGCAGGCGGCGGCCATGAACTTCTCCGAGGTATTCAAGCTCTCCAGCTTACTCTGCAAGTTCTCCCCGGACGGCAAGTACCTGGTGAGCGGCGGGGACCTGGGCCACGGGCAGGACATCCTCGGTGCCAGCGTCCCCGGCGGGCAGGGCCGGGGGCGGCCGCGTGGGTGGAGGCAGCTTGGGGATCCTGCAGGTGCGGTGCCCGGACAGGTGCGGGGCCCGGGCAGGTACCCGGGGCAGGTGCAGTGTCTGAGCAAGTGCCCCAGACAGGTGCGGGACCCAGGAAGATACCCTAGACAGGTGGAGGGCCCGGGGAGGTGCCCCAAGCAGGTGCGGGGCCCAGGCAGGTACCCCAAGCAGGTGCGGGGCCCAGGCAGGTACCCCAAGCAGATATGGGGGCCGGACAGGTGCAGGACCCCGGCAGGTGCCCGGGCAGGTGCGGGACCCAGGAAGATACCGTAGACAGGTGGGGGGTCTGGGGAGGTGCCCTTGGAAAGGTGGGTATCGGCAGTGCCGACTGCACACAGGTGAGGGTATAGGAGATGTCGGCTCTTTGTTGTTACTTTGTCACAAAAGGCAAATTGATGATTCTGTTGCCTGTAAACTGGTAAGTGGTGTGGCTACTTTGTCATCTCTACTTCTCCTCTAATTCTCTTCTCCTCTACCACATGCCGAATAAATGATTTAAATACTAGTATTCTATCCCCAGGTAAGGAAGTAGTTGTCCTCATGGCTGGGATTTGAGGTCTTCGTTCCATGGGTGGCAGAAGGGTGCTTAAATCACAGAGCTATAACTTTAAGCTTCAAAACATATAGTGTATGTACCTGGATGCCTAGTAGTGTATATCCTCAGAAGAGAGGGATAACCCGGATGCCTAGTATGTATGTCCTCAGAAGAGGGGGACAATTGGCATTGGAAAGCCACTAAGAAGAAACATGCCTCGTAAAAAGTGGGCTTCGTTTTCCTTATCCACCACCTGTACTAACTGACTGATGTATCATGATGCTTTTTCAGGTTTTGCCACTCCTGACATTCCTGTGCTCTGTCTAGCTTTTGAGAGTTTAACTCTCAAATTACGTTTTTTACCTCTTCAGGGAGGTTTTATTCCAAATCACATAAAATAGCATCAGCTACAAAACAGAAAACCTCATTAGTTTAAATGGCATCTCAGCCTTGGTATATTTTCAATGTGCCCCCCTCCTCAATTAAATGAGAGGTTTGTTTTTTGTTTTTACCATTTATGAAAATTTCAGTGAATTATAAGGAGAAAGATTACATCTGCTTGCTTAACTTGGGTGTTTTTTTCCAGCTTGTACACTCTGGTCAAAATACCCTGAAACACTTGGTAATGATCTGTTACTGGAATCATCTTCTTGAAAGCCCTGAGGACTGGGGAGAGCAGGTCCATGTTTCTAGTTTTCATATCTTGCAGTAGAGTTTATGTGGTTCCTCAAGGTGTTGGTAAAAATATTCCATTTCATAAGGAATTCACTGTAACTGATCACAGTTTTCAAAGCTACAGTGTGAGAAAGTAAGTGCTGTGGTAGCTCCTTGTTCCAATCTGCCGTCACCCGCCTGTCTCTCTTTTCTCCCACGGAAAACTAACGTGGCTTTCTTTTTTGATATCGGTTCATAAAACACAAACTACTTTGACCTTGATAAGTAAAACTAACGAAGCAGTTAATATTTAAACATCAGTTCTTGATCTTGAAACTGTAGTAAAATATACATTCAGCAGGTGAGTACTCAGGCGTTATTTTTACTTGAAATTGTTTGCTTGGATAGGGACATAATGAACAAATATGGACAAGAAGAAACTATCTTTAAGAAAATAGTACTAACACTTAAACATTTCCCGTTTCGTGTTAGGAATAGGTTAATGGAGATAAATGAGCATTTGCGAAGCATCTTTATGTGTGCAGAAGTGAAAGCCTGTCTTTTGATCTTCTGTTGTTTTGGCTCTGAGTTCGGCACTGCATAAGAAGATTGATGCATTCCTTGCCATTTTCGTTGTCATCTGTGAAGCCTCAATTCTTACCCTTTATAAATTTGAGGAAATTGTCCAAAAGTGTTTATAAAACTAGCAGAGGATTTTGGTTATTAGTTCACAGAAGAGCTTTCTCCCAATGCTACTTCCCATTTAAGTTTAGTTTTTAACATACAGATAAGAAGGGACTTAAAAATGTCTTAAAGCTTTAAGTAGCGAGTTAAAACATACTTTTATACTTTACAATAGAGTATAGCAATATTAAAACCTGGCTTGTATATTTCAACATTACCCTTGTATGAACTGAACTGATCTTTAGGGGCTGGGGATGTCACTGGTGATCTAGACATGAAACCTCTGGCAGGAGAGAAGGCCACAGTCACTGAAGGCCAGGGCAGTAGCATTCCGAAGGCCCCCCTCTTTTGGAGTGGAGAATGTCAGGTGCTTGCTTTCTCATATTTTTTAGGCTTCCTGTGTCCAGTACCGGTTAGTGGTCCGGGATGTGAACACCCTTCAGATCCTTCAGCTGTACACGTGCCTAGACCAGATCCAGCACATCGAGTGGTCGGCAGACTCGCTCTTCATCCTGTGCGCCATGTACAAGCGAGGGCTGGTGCAGGTGTGTGCTGCCGTGTCGCTTAGAATCTGGACACCTTCTGAGGGCCCCTGGGAAGGAGGGGTTTTGTTCTGTGCCTTTCTAGTTTGAAAAAAAAGTCCGTGCAGCTCAAAGCCAGTTTTCTTTTGAAATTATAACGTTCTCTAAAGTTTAAGAACATTTAAACTAAGGAAACTCCAACGTAGTCTTAATTTCTAAGCAATATAGTTGAGAAACGGAGGTGTTGACAGCAATCTAGCCACGCGGATGTGGTGTGTTTCAGGAAGTCCTAAGAAGTCGTGTTTTCTTCTGTGTCCAAAGCTTAACTAAATGAGGTCTTAGGAATGACAATGTGAATAAACAGTTTTAAAACAACAACGAAATGAAATCACCAAGAAGCGTGGCTTACTTTTACACTGGAATCCAGCACCAGCCCTTCATCATGAAAGGTTCTAAAAGACACCCTGTGTGATCGGGTCTCTGCTGGTTTTAAGGGAGTTGTCTCTCGGCGAGGCCTCGCTATAGACTGCTGATGAGTTTGAAGACACCCTGTGCGGTCGGGTCTCCGCTGCGTTTAAGCGAGCTGTCCTCGCTGTCTCTCGGTGCTGATGAGTTTGCACTTGTGTGTTTCTTTCTTCTCTCAATCCAGGTCTGGTCTTTAGAGCAGCCCGAATGGCACTGCAAAATAGACGAGGGCTCAGCCGGGCTGGTGGCCTCGTGCTGGAGCCCGGACGGGCGCCACATTCTCAACACCACGGAATTCCATGTAAGTGTCAGCCCCAAGACACCTTACTGGCCATGTGATCCTGTCCTCTGCTCTCGAAACAGCTGGGGAGTGCGAGAGGGGGTGTGTTTGGAGTATGCTAGTCTCCCCTTATCCTCAGGGGATGCATTCTAAGACCACCAGGGGATTCAGATTGTACCAAACCCTGTATTTCCTGTGTTTTTTCCTATACAGCATACCTGTGATACATTTAATTTATAAATTAGATACAGTAAGAGATTAGCAACAATCATAGTATAGAACAAGGATAACAATATACTGTTTATAATTGCATGGATAGAAGATTTGGTCTTACTGAAGATCTGAGCAACAACCTCAGCATAGGATTTTTTCTTTCCTTGTTGCGTCAAGAACTTTCAGCTCGTCATTTAAAGGAAGCACTTTGTGGCTTCTCTTTGGCGTATCCAGATTGCGAGCCCCACCGCCCGTGCTTTGGGCTGCTACTGAGTCAGATAAGGGTGTCGTGAACACAGGCACTGTCTGCTGCCCTGGGTCTGATGACTGAGGTGGCTCCCGAGTGGCTGGTAGATTGGCGGGGTTGGAGGGAGCCGGGGAGCGTATATAGTGGTGTGTATATTTTAGGTCAGAGCATTATAAGCCACTAAGTATTATTGTCTGATCTTTTGTCCAGTTTTGAAGAAAAAACATTTTAAAAATCTTAATTTAGATTTTTTAGGATTTCGGCACTCCCTTTAATTCAACGATAGAAAATGCGCTGTGATATGAGCCGGCTCGCACCTTTCCTTCAGGAGCCTGGCCTGGGGGCGTGGCTCGGGGCGGTCGGCAGCCGCCCATTCACCTGCTGTAGGTACCGCACAACAGCCTCCGTGCTGAGCTCAGCGCGGAGGGGAATGTTGACATCCGAGAATAAATCAGAGGGATCTGGGATAGGAGACTGCATTTTAAGTTAAAATTAGGCATATGTCAAGTGTTTAGATACCAGGTCTTTGGTGTCCGCAGTGTCTTTTTAAGATACAGAAAAATGGACGAATTCCTTTAATAATGTGCTTTTCTGATGGAGTTGGATCCCAGTGTTTGGGCCCAAGTCCACTGAGTGCTCATAGCTGTCTGGGCTGCTGGCTGCACCTCGGTAACCCGCCCATCCCGCTGCGCCGCGCACACCACGGGGCAACCCGCCCATCCCGCTGCGCCGCGCACACCACGGGGCAACCCGCCCGTCCCGCTGCACGGCGCACACCACGGGGCAACCCGCCCGTCCCGCTGCGCCGCGCACACCACGGGGCAACCCGCCCGTCCCGCTGCGCCACGCACACCACGGGGCAACCCGCCCATCCCGCTGCGCCGCTCACACCACACTGCAGCCCTCCCGTCCCGCTGCGCCGCGCACACCACGTAGATGATGGCACCTGGGAGGATTTCTCCCAGCGTGTGGCTGCAGATGCTCTGTAGGGTTTCATTCGGCTTTTTTCAAGCTGGCATCGGCTGGGATAAAGTTTTATCCAGCCATGAGGGTTGCTGAATCAACTGCTTCAGATGGCTGGATGGCTTTACATATTTTTCAGTTTCGATTTTAAAAAATACTCCAAATCTAATGTCTGCTATTATGGGCTGTCAGAGAATAAGACAGGAAACAAAGGCCCACCAATGTCTCCGCACTATGTATTGACATTGGAAGGCACTTTCGGCCTGAGTGTTTCAGAGAGGATAATTTGAGCTTTTCACGCAGCCGTGTCTAACAGTCTTCAGGCCTGTAATGCTTTGGGCCCAAATCTGCCCTTGAGAAGGGCTCATGTCATGGGGTCAGCCTTGTTGTATTATCTTATTAAATGGCCCAGAAGGAAAACTACCATCTATAGAGTTTAGAAACCTTAAAAGATGGATAAAAGCCTGGTTTTGTTGAGCATCCCATGTCACACACACCAATATTGAAAACACCTTTGCTACAGAACAAACTGATTTTTCATAGAGTACATTTAGATGACATTGTTCAACCTAAGACTAAGGTCATGACCACTTTGCTGGTGGCCTTAGAGGAAACGTTAAGACCAGGTGGTGGATGAGGACCGGTAACCTCAAGGCATGGGGCATCTTGACCAAGATGTCAAAATGTGTCTCCAGCTTTGCATGCGAACTTTAATGGTTGCAAGTGAGGAAACAAAACCGGAATTCCAGACGTGCTGGCCAGGAAGTGAGCTGCGGGCACCGTCCATCAGTCTCATTCACAAGAGCAAGGACCAGACCCGTTCGAGGATTAGCGGGGCCACTAGGTCCCCTTCTGAAGGCGCGACCCCATGTCCGGGGCTCAGCGGGGCCACTGGATCCCCTTCCGAAGGCGCGACCCCATGTCCGGGGCTCAGCGGGGCCGCTGGGTCCCCTTCCGAAGGCGCGACCCCATGTCCGGGGCTCAGCGGGGCCGCTGGGTCCCCTTCCGAAGGCGCGACCCCATGTCCGGGGCTCAGCGGGGCCGCTGGGTCCCCTTCCGAAGGCGCGACCCCATGTCCGGGGCTCAGCGGGGCCGCTGGGTCCCCTTCCGAAGGCGCGACCCCATGTCCGGGGCTCAGCGGGGCCGCTGGGTCCCCTTCCGAAGGCGCGACCCCATGTCCGGGGCTCAGCGGGGCCGCTGGGTCCCCTTCCGAAGGCGCGACCCCATGTCCGGGGCTCAGCGGGGCCGCTGGGTCCCCTTCCGAAGGCGCGACCCCATGTCCGGGGCTCAGCGGGGCCGCTGGGTCCCCTTCCGAAGGCGCGACCCCATGTCCGGGGCTCAGCGGGGCCGCTGGGTCCCCTTCCGAAGGCGCGACCCCATGTCCGGGGCTCAGCGGGGCCGCTGGGTCCCCTTCCGAAGGCGCGACCCCATGTCCGGGGCTCAGCGGGGCCGCTGGGTCCCCTTCCGAAGGCGCGACCCCATGTCCGGGGCTCAGCGGGGCCGCTGGGTCCCCTTCCGAAGGCGCGACCCCATGTCCGGGGCTCAGCGGGGCCGCTGGGTCCCCTTCCGAAGGCGCGACCCCATGTCCGGGGCTCAGCGGGGCCGCTGGGTCCCCTTCCGAAGGCGCGACCCCATGTCCGGGGCTCAGCGGGGCCGCTGGGTCCCCTTCCGAAGGCGCGACCCCATTTCGGGGGTTAGTGGGGCCGCTGAGTCCACTTGCGAAGGCGCCACCCCACGTGAGGGTGCTGTGGAGCATGGGAGACGTCCCTGCCTCTTGCATTTTAACGTGAAAAGGCAAGCTTGCGCCCATTAGACGAGGTTCAGTGAGTCATCAAAAGCGGCTCACCCCTAGGCCTGCAGCGGAACACTGCCGCGCTTTCAGAGCCCTTCTCTTCCTCGTAGCAATGCCCTCCCCACCTGAGGGCACCTTTGCCCCACGTCTTGCGTGAATCACATCCTCACTGTTCTTGAGTCTCACTGTACAGATGTGTCTAAACACCACATTGCTTGCTGTGCAGTGTAAAGTTGATTTATAGGGGCTTGTACTTTGCAGTCTCTGCTGTTGCTGTTCCCCGTCACTGCTTTTAGACTCCTCCGTGTTGACAGGCATCGCTGGGCCTTCCCTTCCTCGTGAGGAACGCCATTCAGTCCTCGCCTGCTGGACGTGTGCGTCACCACGGACGGTGTGGCTGTGAACGTGTTGTCCCCGTCTCCTGGGCACATACCCGGAGAGCCTCTCTAGGAGAGCCTTGCTTGGCCGTAGCAGACGGAGGGGTTTCATTTGCCAAGGCTTTTGTGGCAGGATTACAATGATTCCATCCAGGCGACTAAATGATACTGCAGTTTGGATTTAGTTTGCGTTTCCCTAATTCTCGGTGAGGTTGAGTGCTTTCCTATCTTGTTTCATTACACACAGACGCTCACACATGCTCCATTTAAATGAAGCAGGTTCACGTAGTGGGGCACACTGTGGGGTCTGAATCCATTTCTACCTTTTCCCAGCAGCATTTTTTTTTTTTTTTTTTTGAGATGGAGTTTCGCTCTTGTCCCCCAGGCTGTAGTGCAATGGTGTGATCCAAGCTCACCGCAACCTACGCCTCCCAGGTTCAAGCGATTTTCCTGCCTCAGCCTCCCGAGTAGCTGGGATTACAGGCATGCGCCACCACGCCTGGCTAATTTTGTATTTTTAGTAGAGATGGGGTTTCTCATGTTGGTCAGGCTGGTCTCAAACTCTCGACCTCAGTTGATCTGCCTGCCTCGGCCTCCCAAAGTGCTGGGATTACAGGTGTGAGCCACCGTGCCCAGCTCCCAGCAGCATTTATTTAGAAGGCTATCTTCACCAGCTATAGCAGGAGCTCAGTTCCATTATACCTGCAGGATCACTTCTGGTTTCCATTCCAGTCCACTGTTGGTCCACCTATGTGCCAGCACCACACTGTCTACATTATTGAGGTTCTATGGTGTGTTTGAATATCTGATGGGACTGATTCCTCTTCATTGCTCTTGTAGTCTGTCAGATTTTTTAAAAACAATTTTTTTGTAGAGTTGGGGTCTCCCTTTGTTTCCCAGGCTGGTCTCGAGCTCCTAAACTCACGCAATCCTTCCTTCCCAGCCTCCTGTATAGCTGGCATTACAGGTGCACAACAGTGCGCCCGGCTCTGCCAGATTTTTAAATGTATTTTTGAGACTTTGTTGTTAGCTGCATACAAACTTTTAACTGTTTGTAAACAGATTTCCTAGTGAAGCGGTTCCCATGATTCCGCGGTGGCACAGGCCTTTTGTTGTAAAGTATTCCTCTTTATGTCTCACGGTTCTTTTTGTTTCAGAGTCTGATTTATCCCGTACGAATGCGGCAGTGCCACCTTTCTCTTGGTTAGGATTTTCTTGATATGTCTTTTTCTATCCTTTTACCTTCTACATTTCTGCATCCTTAAACTTGAGTGTGTATGTTGTAAATAGTCTATAGTTAGCTTTAAAAATATATCCAGACTGCAGACTTTTTCTTATATCTGAATAAAGGCAATTAAAACAATTTATAAGCAAGAGAATTCACCCACTTTAAGAGCACAGTTGAGTGAGTCACTTTGCACGTCATTGCCGCCACAATCAGGACCAAGACTGTTCGCCCGTGGCATGGGGCTCCTCGTGCCCCTTGTGCTCAGTCCGTCTCCCACCTGTGTCCGGCAGCCGGTGCCTGCTGCGGGGCGAGCAGCACTGCCTACTCGGAATCCCATCTGCACAGAGCCATGGTGCGTGGAGCTGTGCGTCTGCTTCCTTTTCCCTGGCATCTTGCTGGTTTTGAGTGTGCTGGGTTGTGGGGTGGATCAGTGGCCCGTTCCTCCATCTTGAGAGTGCTGGGTCATGGTGTGGAGAGAGTGCTGGGTCGTGGCATGGATCAGTGGCCTGTTCCTCCCGTCTTGAGTGTACTGGGTCATGGCTTGGATCCGTGGCCCATTCCTCTCACCCTGAGCATGCTGAGTTGTGGTGTGGATCGGTGGCCCGTTCCTTCCGTCTTCAGCACACTGGGTCGTAGCGTGGATCAGCGGCCCCTTCCTTCCCTCCTGAGTGCTCTGGGTCATGTGGATCCCTCTGGTCCTTTCTTCCTGCTGCTGAGTGCTGTGGAGCCCATCCCACGGGTCTCCTCCGCTGGCTTCTCCAGTGGTCAGTGGAAGGTAACAGCGCTGATGAAGGTGTATATTTAACTACCTTTTTTTCTTATTGGGTTTTTAAAAGTTGCAAAGTTATCTTTTAAAGGTTTTTGTTTCTTTGTTTTTGTGAGATGAAGGTAAAAATCAGGCTTAAAGTGCTCCCTGTGTTTCCTAAGATGTGCCTGAGTGGGGAGCCTCGGCCAGGCGCACCCCACAGGGATGCAGGGCCACAGGTGGGAGATGTGCTTTTCTCCTGTGACTCTGCAGTAGGCTCTGGAGGGCAGGTCTCTGCCCTGGGTGGCACATGGACTCTCCTGATGCTGAGAGGCTCGGGCGCTGCACCCCGCCCTGCTGATGCTGAGATGCTTGGGTGCTCCACCCCGCCCTGCTGATGCTGAGATGCTCCGTTGCTGCACCCTGCCCTGCTGATGCTGAGATGCTCGGGCGCTCCACCCTGCCCTGCTGATGCTCAGAGCCTCGGGCGCTCCACCCCGCCCTGCTGACGCTCAGAGCCTGGGGCGTTCCACCCTGCCCTGCTGATGCTCAGAGCCTCGGGCGCTGCACCCCGCCCTGCTGATGCTCAGAGCCTCGGGCGCTGCACCCCGCCCTGCTGATGCTCAGAGCCTCGGGTGTTCCACCCTGCCCTGCTGATGCTCAGAGCCTCGGGCGCTCCACCCCGCCCTGCTGATGCTGAGATGCTCGGGCGCTCCACCCCGCCCTGCTGATGCTCAGAGCCTCAGGCGCTGCACCCACCCTGCTGAGTCTGAGAGGCTTGGGCAAGGTTTCAGCCTCAGACACGCTGGTGGGAAGTAGCACGCTTCCTCGCTCAGGCCCCAGCGCCCTCCTTGGCCTCAGCTTGTGGAGCTGTTAGAGGAGCAAGTGCTCTGTGCAGCTGGAGTTCCGAGGCATGGTCCCCAGAACGGCCAGTGTGTTTCGGGTTCAGCATCAGCACAGGAGCCCTTCCGTGCTGCCACGTGACCCCTGGAGCTCGTTGATCCACTACCTGTGTGTTCAGGACTTCTCTCCTGAACGCTGTATATGTTGTTTGGAGAAACAATTACAGACATCAGATTTTCTTTTCTGTTGTAAGAAGAGATGATGCGTAGACATTTAAATTAAATCATTTGTTAATATCCTATACTGACAACCTGGCAGCGTTTGCAGGAGTGACACTGTGGACATGCTGTGCCCCACACGCTGCGGCCCCACTTACGCTGCTGGAGACGGTCCCCCACCCCGGGCCTCATCCTCAGCGAGGACCCCTGCCTGACACACACGGAGCTGGCAGTCAGCACCCCACCCCGCATGGAGCTGCGCAGCCCTGTGTCCCCACACACGGAGCTGGCAGTCAGCACCCCACCCCACATGGAGCTGCGCAGCCCTGTGTCCCCACACACGGAGCTGGCAGTCAGCACCCCACCCCGCACCTTGTGTCCCCGCACCTCGGCCATATTTCAGTTAACTACCAGATTCATCAGTGGGCCGGGGATGTGGGAAGCAAGATGATTCCCTGGTAGGCTCCACGGGGTCTCAGTGGGAAATGCAGGTGGAGGGACACAGCAGCCCTGGAAGTCCCGCGGCGCTGCCACGGGGAGGGCTGGACCACCCACTGCGGTGCCTCTCCCTCAGCAGGCACGCCCTCGTCGGCCTGGTTAGAAAATCATCTTTTGGCCTCACTGTGCCAGCCTAGTCAGCTCTCAGCTCCCTGAGTCAGGGAAAGGGGTGGAAAAGTGGACAGTCCAGCAGCGCATGTTCTAGAACCCTCTGCAGATGCAGCCAGGCCAGCGAGCACACGCAGGAGGCAGACGGACACCTTCTTGGGTGTTGAGTGGCTGCTCCTGCCTCAGGGCTGCAGATGCAGGCTCACAGCCCCCTGGTGAGTCCCGGAGTGGCTGCATCCAATCTCCAGATCCTCTGTCTTCCCATAAAGGAGACTGAACCCGTGGTGGTTTCTAGATCAAGATTTTTCTCTGAGTAACTCAGGGTTATTATAACATGCAACCTATGGTCACTTTGAAAAAGCTAATGAAAAAGCACTTGGATTTAACTTTGTGTCACTCAATTTTGGTATAAAACAACAACAACAGAAAACCAAGAACACCAAATTTACCGTAACCACAGTAAAATACGCATTTGAATATTCCGGTAGGAGGGCAGGCATCCCCCAGGTCCTGATAGATCCACTCCAGCAGTCAGGCCTGTGCTTGGGGACGCGTGGGCGGGTTGAGGATTGAGACGGTCTCTGATGATGCTAAAGAAGTGTTTCCTTTCTCTTTCCCCTTTCCCCCAACAGCTGCGGATAACCGTCTGGTCCTTGTGCACAAAATCCGTGTCTTACATCAAATACCCGAAAGCTTGTCTGCAGGGTGAGTCGATCGGAGCCACGCAAAAGCCATTTCTTTGCAGCTGTTTGACTTTTTTGTCACGGGAAGTTTCAAAGAGGCAGAAGTAGCTTCAGCAGCATATCAACACATAGCCAACCCCCTTGGGCTCTTTTAAAGGAGACCTTAGGTCTCCTCATACTTCATCTGTAAATATTTCCATATGTGTCTCAAAAAGGCAAGAGTCCCCTTTTAAAACATGACCACAGTGACTCAAGACAACGTGGCCTAAGACATGGAAGAACGGTGGCGTTGATGCCGGTCCCCTTGACCTTGGCGGCAGAGCTGGGCGTTCAGACCCCTTCCAGCCGATGCCTGTTGAGAGGCCCACCTCAGGCATCCAGTTCTGAGCTTTCTCTCTTCTGTGGACTAAATATGATGTCTGCGAAAGGGGGAGGTCTTGCCTGTCATCTCTGGGCATCCCAGAGGGATATGTGACCAGTGTCCCTTCCTTGTGGAAGCCTGTGAGCCATCTGGAAGAAAGGGGGCCGGCGCAGGGTGGCCCACTGCCAGCGCGTCTAACTGGACCGCGCAGAGCTAGTGGGAGGTGCCACTCCTGAGTCCTGGACGACACCGCACTGTCTTTTTGCGGAATGAAACATACACAGTTGGAATGATGCTTTCATTTTTCTCTGTTGCTGCCAGCGGTTTGGAAATTGCATTTGAATGCAATGCAGTCACACTCTTATTCTTATAGTTGGAATATTAGCGTCCCTCCAGATGAGATACATATCTCTTGATAGGAGTGGACACCGTGGTTTCGTCATTTGAGGTATTCTTTTCACTCAGGAATGATGAATTCTGGCCTAGGGCTTTTTAAGCTAATACAGAACTGGAAAATAAGAGTTTAACATTTTCAACTAAAGTTTCTTCCACATTTTCATCTTATTATTACTTTTTTGAGACAGGGTCTTGCTCTGTCACCCAGGCTGGAGTGCAGTGACACGATCACAGCTCAGTGCAGCCTCGACCTCCTGGGCTTAAGTGATCCTCTCACCTCAGCCTCCTGAGTAGCTGGGACTACAGGCACACACCATCACAGCCGGCTGATATTTTGTAGAGATGGGGTTTCACCAAGTTGTCTGGGCTCCTTTCAAATTCCTAGGCTCAAGCGATTCACCTGCTTCAGCCTCCCAAAGTGCCGGGATTACAGGCGTGAGCCACCATGCCTGGCCACACATTTTCATCTTCAGTTTACTTCTTCCAAATAATTAAATTCAAAGGTAAAATAAATATGGTAGGAACCAGCTGCCTTTTGCCTAGCTGGAGATAGCCCTGGGTGTCCCGCAGCTTAGACATGGGGGGACTCGAAGGCCTGTGTTTCTCACTCATATTTGTGATTAATCAGAGGTCACATCACTTGGTATTTTTGACAGAGCCTTGCAAACCGGCTCCTGTGTGTGTACAGCTTCCCCCAGCACACACTGCGTTGTGAGGGTGAAGGCACCGTGCCTTGGGTTTCTCCTCTGCGCTAGAATGTTCTTGTCTGTCTGAGGAGCAGTGCTCGGCATTGTGCCATTTCCCTTCTTTTCACCTCTGCTTTCTTTTCCTCCTCCTTCCTTGTGAATTACTACTGTGGTTTCTCTTGCTTGATTTTGTGGCCGCTTGATTTCAGTGCATTTGCCTCTTCCCACAGGAATCACCTTCACCAGGGACGGCCGCTACATGGCGCTGGCAGAACGGCGCGACTGCAAAGATTACGTGAGCATCTTCGTCTGCAGTGATTGGCAGCTCCTGCGGGTAAGGCGTCCCCCAGACTGGAATAAAGTTGTCCTGCTGACTGTGGAGGGATCGAGTGAAGTAGATCCTTCCAGATTCCAGGGGATCTTTGGTAGGATATGGAGCAAGGTGATGTTGTATTAACAAAGGGCAGGTGCGCTGCGAATCACTTCCAGTGGCACCCGGTTGTGTGTTCAGGAGACTTGGTGAAAAGGACGCGTGCCCAGGTGTTTTAAAAGTGAATATGCTGTCACATTTGAGCCCTTTTCCTTGTCCTGTGTGATGGTGTTTGCGCATGTGTGTGCCACGTCGGGAGTTGGGGGGACGTGGAAGTTCACCTTGACTGAGGGCCTGCATTAGGCAGGGCGCTCTGCCAGGTGCCCAGGCACAGAGGGCACTGCCCCCACAGCAGACATATGAACACGATTCCAGCACAATCCATCATTAAGGTAGAGCAACCTCTGGAATGCTGTCAGAGTGCAGAACCCGGGATCCAGGCAGTGCTCTGGAAGGGACTTGTCTGAGCTGGGTCTAAAGGAGTGAGCCTGGCCAGGCAAGGAAAGGTGAGGGGGAGAGTGTGCACATGAGTGCAGGTGCGGGGAGACCAAGCCACCTTCGGGGGCTGGCCAGGCAAGGAAAGGTGAGGGGGAGAGTGTGCACACGAGTGCAGGCGCGGGGAGACCAAGCCGCCCTCGGGGGCTGGCCAGGCAAGGAAAGGTGAGGGGGAGAGTGTGCACACGAGTGCAGGCGCGGGGAGACCAAGCCGCCCTTGGGGGCTGGCCAGGCACTGACGCTGGCATCTGTGGCGGTGCAGCCCCAGCAGCAGCTCTACAGGGATTTCATGCATTTCCAGGATAGAGCTGTTGAGATTTTGTCAATTTCTATATAAGGAAATTAAGTGCGTTAAGAACATCAGTCATAAATGCAATTATTTATTTACGAAAATATTTTCCAAATTTAATGTTTCCCCCCCTTCCTTTGGAAGCATTTTGATACGGACACCCAGGATCTCACAGGGATTGAGTGGGCCCCAAACGGCTGTGTGCTGGCAGTGTGGGACACCTGCTTGGAGGTATGAAGATGACCAGGTGACATGTTTGCTTTCGAGAGCTTTTCCCGGAATTTCATGCTTTCTGAATGCTGCAATATAGTTTGCTTTATCTTATTTCAGATAACAAGTTGAGCTTTGTTTTAAAAGACAGGGTCTTGCTCTGTCACCCAGGCTGGAGTGCAGTGGTGTGATCACGGCCCACTGCAGCCTCGACCTCCTGGACTCAAG
This sequence comes from Homo sapiens, assembly GCF_000001405.40. NCBI lineage: Eukaryota > Metazoa > Chordata > Mammalia > Primates > Hominidae > Homo > Homo sapiens. The sequence continues at coordinate 3,635,736 of NC_000001.11, read as the reverse complement.
TGATCCTCCTACCTCAGCCTCCCAAGTAGCTGGGACCACAAGCATGCACCACCACGCCCGGCTAATTTTTGTATTCTTTGTAGAGATGGGGTTTCACCGTGTTGCCCAGACTGCTCTTGAACTTCTGTGTTCAAGTGATCTGCCAGCTTCGGCCTCCCAAAGTGCTGGGATTACAGGCGTGAGCCACAGTGCCCGGCCGAGTTGAACTTTTATCAGCGAGCCATTAGGTTGACCTCCCAATTTCCCCTTTTTCCTCATGCTCTCACTGCCTCTCCGTGACTATCTCAGTACTAGCTGGCAGTTCCAGCTTTTCCACGGCCACGCGGACAGTCCTGCCAGCTTTGTGCTATCTGCACCAATGTCACTCTGCAGCACCCGCGTCTGTGGTGTGTTCCTGGCGACGGGGGTGTATTCATTATTAACTGAAATGTCTCATCTGCAGTACAAGATTCTGCTGTACTCATTGGATGGCCGGTTGTTGTCCACGTACAGCGCTTACGAGTGGTCCCTGGGCATCAAGTCTGTGGCCTGGAGCCCCAGCAGTCAGTTCCTGGCAGTTGGGAGCTATGATGGAAAGGTGGGAACCAGTGCAGGGCACTCAGGAAGTCCGACCGCCCAGCGGGCCGGGCCCTGCCTCACCTGTGCATGGTTTCCTTCCTCAGGTGCGCATCCTTAATCACGTGACTTGGAAAATGATCACGGAGTTTGGGCATCCTGCAGCCATTAATGATCCCAAGATAGTAAGTCTGGAACACGTGTTTCTGCCTGAGCAGGCTGTTGGGGAGGGCGGTGGGAAACTGCTCCTTCACTTTGCTTTCTTGATTGTGGTTTATTATTTAACCGGGCACTTCCATCACCGTAAACTTGCTACTGTGACATTTCACGCGTCTGGCCCTGCCCTGGCCTTTGTTCTTCCTCCTCCACGCTGCCCAAAGGGTCTGAAGTGGGCCTTGCCCTGGCCTGTCCTCTGCCGCTGCCACCCCAGTCCAGTTTTCTCCTTTGTGGTCTGTCTGGATGCAGATCCCTGTGCTGTACAGAGTGGCCAGGGTCTCCTGCCCCCAAACACTGGGCATCTGCTGTCGTGCCAGGCACTGTGCTCTGGGCCGCAGCCAGAGAAGAAGAGACAGACCCCTGCACTTGCAGAGTGCGGCTGGAGAGACAGGGAAGGGGCTGGAGAGCTGGGTGTCTCCACGGGGTGGCAGGGAGTGGCCACCAGCGAGGGATCGCAGGCACAGATGCTGCACCAGTGATCAGGGACTCGGGGAGGGAGCGTTCCAGGCCAAGGGAACAGGAAATGCAAAGGCCCCGAGGAGTGGGCCACGCATCCATGTGTGCAGCGGGCACTGCGCTGGGAGCCAGAGACAAATGCTGCCCTCCTGGTGTTGACCTGTAACCGACAGAGCTGAGTGAAAGGCGGCTTGGATTCGATGAAGAGGCCAGTGAGTGGCTGGGGCTGCGCATGCCAGATCAGCCACTGCCGGGGATGCATCCTGGAGGGGTGTTTAAGTGAAGACCAGGAGGAGGAGCTGCGCGGTGTCTGGGCAGAAAGGGTGTTTCAGGCAGAGGGGCCTCCTGACGTGGCCAGTGGCTTGTGTGGCTGGAGGCCAGGGTGTCTGGACAGGTGAGCCCGAGCAGGGCTGGCCACACAGGTCCTGAAGGTTTGCCTGTGATTCCTGCATTCTCCAAATCCCTTCGCCACACAGCAGCAGAGCATGCTTTAAAGGCATGAACCAGGCCAGGTGACTCCCTTACCTGGGGCTCTTCAGGGGCGTAGGGGCTGCCCGCCTTCCACTGAGCCTGGGCCGCTGTCCTTTGCTTGCCAGGCTCTCGGGCACAGATGCCCCCACCTCGGGTCTGTGTCTGCTGCTCCCGGGGCCTCTGCTGTGTTGGTGCAAGTGTTCTCTGTATCCTCTTATCACGGAGGGAAGGCTGAGCCCACTCCCTTGCTGGATGATGGTGGCTGCAGTGGTCTCCCGTCTGTAATCACAGGGCACACATTTGCTGCCTGTGTCTCAAAGGGTGGGCTCCTCAGCAGGACACGAGAGAGGGTGGCTGGGTGATCTCAGCTCTCGGGACTGCGGGGTTCGTGCTTCCGTCTCTCCCGGTGGCAGCAGGACCAGCTGTCATGGCAGGCACACCTGTTGACCATGCGCTGTCATGGGCATTTGCCACGTCCATCCTTGGCTTCCGGGTCCCTGTCCTGAGCCGGGCGTGGCCACCTTGTGTCTTTCAGGTGGTGTATAAGGAGGCCGAGAAGAGCCCACAGCTGGGACTGGGCTGCCTCTCCTTCCCGCCGCCCCGGGCCGGGGCCGGCCCTCTCCCGAGCTCAGAGAGTAAATGTAAGTAGCACATGTGATGTCATTTGTTTTCCTTTTTTAATGCAAGATTCCTCGTTGTCCAGATAAACTTCGGATGTTCCTTATGTTTAAAAAAAAAAACTTTTTTTCCCTTCCATGCTTCCAGCCAGTGTGCCCCTCAGCCTGTTGGCTGGAGGTTGACTAGGGTCTGAATTGCGCAGTGGGCCGTGAAGGTGCGGCTTCTGTTACTGAATATGAGCCCTGGAGACCCGGATCTGACAGCGGGAGCTCCGAGGGGATGTTTTTCCGGAGCTCCGAGAATGATGTTTTTCAAAGAAACACTTTTCCGTGGGTGGCGCTCAGAGTGGGTCTGGAACCCGGCGGTGCTCCCGAGCGCTGTCTCCGGCTTGAGGCCCGGTTCTGATGCAGCCTCTTGACTCTGGGCATTTCCTATGTGTCTGTTTCCTCATCGCTGAAATGGGCATAGTAAAAGCACCCATCCCACAGGGGCATGAGGGCATCTGAAGGTTGCAGGTAGAGGAAGCGGTGCCCCAAGTGCCGACGGGCCCACCCCGGGGCTCGGTGTGTGCTCAGGATGGGGGTCAGGACAGGTGCAGCCTGGCACACAGGAGGCGCTCCCCAGGAGCCCAGGGGCGTCCTTGTTCCACAGCCCCTGCTTCTGCTGTGATGATGGTTCTTCCACAGCCGGAAAGTCTAAGGGTACTGACGCTGAGGTGGAAGGGATTGTGAACTCAGATGCTGGTAGTCGACAGAAAAGTGCTGAGGAGTTGGAGCTGCTGAGATTGCAGCTAGGACCTGTCCATGTCCCTCTCCAGTCAGCCCCTGGCACGTGGGGTCCACCCCCCACCTAGTCGGGCCTGGCAGGTGATGGTGCCACTCTCATCCGGGGCACTTGCGGGCAGGCCCCTCGCTGCGGCTGCCAGGCTTTGCTTAGCTCTTCCTGCCCTTGGGCCGCACTTTCCTCCCCTTTGAACAGAGGAGCTGGGTTCGCGATGCCCGATGCAGGCACAGCAGCCTCTCAGCCGCGTGCGTACTTCCCGAAAGGGTGACAATGGCGTGTTCTTCCTGTTGGTGTTCTAGATGAGATCGCCTCTGTCCCAGTCTCCTTACAGACACTGAAACCTGTTACCGACAGAGCAAACCCGAAAATCGGCATAGGAATGCTGGCATTTAGTCCTGACAGCTACTTCCTGGCGACAAGGAACGGTCAGTTGTGCTGACGCAGGTGCTGTCTCACCCTTTACTGTGTCCTGTGGCCCCAGGTGTAGAAGCGACTGGAAAAGAAAATGAAGTTGGGGGTTTCCGACACGTCACCTCCTTTCACGTTTCTGCAGTAGCCGAGGTGCTCACAGAAGCTCCTTGGAGGCGCTGGGCCTTTGTCCTGCAGCAGCCGCAGGTCCGCGCATGAGTCAGGAGGCCTCCACCCTGCTCACTTGCTCCACTCTGCTGAGTAGAAAGCAGGGCTGGGCACACTGCAGCCCGCCTTTTGTTAAGGGTTTCTCCATTTGTAAAGGGCTAAAAAAAAAAAAAAAATACCAAAGAAAGAAACACATTTGGGCCCCTTACAGCCCGTGATGGCCACCCTGGCCCTGGCCAGGAGCCCTACAGGGCCCAACTGAACCCAGACTGCAGGGTGCAGCCGCCCCACCCCACCGGTTCTTCCCCTCCCCTCCTGTGGTGTCAACAGCAGAGCAGAGGGGCAGGGCCAACACAGAGGAGCCAGGCAGGGATGACACCGGTGCCCTGTCCTTCCTTCCTCAGACAACATTCCCAATGCCGTCTGGGTCTGGGACATTCAGAAGCTGAGGCTGTTCGCGGTGCTCGAGCAGCTGTCCCCAGTGCGCGCATTTCAGTGGGACCCGCAGCAGCCGCGGCTGGCCATCTGCACGGGAGGCAGCAGGCTCTACCTGTGGTCCCCAGCGGGCTGCATGTCGGTGCAGGTGCCTGGGGAAGGTAAGCACATCCCCGAGGCCACGGACGTGGCAGCCTTGCTGTGTGCAGTCTGGCATCACACGGGCTGAACTGTTGAAGCCCAGCTGCTGTCTCCGGCAGCACTCCAGGGAAACTGCCCTCAGAGTCTTTGCGTAAACCTCAAGACGGACACACAGGGGACCCGCTGCCCTCAGCTTTATGGGCTAGAAGCAGCCTCTCCCTGACTTGAGGCAGCTCTGGGGCTCCACCCTGGCTCTGCCTATGTGGGTCACTCCAGGCACTGTGCTGGCCTGCAGGACAAGGGGGTGCCCATCCCCCAGAATCTGGGCCTCCCCTGCTGTAATCCTCTGGCCACCTGTCTCTCTCTAGGCGACTTTGCAGTGCTCTCTCTGTGCTGGCATTTAAGCGGAGACTCGATGGCCCTCCTCAGCAAGGATCACTTCTGCCTCTGCTTCCTGGAGACAGAGGCAGTGGTCGGCACAGCCTGCAGACAGCTGGGCGGCCACACGTAGCAGCGGTGCACTAACGTGTGCAGAAACAGGGCTACTCTGTGTTTCCAGTGTGGGAAAAAACACAGCTTCACCAGGAGGTTCTCCACTGTGGTGGTCTGGATTCAGTGATTGATTCTATTTTTCTATAGCAAAGCATTTTTGTAAATATGTATGGTATAAAACTGTAGTTTTATTATTTAAAATAAATACTTGCTGATTTATACAACTACTTCTCTTCTTGAAACGTTTAGTCACAGGCAGGTTTTCTAGGTTCGAGGTTCTGGTCAGTCTTAGGGAAGATGGATAGCCCTACAGTAACTGAGCCCCGGGCCACTAGCTCCCGCCAGACACCCGGCCTGCTCTGGGTTCTCTGTTTGGATGTGTTAGGACAACGAGGGGGCATCTCTGTGGGGCACATCCAGCCTCCCCACAGTGGGTCTGAAGTGTGGGCAGGGAGCCCTGGCACCTGAGAGCAGCGCCACCCCCAGGTCCAGTCCCCTCGGGATGGGAGCTGCAGGTCCCCGACCAGCTGAGTCAGTTCCTCAGGAAGTCTCATGTCTACTCTGGTTTCGGAACCAGTGTGCGTGGGTCTCCACCCTGGCTATTTGCAGGAAGTGCCTAGAACCACCCAGAACCATTCCATCAATCTCTCCAGCTGGTGCTCGGCAGGCAGCCAGACTTGGTTGGCACCACAGGTGGGGGGATCAGGGTTGCAAACCTAGGTTGTTGCATATCGTGATCTCTTTCTGCAGAGAACCATACTCGGCACTGCTGTGACAGGCAGTCCGCATGGTACAGGCAGAACAGGCCCACAGGTGCAGAGCCGGCAGAGATGGGGCAGGCTTTCAAAGAGGGAAGAGACACTTTCTTGGTTGTTGCACCTACTTTAATGACAACTTCAAAAAAGGAACAACATCCATCCACTTCTTAATGTCTTTATGAACACAGAGGCTAGAGTCCCCAGCCAGCTTCTGAGGCAGCCCTGCACATCCTGCAGGTGGCCACACTCAACCCATGCCACACCGTTTGCTTAAAGCTACAAGTCCTAGAGCTGAAGAACTGGCAAGCCAGTGCGTGAAGCTTATCGACAGCGCTTCCAGCCACACGAGCAAGCTGCGCAGATACAGGGAGGTGCGTGGGTCCCTGTGGGGAAATCCTCCAGGCACATCGAAGCCCGGGCATGTTTAGTGTGAGACTTGGACAAAGTCCTCTGTCTACACCAGAGTGGTAGGAACCAAGGCAGGCATCAGCTGCGTCATAAGGATCTGGTAGATGGAGTCTCGCTCTGTCGCCCGGGCTGGAGTGCAATAAGTGGTGCCATCTCAGCTCACTGCAACCTCCGCCTCCTGGGCTCAAGCGATCCTCCTGGCTCAGCCTCTCAAGTAGCTGGGACCACAGATGTGCCACCACGCCTGGCTGCTTTTTGTCTGTTTGGTAGAGACGGGTTTCACCATGTTGCCCAGGCTGCTCTGCAACTTCTGAGCTAGAGCGATTTGTCTGCCTGAGCCTCCCAAAATGCTGGGATTACAGGCATGAGCCACCATGCTGGCCTGATACGGTTCCTTGTTTTAAAGTGCATTATTCAACAAGCAAAGTACCCGATTCCCTTTAACTATGAATACAATACAAACTTCGAATCCAGAGAGGTGTAAAACTTGTGTGCAAAGAACTGTCAAGGTGACTTTCTCAAATTAATAAATTGTCTTACAATGATTTTCTGTAAAGCTTTCTGGGTCTGGGAAACAGACCTGAAGTATTAACACAACTTGGGTTAATTGTGGAAAAAGTGTCACTTCAGGTCACCCATTTCCAAAAGAGCAGCGGGTCACCAAGGGGCCCACAGCCACAGACCGGTCTCAGTCAACCGGTCTGCTGGCTGCTTTTGGATGAGCTGAAGTAAAAATGGATTACATTTTAAAATACAAAATTGGACACCAGGTGTAAACATACTTGCAACTGCAGGCACTCGAGATACCAGGTGCCTCCCTGTTTTCAGCAACCTAGGCAAGCGCTAAGGGGTGTGCTATGGGTCCCGCGTGCTGGGGCAGCTGGGGTGGGAAAAACCACGAGAAGCCAAGTAGATACTCAAGGAAAACACCAGAACTGAAGTTACAGAGAATGAAATACCAGCAGCACAGGGACAGCGAGAGTCTTTTGGCTTTTGTCTGTAGCTTATATGAGCAGAGTCCAATATCCAATTAAATAGATAGAATTCACTTTACGATTCTAATTGTGCTGAGATCCCTAAAGGTGAAAGATCCCCATCCTTCCAGCAGCAGCAGGGCAGCATGAAGACTGCCAGGCCTCCCAGTCCCCCAGCCCCCACATCCCTTGGCCTTCTGGGGAGGGGGAGGAGCTCCCAGAAGGGGGAGGAGCTCCCAGAACGCAGCGGCTAAAAGCCTATTTTGCCCCTGGTCATGGAGTAGCCCAGTTTCGCCTCGTTGTTAATGAAGGACATGAGTCCCACGTAGGTCTCGATGAGCAGGGGGCGCTCCAGGATCAGCACGCCATTCGCCTGTCCTGGCAAAGGGCTTTCTTTTTGGGCTTTTTTGACAGCTTGGATTAACAGAGCCTTGAAGCTTTCCAACTTTAAAGAGAGAAAAACATGGAGCTTTAACTGTCAGGCAAGATAAGAATGTCTATTACTTGAAAAAATTAGCATTCTGAGACACTTAAATCCCTCCAAATGCCGCCTATCTCTTCGTCCCTTCACTTGAAAGGGCTGCCTCTGCCACATCCTGGGGGTCTCTCAACTCTCGTCCCCACGGAGCTCTCTAGGTGTGTGGAAATCTTGCCACCATGCTCTCCTGTGGCCAATGGCAGCCAGCACCTGCAGAACCCTTCCTGTATACAGGGCTGAGTGGCTTTGCCGTCACCCAACCTACCAGGTCAGTAACCAGGCCGAGGCACACAGCTGGGGAAGTGCAGGACCCCCGCCAGGCTCTGGGCTCTGGGCTCTGCTCTAACCCCAGCCCCGAGGCCTCCTCTCCTGGTGCGCATCCGCACTGGTCATCTGGCACGGCTGGGTCTGCTGCCACTCTCTGAAGCCCAGCTGGGGCCCTTCCCCACCCAGATCACCATCAGGAGGCCACATTATGGAGCTATGCTAACCAGCAGCCACTGGCCACATGCGGCTACTTTAACATAAATTAACCAGAATTTCTGACAACTTAGGGAATCAACTCTAAAATGAGAGCTTCCTCTCTCATTTCTAGCCACGTCTCAAGTGCTCGGCAGCTCCGCGTGGCCGCCGGACAGTGCAGACCTGAAGTGTCTCCGTGACTGCGGGGGGTGTTTCCATCACTGCGGGGGGCGCGGCTATTTATGTGCCTGTCTTCTTACCTGACACAGAGATGCTGTCTTCTCATCTGCGCCAGCCATCGGGTGTTCTGTGAAAGTGGCATAGGGCACGTTGGTAGACCAGGGATTCCATCTGTTTATGAAGGAAGGACGACTTTGCTTGTCCCACTGAATTCGAATCCCAAAACCTTCTCGCCTGAAAAGTCAGAAGAAATAGCCAGACTTAGCATGGCAGGCCACAGTGCTCTCATGGACAATCTGACAGTCTCATCAGTTAGGAGAATATGACAGCAAAAAGCACACGTTTACAGAAAAGACCTATGACATATCACAATGGAAAACGGCTTGTAGTTTTTATTTTTGTTTTTATTTATTTTTATTTTTTGAGATGGAGTTTTGCTCTTGTTGCCCAGGCTTGAGTGTAGTGGCCTGATGTTGGCTCGCTGCATCCTCCACCTCCTGGGTTCAAGCGATTCTCCCAACTCAGCCTCCGGAGTAGCTGGGATTACAGGCATGCACCACCACACCCAGCTAATTTTGTATTTTTAGTAGAGACAGGGTTTATCCATTTTGGTCAGGCTGGTCTCAAACTCCTGACCTCAGGTGATCCGCCCGCCTCAGCCTCCCAAGGTGCTGGGATTACAGGCGTGAGCCACCGTGCCTGGCCGGCCTGTGGTTTTTAGTAGTAACTTCAATCTCCACTAACAATTGCTTTAAATACTGTGGGTATAAATATGACAAATTAGGTATATTTTGGTTATTAAATGTATTATTTTGGTAATCTTTACATGATTAAAAATTAATAAACAGGAATACTGGCTGGGCACGGTGGCTGACATCTATAATCCCAGCGCTTTGGGAGGCCAAAATGGGCGGATCTCTTGAGCCCAGGAGTTTGAGAACAGCCTGGGCAACCTAGCAAAACCCCATCTCTACAAAAAATACAAAAATTAGCTGGGTGTGGTGGCGGGCACCTGTAGTCCTAGCTACTTGGGAGGCTGAGGTGAGAGGATCACTTAAGCCTAGGAGGTGGAGGATGCAGTGAACCAAGACTGCACCACTGGTGCCTGGGTGACAGAGTGGGACTCCGTCTCAAAAAAAAAAAAAAAAGGGAATAATTATAGATAGGCTAGCCAAATGAGTGAAAAGGAAGTGTAATCTTCCTTTTCCTTATGTCATATTAAATGTTTTAACCAAAAGGTAAAATTTTTATTTTAGCTTCCTGAATCCCCCATCCAAATCTCTCCATCAAAAACCCAAGTTCTACAGCTTAACTGACTGTAGTAATGTTTAGGTTCCTCACGTCAGAAAATTATCCTACAGCAAAAAGATCAACTCCTGAAAGCTGGTCATTAAATATTTCCAAATTTGTCTTTTAGTGGTATCTATAAATTACAACGGGACCCTCCATTTCTCTTTAAAAAATTAGCCAGAGCAAGACTTGATGTGTCATATGCAATCTGTCCCTGGCTGGAGAAAAATGCAGAGTTTGGACTTTTCCTGAAGAACATCCAAGTTCCTTTTTAACACGCTGGGCTCTACTTCAATGCATCCTGAACTCATGTAAGTCTTTTTACTACCAGCCTAATAGCTGCCTTCTGTGCCAGAATTCCTTTTAATGCACTCAATTGCCCAGAAGTCGCTTCTTTTTAAGGAACTTCCCATTGATATTTGGAGCTGGAGCCTTTGTGCTTATAATTAATGACAGAGAAGACACACCGCTTGGGGGGCTGATTTAAAAGGGCTGAATTGTAAGGTCCACTCTGGTGCTTAGGTCCAGTGATACTGGACTCTGAACAGGCTTACTTGTTGAGCGATTTAGGGGGAAACTGGAATTCTCCGTAGGAAATGGTGTCTACTGCGTTGAGCGCTATCCGCACCACCTGCTGGCACTGGAGACTGATGAAGTCGTATTTACAGATAAGCAGGGACTGCTCCGTGACCAGCACCAGCCGCTCCTTCTCATTGTTCCAGTGATCCACCCTGTAGGCAGAGGAGGGGCCTCAGTCCACACTGGACGCGGCTGTCTCGACTTAGCCAAGGCCAGCCCGCCTGGAAGGGCAGCAGGGGCGGCACGGGGCGCCTGAGCGTGGCACGAGCACCCCGGGAAGTCCTCGCAAGGTGCTGCGCGGCGGCTCGGGGCGAGTCCCCCCACCAAGGAGAGCGCAGCCCCGGCTTACTCGGTAAGCAGCCACACTCCCTGGATCTCGCCGTCCTCCACGGGCCGCACCACCACGCGGATCTCCTCCACTGCCTGCTCGATGCTGCCGGGCTGGGCGGGTTGCGGGGTGGGGGACGGGGGCAAAGATCACAGGTCACAGCTCGCTCCCTGCGGGACCGCCCGGCGCCCGCCTCCGACCCCACCCGCCCCCATCCCGCCCCGCGCCCTCGGCCCCCGCCCCGGCCCTGGCCCCTGCCTCACCCGGAACACGAAGTACTCCTTGACGCGGGCGCGGCGCGTGGGGTCGTGGATGCTGAGAGGCCAGAGTGTCTGGCGCAGCGGCGTCCCCGCCCCCGGCCGCCCCCCGCCCGGGCCGCCGCCTGCCCCCACCTCCTCGCCGGCCGCCAGCACCGCCGTGGGGCTCGTACCGGCCGAGTCCACCGAGTCCCGCAGTTGCAGCATTGCCGCACCCCTTACCGACCCCGACCCTGACGCCGACGCGACCGCCGTCGCCGCAGCCACCGCCACCACCCGGCCGCGCCCCCGGCCCCGCCCCGCGGACCGCCGCGATTGGCTCCGCCTTGCCGGCCCCGCCTCTGGCTCCGCCCCTTCCCGCGTCCGCCGACCCTCGGGATTGGCTCTCCTCCTGCCGTTTTCCGCGATTGGCTCTGCCCCGCCGCCGTTCACAATCGCTCCCGCCCCTCGCCGGGCCGGAAGCGACCGTCACGCGCAGGCTCACTTCCTGTTTACACAACGAGAAGGGGCGGGGCCGAAGCCGGTTGCCAGGGTGTCGCGGAGCGGCTGGGAAGGAGGGGCTGGGAATCTTGGAGCCCCTTGGCCCGCGGGGAAAGCGGGTGACCCGCCCTGCAAGTGGGATGCCCCCTTCGGCCTTCTGGAGCGCAGGTGGGGGCGCGCGCCCATCGGGGGCTCGCACTGCACGGAGGGTCGCGGTGCCGGGGAGCTGAGGTTGGAGGATGCAGGGCGGCGGCCCTGGTGCACCGTGGGGGAGTTCGCACGCCGGGCAGCGATCTTCTGCCGGGACCTGGCGTTCTTCACACACGGCTTATTCGTGACGGATCCACAGAGCAATGCACTCTGAAGCCGGAGGGTAGAAAGTGCTGGAATGCGCGCCCGGGCCCAGGCTGTCGCGAGCCTTCAGCAAGCCAGTGCACACAGAGAGGGCTGCCCAGAGATCCCGGTCAGCGCTCGCAGTTCGAGGTGGAACATGTGTGTGCCCTGCGCTAGCCCCAGCTCCCGGAGGTGCCCCCAGCGCGTGTGGAGGGGGGCGGTGAACGGACCCGCAATCTGGTGGAGGCTGCGGGAAGGAGGCGCAGAGTCCAGGGGTCAGGGTTACCTTCGGGCAGGAGGACAGATCCCTCTGCTCGGAGGTGAGGAAGACACACGAGGCGAGGTGCACACAGGCGAGGAGAGTGAGATGGGGGGAGAATGAGGAGTTCAGGATACATCTGTTTACTTCAGTCAGGGAGTGGGGATGGAGCGGAGTATTTGTAAAGATGGACGGTTTAGAATCGCCGGGATGAGAACCGGGCAGGGAGCTGATCAGGGAAGGGCATGGGGATCTCTGAGCAGCTGGGAGACCCCAGGGAAGTTTGCAGTGGCGCCTCCCACGCGGCAGCTGGGGGAGTGGAAGAAACCAATGCTGGCTGGTCTAGATGGAGGAGTTTGCTGGGTAGCGGTGGTCAAAGACCAGAGAGAAAAGGGAGGCCAAAATCCTAGAGGGAGTGTTGCCCAAGAATGGTGGAGTGCAGGGATTCTGCCCCACTTGCCAGCAGACAGGCCAGGCTGCCAAAGTTGCATGGGCGCTGGCAGAAAGACCCAATACCCCTGGAGTCAGAGAGGAAAGACTACAACAGGAAACGGGCGACGCTGGTGTGCCCAGACGCATGTTGCACCACAGCGGGTGCACTACAAAACAGGACCCTGGATCCTGTGGACCAATGTGGTCTTTGTCCCACAGGGAGGCTGTCTCCCCGGCAAGGGTGCCCACTGCAAGCACAGGCGTGAGAAATGGCCCAGAAAAGAGTGGTCAGGGCAATGTGTTCTTGGCACGCCCAGCAAGACCTGCCAGAGGGACCTACAGACGAGTGTCTCCCAGCTATCTTACCAGCGGGGACCTTGAGGTCCAAGTATCCAGTCCGGTTAGAAATGGCCGCGGATCCAACAGGTGCTGGTGAGTGGGAGAATACCCCTGAGGGAGGAAGAACAGAGGCCGGGAGGGAGCTGAGTGGATGTAGATGAGAAATACCTGGACAGCTGCAAGCTGTAGTCAGTGATGGGCAACTGGAACCAGAGATTCCAGAGAGAGGGAGGGAGAAAGAGGGAGGAGAAGGGAGAATGAGAAAGAGAGGGAGAGAGAATGGGGGGGAGAAAGAGGGAGAATGGGGGAGAGAGGTAGGAGCAAGTTCTGGACCACGCCAAGGATGGAGCTGTGGTCCTGGAACCAGATGTCCAGGGAATGGGATGAAGTGACACTGGCTGGGGCCGAGGCTGCAGACTGCTGGTGGGAGCTGGCAGGACAATGAGGATTCTGAACCAGGTGCCTGAGCCTTCTGTGGATATGGGGAGTGACTTGGATGTCTATAAATTCCAGAAATGATAGGAGGGATAGATGATGGAGGGACTGTATTTTAGACAATAAACAAATTTCACTCAGTATGGATGAGTTTCCTGGGGCTTCTGTCACAATGCATCACAAACTGGTTTTAAAAACAACAACTGTTTTAAAAACAACAGAAACGTGTTTCCTCATAGCCCTGGAGGCCAGAAGTGCAAAATCAAGGAGTGTGCAGGGCCATGCTCCCTCTGCAGCCCTGAGGGTTGACGCATGTCTTGCTCTGCCAGGCCTGCTTGGTGTCCTGGGCTTGCTCATGCACTGCTCCCATCCCTGCCTCCATCTTCACACGACCTTCTCCAGGTGGGTCTCTTCTGCAACATCCCTGTTGGATTAGGGACCACCCTAGTGACCTCATCTTTAGTCGATCATCATCATGTTTGATCAAATAAGGTCACTGTGTTTGTTTGTTTTCCCACTGCTATTAATATGAAGAACTTACCTGAAGCTGGGTAATTTATAAAGAAAAGAGGTTTCATTGACTCACAGTTACACATGACTGGGGAGACCTTAGGAAACTTACAATCATGGCGGAAGGCAAAGGGGAAGCAAGGCACGTCTTACATGGCGGCGGGGGTAGTGGGATGTGCCACACTTAAACCATCAGATCTTGTGAGAACTATGACAAGAACAGCACGGGGGAAATCGCCCCCATGCTCCAATCACCTCCCACCAGGTCCCTCCCTCGACATGTGGGGATTACAATTCGAGATGAGATTTGGGTGGGGACACAGCTAAACCATATCATTCTACCCCGGCCCCTCCTAAATCTCATGTCCTTTTTACATTTCAAAACCAATCATGCCCTCCCAACAGTCCCCCAAAGTCTTATTTCAGCATTAACTCAAAAGTCCACAGTCCAAAGTCTCATCTGAGACAAAGTCCCTTCTGCCTATGAACCTGTAAAATCAAAAACAAGTTAGTTACTTCCAAGGTATAATGGAGGTACTGGCACTCGGTAAATGGTCCCATTCCAAAAGGGAGAATTTGGCCAAAACAAAGGGGCTAAAAGCCCCATGCAAGTCCAAAATCTAGTGGGTTAGTCATTATATCTTACAGCTCCAAAATAATCTCCTTTGACTGCATGTCTCACATCCAGGGCCACACTGATGCAAGGGGTGGGCTTCCAAGGCCTTGGGAAGCTCTGCCCCTGAGTGCCTACGGCTTTTCCAGGTGCAGGGTGCAAGCTGCTGGTAGATCTACCATTCTGGGGTCTGGAGGACAGTGTCCCCCTTCTCGTAGCTCCACTAGTCAGTGCCTGTGGGCAGCAAGCCACCCCGGTGCTGAGGCAAGAGACCGAGGGCACGAGCTGTTCCGGTGTAATAAGATATATAAAATAACAAGAGTTATACTAGATCTAGATCATAGATATGATTATATGTAAATATCATTAATCATTAATTTGTAGTAATTGCTCTTTATTCCAATATTATAATAATCCTCGCTCTACAATCATAACCTAGAAAAAACCAGGCCGTACAGAGATGGGAGCTGAGGGGACATGGTGAGAAGTGACCAGAAGACAAGTGCGAGCCTTCTGTTATGCCCGGACAGGGCCACCAGAGGGCTCCTTGGTCTAGCGGTAACACCAGCGTCTGGGAAGACGCCTGTTACCAAGCGGACCGTGGTCTAGTGGCAGCGTCAGTGCCAAGGGAAAAGCACCCACTACTGAGCAGACCAGGAAAAGGAGTCTCCCTTTCCCCAGGGGAGTTTAGAGAAGACTCTACTCCTCCACCTCTTGTGGAGGGCCTGACATTAGTCAGGCTTGCCCACAGTTATCTGGAGGCCTGTCTCCCTGTGATGCTGTGCTTCAGTGGTCATGCTCCTGGTCCGCTTTCATGTTCCATCCTGTACACCTGGCTCTGCCTTTTAGATAGCAGGTGCAAAATTAGTGGAAGTACCAGAAGTCTCTGATATGCGGAAATAATGGCGTAAGCTGTCTCTCCTCTCTCTCTCCGCCTCAGCTGCCAAACGGGGAAGGGCCCCCTGTCCAGTGGACATGTGAACCACGTGACCTTACCTATCATTGGAGATGAGTCACACTCCTTACCCTGCCCCCTTGTCTTGTACCCAATAAATAACAGCGCAGCCAGGCATTCGGGGCTGCTACCGGTCTCCGCGCCTTGGTAATAGTGGTCCCCCAGGGCCCAGCTGTCTTTTCTTCTATCTCTTTCTCTTGTGTCTTTATTTCTACGATCTCTCATCTCTGCACATGGGGAGAAAGACCCACTGACCCTGTAGGGCTGGTCCCTACAAGTGCCCCAGTGGGGACTCCGTGTGTGGAGGCTCCCACCCCACATTTCCCCTCTGCATTGCCCTAGCAGAGGTTCTCCATGAGGGCTCTGCCCCTGCAGCAGACTTCAGCCTGGACTTCTAGGTGTTTCCATACATCCTCTGAAATCTAGGCAGAGTCTCCCGAAGTTCACCTCTTGTCTTCTGCACACCTACGGGCTCCGCCTGGGCTGTCCCTTGACCCCTTTTGGCCCTGACTGGAGCTGATTTTGCCCCCAAGGCCTCTGGGCCTGTGATGGGAGGGTCTGCCGTGAAGCTCTCTGAAATGTCTTGGAGACATTTCTACAGCTGATGGCTTGAATTTCTCCCCCAGACAATGGGTTTTCTACCACATAGTCAGGCTGCAAATTTTCCAAACTTTTATGTCCTGCTTTGCTTTTAAACATAAGTTCCAATTTCAGATCATCTCCTTGTGAACGCACATGACTGTACACTTTCAGAAAAAGCCAGCTCACATCTCAAATGCTTTGCCGCTTAGAAATTTCTTCTGCCAGATACCCTAAATCATCTCTCTCAAATTCAAAGTTCCACGGATCTCTAGGGCAGGGACAAAATGCTCCTAGTCTCTTTACTAAAATATAGCTTTGCTCCAGTTCCCAGTAAGTTCCTCATTTTCGTCTGAGACCACATCAGCCTGGACATTGTCCGTATCACTATCAGCATTTCGGTCAGAACCATTCAACAAGTCTCTAGGAAGTTCCAAACTTTCCCACAGCTTCCTGTCTTCTGAGCCCTCCAAACTGTTCCAACCTCTGCCCATTACCCAGTTCCAAAATCACCTCCACATTTTCAGGTATCTTAATATCAGTGCCCACTATCCTGCTACCAATTTTCTGTATTAGTCCACGTTCACACTCCTATAAAGAACTACCTGAGCCTGGGTAATTTATAAAGGAAAGAGGTTCAATTGACTCACCATTACACCCGGCTGGGGAGGCCTCAGGAAACTTACAGTCATGGCGGAAGATGAAGGGGAAGCATGGCGGCAGGGGTGACGGGGGCGGGAAGTGCCACACATTTAAACCATCAGATCTCCTGAGAACTGACTATCACGAGAACAGCAAGGGAGAAATCTGCCCCCATGATGCAATCTCTTCCCACCAGGCCCCTCTCTCGACACGTGGGGGATTACAATTGGAGATGACATTTGGGTGGGGGCATACAGCCAAACCATACCAGTCATATCACACGCACTGGGGTTAAGACTGGACTGTGCCTTTCTGGGGGACACATGTAATGATGTGTCACACGTGCATGATGGAACGTCCAGCCGGATGGCTGCTCTCTCCACACACACTGGTCGTGGGGCAGGGAAGATGGTTCGTGATTGGGGTGTGGCTGTGAGGTCCCGGGAGGGGAGCCCCTGAGTTTGTGTATTTCTTGGGGCTTTGAAGGAGCTATTTCCATTTCTGTCAGCAGGTGGCAGCATCACCCATGCGAGGTCTTCCAATTAGAGGGCGCAGCTTCACGCTGGGTGTGTGTATTCAGGCCCTACATGAAGTCATTATTTATCTTCCTGCCACTGGAAATCTCCGCTGGGAAGTGTGGGTTTTTATCTTAATTTCCACATGTTATGGTTTTGCATTTTACAAAATCAGTGGGTCCTGCCTGTGCCCTTGTTCTCCGATGGATGTGGGAGTCAGGGGGCCACGTGCCAAAGGGCAGCCCAAGGGTTTGTGTCCTCTAGGTGCCGGCACCAGCTCCCCCAGGTTGGAGGTCAGTGTGCAGCCTGGAGGCTCTTCCCTCAGGCAGGGTCCTGGGCTTCCAGAGACAGCTGTGCTTTGGGGGATGCACTTTGGGCTGAGGAATGTTTCTCAGCCTCTCCCTTCTCCATGGAGCCAGGGCTGGGGCTTGGCGGGTCCCAGGGCTGTGTACGAGGGCTGGCAGTGCTTGGGGCAGTCGTGAGCGCTCAGGTGGTGTCTTGCAGACACAGCCCTTACTCTTTGGCAAGTCATGACAGAAGCAGAAGCAACTTCCACAAATAAATGCCTCTCCCTGCCGGCGGGGAAGGGGCCTTTCGGATGGGTTTGAGGATCAAGAGCAGGCTGCGGGGAAGTAGCAGGGGTGTCATTCTCGTGCAGTTCTCAAAGGCTGAGTCGCGTTGATGGTAATTTCCTCCACCTCTGCACCCCAGCAGGAGGATGGTTTTGCGCTGCTTCCCACCTGCCCCTCGCCGTGTGGGGCCCAGGGTCCCCAGGTGGTCTCTCGGCCGTGGATCCAGTGGGAAGGCCTGGTCTCGAGGGGTGGGCTTCCTTTGGGTGAGTGGGACCCAGGAGGAGGCTGGGAGACTTCAGGTTAACTTGGGGGCCAGAAGGTCTTAAACAGAATGTTGCTGGGGACTGTGTGTCGGTTCTGGTTCTGGTCAGCGTGGCAGGCAGGGTGCGGCCCACACCGCTCTGACCTTGAGAAATGCAAGGGCTGCACTGCACAAAGCCTGCTGGACAGCAGGGCGCCCTGCCTCCCAGGCTTGGCCTTGCTGGGGATGGCGCCGGGGTGATGGGGGAGCCTCTGTCTATTCCTGTGTGTAGGTGCTGCTAAGGTGGCTGGGGCCAGGGGCCTGCAGGGTGTCGCTGCCCCAGGGCAGGGCAGGGCAGCACCCGCTGTGGAGGCCCCGCTCCTCTCTGGGCCGGGGGCTCCCCAGGGACAGGGCCTTGGGTGCCTCACTCAGGAGTTTCCTGCAGTGCTGTAACAAGTGACCGAGGACCGGGCCAGCCTGTCTCTCTCCCAGCTTCTGGCAGCTCCAGCAACCCCCGGTTCCCCTTGGCTCATGGACACATCGCCTCGGTCTCCACGCTGCGCTCTCCCTGTGGCTCTGTCTCAAATCTCCCTCTGCTTTCTCTTACAAGGACGCCTGTCCGAGGATTTACAGCCTGCCGGGAAAATCCAGGATGCTCTCATCCGGAGATCCTTTACTTGATTATATCTGCAAACACCTTTTTTTCTTTCCCAGTTTAATTTATTTTTTCTTCAAATTTTGTTTTAAGTTCAGGGGTCCATGTGCAGGATGTGCAGGTTTGTGACACAGGTAAATGTGTGCCGTGGTGGTTTGCTGTGCAGGTCAGCCGTCACCTGGTTATTCAGCCCAGCATCCATTAGCTCTTCTTCCTGATGCTCTCCCTCCCCACCACCCCTCCACAGGCCCCAGCGAGTGCTGTTCCCCACATGTGTCCATGTGTTCTCATCATTCAGCTCCCACTCATAAGTGAGAACATGGGGCAGACACCCTTTTTTCAAATAAGGTCACATTCACGGGTGGCAGGGGAGGATGTGGGCCAACGTCTTTGGAGGCCACTCTTCAACCCAGTAGGCTGTGTCCTGAGCTGCTAGCATGGTGGCGGGAGTAGGTACAGTTTTCCATCTGAGTGTCAGCACCTGGTCTGAAACACCTTCATATTTCCAGACCTAGCTTCATCCTGATGCTGCCCCCGAGGTTGGAGGGAGGGATGGCAGGAGCCGGGGGTGGGAGGGCGGGCAGTTGTGGGGGCCTGCATGGCACAGCCCAGGCCTGTGTGTCCGGGGTTGGAGGGTTGGAGGGAGGGATGGCGGGAGCAGGGTGTAGAGGGGGAAGCCTGCACGCCGCAGCCCAGGCCTGTGTGTCTGGCCACTGTCTGGTCCTCAGAACAATAGCTGTGCTTGCTGGTACCATGGTTCAAACGCTGAGCAGGAACTGGAACCGGAGGTTGCCCCTCTGCTGTCTCCATTGTCATTCAGGAGGACACAGGCACAGAACCAGGAAGGAAGACATCCCAGCCAGGCGGCAGTTGGGACACTGGGGTTCTGACCGGGCCATCTGCTCCGGGATTCCCGTTCTCCCCCGCCACGCTTGGGGCCACATCACACAGCCCACCTTAGGTATGCCACAGATTGATCTTTTCACTTTACTTTCTCTTTTGGGGCAAATTCAGAGGCTTAGAAATGAATTCAGAGTCGGCTACCCAAAGGCTGGCCATAGACTCAGTTACGTATTTGGTGCAGGGTTTCTGGTGCGATCCTTTGCTATCTGGAGAGACTCCCACCCCGTCTCTCACCCCCGGCCTCCCACCCCCTCTCTCACCCCCGTCTCTGGCCATCACCTGCACGTGCTGGGTGTTGCTGGATTTTGTGGTCATCTCACACTGGGGGTGCTGGCACAGACTGGGGCGGTCCGGGGTGGTCGTTGGTGTTGATGTGAGGAACAGACCGGGGCGGTACGGGGCAGTCGTTGGTGTTGACGTGAGGACTGCTGCGGGCACCTTGCATCTGAGGGTCAGAAAACACCTTTAGCATCAATGACTTTGCTCACTCTCCTATCAGGAGAAATGTCTGTGAAAATTCAGAAAAGATGCTGGATTATTTTCTTGGATTGACAGAAATGTTCGTTCGGGGAGCTTTCAGGGATGTTTTGCATCTCTCTGTGGGACTCTCAGCTCTGGAAGGATTAAAGTCAGGCTGCAGGGAAGGAGCGTGCAACCGCCAGCCCGCGGACCGGACATGGGGAGCAGTTTGCTTTGGAAATTAGCACCTTGAGTTATCCACTGAGCTGGTAGTTTGATTCTTCTTTCTCCCTACGTTATTTCTCCTCCATCCAAAGGCTGTTTTTATTATTTCCAGCAGAGAATGAGACAAAAACATGGAAAGGTAGTGTCTTTTAGTAATGCTTTTCAGGCAAGCTAGAGGAATTGTTTGCCAGATTTAAAAATGGAAGAAATGGAAGCCTGTCCACTCCTTATGTCTACTGGGGAGAGGCTCTGAGCCAAGCCCAGTTCTGCGTGTAACCCAGGAGTGGTGGCCTGGGTGCCCCACCAGGCCTGAAGCAGTCGAGGCCAGGTGGGATAAAGAGGGGAGAAGCAGGAGAGCTGAGCCCACTGGATAGGGTGGGGGGTGGAGAGGCTGGGACCAGGTGGGTGGGTCCCACACGCGGGCTTCCATGCCAGGTGCTGTGGCTCAGGGCCCTCTTGCAGGCCCGGGTGCGGGCATCTACATTTGGGGTCTAATATAGACCTCCATTCGGCCTGCTTCCCACCTGGTGCCTTCCCAAGAACACGCAGGGATGTGATGACTCACCGGGTCTGTACTTCCTAAGTGGAGTTGGCATACCTAACAGTGGAATTGGGATGTTTGGCTATGATTTCCTGAAAGGTGTTTAGGATGGAACTTGGTCTGGGAGCTGAGGCCTGAGCTGCAGCTGTAACCCAACAGGTCTCTGAAGCCATGGGAAGCCCCCACTTGGAAAGAGGACCAGAGGGAGGCCAGTGGGTCCAGCCATGGGACCAGCGGGTTCTAATACCTGCGCTCTGCACCAGGGGGCAGTGCCCTGCAACAATCTCTGCAGCCGCCCTTTCTCTCCTTTGCCTCCTTGGGGGGTCAGAAAGTGCACCCCCTGCTGCGGTCCCTGCCCTTCCCAAAGTTTGACGACTCTGAAAATGTCCTTTTTTCTCCATGCATACATTTAAGGCAATTGCAATGAGAAGTCCAATGCAACTTTGAAGGGACTGGGCAAAGTGACTCCAAAATTCATTTGGAAGAATGACGGATGGGAATTATCAGTGTAATTTTCAGGGGAAAGATGAGAGTAGTGGGGAGGTACTGGCTGTGCCGTCGTTTAGACAAGCTCCTGATAAGCTGTCATGAGAATCAACACGGCAGGCCCTTCTGTCTCATCCTGGGAATGCAGGGCAAGGAGGTTAAACGGTCTGGGGCTGAGCTAAGACCCAGTGGAAATACCCAGAGACAGAGTCTGTTTGTGATGAGTTCAGGATGAAGAGGCTGCCTCGCATCAGTGGAAGGAGCTGGGCTGGCTGCTGGTGCCTGAACCACTGGCTAACCAGGGAGATTCCTCCTTCACGGCGGACAGCAGAATAAATGCTGAGGGAAATACGTAAATAAATGCAATGGAAGCAACAAAAAAGAATAAACATTAGTGAACCTTCTAAGCTTAGTGCTTACTTCTAAGCAATGGAGGGAACTGCAGAGGAAAAACTACATACATCTTAGTACATGAAATTCAAAGCTTATATAGTCTGACAACCTCAGTAACCATATTAAAACCAAAACTACAGACTGGGAAAATGTTTGCAGTAACTGTCCCACAGACTGTCACTTTATTATGAAAATGGACAAAGATCATTCTTGGAGAATATTTACTGTGCTCTGCGTAGTTTATTTTTTGCTACAAAAGAAACCTTGTCTACCATGAGTTCAATCTGCATACAGAAGTGTATTAAACACACACGCCAGGCTGATGCCTTTTTTCATGTATCAAGTCTAGGCACCCTCTTTGGCGCTCGGCTGTCTTGTGGGCAGGAAGACACACTTTGGGACTGAGACAGTCACATGTCTGAGTGACACCCATGCCCTCCAGTACCAGGCTGGGCAGAGGACCTGGGCTTAGGGTGGAGGGGGTGAGATATAGGGGCACGGACAGCCCCAGGGGCCTGCCTGTCAGAGAAGTGAGCTGCCTGCTGTGCCTGAGAATGAGGGTTCTGTCTATGGACGAGCGAGCGCAGTGGGGGAAGACCACAGACCTCCCCGGTGGATTGCCCCCATCACCCTGAAAGGCGTGGGAAAAAGCTATGCATGGCCTGGGAGGGCACGGCAGGTGTCCTGACCGCAGGGATTTCCAGCAGGAAGGACATATCCCCTTCCTGCCTGCCTCTCCACCTGGGGCCTACCCAGGACTCTTCCCCCAGCTGCTCAACACAATGCCTGGGACAGGAGAGCACAGCAGCAGTGCCTGGGACAGGGGAGAGCACAGCGGCAGTGCCTGGGACAGGGGAGAGCACAGCGGCAGTGCCTGGGACAGGGGAGAGCACAGCGGCAGGGTTCTGCGGGGCCAGCAGAGGTCATGTTTCAGGGCCCTAGAAATGCATACACGAGGCCGAGTATTTTTGTAAAATAACTTACTTTTATATGATTTTTCTTCCAGAGGGCCCCTCATTTTATACGTTTCAGGCTGCTTGAAACCTGAACCCTCCCCTGCCCAGAGACCTCCTTTTGAACCCACAGGATCCATCCACATTCTTTCCTTCTTCCTCTGATAAGCTGGAGAATGTTCTCAAACAGTGAGTCATCCTCCTCCACCCCCGTCCCAGGGCCGGCTGGAATTCAGCAGAGAAGCAGGTGAACTTCTTCAAGGTGTTAATTCATTCACTTGACACACACTTGCTGACCACCCATGGGTGCCAAGCCAGCTCTCAAAGAGCAGGAATCAGATGTAAAGATGGGGAAGCCATTCCACAGCTCTCAGGGTGGGGGAGACACTCACGGGCTTGCACCTCCACCCGAGGACAGGGGCCCAGCGCAGAAGTGGGGCACTGGGGAGGTTTTCTTGGGTGCAGGCTCTTGGGAGACCAGGAGGAAAGTAGCCCCCAAACCCAGGCTTGGGGCAGCCCCTGCAGCCGAGATCCCGGGAAGGGTGGTCAGTGGGGGTGGGTGAGAGGCAGAATTGAGAACCCCGTAGGACAGAGTAGGGCAGTGTTTGGAGCATCAGCAACGGGGGCACCAACTGGTAGCTGGGGTTTTAGAAGACAGTGAACTAGCTCACCTCTTGGGGATTCCTGGCTATTTTGTGCCTGTCAATGGTTGTTGTTGTTGTTTATAAGCAGCAGATTACAGGGTTAGGCGAAGGTCCCCAGAGCCAGACCCCTATGTTCAGTTCCCGGATCTGCAGTTCACAAGCTGGGTGATTTGGGGTGCTCCCCCTCCTGTGACCTAGGTCTCCCCTTCTGTAAAGCTGGGGTGACAGCAAGGCTGGCCAGACGGCCACCCACCCCCAGAGGACTGTAGCCTCCAGGTGGTGTGGAGGCACAGACAGCCTGTGTGTGTTGGGGGTACTGTTGTCCCTCCTATCGGGACAGTCAGGGGGTGCTCCCTTCCCAAGCCCCTCCCAGCCAGGGCTCCCTCCAGTGCTCCCTATTAGCGAAGTTCCTCCCCCAAACCACACGAAGCCTTGGAGGGGGAAGGTTCCAAGGAACAGGGCCTGGCCAGGCTTCAGTGGCTGAGCTGATGGTCAGCGCACCTCTCTAGCAGGGACCGGCATGGCTGGCTCTTTGTGTGGCTAATGAGGGGGCCACACCTGGCCCCCATCCGGTCTCACCCAGGTTGCACCTCCCTCCGCTATTCAAAAAGAGACTCTCCTGAGTGTCTGGTAGCTCTGACACCAGAGACTCCATCTCCATCCCTGAGACTACCTGGTCCTGGCCCCTGGAGTCAATTTCAAACCAAAACCAGGTTTCAAAGGAGACAAGTGAATCTTGCTTCGCAGAAGCCTCACCCTAGACAGTGCCTCTCTGCCCATGGGCACCCTAGAAGTTAGCACCCTAGACAGTGCCTCTGTGCCCATGGGCACCCTAGAAATTAGCGCCTCCTCCTGTCTGTGGCTGCTGGGACCCCGCGCCCACCCACTCCAGGCCACTGTCCAAGAACATGCAGCACAGAAAGAGGAACGGGGATGCCCAGAAGGTGGTTGGGAACCAACAATGCAGGTCCCCGAAGCAGGGGTGTCCAGGGTGCACGCGGGCTGCAGAGGCTGGCCACGCCCTCCTCAAGCCCTTCCCCGACCCCTGCCCTGCGGGAAGTGGGTGAGGTGTCAGGGCGAAGGTGGACGGAGCGTCCACGGGCAGGACAAGCCGAGGCTGGCTTCCCCGTGGGACTTGAGAAGTGAGGGAGGCTGAGGGCTGTCTCCTGAGATCGAGGTCTGGGGTCCGGGATCCCAGAGAGCTGCCTTTGCGGGGTGTGGCCCCCTGGCGCCCGGCCCCTCCTGGATTGGTCACTGGAGTCGGTTAGGACTTGGACTTTCCGCATGAGACGAGCAGGGAGCGCAAAGGGGCTGCGCCAGCCCCGCGGGGTCTGGGGCGGGACTCGGGAAGGCTGTGGGCGGGGCCGGGACCGGAGAGGGGAGGGGGCTAGGGGCGGGGCTGGAAGCAGGAGCCGGGCTGGGGTGAGGGATACGGGCAAGTACAGGGGCCGTGCCGGGGGCGGGGCGCTGGTGGGGTAGGAGATGGGGAGGGGGAAGGGGCGGGGCCGAGGGCGCAGGGGGCGGGCGAGCCAGGGCGGGTCGGGACTGGGGTCCGGGCTGGGGGCGGGCCGGGGGCGTGGCGGCTTTCCAGGCTCTGAGTCCGGGGCACTGTGCTCAACGCGCCGGGGCGAGTTCCTGCAGGGTGGACCCGGCGATCAGGTCTCCGCGGTGCCACTTTGGGCGCGGGCGGGAAGCCGGGACGCTCCGCACCTGCAGCGACCTTGGGCTCCGCGGAGCGGGCGCGGGCACCTGTGGCTGCGTCCTATGGCGCACGTGGAGGCGGAGGCTCCGGGGAGCCGCCGGGGCCGCCTGTGAGCCGGAGAGCGGAGGAGGCACCGGCGCGCACGATGTCGTTCCTTGAAGAGGCGAGGGCAGCGGGGCGCGCGGTGGTCCTGGCGTTGGTGCTGCTGCTGCTCCCCGCCGTGCCCGTGGGCGCCAGCGTTCCGCCGCGGCCCCTGCTCCCGCTGCAGCCCGGCATGTGAGTAGCAGGAGCTGGGAGGGCTCGGCCGGTCGTCCAGGGACCCCGGGGCCTCTGGAGGCCCGTGGTGGACCGAGCTCCGAGGCTTTGTCCCTGGGGCTCCAGAACAATGGGCTGTTTGCGTTAACTGGGGAGGAGGTGGCTGAGACACAGGGCTCCAGGGTCGAGTCTGGGGCCCTTCTGTGGCAGGGCCCCTCGCCGTGTCCCCTCCCCCCCTCCCACTCTCCCCTTCTTTTGCTCCGTGATGTGGGTCCTGCAGGCTCAGGCAGATACTGTACTTGGAAGCGGTGAGGAATCTGGGCCCCTTTCCGGGCAGGGTCTGGCCCCAGAGCCCGGCTGGGAGAAGGCAGAGAGGAAGCCGTCTGTTCCCGCTTCCCTCCAAAGCCTGTCTCCTGGGGTCTGGGGGCCTTCGCAGGGGCGAGCAGTGCCCAGATGGGGGAGCTGAATGGAGTTGGTCTGTGTGGTAAACATGTGTGCTTTGGGCTGTTGGAGAAGGAACTGAGTGCCAGAATGGGCAGGAAGCCAGCCGAGATGAATTTAATTTTGAAAGATGATTCCCCAACGGGCCGTTTAGCGGTCTCTCATGAACAGCAAATCAATCCTTGTGTTGGCCTCAAAGGAAAACGTGCGGCAGTGGAGGAGGAGGAGGAGGAGGAGGAGGAGGGGAGTCGCTGGCGCCCCCACCCAGCACTCCCTGGCCTTGCTGGCAGGGGTGGGTGGGCGAGGGCCAGGTCCAGGTGAAGGCCTCCTGTCTGACAGCCTCCCCGTCCAGGGGCCACAGAGGGGCCCTCAGGCTGTTCCCGTCCAGCACTCCCCAGCAGGGCCTGGTGCTCTAGGGCCCACCACAAACCTGGCGGTGCAGGACCAAGCTGCAGCTGGCTGGGGACTGACAGAAGAAGCTGCCACGTCGAGCTGGTGAAGAGGAGGGGGTCCAAGCTCCCAAGACCCCACCCTGGGTCTGGCTTTACTCCAGAAAGTGGAGGCCTTTTCAAAGCCATGCTGTCCCTGGGTTGGGGGCCTTGGCATCCGCAGTGTGAACGGCCCTAGTCCTGACTCCACATGACGGCGGGACATTCCTCTTTCCTGTGATTCCAATGCCTTTGTCCGAGGAGAGCTGCAGGCTCAGAAGGGACACAACAGTGGCCTTCGCTGCTCAGCCAGCCACCTCCTCCCAGGACCAGCCAGGGGCTTCCAGGGGCATAGGCTCCCCAGAGTCCCAGGGGTGGGCTGCTGCTTGGCGGAGGTGGATGTCCCGCTGTCTCTGCTCGGATGTCCCTGCTCTTGCGAGGGGCCTCTGCCACCAGTGCACTGTGGAAACCGTCAGCGACCTTCCTGGGCCCGCTGCCGGACTCAGACTTGCTGGGGTCTCCAGGGGAGGAGTGGAGGGTCTGCTTCCTGTGTCCTGCCTCTGCACCTGGGCTCGGGAGGTCCTTCGTGACCCTGGGGCAAAGCTGTTTGAAGTGGTGGAAATGGGTTGCAGCAGAGTTGGCTCTCTTTGCTCATCCTTTCTCCAAGCCTCCCCTCCTCTCCCTTCTCTGTCCTTCACATCCTGCTCTTCTCCTGGGGAGCCTCCCTGGCTGCAGTAAGTGGCGGTGGCTGCGCTGGGGGCCTGTGCCCCTGGTTTATCTTCTTGGCTGCAGGCGTATCCACTGGAGGCCTCTGCTCACAGATCGTCCACCAGCGAGAGTCTGAGTTCTGTGACGGTGGCAGGCGTGCCTTCCACAGGCCTGTTGTCCTGTAAGCACCTGGCACGTGCCTGGACGTGCAGCCAGGCCGCAGTGGGCCGGAGTTGGTGGGCTGAGTGAGTGCGGGGACCCTGCGCTGGACCCTGGAGAGGTCCCCACTGGGCTGTGGAGTGCAGGGCCCGTTCTGAGGCTCACTCTGTGGAGCAGAAAGGAGGAGGAAGCTGTGGGCTCTGGTACGGGGGTGGGGCAAGGGCGCTGTTGGCTCCCTTACCCCAGAGGAGCAGGCCAGATCCCAGAGAGTGCTCAGTCCCTGCTGATCCTGTCCTCCCCATTACCCTTTCCTCCTGGGAATCTGATGAGCAGGCAGGGCTTGGCACGGGGCAGCGGCACCCCCGCTGGCTGAGTGTTCCTGAACCACTGGCTGCTGAGTTGAAGCGTTACTGCCAACCTCCTGTTAATGCTAGAAGCCGGGGCCTCTAGGAGACGCTGTCGGAGGCAGCGAGGGGTGTGCCCTCCAACTCGCAGATCCAGGTGCTTTGCCCCATCCCTGGAGCGGGCAGAACTGATCTATCTGCTGATTCAGGTCACTCCAAAGTGAATTTCCACTATGAGGAAGGATGGCTGGCCTCCTTCCTGGGGCCTCATGCAGGAGGCCTAGGCTGCTGGCTGGGCATCTGGGAACGGGGTCTGGGAGACGGGGGCCGATTGCCCACCTGCTAAGGCATGGACCCGCAGGGCTCGGACCAGCCATGGTTGGAAGCTCCACATTTTGGAGACCCTGAGAGGTGCTGCTGGGCTACAGAGAGGAGTGTCTGCTTCGCGGGGCTCAGGTTCTCTCTGATGGAGTCCCCTCTGGGCAGCTGTGCTACAAAAATGGCCAGTGTTCTGGAATCAGCTAATGATATGATGCCTTCCCTCCAGGGCGGGTCGGGCCCTGCAAGCTCAAGTCCAATCTTGCAAGTAGCTCTTTGGATCCACTGGGGCCATGGGCTCCAAGGGCCCCATTCGTGAGCCTGAGGCCTGCAGGTTGTCAGCAGGCCTGCTCCCCGACCCCAGGGTGTAGAAGGCAGCTGTTCTCAGCCTCCCCTTAGGGCCATGAGTTTCACAGCACGTGACCTGGAGGGGAAGGAGCTCTCACTTCTGTGAGCTGCTGCCTTTGGGGCTTTGAGTGACATTGTTCATTGTCTCCTTGTCTACAGGAAGGTACCTGAGAGTCCGAGGGGCCCCAGGGCAGGAGCTGGGCTCCCCCAACCCCAGGGCCTTGAGATTCCCCGCATGCTGGCTGCATGGGGCCCTGGGAAGCATAAGCAGAGGAGAACCATGGGGGTAAAAACGAGCCTTTAAAAATAAGCGCGAGGCCGTTGGCCTGAGCGAGCCCCGCCCTCCAGGGCCGCTGTCCTGAGCGAGCCCCCCCAACTCCCCTCACCCCCGCCGCCCACAGGGGTTTGTTCAGGGGCTGCATTCAGCCAGGCTGGGGAGCTGAGCCAGGCTGGCTGCCTGCTTTCTGGATCCCCGCCCTCCCCAACCTGGTGATGCCGTCGCTGGGCCCAGACTGTCGCTGCCTGCCCTGGAGGGACCCCGCAGCATGCCCGCCCATCTCTTGCCCGTGGAGCCCCGGCTCTGCTCGGGAGCAGATGGCCCACCAGCTGGGAGCATTCCGCCTCCGACTGCACCAGGTCCACTTTGTAGTTTGGGAATTCCTGTTCCACGCCCCCAGATGGGAGGCGGGATCCAGCCGCAAGGAACAGAAAGGCCTGGGACTCTGGTCCTGTCAAAGGTCACCAGGTGCTTTATTGGGTTCTCCTCAGACCCATGTGCAGCAGTGGGAGGTTTCTTTTTGTCCATTCTTCTGCCTGCCCTTCCCCTGCCACCTTCTCCATCCTCACAGGTGGAAAGGCCGCCGGGGCCGTGCGGGTGCGGTGCTGTGGCCGTGTGTGCAGTGCTGAAGTCCCCAGAGGAGACAGTCGTTCCCACACTCACCCCCTCCTTGAAGGCTGGCTTGATTGATGATCAATCAATTTTGTTGGGGGTCACTGCAAGAGCCATCCAGGAGCTGCTTTCAGGGACCACAGCCTGGCTGGGCAGGGCAAGGGCCCTCCGTCCTTGGGGAGAGCCGTGAAGGGGAGGAGTTATTGGGGAGACATAGGGCGCACCAGGCG
Source organism: Homo sapiens (assembly GCF_000001405.40). Lineage (NCBI taxonomy): Eukaryota > Metazoa > Chordata > Mammalia > Primates > Hominidae > Homo > Homo sapiens. The sequence goes on along the minus strand of NC_000001.11, from coordinate 3,607,293 downwards.
GGCAGGGGCCGGGAGAGTGACGGGTGTGATGTGCGGGAAGGGCTGCTGGGTGGTCCAGGGTGGGGTTGGCAAGGGGTCTCGGTGAGTCCTTCAGCATTGTCGTCTTGCTGGTTAGTGGCAGCTGAGATTGCTGAGGTTTGAGGAGGGCCGGGAAGGACAAGAAGGCCCTTCTGAGGGGAGCACCCAACCCCTCAGTACCCCTAACCCCGGCCGTGTCCCTGATGTCTCCAAGCCCCGGAGGCCCAAGCTGTCATCACGCCTGCTTTCCAGATGCTGAATTGAGGGCTCAGAGATGGTCAGTGACTCCAGGCTGCACAGCAGGCCCCAGGCCTGGGGTGTCTGTTGAAAACCCAAGCTCACAGCTCTGCCCTCTCTGTGTCATCTCCATCCTGAGATGGTGACAGAGTCCCTTCACAGTGGCTGCCCTCAGCACAGGGGCCATCACAGAGTCAGGGGCTGGACCCTGTAGCCCAGAAGCTCAGGGATCATTGGCCTATTCCCCCCGGCTTCCGTTTTTTTATGGCAAGGAGTTCAAGGTCACCTGTGCCCAGGGCTCGCCGTGGGTAAGTGCGTTGCAAGGCACAGGGACGGCAAAAGCGTTCAATGCCTGTAGCAGTTCCTATGGCCCACTTTCCAGGTACAAGTGACACTTTTTCCGGAATAAACAGTCCCAGTATCTGCAGTAACACTAGCTCACACCTCCTGAGGGCTGTCGGGAGCCCTTTTCTGTGCAGGCTCATCTAACCCTCATGCAAACCTGGCAAGGTCACTGCTGTGAGTCCTCATTTTACAGGTGAGGAAACTGAGGCAGAGGTTCAGTAACCTGCGCGTCTTAAAGATGGGGCGTGGGGAGCTGAGATTCAAACCCAGGCTGCTTGGCGGTGAGACCTTGCTTCAAACCGCTAGGCCTGGGGTTACAAGCTTGAGTGTGCTCCAGCATCCCCTGGTGGGCTTGGGCAAACACACGCAATCCTTCCCACCCCGAGGAATGCTGGGCCCCACCCCCAGAGTCCTGGATTCAGTGGTCCAGGGTGGGGCCCAGGAGTGTGCATTTCTGCAGGTTCCCAGGAGAGGCTGCTGGTCCTGGCCGGGGGACCCCACTTTGAGAACCACTGCATGACGCTTTGCAGCCCTAGAGCCCGATGGTTGGTGGGGTGGGTGCGTTCATCACGAGTTCTGCCCTCCAAGATGTGCTAGTTCTTTAAAACACCTGTCTCTGATCCCAAATTTGACACTGTTACATGAAAGTGTGAATTTTTGAAGTTTCAGGGGGACAGAGTATCTGTCAGTAGGAGGAGGACAGGGTGGCACTGTCCCGGGAGGGGTTGGGGAGGGATCTTCATGAAGGGGCGCAGGAAGCACGGGGGTGCCACCGTGGAGCCAAGGCCATCCCTTGGGTGGGGGCCGGGTCCTGGAACCTGGAGAGAGTGGGCACGGCCTCCGCCCCTGACAGGAGGGCCACACCCCAGTGCCTCTTCCACATCTCTTCCTGGTCCTCCCATTGACTAAACCCACCTGGCAGCCAGAAGGCAAAGTGTGTAAGTGAGTGTGTGTGCCTGTGTGTGTATCTGTGAGTGTGTGTGAATGGGAGTTTGAGAGTGCATATGTGTGTGCGAGTGTGTGTGAGTTTGTGAGCTTGCATGCGTGAGAGTACAGAAGTGTGCGTGTGCATGAGTATGTATGTGATTGTGTGTGTGTCATTGTATGAGTGTATGTGTGTGTATGTGAGTGTATGAGTGTATGAGAATATGTGTGATTGTGTGTGAGTGTGAATGTGTATGTGTGTGATTGTGTGTGTATGTGTGTAATTGTGTATATGTGTGTATAGGTAAGCATATGTGTGTATGAGGGTGTGTGATTTTGAGTGTGAAAGTGATTGTGAGTTGTGTGTATGTAATTGTGGGTATGGTAGTGAGTGTGATTGAGTGTGTGTGAACGTGCGTGAGTGTATGAGCATGTTGAGTGTGTAAGCATGCATATGAATGTGAATGTGTGTGATTGCGTTTGTGTGATTGTGTGGGTGTGAGAGTATGTGTGAGTGCCTTCTGTTAGTGTGATTGTGTTCGAGTCCATGTAAAGTGTGTGTGACTGTGTGTGTGGGTGTGTGTGACTGAGTATGAGTAAGGGTGTATGTGACTGTGAGTGTGTGACTGTGTGTGGGTGTGTGTATGAGTGGTTGTGAATGTGTGTGATTGAGTGTGAGTTTGTGTGTGACTGAGAGTGTGAGTGTGAGGGTGTGTGTTTGTGTGTGTGCAGGTGCTGGGAGGATGTGATCCACAGAGGTCAGCCTTGGGTCACAGCAGGGTGGGGTGGGGCAGTGGCCCTGGGGGCTGTGAGACCATCCCCCATGGGTGCTGTAGTCTGGGGGTCAGGAATGAGGTCAGGACCCAGCCCCAGGGAGGCTGAGGAGGGCTCTCCCTGGAGACGTGACCCTCTGTCCCTGATCCAACCTCTGGTCCTGCCCCCTCCCCTATTCTCACTCTGGGATCCGTGGCCCTTAGGACACAGAGGCCCAACAGTGCTGGGGGAAGGTGGGAGAGACCTGGCCCTTAGTCATCACCATTAGCTGGTGATCTTGAGCAGATCAGGGGGTCACTGTCACTTCCTCCCTGGGAGGGGAGAGATTCGATGATGTAATGTCAGGAAAGGACCTGGTGCTGGGCACGGAGGAGGCACTCCTGAACGAGTCACCTCTTCCCCAGCTCCCAGGTAGAAATAGTCGGGGATTTTGGAAGTCTCGCTCTCCACCCAGGTGAGAGTTGTCTTCCTGGTGCAGGAAGAGGCAATGGCAGAGCCTTTCCACCTGCCCTGGGTTCGTGCAGCTGATCCCGCCTAGCTGGAGGGTCCCCATTGCTGCGGAGGCTTCTCGGCTGCAGCTGCCGGTCTGTCTGGGAGTTGGTGGGGAACCTGGACCCTGCTTATGGCCAGGAGGAGCTCTGCCCTGCCTCGTGCCCTGCCTTGTGCCCCACCCTGCAGTCACCTGGGCCTGGACTCCAGGAATCAACGCTACCTCGGGTGGGCAAGCCTCAGCCCTGGGATGGGACGTTTGGGAAACTGCGGGAGAGTGTGGGCAGAACCTCTCGGCAGGAGGTCATGGGCAGGACATGTCCAGCAGCAGCCCCAGCCCCTCTCGGACTTGACTGGAGACCTGGAGCTGGACTCTGGTCCCAGCCTTCGTCTGCCCCTTCGTGGGTGGGCAGCTGGAGGCCAGGGTCCCTCCTCTGGGTGCCACAGCAGCCTGGTGGAGCCCCTGCTGTCCCGGCTGGTGAGGCCCTGCCATTTGCCCCTCTCAGTTTTTGCCATCGCTATGTTGGGTCTGTGCTTTCTGGATTTGTTCAGCACAAGGGGGTGGGCTGAAGTCAGAGGGGACACAGGGCTTCCCACACAGCACGAGCCCCAGGAAAGAGGAAAAATAAGTCCTCCATTGCAAGAGCCTCCATCTGGGGGCGGCTGGCCTGGGGCCAGGGTGGCTGGACGGGGCGGGCAGTCTCTGAGTGCTGAGCCAGGGTCCGGCCCACGGGGCGGCGGCTGGTTAGGAGCTCCTGGCAAGGCCTGGGCGGAGGGCGGTACCGAGCCTGGACAATATTCCCGGTGGGGTGGGGACCTCTGATGAGGAGGCTGGGGGAACCCATGCCACCTGCTTGCCCCCAGGAGGTGGGAGGGGCTCTGGTGGGATCTGCCAGGCTTGCTGCACCTGAGGCTGGAGGGGAGACACCGGCCCGCACCAGGTATGCCTGGCCCTGGTTCTGGGGAGCAAGTCCAGAGCTGGGAGAGCAGGACAAGCCTCTTCTTTCCTCTGAGGCCCCCCAGACGTCACCTGACGTAGTGGGACACGAGCACTGGAGCCTTGTCCTCTCCCCCCGAATTTGCCTCTGTGGAGGGAGCCCGCCTCACCCCTCGGTCAGGGCAGGCCAGGGGCGAGCCCCTGCTCTGGGGGTGCTGGCCCGTGTGGCTGTCTTTGGAGGGTCCCTCCCTCTGACCCTTCCCCCCGCAGGGCCTGAGTCCTTTCTCCACCTGCTCCGAGCCCGGTGGGGTCTGGATGGCTGGCTTAAGGTGCCTGTCCCTGGCATGCCCCCTCCCCTGGTTTATGCAGCCTCTGGGCTGGAGAGGCCTTGGAGGGACCTGAAGGAGTTTGGCAGGGATGGGGCTGGGGTTTTCACCTCCTCCTCCAAGAGCAAACACTCACCAGTGTGGGTCATAGGATGCCGGGGAGCCGCTGACTTCACAGGGGATGGGCCCGGGTTCACCCCAGCCATGTGCCCCAGCAACATCAGGCCTGGGGACATCTCTGAAGCGAGGTGGGGAGGGCTGGGGTGGAGAGGACAGAATGGGCCCGCGCTTGGTCCTGGATTCTGGACGAGGTGTGACTGTGCCTTGAGGCCACAGTTCCTGTCTGTTGAGGCAGCGTCGTTGGTGGCTGTGTTGCAAGGTCTTAGGGCACTAGGATCCACGCTGTGGGCCATGCGTGGGGGATGTTGCGGTCATCTTGCCTTTTCCCCTGAGCTCCTGTGCCCTCAAGCCTGGGTCCCACGGCTGGCCTGGGGCACTGGCATGGGCACTGTGCCGTGGAGGCCTGGCCACGGGTCTGGACCTCACTCCAGATGAGCTGACACCCAAGGCTGGGGGTGCAGGAGGGGTGGGTGTTGCCGGCTGGGGGTGGCCGAGGCGCTGACTCTCCGTGTCTCTGTTCCAGGCCCCACGTGTGTGCTGAGCAGGAGCTGACCCTGGTGGGCCGCCGCCAGCCGTGCGTGCAGGCCTTAAGCCACACGGTGCCGGTGTGGAAGGCCGGCTGTGGGTGGCAGGCGTGGTGCGTGGGTCATGAGCGGAGGTAAGTGCAGGGGCCCGTGTTGGGGGAGGGGCTCCATTCACACAAAGGGCGGCACTGACCACCCGGGAGCTGGGCAGCTGAGGCCAGGACCCCGTCCTGGTCTCAGGGCCACACGCAACCCCTGCCTGAAGCCCTCATCTGAGCATGAGGCCTCTCCCACCCTCAGGGTGGGTCTGCCATGGGGCTACTCACATGCTGTAGCCCTCTCCTGTTTAGCCGAGCACCTGAGTCCTTTGTGAGGGGTGTGTGGAGGAGGAGGGGCCCAGCCCGGGAGGATGCTGGCCACGCAGGAAGGGGAGAGTGGTCTCAGCCTGCCAGGGGCCCGGTGGGAGGCTGCTGCTTCTTGGCCCTAGGGCCTTGTTCCCCAACACACGTGAAACTTTTTACTGCGCAAGATTTTATTTCAACACCGAACTTGAGTGCCTGTGCACACCTCTCCCCCTTTTATAGACTCAGGCTCTGCAGAGCCAGCCCTGCCGCAAAGCGGGTTGTGCCGGGAGCTGGCAGCCCCCGTGTCAGGTGGAGAGTTTCCGTGTGTCTGTGGGAGGGAAGGCAGGAACGCATTCTCAGAGAAGATCGTGGCTAGCTTCTCAGCCTGGGATCTGCGGAGGAGCCGAGGCCCTGCTCTGCGCTGCTCCCTTGGGCATGGGGTCCACGCGGGACACCTGCACCTGCTGTACCTGCTCCAGGGGGCTCTGGCAGCTTTCTGGTCAATGTGTGTTTGCTGCGCAATTCAGATGTGTTCAGAGTAGAGGAGAAAAAAACCGTTAAGCAATAATGGTGGTTCTCACTCAGGGGCAGTTCTGTCTTCCTACCCCGGGACAGTGGAGATGTGGAGTCAGGTTTGGTGACAGGTGAGCTGGGCAGGCTGAGGGGGCCAGGGATGCTGCTGAGCATCTCAGCACACAGGACGACCCCCCGAACAGACGACCCGGCCCAGTACCAGGAGGGCTGAGGTTCAGGGATCCTGAGCCCCCAAAACAAGAGATCTCAGGAGGGCTGAGGTTCAGGGACCCTGAGCAAAAAGAAGAAATCTCCTCTCATTGTTTTCCCCAAAATAGCAGCTTGCAGTCTGTCCTGACTGTCACCCATGCGTGGATGCGGGCCTGCCCTGTGGATGTCATGCGTGCATGGATGCAGGTGGATTTCCCTGCGGGAATTTGTTTGCATCAGCCAGGTCTCCCGCCAACAGCTCGTGGTGGAAGAGCTCTGTTTCTAGAAGCAGCCAGAAGCCATCTGAGCCCAGGGCTGGAGAGAGTGCTGGTGGCCGGGCTGAGGAAGTCCCCTCGCTATGGGGGCATGATTTCTCCATTGTGGTCTCTAGGCTAGCCTGAAGGCAGGGTGGGAGCAGCATTGCCGATGTGCCGGGGTCCTCAGCCTCCTGGCAGGGCACTGGGGGCAGCCGTGGACAAAGTCCCCCTGCTTGGAGGGGGGGGCACTGGCAGGGGATCCCCTCCCGGCATTACCCAATGCAGGGTGTCCGGGCCTCTTCACCAACCCTCCCTCCCGAAAGGTGGCCATTCTGCCTCAAGGTCCTGGGCTTGTCATGGGGGAGGGGCCGAGGTCCACCTCCGAGGACCCTGGGCTGTTCTCACCTGGCCCCCGCTCCTGGGGGAACCAGAGGCTTCTTACCACCCTGGTGCCGGGGGGATGGGCGTCCTGTGTGCTCTACTGGAACCAGCCCCAAGTGAGGTGGTGACATGTGGCCTGGGCCCCTGTCCCTTTGGGATGCTTCTGGGGCTGTTCGTGGGCACAGGGTGCTCCCAAATCCCACGTTTCCAATTTGTGTCCCCTCCCAAGCTGCTGGAGGCTGAATCCAGCTGTGCAGCCTCGGGGGAGTCTCCTCAGATGCCAGGTCCAGATATCACTCCACGCGGCAAGACTTTGGGTGGTGCCTGGAGCACCGGCCTGAGGCTTGCTCCCTTCATCCCTCCCAGGAGCCAGCCCTGTTCCCCGCCCTCCAGCTCCCGCCTGTCCTCCTTCAGAGCATTGCTTCTCCTCCTCTGCCATCAGGAGTCCCCGTCCCTAACCCTGAGCCCTTGCCCATTTGCCCTCGAGCCCCCAGTGCTTATGACCAGGTTCCCAACTCACTGTGGAACTGGTGGGGACCCCAGCATCCCAGCTGGGCTCTGGGTGCCATCGTGGAGGTGGGCACAGGCCACTCCTCCTGTGCCCACAGGGACAGCTCTGCCACACAGCAGATACCTGGGTATGTGTGGCTGGGCTCAGCAAGGGCAGCGCTGCTCATTGGCTTGGCCACCATTCAGCCGGGGCACTGAGCATTTGAGGCCCCTGGGTTCTGGGGAGATGCAGGGAAGGCAGCCCGGGCTGGGGAGATGCAGGGAAGGGCTGGGCAGGCTCCTGGCGCTGCAGCCCAGGCCGGGGCAGCTGAGGCGGGACCCCACAGCACTGTGGCACTGAGGGGTGACTCAAGGGTGAGCTGGTGCCATGGGAGGCTCGTGGTTTCATCGCTGGTTCCACCCCTACCAGCCTGGCGACGTCAGCCTCCTTTTTCTCACCCGTGAACTGAGCTGACAGTATTTCCTGGGCCTGGGGTCGTGCCTGTCAGAGCCTAACCCTTTCTGGGCTGCCTGGCACAGCCCAGAAACGGGGCACAGAAACGGGGTGCCCACGCGCAGAACAGCCCCAGCAGGGCAGGGTCAGGGGCTGGCCTGGGCTTCCTCAGGCCCTGGAGTGAGGAGCAAGCATGAGTGCTGGCCGGCAGGGCACCACGCACGCCCCTCAGCCTCTACGCACCTCCATCTGCCACCTCGCCAGCCGGGCCGAGACTGCCGCCAGGCCCTCCACCGTCACACGACTGGGTGACTGGTGACTCGGGCTGTGAGGCCACAGCTAGGCTTGGCGGCAGGCACCCTGCCCAGGCCTGAAGGGTGCCACATGTGGCTCTGAATGTCCAGCTGTGCCTGCAGTGTGCCTGTGCCAGGTTGTTGGGGCCTCATTGTCAGGACAGTGTCCCCGAGGGCTTGGCTTCTGGCCTTCTCTTTCTGTGGTGATTCTTTTCCACTGGTAATTCTCCAGTTGGTTGGAGCAGGATGCAGGGTGGCTGAGAGCCGAGGGCGAGAGGCAGCAGCTGCTCACCCCACAGCCCGAGGGCACCCTGGCTTGCCTGGTGCAGGGTCACCCTCCTGCCCTGGACAGACAAGGAGACACCTCCTCTCCTGAGCTCTGGGGGGGAGGCCAGCAGGCTGGATGAGACCCAGTAGGGTGGGAACCCGCCAAAGCCTCAGTTTCCCCACCTGGCTCACAGCAGCGGTGAGGATTAGATGAGCCCCCTCCCCAGGCTGGCCCCGCAGTGGCTGTGTTGTGGTGTTGTGGTGGCTGCGGTCAGAAGGGCAGCAGGCGTCAGCCCCTCGTCTGGCTTCTGGGCTGTGGAGCCTGCTGCCTGCCTCAGGCAGGGCCGCGGGGTGATGGGTGCTCCAGCCCGGCCCGGCCCAGAGTAGGTGAGGCTGTGAGTACAGCTGAGAGGGCGCCCGGGTATTCAGGGGTCTTGCCTTCAGCCCCCTCAGTGGGTACTTCCCTGACAAACCCGGCCGGGGGCCCTTTGAATAAAGGGGCTCCCGCGCTCTGCAGAGCAAGGTCCCTGAGAAGGAAGGGGTGGGGGAGGGGCTCTGAGGGTGGAGCTGCCGCTCAGGTCCCTCCTGCCAGGCCCACACTCCCTGAGCCGTGGCCTCCACTGTGAGCTGGTGGCTGCAGAAGGCAGAGGAGTGGGCCCCGGGGGGGGGGGGGGGGCTCGTTACCATGACGACCCCCGCCCTGCGTGAACCAGCTCCCCAGCGTTGGAGCCCGTGTGGGCTGGTGCTGGCTGCAGGAGAACGGAGGGCTGGTCTTCACGGGGCTGCAGGGACTGCAAGGGTCATTCCCTTTTGGGGGGATGGAGGGGGTGGTCAGCGGCCCAGGGAAGCAGCACGTAGCCCGGCACTGCTGCAGCCTGGGAGAGGGGATAAATATTTACCACGCACAGGCCCAAACACTCTCAGCTCTGCCAAATATTGTTCGCCGTGGTGGTCGGTTTCTGTCCGGGCAAGTGGTTTCATGTCCTGCCAAGACGGGGTTTGCAAGGCGCTCCCAGAGCGTCTCTGTGCAGTGCGCGTGCATGAGCACGTGCTTCCGGGAAGCGGCCCGCCCGCCGGCCGGCCACTGGCCCCGCTTGTTTGTTGGATCAGGGTCCCCAGGGCCCACCTCCGGCTTCCCATGCAGCAGCCCCGGCAAGCTGGGGGTGTTTTGTTACCCAGAGACGGCAGCCCGGCTGCCTTGGCCACTCCCAGAGGCTCAAGGGCCCTTGATCCCAGGCTGTTGGCTGGGCCCCTGGTCACCGCCCCTGCAGACAGCGGCAGAGATGGGGGAGGGTGGCTGGCTGTGGGGTCTGCAGGCTGCAGGGCAGGCCCGGGGCGGGCGCATCTTCTACTCCTTCGATTTCTCTTTCTATGTCTCTCTGTCTTGCCTCTGTCCCTCTCTGCCTCTGTCTCCATCCTCCCGCTGCTCACATGCACGTGAGCAGTTGTCCTTGCAAACACAAAGGCCTCAGAGCCTTGGGACCCCTGGGCAGGTACCACGCGGTGAGCTGTGCAAGAGTTTCCTGCCACTGCTGCAGTGAGCCCCGACAAACCAGGTGGCTTCAAAACAGCAGGGCTTTATTCTCTCCCAGCTTCAGAGGCCGGAAGTCCGAGATCAAGGTGTGGGCAGGCTGGGCCCCTGCAGGGGCTCTGAGGGGGCGTCTGTCACAGCCCCCAGCTTCTGCTGCCGGCTGTCTGGGAGTGCCTTGGCTTGTGGCCGCCACTTCCGTCTCTGCCTTCCTGTTCACACAGCCATCCCCTGTGCCTGCGTCCAAATTTCCCTCTTCTTATAAGGGCGCCCGTCACTGGATTAGGGTCCCCCATCCACTGTGAATGACCTCATGTTAACTTGACTGCAGGTGAAGCAGAGACCCTATTTCCAAGAAGTAAGGTCACAGCCGGGTGGACCTGAGTTTGTGGGGACATTAGTCACTGCAGAACAAGCAGCGGGAGACAGGGCGTCAGGGTGGGCAGGTGGCACAGGTGGCCGTCTGTCTTGCTAGTAGTCCTTGCTAGAGTGAGGGTGGAGGCTGTTTGGGCAGTGGAGGGGTGAGGACCCAGGCGTCAGGGCGGCTTCCCGAGGAAGGACGGCAGGGTGGGCAGGCGGATCCTGGGGCTCATGTGACCCATGCTCTGGGGAAGCAGGAAAGGAGCTTCCTCGAGAGGCAGCGAACCTTCCAGAAGGCAGAGGAGTAGGCATCCGTGTGGCCAAGGCCTCATTCCCCTGATGACCCCAGCCCTGCGTGAACCAGCTCCCTGGTGGCAGTGGAGCTGTGTGAGCTGCTGGTGGCTGCAGGGCAATGAGTGGGCGGTCCTCACAGGGGCTGCGGGGTCCGCGGGCCGACCAGCCCTCTCCAAGGGTCTTTCACTTTAGGGGGCATGGAGCGGGTGGTTGGCGGCCTGTTGGGGGCAGCTCGAGTTGGAAGAGGCCCAGACAAGGAGGAACTGAGACTTACGAGCCCCGGGATGGGGCTGTGATGGTGGGAGGCTTGCTGGGGCTGTGGGCTGGGGTGCCCCCACCTCCCACCTTCCCTCTGCTCTAGGTTTGTAGCTGTCCCACTCAGGGTGAGTTCCAGAGTGGGAGAGGCAGGCCCCTTGCCAAATGCTCTGCCAAGACTTCCCATGCGTGGGGGCTGGTGATGCCTGTAGGAGCAGGGTGGAGACGGGGGCTGGGCAGGGGATGGCGCGGGGTGCCCTGGGGTGGAGACAGGGTCTGGGCAGGGGATGGCGCAGGGTGCCCTGGGGTGGAGACGGGGGCTGGGCAGGGGATGGCGCAGGGTGCCCTGGGGTGGAGACGGGGGCTGGGCAGGGGATGGCGCGGGGTGCCCTGGGGTGGAGACGGGGGCTGGGCAGGGGATGGCGCGGGGTGCCCTGGGGTGGAGACGGGGGCTGGGCAGGGGATGGCGCGGGGTGCCCTGGGGTGGAGATGGGGGCTTGGCAGGGGATGGCGCAGGGTGCCCTGAGGTGGCCGGGCTTTGTGGACTGCACGGTGCTGGTGGCCTGAGGCAGCGTCTGGACTTGGGGAGGGGGACGTCATGTCCTCTGGGTAGCTGGGGTCTCTCTGGCTGTGGGCACCTTCTCAGGCTGGCCAGATCGGGCTGCCCATTCCCAGCAGGACACTGCCGTCTCCTGGGGGGCCTTACCATTTTCTGCTCAGCCTTAGTGACAGCCGCAGCCCGTCCCATCTGAGCAGGAGCCAGCCTGTGAACCAAGGCTGCCCTGGCCACACTGCCTCCGGGAAGCCCTCCCTGCCTGCCCGCCATGGTGCCTCCTCTCTGACCTGGGCCCACACAGGTCCTCCTGCTGCTCCCCTAACTGCTTCCTCCAGGTCTCCTCTGTCTCCCCAGCTCAGCTTTGTCCTCCTAGGTGTAGGGGGCAGTGGCCATTGCACCTGTGTGTGGGGCTCCTACTGGGGCCGTCTGCTTCACTGATGGACTCAAAATATGGAGTTTGAACTGGCACCTCCCCTGCCTGGCACAGCCCACCCGGTCCCGGGCACCATGGGCCCACTTGGCTCATCCCAGAAGCCATTCTGGCTCCAGGGCTGGGCACTTCCAACTCCCCGAGATGCTCACAGACCTGCCTGGTACTGAGAGCCGAGTGAGCGGTGAGATGTGCGTCCCAACGCCAGCCTGGAGCCAGGACCACCGTCGGGAGGGAGGGGGCCAGGCAGGGGCAGTGAGGTAGCGTGTTCCCGGGTTGCATGCAGCACGAGGCCACTGTCGCTGGCTCCAGCATGGCCCCTGCTGCCTCCATGCTGCCCCCTCGTTCAGAAGAACCTGGCTGGGCATTGGCATCAGCCACCCCACCCAGGAACCTTGGTGCTGCAGCCTGTGCCGCCGGGAACCCGGCTGACGCAGAGTCAGTCTCCCCAGGGGTGCAGTGAGAGCCGAATACAGCCAGTCCCGCGACGGTAAGCACTTCCCTTCTCTCTTTCTTTCTAGAACCGTCTACTACATGGGCTACAGGCAGGTGTATACCACGGAGGCCCGGACCGTGCTCAGGTGCTGCCGAGGGTGGATGCAGCAGCCCGACGAGGAGGGCTGCCTCTCGGGTGAGTGCCGCCTGCGCCTCCCCGCCCTCCCTCCACCTCCACCCCAGAGGACTCAGCAGAGCCATGAATCTGCCCCGGGCCTGGTGGGGATCGCCCTTCCCCAGCAACACGAGAGACTCAGGGAACACTCGCTCAGCAACGCCGTTTGCCAAAGGCTGCAAAAGCGACGTCAGCGAGGCTGGCAGAGCTGCGGAAAGAGAGAGCTGGGGCCGGGTGGGGTCAGTCCACTTTGCTGGCTCTGCCGGAGGACAGGAGCCTGCCATTGGCAGGGTGTCTGAGGGTTTCCTGGGGCCATGCATTGGTGTCTGTGGTTCATGGACTCCTGAGCCTAGTTCGGGGTTTACCTGCCACACCACGCTCACCCCCAGCTCCCTGAGTCCCTCTCCCTGCCCTGTTTCCCTATACCGTGTTCTCCCAAGGCCAATCCGGGCCGGGTGGCGGGCCTCAGCTTCAGTGGGTGTAAGGGAGCCGCTCCTTCCTCTCTCCGTTATGTAGCCAGCACAATTGGAGAGGCCCGTGCTGCATACGACCTGACCCGGGCAGGTGCTGATGTGCTGGGGCTCAGAGATGGGGGCCCAGGACTGGAATTGGGTGGTCTGAGCTGAGCGGGCGGCTCTCAAGCCTCTGCTTTGTAAAAGGAATGGGGCTCACAGCTACAGAGATGTTTGGGAAGGGTTTCAGGCATGGGGACAGAAGCCCCGCCAGTGAAACCGCCTGGGCAAAGGGGTCAGTGTCCCTCCCTGGGAGGGGTCAGTCCAGAGGTCATGGGACCCTGTCCCATAAAGCCGGCCTCCCCTAAAAAATCGAGGTGGCATCCTGCCAGTGAGGGACAGGCTGCGCCGTGGAGTGTGGCCGGGAGTCACGCACTCCCCACATTTTTATTTTGTTACTTTTTATGTTTATTTTTTAGAGGTAAGGTCTTACTCTGTCAACCAGGCTGGAGTGCAGTGGCACCACCATAGCTCACTGCAGCCTCAAATTCCTGGACTCAAGCAATCCTCCCACCTCAGCCTCCCGAGTGGCTGAGACTGTAGGTGTGCACCACCACGCTTGAATAATTATTGTATTTTTTGTAGAGACAGGGTCTCACCATGTTGCCCAGGCTGGTCTTGAGCTCCTAGGCTCAAGCGATCCTTCCACCTCGGCCTTCCAAAGTGCTGGGATTACAGGTGTGAGCCACCATGTCCCGCCAGCACGCTCCACGTTGAGGTTTAATGGACAGTGGGCTCCCCTGGGCTCCGGTGACAGGAACAGAACCCAGCTCTAGGGGTCCTTATGGCGGGTAGTTGCCTGGAGCCGCAGGGGCTCTTCTCACACAGGAAGCATGCAGGCTGCAAACCGGGGCTGAAGTTGCCCGTCCTGGCCCGAGCTCCAGCAGGAAAAGGGGAAGAGAAGGGATGATGGCCATGTTTTTCCAGTAGAGGAAGTGGGTAATTCTCTCCAGGAAGGGAGGAGAGTAACAAGGAAGGAGGAGGAGATGGGGCCACTGCTGGCAGCAGGGAGGGGGGTGCTGGCCAGCCGCCCCTCGGAGGGGGTCCCAGCCCCCACTGTTGCTGATGGCACCTGAGCTGTGCCTGTTTCTTTGCTCCTGTCGTCTGGGAGGAACAAAGGGGTCTTTTTAGTGGGGAGGGGGCAGACATCAAAGCCAAGGCTCCCCCGGGTTTCCACTCTGAGGCAGGGGTTCTGGGGCCTGCCAAAGGGGATTCTAATAATGGGGGGAAACAATAGGCAGCTTGGAGCAGGCCGGGGGCGGGGAGAGGAAGTGGGGCTGCCAGCCCGAGTCCCCAGGGTTTACTGGGGGAGAGCGGGCTTTTTGTTCCCAGGAGGGGACTTGAAGGCACAGCCGCATGAATGGCTGGGGCGGGGGTGGGGGTGCCCCTGGGCCTGGGGTCCTGGGTGGGGCGGGGGTGGAGAGCCCGGGCGGGGAAGGCAACTGCAGGTAGAGGTGTGCGCAGCCGCGTTCCCCCGATGCCGTCCCCTCCGAGCCCCGAGCTGGGCTCTGGCTATCCTCGTGTGCCCCTGTGTTCACCTGCGTCAGCAGTAACTGTCTCAGAGTCAGGCTTGAGGGCAGGGGCTGCTGGGTCGTCCCCCGAGGCTGGTTCAGCCGCTCCCCGCTGTGGGGATCTCAGTGTCTCGATGGTCCCAGCAGGGCCTAGTGAGTGTGCCCATCTCCATCACCAGCCTGGCTCGAGGTGAGCTTTGGGCCCGTCCTGCCAGCTCTGTCTGCCTGTGCTGTGGCCAGGCACTAGGCCGCCATCTGCATGTGGGACCCTGGAGCCTTAGAAGAACGTGGTGGCTCTGCCCTGGCCTGGCCCTGCTGGCCGGAGTGGGGTGGAGGGCATCTTGGCTGAGACCCTCCCCGGGGCAGCCCGGGCTGGGCTGAGGCTGGGGGCAGGGAGCAGGGGAGGGTGGGGGTCCTGGTTGTCACGTCGGTGGGGTCTCCACACAGATCCTGGACTTGAGCTTTGGCTTTCTTCTTGTTTTTAAACATTCGTTTTTAGCGCAAGATTTGCTTGTTTGTACCTTTTACTTTTGCTTGTTTTCATGGTCCGGGGAATCCCTGTGATCTCCTTCTCTGGCCGCTCCCTGTTCAACCCCATGGCTGGGTCCCAGCAAGTGAGGGGGGCGGTGGGTGGGTAGGAGTCAGGGTTCACACGGGCTACCCCTGAGCCCCAAGGGTGGGAGGGGTGCTGCCTGGCGCGTCCTGTGCTAGCCACAGAGTCATTCATTTATTTGGTCACTCAATTGTTTGCTGGGTTTTGGCTCAGCTGCTGCCGAGTCCTGGGGGTTCGGGGACCCTGGCAGCGGGTGCTTGCCCATGTGGAGCTCATGGCTGGGATGCTGACTGTGAGCAGATGCTTCTCCTGTGGCCAGGGTGTGACGAGGCCTGCAGGAGTGAGGATGAGCAGATGAGGGCCATTGGGGGCCTGGAGGGTGGTGCTGGGGACTGCGGGAGTGTCTGGGGGGCTGCCTGGGAGCCCGGAACGTCAGAGAGGGAGCAGTGAGTCAGGGTCAGCGGGGGGCCTGGCCAAGGCTTTTGGACCTCCCCACACCACGAGGCCTCCAGTCTAGGCAGGGAAGCCTGCAGGCCCTTCCTCAAGCTGCCCCTCTCAGGGCAGTGGGCTGCACGCCGGGACCTGCAGGCCTGGGGGCACCGTGCCAGCCTCTCTCTAGACCGGCTGCTCTCCTGGGGCCACTGTGTGAGGTTGTTGGGCTGGCTGGGGCTGGGGGCTTCTCTGCATCCCACAGTAGTGCCCTGGCAGGGCAGAATGGGTGGCCTCAGGGACCCTGGCCTGGCCTGACCTGAGCCAGCATGTGGAGCAAGTGTTCGCTGATGGGCCGGATGCCGATGCCCGTCCAAGCAGCCAAGAGTGGAAAACATGGCTCAGTACTGGGCTCAGTTCCCTCCAGGTCGCTTGTGAGCTACGAGACCTTGGTAGCAGCCCCCACCAGCCCCCTCGCTGGTGCCCCCATCCGGTCCCTTGTGAGCTACGAGACCTTGGTAGCAGCCCCCACCAGCCCCCTCGCTGGTGCCCCCATCCGGTCCCTTGTGAGCTACGAGACCTTGGTAGCAGCCCCCAACAGCCCCCTTGCCGGCGCCCCCATCGGGTCCCTTGTGAGCTACGAGACCTTGGTAGCAGCCCCCACCAGCTGCCTCGCTGGCGCCCCCATCAGGTCCCTTGTGAGCTCTGAGACCTTGGTAGCAGCCCCCAACAGCCCCCTCGCCCGCGCCCCCATCAGGCCTCAGGCTCCAGGACTTAGGTGTGACAACACCCACCTGAAAACCTGGGATTAAATGAGTCACTTCATGTGGAGCCTTTGCTTGGTGCCTGTATACAGTAAGAGCTCAAGCAGTGCCAGCTCTTGTTCTTAGAGGAGGAGGCCTGGGTGAAGTCTGCTTGGCCTGTGGTGACTCCTGTTAGTAGCAGTGACAGTGACAGTGGCACACATGGTGATCGGGCACCTTGGTCTTGGCATCCCTTGGCCAAGGGCTTGTGAGCAGGGGTCTCTGGGGACCGAGCCCAGGGCCTTACCCCCTGCTCGGTGGTTCTGGGATATCTCTTCCTGCCTCCCCGTGCTCAGCTGAGGCTCTGCCTTCCCACCCTGGGTTAGCCGAGCGTTTCCGACGCCACATTCCAGCTCTGCCGTGCGCTTCCCATCTCTGCTGGCTCATGCGAGGAGGGCGGGGCGCGGCTGCTGGTGGGGTCGGGGGCTTGTGTTGGGTGGGAGTCTCAAGGTCCCTGCAGGTGCTGGAGCCCCTCAGCCCCTGGGAGGCTCTGCCTCTGTGGGGTCTGCTGAGAGTCACACACGGCTGCTCACGGTCTCCCCAGCCAGTGTGCCTGTGGGCACTGGGGCCGCGCCCAGCCAGGGTCCTCCCTGCTTCCTAGACCAGGGCACCGCTGTCCCTGTGAGCTGGAGGATGATGGTGGGGTGCACGGCCCCTGTGCAGGACAGATGCTCGCTCTTTACACGGCCCCTGTGCAGGACAGACGCTCACTCTTTAGAGGGCCCTGTGGGTCAGGGCTTGGCTCTGTCTCTGCCCTCTCTTTTCTCACCCTTTGCCCCCTTCCTTGTTTCTCCATCACCCTCCAGCCCCTGCTGGCAGGGGAGGGACAGGGGAGGCCCCTGAGCCGATGATGCCCCCCAGCCCCCAGCCGTTGTGAAATTTCCTTGCTTCCGTGTGACCTGGACACCCGGCCGTGGAGGACAATGTCAGGGCCTGGGAGCCCTGCCGTGTTTGTGTAGGAGCGAGGAGTAGGCTAACGCCCGTGAGACTGGCCGGAAGCTGCTAATCGTGTTATGATTTCCCTGAGAGCCACTTACTTAGTGCCGGGCGGGGCGGTGGGGCCTCATGACCGGGGCTTCCAGAGCCCACAACGCCTTGCGGAGCCTGTGGCCCGGGTGCAGTGGGGTTCGGACCCACTCCTCTTGCTGGGGGGGTGTCCTTCCTGCTCATGGATTCTCTGAATTCCACTTTTATCCTGGTCCGGTGCCAGGTTTTTCCCAGACCCTGCCCATGTTTCAGCCGGAGTCTCCCTGGTCCTGGCAGCACCATTTACCTTGGGCACCCCTCCTCCAAGCCGGGCTCCCCGGTGGGCAGAGTGGCAGATGAGCGCCAGCCTGGAGCAGCTGACTCGCTGGTCCTTCCGCATGTACACCCTGAGATGGAACCGTGGAGGAACAAAGCCCAGGAATACCCTGCCTGCAGCCCCCTGTACCCCGCAACTCCTCATACGGGCTGTGCTGGCCTGGCCCAGGGGAGGGGGAGGCCACTGGACGGAGAGGCAGGGCCTCAGCATACAGTTAGGAGCTGCACCAGCTCCATGGGCTGTGATGGGCACTGGGAAGGGATTCTGTGGTCCAGTAAGCGCTTCCTAAACCAGAGTTCAGCAGATTTCTTCTTTTGCAGGAATTTTCAGAGCCTTTAATATGCGAATGTGCCCTGTGGATTCCTGAGACAGACTATACAGGCTTTCCCAAACTAATTGCACCTTGAATCTTGAGGCCATCTTAGAAAAGGAAAATAAAGAAGCCACAAAGTCACAGAGATAAAACAGTGCCCTAAAATGTGTTGAACGGGGCCGATGCAGGCGATCCACTTGACATACGGTCATGGAGGCCCAGCCACGGTGCTCAGGACCCAGAGGGTAGCAGTGAGCAGAAACCTGCACCTGCCCTGACCTCCTGGGGCTCCTGTCCTTGCAGGAGACACTCAGGAAAGGATGAAGCCGCCAGTGAGAAATGCTACGGAGTAAAGTGAGGCAGGAGGAAGGGGCAGAGGGGCTGGGTGGTGCTGGCTTGGATGGGGGTCCAGGAAGGCTCCTCTGTCCGGGTGGTGGTGGTCTACTGATGTGAGGGGTGGGCCTTGCACGTCCCTGGGAAGAGGTCACTGAGTAGGGAACAGAAGGTGCGGGGCCCTGAGGCAGGATCTTGTGGCTGGAGCAAATGGGACGGGCGTGGGGTGGGGGGCGCAGGTATGAGCTCCCGGGGCTGCTGCAGCGAGGGACCACGAGCCAAGCACTGAAACCAATGTGAGTTTACTCTCTCACAGTTCTGGAGGAGAGAAGCCTCAGATCAAGGTGTCAGCAAGGCTGTGCCTGCTCCTGAGGCTCTAGGGGAGGGTCCTTCCTATCTCTTCCAGCTTCCGCGGCGTTCCGTGGTTGTAGACGCCTCGTTCCCCACTCTGCCTCCGTCTCTACATGGTCATCTCCCCTCTGTGTGTCTCTGGGGCCTTTTCTATAGGCCCTAGGGCCCACCCTAATCCAGCAGGGCCTCATCTCAGTCGTGGTGTTCATCACATCTGCAAAGACCCCATTTCTAAGCAGGGTCACATTTAGAGGTCACAGGAAGGCAGGAATATTTGGGGGACAGGATTTCCACCCCACCACAGGGGGATAGGCCTGGGGCCCTCATGAGGGCAGGGGCAGAGTCTGTGCAAAGGAGGGGCTGGGCCTGCCGTGCAGGGCAGAGGTGGGAGTGAGGGCTGCTTCATGGTGGCCCTTGTGAGAGGTGACAGGGCTCACTCAGTTCAGGGGGTCAGGAGGGGCAGAGAGAAGGGGTGGGATTCTGGATTTGCAGATGGAGCAAGAACTGAGTCTAGAGAGCTTGGGCCCGGCCCTGCCTCTGTGAAGGCTGGGGCTGCAGGACCTTGGAGCCCTTCTCTGTGCCCAGCCTGCCTGGCCCTCGACTCTGGGGCAGACCCCCAGGCACCCACGGCCCAGGGAGGACGCTTCAGTGCGACTACCCAGAGCTTCTCTCCAGGCTGTCCTGTCCCCTCCTGCCCCCTCCTGCCCCCTCCTGGCCACTCCTGGCCACTCCTATCCCCTCCTGCCCTGTCCTGCCCCCTCCTGGCCACTCCTGCCCCCTCCTGTCCCCTCCTGCCCCCTCCTGGCCTCTCCTGCCCCCTCCTGGCCACTCCTGCCCCCTCCTGCCCCCTCCTGGCCACTCCTGCCCCCTCCTGGCCACTCCTGCCCCCTCCTGCCCCCTCCTGGCCACTCCTGCCCCCTCCTGGCCACTCCTGCCCCCTCCTGCCCCCTCCTGTCCCCTCCTGCCCCCTCCTGTCCCCTTCTGCCCCCTCCTGGCCACTCCTGCCCCCTCCTGCCCCCTCCTGTCCCCTCCTGCCCCCTCCTGTCCCCTTCTGCCCCCTCCTGGCCACTCCTGCCCCCTCCTGCCCCCTCCTGTCCCCTTCTGCCCCCTCCTGCCCCCTCCTGTCCCCTCCTGCCCCCTCCTGGCCACTCCTGCCCCCTCCTGGCCACTCCTGGCCACTCCTGTCCCCTCCTGCCCTGTCCTGCCCCCTCCTGGCCACTCCTGCCCCCTCCTGTCCCCTCCTGCCCCCTCCTGGCCTCTCCTGCCCCCTCCTGGCCACTCCTGCCCCCTCCTGCCCCCTCCTGCCCCCTCCTGCCCCCTCCTGGCCTCTCCTGCCCCCTCCTGGCCACTCCTGCCCCCTCCTGGCCACTCCTGGCCACTCCTGTCCCCTCCTGGCCCCTCCTGTCCCCTTGCTACCTGGGGGATGCTGAGCTGTCCAGGGAGGACAAACACATTCTCAGGAAATCCATGGCCTGCGCAGGCTTTGAGTCTGCAGGGAGGTGTTGCGATGGTTTGTCTCATGAGCAGTGCAGGCTCAGAGATAGCCAGGTCCACGCATGAGCATGATCCTGTCTTTCCACAATGTCAGACTTTATTGATGCTATTTCTATCACAGAGGCTGTGAGCTCCATGAAGTTCGTGAGGAGGCGGTTCTCCTTCGTGCTTCCGGTTCACTCTGTAGTCAGAGCCGCAGGCACGCAGGCTCCCGCCGCTCCACACGCCCGTCAACATTGCAAACTATACATCACAGTGTACTTAGTCAATATATAAATGCTATAGGTTAAACATTTCACAACAAACAAAGTCACATTGAACACCGGGAGAAAAAGAGATAGGAGAAAGGGTCAACGGGAGGAAAGACAAAAGACAAACAAAGACAAAAAGCATCTCCTGGTCTGGCCCTGGCGGCCTCCGTGGGCCTTACAAGGGCCTCTGATGTGGCAGAGCCTTCGGGGCAGATGCTGACTTCTTTCCACGAGGACAGCCCTTTCCAGCAGCTGAAGGCCCGCTGGTGTTATGACCGCGGAGTCCTCGGTGAGGCCTGAGAGTGGAGAGTGTGCTTGTTTGTGTTGCATGCAATCTTTATTTTTAAAATTTGTTTATTAAGCAACAGACAGCTTGTCCTTGTTGGCAAAGTGCCCTGTGAGATATGAAATAGAGTCTGACTCTAAGATGGAGTTACTTATGTCAAGGGTGCTATATACAGCTTGTGTTGCTGCAGAAACCCCGGACGGGGGTGGTGGCCTTCCTCCTTGCACACAGGTGGGGTTGGCAGAATCGATGGGGGTCCAGGCTGCTGGACACTGCCCTGGATCTGGGCTCTGGTGCACCTGCGGCCTTGGCACCTATAGTCAGGGGTGCCAGGGTGAGGCCTGGGCTTGGGGCCCCATGTCCAGCTGTTGGACCATCAGGCCGGCGGGCCCGGCAGGTCTCCCTCCCCTCCTGGGTCATCTGGGCCCTGTGGCCTCTGCCCACCTGGTTGGCTGGGCCTGCTGGGAAGGGGCTGCAGGGCCCTCTGTGGACCCCGGGCCGCCCTCCATTTTCCTGCCTCCGCCATTTGCTTTTCCTTTTCCGTTCGGGCCGCATGCCAGCCCCGAGTCCCAGCGTGGGAATTGGCTGAGCTGGCCCCCCAGGCTCTGGGCTCCCTTTTCCTCCATGCAGACACAGCACGGGCTTCACAAATGGCCTGGCAGGACCTGCTGTCCCACTGTGACCCCCACCCCTACACCCCACGTCTCTCCTCCTATGGAGTCACATCCAGACTCACAGACCCCTGTGCCAGGCACACGTTTGCATCTGCACCCGCCGCCCACCAGACGAGCTCACTCATGCACTGCCTTGCACAGATTGGCACACACACACGCATACGCACACACATCTGTGAGCACCTATTCACGATCATGCCCATACATGCTCACTCGAGCGTGCACAAGGCCACACGCCACATGCATGCTTATGTGCAGACATATGCTCACACACCATGCTCAATCATATGCACAGGACATGTCTCCTCGCTCACACCCACACACAGGACATGTGTCCTCACACACAGCACGTGTGTCCACACTCACACCCACACACAGGACATGTGTCCTCACACACACACAGGACATGTGTCACACCCACACACAGGACACGTGTCACTCACACAGGACATGTGTCCTCACACCCACACACAGCACGTGTGTCCACACTCACACCCACACGCAGGACATGCGTCCACACACCCACACACAGGACATGTGTCCACACACCCACACACAGGACATGCGTCCACACACCCACACACAGGACATGCGTCCTCACACCCACACACAGGACATGTGTCACTCACACCCACACACAGGACGTGTCCACACACAGGACATGTGTCCTCACACCCACACACAGGACAAGTGTCCTCATTCACACCCACACACAGGACATGTGTCACACCCACAACAGGACATGTGTCACTCACACCCACACACAGGACAAGTGTCCTCACACACAGGACATGTGTCACTCACACCCACACACAGGACATGCGTCCTCACACCCACACACAGGACATATGTCACACCCACACACAGGTCATGCATCCACACACCCACACACAGGACATGCGTCCACACACCCACACACAGGACATGTGTCACTCACACCCACACACAGGACGTGTCCACACACAGGACATGTGTCCTCATTCACACCCACACACAGGACATGTGTCACACCCACAACAGGACATGTGTCACTCACACCCACACACAGGACAAGTGTCCTCACACACAGGACATGTGTCACTCACACCCACACACAGGACATGCGTCCAGACACCCACACACAGGACATGTGTCACTCACACCCACACACAGGACATGCGTCCAGACACCCACACACAGGACGTGTGTCCTCACTCACACACATAGGACATGTGTCACTCATTCCCACACACAGGACATGCGTCCGCACACCCACACACAGGACATGCGTCCACACACCCACACACAGGACATATGTCACTCACACCCACACACAGGACAAGTGTCCTCACTCATACTCACACATAGGACATGTGTCACTCACACCCACACACAGGACGTGTCCACACACCCACACACAGGACATGTGTCACTCACACCCACACACAGGACATACGTCCTCACACAGGACATGTGTCCTCACTCACACTCACACATAGGACACGTGTCACTCACTCCCACACACAGGACGTGTGTCACTCACACCTACACCTGCTCCCATTCATGGCTGCAGCTCCATCCTCACACCTGGCCCAGAACCTCCTTCTGTTCCCTCTTCAGCACAAGAGCTGCCCTGTAGGGTGCTGGGTGGGGAGCCCCGTGACGCCTTAGAGTCCCCAGGCACCTCCGGGCTGGGAGCCCCATCCAGGGGGTGTGCAGGTGCTGAGGGCAGCGGCCTTACCACCCGCCCATGCCTCCCCGGTGCTTGCGGGCAGAGACCTACCCTGGATTCTGTGGTTACCGTCTCAGATGCAGGCCTGGGGACTGCTCAATGTCCTCAGCAGAAGGGGCAGGAGTCCCTGATCCTCGGCTCCGTCCCTGTCCCCTGGAGGTTTCTGCTGGTGCATGGTGAGGGGACGTGGGCCTGCCCTGGGACTCTGGTGTGGGGGAACACAGGCCATGAGGCACAGACGTGGCGCCAGTCACCAGAGTCCAGAGTGATGCTTAGTGGCAGCTGGAGCTCCTTCTTCTGGAAGGTTCTGGGTGCACTGCCCCTGCTCCAGCGATCACCTTTGGAGAGCCAGGGTGGTGGGCGAGGAAGGAGGAGAGGAAGGCTTGATCCGCCTGGTGGTCACCCCAACTTCCCAAAGGATGGCTGGGTTGTTCAAGGGGCAGGAAGAAAAGTTGCCAAGGGCTCTGGCCAAGCGGCAGCTCCAGAGAAGTGGCCCAAGGTCTTCACCTGCAGGAACCGAGTCCCTGGAGAGGAATCCAGTCCCCTTTCCACAGTTAACCCGATTCTGGAAATGAGCTCCAGCCACTGGGAGAGGCGTTTGCTTGTGGTTCAGTCCAATGTGAGAAAGTGGGGGGCATTAAAGAGGCTACAGACATGGCCTGGACATGCCGCCATGCCCTCCCCAAACCTGCCGTCCTGCGCCGGTGGCACCCTGGATGCCTCTAAGGGCCCTCCCAGCCTTAGGTCTAGGAATTTGAGGCAGACCTGCCCAGTTTCACCCTAGAGCAGATGCCTGGGAAGCTGGGCAGCTGGCAAATGGCCACGGTCCTCACTGCCAGTTCCCATTCTGTGAATGAGGGAGAGGCGTGGCCCTCGACAGCTCTGGAGGCCGGGCTGCTGCAGGTGGCTGTGCATTGTCTGGTGGCTGCGCGTTGTCTGGTGGCTGCGCGTTGTCTGGTGGCTGCGCGTTGTCTGGTGGCTGCGGGTTGTCTGGTGGCTGCGCGTTGTCTGGTGGCTGCGCGTTGTCTGGTGGCTGCGCGTTGTCTGGTGGCTGCGGGTTGTCTGGTGGCTGTGGCTGTGGGTTGTCTGGTGGCTGCGCGTTGTCTGGTGGCTGCGCGTTGTCTGGTGGCTGTGCGTTGTCTGGTGGCTGCGGGTTGTCTGGTGGCTGCGCGTTGTCTGGTGGCTGTGGGTTGTCTGGTGGCTGCGCGTTGTCTGGTGGCTGCGCGTTGTCTGGTGGCTGTGGGTTGTCTGGTGGCTGCGCGTTGTCTGGTGGCTGCGCGTTGTCTGGTGGCTGTGGGTTGTCTGGTGGCTGCGCGTTGTCTGGTGGCTGCGCGTTGTCTGGTGGCTGTGGGTTGTCTGGTGGCTGCGCGTTGTCTGGTGGCTGCGCGTTGTCTGGTGGCTGTGCGTTGTCTGGTGGCTGCGGGTTGTCTGGTGGCTGCGCGTTGTCTGGTGGCTGTGGGTTGTCTGGTGGCTGCGCGTTGTCTGGTGGCTGCGCGTTGTCTGGTGGCTGTGGGTTGTCTGGTGGCTGCGCGTTGTCTGGTGGCTGTGGGTTGTCTGGTGGCTGTGGGTTGTCAGCACATGCTGCAGTGCGGAGGGGATGCTGACGGCATGGGGGTGTCTACCAGGAACACCTGCTCTCGGTTTGGAGCGCAGCTTTGCGCATCTTTGTTTTAGAGCCTCGTAGTATTTTTCCACCCCTTGGGAGCAAGTCCATGGGTAGCCCTCCTCCTCCGTCCCCTTGCACCCTCCCTTTCCCCAAGGAGCATCCACAGGTCTCTCACACCTGGCTGGCCTGGCCATGCGGTGGTTTGTTCATTCATTCACCCCTTCATCAACAAGCTTGCTGGTGCACCTGCGTGTCGGAACTGGGTGCGTGACAGCGATCAAGATGGAGTTGGGGGCTGCTCTCAGGGAGCCCAGGGCCTGGCATGGGAAGTGAGCTGTCACCCCAACTGAGTGCCTAATCACAGTTGAGAGGCACTAGAGGGGGCAAGAGCGGGGCGCTGTGGGCTCTGATTTGGAGACGGGTTAGGGAGCCTCCCTGTGGAAGTGACATTTGGGGAAGAGAAGAGTTGTCCACACGGAGAGCAGCTTTCTCATGGGAGGCCCCCAAGCAGGGAGAGCTGAGTCTGGGGTGAGGCCAGGAGCTGGATGGGGGTCTAATAGGGAGGATCTGGGGGCCGCGGTGTTTTGTGCCAAGTCAATGGAAAGCCAGTGAAGGGTTTGCAACCGGGGAACCAAGATCTGAGTTGTATTCTAAAAAGTCACTATGGCAGCAGGGTAGAGAATGGAAATAGAGTGAGCAGGAGAAGCTGGGGCCGGCTAAGAGGCGTCTGCAGAGGGCAGGGGATGACGGTGGCCTTGGTGTCATGGAGGAGACGAGGTGGAGAGACGTGGGTGTGTTCAAGATACCCTGAGGGTGGACCCGACTGGACTGGCTTTGGACGGGATGCAGGTGAATGATCCAGTGCGTACGGGGCTATCTCCCAGACCCCTGGTCTGAGCCGCTCGGTGAGCTGCTGGGAGGATTCGCTGTGTGCGCATCCCAGTGACTGCCCCAGGGTCCGGGGAACATCTTGTGGCTGTACCCTCCCAGCCTGGGACAGACGTTAATCATTGGTCTCCGTGTCCTCCTTCTAGCCCAGGATGAAGAGCAACAATTAATGTCTGTCCTGGACACTGAAGAGAGGGCAGTGGCTGCCCCGGGCCTGGTGTCCTGCTGGGTGCATCTGTGGTAGGGTCCGTGTGCCCCTCTCCGCCGGCAGAGTCAGCTCCGCCTGCCTTGAGAGATGGTGTCCTCAGCCGGGACAGCAGGGATGCTGGATCTGGCTGGGATTTTCAGAAGCACGCCCCTTTTCCCCTTTGTTTCAGATTTAGGCAGATGCTTCCTGGGAGGGCAGGGAGGGAGGGAATGGTATGGGGTTTAGGGGAGGGACACAGGGTGGTGTGCACGGGCTCCAGGAGAGGGGCCCTGAGAACAGGAGGGTGGGGCCCAGCCCGTGGGAAACAGGGTGGGAGGAGGGAGGCAGTGAGTGGCTGCTTTTCCCCAGGCTCCGAGATCTGGGCAGGTCCTGCCTTCCGTCCTTCAGCAGAGCCTGGGGAGGGCAGCATCCTAGGGGTGGTCTCCAGGCCGGCACCTGCTCCCCACCCGGGGGTGATTGGTCTTGGCTATTTGGGGCTAGAGGTCTTCAGGACAAGGAAAACCTAAAACCTTCCTCATGGTGGGAACTAAACACAGCTGGCTTGCTGCTGCAGTTGCACAAGTCAGCAGGCATCAGGCCTCAACACTTGGGACACGGATGTTTCCTGTTACTGGGCCCCGGGTTGGTCCCCGGTCCCTGGGGAATTTCCTGTGCTTCCTCCAGGGTCATGGCAACTTCCATCCGGCTTCCCTGCAGCCCCCTGGCCCCCACCCTATCGCGTTCGGACACATCCTCAGGCTGCAGGTGTTTGGCTGGAGGGAAGAGGCTGGTAGGGCCTGAATGTGGCCAGATGTGTGTGAGGGCCCAGGTGGGGAGGGGATGCCGCCATGCCTGGGGCAATGGTAGTGGCTGTGATTGCAGGAGGGTGGGAGGAAGAAGCATTCACAGGGACCCGTGTTTCTCTGTGCCAGCCCAGGCCGGGTCCTCCTGACCCCAAGTCCAGGTTTGGGTGCTGGCCTTGGGCATATCTGTAAACAGGATGGCCACATAGGCCCTGAAGCCCGAGCCGGTCATGGCTCACTCTGTGGTCCAGGCCAGGTAATGAAGTCTCTGAGCCTCAGTTTCCCCACCGGGCACAGCCCCTGGTCTGGGGCTGCTTAGACGACGAGTGCCTGAGTGTCCTTCTTCCTCTCAGCTGACACGACCTGTGCCTGGGAATCCCAGGAGCCCCAGCCCAGCCACCGGCAGGGCCCCCTTGTCTAGAGCTTCCCTCCCTGCTACTGGCAGGGGTGCTGTGAGTGACACACAAACTCACTGAGCCCACAGGTCACACAGGCTCCGGGGTGGGGCAGGGGGTCTCAGGTCACTGTGCTGACCATGCAGTCACCCAGCAAGCACCCCTCAGGGGTGAGGTGCAGCCCACCCACCCTGGCCCTGCCATCCCACCCTGGCCCTGCCCTCCCAAGTAGTAACGTGCAGGGTAGGGGCTGCCCGGTGAAGGAAGTTGGTATTGGAGCCCCCGGGGGGCACCCGGTCCAGCCTGGGGGGCACCTGCTGTGGAGGGGGCAGTGAGGCAGTGTGGGTCTGTCAGTAACGGGGCTGCCTGCCAAGCCACAAGGCGCCCCTCTCTCTCCAGAGCCCCTGCCTTGCCTCTCAGGTCCAGCTGTGGCCTCCTCCACCCTCACACCCTGGCCTCGCTTTCCCTGGGGAGCCCCAGGGCAGCCGCTGTCAACACTTGGCTCCCCACCTGCCGGGACCTTTCCTCCTCCCCTCCCTGGGGTCTGACTGGCCTGGGCCGGAGCCTCCCCTCCCGGGGCTGGGGCCAACCTAGTAGGTTCTACCATCAGGGTCTTGAGGGGGGTCCTCAGCCGGCCCTTGCAGCTGTGCAGCGCTGACCACTGGGCAGCCCACCCCTCCCCCCTGCACCCCCACCTTCCCTCCTCCCACCCCTCTCAGACCCCACTCCCTGCCCACCTTCCCCAGGAAATGCCCTTGGCTCCTCCCCATCTAGGTGAAGTGAGTTAGGGCTTTACTGCCCTCCAGAGGGGTTCCGCCTAACCCCAACTGCACGTGGCCGTGGCTGGAGTTTGGGGACACGCCAGCCTCCATTGGTGGCCGGGCAATGTGTGACCTAGGACAGAGAGAACGGGGCTGGGGACCTGGCAGGCTGGGTGGGCTGCCTGCCCGAGAGACCCTCAGGCCTCACCTCCCCCTGCCTCACCCCTCCTTGCCCCTCTCACCGATTTTCTCCTTCCCTCCGCAGCTGAATGCAGCGCCAGCCTCTGTTTTCACGGTGGCCGTTGTGTGCCAGGCTCAGCCCAGCCGTGTCACTGTCCCCCCGGCTTCCAGGGACCCCGCTGTCAGTATGGTGAGTGGAGCCCCTGGGGGACCAAGGCCCTGGCCATGGCCAGCCTGTGGGCAAGGGGCGAGGATGTGTCGGCCACTGGCCGTCCCCAGCACAGCTGTGTAGGGGACACCCCGAGTGAACGGGCATTCTTCTGAGGACATTCCGCAATCCCTCCACCAGTTCCCTGCAGCCCCTCTGAGGGTGTCGAGGGGAAGGGTGACCCTGAGAGACCCCCCGTCAGTGGGTGGCGCTGAAGCATATCATCTCAGCGCCCACTGCGTCCAGCCCTGCTGTTTATAAATGGGGACGCTGGCCCCCTAGAAAGGCAGGGGGTGGCCAGGTCCCAGGGTCTCCACCTGTGCTGCCACCTTGCTGAACTGTCGTTGTCCTCAGTGTTAAAAGATGGGGGACACCCGGGGGTCTTAGCCAAGGCGACTGGTTGAGTAACCGCAGCACAGCTGTAAATGGGACTCCCGCACAGGCCCTGAAGACCAGGTTGAAGCAGGAGCTGGTGGCGAAGGAGATGCTTGCAGGGAGTGGGGATGGGCTGAAAGCAAGCTACTGGGGTGACGGGATTTCTGTAAAGAAAAGTGCGTGCCAATGCGGGGAAAAGCGGCAGAGCCTCGTCCTGATTCATTTGGGCCATGGGAAGCGGGAGTCTTCCCTTCCTCTGTGGCTTCCTGCTCTGTCCCGGGTTTCTTCATCCTGGCCTCAGACAGCCTGAGCCACGGCCGTCCCGATGGCATGAAACACTCCCAGTGGCCCTGGGGCTTTGGGACTGCTCGTGTGGTGGCCACCGGGGCTCCATGCCAGGCAGATGCCAGGGCAGAGCGAGAGATGCACTCCGGTGCCCAGGCAGGCAGCAGGAAGCGATTCGAGGAAATCGGATGAATCAGGAGGTCCCCGTGTTTGTGAAGGACACCCCTGCCCACTCCACGTTGCGCTGGGGGCCGGGCTGAGGAGGGGTTCTGCAGAGGTGCTGGGTCTCCCCAGCGTTCTGAGCTGGGTGACACTCCTGCCCACTCCACGTTCCGCTGGGGACCAGGCTGAGGAGGGGTTCTGCAGAGGTGCTGGGTCTCCCCAGAGTTCTGAGCTGGGTGCCAGCAGCCTGGGGCATTGGCCATTGTTGGAAAGGCGGACAGTTGGTGCTGGAGGGTTTATTGAATGTCCTCTGTTAGCTGGGACGGCCCCTGCCGAGTCACCGCGAGTGCCTGCTGCTTCCTGGATGCTGGGTGGCTGGGAGGGCTGCTGCAGTGACCATGGACTGAGATCTGTCTGTCTCGTGTGGACGAAAGGGCCCCCCCCCCCCAGGGCCCCTGCCCTGTCATTGCCCTGTGACATCCAGGCTGCAGGCCTTGGCCAGGCCTCCCTGTGGTCCCTCTGCGGGCTGGTCAGAGGTGACCCATCCCTGTTCCGAGGACAGGTGGGGTCCACACAGGATGGAGTGGGCTCCACTGTCACGTTTGGCTTCTTGGGAGCTGTCATTTGGCCACAGGTGGGAGTTGAGAAATGTCCCGAGGGCCTTTCCGTCTCATTTGTCTAATCTTTTGGCAATGTGCGCCGCTTGACTTTGGTTTCACGCGGAAATACCAGGGCTGACTGGGCAGGCTGGGGAGGTTTCCGGGACGGGGCTGTGGCTCACTGGTCGGCCAAGCAGAGCCTCCTGTGGTCTCTGTTCCTAGGGGAGGGCGAGGAGGAGGTGGCCTTGCGGGGTGGCCTTTCCTGGCCGTGTCCTCTGGGAGGGGAGGGAGGACACCTGACCTGCCCCCTCAGGGCTGGCCTTCTGCCCACCGTCAGTCCCCTCCTCCCACCTCATCTTTGTCAGGAGCCAGCTCCAAGCCCCCTGCTCCATGAGACCCTGACGCGTGGACCCCGGGGCATCGGCAGGCACAGGGCTTGCAGGAGGCTCACTGCGGGCTGCACACCCTGTGGGGGAACTCGGCGTCTCGTGGAGGCTCAGTGTCCAGCGTGGGGCGAGGGCTCTGCATCTTTGGGGGTTTGGCATTGTTGGGGGGGCTCCATGCCCAGTGGGAGGGGCCTGTCTTCCCCAGGCCCAGGCCAGCACTGCGGAGTGGGCTCAGATGCCCATGCTTGGGTGCTTGGGGGTGGGGTGCACTCAGGTTCCCTGCGCCCCACCAGCCTCTTGGCTCTGACTTCTGTGTCACAGACTCTCACGGTGCCTGGGCCCGGGGCTCAGCATCCACAGCAGCAGCCCCATGCCCCAGTCACCGTGGGAACGCACCGCAGAGCAGGGAGGCTGGAGGCTGGGAGCTCCCTCCTGGCTCTGGGCCACTCTCTGCCTGCGTCACCTCATCAGCTCCACACTTCATTTGCTTCATGAAAGAGGAAAGCAAGGTTGAGGAGACCCAGCAGCTGCTGGTGCTCAGCTCACAAGCAGCCTAGTTGGGGCTGAAGCCAGGTCTGTCTGAGGAGTGCCATGTGCTCCCTTCTGGCCATGCTGCCACCTGGTGCAGGGACAAGCCTTGGTCCCGGGGGAGCTGTTGAGATTTGCTTTGGAGGAGAGGGGAGCAGGGTCCCCTGCAGGGCAGGAGCATCCTCCCCTGTGGCTGGCTTGTGGCCCTTGGGTAGCGGGCCTCCTGGGAGAGTGGCCAGTTGGGGCAGACGTGGCCTTCACAGGGGGCAGTTGACAAGCTGGAGGGTGGCTGCCCGGCCTCCTCGCTGGTCACTCTCTCGGAAGAAGGGGAGGGTATGGAGGCTGGGTGTGCAGAGCCGAGGGTGCGGGGCTCAATTATGCAGGGCTGGACATTCAGGATGGAGTGTGTAGAGCTGGGTGTGCAGGGCCAGGTGTGCAGGGGTGGAGTGTGCAGGGCCAGGTGTGCAGGGGTGGAGTGTGCAGGGCTGGGCATGCAGGATGGAGTGTGCAGAGCTGGATGTGCAGGGCCAGGTGTGCAGGGGTGGAGTGTGCAGGGCCAGGTGTGCAGGGGTGGAGTGTGCAGGGCCAGGTGTGCGGGGGTGGAGTGTGCAGGGCTGGGCATGCAGGATGGAGTGTGTAGAGCTGGATGTGCAGGGCCAGGCCTGCAGGGGTGGAGTGTGCAGGGCCAGGTGTGCAGGGGTGGAATGTGCAGGGCTGGGCATGCAGGGTGGAGTGTGCAGGGCTGAGGGTGCAGGACTGAGTGTACAGGACTGAGTGTGCAGGGCTGAGTGTGCAGGCCGGGTTTGCAGGGCCAGGTGTGCAGGACCAGGGCTGAGGGGGTGCTGCCTGCAGGTGTAGCCCCTGCCCATAGTGCTCCCACCTAGACCTCTCACCATCACCTTCCTGTCCCTCCTCCACTCTGGGTCTGGGGACTGCAGACCTGAGCTCAAACGCAGTTGGGAATATTTCACTAACCCCCCAATTATAATTGATTCCAGTTTTGAAAATAAAAGCCATATTTTCTGGTTCCCCCAAATTATTTCATTTGAACAAAGGAGTTGGGGAGGGAGACAGGAACTCTCTGGGCAGCTATGGAGGGCAGTGGGGGGAAGGAGCCCTCCCTGCTGCCCACAGCCCCAGCTCTCCCTCCTTGGCCCAGATGGCAAGTCTCGGGTCTGCAGCGGGCGGGGACTTTGCAGCAGTGTTTCCCTGAGGCCCTGGGAGCCCTTCCGCAGAAGCAGCGGGAGCCGTGGGAGCACAAAGCGGGCCTGTCTGCCCGGAGGGTGGAGGGCCCGGCGCTGGGCAGGCCCTGCAGTGAAGGCTTCCCCGGCCCAGTGCAGGCCTCGGCGCAGTCACAGTCAGGGCCAGCCGCTCATTTTGTCCAGGGCTGGCTTTGGTGTTCCCCAGGCCTGTGCCTGTGTGACCGGGGTAACCTACTCCACCTCTTGGACCCCAGTCCCCCTTCTGTTCAGCAGGGAGGAGATTTGGCGATGTTTTGTGCAGGTTGCGTGAGTCCACGTAGGTGAGGCCCGGAGTGGGCCTGGCAGAAGGGTCGGGAAGTGGGGGTCATGGCAGGGACAACCATTGTGATGGCTCAGGTGCAGACTTTGTCCCCAGCTGATATGGTTTGGCTGTGTCCCTACCGAAATCTCATCTTGTATGTCCCATAATTCCCACGTGTCATGGGAGGGACCCAGTGGAAGGTGGTTGAGTCATGGGGGCAGGTCTTTCCCGTGCTGTTCTCGTGATAGTGAATAAGTCTCATGAGATCTGATGGTTTATAAGGGGGAGTTTCCCCGCACAAGCTCTCTCTCTTTGCCTGCTGCCATCCATGTAAGATGTGACTTGCTCCTCCTTGCCTTCTGCCATGATTGTGAGGCCTCCCCAGCCACGTGGAACTGTAAGTCCATTAAACCTCTTTCTTTTGTAAATTGCCCAGTCTAGGGTATGTCAGCAGTTGGAAAACGGACTAATACCCTGGCTCTTGGGGTAATTACACAAGAGCACCCAGCTGCCATGTGGAGTCTCCCAGAGTGGTCCAGGGTTTGGAAGATCCCCCAGGACTGCCAGTTTCCTTGCCCTGTGGGTCTGCAAAGGAGCGAGGGGGACTCTAAAGACCCCCTCCCCTGTCCCTGGGAGGACTTTGGGGTCCCATCAGAGTATCAGTTTCATCAGACCAACCAGGAACAGTTTTCACAGCTGAAAACCTGGCCTCTTCCTGCCTTTGCACCCGGGTCCCACCTGTGTGCGCTGCTCTGGCAAGCGTGGATGGATGCCCCCACCCCTTCCCCAACACCCACTGGTGACCTGGGCTTGGCTCAGAATTGGTAATGAAAAGACCAGCAAGAAAAAGTTACTGAGAACAAATGACCTCCTAATAGATTTGTCTTTTGTAGTACACGAAGTCACAAAAGTCTCTACAGATCTCTTGATCTGGTCTCAGCTGACCTCATGGGACAAGGGCAGGCTCTGAGAAATGAGGCCTGGGTCACCTCTAGGTACTTTCTTGGTTCAAGAACCTTTGGCTCAAGCCAGGCGTGGTGGCTCACACCTGTAATCCCAGTCCTTTGGGAGGCCGAGGCACGTGTATCACTTGAGCTCAGGAGTTCGAGACCAGCCTGAGCAACATGGTGAAACCCCGTCTCTACCAAAAATACAAAAATTAGCCAGGTGTGGTGGCGGGCGCCTCTAATTCCAGCTACCCAGGAGGCTGAGGCAGGAGGATTGATTGAACCTGGGAGGTGGAGGTTGCAGTGAGCCAAGATTGCGCCACTGGACTCCAGCCTAGCTGACAGAGCAAGACCCTGTCTCAATAGATAAATAAGTAAATAAATAAATAGTAACCTTTGGCTCTGATTCCCTTTTGGGCCTCAGTTCCCACCCCCCCACCCCCGGCACCAGTCAAAGGGGCAGATCAGACGGGTCTCCAGCACCACCACACTAGAGTGTTGCCACCCTCACTCCTGGGTCCAGGTGAGTGGTCAGGGTTCCAGTGATGCCCATCAGAGGCTTGGCTGCCCCAAGGGCTTCCTGGAGGAGGTGGGCCTGTGGGCTGGGGAAGGTTTGGGAGGTGCAATTTGTTCCGGACAAGTTTCCAGACAGGACAGAGACAGGAGCAGAGGAGCAGAGCAGAGGAGAAAGTCATTTTGGCCCTGAGGTACGGGGTCGGGAATGAAGGAAGGGTCAGCCAAGCTTCTAGAAGGTCCTCGGCCTCTCTCGGTGAGATGGAGCCAGGCGTTGCTGGGGGCCAGCTGGCAGGTGCTCCTGGGTACCTGCTGTGTGCCTGCCAAGCCGGGGGAGACATCAGTGGTCCTGCCTGGAGCCTCAGCACCCAGGCCCACTCTGAGTCCTGCACCTTTGAAGGAAACCTCGGTTTCCCTGCCTCAAGCAGGAGGCCCTCAGTGGGGGTCTCTCGGGTGTGGGCCTCTCGGGTGTGGGCTGGAGGTGGCTCTGGCAGCTGTTGGGGCCCTGAGGCTATGCCAGGAAGCAGAGCCTTGGAGAAGGTTGGGTGGCTAGGACTGGGTGGTGTCCTGAGCCCGTTTAGCCCTTGGCGTTGGCTCAGGGCGACTGTTTCTAAACTGGGACCATTGATTAATGGAGAGGAAGCGGCCCTCCCCACTGCCTTTCAATGCTGCCCACTGTGTCTGAGGGTGGGAGTCTGACCCCTCGCCCGAGCTCCAGACGCCACCCAGGGCTGCTCTTGGCGACCAGCCACGGCCAGGCCTGGGAGCTGCCGCTGCCAGACTCAGACTCTGTGCCCCAGGGAGTGGTGGGAGGGGAGGACGGGGCTCCTGGAAGGGCGGGCTCTGGGGCAGGGATGTTCTTTTCACAGCCTCTCTCCATGTTGTGCACTCCCTGGCTGGAGCTGGAGCTGGGGCTGTCTCTGGTCCTGCTCCCTGCCATGGGACCTTGTCCAGAGGCCTGCAGCCTGCAGCAGCCCCAGCCTGGGCTGATTCCTGGGGAGGCATCTCAGCTTTGTCCTGTGGACGTGGCCTCGGGTTAACCTGACCCTGGTCCTGGGCTGTAGTTCCAGGCTCCCCGCACTGTTTCCCGTGCTTACCTTTGGGTGCAGCCAAGCAGAAGGTTTCCATCTGGGCCTGGAGCTGGCTCAGCCAGGAGGCCACCCTGGGGGAGGCTTTTTGTGTCTGGTGTGAGAAATGATCCTAGCATGCCCCAGGAGGACTAGGGGTTACCTGGCGGGGGGACCCAGCACACCTGGGAGGACCCAGCAAACCTGGGGGAACCCAGCACACACAGGAAGGACGCAGCACACGCAGGAGGACCCAGCATACCAGGGAGGACCCAGCACACCTGAGGGAACACAGCCCACCAGGGAGGACCCAGCACACACAGGAGGACCCAGCATACCAGGAAGGACCCAGCACACCTGAGGGAACCCAGCCCACCAGGGAGGACCCAGCACACCCAAGAGAACTCAGCATACCCAGGAGAACCCAGCACACCCAGGAAAGACCCAGCACACCCAGGAGAACCCAGCACACCCAGGAAGGACTCAGTACACCCAGAAGAACCCAGCACACCCAGGAAGGACCCAGCACACCCAGGAGAACCCAGCACACCCAGGAAGGACCCAGCACACCCAGGAGAACCCAGCACACCCAGGAAGGACCCAGCACACCCAGGAGAACCCAGCACACACAGGGAGGACCCAGCACACCCAGGAAGGACCCAGCATACGCAGGAGAACCCAGCACACACAGGAAGGACCCAGCACACCTGAGAGAACCCAGCATACCTGGGAGAACCTAACACACTCAGGAAGGACCCAGCACACCTGGGAGGACCCAGTACACCAGGAAGGACCCAGCACACCCAGGAAGGACCCAGCACACCCAGGAGGACCCAGCATACTCAGGAGAACCCATCACACACAGGAAGGACCCAGCATACCTGAGAGAACCCAGCATACCTGGGAGAACCTAACACACTCAGGAAGGACTCAGCACACCCGGGAGGACCCAGCACACCCAGGAAGGACCCAGCACACCCAGGAAGGACCCAGCACACCCAGGAGGACCCAGCACACCTGAGAGAACCCAGCACACCCAGGAGGACCCAGCACACCTGAGAGAACCCAGCACACCCAGGAGGACCCAGCACACCTGAGAGAACCCAGCACACCCAGGAGGACCCAGCACACCCAGGAAGGACCCAGCACACCCAGGAGGACCCAGCACACCCAGGAGGACCCAGCACACCTGAGAGAACCCAGCACACTCGGGAAGGACCTAGCACACTCAGGAAGGACCCAGCACACCCAGGAGGACCCAGCACACCCAGGAGGACCCAGCACACCTGAGAGAACCCAGCATAGCTGGGAGAACCTAACACACTCAGGAAGGACCCAGCACACCCGGGAGGACCCAGCATACCAGGAAGGACCCAGCACACCCAGGAAAGACCCAGCACACCCGGGAAGGACCTAGCACACTCAGGAAGGACCCAGCACACCCAGGAGAACCCAGCACACCCAGGAAGGACCCAGCACACCCAGGAGGACCCAGCACACCCAGGAGGACCCAGTACACCCTGAAGGACCCAGCACACCCAGGAGGACCCAGCACACCTGGCAGGACCCAGGACACCCAGGAGGACCCAGCACACCCAGGAGGACCTAGCACACCCAGCAGGACCCAGCACACCCAGGAGGACCCAGCACACCTGGAAAGGACTCAGCACACCCACGGGGACCCAGCACACCAGGGAAGACCCAGTGCACCCGCAAGGACCCAGCACACCCAGGAGAACCCAGCACGCCAGGAAGGAACCAGCATATGCAGGAAGGACCTAGCACACCCAGGAAGGACCCAGCACACCCAGCAGGGCCAGCATACCAGGAAATGACCCAGCATATGCAGGAAGGACCCAGCACACTTGGGGGGAAGACCCAGCACCCTTGGGGAGGACTCAGTGTGTCTGGGGGGACACCCTCACCCAGGAACCTTGCTCTCTGGCCTTTGGAGCCGGGAGGACCCAGCACCCTTGGGGAGGACCCAGCGTGTCTGGGGGGGATGTCCTTACTCAGGAACCTTGCTCTCTGGCCTTTGGGGCAGGCTGGCCTTGGTCTCGGTGTTTTCCTGCTCTCTGTGCTCGGGGGTGGGAGTCCTCTGAGAGCAAGAACAGGCTTCTGGCCTCCATGGTGGGGTCGTGTCCTACAAGCACCGGACACCTGACACCTGGGCTGGGAGATGCCTCATTGACTCCTGCCCTTCCTGGCTGTTCTGGGTTCCAGGCTTGGAGGAGCACTCTCTGGTTTCTGGACCATCAGAAAACCCAGCCACTGGCCATGGCTGTCCCCTCCTTGTGGGATGGCCCAGGGCCACCCCTGGTCCCCCAGACCCTCTCTCTGTGTCCTGCTCCCCAGGCTGTTGGCTGTCTGTGCTCACAGTTAATGGGGTCCCTGGAGGCCCCCGAGGAACATGGAGGTGTCAGCCATGAAGACAAGCTGGTGCTGAGCCGGCTCAGAGGGGGAGATAGGGCTGTGGTGTGTGTGTCCCCGTGTGCCACAGCCTCCCTGGGGCCCTGTCCCTGGGGATTGGTGGAGGGGAGAGACTGGGTGGCCCCGGGGGATGGCTGGAGGGAGGGCTGAGCCTCTGCCGTGTGAATGGGGAGGATGACTAGCCTCCTGAGCAGGCTCTGTGCCTGGTACCAGGCTGGGCGGTGGAGGGGGCAGGATGATTTCCTGCTAGGCCAGTTGTGGGCTTCATGCCCTGCAGGCAGTGAGGGCCTGGCACAGGGGCAGGGCAGGGGCAGCCTCCTATCCTCACATTCCCAGGCCCATGTGGTCTTTCTTGGAGGCAAGGTTGGTGGTGCAGTGGTTGTCTGCTGAGCAGGGCTGGAGCAGCGGGTGTGCCCCGGCGGGTGGACAGAGCACCTGGCACCTGGGCCGGAAGATGCCTCCTTGACTCTCACCCTGTCTGGCTGCCCTCAGGTCCCAGGCTTTGAGGAGCTCTGCCTGGTTTCTGGGTAATCAGAAAACCCCATGCCCAGCAGCCTGCCTGGCTATCCTTTCCCTGTGGCCTTTGGCTTTTCCACGCACATCCTCTTTAACTGCACTGAGTCCCTGGAAATCCCCCGAGTCCCGCTTCCCCGTGGGAGCCAGTGCCTGCCGGGCGGCCCCTTCTGCCTGCAGTGGGTTGAGCGGGCAGGGCAGGTGCTTGACTTTGGCTTCACTGGCCTCAGTCCCAGGCGGCCCCTTCTGCCTGAAGTGGGTTGAGTGGGTGGGGCAGGTGCCTGACTTTGGCTTCTCTGGCCTCAGTCCCTGCGTGACAGTCGGCTGGGACAGGTGTGGCCCCTCCACGACCATCTTGCTATGCTCAGGCTGGGCCACCTCCTCGACAGGACAGCTGGGGAGACTGAGACCGCCTGCAGAATCCAGCCTGTCTTTCAAAGGGCTGACTCTGGGAAGGGGATTCCTGTTTGTGCAGTGAATTGTTTAATTACCAGGTTTGTTCTCCCCCTTCCCTGCCACCCACAAAAGGGCCTCTGTCTTTCTCCTGGGATAATGCTATCCTCCCTGGCCTTGGCTCTGTGCACAGTGGGGTTGTGTGGCCTCTCCCATGCTGGCTTCACAGACAGGGTAGTCTTTTAATGACATAATTACAGCAGGAGACATTAAGAGGCGGACCCTCCCAGGCATTGTGGGGTGGGGGGCTTCTGTAGGCTCCCCCAACTGCCCCTGTGCTGCCTGGTGAGTGGGCATCTCAAGTCTTCCTGCCCATAGCATGGACGGCTGTCCAGGCAGCCACTGAGCCCGGTGGCAGGCCACTTCAACACTGTTCAGAGGACGACCAGGCCTCTTGGCTCCCTGTGCCTGCCCCAGGCCGGAGACCCCGTGGCCCCCCAGTCTCCTGGATGGTCTCCTTGGACAGCTCTTCCCACTAGCTGGGTGTGTCAGAGACCTTCAGCCTCCAGGATCCTTTGAGTCCCCTGATCCTTGCCTCGGCCATCCTGTCCCATCCAGATTCCCTGGACTTCAGGGCAGCACTGGGGCTGACCATGGCATCCGGGTGTGGGGCTGTGCCTGTTCCACTTCACAGATGGGGATACTGAGCCCCTGGCAGTTCTTGAGTTGCTTGGAGTCAGTGATGGACTTGGTATTGGCCTTTGGCCCTTGACCGCCTGCCCAGGGCAAGGCTGAGGGCCTTTGGGAGCCCCGGCTGAGGGGCGGCGGGGTGGTGTCTGGGCATTGGTGTGGCCTGGGTGCCCTGTGATGGGTCCCAGAGGCTGTCCCTGCTTCTTTGGGTCCTGCATCTTTGAAGGAGCCTCGGTCTCCCCCCCTGAACAGGCGGCTGGTGGCGGGGGTCTCTAGGGTGTGGGCTGGAGGTGGCTATGGCGGATGGAGTCGGCTGCAGGAGCTCCCTCTGGGAGTGTCTGGGGCTATGGGTTGTGCCCTGGCCTCTGGCAGACCCGTACCGGGCAGCTGCCAGCTGAGTGAAGCCAGGCTCTGCCCACTCGCCTGGAAGCTGCAGTGCCCAGCCTGACAGCTCTCATGGGCCACACTGAGGGTTTGGCATGTTCTTTTCTGGGTAGAGAGGCTAGGCCAAGCTGCATGGAGCTGGGGTGCAGACCTGCACCCTGTGAACACGCTCTGCAGGCCCTTGTGGGTTCAGGCTGTGTTTGGCTGGTGGAGGGAGCAGAGGGGCAAACCTCACCCACAGGGCTTCTGTAAGGTGCAGAGGACACAGGTGTCCCCTGCGGTGCTCACGGCCCATCCTGCTGATGTAGAGAAACCCACCGTCAGGAGGGGCTAAAGGGCTGGCCGGCAAGGTCATAGGGCACTGGCTGGCATCCAGGGCAGGGCATGGGGGCAACAGAGGTGGCTCGAAGGGGCCAGGCAGGGGATGGTTTGTGGGTGTCCTTGCATTTGGGGGGCTCTTAGCCTGAGTGCTGGGGAGAGCTGCTTGGGGTGCAGGTGATGGGCCCCCATCCTGAAGAAAGTGGGTGCGTGCTGGGACTCCTAAGGAGCCTGCTGGGCTGAGCTGCTGCTTGAGCCTCCCTGTCCTGCTCTAGCCAAAGGGGTGGCCTCCGTGGGCCCCATGAGGGGCCTAGGACCACTACTGAAGCCCCCATGTGGGACCTAGGACCACTACCGAAGCCCCCATTCCCCTGCCGTGTTCCTGGAGGCCAGAGCCCTCAGGGGCCTTGGTTTTTACCCAAGCACACACTGGGTGCACTGAGGGCTAAGGCCCAGTGTGTCTATGACACATTCATGGCAGGTCCTGCACACTTCACCCCCTCATCACTCCAGGAATCTCTGGGAGCCTCTGCACCCCAGAGGCCCTGGCTGCAGTAGACATGTTGACGAGTCAAATTGCAGCCTGTGGCTGAGCTGTGGAGACTCCGGGTGCAAATTCCTGGGGAATTCCTGCAGGCGATCCTGCACGCCAG
This sequence comes from Homo sapiens, assembly GCF_000001405.40. Lineage (NCBI taxonomy): Eukaryota > Metazoa > Chordata > Mammalia > Primates > Hominidae > Homo > Homo sapiens. The sequence goes on along the minus strand of NC_000001.11, from coordinate 3,568,060 downwards.
GCCTCTCTGGCGTTTATGGGACGGGTTCTGCCTCCTCAGCAGCTGGGCCCCGTGGCTGGGCCTGTCCCACAGCACGGCAGTGCCTGTGAGACCCTTGGGAAGAAGGGTCCAGGGTGGCGGGCAGCAGCCTGGGGGAGCCCGAGGCTGGTTTCTGGGCTCCTGGCAGGTCTCAGCCACCTAAGTGAGGAAAGAGGGGAGGGGTTTCCTATGCCGAGGTCCTACCATGAACCTGTCATAGAAACACAGGCCTGTCCTGCCTGCACCAGGTCCCGGAGGACAGGTCGGTGGAGGGCCGTCTCCTTCAAGGTCGCTGCAGCGTCCCAGGCCCCCCTGCCCCTGGCTGGACAACCCCGGCCTGCAGGGTGACGCTCTGGGTCGCAGGTGCTCCTAGGGACCGAGGGCCCACGGTGTGATGGCCAAGGAGCTAGGCCAGGCTGGCCGTGTCCCCGGCAAACGGGACCTGTGGTCAGAGCCTGCAGGGCTGCGCGGTGCTGGCTGGCAGGTGGCTTGTCCTGGGAGAGCCTGGGGGGGGCATGTCCATGCTGGGGGTGCAGGAGGGATCCCCGCCACACGCAGCCCACGTGCAATCAATAAACACGCAGGGTCTGCAGGTCCCACCTGACCTCTGGCAGTGCCAGTCCACTGACAGCCCGGCTTTGGGGAGCTATGCCCAAGACTGGGGCCTTTGTAGGGAGGGGAGGATCCCAGGAGAGGCGAGGAGGCAGGGCCTGGGCCTTCTGGAGCTGTGGCCTCAGGGGCAGGTCTGGGCTGGGTGAGCCCTGGCGGGTAGGAAGGGAGGAAGCGTGTCCAGGCCCTGCCCATGTCCAGTGCATCCCTGGGAGGGACCAGGGCTCTGTCTTCGCCGTGTGGCCCGGCTCCTGCTCACATCTTTGCCTCTAGCACTCTGGCAGGGTAGGTGAGGCGTTGCCCATCTGCCAGCACCGTGCGACCAGGGCTGGGGCCCTTCTGGCCACCACAGGGCAGCAGCAGGCCCCAAGTGCACCTGCCGCTGGGGTGTGGGGCCCTGGTGGGTTTGGGTGCTACACCTGGCCAGGACGGCCTCACTATGCCTCAGTTTCCGCCCTGGGAAAACAGGTGTGGTAGTGAGGGCCGCCGTAGGGGCCGTGGTGAGAGTCAGATAGGACGCTCCCCAGGATGCACTCAGTCTAGCACCCAGTTATTTCTGAGGCTGGAGGAGAGAGGCACTGCTGCCTCCTGAGTCTGGGTGAGCTCTGGGGGCCATCGCTTTGTAGCACCGAGGACCCAGCCAGCCCAGGTGTCTGCTGGGATCCCTGCAAAGCCCCTCTAGGGCGTGCCCTCATGTGCCTGGGCAGCTGACCTGGACTCTGTGGCCTCTCCAGCCCCAGCCATTTCCAGCTGTTTGATGGGGCGCCGGGGGGCTCATAGCGTGAAGTGCGTTGGGGGAAGGGCCCCGGGGTCCCTCTGATGGGCCGAGCGGCTGGTCCTCGAGGTCTGCCTGTGACGCTGCCCAGAGACAGGTGGGGCTTGCTGGCCCTGCGGGGTTCCTTCCAGCAAGGGAACACCCAGGTCTTCCAGAGCGGCCTGTGAACAGCTCGGTTCTTGGCCTGGCTGCCAAAGTGGGCCCCAGGTTGGCCGGCGTCCTGTGCCCACCCTGCCTTAGCGCTGGCTGCCCAGTGCCAACCCTGTTCAGGGAGGCAGATGCCAGGACCTCTGCTGATTTTGCCCATTTTTAAGATTCCTGGGGCGATACCCATGCCCCCCTTCCCATGGAGTAATGAATGAGGCTCTGCAAGCGAGGGGCTGCGTGCTTCTGGAATCTGTTCTCTGATGTGGCTGCCCCAGGCATTCCAGAGCAGGGCCCGGCCCTCTGGCCCGGTCAAGCCGGGGGCCTGGGCAGCATCACTGAGGCCAGGCTAGCCAAGAACAGGACAGTGACTGCAGGAGAAGGAGGTGACTGAGGTGCTGACAGCCTCCTAAAGTCTCCAGCCGGTGCTGGCCTCAGGGGTCTGCTACCCAGGTCAGCCTCAGGGGTCAATGTCTTCTCTGCTGAGAGCGCTGGGGGAGGTCACCCACCGTGGTGGGATCAGGGCTCTATGAACCTGCAGGGCAGTGGTCCACGGCGGGTCCTATAGCAGCTGACCCTGAGGTCTCAGGGAGGAGGAAGCTGGATCCCCACTGCACCCCATGAGAGTCCCTGTGCCGCTGGGTGTCAGGGTCCACAGTGCCTGCCCTGGACGGAATGCCGAGCGTGGCTGGAGCAGAGTTGGAAGGCACCTGGATGTCCACACGCACTTCTGTTCTTGGTGACGTGGCCACCTCCACTTGGGGGTCCCCTGCCCTCCTGGGAAACTGCAGTGGGCTTTGGCACACACAGGCCCCTGAACCCCTGGGACAGGGAATCCTGGACAGCCCCATGCCACTCTGTTTAACTGGGCAATTCAGGAGGTTCTTGGACACCGGGCACCCTGGTGCTGTGCCCCAGGTCCTACCATGGGGACCGTCCAGGGCCAGGCCAGGCAGCCCCGCACGAAGCGTCCTCCTCTCAAGCCAGGCACCGATAGGCTCCTGGTCCTGCTCCCTGGACCCCTCTTGGAAGGGGCCTCCTGCAATCAAGGGGTCCCCACCTCCCTTCTTGCCGCGTGCTCAGGGTGGGGCGCTGGCACCCCCTGGTGGCCTTGAGAGGCCAGAGCAGGCACCAGGACCCGGGGGGTTTTAAGGTCCAGCTAGGAAGGGAACTTGGTGAACTCTGGGGCAGAGTGGGGTCTGGGGATGGGCTCTGCACGTGTGTTTCTCACCCACTGCTGATGCCATCTCGGTGCCATGTCTGATAAACAAGGAGGCGCCTGGGGACGCCCAACTGCCCAGGCCTCGGGGACACAGTGGGAGAGAGGACGAGACCCAGGCAGGGGGTTCCAGGGTAAGAAGGGGGTACCTAGGGGGCTTCATTCATGCGTCCATCGCCGGACCCCACTGCGTGCCAGGCCCTGTGCTTGGAACCCACCAGCCAGTCCAGCAAAACCCCTGCCCTCCTGGGTCCGCGTCCTGGTGCTGGGACAGAATTGGAAGGAAAGGTGTAATTCAGCGGTGGTGCCTGCCGTAGAGAATGTCAGGATATGGGGCTGGAGAATGCCTCGGCTGGAGCGGGGCCATGGAAAATGTCAGGATACAGGCTGGAAAATGCCTCGGCCAGAGCGGGACCGTGGTAGTGGGGATGGCGGGGCCTCACAGGAGGGGAGGTCTGTCTGTGTGAGGACCTGGGTGGGCCCAGATGGGGGTGAAGGGGGCCCGTCCCCAGCTTTGGGGGAGCCTGGTGCAGAGTGGGTTTGTCCAGTGGGACACTCACCCCTGTTGCATGGCTGAGGGTTTTAAGGGAGTGGGGGCCATACCCCTGCTTTGGGGAGCTACCTCTGGACATTGGAGGTCGAGGAAGGCGGTCCAGTGAGGAGGTTGTGTGGCCACCAGGAGAGATGGTGGTTCTTGCCAGGGCTGGGCTGGTGGCCAGGGCAACCTTAGACCAGCACAGTGGGGAGAGGAGGCCAGTGCTGGGCACAGGAGAGGGAGGGGAAGCTTGGGCTCCAGTAGATGTGAGGGAAGGAACACGAGTATTAGGGTCACCCCGGCCAGACTGTTCCCTCTCCCTTCCCATGGGTCTTACAATGCAGTCTTTTGTGACCTCTGCACAGCTCCCCCAGGGCTAAAGACAACCCCCCGCTTTACTGACCCCTCCAGTAGCTGTTTGTCCAGGCAGTTACAAGATGAGGTTAACATCTGTTCACCTCGCATAACAAAGCTGGCAAAAAACATCTCTAGGATACAGTCAAGACACCTGCACCCCTGACTCAGCTCCCCCACCCCGACTCAGCCCTTCTGCACCCCCGACTCAGCTCCCCCACCCCGACTCAGCTCCCCCACCCTGACCCAGTTCCTCGCCCTATAAAGCCCTGCCATAGTCTGTAAGCAGGGCTGCCTCCTCTGCTGTTGTCAGGAGGTAGCCCGGCAGGACTGACAGTAAATCAGCTTGCCTGAACTTGGGTCTACTGGCCTCATTCCTTTCTCGGCTGTCCTTCCAATTATCCCTTACAACGAGCAGTTGCTGTTTGTGCCTATGCCCAGGAGGGGCTGGCCTGGCAGGACAAGTGCCCTCAGGTCGCAGGGTTTTGCTATTGCCTTGGGAAGGGGCAGGCTCTGGCCTCTCAGGGCACCTGGCAGGTCTGACTTCCCTCCCCAGACGCGCAGACACCGCAGGGCCTGCGCCTCCCACACTCAGGTGTCTGTGCCAGCCTCTCCGTCTCAGTGTTCACATCTGTAGAATGGGAGCAGGACTTGCTGACCCCAGGGCCTCCTTAATTCAAACAACCTGAACATCAGCCTCGTCTCTCTTTCTTAGGGGTGTCAGGGGAGCCAGAGGGGGACTCTGCAGAAAACCATAGAACCGACGCCAAACCCAGCTCATGAGTGAAACATTCCTCACTCCATGTCCGTCAGCAAAGTGCGTTCTTCTAAAATGTCTGCTGGCCTTTCCCGGGTGCCAGGCACGATCGGGGGCTGGCCACACCATGGTGGCCGAGCAGGCATGGCCTGTTTTCAGGGACCTACAGTCCAGTGGGGAGGCAGACATCCCCTGCCCCAGCTGTGACTCCAGCTACGACGAGGGGACGGACCTATAGCTGGGGCGTGGCCTGGTCTGTGGACAGGGCAGGTGGTCTGGGCGGTGGGAGGCTCTGTCCACCAAGCCCAGACACCTGGGCTGCCATAGGTGCCAGGCATGGGGCTTGACTCTGGGCCTGCAGTGCCCAGCGTCGTGGCCATATGTGAGTGACAGGGAGATGGGCTTGGACCCCGGGAAACCATGGTCTTGATGAAGGTTTGGGCAGGTGGGACAGGCTACCTACAAGGTGCATGTGCGATGTGTGTGACTCACTGTGAGGGGCCGGCGCTGGGCTTGCACACAGGGGGCAGGGGCAGGGCTGCTCAACAGAGCAGGCAGCCTCCAGGGAGGGACCCTTGTACTGGACCAAGAAGGGGTGTGGGCAGGACCAGCAAGGGGATGACAGAAGTCCAGGATGGGGGCTGCCTCGGTGGGCAGAGAGGTGCCTGAAAGCCTTCCTCCAGCCATGGCCTGGGGGCGCCTGAGGACAGCCCACCGTCCTTCCTGGGGGTGGGTGTACAGAGGGGCTGGCCCAGCAAGGTCCTCACCTCCACTGTCACCAAGGCCCTGTCCGGAGCTGGCCCAGAGGGAGGTGTTGCTGCTGGCCTTGAGTGCTGGACGGGGCGGTCTGGTCGAGGGGCTGGTCAGCAGGTGCATGAACAACAGAGGCCTGAGCCTGTCCAACCCTTGGTTTCAGACCGGAGAGATGTGAGGGTTTGGCTGGTCCAGCCTGGTAGTGGCTCTCCGACCTGGGGGGTTCCCAGCAAGGCTCCAGCCCACCCCTGGCGGGGGTCTGAGCTCTGCTTAAGGAAATCATAGAAAAGTGCTGAGCCCCAGATTCTTATTCTTCTTGATCTGCACTCAGAGGCTGAGCCAGAGGCGCAGGGAGTGTCACAGCCTGTGTCCAGACTGAGGGGGATGCCAGGGGCCAGGCCCTCTGAGCCTCTGGGTTCCTTCCTGTGGGTATTGACTATGCGAGGGTTTGGGGATCTGGGTGGACCCCACATGAGTCAGAAATCAGTGCCCTTGGGGGAAAGACAAAGACAGAGAGGGAGACACAAAGAGAGATGGAGAGACAGACAAAGAGACAGAGAAACAGATATTGAGAGACAGCAAGAGACAGAGACACAGCGAGGGACCGGGATGAAGAGAGACAGAGAAAAAGACAGAGACAAAGAGACATAGAGAGATAGAAAAAGATAGAGATGGAGGAAAAGAGACAAACACGCAGAGAAATAGAGACACAGAGAAAGGACAGAGAGAGACACAAAAAGAGACAGAGACACGGAAATAGGCTGAGAGACACACAGAGGAGAGGGCAGAGAGACTGCCTGGCTCGCCCACACCAGCCCCCTACCCCTACCCCTTACCCTTGGTTTGGGGCAGCCGCTAAGCATGACGCTGGCCTCCCACCAGCACCGCCAAAGAATGAAACGTCCCAGGAACTCGGCCACGGAGGGGAGTGAAGACCTGGATCTTTGGAGGAACCAAGGAATGTTCTTGGCTTCCTTCCTTTGACATTTTGTCTTGTTTTCTGGGAAACAAATGGGAACGAAAAGCCCCCTCCCACGTTTTGGAGGCTGGTTTGTAGAAACAGGACAAACCTGGTAACTTCAGAGTAAGCAGAGAAACTGTCAGAAGTCAGGAGAGCGAAGTCAGATGGCCTGGCAGGACAGGCTTCCCTGCCGTGTGCCCCGCCACCCCACCCCGTGTTTTCTGTTGCTGCTTCTGCGTTTCTGGAAGAGGCAGCTTTCCTAGGGCACACCCAGGATGCGGGCGGGAACGGTCTTTGTCATCAGCCGCACCTGACTTTGAATCCAGACCTGGCTCCTGGGCCTCCCACAAGCTCCCCCGGGTCTGTGACTCTGTCCCTGCGGGGTGCATGGTCCCCGACCATCCAGGCCTGGTGTCTGCAGGAAGGGTCTCTCCACCAGCAGTGATGGTGAGGGCGTTGCGTCCTGGGCTGATGGCAGAAGGTGATGGGGCCCTTCTGGTCCAGCGGGGTGACCCCACTTCTGGAAACAGTGTTAGTGACTTCTTCACCCTGGGGTCCTGTGTGGGAACCTTCAGGGCCTCCCATTGCCAACTTGCCGGCCCTTCCAGATGCCTGAGTCCCTCTCCAGCTTGGGTCCCCAGGGGGCTCCTGGCTGGACAGGAAGCTCTGAGTGCCCCGTAGCCCTTGCTCCTCAGCTGAGCGTGGAGGGGCCCTCCCTTGCCCATTGCCTGGAGCTCAGCTCAAAGCCTGCATCTCCCCCTTCCATCAGCCTCAGGTCTGCGTGCAGCCTCCACCCGACCTGCCGTGCCGCCTCCCCTTGGAAAGGCCGTCTCTCCTGCCAGCGGGTCCTTTACCCTTGTAGCATCTCCTGCCAGAGACCAGGGCAGACTTGGGGGAGAACCTTCAGCTTCATGTGACCCAGAGACTCCTGTATGCCTGGCTCTGGGAGTACAGAAGGGCCTAGAGCTGACCCCTGCCCTCCGAAGCCCCTGGGGCACTAGATGGATGTGTGCCAGAGGGTAGTAGAGGCCTGGGGGTAGAGCCCAGCACCCCCTTCGCGTAGAGACCTGGGGGACCAGCCAGCCCAGCAACCCCCTCGCGGCCGACGCCTGAGGCTGTTCCTGGCTGCTCCGGTGGCTGCCAGAGGGGACTGCCGGGTGACCCTGGAAATCCAGAGTGGGTGGGGCCAGTCTGACCGTTTCTAGGCGACCCACTCTTGGTTTCCAGGGTTGCCCTGGAAACCACAGATGGGGAGGGGTTGATGGCACCCAGCCTCCCCCAAGCCTGGGAAGGGACCCCGGATCCCCAGAGCCTTTCCCTGCCTATGGAGCGTTTCTCTTGGAGAACAGGGGGGCCTCTCAGCCCCTCAATGCAAGTTGCTGAGTGAGGACAGCAGTCCAAGGCCACACACTGCTGGGAAAGGCCACACCGTAGAGACAGCAGAGGTGCCAGGGGTGAGGAAGGAGGGAGGAAGGGGTGAATAGGCGGAGCACAGAGGATTTTTAGGGCAGGAACTCCTCTGCGTGATCTTACAATGGTGGATCCAGGCCATGAGACACTTGTCCAAGTCCATGGAATGCACAGCCCCTAGTGGGCCCTGAAAGGAACCCTGGACTCAGTTAACAACAATGTGTCAACGTGGGCTCGTCCGCTGTACCAAGCGGTCATTCCAATGGAGGATTGAATGATACAGGAAATTATGTGTGTTGGGAGAAGGAAACTCTGTACTTTCTGTCCAGTTTTTCCATAAGCCTAAAAGTGCTTTAAAAAATAAAATCTATTAGTTAAAAGAAAAAAAAAAAGCCCAGCCTTCTTTGCCCTCTGGGACTAACCTTGCCAGGCCCTCTCCTGCCCTGAGAGCACCTCCCGACTCCCAGGAGATGGGCTCATCGTGTTTCCTTTTTTTTTTTTTTTTTCTTTTATTTTGAGACGGACTCTCATACTGTTGCCCAGGCTGAGTGCCATGGTGTGATCTCGGCTCACTGCAACCTCCGCCTCCCGGGTTCATGCCATTCTCCTGCCTCAGCCCCCCGAGTAGCTGGGATTATAGGCACTTGCCACCATGCCCAGCTAATTTTTTGTATTTTTAGTAGAGATGGGGTTTCACCATGTTGGCCAGGCTGGTCTTGAACTCCTGACCTCGTGATTTGCCCGCCTCGGCCTCCCGAAGTGTTGGGATTACAGGCTTGAGCCACCGTACCCGGCCGGGCGAGTGCTTATTTTGGTGCTTTCTTGCTTGGTGCATGTCCAGACGCCTCCTTTCCTGTGTCTTCCGCAGAGGATGGCTCTGCGCTTTCAGTGTCTGGGCTTCATACTCCCACCGTCCCACTCCCAAGCCACTGGGTTTGTAAGTGTGATTATCACAAGTGTTTGCAAGTAGACTTCTTCTTTTTTTTTTTTTTTTTTTTTTTTTAAGAGACAAGGTCTAGCTCTTTGTCCAGGTTGGAGTGCGGTGGCACAGTCATAGCTCACTGCAGCCTCAAACTCCTGGGCTCACATGATCCTCCTGTCTCAGCCTCCCAAAGCACTGGGATTATAGGTGTGTGCTACCTTGCTGGGCTGCAAGTTGATGTTTGAATGGTCAAATGTCGAGGTTCCTAGTGGTGTGAGGAAGCTCTTCTGTTGCAAGACCAGTAACCTAAATTAGGAGGAACCACCCCATGGAAGGTAGTAGTTTTGGAATGACTTCTCAGGGCCTGAGGTTTAAGGACGGGGCAAGTGGCTGCCATGCCGAATGGCCTTAGTGCACTGCAGAGGCCCCCAGGGTTCCTCCTCCAACCACCTTGCAGAGTGAGCTGCCTCCCAGAGCTCCCAGAGCTCCCAGTGCAGAGGGAGGGGATGAGTGATGGAGAAGAATCTTCTAAGATATTCGGTTTTATTTTTCATTTTTATTTTTGTTTGTTTTGTTTTGAGACAGGGTCTCACTCTGTCACCCAGGCTGGAGTGCAGGGGCACAATCATGGCTCACTGCAGCCTTGAACTCTTGGGCTCAAGTGATCCTCCCCCTCAGCCTCCTGAGTAGCTGGGACCACAGGCACCCCATTATGCCCAACCAATTTAAAAAAAAATTGTAGAGATGGTGTCTTGCTGTGTTGCCCAGGCTAGTATTTGTTAGAAACAGGTGCTCAGCGCTGCAAACAAGAACCAGCACTTAGACCAAAAATTTCTCAGCAAGGCAACTTCACTTCTCAGCAAGGCAGAAGGGTGCTGCTCGCATCCATCACGATCGCAAGAGCACACCGAACAGAGAAAGGAAGGGATTTTTATCCCTAACGCAGTTCTGGTTTCTGTGTTTTTCCCCTATTGGCTGCAGTTGGACCGCACAACCTAAGCTGATCCCAGTTGGCTTAGAACGAAACTCTTTCCAAATAGGGAAAACGCACGTCTTGCGAGCAAGAAAAAGGGAAGTCGGGGCAGGAAGGGGGTAGGGTTGATTTACAACCTTACAACTTATGACCAGGAAGTTGAGTCTTTGAGGAGGGCCTTAGTTGTCCCAACATATTGAACTCCTGGCCTCAAGTGATCCTCCTGCCTTGGCCTCCTAAAATGATGGGATTACAGGTGTGAGCCACCGCACCAGACCTAGATGTTCAGTTTTAGAAGAAAATTAGAAAGGAGGTCGACACAGTCACATGTACATTTATGCATGACCAGTTGGTGGAGTGGGAGAGAGAGGAGGGGACGAGAGAGGCAGGGACGGTGGCACTGCACAGTCCTCAGAGTGGAGAAAGGAGAAAAGCTGGTCAGGCAGTTCCTGGAGCTGTCACCTCGGTGACATTGGACCAGGAGAGCTGGGTGATGTGTGTCCTGCAGGCAGTGAGTGCTGAGGGTCTGAAGGAGACTCTGAACTTAGCACATCCAGATCGTGACCACCGGCCCGGCTGAACCACTGCACGGAGCGGGGAGGGGAAGGCCAGCTGCACCGCGGAAGCATGCTTCCTATGCAGAGGGCTCTGTGTGGCTCCTTTACACAGCAGACCACCCAACAACACTCACGATAGGGCTGAGCTTTCGATGTTTGTTTCCTGAGAGCCTGTGGAGACACCCAGCCCTCTTGACTGCTGTGCCCACCCGGACGGCGCCTCATAGATTAGACGGTTTTCCCTGAGCCTGTGCAAACGACGTCTGCCCACGGGCCGCTTCTTCTGGGAGGCCTTCCCTGATATGCCCTTCTGCACTTTATCCCCTGAACTCCCCCTGCTGCTGGTGCTTCCTGGGCCCCCCGTCTCTCCTTGCCAGGGCTGGGCATCCCTCGGTGCTCCGCAGCGCTGGCTGTGGGAGTGAGCGAGGGATGAGCGGGCCCTGTGTCCGGCTCCCTGTGGCCTGTGCCAAGGTGGGGCGGGGTCTGATGGGAATTGGGGTTGGAATGTTCTGGCTACCGCAGGCTGGCAGGGCTTCTGAGCTGCAGGCGCAGAGATAACCGCCCAGCGAGGTGGGCACGTAGCCTGGACGCCGGGCTTGCTTAGACAGTGGCTCCTCCTCAAGACCCCTCCAGGCCAGCCTGGCCGGGCAGGATGCCCTCGCCACCCTGGGAGCCAAGGGCAGCTGCAGCCGGGAGCAGCCTGCAGAGCTCTGCGGGGGAAGCTGCGTTCTGTTTGTTTTTCATGGTAAAGGTTCAATTTTTCTTTTGCTGCCATGACAAATGGTTAGAAGTGTAATGCTTCAAACAGCACAGATCTGTGATCTCTAGTCGTAGAAGGTAGAATCCCAGCTCAGGTCTCCCTGGGCTTACGCCAAGGTCTTGTCAGGGCTGGTCCCTTCTGGGGACCCAGGGAGAGTCTTGCCGTCTCCCTGCCTTTTCCAGCTTTTGGGGAGCTCACACGTTCCTTGGCTCGTGGCTCCTTCCTCGTCCTTCCAAGGCAGCAGCGCCCGTCTCTCCTGGCTGCTGCGATGTCCTTGCCTCTCTCTCTGACTCCGACCTTCCCTCCTGCCTTCCCCGCATCCCCAGCACCCATGAAACTCCATGTGATTCCACCAGGCCCCCCAGATAAGCCGGGATCGGCTTCCTAGGTCAGGTCGGCTGAGGGGCTGCCTTCGTTCTTTCCACAGCCCTGGCTCCCCTGTACCATGAGGCAGCCTCACCATCCTCACCCGGCAGGCTCGGCAGTTTTTAACATTCTCCGGTCTGTGAGCGCGTGTGGTTGGGACAGGGACGTGAAGTACCTGCATCCTTGTGTTTTCACTGGAGCCTCTTCTGCTCTCCAGTGTCCTGTTTTGAAGGATAACGTACGTGCCACCCCTTGTCCACAATGGAGCTCTTAAGCTGCCTGCAGTCTGCTTGGTGGTCAGTCCTATTCGTCTCCAGTGTGTCCCGGCCTCAGGCAGTCACCGGGTCCTCTGTCCTCTCATTTGCAGGTAGTTCCGCTGCTGCAGCCTCTGTGACCCGCTCCTGACTCACTGGAGTGGGAAGCAGGCAGAAAACCTGGTGGGCGGCCGAGAGGAGGCCCAGGGCGTCTCTTGCTTTGCCGAGGTTTCTCCTACCCCTGCTGGCTGTGGCTCCGTGAGGAGGTCCCGGGCCAATTTGGTTCAGCCAGCCGGCGGTTTTGGATGCGCCACTTACCATGAAACTTCATGTAATGAGTGTGACGTTGTCACCTCTGGGAGCTCATGGGGGTGTCTTTGTGCCAAGATCATGGAGTTTAATTCTGACCTGGCCTGCGGGCCTCACACAGAGCTCTAGGTTATGTATGGGGACCCTGCCCCACTCCCCATCCTGGGAAATCCTGACGGGGCTTGGGGAGCAGAGCATGGACTCACAGGGTGGCCCAGCAACAGGGACGTGGTTCACTTAGCACCTGGGCCACGGAAGGCCACTCCTGCTGTAACAGGTGGAGCCCACCCCCAAGGTCTCTGAACCCAGCCCACCTTGGAGAGGGGCTCCCCTGGCCACGGACTCCAGCTGGTTCCAGGGCCAGCCAGGATCCCGTGAGTCCTGTGGGTGGGCGGGCAGACTTGAGATGTAGCCAGTCCTAGGTGGACTTGCAGCCACAGTCCCTCCCCCAGAGATGATGGGACAGCTTGAGTTGGAGACTTATTTGGGGCACTTTCTTCTTGGACAGATGCTCAGAAGGATGCCAGCTCAGTCTTCCAGGATACCTCGCTTCCTTGGTTGGGGGCAGGGGCAAGTCCTGCCTTTGGATGCCGCCGCTGGCCCGGCTTTCCAGGTCTTGGCCTGAGACCCCAGGAGGAGCTTCTGGCATGAGCGGCAGCAGGCACCTGACCTGGCAGCCCTGCGGGGCAGGGCGGGCTGGAGAAGGCTCCTCTCGGCCCTGCAGGCTCCTGCTGTTTCACTGACGGGTTCAGCTCCCTGGGGCCCCCTTTGCAGCCATGAGAACCACAGGGGTCTTGGTTCTAGTCGTGGAGGATGGGGGCCGCAGGCCAGACCCCAGGAGCTCTGCCGTCTCCTGCTTTCATTTCTGAGCCGCCCACATTAAACACGGCGCCCTCAGTGCTTACAGGAGTCGCCTTGCCCCGGCTCTCATCCTGCCTGTACTTTCCTGTCTCGTCTGGACATGGGTGGTGGAGGCCCAGAGCGGCTTGGGGGTCAGCCACACCCAGCGGCCTGAGGCCATGCCAGCCTGGAACCTGGCCCTCAGGGCCTCTGCCCTGCCTTTGGGCACCTGGCTTCCAGCTGAGCGTGGGTGGAGGCGCAGGGAGAGGCCTCCTGCAGCTCACACCCTCTTCGTGCCCAGCTCCTCCTGCTTGCTGTCTTTTTGGGCAGAAGAGGCCCCTTCTCGGCCCTGATCCATAGCCCTGGGTGGGTGGGTGGGTGGGTGGTGGGGACCACCTGTGCTTCTCTCCGGCCAGCAGGCCCCGTGCGTGGGGTGTTGGCCTGGTGGGATCCAGGCTTTGGTCTTTCCTGCTTTCTCCCATTGCCCTGGACAAGAGGGTGTGGCTGGGTTCCAGGACGGGAGAGGGCCGGGCAGGACCTGGGATCAGCCCTTGTCCCACTCCCCTGCCAGCCGCCCTGTCTTTTCCCTGAGGGAGCTGGAAGAGGCCAACCCCCAAATCAGTGGCCCTAGCCTCCACACTGTGGTTTCCAGAATAGTGGCCCCGCGATGTCCACAGCCTAATCTCAGGGAACTGTGACCTTTACCTTGAATGGCAACGACTTTGTAGATGTGATCACTTTCAGGAATTTGAGATGGGAAGGTGGCCCTGGGTTGCCCAGGTGGACCCTGAATGCTGTCACTCATGTCCTCATGGAGGGAGAGAGGCTGGCACAGGAGAGGAGGGGCAGGGGGACCTCAGAGACAGAGGCTAGAGTGAGAGGATCCAGTTGTGGGAGAGGCTCTGGAGCACCTGCCTGGGGGGCCCAGTCATTCTCACTTTGGACTTCCGGCCTCTAAAACTTTAAGAGAGGCTTCTGTTGTTTAAGCCACCTGGTTAGTGACACTCTGGTACATCAGCCCCAGGAAAGGGATGTAGCTGCCTCCTGTAGCAGCTGGGACCCTGGGGCCCTTACCTGACTCCAGGTGAATTACCTGCCCCTCTTCCCCCAGGCTGAAGCCGCCCTCCCCTCTCACCGGGACACCTGGAGTGCCGTCCCCCTCCCGCCTGGCCCGGCTGGGTCCCCACCCCTTGTTAGACCCCGCTGGCTTTTCCAGTGTTCCTGCCATCCCCCAGCGACACTCTCTCGGAGCCGCCTGGTCGGGGCGCTGGTTGATGCTCCCAGCCCAGTGTTGGAACCCAGAGTCCTCACCGTCTCCTCCTGAGGTGTCGTCTTAGTGCCCCTGCCCACGGCATGCAGCAGGGTGCATGGCAAGGGGGTCACGGTGGCTGCCGGGGGCGGGATGGGGCGCATGTGCTCTTCCCCACCCCAAGCAGGCGTTCTGGAAGCAGGCGCCAAGCTTGTTCCCCACAGGACACCAGGAGGCATGTGGGCCCCACAGAGCAAGCTCGCACAGGGCCCCCCGCTTGTCCCTGCCCCTGAGGTGTTGGCGGAGGGGAGCAGCTGGGTTCCAGGCAGAACATTCCTGGGGAGGAAGACCAGGCAGGCCCCAGCCGTGCCACCCACCCACGTCGGCACTTTCTGGTGTGCTGGCCAACGGGGTGCTCCCGGGCCCACCTGTTCCCAGAAGTTGGACCTCTGAGGCACAGCGGGGTGAGAGGCTGCCCACCCCTCCTGAAGGGGTGACTTTCCAGTGCAGGGCCCCCTGTGAAGCCCCCGATGCCTGCCGCTGCCCTGCCTCTCCTCTGGAGCCACTCGTGGTGGACTCCGGGCCAGCTGGTTTTCGTCAGTGCTCCTGGCTGAGGTTTTGGGACCAGCCCTGACCTGCCTGGGTGACACCAGTACTGCAGGCTGGGAAGATTCGTGGCCTCCCGGGCAGGCAGGGCCTCGTAAATCCTGCTCCTGCCATAGCCTGAGGCCCAGTGGGCGGACTTGGCTCAGGGATCACCATCTCTGAGGACAGCTCCCCTGCCTGGGGTGTGGGGAGGCCTCTCTCCCGTGGCTCCAGCCTCTATCCTGCATGGTGAGGCTCCCCCTCCTCGTCAGCTCTTCCTCCTGGGGCTGGTGGGGGGCGGGAGGGTCTCTTGCCTGTGTCCCCGTCCCGCCTGTTCCTGAAGACTCTCAGGAAAAGACCCAGCACGCCCAGGGGTAGGCAGCGGGGGTCCTGCTGGAGGCGCCAGGCTCACAGGGTACCCGGAGTACCCTGGGGTGGGGGGAGCTGGGCAGGCTGGGCCCCTGGTGGGAAAGCCGATCGGCCGTGGATCCCCATCCTCAGGCTGGAGCCAGGGAGGGAAGGAAGAGGATTTGGGGGGTCAGTGGGGGGCGGGGCTTGTGATGGGGCAGCCTGGCTCCAAGGCCCTGGTAGTTAGGCGGAGCTTGGGGCCTCCCTGTACCCTCAGAACAGGGCTGTGCGTTACCTTTGAGGCCCCTGGCCACCAGCCCTAGTGGCAGCTAGGTCTGTCTGGAGGGGATTAGGGGCTGGGCACCTCTCAAGATGTCCTTGGGGCCTGGCCGGGCCCTGGGCCTTGGACTGAGCCTGAACTCTGAGGGGGACCTGGGCAGCAGCATCTGATCTGTCCACTGGTGGGGCCTCGGGATGAAGCAGCAGGCTTACCTGGTGGGGGACTGGAAGACCCAGCTGGGCTTGGAGGGCAAGGTGGCTGCAGAGAAAAGTGGGGGGTCTGGGCCCGGTGGGTGAGCACAGCGGCCCTTTCCCTCAAGCCACCCTGGCAGGCTGTGGCCTCCTCATTTCCAAGGGAGCCTCCCAGGGTTTCTTTTCTTTTTTTAGAGACAGAATCTTGCTTTGCTACCCAGGCTGGAGTGCCGTGGTGTGACCATACCGTACTGCAGCCTTGAACTCCCGGGCTCAGGCCGTCGATCCTCCTGCCTTAGCCTCCGAGTAGCTGGGATGACAGGCGTGCGCCACCACACCTAGCTAATTTGTTATTTTTTGTAGAGACGGGATCTCATATGTTGCCCAGGCTGGTCTCAAAGTCCTGGCCTCAATAGATCCTCCGGCCTGGGCCTCCCAGAGTGCTGGGATTACGGGCGTGAGCCGCCACGCGTGGTCTTACCAGGATGCCTCAGCGCTTTCTTGGCTCTGTCCTAGACCCCAGTCCTGTTGCCCTCCTGGCATCAGGCGCAGCCCCAGGCAGCTTGTGTTCCTGTGGGGGCCTGGACACCTGCCCTCGCCATGTCCCCACAGCCTGGAGCAGGGAGAAGGCCCTGCCTGGGAGGCTGGCCCTGGTGGGCGGGGTTGAGTGCTAAGGCTCCTCTGTGGCCAGGTTTGCATTCTGTGCCTGGGGCTCGGGCATAGGGAGGCTATGTGCTCGTCAGTGGAGTGGCAATCCTGAGGGGAGCCACCGCTGGGGTCCTGAGGGTTGGGTGAGAAAATGCACCCAGAGTTGAGCCACAGTTTGGCGTGTCCAGAGCAGGGGTCCCCTCCCGTGCCTGGGCTGATGGTAACGTTGACTTGGGGACAAGTGTGGTTCAAGGGGCTGGGATTGCTGATGTCTGAACGGCCCACCTGGGCACCCAGCAAGGCTTGGTCGAACAGAGGCACCAGAGGGAGCTCAGCTCTCAGGCTTCTGCGTGGAAGCTTGAATTGGGAGGTGACAGGGGTTTTACAAGTGCCGGAGGCTCCCAGAGGGTGGCCTCGGGCAGGGTGATCACCTGAGTGGCTGGTTTTCCTGATGGAAGTCGCAGCCCTGCTGGTTTCTGGATGCCCCCATCCAGCTCCCCCCATCCAGCTCCCCCATCTCGGGCTCCCCTGCAGTGTGGTGTGTCTGGGCAGAGGGGTGTGTGGGGAGGGTTGGCGGGGTGCTGTCTCCTGTCCCCTGTGGCTGTGGCAATATAAGTCAGAGCCAGCCTGTGACCACTGAGAGGGTGGGAGCTGGACCGCATCCTGGGAGCATGTGTTGGGTCTGTGTTGACCTTGTGTCTGGCCAGGGAGGGTTTCCAGCCAGCCTGCTATGGGGTTGTATTGGCCACATGGCCAGTGCCTGGTCCCAGGGGAGGCACTGCCCAGAGTGATGTGTGGAGCTGGATTGGCTCAGGGCCTGATGCTGCCCGTTGACTTGGAATTTGGCGAGAGTTTCCCCTGGTGGAGGCTCCCCACATCCCACCCCTTTGGCCCCTTAGGTCCTGTCGTCCCCAGCAGCCTCTCCCAGAGTGATTCATGCTGGCTGAGACCCCTGGGGTCTGCACGCAGGAGCAGGCTGACACCAGCTGCTCCATCCCCAGGTGTGATCCTAGGAAACACTTTGTCACCTGCATGGGGCGGGGCCACCCCCAAGCGGAGCCTCTGGTGTCTCACCACCACGGGGGCTGGGTCTGGCAGCCTCACATCTGTGGGGCATCTGGCCTGGTATAGGCCAGGAGGCTGGCATCGCTAGCGGGGAGCTGCCTGGCCACATGGCCACGCGGGCCCGGCTCTCAGAGCTGGGATCCACATCTTCTTCCTCACCTGCCTCACACTCCGAGGCCCCAAGGCACACAGGCAGCTGCCCAGCCCTGGCCGGCTGGAGCCTCGGATCCTGGCCCTGTCCACACCTGGCGGCTGATCTGAGAGCCCCACTGTCACACCCGTTAGGGTCTCCTGCCAATGGACTAGCACACGGGGGACACTGGCTCCCCCAGGGTGAGTGCACGGGCGGTGGGGGTGTGGGCCCCCTCTTGCTCCCCTCGGGTTCTCACTCTGCAGCCTGTGCTTGCTGGATCGGCTGCAAGGGCTGGGTCTTCGGAGCCCTGCCCCGGTTGGGTGGCTGCTGGGCACTTGTGACATTGCAGTCACTGCTGCTGAGTTAGGCCCCTGGCATGGGGCCAGATCCGGCACGGAGCACCCCGGAGGCCTGGGCACGACCGCTTCTTTCTGTATCAAAACTGCTGGAGAAGTGAGGTGCAGAATCCAGTCTTGGGATGACGTTTTTCTCTTTTTTCTTAAATGAAGGTGAAATTCACATTGCATAAAATAACCCCTTTGAAACATAGCGACCCTTTGTGCATTCATCGTGCTATGCAGCCATCACCTTTATCTCATTCCGAGACATTTTCCTCACCCTCCCAGGAGACCCCAGACCCGCCAGCTGGTACGCCCTATCCTACACTGTGTGACCTCTCGAGATGGGCTCCTTTCACACAGCACGAGGTTTGAGGTTCCTCCTCGCTGTCGTCCTCCATGTCTGTCTTCATCACCCGCTGGTGGGCACCCGGGTGGCCTCCCCTTTCTGATGGCTGTGGACAAGTCTGCTGTGAGCGTGTGCACACACCGTGGTTTGAGTCCCTGTTTCTATTTATCTTGGGCAGGTGCTTAGGGGTGGGACTGCTGGGTCTGTGGCGCCTCTGGGTATGTCTTGTGTCGGGAGCCGTTACTTTCTGCTGATAGAAAATTCCCGGGATGGGGAGGGCTGGGGGCATGGAGCCTTCCCCTCACCACCCTTCAGGCTGGACTCACCAGGTGGCATCCACGATCACTTCAGCTCTGGGGAGAGCGGGGACCCCTGGGTTGGGGCTGGCGAGAAGTGGTGAGGGCAGCCTTTGTGAGTCTCCAGGTGAAGACTCAGAGCCTAGCCTGGTTCTGACCTTCGACCGCCCACCCGTGCCTGTGCTTGGATCATCCCTGGGAGAAGCTGGAGCAAGGGGCCTGTCTGGTGCCCACGTAGCTGGGCTTTGAGAGGCCCCTGCTCAAGACTCACCTTGTACGGGAAGGCTGGTCAGCCTCCGGGTGGTTCCCTGGGCTGCAGTGTTGCCTAGGTAAATTCCAGGCCATAAGTGACGCCCATAGCCCGAGCTGGAGCCCTTGTGGGGCCAGAGAGCGGGGTGAGCTGTGGGGAGCAGCGGGGCCAAGTCGCCCTGGATATCCCATGCCAGTGTCTTCGGTGAATTGATGGACCCTTCTGCATGCAGTCAACCAACGGGGTGCCTGCCGCCAGCCAGCCCAGACCCGAGCATGACCATGTGCCCCCAGAAGCCCCCAGGCAGCCCCCCATCTTCTCGCCTAGACTGGAGCCCTGAACACCCCGGTCCTGGGTTTTGGAGGAAAGAGAGGCTTCTGCTGGCTTTGGGGAGGAGCCGTCACCTGCTTCTGGAGCTGAACTTCTCCGTCCTGGGCCCTGGTCTGCCTGTGGCCATGGGGCATCAGTCTGCGTGGTGCCCAGAGTTCCAGCCCAAGCCTGAGGGGTTGGGGGAGCCCCAGCTGCCTTGTCGGGCTCTGGCTTTTCTCCTGGTGGCCGGTCCACCTGCAGCTTCTTGAGCATTCACCAAGGGTCTCCTGCGGCCCTTGTGGGCTTGTTCTGGGCTGAGCACGGGGGCCCCGAGACTAGGGGGGCCAGTCCCCACCAGAGCTTGCATGGTCTGGCTGGGGACAGATCACCCAGCGCGGAGCCACGGGGATGTTAGAGCTCAGCCCGGCCTGGGGTGGAGGCGGCGCCCGCAGGTACCCAAGGCGGGGTCCCAGCCAGCATGGAGATGCTGGGGTTGGGGGCTTTGGGGGAACAAGGGGCGATTGCAGCCTCAGTGAGGGTGACCAGGCAGCGGTGGCTGTCCTGAGTGCCAGACCCTGCAGCCCCTGTGCCAGGCCAGGCTAAGGGGCTTTTCCTGTGGGTGTGGGGGGGTCCCTGAAGGCCCCCAGCTGCAGTGGGCTCCTTTCCCCGTGGAGCCTAGCAGGGTCGGGGTGGGTGGCTGTGAGGCTGCCCCGGTGCTGGGGACCTGTGCTCACATGGCCAGCTGTGTTCCAGGCCTGGGAAGCTGGGGACCCAGCTGTGCCAGCAGCTGTGTGGAAGCTCATCTGGCGTCCAGCCCCACCTGCCTGGACACCGCCCTCCCAGCCACCTGGCCTCAAGGCCCCAGTGTCAGGACAGGTCCCAGAGCTTGGGTGCCTGCCCCACACCAGAGGAGGGGCTGCTGCTTGCCTGCCAGGGCAGTCTGTCGGGGCCAGGCAGACAGGGGACCCTGGGCACCTTGGCTCTGACCCCTGGCCTTGGCCAGCCTCCGTCTCGCCCTGTGTAACTCTCTAGGAATTCCCAAAAAATTCCCACCATGGACCTCCGCAGGGCTGTGCTGACAGCTGCATTCCAACAGTCCGGAGACGGCTGGCCTGCATTCCGCTTGGCCCGTTCTCATGGGACTGTGGCCGCCCCGAGGCCTTTGGCCCCGCCCGGGGCTCTTCCAGGGCCCGTCCTGAGGAGGTGCAGAGAGAAATGCCCCCGGCACTGGGGAGCTTTGGGCCAGCTCAGGTCCGGAAAGGCCCGCGCTGTGTTCCGTCTGTCTGGGGTGCTGGTGGGAAAGGTCGGCCTCATCTTCTGGGAACAGCACCCTGTGGGCTGGGCTGGCGTCTGGCCATCTGCGTCCTCAGCATGCTGGGGGCTCCACTGGCTCTGAGCCTGCCTCCAGGTTCCGATCCCCATGCAGCTGGGGAGGGCCTGGTCTTTGGCCTCTAGAGGCGGGGGCACAGGGGGCTGAACATTCCTGGAAGTTTGGATGGTGCAGTTCAGCAGGGGTGGGTGGGCAGAGGCGCCTGGTCCCTGCGTCACCTCAAGTTGGGTCCCACACCTTCTCAAGGCAGGTCACTTGATTCCCTTCTTCCCTCGATGCTCCTACCAGCCCAGTCACTTGTGTGGGGAGGCAGTGACGCTGCCTCTGCCCAGGACCAAGTCCCGGGGGAAGTCCTGCTGCCTGAACCAGGCAGAGGCGCACCCCGGGAGAACTGCCACATTCCCGCACCCGCAAAGACGGAGGGCGGGCTAGGGCATGGGCTCTGGGTCCTGGCAGGCTGGGCTCAGCAACTTGATGTGGTGTTCAGGGCTCCTAACCTGCTCTCCAGGCCCAACTCAGATGCCACGTGATCCCCAGAGACGCGCCAGGAAGGGAGGATGGGGCCTGGGGCTGTCCGAAGGCGGGAGGGGGAGTGGCTGTGCAGGTGACAGTGAAACTCCTCCTGGCCTCAGAGCCAAGGGAAGCCGGGTTTTTCCTGAAAACCCACAGCTGTGGCAGACCGCTTGACCGGAACACACACGGCAGCCGATCTCTGGGGACTCACAAAAAGGGTGTGGCTGCTTTACGGGAGCAGGGCCACCTCCTCTGCCAAGCTATACCCAAATGTTGCTCCTGAGAGCCACACCACACTGAAGGCCCGGGGAGAGGCCACCTTCCCTGGGAGCGAGGGAGGGACCCGTTCTGCAGTGCGGCTCCCCTGCTGCTGGGTTTCCACACCCAGCCTCCCTCCTGCGGGGCCTGTTCTGGTGGACAATGTCCCCTGTGCTGTGGGGAGCCCTGAGCCTCATCCCTCTGAGGCCTCGGGTGGGCCGAGGCTGGAGGGAGGAGGTGGCCGCGTGGCTGGCACCTCACCTGCTTCTCCCCTCGCAGATGTGGGTGAGTGTGCCAACGCCAACGGGGGCTGTGCGGGTCGGTGCCGGGACACCGTGGGGGGCTTCTACTGCCGCTGGCCCCCCCCCAGCCACCAGCTGCAGGGTGATGGCGAGACTTGCCAAGGTAGGGCATGGCCCAGCCCACTGCCACCCTGCCTCGGCCTCCCTTCCCAGCCCACTGCCACCCCGCCTGGCAGCCCCCTTCCCAGCCCACTGCCACCCCGCCTGGCAGCCCCCTTCCCAGCCCACTGCCACCCTGCCTTGGCGGCCTCCCTGGCGCCCCCTTCCCAGCCCACTGCCACCCCACCTCGGCCTCCCTGGCAGCCCCCTTCCCAGGCCATTGCCACCCCGCCATGGTGGCCTCCCTGGCACCCTCCTTCCCAGCCCGCTGCCACCCCGCCTTGGCGTCCTCCTTGGCAGCCCCCTTCCCAGCCCACTGCCACCCCACCTCGGCCTCCCTGGCAGCCCCCTTCCCAGCCCATTGCCACCCCACCTCGGCCTCCCTGGCACCCTCCTTCCCAGCCCACTGCCACCCCGCCTCAGCGGCCTCCCTGGCAGCCCCCTTCCCAGCCCACTGCCACCCCGCCTCGGTGCCCTCCCTGGCACCCTCCTTCCTGGCCCACAGGCTGCTCCAAGGGCTCCACTCGGGGTACTCCTCACCCAACTCGCTCCCCACTCCTGACATTGCCTCTGTGGGGACTCAGAGGACCTGGTGTTGGTGGGAGGCACCTTGGGGGCCATGCAGGAGGAAGGAGGGGCGGGCAGGGATGGCTCAGGCAAGACCTGGGGCTAGAAGCGTTTGCGAGCTCTAAGCAGACCCTGTAGCTCAGCCCCACCATGGCTGGCAGGCTGGCAGCAAAGTCAAGGACAGACAGAAGGAAAACCCACTGGGAGAGATGAGAACAGATTAGGATTGAGGTGGGGGAGGAGGCCGAGGAGGGTGGCAGTGGGGGCCCCAAGCTGTCCCCATCTCCCACTCACACTCCTTTGCCTGCTCCAGCCTCTGCCCTGGCATCTGACCCTGGGGTGGATCTGGGCAGCCTGGCCCCTGGGAGAGTCCTCAGGCCTCTGCTCTGCTGTCCCGGTCAGACACTTACTGTCATCATCTCCCAGAACTTCCCTTGCCAAACGCAACGCTGTCTCCAGCTGTCCAGCTGCGAGCCGTTTGGAGGGGGGCAGGGGCCAGCCTGCTGGACTTGGGGTCAGGGGAGGTGGGAGGGGCATCTGCTCTGTCTGGGATGTTCTAGAAACAGATTCTGTGTGCTCCTCTCCAGCCTGTGCTTGTGGCCAGCGGGAGGCTGGGGGAGGGGAGAAGCTTCTGTGACCCGCGGAGCCTGGGAGGCTTGGGAGCCCCGGCTCAGTGAGGAGGGAGGATGGCTCCACCTGTGGCACAGTCCCCGCCAGCTCCCGGACCCCCGCTCCATTCTGGCTCTTGCCTTGGTTTCTGTGAAAGGGGCTCCACTGGGGTGGCGGAAAGCCCCAGAGGCTCCAGGATGAGCCAGGTGCAGGTGGAGTTGGGCAGGATGAGGGGAGGAGAACCCCCTCCCAGACCCGTGATGAGGAGGGGCCCAGCTGCTATGCCTTCTCTCCTGCAGGGCCCCCACCCTTGTCCACTCCAGGTATGGGATGGCCCCAGGACTTGGCCACCTCCACACGTTGGAGCTGGAGGTTCCGACCCACCGAGGAGCCTGTCCCAGGTGGGACGCAGGAGGCGCGGGACAGCTTACATTTTCCCCCCTGCGGCTGCCTGTGCAGTCCCTCAGAAGGGTCCACTCAGCCCCCACCCAGGGCTGCTCACTGGCAGGGACTGAGGTGTCAGGGTGAAGACCAGACCCCCCTACCTGGTCTCTGGCATTCTGGGGGGCCTGTGCTGAACCGATTTCACCTCAACCCTGGGGAAGAAGTGCACCCCTCTCGGGCTGGTGTCCCTGGGGCTAGGAGTCCCTGCGGAGGCAGCACGAAGACCCGCAGCGGACACAGGCACCTTCCCCGGCCCCTGAAACTCCCCTGTTGTAACTGATGGGGTGGGGGCCTGTGTGTCCTAGGGAGAGGGCTGGCCCCGCCGCCAAGCCATGGGACACAGGCAGCTTCCTTCTCCCCCAAGATCCTTGTATATGCCCCCCTTTAAAGTGGGGGTGCTCACCCAGCTGGGGTAGGGAGCAAAGGGCGGGTCACTGTCCGGTGACCCGAGTCATCCTCCCGAGGTCAGCCTGGACCCAGCCCTGAGTGCCACCTGCCCCCTCGGCCACCCTGCCCCCAGCTCCAGATGGGCTCCTCTGCCCCGCTGTTCCCCGGCCCAAGCCCGCTTGTCTCCCCAGTTGCTGCGTGGGGTCTGAAACCCCACTCGATGGTGTGTGGGAAGCCCTGGGTCTACCAGGCCAGGGCTGGTGCCGGGCCTTGGTGGGGCATGGTGTGGTCTCAGTGCCTGTGGCTGGGAACACCAGGCAGAGCAGAGTGAGAGGCCCAAGACCCTGCTGGGGGCTGCCTGGCAGGTTCCCGATGCTCCAGGGCTGCGGTGTGTGGAGCACTCCCCAGGCTGGCCAGCGTCTGCTGGTGTCGGGGCCTGTTCCAGCAGCCCCTGCATGAGGGCAGGCTCTTGAGGTGACCCAGGATGCTGCGTGGGGGTCCCTCCTAGGAGGAGCTCCACTGACCCAGGCCAGCCCAGGGAAGCCAACGGAGAGGCCCCCGAGGGCCCCTGCACAAAGGCTGTGCTCCGGGGTTGAGAGCACCTGTTACAGGGTGCAGACGGTGCTGGGGGCAGAGGGGACAGGTGCCGCCCTGCAGCCCCAGGAGCCCCTGTTCAGGTCTGTGGGCTCCAGAGCCTGGTCAGGCTGGCTGCTGTGATGCTGAGGGGAGAGGGTTAGCCTGATGCCGCTGCGATGCTGGGGGGAGAGGGTTAGCCTGATGCCGCTGCGACGCTGGGGGGAGAGGGTTAGCCTGATGCTTGGACCTTCCGTGTCTCTCTCAGCCTGGGGTGGTGGTGGGCCCTGTAATGGGGTCCCTGGCAGGTGTGTGTCAGGCCCCGGAAGACAGACTGACCACACTCCCGCCTCCTGTGTCAGCGAGTGGTGCGGCGCGCAGAGGCTCTCCCGCGATAGAGCGGCTCCGGGTGGTGAATGGGCTTCCCACTGCCCATGGCCAGAGCCGGGGGTCTCCTGATTCGTGCTCTGGGGCTGCCGGCCGTGTTTATGCCCCTCCAGGGCTGACGCGGGCTGGGCGTCCAGGCACGGCAGGTGGTGTGCCTCTGGAATGTCAACTCCATGACAGACACTGCAGAGCCCAGCATGGTGACGGCAAACACATTAGGCCCGGGCCTCGACCCGTATCCCTTCAGGAGGTGTTGGAATCTCTCTGCCAGGGGTCCCTATGGACAGAAAAGGTCTTTGCCATCTGGCAGAGCTGGCCAGAGGCAGAGGCGTGGACCGGATGACCCGGGGCCAGCCAGGAGGCTAGACGGCATCTCGGCCAGGGACCGGGCCACAGACTCTGCCTCCCAGCAGTGCCGACGCTTCCTCTCCTGCCCCGTCCCTGGCCTCGCCCCGCCTCCCGCCCGGGGGTTCTCACCCCCAGCTCTGCGTGTTTGGGATGGCTAGGGCTCCGAGTCACCGTGTGGCCGAGGGGGCCCTGCCAAAGGCCAGGAGCCTGCTGTGTTTTCTCTGTCCCTCTGCCAGCCCAGCCTCCCCCAAAAATGTAGTCTTGCCGAGCGAGTGAGTGAGCGCATGGCTCAGGGGGTGCCGGCAGCCGAGAGTGAGCACGAACGCAGGGTTCGGGCTGCTCAGAGCAGGGAAGGGCCGCGTTGCTTGGTCACCCGCAGGGCCTGGGGACCCCTGGCAGGGCAGTGTGTGCCAAGTTGATGGGGTGGGCCCGGAACCTGCTTGCAGTGATGACTCGGCCCCATCAAGCTCTGAGTGAGTGCTGGCACAGGAGACTGGCCTCAGGGTGCCCCGGCCCTGGGAGCGTCTCCAGGCCAGTGTGTTTGTCATGTTCTGGGAGACTGGCCTGGGGCAGGAGCTGAGCTCTGCTCTGCTGGGCTGGGCAGTCCGGAGTGGGCTCATCTCCCAGGGGAGGCTGGGTGCCTGCCACTGCTTCTGCCATTTCCTGGGCAGGGCACGGCCTCTGACATGTGCCCACCCTCCTCCCAGGCCCCTGGGCAGGTGGGCTCAGGCCTGTGCGTGCCAGAGCTGGCAGGCCCTGGGGAGGAATTCAGGCTCCTCTGTAGAGCTCCTGCCCGGGCTGCCTGGCCCCGAGCTCACCTCCAGGATGGCCCAGGCCTTCCAGGGAAGCCACTTTGAGGATGCCACCACAGAACCAGCCGTTGGTGTCAGCGAGGGCCAGGTTTGAACTTCCCTTAGCTCCTTATTGCGTGGTCTTGGGCGAGTAGCTCTGCCACTCTGAACTCCAGTCTCTCTCTGTAAGATGCGGCAAGTCCTGCTCTCAGCCCTTACAGCAATCTAGAGGTTTTGGGGAAAATGCTCGGGGCCCACGGCCCGGGCTGCAGAGAAACCCCGGACAGAGAGGAGAGCTGCCCCACTCGTGTGGCCCATCTTCCCCTCGGCCTGGGCTCCCCACTCTCTCCACCTGCCTTCCTCTGCCTCCTCTTGACCATGGTCCTCGGGGACCAGGATCCCACATCAGGCTGAGTGGGGGGCGGCCAGGACCCTACATCCAGGCCTGGGGACCCCTGGCAGGTGTCCATGCAAGCCCAGCTTCCTCCCTCCACTGCCAGCCGGGTTGGAGTTCAGTCCTGTGAACATTCCCACCTATAAAATGGGTCCAACCCTCGCATTAAGCCCATGGTTTGGCTGGAAGACCACAGTGACAATGTAATGGGGAGAGGTGTTCTGTGCTGTTCAGAAGGAGGAAGCAGTGCTGCCTTTGGCCTCCAGGGCCGGGTGGACCCCACCCATCCAGGCCCGAGGGCTGCCTTCCCACACTGGGGCTGGATTCAGCCCCGACACTGTGCTGCTCCCACCCCGGCTGACCCCTCCTTCCAGGAGATAAGGACGGATCACGGGAAACGGGGCAGCCGGGGGTTGGGGGAGGCGGCCAGGCCGGGTCTGGGCGGAAGCAGGCGCCTTCTCTGGTGGAAGTGGCAGCTCTTCCTTCTCGGTGCCGGACCCGGCTCTCAGCTGCTACTTGGCCGCGGGGGCTTCCAGGGTGGAGCTGGGTTTTCATCGGAGTGTCTGTGGGACGCGGGTGGGCTCTGTGGGATGCCACCCTTCTCAAGAGCAAAGGGACCTGCTGTAAGGGGGTGAGCTCAGGGTAGCAGGGACCACCAGAGACTCCCCCCACGGTGCCCCCAGGGAGCCCCTGTGCCCGGGAGTCTGTCGCTCTGCCCTTCCCACCCATCCCCGCCCACTCTCTGCTGCCACTGTGGGCTCGGCCTTTCACACCCTTGCCTGCTGCCTGAGGGCACTGCCAGGTTCCCACTGTCCCCAGGGAGAGGAAGGCATGTGGGAAGTGACCGAGGGCTGCGGGCTAGGAAGCCTGGGCGCTGACCGGCTGCCCCCCTCGGGCCAGCTGTGCCTCTCCCGCGGAGCCCAGGCACGGGAGAAACGAGTGGGCAAGGGGGCCTGATTTGGACCCTGGTCCTGGCACCCAGGCCAGGTGCCCGCATGTCCGCCTGCACTCCATGAGCCCCTTGGTGCTGGAGCTTTTTCTCTGACCTTCCTGTGGGAGCAACACTTTGTCCCACCCATGGCAGGGCCTCCACCCAGGAGAACGGCATTTCCACGGGAGTCTCCTGGGGAGGCTTTAATGCTTCCAGGACTTTGTTGCTTCCTGGGACGATGTGCTCTTGCTGAACCGGAAGAGTGGTCATGGTGGCCGAAAGCCTCCGCAAGCCCTGTGCGACCCACACTCCATGCCAAGCCTGGGCGGCAGCCCCGCTCTGTGACGCTCAGTGCTGAGGCCCCCCACGGGGCAGTGCCATGGGGGATTTAGAGAATGGAGCAAGAGGCCCAGAGGGCGCAGGAGCATTTGCGGAGTCAGAGCTGGAGGGTGGCAGAGGGGACAGGTGCCCAGAGCCCTTTGAAGTCCAGGGCCCCAGCCTGCGCCTGGCCCCACCCCGCCCTGACACCTGGGCTGCTGACTGTTTGGCCCCAGGATGCCATCTCCCCTTTCTAGCTGGTGGCTTCTCTGGATGTGGAAGAGGCTTCTTACTCATTCCCAGTCCCCATGCCAGAAGCGCCCAGCCCTTAGTGGGTATTCCACAAACATCTGGTGCCGCGACCTGAATGTCGGTGTCCCTGCAAAATTCCTGCGTTCGAGTGGACTCCCCAGTGTGATGGTGTGAAGAGGTGGGGCCTCGTAGGCAGTGAGGAGGCCAGGAAGGCTCTGCCGTGGGGAATGGGATGACTGCCCCAGAAAAGATCGGAGGGAGTGGTTCCCTTTCTGCCCTGTGAAGCTGCCCTGAGAAGCTGCCCTGGAGGATCCAGAGGGCTGGTCTGCCGTGCCTGGATCTTGGACTTCCCAGCCTCTGGAGCTGTAAGACATACATCCAGGGGTTTGTAAATTACCCAGACTAAGGCGTCCTGTAGGAGCAGCAGGAGTGAACAAGCAAACACAGCTGTGGGGAAGGCTGCCCTCGCAGGGAAAGAGATGGAGGTGTGGTGAGGCCTCAGCATCCCTCGCCCATGGGCCCTGGAGCCCAGGCCTGAACCTGGGCCTTCCGGTTGCAAAGCTGGGGCCACGTTCCTGTGGGTGGCTGAATCTGGGCCTCCCCAGGCCAACATTCTTCAGCTGGCTGTCTTCCCAGTGCAGCGGGAAACCCGGCTGCAAGGTGTGTTCCTTCCAGGCAGGATGGCAGCATTTCCGACAGGGCGTCTGTGGTCAGAGGCCTGCTCCGTCCGAGGCGCTGCGAGTGAAAAGCTTTCATTTCCGACTCTAATGAGCACACCCTGGCAGGCACGTTCTCAGTTAAGGCCAAGCCGGGAAAATAATAGCCTTCAGCGTCAGCGGTGAGAGCCAGCCCAGCAACAGAAAGACAAGAGGCTTTCTCTGACTGCCTAGAACCAGGACGCTGGGGCAGTTTCCTGGAGGACACCCCGAGCTGGGCAGCCTGCAGGCATCTGTGGCCGTGCTCCAGATAAACACGGAGGGCTGAAGGGCTGGTGGGTTTAGGCAGCAGCCCAGAAGGCCTGGGTTTGGATCCCAGCCTCGATGCTGGACAGGTGCGACCCCGGGGGCCTGCGTAACTCTCGCAGGCTGCAGTCCTCAGACTTGGAGCTTGGGGAGGCTCAGTGGACACCTTCACATGGCAAAGCTCAGCGCACCCTGGGACCCTGGCCTGGCCCGGGAGCCATCTGTTGGGAAGATAAGCCTGGGCCTGGGAAGGTGACCAGTGGATGCTTCAGGCAAGGCCTTGCCCTTGTCCTAGAAGCTTCTGTCACCAAGCCAAGGGCCTCCTGGGCTGGGGAAACCGAGGCGCCCAGGTAGCCACTTTTCTCCAGTCCTCCCGGAAGCCCCAGTGGCCCCAGCTTGGTTTCCCAGGGGCTACTCATGAGGAGGTTGGGGCGATTGTGCCCCAGAGTCAGGGGCTGTGAACTCTCAGAACTGCGGATGCCTCGGGAGGGCAGGTGCCTCCTGCATGACCCGGGCCAAGTCACGTTCCCCCTGTGCCTCCTAAGAGTGGAACCCACCATTCCCTCCTGGCAGGGCCGAGGTGCTGAGCCAGGCGTGTGCAGGTGGGGCCGTGTTCCTAGGAAGGAGAGACCCGCTGAGCCCCCTGAGCCTCCCCCTCTCCCGTCGTGTTCCCTCTACTTTTATCTCCCACAGCCACCCCGGCCCCTCCCCCATGCATCTCTGCTGGCCCTGCCTGGCCTTTCTGTCCGGGGGCCAGCCTCCTGATGGGAGGCCGCTGCTGCCTGTGTCCCTGGCCCCTGCTCATCTCTGGGCCTTGGGTCTGTAGTGACACTGCACCTTAGACCCGGTGCCCTGGGCCGCCTCCCCACCACGCCCCATCTCTTCCCCAGGGCACCCTTGATCACTGGATTCGGCCCAGGCCTTTCCCTGATCCTCTACCCCTCACCCCCTGGGATCCTACTGGGCTCTTGACCCCACTGAGGCCTGTTCATGTCCCTGAAAATGTCATGTCCAAAGGCCAGCTGAGTGCCACCTCCTCCAGGAAGCCTCCCGGATCACTCCTCTGAGTACAGTGTGAGACCTGGGGCATCCTCTTGCCTGTCTGCATTCTCCGCTCCCCTGGCAGCTCTGATGTCCCAGCAAGAGTCTGGGCCCCGGGGCGTGGGGCTGGCCTTGCCTGGGGGCTACATCCCCAGCGGGTGCTGTGTCAGCCCTCGAGGGCTCAGGTGCCCCCGGGCCTCGCACAGCTGGGTGGGAAAGAGCCTGGTAACAGAGAACCCACAGACAGCGCGGACACACACACACACACACACACACACACACACACACACACACACACACAGGCACATGCTCTGCTGGCCGGCAGCAGAGCCTCACGGGGACAGACCAGGCCTCAGGCTCTCGGGGGCTGCTCTGGGAGTCTGATGCCTCCCTCAGAGCCAGGAGACAGGACCACTCCATCGTGGGCTCACCTGGGGGCTGGTGTGTACAAGAGAAGGGGGCTCCCCCCTGTTTCTGCCTGGCCCCAGCCAGGGACAGCTGCAGTCAGGAATGGCAGCTGGGCTCGCGGAAACAGCGGTGGTTTCAATTTTCCTTCCTTTGGCTTGGGCGAGGAGTGGAGACAGGGTAATGGGTTTACCATGAGGCTGACATTGGAATGGTTCGGGGAGGCCCCTGCCAGGCCCTGTGTGCTCTGAGGCCGGGTGGGGGCCCCCCCTGCTCCTGATAGAAGCTCTGTGGTGGCGACAGTGGGAGAAGGGGTGCGAGGAACGCTGGGGAGGCCGGTCTGCTCTGTCTCCGCAGGGAGGCAGCTTGGACTGTGTGAGACCCCAGACCACAAATGGACCTCCTGCTCTGGGCTGGGCTCTGGAGGTCAACGGTTGGAAACCGCCAGGCAGATCCACGTGCCACTTGCAGGGGCGGGGTGGCATGGGATGGCTTTGGGGCTTAGGAGCCTTGAGCCCACGAAGGCAGATTAAAGAGAAGCTTGAGAGTGGCCTCCTTCTAGTACCTTCTGGGCCATGCTGTCTGCAGTGGGGGCCAGCAGGTGCACACTGACCACTGCCCTGTCCTTGCAGCCCTGTGCCCCTTGCTGCTCTGGGTGGCTCCTTTCCCCCACTCCAAGCCTGGTCCCAGCCCCTCCCAGGCCACCCATCTCCACCCTCTCCCTGCATTAGCTGGGATGGTCTCCACCTGTGCATGGACCAGCACTTTTGCGGGGGACACGCCCTTACCTTCCAGTGTCCATGGCCCACCCCATCATCCCATCCAGACCCCAGGCCAGGTCCCCTTACCAATGCGTGTGCCCAGGGCAGGGGTGGGATGAGAGGACCAAGAATCTCACACTTGCTTTTAAATGTCATGGCCGGAAGTGATGCCTGTGCCCTCTGCTCATGTGGCCACACCCGCCTTCTCCCGCCTTCCGTGGGAGCGGGGAAGAGTGAGCTGCAGGTGTCCGTGAGGGCAGAGCCCAGGGCCCGGTGCCCCCCGGCCACTCGTTCAGGGTCCATCTGCCCACCTAGGAGCACCCCTGGCCTGGCACACAGAGCACACACAGGTAGTTGTGGGCGGTGGTGATCGCCGCTCCACCTGGGTGCCTGCTGGGCCTGTAACCTTCTCCCTGCAACATGGCCACCTCGGTCAGGACTATGGGCCGTGGCTCCCGGTAGCTTCTCTGAGTGTCACTCCTTTCTCTCATACCCTCAACCCCCCGCCACCAGCCAAGGGCTTAGCTCCTTCCCCCTGTTTCATGCCAGGTGCTGGGTCTGTGATGCCATCCCCAGGGGCCTGGCTAGGTGGGAGATTGCCCGCTGAGGAGGTAGACTGGGCTGGGCACTGGGCTGCCTGGGGCCTTGGCCCCCTTGGGCCCCACTGGCAGCCCCCTCACCCCATGCCTGAGCCCCTAGGAACCTGGGTGAAGGCAGCCCCCACTATGCCCACAGCCTCTCTGGCTCCCACACCCAGCCCAGCTTCGCCCAACACTAGCTCTGCATTCAGAGGCCAGGGCAGCGTGGACAGCCCGGCATCATCTCCCTCTCAGGGAGGTAGAGGCACGTGTCCAGGCGCCTGAGCCGCAAGGCTGGAGGGGGGCCTTGTGGAGCGGGTGTCGGAGGTGAGCACTGAGGGACAGACACACACAGCAGTTGGGGGTGTTGGCTGGACCTCGTCCACTTCCAGGCTCTGGTTTTGCCTGAAGTTCCGGAGTCAGGGCCCAGCCCCAAGGGGGAGCAGTGACATTTGGGGGTGGCACTGGCCCTCGATCTGGCCTGGGTCCTGGCAGGAGCCTGGTGGCCGCCCAGCTTGGAGAGGGGAGAAGCTGGAGCCAGCCGCTGGGGGCTGGGAGAGCCTTCTGCTGACACACACACATTCCCAGGCACAGACGCCGGCTGCGTTTCCACATCAGGAAAGCATTTCCCAAACAGCTTCCAGACCCCACATTCTCCGGCTGGGACGTGCTCGGTGGCGGCACTGAGTAGGGGAGGGGGTGTTGTGGGTGCAGCCTGGGCCTGGGAGGCGCTCTCTACCGGTGGGCTGCTGCCCCCCACGGCCACGCCCGGGCTCCTCCCTAGCCTAGCAGGAGGGACGGCCCAGAGCCCTCCGCACCCCAGAGCTTCAGCTGGGGCTCATTTATACTCCAGCTCTTCCAGGTTGTGGGGACCTGGACGGACGTCTCAGTTGGGTGGGGCGATGCCCCCGTACCCCAGAGCCATGTCCTGCCTGTGGTGGGCACACACATCGTTGTTGCATAAAAAACTAAATGAATGAGCCAATGAAGGGGTGTCGTAGAGGAGGGTGGGCAGGGGTAGGGGGGTCCAGCCTAGGGTGGGCCGGCCAGCTGGGGAGGCTTTGCAGAGGTGACCTCTGAGTTGGTGTCTTTGAAGGATGCATCGGAGGTCATGGTCTGTTGGGCGGGAGGAAGGGTGAGTGTCTAGACTGCCAGGGAAGGCTCGTTCAGGGAAGCCGAGGCCACCAGAGGACGGCCAGAGCCAGGGTGCGAAGCCGGAGCTGCCTAGAAACTCTTTGTCCAGGCCCCAGGGATGCCCCCTTGGAGAGTTGCAGCACTGAGCCCTGCCCGACAGTCTGCCTGGCGCCTGCCATGGCCTGGGGAGGGTGATGAGCAGGAGAGACCCTGTGCCCAACCAGAGGGGCGCCTGTGGGTGCCTGCCCGAGCCATTCCCCTGGAGGAACCCGAAGGAGGTGGCCCAGTGAGGACAGGATTTGGGGGAGAGTCAGACCTGGTTCCCCTGGGCCGCACTTCTCTTCCCTGCATGACCCTGGGGAAGTCATTTCTCCTCTGGAAACTGGCTTAGCGAAACCCCAGGAGAATGTCCCAGGAGCCGTGGGCAGAAGGCAGGACCCAGGGCCGCTGGGGGGCCCCCACACTGGGGTTCCAGCTGGGCAGAATGAGGGTTTAATCATGGCCTGTATGTGAGGGCAGAGGGGAGGTGGGCGGGTGGGCATGGGGCAGCAGATGAGGAGGAGAGGAGCAGAAGCGGGGGACTCCCGGCTACGGGATAGGAGGAGCCTGTGTAGGGCCAGGGTGGTCTGTGTGGAGGACCAGAGGGTTGGATGCAGCCTTCTGGAGAGGGGCAGCCTTCTGGAGAGGGGCAGCCTCCCTGCTGCCTGTCAGATGAGGGTGTCTGATGTGAGTGACCCTGAGGGTGAGATGGGGATGTGATACCAGGAGGCTCCCATAGCTCTTGGGGGTTTTGGGGCAGAAAAGACAATTTCCTTTGCCTGAACTTGTTGTCAGGAAGCTTCCCGAAGGCCTCGCTGCGCTGTGACAGCTGTTCCCTGGAGGCTCGCCCTGCTCTGTTGGCTGCCCTCCTCTGCCTGGATCCCACGGGCACCGTCGCGGTGACACACCTGGCCCTGGTTCTCCTTCCCGAGTCATGTGTCTCATTGCTTCAGGGCCCCTGAGCTGGTCTCATTCAGGCCTCTGCCCATGCACAGATGAGGAAACTGAGGCCAGAGATGCCCCGGGATGTGGCCATGCCATACAGCCCTTCAGTGGGCCAGGAGCTGCCTCTGTGGCCCCAGTCCTGCACTGGGTACTGGGCACACGGGCTGTGGTAGCCCAGCCCTCACCCTGGATGGACGCGGGATTTGGAGTCCAGATGAATGGAAGGGGTGATGGCAGCCCCAAGGGGAATGGAGGGGCTGGAGTGGTGGCCCCCAGATGGCTCTGGTGGGGTGCTGAGGTGGGGGTATGGAGGTGATGGCTATCAAGGGAGAGGGCCAGGGCTCCGGTCCCTGGCTGGCTTCCAGGATGTCTCCGGACCATGGCTGTGTCCACCATGGCTTAGGAGGTGGACAGTTCCCAGGACGTCCCCCGCCCTCTGGGAATCAGCTCTGGACACTGTCTCTGCCATGGGTCTCTGCGTGGCCTTGGGGTGTCTGCTGGAGCAAAGGGCCGGGAAGGGGCATGGTCAGGCCTCCAGACTCGGCCTCCCACTCCCACGTTTGTTGACTTTTATGGATCCTCAGTCAAGCGCCTTTCCCACAGGAGGGAGGTGCTAGTGTTACAGATGGGGAAACTGAGGCACAGAGTGTTTCCACAGCTCGCCTGGGGCCTCAGTTCTTACTAGCAAAGCTGGGGCTGTCCAACAGAAACAGAATGTGAGCCACACACGCAAGCCATACATGCTGTCTCACAGTTTCTCAGGGCCACGTCAGAAAAGCAAAAA
The DNA here is from genome assembly GCF_000001405.40 of Homo sapiens. Classification (NCBI taxonomy): domain Eukaryota; kingdom Metazoa; phylum Chordata; class Mammalia; order Primates; family Hominidae; genus Homo; species Homo sapiens. Next base: position 3,534,351 of record NC_000001.11, on the reverse strand, counting down.
CAAATAGGTGAAATTGATTTTAATAGTATATTTTATTTAACATAATAGGTGCAAATATGATCCTTTTCAGCATTGCAGTCCATATAAAAATGGCTCACTGGGTAGTTCTCTTCTATTCTTTCTTGCTAAGAACATACTGACTGAGAAGGTGACATGTGTGACGCTAGCACGCAGGTCCACTGGGACAAGCCACGGTGCATGGCTCGGTGGCCTTTGGGGCTTGTGGGCTCCGGCTGGCCGTAGACTCCGAGTGCCTGACCTTCCCTGCTTGGGGCCTCGCGCAGCGGCTCCTGGGCTCCTCCCTCCTCCTCGAGACAGCACGAGGCAGGAGCCCTTTCCCAGGGTGGGCAAGACTTGGGGGACAGCATGGGATCCTGAGGGTGCGGCTGGTGCCTCCTGCTTCCTGTGGGCTTCTTCCTCCTCCCAAGACCCCGGAGCCTGGAGGGTGTCAGAGTGGGGCCTGCCTGAGCTGGGAGACAGCATCCCTTCAAGGAAGGGCCTCTTGAGGAACCTTCCCCAGATGGGGTGCTGATGGAGGACCCCAGCCCCGTCGCCTGTTGGTGAGGGTGACTGGAGTCGGAGGTGCAGGGATTCTGTTGCCCAGGCTCCCGCCGAGTACTGGGCCCCATCCTGTAGCAGGCGGAGAGGGACAGAGACCAGAGAGAGCTCGCTCGCAGGGTGGCCGGTCGTGCACCTCCTGGAGGATGGATGCTGCCTCCGCAGCCCGTGCCCTTGCAGGCCTGGCCTCTGGTGTCTTCCCCTGCACCCCTCTCAAGCCTGGCCCCTACCTCCATGGAAACTGCTGGGCTGAGGCCCTGTTGGGCTGTGGCTGCGGAGGGCGGGACCCTCGAGCTTCTGTTGGCACTAACTGGTGAGTTGTTGGCAATGAGTTGCACATTACGGTCATAAATGATGTTGCCCTGCGTGGAAGGTGCCTTCAAACAGGCCCGTCAGCCTGTCTATCCGTGCGATTTAGAGGCTCCTCATGGCAAGGGCTCAGAGGCTGATGGGAGGGGCTCCCCAGGAGGCCCCGCAGACAGGCAGGGCCCAGGCAGGCCCATTTCTGCAGAGTGTTGGGGGCCAAGGGGGCGGGCTGGCCTCTGGATGGCAGACAGGACGGGGCAAGGTGAGACAGGCTGGGACTGGGTGGGGCCTCTTCTTTCCCACGCGCTCAAGGATGGCCCCTCAGCCCTTGCTCCCAGGTGCCCTGGATCAGCAGAGACTGTCTCTGCCACATCTTAGCACTGGGCAGGCTTCTGAGGGGTGGGTCTCGGCCAGCAGGTGGGCCCCTGGCTGTAGTGGAGAGTGGAGAGAAGGTGGAGGCTCTGCCGGGATGGGCCGCCTGCTTCCCTGAGTTGCCGGGGCTGGAGTTCTGCTCAATTGAATTTGACCTGAGGACAGCATCTTAGTCTGTCTGGGCCTCAGTTTCCTCACCTCTAAAATGGGGACAGTAGCCCTCCCCTGCAGGGAATGGTGAGGATGGCACTGCATCCCCAGAACCCAGGGCCTGGCACAGCGGCCGCAGCTGAGGTTGGCAGTCCTTCTTCCCCACAGCTCTACCCGTGGCTATGCTCCTGACCTAGGCTTGCCCACATACAGGGCCTGCTGGCCCAGGGAGCATGCACCCTCCTCCTTCCTGACAGCTGGAAGGTATCCCCAAGCTTTCTGTCTCTGCAGTGGCCCCAGTCATGTGGCTTTGTGCCCACCGCTCACCTATTGTCCTCTGGGAGGAGACACAGGCTGCATCTCTGGGAACAGGCTGAGCTCCAGGGACACTTCCACTGCATTTCGGAGGGAGATTTTCGGGCCTTCCTGGAAAGGCCGGGAACAGTGTGGGCGGGCGCCCAGTCCTTCTGTGGACCCTCACCGCCAGTGCTGGAGGTGGTGCTGGGCTGGTCCCAGGCAGGGATCACTGCTGAGGGTCATTGAGCACCACAGCTTGCTGGTCACAGCTCTTCCATCTCCATGGAGGCTAGGAGTGGGAGCCCAGTGACCCCCGACCAAGGATAGGTGCGAGAAGGGGCTCAGAGAGGATGGGGGGCTCTGGGGACTCTGATCCAAGCCGGAATCACAGCCCTGGCTCTCCTGCAGAGGTTAAGTGCTTGACGAGGCTCTAATCTGTGGTTCCTTCTGCTGCCGACCCTGGGAGGACTGCCTCCCCCGGGCTATGCCCTCGAGGAGCGTGGGGACCCAGGGCTCTGGGGTTGGAAGCACCTCCGTGGCCTTTGCAGCCTGACACCTGGGCACTGCTGGCCACCCTGCAGGCAAGTTCTCCCTGCTCTCTGTCCGTCACCACCTGCTGCAGGGATGCCAGCTTTCCCTCGCCCAGGCTCCCTCCAAGTATGGGGCCCTGGGCCAGGGGAGGACAGGACAGTGCAGGCACTGGACGTGGGGACTGGGGGTGTCTCAGCCCATGTTTCCACATCGGTGCTGCAGCTTCAAACCAGTTCCCCATCTTCCCCACCCTTGTCAGAGTTCAGCCCCACCAGCCGCCTCTGCAGGCCCCCCTCCCCCGCCCCGCGGCCCCCCTCCCCCGCCCCGCGGCCCGGCCAGGACGGCTCCCTTTGCTGCTTTGGCTTCTTTTCCGTGTTGGCTCCAAGAACACACATGTTTGTGCATGTGTGTGCCTGTGCGTATGTCCGTGCGTGTCTGTGTACCTCCTGTGTGCATGTTTGCACACGTGAGTCTGTGTGCCTGTGTCTGTGGGTCACATGTGGATGTCTGCGTTTGTGCCTAGGTCCCTATCTGCGTCCGGGTCCGGGAGCGCGCACGCTGGAATGCGCGGGGCGGGCGGGCCGGCGCGGCCCCCTGGGGGAGGTGGGGCGGGGCTCGGGGCGGGGCCGGGGGCGGCTCCCTCGGTTGTCTGCGGACTTGGCCTTTACCTGCGGGGCGGAGGGAAAGCTGAGAACTTAAAGGCGAGGGGCGGGGCGCGCCCGGCCCAGAGCGGCTCCCGGGCGGCGCCGAGCGGAGCGGATCCCGGGGCTGGGATTGCGCGCCCGCCCGGAACCCAGAACCAGCCCGAGCCGCCTGCCCCGTCGCCCGGCCGCCGGCTTAGGGCGCAGCGCGGTTGGTCCTCGCCCCCTCCCGCCCGCCGGCCTACCAGGCCATGGGGGCGTCCCGGGACCGCGGGCTGGCCGCGCTCTGGTGCCTTGGGCTCCTGGGGGGCCTGGCGCGCGTCGCGGGCACGCACTACCGCTACCTCTGGAGGGGCTGCTACCCATGTCACCTGGGCCAGGCCGGCTACCCCGTGAGCGCCGGTGACCAGAGGCCAGGTGGGCGCCGGGCGAGCCTGGGCAGGGCGGGCGGGGCCAGGGCGCTCCCCGGCGCGCTCCCTTTGTTTCCTGTTTTTAAAGTTTGCGCCAGGGCGCTGCCTGCTAGGCTGGAGGGAGCAGGGCGGGGCAGTGCCCGGCAGGCGCGCCTGCTTCTGGGACAGGGTCCGTGGGCGCTGAGGAGTCGGTCACCCCCGTCCCCTCTCAGGGCTGTCGGCAGAGGCTACTAACAGCCAGGTCCCTTGACCGGAGGAAAGAAAAACATCCCCTGACTTTGTCTGTGGGAGCAGGGTTCCCCGCTCCCCATGGCACTGGCGACTCTGCGGGTCAAGTGAAAAGGCAGGCTGGAGACAAAGGCCCTTTGAGACCCCCGGAGCTGAGTCTCCGGGGTCTCCAGAGCTCAGCCCCTTTGGGGTCCTGTCTGTGGATGTGGCAGGTGCCGTTCTTCCTGGAGCCCCACAGGCATGGGCAGCTGAGAACCCTGGTGGCCTGGGAAGCAGGTTACAGCCCTGCTCTCGTTCCGTCCTGCCTCTCTCTGCAGCTGGGATCTGGCGCCTGCACTAGGCCCGCCTCCCTCCAGGTGGTTGCTTTGAACTCCCTGGGATCCACAGAGCTTGGAGCTGGGCACCCTCGGGAATTGGAGGAGGGGGTGGAATTGGAGGAGGGAGTGTGGGGTTTGCGGCTCCCAGTGAGTCGTCAGCCGCATCACCCGGGGGTAGGCAGTGGCTGGCGGGGGGCCCTGAAATGGCTCCTTAGAGACGTCACCCCTCCTTAGCTGTTTCGAGTGCCAGGCCGAGCTTCTGCCTCTCTCCTGCGTGAAGGACTAAGCACCACGCCCTCAGTGTGGCAAAGGCTTCCTTCATTCCCTGGCTTGGTCACTTGGCCTAGGGCAGCCCAGGCTCCATCTTCGCTGGGTAGGCAGCCTTCCGGCTGGGCGGCTCAGCCAAGGCCAGGTCCACCCACAGTGCCACTAAATGCCTTGCGACTGCGAAGCATCCAAGGCCTCTGGCTGGGTGTCGCTGGGCGCTCGGGAGCTGGGAGCCCCTGTCCTGGTCTAAAGCGTGCTCCAGCTTTTGGGGGAGAGAGGAGAAGGGCCCATAGGTAATGGTGTGTGCTCCCTGGGGGTGAGGACCCCGTGGCAAGTGTGGGGACAAAGCAGGGCTTGGAACTTGATAACTGCCCTGAGCGGAGCTTTCTGGCAGGGGCCCAGAGCCCTCCAAGTTTCCTATAAGTCCAGGTGGGCTTCGGAAGGGGCGCGTCTTGGGTGGTTTCTGCAGAGGCAGCTGGTTCGAGGCAGCCCAGCCATGCCTGTCCACCTGCCTGTGTAGTCCTGGGCTGGGAGCTGTGGGACGTGGGTGGTGGTCGCTGGGGGCCCCATGGGCTCCCTGAGGCTCCTCCACCTCCCAGCCTGGTAGACACTGCAGGTCTCGCCAGGCTCCTGGTGAACCAGCCCGTGTTGGCACAGCCGTGTCGCTGTGTGCCAGTGTGCTGACAGTTCTCTTGTGAGGCTGCCAAAGTCCATAGTCTCGTATCTAGCCGAGGGCAGCAGCAGGATCCTGGCCCAGCTGTTCCTTAAAATAGCCGCTCTCTGAGCCCACTCGTCTCTCACCAGATGGCTCCCCCCAGGTTCATGTCGCAGCTGTCTGGGGCCTCTCTGGCCTGCCCCCTGCCCCGTGTGGGGCTTGGCCTGGGGCTGGACAGGGACAGTGGATTTGCCTCCAGGGTGGGCCGTTGTCCCTGGAATGAGCAGGTTTTGTCGCCTGACTCATAGGGGCCTCCAAGCTCCTTTCGGCCTTTGCTGGGGCCCCGCTAACCTCAGGCTCAGGCCCCCACACTGGCCTCTGAGTCTCGGGGGCCAGTGCTTCCTGGGGGCCCTGGTCCCACTACAGGGCTCAGTGGGCAGCATGGTCTGTGTGTAGGCAGCACGGGATGGTCCTGGATCACAGGTCTGCAAAGGAGGGAACCCAGGGAGCAAGCTTCTGCAGGGCACGCGGCTCCCGTGAACCTGGCTGTGTGACCAGCCCCACAGAGGCACAGGAGTCGGGGGGCCGGTCTGGCAGAGCTGGCACTGGGAGCCCCGATTTCCAGCCCAGATGGTCCGAGTGTCTGTGACTCCTGAGACGACAGTGGTATCTTCTGCAGTTGTGCCCCGTGGGTGCGGTAACAAATAACCACACACTCAGCACTTAGGACAGCACGGATTTATTACCTGACAGTCCTGCGAGGCCCAGTCCAAAGTGGGCTAAAATCAAGGCGTGGGCAGGGCTGTGCTCCTTCTGGAGGCTCTAGGGGACAGTCTGTCTCTTGCCCCTTTCAGCTTTATAGAGGCCGCCTGCATTCCTGGTCTTGTGGCCCCTCCTCCATCCTCAAAGCCTATAGCACAGCACCTGCCAATCCCTGCCTCCCTCCGACCTCTGCTTCCACGCTCACATCTCCTCCTCCCCGCCCTCTGACCCTCCTGCCTCCCTCTTATAAGGACCCTGTGATCATGTTGGGCCCACCTGGATATGCCAGGATAACCTCCCATCCAGATCCTCAACTCAGTCCCATCTGCAAAGGTAGGTCCCTCTGCCATATGAGGGTCTGTGGATGAGGATGTGGACATGTCTGGGGGACATTCGTTATTCAGCTGACCACATTGTCCTGAAAGGCCACTGCGCCTACGGCTCTTCAGATCACAGCCGCAGCCAGGGTCACCGGCTCAGCACCTGCGGGGTCCTTGGAGCCGTCTGGGAATAGCTCAGCCCTGCCATCACGTGGGGTGCCTTGGGAGTGGGGCAGAGAGGGTTTGGGTGACGCGTTCCTACCTTGCTTTCTGAGTGAAAATCATTTCTATTAAGGGGATTTGCTCAGTTCAAAGGGGCTGAGATCTCAGAGTGGAGGGGACCCCAGCAGGAGGTTGTCTGGCCCAGTGCCTGTCCCTGTAGGCCTCTGTCGTCCAAGTGGGAGGCCCCAAATCCTTCACCCTTGAGCTGGCTCGCTGTGTCCAGAAGCTGATCCTGGCTGACAGCAAATAGCAGGCACCGGAAGCCTGGGTGCGCTTCAGCACCCCCACCCAGGCCCTGTCTCCCCCACCACAGCCCCCTGCCACTGCCAGATGGTGCTGCTGGGGTGAGAAGGGCTTGGCCTAGCCGACCTGGGCCTGTGCATTTTCAGAGGGAGCGTGGAATTTCTGGAGGGACTAGTGGCTGAGAGAGGTGGAGCCGAACCCGGCTGGGATGCTGGAGTCCCAGCGTTCCTGTCCACGTAGCAGGAGGACACTTACATCGTTACTTTTCAGAGACCCTCTCGGGGGTCTTGGATGGAGGGATCTGAGCTCAGGGGGAAAGGGTCTCCTTCCTGAGCCCTTCAGGTGGGTGCCACCCACACTGCCCTGCCCAGTGGGCATGAGTCTGCCCCCAGCTGACTCTCATTGGAGGGCACCAGGTCCCTCTGTCCCTCCAGCTTCTTTGGGGCGCTGTTGGGGGCCCGTTAACCCTTTGCTTTCCAGCATCTTCCCGCAAACCATCCTGGCCTTTGTGAAGGTTGTGGTGGCGACTTCATGGTGCAGGTGGAGAGGGGCTCCTGGTCTCATTTGCAGCCCCCTCTGGGAGGCAGCCTCAGGGCTTAGGGACCCTCGGGGTCTCCCCAGAGTGGGTGTGTCTTGTGCCTCCAGTAGATGGCCCTGGAGGTCCCAGGCAGAGACCCTGGCCTCCTGGGGCTGTTCGTGTCATCTCTGGGTTGCAGGCACATTCTCAGAGCGTGGATGGGCAGCAGGGTTTCCATAGGTGGCAGGCACAGCCTGGTGGGTGGGTACCATCCGTTGACTCAGGCTTGGAGACAGCTATGAAGAGCTTCTTGGTGTGTGCTGGCGCTGGCCGCTTGCACCTGTCAACAGTGCTCTGACGCCAGAGTTTTAGGATGGAGCCTGGAAGGTGGGCATTTTCACAGGGACCGTGGGTGGGAACCGGAGGGTGGTGGGAAGGCCTTGGTGGTCACAGCCGATCATGGACCTGGCGATTGTTAAGCAGAATTAGGGAGACCTTGGCTCTATGCAGCCCCTGGAAGCGAGGGATCAGGCCAGCCATGTTTCCCACACGGTCGAGGACTTGTCTTTTGAAATCATAATATTTTCTCCCAGAGAGGCCAAGCCCAGTGGGAGTCTGCTGGTGGCATTTTGAGCTAAATGTTGCCTTCCCTCTCGAGGCAAGGTCAGCAGGCGGGGCCTCCATTGTCACCCTGGCCAGAGGGCCCCAGATGCTCGGCTCATAGCTTTTGGAAGAGCACCTGTGTATCTTTCTCCCCATGGTGACTCTTTGGCGGCTCTCAGCGGCCCCTCCCTCCCTTCAGATCTGTGAACCCGGCTGCAGGGTGGGTGAGGTTGTCGGATAAAAGGTGTCACCTGGGCTGGGCACGGTGGCTCAGGCCTGTAATCTCGGCACTTTGGGAGGCCAAGGCGGGTGGATCACCTGAGGTCAGGAGTTGGAGACCAGCCTGGCCAACATGGCGAAACCCTGTCTCTATTAAAAATACAAAAATTAGCCGAGCGTGGTGGCGGGTGCCTGTAATCCCAGCTACTAAGGAGGCTGAGGCAGGGAGAACCGCTTGAACCTGGGAGGTGGAGGTTGCAATGAGCCGAGGTTGCACCATTGCACTCCAGCCTGGGCGACAGAGCGAGACTGTCTCAAAAAAAAAAAAAAAAAAATAGGTGTCACCTGGCCTGAGTAGCAGGCGTGGACTGCGGTGGCTGGGGCAATGCCCATGTCTGCCCTGGCCTGGGTACCGGGCTCTTGCCCTCCTCTCCTGGCACCTCCTATAGTTGGTCTATGTTGTCCATGTGGCCCGTGTGGTCTCTCCCTCATGTTAGCCTTGGCCTCTCTGGCCGGGGCACTACTGGCACTTCCAAAGCTTCCGCCATGCCCAGAGGCCCCGGACCCCTAGGAGAGTCCTCCTGGAGTGCTTCTGGAAGTCTCTCTGGTGGGGGTCATGGCGTGTTCTCTGGGCAGTGCTGAGGCTGCACAGCTCCGTCTGTCCCCACCACTGGCTTCTCCTCTGAGAGCCCCTGTGTGCCGGGTGCTCTGGCCAGCTGGCAGGGGCCCAGCAGCTGCAGGGCTTCTGACCCAGGTTAGCCCAGGGGCTGCACACACAGGTGTCCAGGAAGCCTGTGGCCTCCTGCCTGTCTGCTCTGTTCTGTTTGCCTCGATCGCTGCCTGGATTCCCCCGAGGCCCAGCTTGGCGAGGGGGGCCTGGAGGGTGGCATGAGAGGCTGGGCAGCCCGAAGCCATCTGCACATCTGTGCTTTCCCGCTGCGTTCCTGCAGAGGGTGGTGATGGGCCTGGGTGCAGCCCCCTGGGTCTCCAGCCCTGGCAGGGTCTCAGGGGAAGGATGCCTGGAGCACCACCGGCTCTCAGCTCATGGTGCATCCCGGGGGTCCTGCTGGGCCTCTGGGCTTCCAGCCAGCACTTTCCCTGTGGCCTGTGCCACGGGGCTGGGGACAGGAGCAGGTAGGCCCAGGTGTCCTGTGATGGGAGGCGTCCTCTCAAAAGTGGACCTGCCCTTGGATCCCTCCCTGCTCTCTTCAGCCACGCTTGTTCAGGGGGCTTGGTAAGCAGTGGGAGGGACAAGGGTCCTGCGAGGTGTCTGTGGCCTTGGACTGCTGCTCTGCCCCCTTGGCTGGTCCCCAGGCTGTGGAAGTCCAGGCAGCGCAGATGCGGGGAGAGGCCTCAGGACCAGGCTGCTCTCGACCCCTTCCTGCTCTCCTACTCCCCTCTACCGCCTTTGAGTGGGGCATCAGCTAAGTCTGGAACCTGAGGACACGTGGTTCTAAACCAAGCTGGCCCTTGGGCAGGGAGGGTCTGACGGGGTCTGGGCTGCTCTGGGATGGCGGGTGGCACTTCATGGGGGAGGGTGCCGGCACAGCGAAGGCTTCTGTCCTGGGATATGGTGGCCTTCTGGGTCCTTGCACGGGGAGCCTGTGGGTGTGGGGGGCCCAGGCTGACCCCAGCTGCATTGGTTTCCCAGGGCTGCTGGAACAAACACCGCAAACGGGGTGGCTACAAACTATAGAAGTTTCTTCTGTCGCCATCTGGAGGCCAGGATTCTGAACCCAAGGTGTCCGCGGGGCCACGCTCCCTATGAACCCATAGAGAGGACCTTCCTGGCCTCTTCCTTCTGGCCGTCCTTAGCCCGTAGCCTCGTCACCACAATCTGCCTGGTCTCCACATGGCCCTCTCTGTGTGTCTCTTGTTGGGATAGGCGCATTGGATTTAGGGCTCACCCTCATCCGGAACAATCTCATCTCGAGCCTGAACTTAGGACAGCTGCCAAGACCCTGTTTCCAGACAAGGCCTCACTGGAAGGCTCCAGATGGCCATGAACTGCGGGGACACTCTTGAAGCCAGCACGCCCTCCCCTTTCTCAGGCTTCCCCCCACAGCCTGGGCATGGCCGTCTCAAAAGCTGTCAGTTTCTCTTTTTGGGCTTGTGGGTCCTGGTGGAGCGGTTGACACCGCCCAGGAAGCACTTTGTAGATTTGGACTTAAGAAAACCGCGTGCGCTCCCGGTTCAGTCTTGAAAGGCGCTAGAGGCCCAGCCTGTCCTTGGAGCCCTCTGCTACTCCCCACCTTCTGGCCGGCCCTCGAGGCGGTGGCTCTTCCTTCTCGAGCAGGTGTCCAAGGTGGAAGCACAGACCCTGTCTCTTCTGCTGCGTCTCCGGCAGATGTGGGTGAGGGGCTCATGGGTGGTGCCCTCGAGGCACGGGAGGGACCTGGGTCTGGGCCCCCGGCACCTGGGGGGCTGTGTTGGCAAAGCAGGAGGGCACAGGTGCCCAGCTGCTGATCCTTCCCCATTCCTGCTCAGATGTGGACGAATGCCGAACCCACAACGGTGGCTGCCAGCACCGGTGCGTGAACACCCCAGGCTCCTACCTCTGTGAGTGCAAGCCCGGCTTCCGGCTCCACACTGACAGCAGGACCTGCCTGGGTGAGTGTCGCCTGGAGACCCTGCCTGGGCTCCTGGCTTCAGCCATCCCTACCCTCTGGGGTGTGCCCAGGCCTGGCCTGAGAGGGTGGCTGTGGACATGGAGAGGCAGAGGCCGCTCTGGCAGTGGCTCCTTCCTGCGGAGCATGGCTCTATGGAATCCTGCCCGCACCTTGCCCCAGGCTCAGGCCGGTAAAAGGACTGAATGCCAAGTTGCCAGGTCCCCAGGACCCTGGCTGCAGACCCTCTGCAGCCACACTAAGCCCCGCTGTGATGCTGAGGCCCCTCCCAGTGGACAGGGGAGTGAGCCCGTGGGTGGAGATCCTATTAAAGATTCTCTACAACAGAAGCTGCCGTGGTTATCAGCAGGGACCTGGCCTGGTTGTGATGTCCCCTACATTTGATTTGAGGGAGACCTGGGTCACGTGCTACGTGGTGGGGGACGCTGGCCGAGGAGGCCTGGTCAGGGCAGGGGCTGCGTGAGGACACCCTTCGCCCGCAGAGCCAGGCTTTGTGGGCCCAGGTGATCCCTGCCCAGCTTGGGGAGCCTGGAGGGTGTGGGCTGTGGCAGGTAGGGTAGGGGTGACGAAGAAGCGGGACCCTGTCCCTCAGCTTCCTCTGCGGGGTCTCTTGGCTATTGGAATGGGCTGGAGGAGGTGTCGCGGACACGGACTGTGGCCGCAGGGAGGGAGGGTTAGAGGGAAGCAGGGGAGGTGCCAGGCCTCTAGGAACCGGCACAGGGCTGAGCAGGGGGCTGGAGCCCAGGAATCTGGGGTGAAGAGTAAGTAGCCAGTCAGCCACCCTCACCCTTCGGCACCCCTGCTCCTGGCTGGCTCTGGGCACAGGCGCCCCAAGCAAGGACGGGACTGACCCTCTTGCTGGTCTCTGTCTGGGAGGCATGGGGGGTCATTCTCTGGGTGATGGGCGTCAGGACGCCCCTTCTTCCTGCCTTGGAGGCCCGGAGCAGGGCCCAAGCCGGCTCTGAGCAGCCTCCCTCCCGGTCCTGCCTGTGATGTGGCAGAGCAGCTCGCCAGCCCTGGGGCCCCCCCCCCGGCACACACTCACATGTCCCGGCCACCATGGGGATCCAGGCAGCCGCTCTGTAAAGTTTCCCTGGGTCTGAAAGTAGAAACAGATGCAGGAATGTTGTGATGTGCTTCCGGACAACGGAGACGGGGGTGCGGCCCCAGCCCGCTGCCCTGCGGGGCTTCTGGGAGCCTGGGGCACTTTAGCCTTGCACCCCCTGGTCCCCTCAGGCCCCCTGGAAGAGGCAGCTCTTGGGGGGCACGTCCTTTTCTCGACCCTCCTCTCAGGCAGGGTATTCCTTGTAGAAGGGCAGCCCAGGTGTCAGCCCAGTGGGGCCTCTCCTGGCCTCTAATCCCTTCTCCTGGCCTCCTACTGTGAGTGGGGGGGCCTTGGGACACTCACTCTCCTAGGCTTTGTTTCACCATCTGTGTGATGGTGACCTTCCCTGAAACCCTCAAAAGGGACAAGGACCACCCCACCCACCACAACCCACTGCCCACCCACCCATCACTCACCCGGCTGGAGTCTCCTCCTATAGCCGGGCCTTCTGGGATTTGCCTCCCAGGAGGCCGTCCTGGGGATGTCTGCACACTTAGGGCCCCAGAAGGCTTAATCTGCGGTGCTCGCCCATTTTAAAGGTCTTCTCCGGGCCAGATGCCAGGGCCCCTGGGCAGGGCCTGCACAGCCTGGCAGGAGGCTCCTGGGACCTCGGGGCCCCTCTGGCTGTCACCCCCTCAGGGTGTCGCCTGTGTGAGTGGTGGGCTCCCGGTGCCTCCACAGCCTTCTCCAGGGCTGGTGCCCGGCTCCTGGCTTCCTCACCCCATGGAGGGCCCAGGTGAGACTCTCGCCTGCGTGCCAGCCTGTCACCTAAGTGCGTTCACCTACTCAGGGGTCTGCTGGATGCAGAGCAGTGACCTCGGAGCGCACCTTCTCTTTCACTTGACTGAGGCTCCCAGCAAGGCCTTTACGCTGAAGCTTCAGGAAATACAGCCCCGGAGCTGTGATGTGTCTGTTTCGCCACAGAAGATGCTGGGGGTTTCACCCCCTGGGAACAGGTGGTGACCCTCGCTTTGGCAACAAGAGTGACTTGGGTCCCACTAGCCTTTGGCTAGTTGAGTTGGAGAAATGCCTTCCTCTCCCTGAAGTCCCTGGTGGTGGCCTGGCGACCCCTGGCCTGGGAACACGTGAGGACTAGCCCCATTTCTAGGCCACCCTGCTTGGGCACCATCCAGACCCCCTTCCTGGCACTCTCTGGGGCATGTTGTCCCCCCTTGTCCCTTGCCCATGGTGGCCTCTGTGTGCGAGCTGTGCGTGGGGGATACCAGATGGCGAGTTCCTGGGAGCTGACACCTGCAAGGGTGGGGCCGGTTCCTCGGTCTCCCGGGAGTTTCCAGGATAGGCATGGGTTTGTCAGCCTGGGCCCAGCGGGAGCTGCTCTCTGTGGGGGCCTGAAAAGCTTGTAGACCGGGGACGGAGTCCCCTGGGGGCCACCTCCCAGGCAAAGCCAGGCGTGTTTGTTTGAGGGGTGCCTCACCGTCTCAAGCCGCTTCTTGTTGCTGAGGGACCCAGCCAGACTGTGGGCCTGAGACGCCGGCCTGGGATGGGGAGGGTGTTGGGGCATCTCAGCTCCTGGCCAAGGGCTGCCCTGTGGGGGGTCTCCTGCGGCAGCTCGGCCTGGGCCTGTTAGAGGGCACTGCCCACCCAGTCCGTTCCAGGCTGCCTGGACTCTATGAGGGCTTGATGGGGATAGGGCTGGATTTCTGGCCCCTGGGGAGTTTGGGACCCTTCGCCCTCCACTGCCTTACCTTCCTGCCTCAGTGTGGGGGCATCTTCTGGTTCACACTGGCACCCTCTGCCCAGGCCTCGGTCCTCAGGAGTGGCCTCTCCCACCCCCATGGGCCAGTTGAGGGCGGGCTGCTCAGCGGGAACCTGGGGCTGCCGTGGAGCCCCTCCCCCAGGCCTGCCAGGGTCCTCCTGGCCGGGAGGGTGTCGTGACCCCGCCTGGGGCTTTGCAGGGGGACAAGGAACATGCCCCCACGGGCTTGAGGCTCTGCGGTTAGACTCCCCACTAGCAGCTTGGAGTGAGGCTTGCAGAGAGGCTGGTGGAGAAGCTGCCTAAAAATCCACCCTTCCTTCCCCAGCATGGGGCCAGAGCTCTCAGGGGGCTGACACCTCCAGGGCCCGGAGCAATCTGGGAAGGCCCCAGAGGAGGCTGCACCTGAGGGGGGCCTTAAAACACTCCAGAGGGGCCTTGAAACGTACTTGAACTTGTCTCTGAGGCAGAGAGAGGCCAGGAAAGGTACAACCTCCACACCTCCCTGCCTTCTAGATTATCTTATGGAAATCAGACACCAAAAGGGTTCCCCTCTCAAAAGCGAGAATCTACAAGAAGGACTTTGCCAGTGGCTCCCACACTGTGAGAGTGTGGGTCCCCGTTCCCCAGCCCTGCCCGCCCAGTCCTGGTGTGCCCCATTGCCCTGGCCGCCGAGTCCTGGTGTGCCCCATTGCCCCGGCCGCTCAGTCCTGGTGTGCCCCATTGCCCAGGGCGCCCGGTCTCTGGGGTGGGAAGAGCAGGGCCTAGTGAGGCCCGAGGGTGGGGCCAAGCCTGCTTCTCATTCTCAGCCCCTAAACCTGAGCCCGCCCTTGCCTTCCCCGGTGATGTAGGGAGCAGTGGTCTGGCCCGAGTGTCTGGGGGCATCATTCTTGGTTTTCCGTGACACCCTGCAGAGTGCCAGCGTGCAACACTCAGAGAGGAGAGCAGCTCCCATGTGGTCTAGCACTGCGCTGGAGGCCTCCGCCTCTGTGTACCTGGGCTGCTCTGAGCCAGCATGATGCCCGCGCATGACCCCGGAGGCGGCCTGGCTGACTCTGGACCCTAGCCTTGGACATGGCTGTTCCCTCATGTGCCTTGGGTTGAGCAGCACTCCTGGGCCCTGTCTGAGGGCCACAGATGTCACTGGCTTTACCAGCAGAGGTCCCTCCAGATGAAACACGCTGTGCCACCCCAGGGAAGAGGTGGGCCCGCTGTCCTTCTCCCCTTCTCGGCCCATGCCCATCAGGCCTTTGGGATGGACACTGTTGGAGAGGGGACTCTGTTGTCACACCCTGGTGGCCTGGCCATCCCCTCCCTGTGTCCCCCAGAGTTGGATGGACTCATGTGCACACGGCTGGGGGTGGCCTCCCAGCCCTGCCTCCCCACCTGGCTCTGCCATGGGTGTGCTGTGTGCCCTGGGGCAGACTCTTCCCTACCCAGGCCTGGGTCTCCCCATCACAGCAGTGAGAGGCTGCATAGACCCCCTCCCCTGGCCCCTTGGTTCCTTCTTGGAGGGGAGGCCCGGCCCGGGAGGGGAGGCTGCTGGCAGGCCGTTGGCTTGTGCTGAAGGGTCAGGGCTGGCCGCCTTGCTGCCCTCTGACCGCCGCCTGGTGTGCTGGAGCCGGGCACTGCGTAGGCAGTGGGTTGCTGCCCTGTCGATATAGACCAGGCCTGCCCTCCCGGGACTCTGGTGACAAGTAAGGCGCCTTCCTAAACGCTCTGGAGAAGCTGAACCCGTGTGATGCTCACGCAGCCCTGGGTCGGGGCCTCCCCCAGGAGGGCAGGTCGGAGCTGACGCTCAGCAGCGAGTAGGCGCGTGTGGCGGTGCAAGCACTGCGGGCATTGGGTGCCCATGGTGCGCCGTGCAGCTCCCACCTGGGAGTGCCCCTGTTGGCCCCCGCCGTCTGGCCTCCTTCATTCCATGTGTGTGGTCCAGCTGCTGCCTGCCACTCCCTAAAGCACACGGTGCCCCTGGTAGGCCAATAGGGCACTGCTAGCACTTGTCTATAGGGACCCACCTGTCACCTTGGCCAGTGGGTCTGGACCACTGCAGCCAAGCATGGGCCGAGCTGACCACCCAGAAAGGCGGGCGCTGGGCAGGATGATCTGGCCCTGGCCAGGGGTGGGGGCCTTGCTGGGGTGTGGGTTGTGGGGTCAGCTTAGCCTGGTCCATGGAAGGGGGGTGGCGGGCGTTTCCCTCCCTGCTCCATTTCTGGACGCCTGGTGGCCATGCTGAAGGGCCATTGTTTGCCTGGTGCTCTGTGTTGTTGGGGTGACATCATGGGCTCAGACCCCTTGGCGTGTGGACGAGGACAGCTGCTCTCACAGGCTGTGAGTCAGTAGTGCCCCTGTGCAACAAGGAGGCCCCATTGAGAGGGCAGGGGATGGGGGCAGGTGTACAGGGCAGGCCCGCCTGGAGGGGAGCTGGGGGATGAACACGCACCCCAGCCTGCCATCCTGGCCCTGTCCCCAACAGAGGGCTTCCTAGAAGGCAGGGCTGTGGGTGACTACTGACCACACGTGGCAGGAGACTCAAGATCTAGAAACCATCCCTATCTGAGGGCAGTAATTACAAGCCTCGTGAAACCAGCAGGGACCAGAACCAGAAACCAACGGGACCAGAACCACCCTGTAGAGCTGGCCTGGAAACCACTGGGCTGGGTTTGGAGGCTTGGGCAGAGGAGCTGGTGGGCCTGTGTCCAGCCCCTGCCTCGGCGCAGCCCGCCAGTCAGCCAACGAGCTCAGAGGCTGGGCCTGGCCGCTGATGCCCCACCCTCCACTCCCTCCGCCGCCCAGGATGCTGCGCCTCGAGCAGAGACCAAGGCAGCTCAGACGGAAGGAGGCCCCTTTACCTTTGCAGAGCTTCACCCTCACATTTGGCAGAATCCTGGGTGGTGCCGCCTCCTGCTGGCAGAGGTTGGAATTGCACCCCAGCCCGAGTGGACCTGCATGTGGCTGGGCTGGAGTGATGTCTCCTAGAATTGGCAAACTGGGGAGTTAGGGTGACCCAGGCAGCTCTGGCTGCCATAATGAAGAGAGTGCTCTGTGTCTCTTCCTACAAGGACATGAATCCTACCTGGTCAGGGCCCCACCCTCTTCCCTCTCAGAGACCCTATCTCCAAATACATTCACCTTGGAGATTAAGGCTCCAACACAGGATTTTTTAGGGGGGACACATTCCATTCATAACAGAGTGTCCCCCAACAACAGTCAGTTGCATCTGATCTGGAAGTGGACAAGGACCAAAGTTAGGCCTTGGCAGAACAAGACTCCAGAGTCAGGAAGGGGCAGAAATGTCGGGCCGGATTGCGGAAGCACGCGGTGCGATTATGCATGCTGACCATCAAACCCCCACTGGGTGGGGATTTTTTCCTTTGAGAAAACACCACTTCAGTATTAAAGAAGTGAAAGACACAGTAGGGCTTGCTGTCGAGCCCGCATCTGTCCGCAGGTGAGCCAGGTGAGGGCTGTGGAGCACAGACAGGGAGGGTCTTCCCCCACTGGGAGGCAAATCCCCAGTCCACGTCTGATGGGCACACTCAGCTTTGCCGGGTCTGAGCTTGGTCCACTTTGCAGGCTGTAACAGGTGTGAGCCTTTGGCTGTGGCCTGGGTAGGGGTGGCTGGGCTGTGTGTTTTGCAGCTGGGTCTCAGTGTCCCGAGGGGTCTGGACACATCCCTAGCAGTGCTGGGCACTGGCCACGCAGGGGTGGCCCCTCCTGAGCTGCATATCCCAGCGCTGGCGAAAATCTGCCTGGTTCAGCTTTCCGGGAATCCGTGGCACAGGATATATGCGACGACACTGGGCTTGGCTCCCGGCTGCGCACAGCTTGGGAGCATCTGGGGTGTTAGAACTGTGTGGACTGGAGTGGCAAGAGGACAGGCTCTGGGGGGATCCCTGCCTCTGATCCCCCCGCCCTGGTGGGCTCCAGTGCGCGCCATGCCCGGTGGTCCCTGGGTGCGTCTCAGGGCTCTGCCTGTCTGGAGGGGGTGATGAGAAGCCTCTTTCTTTCCCAGCCCTGCCGCAGCCTCCTGGGCCCTTGTGGCGCCTGGATCCTGACGGCCCAGCTTCCCTGCCATGGGCTCTGTGCCCCCTGTGCCTGCCTGGCCCTGCCAGGAGGGGGTCTGTTTCCTATTACGTGTTCCAGACAGGGGTGCTGTTGCTGCGGTGAACACAATAAACAGGGCCCCTGGGAAGGCGGGGCCGGCGCAGGCCATGCTCAGAGGCCCCTGGAGCCACGGTAGTGGCTTCAGCAGGGCCATCTCAGGTGAGGCAGGCCGGGCCTGGGGGCCAGGACAGCTCCCATCTTGTCTGGGCAGTTAGGTGGATGGGGCGAGGGGCTCAGAGGCAGACGGGCTTACCTGAGTTCTGCCCTGGGTTCCCCACAGCCTGCACGTGCCAGGGACACGTGGGGCAGGAGACAGAGCCATCACTGCGACCCCCAATAGCCTCCCAAGGCTGGCTCTGCCCCAGGAGGGGACCCTCAGCGCCTGCTCCCCTGTGGGACAGGTACGGCGAGCACGGTGGGTTTTTAAGCCAGCTTGCTCTGAGGGGGCTTTGCCTTCTCAGGGCCCAGAGGCAACACCGCTGCTCCAGCCGCTGCCTGCTCTGTTGACCTCTGACCGCCCTCCCCTCCATGGTGCCGGGCTTCCCATCCGCTATGCAGCAACAGTAGACGGGTTCCCCAGACTCGGCCCCAGGCCCAGGCACCTCCCAGGGATGGTGGCAGTCCCCCAGGAGGTGCCCCAGAGGAGGCGGCATCTCAAAGAAGCCTCCCCACTCTGAGAGAGTCTCGGCGCTTTGGTAATGGGGTTTGGGATTGCTCTGGGCACAGGCCTGGGCAGACGGCCTCCCCTGCCCGGGCACAGGCAACAGCACATTCTTGCGGCTTCCCTCTGAGCTCGGGGCTGACTCCCTCCCTAACCACAAGGCAACTGCCAGACTTGACAGTAACCAAACCCCCGCTGAGGGGCTGGCTACCGCTTTTGGCAGAGGTCCAGTGCCCACCCTGGGTGCCCAGCCTGGCCCAGCGCCCTGTCCCCGCCTCCCTGCGCCAGCTCAGGGCACAGCCCCATCCATCCACGGGGTACAGGCACCCACTGGGCCAACCTGACCCCACAGTCCATGCTCTGCAGGAATGTGCATGAAGGAATGGGGGCATGGGCAATGCGTGGGGACAGGCGTGAGGTGTGGCCTGGCCTGGGGTGGGTAGGAGCTGTGCTGGTCCCTTGGGAACTGGGGGCCAAGCCTGTGGCCCATGGCAGCTGTCCACGGCATCCCCACATCTGCCCCCACCCTGGCCTAAGGACCACGATGGTGAGATGCCTGGGTCTCAGTCACCCCCTGCCAGCCTGCGTCCTCCTCCAGGGAGATGCAGCCTGCTGGGGCACTGAGCCCTCGCTTGCAGCTTCTCAGAGACCCCTGGTGCTTAGTGTTCTGTGCTGGGGGGTGCTGGGCTTCTGTCTGGGTGGGGTCCCCTTCTGTGTCCAGCCCTCGATCAGGCCGGGGCCGGAGGATCCAGTGAATCCCCCACAGGCCTGAGGATCCTGTAGGCAGCAGAGAAGGCAAAACCAGGCCTGTGAGCCGGGCAGGGAGCAGCGTGTGACGATGGAGATGAAAAGGCGGAGGGGCTCGGAGTGGCTGGGAGGGGTCCTACAGCAGGAAGAAGTGGCCATGCCACTCCCTGCTCCATGCCAGCCAGGGACAGACTGTCGGCCAGGCATCCTCTTGGGCTGACTTGGGGTCCTCCCTGTGTCCCCAGCCATTAACTCCTGCGCCCTGGGCAATGGCGGCTGCCAGCACCACTGTGTCCAGCTCACAATCACTCGGCATCGCTGCCAGTGCCGGCCCGGGTTCCAGCTCCAGGAGGACGGCAGGCATTGTGTCCGTGAGTGCTGCCAGCCTGGGAGGGAGGACCTGGGGGTGGAGGCAGGACAAGCTGCCTCGCCTGGGCTGTTGGGTGGAAGTGGGTCTTCAGGAGGCCCCCAAGGCTGCTGAGAGGCCTGGTAGGGATGGCACATTTGGGGCCAGGAAGCTCAGGATGGGGGCCACCTCACTTCCATAGGTGCCCACCTGAGGCTTGCTGCCCTTGGGAGGAGGAGGCAGGCCAGTCCGGTTTGGCACTTTGCTCTGAGTCCTCAGGGCTGCTTGCGTGGAAAGGGGGGGCTTTGCTGATGGTGACGGTGCGGCAGACTCAGTGGTCCTCCAGAATATGGAAATGGGGGCTGTGGGTGGGGCAGGTGCTGAGAGAATGCCCCCACCTGGGCCTCTGGGTCCTCCCCAGTGTGGGCATGAAGGGGCTGGAGTCACAGAGCTGGGGGGCCGCCGCCTTGGTGTCAGCGCCAGCACCTGGGCTAAGAAGGGTGGTGGGAGGAGCTGGCCTGGGCCGCTGCCTGACCTGGGCTGGCTGGCCGCGTCCTGAGACTGCAGAGTCTTCTCGGCGTCTTGGGGGCTTCCCGCACCTGGGAGGAGGGAGACCCGCTGCCCAGCCCATCAGCCTGGAGCACAGAGTGGGGAGAGCACTGGGTGAGGGGTCTCACAAGAAGCCTGGGGGCAGGCGCCCTGCAGCCACTGGGGTCCCCTCTCCCCAACCCCCTCCTCGGGCCCGTGGCTGCAGGTAGAAGCCCGTGTGCCAACAGGAACGGCAGCTGCATGCACAGGTGCCAGGTGGTCCGGGGCCTCGCCCGCTGTGAGTGCCACGTGGGCTATCAGCTAGCAGCGGACGGCAAGGCCTGTGAAGGTAGGACGCCCCTCCCCTGCTCCGCCCCGCCCAGGGTCAGAAAGCGCACCCAGGTGCTGTGGAGGGACCCGTGTCTAACTCTGGGGCCGTGGCCTCCCATGAGACCAGGCCCTTTGGCCTTGCCCCCTTGGGTGACCTGGGATGTGGCGGTCTCATCTCCCTTGCTGGGGGCTGAGGGGCGAGGGTAGGAAGGCTCGCAAAAGCTGCTCCCAGCCCGAGGCTCATTTCACTAGGAGTGAGCCAGGGAGCCCAGGTGTTGCTTATAGTTTTTAAACTATTGTATTTCCTTTTTTTTTTTTTTTGAGACGGAGTCTCGCTCTATTGCCCAGGCTGGAGTGCAGTGGCGTGATCTCAGCTCACTGCAAGCTCCGCCTCCCAGGCTCACGCCATTCTCTTGCCTTGGCCTCCCCAGCAGCTGGGACTACAGGCACCCGCCGCCAGGCCTGGCTAATTTTTCGTATTTTTAGAAGAGATGGGGTTTCACCATGTTGGCCAGGATGCTCTCAATCTCCTGACCTTGTGATCCGCCCGCCTCGGCCTCCCAAAGTGCTGGGATTACAGGCGTGAGCCACTGCACCTGGCCTAAACTATTGTATTTCCTAAGTAGTGCCTGCCCAGCAGGAAAACTGAAGAGATGAATAAGAGAAAAGGAGAAATGAGCCAGGCGCTGTGGCTCACACCTGTAATCCCAGCACTTTGGTAGGCCAACGAGGGAGGACCACTTAAGCCAAGTTGCTCAAGACCAGCCTAGGCAGCATGGCGAGACCCTGTCTCTAAACAATTTTTTTTTTAATTAGCCAGGTGTGGTGGTGCTGTCTGGAGTCCTAGCTACTCCGGAATCTGAGGCAGGAAGATCACTTGAGCCCAGGAGGTCAAGGCTGCAGTGAGCTATGATCACACCACTGCACTCCAGCCTGGGTGGCAGAGCAAGATTCTGTCTCTTAAAAAAAAAAAAAAAAAAAAAAAAAAAAAGCCCAGGTGTGGTGGCTCACACCTGTAATCCCAGCACTTTGAGAGGCCAAGGTGGGCAGATCACTTGAGTTTAGGAGTTCAAGACCAGCCTGGGCAACATAGCGAGATCCTGTATGTACAAAAAAATAAGAAAACCCAACTAGCTGAGCATGATGGTGCACACCTGTGGTCCCAGCTACTCAGGAGGCCGAGGCAGGAGTCCCAGCTACTCGGGATGCCGAGGCAGGAGTCCCAGCTACTCGGAAGGCTGAGGCAGGAGAATCACTTGAGCCCAGGAGGTTGACGCTACAGTGAGCCATGATTGCACCAGTGTGCTACAGCCTGGGTGACAGAATGAGACCCTGTCTAAAAATAAATAAATAAATAAATAAACAAGTAAAATAATAAAAAAAATAGAACTCAAGAAGAAAGGAGACATTGTTCCTGAGCCCAGGAAACACCTAGACGTATGGGATGGGCTGCTTCTGCTGCTTCACTGGGGCTGTTTGTGAATGTGCTTGCTTAGAGTCAGGTTGCAGGCAGGTGCCATTGTTTGGAACACACCGCTGCCCCCTCTGCCACACCACACCATCCTCTGCAGCATGGCTGGGCGACGTTTATTTGTTAACCCTGTCCCTGCACGTCTGGGTGTTCCTGACTCTTCCCTGGGCCAAGCAGCCTTGGGGAGGGGTCGGGCTGCCACTGCCCCAGTGGTCCACAGGGTGAGTCTCTGAGGCAGCGGTGTGTGTCCAGACCAGGCAGTGGTCAGTTTCCAATGGTATTAGTCCATTTTCACGCTGCCGATAAAGACATACCCAAGACTGGGCAATTTACTAAAGAAAGAGGTTTAATGGACTTACAGTTCCACATGGCTTGGGGCGGCCTCACAATCATGGCGGGAGGCCAGGAGGAGCAAGTCACACCTCACGTCGATAGCGGTAGGAAAAGAGAGGGCTTGTGCAGGGAAACTCCCGTTTTTAAAACCATCAGATCTCATGAGACTTACTCACTATCATGAGAACAGCACAGGAAAGACCCACCCCCATGATTCAATCACCTCCCACCGGGCTCCTCCCACCACACGTGGGAACTGTGGGAGTTACAGTTCAAGGTGAGATTTGGGTGGGGACACAGCCAGACCATATCATCAGGCCCCCGCCGGATGGCCACGGGGTGTCGTGGTGTGTGGTTCCACGTCCTCACTGACACCAGGAAAGTGCTGCCTGGGCACTGGCACCTGGTCATGCAACAGGCTTAGTGTGAGACCTGTGTGGGTGCCAACTTCTTCATCCCAGGGGACCTGCAGGGCTGTGACTAGTGGCCGTCAGGGACAGTGGGATTGGCCTTGAATGCCTGTGTCATGCGGCCACAGGCCCTGGGTGTCAGCAGGCCGTGCACTGTCTTCCACTGGTCCCATGCAAAGGCCCTTCCTGGCACCTCTGAGCCCTCCCTGTGGTCTCTCCCCTCCAGATGTGGACGAATGTGCCGCAGGGCTGGCCCAGTGTGCCCATGGCTGCCTCAACACCCAGGGGTCCTTCAAGTGCGTGTGTCACGCGGGCTATGAGCTGGGCGCCGATGGCCGGCAGTGCTACCGTGAGTGGGCAGCCGGCAACAGGCTGAAGGTGCCCGGGATGGCCATGCTGCTCCCCAGGACCCCGAGGCCTGCTTTGGCTGAAGGGCAGGGCTTCCTTGTCAATCAGGGGCAGCCCTGGGTGTGAGCCCTTGGTGAGCAGAGGGTCGAGGGAGAGCAGGGGGTCCCAGACCCAACAAGGCCTGGGAGCTCCATGTTGCTGCTTCCCACGGGTGTCCCCAGGCCCGAGGCTGGCTGCTGGGTGGAGGTAGGGGTAACTAAGGTAGGTGGGGGTCATCCTAGCCGCCATCCCATACCCTGGGTGGCTGGTCTCACGGCAGGGATTGAGATGGAAATCGTGAACAGCTGTGAGGCCAACAACGGCGGCTGCTCCCATGGCTGCAGCCACACCAGTGCTGGGCCCCTGTGCACATGTCCCCGCGGCTACGAGCTGGACACAGATCAGAGGACCTGCATCGGTGCGCACTGGCTCCTCCCAGATGCCTGCACCCCACTCCAGGGACCCGCTGCTGCCCTGGGTCTGGGATCAGTTCCATGCCATGACTTGGAGGTCCTCGTCAGTCTCCCTGAGTCCTGGTCTGGCTGCCTGGGCCCTGGCGGGGTGGTAGGGCAGGTCTGACAGAGGCAGCATCCTGGCCGGGAAAGACCTTGGTG
Source organism: Homo sapiens (assembly GCF_000001405.40). NCBI lineage: Eukaryota > Metazoa > Chordata > Mammalia > Primates > Hominidae > Homo > Homo sapiens. Next base: position 3,511,353 of record NC_000001.11, on the reverse strand, counting down.
CCCACATCGGCCCGCCAGGCCCATACCCATGTTCACGGCACCCCCTTAGCCCCATCAGCACCTCCTCAGTACCACCCCTTCACCTGGGAAGGACCCAGTGTCCTGGAAGTCACACCCCAGACCCTGACTCCCAGATGGAGTCCCCACCCTCTAGCCCCAGTCCCAACACCTTGTCCACAGCAGACAGGCGGGTGGCCCTGGGGCTGTGACATGTGTCCTGTGTGTGCACATATGCGGGACCAGGAACGTGCATGTGCGTGGGCGTGATTGTGTGGTGGGTGCGATTGTCTGCAGGTGCCATGAATGTCGGTGTGCACACGTGAGGCTGTGGGCAGCTGCAGGTGCAGTCGGGCGCGTGGGTTGTGTGTGGTCGTATGCAGTTGTGTGTGGGTGGGGGCGTGTGCACGTGCAGGTGCCTGGTACCAGGGGGCCCGTGGCGTGTGCTCCACAGATGTCGACGACTGTGCAGACAGCCCGTGCTGCCAGCAGGTGTGCACCAACAACCCTGGCGGGTACGAGTGCGGCTGCTACGCCGGCTACCGGCTCAGTGCCGATGGCTGCGGCTGTGAGGGTGAGCACTGCCCTGCCACTGCACAGCTGGGGTGGCCTGGGAGCAGGGCTGCCCTAAGGAAGGACACGGGGCTGGCTCTGGTACCCCCATGGTGGGCATGGGGTCGGCCTGCTCTGTGCTTTGCTTTGGGGCTGTGGGTGTTGGTTGAGCGCCTGCTGTGTGCAGGGCTGTGGTGGGTGTTGGTTGAGCGCCTGCTGCGTGCAGGGCTGTGGGTGTTGGTTGAGCCCCTGCTGAGTTCAGGGCTGTGGGCGTTGGTTGAGCACCTGCTGCGTGCAGGGCTGTGGGCGTTGGTTGAGCGCCTGCTGCGTGCAGGGCTGTGGGTGTTGGTTGAGCGCCTGCTGCGTGCAGGGCTATGGGTGTTGGTTGAGCCCCTGCTGAGTTCAGGGCTGTGGGCGTTGGTTGAGCGCCTGCTGCGTGCAGGGCTGTGGGTGTTGGTTGAGTGCCTGCTGCCTGGAGGGCTGTGCTGACCTGTCCCCTCCCTCCCTCTGGCCTGAGGTCACTGGCCGCTCTCTCCTGGAGCTGGGCCTGTCCCCCTGGCTGCTGCCTGGCCGGCCCCTCCCAGCCTGGCCCCCCCTAGCACGTGTCTGCCATGGCTCTGACCCTGGGCTGGGAGGATGGCCAGAGTGGCCTCTGTGGCTGAGGGTGAGTTTTACTGGCTGGTTGAAGAGATGCTACTCAGCTCTGGCAGGGCCACCAGGGCTTCAGTCCTGTGGGTAGGACTGGGTGGGCAGGGGCCTTCCTGGTTCCCCACCTGGGAGCACAGGCCTCAGTGGTCCCGGGTCGCCCGCAGATGTGGATGAGTGCGCCTCCAGCCGTGGCGGCTGCGAGCACCACTGCACCAACCTGGCCGGCTCCTTCCAGTGCTCCTGCGAGGCCGGCTACCGGCTGCACGAGGACCGTAGGGGCTGCAGCCGTGAGTCTCCCGCCCTCCGCGGAGCACCGGCCTCTGCCTTCTCGAGTTTGCCCCAGCTGACCCTGCGTCCCGCAGGCCTGGCCCACCCCACCCCCACCTGCCTGGGGTCCTTTGCCCCCTGGCCTCTCTGGGCCAACACACCTCAGAGGCTCTTGGGCCCTTGGGGACCCACTGAGGTCCTGCCTCTTCTGAGGGCCGTGTGGGGGTTGGGGACAGTGGGGTGGGGGAAGCTGGTGAGACAGGCATCCTCCCGGAGCCCAGCACCTGTCCTGACCACGTGAGAGAAGGGACCAAGACCTAAGGTGATGTTGTCCCTGGGACTGATGGCAGCTGCTCCCACCCCTACCCCTCTAGGCCCCAGAGTCCCTAGAGTTGGGATGAGGCTGGGGGCAGAGGGGCCGGGTTCAGGTCCTCAGGGCCCAGAGCCTTCTCTTTCCTGAGAAGGAGGGTCGGGTGCAGCTGGGATGACCCCTGGGACCAGGCTGAGGAGGTGGGGGTAGTGGAGGCAGTAGGAGGGTGGTGGGGTTCCCTGGGGTGGGGCTTAGGCCCAGCCCTACCCGCCGGGGGGTCGCTGGAGCAGGCAGGTGGGTGGCAGGGGCTAAGGCGCCTCTGTGCCCCTGGCAGCCCTGGAGGAGCCGATGGTGGACCTGGACGGCGAGCTGCCTTTCGTGCGGCCCCTGCCCCACATTGCCGTGCTCCAGGACGAGCTGCCGCAACTCTTCCAGGATGACGACGTCGGGGCCGATGAGGAAGAGGCAGAGTTGCGGGGCGAACACACGCTCACAGAGAAGTTTGGTGAGCGCGGGCCCAGCCCCCGGGGGCTCCTGCTCGCAGGGCCAGCAGCCAGCGACCCCTCGGGCTAGGCTGCCATCCAATCAGAGGCTGGGGACGTGAGGAAGGACCCCTGCAATGCCATGTTAGACCAAGGCCCAGAGAGGGTGAGCCACTGGCTCAGTTTGCGCAGCTCGTGCGGGCTGAGCCGGGCGGGACCGGGCTCACAGCTTCCAGGTTAGGGCTCCTTCTGGCCCCAGCATCTGTCCCCATGTCACCCTTTGGGGGCCCTCATGGGCCGAGGATGCCCCTTATGCCCCTTCCCTGGCCTGAGGGTCTGAGCCGGGCCTCTGTGCCTGCTGAGGCCAGGGGTCAGGCTCTGAATCCCCCCATCCTGGTCTGCCCCCAGTCTGCCTGGATGACTCCTTTGGCCATGACTGCAGCTTGACCTGTGATGACTGCAGGAACGGAGGGACCTGCCTCCTGGGCCTGGATGGCTGTGATTGCCCCGAGGGCTGGACTGGGCTCATCTGCAATGAGAGTGAGGCAGCTGGGCAGGGGCTGGGGGCTGGGAAGGGGCCTCTGAGCCCCAAGACCTGGGGACAGCCCTTTGAGCCCATTCAGTTTTACTCCTGCCTGCTGGCCCTGGGCAGGGGGCTCTGTGCAGAGCCATTCATTCATCCATTTGTTAATTCCTTTGATAAACATCCCCTGACTGTCCACTCTATGCCACGCACTGTTCCAGGCAGTAAGGATTCCCTGGGAACAAGCAAGTTAAAGTGTTTGTCCTTCCTAAATATCAGTCTTCACGGTCCAGCAACAAGCAAGCCAGCAAATAACTAAGACAGTGAGGGGTGTCTGCTGAAGGGCAGCCGGCAGGTGGGGTTCCTCTAGCTCAGATGGCCAGGGACCCGTCATAACTGTCAGTGAGGCTCTGCCTGTTTGAAAGAGCTGGTTCAGAAGGAGGAGACTCCTCTCTCTGCTGGTGTTCAGAGAGAGGAGTCAGTGATCAATTAGTGATGTCTGCCATGAGCATGGGCAGGGGTGATGTGGTACAAGTGCCATCATTTTATCTCTAGGCAACTGCTTCTAAACCCAAGCCTCCAACCCTAGGAAGGGGTCTCAGAGTGTCGTGCTGGCTGGTGACCCTGACGCTTCCCTGTCATTCTTTGTAGCTTGTCCTCCGGACACCTTTGGGAAGAACTGCAGCTTCTCCTGCAGCTGTCAGAATGGTGGGACCTGCGACTCTGTCACGGGGGCCTGCCGCTGCCCCCCGGGTGTCAGTGGAACTAACTGTGAGGATGGTGCGTGCAGCCTCTTCTGGTGCTTCTGGAATTACCCCTGGGCTGTAAGGGAAGTGGGAGACACCACCCCTCCACGTCCTCCTTGTCTCCTTCCTCCCACTGGAGCAGGGAAACTGCTACCAAACTTTTCCTAGACTCCCTTTCCTTCCTGCCTCCCTGTCTCCAGAGCTTTAGGCTGTGCTTGAGAGAGAATGAGGCCCTTGAATGAGAGGGGTATTGCTTTTTCACTGTTGCTAATTTTCCCAGGGCCTAACTGTAGCAGACGATAAGACTACAGAGCAGCACTTTTGGAATGGGTTCCCTTGAGAGGCAGTGAGGTCCCTGTTCCTGGAAGCATTCAAGTAGAGCTGGTGATGGCTGGGTGAGGTTTGCAGAAGGGATTACTTGGGGGCCAGTGGCTGCAAGGGATGATGTTGGCTCCCTTATTAACTCTGAAGTTTCAGCCTTTCTGGAGGAATTAGTCCAGAAAATGTTTCCCAGGTGGCTAAAGCTTCATCTTTAAGTCTTCAGACTTCATCATTTCTGCCTCTTTCGATGGAGAGTGCAGCTAACGTATCATAAACTTTCTGCCTTTGTGAGAGGAAGACAGCCAACCCTAGAACCTGTCCCCCAGGTGGCCCCGTGAGCTTTCCTGGCCGTATGTGCTGGGCTCTGCAGGGCTGGTTGCCTGGTGGTGGTGGGGACCCCAGGCAGCCACACAGGGCTTCCTACCTCTTCCCTGTCAGTGTGCCTCCCTTCCCCACTTTGTCTGCCCTTTCTATTCTACAGGGTGCTGGGGAACCCCCGTATTCATTCCTGGGTGCTGCACCCCTGGGATCGTGCTGTACCCTCCAGGCTGCCTGCAGCGTTGAGGGGTCACCTCCCCTTCTCCAGGCCTCCTCTTTCTGTCTCGGCTTCCGCCTGCCTCTCAGATGAGGATGTTTGTCTTTGGATTCAGGGCCAGCCTGGATAATGTAGGGCTACTATGGCAAGCACTGTTGCAAGAAATGCAACTGTGCCTAGTCTCCAGGTCCTGGGGACTAGGACGTGTATGTAGTTGTGGGGGTACCTTCAGCTGACTACCGCCTTCAGTAGGAGGAAGGACGTGGGGCAGGACCCAGCCAGAGAGAATTGTTTGGGGAAGAAAGGCGAGGACCTTTCTAGCTCTGGGGCCACCTGCGGCTTGGGCCTGGGACCTTGTCTACTGGGGCCACGTGTCCTTCCCGCTTTGAGGCTCTGAGATCAAGCTTAGTGACCACCAGGGGACAGAAGTCAGGCGGCTCCTGATGGGGGCCAGACTTTGGGGAGAGTGGGGCGTGAGCTTTGTGCATCTCTCCAGTGTGGGCCGAGGAATGTGCTCTTCCACCCGCCCTTGCCACAAACCCTGGGGGCAGGGGATGTAGGGGACAGACCAGCCAGGGCAGACGGCCACATCCGGAAGGCTCACCTAGTGCCCTGGCGGGGGCTGCTCCCAGCTCCTGTGCTGGGCCCTGGGCCCCCGCGCATCCTACCACATGGGGGGACCACATGTGGTAGGCTGGCTGCCACCAAGGTTCACATGGAGCCCCGCTGCCCCCAGGCTGCCCCAAGGGCTACTATGGCAAGCACTGTCGCAAGAAATGCAACTGTGCCAACCGGGGCCGGTGCCACCGCCTCTACGGGGCCTGCCTCTGCGACCCAGGGCTCTACGGCCGCTTCTGCCACCTCAGTGAGTCTCACTGCCCCTTCCAGTGTCCATGGTGGTGGCAGCGGGTGGAAGGGATGGTCCATGTCCTGTTACCTGTAGTCTGGGTTAGGATGAGGCTATCGGGGCCCAGCCAGGTCACCCACTGGGATGTAGGTCTGGGGTCCGCCATGAGTCTGTGGACTCCAAGCCACATCCTCTCGACTGTGACTGTGCTGGCATCCAGGGCGTCTGGGTGGATGGTCCCCAACCTTGTGCCTCCCAGCCTTGATGGGTGGTAGGGCTGCAGATGAGGGCAGGGCCAGGCCTTTTGCAGAAGCCTCCGGGGGATGAGGCCTATCTTGGCTTTTGGAGATTCCTGGCAGCAAGGCCAAGCTCTGAGTCCCTGGTGGGGTCACCCATCCCTGGGGTTCAGACACTCAGGGAAGGGGCGGTGGGCTGCAGGGGGAGAGGTGGAGGAGGACAGCTCCCTACATGATCTTGGCTGTCGTCCTGGCTGACCCAGGGCTGGTGGAAGCGGTCTGGGAGGGTGGGGCTTCAGACGGGAGCCCCCCTCAACGGTTCTGTGGGTGCAGCCTGCCCGCCGTGGGCCTTTGGGCCGGGCTGCTCGGAGGAGTGCCAGTGTGTGCAGCCCCACACGCAGTCCTGTGACAAGAGGGATGGCAGCTGCTCCTGCAAGGCTGGCTTCCGGGGCGAGCGCTGTCAGGCAGGTGAGTCCAGGCATGGGGTCTGGGGGCGGGGGGCGCCAGGGTCGGTTAACCCCACCCACCCCTCTCTCACGCCCTGCAGAGTGTGAGCTGGGCTACTTTGGGCCGGGGTGCTGGCAGGCATGCACCTGCCCAGTGGGCGTGGCCTGTGACTCCGTGAGCGGCGAGTGTGGGAAGCGGTGTCCTGCTGGCTTCCAGGGAGAGGACTGTGGCCAAGGTGAGTGGCCGGCCCCTGGGGCTCCCGGCAGTCTCATTGTGGGGTGTAGGCTGCCTGCCTGGCTGGAGGGTAGGCTTCAGAAGGGCTGCACAGCTGTCACTATCGGCCCCCTTTGCCTAAGCCCAGGTGGTGCCTTGCTACCGGTGTTGCCTTGCTACCGGTGTTGCCTTGACGGCCTGTCACATGGCAGTGGTGCGGCTGCTAGTCTCAGTCTGGTCTGCTCAGGGCAGCAGCTGCTGTCTGCCCAGGGCCTGACCTGGGGAGGGGCCAGTTTCTCTCCAAACTCCTCCCTGGTCCACTTGCTTCTTGCTTGACCAGAACAGACTGGGCTTCTCTCAGAGGCCGGGGCAGCAGCTCCCTCCTCACATGTGAGCCGGCAGCAGAGGCTGCCCCTGGAGGTGGCGGTTCAGAGAGTGGTCTGGGTGCAGTGCCGGCCTGGGGTCGTGGCTGCAGGCCCCTGCACGTGGATGCTTTGGCCTGGGTGTGAGCAGGCACAGAGCCTGGGAGCCCCATGCCCACATAGCAGGCAGGGGAGGAGGCTGTTAGGAGCTGGCTGAGAGATGGACCAGCGGAGTCCATGCTTAGGTATTCCTGGGAGACCCGGGGACCAACTGCCCGACGCGATTCCAGCCCAGCGTGCGTGGGGCTGGGGGCTTTGCCAAGAGGGCTGGGAAGGTGGGGGTGTCCTGGCTGCCCCAGCTTGCACTGGCGGGAGGTGCAATAACCAGGACAACGGTGTGTGGTCCTGGCCAAGCAGAAAGCTGACCAAGCTGGTCTGAGGCTCAGCGGGATGGTCACTCCTCAGTCTCATGACCAGGATAGGAAATACCCGAGTGTGTCATCGGCTTATGAGGGGAAGGAAGACGCCCTCGGCATGAGTAATGGAGCTGCCGCAGCGGCCGCCAACAGGGCCTGGGCAGGTCGGAGCCTCCCTTGGCATGGCGCACGCTGTCCACGCCCATTGGCCGGGAGAGACGGGAGCCACGAGGGCCTGCTGTGTGACCAGCATGACCATGGCCTGGGCTGGAGAGAGCGAGAAGCCCGGCGCCAGCCCCCTCCTCTGCCTCCCCTGGGGCCAGCCCCCTCCTCTGCCTCCCCTGGGGCCATACCAGGGGGCTCTCTGGACTCAAGCCCCCCCAGCATGGGCCCTTCCCCTCCCCACCTCCATCTGGGGAATGAGAAGGGGTCCGCAGAGGGAGCAACGTCCACCCAAGGACCCACTAGCCAGCTCTTAGGCCACCCTGGCCTCAGCCACTAAGGGCCGGAGCACTCTAGGCCAAGACTCCTGACCTGGACTGGCAGAAGCTCTGTGGTCTCAGGCCGGTGTGCAGCAGCTCTGAGCGCCCACTTCCCATCTGTGCACAAGCCCTAGGGCTTCATCAGTGCGCGGACATGGGACTCAGCTCCTCCTGACTCCCCAGCATCCCCTCCCCACCCTTCCTCCCGCTCCCCACCCCCAAACGTGTACACACATACATGCACACACCACTTACACACACATACACACATACATGCACACACTGCTTACACACACATACACATGAATGCAGGCAGGTGCATGCAGACACACACCAGCAGCTCACCCTCCCCTGATGCCTGTGACCCTCCTTCCAGTCCCTGCTCTCTATACCAGAGACAGTGAACAGGCCTCGCCAGAGAAGCACCTCCACCACTCCCGGAGCCCCCAGTTCCTGAGAGGAGGAAGGCTCCTCCCCTGCCCCTCCTCTGCTCCTCCTCTGCCCCTTCCCCTCTTTTCTTTAAGAGCCTGTGGTGCTCCGAGGATAAGCCACAGGCGATGACATCCGAGTGTTGATAGAAAGATCAACACTCTTTATAAAGATAACATCCCCTCTTGTTGGGTCTGGAAACTGTTCCTGCCCAGCACTCATCTGCTCCAGTTAGTGGAGGGGGGTTCCCTGACGCCACCCAGCCCTGTGCACACTGCCCAGTGCCCTAGGGCACGGTGAGTGCCAGGCCTGTAGTCCCAGGGACGTGCCTGTGTCCCTATGGGCGGGTGCCCCTGGGGATGGGCCCTGGTGACAAGGGTTCACCAGGGTGTGTCCTCAGGGCCTCAGCGGGGTCAGGTCTGCTGCTCCGCCTGTATTACCGGTGCTCCTCCCCAGGCAGGGCACATCCTGGCTCTCAGCCCCGCTGTGGGCCTTCTGACACGTGGGCTCTGTGGATCTTTGGCATGCAGCACGGGGTCTCTGTCAACTGCCTTCTTGGGGCTGCTGTGATGCCATTGTGAGCCCAGGGAGAGGTTTAGTTCCAGCAGCAGGCAGGGCATCAGAGTGGCTGCGCCTCGCTGGGGGAGGCAGGGAGGCTTCGCTGCTACCCGAGCTCCCGGCTAGCCTCATGCTCTGTTGTCCTCACTGGAGAGGCCAAGGCCGGGCCCTTAAGGTCAGGGCAGGCGTGGGAGGGCAGAGGAAAGCTCTGCCAGGGAGGTCACTCCAGGGCTTCCAGCACCCACGGCTCTGCCAGGCCATGGGGAGCAGCCCCTGCAGGCCCTCTCCAGGGGTCCCAATCCTCAGCCCCCACGTTCTCTCCCCAGGTCCCCCTTCCTGGGATGCTGTGACTCCCTGGCCTCTGTGCTCCCTGGGGTCTCATTCACCTGCCGGGTGGAGCAGGGGGGACCCTAGGCCTCCAGGAGGCCCCCTGCCCTCCCCATTCTAGCCCCATCCCACAGGGAAAGGGCAGTGACTCTGCGGGTGGAGTGAGTGGGTGCACAGCCTCCCCAGCCCTCGGGCCGAGTCCCTGGAGGGGCTCCCAGCTGGGTGGAGGGGAGTGGGAGAGACTGGATCAGCATCGCCAGGTTGGACTGGGGACACACTGGCCTGACCAGGACAGGTCCTCTGGTGACTACGGTGGCGGAGGAAGAGCAGGCCCTACCTCGGGCTCCCGGGAGCTCTCCAGGGTCCTGGATGGCCGAGGGATCTGCTTCAGCCTCTCCCACGCTGCCCCAGCAGCCCTGCCCCTCCCCTCTCCTCCCATCCGTCAGCTCCCCTTTCACTCCTCCCTTGCCTGTTCCTGTGACCTGCCTGGCCACTCTGGGGACCCCAGGTGTGCTCAGCAGCCCCACCCCCGGGGGCTAGAGCCAGAGCCCATGTGAGGAGGCGCGGGGGGGCACACTCGCCAGGAGCCCATGTGAGGAGGCGCCGGGGGGGCACACTCGCCAGGAGCCCATGTGAGGCACAGGGGGCACACTCACCAGGAGCCCCTGGGGGAAAGGCTCTGGTCAGTCCACTCCACGTGGTGCGGCTAAGGCCCCTCGTGCTTTCTCCTGCAGAGTGCCCGGTGGGGACGTTTGGCGTGAACTGCTCGAGCTCCTGCTCCTGTGGGGGGGCCCCCTGCCACGGGGTCACGGGGCAGTGCCGGTGTCCGCCGGGGAGGACTGGGGAAGACTGTGAGGCAGGTGAGTGTCAGCCGCAGCCCCAGTTCCGCCTCCCCAGGCTGCACGGCTCCAAGCTGGTGGGGCCCTGAACTGTGGGGGCCCCAGCCCTGCGGATCCCAGGCCCGTCTATAGCAGGTGTGAGAGCTCACAGTGCACTCCCCTGGGGTAGGGAGGGGGGGTCTGTGGCTGCCCCACCAAGTTCCTGGGGCTTCCAGGCTGCCCTCTCGGGCTGCTCCCTCTCTGCATGAGGCTCCATCTCTAACGGGCTCGGCTCCTTGTGTTGCCAGCTGAACGGTGCCGGGGGCTGGGGGTCCTCTACTGTGGGTGCGCACCCCGCAGCCTGCAGCCCCAGGAGGTGCCCGGGTCCTCTCCCCTCCCCGGGGCAGGCTGAGATGGTAACAGTGGTTCCACCTCCTCGGCCGTGGCTCCAGGGGCATCGTGCCATGTTATGTTGATGTGTTGAGCAAGGGCAGCTTGGGCACTGACTGGCCATGGGGGTGGGCACTAGATTGTCCCGAGGGCCGCTGGGGGCTGGGCTGCCAGGAGATCTGCCCAGCATGCCAGCACGCTGCCCGCTGCGACCCTGAGACCGGAGCCTGCCTGTGCCTCCCTGGCTTCGTCGGCAGCCGCTGCCAGGACGGTGAGTGAGCTGGAGCTGCCCCTGAGCCTTTGACCTGGGGTAGGTGGCCAGGCCCCACTCACCCTCTCTCGCCTGCCTGTAGTGTGCCCAGCAGGCTGGTATGGTCCCAGCTGCCAGACAAGGTGCTCTTGTGCCAATGATGGGCACTGCCACCCAGCCACCGGACACTGCAGCTGTGCCCCCGGGTGGACCGGCTTTAGCTGCCAGAGAGGTACGGGGGCCCTTGGCTTGCCCTTTGTCCAGACATCCCTCCTTTCCTAGCCCCTGGAGAGGCCTCTGCCCAGGGCCCCCGAGGACTAGGGGCTTGCAGGAGGCCTTGCCCCAGTCCTGAGACGCCCCTGTGCCTGACTCGGCTGTGGTGCCCGTGGCCCGCGCTTGGGCCTGCGCCGGGTGACCCTGAGTTCTGTTGCAGCCTGTGATACTGGGCACTGGGGACCTGACTGCAGCCACCCCTGCAACTGCAGCGCTGGCCACGGGAGCTGTGATGCCATCAGCGGCCTGTGTCTGTGTGAGGCTGGCTACGTGGGCCCGCGGTGCGAGCAGCGTGAGTCCCGGCCCTGCCTTTGGCTGCCACCCTCCTGAGTGCGCACACGCACACATATGCACACGTGCACACACACAAAGCCTTTGACCGTACTCCCTCCTGCACGCACACACACGAAGCCTTTGGCCGCGCCCCCTCCTGTGCGCGCACACACCCACCAAAACGTGCAGGCACGCACATGCGCACTGCGGCTGGGCCCTGGCCTGGCTTCCTCTGCCTTTCCTGAGCTTTCCCAGCCCCCACTGCTCTGCTTCGCAGCCTGGACCAAGGTCCCACCCTCTCACCGACCTGCACCAGGCTCACTTGGAGCCGCAGCAGGAGGGGGCAGGGTCTGTCCCCCACTGTGGGAGGCCTGGCACCTGGGGGATGGAGAAGGGGTCTGCTTAGGACTGAGGCTGGTATCCCTCAGTGTGTGCCCCCGAGGCTTGGTTGGTGGAATCGGGGGAGGCCTGGGTTGGGCGTCCTACGGACAGCCCCTGGGGAGGTTCCCATCCCTAAAGCTGATGCCTGGAGCCCCCTCAAGCCTCCCATGGCCCCACCTGGGTGGGGGATGAAGCATGTGAGTGAGCCCAGTCTCCCTTGGGCAGGAAGGGGCTTCTCATGAGCCAGGCCTGTCCCACAGTCCTGGGGATGGCGGCAAGGCCCGGGCACGGCTGGGTCAGGCTCCTGGCCCTCTGGCTGACTGTGGGCCGGGGCTGCATATCTCAGAGTGTCCCCAGGGCCACTTTGGGCCCGGCTGTGAGCAGCGGTGCCAGTGTCAGCATGGAGCAGCCTGTGACCACGTCAGCGGGGCCTGCACCTGCCCGGCCGGCTGGAGGGGCACCTTCTGCGAGCATGGTGAGCTACGGCACAGGCGGGGGCTAGGCTGGGTGGCCTCCAGTGTGGGCCCCTCCACATCACTGCCCGCTGTCTGCAGCCTGCCCGGCCGGCTTCTTTGGATTGGACTGTCGCAGTGCCTGCAACTGCACCGCCGGAGCTGCCTGTGATGCCGTGAATGGCTCCTGCCTCTGCCCCGCTGGCCGCCGGGGCCCCCGCTGTGCCGAGAGTGCGTGAGGTCCCTGCTCAGCCCGGGGTGCTGCAGGAGGGGGTGCCAGGTCCTCCGTAGGAGACTCCCTCCTGCCACCTGTCCTGAGTGTCTGAAGCTACCAGGCAACCCCCCTGAGAGTGATGCTTTGCTCACTCGGGCCAGAGCGTTGGTCCTTTTTTGTGGCCACTCTGCTGAGTGGGTGGCCTGAGCCAGAGGGAGGGGAGAGTTGGCCATAGCAGCCGAGGGGACCCCGGCAGATCTGCCCAGCTGGCTGTGATCTGCTGCCAACCCCTGGGGTCCTGCCCACCCCTGGCTCTGACCAGCCCTCTCCACCTGCAGCCTGCCCAGCCCACACCTACGGGCACAATTGCAGCCAGGCCTGTGCCTGCTTTAACGGGGCCTCCTGTGACCCTGTCCACGGGCAGTGCCACTGTGCCCCTGGCTGGATGGGGCCCTCCTGCCTGCAGGGTAAGCCACATCTAGGAGTCCAGGGACCGGGGTCCAGGCCTGAGCGAGGGTGCTGGCCTCTTGCAGGGCCCACAGGACACTTGGTGCCTGGGGGAGGGAGGAAGGGGCTGTTAGGACTGAGGACCGTGCCTTTCACCTGTGCCCCTCTCCAGGCAGGGATGGGGAGTGAGGCTGGGCTGGCAGGTCATCCTAGGGGCAGCCCCCTGCAAGGTGCCTGACCCCAAAGTCCAACATGGGGCTGGAAAGCCAGACAGACCCTGTGGGGCCAGCTGGCTGGGGGATGCAGGTTGCTCCCTCTTCCCTGGCCCCAGCCTGCCCTGCCGGCCTGTACGGCGACAACTGTCGGCATTCCTGCCTCTGCCAGAACGGAGGGACCTGTGACCCTGTCTCAGGCCACTGTGCGTGCCCAGAGGGCTGGGCCGGCCTGGCCTGTGAGAAGGGTGAGCGCTGGGCGGCAGAGGAGGGACATACCCCAGCATGCTTGGTGCAGCCCCGCCTGCAGGCCTAGGAGGGCTCCCAGGTCAGGGGGCAGCGCCCTGGGGTGTAGGCTTCAGCTCTGCGTGCAGGAAGCATGGGTCAGGGTCTCCTGGGCCCAGGAGGCAGGACCCTCACCCTCGTGCCTGCCTCTGCTCCTGTAGAGTGCCTCCCCCGGGACGTCAGAGCTGGCTGCCGGCACAGCGGCGGTTGCCTCAACGGGGGCCTGTGTGACCCGCACACGGGCCGCTGCCTCTGCCCAGCCGGCTGGACTGGGGACAAGTGTCAGAGCCGTGAGTGGGGCGGGGCAGCAGGGGGGTCTGCAGGCCCTGCTGGGAAGGGGTGGCATCAGCCTTACTGCAGGGCTGAGGACTGTGCCCGGTTTGGGGCCTCACCAGGGGACCTGTTGTCCTGTGAATGCAAGAGCTGCCGTCGGAGCACTAAGACCCTGTTGGGAGGGTCTCAGCCTAGGAAGCTGGCCTGTGGGGACAGAGTGCTGCTGCTTTGCCTTGGCAGGGGTAGCCCCAGCCAGCCCTGTGGTGGGTGGAACGGAGGATGCTTTGGGGCTCAGGGGGCCGTTCCTGTTTCCTGCATGCAGAGAGGGGCCCCTTCACCCCTTGTCCTGGAGCCTGTGCTGGCTGGGGGCCTCCTGCCAGTGGGAGTCTGGCTGTGGCTGCTGTGCCGGCAGGGCCTGGTCCACCCAGCGGGGCCTCAGCCCCTCCAGAGCCCAGACATGCAAGGGCAACACTGCCTCATTCCTCAAAGCCCCGGCCTCCCACCCAAGCCCCTAACACGAGCCCCCCTTCCAGCAGAGGCGCCGTCCCCACTGCTTGGGGTACAACTTGGGCGGTCCCTTGCTCAGGTCAGGAGCCTTGGGTCTGCTGTCTGAGGGGGGCCTGGGCACTCGGCTGGCCTCAGGGCTGTCGCTGGCTCCCGTCGCCTCAGTGCTGAGCCCCGGCTGCTGTCTCCCGGCTCCTTCGCCTTCCATGGGGCGGGGCTGCCAGAGGCTGAGCTCTCAGCCCTATCTGTCTCGTCCCTGCAGCCTGTGCCAAGGGCACATTCGGGCCTCACTGTGAGGGGCGCTGTGCCTGCCGGTGGGGAGGCCCCTGCCACCTTGCCACCGGGGCCTGCCTCTGCCCTCCGGGGTGGCGGGGGGCTCCAGGTGTGAGAATGGTGAGCACAGCCCCCAGTTCAGCCAGCATTGGGTGGGTCGTACCCACAGCACCTGCTCCCGGCCTGTCCTGGCCCACAGATCCCCACGGGCCCCTCCTAGAAGCCTCCGCAGCCCTCATCTTTCTGCAGCCTGCCTGCGGGGCTGGTTTGGAGAGGCCTGTGCCCAGCGCTGCAGCTGCCCGCCTGGCGCTGCCTGCCACCACGTCACTGGGGCCTGCCGCTGTCCCCCTGGCTTCACTGGCTCCGGCTGCGAGCAGGGTAGGTGCTCCCAAGCCCCCACCCCGAGGAGCGGCTGGGCAGGGGGAATCCAGAGAGGCTGCCTGTTCCTTGGCGGGGCTGGGCCAGGACCGACCCTGCCTGTCTCCACCCAGCCTGCCCACCCGGCAGCTTTGGGGAGGACTGTGCGCAGATGTGCCAGTGTCCCGGTGAGAACCCGGCCTGCCACCCTGCCACCGGGACCTGCTCATGTGCTGCTGGCTACCACGGCCCCAGCTGCCAGCAACGTGAGTGCTGCCCGTGCCCACCCAGGGACTCGGCAGTGCTGCCTGGCGTGCTGGGCCCCAGTTCCCCTGGTCCCCGGGAAGGCCCTCATCTGAGGGGGTGGAAGATGGAGGGTGTGGGGGTCTCATGAGAGCTGCCTTGCTGTGTTCAGGGGCACTGGGGAAGCCTCCAGCCCCAGCCCCTGCAGCTAGCCCCTCTCCCTGCAGGATGTCCGCCCGGGCGGTATGGGCCAGGCTGTGAACAGCTGTGTGGGTGTCTCAACGGGGGCTCCTGTGATGCGGCCACGGGGGCCTGCCGCTGCCCCACTGGGTTCCTCGGGACGGACTGCAACCTCAGTGAGTGGCTGGTGGCAGCAGTGCTGAGTGGCGCCTCCTGTGTCTCCAGGGTAGGGCCAGCCAGCCTGCAGGAGGATGGCCCCCGACTGCCCACCTCCCTGCCCTTCAGCCCCCTCTGGCTGGGCCTGGCCCCAAGTGGGGCTAAGCCAGAGGGGCAGAAAGGACCTGCAGCGCTGGGGGTGTCTATGTGGCCCCAGGTCCCACAGGCTTCTGCTAGCTCTGCCCCTGCACCTGCTGTGCCCGGCGACCTGCGCCATGTCTGCCAGGGGCTTGAGCACAGCCAGGCACAGAGGTCAGCCAGGCAGCTCAACTGTGGCCAAGCGTCCTGCTGGGAAACGGGCCTCTTCCCTCAGTCATGCAGGGACTTTCCCCTTCTGGGACCCCAGCAGAGCTGGCGGGGTGGGCGGGGGTGGCAGTGAGTCACTGCAGAGCAGGCGGCAGTGGCCTGGCCCCCAGCAGGCCTGCGGGTGGAAGGGAGATGCCAGGGTGGGTGCATGAGAGTTGGCTGGCCCCACCCTGTCTGGGGCAGACCCAGGGTCCCCTCACCCCATCCCATCCTGTCCTATCCCCACTCCGGGGTTGACCGGGCAGGGAGAGAAGGGAAGCCAGCCACGATCACCACTTCCTCCCCGGCAGCCTGTCCGCAGGGCCGCTTCGGCCCCAACTGCACCCACGTGTGTGGGTGTGGGCAGGGGGCGGCCTGCGACCCTGTGACCGGCACCTGCCTCTGCCCCCCGGGGAGAGCCGGCGTCCGCTGTGAGCGAGGTGAGTGTTCACTCCAGAGGGCATGCTCACAGGCCCTTCACAGAGATGTCACTGGATTAGCCGTGGGGACACTGGAGGGGTGGGCCCAGCCCAGACACCCGCACATCCTGGCTGCCACCAGCTCCCCACTTGACCCTGGGGCTGAGATGAGAGTGCTGTAGCTTGTGTTGACTACGCTGCCCTGCTTGGGGGAATGGACCGTCCCATGCCACCCCAGCCCCTACCTCGACACTCAGCCCCCGAGGCTCAGGCCACCCAGTGACCCCATCCTCATAGAGGTGGCCGTGGGGGCTGCAGGTTCCTACCCAGCGCCTGCCTGGCCCCTTGCAGAAGGGATTGGGTGGCTGTCTTCTGCCCGAGGGTGGAGTCCTTCTGGCCCTTTCTGCCAGGCCCAGGGCTCAGGGACCAAAGTGGAAGTGGGCCTAGAGCACAGTCAAGAGTAGAGAGATGGGCTGGACCCAGGGGACAGGCGTAGTGGCTCCTGCTCAGACAGGCCCAGTGCTCATGAACACAGCCACAGCCTCTTGGCCTGGTCCCACCCTTAGTCTGCATCAAGGGACTGGCTGCCCCCACAGCAGTTCTTGGCCTTCTGGGCTCATTGGGAGCCTGTGGCAGCAGAGGGTTCAGGATCCCAGGGCTCAGGCCCCAGCTGGGATGTAGCTTGGCCCCGCCTCACTCCCAGGAAGGATAGTGCCATCAGGCCGGTCATCAGGCATCCGGCTGTAACAGCAGGGCTACAGCCAGCCACCTCTGAGCCCACGGCAGCCCAGCCACGCTACTTCTCAGGCCTGAAGGATGTGCCTTCACTCCCAAGCGGGAGACAGCTGGTTCACAGTGGGCCGCTGCCTCCGTGAAGCCTTCTGTGAACCCCTTCCTGCAGGCTGGGCAGGCGCTCACCCAGCCCCTTCATGACTGAGCCACCCTCAGTTCCTAGACCAGGCCTGGCACTTGGCAGCCTGAGATGACCAAGGAATGAGAGGATGCGGCTGGTGCCACTCCCTGGCATGTGCCCGCCCAGCAGGCAGAGACTGGCACTGATGGGCCTCAGGAAGCATTTACCGAGTGACTGTCAGCCTGTGGGGACATATCCCCAGAGGGAGCCCAGCCCTCGGCCAGAGCTCCAGGCAGCACCTGCCTTCTGTCTCCAGGCTGCCCCCAGAACCGGTTTGGCGTGGGCTGCGAGCACACCTGCTCCTGCAGAAATGGGGGCCTGTGCCACGCCAGCAACGGCAGCTGCTCCTGTGGCCTGGGCTGGACGGGGCGGCACTGCGAGCTGGGTGAGTGTGCGGGGCCAGCGGGACCCCAGCATCCCCTCAGGGAGGTGCCCTGGGCTGCCATAGGGCTGGGCAAGGCTGGTGCCGAAGGACTGCCCACCCTGCCCTGTCCCCAGCCTGTCCCCCTGGGCGCTACGGAGCCGCCTGCCATCTGGAGTGCTCCTGCCACAACAACAGCACGTGTGAGCCTGCCACGGGCACCTGCCGCTGCGGCCCCGGCTTCTATGGCCAGGCCTGCGAGCACCGTGAGTTGGGGGCCTGTGCAGCTGGGCTGGGGCCCCTTTGAGCCACTGTCCACTCCTCCCGTGTGGGTGATCCAGGCAGCAGTGAAGTGGTGGGGAGGTGGGGAGCCAGCAGCAGTGGGGAGGGACGAGGACGGGCAGGAGGGGGCTTTTCTCGGGCCCCTGGATTGGCGGGTTTTACTCACTCTGGGCAAACTGGACATTTCTGCCACCGTGTGCCCTTGTCTCGTGGTAACCGGCGTCCTTCAGCCTGTCCCCCTGGCTTCCACGGGGCTGGCTGCCAGGGGTTGTGCTGGTGTCAACATGGAGCCCCCTGCGACCCCATCAGTGGCCGATGCCTCTGCCCTGCCGGCTTCCACGGCCACTTCTGTGAGAGGGGTGAGTGCTTGGTGCCTCCCTGAACCCCCGCTCCCTGGCCCCGTCCCGTCTGGGTGCAGGACAGGAGGGGGACACTGAGCCCACTGCCCCCACCAGGGTGTGAGCCAGGTTCATTTGGAGAGGGCTGCCACCAGCGCTGTGACTGTGACGGGGGGGCACCCTGTGACCCTGTCACCGGTCTCTGCCTTTGCCCACCAGGGCGCTCAGGAGCCACCTGTAACCTGGGTGAGTCTGGGGTCCTGCCCAGGAAGGGCGTGGGTGTGGGTCTCCATCAGTGACCAATATTGATTGGTTGGGCCCTACCTGTGCCAGTCCTGGGCTGGCCACCAACCCCTCTTGTTGCCTCTGCACCTGGACTGTGCCCCCTGGGGGGGCTGGAGTCAGCTGCTGGGACATGCGGTACCAAGCATGGCCCTCCTGCTGGAGCCTTAGGCCAGGCCCTGCCGTGTGGCCCCCACAACGTCCCAGGAAGGCCATGGTCATGGGAGGGGGCTCTGGTTGGGTGGAAAGACTTCCCTGATCTGCCAGCTGTGGACTGGGGGACATCAAGGGGGCTGTGGCCCCTCCAGCCCAGAGGGCCCCACCTGAGGATAGGAGGGTCTCACCTGAGGATAGGAGGGACCCACCTGAGGATAGGAGGGGCTCACCTGAGGATAGCAGGGGCTCACCTGAGGATAGGAGGGACCCACCTGAGGATAGGAGGGGCTCACCTGAGGATAAGAGGGGCTCACCTGAGGATAGGAGGGGCTCACCTGAGGATAGGAGGGACCCACCTGAGGATAGGAGGGGCTCACCTGAGGATAGCAGGGGCTCACCTGAGGATAGGAGGGACCCACCTGAGGATAGGAGGGGCTCACCTGCTGGGGCTGCTTACCTGGCCTTGTGGCTCTCAGGCCTGTTGTGCCCTGAGGGGGCATCCCTGAACACTGGCTCCTGTTTGCCCTCCTGGGGCGGGGCAGGAACTCGGTGGTGACTCTGGACGTGTGCCTGGGGCCTGGGCTTTCTCATGCAGGAGCTCACTGGCTGCAGAATGTAGCTGAGGAAGGCAGGGCAGGGACTGTTTACTCCTCAGGGGAAACCGAGGCCCAAGGTCTTAGCTCCCGCACACACCCAGGCAGAAGGCTTCACTCCACCTGGGCTCTGCCGCGGGCCCCTAGGCCCAGGCTCCTTGGCGCGGGGAAGGCAAGGATGATGCTCAGGTTTGTCTCCCGCCCCCTCCGCCTTGCAGATTGCAGAAGGGGCCAGTTTGGGCCCAGCTGCACCCTGCACTGTGACTGCGGGGGTGGGGCTGACTGCGACCCTGTCAGTGGGCAGTGTCACTGTGTGGATGGCTACATGGGGCCCACGTGCCGGGAAGGTGAGCTGGGCTTCCTGGGGAAGGGCGGGAAGGCACCATCCCCCAATCAGCCTCAGCTCCACCCTGGCAGAGGATCCCTCTCTCACCCACTGCGGAGTTGGCCGGGTCACCCTATGGCTATTCAGACATAGCGAATGTCATCTGTCCCCACCCGGTACCCAGAGTGTCACTTGGCTTCTGATGGGTGGAGTGTGAGCTTCACAGTCACTTAACCAGGGGACAGGGGTGGGCCATGCTGCCAGCTGGAAACAGCCCATCTTTCCCAGCCCCAACAGCTGCAAGGGTGGGCTGCAAACTGCACCGGGGGCCTGAAGAGGGTCATGACCCCATGGCTGGGCTGGACCATCCACAGTGTGGATGGACGCTGGCCATCCCTGCCCCTCCTGCCCCCCATACACGTGCACCAGGGTGTGAGGGTGTGTCTGTGCACGCACGTGCAACAGTGCGTACAGCAGGGTGTGTGTGCATGTGTGCCAGTACATGTGTGTGGCACCCAGTGTGTGCCAGTCCACGCACGCAGTCCTGCACGGGCAGCAGGCACCTGTGCGTGCCAGTCCACGCACGCAGTCCTGCACAGGCAGCAGGCACCTGTGCGTGCCAGTGCCTGTGTGTTACGTGTGCATCAGTGTGTGAATGTAGCCAGTGCGTCTGCGCAATAGTGCATGCATGTGCGGCAGGGGGCACAGGCGTGTGTGCCGGGCATGTGTGAGCGTGCTCCAGCACCTGTGTGAGGGTGGCTCCTTAGCACCACCTTCAGGACCCTGAGGCTGTCCTGGAATGTGCTCTCTGCCTGCAGGCAGTGCTTTTGGGATGCCCCCACCCCTCTGGCCAGCCCAGACTTTGCTGCCCGCACCCCCCCCCCCACCCCCGCACCGTGTACCCCCCAGCGGTGTTGGGAAAGGTTGTCTCTGCAGAGGGAAGTGGGAGGCAGGCTTGGGGCCTGTGCGGGGCAAGACATGTGGGCGGGGCAAAGGCCGGGCGCCAGGCTGCAGGCTCTGCTTTTTGGCTAACTGGGGATTTCACACTTGGGGTCCTCCGCTTGGAGGCCCCCAAATAGTCTTGACTTTGTGTATGTGTGCATCTGTTTGTGCCTTTCTAAGGCAGTCCTGGCTGCAGATTGTTCAGAGCCTTAAGACAGGGGAGCCCCCATCTCGGTGGAGCGGGGCGGGGCGAGGAGAGGAGGGGCGGGGCAGCAGCCTGTGCGCTGGTGCAGGGACAAAAGGCTGCCCGGCAGCGGCATCTAGTGGTCATCTGTGGTACTGCACCGCCGGCTGCCGGCACCTGCGCTGGGTGCCGGGTGCCGGGGGCAGTGCCTTGACATTGAGCTGGAGGCCTCAGGAGCCTGGGGCCCCATGGGCAGTGTGTTGCTGGGCGTGGGGAGTCCTGGGTCCTGCGCCCTCCCCTGGAGTGGACTTGGCTTGGCGTTCGGTAAAGCCCCTGATGTCGCGGGTAGTAGAGGCTTGGAGGGGCTGAGAGCTTTCCTATGGGGAGAGGGAGAGCCCCCCCCCCCAGCTCCCGCCCCCGTTCCTTCCCCGAGTGCAAAGGACTGAGAAGGGAAGGAGACTGTGCGGGGGAAGTGGAGGTCCCTGAAGGCCTGGATGGGGTCACGCCTTGCTGCCATTACTGTGGCTCACTCAAGGCTGGGGGTACTAACATGGCCTGCTCTCTCTCCCCTCCAGGTGGGCCCCTCCGGCTCCCCGAGAACCCGTCCTTAGCCCAGGGCTCAGGTAAGGGGTGTGGGGAATGCCCGTGGGCTTGCCAGGAGGGTGGGTTATGGCAAAGTCAACGAAGAGTGCTTAAGTATAATCTGGGCCCCACAGGGCAGCAGCTGCACCCGGGGCCTTGGGCCCCAGGAATCTGGAGCTCAGAGACCAAGGCTGGGGCCAGAGCTGGGAAGGACAGGCTGGGAAGGATGGGTGGGCCCCACCCACCTGCTGGGCTGAGCTGCTGAAGGGAGGGGTGGGAGGGAGAGGTGCCAACCCAGAACCCAGTCTGTTCTGGGAGCACCCGCCCCACCCTGGACTGGCCCTCTTTTCTCCTTTTCCCCAGCGGGCACACTGCCCGCCTCCAGCAGACCCACATCCCGGAGCGGTGGACCAGCGAGGCACTAGTAGAGGCAGTCCCGTGGAGCCCGCCTCTCCAGTCCCAGCCAGAGGGGACCCTGGCCTTTGGTGACCACTGAGAAGGACACTTCACGGGCCCAGAGCTCCTGGTACTGCCCTTCCTTTGAGGGCCGTGGAGGGCTGTGGACAGCCCAGCAACCTGTCGCTCTTGGAGGCTGGTGTGGCCTTGAGGAGGGAAGCCTCGCATGGCCGCTGGAAGAGAGGCGCCTCCTGGCCTGGCTCTGCAGAACCCAGGGGCACGCTCTGGGCCTGGGCTGAGGAAGTCCCGCTCTCCCCGCGGCTCTGAGTTGGACTGAGGACAGGTGTGGGCGCCAGTGTGGGTGCAGGCGCAGGTGCAGGCACAGGGCCACTGTCCTCCAGGCAGGCTTTTTGGTGCTAGGCCCTGGGACTGGAAGTCGCCCAGCCCGTATTTATGTAAAGGTATTTATGGGCCACTGCACATGCCCGCTGCAGCCCTGGGATCAGCTGGAAGCTGCCTGTCATCTCCTGCCCAATCCCCAGAAACCCTGATTCAGGTCTGCAGGCTCCTGCGGGCTCACCAGGCTGCTGGCTCCGGTACCATGTAAACCTAGGAAGGTAAAGGAGCAGGCAACCTCCTCGTGGCCTGTGTGTTTGCTGTGTTACGTGGACTCTGTGTGGGCTCCTCCCTGGGGCCCGGCCAGCATAACGGTGCACCCAGGGACCTCCCAGTGCACCCGGGGCCCTTTGCAGGGGTGGGGGTGCCACACAAGTGAAGAAGTTGGGACTCATCTCAGTTCCCAGTGCTATTGAGGAGAACGCTGGGGCTGCATTCATTACCGCTGAGACCCAGAGACTGGCTGTTCCCAGAGAATGGCCCAGGGGGAGGAGGGCTGGTGTGGAGGGGCAACCTGGACTGAGGCCGAACTCCCTTGGGCTCACCCCACCCACCCCTACCTGAGCATCAGCAGTGGGGGGAGGGCAGCATCGCAGGGGCAGGGACTCCCTGGGTGAGGACAGACCAGCCCTCCCGAGCACCTGGCACTCATGGGCTGAGGCTGACTTCTCCTGGAAGAAGGGCCCAGAGTGGAAGGAAGAGGCAGAGGGTAGAGGTGGTGGCTGGGGGCTCCTCTGCAGAGTGGGGTGGCCAATGGAGAGGGCTGCACTCACACCGCAACATAGGACTCTCTCTCCCTTAAGAAGGCCCCCTTAGGGTCTGGGCTGCCGCCCCCATCACCCTAAAACCAGCCAAGGTAGCTGAGGCCCCAGGGCAGACAATTTCACCAGCAGGAGGAGGAGGAGTCCAGTGAGCTTGGTTGCTCACAGACAGCAAGGGAGCTGTCACAGAGGAAGCTGATGAATGGACCGCTGTGGGGAGACTTTAAAGTAGAACAGTGATAAGGGAGGGCAGGATGGTGGGGATGCAGAAGCAGCAGCCAGAGAGAGACGGACTGGGGTGCAGACGGAGTGTGGAAAACGCATACCTTGAAATGAAGCATCCAGCAGATGGGGTGAGTGGATACAGCTCAGGAGATTCTCCCAGGAATAGCAGGGAGGCGTAAAGAGAGACAACGTACAGAGATAGATGAATGGAAATGGGTAAGGGAGGTGTTCATTCACATCCATCTAACTGCAAAATACAAAAGTAAGAAGTCATTGACATGAAGCAACGACGACCAAGACGTTCTCAGATCTAAAGGTGAATGATCTCAGTCAGCCTGGAAATGCACAAGGTGGAAAAATAACATAAAAAAGCCATAAGACCTTGAAGAACATCAATGTCAAAGATAAATTCTAAAGTCCCAGAGAAAAAAGAATGGGAATCAAATTGACCTCAGACTATACGTGAGAAACACGGAGAGCCAGAAAACTGTGATGTTCCATCCTCAGAGTTTGAAGGAAATATTTGAAGGCTGAATTTTACATCCAGCTAAACTATCAAAGGCATGCAAAGTCCATGTTATTCTTAGGCCTTCAAGGCCTCGGCCATTTTTCTACAGAAAAGCCTGATTTTAAAATGCTCTTAGAGACGTTCTCCAGCCAGAAGAGAAAGAAGCCAGGAGGGTGCTCTGAGATATTCAGTCACCACAGTTCCCAAATGGCCTAGGAATTCAGAGAGTCAGAATATCACCATTACTCCCCAATGGGAACCCCCGACAGTCTCAGCATGGTGTGAGGGTGTGGACGGGGGGCCTGGCAGGTACCAATCACTCATCCCGCTCAGTGAAGACACAGTGTTCAGCTACGGAAGCCATAAGGCAGGCCGAGCTTCTGCCCATCCGGAGGAAATCTCAGCTATCCAACGGCGGTCAGGAGCAGAGGAAAATAAAGCAGAATAACTAGAAAACACGCTCACAGATCCTAATGTTAACGGTTACAAATGACGACGGAAAAACAAACTCCTGACCATATATTATATAGTTTCAAGCAGCAAGAAGGAGGATATTGAACATTCTCAACACACATAATAAACGCTTGAGATGATGATATGCTCATTACCCTGATTTGATCACTAGACATCCCATGTATCAAAACATCACTGTGTATCCGATGAATATCTACAATTATTGTCAATTAAAAACATCATTAAAAACAGACTAGACTGCATTAAAAATATACTAAATAGTATTTTTACTATAAAAGACATGCTTCAAAGGGTAGAAACACAGACATGCAGAGTAAACCAAAGGAGAATTAGGGCAGGCGTTTGAATATTTCAGGGTAAGAAGCATCGTAACAGTCTGTAAATATACATACACATACACGCACCCAACAATGAGGCTCGAACATTCATCCAGCAGTGATGGATAGAGCAGGTAGAAATAGCTGTCATGGGTGATTTGAACGTGCACTTTACAAAAACCAATAGTTTAAGCAAGTAAGACATAGCAATGGTAACCTGAATAAGCTTGCACACACACGGTACATCTGTGTTTATACTTACATGTTTACTGTGTTCACATACACACACCTTTTCAGCTTAACAACATTTATAAAATTACAGGGTACACATGCAGTTTTGTTACATGGACATAGCATATGGTGGAAGAGTCTGGGCTTTAGTGTTACCATTACTGAGTAGTGTACATTCTGCCCATGAAGTAATTTCTCATCCCTCCCTGCCACCCTCCCACCCTTCCAGTCTCCAATGTCTGTTATTCCCCTCTCTGTCTGTCTGTACACGTTATTTAGCTCCCACATATAAGGGAGAGCATGCAGTATTTGACTTTGTTTCTGAGTTATTTCACCTAAGATAGTGGTCTTCAGTTCCATCCATGTTGCTGGAACAGTCATGATTTCATTCTTCTTTATGGCTGAGTAGTCGTCCATGGTGTGTGTGCATGCAATACTGCATGTCCGTACTACATGGAATGCAGATATATATATATATATATATATATATATATATATATATATATGATATGTAAAACTCACACATGCGTGCACACACACACACCTCCACACACATCTTTATCCAGTCATCCACTGATGGACACAGGTTAATTCCATATCTTTGCTCGTGTGAACAGTGCTGTGATAAACACATAAGTGTGAGCATCTTTTTGATATAATGAATTCCTTTCATTTGTGCAGGTGCCCTGTGGTGTGATTGCTGGATGGAATGGGAGTTCCATTTTTAGTTCTTTGAGAAAAACCATAACATTTTCCATACAGGCTAAGTGAGTTCACATTCCCACCAACAGTGTATATGCATTCCCTTTTGTCTGCATCCTCAACATGTTATATTTTTGACTTTTTAATAATAGCCATTCTGACGGTGTGAGATGATATCTCATTGTGGTTTTATTTTTATTTTTATTTTTTGAGACAGGGTCTCACTCTGCCACCCGTGTTGGAGTGCAGTGGCGCCATCTCGACTCACTGCAACCTCCGCTTCCAGGGTTCAAGCAATCCTCCCACTTTAGCCTCCCAGGAAGCTAACTACAGGTGCAAGCCACCACGCCCAGCTAATTTTTGTATTTTCTTTTTGTAGAGATGGGATTTTGCCATGTTGCCCAGGCTGGTCTCGAACTCCTGAGCTCATGTGATCTGACTGCCTCAGCTTTCCAAAGTGCTGGGATTACAGGTGCGAACCACTGCACTCGGCCTCGTGGCTTTAATTCACATTTCTCTGATGATAAGTGATACTCACACTTACATTTCTGTGTATAAACTTTACATTCAGCAGGTGCAGAATAATGGAACGCTTAAGAAAACCGAAATTTCCTTCTTTGAAGACTAAGAAGCAAGAAAGCACCTTGCAAGACTGATTTTTTAAACACGAGAGAAAAAAATACACAAGAGTTAACTACAAACACAATAGAGAAGAAGGTATAAAAATTATGAGCAGCTATGTACCAATAACTTGGAAAACACTTAGAAAAATGATAAACTGGGGGAAAAATGCCGAGACTGGTGTAAACGGAGGTTAAAAATGCGAATCAGGCAGTGGCCTAAGAAGAGGCGAAGAGCCGTGGGAGAGCCGCTCCTTCCCTCCGCTCAGCCCCAGGAATCCTGGCACAGCTGTAGCATGCATGGTTACACCAGGTGTATACCATACATTTGTCAACCAGGACTCGTTCCAGAAATTTTTTTTTTTTTTTTTTTTTTTTTTTTTTTTTTTTTGAGACAGAGTCTCGCTCTGTCGCCCAGGCTGGAGTGCAGTGGCTCGATCTTAGCTCACTGCAGGCTCCGCCTCCCGGGTTCATGCCATTCTCCTGCCTCAGCCTCTTGAGTAGCTGGGACTACAGGTGCCCGCCACCACGCCCAGCTAACTTTTTTTTATTTTTAGTAGAGACGGGGTTTCACTGTGTTAGCCAGGATGGTCTCGATCTCTTGACCTCATGATCCGCCCGCCTCGGCCTCCCAAAGTGCTGGGATTACAGGCGTGAGCCACTGCACCTGGCCCAGAAATTTTAAATGGAGGAAAAACAGCTCACCTCATCCCACAAAGGCAGCGGAAACTTGGCTCTAAAACCAAGAGAGGACAGTAACAAGTAAAGTAACTGCAGACTCATTCCATGTAGGCAAAAATCCTAGATCAAATATTAGCTATCCAAATAAGAGTATTTTACCAAGAACACTGGCCTGACCGAATGGACTGGATCGAATGCAAGGACGGTTTCACATCAGAAAATGCGTCGGTGCATTTGGGTGAGAAGAGAAATCAGATGACTGTATTGATGGCAGCAGGAAGAACGTTGGACAGAGTTCAATGCCTGTTTGGGATAGGCATTCTTGGAAACCTGAGAAAGGACCTCTTTTGATAGTGGTTAGGTGCAAGAGTCATGTTCAGGGGAGAAACCGATGAATTCAGGTCTGTGCAAAAGATGCCGCCCAGCGGGGCCTGCCGTGCCCACTGGGGTGACAGTCGTCTGGTCCTGCTATACCTCCTCCCAGCCTTCTGCTCTTCAGAGCCCTGCCGTGACATCCCATGTCTGTGCTAGGCCTTCCCCATCAGAGCACAAACTCGGGAGGCAGGGGCTTCGCTGTATACCTGGACCACCTGGAACCGGACCTGGGTAGAGCGCGGTGAGTGTCGTCACAGGAGTGAATAAAGTCAAATCAGAAGATGCCTGCATCAGCCTCACTGCCCCCCACCGCCCCAGCAGGCAGTATCTTCAGATGAGGAGAAGCAACTGAGGTATAAGGATCTCAGGGGAAGACACACCTGCCGTGGTTCTCAGGGGACAGGATTATCTCCACGGAAAACCCCAAAGGGCTAACAGACATTGCTATAGCTGATGATAAGGATTCAGCAAGGTTGGCAATAAAATCCTATAAAGCATGGAAAATGTACAACATGTATAAAACCTATAACATCGATAGTGCTTCAACACCAACAATAACTGACAAGAAAACTACAAAATAAGACACCGTTCAACATGGCAATAAAACCTGGAAATCTACGGGAATGTATCTGGCGAAAGAATTTCTGGATTCTTTCAATTCTTCTGATACAGTTTATAAAGACCTCAAAAGGCCTGACAAATGACAACTGGAAGGCAAATGTGACATGAAAAAATGTCACTTCCCAGCTATGTCAGATGCATTCCAGTTTGCTGGAAAGGCCCAGCGACAGAGCCCACAGGTGGCATCTGGTGGGCAACCTGCCATGTCTGAAATGGACAAAGGTCTGGGGTCAAGAATGGCAGAGCTGAGCTAGAGAGAGGAGGACCGAGCCGAGCCAGAGGAGGACCGAGCCGAGCCGGAGAAGGGAGGACCGAGCCGAGCCGGAGAGGGGAGGAGATGGGCAGAATTCACGGAGACCCCACAGCCAAGGCCAAGTGTACGGAGAAGGCCCATCTCGCGAAGACCAGAGATCTGCACATCAAAACACCGGTCTACGGCTTACGCCCACCAGCAAAAGTTGGAGGCCAAGGGCTCTGAGTAAATGTGGGGTGAGGACCCCCCATGAACCGCCGGGGTCCCAGGGCCAGCCCTGGAGCCGGCGGCAGTCCGGTCATCGGAGGCCCCGGGGCCCGGCCAGCAGTGCCTCTGCCAGACACCAGGTGGCGTGAGAGGAAGGTGTGCGGCAGGCTGGGGAAGGGGAGTCCCTGCAGAGGACACCGCCAGGGTGGGGCATGTTCTGGAATGTTCCGGAGGGGAAAGATGAGCAGAGCCGCTCAGATAGATCCTAAAACGTGGTTGGGCAACAGCAGGAACTAGGATGAGGTCATGTGAGTGCGCACCCTGTGTACAAATTCCCGGTCACAGGACAGCAGCAGGGGCTCTGTGGGCTGAGGATACACATGGCACACCGGACGGGGTGGCGGGGACACGGGGGTGGGATGGAGGGATGTGCTCACGGTGGGGCTCTGGACCTGCAAGGTGACAGACCCAACTCCGTGCCTGGACAGAGGGACTGGTGGCCTGTCCCATCTCTGGCTGGACGGAGGGACCGGTGGCCTGTCGAGTCTGATGGCTGTCCCGGCCTAGCTGGGGCGGCCACTCCCGCGTGGCTTCTGTGCTCCTGTGAACCACACCCCCCTTGCTCCCCTGGCCGCAGGAAAGGTTAGGTGGTGCCTGTCTGGACCCAGCAGTGTCCACTCTGTGCCCGCCCAGGGCTGGGCACTGAAGTTTGCCAAGATGAACCCCAGCCCTCGGCCTGGGCTATCCTGCCCAGGGTGGCCTTGGGGACAGGGCTTGGGCGCAAGGCCTCAGCAGCAGCCCCCTCCCACTGCCCTGCATCCACACAGCCCCCACAGCACCCCAGGCCAACAATGGCCTGAAGGATGGGCTGGGACACCAAGCACTGTGGGCACCCTGGCAACCTACTCGGGGCACAGGCCTTGTTGGCTAGACGGGTGTCTTTAGAGCCCTGATAGCCCCCTGCAGTGGGAAGAGGGTCTTTGGGCCTCAGTTTCACCCCCTGCAACAGGAGGGTCTGTGCAGCCAGAGAGCTACCCAGGCTATGTGGCTGCACAGGAGGGCTGAGCAAGGTAAGCCCTGTCTGTCTCCTGGGACCCCTCTCCAGCTGAGCCCGTGTGGCAGAGCCCCCGCAGGAGCCCTATTATCTGACTGTGGGCGGGGAAGTGTCCCTGGACCCCAACACTGGAAGTACGGGACAGGCTGAGGTTCCATGAGGAGAGTGAGCAAGAAGACCCCGGGGAGGGGGTGATCGTCCTGGGGGTCCAGGCTGGCTCTGTCCTGCTGAGGGGGCCATAGCACCTGGGCCAGTGAAGGCGGCACCCCAGGCTGAGCAGGGGCCCTCGGACGGGCGTGAGCTGGCACTGGTGCTGGGGACGGGGCTACACAAGCCTGTGGCCCCCTCTCCTGACGCCCCTCCTGCCCATAGGTCTCGCCCCTGCCTGGGCCCACACCTCACTGGCAGCCCAGGCCTGCGCTTCCTGACTCTGCCGGGAGGGGCTCTCGTCCTGAGCAGGCCTGAACTGGGCCCTCCCCAGGTTGCCCCAGATGCCCCCAACAACAGCCTGGCCACTGCCATAGCAGGACAGCCACCCAGCCTGGGCCCGGACCCCCTCCCTGCAGGCTGAGCATTCTCACTGCCCGCTAAAACGCAGAGGCTGCTGTAGCCACTTGCAGACGGAACTGAGGCGCAGAGGCTGAGTCACCTGCCCCAGGTCACATACGTGAGAGTGAGGTCACAGAGTCAGAGGCCAGGCTTTCCAGATCCGCCTTGCTCCGTGAGCTGAGCATGAACTTGGCAGTGAGAACCGCCCGGAGGCTGCAGGGCAGCTGGGTTTACACGAAACTGCTGCCCCCTGGCTACCCGCCCCCCCGCCCCCCAACACACACGCACACACAGAGACAGGCATGCTAGCACACATGCACACACCACCTGCCAACACACATGCCCTGCCCTGGCTGCCAGTTTGCTCCCACAGGAGCTCCAGGAAAAGCCCAGGGAGTAACCAGTTCACAGGCAGGACAGCGGAGGCTGGAGATGCCACGCTGGGCGTGGAGGAGCTGGCCCCATCTCAGGGGATTCTGCTCCCAGGTGCCTCCTCTTTCCCAGAGCCCTGGCTGTGCCCCGCCCTGCGAGGCGGCCGCTGACCAAAGCCCTGCCCAGGACAGTCCTGCGTGGGCTCCGAGCCTGGACTGGGCCATTGCTGCTGCCCAAGGCCATGGAGGTGACCGGGAGAGGAGCTGGCCCTCCTCGCACTGCACGGCCCTCCAGACCTCGCCTCCTCCCCTAAGCCCTGGTCCAGCAGGCGGGGGCTGGGAGCAGCGTGTTCTTTCAGCCCACCCCACCTCTCATGCACCAGGTCCTGCAGCTGCCCCAAGCCTGGGAGGGGTGGAGGGCAGTCTCCTATCACCATTTCTGGTTGGCATATGGGGTAGATGCACCCCTGACTTTCCTGCAGAAGCCAGGGCCCCAGACCCAGGAGGATCAGGGCAGATTCTCAGGTGTATGCTGGGTGCTCCCTCCCTGAGGACAGCATTACCCAAGCCCACAAAGGCAACGGGCATTGGCGTCGGACACAGGAGGGCTGGTGGGGGCTTCCTGGGACAGAGAGGACCAGTCCTCCTCTTGCTGTGCCACCCCAGGTCAGCCGACTGGCTCAGGGACTGCCTCTTCTGCCTGCAGCTCCCAGGACGAGATGGCTGGGAGGAAAAACTGGGAGGGAGGTGGGGCCTGTCTCCAACCCTGGGGACACTGCAGAGGGATCCCCAAAAGCTCTACTGAATCCCGGAGTCCTCTAAACCACTGGCCAGCCTGGGCCCTGCAAGGCGCAGCTGTGCCGCCCCTGGCTTCTCAGTACACGATCAGGGGCCGCTGGCCCTGCTCCAGTGCTCCAGCCGGTGGGCAGACTGGCCACACCAGGGGCGAGCTTGGGGCGACCACACATGACACGGCACCCAACACAAGGGGGCCATGCACAGGGGGCCTGGTGCCGGCCCGCGGCATCCTGAGTATGTCCCTGGAAAATGTGTGGCCACGGTCTTTGCCTGGGCTCAGAGTCACTGTGAAAATCCAGGTTCTTAAGAAATAACTTTAATGTATTTAGAAACCTCAAAACCGAAATCTCCCTGCCGGGTCCCCTCCCTCCGGCCGGCCCCTTCTCAGAACGTGGGGCACTCCTGGGCACTCAGGGCCCTTCTTGTCCCACTCAGGGGTAGGAAGGGCATAGGAGGAGACCTCGCATTGCCCCCAATAATCGCTATTGGTGCCTCCTGTGCCCATCAGTCCAGGTGGAGTTGCCCCCTGGGTGCAGTGGGGAGGTGGGGCCCAGCAGCTGAGGGGCCCAGCCAGCCAACGGGAATAGGCTGGGCTCCCTGGGACACGGTGTGGCCCCCTCGAGCTTGCCTGGGGGTGCCTCTCTGGGGACATGTGATCTTCCTTCCGTGAAGTGTCTGGAGCCCGGCACCACAGCCACAGGCTCTTGGGAAGCCCCAGGGAACCATGCTGGGTCCTTGAGACCAGCTCCCCACGCTCTCTAGAGCCAGGCACGACCACTTGCTGATTGGAGACAGGCTGTGCTGCCGCCGGCTGGCCTCGCCAGGGCTACACGTCCGTCTCCACCCGCAGACGCTCCATCCTGCGGACATTGCCCTCCACGGCCACACGGCTGGTGATGAAGCGGGCAAAGTCCTCGGGGAACCATCCCGTCTCTCCGTCCCGGAGCCTCTCGCCATAGAGCCACCCTGAACCCGGATAGGGGTGGGAGGGAGGTGAGGGGAAGGCCGTGGGTCCCCCGGCCCCTCTGAGCTGCTATGCCTGAGCACACCAGGGCCAGGCTTCTCCTAGAACTGACCACCTGCTCCTGCTCAGAGCAGACAGCTGCTGAGGCCTTGCTCATGGTCACCGGGCACCCAGCCCCTGCTCAGGTGCTCGCCACTGAGAAGGGTGCTGGGCTGAGCACACCCCACACAGCGCTGCCCGGCATGAGGAGGAGCCCTGCCTGCCCTCTGCAGGCTCGTGCTGGGCCTGGCTGAGCGGGGATCCCCTGGGAGGGCAGAGACACCTCCTCCTCCCCACGTGGGACACAGTGACCATGAACCTGCTTTTGATTCTGAGGTTTGGGGATGTGGGAGTGCTCCCTTTGAGGAAGCCCTCGAGAGAGGGTGAGCACATGGTCAGCCTGCAGCCCGGCATGCTCTGGACCTGGCCAGGCTGGACGCTGACTCACGCCCGCCTGTCCGTTCCCACCCATCTGTGCCCAACGCCCCTGCACTCACCATCCTCCTGCTGCAGAACCAGGACCACGTCCGCCTGCTGCAGTGTGACCTCGTCTGCTTGCTTCGCGAAGAAGGCCTTGGTGATCTCCACCTGGGGCAGGTCTGCATAGGGCAGTGGCCATCACAGGGCTGTCGGGAGGCATGGGCCAGGCTCCACTCCCCAACGGCCTCCAGCAGACACATCCCCCGGGGCCGGGGCACCCCATCCCCCGACTGCCAGGCCCCAGCACAAGGCCAGGTGCCAGGCTCACTTGGGCTACAGTGGGGGCCAAAGTGCCAGCCACGGCAGAGGGCCAGCCCTGCAGGCCCCAGCCCGCACTCACCTCCTTTGCTGGAGAGGCCCTGCCACTGTCTCTCACTGTGTGTGAGCGCCACGATCCACCGTGCCCGGTCACTCCTGGGGACCAGAGACAGCATGAGCCAGGCCTGGAGACCGATCCTGCCCGTCTGATGTTCCTTGACTTCTGACAGCCACCCATGGGGGCCGTGGCAAGGAGATGGGGGTGGTGGGGGTGGGCAGGAGTGGCTGGGCAGACTGTGCCAGGCAGGCTAACCCCCAAGTCACCCCAGCCCCAGGTCACAGAGTTGGGTAGTGGCCACACACCCAGACCCCAGCCTGCTGGACCTGAGGCCACCCCGTTTCCTGGCACTGGGCCCCAGCTCCCTGCCCCCTCCGTTTGCTGTGACAGACTCAGCCTCAGCATCCTCATCTGGAAACGGCCCAGAGCTGTCCTCAGTCAAGACGAGCTGAGAGGGAATATGGAGACTGGCGCACCTGTGTGCCTGGCTTCCACGGGGGGCCCGCAGAGACTCCATCAGTGCCCCCTCCCATTCTGAGTGCCAGGACCACCCTGCTGTCTGAACTGGCCCCTACCGGCCAGGGTCGCTGCACCCCAGCATCACTGCTGTCCACCTGCAGCTGTGCCCTCGGGGCCTCAGGGCTCTCCTGCCTCGGGGCCTCTGCTGAGCAACCCCACACTCCGGCCCCACCTCCCTCTGCTCACATGGGCTAAGCTTTCCTCACGGCACCCCCCGCACCCCACCCCCCACCTCGTTTCCTCCCTTGTTCCCACTCCTGGTGGCCCAACTGTTGGTGCGTCCCCTCCCGGGAACATAAACTCCATGAGGACAAGGCCATTTCTGTTGTTTCTGGCTCTACCTCAGCACCTACAGCAGGGCCAGGTGCACGGTGGGCGTTCAGAGCCAGCCATGCAACAGCGAGCAAGGCAGGGGGACAACCCGGTCCCCATGGAGCTAATGTGCCTGTGGCCTGGGAACAGCCCTCCCGGGAGCCCACTTACGCGGAGTCCGAGGAGAGCAGGAGCTGCTCCTGGCGGCCCTCGCTGTTGCGAAGCAGGGTCACCTGGAAGGGGTGGGGCACGGAGGAGCTACGGTTGCCGCCCCCGGGCAGAGGGAGCTCAGACGGCTCTATCTTCTCCACCTGGATGTGGTTCATCTGGGCGTAGTCCTGGACCATGTAGCTCTCCTCGCTGTGGAGACACGGGCAGTCGGTGGGACGGTCCCACCCAGCTCCTACCCAGTGCTGCTGGGCTC
This sequence comes from Homo sapiens, assembly GCF_000001405.40. NCBI lineage: Eukaryota > Metazoa > Chordata > Mammalia > Primates > Hominidae > Homo > Homo sapiens. The sequence continues at coordinate 3,478,359 of NC_000001.11, read as the reverse complement.
CCGTCCAGGTCCCACCCGGCTCCCCTGCAGTGGTGGGGAGGCAGCCACGGACGGGCTCCAAGAGTTCCCGCGTCCCACAGAACAGAGGCCATGGCTTTCGAGTCCTCCTCGTGGCTATCACCGGCAGACCCAGGTCTGCAGAGGAGGTCAGAGGCTGCACAGCGAGCGCCACCTGCCCCCGAGTGTCACGTAGAGCATGTGCCGAGTGGAAGCCGCGCCTCGGCTCTGAGGTCAGAGGGGCTCAGGGCCAACTCCCTGTACCCTCCTGCCCCAGGGCCAGCGGTCCAGTGTCCATGGAGTGGGGCTCCCCACACCCTCCTGCCCTAAGGCCACCTCTTCTTCTTGGTCACAACCAGGACATCGTTGAACAGGAAAAGGTAGCACGTTGGCCGGCTGGCAATTTTTCGAAAAAGTCCGGTTTCTTCCACTAAGAACAGCTCTCCGCGCTTCAGCAGCCACCGGGAGGCAGAGATCAGTGGGAGGGACTGGGGGGACAGAGCCGGGAGGCGGAGATCAGTGCGAGGGACTGGGGGGGACAGAGCCGGGGTGAGCAGGTCCCCAGGGGGTCAAGGACGCATAGCACCAGGTGGGACTGACTCCTGCCTCTGGACTGGGTGACCAGCTGGCTGCCCTCAGTCGGGGCTGGACAGAGGAAAGGGGCACAATGTGTCCGGGCCTCAAATCGAGGTGCGCCAGGCCGGACCAGACCCTGCCCGATAGCCCAGGGCTGGGTGACCACTGAACATTTCACCCAAGCCAGGACTCGAAGGCCAGTGCTGGGGAAGCCTCCACACACACCTCACCCCTCCGTGGCAATTACGCAGACGCTGGGCCTCCTAGGCACAAGGACCTGCTCAGCCCCGAGGGAGGGTTGGCAGGGGCAGGCCCACCCGTGATGGCCACGCTCCACGTCTGGGGCCTTTCCTGGCTCCTGAGCCACAGAACATCCTCCCTGCTGCCTGGTGCTGAGTTGCTGGAGTCAGTGGGGGGCAGAAGGATGGCAAAGGCCAGAGGGTGGGCAGTGTGGGGGTGATGGGGTGGGTAGTGTGGGGGTGACGGGGATGGGTGTCGCAGTAGGGGGTGGCAGTACAGGGTGGGGGGGAGGGCAGAGTGGGAATGAGGAGCCTGCCCACCAGCTCCCGCTCCTCAGCGACTGTTGACACCTCCTCACCTGCTCCCTGTGGGCCCCGGCTTCCCCACCTGTGCCCACTACAGACTCAGAGCCCCCGGCACCTCCCGCTCCCGGCCTCTGCCACCACCCTCCCTCCTGGATGGGCCTGTTCTCCCCACCCCCACACCCGTTTCCAAGACCAACTTCAAGACCATGTGGGGGTGAGAGCCCCACTCAGGGGTGGACCAGGCCTGGGAGGGGGTCCTTGCTCTGGCAGGGGCAGGCGTTACACCCCAGACTCGAGAGGATCAGGGAGACAAGCGTGAGGGCTGCACGGGTGTGGGCTCAGCGACAGCGGCGCGAAGTCACCGCCCTGACGCCTGCCCCAGGCAGCCCGCCCTGACCCACCCCGGGAGCCCCCTCCCCCAGCTGGGACCCCGCACCCTTACTTGGTTGTCCGTGGCCCTGAGTGAGGGTGGCTGGTGGCCTGTCACCCACTTCTTGCTCCACCCTGAAGGACACCCCCTGGATGGGGCACCAGGACAGGAGACCCACCTGGGCCCGCCTTAGGGGAGGGGCCCTGGGCTGTCCCAGGACAACAGAGGATGCGGCCAGTGTGTGGGATCGTGGGTGGGGGGCTCTGGAGGGAGAGGTATGAGCCCTGCCCGTTTGTGGCAGGGACTAGGGCTGCCCGGGCCTGGGCTGGAAATATTTCACCCTACCCAGAATCCAAGCCTCACTGGGAAACATGGAATCTGGGCTGGCCCTGAAATCACCCTGTCCCCTCCGCTCTGTCCTCAGGCCCTGCCCAGCCCCTGAGGGGCCAGCAAGGAGCGCTGGCCCCAGGCAAGTGCACTGACAGGGCCACTCCTGTTGCCCCCTGGGCTTGGTCACTCAGGGCCTAGGGTCTACCCTTTGCCGGTGCAGTCCTGGGGATGGGGCAAGGGCCACAGAGGCCCACCCAGTGGGATTAGGGGAGGGGTCCACAAGGGGCGCTCCCAGATCGGGAGACTGAGGCCTGGAGAGACCAGAGCCACCAGCCCTAGGAGGCCCAGCCCCCAGGCCTCATGAGGGCAGGCACCCACTCTCCAGCCCTCAGGCTCAGGGGTGTGACCTCACACGCAGGCCAGCAGGGAGGGCTGAGTGGGAAGTGGTCCGAGTGGCCCTGATGTCCGGGGCCACCTACCTTGACCTTGCTGAAGTCCAGCTGTGTGTGCAGCGTGTACATCTGCTCCATGCGCTCCATCCTGTGGGCCCCCTCGTTGCACTGCCTCACCAGCTGCAGGGCATGGTTCCCGTGTGAGAGGCTGGTGCTACAGGGCCCTGGCACAGCCCACACGGCCCACAGTGTGCCCAGGACACCTGCCCAGCCAGCCTCTGGCTGCCCACAGTGCCTGCCCTGGACCAGCCGTGCCACGGGCTCATCAACTGTGTGAGAGCTCCACTGGCTCTAGGCCTCAGTTTCCCTGTCAGCACTGTGAAAGGCTTGGGATGGATAATCTGGGAACCTCTGGGCCTCAGTTTCCCTGTCAGCGCTGTGAAAGGCCTGGGATGGATAATCTGGGAACCTCTGGGCCTCAGTTTCCCTGTCAGCGCTGTGAAAGGCCTGGGATGGATAATCTGGGAACCTCTGGGCCTCAGTTTCCCTGTCAGCGCTGTGAAAGGCCTGGGATGGATAATCTGGGAACCTCTGGGCCTCAGTTTCCCTGTCAGCGCTGTGAAAGGCCTGGGATGGATAATCTGGGAACCTCTGGGCCTCAGTTTCCCTGTCAGCGCTGTGAAAGGCCTGGGATGGATAATCTGGGAACCTCTGGGCCTCAGTTTCCCTGTCAGCGCTGTGAAAGGCCTGGGATGGATAATCTGGGAACCTCTGGGCCTCAGTTTCCCTGTCAGCGCCGTGAAAGGCCTGGGATGGATAATCTGGGAACCTCTGGGCCTCAGTTTCCCTGTCAGCGCCGTGAAAGGCCTGGGATGGATAATCTGGGAACCTCTGGGCCTCAGTTTCCCTGTCAGCGCCGTGAAAGGCCTGGGATGGATAATCTGGGAACCTCTGGGCCTCAGTTTCCCTGTCAGCGCCGTGAAAGGCCTGGGATGGATAATCTGGGAACCTCTGGGCCTCAGTTTCCCTGTCAGCGCCGTGAAAGGCCTGGGATGGATAATCTGGGAACCTCTGGGCCTCAGTTTCCCTGTCAGCGCTGTGAAAGGCTTGGGATGGATAATCTGGGAACCTCTGGGCCTCAGTTTCCCTGTCAGCGCTGTGAAAGGCTTGGGATGGATAATCTGGGAACCTCTGGGCCTCAGTTTCCCTGTCAGCGCTGTGAAAGGCTTGGGATGGATAATCTGAGAACACTCGCTGCCCTGGAAGGTAGGGGAAGCCAGCCCTATGCCATCGGGTAGGGTGGGGTTGGGTGGGGACAGGGTCGGGGTACAGGACTCGGGTAGGGCTGGGGCCAGGCCCCATCTTACCTTGCTGATGGCCTTCAGTGCACGGCTGGCAGCCTTGTACCTTTCGGAGTGGCCCTGGGTCTTGAGGCAGAGCGTCTGGATGGACAACAGACATGGGACAGAAAGTCCCCTCTGGCATCCCAGGTGTGGAGGCTCCCACCAACGCCAGACCCCGTGTGGGGCTGCAGGGTGGTCAACAGCTGCCCCCAGGGGGCTCCTGCAGGGCCCCACAGCACGTACAGCCCCTGAACGGCCTCTGCACCACCTGGAGCTCTGCCAGGTCAGGCCAGGTTGAGTGGGAACAGGAGCTAGCACCCCTGCCTGGAACCCTTCCCTTCCCATCCTCGGCCATCTCCATCCAACTTGGGGAATCGTCAGTGGAGGCCCCCTGGCAGCCCCATTTCTGCACATCCCTGGGGCCCCCAGGAGTTTGAGGTTCTGTTTGGCTTGGGCAACCCTGCCATGTGTAGCCTCAGGAAGCTTAGCTCAGTCCTGCCATGTGCGGGGCTGTGTGTATGGGCAGCATGCACATGTGTGAATATGCCTGTGCACCATGTGCATGCATGTGTGTGCATCCACGTGTATGTGTGTGCACCGGGTGCATGTGTGTGCAGTGCCTGTGTGTGCATGTATGCAAACGTGTGCATTGTGTGCACATGTGCATGCATCGGTGCAATGCAGTGTGTGCAAGTGTGCATGCATGTGTGTACTGGCGTGCATCCATACATATGCATTGTGTGCACATGGGCACATACGTGCCTGAGTGCGTGTACACTGTATATACATGTGTGCGTGTGTGTGTACACCTTTCACCCTCATATACCCTCTGCCCTGTGGGCTGGCATCCCACACACACAGCCCATGCTGGTGAGCCTCTCTGAGCCCCTCTCTGCGTCCACAGAACAGGGAGAGTAGGTGCCAGGGACAGGGCTACCACGTCTAGGAGGACTGGTGGGGTGGGGGCTGGGAGGAGGCTCAGCAGGGCTCTGGGTGATGCCAGTTCCAACTCGTCAGTGTGCCTGAACCTCATGAACCATTGAGTAAGTGAACACAAATCCGCCAAGGGCTGGAACAGTTCCCGGCACAGTGAGCTCTGTGGGTGGCGGCGACCACAAAGTTATCCTGGTTAATAAAGCCATCTTAGGATCGTAACTATTACAATATCATAGGCCAAGCCTGGAGGAGAAGGTCACAAGCACGTAATGCTCCATCCGGGGCAGGGCTCTGGCCGTGGGACCCCAGGATGGTATGCCCGGCCCCACCCTCAGGCCGTGGACTTACATCCATCAGGAGGGGCAGCCGGGTCACCCGCTGCATGGGGAGGATCAGGAAGGAGAGCATGGGCAGGCCCCCGCACGCCGGCCGCCTCTCAATCTCTCTCAGGGCCTCTCGGAAGGCGGCGTTGCTGCTTCTGCAAGAGGACAAGGCTGTCCTTCCAGGCTCTGCATGGCCAGCCTGTACCAAAATCAGGCAGGACCTGCAGAAGCTGGGCTGGGAGCAGGAATGTGCTTTGGGAGACCAGGGTGCAGGATGCTCCTGAGCCACCCTGCGGGCCTCGGGGCCGCCCACTCACATCAGCTTCTGCAGCGTGCGCTGTTGGTAGACCTCGTTGGAGCAGTAGGCGATGTAGGGGTGGAAGTGCTTCTCAGCGTGCTCCTCCAGGATGTCACTGATGTCCTCGACCAGCACCTGGGCCTTGTGCCGCTGCTCCAGGTCCTCGAAGAACCTGAAGGCAAGGAGGGGTGAGGAGGGTGCCACGGGCCTGGTGGTCGGGCCCCACGTGTGCACACACAGACATGCATCTGCATGCACACTCACACATACATGGACGTGGCAGGAGCTGAGCTCAGCTCCCAGAGGCAGCACACAGCAAGCACTTGGGGCGGGACCCGGACCTGGGATGCTGGACAGCAGGGAGGGCGGGTGGGAAGTGGTCAGAGGCCTGGGGCTCCTTACAGAGCCCCCTGCCACGATCCCACGCACTGGTGCCGTCCCTCTGTTGTCCAGGGGCAGCCCCAGGGACTGTCCCCAAAGGCGGGCCCATTTGGACCTCCTGTCCTGGTGCCCTGTCCAGTTGGTGCCCTTCGCCCTTCAAGCTCCTTCCAGCTAAAACGACTGGGCCTCCACACAGGCCCGGGCCCCCGCTGCCGCACCAGCTTGCCCCTGGGAAGAAACTCAAGGACGGAGACTCAGGGGACAGGCACAAGAGCAAAGAGGGGCGATGCCTGGGGCCACCCCTTCCAAGGATGAGTCCCAAATCCGAGGCAGCTCTGCTGGTCAAGCTCCCAGCTGGGTTCATGAACTGTTTACTTTCACTAGGTCCCCCACCCCGTTCTGAGGGAACAGTCAAGGCCGGGGGGGGGCCAGCTGTGGGCTCTTGGCAGACTCCCTGGAAGGGGCTACCAGCCCCTCACCTCCCCATGACCCAGGCCTTGGTCCAGGGTGATCAGGATGAAGGGAGTTAACACTTGGTCAGAGCTAGGCCAGGGCTGCCAGGATTCTGCCCCCATGGGCGGCCACGGCCACCAAGGCTGGGCTTGGCTGGACCCACGATGGTCACCTGCTGTGTGAGGCGGTGGCTGGAGCCTCGTCCATCCTGCAGACCCTCAGAGCACCCAACCCGAGACCACATCCGTGTCTCCAGGCCGCCGCCACAGGAGGTCCTCCCAGCCCAAGAGCTCTGTCCTTCGGAGGACTCCCTTACCCAGCGTGGAGGTGGGCGGGAGTCCCTCCTCCTCTGCTCACGGGGCCCGACTGGGCCTGCCACCCACGCAGGAGCCACGCTTCCTGCAGGGAGAGTGTCCTGACAGCTGCTTGCCCTTGAGAATCCCCAGCAGATGGAGCTGCAGTCCCCGTGGACGAGGACCCAGCAGGTCATGGGAGGCCTCGGTTGCTGGATGAGCAGGGCCACGACATGCGTACGTGCCCAGGCCGGCCAGGCCGGTCAGCAGCTCATATGGGTGACTGCAGGTTCTGAGAAAGGTCTGGGAGAGCCGCCCACCAGCCGCTTACCCCAAATAGCGATGATTCCCCAGACAGTTCACTGTGAATGCCAGGAGCTGTCGGGGGCCCAGCTGGGGGAGGAGGCCGGAGCTTCCCGCCCCAGGGCAGCAATCTAAAGCCCTGAGGAGGTCAGAGGCAAACATGCAGCTGCCTGAGGCAGAGGGGACCGGAGGACACAGAGCTCAGAGAACACAAAGCCTGCCTGGCTGGGGGCAGAGCTGGGGGAGGGGCAGCCGCTATCCCAGACCCCTCCCCCTCCCCCAGCCCCATCCCATGCTGAGTCAGAGGTTGGGAGTTTCCCATAGCTGGTCCCTGGAGCTCTACAGGAAGCCCCTGTCTCCAGGGACAAGGCGGCTCCCTGCCCACCCTCAGGGCCCCAAAGTTCCGCAAGGGCACCCCACAGGCAGCAGATGGGTGGGACTCGCCAGGGGCGGGGCTGATATAAGAATGCGCCAGCAACCACCACTGTTGGGGCAGCCCTGTGCCAGGCACTACAGGCCCCTAATCATCTCCCAGCGCCACCCAAGCCCACGAGGGGACCAGAGGCACCGCCCCTCAGGTTAGCATTGAGGCTGAGGCTCAGGAGACTCGATGCTCCGGGGTCCTCCTGCATATAGGGAGCAGCACAGGGTCGAGACCACACATACCCCTGCCCAGGCACACACACCCACGCACACACACCCCTGCCCAGGCACACACACCCACGCACACACACCCCTGCCCATGCACACATACCTGTCCATGCACACACACATCCCTGCCCACGCACACACACCCCTGGCCAGGTACACACACCCACGCACACCCCTGCCCACGCACACACACCCCTGGCCAGGCACACACACCCACGCACACCCCTGCCCATGCACACACACCCCTGCCCACACACATACCCCTGGCCAGGCACACACACCCACGCACATACACCCCTGCCCACGCACACACACCTGTCCACGCACACACACCCCTGCCCACACACACATCCATGCACATACACCCATGCATACACACCAGGGTGCCGGATGCTCCCGAGCCACCCTCCGGGCCTTGGGGCCAGCCCACTCACACACACCCCTGACCACGCACACACAGCCATGCACAGACACCCTTGCCCACGCACACACACCTACTCACATACATCCCTGACCACGCAGATACACAGACATCCCTGCCCACGCACACACACCCACTCACACACACCTGACCGAAAACACAGCCACTCACACACACCCCTACCCACTCACACATAACCCTGACCACGCATACACACCCCTGCCCACGCACACACATCCCTGCCTGTGCACACACCCGTCCATGCACACACATCCATGCACACACCCGCGCACACACAACCATGCATACACACCCCTGCCCCACACCCATGCACACACACTGCTGCCCAGGCACACAAACCCATGCACACCTACACACACACATACCTGCCCACGCACACACAACCCTGTCCACACACACCCGTGCAGACACACCCGTGCAGACACCCCTGCCCATGCATACACACCCTTGCCCATGCATACACACCCCTGCCCCCACACACCCATGCATACACACCAGGGTGCTGGATGCTCCCGAGCCACCCTCCAGGCCTCGGGGCCAGCCCACTCACACACACCACTGACCATGCACACACAGCCATGCACAGACACCCCACCCCACACACACACCCACGCACACACACCCCACCCCACCCCACGCACATACCCCCGTGCATGGCTGCAGCTGCATGTCCAGCCTCTCTACCTCCAGGCCCTGCAACCAGAGCTCAGGTCCAGCCACCAGACACCTTTGGGTGGAACATGACCCAGAGCTGCAACTCGAGGCTTCCTGCCTACAGGTGAGCAGCTTGTGGCCACCACTGCCTGGATCATGCAGCCCTCTGTGCCTGGACGTCCTGGTGGGGTGGTGCTTGGCAGTGGGGCAGGGTTGTACCCCTGGGAAGTGCTCCACGTCTTAAGAACGACCAGGATGCCACAGCCCCAGTGCTTAGCCCGGCCCTGGGGCCAGCTCTTGGTGGCCTCAAGGACCCTCAGAGGTCATCACACTCCGCGGGAGCCAGCAGCTGCTCTAAACCATCCACATCAAGGTGCAGCGCAGGCTCCCAGGGGCCTGCTGATGACAGTGCGGTGCCCACGGGGGGAGGCACCTTCCTGGCAGAGGACCCTGTGTGGAAGGCTGTGGCGTGGCCTCACCTCTGACTGGCACCCAGGACATCCAGGATGTTGGAGAAGAGGTGGTGGTGCTCCATCTGGGTCACGGTCGCCCGCAGCTCCTTGGACTGCAGGAACTCCTCCACCAGGATGCTCAGGCTGTGCTGGTAGGAGAACTCCGACGTGAGGATCTCGAACATGGCCTGTGGAGAGGGGCCTAGGTGAGCCCCACAGTGACGCTGGACACGGGCGTGCCTCGGTGACCAATGCTTGGAACAGGAGGACGTGACCCGGGTGGCAGGGGCAGGTGGGGACAGGAACCCCAGACACACCCCTGGATGGGGCTGTCAGAATGGCCAGCTTGGAGATGCCAGCCCGACGTCCCTGGATGCCCCTGGCTGGGTGCCTTATGAGCCGGCTGAAGCTGGGCAACGACCCCCGTCCTTGTCAGAGAAGGGGGTGATGGCAGCCCCTGGACTCCGAGGATTCACCCGGTGACGTGAAGGGGCTCCGTCAGGGCCTGGCGCAGGTGGAAGCACAGCCCGGGGCTGTGTGAGGCGCTGGTCAGCGTGACAGGGCCTGGCACTGGAGGTGGCCGCAGAGGGATGGCTGGGTGGTGCCACCGTGGCTGCTGCCCCTCCCCGGGTGTTGCATGGCCCAGGCCATGGGGGACAGCCCTCCCGCCCAGGGCCCTTTTACCTCCTGCCTTTTCCGCTCCTCAGTGGAGAGCTGGTCCAGGATGCCCAATTCCACCACCTGGGGGGACACAGGCCCAGGAGCTCTCGGTCACACGTCCTAGAAGCCTGGGCCAAAGTCTCCCTTCTTTCCTCCTCCTGATGGACCAGGGCCAACATGGACAGCCACCCCACAGGGCTCAGGTAGGTCCGATCCTGGAGTAGGCCTGTCCTGCCGAGGGCCTATCCCCGTCACCTTCCTCTCTGTGTAACCCGCCTTGGGTCAGCCCCCCGCTCCCCCCAGCCGCCAGAGCCCCAAAGCAGCCCAGAAAGAGCATGGGGCATCCAGAGGGAGAGGCCAGAGGGCGGGGGGGGATCTTGTCCCACAGATCTTCCCGGCAGATGGAGAGGTGCGGAGCCCACCCAGGGAGGGAGTGTGGAGGGCAGGACTGTGACTCAGACCCCACCTGGGCGAGGCGAGTCAGTGCCCTGCCTGGAAGCTATGGGTGACGCTGTTTCCGCCCGGGCTCCCTCCTCCTCGGGGCCCACAGCTGGCGGGTCGCCTTGGCGGGAGTGTGGCTCGATTGGTAGAGCACGTCAGGACCAGGAGGGCTGCCACACCGCCCAGGGGTCCCCTCTGCAGGACTCAGGCCACCCTGATTCGTGCTCTGCTCCTCACTGGGCTGGGCAGAAAGGCCGCCAACAGCGCCTGGGCCAAGGGTGAGTCCCCCATTCCCCAAACCAGTGCCTCCTTCCCATGCAGGGTCGGAAACTCTGGCAGTTACCAGGGTGCGGTACTGGACTCCATCCCCGACAGAGGGAGACCACACGCCCCCAGCTCCCAGCAGGAGAGTAAGACTGCACTTCTAGGCCTTTCTATCTGTGGGGAGGCTGCCCGCTGCCTGCCCTCACCCCACGCTGGGCCTGCCCTGGCCGGGGTCCCAGGGTACGCAGCACCATGGTGTGTGGTGGGTGGTTGCAGTGCCAGCCCCTCTGAATGGCGAACAAGGAGCCCCATTGTACCACAGGTGGGGGCCCGCCCTCCCCGCTGCCCGCCACGCCCACGGCCACATGGTCCCCTCCCTTGGGCCTCAGGGTGCGGGTCACATGCCGGTCCACCTGGGGTAGGAGCAGCCATCTCCCCCAAGCATGGGGACCAATGCCGGGCCACGCTCTCCACTGAGACCCCTGCAGGGCAGGGACGGGCCCCCAATTTCAGATATGGAAAGTGAAGGAGTGTCTTGGCCCTGGCCCCAGCTCCAAGTCCCGGCCCCTCCCATCCCAGCTGTCTCCCTACGCAGATCATTCAGCCCTCTCCTGGGGCGGGGGCCCTGGGAAGGGACTCCTGGCGCCCGCAGCTCCCTGAAGGGTAGTCTGAGCAGGGCTGGCCCTCGCACGCACGACGGCAGGGCCCTGCATGGGCAGGGTGACTCTGAGGGCACAGGAGGGAGACCCCCAGGTCTGCCACCCACAGCCGAGGGGCTTCTGGGAAGGCTGCCCACCCTCCCTGGGAGGACTGGGCTGCTGCTGGGGACCAGCCGCCTGGGCTTGGGGAAGGAACAGCAGGGGGACTGTGGCTTCTCCCTGCCTCTGTGGGGCAGCCTCACCCACCCTCCGGCGCTACCTCTGGGAGCTGGCTCCAGGTGACCTGGGCGGGCCGGTAGCTCTTGACCACAATGGTGGCGTCCACCTTCTGGGTTCCCTCGGGGCTGGAGGACTCATCGAGGATGTCGTCATCAGACTCCTGGCTGGTGTTCAGGCCCCGCTCCTGGATCTCCTGGTAGAGCTGGGGGTCTAGAGAGAGAAGGAGGGTAACCTGTGGCCCTGGGGGATTGCAAAAGGCTGCGCCTCCCTGCAACCCGCCAGCTGAGTCCTCTAGGCCCACAGGCTCTCACGGCTGTGTGGGAGAGGGAGGCTTTGGGAGGGGACTGCCCCAGGCTGGGCACCAGTCCCAAGACCTCTCCTATGCCACAAGTCCCACCTGAAATGGGCTGGTCCCGGCTCAGGGTGCCTCCAAACCCTCACAGCAGCCCCCAACCAGCCTTACCCTGAGACGTGGGGCATCGCTGCTGCCTCCTGGGGACACTTCCCAGGGATTTCCGTAGAGGAGACCTGGGTACCCCCTCCTGGGCCCATGCCTGTCCACAAAGCTTCTGGGGGCTGGAAGGGGCCATTGTGTCTTGGAGCCTCAGGCCTGGAGCTGGGCACTCGAGGCCTTAGCCCTCCCCGGGCTTCATTGCCTCTAATCTCTTTACACCCCCGGGCATTTGGACCCAGGTAGCAGGCACCTCCCTATGTCAACCTCCCTGTGGGATGTTCTCATCTCCCCCGAGCAGGCTGAGTGTGCACCACCGCCACCCATGCTGGAGGCCCCAACACATGGCTCCCCTTCAGCCTCGAAGAGTCCGGGCAGAGCCCGCGGTGTGGGGCCGGTGCCCTCTGATCTGGCCTTGGTCCCCCAACACGGCCACTGTAGGCTGGGCCCAGCACACACATGGGGTGTTCAGGGCAAGACTGGGGGCTCTGTCTGTACCCTGCCCTTCAGAACACACAGAATAGAGTCCAAGGGAACTTTCTAGACCTTTCTAGACTCATCAGGGCTACATGAACAGACCAGCCACTGGGACCTCAGCCTCTGGAAGGACCCTGTCAAGCAGCTTTGGTGACCCCGAGACACCAAACTGAGGCCCACCCGAACCCCAGGGTGCCCCAGTGAGACCAGTTTCAACTGGAGCCCAGCCCGCGGTGCCTCCCGAAGCCACACTCACCGTCCTTGAAGGAACCCTTGTGCCCACGTTTCCTCCCCAGCGTCTTCTGCACAAAAGAGAGACACAGAAACCGCAGCTGTCAGCCGGGGCAGGTGTTGCCCACGGCGATTCTGCCCTGGGACCCCAGAGACCTCTCGGCTCCACATGCGAAGCTGTGCCCAATAGATGTCAGCTCCACAGGGCCTCACGGCCGCCAAGCAGAGGCCAAGAGAGGTGGGAGGAGGGCTCAGAGCAGGCAGGACACGTGACTGAGGGCTGCTTGGAGGAGGAGGAAGGGTTGAACTCATCGTGAGGGGACGCTCAGAAGAGTTTCGAGCAGGCCCGTGGCAGGGCAGGTGAGGTTGGGAGAGGGCTGTGAAGGGACAGTGGGGCAGGACACAGGCCCCTGGGGACTAGGACCTGGTGGGACAGACGAGCAAGGATTGGCCAGTGTCCAGCCCCAAGCATGGGTCTGGGGGCCCCAGCAGGAGGCCGGGATGGCAGAAGTGACGGGAGGGCTGGGCTCCTGGGAAGCCCCCACGCTCAGGTGCCCGACTCGGAGCCCACCCTCCTCGGCTGGGACACCACACTTTCCTGACGCCACAGGTATGCTGGTTCCCGGAAGGAAAGGGGCTGATTTCTCGGAACGAGTTGGGGCCTGTAAACTCCCCTTACTGGTTGGGAGTGTGTGGTGCTCCCAGCTGTACCTGGCCTGGCACCCTCAGCCCCGTGCCCCGCACCCCACCTCAAGGACTCCCCCAGCCCCCCTTCGGCCTCCAGGTCTGGCTGGAGCTGTTGCCTCCCCCACCCCGACTCCGTCCTCTCCTCCTGTCTGCCTCTGCGCTAACCCTCCTTCCTCCGGGACCCTACCCTGACCCGAGGCCATGGGGAGCCCCCTCCTCTGTGCTCCCAGCACCCCCGAGCTGCCCTCAGCCCAGCCCTCGGCATTCTCCCTGCGCTGGAGGCCCTCTGAGAACCAGGCCCATGCCCGTGGGCTCACTTTGGAACCCCAGCACCAAGCATGTGGCAGGTGCCCAGAAGTGTCTGCTGACTGCATGAAATAAACAGTGAATGAATGAACGGAGCCCCATGGGCCTGGGCCTGGTGGGTGTAGAGAGTGCTGGGGCCCTTCCAGCTGCTGGGGTGCAGGGGCCTGCGGCAGAGGTGCTGAGGCATTTCTGAGTCCTGGGCGTCTCAGGTAGGCACAAGAGAGAGCTGTGACCGAGGACAGTGGCTGGTGCTGGGGACATGGGGGACCCCACCTCAGCCACCATCGGCCTGCAGTGGACGCCCATGGGACATTCTGACAGGTGGTCTTGGCGTCTCCTGAGGCTGGCACTGCCACTCCCAGTCTGGGCAGGAGCTGGGCCTGAGGAGGCAGCTGGGACGGCAACCAGTGAAGAAGACGCTCTGGCACACACCTTCCGTGGACACTGCCCAGAGGATGCCCAGAGGGCGGCTGTGATCTTTGCTTCCACATGGGGAAGCCAAGGCTCAGGAAGGTTCAGGAACTCATCTGGGTCACACAGCACCTGCCCCCGCCCTCGTCCTTCACTGAGGCAGCCCATATGCTTGGGGCCTGTTTTCCAACACGTCTGAGCAAGGCGCCCAACAAGAAGGACGCCCCTGGGGCCAGCCCTGCATCTGCTCTGCATTCTTGAGGGTGCTCGGGCTGCCAGGGCCTCCTGATGGGCGGTTCCAGGGCAGCTCGCCTCCCCTACCCCAGCCCTGCCTGAGCCCAGACCCACCAGCTAAAGAGACCAAGCAGGGTGGCCAGAGTCGCAGTCCTGGCTGGGTGGGTGTCCAGGTACCACGCAACTCTCCCTGAACGTGGCTTCCAGCTCCAGGGCTGCCTGAAATGAAGGCCTGGCCCCCAGCCGCAGGGGATGGTGACTCCGAGGATGAGGGACACTGGGCCCAGGAGCCCCAGCTGGACGCTCTGTCCCCTGGGCCCTAGTGACACATGCAGTCAGGCTACACCCTGCCCAGCAAAGGGTCTGCCGCCACCATGCCCCAGACCTAGAGCCACCACCAGCAGGCAGGGAAGCAGGGCTCTGTGTACAGAGGGAATGTGCAGACTTCTCCTAAGCCCCAGGCCACCGCACAGCTGCCCCGCTTCAGTCCCTCCCGCCTGAGTCCCTGTCTGGAGCTGCCGGGGCAGATGGAGCCCAGGCCAGTCACTGCAGCCAGGTCACCCTGAACCCTATCATCCAGGCAGGCCGGCTCCTGTCCAGAGCTCGGAAACAGGGACTGGGCCCTTCCAGGGATCTGCCCTCCACCAAGGCTGGGAGCGGGGACACCAGAGTCTGGGGGCCTCGGTAGAACCCTCGACCTTTCCGAGCCTCTGCTGCCTCATCTGTAAGGTGGGATCTTCACACTCACAGACTGGGCTGAACTGGAATAAACCAGTCGAGAGCCCTCATGCAGCAGGTGCTTACTAACGGCAGCTGCCATGATGCAGAAGATGACGGTGGTGGAGACGGCCAGGCCGCCCCTCTGCCTAGCAGCCCCCTCCCCACGGTCCACACGAGCAGGCCCCTACCTTGTTTTTGGCCGGGCTCCGAGTATGAGGCTGGCTGGGTTCCTCAGCCAGAGCCTGGAGCTTAGGGCTTAGCTGGATGGCATCTCCCTGGCCACCTGGCTTCCCCAGGCCCTTCATGGCCGCCCGGTAGGATTGGTTCCGCAGGTTCCGCCTCAGCATGCCCCCGGGGTCCTTGTCCACGTCCATGTCATCCAGGGAGAAGCTGGGGGCTGGGAGGAGCTTAGGGTCCCGCCGGGCGGCCTCCCTGCTAAGTACAGCCGCCCCGAAGCTCTGGTGGCGGGCTGGGGTCTTTGCCTTGCTGGCCACAGCCAGGCTCTTAGGGATCAGCTGTTGGGTGCCCAGCTTGAGGGCCGCCGGGCTCTCTGTGCTCAGGACGATGGGCCATGGCTCCTCGTGCCCCGGGGGCCGAGGCTGTGGGGGTGCCGGGACCTGGGGCTGGAAGGCGGCATCGTCTCTAACACGCGGGGAGCCACGGACCATTGGGAGCCCGGAGGCTGGGTTCCCCCCGGCATCGAGCCGGAGCTCCGAGTGGAAGCGGTGTCCCAGGAGCTTCTCCTCCAAGGAGCTGTCTGAGTGCCGCTGGGCCATGCTGGGCGGCTGTGGGGTCCTGGGGGAAGGGCAGAAGTGAGGTCTCGTGAGGCTGCTCTCCCCTGCCCCCGCGGGTGTCCACCCCCCTACCCCTTTGCATATGTCTGGCCGGGGCTCCAGTACAGCTCCCAGGACACAGCAGGCAAGGACAGCGACGCAGCCAGGAGCACAGTGGATCAGTGGCACAGCCAGTCCTGACCACTGGGAGCCAGCCATGTCTGAGGCCGGAGGCTGGACACAGGATGGGACTGGGCAGGCGCTGGTTCTCCGAGCTCCAAGGGACCAGGTGGGCACAGCCTATGGGGGTAGGCTGGACCTTGGAGGTTGGGAGGCCACACTGCTTCCTCTGATGGGCAGCACGCACTGAGGACACATTCCTGAGCCTGGAGGCAGGTGGGGCAGCTCAGGTGCATGGCCCTGGAGCCCTGAAGACCTGGCCTGGAATCCTGGCTCACACCTGGCAGCCATGCAGCCTCCTGGAACCACTTCCTCGTGGTGAACGCAAGGGTCATGGCGTTGCACTGGGGGGCTTCCTGAGGCCGGCATCAGCCACAGCGGCAGTGACCACAGCCTCTGCCTCATTGGGGTCTTCCAGGCACCTGAGCCAGGCTCTGCTGGGTTGGGGGGAGGGCAGGTGCATTTGCCCACATGCTCCCGGCCCGAGCCCAGGCCTGTGTGATTCCCCTCTCTTAGCCACACAGTGATATGACTGTCGCGGACTGTCCATGGAACCTTTCCACACACCAGGCAACACGCTTGCATTTTTCCACGTTTCTGAACTGGGCATAAAGCTGACAATTCTGGTCTCAGGAGCCCCACCAGTCACCAGCCCGAGAGTCCAGTATGACACCTGGCCACTGGGCAGGTGTGGTGGTGGCAGGGGTGGCAGCCCACAGTCCCACGTACACCCCCCAGCAGAGAGCGGGAGCTGCCCTGTAGACATCTCTGTAGCCCGATCCCCACACCCCGTGGGCTGCCCCGCCCCCGCCACACTCCTGCCCGCCCCTCCTGGCAGCGCGTGCCCCCGAGCCCATCTCTACCCCACTGTTCCCTTCATGGTCCGGGGCTGGCACCCTGCCCCTGACACTACTGCTTCCCATTTCTCACTTTCCTCCTTCCAGACCCGAGGCAGGGCTGCCCTTCTGCCCCTTGGGAATGGCACAGTCCTGAGACTGGCTTTGGGACATACGTGCCTGCCAGGTAGGAATGTGGAGAGCCAGCTCTCGACCTGCCTCTGCGTCTTCCCTGGCTGCCATGACTATAGGCACGCGTGGCCAGGCAGAGCCTCAATGGCCTGGACCCCGTGTGACCGAGATGTGCAGAGCCCCCAGCCGACACGGCCTCCAGGAGCCGGGCCCAGAGGTCTGTTTCCAGGCACTTTGCGGGGCTGTTGTGGCTACACATCACCTCCTGAGTGACGGCGCATTGCTCGGCCACAGCGGTCAGGCCCACAGTGAGCTTTCACGCCCCGGGCTGCTTGCAACCCCCCTGGGCACTTGCAACCCTCAGGCCACTGAGCAATGGATTCCGAGGGTCTGGTCTCTCAGGCCTCCCAGCTTTCCCCTCTGCTGCTCAGGGGCTCCCCACACGTGTCAGGGAGCAGCCCTGACCCAGGCATGTGGTCAATGAGCAAGTGACGCTGCCTCTCCGTGCCTCAGTTTCAAAATCTGCAAAATGGGCATGATAAGAGCAAGGCCCACCTCCTGAAGGTACGGTGGGAAGTGTAAAGCGTGCAAAGCGTGTAACAGGCCTGGCCGGTGTGAGGCCTGCGTCTGCGCCGCAGTGACCAAGGCCTTGCCGAATCACAGACAAGCTCATGCTCCCTATGCTCAGGGAGCTTCGTAGGTTCAAAAGGTAACGACATGGAGAAAACTCGCTGCTTTCATTCTTTCCCTTTTAAAAAATAAAGATAAAAACAATAACCACCACCACTCAGTATGCCTCCTATACACCCAGAACGTCACACACATGAAAATGACCGGAGTCTCTTGCGGGTGGAAACTGATTTTTCTGATGGGAAAACAAGGCTGAGTCACTCGCCCAAAGTCACTTCCTGCAGGGAGGTTGCCTACAGTCAGCCACACAACTGACCTGGATTAGCACCTTTGGAGTGTCCACAGGGCACCTGGGACACCCCTCTGTCCCTGCTCAGCCCCGGGAGCCACCAAACTCTCCCAGGACACAAATTCTCTGCTAAAACCATCCCAGGAAGGCACGTGCGGCTGAGCCTCCCAGGCCCCAGGGAGGGACGGCCCCCACGCTGGCCGGGAGGGTACATTCCTCAGGACATTCCAAATCACTGGTCAAGGACAGCGGCAGACACAACAGGCCTCCCCCGGGGCTGGTGTCCATGACACTGACCAGAGTGACGCTGGTCTGCACCATCCCAGGATCACCCGCTCACAGTAGGGTGTCTGCGTTTTACCCAGGCCCGGCCGAGAAATCCATTTCTTTTAGGCTTCTGTCTACACGCCAAGCAGAGCACACTCCAGTGGGTGGCCAGCGTAGGCGGTCTACGGCCCTGCGGTCCTTTTATTCTAAATGTGATGACTTTACCTGGGGGGCATTTGATGTGGGTTGACATGCCCACAACATCACTGTGCCCCATCTCCCACCAAACAAATGTCCCCAAGACCCCACAGCCCCCAAATACAGAGACCCCAGCCTGCACTGTCTCAACCTTCTGACTCTCATAGAGGCCTTCCTCCTTCCTAATGGGGCCAGACTGCCCAGGCCTGACTGTCCCTGACCACGTCCTCTGAGACGGTGTCCTGGCCCTGGCTGGCAGCAGCTGTCCCAGGAGAGATCAAAGTCTGCTCCACTGCCAGAAGGCGCCCAAACGGGAACCTGTCAGGCGAGCCAGAGCCTGAGCCATTGCTGGGTGTGACCTCCGCTCCCAGCGAGGCAGCCGCACCCACAGGCCTAACAGAGAGCCTGAGGGGTGTGGGCAGTCCAGAGCCCCCCAGGAGCCGGCTCTCGGGAGCTGTGGCCCTGGCAGGCACCCGTTGCCTTCTGTTTTTCAGTTTTTCTAAAGAACTATGAAGACACAGACACCGTTTCAAAAGTCAACGAGCACCAAAGACTTAGCATGAAAACCCAGCGTCCCCTCTTCCACACTGCCCTGATCCCCGGAGGCCACTGCTCTGGGCTCCTCAGCTTTTCCCAGAAAAAGGCACAGCCTGCTCTCAGTGACCCCCACCTATGGGCATTCCTACCCCCTCCCTGCCTGTTGGACGAGGACTCCATCACGGCTGGCCCCATCACACGATGCCTGTGCCGGCAGAAGGCGCTGAGCCCCAGGGCAGGGCCTTGTCCACGTCCTGTTAATGATTTTCTCTCATTTGACCAGCCTGGTTTCCCCAGTTAATTTTTCCCTGAGTGTTCTGGCGTCTCTGCCATGTGCTTCTTGAGAATATATTCTATATGTCTGGCAGGCCAGCTCAGTGTTTTTCCCAGACACCCCCCGTCCTCCCTCTCCAGAGGGCCCAGTGCTCTGGGCCTCACCCTGGGCGGATCCCAGGACCTCCTCTGCTGCTTCCGGGGCCCCTCTCACCTGCTCCCGGCCCTCATTGCCCTGAAGGACATCCCCAGGCACTGTCCCAGGAAGCCACATGGGAGCCATCTTTTGGACTGCCTGAAAATGTCTTGTTTCTTCCTCTCCCCTGACTGGTGAGGAGATGAGCATTCCCACTGTAGATGGTTTTCTCCCAGAGTCGGGCAGCGCCCTTCCCTTGTTGTCAGAGTTGCTGGGGAAGGGCCCCAATGTCCCGATCTCTTTCTCGGATCACAACCGGTGTGTGGTTCTCCCTGGCCCCACTGAGGGTCTGGCGCACCTGCTGGAGCCTGGGAGCTCTGGCTGTCTTGCTGATGTGCCTCGGTAGGGTCCGTGTTCGTTCACTGAGCCAGCCTGGGAGCTCTGATTGTCGTGCTGATGTGCCCCCGTAGGGTCCATGTTAGTCCACTGAGCCAGGCACTGGGTGGAACCCTGCCAGGCGGTCACTCTTGTCTAGGGCTGCGCAGATTTTCATATTATTTCTTCCACTCTGTTTTCTCTTTTTGGAATACCCACTAATGAGTATTAAGCTCTGGTGTTTTCTCCTAATTCCTTACCTTTCCTCCCCTACTTTGTTCTCTGTGTGAGGTTTTCTCTACTTGGACTTCTTATTGGCCCCTGGTCTTATCATTTTCATTATCCTCAAAGAGCCCTCTGCTCTTCATTCCTGGCATCCTGCTCTTGCTTTATGGGTGTAACATCTTCTATTGTCTTAGAGAGGAAGGATTACATTTTCTTTGGAGCGAGTTTCTTTCTTTCTGTCGCTGGCTGCTGGAGCTGCGCCCCTGCCACATACTTCCTCCTGTCTCCGCCTCTGCTGGCCTCTGTCTCTCAGGCACAGGGCTTTCCTCAAACATCTGCTGCTGGTGGTTGATTGTTTCTGCTTCTATTGAGGAGACAGGCCTTATGATGGCGGGAGGTCCAAGTGCACACACCCTGAGCACAGGTGTCTGACCGGGAGGGCCCAATGGGACCCCCAGCCCCATGCCAGGTCCATATCCTGAAGCCTGTCCTGCAGGCCGGCTGGTTTCTACAGTGGCCTCTTTCCATTTCCTCACTGAGATGCTGGTCGGCTCCTGGTGGAGCCAGTGAAGGGGAGGGGCTGAGAGGGCAGACTCCTTTCAGCAGCTGGCCATGCTGTCCCGGCTGCAGTGCCACAGAGAGAGGTCAGATTTCCTGCAGCAGCCACGTGGGCCAGTGGCAGATCTGCTCCCCAGCAAAGGCAGCCCTGACTTGCTGAGTGGGGGCTTAGCACAGGGCATGCACAGGGCAGAGGGAGCCGCAGGCTGGCTGGCTGGCTGTCCTGTCTCCCCATGTCTGTGAGCCCTTGCGGGGCAGGGACAGTTTCCTGTTCGTGTCCCCACAGTCGGGCTCAGATTCCACACTGAAGAGCAAATGCCTGCCTCGGCACGTGCTCTGCCCTGGTCTCCTAGTACCTTGATTCTGTGTCTTCCCAGAGAGGCCCTGGTGTTCCGTGCCAAGAACCAACTTGCAAGGGGACTTGGCTCAAAATGAGCAGAGGCTGGGCCAGGGCAGCCCCATAGAGGTTCTGGGCCCATCTGTGCCACTTTTTGGGCGACTTCCTGCTGCTTCTCCTCAGGGTGGGCTGGAAAGGACCTCCCATGGCTGAGCCCTGGGGCCCAGAACTCTCTCTTTTCTCTTTACCACTAAATACCCCACCTGGTATCCCCAACACATATAGTTATGGGGCATGAGGGACTTGCCAGGAGGAGGCGTGCAGCAGAGGCGAGCAGGCGGAATCCATGGTCTCTGGGCAGTCTCAGGGGCCCCCGCCTGGCCGGTCCAAGCAGGTGGAATCTGTGGTCGCTGGCCAGTCTCAGGGCCCCCTGCCCAGCCTGTCCGTTCCTGTCCGTACTTGGCCTTGGCTGATCTGCTGGATCTCGGACCCAGTGTTGGTTGGGTGGGCCGCTCTGTAGCCCCGCCCTCCTGCCCCCTTATCCTTCCGGAGAGATGGGCTTCTAGTGAGTCTAGTGGGCGCCAGCCCCGTGCCTCCAGCATCCCCATAGCAGTACAATCTCCCAGCCAGCGCCTTGGGCTCTGGGCACAGCTGCTGTCACGGCCACCAGGACCCAATTGCCCCAAGTTTGCTGCCCCTCCGGTTAGGATGTTGCACAGGCCTCCAGCTTCATGTGGTCCCACCCTCAGGCATTTCTGTCCCTCCTACCCTGGCCTCTAGGTC
Organism: Homo sapiens; assembly: GCF_000001405.40. Classification (NCBI taxonomy): domain Eukaryota; kingdom Metazoa; phylum Chordata; class Mammalia; order Primates; family Hominidae; genus Homo; species Homo sapiens. The sequence goes on along the minus strand of NC_000001.11, from coordinate 3,457,331 downwards.
CGGCTGACCCCACTCGGCCCAGTGGGGCGCGGCCTCTCTAGCACCTGTCCATCCAACCTCAGTGAAGGCAAACTCAAGCTACAATGATGCCCTTGTACTCCGGTAATTCTGCCCGTCAAACTTCGGACTCAGTCACATAATCGGGGGGAGGACTTGCTTTTGCAAATCATGCAGCACACATCAGCCAGCTCCGTTTGCAAGGTGGCCAGGGATTTGGCTCTGCGGCCTTCACTGGGGCAGTTTTGGCCCCCAGGGCACATTTGCCAACGTCTGGGGACACTGCTGGTAGTCAGGAGTCCTGGCTACTGGTTGGCAAGGCTGCTGGAGAGACCTGTTATCTGGATCAAGGTCCCTAGGGCTGCGGTAGGGAAATCCTAGGCAGCTAAGCAGAGAGCCACCCTGCGCGGTGGGGGCGGGGAAGTGCACCTGGCCCTCCCACCTGGACATAGCTGGTTCAGCCCAAAGTGCATTCCAGTCACTCCCCAGCTCCGGCTCTGAATGAGACATCCCATAAACCCAGCTGCTGTCCCTGGCTCTGCTGCCACTCACGGGGTTCCCCCAAAGGGTGGGAATCAGAGCCTGCCTCTGACAGGTGCCCGTGTGGGTGACAGGTCTCCTGCCACCCGTTCACCCGCTGTAGGACAGACACACAGACAGTGCCCTCTGAATGCCCTGTCATCCACTGTCTTCTGCCCCTCCCCAAACTTCTGGAAGGTGGGTATTTTCCCGGGCAGGTAAGGAAACCAGGTGCAGAGGGAATGTGGCCTGCGGGGGTGGGACTGCTGGCCAGGCCCTGTCCTGACCTGGATGGCTGTCCCCAAATGGGGACCGGGGGGAGTGGGGGTTCTGGCCTCAGCCAGGGAGTCACTAGAAATAAGGACGCTGCTCCAGACGGATGGTCCCCTGTGCTAAGGACAGGAGCAGCCCAGATCCATCTGGAAACCAAAACTAAAACTCAGACCCAAACTCGCGGGGAGCGCCTGCGCCTGGATCACAACGTGAACACAGATGGCCATCCTCAGGATGGGGACCTGCGCGTCACATGTGAGCTGTGGGGACCCTGGCACGCCGCTTCTCACTGCTTCACCTCTGTGCCTCAGTTTCCTCATGTGTAGGTGGAAAGTGCTTCCCACATAGGGTGGTCCTGTGGGTCAGAGATGGCCCCCGAAGAGCCAGCGACCTCAGGGAGGCCCCCCAACAAGGGTTTCTCCCCAGTGTCCAGGTGGAGGGAGGGCCCATCCCACCCTCCAGGTGACTTTGGTCCAGGTGACTTACTTCTTCCAGGAAGCCCCCAAGACACCTCCCTTCCAGCAAGACTGGGGTGGGTGAGGAGTGCCTACCTTCAGCCCATGGCTCCTGCTCTGGACAGTACCTTTCATCTCACCCTGTTCCCCTCTGCTGGCTGTGGGCATCGCACAGCAGGGTCCACGTCTGCCTGGCACACTTGTGGGTCAACATCTTCTAACTCAACACTCCTACTAGTCCCATTTTACGGATGAGGAAACCGAGGCCCCAAGAGCTGCTTAGTTCACAAAGAGCCAGGATGTGAGCCTGAAACCCACACACCTGGGAACTATGCCACGGAGGGGTCAGGACCTGCAGCCAGGCACAGCACCTGGACCCTCTTGCTGGACCCCCAGCCAGGCCCACACGCACCCCCTAGGCCCCCATGTTAGGTGGTGCACAGACTGTTCCCCTCAAGGACACAGAGAAGATTCAGGCCTTGATTCAGGTCAGAAGCAGAGGTCACCAAGACCTGCCATCGCTGCCACTCCCTCAGTCCCCCCACCTGCTCAAATCTCAAAAGGGATACTGTTCCCATTTCACAGACGCAGAAAGAGGCTGAGCGGCCAAGACAAGCGGCCACGGCTCCCTGGTAGGTGGGACGCACCCCTCCCCCTCCCCATCTCCCTTCTCAGGGGAGACAAAGCAGGTCCCTCCCTGCCACCGCCCACCAAGGTCAAGGGTGGGGGAGGGGCGTATGGTTTGGGTTTGTCTTGGGTGTGGGGTTCTTCCTTCTCGGGGCTTTTCTGAAATTTTGGGGCCAAAGCAGGTTTGGGTGTCAGATTCCCCAAAGAGCTCCCGGGAGGGTCGTTCTGTTCCGCCCCCCACCCCATGCTCTTTCAAACTCCCTGGGGCTTCCAGAGTCCTCGGCGCTCAAGTCTGAACCCAGGTTCCGGTTGCATGGAAGTTTTCCTTTAGGAAGAGGAAGCGGCCACTCGGGGTCAAGAGAGGGCAGCGAGCGAGCGGGCGGGGGCAAGCAGGGGGCTGCCTGGTGTGTGTGGGGGGGCGGGTCCAAAGTCGCATCCGGCTCAGCCCGCGAGCCCCGCCTCTCCCGCCCCGGCGGAGCCCCAGGAGGGTCGCGAAGTTGTTGCGGCTGCCGGGGCGGGGCTTGCGGGAAAAGCGAGGGGGAGGAGAAGCGCCCCGGGTTCCCGGCGCCTCCCCCGGGCTAATCCCCCCACCCGGCTCCCCCGAGCCCCGACTCACCTGTCCCCCGGCTCACCTGTCCCCCAGGCTCACCTGCGCCGCGGGGCGGAGGGACGGAGGGGCGGCGCGCTGGCGGTGCAGCTTCCAGCGCCGGGTCCTGTCCTGTCCTGCAGCCGCTTCGCTCCTGCGGCAGCGCGGTCCGGCCCGGGGCGCCTCCTCCGCTTCCTGCGCGGTCTGGCTGGAGGGCGGCGGCTGCGGCCCCGCAGGTGGGCGCTGGGCGGGCGGGGCTGCTCCGGGTCCGAGGGCCCGGGCGGGGAGGGCCGGGGAGGGGGCGGGGCGCGTCCCGGGCACCTGTGGCGGCGCCGCCTGCGTCACAGGTCACAGCCCCACCTGGGCCGGCTGGAGCCCACGTGATCGCCCGGACTGGATCGCGCCTCTCGATTCCCGCCGAGCCGCCGCCGCCCGGTGCCTGCGCCTTCCCTCCCCGCGCCCACGCCCCCTCGAGGCCGGCCCGGGAGTCGCCTGCCAGGCGTGGGGCCAGAGCGGCTCGGCTCCCTCCTGCGTCACTGTCCTTCCAGGCCCCGCTCCACTGCCTCCTCCAGGAAGCCTTCGGGGAAGGAGACCAGCCCTGCGGGGACCGATGTTTGCTGTAGAAAGGCCCGGCCCTCTGGATTCTTGGAAGCCAGGCGGCCAAAGACAGCCAAGAGGGCGCAAAGCACTCTGGCCACCTTTTTGGTGTGGTTGAGTCGCGGTCATCCCCATTTCACAGAGAAGGACCGAGTCCTGGAAAGGAAGGCGCTCGCCCTCGTGCACAAGGCTGAGCCTGGACTCCGAGCCTGGCCTTTCCTTGCTCCGCCTGCTGGGAACCCGTGTGAAAGTGAGGGAGGGCCCCGGGCAGAGGCTGCAGCAGCCCCCCAGCTGGGGGTTCAGGAATCAGGCCACCTGGTGCTGTGGGAGGGGCTGGGGGCTGAGCCAAGCCTCCCAAGCTTGGGCCTGGCCATTCAGGAATGTGACCTGAGGTCCCAGGGCTCAGACCCACTTCTGACCTGCCTCCATCATCCCCTTTTCAGGAAAGGCCTGTTGCCAAAGGCCTCCATGTGAACATCCACACTGGGCTTTGGGTCAGCTTCTACCAGCGTCCCCTCACTGACCCCAGGCCTTGGGGTCGTGGGCCGGGCACCGGTGTGCCAGCCAGAGGCACTGACCACCCTCCTCCCAGGACCTGCCTCCCTGGCCTGGGCGGCCGTGAGATCCCGTTGCGGGTTGAGGAGACACCACAGGCTCTGGGGCTGTCACTTGGCATTTTCTCAGGTGTCATAGGTAGAGGGGCGGCCTGCCCTGCCCCTCCTGCTCTGGTCGCCCCACCCACTAGTCCCCCAATGTCTGCCCTGTGGCTGGGGCTGCCTGGGTGTCAGGTGCCATCTGGGCAGGGCACAGGCTGGCCTCAGGGATGGGTCCCGTGGGCCATCCATCCCCTGGGAGGGAGGGTGGATGAGGGAGGAGCTAAGAGTTGACCCCTGTGGGCTGCAGCCTCCACCTGGAGCCGCCTGTGGGGAGGTTCCACTTCCAGGCAGCTCTTGGGAAAGGCAGGTGGCTGCTGCCCTCCTGAGTCCATGATGGGTACTGCACCGACGAGGCCCGGCCTGCCGGAGGGAGCTGGGGTGTCCCGGAGCCTTGACCCGTGAGGGGACTGAGGTGCGGTGGGGTCACTGAGGCCCAGTGAGGGGACAGAAGCCTTGCCCCAGGCCAGTCAGCAGGACCCAGGTTCCTGATTCCCACTGAGTGCTTTCCTGTAAAACCCTCTTTCAGTAGCTGCCTCCAAGTTACCCCCAACCCCACACCTTCTGTCCAGCCCCTGCTGGGCCCGTTCAGCCACCCTGGGTCTGGCTTCGTCTCCCCATGTCCTGCTGGCTTCCAGAGGCCACTCAGCGTGTGCTTGGGATGGTCCCTTTGCTGGGGATGTCACCTGAGCTGGCGTCAGGACCTCTCTGTGCCTCTGTCACCTCTGCTGTAAATGAGGGCCTGATGCTGGCGCAGGAGATCGCCCTGGCATGAGGCCTAAGGGAGAGGTTGGAAGGAACCAGCTTGGAGACCTAAGGGGCTCGCAAGGAGAGAGAGACTCCGGGGAGGCCTGCCAGTGGGAGGCCTGCCAGTGGGGTCGGCCCGTGGCACTTCCTGCACCTCTGTGGTGGGATCCCGAGCCTGTGGCTCAGCCTGCCCTGGGGGCCTTCCCCTCCCACATTACTGGCAGGGGAGAAGATGTGGATCCCCCAAGCTTAACAGCCACTGTGCATTGCTGTAGGGTGGGCAGCGCTCTGGCCGAGCACCAGTGTGCCAGCCAGAAAGCACACCTCTATCTGCGGGAGCAGAGCTCCTTTCCTGCGGCTTGAGGTGGCCTGAGCTCCTGCGGGCCTTGCTTTGAGTTTTCCAAGCTTTTACTCAGCCACTGGGGCCACAGCACAGACAGCCCGTAGCCTTAGGTGGTACCTGAGGCCAGCAGCCCCTCGGGAGGCCTTTTGGCTCGACCTTCCAGGGTAGGTGTCCAGGGCTGAGGGTGAGCTGAGGCTGCTGGGCAGGTTTGTCCTCCCTGCCAGGCCGAGTGGGCGGTGCTCCCACCTGCTCCCCTCCCTCCCTGGGGCCCTAAGGAGCACACGGGGTGGAGGGAAGGCCATGACAGCCCTCAGTTCTCAGGCCCTCAACGCTGGGCTGCCCTGTTACCCACTGCAGTTCCATGGGTGTCCTCTCCAGCCCGTAGGCAGCTGGGAAAGGGCCCCAAGGGCGCGGCTGTGAGTGGGATGGAGGACAGAGACGCCTCTGCTGGGTGGGTGGAGGCCCATGGCTGGGGGGGCCGGGCTGGTGGGAAGAAGGTTGGGTTTGAGGAGCAAATGCCCCTCCTCCTTGTACCCTAAAATAGCAGGTCATTACTTCCCATTAAGCACCTACTATGTGCCAGCCTCATGCTGGGGGCCTTGCACGCGTCATCTTAGTGAATTCTTACAGAAAGCCCCTCAGATGCCCCCCGCTTAACTGAGAGGAGAAATGTTTTGCCCCTTGTTACCTGGCTGGTAAGTGGCCCAGCCACAGTTAGAGCCCAGGTCTGTCTGACGCCAAAGCCCAGGATCCCTAGTCATCATTAGGGACCATTTCTGGTTTACAAAGACATGCATATAGTATTTATATTTTTATATAAAAATATATAAAAGCAACCCCATGTATCTTCCCCAAATTGAGAATTTAAAACATGTCAGGTGTTTTGGCCATGACGAAGTAGTCGGTACCAGACTTGTCTGTCACCACAAACAACTCAAACATGGAACAAAAAATACGAGAAACAACTCTTTCTAACACTGGACAACAGGTGCAGAGACAGAAATTCCTGGAGAAAGAGGTAAATAAGCCTTTGGCCAAGAGAGGCTGGTGGCCTCACTGGGCTACAGGGGACAGAGTTGGGGAGCCAAGGAGGCCAAGGACTATGGAGAGAGTCCTGGAGAGAAGGCAGCAGTGCAGGGGAGCCCCGAAAGAGTCCTGGAGAGAAGGCAGCGACGTAGTGGAGCCCCCAAAATCCCCACAGGGGTCCACTTGAGCCTTTGGCTGAATACTGAACTGTGCATAAGCAGAGTAAGATCCCATGAAGCCAGGGACCAACAGCGACCAGGGAGCTCTGTGAGCAGAGTGACACCAGAGTTCATACCAGGCCAGGGGACGCTGGAACGTCAGCCACCAGGAAGGAAGCACCGTCGCTGACTATCCCTCGTTGACCTCAGCCGCTTGGGAGTCTGAGGTGGGAGGATCGCTTGAGCCTGGGGAGGACGAGTCTCCAGTGAGCTATGATCGAGCCAGTGTACTCCAGCCACTGTACCAAGACTCTGTCTCAAAAAAAGAATGTCTGAAAAATTTCCAAATGTGATAAAAACTTGTAGATCCACAGATCCAAGAACCTCAAAGCAATGGAGAATAAGTCCAAAGAAGTCAAAGCAGCATACGTACAAAGCAGACCCCACCACAGTACCTCATAATGAAATGGCTGAAAACCAGGGACAGAGGGAAAAAATCCTGACCACCCAGAATATTCAGTAGATACCAAAGAAGGCCATGTCCTAGGTGAAGGGCTGAAGTAATCCTAGGGTGACAGCTCCTCTAGACATGACCTAACAGAAGTTCAAAGCAAGTCCTGAGAGGACCAGGCTGATCCACAAGTACGTTAACTGTGCATCAGCATAACACTCAACATGCTTGAAAAGAAGGCCAGTAAAATCCAGAAACTCAAACAATTTGACATTTACGACCTCCAGCACCCAATGCAAAATTACACATTTACAACCTCCAGCACCCAATGCAAAATTACACATTTACGACCTCCAGCACCCAATGCAAAATTACACATTTACGACCTCCAGCACCCAATGCAAAATTACACATTTACGACCTCCAGCACCCAATGCAAAATTACTAGACATGTGAAGAAGCAGGAACAGGAACCTGTGACAAATAACTAGGAAAAAAATCAGTCAGTAGAAGCAGACCCAGAAATGACACGGATGACAGGATTCGCAGAGAAGGCATTTAAAACAACAATCAAAAATACCCCAAAGGATCAGCTGGGCATGGTGCCGCATGCCTGTAATCCCAGCACTTGGGAAGGCTGAGATGGTGAGTTGCTTGAGTCCAGGAGTTCAAGACCAGCCTGGGCAACGTGGTGAAACCCCATCTCTACAAAAAATACAAAAAATTAGCTAGGTGAGCTACTCAGGAGACTGGGGTGGGAGGATCACTTGAGCCCAGGATTTGGAGGCTGCAGTGAGCTGAGCTCGCACCACTGCCCTCCAGCCTGGGCAACAGAGCCAGACCCTGTCTCTCTCTCTCTATACACACACACACACACACACACACACGCGGACACACACGGACACACATATACACACACACACATATATATAATATATACACACACACCACCCAAGGATTTATAGGAAACGATGATCACAGTCAAAGGAGAGATGGAAAGTATAATAATGAATCAAATGGAAATCCTAAAGATGAAAATATACAGTGTAGGAAACAAAAAATCTATTGGATGAGATTAACAGCAGATGAAACTACAGAGGAAAACAATCAGTAAACTTGAAGCCAGGACAAGTTACTCAGACTGAAGCACGCAGAGGAAAAACCTAGGGAAAAGGCAGAAACCGAGCCTTGCCCACCTTGAGACGGTATCAGGCATCAGGCAGTCTAACAATATGTGTAACTGGAGGACCAGAAAGGAGGGAGTGGGGAGGGAAGAACATATGTTTAAAGCAATGGCTGGGTACAGTGGCTCACGCCTGTAATCCCAGAACTTTGCATGACTGAGGCGGGCGGATCACTTGAGGCCAGAAGTTCGAGACAAGCCTGGGCAACATGGTGAAACCCTGTCTCTACTAAAAGTACAAAAATTAGCCAGGCATGGTGGTGCATGCCTATAGTCCCAGCTACTTGGGAGGCTGAGGTGGGAGGATTGCTTGAGCCCAGGGAGGTCGAGGCTCCAGTGAGCTGTGATTGAACCACTGTACTCCAGCCTGGGTGACAGACCAAGACTCTGTCTTATTAAAAAAAAAAAAAAAGGAAGAATGGCTGAAAATTTTTCAGATGTAATAAAAACTCATAGATCCACAGAATCAAGGACCTTAAAATGAAGTAGAATAAGTACAAAGATGTCAAGGCAGCATACGTACAAAGCAGACCACACCAAGGTACCTCATAATGAAATGGCTGAAAACCAGTGACAGAGGGAAAAATCGTAAGGGAATAAAGACCAAAATAACTGCTGGCTTGTCATCAGAAACACTGAAAGCTGAGAGAACTACAACAACATCTTTAAAGTGCTGAAAGAAAACAAAACTGTCAACCAAGATGTCCATTTCTCTTGAAAATATCCTTCAAAAATGAAAGGAAAATAAAGACATGTTAAGGCAAACGCTGAGAAAATTCATCACCAGTAGACCCACACTATAAGAAATGTCACAGGAATTTTTTCAGGCGAAAGGAAAATGATACCAGATATAAATTCAGGTCTGCACAAGGAGTAGAAACCCACTGGAAATGGCAAATATGTCAATAAATGTGAGAGGCTTTTTTTCTGTGCTTCAAAACATTCCTTTTTTTTTTTTTTTTTTAAATGGAGTCTCACTCTGTCGCCCAGACTGGAGTGTAGTGGCACGATCTCAGCTCACTGCAACCTCCACTTCTTGGGTTCAAGTGATCCTCCTGCCTCAGCCTCCCCAGTAGCTGGGACTACAAGCACACACCACCATGCCTGGCTAATTTTTGTATCTTTTTAGTAGAGATGGGGTTTCACCATTTTGGCCAGGCTGGTCTTGAACTCTTGACCTTGTGATCTGCCCGCCTTGGCCTCCCAAAGGGCTGGGATTACAGGTGTGAGCCACTGCACCCGGCCCAAAACAGTTCTTTAAAAGATCAGAGACTAATGTGAAAATAACGACAGTGTATTATCAAATTTATATGTAAAAGTGAAATATATTACAGTAAAAGTTCAAAATGCAGGAGGAGAGAATAGAAATATACCAGAGTAAAGTTTGTATATTTTACAGTGAGTATAATATCACTTAAAGATAGACAATGATGAAGATAAATACTGAAAACTCTAGATCAGACACTAAAAATTAAGGTGAGGAGCTACAGCTAATAAGTCCAGGGAGAAGAGAGAATTGAATCCTAGAAAATACTCATCCAAAAGAGGGCAGAGGAACAGAAAAAAAGACGAAAACCAGATCTGACAAATAGAAAACAAATATCAAGATGGTAGCCTATATCTAACCATACCAATAATTATATTAAATGTGAATGGATTAAACACCCCAATTAAAAGATAGAGATTGTCAGACTGGATAAAAAGCAAGACCCAGTGACATGATGCTTATTAGATAGGGTGATTCAAATATAAAGACACAGATAGGATGAGAGTAAAAGGAAAGTAAGAGATACGCATGCAACTATTAGTCACAAGAAAGCATGCATGGCAATGCTGATATTAGACAAAAGCGGATTTCAGAATAAGAATATTGCCATGGGGAAAAGGGACAGTTTGTAATAATAAAGGATTCAGTTGGTCAAGAAGACAGTCCTAAGTGCATATCCACATAATAACAGTTTCAAAATACACACGAGCAGATGACCACTGACCAGGCTGAAAGGAAACCAGACCCACAGGTATAGTTGAAAGTTTCAACACTTGCTCTCAACAACTGATAGGACACTAGATAGCAAAATCACCAAGGGTATAAAACACTTGACCAACCCTATCAACCAACTTGACCTAATTGACATTTATAGAGCGCTGTGCCCAACAACTCCAGAATTCATATTCTTTTCAAGTACACATGAAATATACACCAAGACAGACCACGTATTAGGCCATAAAACATGCCTGCATACATTTAAAATGACTGAAATCCCACAGAGTGTGTTTTCTGACAACACAATTAAATTAGAAACCAATCACAAAATGATATCTGAAAAATTCTTAAATATTTGGAAATTAAACAATGCACTTTTAAGTAATCTGAAGGTCAAAGAAGGAATTGCAGGAGAGAAATTAGAAAATATTTTAACTGAATTATAATGAAAATACGTAATATGAAAATGTATGGACTGCCCTTAACGTGCTTAGTGGGAAACTGATGACTTTGAATGCTTGTTAGAAAAGAAGACATGTTGAAAGTTGATCTAAGCTTCCATCTTTAAGTGAAAAAAAATTAGTGCAAATTAAAACCAAAGTAAATTTAAAAATAAGAAATCAATGGAAATCAGTACCATAGACAATAATAGAGAAACTCAATAAAATAAAAGGTTATCTTTGAAAAGATCAATACAATTGATAATACGAGGTTAGAAAAGAAAGAGATAAGGCTCAAATTACCAATATCAGGAGAGAAAGAGGGCCACCACTACTGATCTTGCAGATGTTAAAATGATAAGAAAATATTCTGAGTAAACTTTTGCCAATATATTCAATCACTTAGATGGAATGGCCGTGTTCCTTAAAAGACACAAATCATCAAAACTAGCATAAGAACAAATAGAAAATCAAAATAGCACTGTATCTATTGAAAACATACAATTTTATATTTTGTTTATTATTTACTATTACTATTTTTTGAGACAGGGTCTCACTGTGTCACCCAGGCGAGAGTACAGTGGCGCAATCACGGCTCACTGCAGCCTCAACCTTCCGGAGTCAAGCAATTCTCCTGCCTCAAGCCTCCTGAGTAGCTGGGACCACAAGCATGCACCACACCCAGCTAATTTTTAAATTTGTTGTAGAGATGGGGTTTTGCCTTGTTGTCCAGGCTGATCTCCTGAACTCAAGTGATCTGCCAGTCTCAGCCTCCCAAAGTGCTGGGATTACAGATGAGAGCCACTGCACAGGGCCTGTTTTTTAAATTTTTTTAATCCCTAAACTTATGGTAAGAATTCTTAATTAAAAAACAAACAAACAAAAAAACCTTTACACAAAGAATACTCCAGGCCCTAGTGACAACACTGGTGAATTCAGTTAAACATTCAATCAAAAGGAAGGAATAATACCAATCTCGCATAACCTCTTTCAGAAACATGAAGAAGAAGAAACATTTCTCAACTCATTTCATGAGGCCAGTATTGCCCTGACACCAATACTAAAAAGTCACCAGAAAACAAAATTATAGACTAATATTCCTCATGGATATAGGTACAGAATTATTTTATAAAATATTAAATCAAATCCAGCTATTATATAATCAGTAACATCTCATGATCGAATGATGCTTATCTTAGGAATGCAAGGTTGGTTTAATATTTGAAAATCAGTCAGTGGCCAGCACTTTGGGAGGCCGAGGCGGGTGGATCACCTGAGGTCAGGAGTTCAAGACCAGCCTACCCAACATGACGAAAACCCGTCTCTACTAAAAATACAAAAAATTAGCCAGGCATGGTGGCGAGCACCTGTAATCCCAGCTGCTCAGGAGGCTGAGGCAGGAGAATCACTTGAACCTGGGAGGCGGAGGTTGCAGTGAGCCAAGATGGAGTCACTGCACTCCAGCCTGGGTGATAAAAACTCCGTCTCAAAAAAAAAAAAAAAAGAAAAAGAAAAGAAATTCAGTCAGTGTCATTTGCCACATTAACAGAGTGAAGGAGAAAAATCATATAACTTTTCAACAGGTGAAGAGAAAGCATTCGCTCCAACCCAACAACGCCTATTAAAATAAAAATCTCAGTGATGTAGAATCGGAAGGTCACTTGCTCAGTGTCATAAAGGGCACCCGATAGCTCACAGCAGACCTGACGCTGGAGAATGGATGACTTTCTCTTTGGGATCTTGAGCCTGGCAAGTAAGTGCACTCTGAGCACTGCCACTCAACATTGGCCTGGCTTGCACAGTGAGGCAACAAAACGTAAAACAGGATGTAACAGTGACTCTCTGTCTCGTTCTCTCTCTCCTCTCTCTGTCTCTGTCACTCTGCAGACGACCTGAATGTGATTTAGAGGGCCCTGAAGCATCTACAACGGCACATGAAATTGAAGCCCACCCTCCAAACCTCTTCACTCCCGCCGGCCCCCAGCCCACCACCTCCCTTTCTTCCCAGAAGAAACCACAACTCAGAATTTGGTATTTATCCATCTCATACCACGTTTTTGTTCCCTTGCTATGGGCATATGTAACCATCAAAGCCTACAGTGCTGCTCTGTGTGTTTTTAAACTCTGTGAATGATACCAAGCAGAAAATCTGCTCAGAAGCTCTGTGCTGACTGGGAGGGGCTGGAAGTAGGCATACGCCAAAGGCTTGGGGCCAGGCAAGGCTGGGAGCCCACGGCACTGGCCCTTAGCAAAGCCACAGACCCTTTCTGCTCCTTGCCACCCACCCTTCCACCCCGCCCCATGCCCCCAGTCACGAGGACCCACTGGGCTTGCAGCTGGTCAGCTTGTGCTTTAGTGGGGGAAGAGCCTCTCCAAGGGTGGGGTGGCCAGCTGGCCTAGAAGTGTAGGTCTGGGGGCGGGGGGAGCCTGGGTGAGCCTAGCAGTGTAGGTCGCGGGAAGGCGGGGAGCCTGGGTGTAAAGTGCTGCTTTCAGCTGCACCAGGGCCTCCAGGAACGGCAGCTCCATGACAGACCCCAGCCTTAAAGTGGGGACGGGTGGGACACACAGTTTTTGACAAATGAGGTTAATCGAGGCACAGTTTACGTGCAATAAAATCATCCTTTTAAAATATACAGCGAGGTGAGTTTTAATGAATGTATACCTGTGTAACCACGGTCGTGATATAGGACGCGTCGGTCACCCCTAGAAGTCTTGCCGTGCCCATCGCAGTCAGTCCCCTGCGTCTGCGCCCCCAACGTGGATCTGCACCCCATCCTGTAGCTTTGCCTTTTCCAGACGTCAGTTGTACAGAACCATCCAGCACGTGGCTCCCTTCACTGGCTCACTGGCTTAGAGATTCAGCCACGTGGCTTTGAGGCCTGCTCCAGCGGCTGTCCCATCATTGCTGAGCGGTCTTCCTTCCAATGGATGGATCACTGTTTTCAGAGGTGAAATGGACCAAAGTCCGGACCATGTGCAGAACCAGAACACACTCAGTAATAAGAAAGTGGCTACCTGAACACACCCCTCACAGAGGAGATCTGCAGAAGGCAAGGAAGCAGTGGGGAGACACTCCACATGGCACCATTAGGGAGCTGCAAATTAAAGCCCCATTGCGATGCTGCTACACGTCTCTTAGAACGGCCTAAATCCAGAACACAGGTGATGCCAAGTGCTGGCAAGGATGTGGAGCAGCAGGAACCCTCCTTCGTTACTGATGGGAATGCAAAGCAGTACAGCTATTCTGGAAGGGTTTGGTGTTTGCTTACAAATGTAAACACGCTTTCATCGTATGACACAGAAACCACAGTCCTTGTTCACCCAAAGGAGTTGAAAACATATCCAGACAAAAACCTTTATAGTGGCTTTATTCATGGCTTCCGAAACTTGGAAGCTAGCACAATGTTCTTCAGTAGGTGAGAGGTTAAATAAACTGTGGTCCATCCAGACAGTGGAATATCATTCAGTGCTAAAAGACATGAGTGGTCAACCCATGAAAAGACATGAAGGAGGCCGGGTGGGGTGGCTCACGCCTGTAATCCCAGCACTTTGGGAGGCCGAGGCAGGTGGATCACCTGAGGTTGGGAGTTCGAGACCAGCCTGACCAACGTGGTGAAACCCCATCTCTGCTAAAAATACAAAAATTAGCCAGGCATGGTGGAGCACGCCTGCAATCCCAGCTACCCAGGAGGCTGAGGCAGGAGAATCACTGGAACCCGGGAAGCAGAGGCTGCAGTGAGCTGAGATCACCCCACTGCACTCCAGCCTGGGCCACAGAGCAAGACTCCCTCTCAAAAAAAGAAAAATAAAATACATGAAGGCAGCTTAAATGGATATTTCTAAGTGAAAGAGGCCAATCTGAAAGGGCTACACACTGTGATTCCAACGACATGACATTCTGGCCAGGGCAACACCGTGGGGAATAAGAAGGTCGGATTGCCTGGGTTGCAGGACGGGAGGGATGAAGAGGCAGAGCCCAGAGTTGCAGGACGGGAGGGATGAAGAGGCAGAGCCCAGAGTTGCAGGACGGGAGGGATGAAGAGGCAGAGCCCAGAGTTGCAGGACGGCAGGGATGAAGAGGCAGAGCCCAGAGGAATTTTGGGGCAGTGAAGCCCAGCTGTATGACGCTGATGTGGTGTCCACGTTGGTCAAAACCCATAGAATGTACACGAAGAGTGAGCCCCGACGGGGACTGTGGGTGAGGACGTGTGGATGCAGGCTCATCTGCTGAGATGGGGGACGGTGGCAATGGCGGAGGCTGTGTACGTGCGGGGACTGGGAGCACATGGGGCATCTCTGCACCTTCTGATCAATTTTATTGTGAACCTAAAACTGCTTTAATAATGAAATTTTATTTAAAAAAAAACAACAACACTGGCTCACAGTCTGCAGCAGTGAAAAGCACTAACGTCTGCCGCAGCCAGCCCCAAATGGCCAACACTTGATTAGCAACTGACGGCTTCCCTAGGTTTTGTCCCCACTTCAATTCATATTCCACCTCTACACAGGTCCCCTCCCTAATCCCAAAGGACACCTCCTTCTGGTCAGCCACCTCCAGCTCCCCAGGCCAACAGCCTCCGTTGGGGCTCGCCTGGAGCCTCCCCATCTCCACTCCGGAGCTTCCCACCCCCCCGCCTGCCTTGGAGGCTCTGCCAGGCAGGCAATGGTGGCTGGCTGTCTAGCTACAACAAGCTCTGAGTAAGCGGCCTCTGCCTGTTCTCATTTGGGAAGTCTTCGTTCCTTTGCATAGTTCCTGCAGGCACCAATGGGTGGACGTTCGGGCCCTTCCCGGCTTGGGGCTGTGATGACAAGGCTGCCATGGGCGCTGGTGTGCAGATCTTACAGGGATGAGTGCCTGCTGTTCACCGCGTCTTAAAGCTGGACCCTGCTCTGTCCTGCCTCTCTGGCTTCCTGGAGCCTCTGGGTGGCCTGATCGGCTCAGGAATCCAGGACCACATACCCCAATGCGGGACAGAGGAAGAGCCAGCTCCCTCCCTCCGGTTCTTGGGTGGACCTCAGCGCCTCTTTGGGGTTCAGGTCATGCCCGGGCTCTGGTCCACTGCTTGTCATCTCAGAATTTCTTTCTCTTATTCCCTGGAACTGGGGGAGTGAATTCCATCTGCCTTCCCTGTCCTGAATGAGGACCAAGGCTTGTGGGAGACATTGTCCCGCCGTGGAGAGCCCGGACCCCTTCCACCAGCAGGGATGGCAGGCAGGCTCGGGGCTGGTGGCTGCCTCTGTCCCAGAGTCCCCCTTGAGCAACTTATGCTGTGGGACACCTTTCTCTGGGCACCTCTGTCTGCACAAAAGCCACCCTCGCTCTGGCCATTTTACCCCAAATGAGGACACGTTTTGATTTTTGGAAGACTTTTGCTGCCATGAGAATTAAGGTTAATGCTTCTCAAAATAGCTTCTCTGCAAATAACTGACAAGCTCACTTGGCCCAAAATGAATCTGAAGGGGAATTAAAAAGCATCTCTTTTCCCAGAAAACAGATTCCTCATTGACACATTTTTTTTCTCCTGTTGATTTTTCCCTGTTTCCAAAATGGAGCCTTTTTCCTCCGTCTTTTATGCGAGGAACCGGCGCAGGAAGACAAAGTCCACTTGTCAGCAATATTCTGTGAGTCTCTGTTCTCTTTCCCTCTGGGGTCGCCCTGACAATAGGGCCATTATCAGATAGCTCCCTTATTCCATAGATTTTTCCTCTCCCCTCCAGGGCTAATGAGGAGAAAGTTTGCCAGGCTGAACAAAGATGGGAAGGGTTTTCACTCGCCTGGAGCCCCAGCGTGGCCAGCTCCAGGCAAGGGCCATTATGGGGAGGTTGGGTACTGTCATTCGATTGCTGTGAGTGACTTTTGGGAGCAGGGCCATCCATCAGTTCTGTGATCCACATAATTTGTCCTCTGAGAGCGGAAACATGTTTCCCAGAGAGAAGCCTTTCAAGCTGTCTCTGGGCCTCAGGCTCCCGGGGCCAAGCCCACGTCTGACTGAGGGGGCTTAAGATCTCACCGACGCTTCGTCAATCACATCGGGAAGGGAAGGAACCTTGGAATATTGCAGCGCATTGCCCCCGCTAGTCCGGCAATGTGTAAACACTTCATGTGGTGGTGATAAGAACATAAAAATGCTCAACACCCCAGACTCGGGTCTGGGATCTTGTTCCGAGATCAGCCTCTGCGTGGGCCCATTTGGCTGCACCAGGAGCTGCCGTTGAGGACCTCAGCCCCCCGGCTTCCATTTACCTACAATTAGAGCCTGCTCTGGCCCCTTGGTGGACTTGGGAGGCCCTGGTGATCCCAGAATCCCTGCTGGGTAATGGCCCTCACAGCAAGTGACCGATTCACTCATCCCTTCATTCATTCATGCAGGCAGCCTTCTCCCAAGCATGGGCCCCAAGCCAGGCTTTGGGGACTGAGAGGTGAATCAGGGAGCCCCCAGGAGTCCTCACAGCCCCAAATCCAGTGCATGTGGTATTTTTGGACTCAGTGGATGGAGGCTAAGGGGTCCCCTGCGTGACCTGGGGCCTGAAGATGCCGGTCTACGAGGAGGCTTAGAATCGCTGAGCACTTCAGCTGTGCTGGAGGAAGGTGAGATATTTCCCTGCCTGTAAAAAAGCGTCTACAGCTGCCTCTCCTTACACAAATGCGAAGGGATAGATACGGGGGTGTCAGACAGGCAGCCCAGGGCTCTTGGCGTGTGGAAGAGGCGCTGCCCTGCCCCCTCCCATGTGGTCTGGCAGGTGGGGAGGATCTGTTGCTGGTGGTGTAGGTCCTGGGAGTTCGGGGCTGCCCCCTGGGGGCTGGAGTGGCTGAGGAGGGTGGCACGAAGGGGTCAGGGGTGGGGAGCTTCAGGGAGTGGGGAGGGGAGGCTGCGGGCAGGAGGGTCCGTGAGGGCTCAGGTAGGTGAGAGGTTCCCATAGGCATGGCCAAGGCGGTAGCTGTGGTGGTGGCTGATGTGAGCAGGTGTCAGGCATCATAAAGATCAGTTTTATAATCAGCCTGGGCCACTCTCAAACAGGGGTCCTCGGAAGAAGATGCTGCTGGGAGACGGTCGAAGGCCGGCAGTGTTGACTCCAAAGCGAGGCTGTCGACCGCGTGTGGGTAATAACTGCCCACCTCCCTGGAACCCCAGCCAGGCCTGTGTTCCAGGCACTCGGGGGTAAGGGAGGGGAGAGGTGGAGGGGCACAGCTCCAGAGGCCCGGCCCACTGGGAGGGGTGGACAGGAGGGAGCCCAGGAGACATTCAGAGGCCCTGGGTAGGGGTGGGGGTGGGAGGCCAG
This sequence comes from Homo sapiens, assembly GCF_000001405.40. Classification (NCBI taxonomy): domain Eukaryota; kingdom Metazoa; phylum Chordata; class Mammalia; order Primates; family Hominidae; genus Homo; species Homo sapiens. The sequence goes on along the minus strand of NC_000001.11, from coordinate 3,440,011 downwards.
GTCACCTGGGTGACATCAGTTAAACTCTGTGTCAGCAGGGAGCCAGTGGGGGCCTACGTGGGTGAGACGGTTTGGGGCAGTCCTGGTTGGGGAGGCTGGGCTCGGTCTGGCTGGACATTCCCCTTTGAGGTTTACGCCCCCTAGGCTTCTGGGTCAGAGCAGAATCAGGGTAGGGGAATGGAGCCTCTCCCAGAGGCAGGAGGGCCCCAGGAAGGAATCCCAGGGGCAGTCTGGGGGTAGACAAGAGAAGCCCCTGAGGGGACTGGGTCTGCTCCAGCCCCGGGGCCTCTAGCTCACCCCCTATCCCACCCCTGTGGCTGTCCCTTGTCAGGGCAGCATCAGGCCATGTGAGGTGCTGGTGGACACAGACTTCAGGGAGGCTGACATGGGGAGGGCCACCCTTAGGAAGGGGTGGGTTGAGGACTGGCCTAGAACAGAGGCCCCCAGACCCCAGGCCATGGGCCAGGACCAGTTCTTGGCCTGTTAGGAACCGGGCCACACAGCATGGGGGGCGCAGCGGAACCCAGCTTCCTCTGTGTTTACAGCCACGCCCCATCGTCTGCATCACCGTCTGCACTCCACCTCCCATCAGATCAGTGGCGGCGTGAGATTCTCATGGGGGCGGGAACCCTATTGTGAACTGCGAGTGCGAGGGATCGAGGCTGCACGCTCCTTGTGAGCATCTAATGCCTGATGATCTGTCACTGTCTCCCATCACCCTTAGATGGGAAGGCCTAGTTGCAGGAAAACAAGCTCAGGACTCCCACGGATTGTACACTATGGTGAGTTGTAGAATTATTTCATTATATACTCTAATGTAATAATAATGGAAATAAAGTGGACGATATATGTAATGCATTTGAATCAGCCCCAAACCATCCATCCCCTGGTCTTTGGAAAAACTGTCTGCCACGAAACCAGTCCCTGGTGCTAAAAAGCGTGGGGACTGCTGGCATGGAAGACGGGTTCCCCCAGCACCTCCAACAGGGAATGCTGCATCCCCAGGAAGCCTTGGGGCAAGGCCTGTGGGGTGGGCCCTGGGTCCTGTGTACCTGGAGGCAGGCACAGTTGGGGGACATGCCTGGAGGCTGCTGCATCTGGAGGCTGTCATGCTTGGCAGAGGGACACACCTGGAGGTCACTGTGCTCGCTCTGGGGCCATCCAGGGAGTTGATGCCTTCCTGAGCTTATTCTTTTCTGGAAAATGGGAATAGCCAGGAGTCTGCCCCGGAGGGTGGAGGGAACAAAGCTCCAAGGGCATCAGGGCCTGGCCCCGGGACTCCTCAGTCAAAGCCAGGGAGCCTGGACCTCGGCCGAGCCCTGGCTTGCTCCTCCTCTCCCTTCCACAGGCCTGGGGCCTCTCCCTCAATGAAGCTCGCGGGCACCGAGGCTTAGAAAAGCACACAGATTTATTGCATATCAATCTCATGTATAAATTCATTGGAGCATTGGAAAGATTACATTTGGTATACAGTCCTATTCTACAGCATTAACCTCCAAATCGGCTTCTCCTAGGCTTTCTCTTAAGGAAATGTCTCTACACAAGTACATTTGTGTTCATCACAAGCATCAGAATGCAATTTGCAAAATTGTTCTTTTCATGATTTCCTACACTTCACGTCTTATTTCATTCTTCTCCCACAGCGATTTCCGTATTAATTGGGAACTGCGCCTCTTTCGCGTCAGCAGTTCAGGACTCCTAGTCTCAGACGTAGATCCTAATCACATATTCAATAAGTGCATCTACAGAATTTTCCTTTTAATAAAAATTTCACCAACAGACACGATAATGACCGCTAAGCAGGAGTCATGCACAGTTTACTTATAAACAGAACAGAAGCAATTTACAATCAAGGGGGACATGGGGCGAGCGCCAGCCTCCTTCTCAATGGTCTTTTTAAACATTATATGAAAACCAGACATTTACATTTGATTTCTTTTTCAATACTATACAGTTCTAAAAGAAAAAACAAAACAAAACAAAACTAAACCAAATCTGTAATGTAACAATGGCAGAAGGTGGCGGGCGGCACAGGTCTGTGATTCTGCGAGGATTCTTTATATCGACCTTAAGGGACAAAGTCCATATACACACACGCTTTAAATTACGACTCTGACACCAGGGCTCAGCATCCCTCGTGCCGAAAGCGCAGTGGCAATGCACGTGACGCTGAAGGCAATTGTTAGAATGACTTTTGTTCACAAGTGAATCACACGTTTGGAAACTCAAGCTGCCTTTTATTTATTTATTTATTTATTTTTTTCCAAAAGTGGTAATACGGATCAGTGACAGAAAAGAACAAAACAAACACAAAAATGGAATGGAAGGAGCAGAGGAACTCTTCTAGGAAGAATGCAAGGATGGTTTTGTCACAGTATCACTCATTGCTACAGAGACACAGTTTCATGGCTTTTGATACCCGGCTGACCTCCACTGACCAGGAGCAGCTATGTCCTGGCGTCCCTGGCTGGGAGGAGAGCCTTGCCCTCCCCCACAAGGCTGCAGTGCAGGGGCGAGCTCTGCTCTCCCTCCCCCTAGGACAGCACAGTGAATATAGCTCAGTAGGTTTCAGTCACTTGGGCAGGGGGACGGGACAGAGGGGGCAGGGGACCACAATCCAGTGCTTTGAGGCTTCGAGTCTAAAATACGTGATATGTATTCAGGCAAGTGTTTTGCAGACGCTCATGGGGAAGCGGGGAAGGCAGAGGACGCCAGGGCCCTTGGAATTTCCAGGGCTGGACTCTGGGGACGTGGAGGTCTTGGCCAGTCGGGGTCTGGATGGGACAGCTGCACGCGTGGCCTTGTAAAGGAAGGCCTCTCCAGCTGGGCAGTCTCTCAGGCCACACCACGCCCACCCCAGCCACTGCTCCACACCCCAGGGCCCCAGGCAGGGTGCAGGGGCTCGATCCTCTGGGTTGAAGTCAGTGATATCTTGGGTCCCACTCATGAAGGGTCTGCCAGGCCCACAGAGGAGGAACCCCACGTGCCCAACCTGGGGATGAGAGCAGGAACGGGTGGGGACGTCGGCTCGCTGGGGGCTGGGGTCTGAGGAGCAGCGGAGGGCAGGTGCGAGGAGGCCTCCTTCGGAATTTCCATTTGGGGGATGGGGGTTGACAATCCAAGGAGTTAGCATTGGGGCAGCATTTGGGCTGAACGGAAGGGCCCTGGACCCCTGGCTTGCAGCCCTGACCCTGGCCACCTGGCCATGGACACAGCCAGCTGCCCCGTCGCATCCCTGTCCATGCTGCACAGTTACATGGCCCCGTTACGGTGTGGTGACAGCTGGAGGCCAGAATCTCTGAATTCTCACACCCGGGCCAGGCTCCCTGGCCCTTGTCATCTCTGGGCACCAACACTGCTGGGCAGAGCAAAACTGGGAGGGCGAGGCTCGCTGGGGCCTGGGGCCACACTAAGTGTCGGGGCCGTGTTTTGGGGCGCACCAGCCCAGGAAATAAGTGCTGCCTTTGTCAGGGGCTCTAAGAACAGGGCCTCCTGAAAACGCCAAGTGCTGGGGCCTGGGGGTCTGAATGCTCAGGAGAAACTGGGCTTGCCATCATTTTCAGGGGGACGAAAATATATGACTTAAAACGTGCAACCAGGACTCTTGGGAAAGGTGGAAGGAAAGAGCGCCAAGAGAAGACAGGACGGTTAGGAAGACAGCCGAAAACGGCGGGATGGGACTGGGGGATCCGGAGACCAACGGTAAGGGCGGCTCTCATCGGTTCTGCTCCTGCTGAAAAGACACGCTGAGGGCTCCATCCGTCCGAATGTCCCACTTCAGAGAGACGGGGTCATATTGCAAAAAAAAAAAAGCACACACCTTACTCTTTCGCAGAAGAAACCATATAATTTGGGTTTACAGAAATGGGGTGTTTATGTCTGAGGTTGAATTTTTATAAGAATCCCATCTAGATCAAGGGAAACTGGAAATTCCTACGGGGTACCTGGTGGGTCTGACCCAGGGGATGTTGTGGAAACGCGTGAGAAGGCCTGAGCAGTTGTGTTTGCAGATCCTGGATCCTTCCCGACACGCCAGCTGGCTCTTCTGCAGGCAGCTCCCCCGCTGCCCCGGCGGGGCCACCCCATGGCCCCAGCGCACGCACAGGTGGGTCCTGTCTTGCCTCGTTGTGCAGATCTGGCGTGGGAGGAATCCCTTTCACTGTGATCCGTCGGGTTGAGCCTCCTGCAGGAGCCTCCCCGTGGCACGTCTTCAGTGCAAGCCTGGACCACCCGGCACCCACAGAGACGATTGTCTTTTGTCCTGGAGCAGCCAGGACACCTCCCGTCACCGCTGGGGACAGCCTGAGGAGATGTCCACGCGTGACACAAAGCCTGAGGAGATGTCCACACGTGACACAAACCCACACCAAGGCGGCTTGCACCACTCCTGTTTGTATTTACGCTCTTTTTTTTTAAAGGGCAACTTGGGCATTTTTTTTCTCTTCTTTTTGGGACTCTATCATCATTTTTTCTTCCAAACAATACAAGAAATAAATAGAACACTTGTCTTAAATGCAAATGTAACTGAAACGCAAATTTAACAAAAACATATGATTGTCTGGTAAACGGCAGCAGGGACAGCAGGATTCATGGGGGGGACGGGGGTATTTGGCACATAAAAAATCGCCCCACTCCCACACGACACACAACCTTATCACACGGTTTTGGTCCTTCACCAGATACTTATATTAACATTATTTCTTCACAATAAGAATGTCTAATGCCAAAAATACTGTTAAGGAGGAAATAAAATAAGAAAAGAAATGAATTAGAAAAAATTACAAGTTATATACAGATTAAGGTAAATTCCATCAGGGAAAAAAATTATTATTTGAAATTGGCCCCTATGGGAATAATTTAAAGCCCATCCGAGTGGGGAAGAAGTTGCGTCCCAAGAGAGGGAGGCGGCTGGGCCCGGGGGGCTGTGCTGTCTCTGCTCCTTGCGGCAGGTTCCCCCGACGCCCTTCTGTTCTCAAGCTGTGTCTCGCCAAGAACCCGCAGGAAGAGCGACGTGACGACTGTGTCGTCCATCCGGAGTCTCAGGCACAGGTGCGGCTTGGTGGCCCGGAGCGATCCGCTGGGATTGCTCCCCAGGGCAGCCACGTGGAGGACACCGGAGCCGCTGGGGTCAGGTGGGAGGTGGGAGACCCAGGACGTGGCCAAGGCCCTGCCTTCAGAGGACGGCGCTGGGTTCCCGCGTGGGGTGGCCGAGGCAGGGACAGAGGAGGGAAGGAAGATGGGTGCCCGGCCACATCTCTGCATGGCGGATCCAAGCCACAGGCCCTCGACTTCCCCATATAATTGAGGGATCTTGGGTGGGGACCTGTGGATTCCTCTGAAGGCCACGTGGCGGTCCTGACACCAATTCCATGTCACACGAGGGCAGGCACACTTCCCATCCCAGCCTCGGGCAGGCCTGCAGCCCAGGGCGCCCTGCCTAAGACTTCTTCGGCCGTCTGCATGGTTCACGGGTGTGGCCCCGCGCCTCTTGTTCTGCCTCGGGGCACCCAGCATCACCTTGGCTTATACAAATAGGGACAGAGATAGAAAATTTCTCCATTATCTACAGTATAAAGAATACACCCAGGCACAGTGCGGGTTCCCAGGCAGACTCGGGTTTGCAAATGAGCTCAAATTTCAAAGCAATGCAAAATTACTTTTAAAAAACAATTTGCAAGTCATTTTTTGATTTTTAAAAAATACTGTCTATTTTTAAAACCACATGCTTAAATAGACTCTGCAGTCAATACGGTTACCAAAAGGGTTATTCTTGTCATTTCATTATAAAAATCATTTGAGTGATCTCTCTCTTTTGAGCACACCAGTCTATCCATTCCCTTCCGCGACCCCACGCGGGCACCCGGCAGTGGCCACCAGCTTCTGTCTCAGCAGAGCGTCCACCTGCCCACTGGCTGATTCTGCGAGGCAGCTCCGTTGGCTGTCTTTGGACGGCCACCTGCATGGCCGTCACTGAACAGTGTTCTCAAGACCAATCCTTGGAGATGGTGAGACTCTACGACTGCTTTAGGGACTTTTGGGATCTGAGTTTCCATTGGAAAAGTCGGAATGAACCATGGTGGGTGGGGAGGATGCTGAGGAGTGGCCACACGCAGGGACAGGGTTCTCCGGGGCCCCGCCCGCCTCCGTCCTTCGTGGCTGGTGCCCTCGCTCTGGCCACCGGCCCCCGGCTGCCCAGCCCGTCAGAGGTGGTTGATGGGGTGAAATGCTCCAGACTCCGACGTGGCTCCAGTGACCTTCAACCAAGCGTCCAGAGAACCCTGGGAGGGGGTGTGGAGAGGAGTGTCTTCGGAAAGGGACAGCATCATTGCATATGCCTGGCGGGGAGGGGATGACACACACACAGGACAGGCAGGTGAGCGCGTGGGCAGGGCGGGCCATCCCAGACAGGCAGGTGAGCGCGTGGGCAGGGCGGGCCATCCCAGACAGGCAGGTGAGCGCGTGGGCAGGGCGGGCCATCCCAGACAGGCAGGTGAGCGCGTGGGCAGGGCGGGCCATCCCAGACAGGCAGCAGATGGGCAGGGCAGGCCATCCTGGACAGGCAGGTGAGTGTGTGGGCAGGACAGGCCATCCCCGGCCAGCAGGGCCAAGCCTCGTCCGTTCCCAGCCTCCCGTGGCCCTGGCCTGGCTCAACCTTGCCCTGGGCCACAGGGGGCAGAAGGAACAAGAGGGACTAAGACCCGGATTCTCCCCGCAGCCTGGAAGAGGAAGACATGAGCAGGCGTGACGGCGGGAGGGACGAGGGCCGCCCCCTGCTCCGAGTGATGCCAGGACATTGGGGTGCTGGTGCAGGGCCTCCTGTGCACACCAGCTCCCTTGGCTGCTTTGGGGTGCTCCCCCTCGAAGCCTCCTCTCCTTCCCACCCCTTCCCCCTGTTTCCTCCACCTGGTGATCAGCAGAAACTACAGACACGTGTCTGGTTTGGGACGGCCCTGGGAACTGGGGGTCAACAAGAGCCACCCCTGCCAGGGGATGTCTGTTTTGGTGACCGTGGGGACACCAAAGAGCTGCCTCTGGGACAGGGATGTGCAGCGTTTCTGGGCCAATGGGATTCTTAGGAAGTACAGATGTGTTTCCAGGCGTTAGTTCATGGGACATCCTTCTGCCCCCAGCACAGGGCAGGTGGGGATGGGACCTGGGGAGCATCGTGTGTGGGTTAAGGGCAGGGAAGGTGGGGAAGCCCAGCACTGTCCTACCCGAGTTAACACTCCAGACAGAATTAGTAAAAAGACAAAGACAGACACGCAGACGGCTTTTGCTGAGACCTGGGGCGGGCCTGTTCCCTCTGGGAGGGCTGTAGAGTGCTGAATGAGACCCTGAGTCCCTACAGACTGGAGAGAAATGCGGGAGCAGGGCCCTGGGGCCACCTACCCTGAGGAGAGAAGCCGAGAAGCGCCTGGGGCCAAAACCCTGGCACCCTCGCTGACCTCATTGCTCCAGCTGGGAAGCAGAGACTGCCCGGCTGGACAGCTCTTCCCCCGGGAAAAGCCCGGGCTGCAGGCCACTGGGGCCCAGATCAGAGAGGGAGGGAGACGAAGGCGGCTGGGCGGGCCAGAAACCTGCTCACAGACCTTTCCCACTGAGGACCACAGGAAGGTGAGCTGCCCGTGTCCATGAGTGAGCTCCCTCGTGAGGGTCCTGCCAGGGTCATCGGCTCTCAGCCCCTCCCTGCTGCGCCCCAGCTTGCGGGAGGGCGGTGGTCGCTGGGGCCTCTCTGGAGGATGCAGCGTGGGGGCGTTTGCGTGACCAGAGCTTCCTCAGGCCTAGGAGGGCCACGGCGGGAGAGGAGTGCTGGCTGTCCTCTGGCTGAGGAGGCCAGGTGGGGTGGGGGAGGGGCTCTGGCGGGTACCTACCTGGTTCTTAGCCTGCCTGCACAGTGTATGTTTTAAAGCCTCAGAATCTAAGGTGGAATTAAGCACATCTTTAACTTCAAATGCTTCCTCAGCTGCTCTGCGGAGGTCCAGCCCCTTCCCAAAAGTCGGCATCGGCTCCAAAGCTAACAGACCGCCTTCGTGGTCCTCAGCACACCTGCACCAATGACCGGGGAGAGGGAAGGCCTGCTGTCAGCAGCCTGGCCTTGGCCGCCTCTCTGATGCTGCAAGCCCAGCTCCGGGCCTGCATGCACGCCGCTGCATCTCTGCCAGCCACATGCACAGGGAGACAGACACACGGACACACAGACGCCTGGACGGGAAGGCACACGGATGCAGGAGAGTGACGGACAGAGGTCAGGGAGGGGGTGAGTGCGTGCACACGCATCAGGCAGCAGGCAGGGGGCTCAGGTCTTGCCAGTGGAGGGTGGAGAAGAAGGCTTCAATTCTCTAAGACCCCAGGCAGCTCAGAGAGGCCCGGGGCTCCCTCTCCCAGGACTCAGGGGCAGCATCCAGGCTGGAGAGGAAGTGCCACCTCCGAAGGGCCTCCCCAAGGGCATCTGGGAATGCTGGCAGTGTCGCCCAGGCCCGATATTGGTGGCGAACACTGAGGACATGGGGAAGTGGCCCTGGCCGGCACAGAATGGTGGGTGCTTGGCCCCCGTGTGCCCACGGCCCTCTAGTGGCTGCACGCGCTGTCCCAGGCTGACAGGCAGCTCTGCTGCAGGGCCGGGGGCCTCCATGTCTGCTCAGTGCAGGGAAATGCCTTCCCCTCCACACTCTGCTTCCAGCCTCCAGGGCCCCTGGGGGTGGGTGGGGGGGTTAAGGGCCCCTGACCCCGTTGCCCCTGGCCCAGCCTTGCCCTGGCCTGTGTGTGGAGGCCCTGAGGTGGCTGTGCTGGAGTAGGGGCTGAGCCAGGGATGGGCTCACGAGTGGCTGAAGAGGGAGGTCCCCCTCGTGATGGACGCCCACGTTCCCTCCCTGCCCCATCCTGGAGCACACGGCTGCCCCCACCTTCGGGTGTGGTCAAAGCCCACGGCCAGGGAGGCGGCTGGCTCCTCATCCTCCTCATCCTCGTAGGCGGCCTGGGGCTCGGGTGCGGGGGACACGGTGTCATCCTGCGACTTCCCGGCCAGGCTGTCCTCATCGTCCTCCTCCAGGTCATCGTCGTCCTCCTCCTCCACGTCCTCCTGCTTCTCACTGGCTAGGCCTGGACACTGGGCACTGCCGTCCACGATCTGCATGTCCGCCCTGAAATGATGCAGGAGGAGATTGACTGAGTTTGGGTGTCTCTGTCCTTCCCATGGACCCCCAAAGGCTGGTGACTCCGCTCTGCCCCCACTGCCTCCCCCGACAACACTCAGCCCCCTTCCTGAGGGAGCTCCCGCGGGTCCCTGGGCCCAGCCACTGACTCTGCAGAGTGAGAGGCACGGAGGCCTGGGGGCGATCCCGGGAGAGGAGGGCAAGCGCTCGGGGCGGTGGGGGCAGGGCAAGGCCCAGCAGCAAGCTGCTATGGCCGGGAGGACACCAGGGCCGGGGCGGTGTTGGGGTGGAAGCAGTGGGCAGTCCTGTGGGGAAGCTGGACCTGCACTGGCACGGGGGTTGGGCAGTGCACGAGGGGCACCCTCAGGGCAGACTTCAGGGGGAAGGAATTCAGGCTGACAACTCGAGGACGTGGGCACTGGCCCGAGAGCCGGGAGCCCTGGAGGGCTCTCTGGGATCTGGAGAGTGAGGGCCCAAAGCCTGCTGTGAGCAGTCTGAATGCACCAGGACAAGCTTGCTTCGGAGCCTGTGGGGGGACTCTTCTGCAGCCCAGGGCTCTCCTGACTTCCCTCAGGGTCACTGCAGCCCGGCAGGACCCCTCCACTCCGGTTCCTCAGTATTAAATAAAAAAGAACAAAGCGTGCATGGGTGTGGCTGGGCATTCTCATTTCTTTCAGGAAGAGCCACTAGAGTTTGGCTCATCTTCATGTTCACGACCAAGAGCTGTGTCTTGGGTGGGCTGGGCCCCAGGGGAGCTGAGGGCCCCCGGGCACATGCTGGACATACTGGTAGAGGGGCCCAAGCAAAGGGCAGGGCACGCAGTTTCTGGACTGCCCATGCCCAGAGCCCCAGGGCCACTCTTCCTTGTCCTCACTCCGCCCGGGGGCACTGCCTCCCGCTGCCCTGGGAGGTATCCACGGTGTGGGTGAGATGCAGGGGTCCTGCTCTTGGCATCCAAGCAAGAAAGTGACAGCGTCTCACGGCGACCGACCTCCGTGTCTCGGACTCGCCTGTGTGCACGGGAACTGGGCTTGGGGAGGCCACAATTTCCTGGCTCTCCACAGATGGGCCACGTGTCTATCTCTTGTCTTTCTGCCTTCCAGGACGGACAGAACCTCACCAGGTTTCAGGGCTTGAGGAGAGTTCCTCGGTCCTGGTCGCCTGTGTTGGGGGCCAAGAGCGTCCTGTACACACACCCATCTCCTCAGCCACGGAGCTGCTGGGATCCGGGTCCTGGTTCTCACCCTGGTTGTTGGTGAGGTGCCCTCGGGTGGGGTTCTGTCTTTGGGGCCTGTGCCCTCTCGATGACACGAGGACATACCCCTCCCTGTCCACTCTGAGGACGGGATGAGATGGCGCAGGGTGAGAGCCCAGGCTCATCACATGGGCATGTGCTGTGAGATCTCATCTGGTGGCCCCACGTGGGTTTGCATGGGCTTCCCACCAGCTGGGGGCAGGGACTTTGCCCTCTTTATGTCTGCTGCACACCCCCCATGCACAGAGTATTTGCTTTTTAGTGTTGGGGAGCGGAGCATCCGGCACGGACACAGAATAGGGCCCAGTGGCTGGTTTGGCTCCAACAGGGAGGACAGTCAGTTTCCCAGAGCTGCCCAAACCAAGCCCCACAGAATGGGGGCCTGAAGCAACAGCCGTGGACGCTTTCACAGCTCTGAGGCCAGAAGTCCAAGATCCAGGCGAGGGCAGGCCGGGTTCCTTCCAAGACTCTGGGGGAGAATCTGTCCCTGGTCTCTCTCCAGCTCCCGCTGCTGCCGGCCCTCTTTGGCCATCCTTGGCAAACCTTGGCACTCTTCGGCCCTCCTATGTGACCCTTGGCCCTCCTTGGCCATCCTTGGTGACCTTTGTCCCTCTTAGGTGACCCTTGGCTGGGAGGCGCATCACCCTGACCTCTGTCTCCATTTTCCCTTGGCCTTCTCCCCTGCGTGATTTTCTCCAAGTGCCCCCTTTTTAAGAGGCCGTCAGTGCCGCTGGATTGGGGCCCACTCTACCCAGTGTGGCCTCTGCTTAATCCCTCCTTAAAGACCTTATCTCCTAAGAGAGTCCCATTCTGAGGTACCGGGGGCTGGGACTTCCACCTGGGAATGCTGAGGGACATGATTCAACTCAGGGGTTCACGGGGCTGCAGGACCAGGACTCCTGACAGAACTGGATCCTTCCTGATGGCGGAGGGCAGGAGCTGGTTCTGCAGGAGGCCCAGGGAACGTTCCCGCCACCCCAGGGACTGGCTGCCTATGTCCACCTTGCCCTGTTCTCATTTTCGTCAGTGACGCAGGGGCTCTCAGGACCAGGCCAGCTGGACCCGGGGACCTTGCCTCAGCAGGACGGGTCTTCCGAGGGCCTGAGTCTGAGTCCGTCTGAGGCCGGCTGTGCCCGTATGTTCTGAGGTGTGGAGAGCCTCCCTCGTCCCCACCCCTAGGGCTGTGAGAAGCAGGGCACTGTGGGCCTTGCCATAGGCGAGGGGGAGGCCCGGCCACATCTCTTTCTCTTAGAGACAGCCTTCTGTCCTGGTGGGTCTCCTGCAGTGCGGCCGGGCTGCACCCTAGCTCGGGGTCCTGGTGGGTCTCCTGCAGCGCGGCCGGGCTGCACCCTAGCTCGGGGTCCTGGTGGGTCTCCTGCAGTGCGGCCGGGCTGCACCCTAGCTCGGGGTCCTGGTGGGTCTCCTGCAGTGCGGCCGGGCTGCACCCTAGCTCGGGGTAGGGGGGCCTTGCTGTCCTCCAGGTGGTTCAGCCTCCGCACACGCTCCTGGTCCTGGGCCCACCCCGGCAAGGATGCCATTGATGAATCCTCACTTGTTCCTCGCCTGGCCTTACTCTGGGAGCTGCAGCTTAGGGGATTGTGCCTGGGGACGGGGCTGTGGGGCGTAGGTAAGGCCTGGCCTGTGGCGCTCATGGGTCTGACACGCAGCTGCAGGGAACACGAACAGCTCCCATGCGGCTGTCTCAGCGTGGCCAGGGCAGAGTTCCTTTCAGGCCATCGTTCCTGGAGCCCACTGGGGAATGCCGGGACAGCCTGGGGGCTGCAGAGTAGGTGGGGTTGCACTGGGGTGGAGGTGAGGCTTTTGGGACCACGGCCCAGAGCCAGCTTCTCCCCCCGCCCCTTCCTCTGAGCCCGCTCTGGGCTCTGATGGATGAAGATGCTGAGGGCCCTACAGGTGAGCTCACCTTCCTAGGAGGGGCACAGATTTGGAACGTGGCTTTGCCAGAGCCAGTGTCCAACTGCCTCCTGTGTTTATTGCTTGGATGCCTCTTTCCCAGGTACCCCCACTCTCCTAGAAGCAATGACAGGAAGACGCAGCCCTGCCCTGGAGGAGGGGATGGGCTCTGAGGGAGCTGGGGTCTCAGGGGGCTTCTTCTTCACCTACTGGAGGTGGTGGGGAGTGAGCTGGGCCCTGTGGGTACAGAGCCTTAGACCGCCCATGGCCAGTGCGGTAAAAGCTTGGGATCTGGCTCTAGGTTCTGGGCCTGAGCAAGACACCCCACTTCTGTGGGCCCCGTTTTCCCTTCTGTAGAATCAGGGGATCACCCCCTCAGGCCTCTTGGAGTTTGGAACACCTTCGGTTCTCTGCCAGCTGGCTGGTGTTAGCTTTCACAAAGGAAGCAGCCCCGCTGGGGTGTCTGAAGGCTCCCCCAGAGTAAGTGAGGCCTACGGAGCCCTGGTATCCCAGGTTGCACAGAGCATGCGCCGACATTCCTGGATCCGAATTCCACCATCGTTCTGCTGCTGTGTGTCTAGACGCACGTGCGCCCATGCGTGTACATGTGTCTCTAGGTGTACGCACACGGCTGTCCGTCACGCATGTGTATGTGCACACACTGTCCATGTGCATGTACTTGCATGTGTGCATATGCGTGTGTGTAGATCTAGGCAGGCATGTTTATGCACGCACATGTTATGTACACGTGTGTGCATGAGTGCACGTGCATGCCCGTATTTGGGGACCTGCACGCAAAGGGCAGAGCACACAGTTCCTGGACTGCCCATGCCCAGACCACAGCCCTGTCCCCAGGCACGTCCTGCCCTGTCCCCAGGCACGATCCCCTAAACTGCAGCTCCCAGAGCAAGGCCAGGTGAGGAACAAGTGAGGATTCATCAATGGCATATGTATACACATGTATACAAACGTGCATCTCTGTGTGCATATGTGCATGTGAATGTGTACATGTACACGGGGCATACCTATGTGTGCATGTGTGTGCGTGCATGTGTACACATGTGTATGTGTGTACATGTGTGTATAAAGGTGCAGCATTTTGGTTTGGAAATCTTTAGTGCCTCAGATTAAATCAAAATGTCCTTGAGTGTCAGCGGCACAGCTGAACTTGTGCCCGGCTCGGTCACCTGGCTAGTGTTTTGCACACACATATGTTAACAGTGAGGTCATAAGCCCAGGGGTGCTTACTCTCATGACTCTCCAGGTGGAGGAACTGAGGCAGACAGCGCAGCTTCCCCAGGTTCCCAGAGCCCAGGGGCCTCACCCTCTGTGGTGAGGCCCCCACTGCGCCTATCTGGATGTGTTAGGGGCTGGTGCTGGGGTGGAGGTGCATGTCCTCTGAGGGTGGCCACGCAGGGCTGTTGGCCGGGTCCAGACTTTCCCCAGCCCGCGATAGTTTTCTTACCGTTTCTCTGTTCGCGTTGATGCTTGGTTCATCTCACTATTGGCAATAAAGTTTCTGATTTCCGAGAAATAAGAGTCTTCTTTCTCGTCTAAAAGTGCGTGGTTGTCCGACTCTGAGGTGGGAGAGGACGCGCTGGTCCCCAGGTGGTTCGTGAGGACCCCGGGGTGCTGGCTCACTGCGGAGGGGCGGGAGCATCAGGGGGCGGCCTCTCGCTGGACCCCTCCCTCCGTGGGGCAAACCAACCGCGAACGGGGTACACCTGGGGTGCTGTTAGGGAGGCAGGTTTCTTAGGGACACCGGAGAGCACGAGGTTCTCTTTAATGACCACGGTTTGAGGGGTGCCTGTTGGCTTCCTGAGGGGTAGTCTGTGGCCCTCTTCCCTGCCCGGCGCCCACTCCCCTGCTGTTCCCCCTCCCCCTCTGTGGGGCCTGCCCGTGTGGGTGCTCTGGGGGCTGCCCCACCCCGCGTGGCCCACCTGGTGCGTTCTCGTGCTCGTGCTTCTTGAGGTGCCGGTCCAGGTTGGTCTGCTGCCCGAAGCAGCGGTTGCACAGGTGGCACTTGAAAGGCTTCTCCTTGTTGTGGATGTTCCGGACGTGCCGCTGGAGGTTCGAAGAGATGCTGAAGGAGCGGTCGCAGTACTTACACCTGGAAGGGGCACACGCGCTCCTCAGTGCAGGCCCCGGCTCTGCATGGCAGGCCGGGCCACAGAGGGTGGGGGGAAGGGAGCCCGCGCCCCTGCCCCGTGCCCCGTGCACAGCTTTGCCCCGCCGTGTCCCGGAGGTTGCTGGATCTCCCAGCTGCAGAGCCAAAGGCATCCTGGGGAAGCTGTCCCTAGAAACAGCCCCGGCTTCAAGAAGCAGGGGTTCACGCCTATAATCACAGCACTTTGGGAGGCCAAGGCGGGTGGATCACGAGGTCAGGAGATCGAGACCATCCTGGCTGACATGGTGAAACCCCGTCTCTACTAAAAATACAAAAAAATCAGCCAGTCGTGGTGGTGGGCGCCTGTAGTCCCAGCTACTCTGGAGGCTGAGGCAGGAGAATGGCGTGAACCCGGGAGGCGGAGCTTGCAGTGAGCCAAGATCACGCCACCGCACTCCAGCCTGGGCGACAGAGCGAGACTCCATCTCAAAAAAAAAAAAAAAAAAAAGCAAGCAGGCGTTCACCCTCCTACTGTTCTGTGGCTGGCTGGTGGATCCCCCTGGAGTGTGCCCCGTGTCCCCTGGGCAGGCGGTGCGCCCGACCCTCCGGCGTCTCCTGCCCTCTGTTGTCTGGGTCTCCCTGGCCCCCAGGCCGCGGGGCCGGCAGGTCTGCAGCCGGAGGGCGACATGCTCCTTGCAGCCTCCAGAGGGCGGCCTTGCTCCATGGAAAGACACTCGGCAAGGCCAGTTTCCCAGCCGGAGGGGCTCCACAGACCAGCTCCCAGACCAGCTCCCTGTGACCTTCCTCCTCCACCCCTCGAGGTGGCTGGGGGCCCCTGGGCAGGCCCCACCTCACTTGGAGCCTCAGTTTGCCAGTCCATTCATGGAGGGCTTGGGGGCTGCCCTGGATGTTGCCACTTGTTGGCTGCCTCCTCTATTAAGGACACAAAGACCACACTGGCCCCTTTGGGCACTGCCAGCTCCCGGGCTCGGTTTATCTTTATTCCCCCAGGGTGGGCAGGGCTGCTGCCGGCCTGCACCGTGCACGTGGGGAAGTTGGGATGAGACCCCCTTCCTCCATCTGGCCTCCACGGCATCAGGCAGAGCAGGACTCTAACACCCTGAGTTTATCAGAGCAAGGCCCCTTGCGGCTGGAAAGTCGTCATAATGAGCGATCGAGGAGGGCTGCGTGTGGAGGGTTCCCCTCAGTGTGGGGCCCTTGGGCTGGGAGTGACCTTCACAGCCACACGTGGTGACCCTGCAGGCAGGGAAAGGGAGGGTTGTTCTCTCCCATTTTTAGAGAGCGGGGCTGAGAACTAGGGGGCCTGAGCGACATGTGCATTGAGCAGCAAGAAAATCATGCCTGAAACGAAGAGGGGGAGCTGGGGATGAGCTAAGGAGGAACCCCATGAGCTCTGTAGATGCACGTGCGCTGCCTCTGTGAAGACAGCCTCCTCCCTGGGGGGCATCCGGCGGGGGGCTGGGACTGGCTTACTGAGAGGCACCCGGCTGGGCTGGGCGACGGTGAAGGGAACCCTGACTGCATGGTTTTCAGTTGCACGTGGGTGCTTGGCATGTGCGTGTGTGCCATGCCTGTGTGTGCACACTTGTGTGTGCTCTTGGTCATCAGAACGCCCGCAGCGGTGCTCATCTGATCCCACAGGCACACACGCACTTGAACATTCTGTTTATATGATCATGCGTTTTCATATTTTGAAAACAAAGCAAGCTCCATGATGCCCATGGCACAGCACACAGAAAGTCTACCCACTGCAGCAGGATCCTGGCCGGGGGGGCCTGGTAGCAGCTGGAGACCAGGCCAGGGCCTCTGTGGGAGCCTCTGTGGAGGCACCAGGATGGGGCAGGGTTTGTTCACCCGGAGTGGGTGTGGCTGTTCTAAGCACAGTGGCCTTCGTTCCCACAGAGGACAGGACTCCGAGAGGCCCCACCCCGCCCCGACCGGTGCCGGTGGCCCGCTCCAGAGCAGCATACTGGTCACATGCCCTTGTCACATGGATGGGGACGTGCCTGGTGACACTCGGGAGTCCTGGCCTCCCAGACCGGGAGGGGCTGTGTGGCTCGGCCTTCTCGGCACGGTGCTGCCCTGTACAGGAGGGGCCTGGGCTGGTGTTTGCTATCACAAAAGCCTGGCGAGGGAGTCTGACCTGCCATCAACACACCCGCAGGGGCCTCCCCAAGGCAGGAAGCTTCAGTCCCACACCTTCCGGGTGCTGCTGCCGGGCCCAGGAGCTCAGCATTCCCCACGTGCAGGGGCTGCGGCCGTGAGAAACTGTCCTTGGAATCTCAGAGCCTGCGAGTCTCCCCCAACTCCCCAGGCTGCCTGGTAAAACCTAGCAAGTCTGAAAATGGGTCCCCTAGAGAACGGGAGGCAGTCCTGGGAGAAGGGCACTCCTCTCCCACGCCTGGCCGAGGCATATCCCCATCCCACTTCGTCCCAGCAAACTTCCCTGGTGCTGCCCTAAGGCTTCATCCACTCAATTCCTGAACCTTCCAACCTTTGCCGGAGGCCAGGCTCACTCTGGCCTCTTCAACAGTAGACAGGAAAAGAAGCATTGGTGATCGAAGTCCCTGAGCTCCCCGAAGTGACCCTCAGCCTTCTCTGCTCCTGATCCCAGGGGCCTGGCCTGTGGGCTTCTTCTCTGGGAGCCCCTGCTCCTGCCCGGGTCAGCTGAGCTGCCTCCGGGCACCCGGGTCCCAGCGTCTCCTCCCACAGCCCAGTGACAGGCAGCGCCCTGGCTTGGACTGGCCATCCACAAAGCCTGCCCTGGGCGGCGCTGCAGTTTTGTTTGACTCGGCCTGTGAACTCACACAAGAATAAGGCCGAGGATGGAGCCCTTTCGGCAGCAGGGTTGGAGATGCTTGGGTGCCCCCCTACCCGACGTGTCCCACACAATCTCCCAGAAAGGAGGGATTTTACACCCTCCAATGCATTTTCTCACATCCCCCACCCTGACACATCCTTAGACTGGAATGGTGGTGCCTGGCCCTGGGACCGCCATGCTTTTGAGGCTGACTGACTGCTGAGAAAGGACACACTGGACTCTGCGTCTCCAGCCCGGATGCAAAGCACCTGCCAGTCTGAGCATTCAGGCTCTGCCCAGCCAGAGGCTTCCCACCCAGCTGGGGCCATGTGCCCCTCTGGCATGTTGAGGCAGCCCAATCTGTCTGCCTGCCTGACTGTCTGTCTGCCTGCCAGTCTGCCTGCTTGCCAGTCTGTCTATCTGCCTTCCTGCCTGTCCATCTGCTTGTCTGTCTGCCTGTCTGTCTGCCTGCCTGTCTGTCCATCTGTCTGTCCACCTGCCTGTCTGTCTGCCTTCTTGCCTGTCTGCCCTGCCTGTCTGTCTGCCTGTCTGTCCATCTGTCTGTCTGCCTACCTATCTATCTATCTGCCTTCCTGCCTGTCTGCCCTGCCTGTCTGTCTGCCTGTCTGCCTGCCTGTCTGTCCATCTGTCTGTCCACCTGCCTATCTTCCTTCCTGCTTGTCTGCCCTGCCTGTCTGTCTGCCTGTCTGTCCATCCATCTGTCCATCTACCTGTCTGTCTGCCTTCCTGCCTGTTTGCCTGTCTGTCTGTCTGCCTGTCTGTCCGCCTGCCTGTCTGTCTTCCTGTCTGTCCGCCTGCCTGTCTGTCTGCCTGCCTGTCTGTCTTCCTGTCTGTTTGCCTGCCTATCTTCCTGTCTGTCCGCCTGCCTGTGTGTCTGCCTGTCTGTCTGCATGTGTGCTCAAACACGGCTCATTCAGTTCCTGGTTTCTTTGGAAATGCAGAGACTTTTGCAGAAAGTCCACCTAATGGCTCTTGCATAAACCCTAGCAATTGTGGATCCGAGGTAAGAAATGGGATTGGAAAAGAAGCTTGTTCATAAAACTGGAGAGCAAGTCCCTTGTGTGAAGCTCTGGGGCCGGGGAGAGCCACGAACAGGGCTGTGCGTTCAATTTGGTTGCAGAGAGCCCTGAACGTGGCCCTCTCTTGCTTCTAATCTAAATAAATGGCCCAGACAGAGAAGTCCATTTGAAATTTAGGGGAGCCGTGAGCCCAGGGCTGCGAGGGAGCAGAGTTCTCCGAGCAGCTGGGGTCTGCGTTGTAAATAAGCTGACAAGCGGCCAGTGAAATTGATGGTCTCACTGCGTAAAATAACACGCCCGTGAGCTCCAAAAGGAAGGAGAACGTGCAGGGTAGCCTGGCCCTGGTGCAATGCGGAGGGCCTTGAGAGGACCTTGCTGTGACCGTGCCTGCTGCACTCCCAGAGAAGCCATTGGCAGGGGAACAACAGAGTATGGGCAGGTCAGGGGGGGTGGCCAGGGCCCCCGAGCCCCTGAGCACTGGGCAGCGGCATCCTTCCTAGGATCCAGTGAGGTCTCCTGCAGCCACTACAGGGGGATCTGCTTTTGGTGACTGTAAAAGTGAGGGAAGAGGAAGAAAGAAGAGATTTTGAAACCCAGCCGTAAAAATACAACTAAAAAAGAAAGGACATGCACGGGCCGCGTGCAGCCCCCGATGGAAGCACAACTGTGCCTCCCTTGCACGCTCCAGCTTCACACAGAAGGCAGGATGGAGCCTGGGGAGATGATGGAAGCACACGGCAGACTAGGGAGTCAGCAGCCCTGAGGCAGGAATCTCGGTCCCAGCAGGAGTCCCGGGCAGCCCTGCTCGCATCCAGGCTGTGACTCCAGGCTCCACTGGGCAGCCTCCCAGAGAGACCCCCGGGCCGGCTGTCAGGACGAAGACCAAGGAGCAGCCCCTCTCCCCACTCCCAGTTCAATTTTCATGCTTCTCCAACCCAAATCCCGCAAAGCCTATATGCTTAACTTTTTTTTTAAGAAATAAGACTGCCATTAACTCAATCTCACCTTCCCGCTTCACTCAAAGACCTCTAGGCCAGGAGAAGCTAGGGGCCAAGTTACCTCCAAGAAACATATTTGGTGCACCAAAGGCTCTACGTTCCCTACCTCAGGGCTTTGAAACACATTCTGAACGATTTCAGGTCATCTGAGGCAAGGACTTAAACGGAAGAGGCTTCCAATGTCATCTGGTTTGATTACCCTATCACTCCAGGCAACCCATGAGAAGCCTGCTTCCTCCTGCTTGCGCGGGGCTGCGTCAGCCCGACCTCTCCAGGGCACACACATATGCACATGCGGCGGGCACACACGTGGGTGCTGGCACCGGAAAGGGGCTCACACTGGGGCGGGCATGGGGGGTTGAGCTCCTCTTGGCAGGCTTCTGGGGATGGCCGGCACTTTCCCTCCTCCAATTTAAAATCCTTCTGATTATCAAAGCCAGTCCAGAAACCACCAGTGGTATCAAAAGGAAAGCTACACGCTCCAAACCCCTCGGCACAGACCTGCCTTGAGCCAGATAAAGTCAGGATTTGCAACACAAACTTGCAAAGCAATTATTGTTACCAAAGTCGAAACTCACAGATTGGAGAGAGCAAAAGAAATCAATGATAATTAAATTCTTCTATAAACACCACCCCGACCCTCTAGGGGCTCTTAGCACACAACGCTGTCCAGAAGTCGGCTCTCATTACAGAAAAAACACACAGCTCATTTTCTGGGAGGGGACCAGACCAAATAAATCTTTCTGCTGCTAGCCTTTGTTAAGTTGTAAGTCACTATTTTTTGAAGGGTGGGTAAGGGGGGGCCTGTGAATTGGGGAGGGCTGTGAGCGCTGAACAGATGACCCGTAAGTGGTATAAGCTGTCATTTACCCTGCGAGTTGGGACACAGCCCTGGGGCAGCCGGGGATGCTTGCTCTGTCTCAGAGTGGGGGTCAGTGACCACGACATGCACAGGTGCCTCAGCTGGTCTCCTTCCCCAGGGATGGAGACACAGACTGAGTCCCCAGTGCCTGCACTATCATGTGGCCCCTCTAGCTCTGTGTGGCCAGAGGACAGAAATCTTATGCTGTCAACTTAAGCCGTGTGAAGCACTCTTTATCCCCAATGGCCTCTGTGAACAGACACACCCTGCATGTGTCACTAAACCAGCCTTGGCAGAAAACCAGCGTTTCCCCATTCGCCTCCCAGTTACCATTGTCTGGGGCTCTCGCTTAAAATGCCCACTCCCAGGCACTGACCCCGGTGATTCATGGGGCATCTCTGAGCCTCGGGCCCCTCATCTTTGAAATGGGATGACAAGCCTGTTGGGAGGCTGTTGTGAGCCCCAAATTCAATGCCTCCCCCATCCCGATGAGCTGTGTGACTGCTTCACTGCAGGTGCCAGCCGGCTCCTCAGATGAGAGGAGCACGGGGGGATCCTGGAAGCAGACGCACCGCTTCCCATCCAGGCTGTCCCCGGGACCCCGTGGAATCCCTCAGTGGGCTCCAAGTGGGGGGTGGGGACCCGCATTTGCACGGAGTCTCACTCTGCCTTTGGCCCACTCCCTGGCCCACCAGAAGTGGGGGTGTGGGGGCAGCTATGGCCGTCGTGAGATGAACGGAGTTGGGCTGGGTGTGGGGAAGCTGAGGTTTTCTCCCATGTGGACCCTCTGGGCCCTGGCTCTGGTCAGCCCTGCTCTGATGAGGATCCCCTGCCCCAGTGAACACCCTAGGGTGGGTGGAGAGCTGCTCCCTCACATCTTTGAGAGCCAGGCAGATGCCTTCCAGAAGGTTCCTGGGCACCTCCTGCCTCATCCTCAAACATCCTGCTGAGGCCAGGAGGGGAGGGCCAGAGTGACCAGAATTCAGCACCCGGCCCTGCCCACTGCCTGCTCACTCCAGCAGGGAGCCCTGGGAATGGCATACTTACTCCTAGGAGTGGGTCAGCGGTGCACGGAGGCAGGCGGCCCCGCCCCCACACCCAGCCCACGCAGCACCTACCTGTACGGCTGCTCCCCAGTGTGCGTCCTCAGGTGTCTGGTGAGATTGGCTGATCTGGGGAAGATCTTCCCACAGTACCTGGGGTGGAGGGAGGTGGGGAGGGTGAGGGAGGATTAGGGTGGGCTTACATGGCCATTTCCCAGAAATGGTTTCAAGCTAATGCTCGGGGTCTCACACCTGATGCACAGGTGGACCCATCCCAGCATCCCAGTTTCAGTCCCTTCCACGGCCCTGAAGCCCAGCCTCAGTTGCAGAGCAGGCTGCCATGGGCCACAGTAGTAGACAGAGCAGCCCCTGCCCCCTGAAGCGTCTCGGCCCCTCAGTCTGGCGGTGAACAGGGCAGGCTCCAACAGACTTGGACAGGCCTGCACCAGCAGAGGGTGGCCGGGAGGGTGTCATCCTGACACTGCAGAAATTGGCTGAGGCTGTAGCACTGGGCTTCCCATCCCTCCAAGCGCTGAGGTTAGTCACTGACCAGCACACCTCAGGCCCAGCCTTCCCAGTTCAGGCTGGGCTGAGGTTGCATATTCTTGAGCTCCCAAGAGCACAGCATGGCGTGAGGCAGGGGAGGCCACCCAAGTCACTTATTTGCAAAGCATGACCTCAAGCAGATAACCAGCTGATTGCAGTGCTGTGCTTTCCTATGGCCGGGACTCTGAGTTTTTCCTGGAAGCACAGGTTCACAGCCACAGGTGTGGCACTCGAGCCCCGCCAGGGCTGTCCCAGCAGCACCAAAGGGCCCCTCACCTGCACGTGTATCGCTCCTTGCCCTTCCTGAGGATGGGGTCGGAGAGCGTTGGGGGTGGGGACCGGAAGTTGAAGGGGTGGTGGGGGAGGGGCTGCAGGGAGCTGCCCGAGTCCGCCTTCATGGCTGCAAAGCTCTCCAGCTTCTCTGTCATGGTCTCTATGGCTGACATCTGTAGGCATAAGAGTGGGAGGTTATGGACTCAGCTGACTCTCACCTGTCTTCAGGGGCACGCACTGCTGGGGGTTCTGTACAACAGCATATCTTAGGGTGCTCAGGTGGGCACTGGAAGCAATGGTCTCCTAGTATTTTCTTGGACCCTGGGTTGGATTTTTTCACCTTTCTGTAGTCAGCCCTGCTCTTGTCCTTCCCTGAGTCCCAGTCCCTCGTTTGTAGTTTAAGGTCTTTCCTGCAGGAGCTGAAACTGATCTTTAGCAACCAGCCTCACTGCCCGGTTTGGGCGGGACCTGAGTGATACAGGTAGCTGATGTTTATGATTACCCCTTATCTGACCCAGGCCGGCAAAATGCCCAGCTGACTTGACTCCTGGCCAGCACTTCTGGTTGGCTAGTTTGGGTTAAATGCAGAATTACATCTAGTTTAACATTAAAAAGTTTATTTTTTAGTCTTGAAAAATTACAATAGCAACCTGAATCTCCGTTTAAAGCATAGATTGTGGGCCTGCAGAACCACTGCCACCAAGTGGCAGCATGCCATAATTGCAGGCAAAGTACTAAGGAATTCAACAGCCTCTTTAAGACTTAAACCCACAAAGGAAATATTCAAAATAATAATGTGACATGTCACATGACACAGGGCAATTTGATATGGGCAACAGGAGCTGCCTCTCTGCTCCCTGGAGATGCCCAGGGCTTGCTCGATTAGGAGAGTGGAAGCATGGGATTGGTGGGCAGAGCTCTGATCAGAATCCCAGACTGTCCTGGCCCCACTGAGGTCTCTGACAATAGCGACAGGAGAGGGGAAGGGCTGGGCTGATGGAGCTGCTCAGTGTCAGCCCTGCCTCTCCCAGCTCCCCTTCTCTTTGAAGATTTGGAGCTGACCTCAGTGGAGAAGGAGATGGGCCACCCTGTGATATCTGCTGTGTGCCAGGCCCTGTAGGGGGCTGCACAGGGGCTGAAAAGGAAGAGTGTTCATCATCCCCTGAGGGGTAGCAAAAGGCAAAACAGGGAACAAACCCCGGGCCTCGGCACCACACACCCAGCCTGCTGAAGGTGGGGCCAGTGCTCCCAGGGCCCAATGCCTGACCCACAGGGCCCTCCAGACACCTTTGCTAAACAGGTATTTTCATAGCCTGCCTCCCCTGGGAGCTCCCAGAGAAGGGGATGAGGAGGGAGGGCAAGGGTGAGGCAGGAGCTGATACAGATGCAGAGGGAAGGGAGAGCTTGGGGTTCCCCAGGTGCTGGTGTCACTGGGAGGAACTGGCCAGGGTGCCGGTCCTTGGCACCCAGCCTCCACGGAATGGGTGTGGGGGTGAGGAGAAGGGCAGGTGAGGACCTGCGTCATCAAGGGGCTTCATATAGGGCTCGCTGCCTCTGGGCAATGCTCAGAGCCAGCTCCACAGAGGTGACCCGCCCATTTACAGCAAGACCCTAGCCCTGGCTGCCCACTAGCAAACAAAACTATCCCATCACGCGGCTGGGGTCTCTCAGAGTCCGAGTGCCGGGCATCTGGCACTCAGCTTTTCGGAGACCTGCTTGCCAGGGACTTATCCAGCTGCTGCTGGTAGGGAGCAGAGGGCTTTCTACAAATGCTTCCCAGAGACCACATGAGCCAGTGGTGGGGACGTTTTGCTATTTGGGGAACTGGTTACGATAAAAATACCCAGAAAGAAACGAACGAGTAGAAACTCGTGTCCGTCCACAGTGGCCAAGGCCTCCCCTCTGGCCCCTTCCAGCCCCACCCAGGCTGTGGGGGTCAGGCTTCTCCCGCCCCTGCGAGGCAGGCATGCTCTCATCCTGATGAGAACGAGTGATGAGCGATGGGCAGATGGAAGCTGCCTTGCTCCCTGAGCCATCAACTGGGCCTCACCAGCCCCTCCGCAGCCCGGAGCAGCAGGGCTGAGGTCTTTCCACAGGCATGGCCTCTTGGGCTTTGTCGAGGTCTTTAGTAACTGGCGCCTTCTGCCCAAGTGACAGCCCAACCTTAGACCATTTGGTGACTTATTAGTCATCTCTCTCTTCCCGCCCCCCACCTCCTGGCTCCGGGCTGCAGGGACAGGCAGCGGGGGTGGCAGGCCCGTGGGGGCAGCGGGCAGGAGGGACAATGGAAACTGCCCCCCGCTGGGCTCCCTTCCTCGGGCCTGGGTGGGCCTCTCCCGCCCGGCTTGCTCCGCCCGATCAGATATTCCCGGCCTCGCTCCCCGCACAAACAAACGCAGGATGCGCCTGGCTGGCTCGTGGCTCTTTCCAGCCCATCCCGAGGAAAATCAGGGGAAGTTATTAACCAAACTCCACGGCCCCGGGGAAACAATGGGAGGCGCTAAGTTTAGCTGTGAACTCAGCCTGGGCGCAGGTTTCACAAACCAGGTGGGGGGCCCGTCCACGGCGGGGAAGGCCGAGAAAGAGAACAATGCCCCGGTCTGGTCTGCAGTCTGTCAGGGCCAGGCCCACTGTGCGACCCTCAGGACCCTCCAGGTGCAGCCCATGGCGCTGCGGAAGGGGCCAGGCTCCCAGCAATGAGACCAAGTCAGTAGGGGACAGGAGGTCGGGAAGACTCTGCCCTGGCCATGCTGCCCACCTGCTATTTTGCTCCCAGGATGTGGCCTCAGGGGCAGGCAGGAGCACCTCCAGGCCTGGCAGGGTCTGCACCCACCTGTCTGGACTGGGGGGCTCTCTGGGTCTCTTTCCAGACCCCCTGCCCACCACCTCCCTGGGGCCTGGCTCCATGCCCCTCTCTGCATGCTCAGGCCCTTCCTCTCTTCCGGTCCATTTGAACATACTCAGGTCCTGTGCACCCCAGAGAGAGCGCCCACGCTGTGTCCTGGGCTGCCACCTGAGGCTGCTCCCCTCACTCACAATCCCTGCCCTCGCTCCTTCAGGCTCTGCCCACGACTCCAGTGAAGCTCCTTCTCCCTCCTGGAGCCCAGAGCCAGGGGTCAGAGAGGTCCCTGGGGTGGCCCTGTGAGGGTCACTCTCAGTCCTCAACCTCTCCAGCCTACAGTGACCTGAGGGGCCTCAGGGAGAGAATCCTCCTCTGCCTTTGAGGGCGTCTGTGCGTGGTATGGCCTGGACGGGGACTTAGGCTCCAGCCTGGCCACTGAGCCTCGACAGCCGGGAGATGGGGCCACTGGCGTGTGGGTTACAGGGCGCCCTGACCTGCACTGAGGACGTACCTGGGGGTGGAAGAGCAGCGGGGACGGCCGCAGGTACTTCTCCTTCAGGGCTCCCACGGGGTCTGTGACCTTCCGCTTTTCTACCCTGCTGGACAACAGCACAGAGGGTTACGTACCCCACCGAGCCGCCCGCCCCGCCGAGCCACCCGCTCCACAGAGCCGCCCACCCCGCCTGACCATATACCTGGCCAGTCACAAGGCCATGGTGTGGACCTCGCCGTGGCTGCCCCAACGCTCACCAGACTCCTCTGTGGGCCTTGGGGATGTCGGGAGCCCAGCCCACCTGCACCCCTAGACGGACCCTCCCTGTCACCACCTGCCCCTGAACACTCTCCCTCAGTGGTTCCCTCACACCTCCCATGCCTCCAAGGTCCCCTCGAGGGCCTTCAAAGACCCCTGGCTGCCAGCACCCCTGCAGGTCATGGGTGCTAAGTGCAGGCGGCTGGAGTTTTCTCTGAAGGCCCCGTGCACCCCGGCCTAACTGGCCGGTCAGCCCTGCATGAGTGGGGACCACTCTGAAGGGGGTCCCTGGACCTGCTCACAGCAGAGCGTGGCTCACACCAGAGGCTCAAGGCCTCCTCCGCTCCTTCTCTGACCCGGCCCCTGGCACGGGGTGTGCTGCCCGTGTGTGCTGATGAACGTGAGTGGCCAGCAGGTTTCTGTCCTGGGGAGGTCACCAGGGGCTTCCTGCAGCACCCAGACAGGGCCCTGTCTAAACACCCTCCAGGGCTGCTGGAGATTACAGTTCCAGAACCTTCCCCAGATGCCGGTGACAAGCCTGCTCACTGAATCACAATGCAAACCTCCTGTGGTAAACAGAGGCCGTGGGCAGGGCTATCCACTGACCCTCCTTTGGCCTGGTGGCTCTTGAAGGCAGCCTGCTCTTCTCTGTCTGCCTGGGTTCCCATAGTGAGGGTTAGATTTGGGAGCCTCTTTCCCATCACTGAGAGCGCTTTGGTAAACCTGCCACCCCGTTGCAAGACACAGCACCCCCAGCATGTCTATGACTGGCCGCTTTTGCTTTATTAGGACAGGACTTGCTCAGGGTCTCCTGCCTGTCTCCTTGCATGGCGAAGCGGGGAGCACAGGGACAGGTGCTGGTGGGGGTAGGACCCCCTCCCCAAGCCTAGCCCTGCTCTTCCAACCCACCTGCATTCTAGGGAGGGGCAAACCTGTCCAGAAATTAGGGAGTGGCATTAAACTCGCCTTTCCCCAAGAGAGGCATCAGAGACACAGGACACTGGTGCCTAGAAAACCCTCCAATGCTTGCTTCATCCCTCGCCTCCTCCTCCCCTCCAAGGACCACTGGCTCCTTCTCTGATTCCCCCGGGGCCCCCAGAAAGACACCCCCTCCCCATTCCCCCTGCCGCTGTGGCTCCAGGGGCAGGAGCGCACCAGGAGGGGCAGGAAGCACTCAGCCCAGGCCCCTCTGACTTCTGCAGGTAGAGGCTGGGGAGAGCTAGACCAGAGACGACAGCTGGAGAGAGGGGTGGGGAAGGGTGTGGGTTGGGGTGGGGGGTGGGGTTACTGGGGATAGGAGGCGCTCGAGGCCAGCAGTGTGATGTCTGAGTGGTCATCGGTGCAAGCAAACTGCACGTGTCCAGGAGCACCCGTCCTGGCCTCCCAAACACGGCCCGGGCCAGGCACCTAGCTTAGGAGCAGCCAAGCCAGGCATCCCTCCTGAGGGGTGCAGACCCCCCCAAGAACAGGGGCATCTTCCTGAAGTCAGCAAAGGCCGGGGGACGACCTTGGAGGAGCTTGAAAGAGACACCACCATGCACTGAGCCCGCCCAGCACCGCCGCGGCCCCGCCCCAGGGAGAGCCAGTGAGGCTGGGGTGCTGAATACCTGTAGATGGGGTCCATGAAGAAGGGCGAGGGCTTGGCGTAGTGGAGCGGGGGCTGCTGGGGCATCCGCGCCGGGCACACCTGGGGCAGCCCCTCGCCGGCGCCCAGCTTGCGTTCCCCATAGACGTGGTTCTTGCGGGGCTCCCGCCCGCCGCCGTTTTGGCTGGCACGGGCCCGGCTGCCGATGCTCAGGTCCAGCGGCTGCTCCTCGCCGGATGCGGGGGCCGAGGGGCCCTTGGGCATGGGCAGGATGGGCTTCACGTCTTTGGGCTTGGTGGTGAGATCAAAGGGGCACTCGGCACTGGGGCCGCCCACCTTGAGGGCGTCCCGGGGTGACTTTGGCTCGGCCTTGACCAGCAAGTTGTGGGCGAGGGCTCGGTCCGTGAAGGGGTAAAGGGAGTGGGGGAAGTTGGGCAGGAACTGGAAGGGGAACGCCGAGTGGTAGGGGAGCGAGCCCAGCTTCTTCTCCTGCATCCCCATGAAGCCGGGGCCAAAGTACTTCTCGGCAATGGATGCGATGGCCTTGATGGAGTCCCCGGCGGCGCCCGTTGCAGTCAGCAGCTGCTCGTCGGGTGGCGGGAAGAATGAGTGCTGGGAATAGAAGACAGGCACCTCGGCCACGCTGTTCGGGGCCCCCGGGGGCGCCAAGCCGCCCCCAAACTTGGGCTGGCCCTCGGCGGACTTGCCCTTGCCCTTGTCCTTGTCAGGGTCGCTGTCCACGTCGCTGTCCAGGTCCGAGCCCGTCCCCGTGGTCGTGTCCAGGTCGGTCCCCGTGGTGGTGTTGACGTCCTCAAAGTCACTGCCGTCCGACATGTCGCTGCTCCTGGTCTTCAGCTTCTCCACACAGGAGTCCTCCAGGCGGCTCTCGAACTTCTCCTCGGGCCCCGCAGCTGCCGTCGTGCCCTGGCTGCTGTTGCTGACGGCGGAGACCAGGGGCAGGGCTGGGTTCCCCAGGGGACTGGGGAGCTTGGCGTCCTGGGTGTGGTTCAGGGGGCTCTTGAGCAGCGATGTGGGAGGTAGCAGAGGCGGCCGGGGGTACAAGGATGGAGGGAAGATGCCCGGGAAGCCGGGGGTGAGTGCGGGGAACGTGGGAGGCGCCGTGGAGAAGGGCAGGCTCCCCGGGTGCGGCCTGGAGGGAAAGTACTCGTTGAAGCCCAGGCTGGCGTGATTGAGGCTGGGGGAGGGTTTTGCCTTGTCCATCATGGGGCTGGGGGTCAAGGGCAGGCCCGGGGCAAAGATGCCGCCCGGCGTGTAATGGTTCTTGCCCTCGCAGAAGCGCCGGTGCTTGTTGAGGGAGGAGGTAGTGCTGAACATCTGGCCACAGTCCTTGCACTTGATCTGCGTGCGGCAGTCGGCGTGCATCCGCTTGTGCCGGCACAGGTTGGAGAACTGCGTGTAGGACTTGTGGCAGACCTCACCTAAAACATCAGCAGAAGCCAAGACAAACCCGCATGAAATGACCGGGAAACCCTGCTGAAAACGCCACATGAAATTACTGGGAAAGCCAGCCGCTGGAGGGGCGAGGCTGGGGCTGGAAGCAGTCTGTCTGGGTGCATGTGCGTGGGCATGGGTGTATATGTGTGTACTGTGCATACATGCGTGTGTGCGTACACACAAATACACAGGCAGGTGCATGTGTGTCTGTGTGCGTAAGTGTCCGTGTCTGGGCAGGCGTGTGTGTATTCTGCAAGCGTGCGTGTCTGAGTGTGCACACGTGTGCACACATGAGCATGTGGAAACATATGTGTGTGTGCATGCGCCCCACCCAAGACTGGCCTCCAGTGACCAGCACAGATCGGGGGGCCGGTTGGTACAGTTCCTGCTGTGCCGCCACCTTCTTTGCTGGAGAATGGGCTTGCCACTGCTGTTTCCACCCTCCTACCCCACGGTGTTGCTAGTTTAGGAGCCAAGATTTTCAGAAGTCCCTGGGGAAGGTGAACCTGCTCTCCAGGGCGGGGCACGGGGAAAGCGAATGCATGTGATGGTGTCTGCCACTCCATCAGTGGATTCAGGGCAAGCTGGCTCAGGGCCCGCCCTGCCTTCGTCTTCACTTTTGCAGCTGTTCTAGCAGGGGTGGGGGCAGGACGCTGACCACGCAGACTGTGCCTCCTGCTCTCTAGAAGTTCACAGTGTTCCTAGTGTCCTCCCACCTCCCCTCTCCGCACCAGATCCTGCTGCCTGCACCCCGGAGAAGGCAGCCTCTGGGTTGACACAGACAGTTCCTGAGGTTCTCAGGAGGCCCCAACTCGGGGATCCCGGACTTTGGGGCTCCTGGCAGTACTCAACTACCCTTTGGAGATGGCTGGAGGTGGACATGGATAGGAGGTCACCCCGGGCAGGAGCCCTATGCAGAGGGACTATTCCCTGCTTGAGAAAAGTGAAAATCCTACTACTGGGAACCTCCTCAGACTGGGATGGAAGCGGCAGTGCCCGGCTCTGGCTGGCGAGTGCCAGCATCTTCTCTCAACAGGAGAGGGCAGTGCCGGCCCAGCTAGACTCCAGGACCCAGCGGCCTGGGGGTTCCGGCCATTTTCCTAAAGGCCTGTGAACGGTTGTCAGCGAATCACCAGCTTGTCTTTTGCCTCTTGTTTTTCTAAGAAAAAAGGGAGGAACACACACACATCTACACATGCACACACACAGCACACACAACCACACACCACATTCATACACATGCACACACACCACACACACGCACACACACAACCACACACATTCATACACATGCACATACACAACCACACACCACATTCGTACACACACAATCACACACATGCACACACAGCACACACACATGCACACCCCCCACACCCCCCCATGCAAACACACAACCACACCCCCCACACGCACACACACCCACACCACACACATGCACATACACACACACCACACCCACAACCACACCACACACATGCACACAACCACACACATGCACACAAACACCACACACACACCCACACCACACACCCACACACAACCACACACATGCACACATACACCACACACACCCACACCACACACCCACACACAACCACACACACTCACACCCACACCACACACACACCCACACTACACACACCACACAAACCACACACATGCACATACACCACACACACGCACACACACACCACAGACACGCACACCACACACACACATCCCGGCGAGTGTCTCTCTCTGTAGGACAATTTGCTTCCTAAACACGGCGTGGTGGAAACAATGATTTCAGCAAGCTTCTTGCTCACCAGAAATCGTCGGCTGCCTGATCTCCTTCGACTCCAGCTGGGAGCTTTTCCCCTAAGATGATCGTGTTCTTTCATCACGATATCTATTTATATTAACCGCTCTACCTTCCTGCTCGTCCAGCCTGGCGGGGCGTTTTCAAGGCTGAGGGGAGAAGAACTTTGTCTCGTTTCATCAAATCTGCCCTCTCTGGAGGGCTGCTGATGGACAGGTGACCCTCCAGAGGGAGGGTCTGTAAATACCCCTCGGTCACCTACCTGGCCCTCGGGGAGGCACTCAGCCCTGCCGGCCAAACAAGCACACCCTGGCTGTGCCCCACTCACACACTCTCACACCCACACGCACCAACTCACGCGCCCACACTCTCACACACACACGCACCAACTCACGTGCCCACACTCACTCACACACACCCACACTCACACACTCACATGCATCAACTCACACGCCCACACTCGCACTCACAGACACGCGCCCACACTCACGCTGTCACGTGCGCCGACACACGCACCGGCCCACACGCCCACACTCACACACACTGACATGCCCCGGCTCACACGCCAACCCTCACATGCTCTCACACGTGCCAACACATGCACTGGCTCACACGCCCCTCACTCTCATGCGTGCCAACACAAGCACTGGCTCACACGCCCACCCTCATGCGCTCTCACACACACACGCACCAGCTCACGTGCCCACCCTCGTGCTCTCACATCCTCCAACACACGCACCAGCTCACGCGCCCACACGCGCTCACACACACGCACCGGCTCACGCGCCCACACTCATGCACTCTCACGTGTGCCAACACATGCACCGGCTCACGCGCCCACACTCACACACTCTCATGCACGCCAACACATGCACCGGCTCACGTGCTCACACTCACACACTCTCACACATGCCAACACAGGCACCAGCTCACGCACCCACACTCATGCACTCACACACACACCAGCTCACACACCCACACTCACACGCTCTCACACGCACCGACACATGCACCAGCTCATGTGTCCACACACACGCTCTCACACACACACGCACCGGTGCACGCGCCCACACTCACACACTCTCACACGTGCATACTTATTAAAGCAAAGGCTCTTTCTGCAAAGTGCCCAGTGGGAGCCTGTGCACCTCATTCCCAGATATTATACTTCCTCTCTGTCCTGTTCTCCTCTCCTCTCGCTCTACCCACCCCTTCTCTTACACCCATGCACACACACGTTTGTACACAGCCCAGGGCACAGGTGAGCGCCTTGGTGGGAAAGACACCACCAGGAATGACACCCCCTCCGTCTGTGTGGCCAGTGAGGTGGGGGCTTAGGGCTTCCATCTGCCTGTGCCATGGGTGTGTCACCCAGCAGGTGGACACGGAGTCTGGCCATGAGCGCCTGCGCAGCTGTGACCTCTCCTGCAAGCAACTGACCATTCCTGGAAAGGGCCACGCCATTTGGACTCCCTCACTTGTTTGCAAATTCTCCTCTCCAAGCCTGAAGACCCCCTTCTGCAGTTGCACCAAAGGACACTGTGCAGTGGCCTGGGGGATACCAGGGCTGCGTTGCTTGTGTCTGATCTAATTTCTAAGGGAATGAGAATCTTCATAAACCCGATCTGCCCACATCTGGGGTTTTCCTTTAAGCTTTATCCCCTTAGCAAAAAGCCAAGGCACAAAGGTGAGCCGAGTGTGTGGACAAGAAGCGCAAGAGTCGCCGAGGCGGGGCAGGGCCAGTTGAGTTTCCCTGTCCTCACTCCATCCACGAGGGATGGGGAGCAGCCTGCAGTGTGGTGGGAACAGTGGGCTCCAGCTGCCCAGGGTGCTGCAGCTCTTGGAATGCACATCATTAAAGCGATGCAACGGGACTTTAGAACGCTCGTCTGCAGGCCCAGAGAGGCAAGGAAGTTTAAACCTAGGTCCAATTTTCTTGCTCCTGAGCTTGCTATAGAACTCCACGTTGTCATCTGAGGCACCAACTGGTGCCGCTCTCACTGGAGTCACTTGACCTGCAGCTGGGAGCAGTCACCCCCCGCCCCAGCCCCTGACTCCTGCCCAGCTCGCACCGTGCTGGCTTCTCCCAGAGGAAAGGGGTACTGTGTATCGGGGTGCCGGAGCCGGGCACACTGCACACATGCTCCTCCTGGGAGATCGGTGGTCAGCAAATGGGAAAACAGTACTTGTGGAACGGCCGGCAGGCAGAGCTCCATCTCCCTTTGGTTCCTCAGTTGGTGGGGGCATGTGGCCCAGGTTAGGCTGGGGGCGGAGTCACCCCTAGCAGGACGGCTGGACGCTGGGGCTTGGGAGGTGGGTGGGACGGGCACAGCCCAGGTGCTGACAGGGGCCCGGCTGGCTGGCGGACATCACCTCTTGTGCAAGTGGTCAGTGCCTGAGTGGTCCCACATCAGCAAGAACACCTGAGTCCAGGTTCCCAAGCTCCCAGCACCCCGCCTCTCCAGGCTGATGCAACGGAGCCTGGAAGGTTCAAATCACCCAGCCGGGGGCCAGGAGCCAGGCCCCTGAAGCTAAAATTTGGGCTCCACAGCCTGGCCTTGAGCCCACGGTCACTCAACATCTTGTAGCCTCCCTTTCCTCCTATGACAACTGGAGACAGAAGGGCCCCACTCTCAGGCTTTCGTAAGGATGCTGTGTAAGAATGCTTGGGAAGCGATGACTCGGCACAAGGCCCAGCAGACAGGACCCTTCAGGGGCCTCTGACTTCACTGAGAATCAGGGTCATAGTCCCTGCACTGGCCCACAAGGCCCCTTGGACCCGGCCCTGGTGACCTCTTACCTTTCTCTTATTTATTTTTATTTCTTTACAGAGTCTTGCTCTGTTGCCCAGGCTGGAGTGCAGTGGTGTGATCTTGGCTTACTGCAGCCTCGAATTCCTGGGCTCAGGACATCCTCTTGCCCTTAGCCCCCTGAGCAGCTGGGACCACAGGCACACACTACCGTGGTTGGCTAATTAAAAAAAAAATTTTTTTTTTTTTGGTAGAAATGGTGTCTTGCTACATTGCTCAGGCTGGTCTTGAACTCCTGGCCTCAGGTGATCTTCCTGCCTGGGCCGCCCAAAGTGTTGGGATTACAGGTGTGAGCCACCACCTGGCCCTTTCTTCTCACTCCGCTCACTCACTCCTTAAACAAACCCTGGCCTCTGGGCCTCTACGCTCACAGCTCCCTCCTGAGCCTCCTCCACAGGTGCCCAGGGCTCACTCTCCTTGTGTCTTTGCTGGAACGCCTCTCATCGAACAGGCAGTCTCAGCTCCCACACCAGGCTGCCAGCCTGGCCCCCTGTGAGGCTGTAACCCCACACCGCTGCACCCAGAGCTGTGCCTGCCACCTTGCTTGTCTGGCTTGCCTGTCTCCTCCCATTGGTGTGCGAGCCTCCTAAAGACAGCTGGTCTTTTATTCAGGGCTGGCCCCCGCACTGGAACAGCACTGGGCACAGACAGGGCCCCCTAGAGACACCGCCCTGACAATCCCAGTGGGTGTCTGCTGAGACTGTCACGTGCAGGGCAGCACAGAAGCACGCCCTTCTGGAGCTCGGCACAGGTGGGGAGTGAGTTCGGGGGACGGGAGTAGCAACAGGGAGGGAGGGTCCAGCTCCTTCTGCAGGACCCTGGTCCCTCCCATCACCCACTGCCCCCCTCCAGCCCCTGTGAGGTGAAGCAAGGGGAGCCGTGGAGGAGGACGGGATGGGGAAGGGGAGCAGTGAGGGACAAACTCAGAGGGTGCCTGCCGGGGACCAGGCTGCACGCGGCAGAGATGTCAGAACCTGCCATGAGTGCTTTATGAACAAACTGGGGCCCCTCGGATCGGGGGAGACCTTGGGGGATGGCCCACCTCGGCCCGACCGCCACGGCATCCGCGCACCCGGAGGGCAGGCGGCCAGGCTGGGCGACCACTCACATATGAAAGGCTTCACCGTGCTGTGGATATGCTTGTGCTGCTTGAGGCCGGAGGACGTGGCGAAGGTCTTCCCGCAGTCGGGGCAGGCGTGGGCCCGAGCGCCCACGTGCTGCGAGCGGATGTGCCGCTGAAGGTTGCTGGGGTCCGTGAACACCTGGGGAGACGGATGCCGTTGGCGCGTGCCCTGCCTGGACACCCGCCTTGGCCTGGTTCTGGCTGGCGGACCAACCGGCTGTGGGGGGCAGGGCCCTGCCTGTCTCTCTTGCCACGTTGCAGTCTGCACCAAGCAGGCCGGGACAGGTCTCTGTGTAGCAAGGACCCGCTGCAGGGCCTTAAGTGAGCCGCAGAGCCTCCCCGGCTGCTTTCCTCAAGAACAATTCCTGAACTGAGGCTGCGTGAGACAGGGCTGCAGAAAGCGTTTTCAGCTGTGGTGCTGAGACCCTGGCGGGCTCGGGGTGGAGGCTCGGCTCAGCCCCGCCAGCCTCTTCCTTCCACACCGGCGGGAGGACAGGAGCCGCGCTCTGGAGGGGCCTGGGTTCTGGTCTCGGCCCTGATCCTTCTGACCTGGGGGACACGGTCTTCCCTGAGACTTCCTTTCCTTCCTAGTCACACGGAAGGGCCCGAGCCACCGCAGGGGCCTCCTACCCACTCTGCCGCACTCCATCTACATTTGGACCAGGGGGTGTAGGGAGCACGGGGGCGGGCGCCCGTCTGCAGCCTCCTGCTGCCCCGGGGCTGAGACGGGGCCGCCCCGCAGGTTACCTTCACGCAGTTTTCACATTCGAAGCGTTTGCCGCTGTCGTGGGACATCTGGTGGCGGATGAGGTTGGACTTCCAGTTGAAGGCCTTGGGACACTGGTCGCATTTGTACTCGCGCTCCTCCGTGTGGATGACCATGTGCTGCTCCAGGCTGCGCAGAGGACGAGGCTCACTGCGGGGCCCGACTACCTGCCCTCTGCCCGGGAGGGGACCCCAACCATACAGCTTGTTCCCAGTGCCCCTTCGGAGCCCCCACCACGCTGCCGAGGGATCAGAGCACATGCTGGTGTCTCCCTGCCCACCTCCTCTCTGCCGTGGCCGGGCTGTGAGGGGCAGAGGCGGCCTTCCCCTAGCAGATGGGGAAGCCGGCACCTGGATGGTTCCATCCCTCACCCAAGACCACCCCCAGGGCGGCTGGAGGCAGTGCCGGACCCCGGCCCACACTCCCTGGGTGCCTCTCAAGCTGGTCCTGGCCTTGCAGCTAGGCTTGGGCCTAAGAAAAAAGGGGTTCAACACTGGCATGAACCCAGGAGTGGGGCAAGTCCCCCAAACCCAAGGATGCCCCTCTGAGTGCTGGGCACACACCGAGGACGCAGGTCGGGAGTCACTCGGGGGTCTCCAGGTGACACGGAGGGGACCCGAGCACAGCTGCTCGGAGGGGCCGCTGCACTTGGATGAAGGAGTCGCTCTAATTCCCTGCTCTTGGGGGACCCCCGGCTTCCCTTGTCCCAGGGATGACCGTTAATCTTCATGAGCAAAGCAGTGATATATCACGGCTCGTTAATTACGGGGCCCAGCCATCCATTCAGATCAGAAACGCCTGGTTCCCGAGCATCAGGAGACTGTATCTTTTCCCCCGTTGTTAATTGTGATTTATGTGTTTATGTAAAGAAAACACGGACCCTCTTGAGCGGCGTTTACTGGGAAGGGCCGCAGTTGGGATTTGCCCAAACGTTTATTTTCTCAGTCATCTGTTCCGGGTGGAGGGTTTGCCGTCCCCAGGGAGCGGTGCGGGGATGGGCGGTAATCCCCAGCAATCACATAGCCGGTTAGTGGCCTGATGGGCTTTGCTCTGACTTTGCGAGGCTGTCCTGGAGGAAATCCTCAAAGGCAGGAGGAGGGGCCCAGGTTGGAAAAGTCTCCATAGCTCCTTACAGCACTGGACTGAATGTCCTGGTTTCACTCCCCACAGAGACCAGGAATCTTGTCTTTCCCGGGGGCCACAGGTCCCCAAGGCCGCCCAGGCCCCAGATGCTGGCTCCTGCCTGGTCTCAGGGCAGGGGAGGGCCACCGTGGGCCCGCTCATGTCTCTGAAGCCCCTCCTGGGACAGTCCGCTGCCACCTGGTGGGGAGCAGGGCTGGTGCCTTGGGGATAGGGGTGACCCCTTCTGGCTCTTGCCTACCATCTGAGAAGGAGCTGCTCGTGTGTCCGGAGGGTGGGGCCACCATGAATCCCTTGGTGGTGGGTGCTGCCACCCCCATCCCGGTCTGGGACCTTATTACAGAAGTAGCCTTGGGCTTAGCGGCTGCAGGTCTGGGCTCTGGCCTGAGTTTTTCTCCTTTCTAGTTTCTCCCCGCAGCGCAGCCCTGGCAGGCAGGGCCATGAGCCTAGGAGGTGGCTTTCTGGGGCCAGGACATTTGCGGTCGGAGCCAGGGGACACCTGCGGCTCTGGCCACGGGATCCTGCACCTGCTCTGCCCGCAGCGCCAGTGTCCCAGAAGGGGCACATATCCCCAGGGTGTGTCCCACCAGGGGGCCCTTTGTCTACACCTGTTGGGGGGCGAGGCGGGGGAAGGGAGGGGAGGAAGACTCAGAGGAGGGCACGGGAAGGGGAGGAAGACTCAGAGGAGGGTACGGGAAGGGGAGGAAGACTCAGAGGAGGGCGTGGCACCTGTACTTGTTGGGGAACATCCGCTCGCAGTCCTTGCACTCGTGGGCTTGGCCGCTGCCACCGCCAAGGCCCTCGGGCTTGAGCTCCTCAGCCAGGCCCTCGTAGAGCGCAGCCCCCACTGAGCCACACGTGTACTTCTTATGGCGCCGCAGGTCCAGCTTGGACTGGAAGAGTTCGTCACACTCGTCACAGCGGAACGTGGGCTCCTCTGCAAGAGAGAGAACGAGGTGGTGGTGAGTGAGCTGGAGACCCAGCCCAGGGCTATCAGGGGACTCTGGAGACCTGGCCCCCTCACCACGGTGCCTCAGGGCCTGCACCCAGGCTGGCCAGTCCTGCACTGCTTCCTTCCAGCCTTCAACTTGGGGCCCACCAGCCTGCCCTGGAAACAGGCATGTGGAGTCCCCAGGGCCCAGCCCTGGGCAGGACCAAAGGACCCCCCAATCTGTGCCTCAGAGGGAGCCCCGGGCGACACCCGGCCCTGCCTGTGCCTCAGGCAGCCACTGTGGGCTGGAGAAGGCCCCGCTCGGGAGTGGAGGAGGAAGCCGGGCCAAGTGCTTTGTTTATGAATCAGGAGAAAAACGATGACAGAGCTCCAGTGCATATAATAAATTATTGTCGTCAAGGTCAAACAAATTAAAAGGGGGGCAGCTATTATTAAGTTTACGAGGCAGCATCCTGACTGCCTTGCCAAGCCAAACAATCAGCCTGGAGCTGTCATCCCGGTGGGGGGCTCTGGGCCCGTCCCTGCCTCCCCTGCCTGTAGCAGCTGGGCAGCAGCCTTCCACCTAAGACGGGAGACCCCCCCAACAAGATGCCTCATCCCCCCGGCTCTGGAAAGAACGCTGGCACTGAGCTCTTTCCCAAATGAATTGAACAATGGTGTGTGCACCAGTGTGTGAGTGCACGGGGGCGTCTTGGGCATGAGCAGGCAGCTGTGTATGCACACGTAAGTGTGAATATCTCAGCATATCTGCATCCATGTCTGTGCATTTTTGTGTGACTGTGTGTGCATGTCTATGCACTTACACCCATGTTTGTGTGGGCCTGCATGGGTACTCATGTGCATGTGTGTGAGGATGCATGTGTTTCTGCATGCACCTACATGCGTGAATATTTGTGTGCACTGGTGTGTTTTCATACTTGCACATGTGTGGTTTGTGGATGCCTTTGTGTTGAGGCATGTGTGCATCTGTGTGTTCATGTGGGTGCATACTTTGCATGTGTGAATGCACGTGTTTCTGTCTGCATGTGTGTGCATTTGTGTTATGTATGCATACGTGCATATTATACATATATGTTCGTGCGCATGGGTGGCTATGTTGTGTGTGCATATGTGTTTGATGTGCACACATGTGCATGTGAATATGTGTGTGAACACGCACATTGTGTGTTGGTTTGTGTGTGTGTGCGCCAATGGGTGTGTAGTTGTGCAGGCATGAATATGTGTACACATGCTTGTATATGAATGTGTGTATGCTAACGTGCATGTTTGTGTTTGTGTGCATGTGATGTGTGTATGCATGCAATTTGTGTGTGTGCATTTGGGTGCTTGTGGGAATGTGTGTTTGGGTGTGTATGCACGTGCACGAGGACTGACCCAGTGCCCAGCATTGAGCAGAGTCTTCATGAGCTTGGTCTGAACGTTGACTCAAAGGCCTGAACCTAAGGATTGCCGCGGAGACGGGGGGATGGGGGCAGATGGAAGAGGGCTGTCACTTCCTGTCCCCTCCCTGTGTCAGAGAGACCACCACGGTCATAGGCCTTTTAGAGTCCTAAGGAAAGTGTGGGCTGCTTTGCAGTCTGGGCAGTGCAGGGGTTACCAGAAGTGGCACCTCCTTGCTGACTGGAAGCTTCCCTGAGCCTAAGGGTAGAGATGCTGCTATTTGGCCTGGGCCACCCCAGCACCCCTGGCGGGTCCTCAGAGCCTGGCTCCCTGAGCCTCAGGTGCCCAAGGTGGGGATTCCAGCAGGGTGCTGGCCCCAAGAGACCACAGCAGGCATACTGGATGGCACGCACCCACCCACCCCTTGCCAACCAAGGTACAGATGCCAGCTTGCCAGATGTGATTTTTGGTGCCGTCTTTGGACAGAGGTAAGTATCTGGCTGACAGGGAAGGGGTGTCTGGCCGAGAGGAGCCCCAGGGGTGTGTGCATTGGGGGTGAGTGGGCAGGCACCACTGCTGGTCAAGATGCACCAAACACTGTGATTTCGTTCTCAGCCGGTGTCCAGGCATCCTGGCCCTGCTCACTGACCTGAACCTCAGGAAAGCACTGGTTTGGGGGAAAACAAGATCATGAAGGGAAAAAAGCCAGAGGATGCCCAGGGCCTGCGCAGTCCACTTCCCACAGGACTGCGGTCCACACCTCAGCTCCAGCCTCTGGGGCTTGGAGGGCTCCGTCCCAAACCTCTCCGGGGAAGGCTGCCATTCGGAGCTTTCCGAGTTTGTTCACTCACTGAACAAACCAAACCCACCTAGGAGCTGCCAGGAGGGATCCTTGGACAGGGTGCACAGCCTGGGAGGAGGTGGGCAAGAAATACTCACCCTAGAAGTCTACAAAATGCCACCTTGAAATGTGATTCAAGCCTGCAAATTCTTCAGAGAGAGCCCACTGTGCAAATGATGTGGGTGGCAAGGCTGACCCCTGGGGTCTGGTGGGAGCCCCACGTGGCAGGTCCTGTCCTCAGGGCTTAAGAGAATCTGGGCACTGAAGCCCCGCATCGACCTGCAAGCACCCAGGGAAGGGCGACAGTATTCGCATGCCCGCTTCAGAACTGGCAAACTGAGGCTGGGCAACACCGAGTTGCTCGTCCAAGGAAGAGGTGGAGCAGTGGGCCTGCAGCCTGCCCATGGTTTTGGGGCCGAGGAAGCAGGGCTGGCAGGGCCCCAATTTCCCACTGAGGGTTTTGGGGAAAGCGAGGTGAGCCTCTGATAGAGGGATGCTCACCATCACCCCCTCTCAGGCCTTCCCTTGTCTTCAGAAACTGGGATTTTCACTGGGGAACAAGCCCTGCAGATCTGAGCACCAAGACCATTGCAGAACACAGCCAACCCGCAGACCTGGGAAGCTGCCTGTGGGTGGATTCCAACGTCCCGGGCTGGAAGGAGGCTGAGATGGGGCCTCCAGCCAGCATCGTGATTCAGTTAGAAATGCCAGCTTTTATTTTACTCTTTCTGGACCCAATGAAGAACAATCATAGTAGTTGAAATTTGAAAACAAAGACAAGAAGAAATGCCAACCCCACCCACTCATATTATTGACCAACTTATTTTTTCCAGTTCTCATTTAGAATTTGGGATGAAAATAAAAATTTAGATTGCAAATGAGAATGCAGTCTGATTCTCACTCCAATGGCCTTGGAGGGTGCCCTGGACGTGATGGAGCCGACTTCAGTGACCATCCCTGCCCTGCTGCTCCCCAACCCCAGCCCTCCACGGATGGAGCTGGGCCCCCATCAGAGGACAGAGCCGGGTACAGGACACACCTGAGCCTGGCCTGCCCTTACTGAGTGGTATGGACAGGTCTCCCGGCTGTCTTCCAGGCAGGTAAGGCTGGCCCTGAATACACCCCTGGGGCTCATGGAGGGGCCAGAAACGGGGGCATAGTTTATGGCATTTTCACTTTCTCGGTACAAGAAACTTCTGCTTTAAAGAAATGCTGAAAGAACATGTCCTATTCTGATAATGTTTCCCATCTTATTATCTCTGATCTCACGATCTGGCTGGCTCATGCGCTCTGTCCTCCACGCACTGCCTCCTCTTGACCTCTTTTGGAGAGAGGAAAAGCAAATTATCGTGAGGCTTTCTCAAAAGAAAAGCATATGGGAATGGAAGTGACTTTCTTTATTTTCTCCCAAGAGCAAAAAGTTCTCACGAAAGAGAATTCTTTCCTCTTCATTGTAAGTGTAAAAGCAAAACACAAAGTCGAATGCATCTGAAAGTGGCTTCCCCGTGGTCTGAATCACTTGTGTGAAAATGGGCCTCGCATTCTTGACAGAGCTGCAGCTCTGCAGAGGGAATGTGTCCAGCCCCGGGACGGCAGGGCAGAGGCTCGGTTCTCCCGAAGCGGGCTGGCCCCCAAGGGTCTCCTGTGTCTTCTTCACTACCTGAACGTGGTCTCCAGCCAAGCCCTCTTCTCCCAACAAAAGCACAAAATATAGTGATTGGAAATGAAACTCTCTTCATCTGGCAGGGGTGCGTGGGCCGCGGTACAGCATCCACCTGTCACCTACGCCAACTAAGCCAACGCCGTGGTGACCTCACATCTTGTTTGTCATATCTGCGCCTCACTTGCCTATCTGAAGTTCCATCAGCAATCTTCATGGCAGAGCAGGAATGTAACAGAAAAATAAATCAGTGCCTAATGGCCCCGGAGAGCCGAGGGGTTCACAATTAAGTGGCGTCTACGTACTAATCTACCAGACTCGAGGCTCAAAGGAGCTCGAGAGCCTCCTCCAAGTCCCTGCAGTGATAAGGGGCTGGCTGCATTGAGCTGGGGTTGGGATAAAAGATTTTTTATGATAATTATCTTAGTGAGGAACATTTTTGCATTTTCTTTCTGTGCGATTCAGAGTTTAACTGGTGGGGGAGGCGGCTATTGGGGAGGCATGATCTTGACAGGAAAGAGTAGGGAAAGTCAAATATTTGATGTTGGGCTATTATGTGTGGCAAGCAATTAGCCCACAAATGTTTGATAAATTATTAGGAAAATGTAGACCCAGGTTATTTAATATCAGGGGCTGGAGCGGGGTGGGGAGCAGAAATCAAGGTTTTTAAAAAACCTTTTGGAAGAAAGAAATTTCATCGTACAAATGAAATTCCATAGTCAAGCACTCTCCTTAAGTCAAGTAGATTTGTCTCTTGGCGTTCTTGTGCGCTGTCTAAGATTCATAGATCTTTTCAACAATTATTTTAAGGAAAATGAGGCCCTCCCCCCTGCTATCCAGATCTCGGCAATTGATTTTTCTTTTCTCAATGGCCTAAATAAAACCAAACTTTAGAGGAAGCTGCAGATAGGCTCCAGCTTGTTAAACTATCCTTCTGTGGTCATTTCCTTTCGGACACTCAGGGACATAAACAGATACTGCACCAAGGAAGGACCCAGCTAGCTGGGCCACGCTCGGTGATGGCAAGGGTAAATGAAGGCGGAGTTCTCCATGTCTGGTCTCGAAGCCTTCCTGCTCATTCCAGCACCATTCCTTCACCGTGAAATCAGAGTGGTTCCTTGGAGAAACTTGCAGCAAATGGCATTAATCACTAAGCCTTGGTGTGTTTGAAGGGGAGGTCCAAGAAGCGAGGAGGAAAACTCAGCCTCCCTCCAGGCTCCAGCACCAGCAGGAATCACCAGCGCCGGAAACGGCCAGGAGGGAGCTTGCGTTCCTGTTCACTTGCGGGGCCTCCCAAAGTAAAGCAGTTAGGCTCGAACCCTGGAGCCGTCTGCTCAGAGGGACCGGCGTGGAGCCGACGGGCCAGGGCCTCACTGCCCACAGAGCCTTTCCTGGCCGGCTGTTCCAGGACCCCGTAGGGGAACGGACACATGGCTTCATGACGTGAAGGCAGGAATGAGCCTGTATCTGGGAAGAGCTCATCTGTGTGGGACTGGAATTTTCTCAGGCATCCTCTCAGCTGTACTTGGGTGTGGAGGAAGGTGAAAGGGAAACTCACTTGTCCCATCTCTACTCGACAGAGAGGGACTGGCAGATCTAGGGAAAAGGAAATTTGGAAGGCTTCCCACAGCCCTGTCTGGAAGAGCGGGGCGACTCCGCATCACTGTGAGACCCGCCTCAGACCCCGCATTTTCCCTCTTGCCAAATGAAACTTCCCCTAACACTTCTCTTGGAGTTTTAGCTACAGATGCACATTTTGCTTTGAAAGATACATATGCCATCATCCACTCTCTTAAATGAAACAAAATCTTCCCACCCCACAGAGAGCTCTGGGGCAGCCAGAAATGCTTCGAAGCTACAAAACTGGCTTGGTGTTTGTTTGTTCGTTCATTTAAGTACCAGGGAAAGCAAAGGCTGCTGTTGCTGCTGCTAATAAGAATAATAGCAATAATAAAACATAGCTTAAAAAAATCACCTGGGACCCTAACATTGCAAAGACATAATCCACTGGATACCAGTTTGCCCACTGCCCGAAGCCCTTCTTAAATTCTGGGTGCACCTCCTGGATGCCCCAGGGAAGAGGAACAAGAAAGCCATTAGGTTGAGCCTTTGTGGAGGCGGGCAATTTCTGCTGGCCTGAGGTCTGCAAAAATGGAGGCACCTAGCACTTGGGGGCCGCCTGGCCCTCATTAGGTGGCTTGAGGTGATGAGAGGCCCTCGGTCCTCCCAGGCATCTGCTCCTCTTCCGGGCTGGCTGGGGGCTCCCAGGGGCCGTGGCCCGGTTTGGGGGAGGGGTCTTACCGTCCAGGCCGGGCGGCACTGTGCCCAGGGGGTAGACGCCTTCCTTCACGTGCACCAGCAGCTCCTCACCTGGCTCAATGTCCTTAATGACTTTATAGTAAATCTAGGATGGAGAGACCAGAGAGAAAGGGTGAGTGTGGTTTGTTGGTGTCTGGAGAGCCTCTCAGTGCACACTCAGCCCTCACACTGTGGACGCAGCTCGGCCTGCACTTGATTTTCCTCTAATTGCCACCAAGAGGGTCCACTATGGAACTTTTGCAGAGTATGCGCAGAAGGAATTGCGTCCCCTTTTAATTTGCTTTATTGGGTTTTAGGATATTCATAAAGGGGGTGGCCGACTAAACAGGTAGGATCCACATGAAAGTTCCCAGCTGGGGGTGTCCTGGGGGCACAGCAGAGCCCCGCTTCCACCAAGAGCCCACCTGGGTGGGTTCTCAAGTTTCTTTTGTTCCATTTTGTGTATGTAAGTGAGACCCGCTTTGCCAGTGGCGGCGGGGGAGGGGGAGCTCAGGGTGTGGAGTGAATCTGGTTGTTTCTGAAAGTGGCCATGAGCTGCGCCTGGCCAGTGAGTCAGGACATGGGGCTGCGGTTCTCCCAGGAGCGGGGATGCCATGAGCCAGGAAGGCTGGGGCGGGCAGGACTGTGTGCCCACTGTCAGCTTGGCGCCTTGCTGCTGACCCCACAGGCGGGAGTCTGGGATGGAGGACACCCTTGAGAACTGGTGGGCTCAGGTAGATTCTGCAGCCTGGTCAAGCCCTGGGGGCGAGGGGACCTCCATTTGGAACTCTGCTCACTGAGCAGTGCTGTTGGGGGCTGTGTCACTGCAGCTTGCCAGGGGCCTCCTGAAAAGAGGAGGTTGTCTTGGGGTGTGGAAGTGGTGGTCGAGATGAAGAAAATTAGCAGTTCACAAAGGGGAGGCCAGGCCATCTGAGGCCTGGGCCAGGGCACGGGCCATGCCGCCAGCACAAGGAACCCTGTGTCTTCGGTCCGGGAGTGTCTGGCGGCAGGTGTGTTTCTCTTGGGGGAGTCACTGCCCACCCTGCACATGTGGGTGTTTGAGACTCTCTTCTGATCACAGTAACTGGGGAGCTTCCAGGGAACTGCAGGCCTGGCCGGAGGACTGGCTGTGAGGCTGGGGAGAGGCCCAAGGGAAATCCACCTGCCCCTGCGAGACCTGGGGCTGAGGCTCCTCCAAGAAAACAGAGTGGGTCTAGACTCAGAAAGGGAAGGGCTCCCAGGGATTGAGGGGACGTGGCCATCCTTGTGGGTGACACT
The DNA here is from genome assembly GCF_000001405.40 of Homo sapiens. Lineage (NCBI taxonomy): Eukaryota > Metazoa > Chordata > Mammalia > Primates > Hominidae > Homo > Homo sapiens. Next base: position 3,395,318 of record NC_000001.11, on the reverse strand, counting down.
CCCATCCCCACTGACCATCCTGTGTCAGGCCAGGCTCTCCAGCACCTGGACCTGGCTGGGGTCTGTGGCTGGACACAGCTGGGCACCCCCGAGACAGGGCTGGGTGTGGCCCCTGCATGCTCCTCCCCCATGTCCCCCACATTGTGAATTTCACTACAATCTGCCAGTCCCAACTGACTCCAGAATGACACCAAGGAACTCTCAAAAGACACACATAAGTCACAGCGTGACGGTAATGCCCAGTGTCTGCTACTCCCAAGACACCCAGACAGGAACTGCACGAAGGAGGACAGGCAGGTGCACGGCCTCTGTCAGTAGTGTGTGAAGTTCCCTTATGGGGCGTCAGGTAAGTTGCTAAAATTATGAGGAGATGTAAAAGTGGAGAGGAGAAACTGGCCCATGGTAACTTCTTCAATTAAACCCATTATTATTAGGACCCCAGTTTTGTATCATCTTATCAAAAAAAAAAATCACACAGTGGCTGAATCATTGTCTCTTTTTTAAAAAAGAAACTTGAGCCACTGTATTAGAAAATCGGGCCCAAAGTGCGGGATGAGAAGCGCCAGCTGGGACAAAGCCCGGGTGACCCTCTGAGCGGTGCCGTGAGTGGCATTGTAGCAGGCGCAAGTGGAAGGGGCTGCTGAGTGACTGCCCGGCCTGGCTGATGCCCGTGGGGCAGGTGGCCTGGCCCGGGCCCTGGGCAGGAGAGAGGAGGGTCAGCGGGCGAGGCTGAGGCTTCTCGAGGGGTCCCGTTAGAGGGCAATGTGGACCCTGGCCGCCCGCCCCTTGGCTCCACTCCAGGCCGCACCACCCACCCCACCCACCACCTCCCTCTCCACCCCACCCCCGTCGAGGGTCCTGACGTGAGACCTCGGGCATCCTCCCGCACTCCCTGCTTCTCGGCTCCGCTCCACTGGCGGGCAGAGGGCTGGGTGGGCGGACGGGGGCTGGGCGGCCCTCCTGGATCCTCCGCCTGGCCCCCTCCGAGAGCCTCCGAGCGCCTCCGAGCCTCCCGGGATCCACACCCCAACCCCATCCCCTCTCTGCAGGCCACAGACACTCCCAGGACGCCGCCCGGACTCCCTTCTCTACACACCGAGCCAGATCTCCTGGGATGCCCCCCACCGCAGCTCCGAGGGCGCCAGGCCTCCCTCCTCTGATCCGCGGCGCTGCGGAAGGAAACCCCTTCCCCCACCTCTTCCCCCAATCCGAGGGCCCCCGGTGTCTCCTGGGACCCCACCCCGGCTCCGAGGGCAGCAGACTTGCCGGGGGACCCTCCCCTCCGGCGCGGACACTGCCCTGGAGCCGCCGCCGCCGCGGGAGGGTCTAGCGCGCCGGGCCGCGGGCTCCCCCTCCCTGGCCCTGGACCTGCAGGAGGAGGGCGCCTTGGCCATGGGACTTGGAGCCACAGTCGGAATTAATCGCTATTACTGCTGATCGCAGGGCCCGAGGCGGGGCGGGGCGGGGGCGGGGGTCCCCGACCTGCCTCCAACTGCTTCGGGGGTCAGAGGTGAACGGGAATCCGCGCAAACTTTTCCACACTCGCCGGCCCCGCCCTTGCCAGCGGCGCGGAGGTGCAGACAAAAGCTGGCTGCGTTTTTACAGCCTGTCCCCGGTGTCACAAAGGCCTTATCAGCCAGACGCGCCGAGAACGCCACTGTTCCTGGCCGGCGGGGTCAGGCGACTTCCCGGGACAAAGACCGGGCCGGCCGCGGTGGGAACCGGGCGTCTGCGGACCCAGCCTGCGCCGGCTCCTGGCTCGAGAGCGTCACAAATTGCGCATTTACTGTACTGCAGACCCCTTCCTGCAGGGCTTGTCATAAATTATGACTGCAGCTCCCTACACATTCCTGCCGTCTGCTTATAATCCTCCTTTCCTCGTGAGACCCGCGGTGGGTCCTGCTCAGACCGCGCTAAGTCAGCATGGTGGGAGAAGTCTGTTGAAGCAAAAATAAAGTCTGGAGTCTCTGATAGCCTTTAGCCCCCAGCAGCGGCCTCAGGGAGGACGACTGGCCGCCGGAAAGGAAGAAGAACAGTATATTTGCTTAAGCGACAGCATCTAGGCATCTATGCCTTTTTATAAACACTCGCCTCCGCTATGCTGTTGAAGTCGTGCCTAAGTCCCCGGGTTGTGTTGCACGGGCAAGGCTGGAATTTTCCCTTTGGTTTAAGGATCTGAGAGGGTGGGGAACCCTCTTAACAACAGCTGAGTTTACTAGCGCCAATAAATGTCTGCTGTAAATGGCTTTAAAAAAATAATGATGCCAAACAGACTGGATCTGAAGTTAAGTCCTTGTTCCAACACTTCAGGTTCTCTTTGTAACAACAATGACTTGACTGAACGTGGGTGAACAACACGAAACACAGGTCCTCCGAATTCAAACTGTATTTAGCATGACCCTGCCTATTTTCTCCCCCTTTTATCACTTTCCAGACACAAAGAGGCGGCTTCTTGTAGGTAAGTGGACTTCTGGGACAAATAAATGGCCACGTTCTCAACAGAAGGCAGAGAAATTGCCCGAGAAGAGCCTAGAGTCAGCCCAGGCCACGTTCATTCAGACAGAGCCTTTTATGAAAATTAGTATCATTGCTCCCAGCAATATTCTTTAAGACACAGAAATCATTTACATTTACAATGGCTGCCAGCTTTGGGATACCTTCTCCTTACAGGTCTTTAAAGAAAGTTTTTAAAATATCAAATCAATTCACAAGAAAAGAGACGACTTTCGAATATGAAGCTCTTAGTGGTACGGTTCTCATTCCCGCTTAATCATAGAATTTAACAATACAAATAGACGAAAAACTCCATGCAAATTCCACCAGGTGGGAATCACCGGACTGCAGACTAAAAGGAACTGGGTTGAATCTGAGCAGCGGCCGTTCTTGTTTTCTCTTTCCTGGAATAAATGAATTTTTTCCATCAAGCGAACTTTTGGGCTTTCTTGTCTCTTTTTGACCAGCGTAATAAACTTTAAAGGCAGGCTTGAATCAAGTAGGTGAACCCTCCTTCCGTGTGCTTACTGGAAAAAACTCAATCGCTCACCATTCTGGATTTCAGAATTCAACTGTGCCTGAGTTTACTGTGCAAGAGGCTTTTCTCACAAAACACGTGAAAGCAGCCAGTGGAATCGGAATTCTTTGAAACCATTTCCCAAAAGCAGATTCCCCTGGTGACCCGGTCTGCCTCTCACCTGGCCTTGGGAGAGAGAGAGGATGTTGGGCTGAGGATCGTCCCCTGCATTTTGGTTTTAGCGGAGGTGGCTGGGTCTCAGTGCTGCTCCCGGCTTCATTTTAACTCCTTGCTGTCTCCACACGCTGTGAGTGTGGGAAAGCGCTGTGATGATCCCCGAGCCCCGAGGCCGGCCCAGGAGCTGAGCATGTCGTAGTGATGATGCCCTAAGCGCCAGCAGGGGCAGCACCCCGATTTGCAGCGCTGGGGTTTGGGCAGGGGTCTCCTTTCTCCCTACCCTGTGCACGCCTGTGCTTGGGAGCCTGCCTCTGGCCGGCCTCAATTTCCGGCTTCCTCCGTGCTGAGCGGCTGGAGGAGACCACAGTCAGGCTCCCAGACTATAGACAGTCCTATCCTCTGGCAGAGCGAGGAAAAGCCCGCTGGAGTCCCGGGCTTCGCCACCTTCCTCTTGTCCTGCACATAGCTGAAGCATTTTTATTAAGCCTAAGTTTTATTATTGTGTGGTGTGCGATATGCCGTCACCATCCCAGCGACCCAGACATGAAATAAAACTCTGTGCACACTTATCTGTTTCTTAGTTGTGTGGTTTGGATCTGGATTATAAAAATATAAATGACGAGTCCACAGTTAAATTACCTTGATCATTCTTAAATAGCTTCGTCTAGTAAAGTGAGCCTGTAACGAGCAGGAAAGGAATATACAAATCCTGACAGGTGGTTTGCGTAGCGGTTCAGACGGCACAGTTGAATTTAAACCTTGTTCTTCACCAAGAAGAGGATCAGTTTGTTCCAAAGGGGGCCCCGTAAAATGGGAATCAAAGCAACCTGCATGTATTTTGGAGTCTTTTGTAAGCTGGTTATGAAATACCGAAGGAGCCCCCTGCCCTCCTCCCGCCCATTTCAAGGGGGTAAACTGTGTCGCATGGTGGGAGGCTCCTGCCTGCCTTAACCAAATTAACAATCTATGATTTTTAATTTAAAAAAATTGTGAGGATGGCTCGGGCGGTGGCTCACGCCTGTCATCCCAGCACTTCTGGAGGCCGAGGCGGGCAGATCACCCAAGGTCAGGAGCTTGAAACCAGCCTGACCAACATGGTGAAACCCTGTCTCTACTAAAAAATACAAAATAAGCCAGGCATAGTGGCAGGCCCCTGTAATCCCAGCTACTTGAGAGGCTGAGACAGGAGAATCGCTTGAACCCGGGAGGCGGAGGTTGCAGTGAGCCGAGATTGTGCTATTGCACTCTGGCCTGGGCAACAAGAGTGAAACTCTGTCTAAAAAAAAAAAAAAAAAAACACACTGTGAGAGATAAAAGCAAAGGGAATATGAACATGTCTGGGGTCGGGGCAGAACAAGATGATGGGTGTTGGATGCCCTCTGTTTAAAACCGCAACCCTGACAGGGCACACGCCCAGACAGAAACGCGGGACCCGGGTCAGAGCCCAGGACAGCAAAGCAAAAGAGAAATGCCCTCCGCCGACCCGAGAGACACCTGGTTCTCATGAACAACCCGCGCGGGCTCTTGTCCACGCGGTGCTGCCTGGCCACCGGCGGCCACTCTTCTAACACAATGCCTGCGCGGAACACTCTGTGGAGGGGCTGTGCTGCTCCACGGCGGGCGCCGGGACCCCTGCTCTGCCCCTGGAAGGCCCTGGGGTTTTGGGGTTTGTCTGATGCCCAGGCAGCCCCAGGGCGCTATGCAGATTGGGGCTGCTTCTCTCAATCCAGGGGTGCTACAGGTCGTTTGAGAGCCCTACAGCCGTTCCGTGGTACGCTGGGGGGCCCGCACCCCTGAGTCCAGCTCCCCGACATTTGTGTTTGACCTCAGCCCTGTCCCCAGCCATCTTCAGCCCCACTAGACAGTTGACATCCCACCACCAACATTCTTGCCCTATTGAGGCAACATGAGAAAAAGATAAACCAAAAAACAGAAAGCGCCGGCTGTGACAGCTCCTCCCTGCCTCCCGCATCCCCCCGCAGGCGCTTCATCGCCAAGCTCTTGTTTTCTTTCTTCACGTTAAAACAAATTCAGGAACTGTCCCTGTCTGTGTCTCCTGAAACATTTCAAACCAGCTCATTTGTTCATAATTACAGGAGAAAGAACCACCCAGGGGTGATCTGAGTGTCTTGAATTTTCCAAAAGGGAAAGTAGGAGCCAGAGGGTGGGGGGGGGGGGGGGGCGCACCCCCAGAAAAGTGCATGGAGATTCCCGAGGGCCCCTCTGTGCCTTCCGCTCATGCTCGGACGAGGCAGCAAGTCAAAGTCCCCCACGACGACTTCTGACACCTCAGAGCCCTATCTCCCTTGCAATCTGATTGCCCCGAAAGTCCCAGGGGAAAGGCTCGGTCCCCGCAGCTGTGTGCAGGGATGTTTTGCTCCCAGCAGCTCCCCAGAGAGCCTGCGCCGCTTCAGGAGCAGCGGGACCCTTGGCCTCGGAAGGGGCCAGTGTGCCCTTGGCCGTGATCTGGGGCCTCCTTGTGCAAATAGAAAACCACAAGTCCCCTTTTGGGCAACAGGGCCGGGCCCAGGAACAAATTCATGGCCCAATGTGGCCTCTGGCTCTGCTCGGCTCTCCCATGAGCCATGAGGAGGGCTGGGATGGGCCCGGTCACCTCTCAAGAGGTCCCCTGGGGCCAGGAGGGGGAATCTCATTGCCAGATGAGAACGTGGAGGTGGGGCCCACAAGCAGCCCCCTCAGCCCCACGCCATAGGGATAGCTCTTGTTCATGGAGAGGACGGTCCGATTCCCATGGGGCCTGAGATGGGGAAGGAACAGGATGCTGGGCCAGCCCTGCCTGGGAAGGAGGGTGTCGGGGCCTCCATGCCTCCCTCAGCTTAGCCGGTCCTGCCTCCGTCCATGAGGCACTGCGAGGCGGCAGGGCAGTGGGGAGCCTCTGGGGAGGTGCTGGCTGGTTGCTGAGCCTTTTCAAGCTCCGGGGCTCACATGTTCTCAAGCCCCTGTCCCCTGCCTCTCCCCAGTGGCTGCAGAGGAGCACATGGCCGGTCCTCTTTTGTACAGGGCAGGTGTCTTGGGGCGTGTTAGGGGATGCTGGGAGAGGGACACGTGGTCAGTGATTTGAGCAGGCTTCTGAGCAGCCAGAATTGGGTCCTGGCCAGACAGTCAGAACCGGGCCTGTGGGTGCTGCACTGCCCAGCTCAGCAGGTGCCCTGGAGCGCCCCAAAGCATCAGCTAGAGCGCCAGTACACTGCATGGAACCATGAGGGATGCGGGGGTGGCGTCTGCCCCCAGACCCCATCTGAATGCACAGCAACCCACATCCAGTGAAGGCCAGGAGGAGCCCGGGATGGGCTGAAGGAGGTGTGTGACTCCCCCGCCTCCAAAGTGCCCCTAAAGTGTGGGTCTCACCCCAAGGACATAGGAGCACCCTGGAGGCCAGGCCCCAGAGTTTGCTTAAGTCCTGGCTGCCAGTAGCAGGAGACTCGGGGAAAGCCCCAGCCTGGGTCCCCATCTGAATATCGACCTGAGTTTTCAGTTCAGAGCGGCCTCTCTCCTCAGCCCAGTAGAGGAGCTCATCTCTTCTGGGAGGCTGTGGCTTCCAGAACTTTCTTTTTAGGACGTTTACACTGTCTTCTGCCCTAGTCTCCTTTTTCCTTTGAAAATGGGGGCTGAGGTCACATGTCTTGAACCTCAAAATGATGGTGATGCTTTTCTGACCGAAGTATTTTCCCTGCCGAATACCATTTGGCAAACTCGACGTTGTTTTACGGAGCTCGGATGTTCAGATATGGTTCCTTCCCTTCTGTGTCTGTGCTGTATTAGAGGTGGGGGTGTGTGTGCAATCTTGAAAGAGAGAGACAGAGAAAGAGAGAGACAGAGAAAGAGAGAGGGAGAGAGAGAGGGGAAGGGAGGAAGATTGTTCACTTGTGTGTGTTTGTGTGTGGGGATGGTGTTCGTAAGTACCAGGAAATCCTGGTGGAACTCCTGGCATGGTGGAAATCTGAGAAATGGCATTAGTATCATGTGATGTTTCCTTCTCAAAGAGAAGTTGTTAAAAGCTTTTAAAAAATTCTTGGCTTTATTAATATTTCAGGGCAGTTTTTATTTTAGCTCCGCATAGGGTCAAATAGGTTGCTTTGCAGGAACCCACGTTCCCGTGGTCAAGGCCAGGGAATGGAAATGCTTTCTGCCGAGGCCGTGCGGCCGTCACAGCCGTCACAGCGCGCGAGAGGGCATTTAAACACTAGATTGAAATCTATTATATCCCTTTCAAAAGGCATTGCTAAAAGTCATGTCCTATGAGAGTCTATGGGTTTCTGAGAGCAGTTTTTCATATTTGTAGTGTTTAAATCTTATTATTATTCAAAGGAAAATACATTCCACACAATGCTCATTTTCGTTTGATAACTGAAATTCACGGTTGAGATTTCAGGAGAAGAAGCTGCCAACTCAGCCACCTCACTCCCCGTGCCTGGGCGGCGAGTCTCCTCCAGCCTCTGGCCGGCTCCTGCTTTCCCGGGCATTCCAGCCACATGGCTTATCCAGCTCGGAGGTGCACCTTTGCGGGGACATGGGCAGGAGCGTCGGTGGCCCTGTAACACCCGACGTCACCGGCTGTGCTACCTATGAGGGGTGCTCTCAAGAGCAGAGGGCTCCTCTCCCTGTCGGAGGGGAAGGTCTCACAAGGGGGTTGAGGGGGTCGGAAGTGCCCCGAGTGGAGGAATTTCTCTCTGCTTTGGGCCATTTTGGTGTTGCATTTGCTTAAATGTGCATTTCGAGTTCCCTCTGGGTTTGTGGCTTTAATTCAGCCTATGGACCTAAAACAGAGAGAACGAATCCCTTGAGGCGGTGTTGGAGAGAGCCATCTAGCAGGTCAGGAGGTATCTGAGGAGTTTTGACATTATCTGTGGTTTGGGTAATAGCGCCAAGTATGTTTCTGACTCTAGGACGGAGCTTTGGAGGAAGTCGGCACTGTGGGATGACGGTGGGGTAAAGGGAAGGAACGGATCAGGATTCAGGATCATTCTTCCATCCTGGCAAAAAGGATTTCTGCCCCCTGGTCCTGACCATGGAAACACAGTTGGCTGCAAAGCAGTCCATTCCTTTTGGACCTCATGTGTAGCTAAAAGGAAAGCTTCCCCGAAATATTAATAATACAATGAAGATTTTTTTAAAGACAGGCTTCTCTTTGAGATTACACGTTTGTTTTTTAAAAAGCTAGACACATAAAGATACCCACTTTACCGCTTAAGTTTAGTTCAAAAGTTCTAATAAACATTTATTTCTTAAATAAAAAAAATCTGGGCCCTTCATTACTATAGTTTGCATCTCACAAAAGCACAGCCCTGGCCCAGCCCCGCGGTGCCCCTGCCCGTCAGCTTCCCAACGGACGACTAAGGACACACTCTGCAAATCTGAGCCCCAGAAGGGGACGGAAAGACCGTCCTTCTATGCGCCTCAAGCCCAATTTTCCTTCACTCCAATTTCACTTTCATCTGGAAGAAAGAAAAAAATTTTTTTAAGTTCTGCTCTTATGTTTATGATTATTCTTTTGCTTCATCTCTGTATTTTTTTTTCAATCAGAAAAAGTTATTTTAAACATTTTTGGCTCTAACTGAAGGCCACGGAAGTCCTGGTAGTAGCGTAGATTCATGTCCCCATCCAGAACGAGCTTGTCCAGCGGAGCAACTGCTCGATGGAGATTCTGCTCCACAGCCAAGGGGACGGCAAATGAGGGAGAGCCCCTGGCAGCCAGCCGGGGCCTGCGGGACCTCCCTGGAGTTTGCTCTGTGCATTTCTTAATGCAAAATTGTTTCTGTAAAGTCGAGAGCCTTGAATCACTTTCAATGGCTTGCACAGGCTACGCGGGAATGTTCCGTGACGTGGTCTTCACACACATTTTTCACAGCCATGGGATCCTTTTCTTTTTTTTCAAATGAAATCTCATGTATGACCCCAAGATATTACAGGAAAAACCAGACTACTGTGATGTAAGGGGCCGGGGACCCCGGGCACCCCGGGCACCCCGAGGAACGCACGGTGTTCAGGATGCAGGCGGAAAGTGCCGCCCGGGAGGCCTGGCTTGAGAGTGAGAAGGGCCTCCAGGGGCCACTCGCAAGCTTGAAATAGAGAAATCCATGAAGCAGCGACCAGCTCTGGGGACACGGTGCCTTCTGGAGTGGAAGGAGACTCCGCGTCTTCTCCCCTGATCAGCCTGTGGGTCTGGATGCCTGTTCTGGTGGTGGTGTGGACCAGCCGTGGAGGTCAAGGATCCAGGGAGCTTAGGGGGCTCCTCAGCCCCGAGGTGGCAGGGACGGAAGTGAAGGTATCTCTTGCCTGGTTCGCTGCCTGCAGGACAGGGACTTTGTGCCAAAAAGGCCAAGGCCTTCAGCAGGCTGGTCAGAGGCCCCGGAGGCTCTAGGAGGCCCCCCGAGTGGCTGCCTCATTGGCCGGTGCGGACTCTTCGGAAAATTTGGTGAAACAGCGCCATTTAGATGGATTCTTTCAGTGACTGTTCCTGCTCTATGCTTCTCCCGTGTCCTTCAGGGAAGCGGCATTTGCAGGAAGTGTGGACCCTGTGATCCGCGGTCCTGCCTGCTTCATTGCTCTTTTCCACCTGAACCACCATCTCGGGGTTCAGGAACTGCCAGCCTCAGGCAGGGTCCCTGAGCAAGGCTCCAATGGAGCCCTCCCGGGGTGAGTCAGCTCCCCGGAAGCCAGTGCTGGCCAAGCACCAAACAGCACCCCCACTGCAGGCCAGGGCTTGGCAGATGTCCCCAAAGAGGCTCAGACAACCCTTGCCTCGGCACCTCCACCAATCTTGGTGCCACATCCTCAGGGACAATTCCAAGAGGCAGAAGCCCCTGTTATGAGCCCGGACCTACCTGCTCACTGATCTGACACATGGTGAGGTTCTGGTCATCGCAGGAGCACGCCACACGGATGTACTTGAGCCAGCTGCCAGCCCCCGCCTGATTTGCATCCACGCAGAACTTCTCACTGCCCAGGTCTTCGGAGATCTGCTGGGAGGAAAGCGAAGCGGGAGTCAGAGGTGCCCTGTGTGCTGGAGTCTGCACACAGCCTCTGCCCACCCAGAAACCTGGCTGTTTGGGCTCAAGTAGGAAGGCAAGTCGGCGTCCAGACCTCAGCCCACCCTCCGGGCATCAGCGGGGCTCCCAGCCCACCCAGCCTGCCCATGCCCGGGAGTCTCCAGGAGTCTCCAGGAGCCCAGCAGAAAGGCAGGGAATGGCCTTTTCTTTTCTCACCGAGCAGATCACTGCCCTGGCCCGGCGATAAAATGAGCCTCCAGAGTTGCAACCCCCACCCCCGCAGCAAAGCTGACCCACGTGTGAGAAGGCAGGGACTGCTGCATCTGGGAGCAGAGCCCTCTGCTAAGGAGCTGGGACGCTGCGCTAGAGAAAAGCGTGTCTGAAGGTGAAGGTGTTGCTGGGTGTGCATGTGTGTGTGCATGCTCAGGGCAGCCTGCACATCACTCTGAGAGCAAGAAAAGCATCTGGTTTCCTTAAAGCTGGAGAGTTTCAGTTTGACACCCAGCAGCATGAAGACGCCTAGCTGTTCTCACCACGCCCGCAAAGTCACACGCGAACCAACTTGGCTTTGCTTTGTTGTCACTGTTGCCTCTGAACGGGCAGAGTGGCAACCCCTAGGACTTTTCTTATTTGCTGTGACCCCCACTCCTCCGAGGACCACCGATGAGGAGACCTGACCTGCTGTCCACTGTGGAGAGACGGTGTCCCCTCAAACAGCCTGACCATGGGTGGCGGCTGCAGGCCCCCCAGCCTCCCCCACTCTGGCCAGTAGCTACTCTGGGTTCTGAATTCAAACCAGCAGCATCTTGGGCAAGCTTCCTGGGCAGCCCAGCCCAGACAGGGCAGGAGGGAGGGCAGGGGGCAGGGGATGGGGCCACGCTACACTCAGGTCCCTAAAGTAGAAAGGCTATGTCTCTGTGGGCAGGAGTGCCCTTGGGCAGGTGTGTCCTGCTGGACAGGTGCATATGGGTGGGCAGGTGTGTCCTGCTGGACAGGTGTATGTGGGTGGGCAGCTGTGTCCTTGGGTGGGTGTGTCCTGGCAGGCAGGTGGGTCACGGTGGGCATATGTGTCCTTGTGGGCAGGCGTGTCCTTGAGCAGGTGTATCTGGGTGGGCAGGTGTGTTCCTGGACAGGTGTGTCCTTGGGCAAGTGTGTCCTTGGGCAGGTGTGTCCTGGTGGGCAAGTGTGTCCTTGGGCAGGTGTGTCCTTCTGCAGGTGTGTCCTGGTGGGCAGGTGTGTCCTTCTGCAGGTGTGTCCTGGTGGGCAGGTGTGTCCTTAGGCAGGTGTGTCTTTGAGCAGGTGTGTCTGGGCGGGCAGGGGTGATGGATAAGGGAGTCACAAGGACCCAGGGGAGTCAGGATGAGACAGTGACCTGTCCAAGTGAAAACAGTGGAGGCTGACTCTGGGCACCTCAGATGCTCGGCATGCACTCTCCCGGGTTCCTAGCCATTTCGGGCCTGGTGCTGGCTGACCCTCAGATGCTGGGCATGCACTCTCCTGGGTTCCTAGCCATCTCGGGCCTGGTGCTGGAATTCTTTTGAAAAGTTAAACGTCGGCACCAATCAATGGGGAAGCATGTGGTCCACGTGCCCCGGTCTCTGTGCATGGTGTTCCCTCTTCCCCTGAGGCTTCCAGGGAAAGTTGGCCCCCAGAGCACAGCAGAGACAGGCAGAGGGCCTCGAGTCTCTTTCCTGTTCCACTTGCTCTCAGTCTCCTTGTTGACATCCACCACCAAGCTGGGGTTCCCGACTAAGGGTTTCCAGAGGTGCTGGGTGAGATAGATTGGGGTGCAGGGCGGGAGGTCAGCCAGGATAGAGGGGCGTGCTCCTGGGGTCCCTGTGCTCCCTATCACACACAGCCGTGCCTGCCCCTGGGCCCCTTCTGGCTCCATCCAGGGCAGTGGGAGATTCACTCAAAGCCTGTCTTATTTCAGAGACGGCAGCGGCAGAAATGCTCCCAAGCTCGTGGGCTGTGGCTGCTCTGCTCCATTCACCAAGTGACTGTGACTGAATGGCCAGGTCCCTTCTCTGCCCAGGGTTGGCCGTGAATTCTGTCCACTCGGAACTGTAGGTGGGCCTGTGGTCCACAGGGGACGTGGGTCCAAGAAGCATAACTAGGCTAGGGGCTGGAGCCCGAGGAAAACATTGGCGGCGGGGGGATGCTCAATATACAAACGATGGAGTAGCAGGAGCACAGCTGGCCACATGGGGCTGGCAGTATCCCAGTCCCGTCCCCAGCCCATGGGTCCACTTCTCCATAGAGGCCTGCTGACGTCACAGCACATTGTACACAGTGCCTGTGGGCTGAGGGCTGGTGCTCACCCAGGGCGGGCCGTGCCCTCCCACCTGGGACCCGGATTTTTGTCTTCAAAGCTGGAGCACCTGGGTCACAGCACCCCATTGGTGCAGCCAGGAGTACGTGCTCCTGAGTGCATCCCCCTCAGCCCAGGGACCAGCTGATGGGGCTCAGGCCACTTCCCAAGAGGCAGGACTCACCCCTAATGCACCCAAGACATGGGCTCAGCCAACACCTTCCCCCTGTTCTGGGCCCCGGCTGGCTCAAGCCTCGCTTTGGTGGGGAGTCTGTGGCCACCCTGCTGTTCAGGACTCAGGGCAGGTTCCCAGGGAGACAGCCTCTGTGTTACCAGCTTCTGCAGACACAGCTGTGCCCCAGGCAGGACTGCAAATCCCTTGACATTTGAGGTCCTGGTCCCTAAAGGGGCTGCAGGAAGGGTCCTCACGCTGTCCAGGGAGGTCACTGCCTGCCCTGCCCAAGTCCAGGGCCAGCCCAATCCAAGAACCACAGACTCAGCAGCCCGCCCCATTGCACCCCATCTCTTGCCAGGACAGGGGTGGCAGGGGCGTGGCATGGGAGGGAGGAGGCCACAAGCGGCTGGTTGTCACTAGGGAGGCAGGCTTCCCATCCTCTAGGGTGCAGACCCAGGGCCACCAGCCCCACGTGGTGAGGCCCCTCCCCAGGCACAAAGGCCTCTTAGGGCCCCCTCACCTCCCACCCTGACTGCTGATGCGCAGCAGGAAACCGCTGGAAAGGCCCGCCAAGCCAGAGCTGTGGTCGGCAGCCCTGCCATCTTCCTCTGCCACAGGAAGGGAGCGAGGCTGGGCTGGCCAAGACCCACGAGGCCCCCCCTCCCTCACCACTGGCCGGGTCTGGGTTGGAGGTCACTGTGGGGCAGGGGACTCACAGCCCCTGTACAGGTGGTGGCCTGGGTGCCAGGTTCTTCCTCTCTGTCTCCCCTGCTCTGCTTCTCTCTGTCTGTCTCTGTATCTCTCCCTCTCAGCATGCGTCTCTTTTGGGCTCTCTCTCTTCATATATGGTACAGGGGCCAGGGAGAAGGTAAATGACGCGTGAGTGACCACAGCCATGGCATGGGGTTCTCCTGGGGCCTGGTTGTTGACTCAAGAGTGTTGGCCTCTGTCGGGCACGGTGGCTCATGCCTATAATCCCAGCACTTTGAGAGTGAGGCGGGTGGATCACCTGAGGTCAGGAGTTCAAGACCAGGCTGGCCAACATGGGGAAACCCCGTCTCTACTAAAAATACAAAAGTTAGCTGGGTGTGGTGGTATGCAGCTACTTGGGAGGCTGAGGCACAAGAATTGCTTGTACCTGGGAGGAAGAGGCTATAGTGAGCCGAGATTGCGCCACTGCACTCCAGCCTGGGAGACAGAGTGAGAGACTCTGTCTCAAAAAAAAAAAAAAAAAACCAGAAAAAAACAAGAGTATTGGCTTCATCTTGACTTCCAGGCCTTGGGGCTCTCCCCAATAAATCCCTGGAAAAACAATCCGTGTCCCACTATTTTAAGTGCTTCCAAGCCCCTCGCCATCCAGGCGTGCATGTATCTGGGTGTGTGCTTGTGTGTGGGCGTGTTCCTGCATGGTGCAAATGTATGTGGGGGGTGTGCATGTGTGTGGGTGCACCTGTGCATGTATGTATGTGTGTGCGTTCATGTATGTGTGCTTGTCCTGGGGGAACGCGGCGAGAAGCCTTTGGTGAGCAGAAGGCCGAAGCCAGCAGGAGGACATTGAAGCGATGGCCAATTCCCTCTCAGAAATGTGGATTCTGTGTCATGGCAGAGCTCCTGGAGGAGAACCCTGGCCCCTTCCATCCAACCTCACATCTGAGGCCTCCTCAATGCCTGTGATCCGGCCACTGATGGCTGCAGGTCTAGGGACCCACCTGTGCACTGGGACAGCCAGTCTCCAGGCCCATATCACTGTGCTCTGTGGAGGAGGCACCCATTGTGCTCCTAGGCAGCCAGTGTATTGTTGAATGCATCGAGTCACTGGGAATTGTTTCTTGGGGGATAGGCTCTCCCTTCTTGTAATGCCCCCCTCACCTTGCAGAATAAGCCTCTCTTTTCCACATGATGGCCCTGCAGGTATTTGCGTGCGGCCTGAGTACTAACCCTCCCCTGCCAGGGTAAACATCTCTGGCTCTCTCAAGCGTGTCTGAACAGGGACACGGCTGGTTTCTCACCCACATGGGACAGTGTTCTTGAGCCTCCGGTCTGTCCCCGACCCTCTCGGGTGCAGAGGCCTGGAGACCAGAGGCAACAACTCCCCCAGGGGTCCTGGTCCCGAGTACACGCTCAGGCTTTGCTGCCCTGCGGGTGGGGTCCCCTCTCTGGCCTGACAGCCTCTCCTCCCTTGTCACTCTCATTTCCCAGCCATTTCTCCTTGTCCCCGGAGGCCGGGTCCCCAACCCCTGACCAATTTAATAGTCACAGGGTGGGAGTTACACCTGGTGGCCCCTAAAGGGAGGAGCTTCCCCTCTGCCTGGTGGGCCCCCTGGGGTGACTGAGGAGGTCTTGGTTAACTCCTTCCTTCCACAGAGGGGCACCTCTGAGGGGGGCCAGGTGGGCGCTAACCCTTCCTCCAGGAGAGCCAGGAGAAGCCCTGGTCTGAGGGCCCTGAACCAGCAATGAGTGCGCTGAGAAGGGTGTGCCGGAAGGGCATGCACCGGGAGGGGCATGTTAGGAGAGGGTGCACGGGGAGGGGATGTGTTGGGAGGGGGTGCGCCAGGAGGGGTGTGTTGGGAGGGCTGTGTTGGGATGAATGTGTTGGGAGGGGTGCATGGTGAGGGATTGCACTGGGAGGGGTGTGCTGGGAGGGCTGTGTTGGGATGAGTGTGTTGGGAGGGGTGTGTTGGGAGGGGTGTGTTGGGAGGGGTGTGCTGGGAGGGGTGTGCTGGGAGGGGTGTGTTGGGAGGGGTGTGCTGGGAGGGGTGTGTTGGGAGGGGTGTGCTGGGAGGGGTGTGCTGGGAGGGCTGTGTTGGGAGGGGTGTGTTGGGAGGGGTGTGCTGGGAGGGGTGTGCTGGGAGGGGTGTGTTGGGAGGGGTGTGTTGGGAGGGGTGTGCTGGGAGGACTGTGTTGGGATGGGTGTGTTGGGAGGGGTGTGCTGGGAGGACTGTGTTGGGATGGGTGTGCTGGGAGGGGTGTGCTGGGAGGGCTGTGTTGGGATGAGTGTGTTGGGAGGGGTGTGCTGGGAGGGGTGTGCTGGGAGGGGTGTGCTGGGAGGGGTGTGTTGGGAGGGGTGTGCTGGGAGGGGTGTGTTGGGAGGGGTGTGCTGGGAGGACTGTGTTGGGATGGGTGTGCTGGGAGGGGTGTGCTGGGAGGGCTGTGTTGGGATGAGTGTGTTGGGAGGGGTGTGTTGGGAGGGGTGTGCTGGGAGGGGTGTGTTGGGAGGGGTGTGCTGGGAGGGGTGTGCTGGGAGGGGTGTGTTGGGAGGGGTGTGCTGGGAGGGGTGTGTTGGGAGAGGTGTGCTGGGAGGGGTGTGCTGGGAGGGGTGTGTTGGGAGGGGTGTGCTGGGAGGGGTGTGTTGGGAGGGGTGTGTTGGGAGGGGTGTGCTGGGAGGACTGTGTTGGGATGAGTGTGTTGGGAGGGGTGTGCTGGGAGAGGTGTGCTGGGAGGGGTGTGTTGGGAGGGGTGTTTTGGGAGGGGTGTGCTGGGAGGGGTGTGCTGGGAGGGGTGTGTTGGGAGGGGTGAGTTGGGGGGGTGCACCGGGAGGGGTGCACCGGGAGGGGGTGTGTTGGGGAGGGTGCACCAGGAAGGGCGCGCTGGGAGGGGCCAGGCCTGTGTCTGCTATCACAGTCAGGTGTGGGGTCTCCCCTGAGATGCCTGACCACATCTGGCTGCCTGTCCCAGCATGGAGGGTCCAGCCCTGCTGGGGTCCTGCTGGACCCATCTGGGAACTCCTGAAGGAGGGAGCAGATGGAGGAGGAGCTTGGACAGAACTTCAGAAGCCACTGCTTTTCTGTCTCAGATCAGAGAAATGCTCCTGAAGTGGCCCTGGGCCGTGGTTCTGGCCAGGCAGGTGGAGGCTCAGGCCTGGCTTCTTGGGCCTGTACTGTCTCTGATTCCAGAAAGGGCAGGTGCTGCCCTGACCGCTGCCTCCTCCTGCCACCTTTCCTGTCCTCTCTCGCCTTCCTCCCCAGGGTCTCTGTGCACTCAGGGCCATGCAGGGTGCTGTCGAGGCCCCTCGCTCATCGCCGCGGGCCTATGAGGTGGGTACGGTGTTGCTGCCCCATGGTACATTTTGTAGAAGAGGAGATGGAGGCCCCTGGAGACAGGGCCAGCTCCCAGCCCAGGCTGCCGGACTCCAGAGCTGTGCCATGGCTGCCCCGTGTGCTCTCCAGGGCCGACTCAAGGACCAGAGGGAGGGTCCCCGAGCCCTGTTCTGGGAGCCACAAGATTTCACGTCCTCTGGAATCCACAAAGCAGGCCTGGGCAGTCCCAGGTCCCGGTCCCTGCTTCCCTTGGCATGAGACTTGCCAGCACCCACAAGGACAGAGAGAGGCCACCACTCCCCAGCTTGGTGGCCCTCCGGCTGCCCAAGTTGCATCTGACCAGGGCCTCCCTGGGCTCTGGATGCTCCTGGAAATCAGGGATCGGTGGAAGAAACACTGGCAACAGGAACACTCAGGGAGGTGGTGTCCAAGGTCGCAGCCATGTGCACCTGAACACAGGCTCCTTACTGTACCAGGTGGGGACAGCGCCAAGGATCTGTGCCAAAGGCGATGTCTCCGCCTGCCCTAGGGCGCGAGCCCAGCCTTTCCAACCTGGGTGCGTGCTACATCCAGCCACGTCTGGGAGCCGGGCCTGTTTTGGTGTGAAGTCTTCTAGCCCTGACACCTCCAAGGCCCTCTGGGAGTCTCTCGGGGCAGGCCTGAGGCCTGGGATGTTCTCCGTGACATAGGAGGCCAGTACAGATAAGAAGTGGGTAGACGAACGAACAGATGCATGCAAGTGACCAACCCGGGCTCACTGCTCGCTTCTGTTTGCGCGTGATCAATGAACACAGGAGGGAGCCACAGAGGGAAGGAGCGGCCCAGCCCACGTCTCCACACGGCCGGCTTTAGCAGGTAGTGATCTGGAGGCCACCATGGCCACTGGGCTGTGTCTCTCTCCAGATCTGGAATCCAGTTCCCTGCCTGATCGCTGCTTAAACGCCTGGCTTTGAGTTGTTTGGGGGTGAGCCTCAGGAGTCCTAGGACCTCCAAAGGAAACTGCCCTCCTGTCCACTGTCTCCCACTCCCCGGCGCCGGGCAGCTCCCCCAGCTCATAAATCAACCCCATCAGAAATGCTGAGTTACCAAGTGAAGTGGGGGAAAATTTCTCTTAACCTTTACATTTTTTGCATATAATTTGAGGTTTCCTGCACTTCTAATTTGTGGGCTCTCTTCTGGGCTGGTCCTCCAGGTTCAGTGGGCATGGCCAGCCGCCGGCCCCGTCCAGGGTGTGCGTGCAGGTGGGAACGCCGCAGCATCCATCATCAGCTTGCCTAGTGGATTCTGAGCATGCAGGGAGGAGAGGAGCCCTGGGACGCTGCCCTCTCGGTCCCGTCTCCTGCTGCTGCCAGGAGGCTCCCCAGAAGCCCATGGCCATGGAGTCCACCTCTGACAGCCAGGAGCTGGCGGGAGCCGGGGGAGAGGGTCTCCTTACCCTGACCCCCTTCTTTAAGGACCCATGAGCTGATTCAGAGTAAGAAGCCCTGGCTATGGGGCTGTCATAGGCACATGCGCACACGTGCGCACACACAATGGTCACAATTGATGGTGTCCACGAGTAGCCGAAACAGAAAGCCCATTCTTGTGATGGAAGGAGGTGGGGGAAAGGCGTTCTGGAAACACCTCGGTCCGGTGTGAACACAGAGCCTAGGTGAGCTCATAAATCCCCATCCTGATGCCCAATAGGGGGCTGGGTGGTGATGGGACCCAGTGCTAATGAGAAATGTGGCTGGTGGGATGGGGCCACACCACGGCCAGGGACACAGGAGGCCTGGTCGGCGGTCAGCAAGCCTGGGGCCCACCTGCTTAGGCTGAGAGGGAGGTGGGAGGAGAGGAAACGAAGGAGGATGGGAGGGTTGGGGTGGGGGAAGAGTGAGGGGAGAGAGAGAGAGAGAGGCTGCTGCTTGGAGAAACAGGCAACTCTTGGCAGCCATTCCTCCAAGATGGAAGCCAGCCTCTCTCCTAAACTCGCAGAGAGAGACAGAGAGCAAGGGTGGGCTGTCTGGGGCTTGTCTCTGGAAGAAGCTGGAGGGGGCTGTGGCTCTTAGCTCCCGCCTGACTGTGGTCTCACTGGATGGTTCTCAGGCAGTGGGGCGTGCTGGGGGAGAGATGAGGGCCAGGGTCCCAGGGTCTCAGACAGCCCCAAGAGCATGGCCCAGAATTCAGATGCAGCAAGAGGACCCTGTGACCCAGTGGGACTCTGAGGGCAGAAGAAGGCCCGGGACACGTGGAGTCCACGCCTGGGGGGCTCTGCTTTTGTGTCAGTGCTGGGCAGATCTGAGGAATGCAACGCGCTAGAAAAAGAGTCACCAAATTCCACACTTTGTAGCCTCTTGGGGCCACAGACACCTTCGAAAATCTAGTAAAAGCCACAGACCAGAAATCACGGAGACACCCCAAATGCCATGTGGAAGCCCCCAGGGGTCACAGACCCTCTCCCTTCAAAAGCTCCAGTCACCCAGATGCCCTGCAAACATGGAGGCTCACAGATCATCTCCCCCTAAACACCAAGACACCGGGATGCTGTGGCGCTCCTGGGGTGCACTGACCATCTCCCCCAAAGCACCTGGACCCCAGATGCCGTGGAGCTCTGAGGGAGCGCACAGCCCTCGGCAGCCAGCCCACAGCCCAGGTTCCGGAGTTCTGCCATCTCTGCTGTGGAGTTTCCCCTTAGTTCTCTCTCTCTCCTTCGTTCCCTCCTCCCCTTCCTTCCTATTCCTATTTTCTTTATTCTTTGGGCAGGGTCTTCACTTGGGTGGGGAGCGACCTCCCAGCAGCGTCTATGAACATTGAAGAAAACTTTGGTTGAGACAGGGAAGCAAAGAGGAGTTTCCATCTGACCGTGCGCAGTGCCCAAGCTTCTCAAGGTCCCCTGGGGTGGGACTTATGCATCCTGATCTCACACCAGTGGAGGACAGGGGCCACACAAGCCCGGGCCTTGAGGCTGTGCTGTGCCCCCTGCCACAGGAGTGGTCCCTGCCCCTTCCTGCAACCTGCACATGGCGTGCTCCTGGTATGTCCCCAAACTCGGCCCCGTCACTGCTCTCCCAGCAGCCTGGGGGTGTTGGGGGCTGGGCTTCCTCTCTGGCATGTGGCTCGTCCTTCGTGGCACCTCTGAGGTTTGGCTTGTGAGCCATGGGCTGCAGCCCTGACCGTCAGAAATAAAGGAGCACACTGGTGACTCAGACCCAGGTTCTTGCATCTTTAGTGAAATGAAGGGTTGAGATACAGGCTCATGAAACACAGAACGCCTAGAGGTGATTGGCAGTGCGTGGAAAGAGCAGGGTCTGTCGAAACCTTGGGCTCGGCAGCCGGTGGGTGGACACAGTGGGGAGCACCATGTCCTGGGGGGAGTACCAGCAGGGCTTGGGCCCCTCCCTCTAGGGTGCTTCAGAGACTGACCTCTGAGTCACACAGGCCCTCCCAGCCCCGATCTCCCACCATCCTCATCGTGACAGTGTGGGGGTTGTCTGGGGTCCTGCCTCGGTGTCCCCCCTTTGGAGCTAGAAAGCCTCTTTTCTGCTTTCCAGCTGCTTGGAGGCTGTGGCTACATGCAGGCGGGGTGGGCTCTGAGGAACTGGGAGCTGGCCTTTGGCACCTGCTGAAGATGTCCTGGAGGACCCCTGTGCTCAGCCCTGCCCGGACACCGAAGGTTCTCTGCTGTGTGCCTGTGGCGGCCACTTCGGGCCACTGGTGGCTTGGGTGCCTGCTGCTCCCCCGCCTGGCTGCTCCTGCTCACCTGCTCTTTAGAATGGGGCCGTACCTGGGTCTTCCGGATAGTCAAGAAGTACAAGCACCTCTGGCCCTCTGGAAGCCTTTAGTGAGGTCCTCAGGACCCCCGAAGGGACGAACCAGCCCTTGCAGTGAGTAGGAGAGGGGCACCCAGTGAACAGGCTATGCTGTGCGCTCTGCCTTAGAGAATGCCTCTGCCTCCGCTTGCAGAGCTCCCCCTCCCCCTTCCGGAGGGTCTCAGATGTGCACAGCGGCCCCCAGGAGAAAGGCCACAGTCGCACAGAGGGCCCTTGGCTGAGCATCAGGGGCCCTCCTCACAGACCCAGGCCAGCTGCTAGGTGGCTGCTGTGCGGGGCCGGTGGGGGAGTCCTTGGACCTTCCTCTGGGGACACGTGTGTCCAGGGAGCCTCCGTCTCTGCCATACGTGTTGGGAGTAGCTTAGGTATGTTTCGCCTCTGAAAAGTTGTGTATAAACTGTATTTCTGTAACGGGGATCCCAGCTTACAGATGTGTCATTTTTAAAGGGATCCCGCATTATGGTCAAGTGGAAAGCTCTTTGCCAAGGGGGCGCCCTGGGTGCCGTTGCCTGGCTCTGCTGGCTTTGATCTGGGGACCCCAGAGCAGGGCAGAGAAGGGTCTTGTGTTGATGAGGATGTGCTGGTTTCGGGGCAGGGGTGGAAGCAGCAGCAACATGAAAAGCCGGCCCTGGCCCCTGGCGGTCAGCGGCTGGGACCCCGGGATCCAGCCCTGGCCCTCCTGAGAGGTTTGCCTCGTGCTGGCCGATATACCACACTCCCTCCAGGAGGGTATGGGGACCTCCATCCAAAGTGGCAGTCACTTTCCCACTCAGCAAGCCTCCAGGAGGACACCGAAGCAGGCCAAGCTCCACCCAGAGCTCCAAATGGAAGCAGCGTGGTTGGCTCTGGTTGGCTTTGGTTGGCTCTGGTCAACACCAGCAGCCAGGACAGGGTCTGTTCCCTGCTCTGTCTTCTTCCTGTGGATGCTTTCTGGCAGGACGTCCCAGGCTCGGCCATGTGTCCCCGTGGGGATGGCAGGGAGGGCAGCACGCGTTGGCTGGGCTCCTTCCTGGCTGCAATCCCTGCTGTTTTTCTCACGGAGGTGCAGGCTGGAGTGGGTTTGCCACACGGGGCCAGGCTGCTAGAACTGATGCCCCAGCCCCGCTTGCCCAGCACCCCCAGGAGAGAAGCTCCAGGTCCCGCGTCTGTCCTGCCTGCAGGGAGGGACCCCAGGGGTGGATCAAGTCTGTCACGCCAGGTTGACCAGGCCTGGTTCTGTGGCCTTGCAGGGGTGTTTTTCATAAGCACAGAGACGGATTTCCATGGCTGCGTAGATGACTAGGTCAAAGCAAGGATGTGGGGGCGCTGAGCCTGAACCTGCTGAGAAACGTCTGCAACGACGGCCTGGGACTTCCCCCCGAACCCCCTGGCTCCCCGAGGAGGTGTCTGGAGTCTCCACAGTGTCTACTTGCCCAGATGTGGGTCACCGCAAAGGCACGCTGGGGCGGGGCTCTCACTGTCTCTCCAGGGCATGGCGATTTCCGACCTCAAGGAATCTAGGGGCTCTAAGGAGACTCTGGGTGTGAATGCTCTGGCATTGTTGCCGTTTCCCGCCGGCACTGCAGCAGGGGGACTGAGACTGTCCCGTGGAGCTCGCATGCAGAAGCCGGCTCCCCTAACCCCCGTGCTCCCAAGAAACCCCAGCTCTGAGGAGACTCTTGTGTGTGCCTGAGCTCAGCCCCGCCCCACTGGGTGTCCTGCTCCTTACGAGGTGGAAGCATCCATGTCTGGTCCTGCGGCGGTGAGAGTTTGATGCCCAAGCTGCTGATATAACAACATCTGGGCAATTTGGACTGGTGAAGGCCATTGGTGCAAAATCCCCCAAACCCCGCTAGCTGGTAAGTCATTCCCCGAGCCCGCAGGCTCTGCATCAGGCCCTCTCCCCACCCCATAGCAGGCCCCACACCAGTCCCTGCTCCTTAGGCTGGGCCCAGAACCCCGTCCGTGGCCCTGACTCAGGCTCTGGAGGAGGGTGGGATCTGGGGCAGCTGTGCCAGAGCAGCAGCTTCTCCACCCAGAGCAGGCTGCCATAGTTCAAACATTAACAGCTCTAACAGTTGTTCAAACCTGAATTTGATTTAAGTTGGGTCAAGAGCAGGAGGAGGCTCTGAGCCTGAAGGTTGCACGTTACCGCAGACTTGGCTGTGACATTCTCAAGTGAGATACTTTTGTTTTGGTTTGGTTTTTGAGCATAGCAAAGATTGGAAAGAAAAAAAGCCCAACAGCCCCAAACCAAAGGCTTGTGGCAACTCCTTGCCCGGGGTGAGGCGGGAGCCCAGGTCGCCCACAGGAAGCGGTTTCTCTGTGAGGTGACACGAGGCCCTGGGAAGTGTCACATTCATAACCTTTCTCTGGCCACTTAGATGGTGACACACTGCAGAGCTTGTAAACGTGGCACCCCACAGCAGATGCGGGAGGAATTCTTCATGATGGGCTGAGCTGATGCAGCTTGGGGTGGGGGTTCCCTAAAATAGCTGGCTTGCACCCTGGAGCCATGGGAAGCAGGGCCTTTGGGGCAAGCCCAGAACTTTCCTTTGTTGGAGAAAAGCCCCCACGTGTGGCAGCTGAATGACAGGCTGAGGAACCTACCAAGGACCCCTGGGGTCCCTCACCCAGCTCTTCCCCGTTGGTTGGTTCCTGAGGGGTTTGTGCATGATCTCAGTAAGAGCTGTGCAGAGGCTCATGGCCTGGTCACCCTCAGGCCCTCTCAAATGTGCAGGCTGCACACAGGGAGTGACTTCCAGATGGACCTTAGGAGGACCAGACACATTTGAGCGGGAGCAGCTCAGAGTCTTCTCATCCGCTTATTCTCTGGAGAGGCCAGTGCTATGCAGAGCTGAGGCCCACAGGTGCTGAGACTCACCACTGAGTCATTGGATGCTCATGTCTCCCCCAGGGGTAGCCACCCTCATATCCACATTTGTCAATAAGGGAATGGAGGCACAGAAGAGTTAAGTAATTGGCCCAAGTTTGCACAGCCAGAAAGGGCAGATGGGCTGGGCGGTGGGTGCTGGCTGTCCACCTGACTCCTTTCACACTGTCAGGACCAGCGCCATGCACCTTGGCTCGCCCTGCCCTGCTCACTCTCCTCTAATTGATGATGGTAGCCAACAGCAACTGAAGCTCTTCCAGGGCCTCACCCAGGATCAGTGTTCAGTCAGGGCTCACTGAATGTTTCCATGAATGGATGGATGGATGGATGAATGGAAGGATGGGTGAGTGGGTGGGTGGATGGATGGATGGGTGGGTGGATGGATGGATAGATGGTGGATGGGTGGGTGAGTGGGTGGATGGATGGGTGGGTGGATGGATGGATAGATGGTGGATGGGTGGGTGGATGGATAAATGGATGTATGGATGGATGATGAATGGATGAATGGGTGGATGGATGCATGGGTGGGTGAATGGATGGGTGGATGGACAAATGGATGAATGGATGGATGGTGAATGGATGAATGGATGGATGATTCAATGGATGCATGGATGGATGGGTGGATGGATGGATGTGGAATGAATGGATGAATGGATGGTGGATGGATGAATAAACGAATGGATGGATGGATGGGTGGATGGGTGGGTGGGTGGATGGATGGATGGATGGATGGATGGATAGATGGTGGATCGGTGGGTGGATGGACAAATGGATGAATCAATGGATGGTGAATGGATGAATGGGTGGATTACTGAGTGGATGCATGGATGGATGGATGGTTGAATGGATGGTGGATGGGTGGGTGGATGGATGAATAAATTAATGGATGGATGGGTGGGTGGATGGATGGATGAATAGATGGTGGATCGGTGGGTGGATGGACAAATGGATGAATCGATGGATGGTGAATGGATGAATGGGTGGATTATTCAGTGGATGCATGGATGGATGGATGGATGAATGGATGGTGGATGGGTGGGTGGATGGATAATTAATGGATGGATGGGTGGGTGGACGGATGGATGAATAGATGGTGGATGGATTAATAAATGAGTGGATGGATGGATGGGGAGCAGACCCTCCCCTCAACTTGCCCAGACACTTATGGCTTCCCCAACTTCGTATGGTGAGACACAAGGGAACACCATTCCAGGAGTTGTCATGGTGGCAGAGCACAGGACACCTCTCCTGGGAAGCCTGCCCTGGTCCCTCACATCAGGGTGAGGCTCCTCTCAGACACTCTCACAGTCCCTGCCCTTCTTAGCATGGACACTGCACTGGGCCATGGCTATCACGTCGCAGGTCACTTCCTCTCCTCTGGTGGGTGGTGGGGCTGGAAGGTTTTATCTGGCTGATTCCCAGAGCCAGGCAAACCATGAGTGCTCAATGCATGCTTGGGGAACAAATGAATGAATGAAGGCGCCTCCAGATGACTGAGACTGTCAGCCAGCACTCCCTATGCCTCCGTTTCCCAGGGGTCTGTCTTCATCCCTCCATTTCAAATCCTTTCCCTTCTTATTCACGGGCTCTGCTGAGGGATGTGGAAAGCCTTTTCCTGGTTACTTGCCTCTCTGGAAATCAGAGTTGCAACATTTTCCAGATCATTGTCCTCTGGAAAGTGTTATGGTTGCAATTTTCCCCTAGGTGCAGTGTCACAGTGGCCAGTCTCCCCAAAGCAGAGGCCACGGTGGGTTTGTTCATCTCAGCACCCTTTGGGCCCTGGCACATAGTAGGTGCTTAGCAAAAGTCTGGTTGCATGGAGAAGGGCCAGGATGGATCCAGCCCAGTTATATTTAGTGCCTTCCCTGCAGCTGACTCAGTCTCTCCGAGCCCATCCTTCTTTCTTCTCCCTGTGACACGCCGGGCTGGAGGAGCTCAGTGACTCACTGCCTTTCGTATCAGGCCTGATGTTTTGAGATCAGCTCTTGCAAATAGCTCAAATCTCAACAGGCCAAGTCTAAGCAAATACCTTGCCAATCCCTATAAAGAACAGCTCTTGCTGCTCTTTGACATACAAAAATGGTCATTGGCAAAGGATTCTTGGTGCAGACAATGTTGTCTTTGGATGCCCTGCAAATAGCCAACTCTGGTTTCTTCCCGGACTAGGCCCAGGTATGCGTGCATAAAAAGATGCTGGCCTGGGCCTCCTTTTGGCTTAATTGAGAGAGACATGCTTTTCCTCCAAATGGTTCTTTATAATGATTCTACTTCCCAGGATTTCTGTTTTTCTCAGCAGAGCCTGGAGCTCAGCCACAGTCCGGCTGGTTGTGTGGAGAAGGGCCCCAGGGCCCGTGAACTGGAACGAATCAGCCCATCCTTTCTCCTCATACCCAGCTGCCCAGCGGATGTGGAAGAACGGAGATGCTGGAAACTGCAATGCCGGATATCTGGATGACACAGGCTCCTTCCTGGATGATCTGCTTCTCAGGTGGTAGCATCCCAGCCAGAGACCACCCAGATGCTCGGTGATGGGCTTTGAGCTGTGTGCTAAGCCCACCCTTGGACGTGAACTCTGCTTAAGACATCTCCCTTGGAAGCCAAAGCTGGCTTCCTTCCCAAACCGTGGGCACGATGGGCCAGATCGGCAAGTTAGGAAGTGATTCACAGACAGAGGTGCTGCAGAGTCAGTTTTGAATGACAAATGGAACCAATTAAGTTCAATAGCGCGCTCGCTCCCCCCGAGTTCCAGCCTGTACCTACAGCTAGTCACCTTTGACAAAATATATCAAAGGAATTAAGAGTGTGTCCCCCACAATGATATTACCTGGATCCCTTTCAGGTCCTCACCAGCCACGTTCAGACATCTATTTAAGCCCAGGAAATAGAATCAAAATGGTTTATTAAAAATCTAATCACAAGCACTTATATGACACAAATGATTCTGAACTGCATCCGCCAACCCCACGGCCTCTCCGAGGGGAGGCAGCATGCGGCCGATTACCCGGAATTTGAATGGGGGTGTATAGAAGCTGCAGAACATTTTAATCCTGATCTTTCTTTGTGGATTTTGCTATTGCTATTTTTTTTTCTGTTGAAAAAGACAAAGATGGGAGGACACATTGTCTTTCCTCCCTGGAGGGAGCTGCAGAGATGACTTATTCTGGCAGATCTGCCTCTATTGATGTTACCAGGATGTGAATAAAAACTCATGGGAAAAGAAGAAAAAATCCTGCTGAATTTAAAGCAGCACAACACGGTTTACGGGTGGGTCCCTGTCTGCTATCCTGAGCCAGGACACCTCCCTGGTGACTGCATTGGAGCTTTCTCAAGAGGAGGGCCTTGTGCAAAGATGGCCCCTTTCCCCTCAGGGTGGGAGCGGCTGGGCTTGGGGGAGACACTGTCTTTGGGGTGAGGCATGGTTCGTGGCCTTTGCTTGGCTTTTGACTTTCTGGAGCTCTGGATCCTTCACAGATGCTCAGAACAGCCATGGATACAGAAGAGTCTCCTACGGTGTCTTCCTGCCCGGGGCCCAGCCAGAGCCAGGGCTCCACCACCCAGGGCTCAATCATAGCACTCTTTTCTGGTGGCCAAGACCCCCGCAAACTTCTCTCCAGACAGAGGTGTCGGAGCCTGGCCCGTGTTGCGGCTCCTGAGCTGGGAAGTCCGCCACGAGGAAGCATCTGTCGGGACTGCCTCCTAATGAATGTCAGGTGCCTGCGTCAGCCACGGGCGGGTGGCTCTGGAAGGACCAGCAGGTTCTCAGCGATGCATGATTTCGGTAGGTTGCCCTCACCTCCTCCCCTCTGTTGGGAATGGATAGACTGTTTTCTAGAAGGTTCCCTGACTCTTTGAGGGGATTGGGCCCTCTGGCATGTCAGGTACAGAATGTTCCCCAAACCCTTCATCTCTGTCCCCTCCTCCAGCTCTCTGCAGATGATGACTTTACTTTTACGTTAAGTTGCTTTTGTTTAGTCTTCCTCTCTAAACAACAACTACTTTTAAATGATTTTTTAAAGTACAAAGAGTTAGTTTGATTCTTCCTCAAATGCCTTCTTTTGAAGACAAGCTTGCCTTTTCGATTTCATATCCCATTTAATTAAAACAAAATATAACAGAATCATAACACTGAAAATCAGTGTACTCACTACCGGCTCCATTAATTCTTATCAGTATAAAACATACATTCAGAAGTGTAAGTGCTTTAAAATACACTCCTTCCACTCTTGCCAATATGTTCTATTTATACACGTAGTCTACAGCGGGGAAGAAGTTCTCCTTGTGAACCTAGGGAACCACAGGACCGCACGTGTTTTTGGACAATGGACGCTTGAGCCCGGCACTTTTGAGAGCTGTTGGGCCGGCAGCTGTCACATTCCAGCCACTCCCCAAAAGCCATTTGGCTGTGGGTGCGTTAGGCCTGGGATCAGCTGAAAGGTAGCATCTAGGGGTGTCCCCACCTGGCTCAACCACAGCAAAGAGCTTGAATTCAACTTTCCTCTGCCAGACAAGACCCCTCCCAAGTCACGTCTGCCATGAAACCCGCACACGCTTCCTGTCCAAATGGAGCAGAGACCTCCCCATGGCAGTTATGTTCTTGAGCCGCAAACACTAAAGATGCTTGCTCCATCAATTTTTTTTTTTTTGAGACAGAGCTTTGCTCTTGTTGCCCAGGCCAGGCTGGAGTGCAATGGTGCCATCTCGGCTCGCTGCAACCTTTGCTTCCCGGGTTCAAGAGATTCTCCTGCCTCAGCCTCCCCAGGAGCCGAAATTACAGTGGTCCAACACCACGCCCGGGTAATTTTTTGTATTTTTCGTAGAGATGACGTTTCACCATGTTGGCCAGACTGGTCTCGAACTCCTGACCTCAGGTGATCCACCGGCCTCGGCCTCCCAGAGTGATGGGATTACAGGCGTGAGCCACTGTGCCCGGCCCTTGCTCCATCTTTAACCGGTCGTCAGCATCCTGAAAACAAAGCCTAGCAAAACAAAACACGCACGTGCAGCCCCCTCACTCCCCGGGATGCTACAAAGTTCTCTTTGTGCACTACAGACCGGGTAGACTGACGTGGTGTTCACAGACACGGTTACAGCCTGATGTTATGCAATAGCATGTTAACCACACATTCTAGTAAAAAAATAAAATAAATAATAATAAACATTTGACCTAGAGTAGAGATCTTTCACGAGACGCCCTAATCATTTTTCTGCTCCGACCTCAGTTTTTTCTGGAACTGCTCCAGCAAGCCCAGGGTGGTGCGACGGCCTTTTTCTCTCTGGGAACAAAAGGTCTTTTTTAGTCCTCAGGGCTGTCAAGATTATCCAAATATTCTCAGCTTACTACTAGCCCCTTTCTGAATTGATATTTCCAATAAAAGGACACTTTGTATCTTTAAGCCACACTGGCCCCCGGAGCAGGCTACGGAGGCTGGGAGGCCCGCTGCACAGCCCTGGTCGGCACAGCCTGGGAGATGGGTGGGAAGAGAGTGTCCCGGCATACTGAGCGCGAACAGGCATGGAGGGCCCAGGGCAGGGGACACGGCCGTCCACTTGAGGGGAGAAGGCAGAACCCACAGAGAGTGCGTGCCTTCCCGTCAGGACATCAGCGCGTCCCGGAGTCCTGCTGCACTGGGTCTGATTTTGGCCAAGCCTGTCTAGTCTGCGAGCGGCCGCCAAGCGCATTAAGTCATGGTCGTGCTCAGTGGCAGGAAAGAATTCATTCCAGCCGGACCAAGCTGTGCGAAGCCTGTGTTCTCCGGCTGTCGGCACATCGGGGCGCTAGAGCCCCCCTGAGCCACAGGTCAAGGGTTATTTCTTAGCCTCACCTCTTCGCCATCTTCCCAGACCCTCCCTGGCCCCACAGGCCAGTTCTGTGCGTATGTGGCATGAACATGTATGTGTATGTGTGTGTGCGTGCGCGTATGTGTGCATGTTTGTGTGCGTGTGTGCGTGTGTGTGCATGTGTGCATGCGTGTGCGTTTGTGTGCATGTGTGCGTGTGTGTATGTGTGCATGTGTGTGCACGTGCATCCCTGCGCACATAAACACGTGCAGCTGACAGCCTTCAAAGTCGTCCCTGCAGCCCCACAAAGGGCATTTCCTTCCACCCCAACCTCCTCCAAACGGCTCTGATTAGCACAAATGATAATTCTCATTAATCACCTTTGGCTGCTGCAGAATGGAAACGAGGCCGCGGCGAGGTGACGGGAGCCACTTAGGCGGGATTTATGACCTGTGTGTGCAGTGGCAGCTTCAGGGCCTGACACCTCTGCCTGCAGCTAACATTCAGGGCCGCTGGCTGCCTAGCACAGAGCCCCCAGTATTCCCTCTCCTTGTCTGTTGGCTGACTCTGGGGGCACCACCAACCCCATGGATCACCCCATGGTCCAGAGCTCTTTCAGGTCCTGTGGTGGAATACAGTGGGGCTTTGGGGTGTGGGCCTGCCCAATATAAGGAGGAAGAGGCGGGAGGGAGCACTTGTATTGGCCAGGAGGTCCCCTCCTCACTGCCTCTCCTTCCTTCCCAAACCCAGCCACACGCGCCTTTCCTCTTCCTGACCCTCAGGGGCAGGGACAGCCCCCAGCCCAGGGGTGGGGAACCAGATCTGGCACACGTGTGACACACAGTAGGTGCTTGGTAGGGGTTTGTTGGTGCCACAGCAGGCTGAGTGTGTGGCAGAGGAGGACGGCGGCACAGGGCGCCCAGGGTCACTGCGCCCACCCAAGGCCCCCTGGGCACTGCCAAGCTCCAGGCGGGGGGCCATGCGACCCGACTCCCACTTTCCTGAACAGACCCAAAAGGAACCCACAGTGCCAGCTCCAGGTTGCTGCCCTCGCCCACTGGCCGAGTGGGTCCCTGGCTCAGAGAAACCTATTTTCTCCTGGGGACCCTGGTGCCTTCCCTTCCTTTGCATCCCCTGGGAGGAAACTTCAGGGGCCCAGCACTGGGTAAGGCTTTCCCAGGCTGCACGAGGGAATGAGGGACGGCGTACACACACAGCCCTGGCAGCGTGCAGAAGGCAGCGCTCGCCAGGTGGGAACAGCAGCACCCAGAAACCACAGGGTCCCCGAAAACATGCTGCTTCCTTCCGAAGCAACGTGTCCTGCTCGGGGCACCTGGCTGAGGCTGCGCGGGCCCATGTTGGGCCTCTGGGCCTCCTGGCCCGGCCATGAAAATTAAAGCTTTGCTCTGCCTCTGGTTTCCATAAGGCCCGCCTGTCCCCCGCGCAGCTGAGTGGGGGAGGAAGTCACTGCCCGGCAGCAAATAACTATGCTGCTGTCCAGCCTGCTTTAATTTTGCCCTTGCACCAGGGGGCCACGTGCAGGAGCCCAGGGTCATTACTAGGCTGTTGCCGGGGGTGAGGGGCTGAGCGGTGGGAATCCTGGATGTGGACGGCTCAGTGGAGGCCTGGGTTGGAATGGAAGAGGAGCCATCCTCCGGGGGCTTGTCCAGAAAGTGCCCCAGATAGGGTGGGTGTCACCGTGTTAACCTCTGAGCGCTTCAAGAGGCTGTGGCTCCTTGTCGGGCACTTTTGGGTTTGTAAATTACCAGGTCAAGGTGAGGCTGCCAGGCAGGACGACTTGGGGGCCACTTCATGGAAAACCAGGGGCCCCTGAAGAACCGATAAACCACCCACAATACAGACCTCCGCCCAGGACCTCACGCCGAAGGAAAAGCTTTGCTCTGTCTTCTTTTCAAGCACATTCACTGCCACGTCGTGGCCACGGTGGGGTGGATTTGGGTGGGTCTGACCCCTATTCCCTTCCAGAAACCCACCTGGAGCTCTCGGAGGACTGAGGCTGCGTAGCAGGACTTTGCATCTCATCCAGCAGTTTCTACGCCAGAGGCCACGTGCAACAAGATGCGGGGGAGGCATGTGAACTTCCCCCCCGCAGACAAAATGAGGGAACTCATGAAGGGCTAAGGTGTGCGTAGCGGGCTGGCTCGGGGGGCGGGGGGCGCTGCCTTTAACTCATGAAGGGCTGAGGTGTGCGTAGCGGGCTGGCTCAGGAGGTGCTGCCTTTGGCCGGGCTGCTTTAGCTGGAGGTGGGAGCTGCAGCGGGCCCGTGTTGTGATGTTTGGAGTTTTCTGCTTTCTCCTCCTTCCTTCCTCCTCCTTCTCCTTCTTTGAAAGGATTTTGGTCCTGACATTTCAGCTTCCTGAGTTTTTCCTCCTGGGTGGCTGTGGTCACCTTGGAAAAGGACCTTCAAGTGGGCAATTCTGAGCTGTGCACCTGCCCCCCGGCCACTGTGGGGGCTTGTTTCCAAGGGGGCCTTATTGGGGGGCAATGGGAGCTCACTATGAATTTCATGCTCATGAAATCAAGGCAGGATAAGATTCTCACAAAGGAAGACACCCATGGATGGCACTCAGGATGCCCCAAGAAAATCAAACTGCCCGAATGCAGGATCTGGGCCTGAGAAGGGCTTGGCAGAGGCTTCCAAGTCCCAGCTCCCCCGTGCTCACCGGGATCCCTCGGCCCCGAGCATCCAGGGACCAGCAGCCCAGAGACTCCCTCCCTGCTGGGAGGAAATTCCCGGAGAAGAATACCTTCCTGGGGTATGTTTAATTAAGGGCAATGTGAGCTTGTCCATCTCATGTGGGACGCTGCTGTGTTCAACAAGTTGTCAAAGGAAAATGACAGTGGACAGACAGCAGTTAATGGGACACCCGTCTTGAGAGGCGGGCAGCCCTTCTCACACTGTCGCGGGCCCCGAGATGCAGTCAGGAGCGGACAGCAGCCTTTTACCACCCGACCCCCGGGCTGGAGGACTTTGAGCATCTGCCTCTGGTCTCCCCAGGGGAGGCTGGCTGTGATGGGCCTTGCCCAGTCAGAAAGGCCCCACTCCGGCAGGGTGGGGTAGCAGCTTCTCACATGCCAGGGTCCTTCTCTCTGCTCCCTGGAGAGCAGCCAGGAGGGGCTGATTTGCCCCTACATAATGATGCACGCTGTGGTGTCTTCAAATCCCGAGACCACGCTGAGCTGGAAAGAGGGCTCGTTCCTGTGTGAACCCCGAACAGTTCTGGGGCCAGCTGAGAGTGTGCTACAGGGAAGGCTGTGCTGCTCCTGGCTCCCCGACACTCCCTATGGCTCCCCGACGCTCCCTGGAGCAGGTCAGGGCAGCCTGGGAGGAGACCGTCCCACGGGGGGGATTTTAGGATCTGTGAGGTTGTGAGGAGACCCGGCCGGCTTTGTGACAGCCTCAAGAGGGCTCCAACTTCCAGAAGATTCTTCCTGCTGTGGGATCTGTGGTAGCTGCTTCCAGAGAGTTCTGATGACTCCTACTCTTTAGAAAGGACCATCTGTGACCCGAAGGCCCTCGGCAGTCCCAGGCGACCCTGCTTCCTCTTCTCCGTCTTCCACTGGTTCCCACCGTGAGCCTGGCCTGGTGGACCCCGATGACACCCGAGCCCCACCCTGCTGAGCTGTCTTGGCCCCTCCTGACCCATCTCTGCCTGCCCCACTCCCGGGCACCTCCCCAGCCTCCTTTATATTTCCTTGGCTCTTCTTGCCGCAACCATGACCGCCCGTTGTGAGCCCGAGTCTGCTTTGATTGCCTGGTTCCCAGGTGGAAGGACGCCTGGGTGTCCCATGCAGAGGGTGGACAAGCATACACACCACGTGCCCGCTATGCATGGCTCCAGAACTTTCCATCATGTTTGACATTTGCACTCACTCATGTGCCGGTGGCACGTCTGCTAGAAGGAGGACAGGGTCACCAGGACTAGAATGAAGACAAAGGCAGGGGAAGGAGTTGAGGCCACTCCATGCTCCTTGGAGAAATGTCTGCCTCGGGATGGGACTGAGTGAACACAGGTGTCTTCCTTCACCTTCCAGACAGATGTCCCCGGGACCAGCTGGCTACCAGCAGACACCCCTCCCGGGCCACAGTCACTTCTCACCACCTGCCCTCCTGGGCCACGGTCACTTCTCACCACCTGCCCTCCTGGGCCACGGTCACTTCTCACCACCTGCCCTCCTGGGCCGCGGTCACTTCTCACCACCTGCCCTCCTGGACCGCAGTCACTTCTCACCACCTGCCCTCCCTCCTGGGCCACAGTCACTTCTCACCACCTGCCCTCCTGGGCCACAGTCACTTCTCACCACCTGCCCTCCTGGACCGCAGTCACTTCTCACCTCCTGCCCTCCCAGACCGCGTCACTTCTCACCACCTGCCCTCGCTCCCGGGTCACAGTCACTTCTCACCACCTGGTCACATAGCCTTCTGTTCCACTCTTCACCCCAGCCCATGTGGGGTCTTCTCCAAAAGCCCCACAACACCATCCTTCCGATTCCCCATCTGCTCCCGATCCGAGGAGCTCACAGTTGGGCCGGTGTTATGCCCCAGGTGAGCTTCAGGGTTCCAGCTGGGTAGGATGTGGACTGTGGCATGCAGGAACAGCAGGGCCACGTTCCACAGATACCCTTTTCTTTGTAGCCTTTTCCTTTCCTCCACAAAACTGCAATTATCTTGTGCTACACACAACTTTCAGGGGTCGTTCTGCCTGCTGGCTGTGAGGGAGGGGGCAGCTGCCCAGACATCGGTGGAGGGTCTAGGCCATGAGTGCTCAGTGTGGCTCTGGGTCCTGGACGGCTTCAACACGTCATCCCCAGAGACCCCGTCTCCAGCCCTGTTGGGGGCTGGCGTGCAGCTGAAGCCCATGCTGAGGAGGGTCCCAGGGGAGACGGCCCACAGGCTGTGACGGTGAAAGCAGCTGCTTGGTTTAAAGGGGGACGGGGGCCTCCCAAAGGGTATCTGTGGCACCCTCTGTCCACGCCCCAGAGCCGAAATGTGAGGCGAGGAATGCTGCCTCTTAAAACTGTCCCCACTTCAAAAGGCCTTTCCTGCGCTCAATGGAACGCTGTTCCGCAGACACTGCCGCCGTTGTTAGTCAGTGTCCTCGCTCCAGCACACACAAGTGGCTCCGCCGAGAAAACGAGAGTGCATAGACTCCGGCCGCCAGCCACCTGCCTCGTTCCCGCCGCGGGACGGCACCCGCACATCTGGCCCCATGTTTGTGACTTTCCAGGGATGTTCCACTTGGGGAAAATGCAGTGGCCTGGTCCCAGCAGGGCCTGAGTCAGGGGGTCCTGCTGGGAGCCAGGCGGGTGGGATGGCTCTTCCGCTCCTGTTGTCATCTGCGGGCGCTGTGGCCACAGCACTCGGTCAGTTGGACTCCTGTCCCGATGGGCGTGCTGGGCCCTGTGCTTGTCCCACCCAGGTCTGCCCAGAGGCCCACGTAGCCTTCTCTCCTCCCCACGGGACCTAGGGAGGGCATCAGAGTGGCACCTGGCTCTGATGGCCCTCCTCCTCTGCTGTGAGCGGGGGTCTCTGGATGTAAGGGCAGTGACTGGACAGCCACAGAGCAGTGGACACCTCTTCCCAGCATCTACGCCACAGTCCATCCCGCACTTGGACCGGGCTCTGCTGGGGGCTCACTGGCAGGTCTGGTGCCTAAGGACAACGTGTCGGTGGTGTCAGCCGGTGACAGAGGTGAACCAAAACCTCTGGCATAGTTCTTAGCCTCTGTTTCTGGCTGGGGACCTGTGGCCCGGCACACCCATCACAGAGCATGAGGGTGCTCCATCCTGGCAAGGCAGAGCCTAGAAGACTTGTTCATCCAACAACAAAGAGCCAGCACAGGCTCCAGAAGACTCCGCTGCTTCTAGAGGGGACTGGTCGCTCTGGCCCGCAAGCGCCCTCAGCTGCATTCGAGCTGCCACAGAAAACGTGTCCTGGGCCTCCCGTTCCCGATCAAGAACACACAAACTCTGCACATATGTTCAGCATTACAGCGCCATGTCCTGGACGATGAGATAAAAGAAGTGTTCGATTCATTTACCAGAGCTTTCAGAGATGTGACAGTTGGGGACAAGGGATGGCGGCCCGCTAACGGGAACGCATGGAGTTAATTACGTTTGCTGTTGCTTCTCACTGGCTGCTGAGCCGGCTGAAGGGACCTGTTCTGAGCCGGGCGGCCTTCTGTGAGGAGCTGGCTGCCGTCTTTGCGTGCACACGGCATCCGTCTTCCAAGAGATCCTGCACATGGAACACATTGGAAGCCCTTGTCGGGTGCCACCTTCTAAGTAAACATCACTTTGAGCACGGGCGTGGTTTCAGGCCAGGCTCGTTTTTCCCGCCTTGCCTTCTGGCTGCCGCTGAGGGATCAACCCAGTGCGTTCCCCTCAGGCACACAGAGGACGCTTTTTTTCCAAGGGGGAAAGAAGTCAAGATTGCCAAAAATTTTCTAAAGACCCTTTAAGACAAGGCCCAGAGAGATGGGGCTGTGAGTGCTGAGGAGGATAAACAACGGTGACAGGTGGAGGGGAGGCTGAAACCCGAGCCTGGAGTAGCTGCAGGGAGAGATGCGATGCAGATGGTGCAGACAGGCTCACCTCGGGAGGCTGCAGCCACTGCTCCCGGGCCGCAATTCTTGCTGCTTTGTGCTTTTTTAAGTGTGTTTACTTAGAAGGTGGCACCCGACAAGGGCTTCCAATGTGTTCCATGTGCAGGGTCTCTGGAAGCTCTGCCTCAGGCCCTGGTCGGAAGGGAGACCCTGATAGTTCTGAGGCTGTTTTCATGGACATTGACATCCAGGACAAAGGCAGCTGCCCTTGGCCAGGAGGGTCAGCAACTTCAACAAGTCTGCATTTAAAAATGTGTATAAGCCTGGGGAACATAGTGAGACCCCAAGTCAACACAAAATGGACATATTAACTAGGCACGGTGGCACCTGCCTGTAGTCCCAGCTACTCGGGAGGCTGAGGAGGGAGGATCGCTTGAGCCCGGGAGGTGGAGGCTGCAGTGTGCCGTGATGGAGCCACTGCACTCCAGCCTGGGTGACAGAGTGAGACCCTCCAAATAATGGACATTGGTTGATTTGAAGACTCTAGTTGGCCAGTGAGGACTCCGCGAGTCAACTGGCTGTAATGCGACCCAAGATGACAACATGAGCCACAGCGGCTGTGCTTTCCCCCTCTGATTCCTCATGGGAGCCGGCCATGGAGAACATCTTCACGGCTTCCCCACCTCCTCTGCGGCCCAAGAGGGGTGTCTGTTTTCCTCAAAATGGCTTGAGTTTGGAATGAGCTCCCTCCTCCCCGGCAGGAATCATCACACACTGTGACTTTGTGGAGACTGGAAGGAGGTGGGACTCACACACAGTGTCCTGGGTTTGGAGCAGGTTACTCAGCTCTGATCGCGCACACGTGGCGATATTTGTTCACGGGAGCCCCAGCCGGCCTGCTGCTCTGGGAAGGATGGTCTGTGTCGTGTTCCAATCGGAGATGTTTCTGAGCTCTTCGGAGAGGGCTGAGGGCAGGAGGGAGGGGTCCGAGAGCTCCTCTTCCGGCCCCAGTGGAGAATTCGGGGCTCTGCCTGGTGACGGGAAAGGGAACACTGGAACCTTATTCCAGCTGCATCCGAAGCCGCGGCTGGGAGTCTGGGGCGCAGCGGCTGCCTCTGGAGACAACACCTCCTCCACTGTGGGAGATTTTCTGTACCCGCCGAGGTCTTTTGCCATCAGTCCCCATGGCTGCCACCCACTGCCCAGGTCTTCTCCAGCACCCTCAGCCAGGGGGAAGGTCTCGCATCCAGAGAAGACCCAGTTCAGGACCTGCGTAACTACGGTTCCCCAGCAGGCAGGCTGGGTCCCCAGGAGGCAGAACCGGGAGTCTCATGGTGACTTTATCTGTGTACAGGGAGGAAGACAAACTTCCCTCCAAGGCCAGAAAGTGGCCTATTGCACCGTGTCTGTGTGGTCCACGTTGCCCTGGGCAAGGGGGTCATGGCCAGGCCCACTGTGTGGTTCCGGGATGGACCCACGCGTGAGGCCAGGCCACTGGGCACCGCCGTTAGCCAGGGCAGCCTCCTTCAGTGGTCAAGGCAGACTCAGCTCATGGGCGAGCATGTCAGTGAAGGGCACAGCAAGGCTCACGAGTGGGCCTCTTGCCTCATGGTCAGTGTGGGTCAGTGCTTTCGCTGTATGAGACCACAGGGTTTCTCTGCCTCACCATGGGGGACGATTGGGTCTGGGTCACTTCCTGCTGTGGGACCTGTCCTGGGCACTGCAGGATGTGGGGCAGGGCTCCTACGTGCCAGCTACCAGATGCCAGCAGCACCCCCAGAGGTGACAACCACAACCATCTCCAGGTGTTGCCAGTGTCCCCTGGGGGTCAGAGTGGCCCTGGGTTGAGAAGTGCTGCTGGAAGGCCACTGCTCCGGAGGCAGAGGCGCTCGCGGCCATGGGCGTAGACGACTGGGCAGGAAGAGGGTGGGTTAAGCGTCAGAACAGGACTGAGGATGATGCCCTGTGGGCCGGCTGCCCCTCTCCATCAGCACTGGCTGGGGGCCCGTGGGGGGAACGGCGCTTCCTGGATCAAGGGGAAGGAGGGGCGGATCCAGGGCTCTGGAAAGCTCTGACCCTGAGCCTCCTGGGGCCACTGGCCAGGCCCCGTGGTGAGACTCTCCATCCTGCCTGTCGACTGTGCTCCATTTCCCACGGCTGGAGCTGGAGACCCAGGAGGGAAGCACACGGCTGAAGGTTTTCCAGCTCGGGGCGGGGGGTGGGGCTGGCATTTAACAAGAGGCCACTAGGTGTATCCAGCCATGAAGAGCAGGAATGCAGCCTTCGTTTTCAGGAGGGCACAGCAGGGCCTAACAGTTAGGTCCCCGTTCATGGCCCAGGTGGAGGCACGCAGACCCTGGGGGCCAAGAGCCAGGTCCGCCCGCAGGTGGACTGGCTGCTGAGGCTTCCCAGGGCCCGGCCCCAGACAGCAGAGACAGGGCCGGCATGCAGCCTTCCTTGGGGCTGGGGGTCCTTCGCACAGCAGAAACTCCTTTTCTGCACCCGCCTGAGGATGGCAGCAACTTTCAGGGTCCTCAGTTGGGGCTGCTGTGGGCAAGCTGCAGCTGGGTGTAGCCTCTGCATCTGGACAAAGTCCAGGCAGTGTGTTTGCTCCAGGGTCTGTGGGATGGAAAGCAAAGCCACCCGGCTCTCAGGAGACTCGGCCCTCCCGCTGCCGGGATCCGGGGTAGCCAGCCGGCACCTGGGTTCTGAGGGTCCCTACAGTTTATCGATCCCAGAGCTGGAGATAAGGAACCGCCACACTGGCCCGGTCTCCAGGACTCTCACCTCTGAGCCTGGATCTGTCCCGTGCCCACCTTCCCGAGCTGCTCGATCTGCCCAGTGACTTCACATCTCCTGCTGTCAGCTTGCTGGTCTGTAAAGTGGGTTTAGAGACAGTGCCTCCTCCTGGGGCCGCTCTGGGGCAGGCTAAGATCATCTATGTGAAGCGCTCCTTAGAACAGCGTCCAGACACAGCAAACGCTCCATGGGCTGTCTTGGCAGCTGCGGCTTTTATTTTTAAATACTCTGCACCCAGGCAAGGAAAAGCAGAGCTGGGGGCAGCCTCCTCTGACCGTCTCCCCAACAGTGTTTCTCTGTTGGAAAGGGAGGATTTCAAATGCTTGCCTCCCCCACTCCCGTCTCCCCGGAGGGCAGATTGGGTGTGGACACGGCGTCGGACCTCCCTCCGCCTGATGAGACGGCAGCCGCACGTCCTGAGCAGACGGTCATGCATCAGGCCAGAGTGGCCGCCCTGGCCAGGGGCACTGTCACCTTTAGAGATGGTGGCTTGGCGCAGGGGGGCTGGGGGGGGCTTTGGAACAATTCCACAAACACCAGACACGTCGGCCTGCTCAAGCCCCCTGCGTGATTCATCTGTGCCCGCGTGCTGGTGTGCGAAAGGACGTGATTTGCTCAAGATGAGGGAGGTTCTGCTAACGCCCTCGTGGGAGTCATGGGAAAAGCCAATGGCACCGTTTCCAGAAGAACATGAAAGGTCTTGGGCCCTGAAAGCTGCACTGGGTTCAAAGTCCATCACCTGTCACGGAGGGGCCCCTCTGTCAACTTGTCACCAACGGGCCACTCATCAGGATGTGCCCAGAGGAGTGGGGAAAGGCGTCTTTGCTCACATTCACCTCAGATCTTACGGCCAGGGTGTTTGGGGGGTGTTTGGGGGAGGAAGGGTCTGAGATCTGCAGGGCACCCTGATTTTCACAGACACACAGGCTGGGCGGGCAGGACTGGCCTCTGAGCCAGCAGCCTTGTGTACCCCCACATGGCAGTGCACTGTCTTGGGGGCAAGTGGACCGCAACCCCTGAACGGTTCAGACCCTCAGGGTGGCGGCTGCACTTCTCCCGGCCCCAGTTTCTCATCTGTGTGGTCTGAGAGGTGCTGAGGGTCCGGGGCCACAAGAGTGAAGGTGTGTGGCCAGGATAGCGGTCCCCCCAGCAGGAGAGCACCCACCGTCGAGCGGATGCTGCCCTTGTTTTTATTGTTCTTGGGCACGCCTGGCTGTAGCGTCAGGGTCCCTGCAAAACTCCCTCCTTCAAACAAGAGCTGCAACCAGCAGAGCCCCTGAGACCTAGCTCCCCAGGGTGGCACCAACCAGTAGGGACTGTTTAGTTCAACCCCTTGCCTGGGAGACAGGAAAATGGAGGCCAAGCCCCCCGCCAGGCTGAAGAAATGGAAAGAGAAGCTGTGTTGGAAGAGCAGGCGCAATTAATTCGTGAGGTCAGATGGTGGGTGGGTGGGTGTGGCCATCTCCCTGCATTAGGCCCTTCTCACTTTGTACCTGATACCCCGGAGGCCTCCACTCTGTACTCCTCTCCCTCCCCCTCCTGCCAGGCCTCAGGCCCTGGCCCCAGATGCAGCTGCAGAGCCTGGAGCTCGGAGCTCCCCGGCACACCTTCAGGTCTGGGTGTTCTGTGGCCCACGATCCAATCCTCAGCACTATGAGGCCTGGTCTCAAGGCGAGAGGCCTGGTATCGGTGCGGGAGGCCTGGTCTCAGGGCAGCAGTCCTGGCTTTGTCCCGGTGGGTTCCCCCCTGGTGCTCAGCCACAGAGCACTCTACAGGTTTCTGCCTCTGGTCAGATTTCCGCCTCCCCCAAGCTCTGGAATGACTGACCCCACTCCCTTCAGCAGGTGCAGACCTGGCCAGGTAGCCCTTCATGGTGCGGCCCGGTCCTGCCTCTTCTGCCTGGGAACACAGGGCACTCTCCTCTGGGAGAGAGGAGACCTCGCCATCCATCGAAATGTCCCCTCCTGTCTGTGCATGACTTGGTATCAGGAGCCTCTTGCCTGGGTCAGGATTTAGACGTCCTGGTCCCAGCCTGCTCTGTCGTAGCCTTGGAGCTGGCACTGACTCAGCGAAGAGGAAAGGAAATTATCCAATAGAAATGGAACGCTCTGCAGACACCCCAGCAGCACAGAGCTGGAACACCAGACACCCCAGCCTGGAGAAGGTGGTTCTGAGCTCCCATGGCCCCTCTGTGACCTTGTCCACCTATGGCCAGTGCCTGTGGTCAAAGGGCTGAGGGCCTGGATGACCCCAAGGAATGCAGTGGAGAATCTGGTGGCAGCTCTAAGCAAGGTATTTTTTTTTTTTTTTTTTTTGAGGCAGAGTCTCGCCCTGTCACCCAGGCTGGAGTGCAGTGGTGCAATCTCGGCTCACTGAAACCTCTGCCTCCTGGATTCAAGCGATTCTCCTGCCTCAGCCTCCTGAGTAGCTGAGATTACAGACACGCACCACAACGCCTGGCTAATTTTTGTATTTTTAGTAGAGACGGGGTTTCCCTAAGTTGGCCAGGCTGGTCTCAAACTCCTGACCTCAGGTGATCCACCCACCTCGGCCTGCCAAAGTGCTAGGATTACAGGCCTGAGCCGCCACACCCGGCCTAGCAATGGTTCTTTATCTGCAGCGTCTCAAATGCTCTGCAGTCCAGAATCCACCACCATTTAATGTTTAATAGACATTTGTAATCGCTTAAGGTTTCTCTCTGGAATTCACGGGAGACAAGTGCCTGGACCAGGACCCGGTTCCATGGGCGTGGCTGGGCAGGAGAAAGCTACTGGGAGTCCAGAGTTGGCCACACTTCCCTTTTCTCTTGGGCCTGTGTGGGCTCAGCAGTGTTGGGTGGGCAGCCCTGCATCCACATGTGTGTGCCAAGGGCCCCCTTGGCTTCTAGAAAGACCCCCTAGGTCTACCAAGCTGCTCCCAGCTGCGCCTGTCATCACTACTGGCTCCGCTGGGAGCAGGGGTCCCCAGGGTAAGGCCTGGTGACAAGACACAGAGGCAGGAGTCAGGAGGTCCGGCCCCAAGTGCAACCCCCTTGGCCACTCTCTGGCTGCTTCGGCATCCCCAAACCTCCACCAGCCTGAGCTAGGATTGTCCTGTTCTCTCTGCAAAGCCTGTGGGTGCAGTGAGGTGGCCTGAGTCAATGGTTTGCCAACTGCCGGTCACACTGCGGGGCTGGACTCATCCCCTGTGGCCTGTGCCCTCAGCCCGTGGCCCCCAGTACTTGGCTGGAGTGTAACGGGGTGGCCCGAGGGAGCCACCCTTGGGCTCCCATGGCCCAGGTGCCTGCCAGAAGCCAGGGCCAGTGCTGAGATTCCTCAATGACCCCAAGGACAAACGCAGAGGCTGCAGGATGGTGTCCCCATGCGCATTCGGGTCCAATTTCAGATGTGGCAAGAAATACCCCGGGCCTCCCTCACCCAATGAGGGCCCTGCCATAGCCCCCAGGCCGAGCCAGGTTTCTGCAGGGACCCAGGCTGCAGGTGAGAAATGGGCCTGCCCATGCCTAGGAGCTGCCCAGCCCTCGTAAACTTTTACCGCACCTCAGGCAACATGCATTTCACACCCGGTTAACTTTTACTACAGGAGGGCATTGGTCAGGAGGAAGCAGCAAATCCTGCTGTGAGGGACGTCCCTGCGTGGGAGTCTGGGCTGGGGGCCAGCTTTCGAGCTCTTCGGGTGTGCGGCTGCAGCCTCCCTTTCCTGACTTCTGGCTCCAGAGCCCCAGGCCTGGTCCTCCTCAGGGCACTGCTCTGAAACAGCCCTCAGCCCAACCGGGAAGCCCTCTGCCTCCGGCCACGCATGGGCCCCGAAGCCTGCAGGGTGGGCACTCAGGGCCCTGTGCAGAGGACGGCCCCCTCCCCGACGTGGGACTTGTGTGAACACCAAATGCGGCCTGACTGCCACCGAGAGCTAGCTATTGTTCCTGACACCGGGCAGAGGCCTTGGAGGCGGCCCTGAAATTTGGGAGGGGGATGAGTTGGGGGCGGGGGCTGTCTCATGTCTGTTTTCAATATGCGGCCAATCGCAGCCTGCTTCTTTTCTGTTTAGGATAATTTTATACTGGGTGGGTGTATTTAGGGCCTGAACGGCCTGACAGTGATGATTAATACCGTGCATTAGGCGATTCCAGCGCAAGTATTCGGGAACAAGCTGTGCTGCGCGGTTCTCATCAGATGGTCAGGCCCGCAGGCCTATTAAAAGCAGCAGGAGGCCTTGAGGCTTAATCACAGAGGCTGGGCCCGTGGAGGGAGAAGAAAGGGAAAGGAAAGGAGAACAAACGAAATGATAGAGCGGAGGGCGGAAATGCTACTGGAATCCGTGTCCCCTCCCCCAGCCCACTGCGGGCAGCAAGGGGGGCGCCGGCTTCGGAGGGGAGGGAGGGTCAGTGGAGAGCATCTGGGGGGAGAAAAACAATTAAAAGCTGCAGCCAGCCGCCAGGACCACAACTCTGCCGTGGGAAGTCGTGGGAGGGGTGGGCACGGCTGGGATGGGGGCAGAATTGAATCAGTCCGCAGGTGGGGGCAGCACGGCTGGGTGGAGGGGAGCACCAGCCCATGGCAGAGAGGGCCAAACACGGAGGGAGAAGGGCCCACACCCTGCAGTGCCAGGGCCGGGCAGGTGGACTGTGCCAGGCAGGTGGACCATGCACCGGTGTGCCAGGGTTGGCCTGGGGCTGTCTGAGCTGGTCATGCTGCCCAGAGTCATTCACACTGTGCTCCCCATTCCCTCGCAGGAGTGTCTCCTCTCCTCTGGAGGTAAAGTGTGTGGTCATCTTGCTCTTTGGGGAGGTCCTTAGGGTCTCTGGAGGGTCTGGGCGAGGCTGAGGATGGTACAGCCCAGCTACCCTCAGGCATCAGTGCCTCCCCGCCCCCAGCTCTCCCTTCCATACCAAGTCACAGACACAGAGTGAGTGTGTGAGTTCTCAAGGGGGAGGCG
Organism: Homo sapiens; assembly: GCF_000001405.40. Lineage (NCBI taxonomy): Eukaryota > Metazoa > Chordata > Mammalia > Primates > Hominidae > Homo > Homo sapiens. The sequence continues at coordinate 3,351,839 of NC_000001.11, read as the reverse complement.
GAACCCCCCAAATGGCTGGAGACTGCAAGAGGAGGGGCTATGGTGAGAGAGAGCAAGAGAGAGGGAGGGAAGAAGAGAAACAGAGGGGGGGGAGAGAGGGAGAGGAGAGACAGAGGGAGGGGGAGACAGAGGAAGGGAGAGACAGAGGGAGGAGAGAAAGAGGGAGGGGAGAAAGAGGGAGGGGAGAGAGAGAGATGGAGAGAGAGGGAGGGGGAGAGAGGGAGGGGGAGAGAGAGGGAGGGGAAGAGAGAGGGAGGGAGAGAAGGAGGAAGGGGATGAGAGAGGGAGGGGGACAGAGAGGGAGGGGGACAGAGACGGGTTCCAATGTGACACAGTGAGCTGAGGGCCCAGGCACCTGCTCCAGGACCAGGGATGGGAAGGAGAAGACCTATGTCCCTGTGCTGCTCCCTCTGCGTTCCTATAGAGACGGGTTCTGGGTTCTGAAGAAATTCTGGGACCCCACGTGGGCCCTGGATGGAGCTTTTTCCCTAAACCCAGCCCAGGAGAGCAGGAGTTCCTCAATCAGAAGTCTCTCCTGGGTCTTCAAAATGCCTGTGCCAAACAGAGTCTTTTCCACCTGGAGGGACCGGGAGGGACACCCTGTGGCCACCCAAGTGCCTGGTGGGGATGAGAGCTGGCACTGGCCAGGGGCCGGGGTGGACCCCGTGGGAAGCAGGTGCTTCTGAGACCCACATCTCAGAGACCCACAAGCTGGTGAACATGCCCCCAAAACGTCTGGCCCAGCGAGCCAGCGGCCATTCCCAGGACACGGGGATCTCTTGGCCTGTCTGTGCCCCTGCCCAGAGGGCCGCCAACCAGCAGCTCTGCAGACAGTTCCCGCTCTCTGCTGGCTATTTTTGGAAATGGTCTTCTGACTTGTTTTTCTCCCAGGCTCCATAATAAAGCGAGAGCTGAAGTGAATCCCCAAGTCCCCTTCAGAGTGGGCTCTGCAAGGACTGGGGGGTGTATATCCCCCAGCCAGAAGTGCCTGGCGCTGGCTGGGCCCCACCCACCTGGCCTCAAAAAAGAGTTTGAGGCCCAGAAAGAGGAAAACACTGGACGCGGCATTGGGAAGAAGTCGGCAGACACAAAGCTCTTGTCCTGGGAGGGAGGAACCAGCCCGGCCCGGCCATCTGGGAGGCTGCATGGTGCCAAAGCCCTGCCTTCTGGGTGCTCCCAGGGCCCTGCATGGAGCCAAGCTGTGCCCGAGCCCTGGCCGGGCAGGGCTGGCTCCCAGCTCTGCTTTCCACCCGCCCACAGCTGCCTGCCACCCTGGTCCCCTCCCCTTGTCCTGCAGGCTGCTGGGAGGCCACATCAGCCCGGGGCCCTTGATCTTAACACACATTATGTCTGGATCCAAGTGTCACCAAACCTGACCCTGACTGCAGCCCCAGGCTGCACAGACGGAGCAGTAGAGCCCAGGAGGGAAAGAGGGGGTGGCTTCAAGGGTGCCCAGGTTGGAGGTAGAGAGCCGCCTCCCCTCCCACTTCCAGATCTTTTCTTTTCATTTTTTTGAGACAGGGTCTCACTCTCTCGCCCAGGCTGGAGTATAGTGGTGTGATCACAGCTCTCTGTAGCCCGGACCTCCTGAGCTCAAGCGATCCTCCTGCCTCAGCCTCCTGAGTAGCTGGAACTACCAGCACATGCCATCACATCAGGCTAATTTTTGTATTTTTTGTAGAGATAGGGTCTTGCTATGTTGTCCAGGCTGGCCTCAAACTTCTGGGCTTCCTCCCGCCTTGGCCTCCCAAGGTGCTGGGATTTTGGGCCACTGCACCTGGCCCCAGGTCTTTTCTGCCCTGTCCTCTTCCCCCCTCAAAGACAGGAGTCAGGTCCAGGCCTCTGACTGCTGTCTCCTCCAGGGCTCAGGACCCCGCTAGGCACAGAAGAGGCTGCTTTCAAGAGGTGGGAGGGAGCAGAGCTAAACATTCACGGCAGAGGGCGCCTGAGCAAGCCCAGCCCCGGGCTTTGGAGGCTGCGGGGGCTGCGGAGGCTGAGGGCTGGAGGCTCCTCAATCCCCAAGCCCAGCACCGTGGCCAGCAGAGCTCAGGCCTCTGTGAACACTGAGAACAGAAAGCTCCCAGTAGACAGCTCAGCCAGGGAGCTTTGAAGACCCCCAGAGCGCAGGAAGCCGGGGTGCATTGGAGTGGGAGGGAGGGGAAGCTACCATCCAAGGCTGGCTTTCACGGGCGGCCCTGAGCTCTGCCGGGCTGCCTCGGCTCCTCCGCCACCCTTGCCAGCACACCAGCCAGTGGGAAAGAGGGGTCAGCTGCCCCGGGACAAGGACACCCTTGGGTTGAGGATGACAGCTCTGAAATAAGCTCGGAGCCAAGCCCCATGGGCACCCAGTGGCTGCGCCGACTGGGTGCTGGGTGGAGACGGGCAGTGCAGACAGCCCTGCTTCCCGCCATGGCCACTTGCTGGGAGCCTGACCTCCAGGTTATCGGGGCAGCAGCTTCGGCGATGACCTCATTAAGCACGGTGCCACGTCAGCACCTTTCCAAAGCCCCTTTTATCACTCACAGCGTGCCGGTGCGGCCCCGTCCACACCTCCTCCCTGACACCAGCTCTATCTTATCTCCCGTGGGGCGGGGACCCTCACTGGGAGCCAGAGAGCAGGCCCAGGAATGCTGCGCCCAGACAGCCTGGCCATGGGCACTATGCGGACGGAGGTGGGGCAGGGCGAGGCTGTGGTTTGTTGCTGACAAAATCGTGCAGAAATGCATTGACTCCTGGCTTTTCAAATTCAATAATCGTTATGGTGATTATTACAAAGCCCCAGCCTCTCCGGCCATGCTGGGCCCCGCCCCCACCCCCACCAAAGGCAGGAGCACAGAGCCATGCCAGTGGGCTGTTCCCAGGCCAGCGCTGCCCCGGTGGACCCTTCTCTTAATGCCTCTCAAAGTGAGGTGCCCCATCAGGTGCCTCTCCCCACCACGGACTCTAGGACATGGGCCGCTCCCTCATTTTTGCTGGCCTGGGTGGAAAAACTGCCCACTGCAGATGCGGGAAGCTCTGAGCTCTTTGGGAGAGTGGGTGGAGTTGGGTGAGCCCCAGGGCCCCCACCCCAGGCTCACTGCGGCCCCGGTCCCCAAGGGCAGAGGGGAGGACAGACTGTTCCTGTGAAGAACTGAACAGCTAGTGTCAGGAGACAGGGACAGGGCTTGGTGGCACCTGACATTCAAGGTCATGTCTCAAGAGGGGCACTGTGAGTTCAAAGCTCCGGGGAAGCCCCCCTCCTTCTGCTGGAGGCCATGGCGGAGGGCCTCTTTAAGAAGCGTGCATGTCCCTCCCCACTGTCCCTGCCCATTCAAGCCGCCTTTGTGGGCAGCAGAAGCCGTGCCCACTGCTCTCAATGAAGACAGCTCTTTGTCCAAATGTCCTTGGCCCGCGGATTTTGGGGATGGTGCTGAAGAGCTGCCCCCACCGCTGGCCTCTCTCCACTCTCTGCTTCTCCTGGGCCCTAGCACACGAATACTAACGAGTGACCTGGCCAGGCAGCCGAGTAGTTGCTCCAAAAAGCTCAGGGCCTGGAGCCCAGCCTTTGTGGGCACTGAGGGCTGCATGGCATGGGCAGATTCCTATGGTCCTGGGCTGAGCCAGCGAGCCTCATCCTTGCAGCCAAAACCCTGCAGAACTGTTCAGGGGCCCAGAGGGCTACGGTTGGGCCAGACCCCCCAGGCTGGGACGTGGGTTGGGGAGACTCAGCAACCCCTCTGCGACCTGGGCAGAACTCTGCCTGCTGCCAGCAGATGGACACAGGCTGCCCCGTGCTCCGACCAGAGGCATGGGCAGCCTGACCAGAAGTTCGGTTCTAGCCTCGGCCAAAGCAGACTGAGCCACCGAGATGCACAGCCCCGTGTCCAGAGGCTCACGGAACTCAGTGCCCGGCACCAGCTCTGGGGCTGCTCACAGACACTGCCAGGACCCTGAAGTCACAGGGGATGGGCTCGGGCAGCTGCTTTGCACAAGGAACCCCTTCCTCCTGACCACACTACCAGGTGGCTGCCCTTCCTGTTCCCGCCCCAGCCCAGAGCCCTCAGGGGCTTTGGAGCAGGCATCAGGCCAGATCTGGATCAGGGGAGCCCGCAGCTCTCACCAAGGCCTAGGCATGGTGTTTGCTCCTTAGCCCGGAACCTGCCCATTCAGCTTTGCTACCCCAGAAGTCTGAGAAGAGCCAAATGACTCCAAAGTGGGACCTGGGGCAGGGTCATGGACTCCCAAGCTACTCCGAGGACTGACCTTCCCCAGCAGTGAGAGACGGCTCTGCCCCCACCCCCACCCCCTGACTGCCTCTTGCCTTGATTCTACAGGCCCTTGTTCCCACCCAGTGTGCACAGAGCCTGCCTGGGACCAGACGCAGGAGGGCGGGGCCTTCCAGGAGCAGATGGATGGCTCTCGCCAGTGGGACCTGCACCACCGTGGGCCAGGCCCAGGGTGTTCCGGGCTCCTTCCTGGGCCAATGCCAGGGAGCCAGTGGCTGTGGCCAGCATGCATGGAGGCCCTGAGAGTCTCGCCCTCCCTGGGCCTGGTTTCTCCTTCTGGAATGGGGTGGAGGCGCTTTAAGCATTGGGGCCACCTCTGGGCTGGATGGAGCCCCTCTGCCTGTCTGCCTGGTGCAGAACCTTGTGGAAAGACCATCATCCAGGAACCAGTGTCCTGGGAGGGACGGCCGCCTGCCCCTTCCCACACTCACACTCCCGGGGCTGTACACTGACCCCCTCCACCCTCCCCGGAAAGACTGGGCACCTGGGTTTCCTGGACACCTGTGAGGCCCTCAAGGTGGTCGCTGCAAGTTACTTCATGGGTGTCCCAAGCTGCCGGTGAGTGCTGCGCACTTCTGGAGAGGATTAGGTTGCAAAGCCAGCCCTGACACTCAGGTGTCCCCAGGGCCTGCCTGGAGTCCCTCATTTTACAGATGGAAGCACGAAAGGGGAGCGGCAGAGCACCGGTGAACAGTGTTAGGAACTGCTCAGGAGCCACTTGGTTGCATGGTCACTCATTCCGTCTGTTCAGCCGGTCACTAGGCCACTGGGGCGGGCGAACGTGAGAGGAGCCCCTTCCCTTGTAGAGCCACCCACCCTCACCTCACAGTGGGGTGGGTGCTGTTGGGCACCAGAAGTGACCCCAGTCTGGGTGCAGCCGGGGTGAGAAGATGCATCTGCCTGTGCCTCCTTGCAGCCAGCTTGGAGGAGTGAGGGGTGGGCCTGGCTGGCCATCGAGAGGCTCGCAGGTGGAGGGGGTGTCTGTGTTGCCTGCCCCCAAAGACTGGGGACGGTGGAGGGGAGAGAAAGGAGACAGCAGGGTGAGCAGAGAGGCGGGAGGGCCACGTATGCCGCGGGTGCTCCAGGAGGAGCTCAGGCTGCTGAACAGGAACCGTGGGACAGCAGTGTCTCCAGAGTGTTCCGCCCTGTGCTTTGAGCACCAGGCAGGCCCCCGTGTTCTGCCCAAGGCCCTGACTTTTCCAGGCCCTCTTGACCATGGAGCTCCATCAGGCTCCTCCACTGGAAGCCCCCAAGCCCCCAGCCTATGTCACACAGAACTCGACGCACAAACACCTCCAAGACGTCCTGGGGAAGGGTACGTCGCTCACCGCCGTGGGGCAGGGCCAACGGGAGAAACAAAAAAGGAAGCCTGATAAACAGTTTCCATATCCAACATTTTCCACATTCAATTATTTTTAAATTAAATAATCTCTCCCTAGGAGAAAAAGGAAAGTTCTCGCTCAGCTCAGCGCAGCCTTGCCAGGTCTCACAAAGCCCACATTGTGGGTGTTGACGGAGAATGAGTCTCCTTGGAGCCCGCCCCTCAATGCCCCCTTTGATATGCACGCTCACAGGCAGCCCCTCCGCAGGCCCCTGGATGGGGGAGACCCTGGCCCACAGCCACGTGGCCTCTTTGGGGCTCTTGTTGGCTCCCAGGAGCCCAGGGTGGGGGGACTGTGTAGCTCTGGGTGGAGTGAGACAGCTGCCAAGAAAAACCCTCGGCTGCAGAGGGCAGCACGGGAGGACCCGAGAGGGCAGCACAGGAGGAACCAAGGGGTGGCCTGGACCACAGAGGGGGCAGCACGGGAGGACCCGAGGGGTGGCCTGGACCACAGAGGGGGCAGCACGGGAGGACCCGAGAGGGCAGCATGGGAGGACCCGAGGGGTGGCCTGGACCACAGAGGGGGTCCTGCTGCATCCCGGTGACACATTTGGAACCAACAGTGGGAAGAACATGGGATTTGCCATCAGCACCTCAGGATTCAAGACCCAAGTCCCATTCCTACTGGCTGAGTGTCCTTAGGTGGGGTACTTGGCCAGTTTGAACCTCATTATTGCCACCTGTAAAATGGATGCTGCCGTGCTAGCCACTTCCTAGGGCTATGGCAAGGATGACAGAATGAGGCCACAGAACTCACAGTGGAGGTGCGTGTGGCTGTTGGCTTAAAATGGATGTGCATGTGGCATAATAAAGAGTGGGGCCCAGGAGCCTCCGGTTCCCACAGTGGTAGAGTAGCTTCTGTTGGATGTACTCTCCTGCAGATAACAATGATACACTTGGAAAAAAATAATTTAAAACAAAAAAAACTTGATAGCACTAGAGAATAACAAAAAGCAGGTGGGAACTGGAGGAACTGAACCCTTGAAGGAAAGCAGTGCACTGTGAGGGCCACTGTCCTCCAGGTATTCCCTCAAGGCCACTGTGCAGCCTACTTGGTACAGGGCAGCTGGAACTCGGGCAGAAAGCTGCAGTCTTATGGGACAGATGGGTCAGAGGATGCAGTGTGAGGCTGTCAGAGCATCTGTAAGTTGAGGGGAGAAACCATGGAAAGGAAGGAGCCACAGAGACATGATCCTCCTGTGTGCATATACACCCCTCAAACCCCTGAATTGCTCATGCATGAGGGAGGTTGCAAAGGGCCCCACAGAAAACAAGAGCTACACAGAGATTTCACTTGCTGCTTACCACAGCAGGGCTTTGGAATTTGAGTCCCATCAACTTAGAAGAGCTTGATGATCACCTTTGGCTTTCCACTAAAGTCCCAGAAGGGCTGAGCCTTAAGAACAAAGACTAATCCTAAAGATAAAACAGAAGAAGACCCAACCTAATAAAGTGTAGAGCCACACTTCTGCAAACTCAGGGTGAGCACCTAGTGATTGAAACTCTCTCTAGAACCAAAACCAAAACTTTTCAGAGGAATACAACAGAATCCAGAGTTTCTACAATGTCATCTACAACATCCAATACAATAAAAAATTACTAAATGTGCACAGAAACAGGAAATTGTCACCCATAGCCTAGAAAAAACCACAGCCAATCCAAACCAACTCTGATATGAGCCAGATGTTAGAATCAGCAGATTTAAAAATACCTTATAAATATGTCCAAAGACTTAAAGGCAAAGGTAATCACAATGAACTAACAGAGGGGAAATGCCAACAGGGAAATGCCAATTATAATTAAAAACCAAAAGAAAATTCCAAAACAGAAAAGTATACTGCATGAAATAACAAGTCCCTAGATAGGCTTAGTTTTTTTTTTAGATGGGATCTTGCTCTGTTATCCAGGCTGGAGGGCAGTGACGTGATCCTGGGCTCAAACCATCTTCCCATCTTAGCCTTGCAAGTAGCTAGGACTATGACGGTGCACCATCGCAACCGACTAATTGTTTAATGTTTTTGTAGAGAGGGAGTCTTGTTATGTTGTCCAGGCTGGTCTAGAACTCCTGGCCACAAGTGATCCTCCCAGCTCAGCCTCCCAGAGCACTGGGATCACCAGCATGAGCCACCACACCCAGCCCAAGGATGGGCTTTTAACAGCAAGTTGGAGATGACAGAAGAAAGGGTGAGTGAACTTGAAAACAGATCCATAAAATTATCCAATCTAAATAATAGAAAAAATATACTGAAACCAGGCTGGGAGCGGTGGCTCACACCTGTAATCCCAGCACTTTGGGAGGCCGAGGTGGGTGGATCACAAGGTCAGGAGATTGAGACCATCCTGGCTAACATGGTGAAAGCCTGTCTCTACTAAAAATACAAAAAAATTAGCCCGGCATGGTGGTGGATGCCTGTAGTCCCAGCTACTTGGGAGGCTGAGGCAGGAGAATGGCGGAGGCGGAGAACCCGGGAGGCGGAGCTTGTAGTGAGCTGAGATTGCACCACTGCACTCCAGGCTGGGTGACAGAGCGAGACTCCATCTCAAAAAAAACAAAACAAAACAAAAACCAAAAGCTGAAACCAAAGGAAAAGAGCCTGAGCGATATGTGGGACAATATCTGATACATATGTAACTGGAGTCCCAGGAGGAGAGAAGAGCTAGGAAGTAAAGCAAAAATTAAAAAAAAAAAGTCTGAACAAAGCACTAAACCCAAAGGAAGAGATTTAAAGCATTCACCAATCAAAAGACTCAGCTAAGAAAATAAAAAGCCAGGCCACTCATTGGGGAAAAATATTTGTAATACATATAAACGACTAAGGACTTGTATCTAGGATACATAAAGATCTAAAAATCAATTGATAAAAAGACAAACAATCCAATTTAAAAATGGACAAAAGGCTTGAACGAACACTTCACAAAAGCACTTATACCCAGTGAAAATATCACAATTCATCTGGGAAATGCATACTAGATCCACAATGAGATATTCTTTCACACTCACTCAAACGGTTATAATGTAAAAGACTGACTACACTAAGTGTCGGTGAGGACCGGAGCAGCTGGAACACTCACACATTGCCGCTGGTGGAAATGCAAAATAGTACAACTTTTTGGAAAGCAATTTGTCTCATAAATGTAGACATTCATGTATCCTACTAGTGAACAATTTTACTCCTGGACAATTTATATCAAAATGAAATGAGTTGAAAACTTAAGTCCACACAATGCTTGCACATGAATACTTGTAGAAACTTTATCTGTAATAGCCCACATCTGATACAACCCAAAACGCCCATGCCTAGGACAGTGGATAGACAACCTGGGATCTATTCATACCATGCATGCTACTGCCATACAGAATAAAAGAACACGCAGCTGACAAGTGCAGTGGCATAGATAGCCCTCAGACATCCTCATGTCGAACAAAAGAAACTGGCTACAAAACAGTGCCTTATGCGTGGATGTCTTTATGCGGAGTTCAAAGACAGGTAAAATGAATCCAAGGTGATAGACATCAGAACAGCGGCTGGCCATTTGCCCTTGGGGGATATTGACTGGAAGAGACCAGGAGTGATGGAAAAGCCTTCTGTTGATTCTAGTGGTGGCTACGTGTGTCAAAGTCATCCAAGTGTGCCCTCATGGTACGTATAGGCTACCGTATATATCACACATCATACAGGCATGGGGGCTCTGAGGCCAGACTGCCTGGTTTGAGACTCACCTCTGTCACTTCCTATTCTAGCCACTGCTAACTGTGGACACTTATTTTAGCAAGCTGCCTTGCCTGCAGGCAGAGAGGTGACGTGGCAGAAGGGGCCACTGAAGTAGTGGGTGGCTTGGTTGCTCCCACCTGCCCAGAGGGCTTCTCAGGTTTGAGTTGTTAATTTTCCTCCCCTGGAACTTTCCACAAATAACTTGAAGTGTTTTGGGAGTTGGGAGAGTATTGTCTTAGGAATATGTTCATTCATTCTCCCAAGGACCTGGTATGGAACTGTGGGTTCCAAGGTTACTTCTGGGGTTCGGTGGGGAGGGTGTTGGTGGCACAGGTGAGCCACGCCGGCACGAGGCTCCCCTCTCAGAGGCCATCGTGCACCCTGGGTTTCCCTAGCTGCCTCATCCAGGCTGAGCACGGCTGGGCTGGGAAGATCACCAGCAACCTGCAACCTCAATCATGGTCTTTCCCATCCTTACATTTAAAAAGGACAGGTGCTTTTCAACTTGAGATGGGGTTACCTCCCAAGAAGCTCATCATAAATTGAAAATATTGTGAGCCAAATGAATTTAATACACCTAACCTACCCGAAGAAGACAGCCCGGACTCACCTGCCTCAGATGTCCTCGGAAATCTTACAGTCAGGCAACACCGTCTGGCCACACAGTGCGCTGCAGAGCGCGGGCGGTTCACCCTCATGACTGTGTGGCTGGCCTGGGAGCGGCAGCTGCTGCTGTTGCCCCACACAGCAAGAGGGTGTTGGGCCACAAATTGATAGCTGGGAAAATATCAAAACTCAAAACCCGACGTATGTTTTCTATTGAATTATTATGATCACTTCTCCACCGTCGTAAAGCCAAACATTCCTAAGTTGAGCGATCGTAAGTTAGGGACCCTCTGTGTGTGTGCGCACGCGTGTGTGTGTGTGTTCTGACATCCTGGTTTCTTCCTCTTTGTCTGTGCTTCACGGCGGGTCTCGCTAGCCAGGCTGGCCGGACACTGATCTCCATCTGCCAGACCACCCCGATTCTTCCATTCAGGAGCTGCTTAGGAAGCATGGGGCAAAGTCGCCAGGTTGCCCCCCTTGCTTCCCCTCTGGATGGGAAGCTCTCTAAGGCAGCAGCTGCAACCACAAGGCCCAGGGCCTGCAGCCTCTGAAGGAGGACAGGTGAGCCCTGGTCACTCCCTCTGAGACCTACCCTTGCCAACGGGGATGGAAACCTGGCTGGGGTAAGACAGCCGCCATCTGCCACACCCACCAGGCGACAGTCACTTCTCGAGAGCTTTGCACTCTGGAGCTTGCTCAGCTCTGCTACATCCTCTGTGGCCTGGATGGCTCACCCATCATAGCCCAGGAGAAACGAGGGCTCAGAGGGGGAGAAACGAGGGCTCAGAGGGGGAGAAACGAGGGCTCAGGGGGCAGCAACTTGGCCAAGGAGCGTGCGGGGTTGGACACATCCCCCTCCCTAGCCTGGAGCCTTCAGCTGCCACACAGCCCGAGGGAAGGTGCGCTGGGGTCAGCTCACGGGGGCCATGCTCCCCTTCCTCCAGGGAGGACTCCAGCCAGCTCTGTCCTGCTGCAGCACGGCCCCCAATGCCAGCTTCACCTCTGTCCTCCAGTCTGGAGGTGCACAGGGCCTTCTGCCTTCAGCCACCCCATGACTTCTGCCCCACACCCTGACACCATTTTGGCTGTTAATTTCATAAAGAGGCCGTTGTTCATCTAGATGGCCTTTACAAAACACGTCCCCAGTGAGTGGAAACATTTAGTTAATAATTTAACACTGTGCTGGCTGCTGAATTTTCAGGCCCCCAAATAAGATCGATGGAGCTAACAATTGGCTTATTGAGTGTCCCGGCTCTATTTCCTGAAGACACAGACACGCGTAGAAGGGACAGACTCAGAGTGGGGGAGGGAGCCCTGTGCAGGGGGAAAAACGTAGATGGTATTGATGCAAGTTGTCAAAAATAATTGTTTTATTTTCCCTCGGAATGTTCCAGACATCCCCAGATGCACTGATCCATGGCGCTGGCTCTCCGGGAGCGGGTGTTTGGTATTTATGGCGTTTTGCAGCACCTCTGAGATGGGGATCAGGTAAACGCTCCTGCCTCACACTGGTGCCATCTGTCCCCAAATTGTTTCAGGAACGGGGTGAAGGGAGGGAGAGGCCACCACCTGTACCTCCCTCCGAGGGGCAATGGTGGCTTGGAGGGTGGGCTCGTGGGGTCTGCTTGGGGATTTAGGGGGTACAGTGTGCAAAGGGCCCAGGTAAGGACTCGGCTACCACAGCAGAGGATCCCCCGAGGCAGACCCAGACCTGGAAGCCCCCACCTGTGTTTTACCCAAAGGAAATAGGGTCACACTTTACCCATGAAGCTACTTGACAGCAGATTCCAGAGGATGGACCTGCAAACCTGGGCAGCGAATCCGTCCATACGCAGCAGAGATCGCCTGCCATTGACGGAGCATCAGACAGAAATTTCACGCGGGTCCCAGGGAGAGGAGGAGGCACGCTCGGGGGATGGCACACCTGTTCCCCCCAGCCCCACTTGCCTGGTGGCCCTTCCAACCTCAGCTGCTGCACAGAACCGCATCTTCCTATGGGACTGAGCTGGGCTGCCCTAGCACCGGCCCTGGCCAGAGTGGATTCTTCCTCCCTTTGAGTGACAGGGGCTCTCTGAGGATTCCAGCAGCTGGGGAAGGGAATGGTGAGGCAGGTGAGGGGGGAGTTTAGCCCCGTCTCCCACAGTTCTGAGGGAGGCTGAGGCAGATGGGGTAACTGAGCTCTGCACACCCCCCACCACACACACAATGCAGCCAGGGGTCCGCAGTAGGACTGTCACCTTCACGAGCAAGGTGGGAGGTGTGAGCGAGACCAAGGCAATGGTCGCTCCGCAGCCTCCTCCCACGCTCCTTCCCACCTCACTGCCTGAATCGCTCGGTGGGCAACAAAGCTTTGTTGCTCTTGAAATCCCAGCCTAAGTAGCACTTCCTCCAGGAAGCCCCTGTGGATTCACTGGGTAGGGGTCATGCCCTTTCCGCTCTGCTCTGAGCACTTTCTAGGGTCCTACTGACCACCCAGGATGGTTGCCACTCATCCACCCATCCCTCTGTTCCTGCTTCCGGGCACGGATGCGCGGAGGCCCACCCTGTGCCTCACCCTGGGCAAGGGCCAGGGATACCGAGACAAGCAGGACGTCTGTCTTTGATGGTACTGTGGTGGGTGGGTGAGCTGTCTCCCTCGGGGGCAGTATCCCACAAAACGTGGTTCGGCTTTCAGCAGCTGGAGGTGAGGGTGGCCAGGAAGCTGCCCTCCAGAAGGAGAGAGCAGGAGATGCCTCTGAGCACCCGGAAAGGCGGGACATGGGGAGGCCAGAGAGGGGAGTGCACGGAAGCTCCCCATCGATCGCCTTGAAGCTGCAACTCTCCCCAGACAGCAGCAGGGCTCCAAACTGCCTCTCCTTGGCCTGAATGGCAGCTGCTGGGGTGCCTGTCACTGTCACAACGGGCTTCTTCCTGCTTGCTGGGCTCTGGGGAGCTCAGCACAGCCGCACAGAAAAGGGCAGAAATGGTCCACTGCCATCAGACAGCCCTTTCTCTGCTGGCCTGTCCTCATGGGCTCGGCCTGCTGCAGTCAGCTCCAAAGAAAACAGGACGGTGGCATGTGTGTCCACAGTGTGTCCTGCCCAGAGAGGACCCTGGCCTGGCCTGTGCTCAGACACTTTCTGTCCTGGCTGCCTCTGGGGCTCCAGGAGGGCATGGTAGCCACAAGCCCCTGGGTTCCAGGAGCTTCCCCAGCCAGCCAAGCAGCCCTCATGGCGTGGGACCCTGAGTGGTGGAGCCCGGGTTATCAGGCCGGAGGTGGAGGGGCTGAGCACCCAGAGGCCAAGCCCTGGTGAGATACTCATCAACTGGCCACCCTGGGCAGTCAGACAGAAGAGGCGGCTTTCCCCGGGCACCCCGTCCCCACTTGGAAAGGAGCCTCTGAAATGAGGAAGTCGGGTTGGAAGCCAGGAGGGCACCTTGGCCCTAGCTTCTTGGTTCACTGCTCAGATAACTGAAGGGTAAACAGAGCACTTGCTCCCTGGACAGTGTGTTTGTGATAAGCCTAGAGGCCAAATGTCCTGGGGCCTCGAATTGGGCCCCAGAGGAGCAAGGGAACATCTGTTCCCCACGGGGCTTCTCATCTGAGGCCACAGGAGCCCCTGGCAGGACCACGGAAGCCCTGGCATCTGGGAGGCTTGGGGCCCAGTATGCCCCCTTCTCCTGCCTTGCGAGGGTCCTTGCAACTTCCCAAAGAGAATTCGGCTGCGCCTGTTTCTCTGGAAGGATGAGAATGGAATAAATGACAGCTGAGGCTAGAGCTTCATGAAGCTAGATGTTCATGTGTGTGCACACGTGTGTGCATGCACACGTGTCTGTGTGAATGTGTGTGCATGTCTATATGTGTGCACATGTGTCTGTGTGTATTCATTTGTGTGCATGTGTTTTTGTGTACTATGTTCACACATGTGCGTGCCAGTGTGTGGGCATATGTGTGTACATGTGTCTGTGTGCATATCTATGTGTACACAAGTGCCCATGTGTGTGTCCGTGCATGTGGGCCTGTGCGTGTGACTTTTGTTTCTTTTCCCTCCATCTTTTGTTCCAGCACCAATGCTCAGTGTCATGCTCCAGGTCACCAGGGCGAGGGGTGGAAATGCCGGTCAGCCAGGAACTCTATCGTGTGCTCTCTGGGGATCCCCAACCAGAGAGACCAAATGGAAAACCGCACAGCATCACACCAAGGGAAAGCCAGCCAGCCTGGGGCAGAGATGGTTGCATGGTGTGTGCCCGCAGCCCCTGTTGGGGGCTGGCCCCGCAGTGGCCAAGCAGCCTTCCTCTGCACCTGGTGGGTCTCCCCCAGCTCCCACCCCAAGGGCCTCTAGCTCAAAGGTCCCTGATGATGGTCCCCTTGATGATGTCTTGGTGACCTGGCATGGCCCCTACTCTAACCCACAAGATCCCAGCTTTAGAAATCAAGCACCTCCTAAGAACCCTGCTAAACCTGTTCTCCCAGAAAAGAGAGTGGCCACAGCCTCAGGAGCAGCAGTTGGGTGCCTTCGATGGAGGAAGCGGTGGGGATGCTCAGAGCACTGGGGAGAAGAATGTGCCAGCTCTCAGGTGGGGCCTTTCTCTCCTGTCTCCTGAATTAGAATTCACAGTGGGATTCACAGATACACATGCACACAGACTCACACCAACACACATGTGCGTGTATGCATTCACACACAGAGACTCACACCAACACACATGTGGATGCATGCACTCACAGATGTACACAGATTCACACCAACACATATGTGCATGCATGCATTCACACAGAGGCTCACACCAACACTCATGTGGATGCATGCGCTCACACACGCACACAGATTCACACCAACAGATGTGCATGAATGTGCACACACAGACTCACTCCAACACACATGTGCATGCATGCATGCACACACAGATTCACACCAACACATATGTGCATGCATGTGCTCACAGACTCACACCAACACATGTGCATACAAGCATTCACACACAGACTCACACCAACACACATGTGGATGCATGCACTCACACATGCACATATATTCAGACCAACACAATGTGTGTGAATGTTCATGCACACACAGACTCACTCCAACACACATGTGCATGCATGCATTCACACACAGATTCACACCAACACACATGTGCATGCAGGCATTCACACACAGATTCACACCAACACACATGTGCATGCATGTGCTCACAGATTCACAAAAACACATATGTGTGTGAATGTGCACACATACACACACTCACTCCAACACACATGTGCATGCATGCACTCACAGACTCACACCAACACAGATGTGCATGCATGCACTCAGACTCACACCAACACACATGTGCATGCATGCACTCACACACAGATTCACACCAACATACAAGTGCATGAATACGCTCAGTCTCACACCAACACACATGTGTATGTATGTGCACACACACAGGCTCACTCCAACACACATGTGCATGCAAACACACATGCACAGACACACCAACACACATGTGCATGCATTTGCTTACAAATATGCACACACACCCCTCCACATGCACACACACATGTGCATGTACACACATGTGCATGTACACAAACAGCCACAGACACACACGTGCTCATACACAGAGATAAACATGCCTACACCTACACACAGACTCCAACATACATATATACGCACGTGCACACATGCGCACATAAGATACACACACCGATACATATGCATGTCCCCCGCTATCTTGGCAGGTCAGTAAGCCTGAATGCAGGGGCTGGGCCTAGCAGTCAGACCCCACACCCTCTCTCCCTTCATCTTCACTGTTCTCAGGCACAGCTGTGGAGATTGGGGTTCTGCACATCAGCGTCAGCGATACTCTGGGCAGGCTGTCGAGACGTCACAGCCTCCTCTGTGGGGCTGCCTGACAGATCCACGACTGACTTCAGGGAGCGGAGTTCACAGTAAGGAGGTTCTGAGGACCAGAGAGAGCGAGCAGGGCTGGGCTGGTCATGGAGACCAGTCTGAGCTCTCCCACACTTCAGTGCAGGAGCATGGGGCACTT
The DNA here is from genome assembly GCF_000001405.40 of Homo sapiens. Lineage (NCBI taxonomy): Eukaryota > Metazoa > Chordata > Mammalia > Primates > Hominidae > Homo > Homo sapiens. Next base: position 3,335,853 of record NC_000001.11, on the reverse strand, counting down.
GGCCCCCGGGCCTCCTGTGAACCTGGGCAGAGGTGGCTGGGGTGCCAGGGGAGGTGTGGGCAGCTGGGCTCTGTGGACTCCTGAGTCCTCCTTGCCCCTGCCAGGCCAGCACCTTCCACCAGGATGCCAGAAAGAACGGGGAAGAAGGCTGGATTTTGAAAGAAGTAGGTGTTTTTCTTTGGAAAGTTTATTTGCAGATTTATGTCCAAGGGTGTGTGTGTGTGTGTGTGTGTGTGTGTGTGTGTGTGTGTTTTAACCTCAGCCAAAGGTTAGATTTCAGATATCCTCCAATGCTCTGTTTGAAGCCTTGTTTGTTTGTTTGGATTGGCCAGTCAAAAGTTAAAAGAAATAAACTCTGCTCCCTTTAGAATCCTGTTGAGCACGCTTTCGGACATGCGACGTGCTAACGCGACCGGGCTAAGGACGTGTTCTCTACGGACGCCCTGAGGGGAGGAACTGTTCCCCATCCTCCAAGGGCTTCCATGTCCTGCTATTTCCAGGCCGGCCCCAGCCCTCAGTCAATAACGTTCTTTCATTCACTTTCCCAAGCGGAAGGCTGTGAAAAGTCTCCTTTGAAGTGCCTTCCTCGGTGTGGTGATCTGGCTTCCCTTTGCACCCAGACACCAGCTCCCCAAACACGCTTCCTCTCAGGCCTCAGAGCAGGACGCTGGGGCTGTGCAGGGCAGCTGGAATTCGCACGCTGGGCTCCTTCCAGGCAGGGACAGGGGCCTTGAAGCGAGTTCTCTCAGGGCGCCCACCCTCCTGAAGCCACAGGGGGGAACCTGGTCTCCCTGCCACCCCGTCCTCTCTGGCTGTGCCCTTGACATGGCGGGGCTGGCGCTGGGGACTCTGGCTCTGAGCCTATGGGGTCATGTTGCTGCTGTTCGTACAGGCACATCCTATGGGGTTGGACGCGTGGATGGCCCTCCGCGGAAGGCGCAGGCCATTGCTGATCCTAGTTGGCGACCTCAGGGGCCTTGTTTCCTCATCTATAAAGTGGATTAAAAATGCCTGCAGTGCAGGATGGCTGTTGGAGTGAAATGAGCTGAGTGAGGGTGAGTGTTCGTTTGCTCTGTTCCCGGCGAGCACTTGGCGATGATGATTGATGGGCAGAGCTGAGATCCGTGAGAAGGACGTGGGTGAACCTGGAGGTGGTGGAGGCCACAGTGGTGGCTTTGTGGAGCAGAGCCCCGTGGTCTCTAGGAAGCCCTGGGCTGGGCTGGTCTCCTCCACTGGGCACAGCCTCTGCAAGGCAGGCATTGTGGCCATTGTAGGTGTCAAGGGCTGGTTCCCTGTCCCGCTTTCCTCCCCACAAGAGGAGTTGATGGCGGCCAGCCAGGAACCTCAGAGACCCTGTGGGAGCCAGAATTTGAGGACCTGGTCCTCAGCCATGCTTCACTTCAGAAATGACCCTAGTGACATCTGGGGCTCTCTTCAGAGAATGTGGGGGGGTGGGTTATGGGCATACTCATTGGCCTCGCCATCTCCCCCTGGCCTTTGTGCCCTTCCTGATGGAAGTCCCTGACGTGGTGGGACCTGTGGCAACCCCTACATCCAACCCCGGCAATCCCTGGCTGGGCTGGGCCAGGCTGCAGTTCATCGTCTGGAAGCTTCTGTGCCTGCTCTGTCTTCCCTCTTTCCTGAAAGCTCAAGGCCTGGTAAACACTCGTCCTCGGGGTTTGGGTTATTTTGTGAGCCTGTCTCCGTTTGGCAGCTGAGGAAGCAGCTGCCCAGGGAATCACAGGCTGTGCCCTGGCTCACGCTGCTGGTAAATAAATCCTGTGCCAGGTCAGCTGCACTTTACGTGTGTTATGCCGTTTTGCATTACTTCAAAGAAACACCTGAGGCTGGGTAAAGAAAAGAGGTTTCATTGGCTCGTGGTCCTGCAGGCTGTATAAGCATGGCACCAGCATCAGCTCAGCTCAGGGGAGGCCTCAGGGAGCTTTTACTCATGGCAGAAGGGGAGGGGAGCCTGCGTGTGACATGTGATAGAGTGGGCAAGAGGGAGAGGCTGGGGAGGTCCTAGACTCTTTTAAAGCAGATCTCGCATGAGCTAACCGAGGGGGGACTCACTCATCACCAAGGGGATGGAGCCAAACCTTCCATGATCCATGATCTACTCGCCTCCTGCCAAGCTCCACCTCCAAAATCAGGCATCACACTTCAACATGAGATTTGGAGGGGACGCACATCCAAACCCCACCACCACATCTGTGACCTTAGCCGCGATGGCTCTTGGCCAAGAGAAGGTTCTAGATGCCTTCGGAGGAAGGCTTTTTGGAGGAGAGACGTCTGTGCTCATCAAAGGGGCAGATCTTTCCTCCCTCACCGTGCTGCTCTAGGTCTGAAGCCCCTTTTCCTGCATCTCCACATGAGCTGGAAAGCTAGGGCACGTTTTGGAGTCCGGTTTCCAGACTCCTAGGGTCAGATGCAGCCCCAAGATTCTGAGATCCTGCAGCCAGGCCAAAGCACTGGCCCTGCTCAGCCTCCCCGTTGTGGGAAGTGGCCCCTTCTCCAGCACACAAGGCCCTGTGCTTTCTGAGCCAGACCCCTGCCACGCCAAGGGGGTCTCTGCTACTCCTGCCTCCTCTGCTCCAGCCTCCTTCACCCCCACGAGGGCCTCCCTGTGTCTGATGCAGAGGGACAGGCACCCACCTCTCCAGGACACCTGGCTCTCCTCCCCACCACCTTGCTGCCTGGACTCTGCCACTGTAAGCTGAGGAGTAAGGCCGTGTGACCTGCAATCCCACGCCTAGATATAGACCCAAGAGAGCTGAAAGCAGTGTTCAGACAAAAACAGGCACACTCATGTTCATAGCAGCACTGTCCAAAATCGCCAAGAGGTGGAAAGAACTCATGTCCACCAGCAGAGGAGTCTGCAGCAGAATATTAGCCAAGAAAAGGAGTGAGGCACTGGCCCACGCTACAGTGAGGAAGAACCTTGAACACAGATGCGTAGTGAGAGAAGCCAGGCACCAAAGGACACAGATCATAGAATTCCATGGAGAGGACAAATCCAGAGGCCGAACAGGGATGGGTCAGCAGTTGCCAGGGCCTGGGGGGATGGGCGGAGGAGAATGAGTGCTGCTGGGGTGCAGTCAGGGCCTGGGGGGACGGGCGGTGGGGAGTGAGTGCTGCTGGGGCGCAGTTTCTCCTGGGGTGGTGAAAGCCTCTCGGAAGTCGGCAGAAGTGGTGTTTGCACAACAATGCAGATGTGCTAAATGTCACCGAATGACACGCCTTAAAATGGTTAAAATTAGAAATTTATCTTATATGTATTTTGCCACAATAAAAAAAAAATCAACCCTTGAAGCATAAGACCGATCTAGAATGGAAAAAAACAACAGCCCATAAAGCCCCCAAAACAAAATAAACCAAACCGAACCGAGGGGGGGCCAGGCCACGCCCCCCCACCGCTCCCTAGCCGCCCCACGGCCTCCCCCAGCCCCGAGCCCCCCACTGCCCACACCACCCCGACATTAGAGGCCTGGGGATTACTCGCCTAATCCAGCTCCCGCTGTAACAACAGGGCTGCCTAATTGAAACGTATGAGAAACAATTAAGAGTAATTGGAATCAATTAATAGATGATTTTCTCGGAAGCGAGTACACAGCGCGTGGCAGAATCTCATTACCACTTCCCAGTGCACGCACCTCCCATATCAGGCCAGCCTGGAAAGAGGTGAGCGCATTGTCAGGAAAGTGGGAGATGCGGAGCCTGAAAATGGGGCTGAAGGCCATGGCAGGAGGGTCGGGGGCTTGGCCAGACAGAGGTGGGGGACCCACGGGTGCTTCGGAGCAGGGAGCCTGGCAGGGTGGGACCTCCAAGCCCGTCCCCTGTTCAGGAATGCACACCCAGTCCCAGGGCCAGAGTCTATGTTTTAGGGGCATGATAGAGCCACTGCCTGGGCAGAGAGGTGACCCTCCCTCATCCTGAGAGGTGGAGATGTCTGTGTCATGAGCCCGGAGTCCCTGAGGCCCCCCGGGGCTGTGTGCAGATCTGGCCACAGACGGGGCCGGGCCACAGCTCACAGCCATTCCACCCGAGCGGGGAGCCTACTAACAAGGGGTTGCTTAACCCACAGCAGAGCCACGGTGAGCCCAGGACGCAGCCCAGGAGCCCTGGGTCCGGGTGCCAGGCAACGGGGAGGAAGGCTGTTCTCTGCCCATTCCCACAGAAGGGGCTGTCAGCGGCCCTGGGCACCAGGATTCCTCTGGGCAGCAAATTAGAGGATTTGGACGAATGTGTTTCCTTTCCGGGATCTGGCTCCTTGAAGAACGAGGCTCAGAGAAGTCCCTCCTGGCAGCCCCCGTCCCATGTGTGTCCCTTTGTAGTAGTTACTCAGCCTGGAAGTGGAGCCTGGGCTATTCGCTCATCTGTTCATTCATTCATTCATTCATTCAACAAACGTGCTTTGAACCCCTCTGTACCTGGGGTCCTGATCTGGGGGATTCCCTGGTGGGCTGTGTTCTCTGCAGAGAGGGTCCATTCATCAATGGACTCGGGGATGAAGGGGGTTGCTAGGAATGCCCCCCACCTCCAAGTGTGCCGGGGGGGGGCTGCCTTTCTCCAGACTCCCAGTATGCGCCCCCCCCAGGCTGGCAGGGGGAAGGGGCAGTGGAGAAGTTGCGCAGCTTCCCCCCTGCAATCCACAGGTGATCAAAGCCCACCCAAGTGCTGGAGGTATGGAGGCCAGGGCAGAGGAAGGCCCCCTCCCAGGCCGAAGGGCAGGAGCAGCTTGCAGGGCTGAGTGGGCTGGCGGCCCCTCCCTTGGCCCCTGGAGCCCGGGTGGGCGGTGGGGCCTGTCAATGTGGGGTTTAGCGGGGCCTTATCAGATGGAATTGCTGCTATTCTCCGCATTCAGGCCCACTTCCTGTGAGCTGAAAGCCAGGCCCTTATCTCCTCACCCCCTGACCCTGGCAGGCACACTCCAGGTGGCTCCGATTTCTGCCCCAGAGCAGCAGGTGAGAAAGTCTCTGGCTGGAGGCAGAGGGAGGAGGGCCCTGAGGGCAGCTCGGGCCTGTATGAACCAGGGGCACCTCCACTCGGCCAGAGATCCAAGGTTTCTGGGGTCTGACTCGCCCTCGCTTAGGAGGCTCTGTCGTGATGACTGCAAGAGCTTCTCAAAAACCCACCCTCCCCAACAACCTCTCTGGGCTGTTTGTTCTGCCATTGGACTGGCAAGTGGGTCCTGAGGCTGTGGGGCAGATATTGCCTTGGGATTTGAGGTGGAGGCACAAGGGTGTGTCTGAGACCCCAGGATTAGAAAAGTGGCCCCTGCTGAGGCAGCAGCCAGGCAGCCCCCGCTGAGCTGAGAGGGGATGTGGTGGGGATGCCTAGGGAGCGAGGGGCAGATGGGAAGAAGAGCAGAAGAGAATGGGCGCCATGTGAGGCCTCTGCTCTCTGTTCAGGGCCACTGTCATTGGCATTATTTTGTCCCTGCATTCTTACAAGGCCACCAGAGAAGGCCTTGAGCGGACGCCTTGCCAAGTGACAATTAAAGGATGAAGACTTAGACACAAAAAGCATCTCCAATTTCCAATTTCAGTTTCTGAAGAGTCCGGGGCCTCCTGCTCTGTCTGCCAGCCAGGGCCTCCCTGCTGAGCTCTCAGAAGTGTTTGGGTCTGAGGCCCACCCAGCCTCATTCCCCGCCTCTAGCTTTGCTGCTCGGCTCTGGCCAGGCGAGAGTTAAACTCCACCATTTGATTTGACAAGCCCAAGGTGAAGTGGGTGACCAGAAGTCTCAAAGGCATCCTTAACCCCTCTTGGCGGAGGGCTCTGCTGCTGTTCTCTGGGCAGACTCTGCCATCATCACTTGTGATCGCAATCAGAGCCCTGGCAGAGGACCTGCATTCTTAAAGGGACAGTGATCTCCAAGCCTCCTTCCAGAGACAACTGTCCTTTCCCCTGACCCACCTCCTGGGTGCACTTCTTCCCAGCTGGCGGGACTCGGCTCAGCCCAACACAAGCTCAGCCATGGGCACCTGTGGGTAAGGCAGGGACTGCATGGGAGGCCGGAGAACACAGCCCACCATAACCAGTGGGTGGCAGTGGGGGCCTCTCCCAGGCGTGCCCCTCTCTCCAGAAGCCGCACGGCCTGGGGTGCCCCTGCCCACTCTCCTGTGAATGTTTTTCTTCCCACAGCCAGAATCACACTCAACTCATTGGGCCAGGCAGCTGGAAGAGAGGGGTGTGAAGGCTCGCCCTGGGCTGGAGGGCTCTGGCACCTGTGGGGCCAGCTCCTTGTGAGCCCATAGCCCCTTCCTCTGCCTGGTTTTCCTGTGATGATGATGAGGTCAGGACGCCTCTAGAGAGTGTGCCCCACGGTCCTCCTGTTAAGTTACTAAGTGTTGCTGCAAACCCCTCGGCCCCCGACACTACAGCCTGGGAGACAGCTTGGGCCTCTCCCTCCTGGCTCTGTCCGGGGATCCCATTAATTCCATTCCTGCAAAACTGGATAGCGAGACACAGTCGGGAAGGGGTGGGGGGTGGTGGGTTGGAGGGGTCCTACCCGGATGCTTGACCCCTCAGATGAAGAAGTGGGAGGAAAGGCCCCCAGCCCCCCAACTCCAAGCATTTCTGCCTCCTGCCCTAGCACCATCTGGAACGCCACCACGAACACCACCATGCCCGCTGGGCAGCTGTGCCTGGCCCAAGGCTGCTGGTCAGTGCTGCTTCCTACCTACAACTGCTGGGACAGGATGTGGTTGGTGCCTTCCCTGGGCAGTTTGGGAGGCCCTTGGGGGCAGAGGTGGTGAGTGGAAGAGGGGTCCAGGGGCCACAAGTTTCCTAGGAGGGGCCCAGGGAGAAGGCGCCCATTCCTCGCCTGGGGGGAAAGGGTCTGGCTGGGCCCCTGTTCTCCTCTGGCCTGGGAGGGGCTGGGGAGTTCCCTACCCGCCAGCATTGGTGCCCTCCCCCGGCAGGCCCCTGTGGATGCTGGGCTTCACGGTCTCACTGAATCTGAACGGGGGGTCCAGGGCGTGGGCATTGGCTTCTGTGTCTCACCTTTTACGTAGGAAATGGAGGCGCAGAGGGTCGGACAATGGCCCAAACCCAAGCCCCCACCTGGCTGCAGATTCTGCGTATGAGCTGCGTGAGCTGCTCCATGTGCCAGAGTCCTCACCAGGCACTGATGCCCGAGCCAAGTCTCTGGAGCCCTGGGGGGTCTCCTTCCTGGGTCTGATAAAACAGACTCCTGGCCCGAAAGCATCTGTTCAGGCCTCTGTTCTAGGGGAGACAGCTGTACCCTCTGATGGGAGCCGCATCCACTGCAGCAGCCCAGACAGGACCCCTCGGCTGGCAGCACAGGGCCCCGTGCCCTTTGAACCCACAGGGTCTCCGCCTGCTTCCCACCTGCTTTCCTAAGAGCCCCGGCTGCCAGGCGAGTGACGAAAGCTCCGCGCATGCTGCTAGACCTCCCCCAGGAAGGCTGACACAGGCAGGGCCCTGTCATCAAAGCCCCTGGCCCACGACCAAGGAGATAGCTCTGGTTGTCACTGTTGTCTACTGGGCAGAGGCAGAGATGTTGTGAGCACCCCCCACTGCACAGAACAGCTCCCCACAACAGAATTATCTGACCACAAATGTCAGCAGTTTCAAGATTAAGAAACCTGACCAGGGAACAAGTCCCTCAGTCACAACAGCTGGGGGTGTGGACAGGGCTGTGGTGCCTGGGGACAGGGGGCATCTTGGAGCTTCTCGCAGGCCTGGCTAGTTCCCCACTTGGCCCGGCAGGGGCCTCGCCTCTGGGACCCCAACGCCTAGCACATCCAGCTTCCTGGAGGCCCCAGCCCGAGTCCCCCAGGTCTTCCCTCCTGTGGGGGATTCCGGTCCCCAGAGACTCCTGCTCCTTTTCCCAAGGGGTCTCTGAGAAAACCCAGCATTTTCCAACTTGTTTGCTTGTGTGAACTTGTATTTCTGTGCTGTGGGTGAGGTCACACACTCTGGGCCGCTGAACCCCATCTGTGGAATGGGGGTAACAGTGGCCTTGGCTTCCCAGGGCACTGCCAGCATCAGCCAGTGCTGGGGGGCAGGCGAGGGGCCTCCTGAGGCTCTGGGACCCCCATGTGGGGTTACTGTGAATCTCTTGAGGTCTCCCCTGCAGGTGGGTGGGGGCCAAGTGCAGTGGTGGCGCTTTGAGTGGGCCTTGGCATCCCCTCTAGTACCCGCACGCCATCATCCACTGTGCCCATCCCTGCCACTGTAACCTCCGCCTCCAAGAAAAGGCTCAGCTTCTGGCCCAGATGTCATGGGCGGCAGCCATGTGCAGCGGCTGATACGCTCTGCATCAGTAACCAGATCAGTGCTGGGGTCAAATAACTTTCTGCCGGGCAACAGAATCCCTGCCCGGGGCCGCCGCCGTTGTTGGTCCTGACCGTGGGATGAGCGTTGAAAGACAACGCCTCTGGGTGGGCCTGGGAGGGCAGGGCGGGGGCTGAGGGGCTGTTGGGACTGGGTGTCCACATCTAAGGGAGGCAGAGGGGGCAGGACCCCCCGAGGGCTGCTGCAGAGCTCCAGGCTTCTCCTTGGAAACAGCCTCTCCAGCCGGCCTGTGGTGCCGCCTCCTCCAGCAAAGACCTCACAGGCAGAGTTCTGCATGGGGCGGCCACACCTGGATTTGGGCTATTTTGTCTCCAGAGTCTTAAAAGGCCACCAGAGAAGGTCTTGAGGGGGTGCCCTGCCAAGTGACAATTCAGAATAAAAAAAGATGCAGTCTCAGACACAAAAAGTGTTTCCACTTCCCAATGTTAGTTTTGAAGAGCCTGGGGCCTCCTCGCCTTGCCTGCAGGCTGGGCTGACCGAGGAGCTCCCAGAGGTGTTCAGGGTCTGAGGTCCACCCAGCCCCGCTCCAGGCCCTGTGCGTGGGCTCCTCCCAGGGCAGGCGTCTGGGGGCCCTCACAGCCAGGCGGGGCCTGAAAGCTGATTCCTGTAGAGGGATTTTCCCTCAGAGACAGAGGAGACATTGTGCCTAGTGAGGCTGAGCATGGCCCAGTGGGGGCAGGAGCCCACCTTCTCTGTTCCTGACCCTGAGACAAAGCGGCCTCCCCCTGCTGTCAGGCCACGCGGCGGCTGGTGGGGGGCTTGGGAGCCAGAACGCTCCAGAGAGACGACTGCCAGAGGCCTGAAAGCCACTGCCTGTGGTGGCCACTGCTTCGAGACCTCCTTCCTCCAGATGGAGGCCCTGTTCCCCGCTCCTCTAATCAGCCCTCAGGGAGGTGGTGCACTCATGAAAATGGGCATAGGGCTGGGTGCGGGCGGTCATCCTGAGGTGCCAAAGGGGAGGGGATGGGTCACCTCTGCCATCACCCTTGGTTGACCTCCAGGCCAGGTCGGATTCCAGGGTCAGCTCCCACCAAGTCTGGCATCCTCAAACACAAGCCCTTCCTAGGGCTGACCATGGCCCCTGCAGCAAGCTGAATCATGCTCCTCCTAAAATTCATGCCCTCACAGAACCTAAAAGGTGATCTTTTCTGGAAAAAGCATCTTTGCAGATGCAAATTAATTGACATAAGGTCACATGGAATCAGGATGGGCTCTGAACAAGGAAGTAGGGTGTCTTTATAAGAAGACACACAGGGAAGTGCTCATGTGAAGACAGAGGCGGGGATGGAGGTGATGTGTCTAGAAGCCAAGAATGGCCAAGGAGGGCCAAGGATGGTCGAGGATGGCCAAGGAGGGCCAAGGATGGTCGAGGATGGCCAACGAGGGCCAAGGATGGTCGAGGATGGCCAACGAGGGCCAAGGATGGTCGAGGATGGCCAAGGGGGGCCAAGGATGGTCGAGGATGGCCAAGGGGGGCCAAGAGGGCCGAGGATGGCCAAGGAGGGCCAAGGATGGTCGAGGATGGCCAAGGGGGGCCAAGGATGGTCGAGGATGGCCAAGGAGGACCAAGGATCGTCGAGGATGGCCAAGGAGGGCCAAGAGGGCCGAGGAGGGCCAAGGAGGGCCAAGAGGGCCAAGGATGGCCAAGAATGGTCATGGCTCACTGAGAACCGCTAAGGAAGGCCAAGGAGGGCCAAGGATCATCAAAGATGGCCAAAGAGGACCAAGGATGGCCAAGGATCGCCAAGGATGGTAGAGGATCACTGAGAATCGCCAAGGAAGTCCAAGGAGGGCCAAGGATGGCCAGCAACACCAGACCTGGAGAGGCTGGGGACAGAGTCTCCCTCAGAGCCTCAGAAGGAGCCAACCCTGACCTCCCCTGGATCTCAGGCTTCGGGTCTGTAGAACTGTGAGAGCACACAGTGTGTGGTTTGAAGCCACCTAGTTTCTGGTACTTTGTTACAGCAGCTCCAGGAAATAAACACAGTCCCTGAGAGCCGCCCAGGGCACCCCTGCTGGGACACCCATCTGGCCGGTGGTCAGGGCTTCAGGTGGGACCATCTAGTGGGACTTGTGTGTGCCTCTACTCTGGGGGCATGGCCAGCCCTCAGCCTCTGCCACAAGGACTCGGTCCATTCCCAGGAAGGGCATCCCCTGCGTTCATCTCCCAGAGAGAGCTGATGCTCAGGCCTGAGCTGGCTCTCTGCAGCTGTGCGTACCCTGGGGCCGGCTAACACCTCCTGGGAGCCCGGCCACCTACCCCAGCTGAGCAGCTTACCCAAGTCACTCCTCCCTGGCAGGCTGCTCATTAGAAGAGGGGCTGCAGCTCACAGGCATGAGAGATTTCCTTGGGGACACTCCCTGTGTCCCTCAGAAGGACCTGGGGGTTTGGGGGTCACCCCTCCAAAGGACGCATTTTCAGTAATTAAAGAGGCAGTGGGGCCTGGAAGAGGCTGAGCCAGCTCTGGGCTGGGGGAGAGGTGGTTGGCGGAGTTCAGAGGCCACATGTAGGGGCCAGAAACTGTGCGCTACCAGGTGACCAGAGCTCTGCTCAGCCCCTCGCGTGCATCCTCCCCCCAGGACATCAGTATTTTCTCCAGCACCACCAGGGGCGTCCGCTGGCCTGGACCCTCAGGGACTCTGGCCCAGGGCAGGGTTCTGTGTCACATCAGCACAAGGGAGGGTCAGATGTGCTGCCCACGACCCGCCGAGTCCCACAGCTGATCTGCTCACTCGCCGAGTTTGAGAACCAAGGCTGGGCAGGTAGGGGGGTGATGACGGAATCAAGGGGGGGTGACGACGGAATCAGGGGGGACATCTGTGCTTTAGATCCTGACCCCATGGAGTCGGAGCCTGCCTGTGCCCGCAGGATCATGCCAGGGCCTCAGTGCTTGGGTGGGGGCCATGCATCCAGTTCAGAGGCCAGCATCCAGGGAGGGTGCCAGGTCGCTCGGCTGTTCGGATGTTGTCACAGGGGAACCTGCTGGCTTCCGTCCCTGTGAATGAGGCTTCATGTCAGGTACAGTCTTTTGGCCAGGAATGAGGGCATGAGCGAGTGAGCTGCCAGGTCTGTGTCCGAGGACCCTGAGCCCAGCCAGGAGCATCGCGGGGAGTGTGGAGAGATTGTCTGGGAGTGGCTATAGGGTTTAGGAAGTCTTTTGAGGGCCTGTCAAGATGGCCAGGACTGGCAGGCGGGGCAGGGTGGCAAAGGTGGCCTCAGAGAGGAGGAGAGTGAGCCCGGCAGGCTGGGGGCGACCCTGCAGGCGGAGCCCCCTCCTTGGGGCTCCTAGTGCCCCAGGCCCCACTGTGGGAGTCCTGCTCCGCACCCACTTTGTAGAGTGGCTGGGGAGAGACGGAGGGAGAGACGGAGACCCCTGGAGGCCCCATGCTCCCTCTTGGCGGCATCAAGGCTACACCAGGACTCTCTCCTCTGGCTGGCAGGAGTGTCCAGGAGGGGCTGGCCCTGCTGCTGGTAGATCCTCCTCCCAACCCAGACGGAGGGAGGGTGGCAGCCCCCACCCCTGCAAGCTCTTTCTTTCCTTTTCCCAAAGTTGAAGCTTCTCCTGGTGCCTCAGCAGCAACCCCTTCACCAGCCCCGTCCGCTGCCCGCAATGTTGGTGGAGTAAGGAGATGAGGCCCGTGCAGAGCCGGGGGAGCCCCTGGGGGGTCTCTAAGCTGAACAGGCCTCTTTGACATCATTACATAAGCCGTCACATTGTCACAGGCCACGGCCAGGAGTTGTAAATACTCGGGGAAAAGCCCTCTTTGTTATGAGGTTCTGGGATGTGAGACCTTGCAGCTTTTACTGCTCAGGATTAAAGGAAGCCAGGCCTGCGGGGAAGTGCGGCCGCTCCCAGCACCGGCCCTCGCCTTTGTCGGTGCTTTTTATGACTGCACACGTGGGTTTCCAGGCGGGAGCTGGGGGTTCCCTGGCCTGGGACCCAGCAGGCACTGGCGGCAGCTGGCGGGGCCCCTGATCCTCACGGACTTCCTCCTCCCTCCGCTGTCTCCCCGGCCTCCCTGGGCTTTCCAGGAGAGCCGTCCACGCCTGCTGTGGGAGGAAGACGCTTTCCTGAGGCAGGGGCCAGGCAGCTTCTGTTGGCGCCTGGAACAGCTTCCGCTCATCGCTTCTGGCGGCACACACTGCGGAGGTGAGACTGCAAATGCCGCCCGCCCCACGTGGTGCAGGCTGAGTGCTCTGGTGTTTGTCCAAGCTGTTCCAAGCCCAGGAGGTCGGACTCTCACCGTCGTCTTGGTGATGGCAACGCTGTGTCCTGCCCCACCTCGTGGCTGCCCCCACCTGTACCGGTGAGACCTGAGGGTACGGGTGGGGTGGATCCTGCCATTCCCAAGGGCTAAGTCCTGAGACCCTTTTGAAACCCCGTTTGAAAAGGTGACAATAGCGTATGGCTTCCCGCACCAAGTGCACACAGTACACTAGCGACAGGCACAAAGGCAACATGAAACGGGCTGCTCTGTGCTCGGGTGTCGCAGAAGCACGGGCCAGAGAGCCGGTGGCTGCCCAGGACCAAAGGGACCCACATCGACCTGCTGGGCACTGGGGCCTAGAGAGTGACCAGAGCGTGATTAGAAGAGGCCGGATCACAGGGAGCCCCAGTCCACTGAACCACATCCAGAAGGTAGAAAGGTAAGAAGGCCATGAACCCCTGCTGAAAAGAAGACACCACTGCCCTCCCTGTCCCCATCCTGGGGCACGAACAGGGTGGTGCGTCCTGAGCACTGAGGAGGTGCTGGTGGCAGAGGCACAGTGATGGGCAGGGAGCAAAGGATGTGGATTTCTAGGTGACGGGTCGCTGCGCCTCGTTAAAGGGTGGCCATCTGGGGGAGAAGCAGCTCTAAGGACCCCAGCATGGCCTGTGGACTGGAGGCTGCCAGGCACTGGCCTACACCACACTGGGTGCCGCAGGTCTGGGAGGAGACCGGACGTGCAGGGACGAAGCTCCTGAGACAGTGGTGGCCTCTCCGCCACTGGCCTCAGAGTGGGGGTGGGTGGGGGTCCTGGGTCTTAGGGAGAGTGAGAGCCCCAGCCGGGGTGCACTCACTGGTTCATTCCCGAGGCCCAGGAGCTGGAGCTGGAACTGAGGGGCCCAGGAGGCTCAATTGTTTTTAAATTCTGTTTTTACAAGGAGCGTGAGATTTATAGGCTCCGGAGGGGAAGAAAATGATGTAACTCGAGTCAATCAACAGCCCGTTTATTCCGGGCCTGTTTCCCCTCGCTCTGAGCTCCCAGGCCACTGCTATACACTCGGCTTTGACAGAAAACCACTGCCACCCACACACACACGTGCACATGCTCACACACACACGTGCACACCCACTCTCACACACACAGTGTGCACAGCACACACACACAGTGCACTCACACACAAACATGTTCACCCACACATTGTGCATATCACAATCACACAGAGCCGCACACATATGTGCAGCCTCACACACGTGCACTCCCCACACACACACGACCTCCAAACACTCTCACACACATCTGCACTCACACACAAACGTACGCACTCACACACACATGCACCCCCACACAAATATACAGTCTCATGTACATACATGCATGCCAAACATACACGCATATGTGTGCCCTTTACACACGTGCTCCTACAAACACAAACACATATATGCACCCACACACAAATGCACACACTCACACACGGACCCACACACAAATGCACACATGTACACATGTGCACCTACACACACGCACGCACACTTGCACAGCACACACGTGCACACATACACAAACACACATTGTGCACACCGCACACATGTACGTCACACATACACATGTACACCCACACAAAGCACACACACGTGCACCCACACACACACGTGCACCCACACATTGGGCACATCACAATCACACATACATACACATATGTGTGGCCTCACATACATGTGCAACCCCCCAGAAACGTGACCTCCAAACACTCTCACACACATTTGCACTCACACACAAACGTACATACACACACACATGCACCCCCACACAAATATACAGGCTCATGCATGCCCACAAACACACATATGTACCCTTCACACATGTGCCCCCCACAAACACAAACACATGTGCACCCACACACAAATGCATACACTCACAAATGCACACACTCACAGAGACCCACACACAAATGCACATAGTCACACACAGACCCACACACAAATGTACACACACACACGGACCCACACACAAATGGACACACTCACATATGTGTACTGCCACACTCACATACACATAAATATTCACATGCATATTTACCCCCACGCGTGTGTGCACACATGCTCCCCCATCAGCCCACCCGGGGTTAAGTTATCTCTGAGGGAGCTTCCACACACACCTCAGATTCCCCTCTCCCAACTTCTCCGATCCCTCTGTTCCTCTTCCTTTGTGAAAGTCCCCTGGTCTTGCACAAATCACACCCACGCAGCTCCCATGGTAAGTGATGAGGGCAAACCACAGTGTCCAGGCTCTATCCCTCGCAGAGGACACGAGTCAGGCTCCATGAGGAAGGGCACGCGTTTCGTCTCCCTCGGGTGCTTGGGACAGCCATGTGCCTGGCTGGGGGCTGGATCAAGTGGGCAGGGAGGGCGTGCCAGCCCCCTCCCTCAAAACCACCATCCTCCCCAGGACCTGAGCTAGCCAGGCTCCTCTCAGAGGACTTGGCTGGAGCCCCAGCTGAGCAGGTGTAGCTCAGAAGCTCTTCCTGCCACAGCAGCAGCTGGGCTGTGTGAGCAGGGCCTCTGAGTCACCTCTGCCTGGAGATCGATGGAGATCAAAGAACTTGGCCTTATCTCAGGAGGACCTTTGTGCGGGGCCAAGGGGGTGGGTTCAGCAGGAAGGCACTGGGCTTTCCAACAGCGTGAGAGTTTTCCTTAAATAGGCAGGTCCACATTGTTGATTCCTCCTCTCTGCCCCTCTCTGTGTCCGGGGGACAGATGCAGACTTTGTGCCCTGAGACGATAATAACAGTGACCTGGGTCACCTGGGAAATGATCTGTTCTCCAAGAACCCGGGAGGCAGCCAGCACACAGGCCCTTCACCCCACCTGCTGCCTGTGACTGCACCTGGGAGGCAACCCTGGGCACACAGCCTTTGCAGAGACCAAGCCCCACATTCTCACTCACATACACCTGCATGTTCACACCAGTGTGTGCACGTGTGCATACACACACACGCACACACACACACATCTACTCTTGAGTTGGACCATGAAAATCCCAATGCGTCACAGTGAAATTCCTAGGAACCTGTAGGGTTTGGTCCTTCACAGACATCAGTCTCTTTTCCTGTCACAGCCCACTGTGTGTGTCTTATAATTTGGCACATGTGTGTTCTTATTTCGGTGCTGCAATACAGCTAACAAACAGTAGAGGGCAGGCGTAGGTGTACACCCTGCCCGGTTCTATATCCAGGAACAAGGAAGTAAGTCTCTTCAAGAGGCCACACCTGGTAGGTGTGGCCACCAGGCCCAGGCACTGTTTTCTAGGGAATGCTCTCTTCAGAGTCACCCACCATGTGTAGCCAATGGCTGGCTGACTATGACAATAGTCGTCCCTGGGACACAGCTGTGAGCCCCAGAGGCTGGAAGGCCAATTTGCCCAACATGGCTGGTCCTGGCTTGTCTAACTACCTGCAAGTATGGGCAGAAAAGGCACCAAAACTCTTTGGGGAAGCCGGCTAAAGCCATGGGAGGAGCGCCTACCTGCTGGTGAACAATGGCTTCCAGGGCTGTGTGGGTGGCTGGGTGGCACAGAGGAAAGAGCCCCAGATTGGAGGCCAGCAGACCTGGGCTGAGCCTTCTGGGGAAGTTAGTGGACCCCTAGGCTTCGATTTCCCCAAGCAGCCAGCAAAGGGGTAGATTAGAGGAGAGAGGAGCGCCTGACGCCTCCACGCTCTCCTTCCATCCCTGAAGCCAGGGGCCACTGGTGAGATATTGATCCACAGCCTCAGCCTGGGAGGGCCTCTCCCCTCTCAATCCCCTGGCCCCCAGCCTGGTCTGATGGCCTCAGGCTTCTCTCTCAGCTCTACCGGACCAGGAGGCAAGGCATGTTCCCCATCACCCTGCATATCTGCCCCCCTGCCCCAAACACTGACCCGCTCATGGTGGAGAAGGCCAAACATTTTGGAATAAATACCCAAGGACGTCAGAATAAAACAGTGACCTTTTTGCCCTTCCAATGTTGAGCCTTGGTGCCAGCTCCTAATCTCTCCCTTGACCTTCAGAAGGGAGAGGAGGATCCCATACTTTAGACCCAATGATCCCTCACATCAAAGCCCTCTCCTAGCTCCCCATCCCTGCCGGGCAGCAGGGAGCCCTGGGCTGTACCCTTTGGAGCTGGCTGGACCTCCAGCCTCAGCAGTCCCCACTCATGCCAGACGACCTCTGAAAAGTGTTTTTGCTCCCTGGGTTCTGAAAAAAAATTCTCCTCCTGACTCAGCAACAACCCCTGCACAGACAGTCTGAGCAGGACTCACTGGGCTGGAGTTTCTGGATGTCACTCTAAATGTCACGCCATGTTTGTAGCCATTTGCAGCATTAAAAATGTAAATGAATTAATTACAGAGCTCAGGGGCCTTTATTTTACACTCACAGTTGCGCTTTTCCTAGGAAAGTGGGGAGAGTCCTGGCAGCAAGCTCAACTCCTTTGGCGTTTTTATTACTTTTTATTGTTACAAATCTTTCAATAGGCAGGGGGAAAAGCCCTCCTTTTTGGCATGCCTTAGTCATCCAGATGATGCTGGGGGGATAAGTTCATTTCTGTGACTTGCAATTTGGAAATGTGGTTGCTGAGATTTGCTACCTTAGGGAAAGTTCAAAGGTCATGAGGGTTTGTCTGACAAGGACACAGCAGTGTCTCATGTTGGAAAATAAATTAGACAGATAGATAATTGATAGATACATAGACAGATGAGTGATAGATGATCAATCGACTGATAGATGATCAATAGATAGCTAATTGATAGATGGATAATCAATTGATAGATAATCAACAATCAATAGATGGTAGAAAAATAATCAATTGATAATCAATCAACAGATGATAGGATGTGTTGAGGCTTCCTTTCCCACATTTTCTGGTTTAAATTGTAGAAGAATAAGAATAACAACAGAAATGACATGGAAAAAAGCGAATTTGAACCAGATCACAATTTTCTTAAAAAAGAAAAACAACCAACACCACCCAAACTCCTCAAGAATCGTCACAAGTTGGAGGGAGCTGTAGGTTAAGAACCCGATGGGACACAGCAGAAAGGAGCTCGGAAGACCTTCTTAATACAGTTATTAAAAGTCCTATACGTGTCTTCCCTTGTCATTGAATTTCACCACACAATTTAAGGAAAGCCACACAAAAAAAAACTTGCAGTAAAAAACTGGGGTATAATTTTCTTCAATCAACTCCGGCTCATGACTGCAATTACCCCGAACCCTTTGCGAGGCTCGCTGTGATGCTCCGGGGACAGGCCTCGGAGCCGCCGTGGGTGGCTTCCTTTCATGTGCCTCTCAAACCCTTCTTTATTGTGAGGTTTCAAATTAGCGCTAGCAGCAATGAGCAAATTTGATAATTCGATCTCAAATTAGTTAATGTAATGTGCCAGTAACCACTAACTAGTGCATTACAAAGAGGAAAATGTATCTTTTTGGAGTTGGGATATGAAGTTAACCAGCCTGTCATTTTGCCTTTGGAAACTTTTCTGGGTCTCTATTAAAAGGGAGTAATCCTATAAGAAATGTGCATCCTCACGGCGCTGGTGGTGTCCGGAGGAGGAGGGGACACTCATGGGCAGGCTCCGGGCTGGGGCACCCACGCACGCCCAATGGCTGCCCTCAGACGGCTTCCCAGGAGCGGTTGTGTCTGGAGGCCAGGGCCGCTCAGAGGCCCGGGCGGAGCCAAGAGGCAGGAGGGATCCGGCCCACGTGATGGCTTTGCTTTCAGAAGTCAGGCACTGAGAGGGAGTGGGGTCTGGATGGAAGGAGGGCGCTGCTAGAAACCCAAAGATCCCCAGACCTGGAGACTTCCGACGGCCTCATGCCGGACACCAGGACCCTGACGGCACGCCCGCACTCCTGCTTAGTGAGGAAGCCAGCATCGTGCAGCGGCTGCTGGACAGAAGGCATACTCGTTAGTCCGTCCTTGTCAGCTGGGGCTCGCTGCAGCCTCGGTGAGGGCCCAGCTGGGAATGTCCTTGCCCTCATCTCCTCCCTGTCACTTCTCCCAGGTAAGAGACAGTAAGGTCTCCAAGGTCCCTTGTTTAGGTCATAGGAGCAGACAGCAAAGATGCAAACATCCCTCGTACCAAGCGGCAAGAAAGAAATCATCCTCACACTGGTCACACTGTCCAACCACAGCAGATGATGGGCGCGTCTGTGGACAACCTCGAGACCACGTAGGGCGCTGTCATTACGTATGTCATTGCTTCTTGGCTACACTGTGTCAATGTTTTCTGGCTACACTGAGTCCCTGCTTCTTGCTTACCCTGATACTGCTTCCTGGCTACCCCATGTCACTGCTTCCTGGCCACCCTGTGACACTGAAACCTGGCTATACTGTGTCAATGTTTTCTGGCGACCTCCTGTCAATGCTTCTTAGCTACACTCTGATCGGCTTCCTGGCTACATTGTATCATTACTTCCTGGCTCCACTGTGTCACTGTTTCCTGCCTATTTTGTGTCACTGTTTCCTGTCTACCCTGTGTCACTGTTTCCTGGTTACACCATGTCAATGTTTCCTGTCTACCCTGTGTCACTGCAGTCACTGTTTCCTGCCTACACCGTGTCACTGTTTCCTGGCTCCACTATGTCACTGTTTCCTGTCTACCCTGTGTCACTGTTTCCTGTCTACCCTGTGTCACTGTGTCACTGTTTTCTGCCTACCCTGTGTCACTGTTTCCTGGCTCCACTGTGTCGCTGTTTCCTGTCTACCCTGTATCAATGTTTCCTGGTTACTCTGTGCCACTGATTCTTGGCTACACAGGTCCTGTCTTCTCGGCTATGTTTTCCACTCAGGTTCTCTTCCCAGGTCCTCCCTGTCCTGAATCCCTCCCAGTACTTAGTGTATACCATTGGCACTTCATAAGTGCCCATTCTTCCCTGGAAGCTGGATGGGTGTGCAACTGAGACCGGGGGTCCCGTAGCTTTTGCAGGCTAGACGAGATCCTGCCTTAAGAAATGAAAAGGCAGGTTTCCTCCAGAAGGCAAGGCAACCCCACCCCCACCCCCACCCCCACCCCTACCCCCACAGTGTAGGTAAACCTGGTAAGTGACTCGGGAGAGAAGGATGGGGAAGACTTTCCAGAGCTCCGCTGTGGCCCTGGACTTGCCACTTTAATCAGAGCTGAAAGGTCCCTCCCGCCCCCACCCGCCCTCAGTCAGTGACAGACGATTCCTGCCTGAAACGTTTAAAAAGGAACAGGAGAAGCTCTTTATCTGTGTGGCCTGAGCCCATTTACTCCGGGAGAAAGGCCCAGCCCCTGTCCAACTGAAAGCCACAGCTTGTTCTCTCATCTGATGGATGAAAGGAATTTGGAAGCCTGATACTGTCCCCTGAGATGTCATTCAAATCCTGAGATACCTTCCGCAGGCAGGGCCACCGCCACTCGGGCAACGCATCTCTTTGCCACCCCCACCTCATTCATCCCGGGCCCCTCACCTCGGAGCCCGGCTCTAATCAATACAAACCAGAGTGACCTGTGGGAGTCTCCGATTGGTGGCCAGCAAAGTAAAAACATGATTAGAAATGAAGTCGCCGGGGATGCTCTAAATTGGAGCTCTTTGAAACCAGCCTGGGTAGATCGGCTTTCCTTCATGGAGGGGTTTCTTGTCAGTTTTCATGTAAAGTAAAAAGATGAAAAATGTAAAAGACAAAAGCGCTCAGGCCCCTCCTCTCCAGGCTGTGCCATGTTCTCTTGGCTCATTAAAAAAGTACAACAAAGAACAACAACTTGTCAAGTGTTTCCTCTCAGAAAGAACAAAGAGAAAGCCGCAGGTCTTAATGGTTCTTATTGATGGCTTATAAATGTGCCCATGTCCTTCAGCAAGAAGCTCTTCCTACCCGGCCCTCCTTGGTTTGATTCCAAACTCTCCTTTCACTGCCAGCCCCCACCCCTCCCAATAATAATTCAGGCAAACTTTAAAATCTATAGATGCGGCATTCCAGGGTGATGGATTTGCCCCTCTTCCTGAAATTCAAATATAAATCCCCCAGCCTTCTGCAAAGTAACCATGGCAGCTTGATTTATTTGGGCTGCTGTGGAGTTGCGCTGTAGACGTTCAAAAACTTGGAAAGGCAAAGAATGTAGGGAGAGGGAGAGGGAGAGGGAGGGTGGGAGGGAAGCAGGGGGAGACACGGAGTGAAGCGGGGGAGAAAGGAGGAGAAAGAGAGAGAGGCGGTAGCAAGTGTCTCGCTGCTCTCCCAGTTGGGTTTCTGGGTCCCACTGGCCTTCGAGGAGCGGGGCTTTCCCAGGGGCTGGGGAGGGAGGGTGGGGCTTTGTTCAGAGCGATGCCATGCTCTCAGTCGATCCATCTTTCCCCGGATATGGCTAATCCGCACATTTCTCTTCCTGTGTGATGTTACCATCACTTTATCATAAATGGGCTATGAAGACATTTGGAGCTGCTACTGTTGTAATCTATCCAAGATGAATAGGGCGAAGGCTGAAATAAACTCCCCGTTTCCTGTCCCATCTGTCTGCCAGACTGCGGGTCAGGGGCATCCTCCCTCCAGGCTGGTAATTGCAAAAAACGAAGCAACTGAACCCGAACTAGAAGATCAAAGAGCTCAGGAGATGAGGAGGAGGGGGAGGAACTTTTCTGAGAACAAACTGGCTACGGGGGCGAAGGCGATTAGGGGAAACAACAACAACACACAAAAACCCCCAGCCTTCCTTCATTGACACAGAGAAGGAGGGAGGGGGGGAGAGAGAGGAGAGAGAGAGAGAACGCTCACACACATTTGGCAGATGAAGTTTGCTCCTGGATGGAGCAGGATAACTATGTGGGGAGGCTGGGGGACTTTGTAAGGTGGGAGGGTTTCAGGAGCTCTCCTTGTCCCCATCCTCATCGTGGCCTTCCTCTGACCTGCAGACTGTCTTTGCTACCTCATTAGCTACACAAAAACAAATCCTTCCGATTCGGTACAGAGACACCATCTCTCTCTCCCTCTCCTTTCCAGGACCGATTTCAGAAACAGTCTAGGGCACACCAGGGTTGAGAGGAGCCACCCAGAGTGATGCAGACTGTCCCAGCTCTCTAAACTGCCACCCAGACACACCGGTCCTGTCCCTAAAGGTCGGTCCTCCCCCACCACGTGGGAGAACCTTGTCACGGTCCTGGAAACCCTGCACTCAGGACTCCCTGGGCCACTCCAGGGCTCAGGCGGTCCGCTCCTTAAGGGACAGTGACTTGGGTCCATTTTATGTTCCCGCCCCCCCCCCCGGTGGGGAAGGACGGCATTCGGGGGCGAGGGTCCCATGCCTGGACCTTATTCCTTGGGGTCTGACACTGGGTGACTCCCTAATTACATTTCATATTCAGATGAATGAAACTCTGCAACCAACTGATGTTTTCCCCACAATCGGCAATAAATCGCAGCCAGGGCGCGAACAGTGTTCACATTCGCTCCTATTAATGCTTCCTGTCTCTGGACGCTGGGCCGGGTCCAGATTCGCTGCACTACAAGGCTTCCTGCTGGAGGAGTGAGGCCTCTAGGCTGCGTTCCAGTTACAACTGGCAGCTAATGCCTTCACACATTCGCAAATCCCAGGCCCGCCGGGGCAGGAGGCGGCGAGGTTTGCCTGGGGTCAGCAACTGCGGCACTGGCGGAAGCCCCTGGGAGGTGGTTCTGGCCCCCAGGCGGGGTGAGTGGAGCGGGGTCCGCACGGCCTCGCAGGCGCAGGTGAGGGGCTGGGAGGGAAGGACTCTTGAGCAGGCCCAAAGGGACTATTTCAAATTTTGGATACAAGTTTCCATTCACATCTGAATTCCTCTTTCCAGGTTGTTTCTCTCCCCTGGATGCCTGTGGGGGTGGGGACGGCAGAGCCTCGGACACTGCCCGGGGATCACTCTCAGGCTACTTTTCCCACCCTGCCAAGCTGCTCGAGACGTCAAAGGAGACCAGGCCGGTCAGCACACAGGCTTCTGGTAAGTGCCGCCCTCCGGTCTGGGAGCTCAGCTCTCCCCTTCTGACTCACCGCTCGGCGCTGACTCATCGTGACGGCGAGTGGGGCTCCAGCTCCGCGGCATTTCATAGACAGCGCGGTCACATTCCTTTCCAACAGTCGCTCTGGCCTCGATGTCTAAGGCTCCGTGGGCAGCCGGCCTGTGGATGAGGCGGCGGAAACCACATCCTCTTCATCATCCTCTCACGAGGAAGGACACTGACAGCTTCGGAGAAGGCTGCCCAGTGTCTGCGGGTGCCCTTGGGAGATGGCCTTGGGACACGGTGCCTGTGCCTGTGTGTGTACACCACGTGTGAACGCCAACTGGGAACACGGCCCCTTCGTAGGCAAACCCAGGCCTCCTGGAAGTCACAAGTTGATAGCTGTACTCGCCCCTTTTGGAAGACGCACGCCCAAGGCACCCGTGTGTGCACACGTATCCGTGTGTGGACCTCTGTCCACACGTGTGTGTTTTGAAAAGCCTTTCTCACCACATGTTAGGATCACAAGTGTTCAAAATCTAGGCACACTTTTCAGAAGTTATTTCTGGAAAAAATGTTGAATCTCATAACAGCAATAAAAGGAAAATACCGCCTCAGCCAACATAAATGTCTCCTTGGAACATGCCTGAAAAGCGGCGGAGTATTTGTGTAAGTTTCAATTCCAGCGTCAGAGCCTGCAGCTTGGCCGAGGCCGGGTTCTGCACAGGAGGGTGCACGGTCCCTTTCCGAAAGCCCCTCACCGGACTTCTGGGAACTCCCAACCCATCCCGGGAACCCCACCTGCCGGCCCCGGATCCGGATGGGCTCCTGATGTATCCCACAGAGGGGATGCCAACGTCAGACACCAGCAGGCTGGGGAGGAGCGGCTGTGAGGTGCAGCCGGCGGGTGGGCGGCCAGCCTCCAGGACAGACCTCGGAGGAGGCTGGGGGCTGCCTGCTGCCCTCGGGGCCCTGTGGTCCCACCACACCCGTGCCTGTCCCAGTGATCCTCATGTCACCGGCCCAGTGAGAGGCTGCTGCTACCAACCCCGCCAGCCTGCAGGCCGCTGAGTGCTGGGCTGCTCCTCCTCAGAGGATGAGCGTGGGAATAACCCAGTGGGGCGAGGATGCTGACGGCGCCATGGATGTCCACTGAGGGCCCGAGATGGGCCAGGCCGAGCTCTGTGCTTTGGAGTCAGATCTCATTTAAACCCAGCAGCACATCCCATTTCACACGTGGGAAGGTGGGGGAGTCAGGATCAGAGAGCAGGGTGTCGCATGGGGGAGCAGCCGGGCTGCGATGTGAACCCTACAGTCTGCCCATGAGCCGCACTCCTGGGCTGGACACTCCAGAGCCTTCTCAAGCAGCTTTCTTGGGGCTCCCTGAGCACCTGGCTGGATGCTGCTGGTCTGGAACTCTGGACGGGGGCCCCGGGAGCTGACCTGCAAAGCTGTAGAGCGACTGTGAGGCACTGGCAGCTTTGCAGCCCCTCTGGACCCAGGGTGGGGTGGGCTGAGCATCTGGCCTTCTGGGTCTATCTGGGAGGCAGGGCTGTCTCAGATCTGGGGCCTTCTGAGAAAGATGTCGAACCCAAGCTTCCTTGGGGAAGGAGGCAGATGGACCCCAGATCACTCTCCTGGGTGTGAAATCAGCTTTGGGGGTGCCTTCGGGGTCGGGCAGAACTGGGCTCACCCAGCTCTCGCCTTTTCTGGCTGTGTCACTTGGGTGAGCTCCTGAGCCTCTCTGTGCCTCGGTTTCCCTGTTGATTAGGTCAGGCCAAGGATTAAATGATGGCAAAGTCGTACCACGCTGGCTGGTTTTGGGCCTGTGGGGATTCTTCATCATTTCTTCTCTTTCTCCTACTGCAGCTCCAGGCTACCCTGAGATTTGCCTGCTGGGTCTGGGCTTCATGGCGGGGCCAGATTGGTGCCTCGGAGCAGAGGGCACAGGACAGAGCGGGCACCAATGCACGGGCAGGTTTCCAGGCACTTTGGGAAGAAATAAGATCCCACCCAAGAACCTCTCCCCAAC
This sequence comes from Homo sapiens, assembly GCF_000001405.40. Classification (NCBI taxonomy): domain Eukaryota; kingdom Metazoa; phylum Chordata; class Mammalia; order Primates; family Hominidae; genus Homo; species Homo sapiens. The sequence goes on along the minus strand of NC_000001.11, from coordinate 3,311,336 downwards.
TCTGGCCTTGGCTCGTCCTGGTTGTTTCCAAAAGTGAAAGAAGGCAAAAGAGTGAGCCGAGGCCCACCGGGAACAACAACAAAGACCCGGCCTCGGAGTGGCGGCAGCGCCGCGGCCACTGCAGGAGAGCTCTGGTTTCTATTAGTGGGAAGCGACGGCTCCGTCTCAGGACAGAGCTTGGGCCATCAGCCCTCGGCGGGTTAACCCTTCCCCACCTCACTGCTCTCACAGGCAACAGGCACCCCTGAAGCTGGGAAGTCCTGGGGCCGGGTTCAGCTGAGGACTCCCTGCATCCTGCCACCACCACCAACCATGCTGGCGCTCACACACACACACACATACGCACGCACACACGCACACACATGCCTACACACACCCACACGTCTCACAGACACACACGCACACTCACATGCATGCACACGTGCCCACACATGCCCACATGTCTCACACACACGCATGCCCACACATGCACACACACTTATATGTGCACACATATGCACAATCCACACCAGCACACACATGCACATACACATACACACACACAGACATGCATGCACATACACACCCATACATGCAAACACATATTCCTACACAGGGACACTCCACGCCAGGGCCATGTCATCTGAGGCCAAATGAAGAGTTGGCAGAGGAGGAAGGCCTGGAGAGGTAGCGTGGAGGCCAGAGGAGGCCCTGGTTGAGACGTGCTTGCTGGTTTGGCAGGTGGAGGGACTTGGGGACCAAGTAACCCGGCTCGGTCAAACATTCTCTCCCCAGGCACGGATGCTGTGTCCCTGGGGAGCCCAACCTCCCCAAGTGGAGCTTGGCTGAGACCCCTCAGCAGCTCCGAGGGCCCCTGTGGGTTGTGATGCCAGAAACAGGGCCAGAGCTCAGAGGAGGCACAGGGACTACGGTTTCCGTTGAAAGACGGCTCAGGGTCACCGGGCTCAGCAGAGGGAGGGCGCTTCAGGGGCGGTGACCGGGTCGCTTTAGGAAGATGGGTGGGGGGCACTCGACTCCCAAGGCTGAGGGAGGGGAAAGGTGTGTGCACACTGCAGGCATCCGGCCTTTGGGCCCCAGAGTGTGCCGGGCAGGTGTCATCTCCATTAACAGCTGCAGCCGCTGTGGAGGTGGCTGCCACCATGATACCCATCGTACAGGTGAGGAGGTGGAGGTAGGAAGGGCGTGGCCTGTCTCAACCTGACAGGGATGTGTGTATGTGGCCACATGTTGACTTTTTGTTTTAAAATTTGGATTCTACTGGGGAAAAAGATTACAATAAAGTGTCTGTGCTGCACCCAGGAAGGCATGCCCACTGGGTAAGGCTCGGCACCAAGCGGCCTCTCACTGTGGGTCAGGCTCGCATGGGGCGGGTGTGCCTGGCCCCTGTGTGAACCTGGAGCTGGCCATGGGGAGAGGCTGCTCTGGGGCTTTTCAGAGAATCCGTGGTTGATTCCCTCAAGGACTCCCTCAAGGGGGCCACGCTCCTCCTCCCTGGGTCCCCTCCCTGGCCCCCACCCTTCCCTTTCTCAGGTCCTCCCTCTGACAGTGGCTGTAGCCCTCTGCTCCTAGCCCAGGGCAGCCCTGGCCTCTGGAGTCACAGTCATGTGTTCAAGTCTCGGCCCCTTTCCCAAGGTGAGCTGGTCCTGCAGGGATGCGGGAAGTGTCAGAATATGAAAACAACCAGGACAAGGACAGCTCAGCTTACCCCGCTCCAGCACCTTCTCCAGGTCAAGCACTTGGCCAGCCCTGTAGCAGCCTCCTCATTCCATCTCTCTGGTGTTTTACAGATGAGAAATGAGCACAGAGAGGTTAGGAGCATTGTCCAGTGCCACAGAGCTGGCATGTGCTTGTCTGGGCTGAGAACTCTATGAAGCCTTGGAAATGCTCCCCACATATGGAGCAGTGTGTTCAGGCCCCATGGCCTGACCGGGAGCAGGAGGGAAGGACAGGCTCAGGTCTCGCATCCCGGGAAGAATTTCTCCTCAGTGCACCAGGGAATATCGCCTGACGACGGAATCAGGTTTCTTTCCCCATGACCCCTCCACCATTAGTGTTCCCAGAAAGCCAGGGGCTGCTGTGCCCAGAGGAGGTGCACCCTGGGAGCCCTGCCTGCAGGACGGGAAGCAGAGCCCCCTCAGAACAGAAACTAGGAACAGAGGAGGGACAAGGGAGGGAGGGCAGAAGGTCCGGTGCCCTCAGTTTCTATCCATCCTTGGGTCGGAAACCTGGGATGGAATGAGTGAGGAGCTGGGTCCACAGGGACAGGAACTGGGGGATACCAGGGGCTAGGGCTGCTCATCCTTTCCCAAGGAGGAGCCAGGGAAAAATTAAGCTCATAGGGAATGTCGGGTTCACCGGGCCTGGCGGACTCCAGATCCCAGAGGCAGGGCACCCACACATCTCTCACCGGCACGCACCAGGGCCCCGATAGCCGGGCACCATCATGGCGAATTACATTACATTGCATTACCCGGGGACCACTATCATGACCACGTTGGGAGAGGAAACTGAGGCACTAAGCTGCCAAAGTCACGCAGCCCACAACACTGGAAGGCAAAGCAGCCGTCTGGACCCCAGAACTGGAGCTGTCCCCTCACTGGGCGAAACCCAGAACCCAGTGTTTGCTTCTTTCTCAGAGTAGCAAGAAGACATGGCAGAGCTGCCCTCAGGCTGGAGGCTTGCAAGCCGGAGGCGCACCACTGTCTAAGCAAACCAGGCACGAGGAAACGCATTCGCAAGCCTGAGAAGATGAGTGGCCATCACTGGCATCACCGAAATGGCCTCCTCAACCGGACGGGAAGAATCCCTCCCCCAGCTGACTCCCCGAGATGCTCCATGCCCCACGTTCCTGACCTCCTAGGGGAAGGAGCAGGAGGAACCCAAGGCCATCAGAGGGGCCTGGACTGTGGGTGCTGCCAAGTCTGTAGGTGACCCGGTGACCATCCCGGTTTGCAGGGGACCAAGATTCTTTCTGGGATGTGGTGCTTTCAGTGGCAACAAGAAGAGCCCCCTCGGCAGCCCTGGCAATCCAGGACAGTGGGTCGCCCCCGCACGGCCTGACGCTGTGGCGTGGAGTCTCCAGCGGGGCAGCACTGGGTTGGAGGAGGGAGGATGCTGCCAGCATCACGGGGAGGTCACATGCCAGACACTGGTGTCTGATTTCCCCTTGAGAGAGGTTTCATCACTGCCCCGTCCTTGGAAAGGGTCACCCAGTCAGACTACAGAGCCAGGACCATGATCCAAAGCTGAGCAGTGCCCACCAAAGACAGTGTTCCCAGTGCTCAGGAGCCCTTGGGCCTTTATAAGGTGTCTACCGTGGGACTAAAAAAACACCTGTCCCCAGGTGACAGCATGCTGCCTTTGAAACACAGCTCTGTGAGAACACACCTGGCAAAGGCAGTCTTGGGGGCCACGCGGCAGGGACCCCTTTCCTTTACCAACTCTCACAGGCTGAGCCGCTCTTGCTGTGAATGTACGTGGCCTTGGTATGTTCTCCAGCAAGATTATAAGTGGAGGATGGAGTCAGCTGGGAAGCGAGGCTCAGATCAAGGAGGGCTACTACCAGGATCCCTGCAGAAACAGGGACACAGGGAGAGATGGCTGTAAAATCCTTGAGCTTTAAGGGGTAAGCTCATGGAGCCCTGAAAAATATGACTGCATTGCAAATGCCAACTTGTAGACACAAATATCGTGGAAGCAGGCCACGTTCAGCCTTGCACACTGTGCGCTCTTCCATGACTGAGAACGTTAGTCACCTGCACCCTGACCAACCTCTCATCCCTGAAGCCTGCTGGGAGGTGTCTGGGGACAGGAACGAAAATTTACAATGTTCTTTGGTTGTTTAATTTTGAATTTTCTCCCTCATTATTATTGAAACTGAAACATCTAAGAGGACACCCAGATTTATCTGAAACCGGAAGATGACACGTATGAAGGATCAAGCATTCATCACAAACACAGGCAGGCGAAGGAGACCAAAACACAGCTAGGACCATGCCAAGCGTCGGTGATGATGTGGAGAAATGGGGACCTGCCAGACACTGCTGGTGGGGAGGTGACATGGTGCAGCCACTATGGAAAATAGTCCAGCAGTTCCTCGAAATGGAAAGCAGGAGTCCCATGACCCAGCAGTTCCATTTTCAAGGAAGTCCCCAAGAGAAATAGAAACTTACGTCTTCACAAAAGCTTGAAAATACACATTCATAGCAGCATGATTCATAACATCAAAAAGCAGAAACAGCCCAAATGCCCATCAGTGGATGGATGGATAAGCACAATGTGGCCCCTCCATACGACACAATATTACTCAGCCATAAGAACGAGTGAGGTAGCGGCACAGGCCACAAAGTGGGCGAACCTGGGAACCACGGGACTGAGTGGAAGGAGCCAGTCACAAAAGGTCATGGGCTGTCTGAATCCATTCATTTGAATTTCCAGACTAGGCAAATCCACAGAGACAGAAAGTGGGTTGGTGGTTGCAGTGGCTGGGGGCAGGGGGACATGGGGAGAGTGCGGAGTGAGTACTAATAGGTGTGTGGTTTCTTTTTTCAGTGATAAAAATGTACTAAAATTTATTGTGATGGTTGCACAAGTCTGTGGCTGAAAACCACTGAATTGTACGTTTTAATGGGGTGCATTGTTTGCGTGTGAATCACATCTCAATAAAGCTGTTTTTAAAATGCAATTATTGCACAATGCAAACATTTTTCAGGGTTTCTATTTTTCTGGAATACTTAAAATTTCTCCTAAATGGCCCAAATCTGTCTGCAGGAGAAGCTACGAGGTAGTAGATTTTGAGGGACAACTTCCATCTATAAGACAAAAGTCTGTCTGTGTCCACGTGGCTGTGTCCAGGTGTAAATGAAGTTCGTCCTTCCAGAACCTGTCAGCACCTGAGTTCTTCCAGACGATCAAGTCTTCCTGTTGAGAGGGGTGCACTCCTTTCAGCCCCTTGCTTTTTTATATGGAAAATTTCTAACATGTGCACCCTGTGTCTTGGCCTCCTTAAATAAGAGAAATACCTGCAATGTGGGTGTCATTATCACTGATTATGTGCAGTGATGCTGTGATGTCCCCAGCACTGAACTGCCCACTGCAGATGGCCCAGCGGTCTTTGGAGCTGGCTTGTGTGGCAGGTCCCATCTCTTTGCTGTCAGGACATGTGGCCCTGATGGCCCTTGGCTAACTCCCCCAGTGAGTACTTCCCCCTTGCTTGTGATGTGCTGGAGCTGCAGAGATCAGAGAGCTGAATGGTTAGAACCGTTCACAACCTGGAGGGAAGTGGTCTCTGAGAAAGGCTGTCTCATCCCAGCAGAGATGGAGTGCTGTGCCAAGGATGCCTCGAGCTTGGGACTGTACCCAGCACGTGACCTTGAGGAGGATGCAGAGAGTGTCACTGGGGCCCAGGCCAGTGCCTGGCATAGGTGGCTAGTGGCAAAGTGTTAAGTCAATGAGTGAATCAGCAAATAAATGGGCAGAAAAGCAGCACGGGCATCACCCGGAAGGGTTCCCTTCTCGCATCCTGGATCTCAGTCCTGTTCTGATAGGCGAAGCTGCCAGCAGTCTGTGGAGATGAGGCATGCATGTGATGTGGATCCCAAACTTGCAAAAGTCGCGGAGCTGGGCCTGGCAGTCCTGCCTGCTCCACAATTCCCCACCGTTTTCCACGGGGCGCTTTCTGCCCTGCCAGGGGGCCTTTGACAGCTGAAGCATTCAGCTATGTTGACTCCACGAAGGATTTTATCAACTGATCAACTTCCATTCGAATAACAAGTTTCAGCCAACATCATTACCTGCATGTGGGAGGCTGTGGACGAGTGGGCAAACAGATGGGAAATGGTCACCAAAGGAGCATCCGCTTACACCTAACATGGAGCTGGGCAGTAACCATGGATCGGGCCCTAGGTGTCTGAAAATAAACACCAGCTGGAGGCAGCACAGCGAGGCGGGGCCTGGGCACCTGGGCCCCCTGCACGGGCAGGGGCTGCGGGGCAACTGCAGGTCCCCGTCCCATCAGGTCCCTGCATGTGCCGGACTCTGCACGTGTGGTTCCCGGGGGCCTGCGGAGATGCGGCTGACATTTTGTTATTTCAGTGTCTGTGGGAACCTCTTCTGGGACAGGTCCTTTGTAAATCTTCATGGAAATGTTCTTGAACAAAAGGACCACATCATTTCACTGCTGCTTGGAGGGCAGGTGCCAGCTTCCCCTGCTGGCACCTGTAGGCTTTCCGGCCTGGAGCACTACACAGGCTTTCCGGCTGGGAGCACTGCACATGTGTGTTTCTCAACCACCCATCATCCGTTTCTCAACACAGTTCACTCGATTGGTCAGAAGTGCACAGGAGGGCAGAGCACTGTCCAGCTTCAGCTGGGGACACAGACGCCGGGCACCAGGGACATGGGCCCCCAGTCCTGGGTGGCAGCGGAGGGCAGGCTATGAAGGAATAGGGTCCACCTGGGAGGCCACCTCCTTGGGCTCCTCCACAACTGTGGTGCTAGGGCTGAGGAGGAGGAGGCCACAGGGGCGGCACGGTGTCCTGAGACCACCTCCTGCTGTATCTAGAGAATTCCAGAGCATTGGCCCCTGCAGGGAGCGAAGGGGACAGCGAGTGTCTGTTGGGAGCCATCAGACGTGCTCACAGAGACACCGACACTGCCCTCCCTTATTTGCGCTGTCATCAATGCACACAAAAAACCTATGTGGGGACATAAAGCAATGCACTCCAGGCCGTGCTCCTCGTGTGGACATGCAGTTGAGGCCAGTGGCTCCGTGACACCAACAACGCAATGTGCTCCAGGCTGTGCTCCTCGTGTGGACAGGCAGCTGAGGGCAGTAGCTCCGTGACGCCAAGGATGCAATGCAGGCTTTCATTGTTCGTATAAAACGGGGCAGGCATTTGTCTGAGGCTGCAAATGTGGTTTCAGCGAATAGAGATCACTTGTTAAGGGAAAGCTGACTGGAAGATTGCCTTCTATTCTCCCCACTCTCTCAGAGGCAGCGTTGCTCACACAGATATGACCAACCAGGACTGCAGGGCTTGGCTGGGGTCCTGTGTCACTGTCCCCAAGGATTAAAGAGCCCACAGCCTCCTGCGCTCCCCAGCACATCCCTCAGAAGGCACACCAGGGCTTGGCTGGGGTCCCGTGTCACTGTTCCCAAGGATTAAAGAGCCCACGGCCTCCTGCGCTCCCCAGCACATCCCTCAGAAGGCACACCAGGGCTTGGCTGGGGTCCTGTGTCACTGTCCCCAAGGATTAAAGAGCCCACAGCCTCCTGCACTCCCCAGCATGCACACCAGGGCTTGGCTGGGGTCCCATGTCACTGTCCCCAAGGATTAAAGAGCCCATGGCCTCCTGCGCTCCCCAGCACATCCCTCAGAAGGCACACCAGGGCTTGGCTGGGGTCCTGTGTCACTGTCCCCAAGGATTAAAGAGCCCACAGCCTCCTGCACTCCCCAGCATGCACACCAGGGCTTGGCTGGGGTCTCATGTCACTGTCCCCAAGGATTAAAGAGCCCACGGCCTCCTGCGCTCCCCAGCACATCCCTCAGAAGGCACAGAGTCCCAGTGAGATGCACCGCACCCCACAGGATGGCTGCGGTCCGAAAGACAGGCGGGCGTCTGCAAGGATGTGGGGAAGTTAGGACCCTCACACTACTGGTGGGAATGTGAACCGGTGCAGCCGCCATGGAGAACAGTCTGACAGTTCCTCAAAAAGTTAAACAAAGCCATTGGATGACCTGGTAATGCCATTCCTAAGAATACGGCCAAGAGTAATGAAGATGTCTCTCGACACAAACACTTGTCTTGGGACGGTCACCACGGCACTCTTCCCAACGGCGAAAGGCAACCAAATGTCCATTAGTGGACATTTGGACGCAGACAGAAAATGTGGGTTTCATGCAATGGAATATTATTGGGCCATAAAAAGGAGTGGGAGACTGACGCGTGTTCACCGTGGCAAAACCTCAGAAACCCTATGCTGAGCAGAGAAGCCAGGTCCTGAGGATGGCACATTGTATAGTCCCACTTACAGGAAATGTCTGGAAGAGGCAAATCCACAGAGACAGAGAGGACATTCATGATTACCAGGGGCTGGGGGGAGAGGAGAAACTGGGAGGGGCTGCTAATGGTCAGAGGTTTCTTTCTGGGGGGATGGAAATGCTCTAAGATTAGACAGTGGTGTGGTGTGCCACTCTGTGACCAAAAACTAACACTTCCAAAGGGAAAATTATATGGTATGTGAATTACGTCTCAGTAAAACTGACATATATGTATTATAAAGCTGATATATATAAGTGTATATATCAATAAAACTGATATATATTATATAGGTTTTTATTTATACAGTTGAGCCTCATTATACCCAGATTTTATATTCCTGAATTTGCCTACTTGCTAAGATGTCTTTGTGACCCCCAAATCAATACATGAAGTGCACCCAAGGCCATTCCTGGACTTGCACCGAGGGGTGAAGGACCCGGGTTGTCTGGCATGTGTGCTCCCAGCTGGGGTCTTCTCCACCCTCTTGTCTCAGCTCTCGCACTGTGACCAGGTGTTCTTTCTAGTCTACTTAGTGCCATGTTTTCCACGTTTGGTTTTTTTGTGGCCGATTTCACTGTTTAAAATGGCCCCACGCACAGTGCTAAAGTGTTGTCTGCAGTTCCCAGGCACAGAGAGGCTGCAAGGTGCCTGATGTAGAATTACATGTCTTAGGGCAGCTTGGTTCAGGCTGAGTTACAGTGAGGATGGCTCGACAATGTATCCAGGCACACCTCATTTCATTGAGCTTCTCTTTACTGTGCTTTGCAATATTGCATTTTTTTTTTAACAAATGGATACTTTGTGGCAACAATGGATACTTTGGGGCAACCCTGAATCCAACAAGTCTACTGGTGCCATTCTTCTAACAGCAGGTGCTTACTGCATGCCACCGTCACCTTTTTTTTGGCAACAAAGTACTTGTAAATTAAAGTATCTACACTGTTTTTAGGCACCATATATTGCACACTGCACATACTACGGTATGGTAGACCAAAACATTTGCGTCACTGGCTTTGTTGCAATATTTACTTCATTGTGATGATCTGGAACCAACCCCGGGAAATCTCGGAGACGCCTGTGTTAGATAAGGGGTTTCTAAGCAGAACCACATGTAGAATAAGGTTGTTTATTGACCAGTAGATGAAAATGTGACCAGAAGCTTGCAGGAACCTAACACAGTATCTCTCCTAGGAGCAACAGTTTAGGACCTGCTAATTCAGCATTCCTGGCAACTGCATAGAAGAGAACTGCAGCTGAGCATAATGAGAATGAACCGTCTACTTATATCAACAGAACAAACTGCACTCTCATGTAGCCAAAAGGCCCTCCAAATTCTGCTGGAGCTAAGTCAGCAGTCCCCCGGTGACCAACACGCGCCAGATGGATTTCCACGGGAAGGGCCTCAAACAGGGGGCGTCAGGAGATACTTCCACAGAATCCAATGGCTGGGAGCTCCTCTGGAGGCCTGGAGCACACAGGAAAACACAGAATGTGGCTCAGGTGTGGTGTGTGCCCCTGTGTGCCTGGGTACACCCTGGATGTCTGGGCCAGCTTGGGACAGTGGCTTTGCTTGGGGTTAGTAACAAGCCAACAGACACAGAGCAAAATCCAGTTTTCTGGCCAGACCTTCTCTATCCCCTGTCCTGCCCACCGGACGTTTTTCGAGCCCTGGACACAGTCTGTAGTTGGGTCTTACAGAGCCCTTGCTAAAGGAAGCTGGGCTCCGCCAGAGGTGTCAGCCTCAGCACTGGGTCACCGAGACGTCTTCTTTTAAAAATACAAAGACAACCAAGGGTTTAATAAAGGAGTCACTTAAAATGACCAAATCTAACATCCCCTTTTCTCTAAAGCACATATCCCCAACTACAAATGCATTTATTGGCTTTTCATTTATTCATTTGTTTGGCAAGCTTTCTTTTCCTCCTTCCTTCCTTTTTTTTTTTCTTTTTTTTTTTTTTTTTGAGATGGGATCTTGCTCTGTTGCCCAGGCTGGAGGGCAGTGGTGCAATATCACAGCTCACTGCAGCCTTGACCTCCAGAACTCAAGCAATCCTCCAACCTCAGCCTCCTGAGTAGCTAGGACTACAGGTACATGCCATCACATCCAGCTAATTTTTAATTTTTTTGTAGAGACAGGGTCTTGCTAGGTTTCCCAGGTGGGTCTCAAACTCCTGGACTCAAGCAATCTGCCCTCTTTATCCTCCCAAAGTGTTGGGATTACAGGTATGAGCCACTGTGCCCGGCCCAAACATTTCTTGAACCTCACTTCATGTCAGGTTTGGTGGGGTCAAGGAGTGCAGCCTTGCACTTGACAAGCTCCCTTGGTGGAGACGAGAAAACGGGGACTGCCTTCCAGGTGATAAGTGCCAAAAGCAAACAGATAACACCACAGCGAGGGTGATAGCAAGTCTTCATTCGTGGTGCTGAAGGACAAAAGTCTGGGTCTGGGATCTAAGCGGTTGAAGGAAGATATTTCCATACACGGTTGCTCAGCTCTTGCTCAATGGGTAGAGTAACTGACTTCACACACATAAATGGGGTTCGGGGGGATGGTACAAGGTGGAAAAGACAAATAATAACAAAGAGAAATGAAAGGAAATGCTAACAATGATGCGTGGATCTTGGTAGAGTCAGACACCGGCAGAATCCATTTTCCCTGGCACAAACGCACCCCAGTTGCACCGCGGTTCCGAGGCTCCAGGGAACGAAGAATTGCTGGAGGAGGAGATGTGCTCCTGAGGCTGGAAAACCATGACTGGGATCGGAAACATCACGGCCACAGCACATCATCTTCAACCAGGGCAGAGCCACCACGACTGGGATTGGAAACATCACGGCCACAGCATAGCATCTTCAACAAGGGCAGAGTCACCACGACTGGGATCTGAAACATCACAGCCACAGCATAGCATCTTCAACCAGGGCAGAGTCACCACGACTGGGATCGGAAACATCATGGCCACAGCATAGCATCTTCAACAAGGGCAGAGTCACCACGACTGGGATCGGAAACATCATGGCCACAGCATAGCATCTTCAACAAGGGCAGAGCCACCACGACTGGGATCGGAAACATCACTGCCACAGCATAGCATCTTCAACAAGGGCAGAGTCACCACGACTGGGATCTGAAACATCACGGCCACAGCATAGCATCTTCAACAAGGGCAGAGTCACCACGACTGGGATCTGAAACATCACAGCCACAGCATAGCATCTTCAACAAGGGCAGAGTCACCATGACTGGGATCGGAAACATCACGGCCACAGCATAGCATCTTCAACAAGGGCAGAGCCACCATGACTGGGATCTGAAACATCACGGCCACAGCATAGCATCTTCAACAAGGGCAGAGTCACCATGACTGGGATCTGAAACATCACAGCCACAGCACGGCATCTTCAACCAGGGCAGAGTCACCACGACTGGGATTGGAAACATCACGGCCACAGCATAGCATCTTCAACAAGGGCAGAGTCACCACGACTGGGATCTGAAACATCACAGCCACAGCATAGCATCTTCAACCAGGGCAGAGTCACCACGACTGGGATCGGAAACATCATGGCCACAGCATAGCATCTTCAACAAGGGCAGAGTCACCACGACTGGGATCGGAAACATCACGGCCACAGCATAGCATCTTCAACAAGGGCAGAGTCACCATGACTGGGATCTGAAACATCACAGCCACAGCACGGCATCTTCAACCAGGGCAGAGTCACCACGACTGGGATCGGAAACATCACGGCCACAGCATAGCATCTTCAACAAGGGCAGAGTCACCACGACTGGGATCTGAAACATCACAGCCACAGCATAGCATCTTCAACCAGGGCAGAGTCACCACGACTGGGATCGGAAACATCACGGCCACAGCATAGCATCTTCAACAAGGGCAGAGTCACCACAACTGGGATCTGAAACATCACAGCCACAGCATAGCATCTTCAACAAGGGCAGAGTCACCACGACTGGGATCTGAAACATCATGGCCACAGCATAGCATCTTCAACAAGGGCAGAGCCACCACGACTGGGATCTGAAACATCACGGCCACAGCACGGCATCTTCAACCAGGGCAGAGCCACCACGACTGGGATCTGAAACATCATGGCCACAGCACAGCATCTTCAACCAGGGCAGAGCCACCACGACTGGGATCGGAAACATCACGGCCACAGCACAGCATCTCCAACAAGGGCCGAGCCAGTGTCTTGAGGGAGAGGAGAGAAATGCTGTGTGCGTTTTGGTGGTAGTGCTGGTCCGAGGACAAAATTCCAGGAAGTCCATTTACGGATCCTGTAGGTCAGACCCTTCACATCCAGACAGCCCTGGCTGGACGGGAGGAGACCCAGCCTGAAGGCCAGAGCACTCTGCTGGGACCAGGCTCATCGGAGCTACGGAAGGGACTTACAGCAAAGCAAAAGTCCAAAGACAAAAGCTCTTTTTGGCCAAACGTGGTTGGAGAAGCATGAGACAGCCCCTTGGTCTACGGCCCCTTGGTCTACGACTCCTACAGCTCCAGAACTGGCATTTCTAGGAGATTCCTTTGCCCATTTCTTCACCAACCCCCAGGAACCAAGGGCCAGGCAGTGTCCTCAGACCTCAGCCACCAGAATGTTGGCACTGAACAAGCAGGAGAGTCTCTTTAGCTAAGACTGGAAGGGTGTCTGATATGAATTGGGAACCACACAACCAAGCTGCTAGCACAATTGTTGAGGACTCACAATGTGCTGTGGGGACACAAAGGCATCATCCGGGGCTGCCCTCTCCGGGCCGGGGGGTGGGGATTCAATGTAACTTAATTAAAACTAAGTAAAGTGAAAGCTTCAGTGCCTCCATCGAGCAACGAAGCTCATTTCCCAGGCTGGTGTCGGCCGTCAGAGGCACCCAGCCCTGCAGCGCTTCCCTCCTCCCGACAGCGAGGCTGCTCGAGCCTCTGCTGGTGCGTTCTGGCCTTCAAGGAGGCAGACAGGCTCTGAGTGCTCAGAACCATGGGAGTAGGTCAGGGAAGGAGAGGGGTGCAGGACTCGAACACGAGGTGCATTTGCGGAGGAAAGTGTCCCCTGCACACTCAGGGTCTCTGATCAATGCCTGACGGGAATCTACTGATTTAAGGAGTGGAAGATGCTGTCACTTACACGTATTCCCAAGCCCCAGAGGTTTGGCTCTCAGAAGCCTTCTCTAGTGCATGGCCCACACTTGGAACTTCCATCGCCCTGGTGCTGCAGAACTCTCAGCAGCTTCCTTAGTGTACCTTGGGTGACGTGCTGTTCCCTGCAGAGCCTTCCCCTGCGGAGCTTGCCATGCAGTCTGGCCCCTGCAGAGCTGGCTCCTGCGGAGCTTGCCATGCAGTCTGGCCCCTGTGGAGCTTGCCATGCAGTCTGGCCCCTGCGGAGCTTGCCATACAGTCTGGCTGTGCCTCCCTTTGGGGCTTCTATTCCCTTTTTACTCCTGGAATGTGGGACCCTGGACTTTTTTTCTTCTCTTGGTCCCTTCCTGCCATCGGGCAGCCCTTCCCTGACTCCCTCCCTGTCCCCTGTTTCCTGCCGCTCCAGACTGTGGTGTTGTGGGCAGGAGTCGGCCTGGTGCCAGCTTCATTTTGATGCCAGGAGCCTCATCCCCCTCTCTTATCCCTTCTGCCACCACCAGCTCCCTACCTGCCTGCTATAAAGCCACCCTCAGTCCTCAAAAATCCTCTCATCAGGCCGGGCGCAGTGGTTCGCACCTGCAATCCCACCGTTTTTGGAGACTGAGGTGGGTGGATCACCTGAGGTCAGGAGTTTGAGACCAGCCTAGCCAACATGGCAAAACCCCGTCTCTACTAAAGATACAAAAATTAGCCATGTGTGGTGGCTGGCACCTGAGGTCCCAGCTACTCAGGAGGCTAAGGTAGGAGAATTGCTTAAACCCAGGAGGTGGAGGTTGCAGCGAGCCAAGATCGCGCCATTGCACTCCAGCCTGGGTGACAGAGCGAGATTCTGTCAAAAAAAAAAAAAAAAAAAAAAATTCCTCTCACCAGACGTTGACCTGGATAGGGTCTCGCTGCTTCGGGTCTCACCCGAAATGGACAGAAATGCTGGTAATGTGAGTCCAAGGAGACGCCGGGACCTGGAGGGGCCACTGGGCAGAAAGCGGACAGAGGACAAGGGCTGACCGCTCCCCTTAGGGCTCCTACACCCCACGAGGTCTGAGATCTGCGCGCATTCAGTGGAAACCGCACACTGAGGGCCCACGCAGCCATTATGGTTTTTACTTTCAGTACAGTATTCAATAAATTATGTGGGACAGCCAACACTTTACCCTGAAATAGGCTTTGTGTTAGATGAGTTTGCCCAGCTGTAGGCTGATATGAGTGTCTGAGCGCGTTAAGGTGGGTGAGGCTAAGCCGTGCTGCTCGGTGGGTTTGGTGTGTGAACTGCGTTTTTGACTTAGGATATTTTCAACTCGCAGTGGGTTTATCGGGACTTGTCCCCATTCCAAGTCCAGGAACATCTGCACTTAACAATGGCACACGAGAGTTCCACGAAAAGATTCTTCTGAAAACAAATCAGCCCTCCTTCCCGGCCATATCCTTTCCTACTCAGCCCCTCTCTGCATCCAGGCTGCCCATCCTGGTCCACACACGACCCCCATGGCAACCTCTGGCATGTGCCCACCCTGCCCTCACAGGCACCCACGGCCTCCCCTGGCTTTGGGCCAGGTCCCCCTGTTGGAAGCCACTCCTGGCTCCCTCTTGGCCTCTCTCCTCTCCTGCACATCAAACAGCAACACGAGGCCCCGGGTTAGGGCTGGTGGAGCCTCTCGCCTCCTCCACTGAGTGACAGGCTCCGGAAGGCCAGGCTGTGCCCATTCCTACCTCTGCCCCCGGCCCCAGTTCCGCACAGAGTGGAGGAAGGAGAAGTGTTTGCAGGAGAATGGACGGGTTTATGTCCATTTCTGCAGCTCCCTGGCTGCCTCTCGGACCATAACGACTCTGAGCACCTCTCTAGGAGGCGAATGTGACTCTGGGTCCCTGCAGATGGGAACTGGGGCTGGACGGCAGCTCCAGAGGGCACTGGTCGTGTGCCTCACAGCCAGCAGGGACCCATTAACCAAGCCGACAGCCACTTCCCCAGGACGCTCCACCATGACCCGTACGGTTCCGGAACGTAAGGAAGTGAGACCCTCGGAGTGGATCTGAGCAGATGACCGCCCAGGCTGAGGCTTGAAAATGGCTCCAGCTGTCCTTTCGGGCAAGTCCCCAGCTTAGGATGGGAGTGCGGTTGCTGAGGCTCTTCCTCCTGCCCAGCCCCACCCAGGCCTTCTGGAACATTCCACTGCACAAGCTCTTCTGATTGGGGAGGGCAGGTCCTGTCTCAGTGGGCTTCTTGTGGGGGCAGAGGTGTCACGCCCCAGTTACCCCAGTTCTCACCATGCACAGCTTGACCCATGGCAGCCCTCCGGAGAGGCAGGAACTTCCCCACTTCACAGGGTTATTTACTCTCCCCTCAGGCTGCACGCGTGGTGTCTTCAGCCTACAGAATTCTGGAAGAATTCGGAAGAAAAAAGAGCCCATCGCCCAGAAACCCTGTCAACGGAGCTTCCCCCAGACTAAACAAAGCCCACTGTGGGCGAGCGTGGTGTGCAGGCCTCAGAGCCTGGCGGTCAAGTCTGCTGCTACCGGTGGGAGGGAGAGGAGGACGCTCGGCTCCTGAGTTACGGCCCCCGGGGAGGTGACAGTGAAGGGGCCTTTTGTTCACCCCGCACATGTGCATGGCTACCTGCACACCTGCATTGAAGGACACTCTCTTCCCAGCCCCCACACGCTGGTGCTCCTGGAGGTTTGGGCTGTAGGGGGTCCTCGAGGGATCTGGGAGGAAGTCGCACCTCCGTGAGCCCATCATGGAAGTCCCGAGGGACCAGCCGCGGTGAGGAGCCCAGAGAGCCACCCAGTCCCCTCCCAGCACTGGCACCTTCCTACCTATTCTCAGATGAGCTGCACCCTCATTTAAAGAGGGGAAAGTGAGGCCAGGAGGGGCTCACCCTGCAAGCCAGCTGTCCTGCCCGCCACCTGATGCCTTTCCTGGATACCCTGTAGCTGTAATGGCCTGGCTCCTCGTTCTGTGAGCAGGGACCTCATGCATCTCACCTCAGCAGTGCCAAGAATGTACAGACGGGCTGGCCACAACCTGGGTGCCCTGGGAGGCAGAGGTGGCTTTTAAATAACAGTTTGGGCCCACAGGCAGGAGAGCACCTCGAAGAAAGCCCAGTGGGGCTGAGGGTGCAGGGGTGAACCACCCCAGAACCTGCCATAGCCTGCCTGCAGTGACCAGGCGGGGGAAGATGTCCCTGAGACGGGGCCTGACACCGATGGCCACTTCCGTGGGGTCTACCCCTCTCCCCTGGGTCTGTGTTTCTTAAGGCACGTGGGGTTGGTTCTGGTTTGTACGTGTGATCAGAGAAAAGGGAAAATAAGAACAAAAACATTGGCCGTGCCCGTGATCAGGACCTGGGCTTGGTTTGTGTTTGATTCTTTATGAGCACTTGCCTCTGAGTCTCTCGTGGGCTTTTCTTGGAGGAGAATGGAGGTGACTTTGTCAATGCTCAACCAAACGCAGCCCAGCCCGCGAGGCCTGGGGGACAGAGGATGGCGCTGGCTGAAGGGGAGGCAGCACGGGATCCGTCGGGATCCTGTTCTAACGCGGGCTGCTCCGGGGATGTTCCTGGGGGGAGGAGGAAGGGGACACACAGGGGCCCTGGAATGGAGGGCTGTGTTGCTGATGTTGGGGCAGAGGGGCTGGACACTGACCCATGGGTTTACCTGGTGATCTGGGGGGAAGTCAGAGGCTCTTGGGGCCCCTCCCTACCTCAATCCTGTAGCCCCTTTGGAAGAGAAAACCCTGAGGTGGGGTCAGGACTGCTGGAAGTGCCTCTGAAACCACAGCTGGTGAGAAGATGGAGAGAAGGGCTCAATCTGTTTTCTCCCTGGGGAGAAGTCCGGGGGTGCCCTCCAGCCTGGATACACCCCCACTCCACAGCAATTCCTAGCCAGCAGACTCTGCCCCCAAGAGAAGCTCTTTATACCTGACAAGATTTTGCCTGTTTACCTGGTAGGCAGGTTCTAGGTTTCGCCTGTTTACCTGGTAGGCAGGTTCTAGGTTTCGCCTGTTTACCTGGTAGGCAGGTTCTAGGTAGGTACCATCATTTCTGACTGCCAAGGCTCAGGTGGGCACATGGCAGGAACGCCTGGCCCCCGGGGGAGTAAGGAGCCGCCACAGTGAGGCAGGGGAATGGCCTAGCCCAGGCTTCTAGAGAAGCCAGAAACCCGAATCCTGTCATATGTTCACAGATGCACACACAACACGCACGCACTCACACACTGCCGGCACCCACGAGTGTGCTGGGATTACGGGGGTGCCTTCAGGCCCTCAGACACCTGCCGGGGCCGGGCCACGCCATCGCCTCTCCAAGGGGCAACGTTCACCAGGAGATGGAGAAGCCGACAAAGGATGGAACAACATTGCTGCCGACTCCCGGACCCCTGGCGACCACTGAGCATCCTGCACAAACAGCCGTGCTGGACTCACCCATAAATCCTGCTCAACAAGCTCTTAACAATGAAATACCCTACTATTAGCCGAGACAACCACTTACTCAGAACAAATACTATTCAGAGCGGAGCTCAAACGCATTCCCCTCTGATCATCGGTTCCTGGCCTGGGTACTTCAATCTCTCTATTTATGAAACAATAATGGAATTCTATTTAGTGCAGCGCGGAGTTCACTGCCTCTGATAAGTTTGCGTTCCAACGTTGCCCCTGGCCATCGCGCCTTCCTATTACCTCCTTGTCCCGGTTCACAGACGGATGAATCATCACCCAGATAGCAATACAACCTTTACCCACATATTATCATCAAAGCCGGCATTCACGGTGTTTTCAAAGGTTATGTGCTGACACACGGGTGGCCTGGGATGCGGTGCTGGTCCCGCTGACCTGGACAGGGTCTCGCTGCTTCTCAGGTGGAGAGGGAACCCCTGGGCTGCTTGGCTTTCTGTAGGCTTCACTGAGGGCCCCCTCGCCCCGACTTAGGATCCTCTACAGAGGCAGGTTCATTGCTGGTAACTCTGCCCAAATGTGCAGTTTTTCACTCAACACGTGTCTGAGCCCCGGCCAAGTGCCAGGAGCTGGGGTGGAATATAGGGTCAATAGGGTGCAGTCCCTGCCCTCATGGGCGATGTCCCTGTGAAAGGCACCTGGATGTGTTCCCTTGTCCTAGTAATTAACTGCAGAAAGACAGCCGAACTGAGGCTCCTCAAGAGTCCGAGGTCATGCCCGGAGCGGAGTGCCTCCGTGAGGGTCAACCCACAGAAGACAAACAGGAAAAGACCAGTGCCTCTTCCCCTCCTTCCACAGGGCTGCTCACGCTTCTTGGCTGCCGGAAACCCACCCAGGCCATTCGAAGATACAAGAGTTTCATCGCTTGGCAATGGGACTGGCCTCCTGAGCCCCCACCGATGTGCTGGTGGAGAACATTCAGCCTGGGCTCCCCATTCTTCCCTTCGCGCCAATTCCGTGACCCCTGTCTCCTGGGGCCACCTCCACCCCCAAACCTCCACCCCACAGGAAGGGAGGTGGGTTCCCTCGCTATCTGGCCCTTCCCTTCAGGAGAGCAGGCAGACCGTCCTTTCCCCTTCCGTCTGGACAAGCCACTCTCGTCTGGACAAGCCACTCTCATCCGGACAGCGCGGTCAAGAATGAAGGTCACGGTGCCGCTCACCAGGAGAACTCTTTTCAGCACTCGGGGGACGCTGCGGCCCCAGATAGAGGCGCAGCCAGGCGGAGAGCGACGGCTCAAGTGTGGTTTATCTCTCTGTGTTCTTTGCTTCTCTCTCGCTGGAGACACTGGGCGGAGGATCAAAGGCTGCGGGACAGAGCCGGACACCACTTTGATTCCCAGGGGCTAAAAATGAGCAGGTTTGGAAAGCCCGGGCCTGCCGTGCCCGCGTTATCACCTCGGCTCTGCTCTGGCTTTGCAGCATAATAAGACAAGTGTTGAGTAACAGGACTTGAGGCCGGGCCACGGCAGGTTCCTCCTGGCGACGGCATTGGACAGAACAGCTCAACCTGCTCTCCCCTCAATAAATCCGTCACGTGCCCAAGGTTGTCAGTGCAACCTTGAGAGGCCAGCATCCTGCCAAGGCCTGTGGGCCCAGAAAATCTGCCCTCTCCGCCAGCCTTGCTGAAGCGGCCATGCACCTTCCTGCGGGGTCCTGCGGCCAAGCCCAAAACACAAGATGTAAAGGCATCTTGAGGGTGCCAGGCACCGGGTAGGCCCCAAAGGAGCCCGGGAGAAGGCACCTGCTGTGTGGGGGGAGACAGGCCCAGGAGGGGCCCTGGGAGCCTCCCAGGTTGGTCTCGAGCAGTGGGAGGTGCACTGTTCCCTTCGAGGAGAGAAGCTGTTGGGACCAGCGTTCACCTGCTATGTCCAACCCAGTGGGTCTCAAACTGGAATGCAGCTCTCTTGCCGGGCATTTACACAGAACCCCCGTCTCCCCCAGTGCTGGGGTTCAGGGGACTTGCATTTCTAACAAGCTCCCCCGCACTGCCAAGAGCTGCCTTGACCCAACACGGGTGCTTCATAGCATTCAGACCTTATTTAAAATGGACATTGATGTGATTACTTAATAGGGAGCCCATGGCCTGGTGAGGCCCCTTCAAGAGGGGATGGGCAGGGGCGGGAGGAGTGTGGAGCTCTGAGTTCTGCGAGGCCTGTGGGCCCCTGGAGCTGGCCCTTCCATGTTTCAGCTGCTGGATCAGTGATGACAGCGGATGGTGTTTATTGGGGTATCTTCCAAAGGTCAGATGCCTTTCCTTGGCCTCCCTTAACCTGCAGACAACTCCATGGCAGCTACCTGGCCCCTGCGGTGCAGAGGAAGCAACACAGGGGCAGAAGGGGAAGAAGGGTGGGTCCCCCAGGGGTCCAGGTGGGGCCACTGTGAGCGCAGGTGTGTGTGATGCCCAGGCCTCTCTGGGTTCCCTGTTCCTGGGAACGCCCTGACTGGGGTCTCCTGGGCCTGGCTCTCTCCAGTCTCTGAGGCAGTGTTATTGCCACCCCGAGAGAGGCCGTGTGGGCTGCTCTCAGCTGTGCATCGTCCTGGTCCACGCCCTGCCTCATGACCTAAGTATCACATCAGGAAACTGCTACTCGTGTCTCCAAGGATTCCGGAAGCGGGTGGGGCCGGTGCTGCCTGGGCGATCCTCCTGCATCTCTCCTCCAAGCCGGAGACAAGGATGGCCTCTCCCAGGCCCCTGGAGTCAGGAGGCCAAGCCGCTCCTATCACATCGTAAGAAGGTTAATAAGGCCCCCGATGAATGATGAGTATGGATTTCTGCACCACTAATTTCCGTAACCATCACTCTTTGAAAGATACCTCGGGCCCCCAGTGCTCCGGGCCCTTCCCAAACAGAGCGGCATTATGTGGCCAAGTTCAGCTCGGCGTATCCCGTTTCAGGGATCTCGTAGGGCCTGCCTCGGGAAACTCTGCAATATTTTTGGATCCACAGCTCCCGGCTTGAGTTTCTTCCACTCCCTGCACGTCCCCCTGGAGCCCTGTTGTTTCCCTGGGTTGTGGGGACAGTGCTCCTTCAGCCAGCGCTGGCCGGCCTGGGCCCACCACTGCGTCCTGGGAGGGATCCTGCAGACGGAGCCGGAGCCACGGGGCTTCTTCAGTGATGCCACCTCTCGCTGTCCCAAGCATTCACCTCTGTCCTCAGCATGGGAGGGGCTGGCCAGACACAGGTTCCTTTGAGCTCAGAAATGCTAGGACACAGGGGCCTCAAGAGAAAAATCACCGCTTCGAACACAGCAGGTGGAGGCAGCAGGCTCTTTGGGGAACCGGCAAATTTCCCCCTCTCTGTGCCTCCTCATCTATAAGGTGGGGATACTGAGAGGCTCTCCTCTTCCAGCCATTTTGAGCATGGAAGGGGCGACACCTCTGAGGACCCCTGAGCCCTGTGGGCTGGCAGGCAGATCCCTCCCACCCCGTCGCTCCTTCCTTCCCATGTCTACTTCCAAATGCCTGGAAACCTGCCCACCTCAAGGGGAGCCCCTGTGCCGGGCCAGCCTTGGAGTCGTAGGGTGTGATACCCAGGAGAACAGCGCCCGGGTTTGTCACATCAGCATGACACATGCACTCTGTGAGTTTTCATTCAGGAAAAACACCCTGCGCTCACGAGCACACTTTTAAAGCCAGAAACCGCTCCACCAGGGGAGGCACAGCAGCAGGGGCAGCCCCAGGCAGGAGTGGGGTCCTGGCGCCTGGGGTGGGAGTGGGGTCTCGGTGCCCTGGAGGGATTGAGGTCTGGTGACTTGGATTGAGTGAGATCCTGGCACCCTGGAGGGAGTGGGGTCTGGTGACCGGGCAGGAGTGGGGTCTCGGTGCCCTGGAGGGAGTGGGGTCCTGACTCCTGGGTGGGAGCGGGGCCCCGGCCTTCTTTCCATCCTTTGCCCTGGAACTAGAGCCGACACCACAGGCATAGCAGCTGTGAAGGCCGTGGCTGTCCCATGTTCCATGGACACATCCGTGCTGTCCTGCCCCAGGGCCTTTGCCTGTGCCGTTCCCTCCCCTGGAAGGCCATCCTCGCTTCTGCCAGCAGCTCTGGGGCTCACCGTGGACCCGCCCAGCTCCTGACCTGCCCGCAGGCCTTGCTAATGTGTCTGTCTCCTCCTGCTGGGCTGTGGGCACTGGGACTGGGCTTCCTTCACCCAAGCCCCCAGCCCTGGCACAGGGTGGGCACCAGTGTGGGTGAGGAGGATGAAATGATTTCTGGAAGCACCAAACAAAAACAGCGTGGGGAAGCTGCAGGTGGGAACTCGCTGCAGGCAGGTACTTGTGAATTTGTCGACAGACACCCATCTGGCACCTGCAGGGGCTGCGTTCAGACTCCGGCGGGCATCGGGACACCAGAGAGCTTGCCCACCTGCAGATTTCCAAGCTGACCCCCTCCCTGCCAGCGCACCCAGGAATCTCTGGGGGCCTAGGCAGGGGGCTTGGGCCTCAGTCTCAGCAGCCCTGGTCCTCCCCACCTGTGACCTTATCAGGGGCCTTGCCCGTGGCCACACTGGTGGGTCTCCCTCCACGCAGAGGTGTTCCCACCTGAGCCCTGTAGCAGGGGCCGGGCGACAAGCACAGGAGGGAAAAGGCAGTGGGACCCCAGATGCAGCATCAGCCTCCTCCTCTGCAGGGCTTGGGGTCTTCGGCCAGGGGCTCATGGGCAGCCAGCCAAGTTCCCCTGCCCCTAGGCCCTGTGAGGAGGTGGTGAGCACGCAAGGATGGCAGGCCCCTGGTCTGCTCTTCCACTCTAGGGAACTTCTGAAGCTTCAAAGACCCAGGGGCAGCAGGCACTGGTCAATGTGGGAGGAGAACACCCAGGAGGCCCTACTTCCTCCCCCAGAAGGGGCAGCCTGGACCCTGCACATGACATTTGGCCCCTGCCCCTTCCAGGGATGTCTGCTCCCTGCTGCAAGGCAGGGAGGGCTGGCTGCCCCTCTGCCCTTCTTTGGCTCCTGCAGGGAGAGGCTGCCCCTCCTGGCTGCAGGACTTGGGTCTCTCTTATCTACACCTTGGAGGTTTGCATCTTTAGAGCCCCTGGGGTGGTGGGGGAGGGGCTATGGGTGGTGGTGGCCTCGGTCCCACCAGGACCCCTAGGTGAGCACAGGCATTGGTCCCCCGCTTGGGCTGGAGCTGGGCTGGGGGCCCACAGGACCCTTTTGCCACCACTCCTGGCCACAGGCTCAGGTCTCAACATCTGAGCGTTCCCAGCCAGGACCCTGGGATTCAGAAAAAGCAGGCTGGAGCCCTCAAGGTGAGGGCGTTCCCTTCCAGCCGTGGGACATAGAGCCCAGAGAAGGCCTTTGTCTGGAAACTGAGGTGGAGAGAGACAGAGCGGGGAGTGGGAAGGGTCCCAGCTGCCTGGCCTTGCCCCTGAGCCTGGGTCCACACAGGACACCCAGGGACCTCCTCACCGCAGGCCCCTAGGTCTCAGCTGCTTGTCCCAAGTGCTGGGCCTGGGGGCATGAGGGTCAGAGGCCAGCCTTCCACAGCCACAGCCTCCAGTGCTGGATTATCTGGCACCTCTGCCAGGCTAAGACCAGCTGGCTCCTTGGGCACTCTGTTTGTCATGCGCTGTGTGGACAGACTCCTATGGCCGGGCAGCTAGCTGGCCCTGCCTGACTTTAGGGGCCTTGCCTCCTTGTAGCCCCCATGGCCCTGGGCTTGGTCAGGGCCTCCGCCCACCCCTGAGCCCAGGGCTCTGCCTGTAACTCAGCAGTTTACACTCTCCCTGTGAAATGCGGCCATGCAGCTGCCCCAGCCGGGGTGAGAAACCTGAGGGTGTGCGAGGCTCCATGCAGGGGGCGGCTCCAGCCCCGGTAAATGCAATCCTGGATGCCCGCGTGGCGGGGCGGCTGCAGTCCCGGTAAATGCAATCCTGGATGCCCACGTGGCAGGGGGCGGCTCCAGCCCCGGTAAATGCAATCCTCGATGCCCGCATGGCAGGGGCAGCTCCAGCCCCGGTAAATGCAATCCTGGATGTCCGCGTGGCGGGGCGGTTCCAGCCCCGGTAAATGCAATCCTGGATGCCCACGTGGCAGGGGGCGGCTCCAGCCCCGGTAAATGCAATCCTCGATGCCCGCATGGCAGGGGCAGCTCCAGCCCCGGTAAATGCAATCCTGGATGCCCGCGTGGCAGGGGGCGGCTCCAGCCCCGGTAAATGCAATCCTGGATGCCCGCGTGGCGGGGCGGCTCCAGCCCCGGTAAATGCAATCCTGGATGCCCGCGTGGCAGGGGCGGCTCCAGCCCCGGTAAATGCAATCCTGGATGCCCGCGTGGCGGGGCGGCTCCAGCCCCGGTAAATGCAATCCTGGATGCCCGCGTGGCGGGGCGGCTCCAGCCCCGGTAAATGCAATCCTGGATGCCCGCGTGGCGGGGCGGCTCCAGCCCCGGTAAATGCAATCCTGGATGCCCGCGTGGCGGGGCGCCTCCAGCCCCGGTAAATGCAATCCTGGATGCCCGCGTGGCTGGGAAGTGGAGCTCTCCTACGGCGCTCAGGGCATCCTGGAGGCACCACGGTTTCAACATCAAGCGTCCAGGTCCCACTTCCCAGCGTCCATGCTGCCGCCCCAGTGGGGCAGGCCTCCTGCTGACCCCAGGAAGACTCCAGGCCCCCAGGACCTCATGGGCCAGATCAAGGGTGGGAAAATGAGGGTCAGGGGAACAGGGCCCCAGCACCCAGGAAGGGTGGGCAGACTCAGCACCCAGGAAGGTTGGGCAGACCCAGCTTTGAGTCCCAGCACCCAGGAAGGGTGGGCAGACCCAGCTTTGAGTCCCAGCACCCAGGAAGGGTGGGCAGACCCAGCTTTGAGTCCCAGCACCCAGGAAGGGTGGGCAGACCCAGCTTTGAGTCCCATGCTTTCCATCCTCTTGCATCTGAGCTGGGCGGCCCCTCCACTCTGTGTGCCTCTGTTTCCCCGAGTGAGGCTTGCAGGTCTCCTGTGAGTTAAGCGCCCAGCACGTAGAGGCTGTCGGTATGAAAATGGTGACTAGAATTTTGCCACCAGCACAGTTGGTGTGGGAGGAACTTGGGGGTGCAGAAGGCTGAACCCCCAGGCCCTCAGGCCCTTATGGAGGACACGGGGTTCCTGAGCATCCAGCTTTCTCTGGGGGTCCATGTCTTCTTCTTTCTCCTCTCCTGCATGTCAATTCAGGAGGCTGCAGGCTCGGTTGGGTCCAGTTGGTGAGGAGGTGCCACCAAGAGGAGGGAGAATTGTGGCCATGTTGCCGTCTGCAGAGCAGAGCAGGTGCTGATGGGAAACAGGAACCCAGGGCTGGAAGATTCCGGAATGCTTGCATGTCACCCACCTGGGGCTCTGCCAGGCAGGGGGCGGCCCTTCGGGCTGTGGGGACGCTGTGCTCTCTGAAGGGTTAACTGCAGTTGCGGCCCCCCTTGGTCCGCAAACACTGACCACTTTATCAACACGTGCTTCCCATTACCCACACAACTTGCAATATTCCTGGTGTCTGTATCAACTTGATTCAATTACTGGGACCACTGTGAGGGAACATTTCCTTCAGGGGAGCAAAGGCCCCAGTGCCTGTGGATGAGGAGAGGGAGCTGGAGGAGGAGAGGCTGTCGTGGGGAATGCTGACTCCATTCCTTGCAAACTCCTGTAATTGACTTTTTAAAAAATGGCATTAGCATTTAAATGGTCCCATAGTTATGGGGGTGAAGGTTCAGCACAATATGATCAATTTATTGAGCTCGTCAAATGTTCTTTTGATATTTATTTTTCCTTGTGTCACGCCGCAGGGGCTTTCTGGGTTTTCTCGTCAGCGGAGCCTGGATCTTTGATTGGGCTCCACGCTCGGCAGAGATGAAAACCACAAAGTCCACCTACCCTGGGGTCTGAGAAGCTCTTGCCAGAGAGGGCCAGTGCCCTTTCCCCAGGTGGACATGCCAGGTGTCCGGTGGTGGGGGGGCTTTCCTCTGCCA
Organism: Homo sapiens; assembly: GCF_000001405.40. Taxonomy (NCBI): domain Eukaryota; kingdom Metazoa; phylum Chordata; class Mammalia; order Primates; family Hominidae; genus Homo; species Homo sapiens. The sequence goes on along the minus strand of NC_000001.11, from coordinate 3,285,755 downwards.
TGGCCTGGGAGCAAGGCTGGCATCTGGAGAAGCAGACCTTCATCTAGCCATTTCCAGGGGGAGGAAACTGACCTTGGCCGTCCAGGGACCAGAGACGGAGGGGCTCAAGCACGCCCTGGGCTCAGGCTGGCTATGACCACGGCCAATGTGGATGTCGCGGGTGTGAGCGAAGAAGCCCGAGCGAGCATGTCACAGCTCCAAGCTCCCGAGCGAGCATGTCACAGCTTCCTGGGAGCATGCCTGCTCCCAGGAAGGCAGGGGACATGTCCGTCCCGAGATTTGTGAGTGGGGGCGACACAGCGGCTGTGGCAGGGCTGCTCAGTGGCCTGGGAATGCTTTGCAGCATCACAGGGATCAGGTGAAAACGTAAAACGACCTGAAAGGCAGAGCCTGGGGAACAATGGGGTGAGGGCAGAGGGCAGAGCTGCTTTCCCAGCCACACCTGGAGAGGTAATCAGAACGCCCAGGTGGCCAGCTGGAGGGGAGAGGCAGGGGCCTCCACGGGGCTGGGGCCAGAGGGCTGGGGTGCCCCAGGCCAGACTTTGCTCCTGGCTGCAGTCCACACAGCCCACCTCACCCTAGGTTTGCCCAGTGGGCTCTGAAAACCTCACCAAGGACCTTGGGACTCTCAGCAGGAAATGCTGGGGGCTGGCCCAGAACTTGGGGGGGCCAGAGAGTGCCAGCCTGCCTCCCTTGCACCCCGTCCAGGGCACCAGGTGAAGCGTTCCATGCTCAAGGGCTATACCGGCCAGAGAAACCTACCAACATTCGCCTCCGAAAGCCCGGGCCCAGAGGGGAGCAGGTCACTCAGGGCTTACAGCCCAGGAAGGGCCAGCGTGGTGAGTAGGTGCACCAAGCTCGGAAGCTGCCCTGGCGGCTGCAGACTCCTCAGCCCGGCCTCCAGCTCTGACCCTTCTCTGCTCTGCCCTGGCCTGGGCGGGACCACGCTGGGTTTCCCAGGCTTGGCCACCCCAGGCTCACAGGTGCTCCGTGAAGCCCCCAAGACGCATGGCCGTTTCTAGAAGCAACACCCCTTATCCTCCTCTCTGGCTGAGAATGAACCCTCAGATTCCCCATCATAAGGCCACAGAGTCTATCTGAAGATGATCTGTATCAAGACCGCACTCCCACGTTCTCAGGGTGTGGGGCTCCCCCTGGCCGCCCCTTTCCCTGCAGGGCTGAACTCTGGCTGCTGGCAGGTCCTGGCTCCCGAAGGCTTCACGGCGACAGTGCCAGGAGAAGCCCACCTGGCAGTTGCTTTGCTCTGGACAGACTCCTAGGCCACCGGGAAACAAACTCATCATTTTGGCCACGCCTTACACTGGTTTTCTCTGAAAATTCTGGCCTAATAGGAGAACGCCCACCTGGCTCTTCCTCCCTCCCCCTCCAGATAAATACTGCCATCTTAACACTTTAAAAAACACACTCCAGGAACCACTCAGTTTACATAAAAAGCCAGACAGGGGCCGAAAACGTTTGACTCTTTATTTTAAAGGTTCCCAAAAGGCAGATAATGTCTGGGGAACCTGGGACGCTTAATGTCGGTTTGCCTTTGCAAACCGGTGTGCTTTGGCGAGATGTCCCCCAGGCAGGCGATAGAGGGCGCCTCCACCCCAGCTTCCCGGGCGGGCTACGGGTGGCGGGTGGCGGGCAGCAGCCCCTGCCCCAGGCCCAGGCCATGGGAGGATGGCCCCCAGCTCCAGGCCCCCCCAGGCCCGCTACCCTAGGATGGCGGCATCCCAGCCAGGACCACAGGCCAGGCCCCCAGCGCACTTCCAACCCTGCGATGTGCCTGCGTCTCCTGGACACACCGCGCACCGGTCCCCCGAATCTGAGCCACATTCCTCCCGCGGAGGCACCTGGGCTCCTGCAGATCCTAACCTCTTAGCTTTGCAGGCTTGGATGTTGGTCGGGGAGGCTGTGTGGCCGCAACACCACCAGCCGGCTTTGCTGGAAGATGCTGGGGGAAGCAGGCGGGAAATATACTCTTCCTTTGACCTTGAGGTCTGGTCCCCATAACCCTTCGCTGACCGCCCCGTCTCTCTTCCTCTGACCTTGAGGTCTGGTCCCCATAACCCTTCGCTGACCACCCCCTGTCTCTTCCTCTGACCTTGAGGTCTGGTCCCCGTAACCCTTTGCTGACCGTCCCCTCTCTCTTCCTCTGACCTTGAGGTCTGGTCCCCGTAACCCTTCGCTGTCCGTCCCCTCTCTTCTGTGTGTCTGTCTCTGCTGTGGACCTAGGGGCACCGCGCAGTGTGGGGCAGAGGCTGTTCTTTCCACTCTGGGGAGTGGGTGAGTTGGGTCTGCCTGGGGCTGTCCTATGCCATGGAGCCCACCTCCAGGGTCTGGCTGCAGGAGGGAGGGAGGGAGAGAGGGACAGAGGGAGGGGCATTGGAGAATGAACAAGGTTGGGGGGCAGCTGTGTCCTTCATTGGCCTAAGGCCATTTGCAGCCACCCCGGGCCCTGGCCAAGGCCTGGACAGACATTCCCTGGCACCTCCATTGCAGGGACAGCCCCGCCTCTAATGGGCAGCTGTGCCTGGGATATGCTGTGGAGCCCAAGCAGGAGGGAAGGTGACGAGGGGCTGGCTGGCCAGTTCCCACCCATGAGCCCGGCCACTGGGTCAGACCCCTCCAAAACCAAGTGTCGGGAGGGGCAGAGTGAAGACGCACCCCGCACCTGCTCGGGAAGCGCTGCCTCCCACCCGGCCTCACAGCCTCGCCTGTCTCACAGGGAGCCTTCTGCAGCATTGACTCTGCACTGAAAGATGACAGTGTCAAAGAAAACTCAGAAGGAAGGGAAGGGAGACGCCCCTCCTCTAACCGCCCTAATACTACCACGCCTCTCACTGCACCTGCAGGGGAGCCCTCACTACTCCTTGGAGTGACCCCGGGAGCTTGGGCTAGCGCTGGCTGCCCACCACCCTCGTGCCCCTCCGGCCACGGCTGCCTCCTGTGTCCCACGTTCGCCAGGCTTCAGACGGACAACAGTGTCTCCTCCCTAGGGAGAAAGGAAGCTGCCTGAGGAGCTTCGGAGTGGCAGTGACCAGCTCTGGTGGCCATGCTGATTCCTGGGTCTCGGGAGATGCCTGCTCTCTTGGCGAGTTTTTTCCAGACACCAAGACCAGGAAGGCTTCAGTGACCTTGGCAATAAGTCTTTCCCCATTTCCCTGAGAAGGTGACCATCCTCAGGTGGATTGAATCGTGGTGAGAGGTGTGCATGGAGCAGCATCAGGGGTATCCTCAGCTAAGTGCCCGCTGGGACAGAGCTGAGGAACAGGCTTTCCAAACCAGGGGGCCCTGCGGCGCTGGCCCCAGGTTCTGCTGAGGGTGACCCTGGCCTGTCCTAAGCCCGACAGTGGGGGGACAAGGTCTCTGGGTCGAGGACCTGTGGGGGCCAAGCAAGGAGCCCAGAGCCCCCACTCCACACACAGGCAGCGCCCTGCTAAGCCAGCTGGCAGGGCCAGCCTGTGTCTGGGGAAGGGCTGGTGCCCGGCACCTGCTGACCTCTCTGGGGAAACGTCTGCACACTGAAGCATGGCCTCCCTGAGCACATGCCTCTTCTAGAACATTCTGGGAACTCACTGCTCAGGCCTGTGAAGGGAGTCAAGGTTCGGAAGCTTTTCATGTGCAAGCCCAAAGCTGCTTCGGTGGTAAGGAGAGAGCTGGCGTCCCATACCTAGAGGCTGGACCTGGGGTTCTCAGTTCAGGTCACATGTTTGACTGAAGGGTTCATGGCTGACCTGACTGCAGCCCAAGGCCTTTCCTGCAGGCCAGCACTCCTTCTAGAACACCCCTCCACATCCAGGGCTGCGGGCGCCCACCTTGGCCTCATGCCAGCTCCAGGCAGACTGGGGCTCCAGTCTCCCTGAGCACCCTGCACCCCCTGGTACAGGGATGGCGTCTGCCTGCTCCTTATCCCTGGTTTCCTGAAAGCAACTCATCGATCGGACCATAGCTCATCAATCAATCCGGCCATAGCTAATCTGTGAATCCAACCATAGCTCATCAATGAACCCAATCAGAGCACATCAAACCGATCATAGCTAGTCAATCAATCTGGTCATAGCTCGTCAATGAATCCAACCATAGCTCATCAATGAACCTGATCACAGAACATCAGTCTGATCATAGCTCATCAATCAATCTGGTCATAACTCATCAATGAATCTAACCATAGCTCATCAGTGAACCCAATCAGAGCACATCAAACCGATCATAGCTAATCAATCAATCTGATCATAGCTCATCAATCTGATCATGCTAAGTTGTGAATGACTGATAAGTTTCAAGGCTGCTTCTCTCAAGGAGATTGGTGTTTTATTGGCAGGCACAGGAATGATCCCTATTTCGATTTCATATAGTGGACACCTACTTATTTCTAAATGACCATGGCTGGGGTGGGCGTCTCAGTGCCAGCCTGGTCTGGAGCACAGGTGGAGGGTTCTGGCCACCGGCAGCTGTAGGAAGGGAGCGTCTCAGCAGCCAGGCCTCCTCCTGGGCGACAGTGCCCACAGCTGCGTTCTCAGGTAGGGGCTGGGTGTGAGCCAGCAAGGCAGATGGCAACGTTTCGAGTTGAAGAGGACATCTGGGCATCTTGCAGCATCCTCCTAGGGCCCAGTTTCTCAAGCTTCTTGACAGTCCAGAATGCCAATGGCCCCACTTTTGAGACAGTGGGCTGAGGCTGGACAGGTGCAGGGACTTGCCCGGTGTTGAACAACCACCCAGGGAAGGAGGCCCAGGCAGTGCTGTCCTCAGCCCAGAGCCAACCTCGCTGGGCAGCCACTCGGCCTCCCAGATTCAGAACTGGGGAGAAAACAAAACCCATGGATGGAGATTTGACAAAAGCCCTGGGGGCTCCGCATTGTTTCTGACCAAATTTCCCTGCCCCTGCCCCAGGGGCTGTGAGAACCCCACTTTGATTTCTCCTGGGCAGAGACCCCTTGGAGACAGGGTGGGTATGGCCCGGGACGGCCAGTCTAGCCTGCTTCTCACTTCACCTAGGAACGGGTCTTTCTCAAGGTTCCCTTTCATTCACATTTACTGTTTTCAAAGCTAAGCAACAGCCTTCATGCCTCAGAGAAGGTCTTAGTTCTTAGTTGGTGCCAGTGTGACCTTAACGCCACAGACCTTGCTGGGGTGAGAGGTGGGTTCTTCCAGCTGCCTCCAGGCTCCAGGTGGGAGTCGAGGGAGGCGATGGAAGGCCTGAGGTGGGAAGGACGGACCTTGTTGGAATGTACGCCGTCCCTCCGCACATGAAACTCTGGCTTTTCTCTGGTGTGAGGTTGGACGCTGGCAGTAAGGGTGGGGGGACTCAGGCAGAAAACCACTTCCTCTGTGTGCAAACAGAGAACTCTGCACCCTCCCAGATATACCTGCCCCAGGTGAGACAGGGAGCCACACACTTGAAGACATGTCCCCTGAGACAGCCACTGGGCTGCAAGCATGCACACACACGTGCACACACACCAGGTCATGCGCACATTCATGTGCACACGTCACATGCACACACCAACACACGAACACACAGAGTCGGCTTCAACAAGCCACAGACTTGGCACTAAGCTGGTGACCAGCTCGGGGCAGCCACCCCCTACCCATGCAGTGGGTGCTGAATGTCTCTCTCTGACCATAACTGGCTTCCACACAGCAATAGAGGACTCATGGATAATTCTGACTTTCTTATTTAAATGTTTTTTTTTTTTCACCCTGCTTGTTTTACAAAAAAAGTATGGCATTATCGTGATTGGAAAATAAATCAATATTTCTTTTAAAAGACTCGGGATTCCATGAGGTTTTGTCTTGACCGAGCTCATGCTTCTCGGCTGACGTCATGGGGAATGGTGTGGACCCACATTGGTGGTGGGTGCCCGGGGGGGGTGGGAGGAGGGGCCGCCTGTCCACTCCACACTGGCTCAGGGATATGCTGGCCCAGGAGGCCACTTCCCTGTCCCCACCCCCCCGCAGGCTCTGGTCCTCAGGCAATGGGGAAAGGGGCAGGAGGCGGTGGAGGCCCCTTTGTCCTGCCTTCCTTCCTCCACCATCCCCTTCAGCTCCACTCCCCCGACCCTCTGCCCTCCTGCAGCACAGACTCTCCCTGACGGCTGCCCGTCCTCAGCCTGTGGCACAGGAGTCTGGAGAGGGGCCGGCACCTTCCTCAGAGCCTCTTGCTCAAGTCTTTCCTTTTGTCATCCACAGAGAGCCCAGTCACAAGGGGTCTCCGGCCGAGGCAGCTCAGAAGGAAGCCAGCCTGGTGGCAGGGGCAGGCGTGCAGGGCGTCCCAGACTGACGCCGCCGGGCAGGGCAGCTCTGCGGCCAGTGTGGCCACTTGGTCCCTCGCCCGGAGCGGCTGACACTGCTCAGCACAGCTGCCCCGAGGCACCGCGAGGGCCCGCCCTTCCTCTCTGCGTTTCAGATCTGAGGGGAGAACATCTACCCTGCCCCGCTGCAGAGGCGGCCTGACCACAGGCTGTGCCGGACCCAGGGATGCCTCCTGCTCCAGCTTCTGCAGGGCTTCTGCTGAGCCGAGGGCCTGCGCCTGGGCAGGAGAGGCCGCCGGTCTTTCCAGGCATGGTGAGCGACGCTTCGAGGCTCCTGATGACCAACTGCATCCCCGGACTCGGGGCCACAGCTGCCCACGTGGCTATTGGTGGCAGCTTCTGCATCCACCTCCTTCCTTTGCAAAGTTGACATGGAGAGAAACTGGAGCCAGCCCAGCTGCCCCTGCCCCAAAGGTGGACAGGGCTGACGATGACAGACACGGAGCACACGGCCAGCGCCGCGCTCGGCACCGTGTGGCTCCACGGATCTCCAGGGCCGGCCGGAGGGAAGCGTGGGAGGATGGGAGAGGCCACGGCTCGCTGAGTGTCTGCAGGAGCTGGGCCACGTTGAGAGGACGCAGGGACGCTTTGTGCTTTGTTCCGCTGCCCCGTCCCCTCTGACGTTCCCTGTGGTCAGAGCAGCAGAGGTTTTCTGAGTTTGGACACGTCTGCCAGAGAGGCCAGCAGTCACACTGGAAAAGTTCTCGGGTGGCCAGTTTTCTAAGGGTCCTCAGATCACAATACCCTAGCCGAACCAGACCACAGGCTCCAGAGAGGGCGGCCTTGTGGCTGCCGGGTGTCCTGGCTGACTGCAGGCCCCGCCGGGCAGCAGGGTGCCGGGTGCGGCTGAGGTTCCAGGGCCTGTTTCATGCCCAGCACAGGGATGTTCCATTTGCTAGTGACTGCGCTTTAGGTGGGTGCTTAGAAGAGGGGGTTGCCGATGTGAGCAAATGTGCTGCTGCTGAAATATCCTGCATGAATGTGAACTCCACACAGGCCCCTCCCACACTCTGCAGGCTGCCCCTGGGGTCCTGCCTGTGCAGTGGGGTTCATTCAGCTCCCTGTTTGCCATCCAGACAGTATTAGGCCTAGGTGTGGCTGCAAGGGCGCAGCCAGGCTGTCCCTAGGAAAGACGCCCCTTTATCCACACCATGTGGGAGATGGCCCATGGGGAGGATTTGGGATGCTGGAGGAGATGCAGCATGGCCTTGAGGGGGTCTTCTCTGCCCCAGGCAGGGTGGGAGGCTGGAAAACCAGGCGAGGACGGTAAGGCCAGGCTATGATAGGGCTTTAGGGACCTGGGTGGGGTTGGGGAAATGGCCATGAGAATGAGAAGAAGCCTTCACACTGTCTCAGACTTGAATTAGGAATGACCCCAGACACAGTTCTTGGTTACAAGCCCCTGCCCTGCCCTCCCTCCTTTTCAGATGAGAGGGTCCCATGGCCTGCTAGCAATGATCGCTGACCTAGAGCTCCCGGATGCACGGACTTCACGGTGTTGGAAAAGTGCGTGTGCTCATGTGCATGAGTGTATGGGTCTGTGTTCCTGTTTGTGCCTGGGTGTGTTTACACAGTGGTTATGCACATGTGCCTGTGCACGTGTGTGCATGTGCATATGCTCGTGTTCACAACTGTGCGTTTGTGTGTGCATATGTGTGCGTGTGTGTGCGCGTGTGTGCATGTGTGTGCGTGTGCGTGTGTGCGCGCGTGTGTGTGTGCATGTGGGTGAACAAGGGCTACTTCCCCTGCTCCGGGAGCTCTGTGGATTCATCTGGGGTCAATGCCTCGTTGTGCCCAGTCCCCGACCTTTGAGACATTTTCACTGACCCTGTCCCTGGACAACGTCCCAGGGGCTTCAGCGGATTCACAACATAAACCCATTTTTCCTCCCAGAAAAGGAGAGGGTCGGGGCCAGCCTGGGGCTTTCCTGTACTGGGATCCTGTCTTCACAGAGGCACCCAGAGACCCTGTGGTGAGGAGAGGCCTGAGCAAGTGCGCCCCATGGCAGGGTAGGGCCCTGGTGGCCTGGGCTTGGGGGTTCCCTGCAGCCTTCCCGGCTGACGTGCCTCCTGGCCTCTGAGGTGGGCATGGTGGATGCCAGTGCGCCACAGGGAGAGTGAAGCGTGTGACAGACGATGCCATCCCCGGGTGGCGCAGCAGCCAGGACTCGACTGTTTGCAAGATCCAGCCGTGCACAGAGAGGCATGGGGCCGGCCACGTCCACTAGTCTCACTCAGCCCTGAGCACAGGCCCAGCCTCTCCCGAAGCCTCCTCCTGGCCTGGCTCTTGTCTGTCTGCTGGTCATTGTGCAGAGACCACAGGCAGCAGGTGACGAATGGCTGGTGTCAAGTCCTGTCATGCCAACGGGGTCCTGGGGGAAATGCAAGAGGCTCTGAAACCAGCTTTATTACCAACCTGTGGCCACCGAGATGATCAATCAAACGGATTGGTGATGGCAAACACCACGGGGACGAGAGGCAGACGCTGCCCGGGGTCGTGATGGGGGATGGGGAGAAGATGGCGGAGGAAGTGCTGAACTTGACCAAGCCCAGCCCCCTTTAGGGCTCGCTCTCTTTCCATCACTAGGTTGGCCTCAGGGTCCAGGCCGAGGCGGCCCAGGCAACAGGAGATGTCAGACGGGGCAAAGGGGTGATTTACAAGGCGGCTGGCGCTGTTCTCCAGGGAGAAAGGGGAAACCGTGAGGAAACAGGCACCCCTCGCTGGCTCTGTTCACGGCACCCCTCGCTGGCTCTGTTCACGGCACCTCGAGCTGGCTGGGGCCGACGAGCTGAACATGCTGCCAAGGCCCTGCAGCTTCCCTGGGATGTGAACCCTGGGCTTCCTCTAGGCCATGGGCTGGGACAGCTCGGGGTCAGACACCGGCGGAGTTAGGGCCGTGGGGCCTTCCTGCGGGCGGGTCCGGGTCGCTGGCCAGTCTTCATGCAGCTGACTTCATGTAGGTATGAGAGGCTCCCACAGCAGAGGCAGCTCAGGGCCGGGCACGAGCAGAGTCCACGCTCCCCTCCTGAGCTCCCAGAGGTTCAGGGGTGCTTTCCATCCTGGGATGGACCCACAGAGCCCCTCAAGAGGCCTGGTCGCTGCTGGAGTCTGCGGTGCTGAGACCAGGACTCCCACCGCGGGCCCAATGGCAGGCCTGGCGAGGATGGCGGGGGCCGGGGGGCTGCCCAGGGCAGGATGAATCAGACCTCTCTTGGGAAGTGACTCCCGCACAAGGACATTTTAGTCAGACATAATTGCAAGGAAAAATAAACCTGCCTTAACAGAAAACAGCTTTCCAGTTGGTTTCTCCCCCCTTGAAGCCCTTTCAACTCCAGGTTTTGGCAAGTCCTGGCTGTGGGTAATTGTCAACACGACGTGGTGTCCGGAGACCAAAGCCGGCAGAGCGGAAATGGCACCCACGGCGTGAGAGAGACCGGGGAGGCCGCAGCAGGCACGCGTGTGCTGGAGTGCACAGACCCACAGGGCGCAGCTGGGTCACAGAGAAAGGGAAACATGGTCTTGGCCGCAATGTGAATGGCTTGGGAGGGCATCTTCAGACGCTGGCCCCACGAGAAGAGACTAGGGCCTGGCTGGGTGCCACCCACTTCCACGCTGGATGTGCACGGCTCTCCCCAGTTTGGAATGACTCCCCTCCCGCCCCCCTGGCTCTCACTGGTGGTTCTCACGTCACCCTCAGCAAAAGGTCACCTAAAGTCCAGGAGGAAGGTCCCTTTGAGCCCTGCCCGGTCTCTCCTGGAGGGGACCGGATGGAGTTCTTGAGGGAACTGGAGCACTGGGCAGGACCGGCTCTGGCGTTTGGTTCGAGCACTGTGCCCAAAACTGCCCCCACCGAGGAGTGCTGCCTGCACCAGGACAGGGTGACCCGTCCTGAACCCCCCCACCTCGGGGCATGCCGAGTGCCTGACAACTGTTTGTCCGGAAGTCCTGGTAGCCAGGTCCCCCAGGCCCTCCTTCTCCTTGCCCTTTCATCTTGGGGGTGTCCTGCAGCGGGGTAGGGGTGGGCAGAGGGGCCAGGGAGAGACAGGCAGGCAGGAAGGAGCGAAGGCTGGGTTGGCCTGTGTCTATGGGACGGGGTGCCCCCACTTTTTCATTCCCGATATCCGGTTGATCCTTTCCGGGAACTTGTTACGTACAAGGTCTGTCAAGCCCATGGCTGACAGGCCGATGTTACTCACTTGGCTGGATTCTGGCAAACTCAGGTTCATTTACCAGGCAAAATTAATGAGAAAGGAAAGACTTATATGATGAGATAGTAATTTATGACTTCCACTGGGCCCGCCTCCTGCTCCCAGTGCCTGGCGGCACATTTCACCTAAGCGTCCAGAATGGCTCTGCCAGGCGCACCTGGGAGCCAGCCAGATCCGTGCTCCTGCTGGGCTGGGGGATGCTCAGAGTCCAACCTTGCTGTCGGTACATGGCAAGCATTCACAACACCCTTCTCAAATCTCGAGCAAGTTCCCAGCATATCTGTGCATCCTGCATCCCCAGAGCAAGAACGCCTTGAGCAGGTGCCATGTGTCCAAAGCCGGCTGTCTCAGGACCCGGGACCCACACCCTAACATGCCTCCTCATGCCTCCATGCCCTCGACACCACTGCCCCCAAACATACAAAGGAGAAGAAGGTAATGGAAAAGCCAGCCATGCAGCAGCAAAATAAACCTTCCCTAATGGCTACCAAACTTGCTGGGTGTCAGCTCCAGCGACTTTGTGCAGACAGAGTCTGTAATAATCACGCAGCTCGCAGACAAGGCCTCGCTCCGGCAGGAGCCGACGTGACAGAGCCTGGAAGGCAGGTGCTACTGTAATTAGCTATTGTTTGACTATCAAAAGTCAGGGCTGATTAAAGCCACTAAGCACAAGTGCACTATTTTATTTCAAAGAATATTATGAACTGCACGCTGGGGCCCTTTCAGAACGGACCTTCCTTCCGCAGCCGGCTAAGAGCCCATGCCAGCAGTAATCAAACGCAAAATCTGCATAAACCTTCAGGGTTTAATTCAAGCAGAGACCTTTCATTAGAAATATGTTACTTTATGAAATCTGGTCGCCAGCAAGGGGAGAGAAATGTGACTTCTTAAGAAAAGTGAATGGCACCTCTTTAGTGATTAACCCAAGATTAATGGAGGCCCCCACTGCTCGGCCTAAGTCCATTTTATTGCTAATTCATTTAGGTACCATTTCAGAGATGCCTGATGAAAGTTACCTGCCAGGGCGTCAGGTTTTGGCAAGCAAGGATAGCCATCATGGTCAAATCCCAAATACACTTTTTATTAAAGAAGCTTTGAAAAGTGTCTTGTATTCGTCTTTTCCTCCCTTCTTTCTTAGGGACTTTCTATTTAATGTACTCAATTAGTTAAAAATTTGGATCCTAATTCACCCATCAGAGATGGATGCGGCTGGTTCCCTTTCAGTGGCTTTTTTTTTTTTTTTTTTTTTTTACCTCCCCATACCAAGTCCACGGTGAGAGAACGGTGCCTGGGACACACGCACACAACACTTACATGCCACACGTGCACACGCACCTACCCACACGTAGGCTGGCACCCCCATATAAGCAGCCCATACACACACACACACACACACACACACACACACACTTACATGCCTATGCAGTTAGCCACACGCTATGCACACAAAGGCATATACCCTTATATATGCAACCCCCACACACCTATCCATGCACACACATGTGCTTACATGCTCACCCATGCACACACACCTGCCACATGCACACACACACAGGAATGTACCCTCATAGATGCAGGCCATACACACACATGCATGCACACACACACTTACGTGCCCGTACATACACACACACCTACCCACACATGTGCACACATGGGCATGTACCCTTATATATGCAGCCCCCATATACCCACCCACGTACACACATGGACATGTACCCTTATAGATGCAGCTCATATATGCATGTGCACACACATTCACTCACACCCACCCACCCACACACACACATGTGCACGCACCCTCATATGTGCACCTCCTCCACACACAGATCAGAGTATGCCAAGGGCACCATGGGTAGGATCATAAGAGATGTGGAAGTGTCACTGCTGCTCCCCACTCCTGCCCAGAAGGCACCTCGAATGGCAGAACAGGCTTTCTTCTGGGCACTGGGGTGGTGATCCAAGGTTGGTGCCCTGGGGAGGCAGCCTCCCCATACCCAACAAAGAAACCAGCGTTGGGGGATGGTTAAGAGCTGGGTAAAAACCTGCTCTGCCATGGAGCCCACCTCATCCCTGCTCCTGCTCCCCACTGCCCCTGGGATCCTCCCTGTTTCTGGGCCTTTCTTCCTCTCTCTGCTTTCTGCACCAGCTTCTGGTTCTGAACGCACATCCTCTCCCACGCAGACTCCGGCTGCCCTCTCGACCACAGCACTAGTGTAACTGCAGCCTCAGGTAAGCCCCCCAGGACGGTCCCATGACCAGGTCCCCACCATGTGGCAGACACAAGACTCGAGACTCAGAGTGGTCCGGCCCTCAGAGCCCAGGCTGGGGAGTGGCAGAGCCGTGAAGCCACCAGGCCTCTGTGTCCCCTTCATCGGCACAGGCAGCAGGGGAGCCAGCCCTCCCTGTGGGGGCACAGGGCAGCTCCAGAGATGGGCTCGGCCTCGCCCACCTTGTTCCAGGCCTGGAAGGCTGGCCCCCAACCCCACATTCAGGCAGAGCTCCGAGTGGTGGTGGGGCTCACAGGCATCTCATAGGGAACTTTCGAATCTTCCTGAACGAATGCAGAACTGAGGCGATGCAGCCAACACACAGGTTACCCGGGGACCTGCACACGGGAGCTGGGGTGGAGCATGAATGTCCCCAGGCTCACTGGCGGGACGTCCCTTTGGAGAATGGAGCCCCAGGAGGCGGGTGTTTCCCGAGCCCCCAGTGCGAGCCTCCCCGAGGTCCCGGAAGGAGCCTCACAGCAGAGGCTGCACGACTCTAGCCGCCGTGCCCAGGACAGAGTCCAGCGCGTGCCTGTGGGCCGGGGTATGGATTTCTCTGTGCCCTGAGAGCTGCAAACAAAAAACACATCCAGCCTTGGCCTCAGAGACCATGGGAACCTAAAGAGCCCCCACGGAGAGCCCCCTACAGAGCCCCTACCTCTCTAGATGGGCCTTAAAGCGCCCGACTACAGCCAACTCTGTTGCCACCTTCTCACCACACGCCTGTCCCCGTGGAGTGCTGCAGATGCAGGATGAGCAGGATCCGGTCTGAGAGCCCCTGGGCCTTGCCAATTCGCCCTGGAGGAAACCGTGAGCCAGATTCCCTGGGGTTTGAGCACTGCCTGGCCACCAGCCACCTCTGGAAGCGTCTGCAAGCACCGGAAGTTCTTGTCCTCCTGACACCCATGTGGGCACCGTGTCCCAACCCAGGCAGCCCCTGGTAGACAGCTGACAGGTGCTTTCATGGCTGGGAGAAGCTGTCTCATTCTGTGTGTCCCAGGGCAATGTGTGGTCTTGTGATCAGGCACCTTATCCTACCTGCAAGACAGACGGTGAGGGTGGTGTGTGCAGGTGGTAGTGGGGAGACATCCCCAGATGGGAGCAGAAGAGAGAAGGGAGCCCTGTGCCCAGGACTCCGCGGCCTGCTGCTGCTTTCCGTGCTGGGGGTCAGAGATGGTCCCGTGCCAGCCAAGGTGATGCCAGGATCATCTCTGGCCTCTGAGGCAGGAGCTTTTCCTGCCACCAGGTGCCCCTCCAGCTGACATCACCAGGCAGCCTGGGCTTGCCCCGAGCCAAAGCTGAGAAATGCAAGCCCTTGGTTCTCTGCCAGGGCCCCTGGACTACCCAGACAGTCCCCCTGCCTGGCCTCACGCTCCAGGTCATGGAACAGGTTCTAGATGGGTTCACCCCCAAGGGCAGCTCACAGGGTCAGAATTTCCACGTCCGCTGCAGGACAACGGCCTTGGGTTCTCACTGGGTTGAGCTCCTAAGGGCTACCATTTTCTTTATGTTTTGGATTTGGCTGGGAGTGGCTTAAGAGTGAATTCTTCACCCCAAACTTCCCTTAGTCACTGTTCCCCACTGTGGGAGACCCAGGGAGGCTCTGCTAGGAAGAAAAGGGTCTTTCAGGAAGCCTCACTCTGCCTCCAGGGCTCTTAGACATCTTGCAGAGCCAGGCTCTGTTTAGCTGTGGGAAGTAGCCTCCTTGATTGGCGGAAATGCTTCGTTCCTTCCTCGAGGGATATCTGTATAAGAGGACTGGGGCTTTCATTCTGACCTGGAGGCGTCCGGGGCCCCACACTGGCGTGAATGTCCAGTCTCTGCCCTTGAAAATCTCCAGCATTTCCTCCCACCGCATATCCCCTGCATGCACGTGGCGGGGCAGGCAGGCCGGCCACAGCCGGGACTGGGAGGAGCGTGGCAGACACCAAGGTCTGCCTCTGGGAGGCCCTGGCAGACTCAGCGAACAGGGCCCACACTGTCCTCCTCTGGGACTGCTCCTCTGGAACTGCCCCTCTGGAACTGCCGTCCTCCCCCACTGTCCTCCTCTGTACTGCCCTCCTCCCAACGGTCCTCCTCCTGGACTGTCCTCCTCCCCACTGTCCTCCTCCAGGATTGTACTCCTCCCGACTTTCCTCCCCTGGGACTGTCCTCCTCCCGACTCTCCTCCTCTGGGACTGTCCTCCTCCAGGACTGTCCTCCTCCTGACTGTCATCCTTTGGGACTGTCCTCCTCCCGACTGTCCTCCTCCGGGACTGTCCTCCCCGACTGTCCTCCTCTGGGACTGTCCTCCTCCTGACTGTTCTCCTCTGGGACTGTCCTACCCAACTGTCCTCATCCAGGACTGTCCTCCTCCCGACTGTCCTCCTCTCGACTGTCCTCCTCCAGGACTATGCTCCTCTTGACTGTCTTCCTCCAGGACTGTCTTCCGCCTGATTGTCCTCCCCCGGGACTGTCCTCCTCTGGAACTGTCCTCCCCGACTGTCCTCCTCGCCGACTGTCCTCCTTCTGGACTGTGCTCCTCTGGGACTGTCCTCCTCTGGGACTGTCCTCCTCCTGACTGTCCTCCTCCTGGCTGTCCTCCTCCTGACTGTCCTCCTCCGGGACTGTCCTCTTCCCTGACTGTCATCCTCTTGGACTGTGCTCCTCTGGGACTGTCCTCTTCCCCACTGTCCTCCTCCGGGACTGTGCTCCTCCTGTCCTTCTCCTGGACTGTCCTCCTCCTGACTGTCCTCCTCTGGGACTGTCCTCCTCCGGGACTGTCTTCCCCGACTGTCCTCCTCCAGGACTATTCTCCCGACTGTCCTCCTCCGGGACTGTACTCCTCCCCGACTGTCCTCCTCTCCGACTGTCATCCTCCCTGACTGTCATCCTCTGGGACTGTCCTCTGGGACTGTCATCCTCCGGGACTCACCTCTTCCAGGACAGTCCTCCCTGACTGTCCTCCTCTGGGACTATGCTCCCCTGACTGTCCTCCTCTGGAACTGTCCTCCTTCTGACTGTCCTCCTCCTGACTGTCCTCCTCCCGATTGTCCTCCTCCTGGACTGTCCTCCTCTGGGACTTTCCTCCTCTGGGACTTTCCTCCTCTGGGACTTTCCTCCTCTGGGACTTTCATCCTCTGGGACTGTCCTCCTCCCTGTCATTCTCTGGGACTGTCCTCCTCTGAGACTTTCCTCCTCTGGGACTGTCCTCCTCCAGGACTATGCTCCTCCTGACTGTCCTCCCAACTGTCCTCCTCCGGGACTGTGCTCCTCCTGACTGTCCTTCTCCCAACTGTCCTACTCTGGGACTGTCCTCCTCCCAACTGTCCTCCTCCGGGACTGTGCTCCTCTGGGACTGTGCTCCTCTGGGACTGTCCTCCTCCCGACTGTCCTCCTCCGGGACTGTCCTCCTCTGGGACTGTCTTCCAGGACTGTGCTCCTCCCCGACTGTCCTCCTCCCAACTGTCCTCCTCCTGGACTGTCCTCCTCTGGGACTTTCCTCCTCTGGGACTGTCCTCCTCCCTGTCATTCTCTGGGACTGTGCTCCTCTGGGACTGTCCTCCTCCCGACTGTCCTCCTCCGGGACTGTCCTCCTCTGGGACTGTCCTCCTCCTGACTGCTCCTCCTGACTGTGCTCCTCCCAACTGTCCTCCTCTGGGACTGTCCTCCTGACTGTCCTACTCTGGGCTGCGCTTCTCCCCGACTGTCCTCCTCCGGGATTGTGTTCCTCTGGGGCCGTCCTCCTCCTCCCAGCTGTCCATCTGGTACCCCAGCCACTGCCTGCTCCTTGGGACTGAACCAGCCTCGGTCCTGAGAAGCCCAGTGGCCATGGCCATTGCTCTCTGGCCTGGAGCCACCTTCTAAAGCCCATCCCAAAGCCCACCCACCTGTCTTCTGTTCCCCACCTGGGAGCAAGAAACAAGCCCGAGACGCCTGTCTCCAAGACTCACTGCCTCTGCAGTGCCTATCAAGGATCTGGGGGCCTGGACAGGCTCCCTGGGGGTGGGAACCTTTGGAAGGACCCCCAGGTCATGGGGCCACCTCAGGTAAAGCGAAATGAAAATACAGCAGCTGAAGTTGGCTTGGCGCAGCATGGGGAAGCCTCCCACGCTGCCCCTCACCCTGAGGCATGCGGTGGGGCAGGCTGGGAGCCCCTGGACTGGGTCATGGCTCACGGCTGCCCTCCTCGAATATACCAGGAATATTAGAATACTCTAGTGACCCCAATGGACTCTGAGGCTGGGGTTAGGGGTAAGAAGCCCTTCTTCAGGGAACTCTGGGGTTCCCACACCCTTGTGCCTCTGCTAAGGCAGACAGCTGGGGAAGGGGTGCTGCAGGGGCAGCTGTGGTTTCTGCTGAGAGTGATGGATTTTTTTAAGCTAGCTATAGGAATGAGGGTGAAGGCTTCCTGTGACCTGCCCCAAGTTGCCAGGGCCTGCCAGGCTGCCCACTGTTGCCCATGAGCCTCGCCCCTCGCAGGGCCCGTCTGCCCTCCCCGGCCGCCCTGCACCAGCCTGGCCATCCCGTCCTCCAACACCCTGGTCTACCGGCTTTGCGAAGTGCACACGTTAATTAT
Source organism: Homo sapiens (assembly GCF_000001405.40). NCBI lineage: Eukaryota > Metazoa > Chordata > Mammalia > Primates > Hominidae > Homo > Homo sapiens. Next base: position 3,268,399 of record NC_000001.11, on the reverse strand, counting down.
CCTGCCACTGCTGTAATTTCTCCCCGTAGTCCATTAATTAAGGGGTCACAATCCCAGAGCATGTTTACCCAATAAGCCTTCTTTTTTAATTATCCTAATTGCTCGGAGCCTGACAAAGACTCTGCCCTTCTCCTTCCCCCGTGGATTAGCGGAGACAAACACACTTCCACGCGCACCTGGTCTGACGCGCGCCGAGCCGGGGGCGACTGCAACCGCAGCAGGAGCGTCGGGCCCTTCTCCTGAGACCAGTGGGCCAGCCGAAGTCTAGGACCTGCTCACCGTACGCTCCCACGTGTGTGCAAACGGGCACCCTGTTAGATTCGGGGGTCATGGTTTGAGGGCCGGGGAGCCGTGGTCCGCAGGCCCCTGAGGTCTGCACCCAGGTTGGCTGTTTTGCACCCGCGTTGCTTGCGAACGGCAGGCAGATCCACCCCCTGTCACAACAAAGCCAAAACAACAGGGCGGACTCCTCAGGGTTTCCACCTCCATCCTGGCTTGGATTCCACTTCTGACTCGGCTTAGGATCCACGTCATGGACCTGTGTCCTGTGAACCAGGGAGGCTTCCTGTGGGCCTGGGAGCCAATGCTGCCACCGACACCCACTGTGGACCCGCAGCGGCGCGGGATGGAGAAGCGGCTCACTGAGGGAGAGGCTGGCGCTCTGCTCAACTTTCAGAAGGAGGGGCAGGGGCTGGAATCACCCTGGTGCGGGAGGGGCCGCCCCTTCAGCCGCTCTGTGAGGCCGCTCCTCGTTTCTGAGCAGCTCTGAGTCAAACGAACACAGGCACCCCGGGATGTGAAATGGTATAGCCACTGTGGTAAACAGTCTGGAGGTTCCCCAAAAAGTGAGACATAGCGTTATTGTGACCCAGCCATCCCAGACCCAGGGCGCTCTCCACGGGAATCGATCCTTGTACACACGTACCCAGAGCAACACGATTCACAACACCCACAGGTGCAAACAAGCCTCACGTCCTCCGGTCAGGGACGAGTGGATAGAAAAGGTGTGGCCCCTCCACGCAGGGGAATATTACTCAGCCAGAAAAAGGCACAGAGCTCCGACACGAGCTACAACATGGATAAACACTGAAAACATTATGTTCAGTGAACATTTTAGCCATAAGAGCCACACGCTGCATGACTCCATGAGATGAAATGTCCAGAAGAGCAGATGCAGAAAGAGAGAAGACAGACTTGTGGTTGCCTAGGGCTGGAAGAGAGGGGATGGGCGTGGCTGCTCACGGGTACAGGGTCTCCTTCAGGGCAAGCAAAGATGCTCCAGAACTAGACAGAGGCGGCTGCAAAATACCGAATGTACTAGATACTGCTGACTGTCCATTTTAGAATAATTAGTTATACGTTTTGTACATTTCACACTGGTTTAAGAAAAGAAAGAAAAGGAGATGGCTCTAAAATGCACGTGGCCGGGCGCGGTGGCTCACACCTGTAATCCCAGCACTTTCGGAAGTCGAGGCGGATGGATCACCTGAGGTCAGGAGTTCGAGAGCAGCCTGGACAACACGGCAAAATCCGGTCTCTACTAAAAATACAAAAATATTAGCCGGGCGTGGGGGCGGTTGCCTGTAATCCCAGCTACTCAGGAGGCTGAGGCAAGAGAATTGTTTGACCCTGGGAGGCAGAGGTTGCAGTGAGCTGAGATTGCGCCGTTGCACTCCAGCCTGGGCAACAAGAGCAAGACTCCGTCTCAAACATAAATAAATAAATAAAAATAAAATGCATGCCCCACCGTGGTCTGCTGGAGCGTGGGAGCGGCGGAGGGTGCAGGCCCGTGCCTCCCGCCTGCGAGACAAGCGGGTCTGAGATCCAGGGAGTGGCTCCTGCCCCTGGGGCCCTCTCCTCGTCGGAGGAGCGGAGCAGCAATGCCTCCAACGCAGTTCACTGATTAAGAGCTTTGCAAATGCGAACCGCTCGGTCCTCCCCAGTCTCTCTGGGGCTCTCAGGGGGAGAGAATTAATTCGCGTCTACTGAGGTAAGTGCGAGGGGCTCTCGGGGCGAAAAGGCTCCGGCGCGCATTGTTCTCTGGTGGATTACGGGTGCTCGGCCGGCCTTGGGCCACCCCTGCCCGGCTCTCCTGGCGTCCGGCTGTGCCAGGCAGGCCCGCCCGATCCGTGGAAGTTTACGTCTCTTTAATAAAGATTAAGATGTCAGAGGGCCAGCGTTGCACAAAATCCCACTTTTATTAACTTCTCATTACCAGCTGAAGAGCGAAGCCCATTTCTGAACTTCTGAAGCAGCACATTTTCCCCAGGAAGAAAATAGTTATTAAATATGCATTTATGATGACTGCAGCTCACAGGGTTCTTGCTGACTAAGCGACCGGCCGCACACCGCCCTGGATGGACTCAAGACGACGGAGACTTAATGGAAAGAGGGGCCAGGTGGCGTCGCTAGGCTGGAGGGCGGCCCTTGAGTTGGGGGCTGGGCCTGGCCTCGCCCTCCTGGGCTTTATGAGACACGCACCAAGGAACCCTGGGGAGCAGTGCGGAGCCCTGGGGAGCACTGCACGACCGTAAAGGGATCATAGAGAGCGAAGGACCTGGGCACGACCCACTGAGGCAGGGTCTGGGGGCTCCTAGGGTCTGGGCGGTGAGGACAGAGCGTGAGGTGCCAGCTGGATAATGCCTGTCTGGCTGGGGCTAACTGTGACCTCCTGATTAACCACAGTCAGCTCCCATCCTCACCTTCCCAGGACAAACCCAGGCAGCCCCGGGGCAAGAGGGCTGGCCTTGGCTGCAATTTTAGGAGCTCCCAGACCCAAGAGGGGCCTCTGCGGTCTGCTTCTCCCTCTCCCACCAGGACGACCCCTTCTCCTCTTCCCATGAACCTCGGATGGGTCCCTTGAGTCACACATCCCTGCATCTGCCTTCTCCTGGCAGCGAAAAGCAGGCAGGGCAACTCACCTTCCCACCGGGAAGCCTCCAAGTCCCTCCCCAACCCCCTACTGGGACAGGACCTCAGCCCCTACTAGGCCCTTCACATCATCAGTCTCAGGCCCGTCAGGCCTCCCCATGAGCTGTGCCTAGCAGCTTAGCCCTCTAGCTCCTGTCCGTTTTCAGCCCCTTCCCACCCACACCTGCATTCCTGTCCGCTCCCCCTGCACCCTGAGGCTTCTGTCCCAACCGTAAGGGACAAGCTGTTGTCAAGCCATGGTTGCAATTTCTCCGGACCCAGAGCCCTGCTCCTGTCTCATCCCTGTCCACCACCCTCAGTCCCAGTCCTAACAGCCCGCTCGCCTCGGCCTCAATAGGTGGCACCAGGGATTCCAGGGCTGCCTCCCGCCTCCCTGCTGGTCTCCCCTCCCTCCTGGGCCCTGGGTCAGAGAGAGGCTGGGGGACTCAGTGGCTCAGCTCAGGTTTCTCTGTGCTCAGAAATCTGCATCTGTCTGCTTGACCCCTCCTCTGATATCCACCGCCTCCATTTCCATCTCCACTGCCCAGTCCCTTGCCCTGGGCTTCTGGGCTTCCCATCCCTGCCAATGAGCCCATCCCCACTGTCCTTGGACCCTATTTCCATAGCCTGATCCTTCTCCTTCTGAGATGTCCCAAATATGTCTGTTTGTTATCTTCTGTTCCATCCTTGTCCAAGCCCCTCTGCCCTTGGCTGTCTGCAGCCCCCTCCTGTCAGCACCCCAGGGACTCACGCACATGGGACCTGCAAGCCCCCTCCACGCCCCTCCCCTGCCTCCCTCCTGGCCTGGGGTCCTCAGATGCCCCTCCACGCCCCTCCCCTTTCCTCCCCTCCTGGCCCGGGGTCCTCGGGTGCCCATCTACACCCCTCCCCTTTCCGCTCCTCCTGGCCCGGGGTCCTCAGATGTCCCTCCATGCCCCTCCCCTGCCTCCCTCCTGGCCCGGGGTTCTCAGATGCCCCTCTGCGCCTCTCCCCTTTCCTCTCCTCCTGGCCTAGGGTCCTCGGATGCTCCTCTATGCCTCTCCCCTTTCCTCTCCTCCTGGCCTAGGGTCCTCGGATGCTCCTCTATGCCTCTCCCCTTTCCTCCCCTCCTGGCCCAGGGTCCTCGGATGCCCCTCCACACCCCTCCCCTGCCTCCCTTCTGGCCCGGGGTCCTTGGATATGCTGCTCCCTCCACCTGGAAGGCTCAGCTCTGCTCCATATCCTGCTCCGGCTCAGCCTCATGGACTCCCTTAAGGCCCCTCCGCAGAGAGGCCCCAGGTCACACAGCGCCCCATTTTCGGACTCCATAGCACCTGTTATTGTAACTGCTCGTGTCATTGCTATTTCTCTGCTTTTTATTCGCTTCTTCCAGGGGATGGTGGGCTCTGGGGAAGGGCCTGACTGTTCACAGCCTTGGCCTTGGAAACCTATGCTCCCTAAGCTTGTGGAAGATGGCCAGGAGTCTGCTCAGCTGCACAGTAGCTTTGGGCAAAGTCCTGCCCCTCCCTGAGCCCTGGAACCCTCGGATGAAGTGGGGGTCACAGAGAGGGCGAGTGCCCGTACAGGAGGCTCCAAGAGGCGTCGACTGAAGGAAGGACCCAGCAACCACAGAAACAAAGGAGTGAGTGAATGGTGCCGCCATACCCCCACCTGCGCCACCTGCCCAGGGGTCGCTTTTCTAATGGGTGGCAAAGGCTTCTCCTGGCTTCACGTTCCAACTATTAGATGAGACACCTCCTTTGGTATCCATCTTGCCGTCCAGGCAGCCTCCCTGGAGTTGTGGTCAGGGCTGTGAGGGCCTGGAGGAGCCCAGTCAGGTCTGGCATCTGCAGGGCAGCATGGGCAGGAGCCAGCAGAGAGCTGTGGCCCGGACATATGGGCCGTGTGCCTTGGGGAAAGTTCCCCATGGGATGGAAGAGCTCAGGGACTCTGGCAGCCTGTGCCACTGTTGGCTGCATTCAGGCTGGGCTCTTCTGGGATCTCTGTGAGTGCGATCCCAGTGAGTGGCCACCAGGACAGATGCCCAGGGACCACTAGACAGGGTTAGGCCCCCCAGGGTTCCCACCACCAACAGGTGGTCTCATCTAGAGCAGGCCTGCGGGGGGCCCCACGGGAGAGCGGCACGCTCTGTCTACTTGGGATGGCCCCAGAATTCTGGTCTACCCCTCATATTTCTGCACCTGGGGGTGAGGCCTTTGACAAAGCCGGGCGGGGCGGGGAGAGCCTTAGACACAGTGTCCCGGCCCTCAGCCTCAGCTCACCGTGTTCTCAGGCCAGGCTTTCCCATCCCCGGGCACTCAGAGCAACTGAGGACAGAAATGGAAGAGGCTGCTGGTGCCTGAGACCCGTGCGGGGTGGGAGGGGCCGCCAGGCAGGCTGCAGGGTCTGTGGAGCCCCTGGGGTACACACTGAGCCATCACCAACCAGAGGCTGCATGCCCAGAGGAGCTGGTGCCCCTGCGATGCCTCATCCGCCGGGGCACCTCCATCTGAAACAGACCCTCTCTATGGCCCTGCCGGAGGCACAATCACTCACTCTCAAGGATCCAGTGCTTGGCTGTCACCTGCACCTCCCAGCACCGTCGCGGCAGCACACCGCAGGTGTCCTCCCTGGGACCCCATGCGCGCACACCCTCGTGTTGTCTGTGTGTTGTCATTACTGCACCCCGCACCTCCCAGCACCATCGTGGCAGCACCCCGCAGGTGTCGTCCCTGGGACCCCATGCTCGCACACCCTCATGTTTTCTGTGTGTTGTCATTACTGCTGTCATCGTCACTGAACTGCCTCCCCCACTAAAGAGCACATGTGTGTCCTGTGGGATTTTTCTCTGTGGGTTCTTTTCAAGCTGCACCCCTTCCCCAAAACCCCTCAGCAAGGACCCCATCCCTCCAACTTCATCATCTGGTTTTGAGGAGAGGAGTGGCCAGGAATAGCCTGCAACCAGGAGGAGATGGGGGACACAGAGGGAGGGGCTCTGGCCAACCACGCCTCCCGCCAAGGGTGACACTGTGGATCCCAGGCTCTTGAATGAAGCCGGTTCCTTGGGGGCCCCAGGGCAAGACTCCTGCTCGGTCTGGTTGAATTTTTCCCGCTGGCTGGCTTTGCCTTCAGATGGACTCCTGGTGACTCACAAGTGTGGGGCTGTCCCTCAGATTCCCATGTTACCAGAATAATGTGGAGTCCCTGGGGGAAGGAGGGAGCCCTTGGTCTTCAGAGTCCAGGGACGCAACTGGGTCACAAATGCACGTTAATGGATCAAACAGGAGCCTCATGTCTGTGCTTAGCACACAGAGCCAGAGCACCTGGGTTCAATGCCCCTCACTGCTGTGTGATCTTCGGCAGATTACCGAACCTCTCTGTGCCCAATTTCTTCACCTGTAGAATGGGTACTACTTGCTAAAAGCACAAGTGCCTGAGGGCGCATTAGTCAAATAAACAAGCCGACTGATTTTTCAGTCCTTCCCTCTGAAAGTACCTGTACTGGAAGCTTCCATTCAGCTCCAAGGGCAGCAGAGCAGGTGGCTTAGAAAAGGAAAGGAGACAGGGTGGGGGGTAGGATGACAGCTCTTTCCTTTCTCTTCCTATTGCCTCATGGCCCATGGGACCAGGAGCTGCACAGGCTGCAGGCCAGACAACCTGTCAACTGAGCAAACCTGGTCCCTGGGGCACGTTTCTGAACGGAGCCAGGATGGAGGGTGGGGACCAGGACGGAGGGCGGGGCAGGCTGAACGCCAGTTCTTTCAGGAGGCAGGCTGCCCTGACACAGGAGGAGTGGAGGAGGTCCCTGGGGGTCTGGCTCCAGGGGTATCTGGGCAGGTCTCCCCCAGGAACCCAGTTAGGTGGGTCTGGTGTGTGCGTGGGCTGGTGGGCAATGCCGTGTGTACAGGTCATCTACCCGGCCCCCTGGGTTCAATGCCTGTGCTCCAGGGCCTGTTTGCCGGAGAGGGTGAAAGGGACTCTCGCCACTGTGTAAATAGACTTTGCAAAGGCCTCAGCTTTCTCACCCCGTCTCCAGCTCTCCAAACCCACACTATGAATTGGCGGCTTATCAGAAGCCCCGTCTGGCAGCTAAAAGATGTTTCCATGCATTGTGAGGCTGCATGGAAACCAAGTCATCTCGCCCCAAGGACAAAGGAACTCAAGTGTTTGAAATGCAAAAATATTTTGACCCGACTACCTCATTTTTCAAAGGAAAAAAGTAATTCGCGGCTCACAATTCACTTGCTATCTCGCAGGAAGTCCTGTATTTCTTATTCACTCCCCAAGGCCCGCTTCTCTGTGTGAGAGGTCACCTAAGAGGACCAGGGCGTGAGGGACATTCAAGAGTTTTCTTTCTGCCTCTTCCTGTTTTTTTTTTTTTTTCTTGTTAATGCCTCATGTTTGTGAAGGACTCTCCTGAGCACTGTTCCATGCCTTATCTCCCGGGGTCCTCCCTAGCCCAGGAACTTGAGTGGGGAACAGAGTGTCTACCCTCTGTTGCCAAGGCAGAAAACAAGGCCCTGAGAGGTTAAGTGACTTGTCCCAGGTCACGCTGGTTGATGATGGAGCCAGAACTGAAGCTTCTGGGGTCTTCTGGTCCCTTGATGTCTGCCCTTTCCTGGGCTCTTTGGTTCTCCCATGTAATGACTGTGTCTAGATGGGACCTTGAGGCTCATCATCATCATCGTCATCATCAATGGTATCATCATCACTATCATTGCCATCATCATCATCTCCCTCATCACCTAAATCATCATCTTCCTCATCATCACCACCATCACCATCACCGTCATCACCCCACCACCATCACCATCATCAACACCATCATAATCAAAGCTATGATCATCATTTCCTTCATCATTAACATAATCACTACCACCATGGTCACCATCATCTTCATCTTCATTATCAACCTCATCACCAGCATCATCACACAAATCTTGATCTCACTCTGAGTCTCAAGCATGTGCCAGGTGCTATTTTAAGTTTGCTTTACACACCACAACTTGTATAGTCACCACCATAACTCTGAGGCAAAAGTTATTATTTCCACTTTACAGACGAAGAAATTAAGGTGTCAGTAGGATAAAGGAGTTTTCTTACAGAGCCCTTTGCCTTCCAGGAATTTCTTTTCACCACCAAGTCTCCCAGGCCCACAGAAAGTGCTTGTGGACAGACCCTCATGGGGGCTCGGAAGCAGCTCAGAAGAGGCTTAGCAGAGAGGCAGCCTGTGGGGTTAGAGCTGAGTAAAACCCCAAAGGCCTGTGGAGCTGTCCTTGGGGCCTGGCCCCCCAGAACCACAGGAATCCAGACAATCAGGAGTGCTCCCTGCTAGGCCAGGGTGTGGGTAGTTGCTTGGGTTCACACAACTAAAGCTGTTTGAAAAGCAAAGAGTTTCTTTTTGAGAGTGGGGTTTCAGAAGGTGGTCTCTGAGGGGTACACCGCAGGGGAGATGCAAGTCTTCCCTGGAGTTGTATGGGGAGGTGGGAAGGGTGTGTGATGCTGGAAAACCAGGGGCCCAAAGAAGTGCAGGGGGCTTGGAGGATACTATGGGGAGAGTTTGAGGGCCACAGCTTAGTAATGGAAGATCCTGGGTGCCCTGTAAGGAAGCCTGGATGAGGGACACACAGACGGCACCTGCTGCACTAACGAGGGAGGGACAGCTGGGACCAGACCTGACCATGGAGAGGGGAGGCATATCCCAGGCCCAGTGGAGAGGCGCATCCCAGGCCCACGGAGGTGGCTCACGCAGAAGTCCCTTGCTTGGGGCTGGTTGTGGGGACCACACTCTTTCCAACCTCAGAAACCTGGACAGCCCAGAGCATGCGGGGCTGCAGGCTACGCTGCAAAACACTTCACTGGGTCCCCTCTTGCCCCAGCCTCCTGTTCACTAGTTGGTCTGGGTTTCAGGGCTTTCTTGGGGGGGCCTGATTTGCCGCTTACTGCCTATGTGGCCTTGGGTGGTGAGTTTACCTGCTTGAATGCAGTTTTCTCATGATTATGTGGAGGGGAAGAAAGGCAGCTGCCTCACAGGGCTGCTGTGTGGCCCCCAGAACTCACCAGTTGTGCCCTAAGATCATCCCTTGGCGAGCTGCAAGGGGTGGCCTCTACCACCCAGGCCTGAGCCCAATATGGCCTGACTTTGCACACGGAGGGTGCTGCCACGCCCAGGCACAGTCATCATGGTGAACGAGGCCCAGGCGATGTCTCCCCAGCCCCAGCTGCAGCCCCTGGAGGGAATCCCTGGGATCTTCTGCTTCCGGCGCCTGCCTGGACCCTCCTCGTGGGTAAGCTGAGGGTGACTCGAGCCTCCCCTTGGGCCGGTGTGAACTACTGAAGGGCTGTGTGTGGGCAGAAGGGCCGGGACGGAGGTACTGCTCATCCCTGCAGCTCCCCACCGACCCAGGGTGCCCGCCAATCCAGGCCTTCCTTCTGGCCTAATTTGCTGCTTTCTCCACCTTGCCAGTTCCCTTTTGCTCCCGCCTCTGCATTTCTCGTCCAAAACAGAAATACAAAGGGAGGAAATCTATTCAAAAGTCCTCCTCCTCATTTTATTTTTGCAGCTCTCTGGGGTGCCCAGGCTTCAGATTCTCTTCCGATAATTATCTGCCCTTTTGGGGCCTTGGTAACCCAGAGCCTCAGGTTTGGGAGGCAAGAAGAAAGCCCTGGCCTGGCTCGAGCAGGGAGCCTGTTCCCCGGCAGAAGCCGCCGCGCGCTCACCCCTTCCCCTCTAACCCGGTGTGCGTGAGCCGGCTACAGTGGATGCTTTTTTCTCCAAATATCTCCGCTTCCTCTCAGCTGATCTGTGATGAACACCAGACCAGACTCTTTTTATGTGATAATTTTCCATCCCAGGCAATGCAAACATTTCTGTGGCTAATAATCTGAGTCTTGGCCGTTGCTCAGAAATAACAGAGGCGAGGTTCCAACATAAAATAATACGTCTTGCTTTTTATTACTTAATTTATCAACACTATACTGGAGAAACATCTTGTTAACTGGGCAAGAAGAAACAGTTTCCCAATGCAGCCCTGGCTGATGGAAGTGGGTGTCAGGTGGAGTAATGAATCCCGTTAGCATAAGAAGAGGCCAACGCTGAAAGAGAGTATTATTCAAAGAGGGAAATATTACTCAATAAGAAAACGGTACACTCACACGGAATCTGTTACATTAAGAATCCCACTCTTTCTGGCCAAACTCAATTTGTTATCCTCACAATATCCCCCCCATAGATAACAGATGAGAAGAGGAATAGCCCTGAGAAGGGACTCCTCAGAATCTGCAAAGTACAGGGATGCAGCCAAGCCCACCGCAGGAGGACACGGGCATCTCAGTGCAGCAGGACGGTAGATACTTGCCTTCCCCACCCCTCCAAGGTCTGTGATGATCTGATTTGGATCCTCACAGCTGGAGGTCCCCAGGGAACTGGGGCACCAAAAGCAAAGGCCTAAGAGGTCCTTGTTGCAGGGAACTGAGGTCCCAGAAGAATTCAGACTCCAGGAGGAGTCTGGTGAGGTTGGTGGAATCCAACCTCATGTCTCCAGCACCCAGGACAGCTCCCCACCCACAGTAGGTGCTTCCTAGACACAGCTGTCCCTGTGGTGGGGACACTGGTTCTCACTCACCTCCTCCCACTGTAGGTACCCAAATCCAAGGATGCTCAAGTTTCTTATATAAAATGGCATCACAGTGAATCAGCCCTCCGACTGTGCGGGCTCCGATGTGTGGTTGGTTGTATCCTGGCAGCACTATTAAATGGAGAAGTGTCTTCAAACGCCAGCCTGCAAGACCCCAAGGCAGGCGTATTTGTTGAATGAATGAGTGAGTGAATGAATAAATGAGGGATGTTTTGAAAAGTAGAATTGAATCAGACACAAGGAACTCACTAAGCAGATCAGTCAGGGTGAGCAAGGTTTATGCCAATGTAACAAACAGCTTCTAAAACTCATTGTCTTAACCAAGTAACAAAGTCTTATTTTTCCTAAATAAACATGTGACTTTTATTTTTTTCCTAAGCCCAGTGTGACTTGGCAGGGCAGCTCTGCTTGTGGTAAAAACTTGAGGAGCTCTCTGGGACTCTCTGGTTGCAGTGTTGGAGAGCAGAGAACTCTGGAGGGACCACACCAGCAGCTGGTGCCCGGCCTAGAGCAGCAGTGCCCTCCCTCATACTCACCGGCCTGATGCTCCACCCAACCCCAGGTGGGCAGAGAGTCTCATCCTACCTCGTTCCTGGAAGGCAGAGAGCCAGAAACTGGGGTCAGCTGTGCCAGTGGCACCCACACACATGAAGGAATGATCCACAACCCTGGACCACAAGGATTTTAGAATCCAACCAACTCGAAGAGCCCTCCGCGGCCTGCCAGGTACTACCAGTGTTCATTGACTACCTTCGCCACTTACTGAGTGTTTGCTGCAGGCCAGCACAGCCCTACGTGCGTCACTTAACGTATTAACAAGTAAAACACCCCCATCGGTGTTCATTTAAAAAAACCATCCATTATCTCAGCAATAAGGCATATTATCATTCAAAACTATTTCCAATCAGCCTTTTCAGACACGTGTGTCCTTATGCATGTGCATGTGTTTGCATACGATGTGCCACTTCCAGAAAACTCTTTTTTAATGAAGACTTTATTTATTTATTTATTTATTTTGAGATGGAGTCGCACTCTGTCGCCCAGGCTGGAGTGCAGTGGTGCCATCTCGGCTCACTGCAAGCTCTGCCTCCTGGGTTCACGCCATTCTCCTGCCTCAGCCTCCCTAGTAGCTGGGACTACAGGCGCCCGCCACCATGCCCGGCTAATTTTTGTATTTTTAGTAGAGATGGGGTTTCACCGTGTTAGCCAGGATGGTCTTGATCTCCTGACCTCATGATCCGCCTGCCTCGGCCTCCCAAAGTGCTGGGATTACAGGCATGAGCCACCACGCCCGACCGAAGACTTTATTTTTTAGAGCAATGACAGGTGCATAGGAAAACAGGTGGACAGTACATTGTTCCCCTTGACTCATTCTCTCCCTGTCTCCCCGCAATTCCCCCGTGATGAACACCTACGTTGGTGTGATACTCTTGTTACAATAGATGAACGAGTATCAGCCCGTTATTATTAACGAAGTCCACAGCTGACCTGAGGGGTCATGGTTACGCATGAATGTAGAATGGGGCGTGGACCCACCTTGGGAGTGCCACACAGAGCCCTGCCCCTGCCCTGAGCCCATGCCCTGCCCACTCATTCCGACCCCCAGCCCGCAGCAGCCCCTGATGATTTTGGTCCTTCTACAGTGTTGCTTTGTCTGGAGTGCCATGGAGTTGGAGGCATGGAGCATGCAGCCTTCTCAGACTGGTTGGGTCAGGCCAGTTTATCTTCTCTTATCCGGATGTCTCCTCTCCTCGTCCCTCCTGGTTAACCTCACTACCAGTTACTCAGCATCAGCAAAAGCAAGGGGTGGCCTGAGCTGTTCTCCAGTCCCAGTCCCAGGTGAGGCGCTGTCACTGTGCCACATACCTGCTCTCTGCCACGTAATCCTGTCCCTCCCCTGAGAGGCGGAGCTCGTTCCACCCTGTACTGTTGGTGTGGCCACGGGATTGGCTTCAGGTGTCGGTGCGGCCACGGGGTTGGCTTCGGGTGTCAGTGCGGCCACGGGGTTGGCTTCGGGTGTCGGTGCGGCCACGGGATTGGCTTTGGGCACAAGTGACAATGGGTTCATTCTGAGCCAAGGCCTAAGGAGGATGAGGACTATGTGTGTCTGCTGTCTTCTTCTGCTGCCACCAGGAATATTTCACAACTCCCAGATAGCTCTGGCATCCAAGGGGGGCAGGCAGTCAGGACAAACTGGGCCCAACCGCCAGGGTGGACCAAGCCCTGCTGCTTGCCCACAGCAGCTAAGTTGAATGCGATAAGGAGGGGCACCGTGTGCTGTTTCGAGCCACAGAGTTAGGGGATGGCTTGTGTCTCCCGCCCCCTCCCCGTGCCACTGTGGCCACAGATGAATGCCACACCTCCTCCCAGGACTCCGCCCCACTGTCTTGCCTCTCTCTGAGCCCAACTGTGTTGACAGCTCAGTGCCATCATGGGCTGGGCTCCTGAAGTGTCGGGGGCAGCCCTGGCTTTGTGGTGAGAGCCGTCTGGGAGGCTGTGTGCTGCACGCGACCCTCAGGACCCCACTGTGGGGTCTGCAGGCTGCATTTGGAAACCGTCTCCTGCATTTAAGAGTGTGGTGGCTTTTGTTGCCATTGCTTGTGGTGTTTTAGACATGAAGTCCTTGCCCATGCCTATGTCCTGAATGGTAATGCCTAGGTTTTCTTCTAGGGTTTTTATGGTTTTAGGTCTAACGTTTAAGTCTTTAATCCATCTTGAATTAATTTTTGTATAAGGTGTAAGGAAGGGATCCAGTTTCAGCTTTCTACATATGGCTAGCCAGTTTTCCCAGCACCATTTATTAAATAGGGAATCCTTTCCCCATTGCTTGTTTTTCTCAGGTTTGTCAAAGATCAGATAGTTGTAGACATGCGGCGTTATTTCTGAGGGCTCTGTTCTGTTCCATCGATCTATATCTCTGTTTTGGTTCCAGTACCATGCTGTTTTGGTTACTGTAGCCTTGTGGTATAGTTTGAAGTCAGGTAGCATGATGCCTCCAGCTTTGTTCTTTTGGCTTAGGATTGACTTGGAGATGCGGGCTCTTTTTTGGTTCCATATGAACTTTAAAGTAGTTTTTTCCAATTCTGTGAAGAAAGTCATTGGTAGCTTGATGGGGATGGCATTGAATCTATAAATTACCTTGGGCAGTATGGCCATTTTCACGATATTGATTCTTCCTATCCATGAGCATGGAATGTTCTTCCATTTCTTTGTATCCTCTTTTATTTCATTGAGCAGTGGTTTGTAGTTCTCCTTGAAGAGGTCCTTCATGTCCCTTGTAAGTTGGATTCCTAGGTACTTTATTCTCTTTGAAGCAATTGTGAATGGGAATTCACTCATGATTTGGCTCTCTGTCTGTTATTGGTATATAAGAATGCTTGTGATTTTTGTACATTGATTTTGTATCCTGAGACTTTGCTGAAGTTGCTTATCAGCTTAAGGAGATTTTGGGCTGAGACAATGGGGTTTTCTAGATATACAATCATGTCATCTGCAAACAGGGACAATTTGACTTCCTCTTTTCCTAATTGAATACCCTTTATTTCCTTCTCCTGCCTAACTGCCCTGGCCAGAACTTCCAACACTATGTTGAATAGGAGTGGTGAGAGAGGGCATCCCTTTTGTTTTGTGCAACAAAAGCCAAAATTGACAAATGGGATCTAATTAAACTAAAGAGCTTCTGCACAGCAAAAGAAACTACCATCAGAGTGAACAGGCAACTTACAAAATGGGAGAAAATTTTCGCAACCTACTCATTTGACAAAGGGCTAATATCCAAAATCTACAATGAACTCAAACAAATTTACAAGAAAAAAAACAACCCCATCAAAAAGTGGGTGAAGGACATGAACAGACACTTCTCAAAAGAAGACATTTATGCAGCCAAAAAACACATGAAAAAATGCGCACCATCACCAGCCATCAGAGAAATACAAATCAAAACCACAATGAGATACCATCTCACACCAGTCAGAATGGCAATCATTAAAAAGTCAGGAAACAACAGGTGCTGGAGAGGATGTGGAGAAATAGGAACACTTTTACACTGTTGGTGGGACTGTAAACTAGTTCAACCATTGTGGAAGTCAGTGTGGCAATTCCTCAGGGATCTAGAACTAGAAATACCATTTGACCCAGCCATCCCATTACTGGGTATATACCCAAAGGACTATAAATCATGCTACCATAAAGACACATGCACACGTATGTTTATTGCAGCACTGTTCACAATAGCAAAGACTTGGAACCAACCCAAATGTCCAACAATGATAGACTGGATTAAGAAAATGTGGCACATATACACCATGGAATACTATGCAGCCATAAAAAATGATGAGTTCATGTCCTTTGTAGGGACATGGATGAAATTGGAAATCATCATTCTCAATAAACTATCGCAAGGACAAAAAACCAAACACCACATGTTCTCACTCATAGGTGGGAATTGAACAATAAAAACACATGGACACAGGAAGGGGAACATCACACTCTGGGGACTGTTGTGGGGTGGGGGGAGGGGGGGAGGGATAGCATTAGGAGATATACCTAATGCTAAATGACGAGTTATTGGGTACAGCACACCAGCATGGCACATGTATACATATGTAACTAACCTGTACATTGTGCACATGTACCCTAAAACTTAAAGTATAATAATAATAATAATTAAATTAAATTAAATTAAAAAAAAGAGTGTGGTGCCTTATTTTCCGACGTGGCCTGGTGGGGGTGATACTACCTGGATGGCTAGTGTGGGGATCCATGCAGGAGAATCGTGGAGGCTGCAGAGCACGTGGCGCCTGGCGAGCATTCTGTAAGCGAGGGTGACAAGCGCAGCAGCAGCGCGCAGGCTCGAGGGGTTCCTGCACACGCGGCTGGTGTTTGGTAGAGGACAGCCCGGTGTCGGAGCCAGGGAGGGGGAATGCCACATCTCCACGAGCACACACCCCTGCCTTTCTCCTTCTTTCCTGCATGACCCTCCTTCCCGCCTCCACCCCGCAGTACAAGGCTGAACACACACTGTCTCAAGGCCAACCTGGAACCTGCTGTGGTAGTGAGGCAGGAGGGGGAGGCTCGGCACTGCTGCTCAGTGGTCCCAGCTGGGACCCCCACGGTCCACGCAGCTGTGGGATCACAGTCGGCCCCAGGAAGCCAGTGCCCCCACCAGAGAAGTAGTCTCATGGAACACGAGCCCGGGATGCTAGTGGATCTACAACCTTCTCCTGGGACCTGGCTGCCCCACCCTGCTGCCCACCAGCCCCACCCCCAGGGCAGGCGCTTTCTCTAACAGCAGGTGGCTTCTTAGATAAGGTGGGGAGATACCACCTTCCACGAGGGGCCCACCTCCTGCGGAAAATTTCCACCAGCCAGATAGGCCTTAGGGACCTCCACCGCGGCCCCCACTGGGCACATGAGGCCCTCACTCTCCCCAGAGCCTTCTTCTGGCTCTAGAGCAGGACTGGGCCCCAAGAAGCCAGGGAAGATCCCCCCTCTATTTGAGGGATTCAGGGCCCACCTGGGGCCCGGCCTGGACACCGTTATGCAGAGGAGCAGCTGCAGAGCCCAGCCCCCCAATGCCCGCACAGGGACACCGCTGGGCATGCAGGACCTCAGAGCTGGCCCTCGGAGCCGGGAGCACTCAACCTGCACCACGAGAGGGAGGTATGCTCAGGCCATTGGGCACCTAGCTACAGGGAGATAGGGCTCAGGAAGAGGGGGGCACAGCATGATGTCACAGAAGCGAGGAGCCAGGCCTCGGGAAGGGTCCCAAGGAGTCCCAGCACCCAGGAGAGTTGCCCTCTTTTACACTGGAGGGGAACCCCGCCACCCGGCTCACTAGCATGCATAAGCCCAGCTGATGAGAATCGTGGTAACGAGGTTTGGCAGGTATCTTAGGAGGGAGGCGGCGTGGCTGTGTGGAAGAGAGAACTCCCCGCCCAAACCAATTACCACAGACTTTGCTGAGGTGTGTGTTCGTGTTTAAAGCAGAAGAGGCTAACCAGGGCTCAGAGCTGATCTATTTTTCTCTCCTAATAGAGCAGCACAATTTAATTAACTCAATATTGCACCCACCTGAAGATTATGGACAGGGTTTATTGACGCCACCATCTGGCTCCTATAAAGCTGGTAATGTAGCCAATAAATCCTGCTGCAGAACTAGGCGCCTGCGAGAGGTGTCCTGTCTGCACGGCCTCCCCTTGCACCCTGCTGTGGGAGTTGCTTGGGTGGCCACAACGGAGGGGCTGCCCTGGGCACCCTGTGGCGTCGGTTCGGTTGTGGAGAAGGGGTGCTGGTTCCAGGGCAGCACCTGTGCACCCTGACCCCTGCAGGTGCCATGATACCACTTCAGAGGCAGGTGTCTGCCCAGGGGCCCCCTACCCTGGTCGCTGGGTTCCCACCACCCTGACTGGTCCCTCGTTCCCACACCTAGTAAAGAGCAGCCAAGCCCTGGACGTGGGTTCTCACGCCGGGTGCCCAGAGCTGTGCCTGACTGCTCCGCTCTCACCCCACCTCACCCTCGGTACCCAGAGCTGTGCCTCACGGCTGCGCCCTCACCCCACCTCACCCCTGAACCACGCAGCACGTGAGACTCATTATCTCCCATTGCAAAAGAGGAAACCAAACGGCCAGGCCTGGAGCTCAAGGCTGAGGGCCGCGCTGCCCCGGGCAGAACCAGGTCCAAAGGGCAGGGGTGGGTGGGGAAGGGGCCCTGGCTTGGTCCGGCTCCTCTGGGTCTCCAAGGTAAGAAGACCCCTCTGTTTAACTTGGGGTTAAGGCAGCGTCTGAGTGTGTCCTTCTAAAATTTGTGATGTTTCGTCTCCTACTGGAATTTAAGTTTCAGCCTAAAGCCTCAGCACAATAGAAGTCATTTCTGATGACAGCAGGGTCCCCAGAGCCACCTGTTCTCATGCTGAGCCAGGGACCCCGAGATGGGGGACACAGCCCCCTGCCCTGCCTCCCAGTTTCCATCCACTCCAGCCCCACTTCTGCAGGGCCTTTCCCCCAGGCTGTACCCTCGCAGGCTTCCCAGGACGCTTCAGGGTCAGAGAGAAGCCCAGGCTCTTCTTTCACTGACACAGAAAAAGGACAAGTTAAACTCTCACGTCCCCCCATGTGCTCTTGGACTTGGGCTGGATGTGTGTGAACAATGCCTTTCCCAGGCTGCCCTGAGCCCCCTGCACCCTCAGGCCCTGGGGCCTTGCAGAGCAGAAAGGAAGCCACCTCAGACACGCAGGGTGGTAGAGACCATGGCACCAGCATAGCAGGTAATAAACCACTGCATAGGACGGTAATTAGCTGCACCTCTCCCAGCCGAATCTGACGGTTTCAGCTGATTTAAGGGATCCTTCAGGTGAGGTGGGGGTGGGGTAAGTAGAATCAACTCAATTTAGAATGGCGGTGGGGGGGCGGCGGCAAAAGGGTTACATTGATAAAGTTGTCACCCAGCCTGGAGCTGCCCCATAACTCACCTTGGGCCATGCTAACGGGCCATTAATCACCCTTATCAGCCTGTGAAGGGGCCCCTGCGGGACCGCCCTACCCCAGGGGGCAAGTTCAGGTGTGGCGAGGTGGCGAGAGGTCAGAGTCCACCCAGGGCCGGCTGCCACCTTGGAGGCCACGGGAGCTGTGGCTGCGGCCCCTCCCTCAGGCCTGATTTCTGCCCTGCGGACTGGAGCCTCAGGAGCAATGCGGCCTCCCCAGACAAGCCGCAACAGTTGTGAAAACGGGATCCTGGGAGTGGGGTGGGGGGAGGGGGGAGAGAAGACGGAGGAAGCGGAAGCCAGGCACCTGGGCTGGTCCCCAGGGGCGGATGAGGGTCCCCAGGGCCACGGCCCAGCGCTGCCTTGGGAAGGGGATGGTGTGGGCGGTGCTTTCCGACTTTCTGCTGCCTGGGCCGCCTTACACCTCTCTGCCTGCAGCCTTTGATTCAGCAAAATCAAGGATGCAAACTTCTTAGGAATACTTAGTTTCCATGGCAACCGTAGCTGACCTCAACATTATTGTTCTCAAGAGGGGACTGACTTTACTATATGTTCATTCACTGAATTAATGGACTCCCGATTCTTTTATCAGCAACCCTGGGACAATGGAAAGAGAGACATGTTGTCAAAGGGCTTTCAGCCACTGTCCAGCCTTTTGTCCGCGGCTTACTGCGACGAAGCAAGTCTATTCAGGCTGAGATTATCAAAATCAACTCGGGGCTGTCTCCGGGGCAGCTAAACACACTTGGATTTCATAAAGACATAACTGATCCCACATGCAAATTAATAATTTGGATAGCAGGGTTCTTAGGGTTAGGGATTTTGGTGTGTATTTTTTTTTTTCTTTTTTGGTAATAAAGTGCATGGGTAGGTAAACTGCAGTTTAGTGACGGCACTCCGGCGGGATCTGTGTTGCTGGCTGGCTGGTAAGGGAACGGGAAAAGGCGGTCTGAACCTCACTCACCTCGCTGGCACAGGCCTCAGCAAAACCAAGCTTAGGGAGGCCGCAGAAAGCCTTCTAGATCCAGTACATCCCAGAGAGCCTTCTAGTTCCCATACCCACCAGCTGAGCCCGATGCATGCATAGCAGCGCCTCCTTCTGCAGCTCTGTGTTTGAGGGTCCCTCCATCTCTCCAACCACATCCCCTCCCCTCCCTACCCCTGCCCCCTACTCCCTTCCTCCCCAGCCCTCCAGCCTCCTTTAGGAGGAAAACAATACAAACAGAACACAGTGAGCCACAGGACTGGACACCGAACAGCAGTCTCCGGCTGCGTGGTGCTGTGCTGGGCTAAAAGCCTGGCATGGCCAGGAACTCGGTATATCCTGCTCACAAACTGCCTGGAGTCCCAGCGAGGTCCCAGCTGCGTTTAGACCTCAGGGTGTGTGGCCTCCTCCAGTAACTGCTGCACAAAAGACACTTAGCAGTTGCCTGTCTGTCTCGCTCCCAACTTCCTGGGCTCAGCAGCCATCCTTCATTAGCCCCCAGTCCCCACGGGAGGGACCCAGGAAACCTCTGGACTCCTCGTTACCAGAGGCATTTTGCCCGGGCCGGGCTATAGAAAACGCCCACAGAACAGCCCAGTGGGACAGGCCATGGTTCTAACATCCAAATAATCATTTCACAAATTATCGTCATTATCAATCAATCACCCTGTTTGGACAATGCAAGGCTGGGCTATCAGACGACTTTTATGACCTGTAGCATTTTGTACGTAATAATAATAACCGGGAGAGATTTATGGACCCATCACCGGCCCCTCTTCCGGCGGAATGACTTTATTAGCTCGATTTATTTTTGACCCTCCTCTAAGCCTCTGCACTCCCGCCCCTCGCCCTAGGGGCTGGCTGGGGTGGATGCGTTTTTTCCGAAGCTTCTGAAGGGTTTTTTTTCCAGGTCCCCAGGCCTAGCCCTCCCATGCGAATTCACGATGTATTTATTTTTGGGAGGAGGGGGATAGAGAAGCGGAGGGGAAGAGAAAATAAAAATAAGAGAAAAGGTCACTTCCTTTTGTTTGTGTTTTCCCGTTCTGTATTAACACGTCCTTCCTTTTCAAGAGGGGGAAGGAAAACACGATAAAGTGGACAAAGGGAAAGGCTGCCGGGCCATGTTTCCCCTTTCATATCGCCAGAGATTGAATCAAAATTCTTTCAGCTGATAGCATCTCCCGGGTGGACTACACTCTTGTTAACGGATAAATTCAAGCCCTCCAGAAAGTCAAAGAATAAATTTAAGCCTTTTGCCAAATGTCTATCCTATTGGATTTTGATAAGATGGCCATTGAGCCTTAATAATGTCTTCCATCCATTTTCAGCGAGCCCTTAACACGGCTCTTGATTCGTCCCCAAAGCCTCTTCGCCCGGCCTTTTTATTACCGGCTCCGGCGGGCTCTCCAGGGAGCTGCGCGCCCGGAGTGATGGATGGACAACTCGCTAGATTATCTCCCGCAGATGTTTGCTCTCCAGGAGCCCCCGGGCTTTCCCTCTAAGTAAACAGAGACTAAATAGAGAGTCCGCTGGAGGGAGCGGTCCCAGAGGTCCCCGCACCGCGGCCAGGAAAGGCGCGACGCAGCCCGACCCACAGCCAATGTGACTTTTTGGGAAGCGCCGGTGACGCGCGCCCAGGGCGCACCAGGACGGGCGCAGGGACGGCGAGGGCACGCATAGGGCACCAGGGCGAGCGCACCAGAGCGAGCGCGGGCCAGCGCCAAAGCTCTGGGCTGCGCGGGCGCAAGGGCTGCGGAGTGAACGAAGGCGCAGAGACCAGGGTGTGAGACAGAGGGAACGCGGGAGTCCAGGGCGAAGCTGAAGGGGCGCAGGAAGGACGGAGGAGGACCGTCCCCTGCGCCTGGCGGTGGCTCCGCCCTCCTGGGGTGGGGGCGGGGCTAACGGGAGGCACCTCTGTAGCGCCCACAGGAGCCAGGCCCCGCGCCACAGTCCTGAGTTCGAATCCCAGGCCTCCATACAACCCTCGGCCCGGCCGCCCTCGCCTGTAAATTCTGAGTAGAGTCATCCTGCATCCAGCCTCTTCAGAAACCTCACTCTCTGATACTTAGAATTCCTAACCGTGGCTTCCTCACAAAATACCACCTTTTCTGCAGCTCATATGCCAAGCTGCTGATTGAATTAATTAACTTCGTCACATTTCACTGAGGCAGATAAAGAACAGGAAGTGTAATCCTCCCAGAGGTGGATGAACTGAAGCCAGACACAGGAGTTGCCCACCCACAGGTCACACAGCCACCCCCGTCATGTTCCCCTATGAGGTTTTTAATGTTCCCAAGTGTGCCTTTGGGTGACCCAAACTACAAAACCCCTAAACCAGAGTTCTCATCCTATAAGGAAGGACTGTACTGAATTCATCCTGAAAACAGCACCGCGGTGCGCACAGTTACGGCAGCAATCCACACATCGCACCTATACCAACAGCTCTAAGTGGCGCATTTGTTTGCAGGGTGGGGTCTCCGTCTGGACTGACGCCCACTCGAGGGCTGTCTGTCCTGGTCTTCCTGGCCCCCGAGTCTGAAGACTTTGCCTTTGAATTTTAGCTCATGTCTCTCAGTCTCTCAGCCCCAACCCCCCCGGCTCCCCGAGAGTGCCTAGAAATGTAACTGAACGGGTCCAGTCTGAGCCCTGGGGTTAGGGATCTGATTCTCCCACCAGCATGGCCTTGGCAAACACTCGAATCCTCCAGACGCTGACGGTGTTTATTGCGGAGGCTGAAAAAACTATGAGTTGATGGCCCAGGCAGTGCTGTGTGGCAGCCTCCCCCTCTGGTGGAGCTGTGCCTGAGGACTTGGGTGCCTCCTCCAGGCAGCCCCCAGCCCCTCGGACTGGGCCTGCAGGGCAGCGGCAGGGAGGAGCCCTGGGCTGGGGTCAGGAGGCCTGCTTGGACAGGACCGCCCACCAACGCCCCCGATGCTGGCTCTGGTACCCTGCGCTGAGCTCCCTGCAGTCGCGGCGGTGCCGTGGGGGGTCTCGTGCATCGGGTCTGCTCTGATTCCGTGGGATGGCGGAACCTGAGACTCCTCAGCCCGACCCAAGGTTCTCAACCTGCTTTCCAAGGGCCTGCGTCAGAGGGATGCCTGCTGCCCTGGGCACTTGGAAGTAGGCCCCTGGCTGGACAGCATCTCATGCCCACCCCGGGAGCCGCTCTCAAGAATGACCTTGGGCCACACTGAGCGAGACCTAATGGCCACACATATAAGACACAAAGGCAAACCCACCGTGGCCCAGAGGCACAGAAGGCGGCGCCCACTTCACCCTCCTTCTGTCCTAGTTCGTTCTGGTTCAGAAGCAGCCAGCACTTGCCTCCCCCGGGCCCTTTAAATCTAGACTTGACCTTTTGACCTTCTGACTTGACCCCTGTTCCTAGACCAAGCAACCCCTCCCAGCATAAACTGATCCCCTTCTAACCTCCTGCCAGGCCACCTCCATGAGGCATTCAGGAGAGGCGCAGCCAAGGAGGGCGTCTTGAAAATGTCAGACGGTCCAGGGACGCATCGGGGTGGAAAACCCAGTGATTTCAGGCTCCCTCGAGAACTTGAGGGATTCGCACTAACTGCAGGTCACTTTTTGTGGGAAGTGAAAATACTGCAGTTCTCGGAAATACAGCAGCGCTGCTAACTGTTTCCTGCTCCTCTATGTCCTTTAAGAAAATGTGAACTCATTTAAAGAGGCAGGAAAGGAGAAAGAGGGAAAGTGGAAAAGACCAGCCCTGGAATTTGCTCCATTTGCTCCAGTCAAACGTGGGTGCAGGAAGACCTCAGGCATCCTGTGGACGGCGGGGACTGAGAGCCGACACCTTGTCCTTGGACAAAAGGACCCCAGGAGGCCAGACACAGCCACACCAGCGACGGGGAGGGACACGGGAACCAGTTCACCCAGTTTCCGGAGGCCCTTCAGCGGGTCACTGCGGGCCCAGCAAAAGTCTCCATTGCCATGCTTTCTCCAAAATCAATGTATCTGGGGTTGAACCTGGAGAGAAGGGTCAGGTCCCCCTGTGCTTTGCGGATAGCTCTGCCCAGATGGTGGGTCCCCTGTCCCTCGTAGGCAGCTCTGCCCAAATGCCTCGGCTCAGAGACTGGGAGTTTGGCAGGACTAGCACAGCACTTTCCTTTGACTTTGGGGGAAAAATGGAGTATTGATGACTTGAACACTCAGCTCAGCTTCCTAACCACAAGGCTGCCAGTACCCCTCAAGCCCATATGCTGCGTCACGGAATCCAGTTGTAATTCTGACAGAATTGTAACAGCACTCGGTAGGCACTGACTCAGCACTGGCTCCTCTGTGCCAGCAACCCCCATGGTGCACCCCGCCCCACCCCGCCCCCTGCGATGCTGTCTGGGTGGGGATGTGTAAATGTGACTCTCTCTAAATTTTATCTTGCTTTAAAGCAAAGATGCCAAGCGAGAGACTGTTACTTTAATTTTACTAGAAACCCCCCCCCAAAAAATAGGAGATCAGCCACCACGTGTGAGCGTGCTGTGTCTGTGGACGTCTGTGTGTGCGTGCAGGCAATGCATATCCCGTCGAAGAGGAGTTCTGGCTGCTGAACAGGTTCTAGGTTTCGGAGCTGCTTTCCAGGCCATTCCTCCTCCTGGCCGTCTGGACTGCAGTGTGCACACCCAGGCACACATGTGACTATGTGTGTGCCTCCCCAGGGCCTGTGTGTTTCTCTGCACATGGTTCTCCCTCTGGATCTGTTAGACCTAATGTTTGTCCACCAGCCGTTATCCACCACCAGTCAGCAAAGCCGTGGATAATGCCACGTGGACCCTTTTTCTCTCGCCTCGTGGTTTTGCTTATTTAAAACGATGCTTCTTTGGAAGCTACGAGTGCAGCAAAGGCTTTGTTGAATCTGCAGCCAATTCTTCCCCATATTCTTTTCATGAGAGTATCCAGCAAAGACAGTTAAATAAACACAACCTGCGTTTATTTAATTTTCCTGTCTGCGTGGCCTGAAGCTTTCCCACAGGTACAGGGCTCTCCTCCACTCTCGGGAGTTAGGAGAGTGGCGGATGGCCCTGTACCTGTGACCCTACGGCGACATGACCCCCACCTCCCCATCCCTCCTAATGACAGCAAAGCCACCGTCCTGTGCACACGTCAGTCCACAGATAACACATTGCTCGGGGCCTGCCAGCAACATTCCGACTACACGCTTGTTAGCTCAGGGACAGCTGGGATGGCGGTCGCCCCGCCAGGAGCTCCGAGGACGCTGGGGAGCTGAGACGGCGCAGGGCGAGCTCTCCTACCTTTGTGATGCAGCCTTCCTGGGGCGACACTTCCACGTCCGTCAGTATTTGCTGCAAAACAATTTTGAGAGGGGTTGTTAGTTTCTGATAAAACATTCTCAAGCTACACTGGGTTCTAAATGGTGGGGGCAGAACCACTGTCCCCAAAAGTCACAGGGTGGGACCCAGTGGCTTCTCCACAGCAGGAAATGAAGGGTTCCATTGATCACAGGTATCCCTTCTTCCAGCAGAGGCTCCCCCAGTCACCGAGGACTCCAAGCGCCCCCCAGGGACTTCACCTCCCTGGAAACACTGCACTCCAGGGATGGAGACACACTGTGTAGCTCACTCTGGCCCTTTAGTGGTTGGGTGGGGACCCAGGTCAAGGCGTCTCAAGGTGAGCCATTCATATTATTTATGAGAACCATCTGGGAGGAGCGCATGGACACCCTGGATGGTGAACAGACTCTATTTGTGTTTCCTCCAAGTTCCGCCGGCGAATCACACCACGTGTATTTAGACGTAACTTGGCCTAGGTTGTGCCTGGTCCTGGACAGGTGAGAGACAGCGAGGTGCAGTCCCTGCCCTCCGGGGGCTTACAGTCCAGCTCAGGAGGCAGAGGTCGGGGGGAGCTGGACTCTGCCCAGCGGTCCCAGGAGACAGCGGCGGGCGGCCAGAGGCAGGGGCAGAGGTCGGCCAACGCCCTGCGGAAGGGTGGCTTGGTGGGTGCTGGAGGGAGAGGGAGCTCATGCCATTTCTCTGCTTCCTCTTTTTTTTTTTGGCAAATCAGAGGTGGGAGTGTTTTAACTGGCTCTTCACTCCCATCCAGATCCCTGGGAGGGGGATGTCCCCCATGGCTTTTGGAGGAAACTTCTCAAAGGAAATGGAGCTAAGGCAGAAAAGCCGCTGTGCCTAGTGCCATGCAGGTGCCCGGGGTGGCCACTGAGGACCCCCAGCAGCGGGCTGTGGGCCACACAGGAGCTCCCACCCCCTCACCCACGTGTGGACAGAGGCCGAGACAGGGAGGCTGGAGTGGGCCAGCAGTCGGCTCGTTCTTCCTCCCAGGTCGCTCCAGCCGGAACGTTCTTTGGCTCTGGAGAGCATTTCGCCGGGTGTCTCCTCTTAAAAGCCACCAGGCTGCACTCCAGAGTGGCGGCGTCTCAGTGACCCATCCCAGAGTGCTGTCTGTGCTAAGCAAACTGACAAATGAGCTCTAGAAATTGGATTTTTCCCTTCTGGACCCAAAGTGGCCATGCACGGTCGAGTATACGGAAACCGCAACGTTGTTTCCATAAGAATAGAAACCAAGATTGAAACTGATACTTGAAAAATAAAACGAGAAAATGATGCTCAAGCCAAAGATTTTCTTTCCCCTCCCCTTAATATTACATGATGGCTTTACAAATCCTAAGGACGGAGCACAGCAGCACAGCGTGCCTACCAAGGTGCAATTGACGAGCTGGCGTTCCCAGTCACAGTGGGGCCCAGCCCCATCGCCTTCCGGGTCACCCTGCGCTAATGTGAATGGCAGTGATGGCTGCTAGATTCAGGCACCTAGATGGGCTGCGTTTGGAAGAGGAGAAAGCCTTAGTAGGGTGTGACCTGCCTGCGGGGCCGAGGCGTGCTGGAGGCAGAGCTCGAGGAGCTGCTCAGGTGGAATCTCTCCTCACTCTGGATGCTGGAGGACCGTTTGGCCATCCCAGGTCTGGTGAAAGGGATGCCCCGTCCCAGTGGTGGTGCTGGAGCTCTCGAGAGTAGAAGGACAGATCCCGCCGTAGTGAGCCGCCCCGGGCAGAGAAACTGTGGATCTTGTTGCCAGTTAAAGGCTGGGCTGAAACCAGAACCAGGGCCTCCCCAGTCCTGCCTGCTTCGTGAGGCACGTCGAGGAGTGAGATGCTGTTTGTATCTCTCTGGCATTTGCGGCGGAGTCACAGGCACCTGTGCAGACACCACCAGCGAGAGGGCCCTGCCCTCCCCGCCCTGTCCTGCCAGTACCTGCTCACAAACCCACGTACCCACCCAGAGCCCACAGGGGCCTGGCGCTGGCCTGGGAGCATTTGGTGGCCTCTGGGCATTTTCCGGGAGGCTCCCTCCTGTTCCCAGTGGGAAAGTGCATGCCACGGCCCATTCAAGCCATTCCCAATGCAGGTGACACCCCCACGATCACTCCCAGGCAGGGTCAGCCCAGGAGCCCCCGTTAACACCACAACCTCACATTCGGAGGGGGCTAGCGTGACAGCCCTCCAGCCACCCACCGATGCCACCCTGGGCCTGCTGTGGCCTCAGATGCATAGCCTCTCAGGTGGGGGCCGCCCTCCCTCTGTCCACGCTGCTCTCTGCTGGGCGCCCACCGTTCCTGCTGTGGCCAGCTGCATTTTCACTTGCACTTTTGGTCGCCTGATCTTCCTGTCTCCCTGCCCTCCGAGCGTCCGGGTGGGATGGAATGCCCCCATAAACCCATCCGTCACGCCATGCGGAGGCCCTTCTTGCCTTTCTGGCGGAGTCTGACGTGGGCTTGGTCCGTGCGTGGGCTTGGCCAGCACTCCTGCTCCCCGGAGCTTGTCATCAGGTGGGGACGCAGAGACGGATGCTCCAACACCGGCCCCAATAGTTGAAGGCGTTACATGCGACGCACTGACCAGGAGGGCCCAGTCATACCGTGTGGCGTCAGGAGGTGGGACCTGGCCAGCCCCGGGGTGGTGGTGGGGGCAGCTGCCACAGCTGCTGGGCTCCCGGCTGTCTCTCTGGATCCTCTGGGCACGGGGCCTGGGCCCCCTTCGGGCTGAGGGTGTGGGCTGCTGAGGACTGTGGTCACCCCGGAGCCCAGCGTGGAACCACGGAAGAGCCGCACAGAGGCAGAGCCCCCCCAGCTGCCCTGCATCCCCGGAAGAGGAAACCGGCGCCCGATGGCAACAGAGAAAGAAGCGGCCTCCTGCAGGCAGGGCGCTGGGGCCTGAGCCGCGTTGCGGAACCGCCTGCCCCATCTCACCGCCCGCCTGGGCAGTTGGGAACACCACGGACTCCGCCCCTTCACCCGCTGCTGACCTCGGCTGGAAAAATGGCGGGACGCGCTCCCCGGCTCCCCCAGCCTCGCCTGAGCCGCCGCTCCGCTGAAAACCCTCTTTATTTTGCTAGCTGGGCCCTCAGCACACGCGCCGCTGGCTCCTCGATTGCTGGCAGCGGCCGCCGCGCTCTCAACCTCCCCGCACCCCGGCAGAAGTATTAGGTGTGTTTGATTAAGCGTTTTAGCCAAAAAAAGCGAGGTCTGACCTCTGGCGTTTAGCTGCTCTCACGGGTCCCAGCGCCAGGATTTAGCTAAGTGGGGTTGGTCAGAACCTCTTTTTTGACTCTTAAAATAAATACCCTCTGTTCTCCAAAAAGTCAGCAAAGAGGCCACGTACGCAGAGGCGCTTAGGGCTCTGGAGTTCTGGCGCCGCCCCAGGGGGGCTCAGCTTGCTGTTTGGTGCCACAAATGGATCCCAGAAGGTTTCTCTCCCGTCAAAATTATCTGTTATTAAAGTATCTGAGAACCTAACTAAGGAGGAAACCCAGAGTGAGCCCCGGCCACGGAGCTGCTTCCATACCAGCGGGAGGTGGACGGAGCCCGGTGCGGAGGAGGCTGAGGCCCATGAGGGACCCCAACACTCCGCTTTACCCACCCCTTGCTCTTGGCATTGAGAGCAAACCTTCTCTCTCTAACCTACTTCTCTTTTCTTTCTTCTTCTTCTTTTTCTGTTTTTTTTTTTTTTTTGAAACAGGTTGTCTCACCCAGGCTGGAGTGCAGTGGTGCAATCATGGCTCACTGCAGCCTCAGCCTCCTGAGCTCAAGCGATCCTCTCAACTCAGCCTCCTGAGTAGCTGGGACAACAAGCACACCACCATCCCGGCTAATTTGTTTTATTTTTTGTAGAGATGGGGTCTCACTATGTTGCCCAGGCTGGGACTCCTGGACTCCAGCAATCCTCCCAAAGTTCTGTGATTATAGATGTGAGCCATCATGCCCAGCTCGGCTCTAACTTTTCTTTCTTTTCTTTCTTCTCTTCTCTTCTCCTCCTCTCCTCTCCTCTCCTCTCCTCTCCTCTCCTCTCCTCTCCTCTCCTCTTCTCCTCTCCTCTCCTCTTCTCCTCTCCTCTTCTCTCTCTCTCCATCTTTCCTTCCTCTCTCTCTTTTCTTTTCTTTCTTTCTTTCTTCTTTACTTTTCTTCTCTCTCTCTCTCCCCGCCCACCCCCAGCCTCCAGGCTAGAGTGCAGTGGCTCTATCAGCTCACTGCAACCTCGACCTCCTGGGCTCAGGTGATCCTCCCACCTCTGCCTCCCAAATAGCTAGGATTAGAGGCATGCTCCACCATGTCTGGCTAATTTTTTGTATTTTTTGTAGAGACAGGGTCTCACTATGTTGTTCAGGCTGATTTCTAACTCCTGGGCTCAAGCAATTCTCCTGCCTTGGCCTCCCAAAGTGCTAGGATGACAGGCGTGAGCCACTGTGGCTGGTTCTAACCTACTTTTCTTTCTTGCCCATTTCTGAAGTAGCTTCGTTGGACCCAAAGATGTGGGTCTGAGTCTAGAACCTGCTAAAAGCTGATTCCAAGGCCTCTTCTCCTTGAAGAAGCCCCTATGGGTGGAGTCGGGGGGTCAGGGTTGTCTATGCAGGGCACCCAGGGGCATACAAATGGCAAGGCTGATGGAGCTGTCTACAACCTCCACATCCCATCCAGGCTCCAAGCCTCACTCTGCTCACTGCTGGGAGACTGTGGGGTCGAGGGGCTCAGGGTTCTGCTGGACACAGTCTGAGCAAAGGTCTTGGTGGTCAGCAGCTTCAGCTTCCATGCGGCCTACATGTTCAGCAGGGTTTTACACCCAACTAAACAGTGCCCCTGGCAGGGCTGGAAGCTGATGACCAGGCCACACTGAGCCTCCACATCTCAGGGTCATCTCACTCTCGGAGAGGAATGTCCACGGCCACCCACACATCCTCCCTTTCTGAGAAGATGGAGTTTTTAAAGAACAAATCTCATTCTTAATTTTCTTTTCCAAATGGAAGCCGTGGGTGCTGCCAATTTCCCTGGTGTAAATGTTGCATCAAGGTGATGGCAATGGTGAAGCCAGTCATAACAGCAGCGGGTCATTTTTTGGGGCCCTGCCACATGTGGGGGGCCTGTCCCAGGCACCGCAGACGCGGACCTCCTCCTCACAACCACATGTGGGAAGCAGGAACCAGCAACGCCCCTGCTGTGTAGACGGGAAACAGGGGCTGCAGAGTTGAGGTGACCGGGCAGATGTCGAGGAGCTGCTCAGGGCAGCGCCCGCACTCGAGTCTGGGCCTCCTGACTCCAGGAGTGTGCTCCGGCAGGACAGAGGCCTCCGGGTGGATGCCTCGGCAGGAAGAAGACACACGCCAGGCCCTTCCACCCGGGACTTGCACCTGAACCCCGGCCAGGACTCTCTCCACGGCCAAGCTCCCTCCGGCCGTGTGGGCTCCAGCAAAGCTGGGCGGCTTCCCGTTGGCAGCTCCCGCAAGAACCGTGAAAGGCGGTTAGTCGCCGGCCGCCCCGCCTCTGGCTCGCAGAGCAAAGACTGCACTGGTGTTGACACAAACCCTTGCGCTCTCAACCGGGAGTAGGATAATATTTATTTATTTTTTGCATTAAAAAAATCAGCTTGGCCGTGTTTGAGCTACAGAAATGATTTTTTTTAAAGCTCCTTGGACACTGCTTTTAGCTTTTATGCCTAAACAGTTACTTCTCAGTTCCTTCAAGTGAGATCCATCCAATGAATGGAGGCTCTCTCTTTACTCCTAAGAAAAATATTTACACAGTCAAGTACGGCACAGAAAAGGACCCTGGGCTCTGGAGAGCCCGTCCTGAAATGCACAGAGGTCTCTACGCCGCTGTTTACACTCCCAGCCACCACCTCCCTCACTCCTGCCCTCCGCATCCCCTGCCCCCACCACCAAAGGCCTTCCCAAGCCTCCCGCGTTGGGCCCTGTCATCAGGGGTTGGCCTGGGGTTCCGCATGAGAACCCCGCAGGGCTGTGCGACAGGAGGGAATGGCCCCTAAGCCCTACCTTCCAAACCCTCTTTGGCCAATGAGAGAAGCCAGGCCGCTCTGCTTCCAGGGCCCCGAGCAGGGAACAGCACTGGGATGCAGCATCTTCGCCCCCAACCCCATGGGACCCGAGCTCCAGGCAGGCAGCATCTCCGCTGACCTGGTGAGATGGGGCCTTGTGCTTTGCTCCGGCCACAAGCAGTCTGCTAGAGCCAGCAGACTTCAGTGCACGCCCAGTGATTTTCTCTCGACCTGCAGGGCTGCCACCGCCTGGCCCTGCCCCGCCCAGCCAGCAAGGCCTTGAAGACCCAAAATCTGGGCATGGCCTGCTTCTCTTTCTGATGTTCCAAGAACACTCTGTTCGCTGGCAGCCCCGCCTGTGAGTGCTGCCCCTTGGCCTGGACACACCGCCCGGGCGAGGCTGGCCCCGCGCGCATCTCCCTTCCTGTGAGATGATTGAATGGGCACTGCTCTTCCTCTCCCTGGCCCCCGGGAGCAGGCTCCACACCCCTTCATGTCCTCATTTCATAAGTGGTATTGAGCACCTTTGGTCTACACTGCCCCACGGAGAGTGCCTTGGAGACATTTAAAAAATACGGAAACAGTATTTAGTCCAGAATTCACTACTCTGGGGCAGACACAATGGGTAGGACCCACCCTGCCTTCCACAGCAACATCAACACGAGGAAGAGGAAAGATCTCCAAGTCTGGGAGCTGAGGTCCTCTTGGGGGTGGGGTCCCGAAGTGGGGGTGGGGAGCCCAGGAGGTGATGGGGCTGGGAGTGAGGCAGCATATGCACAAAGGTGTTAGCAGGGGGCAAATGAGCACCCCAGAGACGGAGGAGCCCTGGGGTTGGGAAGCCTGGGGGGAGCTCTGCCATGGCCCTTTGAGGACCAGGCTGAGGGATTTCACTCAGGCAGGGGCTCTCGGATGGAGGCAAGAAACAGACGATGGGGGCATGGGGTGTGGAGGAGGGACAGTTTGCAGGAAGGGTGGCTTCCTGTGTGCACGGGCCCCCAAGGGGTCTCCCTCCTCATGTCTGCTCGGAGGAGCATGTGGGGGTCTTTCCTGCTGACCCAAGTGTGGGGCCCCGCAGTGGGCTCCATCCGGCCTGTGCCCCCCAGCTTCCTCCCTTTGCTAGGACCTGTCTAGCTCTCCTCACACAGAGAAGGAGGCTGCCCAGGACAAGAGGCCTCCATGGTGAGGTGGAGGGCCAAGGGCCAGGCAGGCCGGGCTCCGCACTGGGTACTTGGCCCCCAATAATGCATGTAAACCCCAGAACACACCCACGAGCAAGGCTATGGCTTCCTGCTCTGTGCAGAAGAGGAAGGGGCTCAGAGAGGTAAAGTAGCCTCCCGAATTTGACAGCAGGGGAGTGCTAACCCGGGCTCACCCTGGATTCACATGGGCCCTGCCAAGATCAAGGTGAGTGGACCCTGAGTAGGTGGTGCACACCGAGGGCAGGGCTGGGCAGCCCCTTTTCCCAGGGAAGCCTGAAGATACACAGGTGTAGACCAGCCCTGGCCCCCAGCCCGGGTCACCCAGGCACCCACCGGCGTGGGGCCCATGGCCACGCCCAGCTTGCTGGTGAAGTACCCAGGAGGCCCCACTCCCTTCCAGCCTGCAAGCAGCCCTGTGAGGACTCACTTTCCTCTGCCCACCTCATTGCCAATGCGGTGGTCAGACAAGCGCCCCCCCAGGCCATTAGCATATTTGTGGTC
Organism: Homo sapiens; assembly: GCF_000001405.40. Lineage (NCBI taxonomy): Eukaryota > Metazoa > Chordata > Mammalia > Primates > Hominidae > Homo > Homo sapiens. The sequence continues at coordinate 3,236,393 of NC_000001.11, read as the reverse complement.
CTTGACCTGGAAGTCACAGGAGCCTCTCAGAGGACGAGGCTGCTGGAAGCCCTAGGGTGGGGGTCCTGTCTCTCTCTCCAACTGCTCCTGGCCTGGGAAGCCACCCCCCGCCAGGCCTCTCCAAGCCTCCTTCCCAGCCCCAGGGGCTGTGGGAGACAAGGAGGCACTGTGGGGTCCCCCTGGCCTGCCCTGGCTGTGACCTTGCTCTGCCCTCTGCCTCTAGCACCTCGGGGCACAAGGTAGAGTTGGGGGCAGGGCTATAACTGACCACCTGCCCTGGGGCTGCAGTTGTCTGGGGAGGGTGGCGCCTGCAGGGATGCCTGCTCTCTGGATACTGCCCCCGCCATGCTATCCCTTTCCAGAGAGGAGAGAGTGCAGGTTACCACGTTCAGACCTTCCCAAACTTCCAGAATGCTTGGGCCATTCCAGCCACAGCTTTGAATTCTCCACCAAGCCAAAGACGCAGCTCCTCCACCACACAACCCCCACTCCCCCGCCATGCTCGATGGGCTGCTCCAGATCTCAGAGCTCCGCCCCACACAGGCAGGACAGCCCTTTCCAAATGAGGGGCCTGGGGGAGATCTGACCCAGCCTGAGATTCCCTGGAGCAGGGCAGGCTTCCGGGGTCTACATGGCAGGGACCCCCCACACCCCGCCCCCGCCGTCCTGGACTCACGGGCGCTCTTTCCCCCATGTCAGGCGGAGCTGGGGAAGGCCTGTTGTTCCTGGGCTCCACCTGGGAGCCCCTGCTGATGGAGCAAGGTGAGAGCGGGTGGGGGTGACCTGGTGTGGGGACTGGCAGGAGGCTATCAGCCCCTGGGGCGCAGGCTCCAGAGCCCTTTCTCTGCCAGGCAGCGGGGCGAGCGGGAAGGATCTCTGCAGGCCCCTGTCCCCGAGCACAGGGGTGTCCAGCATTGCTTCTGGCCCTCTGTGGACACCTTCCTCCTTCTGCTTCCGGAAGATTGATGTCCCCAGGGGAAGGGAATGTAAATCATAAAAGCAGGTGACATGTGGCCCTCGCGATCAATGGCTCATGAAGAGCCATCACTTCCAGCACGAGAAAGGGAAGCAGCGGCCAGTCCAAGAGCCTCCCGTAGCCAGCTCAGGAACTGGACACGCACGCCCTGGAAATGAGGAGAAAGTTCTGCGAGGCTGTTTGTTCCTGGAGCTGGTCTCAGAGCTTCCGAGGGCCTGGGTTCTAGAAGATGAAAGAGCCAAGGCCTGGAGCGGCTGGGCGGCCTCGCAGGGCCCCAGGACCTGCAGGCAGGGCTCGGTAGGGGGCTCTGGCTGGGACGCCAGTGGAGCCGATCCCAGGGACACCCTCTGCACTCTGCAGCTTCTGTGCTGGGAAGGTGGTGTTGAAGCTGATGGTTCTAAGTGGACGGCAGGTGACCTTGACCCAACCCACTCACACTTTATTTCTCCACCAACTTTCATCAGAGCCCTGCAGCCTGGAAAAGGATGGCCAGCCTCACTTCAGAGCTGCCCAGTTATTACAGGCAGGCCCGTCCTCCCTCCTGGATTAGACGCCCCTTTAGGCCAAAGGTGGGTGTCAGGCACCATCACGGCCCCTCCGAGCAGGAACACAAGGGAGACCCCACGTGGCATTTACCGAATAATAAATCATGAGTCAGTGAGTGGAAAATGGGAGCTCTCCTTGTAGAATTTACCGAGCTGCTACATGGTCATGTTCACCTGGGCCAGGCCCCTGGGAACCAGGCCCTGGCCTGTGGGTGGAGGGTGGGGACTGGCACAGTCACGGTGGGGCCCGGCCATCCAGCCTGCGGGGGCCCTGTGCTCGGGGTGGCTCTCTGACTATGGGGCTTAGGGAAGCTGCCCTGGCCACCCTGACAGGCTCAGGGCCTCTTGCTGGACCAGGCGTCTCGGGCAGGCGGCTAGAAATCAGATACCTGGGCCTCGAGGCACAGGGTCCGGCTCCCGCCTGTCTTGCGGCTGCTTGGCCTGGAAGTGGCCTGGCCGGGGCAGCCTGGGGAGTTGAGGATGGACCTGAGCTGCTGGGGCGGGGACAGCTCCTTTGTGCAGGCTCCGTGTCAGGGCCCCGGGGACAAGAGGACCAACCTGTGGCCAGGACTGTCTGGATTTGAGCTCTGAAAGCCCCTGTCTCGGGAAGCCCCTCTGTTGGTGACCATACTGGAGAGGAAGCATCAAAGCTACCGCAGAGGAAGGCCCCCAGAACAGGGGGATGAGTCAGGGATGAACCCTGAAGACGAAATCAACACGACAGTCCCATGCCCGGGTTCCAAGAGCCCAAGCCCTGAACACACTCCCAGGACACCGGGACCGACCCAATCGCAAACCCCGAAAGTCACATCCAGCCTGGTGGGAGCGTCAAGGAGCCGAGGGCTCCAGGCTCAGCCAAGACAAATGGAAGGGGAGCAGTGGGCCCTGTGCCCATCCTCCAGCAGCCACTCCCACCCGCAAGAGGCCATCTCAACAGTCTCCCAGAGTTCATAGAATTTCCCCCCACCTTTTTTTTTTTTTAAAAAAACCCCAACACTTCATTGCGGTATGATTGGCATATAAAAAGCTGTTGGTATTTAATGTAGACAACTTTATGAGCCTGGAGACGCAAGAATGCACCAAGAAACCATCGCCACGATCCACACCATAAACCCATCCATCACCTCCAAAAGCTTGCCCTGCCCTCTTCATTCATCATTAGTTTATTTTGTGATGGGACAATCTAACGTCGGCTCTCCTGTGTTAGTAAAGTTATGTAGGCAACAGGGAGGCTGCTGAAGGAGGCTACTGCAGGCCTGCTGGGCAGAGAGGACCAGGCCAGGCTGGCCGCACTCACAGGGGCAGGGAGAAGGATGCTGGCGGAATGGTTTTCCATCTTCCAAAGGCCAGTGTCTGTGAGCAGGGGATGTTCCATGCTCAGCCTGAGCCCTTTGCGCCCCAGGACAGATTCCGCTCACTGTGAGTGGCAGCGGCAGGAGGGGACCCCAGCTCCGGCGGGTGCGCTGTGCCTTCCCCCAATCACTTAAACCAACACCAAACTCTGCCATTGCAAACCCCAAAGTGGCTGTCCCGACTCACATCTGAAAGATGTGCCCTCCCAGGTCCACTGCTGGCCATTTTCCACCCTGCTTCTGAAAATGCTGACGGTCCCTCCTCCACACCGACGACACAGGAGGTGCTAGGCACCGCGCGGCCACCGGCCACCCCCACCCTGGGCAGGGGGCAGCTGCTGGAGGCTCCCTCACTGGCACTCCTCCAGGGCAGCCCGGTGGGCTCTGCACCAGCATCTCCCCAGGGAGCTTCGCTTTCCACGGGGAAAATAAATCACAGGATCAATGATCGGTTCTATACAAACATTTATCTTTTATCTCAACCCTTTTTAGTTATAGAAATGACCTGGAAATTGACAGAATCATATGAATGCACTTCCACCTGACTCTGCTGATTGATCCCTCGTTTATTAAGGTAATTCTTAATAATCATAAGTGAATAAGAAGGGTCGTAGATCTCCTGGTAACAGCGCCTGGGTCACATGTGCGTTTGAAAGCCCCAAGACCCAGGACTGGGTGGGAGAATCTGACCTCCCCAAAGTTGGGCTCTTCTCTGGCTACGACACCACTCACTGAGGTTTGGGAAACCTTTCAAGATCCGAAAGTGGATCCATATCCGAGCAGAATATGGAATTTTAATTCCCTTAAAAATGGCAGGCAGCACCTTTCTGGGGATGGAGGAAGCAGAAGCAGCTGCCAGTGTCACTACCCCCCTTGGCCCTTCCCTGATCAAATTCAGTCTTTCTCTCATCCTCGCTTGTCATGCATCCCACTTACTCACGAAGCAAGCATTTGTGGACTCGCATTTCTGAGTTCCGCAAACTTGCAAGCCAAGGAGGCCAGAAGTACAATTGTTTCCCGTTGTATTTTATTCCTGATTGAAATAAAATAACAATGATAATAATAACAGCTAATATGCTAGCTCTGCCAAAGGTGTCACTGCATCATCCTATTTAATGCTTGAAATAATCCTACAATAATCCCCATTTACACCTGAGAATGCTGAGGCTCAGAGAGGTTAGGTTAAGTCGTCCAATGTCACAGGGCCAGCAAATGGCAGAGCTGGGATTCAAACTCAGGCCGTGCAGCTCCACCCGGCATTATCCGAGCCATTCGCTTATTTGGCCTCCCTTGAACTGGTTCCATTTGGAGAAGTGAGGGAGATGGATCGGCGGGAAGGGAGAGGGAGATGAAGAGCTTTGCTTTCTCTCACATAAGGAATGTTTCCAATCTGTTGCAGGGACAACACACAGAGGCCCGAGCTCCTGGGTGTCGGTCGCAGCTGCCTGCGAACTCGAGACCACCGTGCGTGAAGGCAGCGGGAGGCAGAGCGTCACCAAACAAGACTGCATGCTTTCCTAATGGGACCCAGTGACAGGAACAGCTGCAGCGAGGAATTCCGGGCTGATCTGCTGGGAAAAACTGGCCACCTCTGGAGTCTTGCAACGTCCATGCAACTGTGGCTGCAGCCGGGACCCCCCAGGGTCCAGCTTTACTCTCTTGGGGCGGAGTTAGTGGAGAAGCTGAACCAGGAAGGCCTGGCAGGTGAAAGGCTGCCCGCTCTGCCCGTGATTTCCAAGTAACCTCCCGGGGTCCCACGTCTGCATTTCCAGGCCATACCAAGTCCAGGGACTGCCCAGCCTTGCTGAGATGTGGGCAGACGTACGGCCAAGGCCACCTGCCCTGGAGGATGCCTTCAGGGGCTCCCTGACCAACACGGAATGTTCCTCCGACCTTCCTTCCTTCTGGTGCCTTTCACAGAGCTGGGAAGGACGGCAGAAACCAGGCAAATAATCCTGGGCCCCAAGCCAGCGCTTCCCATTGTGAGTCCCAGAAACACCTCTCGACCCCCGCATCCCCTGGGCTGAGCAGCCTCGACGCCCTCATCTGTGAAGCGGGAGGCAGATGCCCCAGGGGGACGGCCTTGACCGCTGTCCCTGACGACGGAGAAGGGGAGACGGCCTTGACCGCTGTCCATGACGACGGGGAAGATGCAAACAGCAACGCTGCCTGGCCCATCACTCACCTATTTTCGGCATGTGCACACAAATCGTGATGGCGCTCAAGACGTAACCACCCGTTTTCAAGACTGCCATGACTTGCGGACCAAAAGCCTCTTGTGGCGATTAACCTAGTAAGGGTGATGGCAGGATGGGCGGCTTTTACGTGTATGAAGGGTTGTAAAAATAAACAAAAACGTGTATGGGACGGAGGTCACACAGGACACAGAAAGCCTAAATTATACATGATCTGGACTTTTACATTGGAGGCACATTGACCCCGGCCCACGGCAGAGACACCACGGCTCCAAGGAGGACGGAGATAAGAGGGCACTCATGTCCTTGGGTAGCCAGTCCAGCTGCCAGCAGAGAGGCGGGGACGAGCCTTCCCCAGCCTCTCTCCAGGAATGGGAGGCTTCCACGAGCAGAGGTGGCTCATCTGTCCCTGCTCCCTTTGCTCACACCTGCTCCCAACACCAAACGGCCAAGGCAAAACCCCAAGCAGAGGAAATACCATAAGGTTGTCACTTCGAATGCCTCATGGTGCCCGAGGCTGCAGTGCGGTCGCACCGGGCAGGTGTGGGGAAGGAAGGTGCGCAGGCACCACACAGCCAGCGAGACAGGCAGGCAGGGCTGCTGGGAACACCCAATCCTGGGGACAGCTGTCCTGCCTCACCCCAACCGGGGCCGCGTCGGAGCTGCCTTCTCAGCTGGAGCCTCCCACGGGGAAAGGTGGTGTGAGATGGGAAGCAGTCTGAAACGGCTGTTCATTTATATTTTTCTTATTTTCCTCCTGTTTGTTTTCCAACAAGGAGAAGCACACGAACTTGCCACAAGGGAGATCCCCAAACCCTCAGAATGTCAATTTCCATCCACACAACTTCCCTGGATATTCAACCTCCTCTGGGATGGGGAAGGGTCTCTTCTCTGGGGCAGGTCTGGTGGCCGTGAGTCCGGCGCTAACTGAGCTTCTTGTCTGGATGACTGTGGAGTCTCACTCCATTGCTACCCCAAGGACTCGTCCCAGGAGGCTGGGAGTGGAGTCCTAGTGCAGAAAGGCCTCCGTGAGACCTAGCAACATCCAGGAATCTAGAACGGCCATCTAGTTGGCACCCTTGCCTGGCCTTGTGGAGAGCCGTCGGGCAGGTCAGGGATGGAGCAGCAGTTGCCAGTGGAGGCCAGTCTGTCTCTCTTGAGGCCCTCGGCTAGACAGCACACTGGGTGCCCGAAAGCATCCTCTAGTGATTTCATCTCACAGTGACCCTGTAGGGGTCCAGGGATCCCAGAGAGCTGCAGGGGGATGCGCGTTCCTCCTTGGGCCACAGCCATGCATCCGAAGTGCACAGAGTGTTCATGCAAACTAAACGCGGGCGCCAGGGCAGCTGCTTTTGGTCCCGACACCTGCACGGAGCTGCAGCTTTATTTTGCACCATCTTTCCTTGCTTTCTAACAAGTCACTGAAACAAGGGCAGAGACCCTGCTCTAAGGAAGAGAGCAAACCACTCTCCCTCCCGCCCGTGTCTGAGAATGGAGCCTGGGCCAGGGGCTCCTCTGGGGGCTGCTCCTGCCTGCTGTCCATGAGCCTCAGAAAAACAGACACACCTGCTCGCCTCCCTTCTTTTTTTTAGCCCTAAGATAAGAAGAAAGAGACCCTTAAGGTTTCCCTGGTTTGTCTCCAGCTGCAGGAGGTCAGCACGGACAGCAGGTTCAGTGACCAGGCTCATGGGCTGCAAGTGGCTGGGTGGGACTGGGATCCGATCCGATTCTGCCATCCTGCCTGTGAGGCTTGGAATGTACATCCTGTGGCTTGGAGGCCCTGACAGGGAAGATGGGAGGTGGCGCTTTGATTCTCAGCTATGCCGTGTGGCTGTCAACAAACATGACAAGGTCACCATCTGTCTGCAGGATGGACTGAGAAAAATGTCCTTTAGTGCAGGAGAAAGACAGGGGCATGGGGGTGAATGTGCTTCCCAGGCCACCTAGGGGAGGCCGGGGAGGGGCCCCCGGGGCACCTGCAGGTGTGGGCACCTCTTGCCCGATCTCACAGTCCTCCCTGACTGCTTCTGTGCTGGACTGTGGGTGAACAGTGCTCCCAGGGACACCTGTCCACCCAGCCCGTGTGTGGGTAACGATGGCCCTGGGGGAATATCCACCAGTCAGTAGCGGAAGAGGCGCCTTCCTCTCGCCATGACCCTGGGCTCCTCCCTGGCTGCTTGCTCCATGGATGCAGGAGGGTTGTGTTCACGGTGCCCTGGGGAGGTGCTCTGCCCAAGTGGCTTTAGAAACGGGCACCTTCCCGCCTGCGAAGGCATTCACCCAGGAAGGCTCATCTTGAAGAGCTACAGAAATAGTCTCAGACACAGTTACTTAAACTTTATTCTTAGGGCTGGGAGAGCTGTTCTGCAGTGTGATTTATTTGCTCTTCCCAAGGACTGAAAAGAGGGGTGAGGTTGCCGGCTGTGAACCAGGCAAGCCTGTGGGAAAGCACTGCCCGTGGCGGTGATGGCTCAGCGCGTCCCGTTCAGAGAGAGAGAGATGGAGGGAGAGAAAGGAGACCCCATGGCAGGAGGCCTGGGAAGCTGGGTGGACAGTGCAGGTGGACGGGCAGAGGGATGACAGAGGGTCTCACCTGCAGAACTAGGTGGTACTGGTTCTGGAGGGATGGGCCATGGCGAGGAGCCCCCAGCTCATGAGGGATGATATGTACAGGCCGAAGCCCTGCGTTCCACAGCTGGGGCAGCTGCAACGTTGTCGAGGCAGTGGGGAGAGGGCAGGGAGACTATACAGCCCTCATTCAACTTTATGCCCATCTTGGACTCCTCTGAGCCTGGCACAGGACTTCCTCCCTGGGGCTGGCCCAGAGCTCCCTTTGGGCCGCAGGAGACCAACAGCGTTACTCTGAGAGGCGCACAAAAACTGCTTTCTCTTGACCTCCATTTCTGTTAGCTTTGTGTAGCCTCAAGTAATTAATTCTGGTACATTCCTGTACTTAACAAACAGAATTTTCTGGGGGTGGGGCTGCCTGGGGTGTGCAGATTCACCTGTGCACGTTCAGGCAGAAAACGGTGGGATCCTGTTCCACTTTCAAGGCGTCTCGTTTATCGCGAGTGAACGCAAGTGCATCCCATCCTCGGTTTGCTTCTCTTTTCTGGAAAATGCTTTGTGCTTTTCCAGGCTTCAGTCCCGGGAAGGACACACACTGGACACATCCCTCCGGGGACTCTCTTCAGAAGAGGGAGGACCCCCGCACACTCAATCAGTGCTGCCAACTGGCAGGGACAGCCTCGCCACTGGCGCTTCTGTTTTGTCTTAAAGATCTCGCTTTCCCGGAGCGGAACAACATTTACTTGGATGTGACTGTGAAGCCTGGGATACTGCGAAGAGCCCACGGCTCGAAACAGAGACTTGGAGGAAGAGCAAACTCGACCCACTCGGGTGTAGGTCATAGTGGTGTTGGCACTTGTCGTGATGGAAAAAGAGAGAACGCCGGCTCTAAAGCCCCTGGCTGCCCAGCACCTGTCCCCACAGGAGCTCTTGCCCAGGAACAGGTCCTGCTCAGGAGACCCGGCCACCCCCTGCAAGAAGCTCTTCACAGCCACCTCTTTCTTCTGATATTTGAAGAGGAGCTAAAGGGTTAGGGCTGGCGGAGACGGGCAGCCTGGGCAGCCAGCTGTGGACTTGGGTCTTTGCATTTTACCAAACCAGGTCCCGGAGCCGGGCCCTACATCTCAGGTCCTGGGGGCTGATTTGGGGCCCACGGGTCCTGATTCCCTTTTGGCACTGGCTGCTAGAGTGCACGGCAGAGCCCCGCCGCAGCTGCGGCCCCACGCTGGACTGTCACGGTCCCGCCGGCCTTACGCACCTCCAGTCTGCAGCTCCATGCCTGAGAGACACCGCAATCTTTTTACCCAATTTTCCAGCTGAGTTGACGGAGGCCCGTGGGGGTCAAGGAGCTTGCCCGGGGTCACTGAGTAAAACAGCAAAGCCTGTGGCCTCGGGACAAGGATGCAGGACTCTGGTTCCTGTCCCTAATCGCTTGGCCAAAGGCTCTTTCATAAATAATAGAAATAACAGGGCTTCATTTTTCTTCAGAGGATAAACTCCCCAAACGGCCACCGGGGCTGCGGTGTGTGAGCTGCAGGTCCTCGCCGGGCGAGAAGGCAAGGTCGGAGCTCCAGCAGCCCGGGGATGAGGGGCTTGGAGCACAGGCTGGCTCCTGCAAAGGCATTAATTTGTAACAGACGCCCGAAGAGCTGGAAAGAGCGTGGATGTTCGTTGCACGTGACAACGGCTGATTATTCATTGCTGACAGTTATTAGCCTATTATTAAACGTATGAATTGCCTCTTTCATACCACATTGCCTATCCTTAAAGTGCTTTATTAACTAACATTAACCAATCCAATTAGCAAAAGACACTGTATTTGTGTAATTAGTAATTTGAGGCTTTGTTCTGTCTTGGTCTTAAAGAGAACGGGCATTGGATGTTGATTAGCGCGGAGCACTGTACAATTAGGAGAAGTGCTCGGAGATTAGCCGACACCGTTCTCATTCCCTGGGGTCCCCGTGCGGGGACCCAGTCCTGCGAAGGCGTGCAGGGGTTTATGTCTGCGGCATTTAAGTGAATCCAATTGCTTCCTCTTGCATCCAGGCCCCTCTCTGCAGTTGGCATGGCCTTCAACGTCAGGAAGGGGAAACATTTATTTTTATTATAAATTTAGAGGCTGGGCAATAAGGAACCTTGTTGTTAAATGCTCCAAGCCTAATTCTGCAGAAAATCTCACAATCCAACTCAAGAGTATTAATTGCAAGGTTTTTTTTCCTAATCAGACGCCAAAAGGAACATTTCAGGGAAAGATGTTTTAGGGCCGCCTTTGCCAAACGGCATTTCTGTTTATGTCTCTGAGCGAGCAGAGACGGCCAAGATGGGGCCAGATGCTCTAGATAAGGGGGAAGCCGTGGAGGGATCCGGGGTGCCAGGCGCAGCCTCACCGCACACCCGAATTCAGGACCAAATGAAGAGCGGCACTCAGGTCCTGTCTGAATGACCCCACCACAACATGTCAACGTCCCCGTGTGCCCCTCGGTGTTCCTCTCAGATGCCCCCAAATTTTATTAGGTTGTAAAAGTGCAGAGCAGACCTCATGAATCTGAGCAGCCACCCCGTGCTTCTTGGCAGCTCTTAGCTCTGAACAGGAAGGAAGTGGGTTGGCTTCAGGGATAGCTGCTCCCAGCCTTACCTGCTGGCACCTGAGCTACCTGGAGGAGGAAGCTGGAGTTTCACCCAAGGGTCCTGGGAGGGCTGCCTGCCTGCTGGGCGAGGTCGAGGCCAAGGCTCTGGCCCTGTCCTAAAAGTGGCCACCACAATGATCTGGGACCACTAAGGGCTGAGGCACGGATGCAGGAGAATCAGCCTCACCTGATCCGATTTGTTCCTGCAGAGGTAAAGAAGATGGCCTTGCATTGGAGCATGCCACCGGCTTTGCCTGTGCGGTGCCCACACATCTGGCTGCCCCGGCGGCTCCGTCCCCAGGAGCTGTGTCCTGTGATCCGACACTTCTGGAGGTGGGGCCGATTGCCCACTTGGAGCCCAGATGTTTGGGCTGGGAGCAGACACTGCTGACTTCATTCCAGTGCCGGTTTTAGAGCCTTATTTCAACTCCTTCAAGTAGGATTCTCATGTGTTTTTTTTTCCCCATTCCACGCCAAAATAAGTTAGAATTCTTGAAGACCCAAAGCCTCATCCCTTAACTGATCTTCCTTGCGTTTCCTTCCTTCTGCGCGCGCGCACACACACACACACACACACACACACACACACACACACACACAGGCAAGCTGCACATCATCAGGTCAGGCTGTGGAAAGCCTGCACCCAGGACACAGAGAGTGGTGTCCACGCGCCGTGCTGGCTGGACCTGCCCTTCAGAGGCCGACGGGGACCAGCGCACACAGGCACGCACTAAAGGTAGGGCAGAGAGGAGACCTGGGTGCAAACATTTCAGAAACCTCTTCAAAATATTTGGGTTTGTCAAAATCCCAAACCGCCGTTTGCCAGGCACTTTTCCCGCTAGTGTTTGAGCCCGCGGGTATTTTAAAGGAAATGAGATCCGTGTGTTTCTGATTTATTTATACTTAACTCATCAAAATGCTGTTTTAAAGAGCTATTTTGTGTCCAAAATGCCCTCTATGCCTTTTTTTTTCCTTCCAAGCTAAAAGCCATATTTTGCCAAGCATATATGACCTTAAACTCTAACATTTTCAAGGTTCTTTTGAAAATCAAGTTCATGAAGTCCAAGCAGACCTGAACCGTAATGAAGGCGCTCCTCGCCCCCACCTCAGGAGGAACGCAACAAATGGGAAGGTGATGCCCTTGGCCTTTTCTTGCTCTTTGTCTCTGACCCAAGCACCGTATCTGCCCCTGTGGCCCCGCCAGAGTCCCTGAGATGCTGCGTCCAACAGGAAGGAGCAATTTCTCTGGAGACACAAGTCCGCAGAGACGAGATTGCATAGTCCTTCCCAGAGCTCTTGCCTGGAGCAGCTCAGGGTCTCCTCGGAACCAGGGTGGCACCACAGTAGGCATCCTCCCGCCTGGCTTCACAGTAGGGGTTCCCCCTGTCATCCTGTGGAGCCCACAGTATCTTTTATCCAGGCTGTGGCCCTCATTCCTCCACCTCATCATCCCCCTTGGGGCCGCCTAATGCAGGTGGCCAGAGGGGAACACAGTTCTGCAGGTTTAAGACAAGTCAGACCGGAGCACGTTTTCTCTTCTCTAAGGAAAGAAAAAGAAAAAGCACTGGCCGAAGCCCCGAGCGCGTGTGGAAGGGGAGAGGGAGAGAGAGTGGCTGTGGGTGCGTGCAGAAGGGGAGAGGGAGAGAGAGTGGCCCTGGGCACATGCGGAAGGGGAGAGGGAGAGAGAGTGGCAATTGGAAGCTGGTACCCCAGCGAGAGGGGCGCACCGGGGCCTCCAGAGGGAGACACTACTGGGTATTGGCAACACTGTCGCCTGACCCATAACACGGCACCCAGGTTATACACTTTTGGGTGTGATATTTATCTCTGGCTGGTTTCATGCAATGGAGTTCAATTATGAATTTGATTGCTTTTTTGTGCACGATATAAAATCCTTTATCTTCGCAGCATTTAATTGTGTTCCCTGGCAGATTTGGTATTCATCACGGCCCTGCTGTCCCCAGCCCCAAAGATAAACCATCCACGGGGCAATAAATGTCCACTCTGGTTATTGATGCTTTCAGGGAAATTGATTATCTATTTGAGGGGCAGAGCCGGCTGATGTATGGCCGCCTCTTTACCTGACACAATAGCTTCCCTGGAAGAGAAATCCCTGATCGGTGCCATAGATTTCCTATTATATATAAAATTTCCAAAAGTGATACCCGTTTATCTTAATATTTGTAAAAGGAGGAGACGCCTCAGATGGGGTTGGAAAACTGTCTTCCTCGTTCATCTGCTCACGGTGTTTAAAGTTGAAAAAGGCAGTGGACAAGGTGGGTGATGAGACAGGAGGCTGCACCCCTGTGCTGGTCCCACTCTGGTTATTCCCGGTTCTCGCTGCCTGTTCCGCCGACCCCCTCCATTCCGGGGGCTGATCCCCAGCCCTGGTATCGCGTGACCTCTTGCACCTGGTCTGTGATTGACTGAGAAGTTAGTTCCTAGGGCTGACATGAGTATGCAGACCCAACACTCAAATTGATGGTGCATTCCCCTGCAGCCCTGAGAGGTAAAGCAGGCTTTGGATGAGTTTAGTTTGAGCTCAAGAAAAAGAAAATCCAAGCAATGTTATTCTAGATTCACCATCACGTACTTGGATGGCCAGTCTTTCTCCCTCTTGCCACGATTAAGAGAAAAATGCCTGCATGCCGGGGGTGAGCGTGGGGTCAGCACCTGTGTGAGGCGTGACACTCCTGAGCTGGGGAAGATGCCTGAGCCCAGGAACATTCCAGACAAAAGATGAACTTCGGCTCATCAGCAGCGCTTCTAGCAGCCAAACGATAACAGGCATCGTAAACTCCAGAAACGTTTGCTCCCCACGAAAATCGATAGCAACTCCGTAATCAACACTGCGATGAGCCGCGCCCTAGTTAAAACTGGCCCAGGGTGTGTTCATTTGCTAATTCCCAGACTCCAGAAAGAAGCCTTGATTTTCGGAGGTTGCAGTGAGCCAAGATCGCACCACTGCACTCCAGCCTGGCAACAGAGCAAGACTCTGTCTCAAAAAAAAAAAAAAAAAAAAAAAAAGCCTTGATTTTGGCCACGGCGGAGGCAGGGCCACCTTGGCTGCTCCAAGGATACCTCTATGAACAGGAGCTTCCATCTGCAGATGCTACCCCACGCACGCTCATGTCTGGGAGTCTCTGGAGCTGGGGATGTCTTGACCGATCCAAATGCCCCTCAACCTGGTCTTGCTCCCCAACCCACCCACCAAACTCCACCCCGGCCTTGAGGGCAAACTGCACACTTTCTCCAGGCCCCTTTGGATGCAAAGTGCCCTCACATCAGGCTTCAGCTTTGGAAACCACAAGCCCAGGAATCACAGATGGATGTGGGGAAAGATCCAGAACCAAGCCTGCATCCACTGCAGTGCTGGGAATGGGGATGCTGGTCCTCGCCCCACTGCACGCTGGAGACAGTCAGGGGCCCTGCAGAGCACCCATGCCCAGTCCGCCCCAGAGTCTCACGTTGGGGTGTGGGCTGGGCCTAAGTGCCCTGGGATGGGGAGCAGGCCCTCCCCTGCATGGTAGCTGGTGCATGAGGCCTGCTGGGCAGGGCCATGAAACACACCCAGCACCAGCACCATTGGTTGGCAGGGGCCCCGCAGGTTCCACCTCCTGAAGCCGACCACAGGCCGAAGGAGAGGCTTCCTGGAGGGAAGAAAGGCGGGGTAGTTGGCAACAGGCTGCGAGCCCCCACTCCTCATGGCGGAGGGAGGGAGAGAGACCTTCCTCAGCAAAAAAGAGGAAGTCCCAGCACCCAGGCCTGCTGGAGCCTCAGCTTGTTCTTCCAGCTCAGAACGCTGGAAAATACATCTCAGGGCCAGCAGCTGGGGCACCGCTCCCTCCCAGGGGAATTACATCTGTCGTCACCAGCTCCTCACTGGGGGAGGCTGGGCTGGGTGGGTGGGAGGGAACCCACGTGGGCAGCCCTCTGGCTGGTTATTTGCTTTGTCAGGGGGTGGGACCTGAGCTCAAGGTCACGGCACCTGTGGCGGAGGCTGGCCCTGCAAACGCACCTGCAACAGCCCCTCCTTCCCCTTGGGCCTCCCTCACCTCACTTCCTGCCAGCACGGGGCCTGCAGACCTCTGCTGGGGAGCAGTGGACGCCCTCCAGGGTCTAGGGAGCAGATAAGACGCGAGACTACTTCATGAAGTTTACTGTATCCCCATCTAAATTTGTGGCTTTTCCTGCACAGATTTCTCCATACCCAGCAAACTCTGAGGATGGCTCCAAGGTTCTGGGCCTCAGGATGGGAGTGAATTCTCCATGAGGAAATTGTATATGTGTGTGGACATCTGTGTGCACATGTGTTTTGCATGCACGACCTGTGTTTGTGTGTACATGTGCCTAGACACGCATGCATGTCACTGTTTGCACACATGTGCGTCTGTGCATGTGTATGTGTGTGCATGCGTGTACATGGGGGCATCCATGTGTGTCCCACATGCCCAGGGTGGACATTTCAGGGCCGGGCAGGCATTGAGGGGAGAAGGGGGAAATGCAAGAGGCTGCCCCTGCCTCTGCTCTCCAAGCAAGCGCAGTGCATGACGTTCATTGGAAGCCAGACTTCTCTGTGACTGCTGGCCCGACCAGCAATGCTTTATTTTGACTAAAGAACATGCAGTGCTTAGAGAGTCGGTGCAGGCCGGACAAAGAGTCTCCCCAGTGAGGCCAGCTGCAAGCGCCTGTCATTTGTGCAAACACAGCAAATCCAAGCAGCTTTTGCATCTTCTGGAAAAAAGTCCCACGTACATGATCCGGTTTGATTGTCTCTGTTACGCTGAACCGGAGGCTCAGAGAGGCTCATGACTTTAAGGCCACACAGCAGGCAACTGAGCGCTGGAACCGGGAGGCCCAGAGTCCAGTCTTCTGCTCTCTTAGTCTAGAGACTGTTTCCCTGAAGAGCGGAGTGAGGCAGAGGCTGTGGGGCACTGCCCATCTTTGCCAGAGACCGAATGCTGAGGCTGAGTTGCACACGGTGAGGTTGCACACGTCCCAAGGCCCTAAGCCAGTGTCGGCATGGCCAGCTGAAATTCCAAGGCCCAGCCACTGGCAACCCGTCCCCCCTCTCCACCTCACTGACCACCCTGGGTTGTAAACATGACTCCTGCTCCCAGACAGGGTCTCCCTCTCTTGAGTCTGAGCATCAAGTGGCCTGATGGGATGGATTCTGAAATCACCATGTGTCAAAGGGCTGGAAGAGGCTGGCTCTGCCACTGTGGTGCACTTTCTCCCAAGGCTGGGCTAGGTTGGCCCTTTCCTCCCTGGGCAGCTTATCTCAAAGAGACCAAGGCGAGGAGCTTCCCCATGCAGACTGTAGCAGCACCCTTGGAGGAGGCGAGCAGATGCACGAGCCCTGCACCCTGGGCTGCCTCCCTGTTTGGGTTCCTGTTTGCCAGGCCCCTGCACACCTGTCATCCAGGGAGCTTCTCCCAGTGACACCCAGGAACTGCCAGAGAATGGGGAGAGAGACCAAATGGTGTCCTTTCAAGAAAGGGCCCCTCTAGACCATCCCCAAAGTCAGCCTTCCGTTGCATTTCAGGCCAAGGAGAACCACAGCAGCCTGGGGGTACGGCAAGACTCGAGGCCAGGTGGGCCGGCTGCTCCTGTGGCCCCTGCACCTGCAAGCAGGTCTTGGCTTTCTCAGCCCTGCCGACCCAATGTTGCCCCAACCTGTGCTGGTCCTGCGTGACCAGGTCCCAGGCCCACAGAGCTGTGGAAGGTGGCAGACGCGGGGAGGGCTGCAGGTAGCTCCTGGATTGGCCCTGGGCGTGAGTCTGAGCCAGGACAGACCACAGGTCCTGGGGCTGCCCTGGCCGGCTGCTATGATGCCTGTGACGTGGCCCCACGGTGTTGGGGACAGGTTTTGTGTGCATCGGCTGGGAGGCTGGGCGTGCTGTGGGGCCACAGAGATGTGTGGAGGAAGGTGCCGCAGACGGAGTGACGGCGTGGGCACGGCGAGGACAAGATGCATTCCTCCCGGCGCGTGTGGGCACGGAATGAATGTCTCTTCAAAATGAGGGCTATGTCTGGAGATGCAGGCAAACCCATTTAGATCCTCTGAGAGCCCACTCGGGGGCTTTTACTGTCTGAGGTTACGTGGTCAATGGTTTTCAGGAGAGGCTCATTATTACCTCAGCGCCAAACATCTGTGGCCAGCACCGCAGCCTCGCCATCTCCCCAGGGAGACTCCGCCGGTCTGGGTCCATGGCCTGTGCTAGCTCCGTGGATCCGGGGGACCTCATGCCTGTGGGGGAGCTGGCTTTGCTGAGATATCCTCCTCCGGCTTGCCAGAGGTGGGGAGACAGCGCCCGTGAGGTATGGGGGTTTCTCCCGAAGTCGGTGAAGCAGGGCAGGCGGGCGGTTACAGAGCCTTGAAATGCAGGGCGAGAGAGATGGCCGCTCCTGCCATGTTCAGCCCTTGCTCCTGCCATGTTCAGCCCTCACTCCTGCGGGACATTATCTGCACAGAATCTCCCGAGTGCAGAGCTGTGGCGGGGATCTGGGAGAATTTTATCGTCCTGTTCCCGAACACTGCAGACAGACCTGGGTAATTATTAACCCGGCTTCTGACTCTCTCTGTTCCCAAAGATGATACTGCCCTACCGAGGGCCTGCCAGCCCCCTGCGCTCTCCTCCCACGCTGGACCCCTTCCCCCGCCCCAGCTCCAAGGGGAAAGAATGAGAAGGCAGGTCCTCCGGGAGCTGGCACGGCAGACAATGTGTGTCTTGTGTGAGTAATTTAGCGCTGTGGCCAGTCAATCTGGTTTCTGGGCCCGCTGCCCTGACCCTCTTTAGAGCTGCTTGCTCTCGCCGACACAGTGTGAAACATTTTCTTTCACTGCGCTGACACTCCGCAGATTGAGACGTCAGCCTGGTCCAACTGCAGCAAATTAGCAATTTTTCTTTTGCTAATTGGAAATAAAAATGTTTGCCGAGGGAGCCGTTTGTCGGCATGCGGTTTTCGGTTTCTGTGCACCGTGAGGCTGTGTTGAAAATGCATCCTGAGGTACTGCCCACCCTGGGGTGCCCCTCACCACAAATCCTAAAGGCCCTCCTCGCGGCAGTGTGCAGAACACGCCTCTCCCCTGCAGCTCTCCGCTCAGCCCGGCACTGGACGCGAGGACCCCTCCTTTGGGAGAGCTGGGCCCCAGGCTGTGAACTTTCGGAAAGCCATTGGGATTGGCAGGTGGCAAAACTGTCTAGGGTGAGCTGTGAGAAAGCTCTTTGCAGGGAAGAGGGAGAACACGTCTCCAAAAATGCCAGCTGGGTTACGGGATTTCTGAGCAAGCGTGGTTCGGGTTGTCCACCTTGTCCGCTGAGCGTGCACCTGGGGGAGGAGCGTCCTGAGGCCTGGCCTCCAGGGCACATCTGATTTCAGCCACCCCTCGCTGCCAAGAGTAGAAAAGACCCCAGCTCGTGGGTAGAAGGTGGCAGAGGCACCTGCCAGTGTGGATAAGGGGAGGAAGCATCTTCTGCTAATTGGAACAAAGAAAGAAAGAGCCAGAAGGAAGGCAGAGAACATCCCTTTCTAAGGAAGGGCCTTGAGATCAGGTGTAGCCATTCAAAACTTGGTGAAGAGACAGGCCCCACCGATGCCCACCTGTGCGGGCGGGCACATCTGTGTGCACGTGTGCGTATGTGTGCCTTGGAGTGGGTGGGTGTGCCCAAGTGTGTCATGGCCTGTTCCCGCACACCGAGGTGGCCCCGGCTGCCCCCTGGGGATACCTGGGGAAGCTGGGGCTGCTGGCCAGCACCTAACGGGTTACTGCCCTCCCCCCTTCTCCGATAAAGCATTTGACAGCCATGCCTAATAATTCTTTCTGCTGGGTTTTTTCTTGATGTCTTTATGTGAATATGAAGCCGGAATGAAAGGCTTTGGGGGACCCCCATGAGAGAGGAGAAGTACGAACCAGAGAGGAAGAAAGAGCCCTGCGGCTCCCTGCCGAGAGCCAGGCACCTCCTCTGGCCGTCACGCCAGGCTGCAGAGGCCCTTTGTAAGTGCAGGCGACTCTTCTTCACTTGGCCACGACAATAGTGTTTTGTGGCGAGGGATGGGATGGGGGCGGCAGCGAGGGGCTCGCCCCAGGGCCTGCAGATGTTGGATGAGGGGTGATTTATTGCTCCGGTGTCCTCCTGCATTTGGCTACCTTCCCAGACCCCAACATCGGTGACAGAGGAGGGAGGGCCGGCAAGAGGGGGAAGAGGCCGGTGGCAGCAGTCCAAGGGGGCACCCCAAAACCTCGTGTGGGGAGCAGAGTTGGGAGTGAGCGAGGTAGCATGCAGGCGGCATCCCGAATACTTCTAGGGGGAAGAGCGCGCGTCCCAGCCAGCCCAAAATGAAACTCGCAGGGCCTCAAGGAAAACTGGGCTGAGTTTCTCAAGAGCTCTCCCGTGTTGAAAAAAAAGATCTACCGGGATGCACGGCACGGGGACCTGGCCCCAGGAAGAGCAGGGCCGTGAGTGAAAACGCTGCTTCTGGACAGCGTGCACTCAGCCACAGTGGCTGGGAGAACCCCTCACCCTCGCCGTAGACTTAGGCCAGCGCACTCAGCATGGCTGCCAAGCTCGACAGAGGCCAGTTTATGCTCCCAGGCACTCTTGAGATCCACTTTCATCTGGAATAAGGAGCAGAAAGGAGCGGTTTTCCTCTTGAGTTCTGACCTGGCCCAAACCAGAGAAGCCATAAATCCAACCAGGAGGGCTGTTCCCATGAGATCCCTGCTCCCATTCCAGACCAAATAAGCCGAGAAGAGCTGGGGGGCAGCCCAGCAGCTGCTGCAGCGTCTTCTGAACTGACAGCCTGCAAGCTGCCGTGCGCCCACTGCTGTGGCCGCCCCATCCCCAGCGCTAACCCAGGCTAAGGAGCTGGACGCCAGCCGCCCAGGAATGGATTCTGGGTCACTTCCAGGGAAGAGAAATCACTGCCGATCAACTCACACACGGGCGAATGCCCGTTTCACGGTGAAAGGTGTGTGAGGAGAAGGCCACCCGGGGCTTTTTATCCTGTTTGGGAATGAGCTTTGGTCACGGAGCCCTGGAGGAAAACACCACACAGAAAGCGTGCTTCTATCCACACAGAGGGTGCCGTTTCCCCTGCTGCCCTGCAACATTTGGACATGGAACAGTGCTAGGCTACGAGTTAATTCACAGAGGAACTGCCGCAATCCCAGTGGGTGGCTTCAGGCTGTCAGAGACAGTGGTGGCCCAGGGAGGGACCAGGAGCCTGGGAGGCTGAGGAAGACAGAGGTGCGGACAGTGGGCACCTGAACTCTATGGCAGTCACGGATGACTGGCTACAGGAACCTGTCCCCTCCAGTTCCATGCTGATGGCCACAGCCACAGCCCCGCCCTCTGCAATATCAAGAATGGTTTCAGCATCTCCAGTCTCAGGCATGGGCCTAGACTCTCTGATTTCGTGAGGCCAACCACAGCCTCCGGACAGTGTGGCTCCTGACTCCTGCCCCAGGTTTGGGGAGACTCTGGGATGCCCAGCTCCAGCCTGCTAGGATGCCCACCTCAGCCTTCTATGGCAGGTCATTGAGTGTGCCCAGCTGTGATGTGACAACTAGGCCTGGTTCGGCGGGGGACAGCCACCGGGGGCATCTGAAACCCACCAACCCACCAGACCTGGGTGGGGATGTGTCTGGGTGTGTCTCCCCACGCAGGCCATATTGGGGAAGGCTCTTGGATTCTCCTTCCCTGGTGGGCTCAGGGGCCTGCAGGAGCATGCATGCTCTGTGGGTCTCCTCTCTGTGGAGGCCCCTCTGGCTTCCCAGCCCCGTGGCATGGATGTCACTGGAGTGACAGCACTGTGACAACCCACTGTACTTTCTGCGGGTTGGACGCTTCTTGAACATGGCTGGTTCAGCATCTCGGGGGCCTGGACACTGCCTCGTCAGCACAAATCTCTCCCCAGCTCCTTGCTGGGATATGTGGAAACATTTTTCCCATGGAAAGAGAGTGTGGCCTTTGTCAGGGGGCCACGGCCAGCCCGAATTACAGTAAAGATTAATCCCAAACAAGAGACAGAGACAGAGACAAAGAGCATCATACACTTGGGTTTTCAATGGATGTTTTCATAAATGTATGAATAATTTAAATTATCATTGCCGAGTATTTATTCGAGTGTTTCAGGGGGAAAAATGCCTCCTCTTTTTTCTCCCTTGATTCTTTTCATTTTTGCCTCATCTCTTTTATGTGCTGCATAGGCTGTTTTCTTGCCATCTGAATCGGCCCCGGGAACAATGGGATGTATGAGGCTGAGGAGCCGGGGAAGAATGCGCCCCTTGTTGCCGACGCCGCGCCTTGACATTGATTAATGAGGGTGCGGACACGGGCAGAATTTGTGAGAGCTGAGGGGAAACCAGAGGACGTGGGGGCACCCGAGGAGGAGGGCAGGGGCTGGCAGGGGAAGGCCACGGCCGTCCCTCCACGCCCAGTGGGAAAGGGCCAAGGGAGGGGTGGCCTGGAGCCACCGTGCAGAGGAGCACTGACTCGACAGGTCCCCGGAGGACAGGGCCCCTGTGGGGTTCTGGGTTGGTCCGCTCGGTGGAGGGAGGGTGGGGCTGCAGCCAGGTTGCTGGCTCTATAGGCAGGGCCCCCACCTTCCTTCCTGCACCACTCTTTTCCACCCCACACAAACCACTCTCTCCCGCCTCCACCCATGACCCTCCTGGAGGCTCTGTTCTCCTGGACCCCAATAGGCCTTGCCTGTCCCCGGGACCCATGACCCTCCTGGAGGCCCTGTTCTCCTGGACCCCGTGGGCCTTGCCTGTCCCCAGGGCCTGGCTGCACTTCCACGACATGGCTGTTTCTTCCTGACATGGTCCCAGTGGCACCTGTGGATCATCCACACAGAGGTCGGGTTCCGCTCTGTTCTGTGCCATCTGATCCTGTTTATTGAATGACAGATTCCTTAGCAGTAGGAGTGGACTTCTTGGGGATGTCCTTTTGGTTCTGATAGAATCCTCAACCCAGGCTATCCAGGAGCCCAACACTGACATCAGGACCAACAGCAGCGATGGGGAAGCAGATGGGATGGTGTCTTTGATGATGTTTGGATACGGTCCCATTGGCTGAAAAAATACCTTGATCAGCTGACCACACAATCCCCACACACAGGTCCCCACTGTCAGGTCTGCGGCATTGACCTCTAAGATCGGTGGCCCTGAAAGGAAGGTTTGGGGGACGATGCCCAGGGTATCACACCAGGGTCTCAGGCCCTGCCCAGCCAAAAGGTCTGTATTCACCACAGAAGCATCCTGGGGCCACAGCTCCCCAACGGTCAAGATCAAGCTCATTGTAACCATCTCCCCATGTGTTGGTATCTCGTCTGATGTGGAACATGTTAGCACAGGGCCAGGCACCCAACAGGGGCCCAACACACTATTCAGAATAAGAAGAATCTGTCTCTGAGGATGATACTAACTTAGCTGAAGCCATTCTTGCCCCTGCGAGATGCTATTGTGGTAATGTATCTCGGCTCACTGCAACCTCTGCCTCCTGAGCTCAAGCATTTCTCCTGCCTCAGCCTCCCAAGTAGTTGGGATTACAGGTGTGCACAACCACACCCAGCTAGTTTTTGTGTTTTTAGTAGAGACAGGGTTTTGCCACATTGGCCAGGCTGGTCTTGAACTCCCAACCTCAGGTGATCTGCCCGTCTTGGCCTCCCAAAGTGCTGGGATGACAGATGTGAGCCACCGCACCTGACCAAGGGCTTGGAGTTCTGAGGCCTGCGAGTCTGACGGTGCTATTGGGTGGACATCAGCTCTTAAAAGCCGCCATCGCCCTGGGTCGCCTAGCAGCATTTGAACTGAGAAAGGCATTATTTTTGCATAGAAACAGAGTGTTAGGGTTGGAAGTTGCCCAGCGTGTCAGACCCTCCTCAGATCTAGAAGTTTCTGGTTTGTGTCCAATAGGAGAATGGAAGGAAAAGACGCCTGTCTGAAAAGGAAAACCATTTTCTCCATTAACTACTTTCTCCTCTTTTCTGGTAAACTTTTTACAAGGAAACACACTTTTTGCTGGCCAAGCAGAGCCTCCCGGGCAGTCCTGCATCCTGCAGACAAGGGGCGGGGCTGTGGTGGGAGAAGGATGGCAGATTCCAGCCGAGGCGGACCCAGTGGCCACACGAGACTCCGACATGTGTCTGGGCGCAGCTTGCCTGGCCGTTCTGCTTGGTGCACTGGCCACACCCTGTCACCCGCGTGCTTCTGAGTTAATGTACCAGGCAGTGACCTTGATAATGATCTGGAATTGCAGGATTAATGGGGGGTGGCAAGGCCTCCTGGGAAGGCACCGGCTTGGCCTCGGGAGTCCTTGGTCTACGGCCCTGGCTGACCTTGTTTGTAGGTGACCTGGGGTGGACGTGGTGTCCCGGAAACCCCGCTTCCTTGCCTGGGGAGAGCAGAACCTCCTGGGCCAGGCAGAGTCTCCTGGAATCCTGGGGAAATGCTGGGTAAGAACAGGAGGAGCTTGGAGCATCTCATGGAAACAAGTGCCACCTCCCTCCAGAATGCCGCACTTGCTCCTGTTCCTCGGAGAAAGAGTGAGTTCCAGGTGTCTGTGCCCCCAGGGAGGCGACAAAGGACTCTCTAGCAACCCCCCACGGGCACAACCAAACCCAGGGGGGCACCCGCACAGCTGGGGTGACTGCCCGATTGGTGACAAGCCTAAGTGGAAAATTACAGTCCTCCCAATTTTATAATTAATGACAATGGCGGAGCCGAGACGCCCAGGACCCGCCATCCCGCCCCCACACCCCTCTCCCCAGCAAAATAGTTAGGGTGATTTGTGTCAGCAAATTAAGCAGAAATGGTTGTCTCTATGACTTGATGGACATGCCATGTTTAATTCATAAAGATTTGGGAAGGTGGTTTCTTCTCCATTTCCCCCCTCACCACGGAATGGGTGGTGTTTATTGGCTAATTTGGGGATCTCCAAATCTGTGTTTCTGTTGCTGTTGGCGGTGGCATTTCCTTTTTTGGCAGAGGAGTTGCTGCAAGCACATAGGATGGGATTTGCCGCGTCTTCCTGAGCTCGGCCTCCCGGGGAAGCGTGCGGCAGGCGGGCGAGCCGACCCCGCTTTCCTTTCTGGGTGAGACCTGTTTCGTGGCCACAAAGGTCCCACTGACTTCCCTGTGTCCAGCTCTGCTGCCAGGGAGCTCTTAAACGAGTACCTGGGGAGGGGTCACCAGCAACATGAAAAAGGAAAGGCTCGGGGCCTCTGTGCCAGGAGCAGGGAAGAGGGCCCCTCGCCAGGTGGGTACTTAAAATCTGAGGCTGAGCTGGAGGGAGAGGGCAGAGCTGGGGTCAGGGAGGGAGCAGGCAGAGCCACGCCGAGGTAGCGGCGGAAATGCAGGTGCTGGTGGGAACCAAGAGGATGGGGCCTCCCCATCTCAGTTTGTGTGAAGCCCATCCACAGTGGCAGAGAGGACCGCAGCGAGGGGGCCGGGAGGATGAGCGGGAGGACCGCAGCGAGGGGGCCGGGAGGATGAGCGGGAGGACCTCAGCGAGGGGGCCGGGAGGATGAGCGGGGGCCTCCATTCCACCTTCAAAGACTCTGGGGTGCAGGCGTCCAGCCAGGACCTCTGAGAGGCGCCCAGAACATGGGGACGGAGGCAGGAGGCTGTGAGGAGAGAGGGGCCTTGGCCACCTCTGCTGTCCCTACTGCAGGCCAGCGTCCGGCCGGCTCCAGGCCTGGACTCCCAGAATTCAAAGGTGCCCCCGCTCAGGCAGCCCTGCCCCCACCGCCCACTCAGGCCAGGGCCAGAGGGGTGTCAAGATCACCTGAAAAGGCAGCCCCTGAGGGTGACCAGAGCCCCGAGCCCCAGCGGGGACAAATGAGGAGCTTAACTAGCACAAGGCCGCATAAAAGGGAACGGGAGAGGAGGGACAAAGCCTCACCCATGTGCTCTTTTGGGCTTTGTGCGCACTGGCCCCTTTCCCAGTATATCAGGCTCCCAGTGAATGGAGGCCCGCGCCGCGCAGTCCTTCCGCAGCCCTGACGGTTTCACGAGCCGGTGAATGGAGTGCAAATTAGCAGGGTCCCCGGGAGCCTTGTTACTGTCACTCCCAAACTGACGGCCCAAAGACGACGCGAGGATTAATCCACCCGGAGAACTCGCCCATTATCCAGGCAAGGTAGGAAGCTATTTATTGTCCCCTCTTTCATGTCTCCTCCATGTTGCCCACTGCAGCGAGCCTTTACAGCAGAATGGAGCAGCCGCGGATACACACCCGCTCCCACCCACACACTCACGCCGGGCCCAGGCCGCCAGGCGTGGATGCACGCGCACGCACACGCATGCACACGTGCACACGCATGGACACGCTCGTGCTGCAAGGCCATGGGCCACCGTGTGCTGTTCCGTGCACATTTATTCTCCTCTGAGGACCCAGGCCGGCTTGTCCGTGAAGTGCCAACATTAGGGGCTGTGCAGGGCAGGGTGAGCGAGCACTGACCACCAGCGCCGGCCCCCACTGCTGCGGCCAGTGGGCTGGACGACCAAGGACGAGGCCGGGGCCTTGAGACAAAAGTCCCAGCAATGAGGCAGGGACCTCACAGCAGAGGGAGCTGGACCCAACCTGTTTTCAAGACACGAATCTGCTGCAGCCCCCGACGGGCCCCAAGAGACTCTGCCTTGAGTCTTTTCTTAGGAGTCCACCCACGGCCGCATCTCCAGCTAGATCAAGCCCACGGCTTTTCACACTGCTGGACCAGACACCACGAGAGATGTTCGGTCAACACTGTGCATATCTCAACTTTCAGGTGGACACTGCTGCCCGGAAATGACTTTCACTTATTTTCAATCGGTCTACTTAGAAAAAGAAAATCGGCATTGGCTACGCTGTGACCAAGACAGCTTAGGGAAGAAGGGCAGGGTGGCTGCTGACCGCAGGCTCTCAACAGACCTGTGTACAATGGGTGGGCAAGCAAGTGTCCATGAGTGCAGAGACAGACAAGCAGATGTCTAATGAAGGAGGAGACAACCAGCATCGAACAAATGACCAAGAAATAGATGCCTAGTGGGTGAATTGATCAGCAAATGTATACACGTGTGCATAAACAAATCAATATCTAATATCTAAACTAATAAATGTATGAACAAATACATGCCTAATGAGTGAATAGACAAATATCTCATGAATGCGTGGACAAATCGATATCTAATGAATGGACAAACAAATGCATATCTATGAATGGATGAACAAATACATATCGAATAAATAAATGAATAAATACCTAATAGATATATGAACAGATATATCTCTAATGAGTGAATAAACAAATATCTCATGAATACGTGGACAAAGCGATATCTAACGAATGAATGAACAAATGCATATCTATGAATGGATAAAGAAATAAACATCTCATAAGTGAATGAACAAGTGGATGTATATCTTGTGAATGAATAAACTAATGCATATCTAGAGGCTAAGGGTGGCCCCTTCCAGCCCTGTGAACCCATGACATAAGTTCAGCCACAGATTCTCTTGAATTCTGATTCCCTCAACTTAGAACATGTGCCTGCTATTTAGAGCATGTCTGGGAAATATTTTATCAGCCTTTGCATGTGGCTTGAGTAAGTGGAATCAGACGTGAAAGTCACACGCGTGCACAGACACACGCGTGCACGCACACACTTCCATGATGCCCACAGGCTCTGGGCAGGGCTGTCTGCAGCTGTGGTTCCAGCTGGGAGCCTGGCTTCTGAGCCTGTGCGGCTCCTTCCTGAATCTGAGGGGGGAAAGCCTTCCAGGGCCTTGGTTTCCCCATGGATCCCAGGGAGCATGTCCTCATCTCCATGCTCAGAGCTGGATCAGGAGTGATGCCTCGAGCTGCCTTCATGTTGAATCCTAGTGCAAGGATCCTGCAAAGCTTCAGGAGCCAGACCAGAGCCCACCTGCCTGTGAGTGCAGGCTGGCTGCCCTAAAAGCCCAGAGTAACATGAAGCAGCTGCAGGAACACATCGGCACATAGCGAGCTGGTTTCCGCTGCTGCAATTATCCAATATTTATTGAATAGATTTCTGTTCTAGACATCCATACCTGGGTTACAGTTAATAGTAAGATGTTAATAGTAGTCACTGATTTTCTGTAGTTGAGAAAGAAAATTGGCTTTAATGTGTCAAATACCTTCCTGCAAATGTCTCTAGAAAATGCTACGATATTTTCCATGTTAAGTAAGAGTTCTGTGAAAGGGCTAACACAGGTGCACCTTTTGGAAGTCCCCGTTAACCTTAGATCAGGAGGCAAATAACTGTCACTACTTTTCCAGCATGCCCGTCTTAGATCCCCGGGTTCTGCCAGTTTGGAAAACGCTGGACCAAGTCCTGGCTGTCGTGCTCAGGAAACTACAAGACAAGTTCCTGGCCCAACCCTCAGGGAAGGGGCTCTGTGGGGGGCGGGAGGGCTGTGGTTCCTGGTGGCCGTTGACAACTAAACCTCTCCAGAAGCAGGAGGTGGCATTTGTGGCCAATTGGTCTCGACAAAGGATCCCGAAGTGAGGTTCCAGGACATTCCACTGAGGCGCTCAGCTTCCACGCGCACCCACAGGGAGCTTCCTTTGGAAATGTGCAGGAGCAGAACCACGGCCTCCCAGCGAGGCCTATTCCACACCCAGGCCTGGCCTCCTGCCTCCCTGGCTGTCCCGGGGGACACAGGCATTCACGCGACCTTCACAGGCCTCCCCAGGAAGAAGGGAGAGCTGGCTGGCTGCAGTCCGTCCCAGGTGACTCGGGGCAGGTGTGCCAGTCGGGACCGGCCACGTCGGAGCTGCGTGCCCCGATGTCAAACGTGCAGTGCTGTCCCTGCCCACAGTTACTGTTCAGCGTGACCGTGCTTAGTAAATCCCACTCTGAGATTTATTTCCTGTCCTTCTCTTCTTGTTGCTTTTCCACTCAGTCATGGGCCTTTACCAAATAAATGATTAATTTTTTCTTACCCCTGGAACCAAAATGTTCCCATATTTTTGACTAGGATATTCAAAGCCACCTGCTGTCCACCCTGCCCCAGGTTTAGGTTGGCACAGGGCATTCCCTTCTGAGCTCCTTCTGAATTCCCACTGCTCTCTGTCCCTAAATACCCTTGAGAGTTAAGTCCCAGCCACCTGCTGAGAAGCAGGTGGTCACTACATGACAGACGGAGCAAGTCACTCCCTTGATGTGGCGAGGGGGACATCTGTTCATGGGAAAAGCCAGGTTTCTTCTGTCCCCAAGACTTTCCACCCACTCGTGGGGACCTGGGGGGGCCTCTGGACAGGCACTCAGGGAGCAAGAGGAGATGGCTTCAGGGGGTGGAGATGGTTCCAAAGGACAAACCCCACAAAGGGGATGGTGGCCCATACCTTTGACCAGTGGCTCTCCATTACAGCAACTCTGCTGCCCAGGCAGACACCTGGCGGAGATATCTGGAGACACTTTCTTTTCTTTTCTTTTCTTTTCTTTTTTTTTTTTTTGAGACGGAGTCTTGCTCTGTCACCAGGTTGGAGTGCAGTCACGTGACCTCAGCTCACTGCAACTTCTGCCTCCTGGGTTCAAGCGATTCTTCTGCCTCAGCCTCCCAAGTAGCTGGGATTACAGGTGCCCACCACCACGTCCAGCTAATTTTTGTATTTTTAGTAGAGACATCGTCTCACCATATTGGTCAGGCTGATCTCGAACTCCTGACCTCGTGATCCACCCTCCTTGGCCTGCCAAAGTGCTGGGATTACAGGCGTGAGTCACCGAGTCAGGCCTCTGGAGACATTTTCAATCGTCGTCATCACTCGGGGTGGCCTCGGGCACACTAAACACCCTACAGTGCAGGGCCAGAGAATCGCTGCCCGCACGTGAACCGAGCCAGTGGGGAAACTGCTTTAAGCAAAGGTCGGAACAAGATCCCGGGAAGAAGAGGTCCCCTTGTCAGGGAGGCTCCATCTGGAGCCCCGTGAGGCTTCAAGCGTGGCCACTCTGGCTGGTTATGGGGCCCTCGGGCTGTAGACGGAGCTGCCATGTGGATGCAGAGGTGCCGGGGCAGGTGCTGGCTTGGGCTTTCCCATGCAGAGGCCCCCATGATCCCTGGAACAGCCTAGGGAGGCCGGGACTCTCGCAGATGAGCAAACCAAGGCACAGGAAGATGCAGTGATTTCTTCAGGATGCCACGCGGACAGGCGGCCGGGCTAGGGTCCACGCCTGGGTTTCTCAGCCGCTGTGCCAGCAGCTGCTTTATGAAGACCCAGGGGTTTGCTCCAGGGGTCGGGGGCTTCCTGCCTTCTCCTCTGGTTCCTGAGAACTGTGACAGCCTTGGTGAGAGACAGCTACTCTATTTCACACTCGAAACTCTGGAGACGGCCTTGGAGTCAGATGAGCGCAATTATTGGGGTAATTCTGACTCTAGAGAGGGGGATGGAAGAGGAGAATCCTGCCTCATTCTGCGAGGCGGAACTCCTTTCCTCAGCTCCCGGGAGACCACAGCCAGCACGTGGCCAAGGCCGGCGTCCCCAGCACGCAGGGACCGTTACTTTCACAGAATGCCTGTTTGAAGAGCGAATGCCAAGTACGGGTGTCTCAGGTGACAGGTGTGCACAGGGCAAGAAGAGGCCAGAGAACTGGGCAAAGGGACCTCTGGCTGCTGCCGCCACGTGGGCAGCTCCAAAGAGCATTGTCTCCTGTATCACGCCTGCCTGGTGACTTAGTCACAAATGTGCCTGCTTCCCCTTTAAAACCGTCCGTGGAAACACTCTGGCCTCTGGGGGAAGCAAAACTTCACTTCTCTGCCATAAACAAATGCCAATGTTCCCAAGGTCGTAAAACTTGCCCTTAGCAAGGAACCTGGCTGGGCCGAAGCATCCGGGGGTATGCGCCGTGGGGAGCTCGGCAGTGGAATTAACCAAATGACCTCGGGTTTTGTAGCTGCGAATTTATTTCCAAGTCATAAAAAGGGATCAATGGCGCTGGGCTAGGAGGTTTTCTGGGTAGCGCTTTCAGAGATGGCAAAGGGCGGGGCTGGCGGGTTGGCACCGTGAGAAGGCGCCCCCCAAAGCTCCCCGCACCAGGACACCATCCTTCTTGACTAAGCCACAGCTGTGTCTCCTCTGCTCTGCATCCCATGGGCCTTTTCCACCTTCCTGGAAGCAGGTCCATGTGGGGACATGCGGGCGGCATTGCTGTCCTCTATGTCACCTCTCGGACAGGTCCCCTGGGTCGCCGTCTGCCCGCCCTGCTTCCTGGGCCGACCGCCCCTCCTCCTTTCATCCCTTTCTACTCCACCCAGCTGCACAGGTCCCAGGTGTCAGGCTGTGTCTCCCTCTGCAGAAAACTCGGATTCTTGACCAGCCTTGGGCCAGCTGGTGCCGTGTGACCTTGCCGGGCCCATTTCATGGGGTGGCTCACTCTTTGTCATGCCAGCCTCGCTCTGCCCCTCTTGCTCAGATGCCACATCTGGGAAGCTACTGGTCCAGGCACGGGTCCCAAAGCCTCAGACCCAGCTCACCCTAGGCCACGGGTTCCTACAGGTCCTCCATGGAAGGGCCGGGAGGGGTGTGTGCACAGGAGCGTGGGAAGGCATGCGTGTGTGTCCGGAGGGTGAGCAGACTCAGGAAGGGCCACGTGCACCTTCTATTCACTCAGCAACATCACTTTCTGAGGATGCGTGAAGGCGTGTGCGTCTATCCAGCACCGGGACCTCACGCCTACACTCCAATCACTTCCCGTCTCGGAGCTGCCTGGAGGTCACGCCTTCTGCACCAGACACGCTTTCGGGATCCCCAGTGCCCCGAGAGGAACCCCGTGTTGCACACACAGCAAATACACGAGAGCTTGCTCATCCCCAAGGGCGTGGGTCCAGGCCCACTGGTGGTCTCTCTGGGAAAGGGCCCTCTGTGGGTGGTTCACAGGGAGGATCTCCAGAGGAGTGGCCTGGCCAGGTCAGTGTGGGCCACTGGCTTAGTGTGGGGTGTTGGTTCTCCCAGAGTAGGTTCACCCCAGCTCTGTGGCCTCCGACAAGGGGACTTGCTGAGAAAACGGGGGCACCAGTACTAGTTGGGGCACCTCTGTTGTGAGCACCGGTCATGGGGAACGCAGGTAGGGGGCTGTTAGCCCCGGTCTCGCTCACACACAGCTGGGAGGGCAGCGCTGGGGCGCGCTGCTGTTTTCTGCAACTCCCTGAGTCAGGGCAGGGGGCTGGGGGCTCCTTCGGCATTCAGATCCCTGGGAGAGGGTTAATTGTGTGGGATCCGGAGATTCAGGTGGTTCCATCCAGTCCATGCCGCTGCACCGGCTTCAGGGTTGGGAGGTGGGTGAAGAGGCAGGGGATGCAACTTGAACTCAGATCAGCTGCCCCTGGGGCAATTACCGAGGCCTGGCCAGGAAGCCGGTTCTAGCCTTGCCCCTGGACTGCCCAGCCCCCAACCTCACACATACCACCTTCCCTTTACCTCCACCGAGCCCGCCCTCATAACCAGATTCCACTTCCTTCTTAATCCTTATTTTCTTTAAAAAATGGATTAGGAAAATCTCATCTGGAAAATTAATTAATGTATGAATTCAACAAATATTTACTGAGCACAGCACTTTGTTAAGTATTTATTTTCCTATGTAACCTGCTGTGCCCTGCCCCCCACCTCTGTTTTCCTGGCCTTTTGGGTTTCTGGCTGGTCCATTTCTGTATTTCATGGGTTTCTCTCCTCCTTCCAATAACATTTTTTTCTAATTCAGCCATTAGGATACATTTCTTTCCTATGCAGCTGGCCACACAGGCACATCTTACATCTCGGCATTTTCCCGGGTGTAAGTGGAGTGACCGGATGGCTGACGAGGGGCGGTCTCCCCGGCGGGGTGGGTGCTCTGGTGAACTTGGGGCCGAGGGAGCTCAGAAGGCGCCTTGGGGGTTCCGGTGGGTGCCCTGTGGCTGCACCATTCCTGCTGCCCGTCGGGGGATTATTTCCAATGCCCCCTTCCCCTTCTGCCCCTGGCCCCCCGGCTCTAGGTAAGAACATACTCTGAGAGCAGCCCCGCCCCCACCAAACAAAAGTGAACTTGCCCACCCTTCCCGGGAAGGGGACGGGAGCCTTTCACGGGCAGTGAATGGGGCCCTCATTTAGGCCGCATTATACCCGGGCCTGCGTTTCCCCTTCCCTTCTTTACCCCATTCAGGGGACTTCTGACTTCAACTAATTCGATAACAATCCCGCGGGGCCTTCCCAGCTCCCCGTTCGGAGCACATTGTCCCGGCGAGGGCCCCCCCCAACGGGGGTCCCACTCTCCAATTAGCCAACCGCTGGGCTCCTATCCCTCCACTCCTTTCCTGCCTGCCCGCCCATTTTTTAACCATTTCGTTTTTGAATTTCACTCCCAAGGGCCTTCAAGGGTGAGCAACCCACAGCCGCAGGTTCACAAACCCAGGGCCGGTCGGGCCAAAGACAGAACACACGATCGTGGTCACACGTCTACGTACACGCAAAGTCAGGCTGTCGGCCTGGCTTCTGAAAGCCTGCACCATCCTCAAAGAAGACTTTAAAAACTACAAATAACGGAGCAGCCGAGCTATTGGCATTCCCAAAACCTCACCCACACACTGGTTCAGAAACGGAGCCACGGGCTCCCCTGGGACAGGGGCAGGGCTAGAAGGAATTCGGAGACTTCCCTGGTGGCCTCTGCTCTTCCAGGAGGGTGTGTGTCTCTGGGACGGTAAGGTTCCCTCTCTAGAAACTGTAGGGATCAGTGTGGGATTCCTTCCCATGTTTGAAATGTTCACATGACGTCGTTTTACCTCCAAATCAATTTTTTTTTCTGTCTGAAAGTTGTAGGAGCCCTGCGGGGAGCAGGCGGGGTCCACAGTTACCCCAATTTCCACTGCCCTCCCCCCACACAGACGTTTCATCTGTGGAAGTCACACCCACACACACTACAGGGGCACGGGTATCTGTGAGCGGCCAAGTCTGCTCTGATGTTTATTTCACTAACATTATCTCCAAATGGAAAATACTGGAATTGGCTAAAAACGCCGGCCTTAAAAAGGCATCTTACTGTTAAGACGTGGGTTGGCACCACCGTTCATATGTCACTGGCCCTGAGTTCTAATCACTTCTGGACCTATACACCTCCCTTCCTAATCCCGGTGTGGTCCCCTTCGAGTCCGCAGAGGGGGCCTGTCTGGGAGGTCTCAGGTGCCAGCATTTGCTTCAGGGACGTGGGGACCAGGTGTGCACTGGGGCACCGCCTTCTGTCACCTGCTATACCTGGAAATGCCCAGGCCCAGATAGTTGATGTCTAAGGGATCTATGTAAATTGTGCCCCCCCCGAATTCACCTGCTGAAGCCTTCACCTCCAGGACCTGAGAACGCGGCCTGAGTTGGAAACAGGGTCTTGGGAGATGTGATGAGTTAACGCAGGTAGGGTGGTCCGAATCCAATATGACTAATATCTTTACCCAAAGGGGACATGTGGACACAGACACACACGCAGGAAGGAGCCACGTGAAGATAAAGCCAGAGGCCTCGAGGGCACCGTGTCTGCAAGCCAAAGCATGGGGAAGATCTGCACCACACCCTGGCCCCCCCGGGGAGAGAAACGCACGGACCCCACCCCAGAGGCTTCTGCGGGAGTGAGGCCAACACCTCCATCAGGGGCTTCTGGCCTCCGGACCTGCCATCTCATAGGCAGGCCATGCAGCACATGGCACCTTGCGGCAGCGCCCCTACGGCCCTAATACGGGCTCATAAGCACCTGCCTCTCAGTCACAGCAGTGTGCCAGGTACTTTTCACTCTTCATTCACCTAAGCTGGGTTATTAGAACACAAACATAGAATGAGAACTCAACGGTTGTGTGGGTGGCAAGGTAACTTTCTCAGAGTGCCTCATCATTCACTAAATCCACCTGTGGCGTGGGACGCAACCATCTCAAGGATGACCGCCAAAGCCCTGGCCCCCCACCACCCATAGCCTAACTTCTTTGAGAAAATCAGCAAAGCAACAGACGACGAGGTTCTCAGAGAGTGGCTTTTCCACCTCAGCCCGGGGTTGGGGGTGGTGTGCAATTGCCCTGCTTTATCTTGGTGACCCCACATGACAGCAAATTCATCGGGGATGAAGAATGCCAGTTCGGGAGAACACAGCTTCCAGGCTGGGGGCAAGGGTACGACCAGTGGAAAATTATCCACTTTCTTCAGATTCCGTCAAAGAAAACTCCTTCCCCCACACCAACCGCCACGTTCTTCGTCTCTGCACCTCTTGGCTATCAGAGTACTCAGACCACAGGCTGGAGTTGGGTGGGGCCAGCAAGATGCCTCTCTTAGTTCCTCATTTAGCAGGTGGGGAAACTGAGGCCCAGAGGCCACGATGGCTTGCTCAAGGTCTCAGCAGCATCTGTGAGCCTGAGCCTGAGCCGTCCTCCTCTTTCTGTGGTGCCAGGGCCCCGGCTCTGTGATGCAGGCATCTCAAAAACCTGCACATCGCTTTTCGAAAACCTCACAAAGCTACTGAGGTTGAAAAGGAGGAATCAGGAGCATGCAGAAGGCACACACCATCCCTCACCTTTAGACGGCACACACCATCCTTCACCTGCAGACCCTTAAGGGGACATGGGCAGCGCAGCCAGAGAGCAAAAATGCAAAAGGCCTACTTAGGCTCGAGCAGGTGTCTGCTCTCCTAGGATTCTGAAGTCGCCTGTGACCAAGGGGACTGAGCCCTGACCCATCCCTGCCTCTCAGCAAAGCCCAGTGCACAGGGGCCCCACAGGGCAGCCAAGTTCCCCCAGCCTCCCCCAGCCTCCCCTAGGCTTCCCCAGCCTCCCCCAGACTCCCCCAGCATGAAGGATGCACCTGCTCCCTGAAGATGGGGGAAGCAGGAGGCCCTCCAGTCTGCAGCTGACATCTGACGTCCTGGTCCCAGCTGCTCCATCAGCAGCACCGTGTGCTGTTTCCCAGACTCAGTTTCCCCTCATGTAATGCCAAGATGATGAAAGTCTACCATGAGGTCATGCGGGTGAAGGGGCAAGGCCAGGCTGCCCTTTGCACACCTTCGGGGGTGTCTCCAAGGACTTTGGCGCTGCTTCCTGGATGTGCTTTCCCTCCTGAGGCAGGTGGAAAGCCCTCCTAACCTCAGAAGGCAGTGGGGACCTCTCCACTGTGAGGGCGTCCCCTGCCTCATGGACGTGTGGGACCCACTATTATGTACGGGCACCACTGAAGCAAGAAACCTACAGGAGCTGGACCCCTTGCTCGAAGGCTCCACTTGGAGGTCCCTCCGAGAGGTGGAGTCAGCGCCTAAGCTCATGTGGGATCTGGGAAGCCGCAGGCTCTGCAGTGGACACAGAAGTGGGCGGGAGACACCAACCCGAGGTAGAAACAGAGGCCAGGTGGGAGAGGGCTCGCGTGGAAGCGGGGCAGACACGACCCTACTCGGCTCCAGCTGAAGAATGTGTCACCAGCATCCAAGCGGGGAGGTCCTGCCCTGCAGGTGCTGGAAGTGGCTGGGGTCCCCGACCTGCCAGGGGTCACTGGAGAAACGTCAGAGCCGGGGCTCCCAGCCCCCGAGGCCATGCTCAGGGGCAAAAAGTCCCTCAGAGGGCAGCTGCCCCGGGTGGCCCTCCTGTCCTCCCCACAGCTGACATCATTCCTGATGACTGCAAGGGCCCAGGTCTCATGAGGGAATATCCCAGTGAGCAGGAGGCTGGGCCCTGCGGTGGGAGCTCTGGTGTGGGGCCAGGGTGAGGCTGGCTCCCGTGGCTTGGGCTACTGGACTTGAAGGCCACCTCTCTGGGGACTGGACACCCGCCTCTGAGCGCCGAGGCTGCATCTTGTTCATCTCTGTGCGAGCTTCAAGTCAGTGCAATTGAAGTAATTTTAAATCCCATGACAAAGCGAATTTTAGAGGCAAGAGAAATACATTTGTCTCCAGCCCCCCAGCTCCTATGATCATATGAATGGAGTTTGAAGGCTTTTATCAAAATGCAGCCCAGACCCCTTTTTCCATCCCTGTCCTCCTCAAAAGAAGGCAGCGTGGTCTATGCTCCCAAAACTCAGGGGTCCTGATGTCCTTCTGCCATCAGACTTCAGTCATTTGGGCAGCTGGCCTTCCCCGGAGTCCCCACTCCGGCTAAGGGTTGACCCTGGACTCACAGCTCTCAGCTGTCCTCCTCCTCTTCCCCTTCCTCCCCCTCCTCTTCCTCCTCCTCTTCTCCCTCTTCTCTCTCCTTCCTCCTTCCTGCTCCTCTTCCTCCTCTCTTCCTCCTCTGCCCCCGGTTCGGCTCTTGTCCTCGTCTTCTGTGCCCGTGGTCAGGTCTGAAGCTCTGTGCTGAGTCCACAGGCAGCATCATCGGGGTGGAGGCTGGGATTAGGTGCAGGAGACACTCGCCCCATGACCCCCAAGCCCTGTCCACTTGGCGGAAGGTAGGACAAGCAGCACTCTCTGCATTTCCAGGAGGGCCACGCGTGCCGGGGATACTTTATTTGTTCTTCAGATCCCACGCAGGACTCCCAGGCTGTTTTAAAATCCACCTTAGGCTGGGCGCGGTGGCTCACGCCTGTAATCCCAGCACTTCGGGAGGCCGAGGCGGGCAGATCACAGGGTCAGAAGATCGAGACCATCCTGGCTAACACGGTGAAACCCCGTCTCTACTAAAAATACAAAAAATTAGCCAGGCGTGGTGGCGGGCGCCTGTAGTCCCAGCTACTCGGGAGGCTGAGGCAGGAGAATGGCGTGAACCCGGGAGGCGGAGCTTGCAGTGAGCGGAGATAGCACCATTGCACTCCAGCCTGGGCAGCAGAGCAAGACTCCATCTCAAAAAATAAAAAATAAAAAAAAAATCCACCTTAAGCCTAAAGGAGGGCCCCGGCTAAGGGCCTCGGTAGAGCCTGTGGTTTTCTGCCGGTGTGCAGGCTTCAGCCCCCATCCAGGGCAGCCTCGGCCGGCAGGCCAGACCCCCAGGCCCCTCTCCCCAGGCCCTTGACTCAGCGGCTGTGAGGAGAGTCTCTGCCCCTCAGGCCCTGGGCAGTCATCACGGGGATTGTTGCCTCTACTGGAAAGACAGGTGAGCCTCAGCCTCTGCACTGGGATACAATGAAGAAGGTCCCATGTTTACCTCCAGTCTGATATCTCAGCATTCACCCATGTGCACCAGGAGGAAGTGAGGTCCCTTCCCCAGCAAGACCCTGGGAGGCCTGTAGCCTCTGCATTCCCCTGGTGGGGGGAGAGAGACGGAACACAAGGACATCCCTGTCCTGGGATCACTGCACAGCTGTCCTGGAGCCCTTGAGGGGCAGGGTCACCTCTGAGAGCTCAGACTTGAGACAGGGTGCACCGTGGTCTCTCCGGGAAGACAGCATGGTGCTCGTGTCCATGTGGGAGGCATCAAGGGCCAGCAGAGTGGCGTCCTGTCCCGGAGGGCCCCTTGGGGCTCGAGTGCAGCTGGGGCTCCTAGCCGAGCAAGACTTGCGCTTCTCAGCCCCCAGCGATTCTTCATGCACTAGAGAGGCTCATCAGAGGCCCACCCCATGGGATGAGGATGCTTTGAGGGGGCCCGGCAGCTCCAGTGCAAACCTAGCTCCAGGAGCCAGGGCAACTGGAACCTTCTAGAAATGGGACTTTGGCTGACCCAGGAGCCTGAGCAGCCTCTCCTCCCTTCTTTCTGCCTAGAGATTCTTGTTCCTGGGGTGGGCAGGAAGGGGAGGACTGAGCCAGCCAGCCTCTGTAGGTGGAACATGTGAGCTGTTACCAAGAAGCTCAGCAGAGCCCCACTGGCAAGGGGCTCCGGAGGCCCGGCCATTTCATGTTGCTTATGTTCACGTATTTCCAGCCTGGCTCGTTGTTTTCACACAAGGTTTTATTTTTGTGCCCCTGCCCCAGGCCCTGAGACCCCCACCGCTCTTTGGGGGACACCTGGCTATGGCTCTCCGCCCACAGGCAAGCTCCTCGGCGGCACCCCATGGCCATTGGCAGCTTCTGTCCCCGAGGATCCAGAGGTGCCTGTTGAAACTGTGGAGCAAGCAAGCATCCTAATCCCCCTCTGCCGCCACCCCGCACAGCACTCTCTCCAGCCTCCGCTGAGCGCCAGGGCTGAAACGAAGGCTGATAAATTAGTCTAGAGGGAAACAAGGCCGCTTCTACTTGTAAAAGGTCATTTCGACTTTGTTCTGGGTGAGGGTTTATCTCAGCTGCTGCCGCGACAGACAATGCCTGGGGCCTAAATGGCAGAAATCTTAGCTCTGCTCGTGAAATTACGGTGCTGATAAGCCGGAATGGACTTTAGAGAGATCTAAATGGGAACGGAGTGGACGTAGGTATTTTTGAACATGATTGAACAGAGACGACACAATGGGATGTACAATTAAACTGGGCATTAGCCCAGAAGGAAGGAACTCTGCCGACTCCGCCGAAAGCCAGACAAAGGGGGTTCCCGCAGCCTGCGTGCGGCTGGTAATCCCTGCCCCAGCCTGGTGCAAGAGGCGCAGCCGGGACCGGAGGACCAGAGTGGATGCACGAGAGCTCCTGGGCGGCTGCTGCTGGAGGCTGGTGCCGTTCTTCATGCAGCAGGGGAGAGTGGGGCCCACTCACCAAGCCAGCTCCCTGGAAAGCACGGTGGTGCTGCCCACGCGTCCCAGAAGGCCACGGCCCAGTGCCACGCCAAGCACTCCAGGTGGGCCCGGAGCTGCAAAAGCAAGAAGAGACCACGCTCCCCTGCACAGCAGACACACTCACGGCATCCTGGCAGCTGAGTGAGAATAGTCACTTTGAGGCAATTCTACTCACATATGTCCCAAACGACAGGAAAGGCCCAGCCAAGGCCACGCAGAACAAACCCTCCATGCAGCAAGGGTGCCGGCTTGCAGCCATTCTCCAAAGGGCCTTCTCTAAGGCACTCAGATAAACTCCTCACCCCAGAGAGACGCTGCCCTGCGCCGACCTGGCCCCTTAAGGCAGGTGCCTTCAACCACAGCAACCCAGCCACACTGCAGCTCGGGGGTCCAGAGAACGCATGGAGTGCCCGCCCCTGACCCGAGCAGATTCTACCCGCGTGCAGGAGGCAGCAGAGACAGGCAGCCCACAGGAGTTGTCCTCAGGTCGCTGCCCCTCAGCGGGCCTGTGAGCAGTTGCGTCACCCTCATCTCTGGTTGAGGCCAAGGTGGCCCGTAGCACCCTGAGAGCACATTCCTACCCCAGCTGATGACCCGGCCCATGAGAATTCCTGCCACAGGAGAAGCTCTGACCAGCAGCAGGCCTGGCGGGAGGGCAGTGGGACCTGCCACTGCCCCCTGAGGAGTGCGAGGTTCACGCGCTCATCCCCTGACCCTCGTCCCTGACCCAGGGAGACCTCTGTGGCCTGGAACGCGTGGGACCTGCGTCTGACCCAGGGGAGGGAGGGCCACCCAGGAGCTGGCCCACAGGCCTCAGGGGGCCTCTCCAGGGAGCCGCCAGGCCACAGCCGCCCACCCTCAGGAGGGGCCGCCCTCCCCACCCATTCTGCTCCCTGCGAAGCCTGCTGCTGGGAAATTACTCAAAATTAAAAGATCTCAAGCGCAAATGATCTGTACTGTAGATTCTTCAGTCTTAGTGGTCCAGTTGCTTCCTGCCGCCCTCGTAGGCCTACCGCCTGGCAGCACAAAGCTGATCCCGGCACAGCCTTGCAGGGACCGCACTGCAGGTGCAGGCACCAGAGGTGAATGAGCTGCCTCTCAGGCCTGTGCCAGCCCTGCCTGGCTCATGGGGCACGCTCCTCTAGGATGCCAAGGCTGTAGGATCACCCAAGGGACAATTGGACTGAGTGCCCACGACGAGCTGGGGCCGCTGTGATGGCTGGGGGCACACAGGAAGGAGGGGCCTGCCCTGCTCACAGCTGACATCTGGGAGCTGCAGGGGCAGAAAGGGCCCGCCTGGGGGTCGGGACCCTGGGCTCTTGTCCTGGGTCCACCCAGCCCATGGTCGCATATGACTCTTTCCCTCCCTGGGGCCCAGTTCATAACTGCACTGGGAGGGGGAGGAGATGGTGATGTCCCAAGGGGGACTCAGGTATGACAAGGGGCCCCTCCTATCTTAGCCATCACTCCATGCCCGGGGGCGCGTGGCTGGTCAGCCTCGGGCCGCCTCGTGCAGCTGTGGCCGGGGACAGGAGCCATGCTGATGAGCCAGTGGTGTGAAGCTCACCCCCCAGCCTCAGCGGCTGCACAGACCCCCCTGGGCAACAGTGGGGTCCCCCAGTGGACCCAGGCACCCGCCTCTTCGCAGCTCCAGCTTCTGCTCCTTCCACCTGCCCTGCTGAGGCCTGTGGTCAGGAAAGGCTCTGCTGCTACCCGTCAGCCTCGGCACCTTTAGGAAAAGCCTCTCTGGGCTCCCATGGGTAGGGGAGGAAGGAAGTTCAGGGCGGGCCCCTTTCCCAGGGCCTCCTCCTGGGCTGGACTCCTCCAAGTGCCCCACAATGATCGCTTCTCAGAATGCAGACTCCTGGGACCTCCCCCGGGAACTCTCAGCCAGTAGTAGGTAGAGAATGTGGCCTGGAATTGGGTGGGGGTCTCACAGGCTGACCATCTGGGTCAGGAACCCCTGCGGTTCCTGGCTGAACCCCTCTCTGGTGCCACGGGCACCCTGGGGCCACCGCAGAATCCCAGCTTCAGGCAGGGGCACCGGGCGGTGAGCCTCACTCTCTGCCAAGTGTCCCCAGCATTCTCAGGCCCCACAAGGGCCCATGGGTCTACATTTGGGACCTGCTTTCAAACAAGGGGACAGCAGCTTCTGAGAAAAAGTGGGGCTGAGGT
Source organism: Homo sapiens (assembly GCF_000001405.40). NCBI lineage: Eukaryota > Metazoa > Chordata > Mammalia > Primates > Hominidae > Homo > Homo sapiens. Next base: position 3,196,394 of record NC_000001.11, on the reverse strand, counting down.
CATGTTTACGACACAGAATTCCCCCAAGCCCAGAGAGGGCCATCGGCTGTAGTGAAGTCAAGTTCCAGGGCCCGGCTGGGTCAGGGACCTGCAGAGGACAGAGCCATGTTCAGGCAGGAGCATGAGGCACTGGGCCCAGGCAATCGGCCTGCAAGGCGCAGAGTTGAGACTGCCCCACCTACATGCTGTTAGTGGGGGCAGGAACCGGGTCTGGGCCCAGCTGCCGCCCCTGCTGGAGCTCACCTGTGCCTCTCCCACCTGGCAAGAGCCTGGCTGCCCCCAGTGAGCTCCTGCTGGGGTCACTGAGCGGGACCCACACCTGCCTCTGGGCCCCTGCATGGACAAACCTGGGGGCTGGGAGCTATTCCTTCCTTCTCAGCCCCGGGTTCCCCTGTCAGAGCGAGGGTGGCTGTGTCCTAATCACAGCACAGCTGGGAGGGTCCCAGTGTAGACAGAGCCTCACAGAGACCAGGGCACACGGCAGGTGCCCACCAGGCCCATACAGAGGCCACATGCCTCTGTCATACTCCCTTCACATCCAATCCTTATTTTCCCTAAGGAAGAAAGAAAGGGAGGAAGGAAAAGGGCAGGAGGCTCCGGAGCACCCTGTTCTCACAGGGAGCCTTGGGGGACCTAGGGGGAGGCTGGGCCACGCCCCCACGCAGAAGCCCTTCTCCCTCCTGCTTCTGGCAAAACCCTGAAGACATTTTCAGGCTGGCAGCCCTGATGATGTTTTCAGGTCTCTTGGTACAAGCGGCCGGTTCCTGAGTAAGGGTGGGCTCTGGGTGTCACTGGGACAGGGGGGGCGGGGCGTGTGGGATGCGATTGGCAAAATACTATTTAAGAAGTTGGTATTCACAGATGTCTCTCGAATATGAAAAGAAAATATTTATTTCCTTTTTCGCTTGTGAATCAGAATGCTCTATTTAAAGAAAGTCCCCTCTGCTGGGCTGCAGCGGAGTTATTACCCCTTAAGGAAGTAAAGGAGAGCCATCAGGGAGGTATTCTTAGTCATTCTCTCTCCTTTTTTCTAAAATTCCTTATATACCCGTGCCTCCGAGCCGGGCCGAAGATAGTGCAGGATTTCATGGCATTCTTGGGCTAAAAACGTCTAGGGCTGATGTCACGGTGCCGGGGGACATGGGAAGCCTGTGCTGTGACTCCTCCACGGCACTGCCGGCTTCTCCCGGAGCAACGCCGAGGCCCATGGGTTTCTCTGCATCCCTGTCCCCACGGTGGCCTCAGGCTCCGCACCATCCCACAGGGCCCCGTCTCTCTCCAAATCCCGACGCTGTGTGCCTCGCCGAGCTGCCCGGTGCTGGCTCCACGGGAACACTCCTCAGAGCATCCACTGGCCGGTGCGCTCACGGTTTTAGACGTGAGGCCTCCATAGAAACATCCAGAAGCTCCTGAGTGGGGAAGCGCGGCAAAGCTTCCTGGCCTCACGCAGAACTCTCCACGCAGAGTGGAGCAGCAGAGGTGCCCAGAGCCAGGCCACGTCCCGGGGCCGAGCCCACTCAACCGTGGGGGTGGTGTGGGCAGTGGAGCGTGCATCTGGGAACCTTGGAGAGAAAGGGCAGGCCAGGAACGAGTTTTGGCGTTTAGATGATAAAACGTGGGACTGAGAATACCAAGCCCTAATGTGTGGCGATCAGACGGTGGCGTGTGGCGGGGAGACGGTGGCGTGTGGCGGGGAGACGATGGCGTGTGGCGATCAGACGGTGGCATGTGGCGGGGAGACGGTGGCGTGTGGCGGGGAGACGGTGGCGTGTGGTGGGGAGACGGTGGCGTGTGGTGGGGAGACGGTGGCGTGTGGTGGGGAGACAGTGGCCAGTTGCCGCAGAGTCCAGCCTTGATATTATCAGACCTGCCCCAGCCTCCCTCCCTGAGACTCCAGCCTGAGCCGAGGTCCCCAGCACCTGCCATGGTCTACCCCTTCCCCTCTGTTGGAATTTAAAGGATAAGGCGTAATAGGGTGATCTAAGAGCTCAGCCAATGAGCGCCGGCTGCCCCCACAGCAGGCCAGCAAGGAGGGCTTATGGCGGGGCTCAGCTCCAGGGTGAAAGGGGCATGGGAGAGACAGAAGGAAGCGCCCTGCACAGGGAGGTACCAGTGAACACCTCTGCAGGACCTGAGATGAGCCGGTTGTCTGCTGAGTGACTAAATGCCCTCAACAACCATCCTAAATAGCCCCCCAGTGTGCACTGAGCGTTGCAGAAGGCCAGACGAGTGCTTTGGGAGCCCTTGTTCCTCAGCCCTCCCACCTGTCCCTTGCCCGGCGGTCTGGTGCAGGTGCCGGACAGGACATGCAGGCGGGCTCTCCACTCCTCCTATCTAGGTCAGCTGCTCTCGGCCCAGGCCGTAAATTAGGATCTCCTGGGAGCTTTCACATGCCTGATGCCAGAGGGGTGTGCCAGGACTTTGGGTCTGACACTGGGACGTTCCTGGGCAAACAGGGAGGTTGGTCACCCTCCCTGGCCCCAGCCCAGCATCTCCAAGGCAGGCCTGACACCTGTATTTCCCATGCTCCCCAGGCAACACGAACACACAGTGAAGGGGAGCCCGCAGCCCCCAGCCTCTGCCCTCAGGTCTCAGGCACCCGGGAAGGACTTGGGAGCTTTCCTGACCACCCCCTCCCCCAGTACAGACCGACATGTGGGAGGGGCACTCACTCTTACATTTTCCTATGCATTCAGCAGACATTGTTGGGGGGCAGGGGCTTGCACCTCCTCCCCGGCTGGGTGGGCGCACTTCTCAGAATATGTCTGAGCCACAGGAGCTCCCTGGGTTGAGCCTTCCTTGCCTGCCATCCTGGGGTCCCCCAGAGCCGGATGGGATGGAGAGTGCGGAGGTCCATGGCTGTGGACAGCTCCAGGGGTGCAAAGGGAGCACCCAGCCCACTGAGCAGTGGGCGCTGGACACACAAGTTCTGCTTCTACAGAGGAGAGCTATGTCAAACACTTCTGGGTTCAAACCAGCCTCTGGTGGCTGGCAGGTGCCCCTTCTTCCTGAATCCCAGAGCCATGAGGCAGCCTGGAGATCTCCTAGGAATGGCTAGACCTGGCACTGGTGGGAGCTGCCGCTCCATCCCCTTGGGGGGCCGGGCAGGAGCCCGAAGCCTCAGGAGGTCAGCCCTGGAGGCGGGACGGGCAGGAAGGCAGTGCATCCTTCCACAGCGTCAGGGAACATTGGTGACTCTCCCAATGCCTGCAACACACCCAAAGCTGCCCCCTGGTAAGCCGCTGCGTCTGCTGGGTACTCGTCGTCTGGCCGCTGTGTCTGCTGGGTACTCGCCGTCTGGCCGCTGCGTCTGCTCAGTACTCACCATCTGGCCGCTGTGTCTGCTGGGTACTCGCCGTCTGGCCGCTGTGACTGCTGGGTACTCGCTGTCTGGCCGGGTCCTTCCTAAACTCAGCTGTGCACATGAATCACCAGGGATCTCGCTCAATTGCAGGTGGTGACTCAGTGAGTCCCAGAGAGGGGCCAAGGTTCTTCATTTCCAACAAACCTGCAGGGAGGCCAGCACTGCTGGCTCAGGGACCACACTTTGAGCACCGAGGGTCTTTATGGCAACAAGGCAGCCGGGTGTGTCTGTCTCTGGGTTGATCTTGGTTTCCTGTTTGCTCATGGGCCACAGGGACTGAAAGGGACTGAAGCAGAGTCCCAGGAGCCTCGACAATCCCTCCTGGGCAGGAGCTGGGGCTTGGTTAAAACAGGGTCGCTTCTGCCTGGGCTCAGACCTGTGGCCAAGCTCACCTTGATTCCCCAGCCCAGGACCGACGGAGGGGTCTAAGTCCAGCTCCTACACCAGCACCAAGCCCCGCCCACTGCCATGAAAACGGTAGAAAGGCAGAGCCTCCAATAGGACCTCCTACTTCCCCAAACCCAGTCCTGAACCCACATCCCTCATGAAGAGATTGCCCAATTGGAACATGAGCAGGCCAGAGCATGAGGTCTGGATGTAGGGGCTGACTCCTTAGGGTCTCCTCCTAACACCCTGAGCCTGGTCATTAATCCAGAGCCTGGAAGTGTCTCTCCAGGATCTTCTGGCTCAAAACCCAGCCGGAACTCCCAGAGAAGCAAGGCCTGCAGGCACCCAACCCGCATGCCCCAAGACAGCCAGCTCCAAAAGCTACCGAGCCCAGATGAGCTGGCGACACGGATGATCCCCATCCTTAGAGGCCAAGGCTCTGTCTAGGACTTTAGGCAAAAATTAAGCTGTGGGGGCTATTTGTGTGTGCAAGCTCACACACAATCTCCTGCAGCAAATCATGTTAATATTTGCTGCTGACAGGACATTCAGGAGGAAGGGAGAAGGGACTGGGGTTTGTGTGTGGGAAAGGGTGGCCTGGGTGATTCCCTACCCTACCCTGTGGACCTGGCCACATTGCAAAAACCCTGGAGTAAATTTGCCATTGCCCCTCCTGCCATCGGACTGAACCGGGTCTCAGCACTTGGGGCCCTCCAGTGCTTCCTGGTATGTGGGGAAGCTGGTTCTGGGTGCTACCTTTTTACGCCTGCCTCACGGTGCCTTTAAAAGCCAATCATGGACATTTGTGCTGTGATGTCGGAGACTGAAGCCCCATAGCACTGTCCCTCCTGCTGTCCCAGGGAGCCAGGTGCCTGGCTGGGCTGCCCTCACCCCACTCCATCGTCATCCTATCACCTGGGACCAAAATGGACCTGCAAATGTATTTCTCATTTCTCCCACTCAGGAACAGAAGAGCATCAGTATTCCAAACACATGTAGGGGGACAGGCCTGTGTCCACAGAAGAGGTTTTACTTCCTTGGAAATCCTGCCTTTCTTCAAGGCTGGGTGTTTTGGATAAAATTCCATATTACATGTGAGGACATTTCTCATCTTCTCAGAGTGCAGGCTCTACTTGCTCTCACCCATCCCTGGCTGCTGTGTAGCTCCTGGTCCACAGGGGAGACTGGCAGGTCCTGGCCCTGCCAAAGGCTCTCAGTGGGCTCTGGGGACCCAGGAGGCACCGGCTTGGGGGTCCCATGATGGCAGTGCCAGAGAATTGGTGTGGCCCAAGGCCTCTGGGCTGACCCCAGAGCTTCCCACAGGCCCTGGCCCAGATACAGTGCATTTGTTGATTGAACAAATGAACACACATTAATATTCAGTAAATAACGCCAGGGGTGAGGTCGTCCACTTCAGCACATTCTTCAAATAATTGAAACCCCATCAATTCACATTAACATTTTTCACCTGGCCTCTTCAGCAGAGGCAGAGGCACTTACTCATCAGCGTTCTGATTACAGGCAGGGCCGCTGATGCCTTCGAGAGCCTTTCTGGGGAGACACAGTCAACAAAGAAACAAGCAGACCTTGGGTGGGAGACAGTGGCTGATGCAGTGAGCAAAGTGCCCCCAGTGCCTCCCCTGGGGGTCCTGCGGGATCCCGCCCCAGCAGGCCCCAAGCTGCAGGACCCTGGACACACAGCTGAAGGCCCAGCCGGGGGCAGGTGGCCTCCCCAGTGCCTCACCCATGGCCTCCTCCCTCTGGGCTGTCACCGGGCAGCCGCCTCTTAATTAGCAAAATAAACAGCATGATGATAAATGTCATGATTTACTCAACAAATGTGAAAATCATTGTTTTTGCAGACCCCACGGCGAGCAAATGCGCTCACGGGTGATTTCCTCCAGGCAGGTGGGCTTCGGCGGCGACCGGCGGGGCGTGGTATTTGGGAAGAGACTGAGCCCGGCTGTGTCCAGATGGAGGAGGCCAGGAATTTCGGGTGCACTTCCTGACAAGCCCCCTCCCTGAGATGAAGCCCAGGGGGCCGTTTCCACACACCCCTGGGGCACACACACAGCCATGCACAGAGTGAGCCCCCAGGTCGGGGGTGGGGCATCTGACTCAGGGCACAGCTCAGGATGCCTCGCAGCACCCAGGAACAAAGCGGGTTTAGTCAGCGACTATTCCTAACACACAGGAGGGAGAGAGGAGGGGGCGGCCCTCCCAAAAGCGTCAGCCTCAGCGTAGAAGGAATGCAGGCTTCCGACCAGCAACTGAGGCCGGAGGAAACTCAGCTCCCGACCCCCAGCCTCATTCCTGCGTTGCTAACGGAAAGCTCCCACTTAAAGTAAGGCTGCCCCACGACCTTGAAGTAAGGCTGCCCCACGACCTTGAAGTAAGGCTGCCCCACGACCTTGAAGTAAGGCTGCCCCACGACCTTGAAGTAACGCTGCCCCACGACCTTGAAGTAAGGCTGCCCCACGACCTTGAACCCAAAGCTCGTGGGTGCCTCACGTGCTGCCCGCCCCATCTCTCATCCCCAGGGAGTCATGCTGTCATCTACATCGGCCCCATGTCAGGGAGAGAAGAGCCCCTGACCCTCCCCAGTCATCCCAAAGCCGAGGGTTGCCTGGCACTGTGTCTCTTGCTATACAAAGAGAAAGGAAATTGGACCTTCTCATTTTATTTCAACTGAATTCTCCAGAACAAGAACTTTGTTCTCAGAGTAGAAAGAAAATGGTTTCCATGGTGTCCCAAAATGACAGTAAGAATAATCCACGTGACTTTTATTTCAAACCTATCCTTCAAGAGACGCGCACCCTGTTCCTGCAGGGGCTGCTGCCTGGTGAGATCCCTTTGCTCACGCCACTCCCAGACCCCCTCTCCTCCAGGGGAATCCCACTTCTGAGCTCAGAGTGGCCACAACACCGTGCTCTAGGCCAGCACGGAGGGAGGCCAAAATGACACCGATCCTTCTTGGATTTTGCTTGTTATCTTTACTAAAATATCTTTACTTGTTCTTTTTCAGTAAATAAATACCGTGGACATTACAGTAAAGTCAAATCACTCTGATTCATAACACTTAATTACCAGTGTGAAAGTGAACAATTATACATATGAAATTCAGGACCATCAGAGACGACACGCACGCATGGGTTGTCCCAGGCCTGACCTGGGATCTTGCTGGCGTGACGCTGGCACCCATGTTTTTCTCTGTCCCAGGCCTGACTTGGGATCCCCCTGGCGTGACGCTGGCACCCATGTTTTTCTCTGTCCCAGGCCTGACTTGGGATCCCCCTGGTGTGATGCTGGCACCCATGTTTTTCTCTGTACCAGGCCTGCTCTGGCCGAGCTCACTGCAGGGGCATGGAGGAGAAGGGCTAGCAGGGCCGCTTGTTGGTGTGAGTGGCTTGGGAAGGGGACTCAGCAGAAGGTCCTTCTCGTGTCTGGAACTACAGAGGGATCCCAGCCCTGAAGCCTGGTGTTCCCGTCCCGTCTCAGGCCCCTGTTCACGGCACTTGGAAGACAGGCCAGGCAGTCGGCAAGAGGAAGAAGTCCTCAGAGAAGGAGTCACCCGCAAGTCACTTCTCCCTCCGGGGCCACCTCAGGGAAGGCAAAAACCAGGGGGAAATAGCAATCAGCTCTTTCGGGACAGGTGGAAAATTCTGGGAAGGCTGCTTAAGGGTAAGATGTCAGTTTTCCTGCCCAAAGGCCCCAACTGAGGTGGCTGGAGGTGGGGAGAAACCTCCTTGATTGACGGACATCATTCATTTCAGGCAGAGGTGGCTGCCACTTAATTCCCGCCCCCTGCTTCCTCCTCTCTCTCCTTCTCAGAGGAGGTGGTGGCTTCCTGCCCAGTTCCAATGTCAGCTCCCGAAGGCACCGACGCACATGGCTGCCCCCCGTCCCATCTGATAGAAGCAACAAAACTCAAAGGTGGTCCCAAAGCCAGGGAGTCGGTGCCCGAACTCGCAAGGAAAACAAGGTCAGGCGAGATCCTGCCGGGTGCGCGGGGAGCACCGTTTGAGGGCGTCGGGGGGAGAGTAAATATTTCTAAGCGCCGGCAGGAGGGGTATCTGTCAGGTGGCCACCGTGGAACAAAGCCCTCCGCAGAAACGGGAGGTGCGCCGTGAGGAGAGCGCGTTCCCTCACGTACACACACACCCGGGATAAACACACCACAAAGTCAACAGGCACCGGCAGGCAGTGGCGCAGTCTGCGCTGGGCCTGGCACCACGCGGACATGGTGATACGGGCCATTTCTTTAAAAAAAAAGCAAATAGAAACTTGTATCAGAGTAGACAAGAACAAAGTCACCTGAAGGTCATCCAAAGTGCTACCTGCAGGGCCCCTGGACCTCTCACATCCACAAGCCACCTCCTGATTACACAGTCCAGACCTTTCTAAGTGTGACGGACAAACACCCTTGAATTCCCCTCCCACACACCAGGCAGGGAGGGACAGGCCACTTCTGCCAAAGTTACTTTCACTGCACAGCCAAAGATGAATATTGCTAGAAAAATGCTCTCCTTGGTCCCATGAGGGTCCTGTAGGGCCATGAAGCTGGGCAGTGTCTCCACTGAGGTCTTCGACTCCAAACTCTCTCCCTGTCCTGCTTCACTGGGGCCCCTGGCCCTGGCCAGTCTCTCCCGAAGGTGACCCGACCTTGGGCCCACACACACTGTCCTCTGCCTCTCGTTGGGGGGGTACGCCCGTTCCACAGGGGCTGCCCGTAGAGCTGCAGCTTCCACCCTGCTTGACGGCCGCAGACTCTGCCGCACGTTTCTTCAGGCACCGGGACCCCCACAGCTCTGTAAAGGGCTGGGGGGCTTTAAGCTGACACTCAGGGAGTAGCTCCTGAGTCTCCCTATATCCTTGACAAGGAGCCACACAGGACTCTGTGAGCTACCAAGGACCACATCTGCCTGCTGGGAGCTGCCAAGGTGCCCTGGTCTCCTTGCCCAGGGAGGATGCACTCAGCTCTGCAGCGTGCGGGGCAGCCTCTGGTCCCCAGGCCGTCGGTGTTCTTACAAAGGGCTCTTAATGCCGCCAGCCCGGGGAGGTGCTCAAGGGCTGCTGGAGGCCACAGGAACCTCCCCACGGCCTGTCTGAGTTGGGGCAGGCCTGACAGTGAGCATGGACCTGGCTGGGGACTTCTCCAGAGCCACGAGCCACCAGGAGAGCAGGTGGGCAAGACACAGGACCCTGCCCCCACCCGTCTGGGGATCCTCTTCCCTGCTCAGGCCATTTGCCCATGAGGAGCCCACCTCCATCCGGGCACTCCAGAGGCTGGGAGGCACAGGGGGAATCCGACTGGTGTTCCCATTTTCCACCCAGGCAGGGGCCCTGCCAAAAATACCACCGACAATTGGCTGCGTGAGGCCGGCAGAAGGGCCAGGGCCCACCAGGAAGTGCACTTTTTGTGGGGGGGTGGGGCTGTTAGTCCCCCTAGGACCACTCAAGGGACCCCAACACCGGGGCCTAGCGTCCCTCACAACCTGGGCAGGACACTCCGGGTGCTTCCCTCTCAGAGCCGTCCCAGGGACGCCCTCTCTCCTGACCCCTGCAGCAGGATCACCAGGCCAGCTTCAGACCCTCAAGGCCAGTCACGTCGTGGTGGGAAAATTTAAACAGCCAGCCATCCCTCCCTGGCAGGTCGGGGCCTGTGCCCCTGGAGTTGGAGAAGCTGAGGCTGCTCTTAGGCCACTGGCTGACCGGGGCAGGCGGGGAAGACGGCAGCCGGGGCAGCGTGGCCACCAGGTGTGATTTGTGAGCGGCTCCACACTGCCCTGGCCTGGAATGAAGCCCTGGAGTGCAGCTGCCTGTTCTGGGACTTCCTATTAATCTCCCTGCCCTGCCGCGATGGCAGTGTTCGCGCCTGGGATCCGGCGGGAAGCACGGGATGTTTTAAGACATGAGCTCATGAAAGACACATTTCCGGGAGAGAGTGGGCGTGGCCTACAGGGCTGACAGGCACCCACGAGGACCTCTGATGCTTTCTGAGTCGCATCAGGCGAGCTGCAGGATAAAATAGGCTGGGAAATGTGACATTTGAACGCTCTCTCTGGCCGCGCCTCCCGCCTCGGGCAGTGGCTGCTCAGCCCGGCTTTATAAATAGATTGAACACAAGATAAATGGCCGTGATCAATCATACTCAGGCGCGATCGCTCACCTCCCATCCGAAGTCTGTCTCCTTTGCCGCCGCCCGGGGCACCACCACGCAGGGGCCCAGCCTCTCCCCGGCTTCCATCTTCCTCTTGGCCCAGACCCCCAGGCCAGCCCCTGGGATGGAGGACTCTCGGAGCTCGAAGTCTGCTGGGATCGGAATGTCTTCAGGAATGTAGACAGGGGCCTCGTACGGCGAGCCCTCCTTGGGGGTGAAGTCCTCGCTGGTGGGGAAGGGGGACGGTGGCCCCACGGGGATGGGCGACATGGCACTGTCCTCGGCCTCGTCCTCCGCGCTGTGGCTGGCCAGCAGGTCCCGGTTGGGCTCATACATATTATTTACAACGTCACCGTCACCTAAAGGAGACAACGCAGCGTCAACCTCTGCAGCACGTGCCCCACCCAGTGTGTACAGCTCAGGGAGCGCCGGGGACTCGGGCATCAATGGGCACCGAGGGTGCTCAGGGGCCCAGAAGGCCCGGCTGCCACCCCTGCCCGGGAGACGCTGCCTCCACTCTGCCCTGAGCCCAGCTGCCATCACTCGATGTCAGAGGCTCCAGAGGATGGGATCCTACCAGGCTCCTTTGGGGCCAACATTTCTGATGGGATGGCACAGCCCGACACACCCTGGCTCACCCACCCTGGCTCCCACAGCCACCTGAGGATGCGCCGGGTGGTCCTGCCCTAAGGGAACTAGGGAAGGAGCTGCCTGTGCCTTGCAAGCCTGGGGACAGCCGGTGAAGCCGTCACGCGTGGCGGCTGACCCAGGGCTGGCTGATGGTGAAATATTTGCACCAGAACATTCCAAATGTCCTCTATAGCCTTGGAAATCAGGGACGGCAGAAGTCCTAAGTGCCTGGGAGGACTCAGAGTTTGGGTGAATGTGAAATGTGCTCAGTGCTGCTTCCCTGCACTTGGGCTGCAGCCTGGACATCCCTGCACTTGGGCCGCAGGCTGGACATCCCTGCACTTGGGCCGCAGCCTGGACATCCCTGCACTTGGGCCGCAGCCTGGGCATCCCTGCACTTAGGCCACAGCCTGGACATGCACTGGGGTAGGGCTGGCTGGGTCTTGGGGAGGCTGGTGGAAGTTCCTGATGATCTCGACACAGGCTAGGAACAGGCCTGCTGAGGTCATGGATATCGGACTCATGGGGCCCCAGGTCACTGAACTAAGCAATGAGAGAGTGCCCAGTTTTTCTGTCTGGGATAGGCCTTTGGGGTCCGTCCTAAGAGAGGATGGGTGCCAAGATAGTGTGTGTGTGCAGCCGAAACTATACCAGATTGTAGCCTGAGGCACCAAGGGAGATGGGCAGGGCGAGGAGGAGTCTGGACAGGAAGAAAAGCAAAGCCCTCCACCCAGTGCAGCCAAATCAGGACTCAGGCAGGCGAATGTTCACAGTGGCAGATTCACCATCGCCAGAAGGCAGAAACAGCCCAAATGTCCGTCTGCGAGGGAATGAGGGAACGGATGAGTAGTGGACGGTACCTCCCCTCCCCAAGGAGGAAGGCGGCCTGGACCAGCCTGGGACATGCGGCACTCGGCGTAGGAAGCCGATGCAGAGGGTCACACCTGTGGCACCACCCCTCCCCAAGGAGGAGGGCGGCCCTGGCACGCGCAGCCTGGACCAGCCCCCGACATGCACCACTCGGCATAGGAAGCTGATGCAGAGGGTCACACCTGCTTGGCGGCATTTAGACGACTCATCCAGCACAGGCCCCCAGAGACAGAAGCAGATGGGAGATCTCGGGGACTGGGGTGGGGGTGACAGCGAGAGGCCCAGGTCTCCTTTCGGGGTGATGAGGTGTTTGGAAACTAGAGAGGGGGTGGTCGCACTGCTGGGTGAACGGCTCACTGCCACTGAATCGCCCCCTTTACAGAGGTTGAATTCTGCCTCGATAACATAAAAAAGGCAGGCGCGAGTGTTAGGTGGGGAGCAGCGGGAAGGGACAGGAGGTGGGGTGAGCTCCGTCACCCTGACCTGATCTAGATCTTTCCACGCAAGCCCCTCCTTCTGTGGCTGCCTCGAGGACCCGTGAAAGTGACTGGACCCCGGTCCTGCTGGCCCTCGCCTCCCGGCCCCCGCCCCGCACCCTGTCGTTGGCTGCGGAAACAGAAGCCTCTAAGGAGACCAGAACTTTTAAGTACAGGAAAAATGACTTCAGATTCCTCACACTGGTTGCAAACAGATCAGCACAAGAAGTAGCAAAATGCTTTCTTTCAAAAGAAACCAAAGTCTTGGGGGGAAAAGTCGTAAGGAAAACACTTATTTAATTGATCAGCATTCAGAGAAGTAATTATTATGTTTTAAGTGGCCAACGGGTCCTTTCTAATTGACGCGGCGGATCCTTTCAGAGACGCAGCCACAGAACTGCCGCTGCTGTTCCTCCCCCCTAAAGACCTGAAGTTGTTTAGGTTTGAAAGAACACCCCCATAACCCCCGCCCCGCTGACCGTGTGCAGCAGAAAGGTACATTGGGGGGGGTGGTAATTAACATGGCATCTTGTTATTTGGAACTGGTAACTGCACGGAGCTCGCAAACAAAGTCGGGTTGGAGGCCGAAGCCCCCTCGACGCGCTCCTTAACTCCTCTCGGGCGTGGGCGCCTCTGCCCGAAGGACAAGTAGGAATTAGAACCCCAGGTGTTTCTGGGAGTTCCGCTGGAGCCCGAAGTGGGGCAGCGTCCGCATCAAGTGCATATCCGTTGCAGGGCTCCGTTTAAAACATGGCTTTTTTCTGTTTGAATTCTACTTCCCAAAACCCCTGACCCGCTGGAGGAAAATCAGCGCTTTAAGGGCATGTTTAATTTACTGGCCAAGCAAACAGCTTAGGAGAGAAAGGTAGTGTTTCCTGCTGATTAAAGGCAGGCCTGTGCATTGGGCCCCCGGCCTCCCTTCCCCGGCGGTCACGGGGTTAAGCGATTGCCCACAGCCTCCAGGAAAAACCCGTCTCATTTTGCTGTCCCTGTTGCTGGGGGAGAGGGAGCTCTTCTTTCAAGGGTGGGTGAGAGGAGGGCTAATTCGTGTGCAGAAAACATTTTGAGAAAATGAGGTGCAGAGAACAGCCCTAAAGCCCGGAGAAAGCGGGAAGCCTGCACGGAGGCTCCAGCAGGCCAGGCACAGATCACTCGCTCTCTGGGGTCCCCGGAACAACCGGAGCCGGGAGATCAGAGTCAGCCCTTCTCCACCCTGAGCTCCGGCCAGGATGCCCCCGAGAGGGTCAGCAAGTTCAGGAGGCTGCCCGACCCTCTGCCCTGCTGGACAGGCTTGTTCTGGACGTGGGCATCTTTTCACTGGCCTACCACCCAGGCCTCTGTGACACAGGTGTGCATTTCCAGCAGGCACTCTCTCACAGGTCAGTGTGCAGGGCCAGGATCATGTATGACTTTGGAGATGCAGGCTGGGTAACAGCGTGTGATTGACTTGTCAGGAGACCTGACATCCTTTATTTGGGATTTGCCATGATCTCATTCCAGGGTACTGAGGCCATCATTTCTAGAATTTCTATGGGGAGACCTGTGGAATTATAAAAGCAAGGAGGGGAGTGGGGAGGCAGGGAGCTCGGGAGGGAAGAGGTGGACTTGGCTGGAAGGGAGCTGAGTGACCCCGAGTTGGGGCCAAGGCCACCCCTTTCTGCCGTGAAGCACCTCCCGATCTGCCAGTTCCAGCCGAGTCTATGTGCTTGGGGATCTTCACGGAGAGGCCCTGCTTTGAGTCTTGTCACACACACGTATGAGCGATCGTCATTTGATCGCATAATACAGGTAAGGGAGGTGAAGAAACCCTGCTGCTGCCCCGGGCTGGGACAGAGACCGAGCTGGCTGGGAGCCCACGGTGACCTCTGCCCCTCGCATTGCCCCTGGGCTCCACCACAACCCTTGGTTTAGGGCTGCGTCTATTTCAGCCTTACAGTGGGAGCCTTCAGCACCCCTCACCCAGGCTATAGGAAATGATCCTGGAACAGAGGCCACCCCCACCATCTCCCAAGAGACCCATATCTAGAAAGCAAAGCTATGGCCAGGGTCTTGGGGTCTGGAGAGAGCGAGAGAAGAGGCCACAGATCAGGACCACTGTGCTAAACCGGCCAGGACAGGAGCCCAACAGCCAACAGGGGATCCCTCACCACCGTCCACCTGCCAGGGCCACACGAGCAGTGCCCTCAGAGGGGGATTACCAACACGACGACCCCTTCCCCGCAGCCCGAGCGCCGAGCGGCTCTGTGTCAGGGATGGGCAGATTTCAGCCTAGATTCTTGGCCAGAGGGAGTACAAGGGGGTTTTTCGGAGTCGGTATCTGCCTGGCTGTGCTTCCTCCTTCATCATGTGGTTTTAAAGAGAAGCCATGAGGCCTGCAGGCCCCACTGGGCAGGAAAGAGGCACCGTGTGGTGGCTGGCAGGGAAGGGCGGCCCCCAGAGTGCGTGTGAATGTGAGCATCCCATGAGTATCCGTGTGTAAGCATGTGTAAGACAGTGTGTGTAAGCATGTGACTGCATGTGTAAGCATGTGACTGCATGTGTAAGGCATGTGTAAGACTGTGTGTGTAAGCATGTGTAAGACCATGTGTAAGACTGCGTGTGTAAGACCGTGTGTAAGACTGCGTGTGCAAGACCGTGTGTAAGACTGCGTGTGTAAGACCGTGTGTAAGACTGAATGTGTAAGACCGCATGTGTAAGACCGTGTGTAAGACTGCATGTGTAAGACTGCATGTGTAAGACTGTGTGTAAGACCGTGTGTAAGACTCCGTGTGTAAGACCGTGTGTAAGACTGCGTGTGTAAGACCGTGTGTAAGACCGTGTGTAAGACTGCGCGTGTAAGACTGTGTAAGACCGTGTGTAAGACCGTGTGTAAGACTGCATGTGTAAGACCGTGTGTAAGACTGCATGTGTAAGACCATATGTAAGACCGTGTGTAAGACTGCGTGTGTAAGACTGCGTGTGTAAGACCGTGTGTAAGACCGCTTGTGTAAGACTGCGTGTGTAAGACCATGCGTAAGGCTGTGTGTAAGACTGCGTGTGTAAGACCGTGTGTAAGACCGTGTAAGACTGCTTGTGTAAGACCGCGTGTGTAAGACTGCGTGTGTAAGACCATGCGTAAGGCCGTGTGTAAGACTGCGTGTGTAAGACCGTGTGTAAGACCGTGTGTAAGACTGCTTGTGTAAGATTGCGTGTGTAAGACCGTGTGTAAGACTGCGTGTGTAAGACCATGCGTAAGGCCGTGTGTAAGACTGCGTGTGTAAGACTGTGTGTAAGACCGTGTGTAAGACTGCGTGTGTAAGACCGTGTGTAAGACCGTAAGACTGCGTGTGTAAGACCGTAAGACCGCGTGTAAGACTGCGTGTGTAAGACCGCGTGTAAGACTGCGTGTGTAAGGCCGCGTGTAAGACTGCGTGTGTAAGGCCGTGTGTAAGACCGGGTGTGTAAGACCGCGTGTAAGACTGCGTGTGTAAGACCGCGTGTAAGACCGCATTTGTAAGACCGCGTGTAAGATCGTGTGTAAGACTGCGTGTGTAAGACCGAGTGTGTAAGACTGCGTGTGTAAGGCTGCGTGTGTGGCTGCGTGTGTAAGGCTGCGTGTAAGACTGCGTGTGTGAGGCCGTGTGTAAGACTGCGTGTGTAAGGCCGTGCGTAAGACTGCGTGTGTAAGCAGAGGGCCCTGTTGGGAACCTGAAAAGGTGTCCAGGGCAACCTCAGCTGACCCCAGCCTCTATGCGGCCTCTGGGTTGGGAAACGCTGTTTCTCTTCTGTCTGGAGACCCCTCAGGAGGAAGGGTCTCCCGTCTGCTGGGTGAGGGGCTGAAGTTCGGGCCCCCTTGCCTCCCTCCCTCAAGGGCAAGGCAGCGAATGGCGCTCGGCTGCCCCGGGCTGCCCTCGTCTAGGCCCCATGCGGGTTCCCTGGGGGCCTCCTGATGCTGGCCTGGGTCTTTACTTTTGCGGCCCTCGGGCCCTGTGGGGACTCGGTCCCACCCAGCTGCACACCTCTCTATGGGGCCAAGATGTGGTCCTGGAGATGCCCAAGATGGGACCCACCGGGAGAAACTGCGCCAAGGGCAGGCTGGCCTCTACGCGGCGTTTCTTACAACTGCACACCCAGCCACGTGATTTCAAGGAACATTTCAGTGGAAAGAACACCCACTCCAAAAATCTACGGTTCCTCACTCCACCTGTGTGTACGTGGATGTGTGATTACTTCAGGCCTGTGAGTTTACAGCAGAACATACTTCATGATTCCTGCCCGGCTCCGAGATACCTTGTCTTGGCCTGGGGGGTGGGAGGAGCTGCTTAAAACAAACAAGCAAACAAACAAAAACAAAAAACAAAAAACAGAAACAACAGAAATAACTGTGGAGGGTGGCAGTAGGTGCTTCTGATCAACCTGAGAAACACGAGGGAATCCTTTGCTGTGCAGTTCCCTGAAATGTCACATTTCAGAAAACCTAAGGTCAAAAGTATGAGACGGAAGGGACAGGAAAGTCCAGGGATAACGATTCTGCGCTGCAGACCACCAAGAACCTTGTCATTCGTTAATGTCTTTGTCATGATGGAGCAAACAAATCCGGTGGCAGCCTGGGGAAGGTCCACCGTGATAGGAACAGGGACCCGGGAAAGCAGGGGTGACCCACACTCAGGCCACAGATCTCTGGGCTTTGGGAACCGTCTCTCTAACCAGAAAAGCTTGTACGAGATCACTCGGGGCCGGATCACCTTGGAATCTTCCACACCCTCCAAGGAGGCTAGTGCCTGGTGAGCAGGGCAAGGCGGAGGCCAGCGAGGTGCCAGGATGCAGGTGCCCGGCCTTGAGAGCGGGCGGCCCCTTCAATCTGCACCACGGTGCCATGCGGGCCTGCTGGGTTGGCAGCCGGGTGGGCACTCGGGGGCCCTTTTCTCTCCCTCATGCTGCCTGATGGATCTGCCACCCCACAGCAGGTTTCTCAGCCTGTTTCCAGGTGTTGGGACGGATGTGATGTCACAGCCTCTCAGGTGCCCGCATCCAGCCATGTGGACCAAGCAGTGAGTGGCTCTGGAAGGAGGGTGTGCTCCTCCCTCAGGGGAGCTGCCCACTGTACAGCTGGGGAAACAGAGGCACAGGGGGGTGAAGGAGCCTGTCATCCCCCAGTGAGGGGCTGAGGGCTGGAACCACACCCACTCCTGAGTCCACGCTCCCTGCCCCTGACACCCAGCCTGTCCATGCCCTGGGGCACAAGCGCTCTGACCCCAGTCCTGGCCCTGCTGGCCTCTCTGCCTCACCCTAGTCCAGGCGGAGCCCTCTTATTTTGGTTGGGATCGGCTACACATTCCCCACAACCATCAGGCAGAGAAGTCCAGAGCAGAGAGAATATGTGTGGTGGGCGCCATATGGGCACTTTCAAAACCGGGGAGAGCCCTGGATGGGGTTTGTCTGAGTTCCTCCAAGGCCCTGACAGTAACATCAGGCCTCAAGGCCCGTGAAAGGTGCAGCATCGGGTCACCCCCTTCTCTAAACCCGCAGGGCCAGGGCCAGCCCAAGGGAAGGGCTGGGCAAGGTGTTTGGAGCGAGGTGGGACCGGAAGGTTTTAGAGGTTGGGTGGACCCGGCTGTGGGTTTCAGCCCCTGTGGCTCAGGAGTCTGAGTGGAGTCCCCGCCAGCAGCCCCTGCATCCCCTGAGGACTTGCTAGACCTGTAATTCACAGGTCCACCCAGGCCCACTGACCTGGGGCGGGGCTGGTGTGTGCAGGCAATCGGTGCTTCAGCAAAGCCTCCAGGAGGGGTGCCCTCAAGGAGCAGGGCCCTCGAGTTTGGGAAGTGGGTGGTGGGGACAGATGGGGAAGTGCTGAGTGACAAGGGTGCATCCTGGGGGAAACAGGGTTTAACAGAGGGAACTAGGCTTTTCTAAAATGTCGAGAAGATCGCTCTGAAAATGTGGACTGAAACCCTTATTGACCCTGAGGTTTTTCAAGTTAAGTACACACGTTTGCCACCCAGGCGGAGAAAAGCAAGCGGCAGCCTCCAGGAGCCCCGGCCTCCGGGAGAACAGCAGCTGGGCTGCAAAGCACTTTTCCCATCCAAAGCCTTCCCAGGAAGACGTGGCTGTTAAAGAACCACCTCTCCGCAGAGCTCGGTTCTGGGTTTGGGGCTGTGCGGAGGTGAGGGAGGCAGACGGAAGCCTGCGGGAGGGAGGGGAGATTCGCCAAGAATTTCAGAAGGACTGTGTTCGAGACGCCCCTTACCTGTCTGTGTAGATGTGGCCTCCAAAAGCTTCAAGTCTAAAGCTGCCCCTGCAACTGCTTTCTCTCATGAAAGGCGTTTTTTTATTGGGTGTGAGGGGACCAAACCCTTGCCGTCTTATTGCCACGTGCTCCTCATCGTCCCTAATATCGCTGGCAGGGGGAGGATCCACTCCTCAGCTCGCCAAACACCGGGCCATCATTCTTGTAAAACCCAGCCATGGCCGAGCCTTGCAAGTCTGTTTTTAACTTCAGTCTCCTGCCCAGAGGCAGCAAGACGCCGCGGCCTGGCGTCTGCCAGAAGGGTCTTCCTGCTCCAAGGAGCTGTGCTGGCCTGCTCTGAAAGAGGCAGGACCCAGCACGAGGCAGCTCTTCCCCAAAGGCCACCTCGAGATGTGAACGCCTGAGGTTGCATTCAGTCTCACCTGGCCCATCCAAAACAGTATCTAAACTTACTGATCAGTTCAGGCCAACATATAAATGCAATTACAAAGGGAGGCAAAACTTCAGGACAGAGAACGCCTCCATCACAACTCCAAGACTGTGAGGAAACATGGTCCCTGGTTGACCACACAGCTGTTCGATTCTAGAATGATTCCAGGAGCAACTTTGGAGCAATCAGCCTCTAATCAGACAATAGAGCACTGACGTTGGCTCGCTCTCCTGGGGACTGGCCGGCTGCTGATATTGACTGGGCCGCGGAGCATGCAGCCGGCACTGTGGTCCAGCTCATTCTTGCAGCAGCCCTGGAGGGAAGGTGGAGTTGTGACCTCACCCAGTTTATACATCAAAGAAGTGAAGCTCAGAGAGTGAGCAACTTGCTCAATGCCACACAGCTAGTCAGGAACGAGCTGGGAGATGTTCAAACAGTCTTGATTTCGAAGCTTCTCAAACGCCACTCTAACGACCCCGTGTTCTCCCTACAATGACAAAACACCTGAAACAGTTTCCTGGCAGTCAGTAAGGGCCTTCGTCATGTCCAGCAGAAGAGGTATGGGTGGGAGTGTGAATAGATGCTTGATAGATGGATGGAGAGATAAATAGCTGAATGGATGGGTGGGTGGGTGGATGAATTTACGAATGGATGGAAAGATTGATAGATGGGTGAATAGATGAATAGATGGATGAGTGAATGGATGGGTTGGTGGATGGGTGAATGAATGGAAGATGGTGGATGAATACATAGATAAGTGGATGAATGGATAAGTGTATAGATACATGAGTGGATGGATGAGTTAACAGATGGATGAGGGGATGGATGGATGGATTAGTGGATGGAAGGAAAAATGGATGGATGAGTGCTGGATGGGTTAATGGATGGATGAATGAATGAATGGGTATGTGAATGAATGGGTGGATGGATGAGTGGATAGATGGGTGGATGGATGGTTAGACGGAAGGAAGGAAGAATGGATAGATGAATGAGTGCATGGATGGGTTAATGAATGAATGGATGAATGGATGGGTGGGTGAATCAAGGGGTGGATAGATGGATGGATTTATAAGGGGATGGATGGATGGAGGGATGGATGGAAGAATAGATGGATGGATGGATGGATGGATGGATGGATGGATAGATGGACAGATGGTGGATGAATGCATAGATAGGTGAATGAATGGCTGGATGGATAGATGAGGGGATAGATGGGTACATGGATGGATGGATAGATGAATGGATGATGGATGGATGGACAGAAGGAAGGAAGAATGGATAAATGAATGAGTGCATGGATGGGTTAATGAGTGAATGGATGAATGGATGGGTGGGTGAATCAATGGGTGGGTGGATGGATGGATGGATGCAGCCTGGTGTCTGCCAGAAGGGTCTTCCTGCTCTGAGGAGCTGTGCTGCCCTGCTCTGAAAGAGGCAGGACCCAGCATGAGGCAGCTCTTCCCCAAAGGCCACCTCAAGGTGTGAATGCCTCCAGGAGAACAGGGGATGAATGGATGGAGGGATGGATGGAAGAATAGATGGATGTATGGACAGATGGATAGATGGATGGATGGATGGATGGATGGACAGATGGTGGATGAATGCATAGATAGGTGGATGAATGGCTTGGTGGATAGATGAGGGGATAGATGGGTAAATGGATGGATGGATAGATGGATGGATGGATGGATGGATGGATAGATGAATGAGTGCATGGATGGGTTAATGAAGGAATGGATGAATGGATGGGTAGGTGAATCAATGGGTGGATGGATGGATGGATGGATGGTTGGATGGATGGATGAGGGGATGGATGGGTGGATAGATTTATAAGGGGATGGCTGGCTGGCTGGCTGGCTGGCTGGCTGCATGGATGGATGGGTGAGTGAGTGGATGGATGGATGGGGTAAGGGCAACCTCCAGGGCAGTTTCCAACAGAAGAGGTAGAAGGCAGGAGCCTCACTCCCACTTCTGACTTTCCTTCCCTAGCCGTGAAGCTCCATTAACACAACCCTGGCTCCTCTCTGCCCTTGACCCTGATCGGCTCATCTGAGAGGAACGTCTGGGCTTTCTCAGCCAGGCCCTGCCTCGGAGAAAGGGCTGGTTTCTCTGCTGCTTCTTCAGGGCTGACCGGCTGTCACCCTCCCTGCACCCATGTGGCGGGTGGGCAGGTCTGAGTTCTGGGACTTGGCCGGAGCTGTGCCTGGCTCCACGGGACTGCAGCTTCCACCTGAGGCTTGTTGGGGCCCCATCCTCTGGCTCCTCTTTTCCTTCTCAGAACCAAGCAGGGAGGAGTGCTGTGTAGTGGGTCAGAGACCTGGAGAATGTTCCCCCAACTGGGTGCCTATGAGTCCCCATGAGCAGTGAAGGGCCATCCTGCCCCCTGAACAAAACAGGGAGAGGGAGAGGTGGGCGCATCAGGCAGGCTGTGGTTGTGGGAGAGCTGATCGGGGAGAGCAGGCACGCACGGAGGCAACTTCTAGAGAAAAAATAGGGTGTTCCCATTCCTCACAGAGGATTCTGTACACCTACATCTCTGCCGAGTATACCCTGGTGAACAGAAGGCCCTTCTTCAGTGGGAGGGCTCCTGGAGCGGCAGGGTCATCCTGAAGGCCCCTTCCCAAAAACAGTTTGCTAGAAAGAGAAACTTGGGAACTGATGGAGTTCTATCTTGTTCTTCTGTCTTTAAAACTGTGCGGTAAAGGCAATAGCTTCTCCCCTCGCCCTGGATCTTGGCTTTGAGACAAGAACAAAGCTGTCGTAACTCCAGGAAATGGTGCTAGGAGGAGCCTTGGCCGCTGGTCCCACCTTCTGACCAGCCCGGGACCGCGGCTGCCCTGCGGCACTGGGACTCATTGGCATTCCCCTTCTGAGCGTCTGTGCCCAGAACCAAGCGGCCGCTATTAACACAGCAGATTGATAGCACTGAGAAAGCCGTTTCTGCAAACATGCTAAATATTAATATGATCAATTGCCGTTTCTATCTCAAACCTGCACCCGGGACCTGGCCCACAGAGACTGGGGAACGTTGAACCCCAGCTGCAGGGCTGATGAAGCCGAATTGTCATTAGGGCCCGGGAGAGCCTGGGAAGACGGAGCCCTGACCTCAGAGACAGGCTCCCAGCCCTCTTGGAGCCACCGAAGCACAGAAATTTCCCCAGCAAAGAGGTGGGGCTTCCTGCCTTATCTCCCCAATCCTGACCAGATGCAAACCCCCAGCCTGGCTACCTTCACACACACTCGCCTTTGTCGCAGACACGGAGGGAGGCAGGGACAGTCCACAGTGCTGCCTTCACTTTAGAGATGAAGGAAGCAGATTGAGACCCACTCCAGGGCTTGTCCAGGTCACACAGCAGGCAAGCACAGACCCTGCCCTTCTGACTCAGGGAGTCTCCACCAGCCCCCACTGTCACCCAGGCTGGCCAGCGGCTCCCAAGACTGTAACCAGTTGAATGATGTCACCCCAAAAGGTGCATTCAAGCCCTAACCCCCAGGCCTCAGAATGTGACCTGATTCGGAAATAAGGTCTTTATAGTGGTAATCAAGTTCAGGTGAGGTCACTAGGGAGGGCCCTAATTCAATGGGACTGATGTCCTTATAGGACAAGGAGAAGGACACAGAGACATGCCCAGGTGACACCCATATGATGACAGAGGCAGGGATTTGCCCCGAGCCAAGGAATGCCTGGAGCCACCAGAAGCTGGGAGAGGTGAGCGGGGACTCTTCCCCTAGGACCTCCAGAGGGAACAAGACCCTGTCCACAGCCTGGCTTTGTGTCTCTGGCCTCCGGAGTAGGAGCACACCCTTCGGTTGTTTCAGTCCATCCAGTTTGTGCTCTTTCGTTAAAGCAGACCCAAGACACTCACACAAAGACCAAAGCGACCATAGCACGGGCCATAGCACGGGCCCGGCCGAGAACACATGACCCTCCTTGCCAGCCCCTCTGGCTGTAACGTGCTCCTGGTGCCCTGAAGCAGGTTGTTGGCCCCCTTCTCTCAGAGGAAGAACAAAGGCTTTGCACCGGGAGCATAAACCACCCAGAGGAACCGCATTGCTGAGCACGGAGCCTCGGCCCCATGACAGCCTGGAGGATGTGTGACTGCCATTCACCCCACCAGGGGCCGGCCCTGAAGCTCGGAGAGAAGCACATCCGCTGCCAAGGGGAAGGGCAAACAGCCCCAGCCTCTGCGCAGCCCACGCCTCTGGGGCAGGCGGGTGGGCCTGGCTGCGCTGCACAGACCACCACAAAGTCCCACTGGGGTCCACGAAGCCACTGCCCACGAACGCCCCTCCCAGCCCCTGGAATCTCCCCTGACCAGCCGAGCTGAATCTGGCCCTCACGCAGGGCCACGGAGGCCTCTGTCGGGCAGCTCAGGCCACCTGGCCCTACCTAAAGCCGATGCATTATTCTAAGACGATTATTTATCCGTGCAATGCTCCGGGGACAGCAGCGTTCCCATTTCAGAGCCCGCATCCTGTATTTCCTCGCCGCCTCCATCGCCCCGGGCAGGCGCTGAATGACTCGCGATGCCACTGTCATTTTTATAAAGCCTTGTTCCGGGTAAAAAGCCTCTTTGTTTCAGAGAGATGTGATTTGGCCTTTTTTCTTCCTCTCCTTTATTCCTTGGTTAATATACCACTTCCCTGAGCCCCGGGGGCAGCAAGGTAGCCACGGATTGCTCACATCTCACTGTTTCCCTCCTGAATCACAGCCGAGGCTCCCTGGCCCTGCGCTAAGCAGCATCTGGGCGGCAGCAGAGCGGGGTGCCTCTCCTTAACCCTTCACTGTGCATGCACTGGACCCCTCAAATACCAGGCGGTGTTGGCTCCAAGCACTAGCTCCACGAGCTAAGATCTGGCATCGTGACAGCGTGCTTCTAGAAAGACTGTGGGCAGATACATGTAACATCAAATGTATCATTTCAGTCATTGTTCAGCGCACAGCTCAGTGGCATTAAGCACATTCATGCTGTGCGCTGCCTTCAGTCACCACCACCCATCTCCAGAACTCCTGCATCTCCCCAGAGAGAAAGTCTACCCCACAGACACTCTCCATCCCCTCCCCCAGCCCCGGCAGCCACCATTCTACTTTCCGTCTCTATGCATGTGATAACTCTAGGGACCTCCCGTAAGTGGGATCCTACACTATTGCCCTTTCACAGCCGGCTTACTTAGCTTAGCACAAGGTCCTCAAGTTTCCTCCAGGTGGTGGCGTGTGTCGCCGTTTCCTTCCTTTTGAGGGCTAATAGTCCAGGCATGTGGGTGCCGCCTTTGGCTTGTCTCTTCATCTGTGGATGGACACTGTGGTGTGTCCACATTTTAGCTACAGTGAAGCACACGCCACTGTGGGAAGCACGTGTGAACATGCGTGTGCCGTCTGAATCTACGGCGTGCTCTTAGCATCAACAAAACCCAGGCTATTCCACCCAAGTGAAACGAGGCTCCTGTCAGCAGCCCCACTGCCCAGATCTCAGGGTCTCTGGAAAGCAGGTAAGGTTGACTTCCCCCACCACCCTGGTTGACTCTCATTCCTATAGGCAAGGACAGGGTCTCCTTCCAGCCTCTGTACCTTGGGAGTGGGGTAAAGCCACTTCCACCTTCTGGACCTCAGCCTCCTCCTCTGTAAAACAGGCACGAATCCAACCGGGAAGACCGTGGGGGACGTTCAGAGCCGTATGCCCTGCCCCTCACCTGCATGTGAGTGGGTGATTCTGTTCTCAACTCCTTCTCCACCCTGATTGCTAGGTGGCCCCCACACCTAGGGCAGCTGGCTTGGCAGCCGGCAGGGCCCACAGCAGCATAAGGACATCGTGGAGCCGTTGAGTACCTCACAGCCTCCCGCTGGGCCCAGGGATGCTCCTTCAGCACCGGGGACCCCGTTCTACTGGATCGCAGCTCCCCCGGTGGCGCGGAGGCCGGGGGGCTTGCACCTGGAGCTCGGCTCGCTGCTCCAGGACTTTGTGCTCGGGAGGCGCCTGATCCAAGCAGGGCGACAAGAGGTTCTGGCTGGTGGAGGGCCCGGGTGGCCACAGAGACGAGGGTCACCTCTCACCCGGAGGCTTCCTCAGGCTCTTCCTGGAGGCTCAGCCAGGTGCTTAGGTGTTCTGGAGTCCTGGGGTCCTTCCAGAAAGAGGAAGGAAAGGTTCCATGGAGCCAACCAGAACCCAGAAGGGGCCTGGGCTTGCCAGCCCGAGGAGGGCAGGACAGGAGCCAGCTCAGCTCGTGGCCAGAGCAGATTTGGGGAAGGGCCCCCCAATACACACAGCTGTGTTTCTGCAAACTCGGAGGCTGTAAGTGGGATACCGAGGGCAGAGGAAGGGATGGCCAGTGACCCTGGGATGGCCACCTCTGCCAGCTGCCAGAGCACCTGCGGCACTGAGGGTTTGGAGGGGGTTGCAATCAAGGCCAGCGTCCTCGCAGGAGGCTCTGCAGGCCAGGCCACCCGAGGACAAAGTGCACTCAGCCAGGGCTCGTTCAGAAAAGAAAACACACTCGGAGATTTCTGTTCTCTGCTTCCCTTTCCCTGGCTCTGCCCGGACAGCGAGGAGGAGGAACAAGGGGTTAAATGCTGAGCAAGCGCCGTAACAGCCGACCGCCACCAAACTATTTATAGACTTATTTATCTCTTTAGTTCCTACCAACTGGGCCTGTGGCTGCCGTGCACAGGCCAGAGCAAGTCACGCCGCAAGTAAACAAACGTGGCCCCGAAATAAAAATCGCAAGAGGGAGAGAGGGCCCCGAGCACTGTCAGTCTGGAAGGTGCAGGTCTCCGTGGGGCGCTGAGGGGTGCGGGGTCCCGCTGGGACAGGGGTGCCCCTATCCCAGCCTTCCCTTAGGGACTGCAGCGAGGCTGTGTGGGCTCTCTAGCCAAGACGGGCTGGGGAGGACAGCCTCGTTTGGGCTGGCGCCATCAGCCCGAGCTCTGGGAGCTGAAACACACGTTTCCCCGGTGGCCTGCCTCCACCGTGGCTGCTGCAGACAGAGAAGGCCATGGGCTCCCGACAGCCCTGGCTGCTGGGATGAAAACTGGGGGTTTGCATCATGGGGTGGGGAGGGCACTGTCCATGTCCGTGTGCCTCCAGCCCTGGTGACGGGAGCGGCCAGGACAGCTTTGTTGCCAATGGTGGGTGCAGGCCCTCCCTTCCCCTGCTCCCCCGGGCCCCGCCTCCTCTGGGCACAGAGGCGGGCTGGCTCACTGCCCTGGCCTGGCCTCCCACCAGAGTGGGGGTGGGGAGCTGCGGAGGCTGAGGCCTTTGAGGCCTGACTCCCCGCCCCTCGCAGCCAGGGCAGGGTCTGGGGGCCACCCAGATGCTCCTAGGGAAACTGGTGCCACCTTGGGCTCCGGCTCTCGGGGCCAGGAGGACCCTCCCTGGATAAACTCATTGCCCAGCACCTGGTCCTAATCCACTCGGCTCTGCTCCCTAATTCCCACCCACATGGTGATGGGGCTGCAGTGGAGGGGTGGGGAGAGCAGCCTGAAGGTGCTCCCATCACCCTCAGGTCCAGAGAGCCTGGGACAGCTGCAGCCCCTCTCTGGAAGCCTCACCCCTTCAGGCCTGGAGCGGGGGATCTCTGCACCCCCACCCCGGAAGGGCCTGCAGGCACTCCTGGGGGAAGCAGCCAGGCTGCAGGTGCAGGGCCACCCTGGCCCCCTGGCCGCACTTGCCCTGATGAAGACGTTCATAGTTTTAACCACGGAATCAAGAACTTAACCCTTCCCAGCCCGTCCGCGCTCAGCTGCCCTCAGATTCATTTAGCAGGCCAGCGGCGAGGAAAAAAGAAAGAAAAAAAAAATTCATTAATTTTTATTAACAGGGAGAGCCATTTGTTCCCTGTGACAATATTTGACTTGTCGAAATGATTTTCACCTCTGCCACGAGGTGTGCACAGTCCACATACATCACCCGATTACTCGGAGCGCGCGGGCCGCGGTCATTAGGCAGTGAATTAACGACAGTCCCCCCGCTATTAATCACCCTGACAAAGGCGTTAGCTCGCCGCTGACCCGAGCGTGGCCCATGGACACGGCAGCCAGGGGAGAGGGCCCGAGGCTCGGGGGGAACCAGGGGCTGCGGGGGAGCCCAGCCCTTCCCCACCTGCCCCTTCAAGATCCTGATGGCGTACAGGAGCCAGAGACGGTGGAAGTGGTGCAGGCCCTTGCGGGTGTTGGGGGGCCCGTGGGGGGCGGGCTCTGTTTTTTTTTCTTTAATCGTTTGTTTTCCTCTGTCAGCCTCTTTGTTGAGGAGGTGACAGGGATACTCTGCCCCTCAGCAACAACCCCGGGACCTGGCCTGTTATTATCTCCATTTTATGGATCAGGAAACTGAGGCACAGAGAAGCCAGCACATGCCCCAGGCTGTGCACGGGAGAGGGGTGGGGCTCAAACCCCAGGCCAACAAGCCCCTCGGCCTGCACTCCCACCCCTGTGTGGTATCTTCCAACCCCCGGCCCTGAGGAGAGTCGCTAGGGACGGGGCTCCCATGGCAACCGTAGGGTGTTTCCCTGAGCTCTGGGTCAGCCTCAGGAGTGTTTTCTAACCCTAGGGATTCAGGGTGGTGGGGGCCGGATGGAAGGGCCTTAGGAATCACATTTTTATGAGGTTTGTTTCTTCCCGAGGTTCCAAACCATGGGTTTTGTTGAAAAGAAACAGTAGAAAATCCACACAATACCTCCATGGGCCCATTTAGCATCAGGGCCAGCTGAGGCTCAGAAAGTGTCCAGGGCCACACACCACACTTGTCACAAGCCTTCCAAGTAGAGGCTGGAGACCGCAGCAGCGGCACAGCACAGGGTCTCAGGACGTCCCTCTTACAGGGGTGGGGAGGCTTCTGTTGGACTCATCAGCCTACAGGTTACAGCCCCATGTCCCCTTGCACTGGTCCTGAACCTGCACCCTGGGCGTGGCCACAGGGGTCAGCTCAGGTGGGAGGGGGTGTGGGCAGCAACCACCTGGCTCCAGGAGTAGGCTCGGTAGGCCAGAGCTTCTCATCTGCAGAAGTGGAACGACAGTGGCCACCTGGCAGGGTCCTTCTGAGCATTCCAGGAAATGATGTTGGCAGAGCACTTTCCA
The DNA here is from genome assembly GCF_000001405.40 of Homo sapiens. Taxonomy (NCBI): domain Eukaryota; kingdom Metazoa; phylum Chordata; class Mammalia; order Primates; family Hominidae; genus Homo; species Homo sapiens. Next base: position 3,168,781 of record NC_000001.11, on the reverse strand, counting down.
TGGGCCGGGCAGGTGGCAGGTGGCCCGGGAAACACGGGCCCCCACTCCCTCCTCATTCCCTGACATACTTTAACCATTTTTTGCACATTAATCCAATTAATCACCTTTACATTTTAAAGCAATTTCTTTGCATTAACTTAGGCATCAGATCTGTATTTCGGTCTGATCTAAACCAGGGTATGAAAGGGCGAGGGGCGGGGGTGGGGCGGGAATAGCTGCGGGTCCATTTGTCTTCTTTCTCCGGACTTCTCATTTTTTATGCCTCAGCAAATTTCCTGATTTTCCTCATTAGCAACTAATTTACAAGTCTCAACAATCTTTCCACCTGTTCCTTCCACCGCGGGGGTTGTAAGATTGGAAAGAGCCACTTGCTCACTTGTGTGATGCTGGTTCCAGGGGTTCCAGAAAACCAGGCAGGGGTGGGGCAGGAGGATGGCTGCATGGGAACGGGGGCGATGCCACAGAGGCACTGGGAGGCAGGGGTGGGGCGGGAGGATGGCAGGAGTGGGGGCGATGCCACAGAGGCGCTGGGAGGCAGGGGTGGGGCGGGAGGATGGCAGGAGCGGGGGCGATGCCACAGAGGCACTGGGAGGCAGGGGTGGGGTGGGAGGATGGCAGGAGCGGGGGCGATGCCACAGAGGCACTGGGAGGCAGGGGTGGGGCGGGAGGATGGCAGGAGCAGGGGGGCAATGTCACAGAGGCGCTGGGAGGCAGGGGTGGGGCGGGAGGATGGCAGGAGCGGGGGCGATGCCACAGAGGCGCTGGGAGGCAGGGGTGGGGTGGGAGGATGGCAGGAGCAGGGGGGCAATGTCACAGAGGCGCTGGGAGGCAGGGGTGGGGCGGGAGGATGGCAGGAGCGGGGGCGATGCCACAGAGGCGCTGGGAGGCAGGGGTGGGGCGGGAGGATGGCAGGAGCGGGGGCGATGCCACAGAGGCGCTGGGAGGCAGGGGTGGGGCGGGAGGATGGCAGGAGCAGGGGGGCAATGTCACAGAGGCGCTGGGAGGCAGGGGTGGGGTGGGAGGATGGCAGGAGCAGGGGGGCAATGTCACAGAGGCGCTGGGAGGCAGGGGTGGGGTGGGAGGATGGCAGGAGCAGGGGGGCAATGTCACAGAGGCACTGGGAGGCAGGGGTGGGGTGGGAGGATGGCAGGAGCAGGGGGGCAATGTCACAGAGGTGCTGGGAGGCAGGGGTGGGGTGGGAGGATGGCAGGAGCAGGGGGCAATGCCACAGAGGCGCTGGGAGGAGGCTCCGGGTTGGCACCTTCTTCACCTGTGGCAGGATTCATGAGTGGGAGGCCCTTCGCCCCGGCTGCACATGAGCGCGAATGTGACCCCCGGTGACAAGCATGGGGACCTCCTCCAGCCCCCAGCCACCAGGCCCTCTTGTCCCTAACCCTGAGGCTCTCCCACGCAGGCCTGAATTCCCAGAAAACTGGGAGCAGCTTTGAGTTCTGCGGATGACGGATTTCCGGAATGGCTTTTAACGGGGTCGTTTTCAGAAATTCCTCTCACGTAAAGGGCAACTGCTGGGCTTTGTGTACAGGCTGAAGGCCTGGGAGGGACAGGGGCCTTCACCCTGGCTCCTCCTCCTCTATTTTTCTCTTGATCATATTGTTGGAAAAATCGCTTTCTCAGGCTCCCCGGTGGTAGTAGTAGTAGCCATGTAGACCAGCACCAGCTGAGCCTTCCCTGCCAGGTGCAATCCAGATCGTCCCTGTGTTCGCTCCCTGCACCTCCCTGGGAGTCCTTCTGGGGATGGAGGGCAGTTGGAGGGTGCGTGTTCAGCCTTACTGGACAGTGTCCACCGTGCGTACTCGAGCAAGTGCCTTGAGGTCTCTGGGCCTTGTAGCAGCATCTATGCAGCAGGAGAAAAACAGCACCTGCTTCGTAGGCCGCCGTGAGGACAGAGCAATTGAACCAGGGTGCACGGCCAGCGCCAGACACAGTGAGCTTCATGGCAACTCCAGTTTACCGGTGAGAACCATGGGGCCACTCAGAGAGGCAAAGAACCTCACCCGAGTGAGTCCTCTGGCTTCTCCCCACCTGGGCCGGGCCCCAGGCCGCGCTGTGGTTCCCTTTCCAGCCGTCATCCCTGGGTGATGGGAGGTGGGCATTCTGTTCAACCTTGTGGGTCAGGGAGCCAGGGCCAGTGTGCAGATGAGAAGAGGCTGCGGTTACTGGCGATGCGAGGGACTGTCCCCTTCGTGAGCACTTTCTCTTTTGAGGCCAGTGAAATGTGTTCCCTGGGGTTGTATTCCTGAGAAGGCCTCATTTAAAGGGAGCCGCCAAACCAAGTGGGCTTAGCAAAAGCAGTTTGTCACCTGGCAGCACGTGTGAGCCTCGCCCGGACGCGCCTCAGCGTTTGGCTCTCCTTGCTAGAATTGTCCACGCTCACTGTGGAAAACCTCCGAGGGTTCCCCACGGTCAGACGCCTGGCCTGTGGCACCTGGCAGGGACCCCTCGTGGGCATCGGAGTTGCCTCCGCAGAACGCCCACCACCAGACAGCCCCGTGTTTGAGCAAAGCTCTTCGGGAGCTGTTTCTCATTATTTGCTTGCATCCATTTGATTTTCTCTGCTAAGCAAAAGGCTATGGAAAAAGCCAGGCTTGGAAATCCATGATTTCCTGGCAGTTAATGAATTTCAGCCAAACGGAAAGCAAGGTGAGGTTCCCATGCGCCACTCAGACCCAGGAACAGGAAAGACCAGGGGCTAGGAGGGGCTCGCCCGCCATCCCAGGCCCCCGACATGCCCCAGGGAGCCCCTTCCCAAGCACTTGCTCACCATGCACCTTGTTGGGTCCACAACGGAATGGTGTGGTCACTGGGAGAAAAAAAAGGTGAGTCCCTGTCCCTGAGCCCAGGTGAGTCCCTGTCCCTGAGCCCAGGTGAGTCCCTGTGCCTGAGCCCTGGTGAGTCCCTGTCCCTGAGCCCTGGTGAGTCCCTGTCCCTGAGCCCAGGTGAGTCCCTGTGCCTGAGCCCTGGTGAGTCCCTGTCCCTGAGCCCTGGTGAGTCCCTGTCCCTGGGCCCAGGTGAGTCACTGTCCCTGAGCCCAGGTGAGTCACTGTCCCTGAGCCCAGGTGAGTCCCTGTCCCTGGGCCCAGGTGAGTCACTGTCCCTGAGCCCAGGTGAGTCCCTGTCCCTGAGCCCAGGTGAGTCCCTGTCCCTGAGCCCAGGTGAGTCCCTGTCCCTGGGCCCAGGTGAGTCCCTGTCCCTGAGCCCTGGTGAGTCCCTGTCCCTGAGCCCAGGTGAGTCACTGTCCCTGAGCCCAGGTGAGTCCCTGTCCCTGAGCCCAGGTGAGTCACTGTCCCTGAGCCCAGGTGAGTCACTGTCCCTGAGCCCAGGTGAGTCACTGTCCCTGAGCCCAGGTGAGTCACTGTCCCTGAGCCCTGGTGAGTCCCTGTCTCTGAGCCCAGGTGAGTCACCGTCCCTGAGCCCAGGTGAGTCCATGCCCCTGAGGCCAAGTGCAACCCTGTCCCTGAGCCCAGGTGAGTCCATGCCCCTAAGGCCAAGTGCATCCCTGTCCCTGAGCCCAGGTAAGTCACTGTCCCTGAGCCCAGGTGAGTCCATGCCCCTGAGGCCAGGTAAGTCCCTGTCCCTGGGCCTAGGTAAGCCCCACTCCTGAGCCCACGGGCGCTCACACCAGAAGACTGCCTGCCTGCTGAGTCCCTGCATGAAGGGCCAGGCAGAGGGGGGCCCGGAGCTCCTGTGACTGGCCTACCAGGCCATGCCCAGGCATCTCCCCAAGCACCATGTCACTTGGCACAGAGAGGCGCCAGCCTACCATTGGAACACGGCTGATCCCCAGGGTGGCAGGAGGCCTGTGCAGGGCGGAGGTCAGGGCTTGCACCTCTGGGGAACAAGCACGGGGCACATCTGATTCCCCACGGTGGCGACGGCCTTCCCACCTGCATCTCCCAAGGAGCTGGGGCCAGCAGAGAACGGAGGCGGGCTGGGCGGTGGGTGGAGCACTGCGACCTCCATTTCCCAACAGCCTCCCCCCGCAAACACAGCCCCTCCCCTGCACTGCTGCCGGGACACCTGACCCCATGATCACGCGGGACCGTGACCTCATTTCCCTCGCAGGTCACCTCGCTCGACCACGCCGCCTCCTAGCCCCTCGCCTGCCGTCCGCGTTTAGTGAGCAATCCCTCACACCTCCGACCATGGTTTCCAGAGACACCGAGCGGGCTACACACCGGGAAAGTTTTCTGTCCGCTCAGCAATGCCTTCGGATTGCTTATGGGATTGAGGTTAGCCAAGGGAGGCCGGGTGCAGGTTTCCAATTTGAAGACTGGAAGCCGTCCTCTTTCTGTACGTGGCCATGGCCCTCGGTGCCCTCCTGGCAGGGTCCCCCGCCTGGGTCCGAGCGAGCTGGGAAATCGTTCCCAGAAGCTGTCGGCCCAACGTCACGGCTGACATCCATCATGTTTCTAAAAATTAGAAACAAGGAGGCAAAACCTTTCAGTTTAAAAACTTTGCCTTCTCAAATTTCCTATTACACTGTTCGCCAACCCCAGGACAACCTAAAATTATTTTAAATCGCTTTTCAAACCTTACAAAACCACGAACACGGAATGATCTCCTGTGTTTCTCACGCTTTATACTTAAGCCGCTGGCCGGACGTTTGCATGGTGTGTAATTCATGAAGCGGCGGCCTCTGGAAGTTGATGGACGACACAGGCTTCAGGGCGCAGCGGGCCAGTGGCCCAGATTCAGAACAACCTGCTTTAGAGGGAAGGGGTGGCTGGCTGGATGAGGATCAGGGAACATTCCAGCAGGGCCTTGGTGGCAGCTGCGTCCCCTGGGCCCCAGGGCTCCCTTGGGAAGAGGGGGCCATGGGAGATGAAGTGAGGTTATCCATATTCGTAGGTTGCAGTCCCAGCGGCCATTATTTGGAAGAAGGGTCATCACGGATGCGATGGGTTAAGATAGCTCACCTTGCTGGGGGTGGCTCCCTTATCCAAATGACCGTGTCCTGATAAAACACGGCTCTGGACGTGAACACGCACGGGGTAGAATATGACATGCACACAGAGGCTGAGGCTGGGCGATGCTCCTACAAACTAGGGAACGCCAAAGATGCCGGCAGCCCCAGGGAGCCAGAAGGAGGCCGGGACAAGGGTTCTCAGAGCCTCCAAAGGACCGCCCCGCCCACAGCTGATCCCAGACTTCTGGCCCTGAGGACCGTGGGAGGAGAAGTATCTGTTGTTTCAGCCACTCAGGCTGGGGTACCCGGTTAGGACCTCCCCAGGAAGCTAACGCCGCGTGGGTTTTACCAACTGGCACTGCTTGACCGCTCTTACTCAACACCTACTCTGGGCTGGACCGTCAGAGGTGCTCACTCAGGCCTCCGGCTGTGCACGCCTTGGAGATCTGTGTCCTCCACCTGAATCTGAGCTTGGAACTTGATGGTTGTGCTGACTGACCCACTAGAAGGGGGTCATGCCAGGGGCTTCTGCGGACATCCCCTCTCCCAAAGCCCTCTAGACCATGCCAGGGGCTTCTGCGCACATCCCCTCTCCCAAAGCCCTCTAGACCATGCCAGGGGCTTCTGCGCACATCCCCTCTCCCAAAGCCCTCTAGACCATGCCAGGGGCTTCTGCGCACATCCCCTCTCCCAAAGCCCTCTAGACCATGCCAGGGGCTTCTGCGCACATCCCCTCTCCCAAAGCCCTCTAGACCATGCCAGGGGCTTCTGCGCACATCCCCTCTCCCAAAGCCCTCTAGACCATGCCAGGGGCTTCTGCGCACATCCCCTCTCCCAAAGCCCTCTAGACCATGCCAGGGGCTTCTGCGGACATCCCCTCTCCCAAAGCCCTCTAGACCATGCCAGGGGCTTCTGCGCACATCCCCTCTCCCAAAGCCCTCTAGACCATGCCAGGGGCTTCTGCGCACATCCCCTCTCCCAAAGCCCTCTAGAGCCGGGGGCCCTGACACCACTCCTGCGGAGGTGCCGCTTTGACCCTGGACCCTTGACCTCTCTGGCTGCCTGTGTGGCTTCGATGGTCGCACAGGCGTCACCAGGTCCCTGCCACACAGGAGGACTGGAGGGTGAAGGAGGGGGCGTGGCTGCCGACCGAGCCTGGCTCCGCGTTTTCCACACCACTCATCTGCTCCCTGATTCGCCTCCATCGGCGCACGGGCTCGCCGCTGTCAATCCTAAATGATTCACTTCCTGGGAGCCTGGTCATTTTCCAGACCAGGCCTCTCACAAAGCCAGGGAAAGGGGGTTAATAAATCCGTAATGACGACCTTCGTGGGCCTGCGACCTCAGCCGGGGGGAAGGGGCAGGAGTGGGCTCTGCTGGGCCTGCTGCAGCTCTCTTGGGAGTTGTGAATATGCTTGCTTCCCTGGGATGAGCTTTTCCATCTTCAACACACAAGCCGGCCTATCCACAGGGAAAGAAAGTGGAACCGAGGCTTCGCGGCTGCGGGAGGAGGGAGGCAGAGTCACTATTTACCGGGCACGGAGTTTCTGTGGCGGGTGATGAGAAAGTCCCGGGACTCGGGAGGAGGGACGCAGAGTCACTATTTACCGGGCACGGGGTTTTCCTGGGGGGTGACGGGAAAATCCTGGGCACAGAGAGGGGTGATGGTTCCGCAGTGGCCCGGGCATATTGAACGCCACCTAATGCCACGCTCACGGGTGGTTAAAATGACAAAGATTACATTTGTATATTTTACCACAATTAGCCCATGTGTGGTTTTGGGGTCTTGGGGTCTAGGGGGACGGGAAGGGGTGGCAGCCCCTGAGAGGTGGTGTGGAGGCCCCACGTGGAGGGGCCGAGCCACCCTGGCGACGTCCAACCGAGTGCCCTGAGCGCTGCCCGAACACGAGCAGCTCTGCCCAGGAAGCGACTCCAAACCCAATCATCTCCACTGTTTTTGTTAAACATCTTTAGGGAAGCCTGGGAGACCTGCTCTGCCGAACGTGGTCCAAATCCTCATGGAGACAGGCGCACCAGATCCTGCACCCAGGAGCTGGGACGCCGCTGGCATGGGCCTGCTTAGGACTGTTCAGGTGCCGCAAAAATCCCTCCACCAACCTCTGGTATTTCAAGAAAAAGAATCTCGAGGCTCCCGCGGCCGGGCCTGCTGGGGCTGGAGCCCTCTCTGCTGACCGGCCTCTCCGCGCCGGGCGGGCAGGGGACATTTAATTGTGGAGCTGGTGCTGGCAAGAAGCCCTGCCTGGTCCAGCGGGCAGCCAGCATGATAATGAGACAGTTTCTATGGAAATGAGCTTATAACTATTCATTTTCTCCCCATTCCCGACCCATCCACAAAGAGGTTTTCCAAAATGACCCCCATTTTCCTACCCCCAGCATCTCCTCACGCCATTGCCCGACCCGCTAATCAGCTTGAGGAGAAAGGAGAGAGGAAATGCCGTCCTTTGACAAGATGTGGGAAACCACCTCGGTTTGTACTTGGTGTGGCTGTGACCGGCAAACAAAGAACCCTCCCCGGCTCTGGGGCCAAGTTTCCAATAAACTTTTCCCTGAGCACTTTCGAGCGTGTTGTGTGTGTGTGTTTGCTGGTGAGAGCCGAAGCGCTCCTTCGCCGTCTTTTGAGAAACTTTGAAAACTGCCTGTTCTGCCGGAACTTTCCGCGCTGGCTCCTTCCTGCTCGCCTCCCTCACCTGTCAGCTGTCCTCAGCTGAGCCCCATCTTTCTCGGGAGAGGAAAGGGCTGGGGCAGGGAGTGGGGGCAGCAAAACGTCCCCTCCCGGCTCCTGCCTGAGGGTTTGGTGGAGGTGGGGGTTACCAGTCTCTGCCTTTTCCCCCCATTTCAGGGTCTCCGAATAGACGGGCAGCATTGTCAAGGGAGTAGGGGAAAATAAAGAAACGAAAGCCACCGGCTGCATCCTGCCCGAAAAACAGCTCAGGGCTCACACCCAGGCTCAGCCTCTTGCTGGCTGTGTGGCCTTGGACAAGGTGCTTGACCTCTCTGAGCCCAGCTACCCTGTCTGGAAGTGCAGGTGGCAACAGTGCCCCGCCCATGAAGCCGGGAGAAGTAAATGGGCCCATTCTTGCAGTTCCCACTGCACAGCACCTGAGGCAAAGCTGTCTTGAGCCAAGGGTCACCGTCATCATCAGGGTCTTGATGTCAGCCCCAGACGGGGTTCTAGGGCAGGGACCCAGATGGCGCTTCTCACCCAGACCATGTCCAGAGGCCTCCCCTGCACCTGCACCTCGTGGGCAGTGAAGAGGAGACTGTGTTGTTCTCTGTGACCCAAGCCATTCCCTGTCCCATCCCCTTGTGTCGCCCTTACCCTGGACAAAGCAGGAGGACACTCTGTGAGGGTCCTTGTCCTTCCTGTGCTCCACAATGTCACGGTGGCACCCAGGAATGCCCGGTGAGTTCATCAATGAGGATGATGTGGCAGCTCAGGCCAAAGCCCCCTCCCCCAGCCAGGGACTGAGACTTGCTGAGCACCAGGGACCCAGCACACCAGGTGTGGGGTCTCAGGTGGTCATACTGGAGGCGCAAATGATCCCACACCAGCCAACGGCACATCCTCCCTCCAACACATCCTGCCTGCCCAGCCCATTCAATCGACACCAGGGCAGGAACCGCGGCCTCACCGGGGATCCCCAGGGGCTGGTCCCCACAGGGCCCACCCAGCTCTGTGTGCCAAGGGCAAGGCCTCTGGCTGCGGGAGCTCAGAAATGCCCGGCTGCCCATGGCTGGTGCCCCCCATGAACTCCTGCCTGACACTGAGTGTGTGAATCTCAGCCCAACACAGCTGGGTTAGGAAATAAAAATACAGAACACCAAGTTAGTTTTGCATTTCAGATACGCGGTGGATGATTTTTTTAGTGTAAGTATGTCCCGTGAAATATTTGGGACATGCTTATACTATAAAAGTATTTGTGGTTGATCTGAAAGGTAAAGTTTACTGGGTGTCCTGTATTTTCTCTGGCACTCTGAGTCTGGACACTCCTTTCGCCTGAGCCCACTTCGATGGGGTAAGTGCCTCTCGTGGTCCCTCTGGGCAGTACCAGGTACCCCTACTAACCTCTTAGCAAGTGTTAGACCTTGACAAAATGTGTCCCAGGACAGTGTCCGGATCAGGCCACCTGGACTCCAACTCAACTTCTTCCTCCTACACACTGGCCCACCACCCACCCGTGTGGGCTGACTGTGTCCTCCCAAATTCACACCTTGAAGTCTCAATCCCCAGGATATCAGAATGGGACTGCATGTGGAGATGAGGTCTTTAAAGGGGTCATAAGGAAAAGTGAGGTCACTAGGGTGGGCCCTGATCCAATCTGACTGGTGTCCTTGTATGAAGAGGAGATGAGGACACAGACACACAGAGGGAAGGCCCTGTGAGGACACCAGAAGGAGATGCCATCTATGAGCCAAGGAGAGAGGCCTTGGGAGGAGCCAGCCTGCTGATACTGTGTCTTTGGGCCTCCCACCTCCAGATGGTGGAGGTAAGTTCCTGTTGCTCAAGCCCTGCGGTCTGCGAGGCGCATCGTGATGGCGGCCCTTGCTGGCGAATGCAGCAGTACTTCTGCAAGTGGCCTGGTGCTGCGCCGGTAACACACAGCTCAGGTGCCAGGACAGGCATCTGGCTTCGGTTCTCATGCCGCCCTGTGTACCTCCAGCCTCCCTGTCTGCTTCAGGGTCCCCCAGCCCAAGGTCTCAAGGCTGTCCCTGGCGGAATACCGATCAGGGGCTCACTTTCCATACTTCCTAAAGAAAAATCTTGGCCTGGCATGGTGGCCACACCTGCAATCCCAGCATTTGGGAGGCCAAGGCGGGTGGATCACCTGAGGTCAGGAGTTCGAGACCAGCCTGGCCAACATGGGGGAAACCCCGTCTCTACTAAAAACTACAAAACTTAGCCAGATGTGGTGGCAGGCGCCTTCCAGCTACTCGGGAGGTTGGGGCAGGGAGAATTGCTTGAACCCAGGAGGCGGGGGTTGCAGTGAGCTGAGATCAGGACACTGTACTCCAGCCTGGGCAACAGAACAAGACTCTGTCTCAAAAAAAAAAAAAGAAGGAAAGAAAAGAAAGAAAGAAAGAAAGAAAAAAGGGAAGAAAGGGAAGAAAGAAAAGGAAGAAAGAAAGAAAGAGAAAAAAAGAGAAAGAGAAAGAAAGAAAGAAAGAGAGAAAAAAGAAAAAGAAAAATCTCCAACAAACCCATCAGCTCAGTCTCCTCTTTTCCCCCCATAACAGCTGGTTGAGCCCATGGCGATGAGATTGTAAAGTCATCGTGCCTTCTCGCCATGAGAACAAAATTGAATTTTAAGATTCAAATGACTCAGCAAAAATATTGAAATATCAGTGACTTAGGTATAGGCGAGAAAATAGGTTTTAAAAATGTTTTAATTAGATTTTTATTTTGTTTTAAAATTATTTTAAATTTAATTACATTTAAATTTTAAATGAAAATTTAAATACCTCAGATGTAAATGATCACAGTACATTTTCAGCAGAAGACAAGTTTTAAAATTCAGCTGAGCCTGGCTTCCCTTTTGGGAAAGCAACCCCCTTGAGGTCAGGCCCTTTTCCCCTTCGCAGTGTGCCTCTAGAATGCCCAGAGGTCTGTTGATGGAGAGCGTGACTCGGTCAAATGAGAGAGGATCACTATCCCGTTACGGGGATGGTGGCAAGCGGGTGTGTTTGCCAATACAGAACGGGCACAACCGTGTATCAGGTATTCCACACCAGAAATCATTTATGTGTGTCTATCTATATGATGCATGCACAGGACTGAAAAAGTATACCAGATATTATCTTGAGATGAGGAGAGGCAAGGTTTTCCATTTCAAAATCTGTTTCTGTATTTTCTGCAATGAGCAGTCATTGTTTTTATCATTTGTAATTATTTTGTAATTTTCGTAATATATCTGTCCTCTGTCAAAAGAGAGGTTTAAGTGGGAGGAAGATGGCATAGTTGGTGCTGGGGCTAAAGCATCCAGCCCGGCGGTGCTGGGGGAGGCCAGATGGCCTCGGTGACCCTGGACACATCCCCAGCCTCAGCCAACCGACGAGCTCTGTCCATCTGGGTGTTGTCTCTGGGGCCATCTCCGCTAGTGGCCAAACACAGCCTCCTGTGGGTATTTGCTGAGACGCCTCCCAGTCCAGCAGGTGCGAATCTGGGAACTTTCTGGGGAAGTCTGTTCAGGCCCCACCATACTGTCCATGAACAGAGCCGACAGGTCCACTTTCCCTGTAATTCCCCACCCATGACTTCTCTGTAACCTACAGTCTCTTTTTTTTCTCATCTATCATCTCTTTTCTGCCCATAAAGACCTTATCCTACCAAACAACTGGATCTGGCCCATGTCTGTTTTCAAGAGACAATCAACCCCCAGCCCCCACAAAGGTGTTTTTTTTTTTTTTTTTTTTAATGGGATCGCAAAAGGCCTGGGAGCCTGGGGGCAGGTCCCCAGATCAAATGCTGTAAATTCAGTCAATCAATAGAATAAATGCGGTAAACACAACAAAATGCTGGCTGTGTTTGGGACGTACTTGTGTGCTGTGTATCTGAAATTCAAATTGAACTGGGTGTCCTGGATTTCATCTGCCGGATCTGGCCACGCTCCCTGAGGGCCTGAGCTCTTGCGCCGGCTCAGCGGTTGCCGAGCGGCCCTCCTTCTCCAGGTCCCGCCCTCTGAGCCGCCCAGGCTGAGCCCGGCAGGTGCTAACACTCCCTGCCCTGGGACCACCATCTGGGCGACTGGGCAGCCACGGCTGGTTCTGGCCGGCGGTCACCTCTTGGCCCTCGTGCTCAGCCCCAGCCCAGCCTCTAACCAGACACTCACTGGCTTACAGCTTGCACCACACGCTAACTCCATAGTCCTACAGCACCCTCCGTCCTGACACGCTGGGAGACCCCGTGTCCCCACCGAGGCAGCTGGAGGCCGCCCCAGAGCTGACGCCCCCACCTGCTTCTCTCAGGCCACACGGTTGGTGCAGAGGCTCAGACAGAAGCCACTTCCTCTGCTTCCCCCCTCGAAGAGCTAAAAGCAAAAGCCCATGTGGGCCCTGGGACTCTGGCTTTGAGCTGTGGCCACTGCTTGAGCCGGGCAGGGGCTGGGTAGTGAGCCTGACCTGGAGCTGAAGGACGGAGGCTTCTCTGAACGGGTCCAACCTTCTCTGGTCTGGAGAAAAAATTCCCAAAGCAGATTTGTTTCCCTCCTTCCCAGTTCCTGTCAGTTAAAAATCATCTAGAGAGAGAGAGGGAAACCTCCAAATGCATAGCTCCTGCCTCTACCAGGAGGAGGGGTGACAGCAAACAAAACCCCTCCAAACTAGAAAACCATTTTGTCCTTCTTTTGGGGGTATATATTTGGCTTTGGGTCCATCCTTCTTCTTAAGGATAGGCATTGACTTAAATCCAGCCATAAAAATAGAAGCAATGGCTACTTTTACCTCCGCAGGCAGAGAGAGGATTTGCTGCAGAAATCACCTTTGACCATTTCCCTCCAAGAATCATTTCCCCCAAAGTCACCTAAAATCAAACCGATCACAATTAACACTCAAAGTGGCCACCATCAAACGCGTGGAAACTGTCCTGCTGCCCGGGAGCCCTGCAGACAGCCCCATCTGTTGCTCAGAGCAGCCCGGGACCCTCATTCTATCACGGCTCAAAGTAGGTTATCTAAATAAATGGGAGAGGAAATCAACGAGATATATTAGCAAGGTGGGATATTTGTCATCTCCTCTGTCTTTCCTTCCCCAAGAATATCGGTGATGAATTTGCAAATGGTCCTGGATTATGACAGAGCTGTTTTCTCTCTTCATTATTTATCCCTTCTCTGAGCACCTCGATTAGAGACCACAGTGACAAATGCATGAATAAAAGGCAAAGACAATATTTTAGCAATGTGTTGTAAATCTCCTTCTACGCATTATTAATTTAAAGAAATCCATTACACCGAGCAGCTCTGAAGAGGAAGACAAGGGTAACGCAGGGGTGCCTGCTGCTCTGGAGGGTCAGGGAAAGGAAAAGCAAAATCAGCTGCGTCCCTGAGCTGAGGCCAGGCTGGTCTCTCACTGAATCCCCGAAGCCTTGCAACCACCTAGATTTTATTTGAATAAAAGGTGAAACATTTGCTCCCCCAAACGCAAGCACATTTTGCAAAGTGGAAAACGGCGCTGTTTGAAATGATCTCATTTTTCAGGAGCGGGGAAGGCGAGGCCGGCGGCCGTGCTGGGAGCCTGCGGCCCTCCCTCCTCCGGGTGAGACGCGGCAACGCTGCTGTATCGGGAGGAAGGAAAAAGGAAAACAGATGGAAGGTGCTGGTCGCAGGAGCAAGTGCCTCGGGAACAATGGAGGGGCCCCTTTTCTGCTCCCTCAGAGAACACCACGGTGCAAATCTGTGTACAGCGATACCACCAACCACGCAGATAACAGGGCAATAACACCGCAAACCCGAACCCAAGTCCTCGCGGAGACCATGCTAATCGGGCGAAGCCACACGGCAGCCGCGGCCAAGCCCTGCAGCCTGGATTTTCTTTCCCCTATTTTATTTTCTTTCAAAACCCTCCAAGAAAGGAGCCATGGGCCCCGGGTCCCACCGCCTGCCTTGGCCGGTGTTTGAGCCAGCTCTGGACGCCTCCGGAGAGATGCCTCTCCCGGGGCCCTTCCTGGAGAGGTCCGCAGGACGGCAGCCTCTCTCCAATCTGGGGTCCCTAAGGAAGACTCCAGAGCCCCTGAGAGGTCGGGGGGATGCCAGGCTGGCCCCTAGAGCTTGGTACCCACATGGAGCACCCCCTGGAGTTTGATGTGAGGCCTCAGGGCCCACAGGCAGGCTTCAGGGTCTGGGAAGAAACAGTCTGTTTCTACCAGGGATGGCGGGGTCGGTTCACACAAAATCTCCATTCACCCACATGAACCAAAGGCTTGCTTTGGTGTCTTGCTTTGTTTTTTAAGACAGAATTTGAGTTTCTTTTTCATTTGCTTAGACTGATGATCCCCCTCCTTATGAAGCAAAGGGATTTTTCTAGCAGTTTTTATACTTGCTACCCACTACCCCCTGACCCAGGGTTCCTGGTAGAGGAGTGAGAACGGCCTGGGGGTCAGCAGCGGTCAGCCCACATCTCAACCAGGGCTCCATGCCTTCCTCCACCGCGACCAGCACCAAGGTCTCCTCGCCAGTGCAGGATGCCCGGCCGACTGCGTGAAGCTGGAATGGTGCCCGTGCAGGGACCTTAAGAACACCAGGAAACCCAGCTTGGGCCATGGGGGCCAAGGGAAAGTGGGAAGGGCCATGGGGGCAGGAGGTCTGGGGCATGAGGCAGGAAGGCCATTCCTGGAGGCGGGAGGAGTGTGCTGCCCACAGCTCCATGCTGCAGCCCCTGGGAAGCCCTTGGCCGTCCTGACAACGCCTCCACCTGGCATCCTTCTCCTTGAAGTTTCAAGTTATTCCTATAGAATGTGCAAAGCTGCCACAGCGACAGGCAGCTCCGTCGCCTCCTGTAACTGCCCACCCAGAGGGGATGGGAGTGCTCCCTCAAAAGCGTCCCCCTGCCCCCCCACCACGCCGCCCAGGGAGAGTGCGCCAGCCCGTGGTGACAGCGCCAGTCCGTCCACTTAGGGATACGGTGGTGGATCTCCATGGCAGATCCTAACGACTTGTCACAGGCACGACCGTGGCAGGTCCCGGTGACAGCCACAGCGGTGCACATGGGAAACAGCAGCAGGGCCCAGTGGGACCCGGCAGCTCTAAGATCAGAAACTCACAGACAAAGGGCCGCAGATTGGGAGAGTGCACGGGAAGGGGAGCGCCGTCCCTGGGCTGATTTTACTGTATTTTCCGTGCGTCAGCCTAATTGCTTCAGAAGCTGTGGCTTTCTTTAACGTGGAGCTCGCAAAGGAAGCCTCCCTGGTAACATGTGAAATCAAAAGTTGGATCTCTACGTAGATATGCACGTATTAATTTGCATTTTGTAAGACAAGTGCTGCATGTTATTAATATAATTACTGGTTATAGAAACTGTGTATTTACTGCGTTTTCTATATTACTTTGCGTTCCACGCTTCTCAATGGTGCGGGTTTAATATTCAGCTGGTGTTTACTTAGCATATGACTGTTAATCAGTGTAAATTAAATGTGTACTTGAAACCCCCACTTAAAGCTCAGCTAATTATTTTTTGATCCAAACAGGACTGCCTTTTCCGGAAGGGTGAATCGGGGCTCTCTGGGACCAACTCATAGCGAGAGAAACTGTTGCCAGCGTTGAGGACCAGCCTCCAAAAGACACCCGGCAATTGTCCTTGCCCCGTTTCTCCTGCAGCACATGATGGATTGCTTCCAGGGGAGCCCCGCTCTGGTCCAGCCTGGGGACCGCGCTGTGGGGAGCTTCTCTTCCTGGGGAACCGCCCGCCCGTCCTGTCTAGCCGCACATGGACCACTTTGCCAGCACAGTGCAAACCATGTGGCTTCAACACTGGTTCAGACACATGTGTAGACACACACAAGCACACACATGTGCACACCCAGCCCAGGGCTCCGGGGCCTGCTTTAGCTCCCCAGGCCCACGTTCCTCACCTGCCTGGCCCAGACCCTGCCTGGCCCAGAGCTCACCACTCCAGAGCTATTGCCTGAGGACACGGAGCTACAGGGGTGAGGAGGGCTGCAGATCCCTCAGGTGGCAGGGGAGGGGTCACCATGCACCAAACAGGGAGGCCAGGTGGGGGCAACCCCTGTTCCCACTCAGAAGAAAAGAGGAGCAGATCTGAGCACCGCTGGAGCTGGAGCTGGCTCTGGCCTGGCTGGCCCCGGCCCCAGGCTGACTGGTTCACTCCTCTGGTCTGGTGATTCCTGGGCACCTCCCTGACTAGGGGCCCTTTAGAAATGACCCCTGTTAGTTTGTTCTCCTGGGAGCCGTCCTCAGAGCCTGTCTTCTGGTCTGGGCTTGGTAGAGGGGAGAGAGGGCACAGCAGGAAAGCAGGCACCAAGGATGGGCCCAAGCCTCTGGACAAAACCCCTCCTGCCTGAGGACGGGGACCTCCTGGGGCTCAGGCCATGGCCTCAGGCATCTCTGAAGCCAAGGACCCACGCTATGGCTGAGTCCATGCAGCCCTCCCCAGGGGACCTGGCCCAGCCACGCATCAGAAACCAGATGGACGACGGACGGCAACATAGCCTTGTCCTGAGGAGCCACTGGCCCTTGCTCTTAGAGACCTCATGGGGAAGTGTAACTTCCTGAGCAACATGCTCCCTGCCATAGGAGGCAGCACCGTAGACCAGTGCCATCTCTATAAAAGAGGTCAGAACCCCTCCAAGCCTTCATTTCTTCTTTGGGAGATGGGATCTAATTTAGAGAGTCTGCTCAGAGGATTCAGGAGCCAGAGAGTAGCCACTGCTTGGCAGGTTGAGACAGCCAGTATATCTCCATGGATGGATGGATGGATGGATAAATGGATGGATGGATGGATAAATGGATGGATGGATGGATGGATGGATGGATGGATGAATGCATAGATAAATGGATGGATGGATGGATGGATGGATGGATGAAAGGAGGGATAAATGGATGGATGAATAAAAACTGCCTCAAAGCTAGGTTCCAAATGGGGCCTAACTTGGCATTGCCCCAGATTCTGAATCAGGAATTCTCAGAGACTCCTGCCTTCCCCACCTTCACCATCACAGCAGCAGCTATGGCAAGATGCCCCCAGAGCCACAGCAGGGACTCCAGCCACGTCCATGCTCAGCCTATGTCTGGTCTTGTTTTGGATCCTGTACAAACCTCAGTGAGGATGAGGCCATTCTGAGCAATGTGCCACGGGGCCGAGTGGTGACCAGCACAGCTTCAGGAAGCACCACGCAGAGGACAGAGCAGACTCCCACCCACCAGACCCCTGTTCTCTCCAAGAGTGGGATGTCTCGGCCCAAAGGCATGTTCCCATTTCTGAGATTTAAAAGCCACAGTTGGCTGGAAGGTGCTCCAGAGACAGGGGGCACAGGCCACACACAACGTCCGTGATGACTTCCCACAGTCCCAGGGTGAAAGCTGACCCTGCCGGCCCACAGTTGGGCTCTCTTCTCCGGGAGTGGAGAATACAGTGAGCCGTGTATTCTCAGCCGTGAAGCTGAGCTCTTGTCTAATGCACGCCCGGCCACTCAGACACTCTGGCAGAAGCCAGTGCTGTGGGCGGCCTCCCAGAACGGCGGTGGGGCTAGCAGTGTCGACGCTGGCCTCTGCCCCAGGTCCTGGCTGGACACAGCTCACACGTGCTGCCTAGGAATCAGGTAAATCTCACCTCTGCTTTATCCACAGGCAGATGGAAGTCTGATCAGAACACACCCTCTGGGAAGCCTGTTAGTAAAAGGAGGAAGGGTACCCACATGGAACTACCTAGAGTGAGCCTGTTGGCCCATGGCCTGGCTGGGCAAGGTGGACCCCACAGCCACTTTCCCTGTCCCTCGCCTTGCAGCGGAGTCTATTCCCAGGAGGAACTGAGTGTAGGGTGTTCCCTAATCCCTAACCCAAGGAAGAGCCCCCGAAAAGGACCCTGCTCGTCCCCACTTCTGTCTGGACTCTGGGGAGTTTTGGACCTTGGTCGAGCCTTCTCTAGACCAGATGGGGGTACAGAGTGTGCCCCAGGGCCCTGCCCCCATGCCCAGCGAGGGGACAGACACTGACTCAATTTGTTGTACCCAGAGACAAAGGCAACTGGGAAGCTAAGCTACGCAGGAGGCACAGAGATATCTCAGGACCAGGAGGCCCAGGGGTCCCGCCACCTCCCCGAGGGTGGCTGCTGGAGGACCAGCCCCCGGCTTCCATAGCTCTAGGACCAGCCCCCCATTTCCATAGCTCTAGGACCAGCCCCCCGTTTCCATAGCTCTAGGACCAGCCCCCCGTTTCCATAGCTCTAGGACCAGCCCCCCCGTTTCCATAGCTCTAGGACCAGCCCCCCCGTTTCCATAGCTCTAGGACCAGCCCCCCCGCCCCCACCCGGCCTCCATAGCTCTTGCAGCTCTGTGCTTTCCCTCCCACTCCCATGGGCTTCAGAGACCAAAAAGTAAGGAGGAAGCTCAAACGTCCCCAACGGCCAACTGGCGACTGGAAAAACTCTGAGTTCCCCTGTGTGTTTGAAGCTCGAGTCTAAATGACCAGATTCTTGGGAGGGTGGGCAGGTGTGCACCAGAGATGCCAGGGAAAGGGGAGTCCGCAGTGGGTGGCACTGTGTCTGTGTTTGGACTAGAGACTGAAAACCTCCATTTTTATTTTATCTTTTTATTTTATTTTACTTTATCTTTGAGATGGAGTCTCGCTCTGTCACCCAGGCTGGAGCGCTGTGGCGCAATTTCGGCTCACTGCAATCTCCGCCTCCTGGGTTCGAGTGATTCTCCCACCTTACCTCCCAATTAGCTGGGACTACAGGCACGGGCCACCACGCCCAGCTGATTTTTTTTTTTTTTTTTTTTGAGATGGGGTTTTACCATGTTGGCCAGGCTGGTCTCGAACTCCTGACCACAAGTCACCTGCCCAACTTAGCCTCCCAAAGTGCTGGGATTACAGGCGTGACCCACTATGCCCGGCCCCAAACCTCAATTTTTAGATAGCCAAGGGCCAAGTGTCAGACCCACAGCTTTCCTTTTACAGACAAGGAAACAAGTTCTGGAAGGTTACATGGCTCTCCCAAAGCCATCCCCCTACGCAGTGCGAGGCTTGTAAAGTTCGCCTGTGCGTTCGGGGGGATTCCAGCAGATTCAGGAGGGATGTCTGTGCCCTGTCCTGGTGTCCAGGGTGACCCGTGTCCTCTCCTCAGGGCAGGAGCCATGACAGGAGATGGACACGCCCCAGCCAGTGTCCACTTGTCCTGGCCTCTTGGTCCATCGTGGCAGAGCCTGGATAACCCCGGGGCTCCTGCCTCCTTGAACCTTGTCCAGGCCCAACAGGAACTAGGCAGCTTCAAAAGTAACAGCAGGAGTACACGCATCTCAGAAAACCCGTGTCCCTGGCCTTAAGCTTGGATGAGTAGGGCGGGTGGATTGCTGTGTCCCCAGCCAGCCCAGGAGCCTCCCTCCCTCCTGAGCGGTGAAGGTGGATGGATGGAGGAAATGGTAATTAACAAGGGAACTGGCCGGTGCTCCTTCCTGATGAAATAAAATTCAGCACCATCTTGCATAAAAGGGCATTCCCTAACTGTGGGCCAGGGGCTGCCTGAGGCTTCACAAATGCCAGCCTGGCTCATTGAGTGGTAAACCCAGGAAGACAGCATGGATTCCTGGCCTCCGTCAGCTGGGAGCACCCACGGCTCCCTGCAGAGGCCCAGGCGGAGTCTGGATACACAGGTATGCACCCTTGTGTAGACTGACGTCCTCAGCCAGGAGTGGCAGGGCAGGGCAGGCCTGCAGGCACCCACAGCACCTCGTGTGGGTAGACCTCATAGTGGGGGTCCCAGGCTGTCTGCCCCCACCCGGGGCTCAGTTCTCCCCATCCGACTCTGGCCCCCTGCCTCCTGGTTTTGGGAATCTCGGAGCCACTGGAAGCCATCCTGCCACCCTAGACCTGCCTGCTTCATCTTCTTCAGGAGGAAGGAGCTGTGGGTTTGGGGCTTTCATTCTCACCCGTGTTCTCCATCCTCCAGTGGCTGCCCCTGCCACAAGGCTGACAATATCTCATGCAGGCTCTTTGCCCAGGCTCCATGCCCCCCACCCCCAGGCTTGCTGTGACTCTCGTACCCCTGTCCCCCACTGTTTCCATCTCTCCCAGCTTGCCAGTGCCCTTGCAATAAGGAATCCACAGAGGCAGAGAACCAAGGAAGAGTGGTGGGGAGCTGGGGACAGAAGCCGGGGTGGCCAAAGCCGGAGGGCCCCTGGGATGGGGGGCTCCCATGACCCCCCTGATACCAGTAGAGCTGGGCTCCAGCCCTTCCCCACTGCCCCTCCTCCAACATTTCCTCCGCAACTGGGATCCTCCTTTTTTGGAACGATGAACCCCCACAACACACTAAATCTTAAAAATAAATTAACAAACATCCTGGCTTTCTAGAAGGACTTTCAACATGTGCTAAGTAAAGTGGGGATGGATTTGGGGATTTTAGAGAGATATTGTGGTCCCCCCATGGTCCCAGGCAGTGCCCAGATTCACCACCCTTTGGCTTTGGGCCGCTGCTCTGACACAAACTGGACTTCCAGAAGGACTGGGCTGGCTCGGCCAGGACAAGTCACCGCCCACCTGAGATGGGATCTGAGCCCCGTGAGCGTCAAGGAGGTCCCAGCAAGGAGTTGACATCTCCTGGATTGTAAAATCCTGACGCTGCTCCCCAGGGCTGGGCCACCACTATGGGGAGCTGCCCCCTCAGAAGCAGGGAAGGTGAGGCAGGGGTTCCACCTGCTGCGGGTGAGTGGCTGGATGCACCCAATGCCTGACACCCAGCCCAGCCCAGCCCTGCCGGACAGCTCCTTCCTCACCTCTGGCCACTGGCCCTCCTGCAGCTCCTGGCTCCTGGGTTTGCAGGGCTGCCTGGTGAGGGACACCCCTAGAGTAAACCCCTGGGCGGCCACCTGTGGCTGCTCTGTCCTGGCACCCGACCTGCTCTCACCAGGGCCACCAGGGCATGAGATTGCACCCAGGACATGAGATTGCACCCAGGGCATGAGATTGCACCCAGCTTCTTCACTCATCCGGGGGCTCCTTCCCACCTCTCAGCCCAGCCCCTCCCACAAAACCGTCCTGATGCCCAACCACACCCCACCACCTGCAACTGAGGCGGACAGAGGGCCCCCGAGAGAAGACGCCAAAGGCCGAACTTGAATCTGAATGCATCTCGGTATTCCCAAGTTGCAGGTGAGCAGCAGGATGGGGTTTGCCGCAGGATGGGGTTCAGAGAATGGGGTTTGAGGTCAATGCAGAATCAGAGACTGTCAGCGCAGTGAGGGGTTTTCCACATAGCCTGGCCCAGTGCATCTGAACCCCTCTGCTCTGGCTGGGGCGAGAGGGGCCAGTATCAGCTCTCAGCCTGCCCCATGGCCTGGAGGAACCTCAGATTCACCTCTGGCTGCCTCCTCTCCTGGCCCAAGCCCCAGGCTTACAGATGAGGACCCAAGAACCCTGGGGGAGGTGGCCTGACTGAGGCCGCCCAGGGTATGGATGGCCTGTTGGACAGGAGCCAAGTCCTGGGTGCCCAGATCCTTGCTTGGGACCGGTGCTGTGTGCGACGCAGAACCAAGATGTGCCTTGGCCTCCCCAAAGAGTCCAAGGTCAAGATTTGGGGTCTCATTCTTCACAAAGACCATGCAGGGCAATGATGATAGTTTCCAGACACTGGAGATCCCATTTCTCAAAGAGAAGACAGCAGAAATAGCCTCAGGGCGACGGAGTCCACAGTCGGACATCTCAGCACAGGCGGACAGCACAGATACACTGCCCAGGGCACCTGGTCGGAGGCCCCAGTCTCCCTGTGGATGTCTGAGCTCTGCCTGAGGATGATTTGCCAGTGAAAGGGACAGGGACGGCAAACAGGCCCAGGTGCACCCACGTCACACACCCCAGACCTCAAGGCTTTCTTTTCCTTCTAAGTCCAGAATTATCCAGCACTGATGATGCCTCCTCACGCCCCAACTTAGAAGTGAATGCACACGTGTGCACACACACCCCACACTGAACACACACGTCCACACCCACACCGAGCACACACGTGCGTGCACACACCTCACACCGAGCACACACATGCACACACACACTCCATACCGAGCACACGCGTACACACACCCCACACCGAGCGCACACATACACACACCCCACACTGAGCACACACGTGCACACACACCCCACACCGAGCACACACGTGCGCATACCCCCCACACCAAGCACACACATGCACACACACCCCACACCGAGCACACGTGCACACATACCCCCCACACTGAGCACACACGTGCACACACACCCCCCCACACTGAGCACACACATGCACACACACCCCACACCAAACACACGTGCACACACACCCCACACTGAGCACACACGTGTGCACACACACACTCCATACTGAGCACACACGTACACACACCCCACACCGAGCACACATGTGCACACACACCCCCTACACCGAGCACACACGTGCACTCACACAACCCACACCGAGCACACATGTGCAGACACACCCCACACCAAACACACGTGCACACACACCCCACACTGAGCACACACGTGCACACACACACCCCATACCAAGCACATGCACACACACCCCCCACACTGAGCACACACGTGCACACATATGCCCCACACCGAGCACACATGTGTACACACCCCACACCGAACACACGTGCACACACACCCCACACCGAGCACACACACTTGCACACATATACACCCCAACCAAGCACACATGTGCGCACACCCCACACTGAACACATGTGCACACACACCCCTCACACCTTTGACAACGGATGGCAAGGCAGCACAATGGTTTTAAGCAGATCATTTTTATGAATTGCTTCTGGTTGGATTTGTGAACGGTTTATATGATTATCCCCATGCCCAGTTGTTTATCTTTTTCAAAGAGAATGTGGCTGTTAGCGGGGAGGCCCCCCCCACCCCAGATGAAGTCAGCGAACGTTCATTGGTTAGCGGGCCCCCCCGTTTCCACCCTCCGAGGGTAAGGAGTTGGGGTGGGCGGTGCAGAAGGCGGCAGAATATCCCAAATGTGCGGGGGCTGGAGAGTCTGCAGTGCAGCAGAGCCCTGATGCCCACGTGTGCTGTGTGTGGGGGTGTGTCTAAATGTTTTCCTGCTCGGCCAAACCCTCTGTCCCGCAGAAAACGGGTCCTCATTGCGTCCCTAACGGGGCCCAGGAGGCCTGATACCCGCGGTGAGGCGTGTGAGTCCCGAGGCGCTGCTCACACCTTGCGAATTTCTGTGACCCGGGGGGCGCCGGGGGACCTCTCCAGGACGTCAGCCTGACCCCGGGCTGACCGGGCTGCCCACCTGCTGGGGCGATACAGAGTCAGACCTCACTCAGAAAAATTAGATAATTAAATGGACCCCGACTAGATAAATTGCACTTTCTTAATGAGGTTATCGGGAGCCTCGGTGGGCAGGAATGACCTCACTGTCTGCATAGCTGATAGCCCAGCCAGAGCGCTTTCTACAGGGGTGGAAGTGAGAGACCGGGAGCGGGTGGGGCGGGTGAGTGAAGCACGTCCTGACTGTACGGACCACGCAGGACACACATCTCTGCAGGAGGCTCATGGCTCTGTTCTGCTGTGGAATTTCACTGCTGCACCACGTGGAGAGGGACCAGAGCCCTGGATGCAGCTGGGTCAGGGGACTCTCGGGAGAAGCCCCCTGGGGTGGCCTGGGAACTTCCCCTGGGGACTCTCCAGTCCAGGCTGCCGTCCAAGGCCCCGTTCCTCCTTCCAGGGCTGCAGAGGCAGGGCTGGGGAACACCCAAAAGCACAGTGTGGCCACCTGGCCCTGGAGTGTCAGAGGTCACTGGCCAGTGGGCTCAGGGCCCAGGTCGCCAGCTGCAGGCCCCTGAAGAGCCACCCCGTATCCCATGGCAATGGTTTACGGGCTGACAGGTGCTTTGAGGAACTGACACCGTGCCGCATGCACCCTCTCCATCTGCACGTGGACGTTCCTAGATAGCAACCAGGAGCTCAAACCCAAAGAGGGGTGGGGGCGGTTTCCTGCTGACACCAGGCACACGGCTCCTAGGAAGCCTGGCTGGGTGGCATGGACGATCACCTGCCAGGTCAGCCCCTGCGTGGGGCCTACTTGGGCTGGCTCCACAGACATCCAAGTGCAGGGACATCTAGGGTGTTCCTTCCAAGACGAGTGGGCAGAGGGGCTGAGGCTGCTCCCAGCATTTCTCGCTCAGGTGACCTCACCTGAAGCCGCACAGGGGTTCCTGAGGCCCTGGGGGTTCACTGGGAGGTGGGAGGAGAGAGTGAGGACCTCTGGGTTTACCTGACTGCCAGCCCAACCCTTACCTGGTGGCCAAGAGCAGAAGGGCCCCCTGACCCAAGGTGACTGAGACATGTGTGTATCTCTGCTTTCTGGTCTCAGGGCATTCTTGAGACCTCCAAATTTAGGGGAAAGAAAGAGCCCTTTACTGGGGGTGACCCCGTGCAGGGGCTGAGCTGGGCGGCTGGGTGCATAGCCCATCTGTAGCCTAAGCAATGGTGCAAAGCCCCCACGCCTTGGTTTCCTCTCCTGAACGCGGGCACACAGAGCACCATCTCGCAGGGTGCTGTGGGGTCTACAACTGGCAGGTACAGAGAGTGAGGGCTTCACACAGCTCATGGCCACCCCCTCCCCCACCCACCCCAAGGTCATCCACCTCAGAGTGGAGCTGGGAAGGCAGAGGCTGGGTCAGCCCTGGACACCTGGATACGCCCTGCCTGGGACCTGGCCGAGTGGGAATGACCCTGACCATTTGGAGGGAACTGTGGGATCTGTGAGTCAGGGACTGTCAGCCCCTCTCTGCAGACAGGGCAGCTGGGATGGGGAGGAGCCTTTCCCAAAGCCACACGGGCCTGTCTGCATCCAACCCGAGGGATGGCCGGCGCCTCTCTCCCTCCCAGGGACCCAGGTTGTCCATGTACCGGGGCTGGGTCCCTGTGGGGCCGGGCCCCCATCCAGGGCAGTGATGGTGCCCACAGGCTCAGAGCCTTCCTCAGGGCAGTGGTGGCTGGGGCTGGTCACGAGTTGTCCCTCCCATAGTGCTGGGTCCAGGTGGCAGATAGGTCCCTCCGCCCCAAGCTGGGGTCTGCACAGGCCTGTAGAGTCATGGGAGGGGGCCAGAGAGGAAATCAAAGAAATGAAGTGGGCGGCGAGAGGCCAGGTGGCCACGCAGCTGTCTTCACAGGCGGCAAAGAGGACCCCTTAGCATCTTCCCCCTGGCCTCAAAAGTGCTTGTGGAGCCTTCACTACGACTAACACATGACAAGATGCCCCAGGAACCCCAAGCTTGCCAGTCCCTCCTCCTCCATCCACAGACAGGGCCTCAGCTCCCAGGGGCTGCAGACCAGAGGTGTGTGACACACACCTGCACTCTGGGCCTCACTATTTAGAAAAAAAGAATAAGCCGGACGCGGTGGCTCAAGCCTGTGATCCCAGCACTTTGGGAGGCCGAGGCGGGAGGATCACCTGAGGTCAGGAGTTCAAGACTGGCCTGACCACAATGATGAAACCCCATCTCTACTAAAAATACAAAAATTAGCCGGGCGTGGTGGTGCACACCTGTAATCCCAGCTACTCAGGAGGCTGAGGCAGGAGAATCCTTGAACCCGGGAGGCAGAGACTGCAGTGAGCGGAGATTGCGCCAGTGCACTCCAGCCTGGGTGACAGAGCAAGACTCCATCTCACAAAAATGATAATAATAATACTAATAATAAAGTTTCAAATGTCATTTGCTTTGCTGAGAAGAAAGAAGGGGTGGAGAGAGGAAATGAACCCAGCTCAAGTTGGGGAGGCCACCTGCTGGGACTGGGGCGAGGGGCTGGTGCTTGGAGCCCTACTGCCTGAGGGTCCTGCTGTCCCGAGTCCTGACACCTGACGAAGTCCTCAGCCCGGACCCATGTCCACACTTCCCGGCACGGTCCCGCACACCCAGGGGTCCCTGTGTCTCAGCCAGCAAAAATCAGAGCCCGGAACACTCGGCCCCCGAGGGGCTGCAAACCAGCGACTCCCCCCGGCCCAGCACTGCGGTTGCCACAAGGTCTCCCTTCTTACTTTCATTTTAAATGACAGGCGACTGAAAAGACAGAGCTCAGGCTTCCATGGGTGCCCGCGGGTACGAATTCTCCAGCCCCTATGTGATCTCATCAGCAACACAGCCCGAATCCTGCATCCCAGCAAATGCATCGGATTCCCTTATGGAAAAGCTGTTGCCGAGAGATCAGCATCGCACCTGGGTGCCCCGGCCAGGGGGCAGTTGATGTGGTGGCAGCTCAGGGTCTGGCCAGCCATGCCGGTCCCTTGCCTGGGCTACCCTCCGCAGCCTGTAACACCAGGGCCCCAGCCAAGGCCATCCATCAGTTTCCCCTCCTGGACCCCTTTGCCCCTTCCAGATGCCTCCCCTCACAGCTTGGCGGGCAGGGAATTCTATAAACATCTGGGCTTCCAGTTAATACGGTCCACATCCAGGTAATTACCCGCTCTCGGGGGAGCACGAGGCTTGGGAATCCCAGGCGTTCCGTTGCCTGTGCGCACCCTGGGGTCCGCACACTGGGAACATACACGGCAGTGGCAGCCTGTCTTCCCTGAAGCCTCAGACTCTGCTCAACGTCTGGGTGCCACACGCCTTTGGATGACGCCGCAGGTGAGGAGGATCCCTGTGCTTTTGTGCATCCCGTTCGACGGCGCCTGCCCCGAGACCAAGGAGCAATGCCAAAAGGTCAATTAAGGCTTTGATGGAGCAGCTGAGGACCACACTGTCGGGCCATGTGCAGGAGGGCCCAGCTCAGGTCTCTGGCAGGAGCCAGGGAGGGCCGGTCCCCACCGCACCCCCGGGACAGGGCTCCCCGTGTTCAGCTGCTGCTTGTTAGCACAGCCAGATGTTTTCACTCGATTTTGCAAATCTGCTCCAGGTCTAAGACATCGCTGTTTGTTCTAGAAATCAAAAGGTCTTGGCTGGCTGTGAAAGACGCTTGACTGACAGCTGCCCCCAGCCCTGGCCCCAACCTCTTCCTGGAAGACCAGACCCCGGAAATGGCCCTGGACGGGGGGAGCCGATGGAGGCTGGGGCAGCTCCGTTTCTCACGAGCTTGGTTTTCAGAAGTGCTCCCAGCTCCTGCGGGGTGGATGGGTGTGCTTGGCACGGGCCAGAGTGCGACCCCATGGCTGACGAATGCACAGTGCGGCCCCACGTTTTCGGAAACGCGGTGCACCATGAGTGTTCTCGTTCCAGGCAGGCCTGAGGGCCAGAAAAGGTAAAAATCCCCTACCGTGGGCAGCACATGCTTCCGCACAGAACGGGTCAGGTGGCATTCTCTCTTGGGGTCCATCTGACCGACTGAAGGCCGCCCCCACCCCAACTGAGACAGTGAGAATGCATCTATGCTTCCTGAAAGTTCTGAATTTGTCCCACCTTCTCTGTCTATGTCTGTTTCCCTCTCTGCTTCAAATATCAAGACTGGCAAAGCACAACAGAAGAAGGCCATTTCCACAAAATGTATCATCTCCTTAACGAGCCACTGTGGCCACATATGATTAATGCCACCACGTTGTGGCCCGCCCTGGGCTTTCTGACTCCCATCCTCGCAGGTGGGGCGGCCCAGAAGGGTCCGGGCAGAGGCCTGGCCGGGCTTTGATATCTCACTGATAACGTATTGTACAATTAGATCAATTTGACAATTTCCATTATGGCTGATAAAATATTTATTGAGCCTTGGAGATGATGTCTGATCTCTGCGCCATTTGTTCTGCTAATGCGGGGAGACCGAGGAGGCTGCAGACAGCGCTCAAGCCGGCTCCCCCGTCCCTCCTCCCCATTAGGTTTGCAAATTGCAGGCACCAGTCATAAATTACCGCCCAGCCCAGCGAGATTGATGCTGAGCTGACAGGGCAGGTAGGTGACTTGTGATGACATTGTTTCATAGAAGCATTCATCACGGCAGAAGGAGAAAATACCCCCAAATTGGCCCATAAGTCTAAATATCAGGGATGAGAAGCGGGCGGACGGAGGATGGTTTTACCGAGAGCTGGAAATTGGGGAATGAAAAACATTTTCTATTATTTAACAAATCATCTTAATAATGTCCAGTGTTTTCCCCCAGAGTTCTGGGAGCCAAGGGAGCAAGGATCCACCTTGCCTGTGCCCTCTTGCCATTGGTGATGTTGATAAAACCCAGGGACATGGGGACTCCTCTGGCTCTGGGTTTCCATGCTGGGGAAAAGGGATCCGTATCGGGAGTAAAAGCCATGTCGTGCCCCTTCTCCGACCGCCTGCTTCTCCAGGGGCACCCACGCCAGCTCCGGCTTTTCTTCTGCGGGATCAATGTGGATGACGGTTTTGCCGAGGGAAGCCCATCCGTCGTACCATGGAACGCAGGATGCGGAAACGGAGGCGGGACCCCTCATGGGCTGTGGGGGTCTGGGATGCAGAGAGGGACGCGTGACTGTGGCCCCACCCTCACACCTGGGAGGCCAGGCAGCCCATGCACCCCCCATACGCCTTCTAGGAGCTGCCTGGTGGCGACGCTGTCCCGGTTTTTACAGCCCTGAGCTCAGCTCTGAGGGTAAAATATCGCTGCAAAAGATAAATAGCCCTTAATGAATTGCTCCTGAGTTAGAGAGCCAACGTGGTTTTAATGGCAAATGAAAAATAAACACATCAGCGAGGGAGTGGAAACCATGGTCGGGGCCGGTTCTCTGCAGAGACAGGCGAGGGGTGGGGGTCAGAGAGCTTGGGCTCCGGATCACCTGTCCCTTCTCGGAGGCAAACACCTCCCAGCCCCGTCAAGGCCTCTGCGCTCATCCTGAGTTGGGGGCCCTATGTGAGACCCCCGTAGCCACATCTCGGCTCAGAAGGCTACAGTGCAGAGTAATTAAATCAAATTGATGCTGTCCCTGGGCTGAGGCCACCCTTGATTTAAGGCCAGAAAGGGAAGCAATTACATTTAATAAAAACCAGGTTCCTAAACAAAAATGCGTGGCAACGGCCATCCGGGGGCTGCATCCGCCGGGGGAGCGGGGACCACTTCGGGTGCTGCCGATGTTGGATTAAAAGTGAAAGAAATGATCGCTTCCCAAAGCCGCTTTTCTAACATGCTGGTTTAAAACGCCAGTCTCGCTCGTGACTTTGTCAAAATCCAGAGCCCGCGGTCCATTCTCCGAGGGAGATGCGTCGCCGGGGCTGACTGCGGGAACTCCAGCCTGCCGTGTTTGTCTGGCAGGCATGATTAAGAGTGGGCTGTCAGGGCTCAAGGTCACGGCACATGGCCCCCAGCCAGAGCCCGGCGAGGGGACAGCTCTGAACCAGGGAGGAGGAAAAGAGGTGGCTGGGTGTCTTAGGACCGTCTTTCACCTACTGCTACCCCCACCAAACCACTCTCAGCCTGGAGCTCCTTCCCTTTGACGGGAGCAGCTCCCTTTCCTGCTAACAGGACCAGGGTCAGGTGCATGGGCTTCCGAGGTGACGCCCTCCTGGCCAGCAGGCCACAGCTCTCACAAAGTTCTCTGCACAGAGATGAGAAAAAAATCACAGCCGGGCCCCGGAGAACAGGAACCACGGCAACCCACAGATATTGTAACAATGCTTGGCATTATTCGCGATGGCATTCATGGTGACAGAGAGCAGGCAGTGCCCGAGCACCCCCGGATGCGGCACTGCTGGGCTGAGCGCCTGGGTCTGCAGCCCCCGAGGGACCCCGCCCCTGCCAGCAGCTCTGTCGTCTGCTCTCCCAAGGGTGCTCAGCACCCACAAAAGCAAGTCGCCTGCTATCAATCTGGGGCCAAGGGGCACGTGATTCGTTATTAAGCCTCAGTCTCTGCACCCCAGGGTCCCAAAGGGCAGCCCCAGCCCTGCTCTTTCCATGGGTCTCATCTGCACGGCTCGGCTCCAGGAGGAAGGAAGGCAGGTGCAGAAGAATCTCTGCGTGCCGTGTTCCAACACCCCCAGTTCCACATAGGGGAGGCCCGGTGGCACCAAGTGGAGCTAAAATGTGGGTCCCCCTCTCCCCGATGAAGCAACCGTCCGCTCTGAAACGAGAACCTGAAAACTCGTCCACGTGTGTCTGCGTTTAGATTGATCAACAAGCGTAAGTCATGGAGACAAACTGGACCCCTGCAGACCTGGCCCCAAGCCCCCACTGAAGCCTCTCCCGAGAACAGAAGTCCCATTATCTTATCCCAAAGGTCAAAGTTGAACGCCCACAGCACACAGGAAAACTGGCCGAGGGGGAGGTGAGAGGCCAGCGCAAGGAACGGCCTCATCCCGCCTCCCTCTTACTGAAGTATCCAGAAAACAGCAACACACCCGGTACATCACAAGATGGCAGCTGCACCAAGCCCAGGGAAAGCCGGCTGTGTGCCCTCATGCAGGGGCGCCTGGCTCCCTCCAAGGCCCCCTCCTCACACGATGACCAACGTGACCCTGAGCATGGCGGGAATACCTGAGTGTTGGCACCCACCGGTCTGAGCAGGAAAGCCTTCTGGAACTTTCTGGAACGCTGTCTTGCCCCACTCCCAAGGTGCTGGTACCATATTCAGAAAGGAAGGGGCTCTGACAAGATGGCAGGCTCCCTCAGTTGCCTTCCAGCCAAACTTTGCCCACCTCTCCCAAACACCTCCAAGTACCAGGTGAGGGCAGGTATGTCACCGGCAGCAGAAGGTGAGGGTGCCACCCCGGCGTGAAGACTTCACTCATAAGCACAGGAAAGTGAAACCTCAGAGACTGGACGGAGACCCCAACGCCGGCTCCGGGGGCACAGCCATGACACCACAGGGGGCCCAGGGTTGCTCAGGGACAGCCCAGATGCCTCCCCGCTGATGGGCTCCCCCAGTCTCAGCTTTTGTATTTACTCGATGGGTGCTGCCTCCAGCTCTCTTAGCAGTGGATGCAAAAAGGCTTGTGGCAGCCATTGTTGAACTTGAAGAAGATCCTTTCCTTTCTGCACAAAGCCACACCCCGTGGTTGCGCTGGGAGGGATGCGGCCTCTCCCCAGGATTATAGGAGGGGGACAGAAGGAAATGGCAAGGGAAGCAGGAAGTTCTCTGGAAGAGGGCTGGGGTCCCCCTGCTTTCGTGTCCCAAGAACGACAAGTTGGGCTTGCCAGGCTGGAGCCCTTCACAGGGGGAACTTACACGGGATTCCAACTCCCAGCAGGACACCCCTGCCTGGCCAGCTCTGCACACAGGCCCCTCCGAGCCCCTTGGCCCAGGGACGGACCCTCCAGCCACAGTCCAAGAGCTACTGGCCTCAAATGCATCGTGGGACATTTAGCACAAATGGGTGCCTGGCCCTGGAAACTGGCAAGCATCGGCGAGGGAGGATGGCAGGACCTGGCTCGTGAGGTCAGGGACCTCCGGACAAGCGAGGTCCCAGCCGCAGGTGCTGCGGCCCCTCCAGCTTGCAGTGCGCTCCTGTGCAGGAGGATTAGAAAGGCACTCTGCGAAGAGCAGGCATGCTCCTCCACTGTCAGGAATATTTCATCAACCTGCTGGTAGGAAACCTGACTCCCACCTTCGTGGGATGGGGTTTGCCGCAGAGAAGGAAGCCTGCCAGTGCTGCTTCTGGGAGCCACCACCCTCCTCCATCCACACAAAGCCACCTCCTCCAGGCGGTCCTCCTGGACGGTTCTTCGGGACCTTGCCACATCCAATCTGACCCCCAGTGCCTCCCCTGCAGCAGACCTTGAGTGTCCAGGGAGGGGTGCTGCTGCTGGAATGTTCTGGGACCCTAGGAAGAAACATGCAAAGGACATCGTGTCCCCTGGCAGCCACCACTCTCCCTAGCCTCTCTCTCTCACACATGATGAGGCTTTGCAGGAAGGAGGGAGACACCACATTCCTTGCTCCGAGTGACAGGCTCGCATCTAAATCTGTACCGTGTGACCCACCTCACATGCCTGCACCCGGGCCGGTGGCGGCCAGGTCAGCGTGGGGAGAAGAGCTCAGCTGCCCAGGTTGCTGTTGCAGGAAAGGCCCTGCTCTCGGTCCCTGGAAGCCTGGGCTGAGGAGGGGATGCCGGAGGCAGCCAGGGTCACCCTGTTCTGGTGGGAGTGGCTCCAGGCTGGGCCTGGACTCCCACCCCCTGCACTGTGTATCTCTGACTCTCTTTCCTCACCTGTGAAATGGGATGACTCCTTCCGAGGTCCTTTCACCCACCCCATCTGTCCGGTGATGGGACCCTGGGGGTGAGAACCCCAGGGCCAAGCCCTCTCCCTGCACCAGCCTCTCTCCAGCCCAGAGCCAGGGGCAGCAGGAGAAGCGTCCACTGTTTATAACTCCAAGTTCCAGCTGGCATCTTGGCCAGTGGGGGCTGTAAACCAGGTCAGTTCCCAGCATCCCGGACCCCCAACTGACCCAGTCACCCAGCATGGGACAGGATGAAATATTGATTACAGCTGTCTGAAGGAAGGGTTTGTATGGAGTGGGGGTGCCTGCAGCCATTAGAGAGCAAAGTGTGTGTTTACCAGGAGGGGAGAAGCAGGGGGCGGTGGGGCCAGGAGATGCCTGATAAGCCCACTCCTCTGTCCACACCCAGCAGCCAGAATTGAGGGCAAGAGAAACGACCTTTGTGGCCCCAGAAAGCAAGGGCGGCTCCACTCCCTTAGAGTCCTTGGAGCTGGCCCAGAGCCCCTGTGGACCCAGGGACTTGGGGGATCATTGCACCTCCAAACTAGAAACCGGCTTCTCCCCGCTCTGTAATTCAGGGAAACAGTGACACTGTGACACGGGAAGCCCTAGAGGGGGTCAGGCCTGGGTCCCAGCCCCAGCTCAGCCACTCTAAGGCGGGGACTGTCGGTCCATCTTTCTGGGCCTCCACTGCCTCGTCTGTAAAATGGACGACACCAGAGGTCCCCGGACAGCGGGTCTGAGGACTCAGTGCCTGGCGTGCCTCGCCGAGACCCCGGAGCATCGCGCGGGGCTGGCCAGCTGGGAAGTGCAGGCTGGGCAGGTTCCACTTCAGCTACGCTGCAGCCCCAGGCCCCCAACCCTATCAGCGGGGCAGCATCACCCCTGTAACGAAGGCCCAAAGCTGGTGGTCCCATGGCGAGGCTGCCCGAGACCCCCTTTCTTCCCAGGGGTGGCTCCTAGGCTGCTGGAGGAGCGTTCTGCCCCCAGCCCCGCCCCAGCCTGGTGTCCTGTGGCTCCCGGACAAAGCGAGCCAAACAATCTCCTCACACCTGGACTCTACTTCCAACTGCTGGAAAAACAAAGGGAGACGCCCAGGCTCTCCCCAGCCGGGCGCCCAGGCCGCCAAGAGGCCCCTGCCCCGCTCTGCAGCCCCAGGCTCTGTAGGCTGCGACAACAAGGAGCATTGAAGAGGAGTCTCAGGGGAGGGCGCAGGGAGACCCGGCCCAGGGAGCCACGGGGAAGGGACGGACGGTCTGGGGACGGCTGGGATCCAGCTCCGAGGAGGTTTGTCCTAAACAGTGTGAATACCTGTTTCTCGGGGTAACCCGACCCTATAATTACGCCTAAGCCCCAGCAGTGTGTGCGGGACCCACAATGCCAGTGCCCGGAAGCTGGGTGAGGAGACCCCTTAATTGTCACTGCCAGGGATGTCGCGTCAGGCGGGCTCGGGTTACCCAGGATCACAGCTGGTGTGTCACCTGCGGGCCACGGAGGGGGAGGGCTCGGTCGGGCTGGGACATAGAACCAGCGCAAGCCTGCAGCCCCTACTGGCCTTGGCAGCGGCTGCTAAGAGCTCCTGGCACGTTGAACTCACTGTGAAACCCCTTCCCAGGACGCCCGGAGCTCATTGTTTAACTCAGATAAGAAATGTGGGCTCTTGTGTTTTCTTTTCTTGAGAAAATGTCGGGCCCGTGGTCGGTGTCTGCAAGGCAGGAAGAGCTGGGTACGATGAAGGGCCTCACGTGGCCCGCCCTGCCCCCACCGCAGACCTCCCTGAGGCCCCCTACCCTGCCCATGGGGCCACCATGGCCAGTCCAGCCCGAAGCCAAGGGGTGGTGGCGGAGCCTGGGGCCGACTGGGCTGACTCGGGTTCACTGGTGGGGACCAGGCTGGACTCTTGGAGCTGCCTTGCTGTTTCCTGGGGTGCTCCGCAGCCCCCCAAAATAAAGAGCGAGCTCCCGAGGAAAGTGCCCTTCCTTCCAGAAGCCCCTGACCCGGGGGTGGCACCTTCCAGAAGCCCCTGACCCGGGGGCAGCAGCACGCGGACCAGGAGGGCCTCCCAGGCCCAGCCTGCGGGTGGCCGGCAGCTCCCCGGCAGCTCCCCTACCAGGCCAGCAGCTCGGCCGTCTAATCCCCGGCTAATACCCGGCCCGATCCCCTCGCCGGGCTCTCAGGAGGTGGGCTCCCGGGTGTCCCACGCGGGTTCGGGTGGTCAGGCCCCTCTGCCAAACAAAAGGCCGCCTGTTTGCCGCCTCTGCCTCAGCTAGGCTTAAGGACATTTTTGTCATTTTTGACCAGCTAATGTCTTGGAAAAGAAAAATAAGTTGTCTAATCGCTTTAAGTTTAATCTTCACTTTCTGAACACTCTAGGTGCCGATGTTGACTTTTCTGGACCAATTAGGTCAAGGTCCTTCAAGCCGCCACGGTTAACTCCGGAGCTTTTCACGGTTCTTTTTCCTATTTCCCCTTCCAGGGGGAGGCGGGCTCCACGCGCCCTCGGAGTAGGTCTAAGCAGGACGGGGCTTCCCAGGAGTGCACAAGGGTGCGAGTTCTGATGCCAGAGGCTGTGCGGGAGGGGAGGGCAGGAGGGGGTGATGGGCATGAGCGTGGCCCCTCGGCCCCAACTTTGGGGGCATCTTCCTGACTTTGGGGGCATTGGCCCCCGCCCAGCCCATGCCCGTGCCATGCCTGCTGCCCAACTGTCCGTCCCCAGGCCTGCGTCTCCTCTGCTGTCCACGTCCTCTCTTCAAGAATCAAGCGGGGCACTATGTTCCAGGGAAGCTCCGTCCCCCAGCTGAATGGCGCTCCGGACAGCTCCACACAATCCCCTCTCTGTGGGAGCCTCTGTGTAGAGGCTTCCCCTTCCCACTGGACATCAGCGCCGGGAGGTGCTGATCTCCAAGGTCCCAGCAGGAGCCCAGAGGTGGTCCTGAGCCCAGGCCTCCTGCTCCCGACACAGCTGGACGGTTCTGAACCCAGGTCTCCCACTCGTGACACAACTGGACACGCTCCCTGAACTGGACGCGCTGCCTGACCTTTTTTCCCCAGTGCTTTGCAGTCTTGGGGGAGGAAAGTAAAACTCTAGCCTCCTTCTCACACGTGTGTGCTTTGGGGCTGCTCTCAGATGGCCCTATGTTTGTTTTGAGCAAGGCGAGGTCCAACTTCCTGGAGGCCGATCATTTCTCCTGGGGGAAGGGAGGAACTGACTTATGTTCAAAAATTGTGCACAAATTCCCGCGGCGAAAGGCCCCTTGCCTGCATACCCTTGGCTCCCAGCAGGCAGCACGGGCCACTTCATGGGGCTTTCTCCCTCACATGAAGGGGAGATGGAGGAGCTGGCTCGGGCCCAGCCTTGCCAGCCCCAGCTGAACCACTTCAGAGAGCCATTAACCTCTGCAAAACGGAGTGGACAACTTCCACGTGGCTTTCTGTAGAAATCAGATGGGACTGCAAGCAATGGCACGGCCCCTGCCAAGGTGGATCTTGGTAAGGAGGAGGGAAGGTCGCTGGGCATCATTTCTGTCAGGGGCGGCCGATTGGGGAGCAGTTCTGGACAGACCCTGCCCTCCTCTCCCCATCGTGCAGGACAGACAAGAGCCTGGGTATCATCTCCAGGTGGTTCCAGGGCTGTGGCTTCGGGAGGCCGAGCCCCATGGCTCTGCCCTCTGCTGAGAAGATCCCCTCTGAACACAGTCTTACAGGAACCTCCCCCAGGCCCACAGCCCCGAGGTGCCTCCCTCGCCCTGGGAGAGTCTGGCATGGTTTGCGGTGGGAAAAGCAACCCCTGGATTTTCCTGTAGGAGCCTCCAGAAGAGACATGGGCAGAGACCTCCCTGGTCTTCCTGCAGCTCCTGCCCTGGAACCTGAGTCTCCCAGGCATCTGACCAGCTGCACTCCACCACCAGAAGCCGGTTACCACCGTCCTTCGGGCTTTGTCCTGGAGGGTGCGGGGCTGGTGTGGACCACTCAGTCTGGCAGTGACCACCACCCAGTCAGAGGCACGGCAGAACGCACCTGCTGCACGGACGCTGTTTGAACTTCTTCAAAACGTGGTGCAGTGTTTCCTGAAGACATTTACCATCCTTGGCAGTTAAATACAGCACAGTGTCAATTACAGGTCCATCTTCTGTAAGTCTGGGACAGATTCACAGTATCTGTGTTTGCACGAGGCTGGGGTTCCGGGTGAGTGGACCGGCTGGATGGCCCTGCCCAGCCACCCTGACGAGGGCTTTTTATCTAACCCTGCCCCACCCAGTCCCCGGGGAATTCCTAATCAGATGTGTTCAAAAACTGCTGAACCAAATAAGGGTCACTTTACTTCCAACATAATTTCTATTTTAAATGAATCGTCTACTCTCTCTTGGGAGGCAGAGGTGTTGACTTCTCGGGCAACAGTATGAACCGGGTGGCTCTAGAACATTCTGGACCTCATGGGGGCTCCAGATCTGTCAGAGAGACCCCTCGGTAAGGAGGAAGGAAGGTAATGGGGGGTGGAGGGGAGAGCCATTTGGAGCAGTTGAAGAGCTCCCTCTGCATTCCAGGGACTCAGGGTGAGGAACTGCCCATGGTGAGACCACTCCCTGCAGCCCATCTGCCTGGCCGGCCATGTGTGCCCCTCTAGAAGGTTCTAGAAAGTTCTGGAAGGCTCAGGCCTCCCAAGGGCCCAAGGTAGTGCTCTGACCAGGCCCAGGTCCCCTGTCCCATCCACCCTCCACCCAGCAGGCTCCGCTCCTCTGCTCACCGGACACAGAATCAGTTGGGCAGGGACCACATCCAGGTCCTGACACTTCGTAAACATCATCCAGATAATAACACGCTGGAA
The DNA here is from genome assembly GCF_000001405.40 of Homo sapiens. NCBI lineage: Eukaryota > Metazoa > Chordata > Mammalia > Primates > Hominidae > Homo > Homo sapiens. The sequence goes on along the minus strand of NC_000001.11, from coordinate 3,132,236 downwards.
TGGCAGAGTTTTCCTCTCCGTGGCACCGCCGTGTAACCCTTCATCCTGGTTCCAAATTTGCCTGTGCAGCCCTGAATGCAGACTGCAAACCCCAAACTCAGATAAATACGTCTAAACCTTTAAAAAGTGCCCCTAATGCCCCATTGAGCCCCTGATCGCTCATTTCCCAGCTATATAATTAGCACATAAAGAACTCTCTCCTCCGAATTAAACGGCAGTAATTGGGTTTTTTAAAAAAACTAATTTAAATCCTAAACCCTTTGAAAAAAAATTGTCATTGTTTACATATTAAACGGACTAGCATTTTAAGTATTATGGGGCTAATTTAACAGGCTTATCTAGGACATAGGCCCAGGAGGGAGGAGGAGGAAGGCAGTGGAGGGGAAGCAGGCGGGTCCCAGGAGAGCTGCCTGGAGACCCCAGGGCAGCGTCACTGCAGGACGCAGCCTGGGCCACGGCCTCCCCTGTGAGGTTTGCGGGGCCTGGAGCTGCGGCCTGCACCACACCATCACCTCAGCCTCAAATGGGGATGCCTCAGCTTATCACCATGCAGCGGACAGACCAGAGGCGTGACCAACCCTCGCTTTTCCAATGGCATGCAAAAATTTTGCTCATGGTTGCTAGAACTGTCATTATTTTTATTATTATTTTTTCTGCAGTACAGGCATAAAGAAGTATAAGAGTTTTAATTATGTCCACTTGATTTTTTTTAACTTTCTGGCTAAAAAATCCTTTGAAGTAAAACCCAGCAAGAAATGGGTCACAGCTCTGTGAATGGAACTACAAAATGTGAGCGAAAGCCATTTTGATAGGAACCTTGAGAAATGGACAGCCGCCTCACATTCCTTCACAGGAAGAATTAAAGGTTATAAAGCGTCCAGTCCCCCTAACTCAAACACAGAAACATAACAATTTTACAAAATAAACCTTTTTCTAACTTGAAGAAAACAGCTCCAAAGTTTTTCTCAAAGGCAAAATAAATGCAGACAACTGGACAATGACGAGAAATGTCTGAGAGAGAGAGAGGGAGTCTTGCTTTTCTGTGAGTTTAAGTATTTGATATGGATCATCAGGATGATGAAAAAAACGAAAACAACCAAAAACTGTGGCTGCGGCACAGCTCGGAGGAAGCCAAGGGCAGAGCCAGCCACACACCATGGCGTGGCCAGAAGACAAGGGCAGGGGCCTCCCTGCAGGACCCGGTTCAAGCGTCCCTCCCGCGGTCTGCACGTCAGGATAAACACGGACGGGTCAGGTTCTCCTCCACCCCACAAACTCAGAAGGTGCTGGAACACACCTAACCTGAACAGGGCACAACCTGCAGAAGGAAGCGGCTGCGTTCTAGCCCTGAGCATAGAGCAAGGGCTGGTGGGTCTGACGCTGTGAAACCCAGAACCGTGTGCCGGCAGCAGAAAAGATAAAAAATTAAAAAAAAAAAACAGCCCCCCCACCGCCCCCGCACCAAGGAAAAGGCCATGCAGCTCACGGGGGAAAAGGGCGACAGTATTTGAGGGAATGGAGGTGACATCCGTCTGTAATGGGCTCTTGAAAATTAAGAAACTGAAGACAAACGTCCCCAAAGAGAAGGCGGCGAGTTACAGAAAGCGCAGAGCTGTGCGTGGGGCGCATGAAGCATCAGCCCTCCCCTGAAGTCCAGCAGTGTGAATTAAAATTGCACTGATGTTTCAGCGAGGAAACCTATAGACAGGGGGCAGCCCTGGGCTGCTGGGCGGGCCCTGGAGACGGCCTCTGGGGCCAACTAGGTCTCCACATGTTTCCAAAGCCCCATGGCCGCAGGAAGGGCCCACCTCTCGGCTGCCTTTGCTCCTTATCCTGGCCTCCCCAGGGCTGGTGTTGTGTTTGGTTTGGGTTTGTAGTTTGCAAAGGACACACTGGGATATGGGGCACAGTGGTGCGCTTAGACCACAGCCCTGGAGCCCCCAGCTTCTCCCCAGAACCCCACGGTCCACATCGCCTGCCCGGGGGTCCTAGGAACCCCTCTGGCAGTCGGCCTCCAGGTCTGGCTGGTCCTGCACAGGACAGGGACAGAGGGCTCTGCTGGCTTCTCACCAAGACCCAAGACTTCCTCACTAGCTGTCCCCAAGCCCCTGACCCTGGACACTGAGCACGCAGCCCAGGACCTGTTGGGGGAGCAGGAGTCTGCCCAGGGGGTCTCCACCTCCCTCTGGGGTGCTTGGGCCTCACTGTCCCAGAACAAGCCGCCTGCACTGCCCTCCCAGCCCAGCTGGTCGCCTTGGCCCATCAACGCTTTTGGATGCCCTCAGTGGATACAAATGGCTGAGACCCTGCTGGGGCCCTGGGAAGAGGGAAAGCAAAAGCGGGAAGTAGGAGAGAGAGAGACTGAGAGAGGAGAGAAAATCAGACAGAGAGAGACAGAGAGGGGGAAAGAGAATCAGACAGGCTCCTGTTGGGAGCAGAGAAATTCTTTCCTTGGAAAAAGGGGTTCTGAAACCCCAATTCTCTTTTCTCTTCCAGGGATTTCTGCTCCGTACAGGGTCTGGGCAGTGCTAGAGGAGGACCTTGCCCCTACCTGTGGCACTGAGGGCCCTTGGGCTCTCCCACGTAACTGCGGAGGACCTGGGAGAACCTGCTTCAAGGGCCCCGGGTCCCCATCCCGTCCTGACCCTCAGCTTCAAGCACCCAGCAGGGAGGGTCTGCCCCGGCTCCTTTCCCAGGTGCCCTCAGCAGCCCTGGACGACACCCCTGTGGTTCAGCCAGTGTTGTGAGTGCACAGGCCACACACACACACACATGCACACACAGACACATGCACACCAGGAAGGATACACACACTCACAAGCACACACCAGGCAGGACACACACACACGTGCACACGCACCCACACACTCACCCACGTGCGCACACACACACAACCAGGCAGGACACACACCCACACACACACCAGGCAGGACACTGACACGCACACACCAGGCAGGACACACACACACATGTACACACCCACACACACGCACCCACATGCACATACCAGCCAAGACACACACATACATGTACACATATCCACACACCCACACACTAGGCAGGATCCACACCCACCCACACACGCACGCCAGGCAGGACACCCACACACGCACGTGCACACTCACCCATGCACGCACACCAGCCAGGAAACGCACACACATGCACACGCAACCCCCCACACACACATGCACCAGACTCCCTCCTGGTTTCCTGCTAGGGGAGCAGCGACCACACCCCAGCCTCCCCAGGGCCACCCTCCTCATCTCATCTGCACAGTCGCTCCCACTTCCCAGATGAAGAAACCAAGGCTGCCGGCCACGGCTGCGCACCCCCACCTGGGGCCAGGGCAGGCTCCCCAGGACTGGTGTTAGTGAGGGCCGAACAGTTCCAGCTCCCAGCAGGGCACTCACTGGGCTGTGGATAGCTGTCCACTCTTCAGGCTACGCCCAAGGATTCCAGTAAGGGAACCAGAGCCATTGGAGCGTTGCCACCACCGGAAAACAGCCACCGACCCGGGTGGGATGGTCTCCAGTAGCATGGTGGGATGGTCTCCAGTAGCATGGTGGGAGGAACAGGGCAGTCCACAGAGGGCTGGACGCTTCCTTCCACAGCTCACCGGCCGGTCACCGTGGCCGATCACCCTCTGGGTTCCCGAGTGAGAGTCCTCGGCCCTCATGCCCTGAGCCTGCAGGTCACCATTGTGGGAGAAAATGGAGCCACTGTGGAGCCACCCCAGGGTCCTGGGTGCGGAGCCATGCGGAGGGAGGGTTTTCAATGCCCTGCTACTGTGACCTGCGTTTCCCAAAGCCGTGCATGGGATGTCGTGATCAGAAAAAGGCAGGACAGAAGCAACCCCCGAATACTATAAATGCCACTTTAACTGGGATAAAATAGGAAATCAAAGTTGATCTGACGACCCCAGACTTTCTAGGACAAGGCACCCAGTGTTGAAAGTGAGCAGCAGATTCCCACGGCTGCCTCTTGGCCCCGTCAAACGTGAGGTCTTTGTTTCCCTCTCAGAAGAGAGATCACGGGTCTGTCATCACAGGGCATGGGTACGGAACCAGACCCAGATCTAGTCTTCAATTTCCGAACACTCAGAATGACTGTCTCTCTCCAGTGAGAGGCGGAGTTGATCCCTCCACAGCGGGGCTGACGGGGGAGGGGAGGAGATTTTCATACAAGTGCCCTCTGAAGTGGATGGAAGCACGTTGGCCCTTTTCTCAGGAATTGGCCACTAAGGAAAAAAGCTGGAGGACGTGTTCCCAGATGCCAGAAGGCTGACCAGAGGCGGGAGCCCCTCCTCCATGGCCACAGCACCCAGGCTTCTGTTCCAGGAAGCCAGGCCCCTTGATGGGCAGCCAAGCGCCTGCAGCCTCCCCGAACCCAGGGCTCATGGCCTGCCCGCCTCCCACTGTCCCCCCACACCATGGGGACGCTCTGCCTTTATGGGGCAGGCCTCAGGCCTTCACACTCACCCTAGGCAAACCGGCCTCTCGCTCAGAGATTCAGGCCGGGCCTCTGCACCGCAAGGGGGACATGGCCCAGGGGGGTCCCTCTCAACCCTCGTCCTACTGTCCTGGGCACTGGGGAAAGCAGTGGCCCTGAGCATCTGTATCAGTTTACAGGCAGAATGGATCTGCTTAGCAGCCAGTCTTCCAAAATGAAACCAGAAACCAGGTCTAATCATTTGAGCTCGATAAAGATTCCCCAAGTGCCCGGGGAAGCTAGGCTGTGGCTCGCTGGTAACTGGTTTGCTTTCTCTCCAGACACACAGATCGTGCAAGCAATAAAATGAAATACGTTGGCTGCACCCACAATGTGAAGGGGTGGGGGATCTATCTCACGAGGGCATCGTCTGGGTAAGATGATATCAGATGTAGCAAACAAGAAAAGCAAGGTTCCAGAAACCAACATATATCAGCTTTTGGCAAAGCCTGCGCACCGCCGTTATGCATTTTAAATAACTCGATGCCAAATCGTAACAGGCTGTCCTTGCCAGAAACCATGAGAGGTCAAGCGAGGATCGCAGAAGAGTGCAAAGATTTGTCTTTAGAAAGCACAGTGCTGAAATCTATTTTGAGTTTTGCAAAACAAGAGACCGTCTGGGCCTCTCTCTCTTTTCCTTGGCCTTTCCCTTTTCATTTTAAAACTAACATCTAAGTCTCGTCCCCACTGCAGGCCTCCAGCTCGGGGCCCAGGCTGGGCTGAGCCAGAGTGTGAGGACAGGACCCTAGCAATTGTGTCCGGGGCCGATGGTGGTCCTGCCCTGCTCCCAGGCTCGAGGGGCCTCCCAGCTGAGTCCAGAGTAAGCTCTCGATCCCCTAAAGTTTGCCGGAACAGACAGCGGGCCCGGGCCTGACACCAGAGCAACCATGCCCCATCTACAACGCTTCTGCACAGAATCAGAAGCCCTTCTGGAATCTTCCTGTCTCTGCCTTTTCGAGGTGCTGTGACCATCACTGGCGATGGGCACCTCATTGTCCCAGGCCCAGTGGGGAGCCCACCTCCAGGACTGGTTCCTGTCTACTCCTCCCTCACTCCAGAAGCACCAGCCCTACAGGGCAGGGTCCCTGACAGAGCCCAGGGCTGGAGGCTCCTGGTCCAGTCCCCAGCCCTCTGCCCACCACAGAGCTCAAGCACGGTAGGCCACTGCTTGGGATTGGGTACAGGCCCCTGGGTTTTCAAAGCTCATCTAGGGATTCCAGGAACCGCAGCAGGGTCTGGGTCCACCTGATCTGACCTGACTGTCCCTCGTTGAGGGCTGTCTGGACCCCAGGTGCTGCCTGCAGGTAGCCAGGCCTGTCCCTTCCTGCGCACCTGCAGCCAGCTCCTCCGGCCTTGCCCTGTCCACCTGAGCAGTGGACTGAGCCCCCGGGGGCATGGGAGAGACCTGGGGAGGAGGATGCCATTGGCACCTGTGGCCAGGGCTGGCCTGGGGCCAGACTGGCCGACACTGTTCCCAGGCACAGCCAGGCTGGCCGCGTGCGGCGGCGGCGAGAGCTGCGGGGACCGACTGTGCCTCTGCAAGCCCAGGGGAGCTGGGCCGGGAAGAGCGGCCAGCGGCGCCCGGGCCCACAATGGCCCCTTTCTCCCCGCGTTTATTGAGACAGTTCGGTTTGGAATATTTAAACAGTTGTATATTCACAGATTGCAAGAGGGAGAGGATTACCTAAGGACGAGCCAGCCCGATCAATGCATAATCAGATAACTGCCCGGGCTCTCTACAAGGTTTCACAGGAAGATCCGCCACTCAAACGCTAATTCCTCTTGCTAATTAAGCAGCCTGTTAATTGCTCTCGGGCCTCTAATGCCCCTGTCATTATGCCTGTAACAGCCCCGTGACAGCAATGGGCCTGGAGCTGGGGCCCACAAAGGAGCCGGTCCTTAATGAATCGGGCCAGTGCAGGGACCTGCACCCTTGGCCGCGCCTCGCCTGTGCCGCGCTCCGCTCCGAGGGGCCAGGCGTAGTGGGGTCAGTGCCCCCCGCGCAGACCAAACTCGTTACAAATGGCCCAACCTGCCGTGACCGACAGCAAACACGGCTGAGCTCCTGGGAGAGCCACTGAGGGATGTTTTCCTTTCTTCCCTTAAAAAATTAAAAGCGGAGCCCGGTCCAGGGACCTGCACAGCCGCTCCCCTAACTCATTGCTCCTCCAGAGCCTTGGCGAGCGCCAGGCAGGGCCGGTCCCCCCAGAGGCCTGTGCTTCAGAGCGTGTGTCCCGCTGAGCCGGCGACTCTGCCCTTCCGAACAGCCCAGCAGCCGCTGAGTGGGGGGCCTCAGTTTCCCCATGTGCCCTGGCGATGACAGTGGCTACTCTGGGGGGTCAGAGGAGACCTGGGCTGAACAGAGGCCCACTTCCAGAAAGGACAGGAGGACCGTCCTCTTTGCCCATCCAATCAGCGGGCACTGGGCTGGCCTCCTCTGGCCAGCTCTGAGGCCTCTCCAGCCCAGAGCCCAGGGGCTGGGCCGTCCGCTAAGAAAGCAGCCTCAGCCGGAGTGATTCACGGATGCGGGAAGCGCGCTGGCTGAGGAAGCCCAGCATTCTCAAGGAGGTGCAGCTGCGGGGTGCGCACATGGTCAGCCTTTGGCTGGTGACTGTGCCTTAGCGAGGCAGAAATGTCAGAGCTTTAGGCAAAGAGAAACTCGCCAGAACTGTAGTTGGTTTGGGTCAGCTGATCAGGTTTTCCCAGAGACATGCAAAGAGCCCAGAGAGCCCCAGGGGGCTCCTGCGGAGCTGACAGGAACCTGAACATTGCGGGAGCTGGAACCCAGGACACACAGGGGCCACACTGCAGCTGCTCGCTTCCAGTACCCCTGAGACCTGGGGCCCCTTCTCCAGCCTACTTCCCACAGGGCTGCCCGGATGGGAGCAGGGAGGGGGCTGTGGATTGAGGCCTGGCCCTGGAGCTGGCATGTTCCCACCCTGACCCCTCACATCAGCCACCAAGGGCATAGAGGTCCCCCCATCCTGCTGGGGCCCACCTTAGGTGGAGGGGGGCTTCGAGGGGCTGTCACCAGGCTGAGTAGGGATGCAAGCCCAGATACACCTGACCCCCGGCCCTCATTCTTCCTTCCGCTCCAAGGCCTGGCAGGACCGCAGATGTGGCTCCACACACCAGGCCTGGGACATGGCAGGTGGCTCTCTCCCAAATGGAAGGGTCAGGGTTGGCCAAAGGACCAAGCTGATCCTAGCATTGGTGCTATAGTGGTAAGCATCGCTGCCTTCCAAAAGGCCAAGCTGGGGCTGTCACCTCTGTCCTGTCCATGATCAGTTCCTGGACAGTGGGTCATGTTTAGAGGCCACGGGAGCAGAGGTTCCTGGCTGAAAGACATAGGTCAGCCCAGCCAGGCCAAGAACCACTCAGGGAAACCAGTCAGAGTTCAGAAGAGCTCTCTGCAAAACAGGAGACTGTCTGGGCCTCTCTCTCCCTCTTTTCCTTGGCCTTTCCCTTTTCATTTTAAAATTAACATCTAAGTCTTGTCCCCACTGCCGGCCTCCAGCTCAGGGCCCAGGCTGGGCTGAGCCAGGGTACGAGGACAGGACCCCCAGGACTCCAGGAGCCACTGTGGCCAGCTCCACGGCCCTGTCCACCTCCACCGGCCCTGCCCTCCTAAGCACCCGGGTCCCAGCAGTTCTTGGGGGTTCTCACGGGTGGGGGCACATCTAACATGGGGTCCCAAAGGCAGCGTCAGAGAGAGAAGTCATTCCACACAAAGCCTGGGAGAAGGAGACGACTCGGACGCCCACCATACGGCGTGGGGTGCGCATCTGGGACGCTGACTGCAGCTGAGCTGCCCCACCCGAGCCCAGGTGCTCGGAGACAGGGCCTCATTTAACCTTGACAAGGACACAAGTCTCTGTCTTGTCCCCAGTTGAGGAGAGGCCAACTGCCTTGCCCCAGACCCCGCAGCTCATCCACTCGGAGCTCGGACTTGATGTCTCGCCACTGGGGCAATGCCCTGGGGCACCCCGTGAGCACCCTGCTTCTCGGGCCACCGGGAGGCAAATGAGAAGAAAAAGATGTTGCCACCCTCACAGCCGCATCTCCTGAGTCCAGCTTCACGCCAGCTTGGCCTTTGGATGCCAAGGAAGGGGGCATGGGATGGGCTGCCCCCCCTCCCAGTTCCAGCAGCACCTGCTGCACTGGAGAAGACTCTGGGCCCCCCTCACTGGGGAGTGGGACTCTGCAATCTGTGCTGAAAGGGTGAACCAGGTGGGGCAGGTGTTTATGTAGCCGAATGGCTGCCCCCTCCTCCAGGAAGGCCGCAGGCTCCACATAGCTGCTGGCAGACACCCTTCACCCGTGCCTGGGCATTGATCTCAGCCACCCACACCCCCCTCTGCACGGGTGCCACACTTGGGGGTTGATAAATTTGTCAGACGCCTGGAGATACATTGCTTTGAACCCCTCAGCCCAGGACTGTCACCTGTTAGGGTCCTGTCGGCTTTCCTGAGGGCCTCTCTGCCATGGAGACAGACACGTTCCTGGGAACCTGATACCAAGGCATCCTGCAGCCCCTGTCCCCTGTGCAAGGGTTTGGCTTTGCCATGATGGCAGAAGAGGGGAGCGCCGAAGGCTTGGGCCTGCTGTCCCATGTATGAGGTGCAAGCACACAGCCGACACAGCAACCACGCATCCAGCCCTCGGGCTCTTCACTTTACACCGAAGAACACTGACTTCTCATCCAGGACCTGGTGAAATCAAGGAGGTTTCTTCCCACCCACCTTGGCCCCTTGCACACCGCTGCCCTGAGCACCAAGACCCCCTGAGCCGTCCCCCAGGCCTCGGGCTCCCGTGCAAGCGCTCCGCCTCTTGCCCTTCCCGCGCTCCAGTCCTGGTTTGAATTTGCAAAGCTGGGGCTGGTTCTCATTCCCAGCCGCCGCCTCCCTAGAGCCCTACAGGAAGATTCAACCTGTTCAAAGTAGAAATAAAATAAAATAAAATACAACAGCATCTCCCACCCCTTATTAAATTAAGCATTCTGGCCAGTTAGTGAAACCCTAAATTTGATTTCCTTTCCTGGGCTGTTTTTAGTGTGGGGGCAGCACGGAGGGGGGGAATGTCTGGAAGGAGGGCAGGGCTGCGGTATTTGCTGAGTCGAGACGGTTCATTTTTTCCACTCGTATAATGATCCTTTCTTCCTCTTGCGGGCACTTGAGTTTTGTTTGTTCTGCTGAAGGCTTAAACTTCTCCACGCGGCCACTCGCAGCCCCCAGGTGGGCCCCAGGGGAGGCCGGCCACCTTCAAGGGGTCCATTTGCTTCTGGGACAGAGCTTTGAAGAGACATTGCTTCAGGTTTGTGACAGACTCAAAGCCTCTGATGGGATTTGCAGAGACTTGCTGTTTCCGGGATCTGCCATTCCGGGGGCTCCTCACCCCCAGGAGCTGTGTTTGAATGTTTGAGGGACATGACAGAGCAGCAACCGGACAGAGGAGGGGATCTGCAGAGAGCGTCGAGGGCCCAGCATCTCAAGGGTCGATTAGAAATTGTTAGAAGGGGCACTCGGTTTTTCCCAGCACTGCACGGGAGGCCGGGAGGAGTGCGCAGGCGGAAGCTTCCAGCAGGCAGTCCTGTGCCACACAGCCCGGCTGTCTGTGTCCAGGCCATGGCTGGACGTGTCCGCCTGACCTCCACAGACACCGTGCGCAGGAAAGGGGCTCGCGGTGAGGCTGGCTCCCCTAATCAGATCCATACTCCGCCGGGTGCGCGTTTCATAGAAAAGATCTGGCGATACCAACCGCCCGCGCCTGCCACTCTGGTCCAACTGAAAGGCCTTTGTTCGGGGAGATTAGAGCGGGATTTGCTTTCCTTTTTCAAGATGTTTCACTCACTACATCACCCAGGGTACTGACGGGGCTGCAGCCCTTCTTCCTCCACTTCCCGCCAGGGCCACACATTCCGGGGTCCCCAGCCGCCTGGGGAGGGGGTGCTGGCAGGAGGGAGGCCTGGCCGGCCCCGCAGAGAAGGGCCTGCAGCGCGCAGCCGAGGTGGAGGGCCGCTGTCCCCCAAGGCTGTCGGCGGCACTTGGCCCTGCCCCGGATCCCCTAATCAGCTGGTTCCCTGTCCTCCCCTTCCTCGGCACAGCCTCACATCTGTTTCTCGGCATTCGGAAGCCCATTCATTTCTCACCACCGCCCTTTGCCCCGCACTTCCAGGCCAGGCCCAGGCCGGGAGACACTAGCGGCCTTGCAGGAGGCAGGCGACGTTCGGAGTCTCCACAGAAACGGTTTGCTCCAGCTGGGGGCCTCTGGGCTACCTGGCTTGTCCTCACTGTGTTTTGTTTTCATCAGGAGCTGATCTTTTCTGAGCCCGGTCCTGAAAACAGCTCCAGGTTGCTTTCCTCCAGGACAGGCTTTTAAAATAAAAGCTGTTTTTAAAAACAAATAATGTCATTCTCCCGTTTGTGCCCTGCCCCCAAACCAGGGCCATTTTCAGGGGCAGATTGCTAGGACCGGAGGCACCGCAGCCCCGGGTCCTGCTGGGAGGGTGGGCTCCTGGGGCAGGCTCCGTCCTGACCAGGCCAGCTGATCTTACGCAGCTCGGGGGCCAGGCCTGATCCTGTGACCTGCGGGCTCCGTGACGGGCAAGCTGTCCTCTGGCCTCAGCCTCCGCTGACTCCTCAGCCCTGCCTCCAAGCCGGGCCCTAACTAAAGCATTTTCCTACACGACAGAAAGAAAGGGGGAGAAACCACACGCTCACCTTGTCCCAGCACAAGATTCTAACATGCTCACAAGTCAATCATATCCTGTTTCCAATCCAAACCCAAACATGTGAAGGTCCCTCAGACATTCAGACACAGCTCCTGAAGGTGAGGAGCCCCTGGAATGGCAGATCCCGGAGAGAACAAGTCTCTGCAAATCCCTGCAGAAGCGGAAAGGGGCTTCTAATGGTTCTTTCTGGGGCCGGCAGCCTCCTTGCACTCTTGGCCAGGGCTCGGCCCTGCCATCCGGGTCCCCAGACTCTGCCTGGCTGGGGTCACTCCCACGAGGCCCACCGCTTCCAGACCCTCTCCTCACCGACTATCCACCCTGCCTTTCACTGCGAAAGGTGTCAGAAGCTCCAGCGCAGAGACGCAAGGGCAGGCATCCTCCCGCTCCCAGGGGGCTGCCGGGGACAGGGGCAGGGACAGAGGGGTGGGGGTCTCCCGAGTTCCTTTCTGGCTGCCTGGGTTTCTCTTTCTCCAGCTTTGCGGGGATGGTGGCAGACACTCTGGGGTAGCTAAAAAGAAATGACCTGGTGCACACTTGAAGTGGTCTTTTTGTGTGTGACGACCCCCGAGTTCAGGAGCAAAGCCCCTCCCGTCCTCCCAGCCACTCTGCAGCTCCTGTTTGTCACCGGGCCTTGGGCCAAACCCCAAAACTCCCTTCTGCGGTGACGACCTCAACCAGGCTGAAGCGTACCAGACACGTCCCTGGAATCTTCCAGTGCCCCGGGAGGGGAGGCTGCCAGACAGGGGGCAGGGAGGACACGCGATCTTTGTGGAACGATGTGATATGGGCCAGTGTGGAGACTTCCCACAGATTTAATCCATCGCCTTAATTACTTGGATTTCAAGCTGCGAACTGATAACTCTGCCGACGGTGAGGGCTGACCCTGCCATCCCCCACGGAAGCTCAGGGGCCACCTGTGGGATAAGGGCTGGTGGTGGGCAGACTGACCACTTCCACCTGCCCCTGAGCAAGGAGGCACCAGCAGCCTCGGCCACCAGGCGGGGCTCCCAAGCTAGGGCAGGCAGGCAGGGCTGCAGCCTGGGTGCTGCTTCCTCTCTCCCCCCTCCAAGAAACAGCCTCCAGGCAGGGAAGGGGCTGTGGGGCCGCAGGGATCCTGGGGGCTGCCCCTCTGCAGGCTTCCCTCTCCCCCGCACACTGCAGATGGGCTGTGTCAGCTGCTGAGCAGGGGACAATCCGGCGTGACAGGGGCAGGCCTTTCTCAGCGTCTGCAGCAATTCCAAACACTTAACTCCACCGCTTACGTGAAGAAAAAGGATCAGTCATAAAAATCTCTTTGTACAAAACACGGCACCCCCAGCCACTCTCCCACTTTCCGAGGCCTTGGCCCTTGATTTCCTATCTGCCTCATCGGGCCATGGCCAGGCTTCTAGAACCCCCTCCCCAGCCAGGTCACGATCAGCAGCCTGATTCAGAGAGAAAACACACAACATCACCCCCTGCCCTGGATGCCAGGCACGGGACAGCACCCAAGTCCCCATCCCTGGGGGTGAGGCTTTGGAGTGACCCAAGGCCACACTAGAAAACTCAGCCCCCATGTCCCCCAACCTGGCCCAGGCGGCTGTGGAGGCCAGGGCTGGATGGGGAGTCCTCCTCCCCGCATCCTCTCAAGGAAATGACTTTCCACGCCAGTGTCTGGAGAAAGGTAATTAACCAGACCCCAGAGGGCCAAGCCTGCAGCGGGTCACCCGCCTGGCCGCACAAAGAATGTCCACGGCACCGGCCGAGGCACCGGCCCTTCACCAGCACCTGGAAAGGAAGTCCCACTGTGGCCGCCGGGGTGGGGTGCTCCTGAAAGCAAATGGCCAGGCTCTGCCAGGCAGGGGCTGTCCAGCCCTGGGTCGATAGCTGTGCAGCTGGAAGTCACTAGGCCAGCCAGTCCCACCAAAAAGGCCCTTGGCCTGAAGGAGGGCACAGGGTACAGAGATGGCCATACCGTCTCCCACCTCCCGGGCCACCCCCAGCTCTACAGGGAGGACCCACCCTGCCTGCTCTGGGGTCAAGCAACCCTGTGGGCCAGGGTCTCGCTCCTCAGCCAGGGTGTTTTCTTGCCAAAATGCCTTAGAAGGTCGGGCAGGGGGCTCTCCCAGGCCTTTCTTTGATGGGAGTCTTCAGTCCCACTTGGGCACAGAGGTGCCTCGGGCCCTGTGTCCAAACACCTGCAAGTGCACACACAGCGCATGCACGTGCACACACACTTGCACACAAACGTGTACACGCACGCCCTAGCACGCCAGCAGCTGGGGTCTCCCTGGACTCCATCCACGTGGCCCCCAGGCTGAGATCAAGTCCGCTCTGGGGGTCCCTGACACCCCCCGACTGCCAGTCCTGGAGACATGGTCATATGCCACAGAGCACCTGAGCATGTGGTGAAAGCCACACAGACTCCCTGGTTCTTTCCCGGCTTTGCCTCCCCCTCTCCTGGTGGTGTTTTGTTCATCTTCATGGAGACCTGGGCCATGAGCTGGGGGCGGATGCCATCATGCCGGGGAAGGCCCCTGGCCACACTACCCGGAATCCAACCACTTCTAGCTCCCAAAGCTGCCCCCTTGCCAGCTTAGGTCCTGGGTAGGGAGTGTCCAGGCACACCCAGGAGCCCCTCTCCATGGCTGTCACGCTTCCGAGGGGCCAGGTGGGGGTGCAGGAGTGTGAATTGCCATCCAGGCCACCAGGGCTCCATGCTGTTTCCTTCTGGATGGCTCCATTTTCTGCACTCTGAGCAGGTCTGGATCAGCCTTCTGGGGATAGCTCTGTGCGTGTGTATGCACGTGTGTGCACGTGTGTGTGTGCGTGTGTGCGTGTGTACATGCATGCACACACAATCTTTCCAAACACACACAGCATGAGCATGCACACACATGCATGTACACACGCACACACGCACACGCACACACACATGCATGTACACACATACACATGCACGCACACACACATGCATGTACACACACAGCATGAGCATGCACACACACATGCATGTACACATGCACACACGCACACGCACACACGCGTGCATGTACACACACACAGCATGAGCATGCATGCACACACACGTGCACAACTTGCATGGATTTCCGGCACCAGGAAGCCCTGCCTCTTGTAGCCGGTGAATCTGTGGCACCACCTGGAGCCTTTGTCCTGCATTCCAAGTGGAAACATGAATGTGCGGAGGCCTCTCCCCAAGACCAGCGAGCCCTGGGGTCTGTGGTCCCATGGAGAGCCAGCACCTGATCGCTGGAGCACAAGGACAAGGCGGGCCCGGGCCTGTGGCTCAGCCCAGCGGTCAACAGGAGGCCAGACGGGACCTGGGCCTGGACTAGGCTGGGTTGCCGGGCCCCCTCCAGAAGTAGGGCCTGGCTCTGCTCCTCACCCTGGAGATGGGCCCTGGGGAGGCAGAGTCCTTTTCTGCTCTGGACAACTTGGCAAATCAAGCAGAAGGAAACCGGGGGTGGGGACAGCATAGGCGAGGCCTGCGTGGTAGCCAGAGGTGAGGTGGCATGGCGATGCCCCCAGGCTCTAGACCACTCCCCAGACATGCACCTCACAGGCTCTCTGGGGCAGAAAGGGTGTTCCTTCCCCCTGCGTTCTCACCCGCCAGCTCCCAGCCACCTCTGCAGAGACCCTCCGAACCCCTGGTTCCAATTGGCCCCATCCCTGCACGGTCTAATCCAATTTCCGACTCCTGAGGAAGGCCAGGGCCATGACCACCAGGATGCTGGGGCCAGCACTCCCGGTCCCCACTTGCCATGTTTGTATTTAAAATGCCTGTAAGCCTGGGTCAGCCTGGGGACGCTCTCATAGAGGCCGGTGTGAGACAAGAAACCAGAGATGAATGATCCCGGCTGATGGGAGCCGAAACAGCCGGAGCAGAAGAGCACGCAGGAGGGGCTCCTCCCACCGAGGAAGCAGCCCCCGATAGGAGCCCCTTGCTCTAGCCCTTCCCGTGGGTCCTGGGGGCAGCTGTGCCCACCTGTCACCCCACTTTCAGGGCCAGAATTCAGACTCACTTTCTATACTTCCAGGAGGGATATGGACCAGAAGTCCTGATCCACCCCAGGTGTGAGTGCCGTGGAGGGAGGGAGGTCGGGCTTGGGCTGTGACCAGGCTGTGCTGCAAGGAGTGCCCAGTCACGGGGGTTTGTGGAGGGCCTGACTGGAGGCAGGTGGGGGCACACGGAGCTCCAAGCCCTCCACCAAGTCACCAGCGGGGCCAGAGCCATGGAGCAGCTAGGCCTGCTGGGGTGAGGGCTTCAGGGCTGCAAGAGCAAGGGTGTGGCCAGAAGTGGCTTCTGACCTCTGAGGTCAGCCTGACCATCGTCTGGCCAGAGCTCGGGCATAGACCCGCAGTGACAGGCCACACCGTGTCTGCCATCAGAGCCGGAGCTGCGGTCCCCTGGGGCAGCCTCTGTCCCGGGCGGGGAGAGAGGAAGGGCTGAGCAGACCAGGCACTGCCCCAGCCGGGGAAAGACAAGCAGGCGCGTCCCCGAGTGACAGAGCCCAGACCAGGACCTGCGGCTTGGGAATGGGGTCTGGGCATCCAGGCTGGGCTGCCATCTTGAGGGCAAAATTCTCACAGGAAGGGAGCAGGGAGGTACGGTGCCACGTCTCCAGGCCACCCGTGAACCCGCGTCCCCCCCGTCATTGGCCCTGGCTCTCGGTTCTCACACTGTGGGTATTAAGCACGCACCGCGGAGTGAGCACGCCGGCGCAGGGCAGCCGGGGAGCTCTGCCTACTGTCCCCCCATGAGAGGGACACACTGCAGAGACACGGGTGCCATGGGGTCTGGAACCATCCCTCCCTGCCACCTGTTCTCCCCGGTAAGGAACAATTCAACGGCCACCAGTGCTGCCCCTGAGATGACCACCCACGCTAGGCCTGACCTTGACCTCCCTGAACCCCAAGGACTCAACCTGACGCCTGCCGTGTGAGGGGCTCCGGCTGGCCACACCTGCCTGCGTTTAGCACCTGCCATCGAGCCCCGCCCCCTGGGGAGCTGCAGACGCTGGGAGGGGCCGCCTGGGAGTCCTCCCGGGAGGCTGGGGCATGGACAGCCTAGATAGCAGCCCCCCAGATGCTGGACACAGGGTGGGAGGCTGCAGTGCTGGCCTCCTGACACCCGAGACTTCAAAGCATGGGCCAGAGAAGAGAAGAGGTGGGCAGAGCCAGGTAGAACAGAAACAGCTTTTGGGAAGACAGCACCTGGCATTGGGCACCAGCGGCCCGAGGGCACCCCGAGGATGCCAACCTGTAGCCATAGGAGATGCCGTGTGGAAGGCAGGACTGCAGGCCAAGGGCTAGACGCCCAGGCCAGCGGCAGCCCCCGGTCAGCCCGGCCTTTGCCCCCATCACTCAGGGGATGCCAAGACCCTCCGTGGCCCCCGCCCCCTCTCGGCTTCACTCAGGCTTACGGCGGAGGCCGGCGCCGGGGCAGTGTGCACAGACTATGGGGGGATCTCGCCTTTGTCCACATAAACGCCACTCGCTAGGCTGGCGCTCCACTGCCTGATGGAATATTGATCCTCAGAGTGCAAAGTCCGCGTGCCATTAGTCCAATCTCTCTCAAGCTGACACAATCCCATCATTTGTCATCTCCCCGTCCCGCTGGGTTTGCTCAGGAGCTGGCGTATTTGCTCTCTCTGCCACTTTCCAGGCCCCCTGCACTCCCTTTCTGACGGGCGCTGATGGGGCCACCACATTCTCACAGCCCCTCTGCCCCCACTGATGGGACAGCTGGGGCTGGCTGGGGTCTGAAGCCTTCACATGAGGGTCTCATGAACTCCAATGTGTGGGGGACCCAGGAGAGGCGGGGTCACAGGGTGATGGGTGCCATCCAATAGCGAGTGCCCCCCCAACCACTCACCGAGGAATGTGATGATGTGGGAGGAGCGGGGCAGGGCACAGAAGGCTGCAGCACTCAGGCTCAGAGGCTGGCCAGGCCCACACTGTGGCTGAAAACCAAATGTGTCACTCTGTGCACCAGACTCCAGAGGCTACACCCAGATGTCACCAGCCAGGGGTGGGGTGGGCCCAGGGGCGAGGTCAGAGGAGAAGGAGGCCTTGGCCAAGTGTGCAGGGAGGCGCCTCTCCTCACCCTGAGGGCTGAGTGCGAATCCTGCATCCCGGCCAGGGCCTCTTCCTCCCCTTCCCACAACATCTGGGACTCTGGAGATCAATTGCAGGGCTGACCTGGGATGGTCTGGGCAGGGCTGGGAGTGGTGGCTGTTTGGTGAAGCGCAGGAGCTCCCCGTCAGGGGCCTGCACCCCACCATCTACCCGGCTGCAGGAGGGTGCCTTCCCTCTGTGTGTGTGTGCACCCGGGTGCATGTGTGCATGTGTGTTTGTGTGTGCACGTGTGTGTGCTTGCACATATGTGTGTGTTCATGTGTGTATGCACGTGTGTGCATGTGCACGTGTGTTCTTGTGTGTGCAAGTGTGTGCTTGTTTGTGCACGTGTGTGTGTTCATGTGTGCATGTGTGCGTGTGTTCATGTGTGTGTGCATGCGCGTGTGTGCGTGCGTGCGTGTCTGTTTACACTGCGTGTGTGCGTGTGTGTGCGTGTGCGTCTGTTTACACCTGGTGTGTGCATGTGTGTGCGTGTGTGTGCGCGTGCGTGCGCGTCTGTTTACACCTGCGTGTGTGCGTGTGTGCATGTGTGCATGCGTGCGCGTCTGTTTACACTGCGTGTGTGCGTGTGTGTGCGTGCGTGTGCGTTTCCACTGCGTGTGTGCGTGTGTGTACGTGTGCGCGTGCGTGTGCATGTTTACACTGCGTGTGTGCGTGTGTGTTCGTGTGCGTGTGTGCGTGCGTGTGCGTGTGTGCGTGTGTGTGCGTGTGTGTGCGTGTGTGTGTGCGTGTGTGCAGTGTGCAGAGATACACGCCGCTGTCTTACTGCAGCACGGCGCCATCACAAATGAACATGCAAATACAAATCTACACTTCAAAACTTGGCAACTTTGTCCCTGAAACTCCTCCGCACATGACTAGTAGGTTTAAAAACAAAACCAAAGAAAACAGAGGAACCACTCCAGTGTTTGTCCTTCACATCCCGAGTGGGAGAGAAAAAAAAGAAAAAAATTCTCCCTCAAAATGAAACAGAAAATATTCTCAAGGGAAAGCATCTAACTCCTTCGATTCCAGAGCTTCTGAGCCCAGAGCCGGCCTGAGGGAGGCAGACACAGGGGCACCTTCGAGGGAGTCTGGGCCTCCCTGCCAGGATGCAGCCTCTGCCTCTGGCCCAGGGCCCCCAGACGGGGGTTCTGCCCTGGGGCACGCGGCCATGTCTGGGGATGTGTTTGGTGGTCAGCTCTGAGGGGGAGCCACCCTGGTCTGGTGGGTGGGGGCCGGGAATGCTGCTCAGCGCCCTGCAGTGCCCAGGACGACCAGCAAGACAAGGGATTATTCGGAGCAAAGTGTCAGTGACGCCAAGGCCAGCCATGGACGCAGGCCCCTCCCGCTGGCTCAGGCCTCGGCCTTGGTCATAATGGGTCTGTCTCGTCCCCTCCCCTCCCTCCCTCCCTCCTTCCTCCGAGCCTTCCTCTCTAGGCACCTTTGCTAAGCACCTAGTAAGTGCAGGTCCTGGGCATCCCCACGCCCTCCCCTGCCCAGCTGAGGACTGAGTCACACTCGGGCTGGGACCTGCAGTGAAGGAGCCACTGTGTTCCAGGGTCACAATCCCCTAGCCGTCCTGTCTCCTCCGGGCCCCTGTCCTGCTTCCCCTCCCACTCCCCTGCACCTGATGCTCCCTCCAGTGGCCCACAGCCAGGCCACCGCAGACGGGCTGACCAGAGCTTGGGGGAGAACATTGCAGTGTGCACAGCACGGGTGTCCAGCCCCCTCCGTGGAGTCCCTGTGGCCCAGTAATATCTCAGATCTGCTGGAGCCACACAGGCCACAGCCCCCTCCACAAGAGGCCCCCCAGTATCACAGAGGCTGGCTGTTCCCTGGGTCTGCTTCTAGCTGGGGCTCTGGGTGCCCCATGGCAGGCCCTGCACCAGTCTGGGAAGACTTGCATGGCACAGGGAGCACACCCCAGTCCTTGTAACTGCCAGCTGAGCCCTTTGCACATGTGACCTCAGTGAGTTCCCACAGGCTCTCCCCGCAAGAAGGATGGCCCGGGACCCCGTTCCACAGGAGGATGATGGGGCTGGAGCCCAGGCGGGCCCTCGGGGCTGCCCACCCCTTTGCCTCCCTGAGCGACTCCAATTAGGGGAGTGCAGACCTCAGACGGATTTGCCAATGCAAGGGTGACTATGCCCTTAGCTGGCAGAAACCCTCACCGGGGAGCAGCTGCCCGGCTGCAGGGGGTGGTCCACGCAAGTGGGAAGGCCCTGTCTGCAGGAATGCGGCCCGGCCAGGGCACCAGCGATGGAGGACAGGCTCCACAGACGCTCCCTCCACCAGCAGCGTGGGTTGGAGCTGCAGGCTGCTGGAGTCAGGGCAGCAAACATCAATCCCCAGGCGAAGGCCACTGAGCGGGGCCCTGGGGCGAAGCCGGCCCGGGAACACAGAGCCTTCCCGTGCAAACTGCCTCCCGCACCCCAGGCTGTGCAAGCGCGGGGCTCCTCTTACTTGAAAAAAGAATGTTTACAGACCAAGATAATGCTTATGACTAGAGAGAAGCGAAAAGAGAGGCTGAGAGGCCGGTTCCCGGGGCCCACGATGGATGCTCAGCCCTGAAATTTCATCATTTCGTATAAGTGGGAATTTGGGGACAAAGCCGTGCTCCCTTCTGTTTCCTCTGCCTTTTGTCACCACGGGTGAAACGCCGAGGCTCCTCCGAGGTCCGTTTAATCCTTTTAAGTGATGCCCTGAAACCAACTTTTCCTTCGCTAAGACCTTTTTGGTATTCTCTTCTGAATTCACCCCCAAAAATAAGGGGGGGAAAGGAACTTCTCAAGTTAGTGAGCGTGGATGGGGCAGGAGTTTTATTAAAGTCTTTTCTGTTTACTTCCCACCTAGATAAGATCTTAATCACAGCCCCCCAATTATCCGCACTGACATTTATCAAGGCCGGTCCTCCCTCGCCGCCGCGCCGGCCCATCAGCCTTTCTTCCTGCCCTCCCTCTCAATGGAAGTTAATTTCGAGTACATGATTTATCTTGCTGGGGAGCGGCGCAGAGGCGGCCCACCTTTTCAAAGGGCGGGCTGGGGAGTGAATTATCGTGGCGCTGTCCAGTGATTGGGTTCTGCGGGGAAGGAGAATAGGCAGCCGTGTGTCGCCTGATGTGGCGCTGGGCCTTTTCAGCCGCGAAGAAAAAAAGATTAGGCCTCTGACAGCGGGGCTGACAGGCGAGCCCAAGGCAGCAGACAAAAGGCCGGTACCTGAAAGCCGGCCTGCGCCCCCGCCCCAGGGGGCGTGCGCCCCTGACCTGCGCCTCCTTTCCGTGCGCTGGGCTCCCCCAACCTTGCTCGGCACCCTCCTCCCTCTTCCCCTTCCTCCTCCTTCTCTTCCTTATCCCACCTCTTTCCCTCCGCTCTCCCCTTCCCCTCCTTCTCTGGTCTTCCCTCTTCGAGGCCTCCTTGCCTGTCCTCCTCCCCACAGGAGTCCGCGTGGCACTGGGTCCACACAGGTGCCTGGCCTGGCTTTCCACCCCTTGACAAGAATCCTGCCTCCATGTGTGGACTTCCCCCCAGCACCACCTTCAGGAGGGAGACTCTTGTCCATCCTGCCTCCCCCACTGCCCAGTGCAGGATCACACAGAGGCCGGTGCTGCCCGCACCCCACTAAGGCCGTGGCCGAGGACAAGCCTCTTTCCCTTCTCTCCGCGTCTCCCAGGGGCCTTGGCACAGGCAGGCTGTGACGTGGGCACAGGGGCCCAGCAGTGGCCAGCAGGGCCCAAGGCCAGGTGTGGACAGGGTCCTAGGGGCCTGCCCTGGGAATCCCTGGGCCCCTGCACGTGAGCCAGCGTGGAGCCTCCCACCTCCAGCTTCCCCATCTCACACTCGGCAGGTGTGGGGCCCAGGGATTCCTCAATACATCGGTGCCACATCCTCACCAGCCCACGAAGCTAGGCTGGCAATGGCTCCCCTGCCGTCTTGCCCAGAACCGGGCAATCTCTGGCCTCCTTCGATTTAGACCCATCCCCCACCCCACCCCGGGGCATCAGGCGGCAAGGACTCGGCAACTGTTCTTATCCCAAGAGCTGCACCTCATCCCGGCCCCAAGCATGTGCCCCTCACACGTGGCCTCCATCCCTCCCACGCTCCTGTTAAAGAGAGGCTGAGCCGGAACATTCTCTCCAGGACCACAGGAAGCCCACAACTCAGAGATGCCACGTGAGGAGAAGGAAAGTTCACACCAAGCTGATCTTGACATCCTAACAGAAATACATTCTCTCTTTAGATAATGATTTGCATGAATACTTGAGAAAACACCCACGTTAGGTCCAACTTCAATCACTAAAATACGTTCCCCAGGACATGGGGGAGCCACAGACACTGTGTCCCCACACCCAGGACATGGGGGAGCCCCTGAGCACTGTGTCTGCACACCCAGGACATGGGGGAGCCTCAGACACTGTGTCCCCACACCCAGGACATGGGGGAGCCCCTGAGCACTGTGTCTGCACACCCAGGACATGGGGGAGCCTCAGACACTGTGTCCCCACACCCAGGACATGGGGGAGCCGCAGACACTGTGTCCCCACACCCAGGACATGGGGGAGCCCCCGAGCACTGTGTCCCCACACCCAGGACATGGGGGAGCCGCAGACACTGTGTCCCCACACCCAGGACATAGGGGAGCCACAGCCACTGTGTCCCCACACCCAGGACAGAGGGGAGCCCCCGAGCACTGTGTCCCCATACCCAGGACATGGGGGATCCACAGACACTGTGTCCCCACACCCAGGACATGGGGGAGCCGCAGACACTGTGTCCCCACACCCAGGACATGGGGGAGCCACAGCCACTGTGTCCCCACACCCAGGACAGAGGGGAGCCCCCGAGCACTGTGTCCCCATACCCAGGACATGGGGGAGCCGCAGACACTGTGTCCCCACATCCAGGACACGGGGGAGGCACAGACACTGTGTCCCCACACCCAGGACATAGGGGAGCCCCCGAGCACTGTGTCCCCACACGCAGGACATGGAGGAGCTGCTGTCTGTGTCTGTGTCTGGAAAGAGGTGATGCCAGCTGAGCCCATATCCAACACAAATGAGCTTCCCCTGAAAAACACACCGGCCACTCATCCATTCTCTCCATGGGCCACTCAGGTGATATTTGGGGGGAAATTTGGCTTTGAGACCCCGTAATAACTCCCATACTCGTTTGCTTTCATGTCCTTTGCTCAAGCACACAGACGGGATGGAAATTCCCCTGCCACACTCCCCGGGATGGACTTGATGCTTTCCTGGAGGAGTTCGGATTCTTGCCCAGATGAAAAGCCCTAAGGGCTGCTCAATTAGTCCTCGGCGGAAGCCCCGGTCTAATGGTCTGTGATGCTTCACTAGGGCCTCCCAGGAGCGTTTAGTATTAGACAGTTATTAAAGGGCAGTTGACTTCTGAGATCTGTGGGGAGGAATCACTTTAGCGTCTGTTTAGGGAGCTAGTCTGAACATCTGCAGGAGGAGAGAGAGCCTCAGCCTGCATCCTGCGGGCTCCACGGATGAGGATGCAGCTGCCTCCCCAGGATGGTGCTGCCCCTTGGTGAATGGTAAAGTAATCATAATGATAATAATACTGAATACAAGCTAGAATCCACGGCATTTGGTCCAGTCGAAGGAGCTGGTGGCAGCCCACCCACCTGCAAAACGTGGACCGGATCAGCACACTTAGCCCCAAGGCGACAAAAACCTGTGACACAGAAAGAAGGTAAAACACCCCAGCCTTTTTAGGGTGCTGCATGGGACACACCTGTTTTTCAAAATATGTGATTTTGTTTGACATTATTATTATTATTATTATTATTATTATTATTTTGAGATGGAGTCTTCCTCTGTCACCCAGGCTGGAGTGCAGTGGTGCAATCTTGGCTCACTGCAACCTCCACCTCCCAGGTTCAAGCAATTCTCATACCTCAGCCTCCTGAGTAGCTGGGATTATAAGTGTCCACCACTACGCCCAGCTAATTTTTGTATTTTTGTATTTTTTTTTTTTTAGTAGAGACAGGGTTTCATCATGTTGGTCAGGCTGTTTCACATTATTTTAAAAATTTGCCAGCACCTTTTGGGACAATCTGTTGGCATCCTGAGCACTAAGGGGGCACTGCCTCTGAAGGTCCTGCTCAAATGGACCCCTCCTGGCAGGACAGGAAGGGAACAGACATCTGGCACCAGCTCCCATCTCAGGGCCACTCGGCCTTCTTGACAGTGCTTTGACCTGGAGCAGCTGCCCAGAGGCACCATCTCTCTGTGCCTTGGTTTCCTCCACCCCTCCAAAAGCAGAGGACAGCACCTGGCAGGGTGCCTGTCCCTAGCATATGGCGATTACTCCAATAGCTGTGTCAGGCACTGTAGCATTGCCAGGCATAAACCAACTGATGATTGGGAAGAAAGAGATGAGAAACTGAGAGACAGACCCTCACTGGGACAAAACTTTGACTGTCACAGAGGTGATTTTGCAGGTTACTTGGTAACATTTTAAATCCCAGAGGTGAATACTTCCCCTACATAGACCAGGCTGGGATGGAGCTTACCCACCAGCTGCATGAAAGAAAAGTTAGATCCCTACCTCACACCATACATAAAAATTCACCATTGGTGGGTTGAAGGACTTCATGATGGAAAGTAAAACTTCAAAAAAGAATTACAGGATAATTTGGATTGGGAATAGGGAAGGGTTTATTTTTAAAGGAAGCAAAGCTCTAAGGACAAACGGCAAGACCAATGGCCCCTTGCTAGACATGCTCTCCCAGTCCTACGAATGTAAGATTTCACACTCTGTGTGCTGCAGCTGCATCTCCCAGGCTGTGGAACTGAGATAATAAGAGCTCCCAACTCAAGGTTTGTCTGGAGAAAGGAATCAGTTTGGCATGGCCTGGTGTGGAGGTGAACTCCCTGACACCAGCCACTGTGGCAGTGCCAGTGCTGCCTTGCTATTCCCTGACAATTCAGCCCCCCTCCCCGGCAGGGGTTGCACAGCATTTACCTTAGGACCTCCCAGGAAAGCCCAGCCCCAGGCTAGACACATGGCATGGTCATTGAGGCCCAGAGCTTGGCCAGTAGTGGCTTGAGCAAGGCCCAGGGCAGGGAGAGAGTGAGGCCAGGGGCCACAGCCAGCACAACCAGGAGGCAGCTGGGGTTTGGCTAGCAGAGTTCCCAGGGATAGTGTGTGTCTCTTACAAGGAAAGGTGGTTTCGAGTCACTGGTCCAGTGAGGAGGACAAAAGGGAACAGAAATCCATCCAGGATGCCTTCCATGATGATTGTGACACCTTCACGGGGTTTACCACAAACACCCGCCATCAGAGAAATGGGCTGAGACAGAGAAGTTAACCAGCAGCTACTCTGAGATGAGGATGGCGGTAAGGAGATCCGCAGGCTCCCCATCGGGCATTAAATGATATATACTTAAAGGATTGCTCTATTTACATTAGAATTAGTTGTGCAGACTGACACCAAGGAACTGCTGGCTTCCAAATCCCGAGCCCGGTAATCCCTCCCTAAGCTTCACACTGTAAACCACCTGGGCACAAAATCAATGGCTCCCCCGGCCCAGCCAGCACTGTGGAACCACCTGCTCCCAGCTCTTTGCCCAAGCCCGAAAGCCTAGCTGTAGCCACAGCCTTCTGGAATCCACCAGACTGGTCCCCCAAGACCAACAGGGTGGGGACATAGGCAGGGTGAGGTTCAAGGTGAGCAGCTTTGCTCTTGGAGACACTTGACCCTGGGAAATGGCAGCCCTGCTTCCTGGGCCCTCGGCTTCCTTCCCTGAGGCCATGGCAGCAGCAGACACCAAAATTCCTGGGGCACCTACTGGCCCCACCCTGATGAGGTGTGAGCTGCTCTTGCCAGGCTTAAGCCCATGACACCTGGCCCTAGGGCCTGCCCCCTGGCCATGCTGCCATCCTGGCCTCTGGTGGGGCAGGGGAGAGAAAGGCTGGCCCCCTCTCCTTCTGGTCGTCTGGGTGGCAGGGCTCTGTTGGCCCCAGGCGCTGTTGTCATGGAGCCACACCTGCCCACTAGAGAACAGGTGCCCACTATTCAGTGACAGGGCCAGCACTATCAGCCCTATGGGCACAGCCCTCTGCCCTTACCTTCCAATGCCAGCCCAGCAATGGCCAGCACTGCCTCGCTGATACCAGTGGACCCTCAGGCAGCCCGCCGGGAGCTGCTCCCCCCCATGCTGGCCTGGCCAAATGCCTCCACTGGCCCAGGTGCTTGGGACAGAAACCTGGGGGTGCCTTCCCTTTCCCAAACCCCATGTGTAATTCATTGCCAGTTCCTGCCAGCTCTGCCACCCAGCGCACCCACACCACAACTCCCCAAGCCCCACCTTGTCCAGCCTTTGCCCTGTGACCACTCCCCCAGCCCTGGCAGGATCCCCATCCCTGCCTCTGCTCAGGTACCCGCTGTGTGTGAGCCAGGCAAAGCTATCCATCTCGCACCAGCCCTCGGGCCCCTGAGCCGCTTCTGGCCCTCCAGCCCCCTCGGGCCCCAGTGGGGCCACCACCCAGTCCTCCTCAGAAGCACCAGGCTCTCAACAGCCTCAGGCCCAGTGCCCCGGCCCCTCTGCCCAGGGAGCTCCCCTCCCTCCTAGCCTGTGTCTCTCCTTCAGCTTCCAGGTTGGACACCCCCATCGCATCCAAAGAACTGCCTGCCAGGTGTTCTCTGCAGACCTGGCCACCTGCTCACCAGGGCTGCTCTCTTTGGAAGACAGGCTCCCCCAGGGGCTTCCCCCCATACCCCGCCCACCCTGCCAGGACTCCATCCACATGTGCTAGGTGGGGAGCTGGGCTGGCATCCTTTGAGGCCGAGGGTGAGACGGGCCCCAGCCTGCCCCCTTCTCAGCCCTGAGCCCTGCACCCAGGAAGCTTCAACAGGAAGCTGGGGCTGGAGGACAGGGCAGAGCTTTCAGGACATGTCCTGCCCCCACCCAACTAAGGAGCACAGGTGGACCCCGGGGCACACTAAGGATGGCCGTGGCAGAGGGGCTTTGGGCTGCTCCTCCCTGAAGACTCTCTGTGGCCGGCCTGGCCTAGCTGCCCTGGCCTCTCGCCTGTTTCCTGTCCTGTCTGGGGCGCCGCAGGGGGAAGGGGCTGCACACAGCAGTGGCCTCTGCTAGCCCCGTTCTCAGGGCGGGAGGCGAGGCCAGCGGAGCGCTAATTAGCATGCTGCTTGTGGGCCGAGTTAGGAATGTAATTACTGCGGGAGGCAGAGCCTGCCCGAGGAATGCATTTTGAAGGTTACCATAGGAATCTGCGCTGGCCTATTCATCCCGCAATACTAATCACAGTCATGAGGAAGGGATTGGGGACAGCGCTAGGCTCACATCTGAGGGGATGCCGGGAACAAAGTGCACACTTGCTCCTTAACCCTTTGGGGTCCAGACCGGTGACCGTCCAAGGGTTCCCTTTCCTGCAGCCAGGCCCAGGCCTCAGGTGCAAGGCTGCGCTCCGGAAGAGCCTGCTGACCAGCCCCTGGCCCAGAGAGGGCCCTGACCAGACCATGCGCCCATGCACAGCGCCTTCCATCTCTGGACCCACAGGGTGCTGCAGTGCAGACCGAAGCCTCTGCTCTGGGCCAGGTGCCTGGAGGAAGCGGGGTGTCAGAGCTGTGACCAGGCCGGGCTGGGCCCTCAAGTTTGGGCCCAGGGAGGCTGGTGGGCAGGACAGTGGTACCTCCAGGTCTAAGCCCTCAGGACACCAGGCAGGCAGTGGAAGCTCCTGCTCCCCAGTGAGGAGCCTGTGGCCATCGTGGGGAGGGCTCACTACTTGGGGGGATGGCCCTGCTTCTCCTCCTGCCCAGGCACTCCTGACAGCTTCTTCCAGCACCTTCCACCCGCCCCCACCCCCCGCTCCTCTCCAGCACCTTCCAGAGAGGACAGCAGATCCTCCCATGACACCTGCTCCAGAACAGTCCATCCTGCCTCCTCCCATGCACTGAGGGACTCACCCTGCAAGAGCCCTGTCCTTGGAGGCCACCCTACCTCCGGGTGGGTGTTCACCTCTCATGCATGTGTTCAGTGAGCGTTCATGAAGTGGCCACTGGGTACCAGATGCTGCCAGGAGCTGGGAGGAGCAGAAGCATCCCTGCCCTTCAGGGTCCATGTCTGTGGGCGGGGTGGCCACGGCCCAGGAATGCACAGCGAGGGCCAGGTGACGTGGGGAGGTGGGGGCTCCAAGGAAGACTTCACTAGGGGTTTGTAGCCCAGAGGGGCCTGCCAGGGTGACAAAGTGGCTGCAGCTCTGAATGAAGGGGGCAGAAGGGGTCTGGGGAGAGGGCCGCTGGCACATGCTCCTGGATGTGTAGGCGGGGCCAGCCAGGCTGGACTGAGGGCTTCTTGAGGGCTGGCTGCGGCGCCCACCCTTGTGAACACTGGGGCAGACAACTGCTGTGGTCTCCCGCCCACTGGAGATGCCCGCTGACTCAGCACCCTGTCCTCTCTAGCACTGTCCCTCCCCGGGCAGCCTCTGCCTGTTCACTGGAGCTTCTAGAACAGCAAGGCCCTGTGCACGGAGGCGCTTGCCTTCCAGCCCCTCCCAGCTCCCACCAGCACCTTCCAACCCCACCCCTCCCAGCTCCTTCTAGCACCTTCCAGCAAGGACAGCAGGTCTTGGGCTGCCTCTGCTTAGCCCTGACTTCCCTCTGGGAGGCCGCCTCCTGGGTCCCCACAGTGCCGCCTGGGAGCTGGAGTTCTGAAAAGGCTGGAAGCAGGGAGCAAGCATGCAGGCTCCTGAGCCATGCTGTTCTCATCAGACCTCGGGGGACCCTGTCTCCATGGGAATCCGCCATTCAGTGGTGGCCCAAGGAGCTGTGTGTTATCAACATGCCTTTACCCGGCCAAGGAGCAGTGACTTCGGCGGAGGAAGGCAATTTGTTTGTGAATTTTGCCCTTTGTTATGGAAAGCTGCTGGGTTTTAAAAAATTGTATAGGTTTGAACCGTTAACTCCCAGGGTAGTCCCGCCCTGTGGATGGGGAAGTTTGTGGATGTGTTTATTTCTTTATTTTTTAAAAAACATACAGAATTGATGTTAAGTAGCCGTATGCAAATTCCCTGGGGCCTGTGGATTTTATTCTCTTGAAATCTTATTGAAAAGGCTCAACCCCACAAAAATGGGAAAAATTGTGCACTCCAGAGCAGCCCTGGTTTCCAGGGACGCCTCTCAGGTTTGAGGCCTCTCTTTAAGCTCATGCGGCTTCTCAGAATGGTGCGTGCATGCCAGTTACAGAACTCTCGTCCCCTCCTGCCCTGCACACCTGCTTAAGGCGATGCCCAATGGCCTGGGCACCCTCCACAGGTGTTTCTGCACCACCCCTCAGGGGCTGGTGTTTTTGGCGGTATGCGAGGTTATCACTAACAGTCATGCTCAGAGACCCGGAACAAAGAGCCACTGCCAGTCAACACGACATTTCGAGGAAGGGCACTGGGTCCCCTCAAATTCACAGGCGAAGCCCTAACCCCAGGAGCTCAGAATGCGTTTGGCGAGAGGGTCTCTAAAGAGACGACTAAGGTAAAGGGAGGTCATTAGGACGGGCCCTAATCCAATAGGACGGGTGCCCTTAGAAGATGAGGATGCAGATGCAAAGGGATGACCATGTGAAGACACAGGCAGAAGACAGGGCCCAAGAGGGGCCTCAGGAGCAAACAGCACCACGGGGACCCTTTGTTTTGAAAAAACAAACTCCTGCTGTCTAAGCTGCCCAGTCTGTGGTCCGAGGTACTTGGTTACAGCCGCCCCAGCTCACCAGGACAGGCGTGGTGGTCGGAGATGGAGCTGCCCATCTCTCCTGACTTTGCTGCTGCGGTGGCCCCAGGTCCAGCAGTAGTAGAGGAGGACCCATTGAACGTATTTGCACCCCAGACTGGGAGGAACCTGAGTTCCTGTGAACGCCTCTGTGCACACAGGATCACATCTTCTAGTTTTAGGGAGAGGAAGATTTGAAGGAAATGATACATTCAGACTCACATCACCGGGGCTGTCAGGTGACCCTGAGGTTGGGCTACTCTGACCTCCAGAGCAGCAGGGCCACCTCCCACCTGAGCATCTGCTCTGGAGCAGGAAGGAGAGCAGCCACATATGGGGTAGGAAGCAGATGGTCCCAGCCCTTCCAGAGTCCCTTCCGCAGGGGCCCCAGTGGGCAGGCTGTTTTGCTCACTGAGAATCTGGTAACAGGTACAGGTCTCCTTGTTCAGGCAATGGTTTTGGTCCTTCAGAGGAGCAGCTGGAGATAACTGCAAAGCCAGAAAGGGCCATAAAAGCATATTAAAGCCTGTCTCCGAGGGCAAACTCCATGCACAGTGCAGAAAACCCCATGAGCACTTCCCCAAATGCCCAGAGATGGAAATGCAGGACACTTCAGATCCAGCCGTCCTGTCTAGGCCGGGATGCCAGAGGGGGCCCACCTGCAGCTCAGGGATGGGGATGCGGTTTTGAGGATTCATAGCTGAAACTCTCAGCTAAGATCCCACCAGTGGGCCCCAGCCCATGAGGACCCCAGAGGTGGCTTCCCATGACAGCTTTTATTCCAGGACTCCATCCTGGAAGACTGCTGTAGGAGTCTGGCCTGAGCCAAGAAGCCCCAGGGAAACCAGAGGGGACAGCTAGGAGGTAGCCAGGTGCTGGCAGGTCCTCCCTCCCCTGAGTCCCCTCCCAGCCCCGCTGGGGAGGCCTGGGTGGTGGCGCCACCTCTACCTGGCTCCCTGTGCGGCTGGACTCACTGCCCACCCTCTCTGAGCTCTGGGTTCTCCACTGCGAAATGGGGCTCCTGGGAGCATTGAATGAGGCTGTTCAGCCTGAGACTTAGCTGTGGCCGGGGCATCCTCCCCAACTCTGCCTTCCTTGGTTTTGTAAATCAGGACCCCACACAAGGTTGGGGTTAGAAAGGAGTCCTGTTGCTGAGAATGTTGAAAAACCACCCGTGTGAACTCTCCTTCCTTGGAGGGGCTGTGCTTTTCGGCTGGCCCCCAGACAGCAAAGACTGTGCCCCAGCCCAGGACTCTAGCACTAGCTCCAGCTGGGACTGGGGGTCTCCGGGTGGGGGAGACAAGAACGGGTGGTCTTCCCAGTCTTGCCCTAACACGGATGTCACCATACATAGAAAGCTCCAGATCACTCCTGCTGAGCTGGGCCGGCATTCCTTCTCAGCCTCAAGCTGCCCTGAGGACATATGCCATTTTTCCCCACCCCTGGCTGGTCCTCTGACCTTGCCAAGTTCTGTTCCCTCACTTGGTGGCTTCCGGCTCTGCCTGGCCCGGAGCAGAGACCCCCACGGGTGCCCTGGCTCCTCCTTGCACAGTGTCAAGGAAGCAGACAGACAGAGCTCAGGCCAAGCCTGCCCTCCTGTGCCAGGATTCTGTGGCCTCTCCAGGCCCCGTGTCCCCTTCCCCGATGGCCGCCGCTCCCCCAGCCTGTCCCAAAGGTGCTGGGACGTCCGCTCACGCTGGTGGTGCGGCTGCCCATTCAGGACAGATAAGCCCCTTTAGAAAACGAGGGGGAATTTAATTCAGTGCCTGAGTGACAGCGCGAAGATTTATCCCCTGGCCAGACAATACGGCCCTGGGGCTTTAATCTCCCCTAGACAATGCACTGCCTCGCGGCCCTCATCTCAGGCTTTTCCCACGATGGCTGGTGATTAGCTGAGGTGCGTTGGATGGGAGCCACTATCTCTCGGGAAGAGTGTTTGCTCGTCCGCTGGGGCCAGAGGGAGGAGGAGCAGGAGGAGAGCTGAGCTCATCGTGGCACAGTCTCTGTTCCCCAGACCGAAGGGGCACAGCGAGGAGGCTTCCCACGGCATCCTGGTGTGCCAGCCGGGCGAGATGGGGACATACCTGGGGCCCAGCAGCATCCACTCCCGCCGAGGGCATCCCCCATTAGGGAGCAGCCCCTGTCCTCAGCCGGACACCCACCCCCTCCAATGCCCCCTCCTCCAGGCCTCCCGGGCAGAATGTCAGCCAGCACCCACATGACCAAGTGCCACCCGTCACCTTGAACAAGCTCCTCCCCGGGGGCTTCGGCACAGCCGTCGTGGGTACTTGTGGCACCTCCCTTTCCAGGCCACATTTATCTCTCACCTTCCACTCTCATGGCCCCACAGCTGGATCCAGCTGTGCTGAGTCAGCCCAGGTCCTCCTGCCCCACATTCCACCCCACAGGACCCACCAGCCCTATAGGGCGTGTGTGGGTGTATCTATCTTCCTCACGGGAACCTCACTCGGGGAAAGCTCCTCCCTGGGCAAACGGGTTACATGGGGGGCTCCAGGCGGCAGCGTCAAATGCCCCTCGGGAACTGGGGGTGCTTGGGAGGACCATGGGCCGTGCCTGGAGCTCGCTTCTCCAGGCCTGTGGGATGCCTCAGGAGGCCCCAGCAGAGGCCCCGTCCACTGAGGGCAGGGCGTGGAGGTTCTGCAGGGGCTCCATAGAGAGCAGCTCACCTGCCCCACACCCCAGCCATCATGTCCTAAAGACCCATCCATGTCCCAGGCCACCACCCACGGCCAAGGATGGGGAAGCGGCTCAGCCACCCACTGGAAGAGAGGACCCAGTAGAGGACCTAAAGACAGGAGCTAAAGCAGCCGAAAGTCACTCTGCGTTTTATGAAGAGCGAACGGGTCTGTGATGTGGCGTTGCTGCTACAGGCATCCATCTACCTCCTTCCCAGAGAGTGGGCACTGGGGCCACGTCACAGAGCGGGCAGGGGGCAAGCTCTACTCTGGTCCCCACCTCTCCAGCCAGGGAGGAAGACCAAAGGCCTCAGGGGAGGGCAGGGCCCTTCCTTCCCACAGATGCCAGGGGACGGCCACCTGTCAGAGACCCACAGGGCAGTGCCGGGCCTCTCCACGCCCCTCAGAGGACAGGGCTTAGAGGAGCAGGCTCCTCTACGGCTCCCTCACCCAGGGGTGCCGAGCCCAGTGGCCTCCATCTCATAGGTGCCTCCTGGGGGCAGCCCTTGCTTGCCACCGACCCCCGATTTCTGGCCCATCTTTGTCCATGAGAGCCTTCAGGTCCTCTGTAGCTGCACTGGAAGGAGGTGGAGAAGGAGGGGGCGCCATCTCACCCACTCCCACGACGGTTCACTCTTCAGCACCTGCATTTCCTCCCATATAAGGGACGCTGGGAGTGTTTTCTCTTAAACGGTCTCTGATGCTCATCTTCCAACATACCTGCCATGGCGGCCTGGTGGGTGGCCCCAGCCTACAGCGGTGAGCCTGCTCCCCAAGTTCCTAATGAGCTCATGCTTGTCTCTGTGACCCACTGCACTCGGCACGTGCTGGCAGGCCTGGGATCAGGGAGCACCTCTCTCTGTGATGTGCCTGGAATATTTCTGAGCACCCCAAAACATTCACAGCCCAGCACCAGCCAGTCCCCAGGAGCCGCCCGCAGGATGCCAGGACCCTTGCCCCCCACCGGCCTTGTTTAATGCTCAGCTAGTCATTTACCAATGGTGTTGGGGACCCCGTGCTGAGCATCCGGGGCTCCGGGGCCTCCGTGAGGCTGGTTATTGGTGTAGCTGAAGCCACATAGCGGGCACACATCTCTCCCGGCCCCTTGGCAGCCCTGCCAGGTGGTCGTCACTGTCTGTATGTTACAGGAATAGGAGTTCTAGGCAGTTTGAGGACTCATTCGGGGTCCCTCAGTGGGAGGTGGCGGAGCCAAGGCTAGAACTGGGTTGGTCAGACGGGCAGTCCACAGCTGAAGGGCTGACCGAGCTGCCCTCAACCTGGGTCCAGCACCCCAGGGGCCATGTGTGGAGCCCCCAGGAAGCCCATTTGAGAACCCTCATTGCAGGCGACCTGGATTCCCAGAGGAGCTTGCTTCTCAGCGCTCCCACACGGCCCCCACCGCTCTGGGTCCCCTCGATGGGGCTTGATGGAGTGGGTGGCCCAACCCTCCTACTCAGCCAGGGATGGACCAGCTCCTTTTCTCGCCCTCCTCAGTGAGGCCGCTCAGCCACTCAACGGGCACTGAGAAGCAGCATTTGCCGGGTCCTTGGTGGGGAGGTGGAGGCAGCACCATGGCTGGGACACAGCCTCGCCTGCAGGACCATGCAGCAGGCAGCTAAGGACAGTGGGTATGCAGCGCCCAGGAGCCCAAGGAGGCAGCCAGCTCTGCAGGGCTGGAGCAGCAAGGGCATCAGAGGGAAGCCCCCGGGCCTGTCCAGAAGACTGAAAACCCCCTTGTTCCTTTGAACTAACAGCACCCCCGTGTAGACCTCAGGAGAAGCAGTTTTATCCCCCAGAGAAACTGAGGCATTTTAGAAGGCGGGGGTCCAGTGCAGTGGCCACGCTCCCTGGGGCACTTCCTTTCTGTGGCTTTGCCTGGGGTCTCGAAGCCCAGGGAGGCCAGGCTCTGGGTCGGACCTTCACCCATGGGGGAACCTCTCTGGCTGCAGGGATGTCCCTCTCCCCAGCTGGATGGGAGTCTGGGGGAAGCACCTGGGTGGAGCGGTGAGTGGGGGAGACAAGTGGGACCCTGGGCCAGACACAGCTGGTCTTTCTGACCATTAAGCCCCTTGCCAGCTCGCCACTCCGCAACCCCCCAGTGGGCAGTGAGGGTGACCTCGCCCAAGAGTTGACACCCAGGAGCAGGGAGCAGGGAGCCGGCCCCAAGAAAACCCACTGGGCTGAGGCTGGTGCAGGGTGCAGCC
This sequence comes from Homo sapiens, assembly GCF_000001405.40. Taxonomy (NCBI): domain Eukaryota; kingdom Metazoa; phylum Chordata; class Mammalia; order Primates; family Hominidae; genus Homo; species Homo sapiens. The sequence goes on along the minus strand of NC_000001.11, from coordinate 3,098,255 downwards.
CGGGAGAAGGATTTTCCAGACCCAGGGTGGGGAACTGGATCCAGCCCCATGAGCCTGGAGGGACTCTCAGGGCCCTTGACTGGGAGCTTCTCACCTGCAGAGGATTCCACACGGCTCAGTGAAGGCTCAGCCCCCAGCACACTGACAGGAGGCCTCAGTGCCCTTTACAGACTGGGAAGGAGCCGCACAAGGGCGGGCAAAGGAGGGAGAGGGGCGGGGGCAGTTTCCAGTCCTGCTGGAGGAGCACCATTGGACACCTGCCCTGTTGCAGACAGGGACTGTGCCTGAGGTCACAGGGACAGGACAAGAAGAGGGGACGGGTGGGGACAGCAGGCATGGCAGAATTCTGCCTCCTGGGTCTTTCCTGCACCCTGTGCCTCCTCCAGCTCGAGGGGCGTCTGCTGCACCTGCCTCCCATCCCTGCATGCTTGGGCCCCCCTGGGATCTCTCTACACGAGGCCAAACAGAAGGCGCTGCCTCCCGCCCCCTCACACCTGGCTTCCTGAGGAACCTTCCCAGGCCTCGGGGAGACCCTGTGGCTGCCCCTGTCTCTGCCTCCCTCCATGGTAGGAAGAACAGCTGCTGAGGCCAAGACCCCCAGAGGGGCTGTGGGGCGGGAATCTCCAGGCTGGAGATGAGAGGGCAGGGCCAGGAGGGGTCACTGGAGGCTGAGCTTTTGGAGGTGCGAGTGGAGAAGAATTCATTTTTAAGTTCATCACCGTGTGATGTTGGCTGGTGCTGGCTTCTGGCCTGTATGGAATGAGGGGACCCTGACCAGCACCTACCACCATTCACCTGCGGGGAGACGCCAGGTCAGGGCACGGGGCGGCAGCCTGGCCACTGTTGTTATGCACAATGACTCTGCTCACTGGAAGCCCAGAGTGTGCTGGGCACCACCAGGTCCTTTGGAGATGCAGCCCTCGGCAGCCCTGCCAGGCAGACACCGTCACGTCCTTTCTGTACTCAGAGGAATTGGGAAATTTGTCCGAGGCAGGTCACACGGACAACAGATGACCCGTCAGAGACCAAAACTTTTGTACACAGCTGAACCCCTTCCAGCTGTGGGTACAGAGAGAGGCTCCTCAGCTCTGCCCTTAACCTTGCCCATGACCTTGGCTACGAGGGCAACTTCTCGGCACCGCTCTCCCTAGAATCCCGGCCTGGGTGAAGCGCTGTCTGACCCCAGCCCCAGCAAAAGGGTCCCCCAGGAGCACACGCACCCGATGCACCCATGGCTGCAGCAGGTGGCTCCCAGAGGGAGCCGAGACTCTACTGGAAAGCCTGGGAGAGAAGGGGCACAGAGAGCAGCCTCGGCGTAGTTTTAAATGGGCACGAAATCACCTACATGGTTCCACGGGTGGCTTCTTCCTAGAAACCACGGAGCTGTCTCACCTGGTGGTGGGCAGAAGCCGCCCAGACTCCCGTCCTTGGCACAAGGAAAGACAGGCACTGGGAAAACTGAGGAAGATGAGGGCCACAGCACACCCACCCTGCTCGGCTCTCGTAGGGAGAGGGCCCACTCACCATCCACCCCTGCTCCGGAAGCCTTGGAGGGCTCAGCAGCCCTGGGACGGGGCCGTCTTCCTCGCTGGTCCAGGGGCAGGAGAGGGAGTCCCTGGCGTCCCTCCCTCACGACCTTTCAACACACAGGCGGCAAGGCACTGAGGGAGGGAATGTGCCCCAGCCGGCAAAAGAGGAAGAGGCAGGTGCAGAGGGGAAGCTCAGGCTTTGCCAGTGGTTTCCAGCATCAGCCACAAGGTGTGGATTCGAAACACAGACCCTCTCCCTCTGCATTCAGGCCCAGTCGCCTCCCCTCCCATGACCTCATTCCTTCCCCTATGGCTCCGACTTGGCCAGGGGAGAGCGTGGACAAGGGATGGTGCACAGAGCCTCCTGGGGGTCCTGCGGGCAGGAGACGTGAGGAAGGGGCCCGCGGGGTTCTGGGGCTAGAGAGGACAGGACAGCGAGGAGGCTGCCTTGTGGGGAACTGCCATGAGCAGGGAGGTTTGAGAACTCAGGGAGAGGCAGGAAAGAAGGCAGATAAGGAGGAAGAGGAGCAGGAAAGCCGAGGTTCCTGCCCACATGGGGGTTCAAAGCACCGGGGCCTTCCTGGGGTCCAGAACATTCTAAGCATGGGGTGCGTACCCTGCACCCCAAATAGACAGGCACCAGGGCCCCAGGGGTGACAGGCAGCCAGGACTGTTAGGGGGCAGGTCCCGAGGGCTTTGCAGGAAAGTGGGGTGTCCCAGCCAGGGCCCACTGAGCCGTTTGGAGGAGGAGAGACAGGGAGGGAGGGAGTGTGACGTTCCACTGGCCCCAGACCCCTGTCAGATGCTGAGCGGACCTCGAGTCCATGCTGCAGGCAAAGGCCACCCTCTGAGCATGAGGACCCGCACAGTGAGCTGTGATATGAGGCTCCCCTGGGGCACCCCAAGCAGCCCCCAGGGCATTCCAAGGGGCAGATGGACCCCCATACATCACCCCCAACTCCACAGAGTCATCTCCCACACTGACCCCTGCCCCCCTCAAATCCTACCCTCCTGGCCGAGGCCAGAGGCTGCCCACGGCACACACTGTGAGGCTGCGTCTTGGGGTGGCTGTGTCTCAGGGCAGCACAGGGGTCCCTAGGGCATCTGAAGGAGGAGACCGTCCTGTCAATCCTGTGGATGTGGAAGCTGAGTCCAGGGGGCACTAGGGAGGACCAGCAGCTGAGCCCGGCCCCCCATGAGGCACCACGCAGTGCTTGGGCTGCCCCGGGACACAGCCGCACAGGGCTGTGCTCCAGGTCCTATGGGTTTTCTGCCTTAGGAGTGCCCCCCACCCCAGGAGGGGGATACCACTGTCCATCTGACCCATGAGGGTAGGTCTGAGCCCATGACATCTGGCACCCCAGCGGCACCCAGCACCCCTGGAGACACACCGAGTTGTTTGCTACTCCACTTTCTCCGCAGCCCTCTTCTCGGCTACCTCCCTGGACAGCCCTGGGCCACCTCAACCCAGCTGCAGGGCTGCTGGCTGAGGCCTGGTCACCAAGTGCCAGCATGGTTTGGACTGGCGGTTGGGGAGGTGGAGCTCCAGCCTGGCTTTTCACGCACTGAGCTGGAGAGGGGCCTTCTCATCACAGGCAGGTGGGCAGGGCCCTGGGAGACCCCTGGCTGCTCGCCTGGGCCAGTGCCCCGTCAGGACAAGCCTGGCTCATCATCTCCCCAACCGGGGAGTAGGCCAGGGCAACAGAGCCGTCCCCTCCTGCTGGCTTCATCTCGCCCAGCACGGGCAATTCCCCCATGCAGCTGTGAGAAGGTCTCGGTCACGAGCACCGGGGTTCCGGGCTGTGTGGCTCCATCCACGTCGGAAAAGACCAGGAAGGAAGACACACCTGGCACTCATGCAGACCCCCTCCTTCCCACCCAGAGTCCCTCGGCAACCGCAGCAGGGACAAGGCCCCACCTCCCTGGCTGCAGGGAGTCCAGGGAGGCCGGGAAGCACCCGAAGGCCTTGCTCATTTAAGCAGGAACGGCGCAGCCACTGACACTGCTTGCTGGGCCGGTGCTCACAGAATGTCTGCGTGTTCTGTGAAAGGAGTCTGTTCACACCAATAAGCAAAACATATTCCTGGTCATCAGCATGAAAGTCACCTCCTCATCACAGCTCTCCAGGGCCCAGTGGAAGTGACGGCCAAGCTTTATAGCGTCCCGGCCCTGGCTCTGAACCTGCTGGGGGCTTAGAAGGGCAGCCATGTCTGCACTCCTGTGCCCAAACTGCCCTCTGAATGACCGGATCCTGATGCCAAGCTAACAGCTGCCAGTCCGGCATGAGCAGGCCTGAGACGGGCTGGGGCCACGGGCCAGCATTGACCTTGGGAGCCCACGTCTCTGCAGGGTGATGTGGCTGCACTTAACTCGAATTTACTTCCAAGTCGTTCCGCTCTGACAATTCCGTGGCTGCCCAAGGGGTGCTTAGGAGCCACCTGGGAGCTGTGGAGGCAGGGTGGGGATGGCGGGTGCCTGCTGCCTGTGCGCCCCCGTGCCACCAGCCACCTGTCTCCTCCGCGGCTCCAGGCCTGGGCGGCGAGAGTTCCCCTTTTCCTCCCCAGCTCTGCCCTGCGTGCCCCGCCCGCCTCTTGCCCTGCACACTCAGGTGTTTGTTTCTGGGTCACCAGCAGCCACAGACCACACTGGCTGCAGCCACCACTTTCCCCAGACCACGTTGCTGGCTGGTGCCACCACTTCTGCTCGGCACTTCCTGAAACACAGCAGCCTGACCACAGAATCGCAGAAGCCCACACACTCATGGCAACTTCTAAAAAATTCTCGGGGCTCAGGGAAATTTGTCAGGAACTCCTTCCTTGTCTCGCCTGCTCTCCGCCCGAGTGGGATGGGGTGCACAGGCCTGGCCCCACAGACCCCCGCACGTTCCCCCTCCTTCCCTGCGCTTCGGAGCTGGGCTACATTGGGCATTGCTCAGCCACAGCCAGGTGGGAGTGGGCGTTTGCCCTGAGCTCCTGCAGGCTAGCCTCATGCTGTCCACTCTCCGCTGCAGGGGTCCCTCCCTGCCCGGCTTTCACCCCTTTCCTAGGGTCTGCCCCTCCTTCTCACCACGACCACAGCATGCAGCCTCCGAGAACTCATGTGAACCCCACAATCTAAGGGGCCCACAGGCACTGCGACCTCAGCCTTCACGACCAGACACACAGTGGAGATGCCGGGGGTCCCAGGGCGCCCAGAGGCAGAGAGCACACAACCTGTGGCATTTGGGCTCTCATTCCCCACTTGATTCCAGGGCCCCCAAAGTCTGGAGAAACAGTCAATCAATTCTGGAAGAGGACTCTTCATGGGCAGATGGTTTCTGACCGAGTCCCAGCTGCACCCCAGTCTGACCATGTTGCACCCTGGCTGTACAGAAATGTGGAGGGCAGACTGCCCCGGTGCTACCAAACATCGCAACGTTGGACAGTACCCAGGCTCAGGCCCCAGCATGGAGCTAGCCTGGGCTCTGCTCTGACATCGGGCTAGCCTGGGCTTTACCTCTGAAATAGGGGTAGCCTGGGCTCTCCTGACATCAGCCAGCCTGGGCCCTTCAAGAGATTTGGGTGAGGAAAACAGTATGAAGGGGTGAGAATTCCTCTTCTCACCACTTCTCACTTCTCAGCCAGGTCAGGAGAAGCGGTCAGCTCAGGGAAGTTACTATTGAGGGCGGTCAGCCAGGGCTGGCCCCATGTTCCTGGCTTTACAGGAGTTGGACAGTGATTACAGAGGTGGGACGCCACCTCGGTCCCTGCAGCAGGAAGCACTGGGCCTGAGGGGACCCAGGGGCCCGAGGTAGCAGCCCTGACTGCCTCTCACTTCTGTCTATGTCAAAGTCGTGGAAAGGGGCCACAGCTGCAAATCTTCCCCTTTGCCCCTGGGTTTAAGATGTTGCCTTGAGACTTCATGTCCTCCCTGAGACAGCCCCTGACCCCAATCCCAGCCCAGGTTGCCACCCTAGAGCTGCCGGGAGACCCCAAAGTGCATCAGCCCCCAGCTTGTGGCTCAGAGCCCAGACCGGGGGTGCCCAGCCAGAGGAAGGAGGCTCCCCGCACCCAGGCGCCATCCAGCACGAAGTTGTGCAGACCCCTCCACAGAGCCCTGAGGATGCCTGGCCAGCCTGAGGGGGATGCAGTGTGTGCCTCCCACTCATTTCCCACTCGCTGACCAGAAATGGTGAGTGCTGGATGTTTTCTAACTAAACAGTACATTTTGCCACGGAAATAAAAAGACAGCTCCCAGCATGTCCATGGTCACAATGCCCCGATCCTGAGACCTGCTCCATTCATGGACCCAAGTGCTGGTGGCACTCGGTGCCTGCAGGGTATGGGCACGTGTGAGGAAAAGGCTTTAAGGATGAGCAGTGGGGCAGGACCGGGTGCCTTTGCCCCTGGGGGCTGATACCCTCAGGAGCACACAGTAGCCTCTGCCTCGGGACTCACGAAGAGCAGCCCTCGTGCCTGGCACCTCCCTGCAGGACTGCCTCTCTGAGCCCCTGGGGTTGGGCCCTGCTGCAGAGCCATACCACGTCACCCACCACCTGGGGCCCCAGGCACAGTCGTGGTGCTCTCTGAGCCTGGTGTCCATGTCTACAAGCAGGTAACACCAAGCATGCAGCAGTGCCGTGACATGGGGGCCCAGGGAGCATCCTGCGATCCTGCGTGGTCCACCCTTACCCACGGCTGGCTCCATCTTATCCTCTACATGGGGACCTGCGTCCCCTCCCCATGAAGCCGTCCTGGGGCTAACGCGGGCCTCCCAAACCTAGCAGTCCTCACGGTCCCATTGATTTTCCTGGCAGGTTCTGCGATGTGAATTCTCTCGCATCTGACCACCTGCGAACTGTCCATCACCCCCGTTAGAGGGAGGCCCTCTGGGGACAGGCCCTTTCTCTCCAGGTTCACAGAGTCGGGGCAAGTGGGGGCCCCTCCATCAGCCTGAGTACACTTGGAGCAGCTGGCTACACCCCGAGCTCACGACCCATATATCTATGGAGGGACAGCTCCATCCCCTCCCCGCAGGGCTGTGGGGTGATCATGGAAGGAGCACAGCACAGCTGCTGGAAGGATGGGTGCTCAGTGAAGGCAGCTGCAGCCCTGCCCAGCAGAGGTGCCTGGGCAGAGGTGCCCTCCGCAGCAAGGACCCCAGCCTCCCTCAGACTCTCCCAAGGGAATGAGGGGTGCACGGAGAAGTGTGGCACGGGGCAGGCGTGGAGAGGAGCCGGCACGAGGAGTGGATTCGGCCCAACCCCTGCCCTTCTCACGAACTCCCCCTGGATCTGAGTCCTGCTGAAAAGCTGAGCGTTGCCAACCTGGGCCTTGCCAGGAAGATGGGCCTTGGAAGATGAAAGAGATGCTGTCGTCTCGGTGCGGGCCTGGCTGCACCCGCTTAAGTCAAGTCCAGTGCTGGTAACGTCCCAGGTGACCTCCACTCCAAACCAGCCTCTCCCTAGGCCTCAGTTTCCCCATCCGCATACCCTGGGTTTCAGAGAGCCTGTCTGGCTTGGCCAGGTCACGTCTGATGGAAGCGCTCTGTGTGGTTTAAGCTGCTATTGGTCGGTGGCTCCTTGGGACAGGATTTGGTCTCCCTGTTAGCGGTCATTCCTGTCTTTCCATTTGTGTCTCTTCATGGCGCCTTGGCATTTAGAGAAGAAGCCCCGTCCAGAGCTAGAGCTCGGGGTTAGGGAGAGTTTGCGGCTGAGGTCTCCGGGCAGACTTGCGGGGAGAAACGTGACTTTCCTGAGCCAGACCCTGGAGCCCTGGGGGCTGTCTGCTTCTCGTTCGTGGCTCCCCATAGATCACACACAAGGACATCCAGGCCTGTGTGCCTCTGAAGCAGGTCCTGGAGATTCTGCTTTCGGCTCGGAGCCTGAGGGTCCTGCCTCCCCACCCTGCAGGAGTGTCAGCTGCTGCTCCTGGGAACCTAAATCAGATGCCTGGCATGGGCTTCAGGGGCCAATGCCCAGGCAAAGACCTGGCCCCTTTCAATCTGGGGTCAGGCCGTGGTGCAGCCAAGTTCAAAGTCAGAGGCTTTGGGGTTCTGACGTGACCTGTTGGTGTCAGACTGGGGAGTAGCCAGGCTGTGTGGCCGAGTCTGCCCAGGGACAGAGTCAGGTGAGAAGCCCTCGGGCGTGGGCACCCAATCTGCCTCTTAGCAGGGACCCACACCTGGAGAGAGCACAGGGAGCCCAGTCTTTGCTTCCATTTGGGTGAAAACAGCCACTGGCTGCCTGAGGAATGTCCACGTTTCATGGGTGGTCTCAGGGGAGCCAGTCGCCCGGCCTGTGTGCGCAGGCTCAGAGGAGTTCCACCAGGCCTGCCGAACGGCGGCCACCAATCCCCACCCAGCCTCAGGGCCATGTGGCGCTTCTCACGAGACCAGCTCCAGTGCCTGAGTCTCCCAGCTGGACTCCCTTGGAAGTGGATGGAAGCGCTTCGGGAAAGCGGCAGTCACAGCCCTCAGTGTCAAGCCCCGTCTGCTGGGCAGTCCCAGGCCAGGTCTGGACGCTGCATGTCCTGTGGGGGACCAGCCCCGTGGTGGCGTTCGGGGTGCATCTGGGCATCAAGAAGCTTGCTGGCATTCTCTTCTCCAGTCCCCATGTCACGAATGAGCACACAGGGCCATCCTGGCTGGGGGGTTTGTTTGCCTTTGTATGGCAGTTTACTTTGCGGGGGTTATATCTTATTTGTCCGGTGAAGCTGTGAACAAGTACGAGGCTGGAACAGAGCTTCTTAGAAATTTGGGAGATACAGAGTAGGGACCACCCGTAAAAAGTCATGGAACTGTGGCAGGAATGAATGGATGAATGAATGAATGAGTGGATTTTAGACGCTGGGTCACAGTGGTTCTGAGCAGCTTTCTCTGCAGCTGGTGTCGGTCGGCCGGAGGAAGTTGGAGCAAGTCACCAGCTTGGTGTTCCTATTTTCATTAAATCAAATGGAACATCCCTGGTGCGGGTGGGAGACCCGGCCTCGGGATGCAAGTCCTGGATCAGGCTCGGCCCGGAGGAGACGTAATGACCAGGGAAATTCGACAATGCCAGACCAGAGGCTCCCTGCGCTTCCTCGGCAGTGGCTGCTGCCCCAGAGCGAGTCACACGGGGAGCCCCTCACCGGCAGGGGCATTTCTGTTTAAATTAGAAACACTATTGTAGAAAGGCCCAAATAAACAATATTGGTTTTCTGGCCTGGAGATGCTTGGCGGGGGTTTATTTTCCCCACGTGGGAAGGCTGACAGGCTACTGTGCTCTGAGAAGTTTCCACCCGCTTCCGCCTCCTGCTAACCAGCTCTCACAGCCTCCCTCAGCTCCGAGTTCCCAAACCATGGAGGGTGCAGCCAGGTGGAGGCAGCTATGGTGCTGTGTTGCATGGGGTCACAGCCCCGGTGGGGGGTGGGTCCCAGGGGTCCCAACGTCTCTTAGAAACGAGGCTCAGCCTGGGCTACCAGCAGTCCCTATTGTGCGGGAGCTGGGTGCAAGGAGTTTCGGGGTCCACACCCCTTCTCCAGGCAGGGGCCAGGGCTGGTGCAGACACCATCTCCATTCAGACGTCGAGTCGGAGGGGCCCAGGCCTGCAAAACACCCTCACCGCTGAGGACAGGTGGGGCGACAAGGGGCCAGGTACCAGGCAGCTATTAGAATCCCTGCATCTCGGACTGGCGCGGTGGCTCACGCCTGTAATCCCAGCACTTTGGGAGGCCAAGGTGGGTGGATTACCTGAGGTCAGAAGTTCAAGACCAGCCTGGCCAACATGGTGAAACCCCATCTCTACTAAAAATACAAAAATTAGCTGGGCGCGGTGGCATGTGCCTGTAACCCCAGCTACTCAGGAGGCTGAGGCAGAAGAATCGCTTGAACCCGGGAGGCAGAGGTTGCAGTGAGATTGCGCCATTGCACTCCAGCCTGGGCGACAGAGTGAGACCCCATCTCCAAAAAATAAATAAATAAATAATAAATAATAATAAATAATATAATAATAATAATATGGCCGGGCGCCGTGACTCACGCCTGTAATCCCAACACTCTGAGAGGCTGAGATCAGGAGATAGAGACCATCCTGGCTAACACGGTGAAACCCTGTCTCTACTAAAAAATACAAAAAATTAGCCAGGCGTGGTGGCAGGTGCTTGTAGTCCCAGCTACTCGGGAGGCTGAGGCGGGAGAATGGCTTGAACCCAGGAGGCGGAGCTTGCAGTGAGCTGAGATCGCGCCACCGCACTCCAGCCTGAGTGACAGAGCGAGACTCCATCTCAAAATAAATAAATAAATAAATAAATAAATAAATAATAAAAGAATCCCTGCATCTCCCAAGAGTATTCGGGGGAAAGCCTGCTGGGGGGGTTGTTACTGGTTTCTGGATTGTTCTCAGTGACTTGAGCCCCAGCTCCCTGATTGAATGCAACAGAAGGGAAAGGCGGTTTGAGGATTTTTATTATTATTATTATTTTTATTGCTTTCTAGACTGTGCCCAGTGACTCCGGTCCCCAGCTCCCTGATTGAATGCAACTGCAACTCCAGAGTCCTGCCTACGTCCTCGGTGAGGAGATTTCTCAGCCAAACAAAACTCCTGTGTGTGCAAGCTGCACCGGCAGCAGCGGTGGAGGTCAGGCGAAGGAGCAGCACAGGGAGAATGTAGAAAATAGACAATCCTGTTGGAAGTTTAGGCCTCATAAATCTCCACCAGGCTGCTGGCTGACTTTAGAAGGTGAGAGAAACAGCAGTGAAATGAGGAGGGCAAGAAGAAGGCGGCACCAAGGCCAAAGAGCAGGGGTGTCTCGGGGGACGGAGGGAAACAGCTCACTGAGAAATGTAGTGTAATCTTTGCTCAACCACAAACAGGAGGCCAGACCCCAGAGCACAAACAGAAACGTGCCTCCCTCCCTGGAAAATTGATTTGTCAATAACCAGAGACTTGTTGTCCAAAGGCATCTCAAGGTGGTGAAAAAAAGAAGAGTAAAAATGGAAACAATATGGTACTGGCAGACACAACCAAGACGTGATTTTTGAAAAGAGTGATTCCAGCCATCGCGAGGGCCACCGGCCATCCCTGGATTGATCATCTGGACATGGCATTCCTTGGTCACGTCCAAGGAAACAGGGTGCGTTGGGCATTTTTGACTAAGAATGCATCTGCGGATAGGGAAATCAAAGTTGGTTTCAATCTCCTCCTATGATCTAAAAACTCCCCCCAACAGACACAGAAAAATGTGAATTTCCTCTTTTGGGGCTGAGTAGCCCGCCACAGACAAGGAAGGACCCTAACCTAACCTGACCCCAAGGCAGGAACAACTTCCTGCCGGCCGATCCAGAGTGGGACGTCCAGGACTCCTGTCCACCTGCTCTCGCGTTCCTCAGCCCGTGCTCTGTGGTGCACTGGGTGCTAAGATTACGGGGCCTCTTGCTGCTGTAGAGGGATGTGAAGGTGAGAGGCCCTGGCTGGTCTCAGGTGGGGCTGGCCTCAGGTGGGGCTGGTCTCAGGTGGGGCTGGTCTCCGGTGGGGCTGGTCTCGGGTGGGGCTGGTCTCGGGTGGGGCTGGTCTCGGGTGGGGCTGGTCTCGGGTGGGGCTGACCAGCACGTGGTGAGGCTGCCTCTTCTGAAAGAATCCTCACGTTAACCCTTCACCTCCAAAGGAACAGGTGCTCCCAAGAAGACAGTGCCGGCAGCACGTGCAGCGTTTCCATATGAACTACGAGCATGTCGCTGTTGGCCTGAGAACTTCCCTCACTTGGACTTCAGGCTTTCTGTTTCCTTTTTTTCCTTTTCACTCCTTCTTTTCTTTTTCTAACTTTCATTGGAGGTGAGTGATACCATGTTTAGATTGCGGAATTCCATCGCTTAATTGCTTCACTACTGGAAATTTCAGGAGACTTCTCATTTTTCACTGAAATCTCCAGGCGCGAGCGCATTTCTGCAGATCTTTTGCCTAATTAACGGCATGCTCCACAAAAAAAATAAAGAAATGAAGACAGCAAGCCCCGGCAGACGACGCCAAGAACCACTCGTTAGCTCCGAAAGGAAGCAGCGGAGTAACTTGGGAAAATCTCCACCCAAAAACTCTCCGGTGGAGGGCGTCAGTGGCCGGGCCTGGGTCTGGCTGCTGCAGCTGGGGGAAGGGAGCCCCAGCCTCCCTTCCCAGCCCTTGTGCTTCCAGACAGGACCAGGAAGCATCCAGATGACAAGGCAGCCCGGCGGGAGGAGGCCAGAAGTGGAGGGAGGAGGCCAGTAGCGGAGGGAGGAGGCCAGAAGCAAAGGGAGGACACTGCACCGACACCTCGGGCGTTTTCCAGCACAGGCTCTGAGGGTGGGCATGTGGGTAGCAGCCCCGTGGCAGCTTTCCTGACCAAGAAACTCAGAGCCCATCCCTGCATCACTTGACGGGGGCAGGGAACCTTGGCCTGCAACAGAAACTGCAGGCCGAGAGGACTCTGAGCCTGGGGGTCGCAGCAGGTGCGCCCAGGGCAGAGCCAGGCTCAGCCGCCCTGGCTGTCACAGCCAGGCAAGCACCTTATGGTTTTTAAGGCCTCACGCACTCACGAGCTCACCCTGAGCAACCTCAGGTTCCCCATCTGTCCTGCCCTGAGAGGAGGGGACCTGGAGTGTGTAGACAGAGACCTTGCAGGAGACCAGCATCCAGCCGCCTCAGGCCATGGTGACCTTCATCAGAGGTCTGTGTGCCTGCAGCTGTGTACGCATTCTGAGACTGACTTAGGCCAAAGGAAGGTGCCCAGCCTATGGCCCAGACCAGGGCATGGGGTCAGGTGCAGCCCCTGTCCCTCCCCTCTGTCAACGTGAACCCACGTGAGTGGGGCACCAACTCTCAGGGCTGGGCGCCCTGCTGGACGCCAAGCAGCTCTGGGGAGACAAGGCCTGGGTGGGGCTCCCACAGCTGTGCCCATCTGGGGCCCTGTAGGCCTGGTAGGAGGCAGTCCTGGCTGAGGGCCACCTGCTGCCCACCCGACCTGTGGCCCAGAAGGTCAACCCAGGCGGCAGAAAGAGACCTGGCATGGCCACCCTGAGTGCAGCCCTTCCATGGCCTCCAGGAGGACACACACATGGGCAGGATGCTGGGCGTCCTAAAGGGACCACCCGTTCTTGATGACACCACAGCCCCACGAGGATGGATTACCCCACTCAGCAGATGGGCACACTGGGCTCAGAGAGGCCCAGGAGGAGCCGGGGTCACTCAGCTTTTGAACAGTGGGTGCCAGGATTCAGTCCAAGTTGGCCTGAGCCAAAGCCTTCCCTTGTCCACTACCAGCCAGACCAAGAGAGCAGATGCTGCCAGAATGGGGAGCCCTGGGGGGCCCTGCTGCCCAGGGTCAGGTCCCAGCAGTTGGCAGCTTGTTCAGTGAGGGGACTCGGAGCCCCTGTAGTCCCCCAGGTCCTGCTGGGTATCTAGCCGCACCTTGGTTCTTGGCTGTGGGATGATCCCAGCCCAGCAAGCGAAGGCCACCATAGCCGTGGCTCTAGGAAACTCTGAGACCCTCCCAGCACCCACCCAGGCTTCAGAGGCCTTGGCCAGGCGGGTCTTCCCAAGGCTGCACTGCCTCTGCACATGGTGGTGTCCAGATTCCACCTGCACGAACGTTCTAGGTCGGAGTAGGTCCTGGGCACCAGCCTGGGGCAGTGAGAAGTAACTATTCTGCTGCCTAGGCTGTCCATTGACACAGAGAGGTGCGGCTGGGGACCAAGGGGTGCAGGAAAAGGGGCTGGATGCTGGGCAGAAACCATCCCAGCTGCTGGAAACAAACCCCCAGCACCCGCCCGCCTGCAACACCTGCCGCAGGGTGCGCGGCTGAGCTCCTCTCCACCTGGCAGCCACCCTGGACCTACAGGCTGTGCAACTCCAGCCCCAGGTGTGCACCCGAGAGCTACTGGCCCAAAGAATCACTTCCCTGGCCTGCCCCCCGACAGCCTGCAGGGCTCAGCGTTTGTGATCCAAGGGGGACGCCCGAGAACAGTGAGGCTGGAAGGGAAGATGCTGCCTGGGCCTCTCTGGACGTTTTTCTGCCCCACTGTGTTTTTTGAAGCGGGTGGGAGCCCTAGATATAAGCGCTGGCAGATGTGGCCTCGACTCAAATTCTCAAGGACAAGTGCAGAATGGACGGTGCCTCCCTGGCTCAAGTGTCCAGGGACAGCGGCCTCCATTCTGGGGCTGCACCTCGAATTTCGGCGACAGAGCAACTGCAGCAAGCAGCCGCTTTATCGGGGGCCCATGCAAGCTCAATATTGCTGTGGCCCCTCGCCCCCAGCATTCCGTGCCTCCCAGGGGGGCAGATAATCCCACAAAGGGCCTCGTGCCAGAGCACAGACTGTGGAGAGGCTCTCTCCGGCCGCCGAGCGCTTTCGGCCCCATCAGCACTGTGTTCCCTGGAATCTTCTTACTGGGCCCCATGCTTCAGATCGAATGTCCCTTTGAAAGGGCCAGAGGCGGCCCCTGTGCCCTGCCTCTGGGTCTGCCTGACACCAGATCCAGGGGGCTCCAGCCCAACCTGCCCCACCCGAGGGGTACAGGCCCCCAGACGCCCCAGGGCCCGCCAGGACCGCAGTCCCAGGCAAGGAGAGGAGTGAAAGGCCTGCATTCTGGCCCAGCAGACACCAAGGCCCTTTCTCCTCCAGGGAGCCCACAGCAGCGCTGGGATTCGGTCGTCCCCAGCCACCTCTCCTCTCGCTCCCTCCACAAGCGTGTGGGTCTGCCAAGACCCAGGGACATCTCTCCGAACAAGGGTCCTGTTCTCTTCTCTCGCGAACAGGGTCTCCTGATCTGATCTCTGCATAAGTCTCCACGGTAAAGCCAGTCCAGCTCATGGAGTCACATTTGTGTCAACCACGTGTTCCATGCGTGTGTGGGCACCATGTGCTGATTACGGTGAAGCCCCTCTCTCCTGCAGTTCCCTGGGCAAGTCCAAAGGGTGTCCCCTCAATGACAACACAGACACAATCCCAGCAGTCGGAAGGTCAGGTGGATAATGGTGGGGTGAGGAGGAACAGCTCTTCCCCTCTCAGCTGTGGAAACTGCCCCTCTGATAAACAACACCCCCAACCCCCTGGAACAAAACTAACAGGAAACCCCCGAGGGCAGGATCCAGCTCCGGCACCCACCCTCCCCACCCAGCATGAAGCTGACACCCGCCTCCCCTGACAGCAGGCGCTGTGTGTCCTGACCTGCAGGGCATCCCTCCGCAGCAGGCTGGTGACATTCCTTGGTTCGCCTCTTCACAGAAATGATGAAGAAGCCCAGGCTGTGGGTGAAACCCCCAACCCTAGAAAGGTGTCTCCCTGGGCCATAAACGCAGCACAGCTTCCAGGTCAGCCCCAGGACGATCTGCCCGCCCGGCACACAGCAGGCCCCGCCAGCGCCAGGCCCAGCCCAGATGGCCGCACTGCCTTGAAATGAGCGCGCCGCCCAGTCCAGGACAGGGCTATGATGGGGAGGGATGTGCAGTTCCGGGGCCCAGCCGCCAGGTTGCTGCTTGGTGGGGCGCAGCCAGGAGACCCGACCCCTGCGTCTCCTAGCCATTGCCACTGCGCTCATCCAGTGGTCTCGGACGAGACGTTTAATCTGGAGGCCGCATCCAGAGGAGCCTGCCCGGCTCTGCTCTCACACACACAAGCCTGTCTTTGGCCAGTGAAAGTTCCAGAAACCCCAAAATAGCTCCTGACTGCCTGGATCCTAAGGACAATAATAGCAATAATCAGAGCCACAGGCGAGCGTTCCGGGTGCACTGTCCCAGCAGGGGGGCTCGATCTCCAGCGCCCCCACCTCTTCCTCTGTGTTTCATCTGTCCCAGAAGTGTCAGGAGGGCCGAGCATCCTGTCCTAGATGAGGGGAAAGCGAAGGCAGCGGCCACAGACCCAGGGGCCACAGGCACTTGCTCCCACGCAGCACCCAGGCGCCGGCCCCATCGCTTTCCAATCTCGCCTGTCCCCCAGGCCCCCTCGGTGGACTCCGCACAAAGCGGGCAAAGCTGAGCTCAGCCCTGGGGCAGCTGAGATGAAGCGCACCCCACCTCTCCTTGCTGCGGCAACAGGGTGCCTCCAGCCCCCCAGGTCCAGCTCCAGATCCTGGGGGAGGGGGTTGCTGGGCATTGGCCCCCAACCCCGGCTCTGTCCTGACCCAGCCGAGGCATGGATGCCAGCAAGGGAGTCCAGGAGTGACCCTCGGAGCTGCACCCCCAGCCTCAGCTCTGACTGGGGTGAGGGAGGTTTCCCCGGAACCCCATCTCTGAACACCATTCAGCCCAGCTCAGGGGCTCCTTGGGAATGGTCCCCAGACCCTGCAGGCTGAGGTCCCTCACCCTGGGTTTCCTACGTGTGGCCACTCTCCTGTCCCCATCCTGTGGCCACAGCTGAGTCCAGTTGCAGATGGGCCGTTACCCCTCTGACATTGGCCAGGCAGACCCCGAGGCGCCCTCCTGGACCCACAGGGCCTCCTGCCTGCTCCTGCAGAACCCAAGGAACAGAAAACTTCCCCTCAAGGAAGACCACACAGGGCCTGACTGCACAGGACCTGACTGCAGAGGGCCTGGCCGCGGGGGCCTCCCACCTTCCTGGTCACACCAGGGCCCCCGGGCCAGCCTCCTGCCCATCAAGTTCCCGTGGTTTGGTCCAAGGTCATCTAACATGGTGGAGCTTCAGTTCATTTGGGAAGTGAAAGCCAGGTGCCACCTCTGAGGCTGGAGGCTGGCGGTGTTCGATTTGAGGCGTCAAGGGAATTTCAGAAGCCTCCACATGTCAGGGGTGCAAGGCTTGGGTTGGTGCTCACGGGGGCTTTGCCGCTGCCTTGGCACACTGTGGCTTCATCTGCCCATCCTGACTGCTGGCCCTGAAGGCCTCTGCCTCTGGGTCTGTGAGGGGAGCTAGGGATGGCAGGGTCTTGCTTTTGCAAAGCTGGTGTTTAGTCAGGGCAGCAAGGAGGTGGTCTCCCTTGCTGCCCTGCTGCCCATGGAAGGTCCCCCAACACGGGCCTTCCATGGGGGCCTCCCACGTGCCCTGTGGCCAGGCTCTACCCACTCTCTAGTGACCGACACCCAGGGGTGGGAAGCGGCTGTGTGGCCAGGAGGTCCAGCTGTCCTGCCCAGTCCACAGCAAGGCTTCCTGGAGCTGCCCACTGCTCACCCCCCGTGCTCACAGAAGGAAGACCAACCCTGGCCGCCGCCATCCCTGTAGGTGATGCCAAGCAGTAGCCTATACTCTGCAGAGAGAGCTGGGGACTGTCAGAAAATGCAAGTCGGCGTTCTCCCCACCTCAGCCCTGCTCCTCACACGGCCACAGCTCGGTCTGGTGGGACAAGGAGGGGGCTCTCCAGGGGCCGGCCGGGCCAGGCTGCAGGAATGGGCCTCTCACGCCCACCGTGGCCACCAGCCCCTCGTTCCCTTTGAACAAGGGTCACCTGTCAGGAGCGGACGCAACCTAAAACCCTCTGGAAAGAGCACAGAATGACCCCTTATCAGGTGCCAGCACGGGGGACTCGGGGTACAGCCGCGAGGGGCCTCGAACCCAAGTCCCGCCGCCGTAATTAGCAGATGAGATTCAATAACAAACAGCAGCTTTTAGCGGCTTTATCTAACCTCGGGAAGGTAAGACTAACACCTTCGACGGAGGGAAAGTTAAGACTCCGGGGCCTCTGCCCTGCGGTTCAGATTCCCAGCCATGAAACCAGAGAGCCCCTCGTGGCTACGCTATCTGCCCCCCGATTCTCTGAGCTCCCTTACTCTCTGCTTTTTTTTAGGCCTTTTGTTCATGAGGACACTCGGCGGAATGTGCAGACCCCCCCCGCCCCGCCACCCCCTCTACACACACACACTCTCAGGCACACAAGCTCTCCGGGAAGCGTTGGGTGCTCGGGCCGGGGTTCTGCTACTCATGTGGGCTCAGGGTCGGAGACGCCGAGTCTCTGGGGCTCTGAGATATTAACAATCTGCCATCGTCCCAGATTCGCCTGTGGCTGCTCAGATTTCCCCGGCCCGGAAGAAACCGCCCAACATGTTCCTCGGAACAGAAATCCAGGAGCAGTTGCCCGGTCCGAGGGGGAGAGCAAGCTGGCTTTGCTCAAGTTTGCTTTTTCTCAGGCTGCAAGCTTAGGGGCCCGGGCCTCCCGTTTTTGCAAAATGGATTGTCAGCCGAGTTGATGAAACAAAATTTGGGGTTTCAGAGGACACCACCCAGCATATCTTAGTAGATCTTATTTTTAAAGTCATGCCAAATCACTTCCAGGGAAAAATCGATCTGTCTCTGATAGCTTTTCCTCCTGCCAATGTGATAAATAAATAATTAGCCACATTGTCGGGCTGTTTCATTAAAGAAAAGGATGGCTGGATGGGCCGGGGTAGAGAAACCGATCGGAAAGCGCGGGTCGGCCGTAAATCCCCGGTGCTTCGTGGCACCATTTGTATTCTGTCAGTCACTCGCTGTACGCTCAGCCTGGGCTGGGAACTGAATACCCCATTCAGAGAGGCACTCGCACGGCGTGTTATTGCAATTTAATATTTTCACACACAGACACATCATTATCTGGGAACCTGACACTGGCAGCATAATTCTGTAATTTTTCAAGAGGGCCTAATTTTTCTAAATGCAAGCACCAGGGCCCGGGATTATCTAAACAGCCTCGTTTCCTCTTTGTTTCTTCTCAGGGGTTACAGCGTGCGGAAAAGTGCTCCAGATCGCTGCCGCCTCTCCACCTTTGAACTTTTCCAGTCTCTTCTCCCACAGTGACCAGCTGCAGAACAGCTTTGGGCCGGGTGGGCACGCGCTACTGAGGCAACCAACTCTGGCGCCACGGAGGGCTAAGGACCGAGGTGCAGCCAAGGCAAGTGGCTCTTTCAAGGCACAAGAGGGCAGGGAAGTGTGCGATGTTGCTGATCAACAAAAACAGAGTAGCTTGGCGGGCCCTCTCAGGCCAACCTCAGAAGCACGCTTGCCTGCAGGTGTGTGTGTTGTACACAGACACAGAGCACACACACGTCCTCACACTCCCTGGAGACAATCTCAACATGCCAGCCAGATGAAGGGGTATGTGAGGGGCCACTTCTCCCTGGAGCAGTCTCAGCTCTGGCCAAGAAAACACCCTCTGGTTTTCAAGTAGTTCAGAAACGCATCGGGTTTTCCAGGAATAAGAGCCTGCGGGTGATTTGCAAGGAAGGCCAGAAATCTCCCAGCAAGCCAGCTCCTGTGGCACGTCCCTGGGGCCAGGCCGCTCCATGCGGCTTGCTGCTGCCTAAGGCAGCAGTATTTTCACCAAGTCAATAGACACTCTCTGCATTACAGGCTTCCCTCCGAAAGGGACCCAGGGACCTTGGGACAGTCCCCCTGACAGCCCTGCAACCGCAGGATCCCTGTGCACACACAGGGGCTGGGCCAGCAGGGCAGCATGAAGGAGCCCTGTGCACACACAGGGGCTGGGCCAGCCAGGCAGCGCGTGGGACAGGGATGACAGTAGCCCCTCTGATGTGAGGCTGGAAGGGGCTCTCAGGCCACCACTGCGGAGAGATGCTGACATAGCCGAGACCTCTCCTCCCCATCACGGCCTTCACTCGGGAGCACAGTCTGAGGCCAAACAGGCCCGGGCAGCGGCGGAGATTCCGGGACGCGGCTCCACCAGGGAGGCGGTGGGCAGCAGGGAGTAAAATGAGGATTAATGCCCGGAGCCGTCGGAGACAGTCACGCCAACTTCCTGTTTGCCCGGGGAGGACCGCAGCCACCCTGCGGTCACCGTTTGGGCTCCTCCGGTGAGCGTCATTTTTGGTCTTTGTTTAAATGTTTTACGGACTGATATGACCAGCCTCTCTGACGAGGCTGTTACAGCCCATTGGGCAGAGAGAAATGTCTGGGCATTTTTCAATGCGTTCCCCTTTCCCTGGGAGACCCAGCTACGGGAGCCATGGTGAAGTCTATTATGGAAATCCATAGTTGCTGTAATACCGGCTGCCAGGTCTGGATCAGATACAGGGATTCAACCATGTCACGGGCAAGAGCTCCCAGTCACATTCAGAGCCCGTTCCTCACGTATGCACCCCGTCATTTCCTCCCTCCGCTAAAACGTTGGCAGTGTCCTGCCTGCCACAGGTACTAGAGAAACGAATTTCATTTGAACTACCGAATTAAAAAGAGAGAGGCAGAGGCTCACAGCAGCAAAGAAAATTACATAACCCTCCTCTCTGGCAGCCTCCCTCCCTCTCTTCTGGGCCTTTCGAATGTGAAACAGGGCTGGGAACAGGCACCTCCGCGCCAGTGCAGAGAGGAGGCCCTGAGCCTCATGTCTAGAGCGGCGGGGGTTGGGGTGAGCTGTTGGTTGGATTCTGGCTTTCCTGCCATCTTAGACACCATGGTCCAGACCCCCAGGCGAGGGACCACTCCCCAGTGAGGACACAGAGTCTGTGTGGAGCTGCTGAGCCCCGACTCGCCACAGCGGGAGGCAGCCTGTACCACCCAGAGCTCGGGGACCCTGTCTCCCTCCAGGTGGGCCCCTAGCATGCATCCTGCAGCTGGAGAGGTCCTCTGCCCCCTGACATGCAGGTCTCGGAGCCCGGCACACAGGAATCCCACCACACCATGATTGACACAGGGGAAGATGAGAGGACGGATGGGAATGGAACTTGCAGAAGCCCCCAGCCCCCTGCAAGAACTAGGAGGCCTCTGATAAGAAAAAAAGTGGCACGTGCCAACAGCTGTTTCCACCCCAGGACAGAGGCAAGGACAGAGGAGACCCAGGGAGGCTGAGTGTGGGGAGGCAGTAGGGGAGGCATCCACTGCATGTGGCAGGGGCCAGAACAGATTCTGGCACCTGTGCCTCCTAGTTTGAAATGAGCAGCTAACAATCATTTCATGTTTTATTTCAGGGCTGAGCTCTAAGGCAGGGGTCAAAGTGGTTCTCCTGCTGCAGGCTAGGGGAGACCCCAGTGTGGTTTGGCTTTATGATGTGGCCCGGGCCCTGCCTACAGCAACGATACAGTGCTGGTGGTCCACGCACGGGGCCTGGCCTGTGAGCACCTGCAGCCTGCACACCCACCCTGCACAACACCCACAAAGGCTGAGGCTGAGGACTGACCAATCAGCTTCCCAAACAGGCCAAGGAGATAAAAACAAAACTCCCCATCTGACTGCCTGGCTGATTGGAGGAGACATTGTAAAGCACCCCAGCCTGGCTCCAGGACCCCAAATTCCAGGAAAAAGCACCTACTAAACACCCTGGTGGACCTTCCAGGTCCTTCTGTGCAGACACCCCTGCTGGAGGAACAGGTTCACACGAGTGCACACATCGCAGCACTTCAACCAAGTTCAAACTCACTTTTATTCTCCAAAGCGTCCTCACCTTTACCTGGTTTCACAAAGGGGAGAGTCCAGCAGCAGTGAGGGAGGGGGCCAGCAGCAAGCCCAGGCCAGCGTGGGGCTGGGGACCCTGGGAGAGTGGGACACACACACGATGCAGAGTTGGGGTGAACAGAGCCTGGGTTTCTGGGGCTGATGTGGGATGCTCCTGAGCTTGTGTCAGGGGGCAGGGCCCGGGCCCACGGGAGACCTCGCCAGCAGCCTCCAGGAGGCCCGTGGACCAGGACTTCATATTCGCCCCAAACATTCAGCTTTGTTATTCTTCTAAAGTGGGAAAGGAGACAAAGCTACTGATTTCCCAACTCCATAGCACACCACACAGAAAGCAAACCGCAGGCCTGGAGACCTGCCCTGTGGGGGTCACTTCAATGGGGACTGGCCCCAGAGCCAGAGGTTTGGGGAGAGCCAGCCAAGATGCAGACCAGCCCCTCTGAGAAGCAAGAAGGGGCTTCATACCCCGAGATGTGTGCTCTGTGGAGTTTCCTGTGTCCCCCCCAAAAACACCCACCATCACCCCATGTTTAAATTCCTTATAGAATATACATTTGGTGTCAGAGGAGAAAACCAAACCTAAGTAAATCCATCCAGGTAAGTCGGAAGGCTAAGGAGGGACAGGGAATAGTCCTTAGTGTGCCCAAGGAAGCCGAGCCGGTTTCTGGGAATAAACTAAGAAGCCCCGGTAAAGCCTGGAAAACCTCTCCTCGCACACCCATGCAAAGGCAGCCCTGGCCCCTGGCCTCCAGCTAAGCCTCCTGAGCCCTTTCCTTCCTGTTAATGCCCCCTGGCACTACCTGTGGGCGAGGAAGGAGACAGACACCCTCGGAGAAGCCCCAGGCTCCAGTGCTTCTGCCCGGGGACGCTGAGAGCAGACAGAGGCTGAGCCCATGTGTCCCTGCTCCTGCATGCCCTGACGCTTTCCCTGAGCCACTCCACGCAGGGGACCAGCCGGCGGCCACTAGCAAGGGCTTCAGTGGCACAACTCAGCTTCCTCAGAACACATCTCAGAAGCAGGAAAAGCAAACTCTTCCCTCATCTCCCCGCCCCAACAGATCCTCTGAGAGCCCCAGGTCCCCACCAGCCGGACAGGGAGCACGTATCCCACACCCTCCCTTCATCCAGCAGAGTCAGTGCAGACGTGGCCAGGGCTGCGGCAAAGACGTGGATCGCAACACACACGCACACCTGGACACACACACGTGCTTGGACACACCCCTTCACACACCCACGCTTGACAGAGCACGGGCTGGAGCTGCACAGTGTGCTGGGAAGCCTGTTATCCTGAGAGGAGCGCGGGGCTGGTGGGTTCCCTCACAGCAGGCTCAGAAAGCCGCTTTGCCAAGCAGGGCCTCGAGGTGGGCAGAGCAGAGGCTGCTCCTGGTTCTGCACATTTGAAGTGGGCACCCCACGCGTGGGGGGCTTGGCTCACTCTTGGTCAAGCCTAGTGCGTGACTCCTCCTCCCCCAGGAGGATGGTGGGCAGCAGCTGCTGAGGTTCTGCCGCCCTGGCCTCTGGGGTCCCCTCTGGCCCGAGGTGGATCGCAGATGAGCCTGTCGCCGCACCCACTGCTCCGCCTGACGAGTGGGGTTCAGGCCAGAATGAAAAAGGGACCCCTCCTCACCGGGTTCGTTTCAACACAGGCTCCACGGCCTCCACTCTGAGAGGTGCGTGTGCAGGTTCGGAAACGGCACCGCCATCAGCGCGGAAAACGCGCATGGGACGGCACAGAGCCTTATTCAGAGGAGATGAAATAGTCACTAGGACCCAGCCATGTTTTAAAATGATTATAAATTATTTTAACAGTGCATTTGCAAAGGGTTATAAAAACAGCCATAATATATTTTTTTCCTTAGATTCTAGAATTACCAGTGTGACAGCTAATGCAATAATGATTTGTTTCAAATGCCAGTGTTTAAGCTGTATAAAGCTGATTTTATACATTTTTCCAGTAGGCCGCATTGTAGTTAATGAAATTAAACACACCAATCGCATTTGTCCCCAGGGGACGAGGAACTGAACACACCACTGGTTTATTTTTTTATTAAAATAAATTGCAGCCGGCAAGATGGACTAATTGCATACAGAATTGAAAAAGAAACATTCCATTGATATAATTAAGCCAATTTTCATGGACAGAAATAGTTATAGTGGATATAAAATAAGCAAAACCTTCACCAGAATCTGACTTCCCTCCTTTTCTGCCCAAAATGTTAACTATTAAACAAATATGATCTTGGAGCGGCCAGCACTCCTATCTTCAGGCCTCGGGGCATTGTTCCCGCGTCTCAGGCTAGGCCGGCCAGGCGGGCCAGCCCAGGCACCTCCAGACCGTGGAGGATTTGATGGCAAAAGCCCAAGAGTGAAGTGGTCAGACCAGGGAGAGGCCACTCCTCCCCTGCTCTGGGCCCACCAAAGCTTGGGAGCACTCCTGGCCCAGGATGACCACCGTGGCCCTGGCTGCAGCCTAGGAGACACCCAGACTTCAGGAGCCGTGGCCCACGCCAGGCTGGACCAGGGATGTCAGCAGCCGGCCCCTTCCACCCTGCAGCTCAGACCAACAGGGCAGCAGCAGCTCCACCTCCCCCTGACTGCTGGGCGGTGGGTGGAGGCGGTGGGTGGTGGTTATTCCCCTCCAGATCTGAGGGGTGGCAAAGGGCAGGTCCTACACCTCCCGGGCCAACCTGAGCCTCCTGCATTTGCTCCGGATGAAGGCAGTGAGCGAGGGAGTGTGGAGGGTGCAGGCCAGGCCACCCGACCAAGGTTTCTGCTCCTCTGTGCCTGCCCTTGGGGACAGAACACCCACAGAAGGGGCAGGAGCTGTGGGGGACGGAGCCCAGCGGGAGTCCAGCCTGCAGGTGTGAGGTCACTTACACGCTGGACGCACGTGATGTCCTGCCTGCTTTTTAAGAACAGACCTGCTACAAGTTGAGCATTGGCCTTGAGAAAATGCTTAAACCCTGACACGCACACACACACGCGCACACACACACACACACAGAAAAAACCCTATGGAATTAACGGCAGCCTGTGGTGCTCTGTGGGGGAGGGGAATGCTACATAAGAAGCCCTGGAGGTCTTCATTCCACTGAATTTCACTGGAGCCTCAATCTGCTGTGTGCCCTCCCAAGAGTTCCTCCACCTCTCTGCGTCTGGGGTTTCTCACTCTCAAAAGTGGTGCCTGCTCGCCTGCACTCTGTCTTCCCAGGGTCAGTGAAGGGAGGAGGTGTCCTGTCCCCCAAGTGCACTAGGGAGCCCGGCCCGTCTCCCGAGGTTGCCGGCAGGGGCCGGGGCTGCGGATCAGACTGGGCAGGCGGGTCTACCCTGGAAAGCCAGACCCCCACCCTCTGCCTCCGTTTCTCTGCACCGTCTTCCCTCCCCCTACAGCCCCTACTTAAACCCAGGCGGCGCGCGCTCCCGCGTCTCTCGGGGCGCGGGTCGGGATGTCGCAGGGAACCCAGGCAAGCGGGGGGCCTGGCGCCCACGGTGTCCCGCACGAGGTCGAGGGTCGGCGGTTGGGGACGCGGAGGCCGCCCTCCTCCGCAAGGGAGGCCAGGAGGAGGGGACCCCGGGGTCCAAGCTGGGGCTCTAGAAGGGGAGAGCGCCGCTCCCGCTGGGCCAGGGTCGGGGCGCCAGGCTGCGCGGTGTGGACGCGGGCGCTGCTCCGCGGTAGTTGGCCGCGACTTTGTGCGCGGGGAGTGGGAAGTCGGCCGAGACTACCGGCCGGCCCGGGGTCCCCCAGGCCCCGCTCCCCGACCCGGCCCACGCCGTCTGCAGCCCTCGGTGGCTCGATTCTGAGCCCGCGGCCGCCGCTGCACCGCGGCGAGGCCCCAGCCAGCTGGCTTCGCTCGCGAAGTTTCCTTCCCGCACGGGGAAGTCGCCGGAGCTGCTCCTGGTCCTCCCGCGCCGGCGACGGGAGCTGCAGCTTCCAAGACTCGTTACACGGGTTTGATTCAAAACCTGATAAATTGTATTTAACGCTATTTGAAAATTTTAAACGAAATTATTCAAAAGATTTTTAATCCCGGATAATTTTTGTTGAAACTCTAATTATACATCACCTTAATTACCAGCCCAAGCCCCCCAAGGATCCCTAATTGCCTCCTAATTGAATAAAACAGGGGGCTAATCGGGCCCACAGCGGCCCAGCGAGCTGCCACCAGCCTCACCTCCCCTGAGGGGCCCGGTGGGGGGAGCCCCTGGCTGCTGGGTCCCCTTCACCCAGCCTCCCGGCAGAAATGGCAGACCTGGTCCCCTGCCCTGCGCACTGCCTACAGGAGGACTTGGGAGCCGAGGAAGCCTCGGGGCCAGGAGGGGCCAGGATGTCGGGCTGGCACCTGCTCTGGAAGAGCCGCTCACAGGACAAGGAGGACCCCCCGAGTGGGCGTCTGGTGGTTGGCGAGCCAGGCATGGCCGGTGCCTGTCCCCAAGGAGCCCACCCAGCAGTTGCTCCACAAGCCAGCTTGGCAAGCCCCTCCTGCCAGCTTCCGAGCCATGGCACACCTGCGCAGCCAGGGGCTGAGGGAGGGGGCCTGTGGGTGACACACAGTCCACTGCCGTGGGGCACCAAGCCCTGGCGGCCAGCCCCGCACTCCACCCCTCCACCGCAGCCTCTGTGTTTTCGTCCGAAGCGGGGCAAGACGCTGGATTCCCGCCGGACGTCCTGGCGCTGCTGCCCTAACCGGCCTTCAGAGGGAAGGCTGCCGTCCTGGCTCTGGGGAGGGGACTGGTGGACGGGGCCAACTGCCCCAGGGAGGGTGGGAGAAGGGAGGGCCCAGCCAGCCTGGCCTGTTTCTACGAAGAAGGAAGGAGGCTGTGAACTGGGCCGCCAGCCCCGCTTACCTCTACCCTGTCTCCAGCACACCTTCCACACGCATCACCCTCAAACACGAGCAAGACACACACAGTCCCCATCTAGTGGGGGCTGCAGCTCCCCCACCCCAGGGGCTAGATGGGACTTGTGGAGAGGACACTCCCCCAGCCCTGGGGTATGTGGCATCTAGGACATGGGGTCTGCCACCTAGGTGGGGATCAGGCCTCAAGGAGCAGCTCTGATGGGGGTGCCGACTGGCACATCCTCCTCCTGCACAGAGGCCCCCAGCTGTGCTATGAGGGCGATGGTGATCCAGAGAGCACCTTGGTGGTGCTAACCCCCCACCTGCCCACCTGGCTCACAACAGCCCTGGAAACAATAAGCTTTTGTTAAGCATTGAGTTTGTAAATGTGGGGCTGCAGCAGCCCCTACCCCACCGGCCCTACCGCCCTGGCTTCAGTAGGGGGGACCCTGTCCCTGAACTGTCCTCACTCTGTTCCTGGCCCCCAGGCTCAGGTGGAGGAGGCTGTAGGTTTCCCATCAGCTGAGCCACAGCCCCGGCTTGGGTGCCCCAGTGGCCACCTCTGTCCTTGGAAAGCTCAGCTGGAAGCCCGGGTCACCCCCGGAGCCGCCACCATTTGGCCCTTCACAAGACCCAATCCAGAGGACTAACCCACCTGAACTGAGGCTTGGAGTGGGGTCTCCAGGGAAACACAAACGAAATTACACCTCCAGATGCACACTCGGCGGTGGCCCCCGAAATGCTGGGTCATGGGGTCACCTCCACTGGCCTGGTTGCTGTTCTGTGCCCAGCCTGAATACCAACCTGGTAACCATGACCTTGCCCCTGCCCAACCCCACAGTCCCCTGACCTGGTCAGCATTGTGGGGAGGGGAGGACCTGCTGGCTGGAGTGCTGGCCCTACCGCCTCTGACTCGGGTAATGGACTATGGTCCCCGGGGAAGTTCACATCTGCTTAAAATATCGCCTGATGAAATGAAATTCTTCAGCGGATCCTGCCTTCTTGCTCAGGGCAGGCAGTGTGATCCTGAACCTGCCTCAGCCACCTTGGGGGGCCTGGGACAAGCGGTCCCAGCTGTGGAGCCTGGAAGGAGGGGTTCCCAGCGCTCGGCCAAGTGTGGACAGAGGGCCGAGGCCTGGCAGTCACCTCTCATGGGGTTTTTCCTCACTAAAGACTCTCGGGAAAAGGAAGCCAGCGCTCGGCGCTCCCGCTGGGCCCGGCTCTCCGGCCTCCTGGCCAGATGGCTGCCAGGCACCACTTCTGGTCCTGAGCGGACCCGGTCCCGGGCCACCTTCCCCACCTGGCAGAGGTGGAGCCGGCGGAGAGCTGGGGCCTCTCGGAAGTTTCCAGGGCCGCGCGGGTGCGCCGAGTCCGCCTCTCGCTTGCAGCGAAGGCCCCGGCGTCAGCGCGGCCGGTTTCCCCTTTCTCGTTCCAGCTTAGGGCCCATCCTGGGCGAGGGCCTGACCTGGCGGCCCACACGCAGCCCGGTGGTCCCGACTCTGAGCAGGCCCGCGGTGCACACACAGAACCGAACCCGAACACGCACACGCACACCCCACGCGCGGAGGGCCCGCAACGCCGCGCACAGACAGCCCCTTCGCGTCGGCGGCGAAACGCCCGGTCTTGTTCGCACCAAGAGGGGTCAGAGGTCACGGGAGGCCGAGGCCGAGGGCACCCGGCAGCGGAGCGCGGCGGGAAGGGGGCGCCTCACCCAGGGGCCGGGAACGGCCGATGGCGGGGCGCAGGAGCGTCCGGCACAAACTCGGGAGCTGCTTTTCCCTGGTGCACAGAGCGCGGGGCCTACGGCCGCGGGGCAGCTGTTGGGACGAGCCGGGCGGGCCCCGAGCCGAGGGAGCGGAGCTTCGGAAAACCGCCGCGAGTCCCGCGCGCACCCGGCTCACGTTTGGGGGCTCGGCCCCGGGAGCTGCGAGGCCGGCCTGGAGGGACCCGGCCCCGGAGGCGCGGACGGAACGGCGTGGGTCGGGCGGGGACCTCGAGGGGAGCGGCCCGGGCGCCTCTTCTGCGGGTGGGCGGGCGGGCGGCCTGCAGAGGAGGGGGCGGCGGGAGCAGGCGGCGCCGATTCCGCTCCGCGCGGCGCTGGCCGCTTCGCTGCAGCCGGGGCTTCGGCGGGGCTGCGGGAGCCGCGCTGGCCGGGCCGCGGCTCCGCCTGTCCTCACCTGCCCGCCCGCCTCACCGCGGATGGCGCCGGCGACCGGGGCTGCGGGGTGCGCGCGGGCTGCTCGGAGGCGCTGTGGCGGGCGAGGGCGCGGGTGGCTGGAGCACCCGGCCCGCGGCAAGGACCGGCTGGCGGCAGGCGGGGCGCGCGGAGCCCGGGGCTCGGCCGAGACGGAGCGAAAGAGAAAGTAAGACCGAGGACCGGGCAGCCTGGCCGGGGCAGCTCTGTCCCCGCCGGGCCCGGCTGTGCCAGGCAAGCGGGTACAGAGGGGTCCACGCGGGCCCGAGGGCGGCAGCGGCGGGTCGGGAGGTGGCCGGGTGGGTCCCTCCTGTCGGAGGCACTGTCGCCCCGGCGGCCCGCGCAGGCTGCCGGCGTCCCAGAGGAGCGCCCTCCACCACGCGGGGCACAGCCGGGGATAAACTTCACGACCACAGTTCCCAGCCCGGGCAAAAGTCTCCATTTTGCTCCCCAAGTGGCTGCGGCTGTCCCGCCGTCGCCACCCCTGCCCCTGCGCCCGCGGAGCCGGGTGGGCGCCGGCCCGCGCCCCCTCCTCCGCCCCTCCCCGGCTCGGGGTCTCCCTCCTCTGCGCCCGGCTGGCGGACGCCAAAGGCGGTGCTCTAGCGCCCACTATTTCAAAAGCCCGGAATATGATTTGACCAGGACTGAGAGCCACTCGGAGAGAGAGAGGGAGAGAGCGAGCGGGGAGGAAAAAGTTGCTCTCCCCTTTCGTCAACTTTTCGCTAACTTTCACTTTTCGCTCCCCTCCACCCCCGGCCCTCCCCCTCCGCCCCCCTCCCCGGCCCCCACCGCGCGCCTCGGGTTCCCGGGCCCGAGCGCCTGACACTGGTGGGGGGGGAGGGGGTTCCGCGGGGAGGGGGCCGGCGCCTTCGGGGAGCGCGCGGCCCGGGCGCCCCGAGCCTCCGCGCCGAGCCCGGTCGCCCCGGAGCGCGGGAGGCGGAGCAGCCCCCCGGGCCGCGCGGCCGAGCCGGGGGCCCGGAGCCGCAGGCGCGCCGGCCGCGCCCCGACGCGCACCCCTGGCCCGGGCGCCCCGGCCCGGCGGCCCGGGCCCCGGCGGCGCGGCGCGGCCGAGCGCGGGAGACTTACTTTTGGCTAGCTTCCTCGCCCTCGCCTTGGATCGCATGGTGTCGGCTCGCGGAATCTCTCTCCTCCTCCTTGAGTCCAGAAGCAGCCACACACTATCTTCATCTCCCCAGCATTGTCAGTTTGGACACCTTCGCACATGCGCACAGAGCACTCAATCTGACACCCCTCGCCGGGGCCAAAAAAACTTTGCAATGTATTCATCATCCTCATCGTCGCGCCGCCGCCGCCGCCGCCGCCGCCTCGGCGCGGGATTGGGGGGCTCTCCTCGGCCTTCTCGGTCTTCGTCTCACTTATCTCTCCCCCCTCTCCCCCCCCCCCTTTTCAGCGCAGCTCGGAACTGGCCCTTTAAGAAAACATTCCGTGTTCGGCGCTCCCGCCCGGGGCCCGCACCCCGGACACTTTAAAAGGACCCAGGTGGCCCCGGAGGCGAGGTGACTATCCCCCCACCCTGCCCCTGCGTCGCGGCGCGTCGCGCTGCTGCTCCCGCCCCAGCCGGGGCCGAAGATGGGGCGGCGGCTGCGGTTTTCCACACGACTTCCTTGGATCTCGGGGCACACGCGCCGATAGTTCGGACGCGAGTCCGGGCTGGTTTTGCTCCGTTTTACTGCGTTTGATTACTAATTTAAAAGCTTTGCGTTCCCCGTCGCCCCGGCCCGCTTTTCTCCTGCATTCTCCCCTCGGCCCCCGTCCCCGCCCTGCGATCGCTGGAGGGGGCGTCGGGGCTCGCGCGCCAGAACCCGGCTCCTCCGAAGCCCCCTCCGGGCCCCACCGCCCCCCTCGCGCCTCCCGGCCCCCGCCTCCTCCCCTTCGCCCCCACCCAACGGCTGCTGCTTCGGGCTTCGCGGCTCAAAAACAACAGCGGAGGCGCCGCCAGCTCCGCGCTCCGCCACTGCCCAGGCCGGCGGGCGGCACTCGGACCCGCCGCCCTCGGTCCCTCGCGAGGCCACGGAGGCCAACACGCCTCGCACGGGGGGACAGCGCGGGGGCAGCCGTCCAAACACCAGGCGTCCTCGGCTGGTCGTCCCAGGGCGCCCGCACCTCTCCGCCCGCGCTCTCCTGCCGCCGCGCCCCCAAGGTGAGTACCCGGCTGCGCGAGCGCCCGAGCTGGGCCACCTTCGGGGACCCGGGCCACTGGGGACACTCCCCTCTGGCCTCTCGGGGCCCAGGTGCGTAGCGGGCGGAAAGGCCAGCGGCGCAGGTGGAGCAGCTCGGACGGGAGCCGACCAGACGCTTCCTCTTCCCCTGTAGCCCCCAAACTCCGAGGCGCTGCGGCGGAGGGGCCGGGCTGAGCGCAGGCAGGGTGGCCCGGGCCCAGGAGCCTGACGGCCTGAGTGCGGATTTCTCATCTGAGTATCTGGGAATCGAGAATGAATTGGAAGGAAACCGAGGCGCTGCCCTGGCCAGGTTGCTGCCCCGCACCCTTCCGGAGCACCGAAGTCCTGCCCGGCAACGGGACTTGGAGCTGCCGCAGAGTCAGCCTGAGCCCGAGGCAGGGGTCGCGCCCGCGATGCGGGGTCTCTGCGCCGCCCCGCGAGGCTCCTGGCCTTGCCCTCCCTGCCCTTTGTTGTGTAATAAGACCTGTGGCGGCTCCACTGAGACCCACACGTGCAACTCCGCGCCTCCGCGTTAAAGGAGGTGAAACGCAGCAGCCCTGAGAAACCCCGAGACCCCGGTGTCCTAGCAGAGGCGCCCCGGATGGGGAGGGGCGCGGGGCCGGCGCCACCCCAGAGGAAAAGCCCAGCGGAGCCGGGTTGGGCAGGAGCTGGCGGCGGCGGTGCGCTGGGCCTTCTGCCTTGGATCCTCCGCGGTCGGCACCGCTTCCCTGCTCAGATTCGAACCCAGATTCGGCTCCCAAGGCTCCCACGGCTCCAGGGTGCCCAGTCTTGCAGCCAGCTCGCCGCCCGAGCCCCGGATGGAGGAAGCGCTCACTGGCCGCTACCTCTGCTGTTTCTGGCACCAGGTGAGTGTCGCCTAGAGAAGGGCCATGAGCAATGGCACAGCCCCATTCCCTGCCGTCCTTTCGAGGGTCTATCGACCCCTTTACCCACCCTCCCCACACCCTGACCATCTTTCTACAGGGGTTGGGGCAGAGAACAGCTCAGTTTACAGGCCCGGCTCTGGAGGTCTTGATCTGCCTAGCCAACTAGGGCACCGCTGCAGCTTTGCACCGCCAAGGCCGGTTCTGAACCTGCTCGCCCCAGTGGGTGGGAGGTGCTGGAGCCCAGGAACACGGGCGCTGTCTTGCCTAAACCCCGCCAAGGGCAGGTTCCCAACGGTGGGCCCAACCTGGCTGGAGCTGCTGGCTAGAAAGGACTCAAGGTCACTCCCATATCTCTGCACCCAGGTCCCCCTTGCTCCTGCCTGAAGCCTCTGCAGGTTTGGGAGGAGGCCTGGGGAAGTTACTATGGTGCCTGCGAACCACTCCCACCTGCAGAGAGGGTCCCTTCCCCACCCTCACCCTGCAGCCCAGCAGAGGCCTCCTTTGCCCCTGGCCTGGAGGTAGCCAACAGATGCCAAGGTTGTGCAGTCCTGGCCTTCTTCTACGGGTGCCCCAACTCTCTCAGGCCCTCTCCCTGCCTCCTCCTCCAGCTCAGGAGGTGGTTCTCAGAACCCTGGCCAGGCTAGGACAGGACAGCCATCCCTGGCCTGTTGCCAGCCCCTAGGGAAGAAGGGCAGGAGGTATGGGAGCAAGCTGGTCTGTGCCATCTGGTCCTTGCCCTCCACCAGGCTGTTGGGTAGGGATGGGGTCATGGATCTGCCTGGGAAGGGGTAGCTGCCGGTCAAGCCTCGCCAGGGAGACAGCCGGGCTGCCTACCTGCAAGGCACTGACGCAGCCCTGGCTCCAGTGGGGCAGTGTCTCCCGAGCCTGCTCGAGGAGCCCAGGCAGGCTGTCCCCAAGGCCATGGCCCTGGCCGAGGTTGCATCCTGGCCTGGCCAGGCCCTGCCCCCGCGTGGCCAGACTTAGAAGCGGAGAGCAGGTCAGGCATTGAGGAGTCCCGTGGGGAAAAAGGGTGAAGCAGGGAAGATCAGATGCAAGTCCTCCCTGGGGCCCAGTTCTGTGTCCCTGCCTGGCAAGGGCTTTGGGGGGCTTGGAGAACAGGTAGGGCAAATGTAGGCCCAGTGGGGAAAAGGTTGATACTAAAAGGTCTAAGGGCAATTTTCAAACCAAGTCTAGCTCTGCAGAGCCTTGAGGCTGATGCCAGGCCCTGGGGCCCCTGCGCTGGGATTGTAAGTGCTGTAAGCTCATTCCTACTGACCTCCTTGGGTCGTCCAAGGACAGTGAGTGTGGGTTGGCCACATAGAGGCTCCTACACTGGACAACTGCACGCTGCTGTCGAGTTCCAAAACCAATTTCATAGCTGGGGTCTTGGAGGCTAGAGCGGGGCTTTAACCACCAACTTCTGCTGGGGTCTGGGCAGAGAGGGAGTCCATGGAAACTCGATTTCTCCATGAGCCCTGCAGACTCCCAGTGTTTCTAACGGCTGGAGACCCATGACCAGGTTAATTCCTTAGGGAAAAGGCCGGGTTTGAGAGCCAGAAATGCTGGTCCTGCCGTGCTGGAGGAAGCATCTTATTAGCGAGTAGGAGGCCCCCAAGCCCCAGGGGTTCCCCAGAAGCCCATTGAGTAGCAGAACTACCATGCCGGCCTGCCCTCCACTCCCGGAATCTACAAATGCATTCAAGGGCTAGAGGGCCCCTTCGCTTGGCCAGGCCTTGTGCCCCATGCCAACTGGCAGGGTCAGAGCAGCCCCAGCTGCCCCTACCCCCAGCCCCTCAGGCCCCAGGGAGCCCTGCTTCGGGCCGTGTGTGCAGGACAGGAGGTAGGCATGGCACCTGGCAAGATGGACTCACCTCACCAGGTTCTTTCTCTCCCACTTTCTCTCCCCTCACCTCACCCCTTTCTCTCCCACTCCTCTGTGCTTTTTGAACTTAGCCATGGGTTTTCAGATACTTGGCCTCAGGCTCTATTGAATTCCAGGTCAAGGTTTTACTGACTCCACACCCCCACCTTGTTCCTCCGGGTAGCAAAGAAGCACACAGCCTCTGGTTTACCAACGGGCTTTCCTGGGAGATTGGAAATGCCCCAGGTGGGATCCAGATCGCCAGCGCTCACCCCACCCCCAATACGTGGGCCACTGAGTCAGGCCAGGATGAGGCTCTTGCTCCCCGGGCATGTTCTCCTGCCCCAGACTTGAGCAGCAGGAGCCAGGAGACCACAGGGGCCCTTGGGGATGGCTGACTTGGCTCCCACTAGACAGAGGGGAACATGGAGGAGGGCTGCTTGGACCCTATACCTCGCAGGGGACTCGATGGGGGCTGAATGCTGGAAGGAGCCTGCGTTTGGTCTAGAATGGTGGGGGTGGGTGGGAGACACAAGTCATGGAAAAGGCCATTTCTTCCCTATTGAGACCTCTGAAATGACCCGAAGTGGGTGCTTCCTCCAGCATCATGCCTCAGCCGCACACTGGGGCTACAGGAATCCCCCCAGACCCTGGGGTCAATATTTCGGGGCCCCTTTGAACCTTCTTCTCACCCGAGGCCTGGGAAACCTTCTTGTGCCCCAGAATACTTGGAGAGGACAGGACACAGGTCCCAGTTGTGGCCCAGTGGTGGCAAGGTTCCATTCCCTGCACTGCTCAAAGGTGGGGGCCTCCCAAAGCCGATACCCGATTCCTGGTCCCAGAGTGGGTAGCTGGGAGGAGTGGACTTCCTAGGAATGTGAGCCATGTCGCTGATTTCGAACAAACCCCAGATGTGTGGAAACTGACTTATTTTGATTGCAAGAGGGTCCTTGTCCCTTGCAGATGGGCAGCTTCCGGGGACCGGCTTGCACGATGCCGTGGCCACCCCAGTGGAGACCCTCTGCCCGGCTTTGTGTCCTGGCGTCCCCACCAGGGTGCCCAGCTCTCCTGCGCAGATGTCGGGAGTATCTGGATGCCCCATGGGCACTTCGAGGGCCCAATCCGGAGTTTTTTGTTTTGTTTTGTTTTAAGAGATTGAGACTGTGAACCTGAACTCCCTTGATCTCCTCCCGTTGGGCCCAGGAGGGAGCCGAATCCAGGCCCAACCGGGCTCACTGAGAAGGTGCAGGAAGCCCCCAACGACTCCTACTCGTGTGCGGCCCATACTGGGCCAGGACGCTGCAGTGGCCGAGCCGCTGGGTGTCTGCAACGGGGAGCTCCCCCGCCGCTGGGGGCAATAAACGGAATCGGTTTCACACGCTTTCCCTCTTGATCTAAGAACCTTTAAAAATCCGCCAACGAATGCTGTTGCCTGGATGCGCTGCCTATGACCTTCAGCCGTGTGTTCACGCGCGCCCGCAGCCGTGGAGTGGCGGTCCCTCCTGCCGCCCGCAACCCCGGGGCCGCCGGTCTGCGCACACCGGGAGCAACTTCGTTACCCACAGCGCCCGCGTCCTGCGGCTCGCGCGGAACTGCGCGCGGGAAGGTGGCAGAGCGACGCTCCAGAACGCTGCTTGCGTAGACGCTGCCGCTGCCTTCAGATCCCAATTCGGCCGCGCGCGGGCGGGGCCCTGGCAGCAACGAAAATGGCGAGCCTCGTAGCCTTCCGGGCCCGGCGGCCACATTCCGGGAGTCGCCAGGTGGGAGCCCGCCTTCCGTGTCCCCAAACGCCCAGAGCCCGGGACACGGGCCGGCGGCCGGGTCACCAAGCCAGTTCCCGGAATCGGCTCGCGCCGGAATCCAGACTCGGCTTGCAAAGCCCGCTCCTGCCGTCTCTCCGCAGCGCGCCCTGCCCCCCACTGCCGGCCCTCTTAGCTTCAAAACCAAATTTTGCCTTTCATCCTGAGAGATTAATACCCCGCAGGTGAAACCGTGGAGACGGAGCTGCGGTGGGTTTCTTTTCCACGCCTCAGTTTCCTCGTCTGTGAAATGGGACCAGGCGCGCCTGTGCTTCTCCGGGAGTTTATTGCAGGGCTGGCTGGAGAGAATGGCTGGGTGGAAGCTGCCAGGAGGAGGCCCAAGGCCGCCCACCCCGTGGGCCTCGTTTGCTGAGCGGGGGTCAGAGGCGTGCGGGACAGGGCGCGCCCCACGGCGGCTCTGGAGGCGGCCCGGCCCGTCCCTGTCTCCTCCCCTCGCTCCCCCTCCCCCGGCCTTCCCGGAACTCTCCTCGCCCGCTGGGTGGAGGAGGGGCGAGGGCCGACTCCGCCGCCCCTGGGGTCTCCCTCCTCCCACCCCCACCGCAGAGTCTGGCCCGCCCTGGGCTTTCCTCTCAGGTCCCTTTGGGTCTCCAGAAGCCCGGAGGTTTCGCGCAGACTCGAACCTGAGATGACACCACCCAGCACCCCAAATCCTGCAGAGTGTGGAGGGGATCTGGGGAGAAGGCAGGGGCTGCCCGGGCGCTCTGGCTGCTGGGGGTGGGGGACAGGGCCTGCCGGGGAAGCGGGTCGGGGGAGGACTGGAGACCCAGGCTCCCCTAGGTACAACGAACCTCGCGGGAGGGAATACGCCATCCCCGTACCCACTTCCGAGGACGTAGGTCTTTTGGCACCGGCGGCAGCCGCGTTCCCACACATCTGGGCGGGGCCCCGCAGCATGGCCTGGGGAGCTGAGGCTTCGGGATCCGGCACAAACTACCATTCTAGGTGTAGACGGAGGAGGTGGGGTGTGGGAAGCAGGGGGCCATGGTCTGAGCAGACCTTCTCACCTCTGGGCCTCCCACCTCCTGGGGCAGGACTTACGGGGAAGGACCCGAGGGGAGTGGGGTGTCCATAGGGACACCCAAGGGTCTATCCCTGCGAGCTTTGCTTTCTACTAAACCAATAATCGCAGTGGTGGTGGCAGTCGAGACACGGCTCAAAGAGCCGGCAAGAATAGAGCAGAGACCAGGATCGCCCCAGGCAGGGAAAAAATGACCAGTTCTGTAGAGTGACCCGAAGGTGATGGAATCACTCGGGCGTCCTCCTGGGAAAGAGCTGCCTGCTCCCCCGCCGCCGCCAGTACACCGGCGCCCATGCCCCGGGGGCTGGAGAGAGCAGCCAGGCACAGGTAACTCAAGAACTCCAGTCCCCTCACGGGTGCCGTGCTGTGGGGCGCCCTCACCCCCACACTTTGGGTCCCTGGGCCTCCTCATCAAAGCAGGGGCCTGAGTGGCAGGAACACCCCTGTGTGCAGAATAGTGCCCCCTGCAGCCCCCACAGGTCACCTCTTTGAGGACCTAGGTGGGGCCTGCCCTGGGGACTGGGGTGAAGAGGGCAGGTCCAGCCTTCAGCAGCCCCTCCCCCATGACTTCAGTGGAATTACAAGGGGAACACCCAGGGCAGCTCCCGTAGGCTGCACAAGGGAAGAGGGGAGGGCTTCTACTGAGGTGAAACAGTGACCCACCCCTCCCACACCGTCAGCCTCCCTCCCCTCTCCACCCTTCAGTGCTGGGACCCCAGGGCCCATAGACAGCTGGGGGAGTGGGGAGACAGGAGGAACTCAAGCTCAGCTTCTGCCTCCTGTCTCCTGGGACCCTCGGGCAGCCCCTCCAGCTTCCTGGGAGTCCAATTTCCCAAGGTAGAACGGTGGCGGCAGAGCCTGGCCCTGTGGTGGGGCAGCTGCACCCCGATGAGTGGCTTGCAGTTCCTGGAGCCCTGCAGGTTGTTGGAGAGGCAGGGAGCCCTTCTCCCTCCTGCCTGCCCTCTTGCACTTCCTCTCCCAGAACCCAGCACTACTCCCAGAGGCTCTGAGCTGGAGCCCTAGAAGGTAACCACCTCCTGGCTGGACACAGGGCAAGTTGGGGCCAGGCGTGAGGACAGGTGCCCCAGGAGCCACCTGCTCCACTCATCCACAAAGGCCTTAACTGGCTCAGGGGCCCCTAGCTCCCAGTCAAGCCCTGCCCTCCTGACCTTGTCCTGCCCTGGTGCTGCCAGTCGGGTGGAGATGTCTAGGGGCCAGCTGGTCTCCTGGCAACTGAAGTCCGCGCTTCCCTTCCGTTCACTCATTCCTTCCTTTCCTCATGCAGGAGGCGCTGCAAGGCTCCGTGCTCCTGGAGCTTCGAGTCTATGGTATGAGTTAAACAGAAGGGTATCTCCTCCATCAGATCTACAGGAGGGTGTCTGCTCCATCAGACCTGGAGCTTCCAAGGCATTTTACCCGAAGCTCCAGCACCTGGCCCAAGGCTGGGCTGTGCTGTGTCCTCAGTGAAAGAATGGATGAGTCACAGCTGAATGACTGAAGAGCTGAACCAGTAGGTTTCCCTGGGGTTTCCACAGGCAGTTTCAGCCCAGGGGAAGACCCAGGGAGATGAGGGCCACCTTGCAGGACGCTGTGGTGTGGAGGCAGCAGCCTGGGGCAGGGACTGTGCTGAGTGTCTGAGGCCGAGCCACCCCTCTGTAACCTCTATAATCCATCAGGTCTCAGAGGGCCGTCCTATGTTCAGTAAGCCAATGCTAGCACCATGTGACGAGGACACAGCAGTGAGCAGCTGCCCAGGCCCCTTGCACTGTGTTTGGAAAAGGAAGCTGGCTTGTTCAGGGGTCCCCAGCAGGATGGGGGGCGGGGGCAGGGACCATGGCAGAGCGAGAGTTCTAGGAGAGAAGCTGGTCCACCCACAGGCTCCCTGGCCTGGGTGCTGTACCAGGCAGGGTGCTGGGCATTGTGCTGCTCACTTCCCACCCCTGGGTTGCAACTGGGGGCTGTGTGGCCTTCCCAGTCCTGTTGTGGGTGCTGTGATTGTGCCCACCTTACAGATGGGAAAACTGATGCTCAGAGGCTTGAGCAACCTAGGCCAGGACCTGTCCTTAGAGGCAGAAGCAGGACTCAGAGGAAGAGCACCCTGACCACAAAGCCCCAGGTGACTTACACTGCAGGGATGGCGCTCTCCGGGGTGTGCAGGGTGGCAGAGGTGCCTCTGCAGAGAGATCCCTGCCTGGGACCCTTTCCTGGGGCTCTTCTGGTGCTGGGAGTGTGAGCACCACGAAAGCCCCACTACAGTCATGCCACCCAGAGGGCGCTCTGGCCTCTTGGTCACCCGTGTCCTTCTGGCAATGACCAATACACTTTTTTGCCAGGGTCCAGAAAGACTCAGCCACTGGAGTCTGTATTTCCTGAGTCGCCTCTCACTGGTAAGTCCTGAGCCCCGTTCCTTCCCAGCACCCACTCTTGGAGCAGCTCTCCAGGGCTGTGCTGTGGCTGCTGCGGTCAGGGAGAGGTCGCATGCTCCAGCCAGGGTCTTTGGGGACTCAGTTTAGAACTAATACGCCAAGCAAGTCGTGCTGAGTGTCTGGGCTTCTTCTAGGAAGGTATTTCCAATCATCAAATGTGCCATTAAAAAAAATGCATGTCAGTTAAGTGTGCACTAAGCCTGGACCACATGGGACATAGTGGTTCCAATAAACACGAATAAGCCAGTTTTCACATTAGAGAAATACCAGTTTCTTGCAGAAATGCGGTGCTTTTAAAAGAGGTTAATTAATAAACAGCAGGTAATTGTTCGTGGCACGTTGTGGCAGAGGGTAATTTTCATTTTAGAGGATGGAAGGGCCAAATACCCCTCCCCACTCAGCATTTTTCTGTAATAATCACCTCAGCTTCACCTCCGCCTTTCATTTTTACAGCTGGAGCTGTTTATCATCGCTCCAACTTTCACTAAAAAGGAAAAACTATCACTTAAACAAAGCCATTGAAACCCCAGCATCATGTGTGGATTTTTTAACATAAATAAATCATACAAACTAAGATTTATGTTCTTGGAATGATGTCATTCATTGAAGGCTGCCTTCCCAATCAAAGCCGTGTTTAGTGATTTTTCTTTAGTGGGTGTGCTTTTTGCTAAATAGGAAAAACCCGTTCGGTCATCCTTGCTGCTGTCTTTTCTCGGTTTGGCCCAGAACATCAGAAAGGTTTCTCCCTGGGCCAGTCCACAGAGCCAAATGGTGAAAATGGTTTTAACTCCACAGACTGCTTTTAAAGCCTTTGCTTTGGAACCGTTAAGTCTGAGATCAAAAGACTGTTAAACCTTCCCTAAGAATGTGTGCAGGCCTCAGCAGAAGTTTATGGTCCTCCCAGGTCTCCCAGAGCCTAGAATGAATCTCGCTGCAGAGTAACGCATCTGCAGAAGCTTCACCAAATTGAAATGAGTGAGGAGCATTAAAATCAGCACACGTGGATAAATAACAGGTGGCATATCCATGCAATGGAATACTATGTCGCCATGAAAAGGAATGAAGAGCTGACGCTTGTTACAGCATGAATGAACCTGGAAAACATGACGCTCCGTGAAAGAAGTCAGTCATAAAAGGTCACGCTTTGTGTGATTCCATTTATACGAGATGTCCAGGATGGGCCAATCCATAGAGACTGAAGACATATTAGTGGTTGCCTGGCTGTAGAAGTAGAGGCAGTAGTACTCTGGGCCAATGAAGGCCCTGGGAACAGATGGGCCACACCAGAGTCCAGCTTCAGCCCTCCAGGCATTGAAAGGAGACCATTAGCTGGAAGCCAGTGGGAAGTCGGGCTGACTA
This sequence comes from Homo sapiens, assembly GCF_000001405.40. Classification (NCBI taxonomy): domain Eukaryota; kingdom Metazoa; phylum Chordata; class Mammalia; order Primates; family Hominidae; genus Homo; species Homo sapiens. Next base: position 3,058,831 of record NC_000001.11, on the reverse strand, counting down.
ATAGGGACAGGTGTCCAGGAGGCTGCAGTGTGAGGCTTTCATTTGTTCAAGCAACACACATTCACTGCACTCTTACCGTGTGCCAGGGACAGCCATAGGCCCTGAGACTACAGCAGTGATGGAGACAGACGCTGCTCCCATCAAGGTCATGTTTTGATGGGGAAAGCAGCAATAAGCCAAATACATATGGGTCTGGGGTGCCAGGCTAGACGATTCTAGTGCAATGGACATGAAAGAGGAGAGAGGTGAAGGCACAGTCTTCAATCGGTTGTTCAAGAAAGGCCTCACTGAAGTGGTGACATTTGGGCAGAGACGTCAGGGAGGGATGAGGGAGCCACCCAAGTGTCTGGGAGAACAGCACTGGGGCAGATGGAACAGCCAGTGCAAAGGCCCTGAGGCTCCAGTGACCAGTGTGGCTGCTGCAGAAGGACGGGGAGGGGAGGAGGGGAAAACCGTGTAGAGTGGCAGTGGGAGGACAGATTAAGGCTGCAGGTGGAATTAAAGTTGCTCTTTCAGCTGACTTTAAAGTAGGGAGACGATTCCAGATTATCTGGGTGGCCTTAATGTCATCACGAGGATCCTTAAAAGTGGAAGAGGGAGGCAGGAGAGTCAGGATTAGGATGAAGTGGAGATATGTGAGAATATGAGGAAGATTCCCCTGGCTGTGCTGGCTCTGAAGACAGAGGAAGGGCCCACGAACCAAGTTACGTGAATACGGACAGACTCTAGAAGCTAAAAAAGGCAAGGAAATGGATTCTAGAGCCTCCAGCAAGGAAGGCAGCCCTATGCATGCCTTGACTTTAGGACACTGAGATCCATTTCGGACTTCTGACCCACAAAACCAAAATCTAGTAAGTGTGTGCTATTTGAAGCTGCTAAATTTGTAGTAATTTGTTACAGCAGCCACCAGAAATTAATATGGGGAGGAAATAGGGATTTCATCTGTCCATAGTAAAGACATGCCGGGGGTGATAAGAATCTGAGCCCATCTCACCTAGATGAGAACGAGAGAGTAATGACCACAGAATAGTGGTGATGGCCATCCTCACATCTGGCTCCTTAGCCACCCATGCCAGTATGGACTGACTGCCTTCTACGTCTTGTCCATGGCCATTCTCTAGGGAAATTCCCTTGCATCTCCTGCTACCTTTACAGACTACATATTTTGTTGGATTACTTTCTCATTTTCATGAAGCATATCTTCTAGTAACTTCTGATAAAAGATGCATAGGAGATAAATATTTTAGGACTTCCACAGTACCAGAATGATGGATGAACTGGGTATAGAATTCCAGATTGGAGATGATTTTTTTGTTCAGAATTTTAGAGAATATTGCCCCATTGTCTTCTTGCTACCAGGCAGCTATTGAGAAGTCTAGGAAGATTCTGTTTCCTCGGACTTTGTGTGCAGTGTGATTTTTCCTTTTTGGAATTTTATAGAATCTTCTTTGTCCCAAGTGGTCCCATATTCCACAATGATGTGCCCTAGAATGTGTCTGTTTTTATCCACTGTGAGTTCTTTCCAACTGAGAACTTGTGTCCATTAGCTCTGGGAAATTTTCTTGAAATACTTTCTTAGTGATTTCTACTCTCTGTTTTGTTTCTTCTTCATTTTTGAAACTTGATATTTATATGAGCTTTCTTCTGCACATATAATCTGTGTGTCCACCAAATGGCTTTGCTCTGTTTGTTTCAATCTGTCTTTCCTGAGGCATCTGCTGATTCTTGGCTTTCTGCCCATGATGAGGAGCTGACTGGAAGTTCTGACAGTAAGAGAGGAGGGGTTCATTGCCCTTGAGACCCATGAATGGGAGTGATCCTTGATCCTTGGATGTCAGTATCTTTAGGAACTGACCTGATTCCCAGAGAAGTTACCCAGGGAGCAAGGGAGGGTCTGGCTGCCAGTCTTCTTGGAGTCAACTTGGAGTTGAAGGCAGGGGTCTTTGCAGTCAGCTGCCTGAATTCTGGGAAATAAACCTCTGGACTTTTGCTGGTGTGGGGGAGGGGTGGTCGCTCAGGGAGGATAAGGAGGGGATAGGAATCCCCCTTTACTAAGCCATCCTGATCGTAGCCGCTCTTGCACCCCAAGTCCTAGAGGTACCCTTTTTTTTTGACGGAGTTTCACTCTTATTGCCCAGGCTGGAGTGCAATGGTGCGATCTTGACTCACTGCAGCCTCTGCCTCCTGGGTTCAAAAATTCTTCTGCCTCAGCCTCTAGAGTAGATGCGATTACGGGTGCCCACCACCAGGCCTGGCTAATTTTTTTTGTATTTTTAGTAGAGACAGGGTTTCACCATGTTGGTCAGGCTGGTCTTGAACTCCTGACCTCAGGTGATCCGCCCACCTTGGCCTCCCAAAATGCTGGGATTATAGGCGTGAGCCACCACGCCTGGCCCCTAGAGGTAATCTTATACTCAGTCTTGAGTGTTAGGATTCCCCTTGGTTATAAATCTGGTAAAATCTCACCTTCCTGCTCTCTATTCAGGATTTTCTCTTGTCTCTGATCCAATTGCCACAGGTCCATCAGCAATTCAGCTTTCAGAAGGGAGGCCCACCCTTATGGGTAGATGCCTTTTGAAATCTCTTTATTGTGGTTGAAGTGGGGCTTACAGAGGGGACGCTATTGAATGGGTGTGTGTTTAGTTTGCCATCTTAACCCGAGGCTTTTGTGGCTATTTTAGAAAGACTGTGTCCATTCTTAGGTCTAGGCCCGATACCACACACAGTGTCCACACACAGGGGCTCTGACCCCACAGGGTTCTTTGGGTCCTGATCAATGATCTTTCAAGAGCCTCCCCCTTGACCTGCTTCTGGCCACAGAAACAGCTGATAAATGAAATTTGTTAGTTTCCTACAATGGAGTGTTGCATCAGCAGTGAACATAGTGACAAGAGTGCATGCTTATCACCACGCTGACATGTCCCTGAGACATGGGGGCGACCTTTAAGAATGTCAGCTGAAATATTAACAGCGGTTTTCCCTGGGTGATTAGATCTGATAATATTAAAACTTTTTTCTCTGTTATGTTTCTCTGCATTTAATTTTTCTCCACTGACTGTATATTAGTGGTGGAAGTGTTACAATGTTTAAAAATAAGAACATCAAAAAATTAGCCCAGGGTGGTGGTGGCATGTTCCTGTGGTCCCAGCTACTCAGGAGGCTGAGGCAGGAGGATCTCCTGAGCGCAGGAGGTAGAGGTTGCAGTGAGCCAAGATCTCACCACTGCACCCCAGCCTGGGTGACAGAGTGAGATCCTGTCTCAAAAAATAAAAATAAAAATGAGAAGAAAATCCTATCTGTCCTTCAATAACCAGCTCAGCCACTGCTACCTCCCGGGAGTCTCCCGTATTCCCACTGTTGGGAATGCTTCCTGCACCACATTAAATAAACTGCATTTTCTAAATATCAATTTGATTTCTGAGTTTGTCTCTCTTCTCCTGGGGTGTGGACAGCTGGAGATGTGGTCTGAGCACATCGCATGTTTGGACGGGAGAAGCACGGGTGTCTGGCCCCAGGCTCCCAGCCCCGAGGCGTGGGCGGGTGGGTGGGTATGCAGGCTCTGGAGTGTCCCTGGATCCATCATGCCCTCGCTCTGGGCTGGAGCTGGTCACAGCTGTTTTGGCCTCAGCCTCCCCCTCTGTAGATGTGACTAGTGTGAGGGAGAGGGTCATTGACTGCATGTAGGGCTGAGGACCATGCTCCGTGCAGAGTGCAGAGCCCAACTGCTGCCAGACTGGGTCTTTGTAAATGAAATCAAATACAAGCCACATACAATTTCACGTCCTGAAACCATTTTTAAGTGTAGAGTTCAGTGGCATTGGGTACATTCACAAAGTTGTGCAGCCGTCATCATCCTCATTTCCAGTCGCTCCCCATAGCCCCTCCCCAGCCCCTGGCACCCCCCTTTCTGCTTTCAGTCTCTATGGACGTAGCCACTCCAGGGACTTCGTAGAAGTGTAGTCACACAGGATTTGTCCTTTTGTGACCGGCTGATCTCACTTGGCTCATGTCCTCAAGGTTCAGCCGTGTTGTCACACATGTCAGAGTTTCCCGCCTTTTAAAGACTGAGTCATCCTGCGTCGCATGGCTGGCCCATGTCTCCCTTGTCTGTTCCTCCGTGGACAGTCCCAGCTGCTTCTGCCTCTGCCACGCTCTCTCCAGCAGTGCCCTCGCTCTGAGCCTTGCTTCTGTGCTGCCTGTGACTCATCTGCCCAGGGGCTACGGGCCTCTTTGGGGGTTCAGGACACCCTCTTTGACCTGTCTTCTCTGTCCCCTCCTGCTGCGGGGCTCCCGGCGGGGCTGTGTGGGGTCTGATCTGATTTCTTCCCTGTTCCCCAGCAGATGTGCACTGGGTGCCTTCTTCGAAGATCCACGTGAGTCAGTAATGGACAATGTTGCCTTTTTGTTAGATTTTACTCACTTTTCATTTGAGGCTTAAGCCCCAAGGGATTTCCAGGGCTGCAGCAATTCCTGGGTCACTGTCCCCACCTTGTCCCTGATTGGATGAGGAAGCAGGGGGTGGGGTGAGAACTTCACCAGCGGGATTGGGGGCTCTTTGCTGAGTACTTGAGGACAGTGACTGGCCTCCACTCACACCCCTAAAATTGGGTATGTCCCCTGAGAGAGCCAGGGACATGGCTCCTGCAGATCCTGGGGAGACACGCTGAGGGGCAGCAACCTAGCCCCCAGCCCCACTCGCTCCTGACCCTCAGCCTCCAGGCAGCCTCAAGGGGAGGATGGCTACACCCCGGACCCCAGAGCTCCCAAGAAAGAACGGATCCTTGAAAATATCCGCAAAACAAGGCCTTTTCTGAAAACAAATGGTGGCAGTGTTTGGAAATGAGAGGATGGCTGGAGGAGTTTCTGCCCCCTTGTTAGGGAGATCTAGCCATCTGACATTTGTGGTGCAGGAATTATATGCACAGAGCCACAGGGCCACTCGCACACGCTATGCCATAAAGAGGGATTTCGTACACCGGGCTGGAGGGCACTGGATGAGGGGCTCTTGTGTGTGGAAGCCGCCCAGGCTTGAGGGGCATTGCTTAGCCACTGGGAGTCTGAGGCTGGGGTGGGCTCTGCACAAACCCACTCAGAGAGGGCTATCCCTCTTGCTGCCCAGGGGAGCCCCTCTGCACATGGACAAGGAGAGTGCAGCCCCTCAGGTACTGCAGGGGGCAGTTTCCTAGAGCTGAAAGGCCATTGATATGCTTTGGATCTGTGTCCCACCAAAATCTCATATTGAAATGTAATCTCCAGTGCTGGAGGTGGGGCCTGGCGGGAGGTGACTGGATCACAGGGATGGCTTCTCATGGTGGGAGGTGATTGAATCGTGGGAGCAGTTTCTCGTGGTTTAACACCATCCCCTCTTGATGTTGGCATCACCATAGTGAGTTCTCCTAAGATCTGGTTGCCTAAAAGCATGTGGCACCTCCCCGCTCTCTCTCTTGCTCCTGCTCCCACCTTGTGAGATGCCTCATGCTCCCCCTTAGCCTTCTGCCATGATTGTAAGTTTCCTGAGGCCTCCCTATAAGCTGAGCAGATGCCAGCATCATGCTTCCTGTACAGCCTACAGAACTGTGAGCCAATTAAATCTCTTTGCTTTATACTTTACCCCCAGTCTCAGGTATTTCTTTACAGTAGTGCAAGAATGGACAAATGCAACCACCTTCTCCCAAAGCCCTCGTCCCTCCAGTCCAGTGGGTCTTGCCTCTTGCTCTCTGTGTCACAGTACTCATGAGGACAGCAGTTATGAGCCCAGACACAACTGGGTTCCCATAGGAGGGGATCACAGCCCAGGCACCCCTGCCCCCAGCACAGAGAAGGGACACCAGCACCAGCAGATGCCCCTGTGTGAGGCTGTGTGGTGAAAGAGACCCACACAGAGAAGTAAACTGAGGCAGTTCTTGGTGTCCTGAAGTTAAGCCTCCCTCGAGGTGGGGTGGGGGTGCCTGGTGGCCTGAGGGGCTGAATCACTTTCCTATGGCCTTCCCCATCTGTGGCGAGGATCAGGGGCACTCTGGCCACTCCCCTGCAGACTCAGCCTAGGGTGGACCTTTGGTGTCCTCCCTGACCTGGACACGCAGATTCCCCATCTTTTCCAGGGCAGGGGTGTGGCGGCTCCACAGTCCCCAGAATCCACAAGGGCCTGAATGCTTCCCGATTCCTTTCAGGGCAGGGCAGCCAGCACAGACTCCTTCTCCCACACACCCTGGGCTGAGCTGGCTCTGCTCCCACACCCCATGCCCCTCTGCCTCCTTGCAAGGAGTGGCCTGGAGGGGCCCAGGACACAGGCCTTAATCCCCACAGGAGGGGCAGCTCCTCCGTCAAGGGCAGTTGCTGCCTTCTGTGTCCACTGCCACCACCTCTTCCCACATTTGTCACCTCAAAAGCTTCCTGAATGGTCCCGAAACCTCCCCGCCCAACACAACTCTGAGGGTGTCATGAGAGGGGGGCTTCTTGTCTGTTTTGTTTTTCTTTGTTCCCCAGTGTATAAAGGAGAGCGTGGCACACATGAGATGATCAACAAATGGTTGTTGGACGGATGGATGGAAGATGAGTGAAAAATGGATGGATGGATAGAGGTTGGAAGGATGAAGAATGGAGTATGGATTGGTGGATGAATGAATGGATGGATGATGGGTGTGTGCATGGAGGAATAGATGGATGGGTGGATGGATGGGTGGGTGAGTAAGTGGATGGATGAATGAATGGATGGGTGGGTAGGTGTTGCGTGGATGGAGAATGGATGGATGATGGGTGTGTGTGTGGATAGGTGGATAAATGAATGGATGGATGGATGGATGGATGAGTGTTGGGTGGATAGATGGGTGGGTGAGTGGATGGAAGATGGATAGATGATGGATTTGTGTGTGGATAGATGGATGAGTGGATGGATGGATGGAGGGATGGATGGGTGGGTGGGTGGATGGATGGATGGATGGGTGAGTGGATGGATGGATGAGTGGGTGGGTGTTGGGTGGATGGGTGGGTGGATGGGTGGGTGAGTGTATGGAGGATGGATGGATGGATGGGTGACTTGGTGGATGGATGGATGAATGGATGGATGGGTGGGTGGATGCATGGATGAGTGGGTGGGGTGAGTGGGTTGGGTGGATGGATGGATGGATGGGCGGGTGTTGGGTGGATGAGTGGGTGAACGTGCAGGTGAGTGGGTGGGTAGATGGGTGATGGATGGATGGGTGGGTGGGTGGATGTGTAGGTGTGTGAGTCAGTGAGTGTTGGGTGAATGGATGGGTGGGTGTGTGGGTAAATGGATGGATGGATGGATGGATGGATGATGGGTGGGTGTCAGGTTGATGGGTGGGTGGATGGATGGATGAGTGGATGGATGATAGCTGAGTGGGTGGATGTGTGGGTGAGTTGGTGAATGGTTAGGTGGGTGGGAGTTTAGTGGATGGGTTGGATGTGTGAGTTGGTGGATGAATGGTTGGATGGTGGGTGGGTGGGTGTTGGATGGATGGATGAGTGGGAGGATGGGTGAATGGAGAGGTGGATGTGTGGATGAGTGTGTGAGTGGGTGAATGGATGGGTGGGCAGGTGTTGGGTGGGTGGGTTGGATGGGTGGGTTGGTGGATGAGTGGGTTGGTGGATGGGTGAGTGGATGGTGGGTGGGCATTGGGTGGATGGATGAGTGGATGGGTGGCTGGGTGGGTGGGTGGAGGGATGAGTGGGTGGATGGGTGTCTACCGGTTGGGGGTTGGATGGATGAATGGGTGGTTGGATGAATGGATGGGTGAATAGGTGGGTGGGTGGATAGATGGATGGATGAATCCCTCCACCTAATGAACTGATTGTAAAACTGATGACTAGTAGAAGAATAGCTTCTGCTCCAAGTCACAGGGCACTCTGGCCACAGAGCTGCCCTGAGACCCCAGATCTCTGTTCTTGTGCCCAGCTGTGTGTAGTGGTAAGTTTCACCTTGACAAGCAGGTCTGATCCATGTCTGCTGTTGACCCAGGATGGAGCTCTCCAGGGGCAGAAACCTGATCTTCCTCACCTCCATTTATTGCACCTGTAGGTACAAGTACAGTCCCCAGTCTGTCACTCCTTGGCATGTGACCCTGGGCATGGGACCCAAGAAAGAGAGGTGATGCCCACCTCTCAGGGTTGCTGCACAGAACAAATAAAGTGATGGGCTTTATGGAAACAGATAAGTGGCAGGCAGATGACATCCATGCCCTTGCCCCACCAGACACTCTGCCCATTGTCCCTCATTCTGCTGAAACTGCTTGCCAGGGTCCCCAGAGATGTCTGAATGGCCCTGCCCCATCTTCATTCTCCTGGGCCCCCTGCAACATGTTTGTGCAACTCATTCCTGAAGATGGACACACACCTCTTGGCTTTCCTGAGGTCCCTCCCTGCAACAGGGTCTTGCCAGGATCCTATGTCAGGAAAAGGCTTGAGTCCAGTTGTTCTAAGGAGGATTGGAAACCCCGGAAGCTGCTTGGAATGGGAGGGTCTTTCCTTTAACCCCCTTTTGTGCACCACCCTCCCGCTGCTCCAGCACTCAGACAGCCACACACTTCATGTAAGTTCAGGAACAGCCAGAGCCAATTCTCCCCAGTCCTGCCCATCTCTCTTGGCTGAGTCTCTGAAGCCACACAGCGGGGCCCAGCTAAGCCCCTGACCTCACCCCCCCAGAGGGAGCAGTGATGAACCTGGCTGGGTCCTTCCTGGACTCTCCCTGCGTAGGTATCTTGGGGCCACCCCTGAGGCTTACAGGCTGCCATGCCAGCAGGGTTTAATGGGCACTGTGGTGGGGGCCTGGGCTGTTCTTGGCTGTGGCCTCTGATGAGGGTGTCACAGGTACCCCCAGGGTCTTTGGCCAAACAGGCAACTTTGTGGAACATGGTCCCCTGTGAGGAGGCACTGGACTCTCTGAAGTGAGGCACTGAGGAACAGCTGCCCTGTGCTCCAGAGTTTTTATGAGTTTGCCTTAAAGATTTTATTTCCAGAAAAAACCGAAAGCAATTAATCCAAATTACAGAGTAGTCATTTGCAATAATATTTGCTTTAAATATATGTATTTTTTAAAACCCCTAAGCTGTGGGCCTCGAGTGAGTTCGAGGTGAAGGACACCTTGAAATAATTACATTTTTTGCTCGTTTTATGTTGTGAAAATGGCTTAGTTGATTTGGGGAAGAATTGTAAAATGTTCAGCTGACTCCCTTATAAAGGCGACATTATTTTTTTCTCCCATTTCTGCCAGCGTTACCACACTGTGATCATTTACCCTCTTTCTTAGAAGGTGGATTTCTTCCAGAAGATGCCCTAAGCATTGGTCCAGCTGCCTCTCAGCCTAACCCTGACCAGCAGTGGGGAGCCACGCCCATCCCAGTGGTATGCCTGGTGGGTGGCATTGGGAGTCCAGGAGGACCAGGATCTGTGCATGGTGGGGGTCCACGTGCTGGCAGAGGAGCCAGCTGCTCCTCAGGTTGGGAGCAAGGAGGGGAACCAAGGTTCGCCTGCCTGCTTTGTCCCAGTGATGGCCAGAACCGTGCCCGTTGGGATGGTTGTGGTCCAGAGAGGGGGCATCCCATCCGGCCAGCCAGGCCCCTCGGCCACTGAGTATGCCTGTGAGATGCTTAGGAGCTTGGAGAAAGGGACTGTATTTAAAGATTAAATGGTTCTCAGTGTAACATCAGAATGTGGGGCCATGCTGAGGCAGGAGGCCTGAGGGAGTGGGGACCTCAGGCAGGACTCTCCTTCACATTCCCAGGCACGGTACCATCCAGCGTCTCCTTCCCCTGATTGATGATTTGTGAATATGTTCTACTAGTATTTGATTTGCCTTGTCATTTTCTTAACAATGTCTTTTGAAGAACCAACATTTTAATTTTAGCAACATCCTATTTTTTTATTTGATTTATGATTTGTGCTTTAGTTTTTGTCCTGTTTAAAAAACCTTTGCCTCACTCAAGGTCACCAAGATTTTCTGCTATGTTTCCTTTATCGTTTTGTAGATGTATAGTTTTAGTTCTTATATTTATATTTAGATCTAGGATCTATTTTGAGTTAGTTTTTTATGTGGTGTGAGGTAAGGGTTGGAGTTAAATTCTTTGCATTTAAGTATCCAATTGTTGCAGCAGTCTGTATTGAGTTGTCTATGTTGAGAAGTCTATGACTTTCCCATTGAATTGCCTTGACAACCTTGTCAAAAGGTAATTGGCCATATATGTGTGGGCCTATTTGTGGACTCTGTTCTGTTGATCTGTGTGTCTCTCCTTCTGCCAATTCCACACTGTCTCGATCACTACAACTTTATTATAGCCATAAGATATAGTGTAAGGTGTAAGTCTTCCAACTTTTGTCTTGTTTTTCAAAAACGTTTTAGGCTATTTTAGGTCCTTTGCATCTCCACATAAACATTAAAACTAACTTGTCCATTTCTAAAAGAAAGCATTCTGGGATATTTTTATTGGTATTGCCTTAAATCTATAGATCAATTTCAGGAGAAATGACATTCTAAGCATACTGAGCATTCCAATCCATGAACATGTTATATCTCTCCATGTAAGTAATCTTTAATTTGCCTCAGCAATATTTCATAGTTTAAAGTGTATGACATGAGCCTTACACATTTTTTGTTAAATTGATCACTAAGTATGTAATATTTTTATTCTATGATTTTTTTAAAATTTTAATTTCCAGTTGTTCATTGCTAGCATGTAGAAGTCCAATTAATTTTGATACATTGACCTTCTATCTTGTGACCTTGCTAAACTCACTTACTAGTTCTTGTAGCATTTTTATAGTTTTCTTTGGATTTTCTACATACACGAATATGTTATCTGCACCTATTTCTCCTTGAATGAGCATTAGTAGTTTGTGCCTTTAGGAAATTTACCTCCTTCATCTTAGTTTTTGAATTTATTGGCATAAAATTGTTCATAATACTTTTTTATTATCCTTTCACTGCCTATAGGTTTATTAGTGATGTTCCTTCTTTCATTTCTGACATTGGCCATTTGTGTCTCCTCTCTTTTCTTACAGATCAGTCTGGCTAGAGGTTTCTCAATAAGCCTTTTAAGAGCTAGATTTTGGGTTTATGAATTTTTCTCTATGGTTTTTCTATTTTCTATTTCATTTATTATTGTTATTTTCTTTCATATTTCCTGGTGCTTACTCTGGGCTTAAATTATTCTTCATTCTATAGTTTTCAAAGAAGGGAGCATAGATTACTACTTGGAAATTTTTCATTTTTTCCAACATAAGAATTTCATGTTATAAGTTTTTCTCTAAGCACTTCTTAACTGCATTCCACAGGTTTCAAAATATTATGTTTTCATTTTTATTCAGGTAAAAATATTTTAAAATTCTTTTTGTGATTTATTTTTTGACCCATTAGTTATTTAGGAGTGTATTGGTTAGTTTCCAAATAATTGGGGATTTTCATGTATCATTCTGTTATTGATTTCTAGTCTTTTGAATGATTTCAATCCTTCTAAATGCATTGGGACTTATTTTATGGTCCAGGTTATGGTCTCTCTTGGTGATGGTTCTATGTATACTTGGAAGAGATGTGTATTTTGCTGTTGTTAGGTCTCTATACATTTGGGATCACTGTGTTCTCTTGAATAATTGACCCTTTTATTATTACAAGATGTCCTTCTTTATCCATGCTAATATATCCTACTCTCAAATCAAACCTTTATTGATGTTAACATAGCAGTTCCAGATTTCTTCTATTGGTGTTTACATGGTGTATCTTTTCCCATCTTTTAACTTTTAATCTGATTTGTTTTTGTCTTTAAATTGAGTGTCTTGTAGACAGCATTTAGCTGGGTCTTGAATATTTATACTCCATCTGACAATTTCTGCCTTTTAATTGTAATGTTTTGGCCATTTACATTTAATGTGATTATAGATATGGTTGAGCTTTCGGCTTATGAGCTATACCTTTTCTCTTCAGTTGTTGTTCTAGAATTTATAGAATACATCTTACTGTAACAGTGTGCCTGCAAATAATGTTAAACCACTTTACAGAAAGTGTAAAAGCCTTGGAATAGTGTAGCGGCTTCCACCTCCCCTCTTCTGTTCTTCATGCTACTGTCATACATTTTTACTTCCTCGTATATTATAAATTTTAATATATTACTATTTTTCTTTAGAGAAGTTATGTTTTACGTTTAAAAAATTAATTTAAATGCTTTTATATTTACCCACATATTTGTCATTTCCAGTTTTCTTCACTTCTCTGTGTAGGTTTATATTTCCACCTTGTATAATATCTTTATGAAGAATCTTATTTAACATTTATTGTAGTGCTGATCTGTTGACCATGAATTCTCTCAGTTTTTATTTGACTGAAAAATTCTTTATTTTCTTTCATTTTTGAAACATATTTTTTATTAGGTATAGAATTCTAAGTTGACCTTTTTGTTTTTCTTTCAGTGCTTTAAAGAAGTCTGCACTGTCTTCTGGCTTGCATAGTTTCTGTGAGAAATCTACTTATGTACTTATTTTTGTTCATTGTACACAGTATGACTTTTATTCTCTGGTTACTGGTAAGACTTTTCTTTTATCGTCTTAATGATTTGATTATGATATGCTTTGAGATAGTTTTCTCTCATGGAATTCTTTTTACCTGCTTGGGGTTCATTGAGATTCTTAATCTGTGAGTTTACGGGTTTTTAATCACATTTTGAAAACTTTCAGCAAGTATCTATTCAGCTATTTTACTGTCCTGCATCTCTTTCCTGCCCTTCACAAAGCCCAATACATGTATATTAGACTGACTTATATGACTTCACTGATCGCTGCTGTTCTCTTCATGTTTTCAGCAATTCTCTCTTCGTATATCATTTTAGATAATTTCTGTTGCTGCCTTAAGCCCAGGTCTTTCTTTCCTTCTATTTGTTTATTATTATTTTTTTAATTAAAAAATTTCAGAGCCAGGGTCTTGCTTTGTTGCCCAGGCTGGTTTCAAATTCTTGGCCTCCAGCAATCCTCCCTGCTCAGCCTCCTGAGTTGCTGGGATTACAGGCTTGAGCCACTGCGCCCAGCCCAGAGTCTTTCCTTAATGCCCACTAGATATTGTCAGGTACAGATATTTACGGAAGAATTTGGATATAATGGGTACATTTCTGGAAAAATGCAAAGTGCCATGCCTGGTCCAAGAAGAAATGCAGGCGCACTTCACTTTATTGTATTTCACAGATCATTGATTAAGGTGGCTACCCTAGACAATGGATATTCAGTGTAGGCAAAACAGCCTTCTATTTGAAGAAGATGCCATCTAGGACTTTCACAGCTAGAGAGAAGTCAATGCCTGATTTCAAAACTGCACAGAATAAGCGGACTCTCTTTTTCGTGGCAAATGCAGCTGGTGACTTGGAGTTAAAGCCGATGCACATTTACCATTCTGAAAACCCTAGGGCTCTTAGGAATTGTTCTCAATTGACTGGCCCTGTGCTCTAGAAATGCAACAAAGCCTGGACGACAGAACAAGTGTTGACAGCATGGTTTACTGAATATTTTAAGCCCACTGTTGAGAACTGCTGCTCAGAAAATATTCCTTTCGAAATATTACTGTTCACAGGCAGTGCACCTGTTTACGTAAGAGCTGTGATGGAGATGTACAAGGACGTGGTTTTCATGCCTGCTAACACAACATCCATTCTGCAACCCATGGATCAAGGAGTCATTTCAACTTTCAAATCTTATTATTTAAGAAACACATTTCACTGTAACCCATATACACCATGGAATACTACACAGCCATACAAAAGAATGAGATTATGTCTTTTATAGCAACATGGATGGGGCTGGAGGCCATAATCCTGAGTGAAGTAACACGGGAACAGAAAACCAAATACCACTTGTTCTTGGTTATAAGTGGGAGCTAAATATTGAGTACACGTGGACACAGAGAAGGGAACACTAGACACCAGGGCCTACTTGAAGGTAGAGAGTGGAAGGAGGGAGAGGATGGAAAAACTGCCCATCAGGTGCTATGCTTATTACCTGAGTGCTGAAATAATCTGAGACACACAATTTACTTATATAACAAACCTGTACGTGTATCCCTGAACCTAAGATAAAAGTAAAAAATAAAATACATTTCAGAAGTCTATAGCTGCCAAAGATAGCGACTCTTCTGATGGGTCTGGGAAGTGTCAACTGAGAATGTCCTGGAAAGAAGTCACCCTTCTAGATGCCGTGAAGAACCCAGGGGATTCATGGGAGGAGGTCAAAATATTAACATGAACAGGAGTCTGGGAGAGGTGGATTCCAGCCCTGAGGGGTGACTTGGAGGAGTTGAAGACTCTGACACAGGCAGTGACTGAAGATGGGGTGGAGACAGCAAGAGAACTAGATTCGAGGTGGAGCCTGAAGATGGGACGAAACTGGTGCAACCTTGTGAGAAAACTGGAAACGAGGAGGACTTGCTTTTTATGGATGACCAAAGAAAGTGGTTTCTTGAGACAGACTCTCCTGCTGGTGAAGATGCTGTGGATTCCACCCACCTCAGCCTCCCAAAGTGCTGGGATTATACATGTGAGCCACCACACCTGGCCTTCATACACTGTTTTTTCTTTTTTTTGATAAGGGTCTTGCTCTGTCACTGGGAGTGGAGTGCTGTGGCACAATCTCAGCTCACTGCAACCTCCACCTGCTGGGCTCAAGCCAACCTCCCACCTCATTCTCCTGAGTAGCTGGGACTACAGGCATGCACCACCACACCCAGCTAATGTTTGTACTTTTTGTTGAGACAGGGTCTCACTATGTTGTTCAAGCTGGTCTTGAGCTCCTGGGCTCAAGCCATCCACCTACCTTAGCCTCCCACAGTGTTGGGATTACAGGTGTGAGCTACCACACCTGGCCATATTCCATAAACTTAGTTAATAAAGCAGCAGCAGGGTGGGAAAGGATCGACTCCAATTTTGAAAGAAGTTCTTTTGTGGATGACATACTATCAAACAGTACTGCATGCTACACAGAAATCTTTCATGAAAGAAGGTCCATGGATGCAGCGAACCTCACTGTTGTCTTATTTTAAGGACTTGCCACGGCCACCCTGGCCTTCAGCAACCACTGACTGCCCTGATCAGTTAGCAGTGCCAACATGGAGTCGAGAGCCTCACCAGCAAAAAGATTACCACTCACTGACGGCCCAGGGAGCATTAGCATTGTTTAGCAGTAAAGTTTTTATTGTTTTGTTTTGTTTGTTTGTTTGACAGTGTTTAGCTCTTTTTCCCTAGGCTGGAGTGCAATGGCACGATCTCGGCTCACTACAAACTCCACTTCTCAGGTTCAAGTGATTCTCCTGCCTCAGCCTCCTGAGTAGCTGGGATTACAGGCATGCACCACCACGCCCGGCTAATTTTATATTTTTAGTAGAGATGGGCTTTCATTATGTTGGCCAGGCTGGTCTCAAACTCCTGACCTCAGGTGATCTGCCCACCTCAGCCTCCCAAAGAGCTGGGATTACAGGTGTGAACCACCGGGCCCAGCCCGCAGTAAAGTATTTTTAAATTAGGATATGTATGTTGCCTTTTCAGACATAATGCTATGGCATGTTTAATACAACACCGTTTCTGTGACTCACTTGGTTGTGGCAGTGTGGAACAGAACCCACAATATCTCCAAGGTATGCCTGTGGGAAACTTACATAGGTCAAAAGTGGGAATCAAAGACCCCGCCCTTCTCAAAAAAGAGCTGTATGGCAAGACGTTTTACAGGTGCGTTCTTTCGAGGGACAGATATATCTGTCTTATCAAAAAAGTGTATATCTTATATACGTTTTTCTAGAAAATAATAATATAGGTAAAGCAGCTTGTTTCATTTTAACAGAGTGGTGTCAGTTTGGTTTCATATCTGGATTAGGGCAACCAAATGAAAGAAAGAAAAGAAAGCACAGGCCTATCTTTCTTATGAACATCTCAAATAAAATATTAAATGCTGGCATCCAACAGTGTATTTTAAAACACACACTCACCAAAACAGCTAAAGTTAACTCCAGCCTGGGTGTGGTGGCTCACGCCTGTAATCCCAGCACTTAGGGAGTCTGAGGTAAGTGGGTCACTGGAGCCCAGGAGTTCCAGACCAGCCTGGGCAACATAGCAACTCCCTGTCCCTACAAAAAATACAAAAATTAGCTGGGTGTGGTGGTGCATGCCAGGTGCAGTGGTGCATGCCAGGTGCGGTGGTGCATGCGGGTGCGGTGGTGCGTGCCGGGTGCGGTGGTGCGTGCCTGTGGTCCCAGCTGAGGGAGCCGAGGTCCCCCACTTACCTGGAAACACATTTAAGAAGATGAATGGATGGATGAATAGGAAGATGGATGAATAGATGAATATGTGATCAAGCATTTTGGTAAAATATTACTGTAACAGTATAAAATATTAGTAAATTTTATTAGTAATATGTTAGTCTGAATAGTGAGTATATGTATGAGTGCTCACTGTAAAATGAATATTGAACATTTTCATAATAAACTGTTGGGAAAAAACACATAATAATCAAATACATTTCATACCAGGAATGCAAAGATGGCTTAAATTCAGAAAATTGGAGACCGGGCATGGTGGCTTACACCTGTAATCCCAGAACTTTGGGAAGCCTAGGACGGTGGATCATTTGAGGTCAGGAGTTCAAGACCAGCCTGACCAACATGGTGAAACCCTGTCTCTACTAAAAATACAAAAAAGTTAGCCAGGTGTGGTGGTGGGTGCCTGTAGTCCCAGCTACTCGGGAGGCTGAAGCAGGAGAATCACTTGAACCCAGGAGAAGGAGGCTGCAGTGAGCCGAGATCACACCACTGCAACAGCCTGGGTGAGCGAGCGAAACTCTGTCTGAAAAAAAAAAAAAAAAAGAAAAGAAAGAAAGAAAAAAGAAAAGAAAAAGGAGAATTCACATTTGTAGACTACAAAGGTGATTAATACGTGCAAAAAATAACTTGACAGAGCTCAGTCCTCAGCCCAGTTTAGAAACTCTCTCTCTACAGTTTCTCAGAAAAATAGGAATAAGAATCTTTCTTAACCTGATAAAGGTGATCTCAAAACACCTATAACAGGTATCACACTCAACAGAGCTTTGAAGCATTCTCTTTGAGGTGCTTAGAAGACCAGGCTCCCCGCCACTCACACAATCATTCCACAAAGACGGCTAGTCTTGTCCCCTCAGCCAGACACAAGCAAGAAATAAGGGTGCAAAGAGTTGAATGGAAGGAATGAACCTACCACTTTTTGCAGATGGAGAGTGATCACCTGTATAAAAATCCTAAATGTAGACAAACAACACCAGCAAAATAGTAGGAGAGGTCGGTGAGATTCTAGATAAAGAGAAAACTCACAAAAATGCTAGAATTCATCTGCGTTGACAATCATCAATTAGAAAAACAATTTTTTAAAAAGCTGCTATTCACATTTGCAGCAATGTCTATAAAGTACCTAGAAATTAATCTAATAAAGAATGAATGCAGCCTTCCCAGGAAGTGCTTAACCTCCATTAAAGAAGATAAAACAAGATGAGTAGAAGAGCCGAAACATGCTGAGGGGTGAAAACTTCATGCGATTTTATTTCTACATAGTATTTCAACATATTTAGGGGGCACATGATATCTTGATACATGTATAGAATGTGCCACAATCAAACCAGGGTAGTGAGCGTATCCAACATCTCAAATAGTTATCATTTCTCTGTGTTGGAAGCATTTCAAAGCTTCTCTTTTAGCTGAGTTGAAATCTACCATGTATTATTGTCAACTGTAGTCATTTTAAAGACAGCAGTTCTTCCTATCATAGAGTCCATTCCACTTCAATCAAAATTTCATCAGAGCTTTTAAAGGACAGAAATGAACTTATTCTAACATTTGCAGGGCTGAACTAAGGTTAACAAATAGCTAAGATATTTTTGAACAAGAAGAGTCAGGCTGAGACATCTTGCCACGGCAAGAAAATGAACCCGTGTAATACAGCTGTGGGGGCAGGTGCAGAGCCACACAGGGCAGGACAAGCTGAGAATGAAACCCTGTGAGCTGTGGAGGTTTTATCTCTGGAAAAAGGATGGATGGTTCAGTGGCTGTGTTTGGAAGAACGGCTCGCTGTATGACAAAAAGTCAATTCCAGACCCAAGTGAACTCAGATGGGTGCAGTCCTAGGTGTGACCCTTAAAACTACCCCAATTTTACCAAGAAAAGAACATGTGAGAAAATATCTTTGTCATCTGGATAAAGATGTCTGGTCAGGGAAGAGCACAGTAGAGAAAATCAGCTGAGGGGAGGATATTTGCTGAAGCTACTGAGTGATCAGTGTAGGAGATAAAAGGAAACCCTACAACTACAAGCACTTAGAGAAGGGGAGGCCTTGGTGGCCAGCACACACACGGAGATTTTCAGCCTCAATCATCATTGAAGAAATTCAAATTTGAGAATTGATTTTCCACCTCACACCCAACCAATTTGCAAAAATTTGAAAGTCAAATAATTCCAAGTGTTGGTGAGTGTGTGGAGTGTGTGGGGAAATGGAATCCCTCCTCCTCTAAGGGGACCTGGCAGAGCTTAGGGAAGTTCTGGAGATTTGCTGCCCAGGGCAGGCTTGGGGCAGGCTCAGCCCTGTTTGTGCAGGTGCAGAGCTGGGGTCAGCCTGAGGGGAGGCGGGAAGGAGAGAGTGGGTCGCGTGCAGCACTGAGGAGTCATGGCCTCAGCACCAGCACTGCTGGGTGGATGGATCTGCAAACATGCCGTTCAGTGAAACACACATGCAACGCAGTGAAACCAGCACCATGGGAGCAAACCAGACACGTGCAGACACACCATTATACACACGCAATGCAACCCCCATACACAGAACATGTAACCCCCATACATACAACATGCAATGCCCATACACACAACACATATGCAACATATACACACAGCATATATATACACAGCCCGTATGCACAGAGTACATATACACACACCATGATACACACACCACACAACCCCCATACACAAAATACATAACACCTATACACAGAACACGTAACACCCATACACACAACACACAACACCCATACATGCAACATGCAACACCCATACACAGAACACATATGCAGCAACACATATACACACAGCATATATACACATAGAATATGTATGAGATGTATACACACAACACACATGTATGGGGCATATACGCACAGCACACATACACACAACACATATATACACGTAGCATAAGCATGAGACATATACACACAACACACACATAAGTGCACACACCCCACCATGACCTCCAACACCAGCAGTCGCCCCTTGTTTCAGTTGTGTTGGCCCCAAGGACAAGTGTGCTCATGTTCTAGAGAAGGGAAGAGGAATGTGAGTAGAAAATAATAAAAATGCAATCTTCAAAGGTGCTGTGAACCCAGGAAATAAGAAGGGGGAGGGGGGAGGAGGGGGAGGGAGGAGGAAGGGGAAGGGAGGGAAGAGTGCCCAGGCCTTGGCCCAGCCTGCCCAACCTGCTGTGAGAGCCAGGGGTGCCATGACCACGGTGCCTGTCTGCACTGCCCCTTCCCTGACTGGCCAGTGGCCTCTGTCTTTGCACCTGTCCCTTCCTCTGGCCAGGACTGCTTAGGGAGTGAGGAAGGACAGGCGGGAGGAGGGAGAGGAGAGAGCTGCTGGGGCCGCAGGGGGTCCTGGCTGCAGGGCACGGTGGTGCTGCCTCTTCTTTCACTCCCAGAATCTTAACCGGGCAGACGTGGCCTTCTGGGTGGTCCACAAGGCCCCTGTCGGCACCACCTGGAGCAGCTAGATGTCCTCCACTGAGTGTGGCCATCCAGGTGGCTGTCAGCGAAGGGCGGGCAGCCCCCCAGCCCTGCTCCTGGAGCCCTGAATGTGGCTCCATTCCCAGCCCCAGGCTGCGGGATCTGGGGACCCAAGCACGGCTGTGGTGGGCACGTCTCTGGGGGCAGAGCTCAGCAGCAGGTGCAGTGCCAAAAGCACCAGCTGGTCCCAGCTGTGGCTCAGCAGGCTCGGCCCAGGACACAGACCGTGAGAAGGGCCTCCTTCAGCCTCCAGCCCCTGCCCCTGCCGCAACCCCCTGAGGGCCCGGGGTCACAGCTCCCGACCACCATGGTCTCATTGATGCTGGCCTGGGGTGCAGGGACTGCACAGCAACCCCACTCCTGGATGGTGTAGGTATAAGGTGGGGCCCCACTCACCCTCCCGGGGGTGGTTCCAGCAGGTGAACTTGGGGCAGTGGGGCTGTGAAGGAGCCCAGGTGGGGCGGGACGAGCGCCCACTTTGATGGGCCGTAAGCTTCTCTTTCACCCCATCTGCCTGACCCCTTCGTGGGCCTCTGGCAGGCTTCCTACGGTATATGGATTTTCACTTTCCCTATGTATTATGTGAGGAAGCAGAGTCACAGAGCCCAGGTTACCACCCGAGGCCTAGAGCTGGGCAGTGTCCAAGCCGAGTCTGGATCCAAAGCTGGCTGCCCCCATGTGTGTTTCCCAACCACTGTCCTTGGCTGCCTGGCACAGGCAGAGAAAATGGGTGAGGAGACGCGGGAGCTCCAGGAGTAAGGTCATGTGACAGGCGTCGGGGCAGGTGTACTGATGTGCAGACGGAGGTAGGGAGCCCCCAGTCAGACTCCAGTCCAGGCTGCTGGGCAGGAAGGGGGCTGGCTAAGACTCTGGGACTGCTCCCACCTCCTGGCCTCGGAACCTCTGCCGCTGCTCTCCCTCCCCTTTCTCCAAGTCACCACTGCTCATTCTGCAGATGCCAGCTCTGTGGACCCTGGGGGAGCCTCAGCTGGTCACTCTCCAAGGGGAGTTAAAGTGTAATCTTTTCAGGAGTAAAATCATGACTTTGAGGCAAACACAAAATAACAATGTTAACAATTCCACTTAGTTCGTTAATTTATGAGGCACCAATCTGATATAAAAAATGATTAAAGGACGATCCAGAGTCCAGCCCCAGCTGCACAGGCGGCCGGGAGCACGGAGAGCAATCCGCAGCAGACGAGACCCAGGGAGAGGGTCCCTGGCATCTGCACCTCGCTCTGGGGAGCACAAAGAGCAATCCGCGGCAGACGAGACCCAGGTAGAGGGTCCCTGGCATCTGCACCTCGCTCTGGGCGGGACGGGTGGCACCTACTCCATGTGGCATCCCCTTACTTCCCTCTGGGAAGGGGTCCTCTGCGTTACCCTCCTTGTTCTCCCAGGCACAGGGCTCTAGAACAGCCCAGCGAAAAGGAGAGGCACGGAGCCTGTCATTCAGATGAGCCGGCAGGGGCTGTCTGCTGGGCAGCCTCGCTGGAATGACGGCCAGTGAGTGTTTGCCCGTTTCAATGTTGGCTTTTGCCCGATGGGGCCAAATGCTGCCTCTGCCCCTCCCTTGCGCACGTGTCACCTCAGCCGCTACCCTTGGTACCCGTTGGTCGTGGTCTCCTTCCCCAGAGGAAGGTGAGCCCCGGGAGGGTGGGGACCTGCGTTCCTTACCATTTCACCCTTACTTGGGCCTGGGATAGCCATAACCATGGCAGCCACCCCAGCGAGCACTCCTCGGGCAGTGCTCCCCTCGGGCCAGGGTCAGAGGCATTAGTGTTGCCCACACTGTGCTGAAGGAGAAGCTCCAACCAGCTTCTCCATCACCACCGTCCTCCTGTGCTGGGGAGGGGTGGGTGGGATCTGAGGCCCGCAGGCTGCCTCGGAGTCGGGGCTCCTACCTCCCCACTCAATAGCCTCCTGTGAGGCGAAGGAGGGGCCGAGTGAATGGCAGGGACCCTGGAAAGGGCTGTGTAAGGAGCTTCCTCCCAGTAGGGTAAAGACCTCCCGGGAGAGCCCACTGCTCCACATACCCCGCTGTGCTCAGGGGAGTGGGAGGCAGACCCTGGCCCACAGGGAGAGTCAGGGGAGGCACTGTCGTGTCCTGGTTCTGGGCAGTGTCATAGAGAAACAGCCCATCAGGAGGAGCCAGGCGGATATCACTGAGCAGCTGCAGAGGCAAGAGAGGTGCTGCGCAGAGCTGAGCACTGCTCAGAACACAGCGAGGCCTCCAGACCCTGCGGGCAGCCGGCAGGCAGGGGACAGCTTCTGCAAGAAATTGATCTGGTGTCAAGGGTGGGGGTTCTTGTAAACAGTCTCAGCAGGGTTCTTGCTAAAACTGCGCTCGGCATGCCAAAGAGAACTGACCAAGGCCAAACCAAGGTCAAGGCTTCATCAGAGGAGGGCTCAGAGGAGCCTCCGAGGTCGAGGAAGGAGCCCCCCCCGAGGTCGAGGAAGGAGCCCTTCTCAGGGGGTGGGGCTTCCTTCCTGTCCATGGGCTTGGGACACTCACAGAAGCCAGGCTCAGGATCCCCCTCATGCATCCTCCCCATGTGCTGAGACCTGGAGTGGCTGGGCTGGCTGCGGTGACTTTCCCCGCCATCCCCACAGGCAACCCTCACCCCCCGTGCCCAGCCACATAGCCCCCAAGGTGAGCACTGGGATGGGTTTCACATCCCTCCCCAAGAGCCTGAACCTCACTCTGCCCCTGCCTCACTCCATGTGCCCAGCCAGGCTGCTGGGCTCAAGCACAGCCTGGAGTCAGGAGGGCCGACGATGCCTCGCAAAGTTCCCAGGCCTTGAGGACCAGCCACTTCCACAGCCTGACAGTGAGAGCTCCTGGTTGTTAAGGGCCTGGACGCTTTTGCTCACTTCATGTTTTCCAAACATTCTCTGTGCTTCTGCCTCCTGGACGTGGCCGCACCATCCCCAAAGCACACTTTGGCAGCTAGGATGCGTCCTGCGTGGGGTAGGGTAGATGGCATCCAACTCTCACAGCTCATCAGTGGGCAAGGGGCCCCACCCCGTTTCCAAGGCCGAGTGGAGATGTGCAGGGGCCAGGCTGTGTGGGGGTGGTGAGGACCCTCATATGGAGGCCAGCGCTCAGGGTCCCCACCTCCTGTAGAAAGCGGGTCAGTCTTCAACTGTCCCCCTTGGCTGTATTCCATGAAACAGGCTCTGTCCCTGCTAGCCAAGGGCTTAGGGCAGAAGGTCTCACTCCTTATCCCCAGAACAGAGAAAGAAACATCTAAAATAAATGCTATTGTGTAATCCTCGTGGAAAGAATGATTTTGGTTCCATGTAATCCCCGGCAGAAAAGCTGTAGTCATTTCAGACTCTGGCTGTGTAAGAGCTTCGCTGGTGAGGGGGCCAGCTGGACGGAGCTGCGAGTGCAGGAATCCCCCAGACCCTGCAGAAGAAGCTGAGCTACAAAGCCATTTTGTGGAGCTGAGCTGCCTTTCTTTCCATCTACACACGTGGCTTCTAGAAGGGGGGGGGGTCTCTCAGGCCCCCAGGACAGCTCAGTCACAGCCACTCGGCTCCTAGCATGAGTCAGACCTCAGGAAGGAGGCTGGGCTCCAGAGCCCCTATTGCCTGACACCTGGCCCCTGCCCAAACTGCTGACCATGAGCAGGCGCCATTCAGGAAGGACCTCTTTGGAAGGGAGGGAAGGAGAGAGGGAGGTATGTACCTTTTCAGATCGTTGGCGGGGAAGCCAGACGGGGTGCCCCAGGATCCCCGGGGTCAGAAAGGATATCCATCCTGAGGCTCAATGTCCCCAGTACTTGTCACGGGCTTCAACGTTATGCTCCAAGCACCACTGCCCTGGAAAATCTGGGTTTACTCAAAGCCAAGCATGCAGCTCACTTCTCTTCCCACCGCTCTGTGGCCTGGCTGGGCCCATGGATGCTGCTCCCTACTCAAGGAGCCCAAGCTCCTGATGGGGTAGGCCCTGACCCCTAGGTCCTCCCAACCCCATGCCCACCTCCACCCTCACAGCAAGTCACCATCCTGAGGATGAAGCCCTGGAGTTTGCTGCTCCAGAAGATACCTGGGGTCCTGGTTTCCCTGAGCATCTCCTGCACCCGCCTGGGTCATGGACACAGCTGTCCACGTGCACCTCCTCCCAACACCTCCCCTCCCAGGATCTCCAGGCCTGGGGCAGACACCTGGGTGGGGACACGCAGTCGGTCCGCACACTGACTGCTTCATCATTCTTCTGTAGGTGACTACTCTGGAGGTGCAGGGGACAAAGGAGGGTCCCCCCACCCTGGTCAACAAACCCAGCAAAGGGCAGGACACAGTGCTTCCTCCCCTCCAGGGACCCTCTCCACTCCAGGCTTGTCCAGGAAATCCTGCTTCTGCAGGACTGGATCAGATCAAGGATTTCATGTATTTACCATCCCTGGAAGGTCACGCATGAGTCTTTCCTGCAAACCTCTGGCATTTAATTTGCACAGCAAGGAATGGCTGTCTGGAGGCCTGAGTAGAGTCAGAGGCTGACTTGGACATGGAGCTGATTGCTGTTTCTCCTCCCTCCATGTTTGTGTGTGCATGGTGGCACACATATACATGTGTGTACACGTGTGTCTACTCACAGGCGAGCATATATATCCACGTGTGTGTACATGCCTGTGTGTGTCTACCCTATAGCCTGCTGTGCAATACAGAGGATCCCCACACTGCAGGTGGCTGACCTGGGGTAGGACCAAGACTCAGGGTCGGGAGACTGCCTGACATCTCACAGCCCCAAAGGCCAGTATCGCAGCTCGCCCAGGATTCGTCTTCAGAGGAATCACAAGCTTCTGTCTAACTGGTTAGGGGGTGCACAGCAACTTACACTGTGTGGATTGCTTTCAACAACTTTGGAATCTTTTTTTTTTCTCCTAGATCTGGCCTTTGCTATGGTTTTGGCTTTAAATTTGTATTTGCATTCAAAAAGAATTTGTATCTAGAAAGGATTCCTACCTTTCATTCACCAGTTTTCAGAAAAGCAAGCTGGTTTTCTAGCATCCTACAAAAGTGGCAGCCACTTAGTGTGTCTGCTGCTAGCATCTCTGTGAACTTGGTCTTAGGGACTGGGACATGCATCCATCCTCCATCTGTGCTGCAGCCCAGCGTCTCTCAGGGATGCCTCTGTGTCCCTGGCTGAATGTCATTTCCCTGTGTTTCATATCCAGGGACAGGGGCTAGAGCACTCAGAGCTTTGTGTGCAAATGGGAGGAATTTTGCCAAAGCCAGCAAGCCGGGCAACACGTCCAAAATGCTCACGGCAAAAATGTGAGCCTCAACTGCAGAGCGGAGCTGGCATTCCCCACATGAGGTCTTCCTCTCCAAGGGGACCCTGATTGGATGGGCAGCATGAGTGTCCATCCCAACACCAGCGAGCCCTTGCCTGGCTCTGTCCAGTCAGGCCCCAGGGCCCTCCTGGGCTCTCATGTGGCACCCCTGCACCATAGGAAGCGCTTGACAGCAAGGGGTCTTTTGAGCAGAGCACATGTTGCATTAAACGTGCGTGGAACGTCATAAACATTTCCCATCACTGTCCTCCTGTTGGCAAGGGTTCTTCAGAGAAACAGAATCAATAGGAAGTGTGCTAGACTCTGTATGTGTGTGTGAGAAGCGGCGGGGGGGGGTAGTTTAAGGAACCAGCAATTGTGGGGGGCGCTGGCAGCCTTGACAGGCTGGAGATCTAGGAAGAGTTGATGCTGCGGTTTTGCATCTGAGGGCAGGACCCCCTCCTTGGGGAGCTGGTCTTTTCCTCTGAAGGCCTTCCCTTGATTGGATGAGGCCCCTCACACGATGAGGGGCCCACCTGCGTGACTCAGAGCCCGCGGATGTCAGGTGTGCCCACATCTAAACACATCTTCACCACAACATCTGGTGAAGTTGGGTGGAGGTGGCCCAGCCAAGGTGACGCGCAAACTCACCCACTCCCCACGCCTTACACACGCGACAAAACCATGGGAAGCTCGCAGCTCCCGCCACTCCCGGCCCGGAAATGCCTCCCGCGTGGCCCAGGCTTTCTTGCTGAGCCCCTCCCTCCACTGCAGACACAGCCAATGCCTCCAGGCCTTCCTCCAGCCTCAGTTTTGCTTTTCTCATTCCTGTGTCTGGGGATGGGCTTTATGGGAACCATCTCCCGGGCTCCATGAGATAAGAGATGCGCCCCCTGCTCAGCCGCACAGCCCCTCGCTCCCCTAGTGGTCTCCACCAGGCTCCACTTCCTGCCCAGCTGCTGCCCCTTCACTGCTGTGGAGGGTCAGCCTCGTCCGGGACCGGCTCCAGGCCAGCCATGTCCTGCTCGTGGGGCCCCAGCCTGGGGTGCACGAAGTGGAGCGTGTTCCCCTCACCTCCTCTTGGGGCTGGTGGTGCCTCTTGCTGCATTTGGCTGGCCCTGGAGATGGCCGGCAGGAAAAGGGGTTGTGCCCTCTACAGACACGGAGTGCCACGCCAGGGTAACGTGCCTCGTTGGTGTGTCTCCCTTCCCCCGGGCCATACCCAACATCGAGTCACCCCAAAGCCTTGGAGGCACCCCCAGGGCAGCCCAGCACAGCCCACATGGTCCTCCTTTTCCTCAACATTTAGAGGGCATTCGCTCCACCCCAGGCCCTGCACCAGGTGGTGGGATGCCCCTTCCTACCCTGGAGTCGACGCTGGCTCCTACCCCTGCACTGTGAATTCCCGGTAACAGCCAAGCCTGGGCTCCTGTCAGAATCTCAGGACCCACCAGGGCCTGGCTGCTCAGAGAGCCCATGTCTCACCGGGGACCGGCCTCCAAGACTCCCTAGGCAGAAAAAGGGAGCAAGAGTGTCTCTGGCTGTCCCTCCATCTTGCACCGTGTTTGTGTGTGAAATGTCCCAGTCTAACTGGGCGAAAGAGGAGAAGGCTCCGGACGCCTCCCCCCGTCCTCCCCAGGGTGCCCGGGTGGCAGCAGGGCCAGACCTCCACAGAGTGGATCAAGCCTCACAGCCTGCAGCCCTTCCCAGGAAGGCTCTTCCCCTGTCCAGCCCCCAGCCGGCTCCCTGAGCTCCCTTTAATTGGGCCTGACAATTTCACACTCTGGAGCCGGACGGTGCTTGTTTTGGCTGGCCGGGCTGCGGGCCCATCCTCGCTGGCCCGGGTTGCATAACTGTGAGGTATCCTCTTACGCTGGCCGACGCCTCTCAGTGAGCCCTGAAGCCCGCCACGGCGGGTGGAGCAGGCTCCGTGCTCCCTCTCTGGGAGGCGGCCCACCCTGCCAGGTGTGGGGGCTCTCGTGTCCCCTGACCCCGAGGCCTGGCTGGCAAAAGTGCATGGAGCCTCCAGCCTATGGGAGCCAGGAATGGCCACCTCTGGCCAGAGTTGGCCTGCGAGGGTGGTGATGGGCGGGCATGTCTCCACCCTCTGATCACATCTCTCCCAGCGTCAGCGTCATTGCTGGCCCTGCCAGAGCACTGCGGGCCTCAGGTCCAGAGACAATGGTGGGGAGGGGGTGAATCCAGGAGTCGCCTGCTGGGCGTCCTTGTGGCTGGCCGGCCCCCCAAGGGATCCCCGGGGAGTGGTGCCCAGCTCCCTGGCCCCCGTGTGTCCCTGGATGCCATCCAGACAGCCCAGATAGGAAGACGTCCCAGGGCCCTGGGTTCCAGCCCGGACACTCTCTCCCTTCCGCTGCTGCTGACACCCAAAGGTGGAGTGAGAGAAGAAGAGATTTGAATAATGGGAGAAAATTATTATATCTTGGTGAGCTGGAGCCCAGCCCTGTCCCCCGTGGCTGTGATAACTGAGGATGTCTTACATTTCCCCACGCTGAGCCAGGACCAGCCATGACAATGTCTGCATTGTTTCCCATGCCGGGCATTGTCACCGAAGGACAGTGCCCCGGACACAGGGGCCACAGCGCACAGGGATCAGCACGTACTGGCAGATCATGGACACCTACCAGAAAGCCGAAAGCCGTGGCCAGATCTGAAAGTAAATGTGGAGGAGGGAAGTGGTGGCATGCTGCTCCTGGCTTTGCACAATGGCCTGGTGACAGTTTTGCCCACATTGGGGACACAGCCCTGGGCCAGCGGGGATAGCAGGCGCCCTAGCAGACAGGCAGGCATCGCCGTGGGGTGCAGAGATTTTCACTCCTAGCAAAACTGTGAGGCTGGAGCAGCTCCGGCTTCCTCGCTGGGGCCTGGGTGAGGGGCTGGATCTTGCCGGCTGCGGGGCCTGGCCCTGCCGAAGGAGGCCTCCTCTTAGGACAAGAGCAGGCGTGATGCTTGGGTCCTGCCCTGTAGGAATGAGAAGGTTGGTCTTCCCTGGTTCCCTGACCCATAACAAGGGCCGGGGAGGGGCACTGCTCTGGGTCCCCTTGGCGAGCCCGGCATTCCCTCATCCCACCAGTCCAAGTGCCCCTCACTCTTTCTGGGGCAGCCCCACTCTCATGGAAATTCTCTAAAGAGTCATCCTGGTGATGAATGCCAAGGGAGCTAAACTTAGCCCACCGTGGCTCTGCCTCCCTTCGCCCCTGCGTTGGGCTCTGCGTTGGGTGGGAGCCTTGAGAGCAGGGAGTCCATCTTGGGGTCATCACCGGGTCCGCCCTGTGCCCTGGGCCTTGTGCCCCGACCTCGGCCCACGGCAGCTTCAGACATCCTTGCGCATCCCAGAGCGGGCACTGCCGACTCTGCCCAGCTCCCGGCACAGACCTGCCCAGAGGGCCGGGCATGCGGGAGGACCCACTGTTCCTGGGAGCACCTGCCAGGCAAACGAATGACCTAAGGTCTGACTTGGTTGGTGACTCCAGGCCCCTCCTGGCCTTGGCCAGACCCTCCTCGGGCTCCTGGCTCGTGCCCGAACCACAGGGCTTTCCCGCCCCCGGGACCACAGGCGTGGACTTCACCTTCTGGGAGCAACGTGGTCTGTGCAGCCCTCGAGGCATTCCTAGGAGCCTCGGCTTGCGGGGTGCTGATAATTTCACTCTGGAGCCCGACGGTGCGGCTTGCCAGCTTCCAGATGAGAGGGGATTTACGGGCTCTTAGGAGTTCAAGTGGGTTCCCGCCAGCAGCCGCTGGAGCCCCTGGTGGCAGAGGTGTCCTGAGATAGCCTCCCTGATGTCCCAGGAGGTGACCATGCCATGAGGCATGGGGTGCTCGAGTGTGGGGATGCCCTCCTGGCCCAAGCCTCCCCTAGTGTGGCACTTTTTGTGTCTAATCACTTCTAGGCTCCTGACCTAGAAGGCGGGAAGGGAGTAGCATGGCCCGTCCGTGGCACCGGGGCACCCCACCCCACCCCACAGCATCCGTCACCATCCATTTAGGGTCATGCCCACATGCCTGCATACCAGGGGCTGGAAGCACCGGGGAACCCCACCAACCCCTTCTTCCTGGGGCCTGTGAGCAGTGTGTGAGCCAGACTTCTTCCTTTCATGGCTGGTCTCTTCTGCCTGCAGGTGCCTGCCCAGCTCCCAGGATCATGAGTCCCCCCTGCAGCCTGGCCCATCTCAGGGACAGCATCCCCGACGTCTTCCACAGGGAAAGGAGCTGTCTCCACATTGGGACAGACGGGTCAAGGGGGGCCGGGATGAAGCCACCCTGTGGGAAGGGTCCTGGCTTTGTGTGCCGGCCCCTGGGGTCCCCTCCCAGGTGACAGGGGCTCCGCTGGGAAGGGTCCTGGCTTTGTGTGCCGTCCCCTGGGGTCCCCTCCCAGGTGACAAGGGCTCCGCCGGGAAGGGTCCTGGCTTTGTGTGCTGTCCCCTGGGGTCCCCTCCCAGGTGACAGGGGCTCCGCCGGGAAGGGTCCTGGCTTTGTGTGCTGTCCCCTGGGGTCCCCTCCCAGGTGACAGGGGCTCCGCCGGGAAGGGTCCTGGCTTTGTGTGCCGTCCCCTGGGGTCCCCTCCCAGGTGACAGGGGCTCCGCCGGGAAGGGTCCTGGCTTTGTGTGCCGGCCCCTGGGGTCCCCTCCCAGGTGACAGGGGCTCCGCCGGGAAGGGTCCTGGCTTTGTGTGCCAGCCCCTGGGGTCCCCTCCCAGGCGACAGGGGCTCCGCCGGCAGCCGCACTACACTCCTTATCTGCGCTGGATTACCGGGAACCCGCTTGAACGCCTAAGAGCCCGTAAATCCCCTCTCATCTGGAAGCCGGCAAGCCGCACAGCATTTAAACTGTCGACAGTTACACCTCATTTGTTTACAAGCTTCCTGCGCTGGCTCAGGGGGACTTACATCCCTGCATCGGGTTTCCTGGGGACCCCCAGGGAGGCCCAGTCCTGCCCTCACCATCCCGGAGGCAGAGGAGCCCCGTCCCACACTCGGGAAGGAAGGTAGAGGGTCGGGGGCTTTGGATCCAGAGCCCAAAGCCTCCCCAGACCACTGGCTCAAGGGGAGTGAGGCAAAGGGAGCTGAGAGCTCCGTGCCCTGCTGTGGGCCGCCCCACTCTGGCCCCCGGAGTCAGCAGTGACCCTTGGGTCAACTCTGGTCTCCCAAGCGGGGGTCTGGGTCCCCGCAAAAGGAGAGAGAGTGAGTGCAGTGGTCGGGGCATTTATCCAAGTCAGCTGTGTGCCTAGACACACATGGAGGGGTGGAGGCCCAGGGATAGGGGTCCGGGTGACAGAGGCTCTTCGTGAGTCCCAGAAAGCCTGGGAATGGCAGGGCCTTGTGTGCTCAACACCTGCTGCTGGGTGGAGGGGGCTAGGGCCTTAGAGACCCTCAGGGTGGAAATGTGGACACCAGGGTGCAGTGGGTGTGAGCACAGGGCTGGGGGCTCCTTCCCTGGGGTGCTGCCCACCCAGCTGAGGTCCATGCCCAGGACCTCCCGATGGCTGCTCCAGGTGGAGAGCGGCAGCTGCAGCAGAGGCTGGAACTTTACCAAGCTTTGCCCCACCTGCGAGGGCTGGTGCCTGCCTGGGAGGAGCGTTTGTACCGAGCTCCCTGTAGGTGGGACGGGTGACCCCCGCCACCCGGGAAGGCGGAACGCAGCTCAGCAGAGCAGCTTCCCACCACTCCGAGTAGGGGCAGCCCCATGGTACCTCTGGGGCCAAGTGTGGAGCTGCCTGTGAGGCTCCCATTCCTCGGCGGACTTTTGAGGGTTTGAGGGTTAGTCTCCTCCTGTGTGGATTCTTGGCTGCACTTGGCCCCTCCACTAGGACCAGCTGTGGATTCCTGGAACCTTGACCTGGGCCCTCACCATACGGAGTAGCTCTAGGGCTTAGAAGGGCCGGACTCTGCCCCCGATGGCATGGCCACTGGAGAAGACAGAGTCATGCCTGTCTTCCTCAGACTCTCCCGCATCCTCTGCCAAGGTCTGTTGGGAGCCTCTTCCCGGTGTCCTGCCCACCTCACCCTCAGCCCAGATCACAGAGGGTCCTGCTCTCACAGGAGCTGGCCTGGGTGTCAGGCAATGTCTTGCCCTCTGGCTGGAGCCATGCCATGGGGCAGGCAGCCGCTCTCAGGACTGTGTGCCATGCCCCCCCCCCCCCGCCTGCCCCTGGTGGAGATGAGTCTGCAGGGGTGTAGGACCCTGGAGCACCAGGTCCTCCAGAAAACATCATCATAGTGGTGCCATTCAGCAAGGGATCATGGCGCCTCCATTGGGGCACAGGCATCTGGATCCCCTGGTGCAGCAGTGCCCTGAGATAGCCTCCCTGATGTCCCAGGAGGTGACCATGCCATGAGGCATGGGGTGCTTGAGTGTGGGGATGCCCTCCTGGCCTGATCCTCCCCTAGTGTGGCAGTTTTTGTGTCTAATCACTGCCATAGATGGAGCTTCTGGGCTCTCGTGGAACCTGCTCCTGAGGGTCCATAATGGAAGCCAGGACTGGAGGTCAGTGGAGGAGATGATGGAGGCAGGGGCACTGAGCATGGGGTAGCCCTGAGCACCCTCCACCTGCAGACAAAGCAGTCACTTCTGAGAGGTCCCCGGGACAAGAGGCAGGAGCTGACAGCTACTGGTCCCCACCAGTGTCACTGCAGGGCCAGTCTCAGGAGAACCAATTCTCATGTTCTCTGGGCTCTGCTCCATGTCCTCTCTTCCGCCCGCGAGTTTTGAACAAGAAACCCCTCCAGCAGAGCCCCCAGATGGCAGCATCCAAATGGCACGTCACAGAAAGATCTTGTTTAGGACCAAAGCAAAGAGCTGGCTGGGGCTCGTGGAGTCCTCTGACAGAGTCTGGGCATGGGAATGCATATGCTCCCAATAGGGAAACAGGCTCAAGCCAGTTCCTGTGGATGCCTGCTAGGCAAGGTCAAACAGTTCAAAGCCAGAGGGAGGCGTCTCTCTCCTCCTCCAGGGCTTAGCCCAGCCCATCCCCTGGCCTTGGCCCTTCACTTTGGACACCTCCAGGCTGAAGCAGGGTCAAGCCTCGGATGCAAAGGCTGACCTCACAGCTCCTCCCAATTCTCCTCCCTCACTAGCAGCAGCCTCGTCTGCTTGACACGCTCTGGACCTTCCACCCCTCTCAAGAAAGCCACAGTTAAAAGCCAGCTGTGTTACAATGCTCTTTCTAGAAACTCTATCAGGGCCTTGGGGGACTGCTTACCATCTATTCACTGCAGTGCCCCAGGAAGAACATAGTTCTGAAGAACTAGAGGTCAGAAAACCACCATCACCATTTTCATCACCATCATCACCACAGTCATCTCAGTTGTGGTCATCATCACCATCATTACCACCATCATCATCATCATTACTATTGTCACCATCACTGTCATCAGCACCATCAACACCACCACCATCATCCTCATCACTACCATCATCACCACCACCATCCTCACCATCATCATGATCACCACTACCATCATGTTATTACCATCATCATCACCATCACCATCATCATCCTCACCATCATCACCACCATCACTGTCATCATCACCACCATCACCATCACCATCACATCATCACCATCATCATCACTATCACCATCACCATCATCATCCTCATCATCACCACCACCATCACCGTCATCATCACCACCATCATCATCACCACCACCATCATCACCACCATCATCATCATCCTCACCATCATCACCACCATCACTGTATTCATCACCATCACCATCAACACCACCATCACCATCACCATCATCACCACCATCACCATCACCTCCATCACCATCATCATCACTGTTACCATCATCACCACCACCATCCTCACCATCATCATGATCACACCACCATGTCATTACCATCATCATCACCATCACTGTCATCTTCATTACCATCATTGCCACCATCACCATTATCACCACCACCACCACCATCACTGCCATCATCACCACAACCATCACATTCCTACCACCATAGCAATAGCAGTAGTAGCAGAAGCCATCATAAGAAGAGAAGCAGGGTGTCTTGAATAGAAAAAGGGAGTTTTCTTTTAGTTCTATTTTATTTGTGGTGTAGTTTAGTAACATGGGGATCATCTGGAGTGGAGAAGGGTCTAGGAGGAGTATACAAAGGAGAAGGAGCCATGGTCTGGGACTCTGGGCTGAGCTCTGCTCTCAACTCCCTGTGTGGCCTTGGACATTCTCACCTGTAGACTGGAGTGACCCTGACAGGAAGGGCTTTGATGGTGGAGGCCAGGAGCCCTCACTACATTTCCTTGTAACTTTCGGGTACCATGGAAAGAAATAAAAACCTCATTCAAAGGCCCCATTCCTACCAGGTCCTCCCTTAAAAGGCTGGATGTAACACAGCAAACACACATAGAAAGACTGGGAGGTGGAAGGCCGCCCAGGGACCTCGGGACTGGGGCTCCTAGGCTTCCTGACTGTCTCCCACACGTGTCTAGCAGGGTGCTCAGAAGCCTCTGACCCAAATCTCCAACAGGCACAGACACAAAA
Source organism: Homo sapiens (assembly GCF_000001405.40). Classification (NCBI taxonomy): domain Eukaryota; kingdom Metazoa; phylum Chordata; class Mammalia; order Primates; family Hominidae; genus Homo; species Homo sapiens. The sequence continues at coordinate 3,025,262 of NC_000001.11, read as the reverse complement.
AGCTCCCAGAAAAGCCTGTTCCCCCTGGGAACAGGGTGACCCAGCAGAATAGCTTTTTGGAAACACCTTCCTTACTCCAGCTCAACACCAATGAAAACACCACACCCCACCTTTGGGTTTCAGTGGGAAAGTGGGGAATTGATCTAACACCCTACCTCCACCTCACTCCCGCCCCTTCCCACCCCCACATTACCCCTACACCTCACCCCACTCCATCCCCTTCCCTCCCCATCTCACCCCCATCCTATCCCCACCTCCCTCCACCCCCCACCCCACCCCACCGCCCCCAGCAGCAGCAGTGAGGCTGAGCCAGGTGGTGTGAGCCAGTCTCATCGCCACCACTTCAGCCTGAACCTTAGGGTCAGTGGGCTCCCTGCAGGGATGTGAACCCCCAGCATTCACGCGGTGGGAAAAGGTGATGGGATAAGCCCAAAGAAATCCACTCCGAGACGCATCAAAATTAAACTTCTGAAATCTAGAGACAGTGAAAACTCTGAAGCAGCCACAGAGACCTGACCCATGACCTGGGGAGCCCAGCGAATAACAGAGGATGCCTGATCGAAACCAGGCGGCTGGAGAGCCCGAGAGCTGAAAGGAAACGGTGACCTGCAGATTCCACTGCAGTGGACACAGCCTTCAGGGATGAGGGAGAAATTAAGTCACCTCAGTTGAAGGAAGGCAAAGATTCTGTTGCCAGTGTCCTATCTTTGCAGAATGGCTGCAGGAAGCTCTCTAAACACAGGAGGAATAACAGCACAATGAGTCTTGGGCTTCAGACAGGACAAAAGAACACCAGATTGGGTAAAAATAGGGGTCAATAGATTCGACTTGACGAGCTTCTTAAATCATATTTGATGGTTGAAGGAAAAATCTCAGCCCCCCTGATGTTGCATTCAGTGCACACACAGCAGACAAGACAACTGTGTTTTAGAGGTGAGGGGGAAGGGTCCCGGACAGAAGAAGGTTTCACGTTTCCCTCTAATGGTACCATGTCAATGCCCGTAGCTTGTGACATCATATACATCCCGGCATATACGGCGTAATACCCAGGGTGACCACTAAGAAACCTACAAAAACGAGGTACTCTAAACACGCTAAATAAATCAAGACACAATCCTGAAACATGTTCCAGTAACCCAGAGGGAGGTAAGAAAAGAGAAACAGGAATGAGAAGCAGAAGACACAGCAGAGAGTGATCAGATGGCAGACTTGAGATTCCGTGTATCAATGAGTTACCAGGTAAATGGACTAAATACACCAACTGAAAGGCAGAGATTGGTAGGGTGGATAAGAAAACGACCCAGCTATACGCCGTCTTCACACCAGCCCCATGCTCACTTCCAACAGCATAGGTCGGTTGAAAGTGAAATGGTGGAAAAAGATGCACTTTGTGAAGATTGAAAGACACACGCATTTCAGGTAAATGGGTTTATTTCATTCAGGCTGAATTTCCTGAGTACTTTTTTCTCCTTTCTTCTTTCCGCCTGCATTGCGTCTCCCTCCCTCTTCCCTTGGCGACATGCTGGAACCCACAGTGCATGCACTTGGTAACCACATAGAACACAGGTATGGGTCCACACGAAGCAGCGGACATAGGCAAAGACATGGGGAAGGGGCGCTGTTTTCTTTTCCAAAAAACCAAGGGAAGGACCATGGCGTAAAGAGTTATCTGTATTTTCCACTTCTCTCCCAATAATATTTTGGGTTAATTCCACCACATCAATGTGGAAAAATTCCCTCCATGCATAATTTACTCAACCGTTAACATTGGTGATGGCCATTAACTTTGTTTCCAGCATTCTGCCCCCAAACAATGATGCTATAAACATCACTGAAAGTAAAAACAAACAGAAGAATCACACTTGCTAAGCAGAAGTGTTGATTCTTTGTACTTCCTTTGGGAGCAGGACCCCTGAGTTTAGAGGGCCCTAAACAAACGGTGACTTCTGTTCCCGTCTGTTCCTATCTGCTGAGAGCGGCAGCTCCACCCTGTTCAGCCGCCCGGCCTCACACAAGCAGAGCCCCGGCCCTGGCATGCTAGGTAGGGCCCACACAGGGAGGGGTTTCTTGCTGAGCCGTCAGAACCTGGTGCACGCGCTAGTCCCCACCATCCCTGCCGACTCTCTCAGCCCACCTAAGACCCTTGTTTAGAATGCGGACTCCAGCGCCCTATTCACCTGAGGCCCAGGGCCCTACTTTCATACAAACTGCAGATGGACACAGCCTGGCCTCAGCCCAGGCTTTCTTGGGAGGAAGCGAAGGGGAGCGGGTGTGGACCAAGACACTTCACAGATTCACTGTCAGGGCCAGAAATGACTCTGCCGCCCCCAAGAAGGAACTGAGCCGAGGTGGCCAGGTGTTCCGGCATTGGTCCTTTATTGAACATCCTCCCAAAGCTGGGGCTAGGGTTCACCCCCCACGGTACCCAACGAGAAGCGGCCTTCAGAAGCATCTTCTCTGCACCACGGAGGTCCCAAACTCCTTGAAGTCTGCGGCGGTGACCCACATCTGCTTGAAGCTACTCAGAGAGGTGACGATGGAGGCTCCAATCCAGGTGGAGAACCACCGGTCGGGGGGAGCCGTGATCTTGATGGGGGTGTCCTTGGAGGCCAGCTGCTCCAGCTCCTTGAGAAGCCGGTCATCCAGCCCGTGGAACAGGGTAGTGCCCCCCGACAGCACAATCTCCCCAAAGAGGATCTTCTGGATGTCGGTATCACACTTGGTGATGCTGCTGGAGACCATATTCGAGAGCCCGGGGCTCTGGCTGCCCAGCTGCTGGGGCACGAACAGGGCCTCGGGCGCCTGGTGCAGCGGGTCCCCGAGGCTGATGATGTTCCCGTCGGGCAGCTTGTACTCCCTCAGGACCTCCTCCGGCCTCCGGGAAAGCTCCTTCTCGGGCTCCAAGGCCACGTAGCACAGCTTCTTTTTGATGTCGTCCACGAGACCCTTGTCCAGCTGGCAGGGGAAGGTGTGGCCGCTGGCCAGGAGCAGCTGCATGAGGAGCTCCGTGATGTCCCTGCCCGCCACGTGGAGCTTGGTGACTGCGTGGGGCAGGGAGTAACCCTCAAAGATGGGGACAGTGCAGGTGACCGCATCCCCGCTGTCCACCACCAGGCCCGTGACACAGGCAGAGGCGTAGAGAGCCAGCACCGCCTGGTCCGACAGGTAGAAAGCGGGCACGCCGAAGTTCTCGAACATGACTTCTGCCATCTTCTCACGGTTCTCCCTGGGGTTCAGGGAGGGCTCCGTTGCAAGCAGGGGCTGGTCGCTGGGTTTCACGCCTAGCTCCCACTCAAAGAGGTGCTTCCAGAGTCTCTCCACGTCATCCCACCCTGTGATCAGGCCACGCTCGAAAGGGGAGTGCAGCTGCAGGGCCTCCTGCTTGTACAGGGCCTCCTCCCCCACAAAGTACTTCTTCTGGTTGGCCTCTGCTGAGGGAGCCTGGAATTTCAGGTGCCCCACGATGGAGCTGACCATGTGCCGGGGTCCAAACTCCCCAGACAGGCCCGCTTTGCAGAACCCCGAGCCATTGTCAAAAATCACAGCCGGGGAGTCTAAAGCGTGCGGATTAAACATGCCCGCAGCCTTCCCTTCTCAGCCTCATCAAAATAAAGACCAGCCCTCCAGGGCCGCTTTGTGATGCAATAGGGGATCCCACAGCTCTTCCCACAGCTCTCGGGGTGTCTCAAGGCAGGGCTAGCACCGTGCCCGGGAGCCCTGCATCCTCAGCCGCAGGTCTGCTCTCCCTCCAGGTGGCCTGGGCCTGCTGAGGCCTCTTCCAGGGGGCCAGGGGGTTGTCTCCTAGGTAACAATCTAGCCAAGGCAACGATTGTCCTGAGCCTCAGAGGCCCTGGGGGTGGGGCTCTGAGTCCCCCATCCCCCACAGGGTGAGGTGAGAGAGAGAGAGAGAGACAAGTGCATCCTAGGGCGGTGCTGGACAAGCCTGTGGGCTGAGGCAGAGACTTAGCTTTAGAGTGGAGAGAAGCAGCCCAGCCTGCGTGCACCCTAGAAAACCAGCTTCTCTGGCCCCTGAGCTGCAACTTCTGGGGTGACAACACTTCCCTTTGCTAAGGGGGAAAACCAAGCACCAGGTCGGAGGGGTGTTGTAAGCAGTTCTGTCCCAGCAGGCACTTAGAATGTGCTTTTGAATAGTGATTCCCCCAGGAAGCTCTCAGGGATTTCTCCTCCCTCCATCCCATTAGTCCTGGCTGTCTGTCCCACTGGGTAGACCCTATTCAAAGCCCTCTGGGCTGCTGGCCCTTTGTCCAGGAATACATCTCTGCTCTGGCTTGAGGCCAGCACCCCTCATTCCTCTCTGCAGACTCTGAAGTGCCAGCACACAACAAAGTCCAGCAGCCATAGAGTTGGGAACCCAACAGCCCTGAAGATATGGCCTGCTGGTTTCACATGGGTAGCCTGGATTGCAGCCTGTGACACCTCTCTGTGTCTATGAGCTGCCACACAGTCAGGCCACAACCACAGAGCAATGCTCAGAGGTGACCAGGCCATTAAAGGTCAAGGCCTGAGCATGACCAGGAAGGAGGCACCGGGCCAGGCCAAGGGCACCCACAACAGTGCACGCCCGGCACTCAGACCCCCGCTTTGTCTTCCGCTTGGGGAGAAAGTGGGAGGGGATCCAACCTGGGAACCAGCTTCACTTTTTTCCTAAGGAGGTTGGAGGTGGCCTTGGAGAATGTGAGGTTTATTCTACCTCTCCTGTCATATCCACAATCATGCTCCAGCCCAGCTTGGCCCCCCAGAGTTCTCCCAGAGGACGCCTCCCGGGGTCACTCCCTTCCTGGAGCCCCTCAGCTCCTGCTGGTGGCCCCCTCTGTGTGTCCTGCCTGCCCTGCTGACCCACCAGCAGGCATTAATCCGATGGTGGTGTAGACACATGTTGTAGATGGGCAGTCTAGACACGTGGTACAGACATGTGGTGTAGACACGAGGTACAGACGCATATGGATGTGCCGTGTAGATGCATGGGATAGATGGGTGGTGTAGACACGCGCGGTACACTCGTTGTTGATGTGTGGTGTAGATGTGTCTTGTTGACACGTGGTTTTGTGGGCCCCACTAATCCCTGGGTGGTAGTCAACAAAAACTTGATTATTGAAGGATTTTCCTAGAGGGGACCCCCCCAGAGGGAAACTGAGTCAAAAGCGTGCCAGGGCAGGTGTGGCTCTTAAATCTCCATTTCTCTGGAAACTGTGGCAGCCACCACACAGCTTGCTTGCAGTCGTCTCAGAGACCCCGGGCTCCCTGAGGCAGTAGGTGTGGACGGAGGCACTGACCCATGGGCACGGCCTAGGGCCCTGAGGCCTCCTTCGAAACCTGTTGACCCAGACGCTGGAGCTCCTCCCTGCCCACATCAAGGTCACCCCGCAGGTCCTGCTGAAGGTCACCTGAGGCCTGTGCTGGGGGACACGGAGAGTGTCCCGGGGCAGGGGCAGGCACCATCCCGACCCTGCTCCTGTTCGATAGCAGGCACGGGCAGAGGGTGCCCCCCTTGAACGCCATCTTCCAGGGGCAGGCGCCATCCCAACCCCGCTCCTGTTCGATAGCGTGCACGGGCAAATGGTGCCCCCCTCGAAGGTCATCTTCCAGGCAGGTCCCAGGCTGCGAGGTGACTCATCCTCCAATGCCTTTCTGGCTGTCCCATGCAGCCACATTCACAACAGAAGGACCACCCTGCGCGGGAAGGGTTCCCTCCTCGCTGAACTAGGAGACCACAGGCGCCAGTCCTGGGAAATACAAGTGGGCCCATCCCTGCTGACCTGCACAACCTGGGGTCCTGGCAGAGGTGTGGCTGTCCACAAGGCTGGCCCTTTGAAGCCCTGGGACAGGATCTGGGAGGCTCTCTCCTGGCTCTGCAGAGGGGCAAGGTCCCTCTCAGTCACATGCCCTGCTGAGCACTGGCTCAACATCAGCCGATGCTACCAGAGATGGCCCCAGATGGGCACCAGGTTTACCCAGGAGGGCGAGAGAGTGCCGCTCAGGGATGGTACGTGCCCCCCCGGCTGAGCCCTCTCTGCCCACAGCCCCCGGCTAAGCCCTGTCTACCTTGTAGAGATGGCCTTGGCCTGGGAAGGGCCCGCAAGGCTGGGACGACTAAGCCTGCTGTGTTGTCTCCCAGACCCCGGCTCTGCACAGTCCAGGTCCACCACCAACCTGTGGGGATTGCTAAGGTTTCGAGTCTCACATTTTGGGGAGAGCATTCCCTGGCTGGCTGCTGCGCCTTGGGGTTCCAGCCTGCAGCCATCACAGAGGGTCTGCATCCTTGGTTCTCAGGTGTGGCTGGAAGTGCGTCAGTGTCGCCCAATACTCGGGGCTGAGCTGAGAGGAACGTGCTCCGATGCTTTCTAGATTTTGGCTCTGCCGGTGGCCACAGTGGGAGGCAGTGGCAATGCTGGTGCGGAGGGCTCTTGGGTCAGGCACACAGATGCTTTGAGGTGGCCCTGGGCGGGCTGGGGTCTTGGGCATTTGCAGGCAGGACAGAGGAGGAGGCAGACGCCGCTAAGCCTGGGCTGCTGAGCTCCCGGTGGGGTGTTGTGGGGCTTCTGAGGTTCCTCCATCCCCTGTTGCTGTCACAAGGCACAGTCACAGCACCCCGGGCACAGCCTCTTACCCTTGTGCATGTCCTGCAAAAACACACAGGCCCCCGCCCCCGCCCTCCCCGGCCCGGCTGCTTCCCCAGCCTCCACATTAGGTCTGGGACTTTCCACCTATTTTCAGCTCTTCTCGGTCCCTCCATGACCCCTGCCAGTCCCCGTTTTGGAGAAGACAAGGGCATACCCCCAAGTACACAACTGGGAAAGCCGGGGCACTGGCAGCACAGTGGCCCTGGGCCAGGTCCTTTTTTCCCTAAATGTTTTCACTGTCCCTGCTGAGCCTGGGAGAAGTGGTGCCCTTGGCCTTGGGTCTGGTGCCCTGACCCATCCTGGTAACTCAGGAGAGTCGTGGCCGAGATGCCACATGCCCGGCAGAGCAGGCCCTTCGAAGCCCACCACATTGCTGTTTGTCTATTTGGGAGAAGCAATTGGCAGGCAGGGTGGTCTTGCCCTAGTTACCATCGGGATGCCTGGACACCCGGGGCGACGCTGGCTCCGTCACCGTCGTATCTGGGTTTGCTGTTGGAGCCGAGAACCTCAGGGGCAAGGCCTGGCTCAGGGCCCTGCCGCTGGCTCGGTAGACGCTTCTGTCCTGGCTGCTCAGTGTCTCACTGGGCTGAAGAATTGTCTGCCATGTGGGCAGAGCCAGAAGAAGCAGGAAGGACCCTGAAGACCCTACCACCAAGGAGGCCTGGCCACTGTCTGGGGCTGGCACCACGTGGCCACTGAGAAGATCCAGTGGGTTTAAGAGCCACAGCCTATGTGACATTCTACTGGTTTCCAGCTGTCCCCAGGGCAGAAGTTCCTCCCTGTGGTTCTCGGTTCTCAGGTGCCTGGGAACCTCGGCCTCTTCCCATCAGCGGTGCGAGACACCGTGCTCACCATCCATGAGGAAACACCTTCGACCCTCTGACTACTTGTGTCTGCACCTCCTGGAGGTACCCGTGTGAGACCCACAGGGGTCCCTGTCACCTAGGGGATTTGATGTCCAACTGGACAGAAACCCCAGTAGCTGAGCGGTCTTGGAGCTCATGGGGAGCGCTGGTGGCGAAGGCTGTTATTAACACAAGGACGTTCTCCTTTCCCTGCTCCAATTAGAGGCCACGGTTCCGCCTTGGTCCACCCCCACCCGCGCTGAGCAAGCCTCATAAATCACTTGAACAAGTTTATGGGTGAGCTGGCTGCACCGCCAACCCCCTCCAGGGCAGGGCTCACCCTGAGATGATTCTGGGGTCATCATTTCGTCCTACACAGAAAGCCTCATTCTTCCTTCTGCTGGAGTAGTTGTGCCCAGCACAGCCGCCTCCCACTCCGCCAGCACCCCCCACCCACCTCCCATCCCCGGGGAGGGGCCCTGAGACTGCAGCTGGAGGTGGATGGACGTGGGTGTCCCCGGGAAGCTGTCAGGCATTTGAGCTTGGAGTGGGCAGCCCTGTATCTGCTGGGCACCCCCTGCCCCCACTAGCCTGGCTTAGGGTGCCCCGGTCACCGAAAACCTGGGCGAGGGGCCTCTCTGTCGGCCCCATTGTCCCTGGTTCCATCTGTCAGTGGTGGACAGAGCCTCAGCCAATTATTGACCAGTGGACTGGGCTCATCAGTGCCGGCCCTACATCTGGTGGCCAGATCCCTCTGGCTGAGGGTTCCACGCCAGTGTCAGTAGTGAAGGAACAGGGCGACTCTTGGATGGCAGGAGGTGCGCTGTCCTCAAAAGAGTGAGGAGGGTGTGGGGAGCACAGGGCCCACGAGCGGCCACAGGAGGATCCAGTACGGCTGCTCCTCCACCTCTCTGCCCGTCACCCCAGAAGGGCCCAAGCCCCAGCATTCTCCCCCGCAGCTCAGCGCTTGTGAGTCCCTAAGATGGAATCCGAGTCCCCTCCATCCACCTACCCACGCATCCACCCACCCAGTATCCATCTTTCCAGCCATACTTCATGTATCCAGCCTTCCTCCCTCCCCTGGCTCCCCTCTCTCCTTCCCTTCCTCTCTCCTTTCTCCCTCCCTCATTCCCTTCCTCTCCCCTCCCTCCCTCTTTCCCTTCCTCTCCCCTTCCTCCACCCCTCCCTCTTTCTCTTCCTCTCCCCTACTCCCTCATTCCCTTCCTCTCTCCTCCCTCCTTCCTTTCCTCTCTCCCCCCTCCTTCCCTTCCTCTCTCCTCCCTCTCTCCCTCTCTGACTTCCTCTCTCCTACTCCCTCATTCCCTTCCTCTCTCCTCCCTCCTTCCTTTCCTCTCTCCCCCCTCCTTCCCTTCCTCTCTCCTCCCTCTCTCCCTCTCTGCCTTCCTCTCTCCTCCCTCCCTCCCTCCTTCCTTTCCTGTCTCCTCCCTCCCTCTCTTCTTTCCTTCTGTGGTGCCCAGAGCAGTGGCCAGCAGGGGTGGTCTCAGGAGAGTGGCGGCTCCAGCCTCCCTGGCCAGGGGATGAGCCCCACCTAGGCACACAATGGCTGCAGAGGTGGCCTCTCACCTGGGACAGGTGTGGCAGGAACCTGAGATGGAGGTTTGGGAATATTGGGTTCTGGATGCTAAAAAGACAAGGGCCCTCCCTGCAGCAGCTTCCAGGGCTCTGTGACTTGCTCCCCGACTGCAGGCTGGGCTAGAAAATGCAGACCCCAGGACTGCCTCCCTTGTGGGGTGTCAAGTAGGTGCCACCCATGAGGGTGGGCTAAGCCCTGGGGCCCAAGACCACACCTCAGTGGCATTATCCACATGCAGCCAGATGCTGGTGGACTGCTCTGCATGGTGCCCAGAGATGGGCTGCTGCCATTGAGGGCATCCTCACAAAATCACACAGCCTGGGGACTTCGGCAGCAGCCGCTGACCTCTCACGGTTCTGAGCCTGGGAGTCTGAGATCAGGCCCAACACCGGGGGGTCTGTGAGGGTCATCTCTGACTGTGTCCTCAGTGGCAGAGAGGGAAGGGGCTCTGGTCTCATTCTCTTCTCACAAGGACCCTAATCACCTCCCAAAGGCCCCATCTCCTGACCCCACCACACTGGGTGTTAAACGGCTTCACAGAGGACAGCAGGGGAACATTCAGTCCACATGGGACTGGCCCTCTTCAGCTCTCCGTGCAGAGGCCTGGAGTGAGGCTCATGGGCAAGGTGGCCGAGGCTCGAGTGCCAGTGCAGCCCCAAGGCGCTCACGAGCGTGCACATCCTCAGGTGAGCTCTGCTCAGTCATCAGCATTATGAGTACTGTTGTTATTTTCCAATGCAGGGGCTCGGCGCTTCCCCTGGCCAGGACTCAGTGCCTCGCTGCAGGGCCGGGGGAGCATCCAACCCTGGAGTAGGGGAGGAGGAGAGTGAGCCCAGACACTGCCAAGCTACCAGGCACCTCTGCCCTGGAGGAACACAGGCAGGAGGGTGGTGGGAGGACCAGGCTGCAGGGACACTAAGTCTGGAGGCTGGGCAGTGCCTTTGCTCGCCTGCCAGGGACAGGGTGGCATCAGCGCACAGGGCAGCCTCACTCCTCTGGACTTGGAAATATTTTGCTCTGTGCACACATGTGCTGGGGGGTGTGGGAGCCAGGCCCCTCCTGTGTCCCGTCCATAGCAGGTGAAGCTGGAGCAGGCTTGAGGCTGGCCGGGCAAGGCCACAGGCATACGGGGGCTGAGGGATGAGAACAGCCTCTGCCCATGCCCATCTCCCTCCGGAGAGCACTGCTCGCATTTGTATTGACTTTCAAGGGGAACTGGGCTTTGACCTGGAGCATTGGCGCTGAGCACCGTGTGAGGTGCCGGGAAGCCCCCTCCCGGCCCCGCTTGCTGCTCCAGTGTCACTGCGGTTACCCTGGGTCAGGCGCATCCCCCACGTGTCCCTGCCCCTCCTCCTCCGAGCGAGTGTGTGGAGTGCAGTGCTGCTCTTCTGAACAGCTGCTCAGTGACCTGTTGTCTGCGTTGCCCACTTTATTAGACCAACCCCTATTGAGGTATTTCCATTTAATAATTGTTCAATTATTGAGGTTTTTCTGTTTTTTCTTTTTTCTGTTACAAGCGAAGCGCCGTCAATCGCATTGCGCGCCCACCTGCATATGCTTGCCGTGTACTTTGGGGCTGCACCTGAACTCAGGGCTGGTCCATCCAGGGGTGCACGTGCTCACAACATGGACAGAAACTGGCAGAAAAATGTTCCCAGCTTCCTCCTTCCCCTTCCCAGGGTCCAACACCCCATATGTGAAGAACCATGGGACAATTCCTCAAAGGGTCACTTTCCTCCCAAGGTCTTCTAAAATCTCCACACGAAAACTCAAGGGCTAATGGAGGGGTGGATTCTGGCAGCCGATGCACCCATGTCCTGGGGCTGCCGGAAGCACGTGCTGCAAACTCAGCAGTGGAAACAACAGAAATTCATCCTCCCGCAGTTCTGGAGACCGGAAGTCCAACATCAGGGTGTGGATGGGGCCGCCAGCCTCTGAGGGCACTGGGCAGGTCCCTGCTCCAGGCCCGGCTCCTGGTGTCTGGGGCTCCTGGGCTGTGGTGGCATCGCTCTAGTCGGCCCTGTCTATGCCTCTGCATCTGGGTTCTCCTTCTCCCAAGGACACCAGTCCTTTTGGGTTAGGGCCCACCTCAATGACCTCATCTTGCCTTGATCATCTGCAAACACCCTATTTGGTCCTATTCCCAGGTACTGGGGGCTAGGACATGAATATGTGCATTTTAGAGGGGGCCGGAGTTCAGCAGGTGCTGCCTGCCCGCTGGGAACCGGCTGTGTTTGTGCGCAGCAAGCAGCGGCACTCCCCGCCTTGGGGATCCAGGTGACAGCGTAGCACCCAGTGAGAGGCGGGAGCCTGGTGGGCATTTCAGGAGAGGCTGCTGCATGTGGAGCAGAGAAGGAGGGGCCATGGCCCTCTCCAGCCACATTGGGAGTTACTCTCCAGGCCTCTCCGGCCAGGTAGGGAGTTATTCCACGCTTCAGCAGCTTAAGACAAGTGTTTCTCATCTCATGTTTCTGAGGGCCAGGAATCTGGGTACAGCTTGTGTGGGTGCCTTTGAGTCTCAGGTCCTGATGAGGCTGCAGCTAAGCTGTGGGCAGGGCCTGCCGTCTCATCTGAAGATTCAATGGGGAGTGAGAGGGGAGTTTGGCCTCCAAGCTCTCATCTAGCCATTGTCCGGCCTTGGTGTCTTGCCACATCGGCCTCTCCAGGTAGCTTCATACATGGCATCGGCTTCCCTTGGGGGGACTAGACCGAGAGAGAGACAGAGACAGAGAGAGAGACACAAACAGAGAGAGGAGGAGGGGGTGAGAGACAGAGACAGAGAGAGACACAGAGACAGAGGAGAAGGGAGAGAGAGACAGAGACAGCAAAAGAGACAGAGACAGAGAGACAGAAAGGAAGAGGGAAACAGAAAGCTAGAGCAAAAGGTGGGGAGAGAGACAGAAGGAGGAGGCGGCCAGCCAACGCAGAGGCCAGGGCCTCGCCAGAACCCTCTCTGGGAAGCAGCGTCACCCGTGCTGCTCTCCACCCATCAGAAGCACGCTGGTCAGCCCAGCTGAGGGGCAGAAGTCACCCAAACGAGATGGCACATCGAGGGCCGTCTTGGAGCTCCCCTGGACAGGGCATAGGCCAGGTCCCCAGGACTGAGGTGCAGAGTCACCCCGTGGGAGCTCCCACCCAATTCCAGCCACTCCGGCCCAGTTTCCTCGGCTGTCAGCAGGGACAGTGCTGTCAGCCAGTGTCCAGGCAGGGCTGGGGACTGAGCCCTCCACGCACGGCCTTTTGGGGAGTGTGGCCCTGGTGGCACGGGACAGGTGGCAGGGGCACCCGGCAGGGCTCCTGAGAGATTGAGCGGGGGGCGCTCTCCCTGCTTCAAACCACGATTTCCACCCAGTTCCTCATTCTTCAGCATCGCAGGTCCTGATGTGCGACGTCCGGAAGGAACTGGGTCTTTCTCTGCCCCCGCCTCCGGGGAGAAGCCCGGCTTCCCTGTCCCAGGAGCCCAGACCCAGGCGGGTCCCGCGGGAGCGCCGCGTGGGGCCCTCAAAAGAGAGGCTTTCTCGCCCCCTGCCGGCGCGTGGTGGGACTGCCACGGGCCTGGGGAGGCGGCGGGGTGGGGGCGGTGGGGATGCGGGGACAAAGCTGGCTTGTTAATTTCACAGAGAGGCAGGACCATGGAGGAGGGAATAAAAGTCAATGTTTGCTAAATAAGGGGGAAGAATCGCCCCGCCTCGGTGGGGAAAAGGTTTGCTTTCAAGTATATCAAAGCGATTACCCGGAGGAAGGCCAGGCAGAATGAGTGTGTGTGCAGGGGGCCAGCGCTCGTTTTCCCAGCGCTCCCAGCGCGGCCTGCAAATGCGCTCCCCCCGACTGGACACAGCCGAGCTTTTGGTTTTAAATAGTTTATAACATTTCAGATGCAGCTTCTAAGTCAGCAGTCCCAGGAGACGCCGAACAGACTTCTACACTTAGCCAGTGATAAATAACCGGGAGAACACAGGGCCCGGAAGGATCCAGATTTAATTCAAAGAATTTAAAATCGAACGTTGAAAGAGCGCTTTGCATTCATGAGGCGTGCTCACTTCCAGCTGGAGAAAGAAAAGGCCTTGTGTTCGGGGGAGAGGCAGGAGAGCTAACCTTTCTGCCATGTGCCTGCCGCTTCCAGCCGGCTCGCCGACATTTTTCATCTGCAAATGGCAGGCGTCGTTTCTGGAAGCCGACACGAGGAGAGATTTATCATCTCTGCGGAGTTTCGGCTCCAGGTGGAAGGATTTGCCTCCACGGCGAGGTTGCCGCCTAGCCAGCCCGGACGGGGAGGGAAGGTCCTGCCCCTTCTCTGTGGACACCTCTCTGGTTTCCAGATGGAAGTGCTCCCAGCAGAAGCCGTTGCCCGCTGCAGGCCCTGGGCTGTGTCCTGGATGACCGTGCACGTGCTGCCGGCCCGGGGCCGCCTGGCCTCTGTCACGGGTGGGGCACATCAGGGGCTGGATGGCCGGCCCAACACGCCCCACACAGCCAAGGCCATCTGAGGAGGGGGCTCCCGGCCGAACTGCCCCCTTCCCGCCTGCTGCTCCCCCTCATTCCAGAAATCAGGACCCTGGTTGGGCCCCAAAATACTGGAATTGCGGCTCCTTCGGGCCTGCGAATCCACGTTCAGTTTTGAAGGATCTGCGCACCTGGGTGTACCAGGTTGAACAATGTCCACCCAGAACCTTAGGAATTACTTTATCTGGAAATAGGGTCTTTGCAGATGTAACAAGGTAGGTTGGAATGTGGCCATACCGGATTACGGTGGGCCCCACACCCAACGACTTCTGTCCCAGAAGAGACACACGGAGAGAATGCCACGTGACAAGGAGGCAGAGATGGCAGTGAGGTGCGGGCAAGCCCAGGAACTCCAGGGATGGCTGGCCACAAGCGGGGAGGAGGCAAGGACCGATTCTGCCCAGAGTCTCAGAGGGAGCAGGGCCCTGACCACACCTCAGTTTGGGACGTCTGGTTTCCAGACCATGAGAGCATAGTGACACAGAAAGCCCATCCGTGTCAGGCTAGCATTTTCCAGATCCTGTTTTAAACAGCCACAGAAAATGAATGAAGTATGTTCATCAGAGCCACAGATCGATTGTCAGAACTTTTCTTAGGCTGTGAAGCTTCAACATGTTCCACCTCTCTGCTGTATCCCTACTTGACATGGTTTGGCTGTGTCCCCACCCAAATCTCATTTTGAATTGTAGTTCCCATAATTCCCTCATGTCATGGGAGGGACCTGGTGGAAGGTAATTGAATCATGGGGGTGGGTCTTTCCTGTGCTGTTCTCGTGATAGTGAATAAGTCTCAAGAGATCTGAAGGTTTTATAAAGGGGAGTTCCCCTGAGCACACTCTCTCTTGCCTGCCACCATGTAAGACATGGCTTTCTCCTCTTTTGCCTTCTGCCAAGATTGTGAGGCTTCCCCAGCCATGTGGAACTGTGAGTCCATTAAACCTCCTTTTCTTTTCTTTCTTTTTTTTTTTGAAAGAGTCTCTCTCTGTTGCCCAGGCTGAGGTGCAGTGGCATGATCTCAGCTCCCTGCAGCCTCCACCTCCTGGGTTCAAGCGATTCTCCTGCCTCAGCCTCCTGAGTGGCTGGGATTACAGGCATGTGCCACCAAGCCCAGCTAATTTTTGTGGTTTTTTTTTTGAGACAGAGTCTTGCTCTCTCGCCCAGGCTGGAGTGCAGTGGCGCAATCTCGGCTCACTGCAAGCTCCGCCTCCCGGGTTCACGCCATTCTCCTGCCTCAGCCTCCCAAGTAGCTGGGACTACAGGTGCCCGCCACTATGCCCAGCTAATTTTTTGTATTTTTAGTAGAGACAGGGTTTCACTGTGTTAGCCAGGATGGTCTCGATCTCCTGACCTTGTGATCCTCCTGCCTCGGCCTCCCAAAGTGCTGGGATTACAGGCATGAGCCACCGTGCCCAGCCCTTAATTTTTGTGTTTTTAGTAGAGATGGGGTTTCACCATGTTGGCCAGGCTGGTCTTGAACTCCTGGGCTCAGGTGATCTGCCCGCCTCTGCCTCCCAAAGTGCTGGGATTACAGGCGTGAGCCACCGTGCCCAGCCCCTTTTCTTTATAAATCACCCAGTCTCAGGTATGTCTTTAATAGCAGCATGAAAACAGACAAATGCACTACCTTTCCACAGTTCTGCTCTGAGGTGGCCCTTGGGTGCTCTGAGCCCCACAGATCCCCTTCTTCAACCAGCTTTCCCTGTGACCTCCCACTGTCCACTGTCCACAGAGAGAAAACCACACTTGCCAACTCACCTTTTAGAAATTATCCACTTTCCCTCTTGCTGGCTGTTATTCTTTTTAAGAGGACCTGCAGGGCATCTGAGTGGAAGATACCACAAAGGCAACTGCTAGTCTCAGACTTCACTCCCAGCTTGAATGATGGAGGCCTTGGAGAGTCTCTGGGGAGAAGTGGAGGCTGGGGGTTTGGGGGCACTGGGCAGCTGAGAAGGTGGGCTCCCCACATAAGTAGATCTCAGCCTCACATTGCAGCTCATTATCTCTCCCCCAGAGACATCTCAGTGGAAAGCCCATCCATGTCAGGCTTGTATTTTCAGGTTCTGGGTACCCGGCAACCGATTTAAGATTTTAGGAGGTGGGGATAAGATTTCTCTAGAAACAAACCCATCATTTGCCTTATCAAGTGGCAGAAGGAGACATTTCAGGCTCCCCACCCAGCTTCTGAGGATCTGCCATTTCCAGGGACCATGCTTCCACCTCTAGAGGGGGAGGCAGCTCCAGCAGGGCCACATGTGGGGACTCTGTGACAGATGAGGTGGCCATTCTGTTGGAGGGGATGGAAGGACACTGTTCCGAGGAAGAGCCACATGTGAGCCAAGCTGAGCCACTCCAAGGAGCCGGCATTGCCTGTTGGAGCTTTGCATCATCCCCTAACTTTTTGCCCAGGGGCGCCATGCTCTGGGCCTCCTATGTGAGCAGTCAATAATTACCTTTCTCTTGAGGGATTCTGCCAATAACAGCTGTGGAGCAGCTGGTCCAGCTCCGTCATCCCACAGGAGGTGGGCATGGAAGGCTGGGCCAGGACATACCTCCTCCTTCTGAGTCTGCACACTCGGCTCCACGCAGTCACTCAGAGTCCAGGGGATGGGTACCATTGTGTTGTCCATGAGACAGATGTGGGAGGATCCTGCCTCTGCTTAAGTGACACATGTCACTTCTGCTCACACCTCATCAGGACGAGTCACATGGCCAAACCCACCTGTGTAGAAACCAGGAAGTGTGGGCGAGCAGAGAGCCAGCCTGGTGCACAGTCCTGAGCCTGCCCCACATGGGCTTGCCTGATTCCGTGGGACATGTCTATATAGCATATTTCTCCTTGTTCATCTGAAATTCAAATTTAACTGGGTGTCTTAGGCCATTCTTGCATTGCTATAAAGAAATACTCAAGACTGGGTAATTTATAAAGAAAAGAGGTTTAACTCATTCATGGCTCTGCAGACTTTACAGGAAGCATGGTGCTGGCATCTTCTCAGTTTCTGGGAAGACCTCAGGAAGCTTACAATCATGGCAGAGGGCAAAGGGGGAGCAGGCATGGCACATGGTGAAAGCAGGAGAAAGTGAGGGGCTGGAGGGGTGCCACACACTCTGAAATGACCAGATCTCATGTGAACTCAAAGCAAGAGCTCACTCATCACCAAAGGGATGGTCCAAGGCATTCATGAGGGATCCTCCTCCATGACCCAATCACCACCCATCAGGCCCCACCTCCAAGACTGGGGATTACATTTCAACATGAGATTTGGGTGGGGCCTTAAATTTAAACTATGTAAGTCCACCCCTGACCCCTCCACAATCTCATGCCCTTCTCACATTGCAAAATATAATCATGCCTTACAAACAGTCCCCCAAAGTCTTGACTCTAATTTCCGGTGTTAACTGAAAAGTTCAAGTCCCAAGTCCAAACTCTTATCTAGAGATGTTTTTTCCTTCTACCTATTAGTGTGTAAAATCAAAACAAGGTATTTACTTCCAGAATACAATAGAGGCAGAGGAACTGGATAAATGTTCCTATTCCAAAAAGGAGAAAAACTGACCAAAAGAAAGGGATTACAGTCCCCGTGAAAGTTGAAACCCAGAAGGGCAGTCATTAAATCTTAATACTACAAAATAATCTCCTTTGACTCCATGTCCCACATTGAGGACACACTGTGCAAGGGGTGGGCTCTTAAGGCCCTGGGGAGCTCCACCCCTGTGGCTTTGCAAGGTACAACCCCCACAGCTGCTTGCACAGGTCGTTGAGTGTCTGTGGCTTTTCTAGGTGTAGGAGGCAAGCTGTCAGTGGCTCTACCACTCTAGGGTCTGGAAGAGGATGGTTCCCTTCTCACAGCTCCACTAAGTACTGCCCCATTAGAGACTCTGTGTGGCAGCTCCAACCCCAGATTTCCCCTTAGCACTGCCCTAGTAGACGTTCTCTGTGAGGGCTCCACCCCTGCAGCAGGCTTCTGCATGGACATCCAGGCTTTTCCATACATCCTCTGAAATCTAGGCTTCCAAGCCTCAACTCTTGCACTCTGTGCACCTGCAGGCTTAACACCATGTGGAAGGCTTATGGCTTGCACCCTCTGGAGCTGCAGCCTGAGCTATACCTGGGCCCCTTTGAGCCCAGGCTGTACCCAGAGCTGCCAAGATGCAGAAAGCAGTGTCCTGAGGCTGCACAGGGTAGCGGGGCCCTGGGCCTGACCCACAAAATCATTTAGTCCTCATAGGCCTCAGGGCCTGTGATGGGAGTAGAGACCAGGAAGATCTCTGAAATGCCCTCAAGGCCTTTCTCCCATTGTCTTGGATATTAGCACTTGGCTCCTTTTTATTCATGCAAATTTCCCTAGCAAGTGGTTGCTCTGCAGCCTACTTGAATTCTTCTGTTGAAAAAGCTTTTTTTTTTTTTTTTTTGGTTTTTTTATTTGCCACATGGTCAGGCTGAAAATTTTCCAAATTTTTATGCTCTGTTTACCTTTTAAATATAAGTCCCATCTTTAAGTTACTCCTTTGCTTCTGCATCTGAGCATAGGCTGATAGAAGTAGCCAGGCTACATCTCAAGCATTTTACTGCTTAGAAATTTATCCTGCCAGATCCACTAAATCATTACTATGAAGTTCAAACTTCTACAGATCCCTAGGGCAGAACAGAAGGCAGCAACCAAGCTCTTAGCTAAGACATAACGTGTAATCTTTGCTCCATTTCCCAATACGTTTCTCATTTCCATCTGAGACCTTAGCAGCCTAGACTTCAGTGCTCATACTGCTATCAGCATTGTGGTCACAACCATTTTACCAGTCTCTAAGAAGTTCCAAACTTTCTTTCATCTTCCTGTCTTCTTCTGAGCCCTCAAAACTCTTTCAACTTGTCCCCATTACTCAGTTCCAAAGTTGCTTCCACATTTTCTGGTATCTTTATAGCAATACCCAACTCCTGGCACCAATTTTCTATATTAGGCAGGTTTTGCATTGCTATAAAGAAATACCTGAGACCAGATAATTTCTAAAGAAAAGAGGTTTAATTGGCTCATGGTTCTGCAGGATTTACAGGAAGCCTGATGCTGGCATCTGCTTGGCTTCTAAGGAGGCCTCAGGAAGCTTACAGTCATGGTGGAAGGTAAAGGGGGAGTAGGCATGTCACATGACCAGAGCAGGAGCAAGAGACAGAGTATTATGGGGAGAGGTGCCACATGCTCTTAAACAACCAGATCTCATGTGAACTCAGAACAAGAGCTCATTCATCACCCAGGGGATGGCCCAGGCTATTATTGAAAGATCCACCCGGATGATCTAAACACCTCCCACCAGGCCCCACCTCTAAGATTGAGGATTACATTTCAACATGAGATTTGGGCAGGGACATGCATTCAAACTATATCACTGGGCAGCCAGTATTGCTCAGCTTGTCCACCCTACCTATGTGGCCAGACTTCCACTGGTAAATTGCTATCTCTTAAGTATACAGTGATTGGTATGCACAGAGTTGGAGTTTTCCAAATATGGGCCTTTAAATACAGAGAAACATTTGATCAAACTAATCCGAATGGAGTTGTGGCTGCCCCTACCTGCCCAGGGTTGAAGGAAATACTCAAGGAAGTGCTTGGGGAGATGCTGGCTGAGCTGCCCTGCGGGGGTTGTGCTCCACCCCTCTCTGCATCCTTGCCAAAGACAGACAGGGCGCCTTCCAAAAGGGAATTCAACCTAAAAATGGAGGCTGACTCCTTCTCTCACTCCCCTCCCCTGCCCTGCCTGCCCAGACTCCCAAGAGACGGCCGACTGGAAAACGTGTTGGCAGAACCTGGAAACATCCACATTTTACTGTGATTCTCAGGAGAGCCTGGAGGTAGAAATTACTCAGGCACGAGCTTTATCACCCAGTTCCCAAGGTATCAGCGAGATCATTTAGCCAGAAGAGCCCAGCGCAGGGGGAAGGAAGGTGCAGGCCCTGGAGCAGGGGTCTGCCATGCTGTGGGGAGAGCAGTGGTTCTCATTTGCTCAGCAAAACAGGAGATGAAGCACAAAATCCCCTTCCCTGGCTGTTTCCTCCAGTGGCTGAATCTTTGAGGATGCTGCTTAAATGATTTAGTATGGATGAGGCCAAGGTCCCCACCTTGTCCCAGGTGCCCCTGCACCCTCATAGCTCCCTCCCCACCCGCTCTTCCATCCTCCATCCCAGGTTTGAGCTACCATCCCACCACTGGACACCATACCTGGTGTGTCTGAGTCTCTGTGCAGGCTCTGAGATGCTGGGGATGAGGTCAGGACACCCTTCACATCATTGGCTTGCAGTCGAGAGCAGGGGCCGGGGGTGGGGTGAGGCAGGTGTCAGCAAATTCAAAACAAGACAGTGCTGAAGTGGGATATGCCCCATGAAGAAAATGAAAAGATCGGGAGACAGACTGAGCTGAGGGCGAGTTAAACGGGGTGGGCAGGTGGAGGATGCCATGGGAGACCAGGAAGCAGCGCATTCCTGCACAGGGAGGGAACACCCAGGCAAAGCCTTGTGGAGGAGCGCTGTCAGCCCTTCCTGGTTCTAGGCTCATCCCAAGCCCTGGCTCTATGTTTCTCAACCAGCCTTGACCTGGTACATGAGAGAGGTTCCTGCTGGGGAAGTGCCACGCAACCCCAGCTGGAGGCAGCCCTGCTCGGTGGGGGGCCCCACACTTTCTGCACAGGTGCCTTGGTGCCAGTCCCTTCCCCTGGTGCCTGTGGATGCAGCCACAGCTGGGGTCCTCGCCCCCAGAATGTGGGAGGCTCCAGAGAAAAGCCTCAGTCCCAGGGGATCTGTCTGTGCCTGCCAATCAGCTCTGTCAAGAGGTCCCTGAGCCCTGGCTTGGGCTCAGTCTGGTGGGCAGGAGCAGGGCTTGTGAGCCTTTGGGGACCTCTCCCCACAGCCTGAGAGCCAGGCTGAGCCGGAGCGGGCACAGGGCACGTCCCAACATGAAATCGCTTCTGTGGACTCCTGCCTCCCAGGGCCCACAACAGCCCTGGCAGTATGACGGTGACTGCATGGCTTTCTGTGTGTGGAATTCACTGCGGTGACCGGTTTCACCTGCTACAAGAATGGTAACCAAGGCTGCAGTGGCACCGGTGCATGGGACATCCTGGCACGTGGTGTCCCCAGCTCCACAGGGCGAGTCCTGGGGTGAGACTTCCAGGTTAGACACCCCCTCAGGCACCTTCATGTGGCCAACTGGCTGCACTGCTCGGCACTCTGTGTTCCCTGGTGATGCACAGGGCTCAACCTGCAAGGGGCTGCCACTCACTGCTAACAGCCTCCTGCATCCTTCGAGTTTTTGGAAGCGGCTCTAATTCCCACCATTCCCCACAGCCTTTTCTACTGTTTTCACTTTGCTCTCTGGGCCGGGCAGGCCTGAGGGCAATTTCGATGGCCTCCACGTGGCCGTTCCTGCTAAAATAGATCACCCTCTGCCAGCTGAGGGACCAGGGTGAGGGTTTTGCCAGTTCTTGAGTTTGTCCATTCCAGTTCAGGAACAGGGTGCAGGACCCCCCGCTCAAGCCCTGTCACAGCACTATCTAAGTCACCAGCGTGGCCCCTGGGATGCTGGAGGAGCTGTGGTCATGGTGAGCCGGCCACAGTCACAGCTGAGAAACAGCACAGCTGCAGCCGAGGCCAGAGGGAGCGTCGCACTCGAGCACACACACAGCCTTGGCTACAAGCTTTGTGGCGGCCCATCTGCAAGCAGATCCTTTTCCACGTCTGTCCCACGGTGAGGCTCAGAAGGCATCCACATGCACGTGGCTTGGCCCCCGTGAGCACCCCCGGCCTCACCCCGGGGCTGTGTGGATCCTCCCGTTTTGACAATAATGAGAAGGAAGGGAGGCATTGGAACCACCTGGACATGGCCCAGACCCCGACGGCAGCCCCATACACTGGAGCCAGCATGCAGTTGGAGCTGGGGACCTGGAGGGGGCTCAGGGTGGGGGACATGCCCCCTCCAGAGGTGGCTGTTGTGGACTGGATTCCTGCCACTGAGAAAGAATCACGACATCCCGAGGCCCCTGCAGCTGTGGAGGCAGCACGGCCTGTGCTTGGCACCCTGATCCAGCCGTTCGTCAGGTGCAACCCGGCAGTTCCTCTTCCGCAGGCCCAGGCCCCAGCGGGCTCTGCAACTGGACCAGGCTGTGTATAAGCAGCTCTGCCTCTTAGGCCCTACAGCCTGGGAGACCCCATGTGGTGGAGCACGATGCCCCCCAAGACAGCAGCCGTGCAGACCCCGGAGCTGGGGAGCAAGCCTCTGTTATTGCTCTCTGCAGGAGAGAACGGACCATTTTCCAGAACAGTCCCCAACGAGCTACTGCACCTCAGCAGGCAGGGAGCCTCTGGCCAGGGGACACCAGCTGACCATGGAGCCAGTCTCACCCAGCGAGAGCTGTGCACCGCCAGGCCCGAGTGACAAGGCTGGACGATGCAGTGGCCATCCACCCTCGCCGACGGGGTCGTCTGTGACCAGGCCCAGGCAGGTCCAGGGGGCATGAGGAGGCTCCACAAACAGGAAACCCACCTCCATGTCCTCTGCCACCACGCACCAACGTCTCTCCCCCAACTCACACCCCTGGCTTCGTCGGGGGTCTTTCTGACCAGTGGGTAAAAGAGGAAGAAGCAGTCTTGACTTTCAGATGCTCGGCTCAGCTCTCAGGGCAAGCCAGAAAGGGGCTGCTGCTGTGTGACTGCCCCGCAGAGGCCAACCTGAAAGCCAGTGTCAGGGGACATCCTCTGGGTGGGCGGAGGTCTGGGCCGTGCACCTGGACATCCCCTGTCAGTGGGGAGAAGTGGCCCGGGGTAAGGATGGACGCAGAGTCAGCCCAGTGGTGAATGCCTCAGCGTGAGGTTTGGAGGACGGGGAGGTCTCTGTGTCCCACATCCCCAAGCGCCAGGGAGCATTGTGTGGAAGAGGCCCAGGATGACCGTGTGGGCAGGGCAACTCTGCCAGGTGTCAGGCAGCCTCTGTCCGGGGCCACTGCAGGGTTGGGGCGATGCACTTGTGGTGGAAGTAGGCGTGGTAACAGGGTCTGAAGCCATGTGTCCTCTCAATGGCACAGGCTTCTCATCGAGGCTATTGTGATCACTGTCACCGCTGTATCAGAAACTGACCGCAGCTCAAGTCCTGACATCGTCCCTCAAAGACACCAACCAGCCCTTTGGTGGCAAGCCGGTTACAAAGAACCACTCCACGCTGGAGAGGACAGGGGCCCGTCGGGACTGGGATCGGTGCCTGTGCCAGGTGAGGGTTTGCTTTTCCTCATGCACCACAGCCAAGAGCCCAGATTCACTAACAGAGGGTCCCCGGCCACATGGCTGCAGACCACAGGACCCCTCGGTGTCAGAGGAAGGAGCTGGGGCACACAGTCCATGGATCTCCTGGACCCACCATGGACCTCCCTCCAGAAATGGCTGAGCCAACAGGGACGGAGTATCCTCCCAAAAGCAGCCCAGACTTGGCTCAGAGATGACGTCTGAGAATGTGGGCATCCGAGAATGTGGGTGTCCGAGAATGTGGACGTCCAAGAGTGTGGGCGCCCGAGAGTGTGGGCGCCCGAGAGTGTGGGCATCCAAGAGTGTGGACGTCCAAGAGTGTGGGCGCCCGAGAGTGTGGGTGCCCGAGAGTGTGGGCGCCCGAGAGTGTGGGCGTCCGAGAGTGTGGGCGTCCGAGAATGTGGGCGCCCCCGAGAATGTGGGCGTCCGAGAATGTGGGCGTCCGAGAATGTGGACGTCCGAGAAGGTGGGCGCTGTCCTTTAGTTTGCAGGCTATTTCTTGAGCCAGTGACGATGACACGGTGCCGTGTCCATGACAGGCAGAATGCATGGATCTGGGAGCTACGGAGTGGACACATAGGGGGTCCCCTCGTCGTCGTTCCACGTGGCTTACTGTGGGAACATGGGTTTGCCGCCCTCACCCTGTGACTCTGTGGCTGCCAGAAGGGTACATTTCCACCGGGGTCGCAGAACTAGTTCCCCTGGATTGAGAAGGCAGCACCATCTGGTCACTGTTGCCTCGTTCGTGCCAGGCACAGAGAGTCCTGGCAGGGGTCGCTGGCCCCGATCCTGAGGGGTGGGGGTGGGGCCAGGGCTGCTGCTCCAGGACAGGGTGGGGACACGCCTGGCATCCATGTGACCCACGGGACACCTCTTGCTGCCCCAGTGCCCAGCAAGTCCACTAACCACTGCCTTGTTACAGCATGGCAGCCGGGGCTCAGACTCCTGGTGGATCCCTCGCCAGCCAGGCCTGCTGGACCAGGCGGAGGCAGCCTAGAGTGCCCAGCAGGTCAAGGGGTGGGTGAGGGTCAGTTACGGCCTGGAGACCACAGCGGGACCGGAGTTCACACGCCAGCCCCCTGCTTGTGAGCTTCCCAGGAACTGAGGCTGCAGGACCGTGGAGAGCCTGTGCCTTGCGCGGCTGTGGTGAACTCACTGATCTGTGAGCAGCAAGAGACTGTGGGCTGGCCAGGGGCAGATTGTCACAGGTGCCATTGGGGCCCCTCAAGATCCCCTTCACAGGCTCAGTGACTCCACCTCTAGGCTGCTGGCGTGAAGGGTGCAAATGGCTTGCATCCCCTGTCATGGGAGAACGGCTTTCTACCAACCTGAGCCATCTTGCCCAGGACGTGGTCAACCCCCTGGAGAGGCTCCTGGCCAGTGATTGGCTGTCCAGGCACAGACCGATCAATTTTTTTCTCTGCAGTGCAGTTCATGTTCCAGAGACACTCTGAGACCTGCCGATTGGCTCTTGATCCTCCCCTACTCTGCTTCACCATGGCCCTCAGAGGCTTTTCCTGATGAGCCCTTCCCAGAGGAATGACACACACCCAGATTCCCATGTCCGGGGAGCCTGACTCAGGAAGATCCCCCACAGGTCCTCGCTGCTGGCTCGCTGGATGCCTGGAGCTCCCCCTTCAAAACAGAATGGTCGGGATAAACTGTGATGGTTAAGAACATGGAATCTCGGGTGATAAAGAGTCCAGGTTCAAACCCCAGGTCTTCACCTTAGCGGCTCTGCAGCCACAAGCAGCTGGCTCCCTCAGCCTCTCTGAGTTTCTTTTTTTTTTTTTTTTTAATAAAGGAGAGAGAATGATGAGAAAGAAGCCCAGGCAGCTGGAAGGTTGAAGTGACACAGCATCATGAAGCTCTTAGGACCTGCACGTGGAGAAGTGCCGGGGACGGTCAGCCGCGGACGCTACAGTAATGCAGAGGAGGGAGAGGTGTTCCATGCTCCACGCTCTCACCAACCTTTCTAACAACTAGATTTCGGTATAAAGGGGCACCCCCGCCCCAACTCCGGGAGGTCAGTCCCAGCCCTGCTGCTGCCAAGTCTACAGCTGATGGAATCATTGAGTGTTTGGGAAGCAGAGAAAGAAGGGAAAGCGGACCCTGTGGTCGCGCAGGTACATCTAGATGTGGGGCTCACAGGCTGGGAGGGGGTATGGGTGCATCCTGACGGCTGCGAAAGCCCCGGACACGTTTTCTAAGAAAACCACAGCCCTTGGAAGCACTCTCCCACCTGTCTGTCCTTGGTCCACCTGGGAAATTTGAACCCCACTGGATAGATGCACGTCTTCTTCTCACACGGGAGCCCTTGGCCATTCTCCCTTCAGCCCCACCCTCATTCCTAGCCCAGAAAGTTCTCTTACAAACTGATCTGCTCCCGGGACCACCAGCTTCCTCCATCCTCTCCCAGCACATCCCCTCCTCCTCGCACTCCTCCTGGCACCTGCTGTCCTGGACCTTGGACATGTGGATCTTCCACTTTCCCCAAGTACTGGAGGGGGCACCTCTGCAAGTGTCACCCAAGGCCCTGATAGTCCCAGGGGTTCCAGACCACTGCCTAAGAATGGCAGGCCGGGTATGGAAGGGCAGAGGCTCTGGGCAACAGAAGGCTCCCTTGGTCCTGCTGCCGGCAGCCCAGACACCTCACTCTTGTGTCACTAAACACCTCCAGTGAGGGCTGCAGGTGGATGAAGTGGACCTGAAGACCCCCGAGCCCAGGCCAGACCCTCTTACCTGTCTTCATACGAGGCACCTCCACCCACCGCCCACAGCATAGCTGACATTCCTGTTTCTGCGTGTTGCACTTGGCCACTTGTGTATGTGCATGTTTTTGTGAGTTTTAAAATATACAGAGAGCAACTTTTTCCAGGGAGAATTCTGATCAAGATAACCTGAGGTCACTCCTGTTTTTTTAAAAAATAGCTTAGCAATGCCAGGTAAAATAGGATATGCATGCTTTAAATGGAAAGCTGAGCTTGCAAAAGAGTAATGGAAATTTCAAGAGGCCCAAAAATGAATAACATGACCCAAAATAGTAATTGTGGTGACCTAATGCTGGAGTTGCCTGGGGGTGGTTCCCAGATGCCGCTCTTAATATCAGGGAGCTTGCAATGGGTTCCCGGGACAGGGGATGAAGCTCTTAGATCCCCAAGAAGCAAGGGTCAGAATGGAAACTTTTGCACAGAGCCATGGTCCCTGCTAGCTACAGCCTGAGTGAAAGGAATGGGTATAGCAAACCTACCTACCAGCACAGGAATATTACAAAGAAGCGCATCTGTCTTGATCCGGACTGACCTTTTTGCAAGTCTCTCCTGAAGGGAAGCATTTCCAGAATAGCGGATTAAGGACCCCCATGTTACGCACCTCCATAAAAGCAAGGAGAATCCTGGCAAATAAAATGGTCAAAATTAACTTCTTAGATGCCCTAGAAGTTCACCAGGGTCCGGGGACATCCTCTTGGTGGGCAGAGCTCTGGGCCGTGCACCTGAGCATCCATCTTGAGTAGAGAGAAGTGGCCCTGGGGTAAGGATGGACGGAGACTCGAGGCAGTGGTTTGGATCTGTGTCCCCACCAAATCTCATGTTGAACTGTAATCCTCAGTGTTGGAGGTGGGGCCTTGTGGGAGGTAAGTTCTTGTGAAAGGTTTAGCATTGTCCCCCAGCCAGGTACTGCATAGTGCATGAGTTCTCGCGAGATCTGGTTGTTTAAAAGTGTGTGACACTTCCCTGCCCCTCCTCCTGCTCCAGCTGTGTGAAGTGCTCACTCCCCGCTTTGCCTTCCACCAGTGTGTAAGTTTCCTGAGGCCTCCCCAGAAGCCAGGTTGATGCTGCCACCCTTCCTGTACAGCTTGCAGAACCATGAACCAGTCAAACCTCATTTCTTTATAAATTACTCATTCTCGGATTTTTTTTTTTACAGCAATGGGAGAACAGACTAATACAGCCTCCAACAATTTGAAGAGCATTTGTTTAAGAAAAAGGATCAAATCTAGGTAAGAATAGACAGCTGTGTGACGTTTCAACTTGACCTATTTCATCTCTCTCTCCCCAGCTGTGTAGTGGCCTTGAAAATCAACAGTCTGACAATCATGATAGCTGTGACAAATGGCAGCCTAACAACTACTGGAGGGGGGAATTCCAAAATATTCTAGAGGGCCACATGCATGTGTCATGCTGTGCACATGTCCAGGGAAGACCTGAGGAGGCCCTAGCCTGTCACCTCTAGCTAACCTTGAGACTCTGCACAAGTAGGAACTGAAAGCTAAGGCAGAGCTGCAGCCTGATGCTGGAGAACTGAAGTCCTCCTCCACAAAATCAAGGAGACTTGTTGCTCCAAGGTATTTACGGAAATCTCTCCCCAGCCATTAACTGACCACAAAGCAAAATGAACTTCAGTGGCTATACATGAAAAGAACACAGACTTTATAGCTTACTTCAGCAAAACAAATGGCAAAAACAGAACTCTGTGGGGAGAAGAATCTGATTTCCAGAGTTCCTACATTAAATTATTTAAAATATCTACTTTTCAACAAAAAATTATGAAACATGCAAAGAACCAGGACAGTGTAGCCTGTTCTTTGTATACACTGTAGTATAGACTGTAGTGTATATACTGTAGTATAGACTGTAGTGTATACACTGTAGTATAGACTGTAGTGTATACACTGTAGTATACACTGTAGTGTATACACTGGATACAAAATCAGTCAATAAAAACTGTCCCATGAGGAAGCCCAGGTGTTGGATTTATTAGACAAAGACTTTAAATCAGCTGTTATAAACATGTTCAAAGAACTGAAGCAAACCATGTCTGAAAAACTAATGCAAAGTATGAGAATCCATGTGTCACCAAGTAGAGAATATAAATAAAGCAATAGAAATTACTTTTTTTTAAATCAAATAGGAATTCTGAGTTGAAAAGTATAACTGAAATGAAATATCCACCAGATGAGCTCAACAGCAGATTTGAGCTGGTAGAAGAATTGATGAACTTGAAGCTGAATAAACTGAGATAATCCAGTCTGAAGAACAGAAAGAGAAATAAATAGTGCCTCCAAGATCTGTGGGGACACTATCAAGTATAGCAACATATGTACAATGGAAGTCTCCAAATGAAAGGACAAAAAGAAAGGACAAGAAAGAAATTTGAAGAACTAATGACCCCAAACTTCCCAAATTTGTTGAAATCATTAATTTACACATTCAGGAAGCTCCATGATGTCTAAGTAGAATAGACTCAAAGGGGATGCACATTAAACACTTCATAGTCCAGCTGTCAAAGACAAAGACAAAGACAGAGACAAAAATAAAACTCATTCTATGAAGTCAGTATTATCCTGATACCAAAACTAGGCAAAGACATCCCAAGAAAATGACAGACCGAAATCCCTTATGAATATCAATGCAAAAATCCTCAACAAATACTAGCAATTCAAATTCAACAACATATAAAAAGCTTATATACAATGACAAGTGAAATTTATTCTAAGAATGTCAGACTTGCTCTGCATATAAAAATAAATTAATCTAATATATTATATTGGTAGAATAAAGGACAAAAGTATCATGATCACCTTAATAGATACAGAAAAAGCATTTTGACAAAATCCAACACCCTTTAGTGATAACACTAAACAAACTAAGAATAGAAACTCCCTCAACCTAATAAAAGACATCTATGGAATACCCACAGCTAATATACTTAGTGATGAAACATTGAAAACTTTCTTCTTAAGATCAGGAGCAAGACAAGTATGTCTGTTCTCATAACTTTCCAACATTGGACTTGAGGTTCTAGCCAGGGTAACTAGGCAAGAAAAAGAAATAAAAGGCATCCAGATTGGAGAAGAAGCAAAACCATACCTATTCACAGATTACATAACCTTGTATGTAGAAAATCCTAAGGATTTAAAAAAACTGTTAGAACTAATAAACAAATTCATCAAGGTTTTGGGATACAAGATCAATATACAAAAAGTAATTATATTTCTATACTTTAGCAATGAACCATCTGAAAATGAAATTAAGAAAACAATTCCATTTACAACAACTTCAAAAAGATTGAAAACTTTCTTCTTTCACTTTCAACTTTCACTAGCCAAAGCTGGGACAATTTAAGTAATAAAATAAAAATAATAGTAATGGACTAAAATCCAGAAGAGAAAAATATCCACAGGTTCATAAAAATGATGAATAAATAAGTAAATATGAGAGAATTGGAAACTCTTCCTTAGGGAAACATTTCAATTCAGAAATGTAAAATGAATTAGTACAAATTTTTAAAATCACCAATAGAAAACCACAGTAATAGTTGTTATGGGCAAGGTCCACTGATGAATACTAATATTAGTGTGTAAAAGTTTAAGAAGGAACAGGATATTTGCGTAGTCTCAAAGCATTTTGTCTCAGATATTTATTAATTACAAATGGAAAATAGTAACTCTACAGTCGAAAAACCTGGCAGACCTCACCTTAACCAAGGGCTCATGTTTAACATTACCAGTATGATGTGACATCACATGCCCCCAATATGATGCACTGAGGACTTTTCCCCTAAATCCACAACCTTGATTTTATTAGAAAACAAAACAAATTCAGGTTTACGAACATTCTTCAAAATACCTGACCTATATTCTTCAGAAGTGCCAATGTCTGTGAACAAGGAAAGACTGAAGAACTGTCATAGATTGGAGGAGACCAAGAGGACATGACAACTAAATACAATATAGGTTCTAGGTGGTATCCTGGAAAAAAAACCAATACGTTGGGGAAAAATTATGAAATTCAAATGAAGTTTGTAATTTTTTAAAAAAACTGACTAGAAGAGAAATATAAATATCTGTGATATAAATATCACTTTTTTATTTGAGCATTAAGGATAATTTGAAATATACCCATAAAATACCCCATTAGAATCAGAGAATTTTGAAGAGTAGTCTCCACAATATTCTATACAGTCTCAATTCCAAAAAATGGCTTCAAAGAATATAAAGAAGGAAATGTCTCCATCAAATGACTTAATGATGCTAAAATTACTTTGATATTCAGGATCAGAAAAAGACAACATAAGAAGGAGACATTTAGGTAAATTCATGTACAAACATTAATTTCTTTTTTTTTTTTTTTTTTTTTTTTGAGACGGAGTTTCGCTCTGTCGCCCAGGCTGGAGTGCAGTGGCGCGATCTCGACTCACTGCAAGCTCCGCCTCCCGGGTTCACACCATTCTCCTGCCTCAGCCTCCTGTGTAGCTGGGACTACAGGCACGCGCCACCATGCCCGGCTAATTTTTGTATTTTTAGTAGAGACGGGGTTTCACCGTGTTAGCCAGGATGGTCTCGATCTCCTGACCTCGTGATCTGCCCATCTCGGCCTCCCAAAGTGCTGGGATTACAGGCGTGAGCCACCGCGCCCGGCCCATTAATTTCTTAAAAGTAATAAATAACATACCCAAAAATTGAATCCAGCGATGTGAAACCTGCAAATATAAATTTAAAAACAAAATATCGTGACCAAATTGGATTTATCAGAGGAATGCAAGGATGGTTTAACATTAGAGAGCTGAATTCAGGTTGGTTGCCATGAGTATTAATTAGGCTTCGGTTTGAAAGCATTTGAGAGGGACAAATGTCAAATATACAGTGGTTTAAACACATAAGTTTTCATTCTCCCTCACCTAACATGGAGAGGCCATCCAATCCAACACTGGTATGATGGTCCCATTTTAGGAGGTCATCTGAGGAATTAGACTCCAATTTTGTTCTGAGCACTCTAGGGTATGACCCTCAGCTGTCTGCTCCAAGATGATTAAACACTACAATCGTATGTCAATACACAGGACAGAAGTGACAAGAAAGGTCAGAACACCTGTAAGAACACAGTCAAGAAATTATACATAGCACTCCCACTCCAATTAGTCAAATTGCCACCATGGTGACAACTAGCTGGAAGGCAGGCTGGGTTGTGGGGCTTATTCTGGGAAGTCATGTGCTGAGCTCACAACCAGGAATTGTATTGCTATGGGAGGATGAATTTCCATGTTGTTATTGCACTGTCTCAGAGCCAATAACAGAGGAGCCAATAATGAGTGCTCCTCTCCCAGGTCTGGAACTGACCAGCAGAAGACAAGCCATCCACTCCCAACACACCCAACACACAGCAGTGGGGAGAGGAACAGGATGGGGTTTGCAGAGGCAGTTAAGGTGGCAAATCTGTCATGAGGGAGATTACCCTGGATGGGCCTCACCTAATCAGATGAGCACTCAAAAAGGGTCAGAGTTCTTTTGGCAGAAGAGATGTGAAGCACGAGAGAGATTAAACAGGGATGGTCTTTGCTGCTGGCTTTGAAGATGGAGAGGCCACATGGCAAGGGCATCAGAGAAGATTCTAAGAGCTGAGAACAGACCCTGGCTGACAGCCAGCAAGAAAATGAGGATCTTAGTTCTACTATCACAAGGAGCTGACTTCTGCCAAAAACCTCAAGAGCTTGAAAGAAGATACTGAAATTCAGAAAGGAACATGATCCGGCTGACACCTTAATCGCAGCCTTGTGAGATCCTGAGCCAAGAACACAGCCAAGCTGTACTGTGACTCTTGTTGCACAGAAACGGTGAGATGATAAATGTGCGGTGTTCTGAGCCATGAGGCTTTCACTGCTTTGTTACGCAGCATAGAAATCAAAGCTGCCTTCTCTCTCTGTTTATTACTGACAAGCTCCATCCTGATTCGATTGTCATCCTTACAGACTCATGGAGCAGGACTGAGTCCAGAAACAGATGGACATTTACATGGGTTCTGACAAACGTGGCAAATCAATTCTGCACAGGTGGAGGTTCCAAATGGGGGGGAAAGGATGGCATTTTTTTCAAACTTTTATTTGAAGTTCAGGGGTACATATGCAGGATGTGCAGGTTTATTACACAGGTAAACATGCATCATGTGGGTTTGTTGTACACATTATTTCATTGCCCAGGTATTAAGCCTAGTACCCATCAGCAATTTTTCCTGATCCTCTCCCTCCTCCTACCCTCCACCCTCCCATAGGCCCCAGTGTGTGTTGTTCCCCTCTGTGTGTCCATGTGTTCTCATCATTTAGCTCCCACTTATAAGTGAAAATTTGCAGTATTTGGTTTTCTGCTTCTGTATTAGTTTGCTAAGGATAATGGCCTCCAGCTCCATCCATGTCCCTGCAAAGGACATGATCGCATTCCTTTTTATGGCTGCATAGTATTCCATGGTGTTTATGTACCATATTTTCTTTATCCAGTCTATCATTGATGGGCATTTAGGTTGATTCCATGTCTTTGCTGTTTTGAATAGTGCTGCAATGAACATATGTCTGCATGGGTCTTTATAATAGGATGATTTCTCTTCCTTCGGGTATATACCCCATCATGGAATTGCTGTGTCAAATGGTATTTCTGTCTCTAGGTCTTTGAGGAAACAGATGGCATTTTTAATAAATGAGTCAATTAGACAGTTGTACAGGAAAAATGAAAAATTGTACACCTCACAACATGCAAACTAAATATTCCCAGTGGATTGTAGCTAAACATGAAAGGAAAAATACCCCGAGAGGATATCACGGAACGTATTCGTGACCTTATGCAGCTCTTGATCACAAGATTCTGATCTTGGACAAGATTTTAAACCAAATACCTAAAACACTAACTATAAGATGAAGATGAATCAATTGAACTATGTGAAAATGAAGGCATTTCACCCATTACTATTATGAGAGTGAAAGGCAGGCGGCAGCCAAGGATGGGACACTCCCAGCAGGTCGCTGACAAGGGGCTTGCTTCTGCAACACAGGCGGGGCCCACACCGACCAATGAGAAAACCACAAGCAACCTCCTATGAGCCTGGGCAAAAGTCTCGAACAGGCTGTTTATGGAAAAGGAGCACCAAATGGCCAATAAACATTCAAGAATTCCCAGCCTCAGCCATCAGGAAAATGCATATTGTGAGCACACTAAGCCACCGCCACAGACCTGCACCTTGGCTAAATTTGAAGGACTGGCAAGCCCAGTGCTGGGAAGAACGCAGAGCCACGGAGGTCCTCACACTGCCTGAGGGCGTCCGTGGGGGCAGATGCTTTGAGAGTCTGTCTGCAAGTCCCCCCTGACCAGGACATGTGTCCCCCGGCCCAGGAATTCCACCCCAGGCTTACACTCGAGAAATGGCACAAGTACCTATCAAAAGGCATTTACAAGAATGTCGGTAAGACTTTTAAGCAAAATAGTCTAAAACTGGAAACTTGTTGAAAGTCCATGCATATTAGAATGGATAAATACATAGACATTGAAATGAGGGGATACTGCAGAGGAACAAGCACGATTTCTCCCTGCAGTGACGCAATGCACCTCACGAAGATGCGGCGTGCACAAAAGAGGTCGGACCTGAAAGACAGCCCGCTGCATGATTCTACTTCAGTAAAGTGCAGACGGCAGGGGGAATCCACGCTGGCTCAAGTCACAACAGCCCCTGCCTTTGGAGTGAAAGGTGTGGAGTGGTGGGAGGAGCCCCTGGGACATCTGGGGCCCAGGCTGCTGTTTCTGGACCTGGTTGCTGAATACGTGGGTATGTCCACTTTGTGAAGATTCAACCAATTGCACACTGACTTTTGCATTTTCTCTGTATGTGTGTTGTCTTTTAATAAAATGTTCATTAGGTTGGGCACAGTGGCACATGCTTCTAATCCCAGCTACTCAGGAGGCTGAGGCATGAGAATCACTTAGACCCAGGTGGCAGAGCTTGCAATGAGCCGAGATCACACCACTGCACTCCAACTTGGGCAACAGAAGGAGTCTCTGTCTCAAAAAACAAACAAATAAAAGATATACAAACAAAAAATAAAATTGTTCATTAAAAAATAAACCACAGTAAGCCAGGTGTGGCAACTTACACCTGTAATCCCAGTGCTTTGGGAGGCTGAGACAGGAGGATCACTTGAGCCCAGGAGTTCAAGACCAGCCTGGGCAACATGGTGAGACCCTGGCTGTACAAAAAATACAAAAATTAGCCTGGTATGGTAGGGTGCACCTGTGGTCCCAGCAATCGCTTGAGCCCAGGAGGTTGAGGCTGCAGTGAGCCAATATCACACCACTGCACTCCAGCCTGGGTGATAGAGTGAGATCCTGTCTCAAAAAATAAAATAAAATAAAATAAAAATAAACCGCAACAAGAAAAAATAGAAATGACAAGACAATCCAATGGAAAAATAGGTACAGGCTATAAAGGGCCATTTTACAGTGGCAGAAAGGCAAATGTCTGGGCACCTGGGCAGAAACACTTGTCACCGGTCACTAGGGAGATGCTAATTGAAGCAGGAGTGACCACCTATCTCTCAGGCCTCAGTGGGCACAATGGGAGTTTCACCCACACCAGGTGCTGATGGTCTCACTGTGGGCCACGGAGACACAGAGCAATGCGGCCACTTCTCAACACGCACTGGAAGACCACCAGGCCTGCCTGTGAATTACTGAAGGGAAGAGTGAGAGCCCGGTGCGAGGGTGATAAACGCTACATGGGAGGGCTCCAGGTGGGAACGGGACAGGGCAATGCGGAATCCATTGCCATGAACCCAACTGGCCACACAGCTGAGTGTCAAGTGTGTTCCGCCTGCTATTCTCACACTTCTCAATGATCAAAAGATTCCATGCTCCTAAAAAGCACCTCCAAGAAGGCCACAGAAACAGAAACTCAAGTGACCTTCAGATGCTCCGCAGGGTCCGTCTCCGTCCCTGCATGCCTCCCTGGCCCTGACCAAGTCCCGCATCTCATGGGGCAGCCACCCCATCCAGCCTCGTGCATCTGCCTCGCCCTCAGGCCAGAGCCACAGCCCTGATGGTGTCGCTCACATTTCTCCCACATGGATGGGGGCGTGCGTACATCTTCCTAAGGGGCTTCTCAAGTCCTGAGAGGCACAGACCTGAGTTCTGGTCCCCTGGCTTTCTGAAAATTCCCCAGTCCCTCTCACTTGCCACTGCCTGGAGGACCCCACACAGCCAGGCATGCAGAGCACGTGGCCCGTGCTGGCTATGCTGGCTACTGACTCTGCCGTCTGCCACCCACAGTGGAGAGCTGATGGCCTGAAGAGCTGAGAGCTTGGGATCTCATTCAGCTGAACCGAGGGCCAGGCTGCCTGGGCTCTGCTCCTGGCTGACACTGGCTATGCCCGCCGGGATCCTGGGCATCTTCTCTGCTGCTGCCACCAAGGAGAGGCCTGGCAGAGAACCCGGAGGATCTTGGAATGCTGGCCCAGGTCCAGCAGCCAGGACCACAGATAGGGGTCATGGGAGGGCCACCCCCATCCCACCCACATTTTGGCCTGGGCACTGGCAGAGGGCAGGGGGCACACCTGGTCACCCAGAGGAAGGCATGGAGGGTGGGCCGGCCCCCAGTTAATGGCCCCTGACTCTCACTTCCCCAGTGTTAAGCTCCCCTTTCTCTGCTCGCTAATCATCCAAAGGTTTTTAAGACCCTGTGCTCAAGGAGGGGTTTCTTAGAGGGATTCGGGTTGAGCAGGGAGAGCCTTTTTGTGAGAGGGAAGCCCTCCAGGTGTGAGGCAGAGGCACAGACAGACAACCTATCCTTCACCCTGCTTCTGCATGGGCTAAGTTTGCTCATAGACGTCCCTGCCCTTCCAGCTTCCACTACCTGCGAGGTCCCCAGCCTCCTCCAGAGCCCCTCCAGCAGCCACAGGAGCATGTGCAGTGTACATGAGGTGGGGGAGGAAGAGAGTCCACGAACTGGCTGGCACTTATCAGGGCCAGGTATTTATTGGATGGGTGGATGAGTGGATGATGGATGGACAAATGGATGGAAGATGGAGGATGGATGAATGGATGGAGGATGGATGGATAGATGGATGACAGGTGGGTGGTGGACGATGGATGGATGGATGGATGGATGGATGGATGGATGGATGGATGATGGAGTATAGATGGATGGAGGATGGATGGATAACTGGATGGTGGATGGATGGATGATGGATGGATGGATGGAGGATGAATAGATGGAGGATGGAGAATGGATGGATAAATGAGTGGATGATGGACGGATGGGTGATGAAGAATGGGTGGGTGGATGAGTGGGATGATGAATGGATGGATGGAGGATGGATGGGTGGATGGATGGATGGAAGCATGGACAGATGGATGGATGGATGGGTGGATGGATGGATGATAGATGGATGGGTGGGTGGATGGATGGAGGCATGGATGAATGGTTGGATGGATGATGGATGATGGATGGGTAGATGGATGGATGGAGGATAGATGGATGGGTGGATGGATGGATGGATAGATTGCAGATATTGCATCCTTGGACTCTACCTGAAGCCAAGGTCCCCTTCTGAAGCATTTTTTTCAGATAAATCCCAGCAACAGCTCCCTTGGGGGCTCAGTACTTCCAGCAAATGGGAGTCCTCACTAGCCAGGAAGCTGTACCTATTTTAACTTTTGTGACAGAAACAATGTCCTGAGATACCAGGAGCAGCTTCCAGGCCTGGATACGACAGTTCCAGCAGCAACAGCTTCAGGTGGCTGAATGGAAAAGGGTTTTAGATTGGGCAAGGCTGCTTCTGGGTCTCCCTAGCTATGGCTCTTTCTCTGAAAAAGTGGAAGACGAGGAGAAAAGTCCCCGTTCTGTTTAGCAATGTAATCTATGTGTAAAACACAGCCAGGCCCTGACTTCAGGGAGTTTTCTTCTAGATTGGAAGACTCGGCAAATATATTCAGAATGGGAGTACACTGCCAAAAAGCT
Source organism: Homo sapiens (assembly GCF_000001405.40). NCBI lineage: Eukaryota > Metazoa > Chordata > Mammalia > Primates > Hominidae > Homo > Homo sapiens. The sequence goes on along the minus strand of NC_000001.11, from coordinate 2,988,634 downwards.
GTAGTCTTAGAGCAAAATGCAGGAATTTGTGGTCAGGGCCGTGGTGCAGCAGCAGGGAAAAGGCTGGGCGGTGTCCGGAGGACAGAGGCTTCCTGGCCAGGGGAGGCCATGGCCACAAAGACTGGCAGCTGCTGAACAGGCCTGATTGATTCACTGGGAGTGTTCAGTGCTGAGTTCTAACAGCCTGGTGGCAGTCCTGGAAAGGCCACAAGAGCCTCGACCCAGGGGAGAGGAGAGACCAGCGTCCACGAGGAAACAGCTTGCCCAATGGCCGGGTACCTTTTTATTGTAGCCCAAACAACGGCCACAGGGCTCCGCAGGCCTTGCACCCATGGAAGTTTTCTGAGAGGCCCGTCACCAGTCTGCTGTGCAGAGTATTAGTGAGTTTTGTACATGCCAATAAAAAAATAAAAGCTGCTATTAAACGCGAAGTCCTGGCACATACCTGGTTTAGGTCGCATGGGAGCTGGCCTTTTGCACTGGAATTTGCAGCATCTGTTCCAATTAAGCCTTGTTTTTTAGCTTAAAGATATTAGCCGGATCACTAGTGTGCTATGTGGGACATGAATAGCGCATTGTTCCGCCCCGAGCAGCCCTGCAGACGTGGCAGACACCATTAAACGGCTTTGCGGCCCAATTAGAAGTGGAGGTGGGCTGGCGGTGGGGGCGGGGACTGACCACCAGGGCACAGGCTTTATGGCTGCAGTCAGTGGGGGGGGCCAACCTGGGCCACGTGGAGCCAGGGTGGCCCCGCATGTGCAGCCCCAGCTCCGCAGCAGGCAACGACCAGGCGCATCCCTCTTGAGGGGCCACCGCAGAGCTCTGTGGGGCAGGGAGGGGCCGTGGAATGATGCTGAGATGCAAGGCCAAGGATGCTGTGATGGGAGGAGGCCAGGCAGGGACCCTCTCCTCCCCGCAGCAGCACACAGTCTCAGGCTCACACTCACACCCTCCTGCACCCTCACACATGCATACACATGGCCACACACTCCTACACACTTACACACACTCACACACACACATACAAAACTGAAGGTGCCACACCATCCCTGTTAGGAGGGCATTATTTTATGACCTGCCTTTTTTCTGCTTTAATGCCACATCTAGACACAGGCCCTGGCATATTCAAGGGCCTGGTTGGTCGGGGTCCACTCATAGCTTTTTTTGTTGGAGGAAAGGATTTCGTCCTTTGGAACCAGAACATACCGTCTCCTGACAAGGGAGCCTCAGCCTCATGGGCATCATCCAAAAGCAGCACCCACCACCTCCCAGGGCCATCCCAGTGTATCTGCCCATGGATGGAGGGAGGCCACCCCGCACCTTCTCTGGATCCACTCAGAGAGCTAAACATGGTTGGGTTCTGGGGATTGTTTTTCCAGCCATCCATGTGTGGCCTGGCACCTTTCTGTGTCTCCATTCTATGCCACCAGATTTGCAGAAAGTGCCCGGCCCATGTAACAGGCCATGCTGAACATTTCGTTTATAGCCAAAGCTTCTCTGCCTCCCTGGCTTGGCGGGTCACCCCTGGGAATGGGGGGAGCCCCTGGCTCTGCCTTCTTCCCCTCTGGGTAGGGAAGAAGAACAAGGATGGGAAGAGCTCTCCCTAAGCCCATGCTGAGCTAGCCCCAGCCTGGTCTGGTCCAGGGCCATTCTTCTCACCTGGAGACAGCTGCCACCTGCAGTCCCATTTCACAGCAGAGCAAGTGGAGACCCTGCGAGGTTCAGGTGTTGGCCCAGGACTGCACGGCAGGGAGTGGCAAGGTGGGAGATCCCTGCCATCAGGCTCTGGGGGCCCAGGCTGCTCTGAAGGTGTCTTGCCATTCATTATAAAATTGCCTGACCTGTTGCTGTGAATCAAGGTGAACATGGCACTCACTCAAGTCGCCTTGCTGCTCTACTGTGCCCTGTGCCCCGAGGGGGCAGCCTTGCACGCTGCGGACCAGCTGAGGCCCTCCACACCCACCATGCTGCCAGACGGGTGTTTCCTGAAGATTCTTTGCAACAAAAGATTCTCAAGCAAATTGTCATAGTAATGTCATTAAGGGGCAGCAGCAAGTTGCAAAAGGCACATGTAGATTTTTCAAAAATAAAAAAGGATGAGAACAGATGATCAATATTTCATACATTGAGTATCAGCCATTCCATATGGTTTGATATGAGAGATGGCTGGATGAATGGATAGATGGATGAATGGATGAAAGGAAGGAAGGAAGGAAAGATAGATGAATGAATGATTGATGGATGATGGGTGAATAGATGGAAAGAGGAAAGGAAGGAAGGAAGGAAGGAAAGATAAGTGGATGAGGGATGGATGAAAGAAAAGAAGAAAGGAAGGATAAATGGAAGGAAAAACAGATAAGTGGATGACGGATGGATGGATGGAAGAAAAGATAGACGAATGAATGATTGATGGATGATGGGTGAATAGATGGAAGGAAGCAAGGATGAAAAAGATAGATGAATGCATGATTGATGGATGATGGATGAATGGATGGAAGGAAGGAAGAAAGAATAGATAAGTGGATGATGGATGGATGGATCGATGTATGGATAGATGGATGGATGGATGGATGGATGGATGGATGGGTGATGGATAGATGGGTGAATGAATGGATGGAGGATGGATGGATGGATGGATGGATGGTAGATGGATGGTGAATGGATGGATGGTGGATGGATGGATGATGGATGGATGATGGATGGATGGATGGGTGGATGGACTGATGGATGGCGGATGGATGGGTGAATGAATGGATGGATGATGGAGGATGGATGGATGGATGGATGGATGAATGGATGATGGATGAATGGATGGATGCATGGATGGATTGATGGATAGATGGATGGACAGAATGAAGGATCAATGGATCAATGAGCTGGTGAGTAGGTAAGTAGAGGTACGTGATGGAAACAGAAGAAAATATAATGAAGTGAGCTTTGGAATATTTTCTATTTCTTCCTCTGTAGAGTACACATATATAGCTTTCAAAATCTGAAGAAAAAAACCTCAAAGGTTTCAGCACTCCTCTCATTTCTGAAGCCAAGTCGGGGAGAGAAATTCCAATGCCTGGGAAGCTGGCCTGTCCTGGCCCATGGGTTTGAAACAGAGGGGCCTCTTTCTTCCCTAGCTCCGGCTGGCGGCCGCTATGACATCATCCCCGCGGTGTGTAACTCGAGAAGCATGTTGGGAAGTGTTGGGACTGATTGATCACGCGTGCTGGTGTCCTCTCCCCGGAGGCTGAGGGGCCGGGCTAAGGCGGCAGCTGGCTGTGTCTCTCACCAGCACTCAGGGTGGGGGGCCGCATCTTCATTCCACCGGGCGGCATTGGGGGAAGATCCTGGCAGGGCCTCATTTTCAGATGAGCACACCGGGGCCCGCTACCAGGGCACTGCAATAACTCACAGGGTCGGGGTCCCTTCCAGGGTCTCCCTCAGCCCCACCTCAACCCTCAACCCTCACTGCCTGCCCCTGCCTGGCTCCCTGGGTGGCCTGCTGTCACAGGCCCTTCTCCACAAAGGAGAAGACACAGGAGGAAAGGGCTGGGGGATGCTGTGCAAGGCATCTGTGGGTGATGGGTCCACACTGGTGGGTCTGGAGGAGGTTGGGACCCAGGCTGCCTGGCTGATGCTGTGGACATGGGAGGAATGGCAGCTTTGTTTTCTGTCATTTTGTCATCCGAGGCTGGATCACAGGCAGATGCATCTGAGAGGCCAGATCAGGCACGCGGCAGACCCAAGGAGCTTCTCGGCCCAGCTCTGCCTGCTGCCTGGGGGCTCCAGCTGCTGAATGCCTTGAAGCCTCAGTGTTGCAGGCTGTAAAAAGGGAAACTACGCCACCCCGGAAGGGCGGTTGCAGGAACAACATGAGTGATTAACTTGATGGCTGGACCCAGAAAGTGACTGGCCAGTGGTCCTGCCTGGTCACCTGGAACAGGACTCAGAGCCTCTGTCTGTGGTGGGTTTCAGGGATCACACAGATCTCCCACCCTTGGCCATTGGACCCCCGGCAGGATGGCAGTGCTTGGATATCCTCCTGCCCCACATCCAGCAGGCGAAGCGCAGGGCCTGTCTCAGCCCCAGGAGGAGCAGCTCTGGTATGGGAGAGGTTGTTCTCTGGGGCCCCTTTTAGTTTCTCGGTATGTGAGCTCTTGGTGCACAGGTCTCCGGGCTAGAGTGCCCTGGACACCTTGCTGCTGAGAGCCTGTGTGCTCCAGAGCCTGAGAGATGGCACAGAGGGACAGGTCGTTTGTAGTTCTGGTGCATGGTGATGGCTGGGTAAGCAAGGCCCCTCACTGACCAGAGCCCCTTGACTTCATGGCCTCTGGCTGTCCGAGGGGACTGGCTGACTGGGCCTAGGAGTCAGCATCTGCGTGTGCCAGGAGGGACGAGATGCCTCATGTTCCTGGCTGCCCAGGGAGCATCCAGGACCCACCACGGAGCCCCGGGAATGCCCGGGGGTGCGGTTCTGAGCCACTGCACGGGAGGCTGGACCCGCTGTCTTGCAGAAAGTTCAAGGACAGACCGGCTGCATTTCCTGAGCCTTACACGACTCTGTGAGCCAGAAAGTGTGAATGCTTCTGTTCTCACGTTGCCCCTGAGGAAACTGGGGCTCAGAGAGGTGAAATAACGAGTCCAAAGTCACACAGCTTCTAATCAGCAGAGCTGGATTTCGAGCTGGCATTTCTCCGGCTGCAAAGGCCCGGCTCTTTCTATGCAGCCAATAGCCTGGCTGGGGTCAGGTCGAATGGCCCAGGCCAGGTGCCAGGTCCCGGCTGCCTCGTGGGGCTCACCTGTGGCCCGCATTAGCTAATACAGTGCACAAAGGGATGGTGGAGAAAAATCAAGTTACAGTGAAACTGGCCATCTATTTTGGGGCAAAAACAATTACCTTTATGTTCAAGAGAAACAGGCAGAAAGCACTTATTTAAATTGCTGTCTTATAACTACCCAAGGAGCTATTTTCAGAAACCATTCAAATGTTTTTCCTCCCTTTCCTGAAGAAAGCCACTTCCAGTCCTCCCCGAGTGCCGACTCCGGCTCTGGATGGCACAGGTCTACAGACCCCCAGCCTCCTGCCCTGGGCGACTGTGCGGAGTGAGGCTGTCCCTCCAGGGCCCGGGCCAGGTGGGGGCCGCAAGGCCTTTCCAAAGCTACTGAATAAATGAACTTTCGAGACCTCAAAGAGGACGTTGCCATTTTACCATGCAGGGGGATGGGGAGGAGATAGGTCAGGCCCCCCTCACCGAGGCAGTTAAAAAAGTACACGCAGCCCCCAAATCACATTAAATATGTTAAGCAAACACGCGGCAGGCGGCGTGGATATTAGGTCATTTCTCATAAATATTAATACCGGAGTTTTCCAACGGGCAAAATTAAAGAAACAAAGACGCCTCTTCACTTGCAGCCTCGTGGACTGCAGCCCTGGAACCGGCCCAGCGGAGCGGGGAAATATCAAGTAAATTCAGCTCCAAAAAAGCCTGCTCCGCACTCTCACCAGAGCTGCCAGTTGTGGTTGGCAAAAGGGTGAACTTTCCCCAGCCCCGGCCCTGGCCCTGGCCCTGGCAGAGGCAGTGACATGTCAGCGAGAAGAGGCCACGTGACGGCCGGGACTCCAGCCTCCGGCGGGGATGAGCCTCCCCACCTTGGGGCTGCCCCTCACCGGGGCATAGAATGCCTTCCCCTAGTCCCCAGGGCCCCATTCGGGGCTCACAACCAGAAAGTCTGGGAAGAAACTGGCCCAGCAGGCCCGCGTGGCCTGGCACTCTCTTCTGCAGGGCCCACTCCCCGGCATCCCAGGCCGCCCCTCTGGGGCAGGACCCTGCGTGTGCCCCAGGCTGGTTGACCCTCCCGAAGCTCCTGACGAGGAAGCTGGAGTCCCAGGTGCCTCCCATGGCACCCAGGCACTGGTGTCCCTCTCGTCAGGGTCTGCTTCCCGCTCCGCACCTGCCAGGTCTCACGACACCTGCGTTGGCCCCAGAGGTACACGTGCAGGTGAGCATGCAGCCTCTGCCCTTGGGCAAGAGGACGGACCTGGTCACGCCTGACCCCTCGGCAATGCCGGGGGTGGCCCAGGCACTCTGCTCACCCTGACAGCTGTGGCCTGTCCCTCAGGCCACTTGCCCCAGCGAGGCCACAGCAGAGACTTTGGTCTAAATCAACCTGATCAGGCCAGGGTTCCACCCCGATGGTGAGAGGAAAGGACACTGGAGGGAAGAAACGTCACTGTGAAAACTGAAACGCGTCTTCACAGCACTTGCCACATGGGGGCTGAGGGTCCCCCAGGCCTCCATCTGTAGACAGGGCTGTAGAAACAGCCCCAAGGGACTTGTTGCCCCACAGTGTGACGGATCTGGAGGCCCCGGCAGCTCCCTCCCTGCAGCCCTCGGGACATAGCCTCCTCTGTGCTCACAGAGCCGCACGTCTGAGCACCCCAGGGGTGGGCCTGGGTCCTTAGAGCCTGTGTCCCCACCCAGGACCCCCGCACACTGGCTGGCCTGCCACAGTCCACCCGGGCGACAGAGCAGCTGTGGTGCAGGCTCTGGAGTCAGGCAGATGTGGCTCAGATTCCGATGCCCAGTGACCCTGGAAAAGGCAGCTCACTTCCCAGGCCTCAGTTTATTTTTTTAACCTGAAAGAGAGGCCGTGGGGGTCAATGGTTTAACCTGAGTAAAGAGAATATGTTCATGATAAAGCTGCCCGAAGGCAAGGCCCGGGACATCTTCACAGCAGCCGGAGAAGGAAGAGGTGTTGCCGCAGAGGAATGGTGATGGCTTCTGGCTAGAAAAGGCGCGAGCAAGGAGATGGTGGATTGGCCGCTTTAAAGTCCCAAAAGGGAACAAACCCCACACACTAAAACCTGTGAGTTCACAATTCCACACCCAGGGAAAACCTACTCCAAGTGCCAAAGAGAAATGAAGACTTGTTTGAATGAATACACAAAAGCAGGAAGAATTCATGAGCAGCAGCTCACACTACGAGGAATGTCCTATCCGAGGGCCTGAACTACAGACAGATGCTGCGATAGGACCAGCCTCCGAAAGACGACCCCGAGAGAAAGAAGACAAAAGAGTGCAGGCCTGTGATTCCCCTCCTGTGAGATTCTAGGTAAGGCAGCAACAGGCAGCAGGTCCATGGTCACCTGGGGAAGGGGGACAGCAAGAGGGAGAGCTGGCAGAGGGGCAGGGGGAGACATCCGGGGCAATGGAGATGCTCATGACCTTGATTATGGGGGATAGAAGGAAACTTCTGGGGGGCAATGGAGATGCTCACAACCTTAATTGTGGGGGGCAGGGGGGACTTCTGGGGGGCAATGGCGATGCTCACGAACTTGATTGTGGGGTTTCGCAGGCTCATACCTGCCAAAATTCATCACACTGCATGCTTTAAACGGTGCCATTTCTTGTAAGCCAACTGTCCCCCAGTAAAGCTATTAAAGAAGATCCCAGACGCTCACTGCCTGACCTGTGAGGGCTCACGGCCAATAAACAGGAGCATTAAAAGTGAGCTTTTAAGACAGGGCTTGAGTGGGCGAATAGTGGAGCCTCATCCGGCACCAGACCCCCTGTTACCAGACCCCCTGTTACCAGACCTCCTGTTACCAGACCTCCTGTTACCAGACCTCCTGTTACCAGACCTCCTGTTGGCCCATTTTGCAGGCAAAGCCCAAGTCACCTGAGGAGCACCCGCTGGAGCCCCCCCGCCCCCACCCCCAGCTGCCGCCAGCCGGGCAGCCCTGGACCTGCTAGCCACCGGCTCCCTTAGAGGTACCCCCCTAGTCGAAGCTCCGCTGCTTGGCAGAGCCTCCTGGGAATCTCACTCTTGCTGGGTTATTTTTGGAAGCTGTTAATGATTCTGTTTGCATTTCCAATGACCTCAAACGTTCCACTGCCTGGACCCCTTCCCCACCACATGGGCCCAGCTGCCCCCCTTCCCTCCCTTGGAGCTCAGACCCACGGGCAAGGGGCTTAGGACCTGGGCTCCCCCACTGCAGGCCAGGCTGCTCCCAAGTGCCTGAGCGACAACTTCGATAGCAGGAAGGGCGACAGAGGCCGTGTGCCTGGTGAGGAGGGCAGCCCTGCCACTAACCCAGCCACCTGGGCAACTCCCGCTGCCTGTGCGGTGGGGGCAGTCACAGCACGGCTGACATGGCAGACGGTCATGAGGATGAGATAATTGTAGGCAGGTCGGTGCCGCAGGCACTGGCATCGTACTGGTGGTGCTCGGGGTTACAGGGCATGGGCAGGGTGTGCACCTGCATGGACCTGCGTCTACGCTGTCCAAGCTAGGAACTGGGGCTGGGAGCAGGGTGAGAGCCTGCATGGGTCATGGCCTGGGCTGGCTCAGCTCGGTTCAGCAGGGAGTCCCGTGCCGAGGACCTGCCAGGCACCTTCCCTCACACTTGCAGGGAAAGCGTACGCAGCGTTTTATGAGCCCAAAGCCGCTTTTCCCCTTGATTTCCAAACCTACGTGTATTTATAAAGGAAATTTAATCGGGTTGTTTTTAATTCTCTCACACTTAACTCATCAAAATGCTATTTGGTGAGAGTGGGACCAGGCCCAGGGTGCCTGCCAAGTCTGCCTGCGAAGGGCTGAGTGGGGCTCGCCGGACACCGCCAGGTCCACCCGGGAAAGACGCGCTGAGGCTGGGACAGCTCAGCTCTGAGGAGTTCCTCCTCCCCACAGGGGCTCTGCGGGGCCCGGTCCCACGCGACAGAGCCTGTGCCCTTCTCGGCCAGCTTGGGTCCCTCTTCCCACTGAGAATCTCGGGGATCCTGGAGCTTGGACCCTGCACCCCAGGTATAGCCCATGTCTGGCAGAGGCTGAGCACACAGAGGTGGAAGCAGGAGGCTGGCCCTGCCCCTAATGCCCAAGGCCTCCTCCTGGAGACAGGAGCCATTCTCAGGAAGGAGGCGGGAAGGCCGTGTCCTCAGAGGCCCAACACACAGCCCAGCCTCAGGCCAGCAGACAGAGCTGGGGTGGATGTCTCTGCTGGCCGCTGTTGGCCAGAGCAGGTCCAGTCACTAGTATGGAAGGGATGCGGCAGGTGTGTCCCCATTCACGATGGGAGTGGCCAGGCACCAGCACACCCCCACGCCAAAGTTGCTGAGAGCTGCTGGAAATGGGGCGTGAAGCGTTTGTGCGCACAGGGCCGGCAGTCAGGGGCCGAGAGGCTTTCAAGACACCGTGTGTGGGCATGGGGTGGGGAGGCTGCTGCCAGACCTGGACTGCAGAGCCCTGATGGGCAGTGGGAAGTGAGAGGCCGCCTCCTTGGCTCCTGAACACAGCCAGACCTACAGGCACCCCTAACAGGAGCCCGGCTCAGGCACGAGTGGACGCTGCCAGGCTCCGCGCATGACACGCACCCTGACACACACAGTGCGGGCCCGGGGCTCGTCTTGCTGCCCCATCGAGGCCCGCAGGCCTGGTGTGCGATAGGGTGTGCCCCACCTCCCGGACCCCCCAGGAAGCTCCTGGTCACTCCATGTCCACTCCTGGGCTGCCCTCCTCCTTCACTGTCCTTTCACCACTGGGAGGAATGAGGGGGTGGGGGGGGGACCCTGGGTGGAGACAGCCCCCTACGAGGATGGATGTGGTGGGTCCCCGGACAAGCGCTGCCCTTTCTCCAAGCGGGAAGTTGGCCCTGAGGCTGCAGAGCCAGGGTCTGAGGAGCCGGAACCCCAGTGGACCCCTCAGAGGAGGCCAGAGTGAGCGGCCCCGGCCCCCAGCCCAGTGACTTCCCCCTTTCCCTCAGCTGCACCTGCTGGTCTTTCCTGCCCCAGCCCTGCTTGGTGGCCCTGGGCCCTCACTGCCAGTGGCTTCCGCTGGTGTGTAGGGGTGGATTAGGGATGCCCTTGGCATGGCGAGGGCTGCCTGCCCCCGCTCAGAGATCTCAGGCTCAGGCCAGTGGCTCCCTTGCCCCTAGGTGTCCTCAGGTTGGGAGACCTTCCAGCCCAGCACAATGGGCTGCCAGCGAGCCTGGGGAGGGCCCCGTGTCCTTGCCCCCCAGCCCCCGTCCCCCTCCTGTCCGTGTGCCCTCCTTTGAGGAACATACCCCCAGCCCCTCACCTCCCCTTGGGGCCCAGCTTGTTCAGGCCTGGGGGTCCCTTGGTAACCTCTGGGGCAGGGGTCTCAGTCCAGCAGAGAGGTAAACAGTGGCCAGGCAGTCACAGTCCTGTGAGGCAGGGGCCAGGGTGGGGACACCCAGGGCTGGGAGGAAGAGGTGGCCCCACCCTCCCCTCTGGTGGGGCCTGGCAGTGAGGAAAGGACGCAGGAACGCACTGGTGACCAATACCCTCAGTTAACAAAATCCCTGGGGCTGGGCGGATGCACCAGGAACACAGATGTCACCACGAGGCAGGGGTAGCCCCTGAGCCAGAAGTGGAGCCTGATGGGGAGGGGCAGAGAGAGCTAAGGAGCCCCTCACCCACTCAGAAACCAAGAACCTCCCAAAGCAAGAAACAAGCCTGCTCAAGGCCCCTGGCTCTCTGCTGCTGGCTGTCACCGTCTTTTTTCCCATGACTTAAGCTGGGGCCCTTTGGATGGAACACCAGCCCCCAGGAATAATCCGGGAGGCACCAGAGGCCACATCTGAGCCACCATGTTAGAGGGGAGAGAAGGAAAACCCAAGCAGACCACCAAGGCTGTCCCCCAGACCAGCACCCCACCATCCAGACCAGCACCCCACCATCCAGACCAGCACCCCACCATCCAGACCAGAACCCCACCATCCAGACCAGAACCCCAAAATCCATCCAGACCAGCACCCCACCATCCACACCAGCACCCCCACCATCCACACCAGCACCCCACCATCCACACCAGCACCCACCATCCAGACCAGCACCCCACCATCCAGACCAGCACCCCACCATCCACACCAGCACCCCAAAATCCATCCAGACCAGCACCCCACCATCCACACCAGCACCCGCCATCCAGACCAGCACCTCACCATCCAGACCAGCACCCCACCATCCACACCAGCACCCCAAAATCCATCCAGACAGCACCCCACCATCCAGACCAGCACCCCACCATCCACACCAGCACCCACCATCCACACCAGCACCCCACCATCCAGACCAGCACCCCACCATCCACACCAGCACCCACCATCCAGACCAGCACCCCACCATCCACACCAGCATCCACACCATCCAGACCAGCACCCACCATCCACACCAGCACCCCACCATCCAGACCAGCACCCCACCATCCACACCAGCACCCACCATCCAGACCAGCACCCCACCATCCACACCAGCATCCACACCATCCAGACCAGCACCCCACCATCCAGACCAGCACCCACCATCCACACCAGCACCCCCACCATTCATACCAGCACCCCACCATCCAGACCAGCACCACACCATCCACACCAGCACCCCACCATCCAGACCAGCACCCACACCATCCAGACCAGCACCACACCATCCAGACCAGCACCCACCATCCAGACCAGCACCCCACCATCCAGACCAGCACCCACCATCCATCCAGACCAGCACCCCACCATCCAGGCCAGCATGCCACCATCCATCCAGACCAGCACCCCACCATCCAGACCAGCACCCACCATCCAGACCAGCACCCCACCATCCAGACCAGCACCCCCACCATCCAGACCAGCACCCACCATCCACACCAGCACCCCACCATCCAGACCAGCACCCACTATCCAGACCAGCACCACACCATCCAGACCAGCACCCACCATCCAAACCAGCACCCCACCATCCAGACCAGCACCCACCATCCATCCAGACCAGCACCCCACCATCCAGGCCAGCACGCCACCATCCATCCAGACCAGCACCCCACCATCCAGACCAGCACCCACCATCCAGACCAGCACCCCACCATCCAGACCAGCACCCCCACCATCCAGACCAGCACCCACCATCCACACCAGCACCCCACCATCCAGACCAGCACCCACGATCCAGACCAGCACCACACCATCCAGACCAGCACCCACCATCCAAACCAGCACCCCACCATCCAGACCAGCACCCACCATCCATCCAGACCAGCACCCCACCATCCAAACCAGCACCCCACCATCCAGACCAGCACCCACCATCCATCCAGACCAGCACCCCACCATCCAGACCAGCACCCCACCATCCATCCAGACCAGCACCCACGCTGGCCCCAGGTGGACACCAGGATCCAGGTGGACAGCAGACCCCAGGTAGACACCAGTCCCAGGTGGACGCCAGGGCCCAGGTGGACATTAGGCCCCAGGTAGACATCAGGCCCCAGGTAGAGATACCAGCCCCAGGCAGACACCAGCACCCAGGTGGACACCAGGCCCCAGGCGGACAGCCAGGTCCTGTATCCAGCCTCCTAAGAGCTGGGTGGGCAGCCCTGCTGGGCACCATGACCGGACCCTGCCAGATCTCATTGTGTGGCTGACACATTCAGAGGGCATGGACCGAGGTGCCCGAGAGCCCACAATCAATGGCCTTTTTATTCCATTCTATTTCACCTCCATTGAGTGCTCACTCCCCTCTCTCCCTAATAGAATTACTCTTATCTGCAAGTGATTTAAACTCCAAGGTTTACTGAAGATTTAAAGAGTGTGAACACAGTTGGAATGTTTTAAACTAACAGTACAAGTTGCATTTTAAGAAAATAATTAACTCCCAGGGGAGGTGTGGGTTTTGGAGCAATGACAGATTTTCAAGGTTGCTTTCCCTATATGGAGTTTCCAAATAATAAAATATCTTTGATTCCCTGCTGATGTCAGACGAGAACCTGTGAGTGTGCAGGCAGACTGTCATTTTTTTAAGAGGGCCCATTAGTGTCTTAAAGACGCAGAGCCGAGTCTGCAGGCGGAGGGCGAGGGGTGGAGAGCGGCCTTGGGTCTCACCAGCTGGCCTGTCCATCCTGTGCCCTCCCCGTCCAAGTGCCCAGACCCCTCCTTAGGGCGCACCTCCTCGCAGGGCCACAGTCTTCCCGTGTGACAGCCAGGAGCAGTCTTCCCCCGCGAGGCGATCTCCAGGTGCAGCAGGAACGCTCACTGTCCAGGCCTAGGCTAGGATGCGAGGGTCTCCAGGAGGGGCCTGGCGTCCAGGTGTCTGTTGAGCCCTGGCCCGGCGTCGGGGGTGGGGGTGGCCTCTGGGACCTGGACATGGGGGGCATCCCCAGGGGGACTGACACCTGGCTTTATGTGTAGTGCCTGGCTAGGCATTTTAACTGTATTTCATTTGTTGTTCACATAACCTCCAAGGTGGGCACTTTCCCCATTTCACAGATGGGAACAAGGTTTAATGAGGTTGAGGAACTTGCTGAGGGCCCAACGCTGGTCAGGAACTCGGACCCCAGCGAGCCTGAGGCCCTGGGGTTTTGTGGGCAGCCTTAATTTCCAGGTGTCCCAAGGAATCTGCAGGCCCCAGTCTGTGCCCCCTCTGTGGTCCCAGGGCCGTCTGTCTCTGGATTTGGGTTCACAGCACGTCCTGGCCTTTGCGCCTGGTCTCCGGCTCCGAGGAGCAACATGAGGGCTGCCAGTCGGCCACTGCGTGGAGACTCAGAGTGTGGAGCTGCTGGGGCCCATCTCTGAGCAGTGGCAGGAAACACTAATGCTGGCCATGCCACTCTCCAGGCAGCCGAGGCTGGGGTAGAAAGTCGAGGAGGGACTGGGGCTGCCAGGAATGGAGGCAGGCGGGTGGAGAAGGGGCCGCCAGGGAGGGGTTCCCTGTGCAGCTTTCTCAGGGCCATTTCCACGTTCTAGGTGGCATTTTGGGGCAGCTCCCAAAGTCCACCCACCCAGCCAGTCCCCAAGGTCGCGGTCCCCAGAGTCTGCCCAACTTGGTGCTGGGCCCATCCAGGAGTCTCTGTGTGAGCGTCCCCCAGGTGAGTGTGAGGCGTCCCTCAGGTGAGTGTGACGCATCCACCCAGGTGAGTGTGAGGCGTTCCCCAGGTGAGTGTGACGCGTCCCCCAGGTGAGTGTGACGCTTCCCCCAGGTGAGTGTGACGCGTCCCCCAGGTGAGTGTGACGCGTCCCCCAGGTGAGTGTGACGCGTCCCCCAGGTGAGTGTGACGCGTCCCCCAGGTGAGTGTGACGCATCCACCAGGTGAGTGTGATGCATCCTGGCCTTCCCCAACCCAGGACTCTGCCAGTGTCCTCCTTTCTGGCCAAGGTCAAAGCTTTGCTGACCACCTCCAAGGTCAGGGTGGCCACCTGGCCCTCGGAGAGCCAGTCATTCCAGGTGATGTCCCTTGGCTCTCCTGGCCAGGCGAGGGTTGGTAAGGTGGCCCACAGGCCAGCTCTCCTCTCCCTGGGGATGCCTCCTGTGCCATGGGTGGAGGGAAGAATGCCCTGTCCCAGGACTGCCACCCTCATCCTCCAGGCAGCGTGTACCCTGGGCTGGCTGGAACACAGATGAGCCTGGACCATCCCTCATCCTCCAGGCAGTACGTGCCCTGGGCTGGCTAGAACACAGACCAGCCTGGACCGTCCACCTGGAGAAGGCACAGGTCCAGGGCACCCCCTCATCCTGCTGGCTTCTGCCTCCAGGATTCTGGGGGCCTCATCTGGGCAGCCCCTGCAGCTCTAGCCCTTCTCCAGTGGGGAAAGGACAGACAGCTCTCCTCTAGCCAATTCCCAAGTGGGAGTTCCAGTTCACTCTGCGGGAGAGGGCTGCCTCCACGGGGCAAGACAGGCAGTCCAGAGCCCATCCCCTGCCCTGGCTGTGACCGGACCACCCTCCAAGGGGGACGGAGAGGATCCTTTCTGTCCAGCACCGGCTGCAGGAGGAGCTCCAGGAGCTCTGGCATCTGTGCTGCTCTGGCCCTCCCTCCGAGGAAGTGGCTTCTGTGGCCGGGAGGTTTGGGGGGCCACCACCCCTTCTGCCCAGCTTCTTCCTGCCAGAGCCTCAGAAGCCAGCCTGCCTGGCCCAAGGCCCGCCTGGCCCTCTGTGCCTGGGAAGGATGGCGGGATGGAGAGCAGCGTTTGCCAGTTGTCCATTTTTCTAACACCTTCCCCCAAATGTCTGCCTCTCAGGAATAATTCTTTCTGGTAATTTACTTGCAAAACATTTGGCCATTAACACCCAGCCAAGAGTGGATGGCAGGTCACAGACTATTAAAAATATCCACACCTGGGCCCTAGATTGCCTGCTGAACCACTGCCCTGGGCCGGGGCGTCCCGCCAAGAGCTGTGCCTGCGGCCAGGCTGGGGCTCCCCTTTCTCCCTCCTCCCTCTGCCCCAGCACAGCCTCATCCTCCGGCAGGGTCTGGGGGACACATGTAGGAAGGGGGTCACCAGAGATGGCCAAGGTGGGTGAGTGCTTAAGGCAGGCTGGCCAGCAGGGGCAGCTCCCACGAGGGCTGGGCACCCCAGCTCTGCCCAGGGACCACTCATGTTGAGATGACCCCGCTGTAGATGGACAAAGGACGCCTCCTTGAACACAGGTTCCCCAGCTGCCATCAGTCCCCCAGGACACTGTGTCCTGAGCCCTCCACCGTGCTGACCAGGGTCCTCCCAAGGGGGCCCCTTCTCCTGCAGGGTAGGGGAGGACCCCAGAACCTACTGAGAGGCCCTTTGGGGTGTCAGGTGCTGAGACACGGCCTGAGTTGATCTTTCTGGAAGGATGGTGGATGGGGATGCCATATGAGCCCCTCCTCAACAGGGGCATCTGCAATGCAAGGGCTCAACGCATCCAACCCGTTCTGCCCACAGGGATGAAGTCACTTACTCCTCACTGCCACTCTACGGGCAAGGAAACGGGGGCATGGAGAGACAGGGGCTCAGGCCCGCTCTCGAGGGGAGGGGACGGGGGCTGAGCTCCGCCCTGACTTTCCTCTGACTGTGCCAGTCAGGGCTTGGGGCCCCCGGACCTCGTTCCTTAGCAGTTTCTGGAAGGTGGCCTCCTTGGGGATCCTGCCTTGGCCCCTGTTGAAGAAGACTTTCCTGCTGCTGGGTTGATCCGAGCCTGGAGCTCCTGTGTGGGACGGCAGCAGTGAAGTGTGTGCTGAGCCCGTAGCATGGGTGGGAGCCCCGGGAACCCAAGACCCCAGCCCCCACCCGGCCGAGCAGGTATCCGGCATGCTCAGCCCCAGGGAAGTCCGCGGCCCGGTCGAACCCCCTCCCATCTGGCTTCCTATGAATGTCGGTCCCAGACCCCGAGTCTCTTGGGGCCCAGCGAGCCTGGGACCCTGGGGCTTTGCGGGCAGCCTTAATTTCCAGGCTTCCAAAGGATAAGATGCTGACGGGGACTTCTGAGGGGGACCCATGTGGGCAGGAGCCTGTGGCGGTGCAGTGGGGGCCAGGGCTGAGGGGAGGATGAAGGGGCTACAATGCTGGCCAGGTGCATCCTCTCCATCCTGAACCCCCAGCATGGAGTCCTGCCATCCAGCGTACCCTGTGTGGCTGTGCTCGCCCTTGGGCCTGGGGCATGAATTACTCTTCTTTCCCAGCCCCCAAAGCCCTCAGCCCCAGGTCCATTCAGGAGGATGGGAGCAAGGCCAAGCCACCACCTGGACCCTGGAGGAGCCCTGGTCCCCTGTGCTGGGGGATCCACCACACAGGTGTGAAAAACAAGGACTTCAGTAGCCAGAGACCCCCAACACCCCCCCCCCCCCCGCCAGAGAAGGAGGAGGGCTCCCCGTGGGCAGCACCTTCCTGGGCCCTGGCAGGTGGCTGCCACCCTCCAAGGTCAAGTCAGCCACCACTTTGTGGTGGGAGGGCTGGGTGCTGGTGTCCAGCCCATCCAGGATTCAGCCCTGGACACCTCGCTCAACCCCTAAGCTGTGGCCTCGCTGCCTCCCGGCAAGGCCAGGGCTACCCCCGGACAGAACCAGTCAACACCTGAACCGCCAGGGCCCAGGGACGGCCTGGGGCTCCAGTGCTCGGGAGGCTCCTTCTCAGGGGCAGCCTCAGCCCAGCCCCCAGGGGGCCAGTGTCAGCAGGGCTTGTCCACCCCAGGGACAGTGCCAGACCTGCACTAGGCCGGCCCATCCCTTGGTGGTGCCCATCCAGGAAAGGCCTCTTCCCCAAGCGTGAAAGGTGGGAGCTGAGGCTCAGACAGTGCACCTGCTAGGACTGTGGGGATCGCAAGTGACAGAAACTCCAACCCAAACTGTCTTAAGCTAGTCTGTGCCAGTGTACCCAGGCGGGGAGGAGGCAGGGCATGGATGGATGCCCTAGGACTCCAGGAAGCCATGAGGGGCCGCTGCTCTCCCCTCCTCCTTTGCTGTCTTGGCTTCCATCTCAGCTCCAATGATAGCAAGAAGGTGGCTGGCCTCAGCCCCGACCTCCTGCCAGGATTCAGGCCTCAAAAGGCATCAAAAGGCCTGACGGATCTCGTTGGCCAGCCGGGGAACCACAGGGACCATCCCTTCCGCCTGGTCCAGGTCTCTGCCTCAGAGGTGGGGGTGGGGTCAGCTGCCCCCACAGGAGGGGCTGGGGACAGAGAGGGGTGCCTGCTCAGAGGGCCACCGGGCCTGTCTCAGGAAAAGGAAAGGATGCTGGGAGTCGAGAAGGCCATGTCCACCTGAGGTCACCCTCTGGGTGCCCCGGCCTTCTGGCTCCCAAGCCAAAAGCCTGGCCGTGGACCCTCCTGTCTCCCACTCGCCAAAGCCCCTAAAACCAAAATGCCACTGAGACCAGGCCCCCATGAGGGTGGGGGGCACAGGCCTCAGGGACCCAGTGCCCCTGACCATCAAGGCTCGGGTCCTCAGATGGGAAGGGCCAAAGTCCTGGGAGGAGGGCTGGGAATCACTGGCTGGGTGTGTGGCCACAACGTGGTGAGGCCGCTGCCCATGAGACTGGAACTCCACGCCCCAGGAGAGACTGGATCTCCAAACTCCAGGCGAGCCCTTCCCAAGTGGGGCATTGGAGCCATGTCCACCCAGGGCCCGGCTGTTATCAGCCCTCGAGTATTTTCTGAGCCTTCCTCACACTGAGCCCCATGGACATCTGTTGAGGGCCACCAGAGGAGGCTCTGGATTGTCCCCGGGCCCATGCCCCACGCCCAGCACAGGGCGAGTGCTCAGCACGCTTTGGCCAGGTCACCCAATGGCCGGCCACAGGGTCAGTCTGAAGACTGCAGGCTGCGTCTCTGCCAGCCCCGTTTCTGCCCAGACTCCAGGCAGGAGAACACAGGTGCCCGCCCAGCCACTGCAGAGAAGGGGCCAAGGACAGGGAAGGGTAAAGTGGGCCCCCAGGTCTCAGCCCCCAGAAAGGCCATTTGCAGATGCCCCCGCTCTGTCCTGCCCTCATCCCCATCACCCCCCCTCCCACGCCAAAGGGGTTTATAAGGAACTGTTCGGCGCACCAGAGAAAACACCGCCGTCATTAAGGGATTTAACGACAGCTCTGCCCGATTCAGGGGATTTGCTCTGTCCCTCATTCCACAGTAACAAGCATTTCTCGGGGACGCAGCCCCGCGCCCAGGGCCGCCCTCCTGTGCTGTGTGTTACTTTCATTAGAAGGCGTTTTATGAAGCCACCGATCACAGACGCATGTCTAACCCACGGCCACAGCAGCTGCTGCTCACAGGGCCTGGTGTCCTGCGCTGGGTGGCCGGTGGTGCGCCGGCAGGCCAGTCCGCCATCCCAGTGCACAGAGAGGCGTCTATTATAACGGCTGTCTCTGCAGCCGGAGCCCCTCCCTGACACCCTCAGCCAGAGGGCGGGGGCCTGGCACCAGGCACTGAAAGTCAGGGCACCTGTTCACACCGCTGTGGCGACCGAGCTCAGCCAGGGCCTCCTCTTTCTGGGCCTCGGATTCCTCATTTTGGCAGACAGATGCCTTTCACCTTATGTTAGCAGCGGGGCTCTTTCCCCACAAACCACTAAACCACTAAACCAAAGTAGAAAAGGCAGAGACGAAGCTGATTCTGTTGGCGCGAAACGGCCATCCCGTGCCTCACTCCACTCCCACCCCCAGGAGGCCCCTGGGACACCCCAAATTCCTGAGAGTCTTTGGAACCGTGTCTTGGCTGTGGCCTGGGACTCCCCCCAGCTCGGTGCCTTGAGCCCCTAATGGTGAGTGTGGCTGAGGGGACAACAGCCCTGCCCCAGGAGTCAGCCTGGGTCACCTGGGTTGCACCACCTACGGTCAAGGGACCCGTCAGGCCAGGCCCAGGCCCAGGCCCAGGTGTCCCACAGGAAGAGTGGCTCTCTCTGAAGTTGAGACACAGGACTCTGGAGAGGCACACACCCCTCCCCAAGGTGTCTGCTGAGTCCCCAGCCCCAAGCAACCTTCCCGGCCATCTGAGTCCCTGCTTGGCCCTGCCAGGGACACTCTCCCAGCAGATATGGTGTGTATAAGATGAGGAAGGCAGGAACTAGTCCCCCCAGAGGAAACTTCCGGATAAGCAAGATTTGCAGCTGGAAGGCCCAGGGTGAAGCAGGCACTGGTGGCTGGGGAGGCTCTGTCCCTCTGGTTCTCAGGCCCTAGCCACAGACCTTCCTCCATCCATCCAGACCGGCCACCCTAGGCCAGGACCGCAGCAGCCTCCCCAGGTGCCACCCAGACCGCAGGGTCCCGTGAGCCCCTTCTTCACCATGCCTGGGAGGGGCAGAGAGGGGTGGTCTCAGGCTCCCCATACCCAGCCCTGTGCAGGGCTCTAAAGCTCTGTCTGTAAACAGTTGCGGCTCTGCCCCCTTGATCAGCAAAGCAGCTCAAAGGAATCACAGCCACAGCCCAGGGGAGGGGAAGGGGAGTGGAAAGGAGGCAGGAGGCTGGTGGGCCTCGGGAACATGGACACGCAGGCAGAAGGGGCACCCACAGCTTCTCTGAGGTCACTTCGGTCCTGCCCTGCTTTCCCAGATGAACGCTCACGAGACTGGGGCCTGGCGAGGCCTGGGAGAGTGCAGCAGAGAGGAGTCGGCAGCTCCGCAGCTGGGCCAAGCGCACCCTGCCCCCCAGAACAGCCCATGAATAAGTCAATAACAAGCCCTGCGATCCGGCTCTGCCCTCGCTCGGGCTGGGCCAGGGCGGCGATTGCGTCCACAATACCGTGCATTCATTACGCTCCTTAAAAACAGTGTTGTGTGTCTGGAGAACAGGAAGTGGCCGTAAGTCCCCCGTGTAAAAGCCATCTGAAGCCACGGACCAGGTATGTTCTCAATCAGGAAGCAGGCAGTAAATAAACATTTACGTCCCGCAGCCGCGCACCCGCCGGCCCCCAGGCTGCAGAGGGGCACAGAGAGCGGAAATTTGTTTAGTCCTATAAAAGCACAGGCCGTATATCAATAGATGATTAAACATGGAAATGTTGCTGGCTAATGGATGGTATTGATTTTAATAAGCGTTAAGTACATGGGGTTCAAAGATAAGAACCACACGGCCATCTCTTCGTGCTCAGAGAAAGTGGCTCCTGCCAAGAAAAAAAAACAAAAAACCTCTTTTCCAAATGGAAACTTTCACCCGTCTTATTGGGGGAGTGGTTTCCAAATCAGCATTCATTTCAGAGGACAGAGTGTGACCCGAGTGATATATTCACTGACTCCGGTGATGAGGTGGGCACACCGCCCTGGAAACAGTAGCAGCATGGGTTTGGGAGCCTCCTGTGTCCACCAGCCCTGCATGGGTGCCACGGGTGTGGCCAGTGTCCACTCGCCCCATGCAGTGTTGATGCGTCCAAGGCCAGGGATGCTTCACCTTGTGCCACTCCCTGCTCAGGGAATCACCGATTCTGGGGATTTCAGGCTGCTCAAACCCAACCGCACTCAACCGAACTGAGCTTTTTTTATTTTTTGAGACAAGATTTCACTTCATCCTCCATGCTGGAGTGCAGTGACACAGTCACAGCTCACTGCAGCCTCCACCTCCCCAGGCTCAGGTGATCCTCCCACCTCAGCCTCCCGAGTAGCTGGGACTGCTTTCACCCGAAATGGGAGAGCAGGCTGGACTCTCGGGAGGCTCTGTAACTTGACCTTGCTCTTCCACTGAGTTCAGTGGATGTCTGGGCTCCTTTTAGGCAGGAGAGGGCAGGAGACTGAGCTGACCATGCCCTGGGTCAGTGCACAGGGCCCGAGAACAAGGCTGCAGCTCCCATATCCAGAGACAGTCACCCTGTGCAGCCGCTGGCCGGACGCAGGTCCCGTGCTCCAGCCTCAGTCACTCGGCTGGTGGGGGGTGCGACCGCTTGGGGAGCATGGTGCGAGCCCCCGTGCCATGTGTCTGTTACAGCCTGGGTGGGAGAGGCTGGGGCTCCCTGGGCGTCCAGCACCCGAGGGCCCCGCTGCCCCATGGATACAGCTGGACTTGCCCCAAGCGCCACTCAAGGCTTCCCTGGCTCCCCACGAGGAAGGCCACTTGCTTGGTTTGTTAACTCAGCATTCTTCTCACCGTCCTCCAGGGCTCCTTGCCTCCCAGAGCCCACGGTACACTGGGCCCTGAGAAGTGGGACCAATGAGCTCCAATTTCACCCAGAACGTGTTTGGTTGGGAGCGCCAGGTCCTCCCAGGGAAGATGCTTCTGGGCGGCAGAGGCAGCAGCACCTCTGTGACAATGACACAGTGTGTCTGCCCATCCGCTCGGCTCTGAACCCAGCCACGACCAGGCACCGGCTGCCAAGGCAGCACCCCACCCCCCAACTCCCCAGTGCCTGACCCGGCTGGGAAAGGCCCTCACCACGCTGCATTCTAACCATTACAGACGGTCACTGGGAATTTTCTGATAAATTATTTTGTCTAGCCTGCTTTCCAGGCCAACCTCTTTGGCCTCCACAGCTCTTATAAATCATTTCCCATTGAGTGGGAAACTGAATTCTACCCAAGTCTCAGCTACAAAGTGGGTGGAGTTTCTTTGTTTAGAGATTTCTCATTTTTATAGGCGATAAAGGAGACCCCACCCTCATCAGGGCTGCACCAGCTGGTCAGGACGCGTGGCAGCCAGCTTGGAGACCTCCCTGGCTGGGTCAGAACGCGTGGCGGCCGGCTTGGAGGCCTCCCTGGCTGTGAGCTGTGAGAGTGGAAGCCACAGGGCTCAAGATGGATAATGGGCTGGAGGGAGAGCCATGGTTGTTTTGCAAAAAATGAAGTAACCAGCTGTACATTCTAAAGTGACTACTGTGCGTGCCAGGTCAGGTGCCGGGCTCCCCCCCAGAGCTGTGGTTCAGGCCTAAGGTGGGATGGGCAGTGAACGAAAATGCCAGCCTTGCCCTGAAGCTGCTGTGTCCTGGGCATGCAGCAAGGATCGTGCCAGCCAGGAGCCCTGCGGCTGCGAGACAGAGAGGTGGGCCCAGCTGGGGGTGAAGTGCTGGCCTCCTGGGCTACCCTAACAGTTAGCATAAATGGAGCGCTAAACTTCTCCACACAATAGAATTTTATTCTTTCACAGTTCTGGAGGCCAAAAGTACACAACCAAGGTGTGAGCAGGGCTGTGGTCCCTCCAGAGCCCTTAGGGGAGGACGCTTCTCCTCTTCCAGCTTCTGTGGCTCCAGCAATGCTTGACTTGTAGACGCATGGCTCCAATTTCTGCCTCCTCTTCACAGAGCCTCTCCTCTGTGTCTCCTCTGTGTGTCTGAATTTTCCTCTTCTTTTAAGGACACCAGTCATTAGGTTTGGGATCCACCCTCATCCAGTGTGACCTCATCTTCACTTGATCACATCAACAAAGACGCAATTTCCAAATAAGGTCACATTCGCAGGCTCCAGTGGACATGAATCTTGAGGTGCCCTGTTCCACCCAGCACAGACGATCCATAAAATCTCCCAAGGAGCATCTCCCAACACCCTGCACTCCCTGGAGGTGCTGGGTCTGTCCTTCCATGGAGACTTCGAGCACAAGGCACTATCATGATGTGTTGTGAACATGAGACTCCACTCTGCTTTCCAGGGCCCATCCTGGCTGTGGCCCTTTCCAAGGCCCCAACCCCAGGGGCAAGCTTAGTCCAGCCTTGGGAGTTTCACCCTTCAAATGTCATTTTACTTGTCAACTACAGGTCTTGGCTTAACTTCCCCCTCTCAGAAAGTCCTCTTCCCATTGCAACCTCCAGGACAACTTATTTTCTTGACTTTTTCCCTCATGGTTTGTAATGATAGATTAAGCTTTCCCTGTTCCCACAAGACGGTAGACTCCACAAAGGCACAGACTTGTCTGTTCACCACCATATCTCTGAACAGACAGAGTACTTAGCAAATGGCCACTTGGGAAATAGTCATTGAATGAATGTGTGGAAAGATGGGTGGGTGGGTGGATGAATGAATGGATGAATGGATGGATAGATGAGTAGTAGATGATAAGAAGGATGGATGGTGGTTGGATGGATGGATGAGTGGATGGATGGATGGATGGATGAATAGATGAGTAGTATTTTGTAAGATGGATGGTGGTGGGTGGATGGATGAGTGAATGAATGGGTGGATAGGTGAGTAGCAGATGGTAAGATGGATGGATGGTGGGTGGATGGATGGATGGATGGATAGATGAGTAGTAGATGGTAAGATGGATGGATGGTGGGTGGATGGATGGATGAGTGGATGGATGGATGGATGGGTGGATGGATAGAAGAGTAGTAGTTGTAAGATGGATGGATGGTGGGTGGAAGGATGGATGAGTGGATGGATGGATGGATGGATAGATGAATAGTAGTAAGATGGATGGATGGTGGGTGGATGGACGGATGAGTGGATGGATGGATGGATGAGTAGTAGATGGTAGTATGGATGGATTTGGATGAATAGATGAGTAGAGGGATGGTAGGATGGATGGATGAATTGTGATGAATGGGTAGGTGGATAGATAAATGGATAGACGGAAAGACGAGTATGTGGGTGAGTGAATAGATGGACGGGGAATAGAAAGATTGATGAGTGGTTGGAAAGACTGATTGGTAATTGGGTGGATACATGGAAGAGTGGATGGATGGATGGATGGATGGATGGATGGATGGTTGGATAGACAGTAGGACAGATGTAGGTGTATAGTGGGTGGATGGATGGATGCACGGATGAATGGTAGGATGAATAGATAGATGAATGCATGGATGGGTGAATGGATGAATGAATTGTGAGTAGATAGAAAAATAGATGGGTTGGTAGAGAGATGGATGACTGAAAAGATGAGTGTGTGGATGGATGGATGGATGGGAAGATGGATGGATGGATGGATGGATGGATGGATGGATGGGTGGATGGATGGGAAGAGTGGTGGATGGGTGGATGGATGGATGAATGAGAATATTGATGGATGGGTGGATACATGGATGACCATTTTACTCAATGTTGTATCTTCAAGTTCAGCACAAGACACCGTGCATGGAAGGTATTCAGGGAATGGGTGAGTCATGAGGACATGAAGGAAGGAAGGAACAGAGTGGGTAACCAGGAAGGACTTGGCTCCTGAAGTCAAGGTTATGGAAAGGGATCCTTCCCTGCAAATAAGCACAGGGTAGAATCTTCTGCTTCCTTATGCTGGGGCAGGCGGGCTTTCACAGACCTGGGCATGTAGGAGGCATCAAACGCTGGCTGCCTGAGCAAGTTTGTGAAATATGCCCCTAAGCCTGTTTCACTTTGCCCCAGCATCACAGTGCAGCTGTGCTCCACATTATGTGAGCTGACCCCTTTTGTTTTTTGCCCTAAGACTGTATCTTCTTCAGAGATCAGTGGGCTTTTACTAGGCAGGTCCAGAAGGTAAACAGTTGAGGTTGCATGGGCCTGAACCACTAAACTCTGACGCTAGAACCTGAAAGCAGACATGGATAACGCAGAACAAATGGGCGTGTGGCTGCATTCCAATACAGCTTTATTTATAGACATTGACATTTGAATTTCATATCAAGTTCATGTGTCGCAAAATATTATTCTTCCTTTGATTTTCTTTTTCAACCACTAAAAAATGTAAAAGCCATTTTTAGCTCATGGGCCATTCAAAAACAAGTGGCAGGCTTGCTTAGGTCTGCAGGCTGTCATTTGCTGTCTCCCTTCTTCCCCCAATATACCACCATCCACTATCTGATGAATGAATGTGTACTCATGCTTTTTTTTTGTCTTTTTTTCTAGAGACAGGGTCTTGCTCTGCCATCCAGGCTGGAGTGGAGATTGCAGCCTCAGACTCCTGGCCTCAATCAATCCTCCCATCTCAGCCTCCTGAGTAGCTGGGACCATAGGTCCGCGCCTCCACACCTGGCTAATTTTTGTATTTTTTGTAGCAATGGGGTCTCACTATGTTGCCCAGGCTGGTCTCAAACTCCTGGGCTTATGTGATCCTCTTGCCTTGGCCTCCAAAAGCACTGGGATTTCAGGCATGAGCCACCACGGCTGGCCCCTTGTGTGCTCATTCTACAAGCAACTTTCAGGATTTGATAGACTGTAGTCATATTCCCCTCACATTTCTACTTTCCTGGCTGAGATGAACATCATTTGTGTGTGGGGTTTCTTCAGCAATGGCGCCTAACAAAGCTCCCCCAGGTCAGTGCCTCCCAGCCATAGGCCCTGCTCCTCACCCTCGCGGGCCAGCGGTGGGCCCTGCTTGAGGCTATGATTGGGCTCACGGCTGCCGCAGGTCTGTGAATTCTGGGGCCTGGGCTGCGGGACAATGGTGGACCCCGGGCACACGTTCTTCAGGGCATGTCCTCAGCAGGCAGGAGGCCAACATCCCTTGGCCAGAGAAATTGCAAGGCCCAGCCCAAAGTCCACAACGGGGAAGTCACCCCACCTCACAGCGAGGGGAGGAGGGGGCAATATTTGCCGAGCAACAATCCAAACGATCACATATGTTCTCATCAGTTTCTCTAAGTGACTATTAATTTCCTTAATAGCACGGAGGCTCTTCGAGGCTAGGAGCTATGTTTATGTTGTTCACCTTTAGAAAGCAATGAGCAAATATTTGCTTGACCAGAGAGTGACACCCACATGTCTGGGGTCCCATTTACACGATGTAATTGCCTCCTGCCCCCTCCCAGCGCCCTCTCAGCAGCTGTGCTGGAGGCTCCGCACCAGGACACCTTCTGGCTGGTCCAGCCCTGGAAGTTTGAAAGTCCTTCAAAGGTACCGCAGACTCTGGGGGCTGGAACTGCAGATCTCTATTGTCTCACAGTCCCAGAGGCTGGAAATCCAAGGTCAAGTTGTGGGCAGGGTGGGTTCGTTCTGAGGCCTCTCTCCTGGGTGTGCAGAAAGCGTGTCTGTGTCCTAATCACCTCTTCTTCTAGGGACACTAAGTCACGTTGGATGAGGGCTCACCCAAATGGTCTCATTCTCATTGATTTACCTCCTTAAAGAGCTCATCTCCAAATATAGCCACGTGAGGAGGTCTTGGGAGCTGGGACTTTAACGGATCAATTTGGGAGGAGACACAGCTTAGTCCATCCCACAGAAGCTTGCAGAGAGGTCGGCTCTGCCCCCAGAGGGAGTTGGAGGTCTCAGAGCATCTACCTGCTTCTGCCTTTCACTGCCAGGGAGCAAACCCGGCCAGGCCTCCAGGACCGCACAGCACACACAGTCCTGCAGAGAAGAAGCGCCCAGGCTGCTGTCTGGGGAGGCGGGTGCTCCTGTACCAGTCGCTCTAGTCATGAACAGCCTCTAAATGCCGGTCATCGTTCCCCATTGATTATTTCCATTTTTTGCCAATGCAGTTACTTGGAAGGAATAAACACACCCCTGCACACCGAGGCACAGAAGCCTGGCCTTCCCAGCTCAGAGAGTCCTTGGTGGCAATTTGAGATGAAACGGCCGTGATCGAAGAGAGAAAGTGGAGGCGAGGCTTAGCGTCCCACAGAGCAGAGGCCGCTGGTTCCCCGGGATGGAGGGGCCAGGAGTGAAGACAGCCATACCAGGCCTGAATCGCCGGCTCAGGAGACAGAGGCCAGGGCCCATAGGAGAGGAAGCTCCCGGGTAAGCTCTTCACAGTGCCTAGGCATTCTGTCTTTGTGCTCCTACAAAACCAGGCTTATGTTTGCAAAGCGTTGGGAGAAGTCGGAGTTCCCTGGGAACATCGTGTATACCAAACAGGGACGCCTTGGAGGAGGGCCCACAGGATGGGAGATCCCCAGGCATCTCCCCAGGTGAGAGCTGGCACGAGACCCCAGGTGCCACTAGCCCCTTCTTTCCCCCACCTGATGTTTCCTTCTTTCTCCTTATTCTGCCACAGAAAGCTGAGAATTCAAAGAAGGACCGAGGCAGATTTCTGAATGTTTCCTTGCTCTGTCTTCTCATCCACACTTTGTTCTGGGGTTGAGGAGGGTGTGGAGTTGGGAATCCAACCCAAGGCTCCTGGCCTCTCTGCAGACCCCAGAGTCTGCTCAGGAAGCCACAAAACCAGTGCCCACACCAGCATGTGCCACTCAGGAGAGGAGAATTCAGGAGGAACGGAAGGCCTGCTCCCCACGGCTCGGCTCCAGGCCATCTTCCTTCTTGATGGGGACACCTCCTGCCTTGGAGAGAGGTGGGAACCAGCATCTGGGAGACCCAGCTGGTGGGGCAACCAGTGAGGATGGGGAAGTCATGTTCATTTGGCTCATAGTGACAAGCCGGCCATGGCATATACTCTGCTGCTTGCAACGATTCCAGAGGCCAGCACGATTCCTCCCTCCACCCCAGGTTTCGCCACAGAAATGCCTGATCTGCCCAAGGCCACCCTGCCAGGGACAGTGGTTACTGATGTTGCCTGCTCTGCATCCACCGTAGCACAGGGGGAAGGATGCCTGCCCAATCCATGGCACCCTCTCCTGTGTGCCAGCATGCACAGGCTTCCTCCATGCACAGGCCAGGGATGGCTGGCCAAATACTGTCACCAGGGGAGGCTGTGGGAACTCCCAGAGGGGATAGCCTTGGCCTCTGTGTGGTCAGACCATAAGGGCTAGCCTTGGCCTCTGTGTGGTCAGACCAGAAGGGCTAACCTTGACTTCTGTGTGATCACATCAGAAAGGCTAGCCTTGTCCTCTGTGTGATCAGACCAGAAGGGCCAACCTTGGCCTCTCTGTGGTCAGATAGAAGGGCTAGCCTTGGCCTCTGTGTGATCAGACCAGAAGGGCTAGCCTTGACTTCTGCGTGATCAGATCAGAAGGGCTAGCCTTGACCTCTGTGTAGTCAGATAGAAGGGCTAGCCTTGGCCTCTGTGTGATCAGACCAGAAGGGCTAGCGTTGGCCTCTGTGTGGTCAGACCAGAAGGGACAGCCTTGGCCTCTGTGCAGTTGTCCCAGAAGAGCTAGCCTTAGAGAATGGGACACCCTCCTCAAAGGTTCACCTACCTAACAGTTGTAATTTTTAATTTAATCATGTTTCTTGATGTTTTTGGCTGAATACTTTGGCTAACTAAATATATTTTGTTCAATGATACCTAATAAAATGTCCCATCTGGTGTTTGTTATTTAAAGTAAAAAGCTAATGAATGAAAATGTACCTCCCACCCCTTTTAAGTAGGCCAGGGCTCACCCAACCAGGTGTCTTTTGGCAGCTGGCCTCACCTGCCCTGAGCATCCTAGAGAGGAAGGCGGTCCCCACGGCTTCACTCCAGTCGCGGGGCAGGTCTGAGGCTTCACTCCAGTCGCGGGGCAGGTCCCAGGCTTCACTCCAGTCGCGGGGCAGGTCCCAGGCTTCACTCCAGTCGCGGGGCAGGTCCCAGGCTTCACTCCAGTCGCGGGGCAGGTCCGAGGCTTCACTCCAGTCGCGGGGCAGGTCCGAGGCTTCACTCCAGTCGTGGGGCAGGTCCCAGGCTTCACTCCAGTCGTGGGGCAGGCGGGGCACTCCGCACACGTGCATGGGTGTTCAGGCTGGAGCTTCAGTCCACATTTTGACCTTCCTGGCAGAAGAAAGCTGTCCCATGTTATCTGACACTTTTGGAATTTCTTGTTAGGCAAGGTTGCATCTCTTTCTCCCAAGCATCTCTTTTCTCTGGCATTAGAGTAGAAAAAGAGAGCTAAAGGGCAGCAAGTTACCATGATGTTTCTAAAGCGAATACCTTCTAGGATGTACTCCCTGCCAGCTGCCTCATGAGCCCTTCACACTACCCCTTGGTCATTTGCACGGACACTGGCACGTACGTGGCTCTTCCTCCTCATCCTGGGTGCTGCTATGGCAGGCTGGCTGTTCAGGACACAGGAGCCACCCCTGCTTGCCCCTCACCCATGTCAGAAGTCAGTGATCAATTTGGCCTTCAGTCCCCGGAACCCAGCATCCTTCTCAACCCAGCATCTCTGCCCAACCAGTGACCACCTCTTGACCAGGGATGGCTCGAATTGCACTTGGGATGGTGCAGAAGGTGGCCATGAGGGCACTTCCCAGCAGACTTGCCCTGTGCTGCTGTCTGTGGACTCTGCTTGACCATTTACCCAAGTGGTCCAGCACTCCCATGGAGGAGGAGCACACCATCCCCAAACCTCTCAGCCAGGCCCAACTCTAGGGAGGTGCACCCCATCATCAGAGATGCATCCCCACATCCCCATCATCAGAGATGCATCCATTTATAGCAGCCCTCTCCAGAGACAGGCAGACGGCAGCCAAGGGTCTGGCAGAGGTGCCACTTCTAATTCAGCCACTTCTAATTCCCTCCCCACAGGCTGCCAATAGTGCCATTTGTGCCTCTTCCCAGTGGGTTCAAGCCCACAAGGTTGCCTCAGGATCAACAGGGAATAGCATGACACTGCACCATCAAATGCAGCCTTGGGACCCAAGCTCTGATCCAAACAGAGGCCTCTTTCGCCAGCAGGGCCCAGGGCCCAGGGCTGTGCCATACGTCAAAAGTCCACACTTTGGTGATTGCTTCTCTGCTCTGACCTTTGTCCATGTGTCTATCCTGGAGCCAATACCAACTGCCTTAATGCCTTCAGATGTGTAAGACTCATTTCTGTCTGTGGAGTACAAACTCCCTTTTGGTTCTTCAAGAATGAATTGACTCCTCCAAATGCATTGATTTTTCATATAACTTTAAAAATTAGCCTGTAAGTTTTCATGGAAAACCATACAGGATTTTGATTAGGATTGTATTAACGCTACAAATCAATCTGTAAAGGATTGACAACTTGACCTAATTGGTTTTTTCAATCTATAAATATGGTATTCCTTGATTTACTTCTGTTTTCTCTAATGTCTCTGAAGGTCTCTATTTTTCTGTGATGAGGTTTTGCCTGCCTTTCACAAGATTCATTACTCGGCATTTGATATTTTTGATGCTACTATAAATGATTAAAATTTTTTAAGTTTGTTGCTATATAGAGAAATATTTGCAGGGCCAGTCATGGTGGCTCATGCCTGTAATCCTAGCACTTTGGGAGGCTGAGGCAGGTGGATTACCTGAGGTCAGGAGTTCAAGACCAACCTGGCCAACATGGCAAAACCAGATCTCTACAAAAATACAAAAATTAGCTGGGCATGGTGGCACACACCTGTAATCCCAGCTACTCAGGAGGCTGAGGTGGGAGAATCACTTGAACCCCAGAGGCAGAGATTACTGTAAGCTGAGATCACACCACTGCACTCCAGCCTGGGCAACAGAGTGAGATTCTGTCTCAAACAAAGGAGAGATATAATTAATAATCTTATTATTTTAATAATAGATCTGCAGGCTCTTTTTGGTTTTTTAGTTACCTAATCATATCATCTGCAAATTATGACAATAATATTTCTAATAGTTATAACTTTTGTTACTTTTTCTTGCCTTATTGCACTGGCCAGGATCTCTAGTCCAGGGTTGAATGGAATTTATAGTAGTAGGCATTCTTGTCTTGTTTCCAATCTCAGAGAGCTTTCAACAATTCACCATCATGGTTGATATTTGTTATAAGTTTTGTTTATTTACTTTGTCAGATTAAGGAAGCTGCCATCCATTCCTAGTTTATGAATTGATGTTAAGTATCATCAAGTGCTTTTCCTGAATCTGTTGATAATGTCATATGCTTTTCTACTCTATTCTATGTATGTGCTTAATTACATTCATCAATTTTAAGAATGTTAATCCAATCTTTTCATCTTTCTCTCTGGTAATGCTTTTTGCCTTAGAGTTTATCTGATCTCATTGTAGCTACTACAGCTTTGTAATGTCAGTCTTTCCTAGCACATCTTTTTTCAAACTTTTATTTCAATTTGTCTGGATTCTTATATTCAGATTGTCACTTTTATAAACAATATATACTTGAATTTTGTTCATGTAGCTTTTATAAGCAAAATATATTTGGGTTTTATTTTTAATTAAGCATGATAACTTTTATCTTTTAATCAGATGATTTAACCCATTTATATTTAATGTAATTAATTATATACTTGGGCTTAAATATATTTTTCTATTTGGACTGAATAATCTGTGTTCCTTTTAATCTCTTTTCTTGCTTCATTTGAATGATTCCATTTTAAAATTACTCCACCCTCCATTATTTATATAAACATTAGTCATTTTTATTTGTTTAGAGGTTACCCAAGAGATTACAGCAGGCGTTCTTGCCTTATCAAAATATAATATTACTTGATAATTTTGCTCTCTTCTGAGACAATGCAAAGATTTTAGAATACCTTAATTCCATTTTATTTCTCCAACTTTTATGTCATTGATATTACATATCTTAATTGTATATGTTTGTTACTTTTGTTTATACAGTCGGTACTCATATAAACAGAACCACATATTTTCCATTTGTGGTGCTCTTTATTCCTTCCTGGATCTTTGACTTTCCATATGAAGGTCTTTTTCTTTCTATTGAACCTTTCAATGTTTCCTATTTAGTGAGCATCTGCTGCTCACAACTTCTCAGATTTTGTTTGGTTAGAAATGTCTTTTTCTGACCTTTTTTTGAAATATGCTTTTGCTGTCTATAGAATTCTAGATTGATAGTTACTGATACAGTTTGGCTGTGTCCCCACCCACATCTCATCTTGAGTTGTAGTTCCTGTAATCCCCACAAGTTGTGAGAGGGACCCAGTGGGAAGTGATTACATCATGGGGGCAGTTACCCCCATGCTGCTGTTCTCATGATAGCGAGTTCTCACAAGATCTGATGGCTTTATAAAGGGCTTCCCCTTTTGCTCAGCTCTCATTCTTCCCCTTCCTGCCACCATGAGAAGGATGTGTTTGTTTCCCCTTCTGTCATGATTATAAGTTTCCTGAGGCCTCCCCAGCCCTGCAGAACTGTGAGTCAATTAAACCTCTTTCCTTTATAAATTACCCAGTCTCAGGTAGTTTCTTTATAGCAGCATGAGAACAGACTAATACAGTAAATTAGTACAAGAGTGGGTGCTGTTATAAAGATGTCCAAAAATGTGGAAGTGACTTTGGAACTGGGTAACAGGCAGAGGTTGAAACAGTTTGGAGGGCTCAGAAGAAGACAGGAAAATGTGGGAAAGTTTGAAACCTCCTAGAGACTTGGAGGGCTCAGAAGACAGGAAAATGTGGGAAAGTTTGGAACGTCCTAAAGACTTATTGAATGGCTTTGACCAAAATACTGTTAGTAATATAGACAATGAAGTCCAGGCTGAGGTGGTCTCAGATGGAGATAAGGAACTTGTTGGGGACTGGAATAAAGGTGATTCTTGCTATGCTTTAGCAAAGAGACTGGCACCATATTGTCCCTGCCCTAGAGATCTGGGGAACTTTGAAATTGAGAGAGATGATTTAGTGTATCTGGTGGAAGAAACTTTGAAGCAGCAAAGCATTCAAGAGGCGACAGAGCATAAAAGTTTGGAAAACTTGCAGCCCAATGATGTGATAGAAAAAAAAAACACCATTTTCTGGGAAGAAATTCAAGCCAGCTCAGAAATTTGCATAAGTAACAAAGAGCCAAATGTTAATCACTAAGACAATGAGGAAAATATCTCCAGGGCACTTCAGAGAATTTTGTGGCAGGCCCAGAGGCCTAGGAGGGAAAAATGGTTTCCTGGGCTGGGCCCAGGGCCCTACTGCTGTATGCAGCCTTGGGACTTGGTGCCCTGTGTCCCAGCCACTCAAGCCATTTCTAAAAAGGGCCAAGGTACAGCTCAGGCCATGGCTTCAGAGGGTGCAAGCACCAAGCCTTGGCACCTTCCATGTGGTGTTGAGCCTACAGGTGCACAGAAGTCAAGAACTGAGGTTTGGGAACCTCTGCCCAGGTTTCAAAGGATGTATGGAAACTCCTGGATGTCCAGAAAGAAGTTTGCTGCAGGGGTGGGGCCCTCATAGAGAACCTCTGCTAGGGCAGTGCAGAAGACAAATGTGGGGTTGGAGTCTCCCGCACAGAGTCCCCACTGGGGCACTGCCTAGTGGAGCTGTGAGAAGAGGGCCATGGTCCTCCAGACCCCAGAATGGTAGATCCACTGACAGCTTGCACTGTGCACCTGGAAAAGTCTCAGACACTCAACGCCAACCCATGAAAGCAGCTGGTGGGGGGCTGTACCCTGCAAAGCAACAGTGGTGGAGCTACCCAAGGCCATGGAGGCCCACCTCTTGCATAAGTGTGACCTGGATGTGAGACATGGATTCAAAGGAGATTATTTCAGAGCCTTAAGATTTAATTACTGCCTTGTTGGATTTTGGACTTGCATGGGGCCTTTGTTTTGGCCAATTTCTCCCATGTGGAACCTGTGTATTTGCCCAAAGCCTGTACCTCCATTGCATCTAGGAAGTAACTAACTTGCTTTTGATTTTACAGGCACATAGATGAAAGGGCCTTGCCTTGTCTCAGATGAGACTTTGGGCTTGGACTTTTGGGTTAATGCTGGAATTAGTTAAGACTTTCGGGGACTCTTGGAAAGGCATGATTGTGTTTCAAAGTGTGAGGACATGAGATTTGGGAGGGGCCAGGGGCGGAATTATATGGTTTGGCTGTGTCCCCACAAAATCTCTCTTGAATTGTAGTTCCCATAATCCCTATATGTTGTGGGAGGGACCCAGTGGGAGGTAGCTGAATCATTGGGCCGGTTACCTGCATGCTGCTGTTCTTATGATAGTGAGTGAGTTCTCATGAGATCGGATGGTTTTATAAAGGGCTTCCCCTTTGCTCGGCACTCATTCTTTTTCTTCCTGCTCCCATGAGAAACAGGACGTGTTTGCTTCCACTTTCACCATGATTGTAAGTTTCCTGAGGCCTCTCCAGTCCTGAGGAACTGAGTCAACTAAACCTCTTTCCTTTATAAATTATCCATTCTCAGGCAGTTCTTTATATCAGCATGAGAATGGACTAATGCAGTTACTTTATTTCAAAAATTTAAGTCATCATTTCATTGTCTTTGGGCTTCAGTTGTGTCTATTACCTAGCTTTCTGTCTAGTTGAAGCTTTTTTGAAAGTAATGGGTCTTACACTTTTTGGTTGTTTTTAGAATTTCTCTTGTTCTCTGGTTTTGAGCAGTTTTCTATGAAGGCCCAGGAAAGGTAGAGATAGGAAAGACAGAGATGGGTATAGATATGAGAAAGACAGCATTTGCCCAGTGAACTTGGGTAGGAGATGGTCCTCACCCTGATGATTACTCCCTCCATCTTTCTGTAGGCCACCTCATATTCACAGCCCTAACTTTCATAGACCTGTTTGGGGTTTGTAGAACTTCTTAGATCTGTGGTTAGATGTGTTATGCAGTTTTAGAAAAATCATAGCAACTCAAGTTGCTGCTTCAAGCCGCCCATCGTGGTGATTCTTGGCCAGTCCCTGCCTCATCCTCACAGCTTCCTGTGGGTCCCTTTCTGTGCATATCTCTCCATCTGTGTCTTATTTGTTTTGTTCACCCTATCCACTAAGTTCCTAATTCTGATTATTAAATTTTTCAGTTCTTGATTTTTTAATTTGGTTCCTCTTTTTATAGTTTCCAGTTTTCTGTTGAAATTCTAACTCATTTGCATTATTTCCTTGAATAAGCACAGATGTTTTCATTTCTATGTCTGATAAGTCCAATATTTGGGGTTCCTGTAGGCCTGTTTATATTTCCTATTTTTTCCTGGTTTTCATTTACACTGTCTTATCTCCTTGTATACCTAGTTATTTTTGGTTGAGTACCAGTTACTTTTCTTTTAAAACTACAAAAAGGAAATATAAGCCTAAGAGTGAAGTTTTCTTCCTCTAGAGAATTTATGTTTGTTTCTGGGAGAAAACTAGTTAGAAACTTGTTACTAAATAATTTCTACTAAATAGTTACTAAATGTTACTAGATAGAAACACTAGCAATCCAAGATCACTTTAATCCAATGTCAGGCATTGAGATGATGAGTCTCCCAGCCCCATCTTCCGAAATTGGTAGAAGCCCCTGGTGAAAAGTCATCATAAATGCTAGGTTCCCTTCTCTGGGCTTTGATATTCTCTTGAATCTTATTCCTCTATGAGTCATCACTGCCTTGTCCACTCTAATTCAAGCTGGCTTTGCCTGTCTTTCCTAGTTGTCCGCAGTAGGAGGATTGGTCTGAATCATCGAATCTGTCATTGGTGTACACAGAAACCTTTTCCTTGCCCATGTTTTATTTTTAAGGTACGGGTACAAATGTTGTGCAGCCCAGAGCATTGTAGATGGCCGGGAGGAGACTAGATGATGAAGGAAGATGATCCACTGAGGTCCAGGCATCCTGGGAACCACTGGGAAGGGTTGGGTGGCCAGGGGTTGGCACCAGAGTGGAATCCAGCTGTGTGTCTGGGTTTGCAAAAGGATTCCTATGCCAAGAAACGGTGAATGCCAGAGAGCCTCATGTCTGCCTATGGGCAGCTCCAGCTCTGCCCATCTGGCCTGCTACCGCAGCAGCTTTATTGACTGACCAGGGCCACCTGATCATGTTCCCTCATCGCTGACAGATACCGTCTGACCAAATCTCTGAGCATCATAGCTACAAGGAAGAGAGAGAGATGGAGGGAAGGGGGAGACTGAGAGAGGGAGAGAGAGAGAGAGAGAGGGGCTGGAAATGGGAGAGGGAGGAGGCAGGCAGAGGCACAGAAGCAGAGGGTAGAGAGGAGATGGTGGGTCAGGGGAGCAGAGTAAGGAGGCGGGGAGAAGTGTAGAGTGGGGAGAGGTGCAGGCAGAGCACGGAGAGCCGGGAGGAAGAGTTAGAGAGAAGGGAAAGCCTGCTGCACTCCAAGCACTTGGGTGGGGCCGACTCCCAACATCTGTGCTCTCGGCTTTGCCAACCCATCTCCTTTCTTCCCATTCACAATATCACGGCTTCGTGGACAAGGCCTTGCCTCCTGGGGTTCTGGGCTGGAAAACACCTCTCCTCTGAGCCCCAGTCTCTATCCAGGCGTGGCACCGACCCTGGGCGTTGTTGGGGCTACAGACCAGCCTGGCTCATTTCCTGCAGCAACCACCCTCCATGCCATCCCAGCACCCTCAGCAGCACAGGCTGTTACCTTGGACACTAGAGCCCCAGCCTAGCTTCCCTGGGGCCAGTGATGATCTCCATAGGGGGTGTGACTCGGCCACCCTCTCAATTCCTTTGGACATTCTTGACCATGGAGCACATTCCAGATGCTTGGGGAGGGTGGAAGGGAGTGGAAGGGTCCTGTGAGCTTTAATGTGGGGCCCAGGAGCTCTTCCTCCACATAGGGAGTGAGTGTCTGAATGGGGCTATTTTTATTTCTGAGCCCCTTGCCTCTCCTGAAGGTGGACTCCGCCCAGCCTGTGCTCCACTCCCGTCCAGGCAGGTTTGATCTTGGCGGAGGCCGGCAGCAGGCAGCTTGGAAGAACAAGGGAGAGCCGGCCAAGCATTTTTCCCACGGCTGCCCACAGCTTCTTTGGAACATTTCTAATCTCGGATGGCACTTCTGGACCCTCCACTTCTCCCAGCTTTGGAATTCCAGCTGCGCCGTTGCTGGGACCCATCTTTCTCACTTCTCGCTAAGGGCCTGTGAACACACCAATGCCTGCCCCTTCCGCCTGTCCCGTCCAGGGCCACAGATCTTGTTTCCACTCCAAGTCCGCCTTTGAAGAGGGCATTAAATGCCTCGCCAAGAGGCTTTTATCATCCCAGAAGCATTTTCAGCTCAGATGTTACCCAAAATAGATCTTGGAAGGCTCCGTTTACCTCAAAGTGAAGATTGGGGCACTGGTTTGAATGAAATCAAAACCAACCTCAGGCATTGCCCCAAACAAAGCAGGGCATTTACTGAGATTTGGGGGAATCCCTTGGGCTCCGTGGGAGTGCACGGCCATGCACTTTAGAGATAATGAGAGCCAGGGCTCTGGAGTGGGTGGCCGGGAGCCCCCTTGGATAAGAGGATGGTGGGAGTGCCTGGTGCCTGCTGCTGGGCATGCTCTCCCCAGGTTCTTCTTGGATGTTGAGGGCCACACAACAAGCTCGGAACACAGGGGGAGCTCAGACGGGCCCCTCCATGGCTGCTGCCACCCCCTGCAAATGCCCCCCCAACCGACCCTGCTTACTCTTCCTCCTCTCTGCATCTTCTGTTCCTTCCCGAGAACAAACTCATACTCTCTGCCTGACCACTAGTCCAGGCTCCAAGTTTTCAAAATCCTGAAGCCCTTGTGTCCTGCGGCACAGTGGAAACTGCCTGTAGCCCGGCCCCTCCCCAGCACCCTGTGTGTCTCTAGCACCTGCCACAGCACTCTCGAGAGAATAGGCAGGGGCAGGCAGGGCCACCCACACAGGGTTTGAGGCCAAGTGGCCAGTCTTACAGGCTCCTTATTGCCTCCTTTCTAAAAAATACCAGCAATTCCTGGGCTGGACGATGCACCAGCCTCTGCCATGAGCGTCTTCATGGAGCTGGCCAGGGTGCCCAGCATCTTGAAGGCAAGCTGGGGAGCCAGGGCCGAAGCCAGGGAAGGCAGCCACTCTGTCCTGAGGTGGCAGCAGGGTCTGTGCTGGTCACACTGTCCTATGACCCAGGCCAACCCTGGCCAGGCACAAGAGAATCACAGGATAGACACAGAGTTGGTTCTGCTTTAAGACTCAGGCAGATTGTCTACTTCTCTTTTGCAATAAAATACAGGTACATGTTTACATAGAGCTCAAAAGTCATGAGAATGCAAGATGCGAAACATACAGAAAGAATCTGAGTTTGGAGCTGCGGCCCCTCATCGCCCCTTTCAGCTCCTGGGGCCCCGACAGTCCCTGGCACTGCTTGGCTTGCAGCCACGTCACCCCCACCTCTGCCATCCTTGTCACCTGTGCATATTCCTCCTGTGAGTTTCTCTGTCCTCTCATCAGAAGGACATCAGTCATTGGATTTGGGGCCCACCCTAATCCACTATGACACCTCATCTTAACCGGTTACATTTGCAAAGACCCAATTTCCAAATAAGGTTACACTCTGAGGTTCTGGGTGGACATGCGTTTTGAGGCACGCTGTTCAACCCACCAGAGAAACCCTCTGCCCTGGCCCTGCTCCGGCCCCACCTCCCCACCTGCATTTGGGGAAACTGGGAGCCCAGCCTTCTCGATTACTACAGGGCTCTGGGCCAGAGAAGCAATGTCCTGACACTGCGGGTGCGAGGGTCGGCTCCAGAAAAGAAATGAAGGGCATGGAAAAAGGAGGAAGGGCTGCCAGGCTCATAGGCCTTGGGGGTGCTGTCGAGGGGTGCCTGGCAGGAACGGGAACTGCGCGACTCTCCTTCCCCTTGGCTGCCAGCATGCATGGGCAGCCAAGCAGAGCCGTGGTGACAGCTTCTGAGGCCAGCCCCGGGGCCTACGGGGATTCTGGAATGGTCCCCTCAGCACACACCCGGCCCTCTCCTATGCCGGCCGCACCCGCCCCAAGTGGCGCCAGCCCAGCTCTGCAGCCCAGCAGCCCAGCAGCCCAGCACCGCCACAGAGCTGCCAGCACCACCCCTGCCGTACCCAGCAGCCCAGCACCGCCACAGAGCTGCCAGCACCACCCCTGCCGTACCCAGCAGCCCAGCACCGCCACAGAGCTGCCAGCACCACCCCTGCCGTACCCAGCAGCCCGGCACCGCCACAGAGCTGCCAGCACCACCCCTGCCGTACCCAGCAGCCCGGCACCGCCACAGAGCTGCCAGCACCACCCCTGCCGTACCCTGCAGCCCGGCACCGCCACAGAGCTGCCAGCACCACCCCTGCCGTACCCAGCAGCCCGGCACCGCCACAGAGCTGCCAGCACCACCCCTGCCGTACCCAGCAGCCCGGCACCGCCACAGAGCTGCCAGCACCACCCCTGCCGTACCCTGCAGCCCGGCACCGCCACAGAGCTGCCAGCACCACCCCTGCCGTACCCAGCAGCCCGGCACCGCCACAGAGCTGCCAGCACCACCCCTGCCGTACTCTGCAGCCCGGCACCGCCACAGAGCTGCCAGCACCACCCCTGCCGTACAAAGACAGCCTTGTTGCTGCTTTCAAACATGTAGCGTGCAGCTGTCACACCAGGCTGACCTGAGCAGGCGTGGGGGGAACCAACAAAGCCTTGTGGGTAGATGCCGGGCCCGCACAGCTCCAGGTATTGATAATTGCTCAAACCCCTGAATGCCCATGAATTAGCTAACTACACAAGGCTAACAGGTAGGCACACAGCTGGAAGGAGGCTTCTCAGAAGCATTGCTCACTGTAATCGACCACAGCGATTTTCTTTCCAATGGCCCCATTCACGGCCCCATCGCCCGGCGACCTTGAATGATGGCGGTGAGCAGATACTCTTCAGGGCACCCTTCTGCAACCAATGACGCCTTCCTAGTGAGGGCCGGGCAGGAGGAGGTCACCCACTGTGTCTCCAGCAGAGCCTGCCTGGGAGGCCTTTTGGGCTGGCCCTGGAGGGCAGCTGGGCCTGAGGTCTCCAAGGGGAAGATCACAGTCCCGGCTCCCCTGACGTCTGGCCGTCTGCCCTCCCCGGCACCTGCCTTCTTGCCCTCCTTCCAGCTCTTCATGCTCCTCTCCCCTGGGCTTAATGTCTCAGTAGAAATGCCCTCTCCCGAGAGAGGAGACCCGAGCCCTCTAGGCCAGGGGCTCTGTGATGACCCCATCTCGTGACCTGCTTGTTTTCACCATCGCACAGAACCACAAGCTGCACATGTGGGCTTCTCCAGCTGTTTGCCATCCACTGTCCACTCCAGGAGGACAGGCTCCTGCCCAGTCCTGCTCCCTGGCTGGCCCTGGCTGCAGGAGCAGAGGGCACAGGCAGGAGGCACTGGGGTCCTGGAGCTGCTTTGCCCTGCGAAGGCCTGTCCCTTGCCCCAGCTTTCTGGAGAGCTGGGCTCTGCTCAAAGCCTCCCCAGGGTTCCCTCTTCCCAAGAGCACCACAACCGGCACTGGGAGGTCGGAGGCGGTTACCGCATGAGACCTGGGGGATCCTCACTCCAAAGGGGCCAAGTCTGAGCTTTAAAATGCTCCGTCTTTGCCGTCTTGAAATTCTTGCCATTCTGGCTTTGAACTTGTGCTGTATAAATGCAGTCCCACGGGCCAGAGCTTGCAGCCTCAGCTCCCACGCAGTCCCACCTCCCGCCTCCTGGGTGGATGGGCCCCCACTTCTGCCTCCAAGGTTCATTCCCCCAAGCTTGAAACTCCCAAGAGTAGGTCCTCAATAGTGAGGAGTAGCCATGGAGGCGGGGAAGGAAGGAATGCTCCTACTCAGAGGAACGGCCACTGAAGACACGACCCACCAGGGCAGGGGCTGGCGGTCCCAATGCACCTCGCATGGCAGGGGGTGTCGCAGGGCCAGGGGCCTGTGCGGCTGTCCTGGGTCTGCTGGAAACTGGGAGGGCGCCCGGGGCTCTTTACAGGAGGCTGGGCTGGTCTTGCTGGGCACCATTCATTCTTCTGTTTCCATAAAGTCACTTAAGCGGCAACTGGCCTTGAAATTGATCCCCTGATTGGAGGCAGGTTGGAAGACATATTGAATTAATGATGCAGCTGGGGCCGTTGCTCCCCAAACCTTTTTTACAGCAACAGTGGGAGGGAAGGGGGTGGGGTGGGGGTGGAAGGAGGGAGAACTTCAAATAAAAGAGGTTTTGGTCCATGTTTTGTTTTGCTAATATTTGAATTTTACCTAAGATTACTTTTTCTCCCCTATTTAATATATTGTTTTAAATAAAAAATCCTAATAAATCTTGAGAGAAATATGTCATAGCAGAGCTTAAAAACCGTAGTGCAATATATAACAGTTCATAAAATATTCTATCCAAATAGCCAAAATCGCAGGGCGTTTGGACCAGAAGTAGTTAACTCCGGGAACGGCCTTTTATTAGCTACTAAAATTAAGACAGGGCAGTGCTGTTTCACAGCCAGATAATTAAGTACCGTTTGCTCTTTTTTAATTCTATAAAATTAAACTTCCTGTTTTAAAGGTCTGGAGAGCCCTGGGCAAAGGGACCTCGGATGAGCCCTGAGGGCACCGGCAGGAAACCAGCCCGGCTCGTGTGTGTGCCCAGGACTTTAAGACGCAAGGAAACCAGCCCGGCTCGTGTGTGTGCCCAGGACTTTAAGACGCAGGGCTTGGGAAAAACATGCTGCAGTCAGCAAAAACTTGCAGGTCATAAATCAGAGATCCATTTTTTCACATCATTTTAACTAATCCATTAAATCGTGGTGCCCAGGGCTCTATCAGAAACAGAAGCTGCAGCTGTCCGGCACCCACACCTCCTGGTGTTCAAACGCCGTCAACAGTGACTCGGGCCATTCAACCAGGTCCCTGGAGCAGCGGCCAGGCCCTGGGCTCCTCATGACCCGCTCCCGGCCCTGTGGACAGCAAAGACAGGGCAGTGTCTTGTCCACTAAGAACGCCACTTTAATTTCCAGGGGTGAGAGGTCCAGGGGACCAAGGCGTCCTGAGGCTGCAGCCTTGCCCAGGAACCAAACCTTTTTTCATTTCCTCAGATTTCTTACTGGTTCTGGCCAAGGAAATAAATCACTTAGATCGTGCCATGGGGGCCTGGGAGAGGCGAGAACTCCCCTCACCAGGGTGGGCCCAGGTTTTGTGGGCCTTCAGTGCGTGCAATTTGGGAACCCCCTTTAAGAGAAAGACTACAAAACAGCTTAGTTTTGAAAATATTACAAAAACATGTGAGCATAGAGCACTGGAGGCTTAGCGGGCTCACCAAGTCTGTTTTGCGGCGGTGGCCATGATTTTCTCTTGTTTAATTTTATTTCATTTCGCTTGTTTGTCTGGGGGCCTTTTTGTTGTACGTGTAAGCAAATTCTTAATGAACTCAATTTAAAAAAAACTCTGACAGAGCCAAGTGGGTTGCTCTGTGGTCAGAGGCTTAGGATGGGATGACTGAGGGGCTCTGGCACTCTCCCTTGGCCCGGCGGGTTCCTGAGACAGGGCGGCCAGACCCTGGGGGTGACCTGGCGAGGACAGGAGCCGTGGCTCACCGCCCACCGCGTGGAGGTGCAGCAGCCGGATCTGGGCTCAGTCCATCCTCCCTGACCTACAAAATGGGTCTTGCTGGGAAAAGGAGCCCCTGGTGGCCAGCCGTAGAATGTGAGTCTCCGCGCGTCCCATCCCTCCAGCTGTTCCCCTCACCGTTACCATGTAGTGGCTTGTCTGGGGCCGTCCAGCCTCATCCATGGGGGCCCGGGAGAAGGGATTTCACCCCAGCCTGGAGCCAGGCTGGAGAGTGCGTGTGTCTGCTGGTTTGGAAGAGTTGCAGGGCAGGGCCAGGGCTACGGGGACTGGGGCTGGGGGCACAGTGAGGGTGGGGACCGAGGCACCCCTCACTGGGATACTGAGGAACCCTAGTGTGTATGCCTCAGTGGGCAGGGCTAGTATTTCCCCGCTCCATGTGCCATCCGGGCGGCTCCTCGTCCTGGGTGAGGTGGGAACGCCTGGTACGCTGGGTGTCCCCCTCCCCGTGCTTGCGAGGCTCCCTCTGGTGCAGACCACAGCCTTTCAGTGGGGCCTCTGGGAGTGAGTGGTTGGGGTTCACCAGGAAGCTTTGAGTCCACACCGGATGGGAGTGGGGGCCCTGCACACAGGCAGCCATCCTGCTCCGCCAGGATCTGTGAGGAGTTGACCACACGGGCCCTCCAGGCCTCCCCACAGCCCAAGCCAGCACTGACCCACTGCCCATGGGAGCCAAGAGCCCGTGGCTAGAAGGCCATGGAAGACTCAACCCTTTTATTCATTTATGGAAAAGCGTGACCACATTTTTCTAACAAAATACTTGCTAAATCTTAAAAATACTGGAAAGCCTGTCTGTGGCCATGAAGCTTTTGGCCAGGCCAGGTTATCAGATTTCAGGCATCTCCTGGTGATGGTTCCTACTCCAGTTTCTTCTGACAGGAGCCACGGCAGGGAATCCTCAGCGAAGCCCCAAGTCACATCTGTGCCAGGAGGGATCCTCCAGGAAAAGCCAGGTGCCACTGCACACTGTTGTGTGTGCCCACACTAACACACAGAACCATACGCACACACTAACATATACAGAAATGCATGCCCCCAACACACACACACAGACATGCACACTCAGTAACACACACTGATGTGCAATACATGCATAGTCACACAACATACACATGGACACATGTGCACACACACTGATGTGCACACACATTCATGTGTGCACATGCCAACATGCGTATACACAGACACGCCAACATGCGTATTTTTGCACAGACGTGCTTGTACACACCGACACATACAGATACACATGCACATGCCAACATGCAAACACACGAAACACACTAACACCTCTTCATATGCACAAAGCTGACAAGTGCAGCTACTGACAACACTGACACACACCCAACACACTGACCCACACACTGACCCACGCACAGGGACACACACAGTAACACACATGCTCACAGACACACACTCAGACTCACACTAACACACATGCACACACACTCAGACTCACACTAACACACATGCAAATGGACACACACAGACTCACACTAACACACATGCACACGGACATGCACACTCAGACTCACACTAACATGCACACGGACACACACACAGACTCACACTAACACACATGCACATGGACGCACACACAGACTCACACTAACACACATGCACATGGATGCACGCACACTAACATGCACAGACACACAGACTCACACTAACACACATGCACACAGACACACACACTCAGACTCACACTAACATGCACATGGATGCACACACACTAACACACATGCACACAGACACACACACTCAGACTCACACTAACATGCACACAGACACACACACTCAGACTCACACTAACACACATGCACACAGACATGTACACTCACACAGGGACAGACCTACACAGACACACATGCACACCTGGCCCACTCACATGCACACACTCAACATGCACAAAACTGATGCACTCACACACACCCACGCATGGACACACTCAAACACTGAGACCCACGAACATCTGTCCATACATGAAACACTGACACACAGCTCTCTTTCCACCACGTGAGGACACAGGGAGATAGTTGCCCTCGGCAGCCAGGAGGCAGCCCTCACCTGAGCCCGACCCTGACCTGAGGCTTCCAGCCTCCAGCACTGTGAGCAGAAAGCCAAAATACACATACACACCGACACAAAACTGACATGTGCACACACGCTCACACACACTGACATGCACACAGACACACACCCTTCTTTGGAAGAGACTAAAGAGAATCTTAGCAGCGGTGCAGGCTGGTCACCCTGTCCTGAGGCTCAGTCCCATGTTCAGCTCTCAGCCACCAGTTCTCCAAGCCCCCCAGTTGTTCTGGTTGCTGGGGGCAGGCCGTTCGGTCCTGGGCACTCTGACCTGGTCCTGGTCCCAGGATGCCATCCAGGGCAGCAGCCAGCCTGGAGCAGGACACAGGGAAGCCTGTCCCAGAGCCGCCAGCAGCCTGGGGTCTGTTCTTTTCTGGGGGCCAGTGGAGGGCATGACCTATGAGGGGACCCCCTAGAAGGACCCTGTGGAGGACGCCTCTTCTCCTGGTTGTGGGTGAGGTTCCCCCTGAAGCCGTCATACAAGTGAGCAAGGAGGGGGATTCTCAGGCATCAGAGGGGAGTCCTGTGGCCCCA
This sequence comes from Homo sapiens, assembly GCF_000001405.40. Classification (NCBI taxonomy): domain Eukaryota; kingdom Metazoa; phylum Chordata; class Mammalia; order Primates; family Hominidae; genus Homo; species Homo sapiens. The sequence continues at coordinate 2,943,884 of NC_000001.11, read as the reverse complement.
CAGCAGTCCCCAGCACGGGCCCCCACAGCCAGGGATCCCTTTAAATCAGTACAGAGGAGGGATGATCTCTCCTGAAGGACAGTCCTGAACATGAGACTGGACAGGTGTGGCAGTGGGTTTCGGGTGCCCCTGCTCTGGAGGCTGATCCCATACAGCTCACCTCTGCACAGGGGCAATTGTCAACCCAAAGGGACAGTTGCCTGACAAAGAACCAATTTCCTGATGTGTGGATTTGTTCATGAAAAGCCATATTGATTTTTTTAATAATGAGCATTTATTTATTTAATGGGTCACTTTACAAAAAAAAAATAATAATAATAAGGTTTGCCTGGGCGTGGTGGCTCACACTTGTAATCTTTGGGAGGTTGAGGTGAGAGGACTGCTTGAGCTCAGGAATCCTGGGCAACATAGTGAGACCTCATCTCTACCAAAAGTCAGTAAGATTAGCTGAGCATGGTGCCATGTGCCTGTAGTCCCAGCTACTCAGGAGGCTGAAGTGGGAGGATCACTTGAGCCCAGGAGATTGAGGCTGCTGTGAGCCATATTGTGCCACTGCCAGTCTGGGCAACGGAGCGAGACCCTGTCCCAGGAAAAAAAAAGTAAGGTTGCAGGAACGCGAAACGGGTGTGGGGAGGCCCAAGGTGCCTGTGTAGCGGGTGGTCTTTGCCCAGAAGCCCAGCCCAGCACCAGCCAAGAGATGCCACATTGCATCGTAAGGGTTAGATGGGCTGGAGAGGATGCGGCAAACACCACGAGCCCTGGCAAGCCGCTGGGTCCTTCTCGTAGCTTCGTGTGGGTAGTGTGCATGGCCTCACGCGCGTGTGCGTGCACACGGATGTGCATTTTATCCTTAAGCCCTCCCGCATTGATTACATTTTTTCCCGAGGTTGGAATTGTGCCACCAAATCCAAACCGGTGGTTCCCATCGCTGGTGTCCTAAGGGAGGTGGAGGTGAACGTTCAGGACAGATTGAAGCCATCAGAGGCAGCGTCCAAGCCAGCAAGCGCCTGCTGGTGAAAGACACCCAGTGGCTGGCCGACCAGCCTCTTCCTGTCAGGGCCTAGGTCACACCTTCCTGCTGGCCCCTGGAAGCCAGTGGCTCCATGGAGGAGCCCCCTAAGTCCTCACCCACTGCTCCATGGTCAACTCGGCACTGTGGCCGGTCCAATTCCAAACTCCAGTCCCAGTGGCCCCTCAGAGCCAGGCAGGGAGGCCAGGCTGAACCACAAGGGCCAGAGCCCTTGGCATTGTAACTGGCAACAGCCAGCAGGCACGCCCACATCTGCGGGTTGCTTCAGGGACTATATAATAAGACTTTCAAGGCTGGCACCTGGCCAAGGGGGAGGGAGGGGCCAAGCACATGAGGGGCCACAGTAGCCAGCATCTAGGGTGGCAGGAGAGGGAGCAGAAATAGATTAGATTTGCCTCCAGTGAGAATTTGCGGTCAGCATGCAGCTAGAAGCTCATAATGAAGGAATGTGCCTCGAGGGAGAAGAGTGTCTACATGGAGGGGCCCTTGGCTGGGAACATGGCCCCAGGGGCACCTAATCCAGGGTCAGAGGTGAGAGGCCTCCAGGATCAGCAAGTCCAGGCTTCTCCTGTTATGAGTAGGGGAAACTGAGGCCAGCAGGAAAATGATAGTCACTCACCAGCCCTAGGACCAAAACTCAGCCCCTGGCCCTGTTCTCCACCCGCCATGACACATGGCTGTGACAGCCCAGACAGCAGCATGCCCATAAGGAGTCTGGCAAGTGTGGCTCCTCAAAGGGGAGCTGGGATGCAGGGCAGTGCCTGGGTGACCCGGGAGTGGGGACTGGCCTGGGCAGCCACTGCAGGAACGGGAGCCTCCAGGCGGACTTTCCGTACTGGCCCAGCAGCTGGCAGTGACACATGAGGACAGAGCCCACCCGGCCCCCTTCAGAGCTTCTCTCCTTTGGAGCCTTCTTAAAACCCACATGGCTGTGAGGAGACTGCTTTAAAGGAAACCCATTTAAAATCAGCAGCAGCAGCAGCAGCTCCACTTAGTCTCCAAGGACTCCATAAGGAAAGCCCTGTCTACTAAGCCCATTTTATAGATGAGAAAACGGAGGCAAAAGGATTTGAAAGAACTCGCTAAAGGTCCTGCAAGGAGTGCGTGGCAGCACTGGGATCTGACCCAGGAGCCCACACTCTCCCCAGACACACTGCTCAGCCCCCTATGAGAGAAGGGAAATGGGATACAATTGGAAGATGGATTCGGGAGTCCTGCAGCTGACCAGGAGGGGAGAGCAAGGAAAACTGAGAAACAGCCCAGAACTACTCAGCCTAAGGAATGAGAATGTATCCACATTGGGACATAGTGCCATGATGTGCTATAAGATGGGGGAAAGACATGCACTTGACAGCTTCCAGAGAGGAAACAAAGCAGATCCTATACAAAGGGCGAGAACTAAAAATGGCTTCAGAGAAACTTGATGACAATGAAGCAACTCCTTCAAAATGCCAAGGGGGAAATAATTTCCAATCTGGAATTTAGTGTTCAAACACACCATCAATAGTGTCAGTGGAATACAGACAATTTCAAAGATTAAAACGTTTGAAAAATTTACCTCCCATGAGCCCTTTCTCAGAAAGCTACTGAAGTATGTGTTCCAGCAAATCAAGGGGATAAACCAAAGGAGAAACCAGGACACAGAAAATGCAAACCTGAAAAGGCTGATGAATCCCCAGGGTGATGGCAAAAGTAAGTCCCAAGACAGCCACTGCCTCAGTGGGCTACAGATGTGGTGACAGTCAGTCCTTATTCCTGCCTGTTTCTCAGTGGAATTCTTAATAGCACCCCTTTCACTTCCGCATGCATCCTGATTAGCATAAGAACTAGGAAAAAAAACAGAACGTCACGGAGAAAAAACAAAGATGCCTCCAAGAAACATAAGTAAATTAAGCAAACAGAACCCTCAAGCCCATTTTCAGAGAAATTTTCTAGAAACTGATGCAAATGAAAATATAAGGCAATTGTTAATGCAGGCCAAGGAAAAGGTTCCTTAAGAAAGGAAACGAATGTTATTCACACATTCATAAGAACAAAAGCTCAGAAAAGTGATGTAATAAAAGGTAGTGGACTAACTGAATCAGCAAGTGTGTGTTAAAAAGGTTAAATTTCTGCTCTTCAACAGCAGACAATAGAAAATCCTTAAAATCAAAACACTACATGTCATATAAGATACAGATAAATACAAATAAAACTCTGAAACAACTGAAAATGGCTGCTTCTGGGGCAGAAATCAGAGGATCAGTGAGAAGTGAGAGGTCTCACGGTGAGGCTGAGGGTCTGTGGGGATCACGGCTGGGCTTGGGAGGGGTGTAGCTGCCCAGAGCCTTTGGGTTGGTGTCCATAAGCCCTCTCCGCAGCCCCTTGGAGGCCTGACCCCCTGGCCACTAAGTGGGTCAGATCCTTTCTTAAGTAACCTTTTCCATGCCCTGATTTTTCCTTTGGTTTATGTCCTTGATTTTCTGGGATACGTCCTCCAGTAGCTTTCTGAGAAAAGGTTCACAGGCAGTAAATTTTTGAAAAGTTTTAACCTTTGAAATTGTCTGTGTTCCTCATAAGCGCTGAACTATATACATGTATCACTTTGACAAAATATTGACAGGTGTAATTCTGATACTAATTGAAAAAAGAAGAAAGTGGAAAAACATGGACTTGTTCTTCATTTCAGGGTTGCCAGAGAGTCCCCATTGGTACAAGCACCTCAGGGGTGGGAGACCTTGAGCATTTCCTTGTGGGCCAAGACCTCTCTAGTGATCCTAAGCTGTCCCCACCTGGAGGTGCTCTAGAATTGCCTCTGCAGTGATACGGGGATGCTGGAAAAGAAACTGATTTTCATCCACCATATTGGGAGCTGCTGCTTCCAGCAGATGCCTCTGGACAAGGAGGCAAAGGAGGTCAGAAAGTGGAGAACTGGGACACATCAGTGTGGGGAGTCAGGGGACAGAATGTCTAAACAGCCTGGTGACAGCTGCTGAGATGCAAAGCGATACCTGCCTTTGTCCCTGGGCCCACCTTCCACATGGCTGAGACCTTGGTTCAGGTCCCTGATTTCAGATTTCAGTCCTTGAAATTAACAGTCCTCCCTCGCTGCCTACAACACAGCCCTACCATCTGACTTGGAGTCCATGTTGGTTTGAGCTCCACTGTAAACTCCAGGGAGTGGTCAAGGGGCCTCTGTGTAAGGTGGGGGCTTCCCAAGACACCAGCGGCCTGCCCACAGTCAGCAGGAAGCCAGGGCAACTGGCATCTGCCTGGGCAACTGCACCCCTGCTAAGCCCAGCCATGGTTCCTACAGACCCTAAGCCTCACCATGAGCCCTGCTAAAGTCAGATGTTCCTTTCTGCCCCTTCTTGGAAGCCTTCTATGTGTGCCTGCAGCAGAGGTGACCAAGGCTTCACTGTGTGCAGGCATGTGTTGCCTTCCCCCATCTGTGGGGATGGACTGGAGCACTGGTCACTGACCAACCTGCAAGGCCAGGCACTCTCAAGCTTGTCTGCCAAGTGCTCTCCCTGCCACATGCAGCCTGAGGCAGTGCCTATGCAGTCTCCCTCTGGTCCTGACCCTGGAGGGGCTGCACAGCCTGCAACAGGGCTTGAGCCCTGCAAGAAGGGGGTCTGAGGCAGGAGGATCTACCGCCCCAGCTGACACCAAAGGAGGGTGTGGACAATCAGAGGCCAGGGCTCATGGCATCCTGGTCTCATCTCAGCAAGGGACCCATCCCCCCCAACTCTCAGGATGATTTGAGTCAGACCTGTCCTCACTCTCAGGCCCACATGGGCCACTGCTCCTCCACCTTCCAAGCTGGACACAGGTCCCTATGGTATCCAGTCAGAATCCAATCCCTGACACCAAAAGGCTGTGGCAAGCCAACCATGGCACCTCTGCACAGGGCCCCAGAGACCCATGGTCACACTCATGGGCTCTGCAGTGCAGTGATGTCACAGGAGAGCTGGCACCATGCTGGGTGTCTAGGGGCAGAACCAGACCCTTGCTGGAGCACAAGCACTGCCAGCAGCCCCCCACCCCACACAGTGGGGGCCCCAGAGCACCTGACCTCAGCAGGGCTCACGGTGAGGCTGAGGGTCTGTGGGGGTCATGGCTGGGCTTGGGAGGGGTGTAGCTGCCCAGAGCCTTTGGGTTGGTGTCCATAAGGCCTCTCCGCAGCCCCTTGGAGGCCTGACCCCCTGGCCACTAAGTGTGCCTGGCTCCTCCACTCCCGGGGTTCATATCAATTTCTTTCCTTCCATAGCAACACTGTCCTCTCTAGGAGAGATTGGTCCTCCTGCTGAAGGAGTGAGTGTGCACACACGCAAGTCCACATGTTTGTGTGTGCATGGGTGTGTGTGTACATGCATGAATGCTTCTCTGTGTGTGCATGTGTGGGGGGGCTTGTATATATGTTTCTGTGTGCACACATGTGTTTGTGTATACACGCATGAGTGTGCTTGTCTGTGTGTGCATGTGTGTGGGGGCTTTTGTGTGCACATATGTATATTGTGTATGTGTGTGGGTGTGTATGTACATGTATGAGTGTACTACTCTGTATGGGTGTGCACGTGTGTGGGACTTGTGTGTATGTGTTTGTGTGTGCACACAAGTGTATGTGTGTACATGCATGTGTGCTTGTCTTCATGTATGCACGTGTGTGGGGACATGTGTGCATGTTTGCATGTTTGTGTGCATGTGTGTATGTGTACATGCATGCATGGGTGTGTGTACATGCATGAGTGTGCCTCTCTGTATGTGTGTGCATGTGGGGGGGCTTGTGTGTGCATGTTTGTGAGTGCACACATGTATATGTATGTACATGCATGAGTGTGCTTGTCTGTGTGTGCACATGTGTAGGGGATTGTGTGCATGTGTGTGTGCACAAATGTGTGTGTACATGTGTGCATGGGTGTGTGTGCACTTGCATGAGTGTGCTTTGTGTGTGCCCATGTGTGGGGGCTTATGTGCACGTGTGTGCATGTGGGCATGCACATGTATGTGTGTGTTCAGCCTGCCCACAGATGCTGACTGAGGTGTCAAGAAATGGGCAGAAATGGCAAAATGACAGTACAAAGAATTGGTGTCATTTCTCATCGTCAAATGGTGCCATCAGCAGAACATTAAAGGCCACTGGCGTTGGGAAAGGCCAGCCCGGGCCTTCCTGTACTCAGTGCCCCTCTGGGGCCTCAGCCTGACTTCCAGTTTCTTCCCAGAAGACAGGCCCCCGAATCTTCCCCACTCCGGCCAAACACTGGGAAACCGGGCTTTTCCTCTTTATCCACTTAGTGATGGACAGGAGATTCTGACCTTCTTAAAGCCAAAAACCACAAAGTCATCCAAACCAGGGGGTTGTGAGTGAAGCCCCAAAGATGATCTGCTCCATGACCACAAAGGGTGTGACCTGAAGGAGCCAGGAGGACAAGGATGTCACTAACCCAGAGTCTGGCTTTGTGAGCCCTTGCTGTCTGATATCCAAGAAACTGAGCTGGGCCCTGCCTGGACGCTGGGGCTGAGCCTCTCCAAACACCACCACCTCCCCTCCACGAGCTCACTCGAAGGGACCCGCACTTGGCCTGGCCTCTCAGGGCAGGGGCAGGGCCCAGGCCTTCCTCCCTCTCCTCTGCACACTTCTTACTGCACAGGCGATTCTGGGCAGGCCCACATTCCAATATTGCTAACCTGTACCTGGTGTTGAAAGAGGGCAAAAATGATAAATTGAATGAGAAGGAAATGGCTAAGGGCCCCTATTCATAACCCACAGTTGAAGGGCGCCAGGGCCATGAATCTCCCAGGCAAGGCTGCCGTGCTCATAAAGGTCCGATTCACGCCCAGGAGGAGCCGGCCCTGTGGACGCGCTGGCGGGATTTACCCCACGGGGGCTGGGGGAGGCCAGGGATGGGGGAGGCTAGGTGCGTGGCAAGGACCCTACAGGAGCACAGGTGGACTTGCCTGGCCTGTTTTCCAAAGTGAACTTTCCCCTCTCCCACCTCCTACACAAATAAGATGGTGCCTGCTCACCCGCAAGACCCTCACTTCTCTCTTGGCCTCCTGGGCTCTCTGGAATTCCCCGGCCCAGGTGTACAAAGCATGGCTAATTGTAAAAATGCATAGCCCAGGTGGGCCCTCCTGCATGGGTACATTTCCCGGGAGTGAACTCAAGCACGAGGGAGATGCTGGCATGGATTCAGGCGGAAAGGGGAGGGGCCCTGCCTCCCCTCAACACGCTCCTCACCGCTGAATCTCCTGATTAGGTCAATGCAGTGATCTATGGTTCTGCTCAGATGCAGAGACTGTGGGTATTCAACCCTCCACACCCAATCAGAACATCCACAGATCATCGGGTGCCAGAGTCCGAGGCCAGGAGACACCAGGTAAGCAGAGCTGTCAATCTGTCTTCCTGCAGGAATTTCAGCTCCATTTAATCTTCAATTCTGGAAAGATTTGGTCATTTCAGGGTTAGGGTAGATTCACTCAGGACTGGCCTCTCTCCTTCCTAAGCCCCAAGGTGACCTCTGGAGTCCAGGGGGAAGCCAGACTCACGGTCGAGGTGGTGGGGATGGTGGGCAGGTTCCTCGCCGGCATCGCTCGCCCGGCTTTGGCTGAGAACAGTGTCATCTGGGTGGGTCTCGGGCACCCCTGTGCCTGTGGCAGGTCTCGGTTCCTGATGTCTCCTCCGAGTTGAAGTCCTCCTTGGGCCTGCTGGCAGCGTCCCTTCCCATCCGCCGACTTGCCCCCTCTGCTACAATCCAAACCCTTCTTCTGTGTCATTTCTGGAACTTTGGGGCTATCCGGGCCTCGCTTGGCAATCTGTCCTCCCCTGCCCCATGTCAGAGGGCACAGAGGACCCTCCAAGACCAAGGCCACTGTGACCCTGTGGGGAGCAGGGCAGGCCCACTGGGGCGGGTCCGTCTCCCTCCCTGTGCCCACTCCAGGAAGCAGGCCTGAGGCTGGCGCTCTCCCCGCCCCTCCCCCCCACCCACACCTGGCCAACAGCCAGCCCAAGAGGGGTGGGAGCCGGTGGAGCTTGCCCGGTCTTGGCCAAGAGTTTGCTGCTTTGAGTCTACAATCTCATCACGACCACATCTCCTTGCTGTGAGTTTATGACCACCACCCACGTGGGGATGAGGACTGGGGAGGAGGGAAAGTCTAGAGGCCCCATCAGCACGTCACCCCTGAATTCCAGTCACTTATCTGTCTGTAGAGCCCAGGACCCAGGACCAAGTGTAGAGTAAAAGGAGGCAAAATACTAGTCCCATAATAACCCCAGCCTGGGCGTGCAGCCCAGGGAGTAAGTGGGGTCCCTGCAGTGCAGGGGAAAGGCCACCCAGGGGTTGCTTGCAGAGGCTGGGAAGGGGCAGGATGAGCAGGGGCCAGTGTGTCCAGGCCCCAGGGTTCCTCCCATGGGCGCCTTCAAGGAAGAGCAGGATGCCTCCATAGGCCCAGAGCAGGGAGAAGCACAGGAGACTGCTGCAGAGGCCCCCAGGGAGGCCTGGGGACCGCAGCCACCCATGTGGTCCAGCAGGGAGGAGCTGGGGGCTCAGACCTGCGGCTCGGAGCTTCTGCAGCCTCTTGCATTGTCTGAGCCCCACCAAGGCAGACACAGGAGATGCCAGGGAAGCCTACTCCACGGGGCAGCCCTGAGGGCTGCCCTCAGGCAGGTGGAGGGTGCTGGGTGGGTTTGGAGGGCACAGAGTACCCCCATCTGCCTTTCCAAGACCATTTCTCTTTCTACAAGACAGGGATGTTTCCTGGCCAACCTGCATGCAGGCTGCAGGCTGACCCTTGGGGGTGGGGCCCACTCAAGACAAAAGCAGGGCCGTGAGCCATGCGGCTGCCAAGTGCCTGGAGCAGGGAGCGCTCGCCTGCCATGCTGGGCACTCCCAGCACCCCCGGTGTGGGGTGCTTCCCCCAGAGCAGGGCCCAAAACACGCCCAGAGGGTCTGCAGCATGTGCTCAGTGCTGGGCGCCTGGCAAGACCACTGTGTGACCACCATAAAGCCCCACAGATGAGGGCTTCAGCAGCAGAGACCCCCTCTCCCGCAGGGCTGGGGGCTGGAGGCCGGAGATGAAGGTGCCATAGGGAGGGCCCCTTCTGAGGCTCGAGAGAGAACCTGCTCGGAGCCGCCCATCGCGGCGATTCTTGGCCAGTCCCTGCCTCATCCTCACAGCTTCCTGTGGGTCCCTTTCTGTGCGCAGTTTCCTCCTTTCCACAGGACACCAGTCATTTTGGGGTATGGCCCACCCGAATGACCACATCTGAACTTGACCATCTGCAATGAGCCTGTTTCCAAATCAGGTCGCATTTCAAGATATTGGGGGTTGGGACTTCAACATGTGTATCTGGGGGGACACAATTCTGCCTGTGACACAAGCCGAGGGCAGACCCCGAGGCACGGATGGCCCTGCTCACCCCACAGGGCGCCCTGCCTTCCACGTCGGTGGCCAAGAAGGGTGCGGGGCCAGATGAGAGGCCCAGGACCGGCTGCCTTTCAAGAGGTCCCGGTGACAAAGCCAAGCCCCCCATGTCCACCCGGAAAGTCCTGGGGCTTTTGCAAAGCCGACAGCTGCTCCCGAAGACCGTGGTGGGCGCAGGACCTGAGACGGCCTCGGCGAGCTCATCACACCAGGGGCCACCATGGGATTCCGCTGCCTGGAGCCCTGATAGCCAAATTTGTCTGGACTTTCAATTATCCCGACAATACCGAAAACACGTTGGCGAGGCCAGCATTGGGTTACGATCGCAGATTCCGACTTCAAGTGCAGCCGTAAAACAGAGCCCCCAAGCATGTTTCTCGCTTTTTTTCCAACATTAGCAACTCATCTGATACTTACTCGGAGGCTCTGGTTTCCTGAAAGTTGAGGACATGTTAGAGCCCGGCTGGCCGGTGCAGGCCATGTGTAATGAGCGTGTGCAGGCGCGGCTGGGAGCCGGGGGATCACAGGCACAGATGTGTCACCCCGGCCATAACTTTCTTTCATTACCCTCCGTATTAGGTTGATCCTTGTTTTCTACCTGAAAATCTTCAGGCATAAAAGATGAAGAGAGTGCTCTCCCGGGCTTGCTGTGGCTTAACCTCCCTCCAGAAGGTCAAGCGCAGAGCACAGTCTCCGAGGCACAGAGAATCCATAAAGGGGGACCGGGACCCCGGTCCTGCTCAAGGAGGAGGACGCCACACCCACTTGAGCTGCCGAGGGGGTTCTGCATTTCCAGCAGCCTCTTTGGAGCTGTCTCCAGCTTAGGCTTCCCCAGCACGGCCCGGGAAGCATAGCCCACCCTGCAGGGGTCTGCGGGGAGCACAGCCCACCCTACAGGGGTCTGCGGGGAGCACAGCCCTCCTCCGGGGGTCTGCTGGAGACCAACACTCCGGATCCCAGAGGGCCAGGTTCCATGTTAAGCCAGGGATTTCTGAGTTGAGAAGCAGATGAGGGGATGGGAGGAAGGGAACTGGCCCTCCTTACGTTCCCCCAGCACCCTCTGCTCTCTGCCCGGCTTTATTTTTCGCCCATTTCATCCTCATCACCCTGCGAGCTGCCGCTCAGTGCAGAAGGACGCTGAGCCTCAGGGAAGCAGAGACCTTTTGAGGCTGTCAGGCTGGGGTGTGAGGTCGAGGCGCACAGCAGGCCCGCCCACCCCCAGGGCCTCTCCTGGGTCTCCTGCACCCCCGAGGCCCCAGAGGGCAGGGGCAGTCTGGGGAAATGCAGGGGTGGGCAAGGGTGTGCCCCAGAGGGCTAGCCTCGTGGGCCCCACCGTGCAGAGACCCCTGCATTCCCTTCCATCCCCAGCCTGGGGCTCAGCTCGGAGCCAGGTACCTGGAGGGAGGGTGGTGGCTGTCAAGAGGCAAGGACGCCTGTGGTGTGTGCCGGCGGCGCCATGTCTGCGTCAAATGAATGCACGGCGCAGAGTGGGCCTCTCGGAGCTGTAGGCTTTGGGGGTCCGCAGCGCGGGGCCCAGGGTGGAGGCGGAGTTCCTGCACTGACAGCTGCGGGACCCGACGCGAGGCTCTGTGTCTCAGTCTCCTCTTCTGCAAAGGGGCAACTCCAGCACCTTCCCCGCAGGCGGTGGGGATTAGATGGGGAAACTGACCCCATGGGAGCTGCCTGTTGACTATGTGTGTCCAACAGCCTGCAAGCCCCAAGGGGACACAGCTGCCTGTCCCTCTGAAGGCTGCGTCCTCTGGTCCCTGTCCTGTGTCACCTGACCCGTGGCCTGTGTCCTCAGTCCCTGTCCTGGATTCCACGTCACTGTCCTGTCTCTGGTCAGCGTCCTGTGTCTCCTGCTCTCTATTCTGTGTCCCTGGTCTCCGTCCTGTGTCCCCTGGTGTCTATCCTCTGTCCCCTGGTCCCTATTCTCTGTCCCCTGGTGTCTATCCTGTGTCCCCTGGTCCCAATCCTGTGTCCCCTGGTCCCTATCCTGTATCCCCTGGTTTCTATCCTGTGTCCCCTGGTCCCTATTCTCTGTCCCCTGGTGTCTATCCTGTGTCTCCTGGTCTCTATCCCATGTCCCATGGTCTCTATCCTATGTCCCGTGGTCTCTATCCTGCATTCCCTGTCTCTGTCCTGCATCCCCGGTCCCTGTCCTTGTCCTTGATACTCTGCTCTGAGCTGTGTCCTGTGCCCGTCCCCTCCAGCCTGTCCGTAGCCCCCGGTGCTTGCATGGAGGTGCTCACTTCACTGTGTCTGAGGGGACGTCCGGCCACACTGGGCCTCTCATCTACTCTTAGCGGGGATCTGCGCAGTCCCGAGCTTTATCCTGGGGGCTTCTCCATGGCACAGAGCGTCTTTGGGCTGAGGGGTGTCCAGAGATGATGGAAATCCACACTCAGCCTTGAGGGAGAGGAGGGCACAAAAACAAAGCCAGATGCCTGTGTGCCAAAGGCTGTACATTGTGCCCAGGTCACCAAGAAGGAACAACGCTTCTTGCCTGGGGGATGGGGTGAGGAGGACTCAGGGACGGGGCGGGAGCTGCAGTGACACTGCACCCCACCTGGCAGGGGTGGACAGAACGAAGTCCAGGCCTTTCCACCAAGACCGGCGGGGGGAGGTCTTGGTCTGCCCCTTGCTTGCTTCCCCCTGCCCTATAGCCCAGCCTCAGGGGCCCTTTGCTTCCCCAAAACCTCCATGCCCTTCACACCCAAGCGTCTTCACCTGTGCTCTATCCCCTGCCTGGACAATGGCCGCTCACTTTTCAATCCCGGCCCCGTCTGTGTCCCCTCTTTCTCTGCGAGGTCGGGCCTGGCCCCAGATCAGCATCACCCATCCTGGGGCTGCTCCACGAGTCTCACACTGTCTGCACCTTCCAGAAAGCCAGGGTGCATGTGGCCGGCTCACCGCTGTGCCCCAGCCTCTAGCACTGACCTGACACAGAGCAGCTCGTGCCGATGTCTGCTGAGCAAAGACGAGAGCAAGTGCGGCTGCTGCCTGTGGGCACCGCTCCTGGAGCCCATGATGCCAGGAAGGTGCAAGCCTCCCACACCTGCCCTGCGGGCCTCTCTGCTTCCCCATGAGTCCCAGTGGGGGCAGGGTGGACCCCTTGAGCTGGAGCCAAAAGGCCACACGGGCTACATGGGGCCAACGTCTCCACTCCATGCCTGCACAAGAGCCGAACGGAGCACCTCAGCCCCACGCAGAGGCCCGAGCGCCACACAAGCTTCCTGCCTTGGACCCGTGCAGGAGCCCAAAGCCAGCCCCGTCCCCTCCCAGGCCTGTGTGGGAGTCAGGCAGGGGACCGAGGTCCCTCCAGGCCTACACGAGGGCCGCTCCCTGAGCTGTAGGGCTCCCCGCACAGTGAGGCTGCACCACGCCCAGAGCCGACGCCGCCCCACCCCAGATGTTCACCAGGAAACACATCTGCGAGCCGCATGTGTCCAGATGATGAACAGAAATGCGCCCCGGGTGGGAAGACACTGGTAGCGGGGCCATAAAGGCCCCTGGCACCCCCCACACAGCACAGGAGGACCCTCATTGGGCATCATAAAAATATCACGCCTGCTTACAGGGGATTTATAACGCCATAAAATGTAAACAAACAGCTTTCTAGATCAAAGTAGCATAAATAACAGACGCCCTGGCTTCTGGAGCAAAGTTAATAAACTGGGGATTTTTCAGCTGAAAGCTGCTCCTGGCGCTAACACTTCCCAACCTCCCGGCTGGCGCTGGGTGGGGGCAGCGGCCCTGCTGTGGATCCACACACGACACGTGCCATGCGCAGCCCGGCCATCGAGGCCCCTCCATGGGGGACACTGTGTGACCGGGGCCACCCCCTGCTGCGCACCGCAGCCCTGTTCTCCAGGGTCCTGTCTGCACCGCCCCCACCCGGTCTACGCCAGGCGGGTTCCCAGGGCATCCGGAGATGAAACCGGACTGGAATCCCGTCCGGCCCCCCTAGCTCCTGGGTCTGCCTCTCTCTGCCTTTTGAACTAGAGAAGGGCGCCTCGTGTTTTTCCTAAACTGTAACCAGAGGCTGGCCTGGCCCTCATTTCCTTCATCATCCATCCGAAATCTGACCTGTGTGAGCCGCATCTCCTGCGGGCCCGGAGCCGCTCATTAGCGCCTCCATGAACCTCTGGGCCGACACCCGACCTCTGTGCCTGCCCACGGAAGAAGCCCACATGCTGGGACCTGCGTGCACATGTGTGCGCACGTGTGTGTGTGCACATGTGTTTGCATGTATGTGTGTGCACGTGTGTGTGAGCATGTGTGTGTGTGCATGCATCCGTGTGTGTGGTCAAGGCAGCCTGCGGAGCCGGCTTCTCTCCTTTTCCACCACAGCTCCTCCCAGATCAAGGGATTCAACCATCTCCACCCCCAAGTAAGGCCAATCTGGCCTCACATATGCGAGGCGTTTGGGGGTCCAAGCCCTCACACCCCTTGGGGCATAACTACATCTTGGGGTGGCCTCCATGGGGAGCCAAGGGGTTGCCCCAGACACAGGCTCCATGGAAGGGGTGGGCAGATTTAGCACAGAAAAATATAGGATGTGTGGTTATATGTGGATGTTAGGTAAGCAGCTAATACTTTTTAGGATGTGATGTCCCAAATATTGCATGGACATATTGTTTTCAGTTGAATTCTGTCCTCCCAAAAAGCTATGTTGAAGTCCTAACCTCCTGTACCTCTGAACATGACTGTATTTCTAAATATGGTCTTTAAAGAGGTAGTTAGAAATGGGGTCACCAGGGCAGGCCCTAACCTAGTAGGACTGGAGTCCTTATTAAAAAGGGGAGATGAAGACACAGACACACACAGAGGGACGACCACGTGAGGACACAGGGAGAAGACAGCACCTACAAGCCCAGAAAGAGGCCTCCGAAGGAACCAGCCCAGCCGACACCTTGATCTTGGGCTTCCAGCCTCCAGGACTGTGGGAGAACAAATTCCTGCTGTTGAAGCCACCCATGCTGTGGGATTTGTTTTGGCAGCTGAGCCAAATAATACACATGCTTGCATGAAAAATTACTGTGGCTTGTCTGAATTCGCATCTGACTGGCAGCCCAGTCCCAGGGACATCTCCACACTCTCTCCCCAGGGAGGGGGAACCCTCCCTTCTGCATTTCATGGCGATGTTTCCCCAGTGCCCAGCCCAAGCCCTGGCATGACAGCTGCCAACTGTAGCTTCCACCAAAGCTGCCAACCACCAGCCATGTGACAGTGGCCACACCACAGGTGCAGGGCCCATCCACGGGCCAGCTGTGGGCCACCCCAGGCCACCTTGGTGGGGTGTGAAGTCGATCCCAACAGCTCTGCGGTGGAAGAGGCCTCAGGACGTCACGATCCCGTCGGCCTCTCCGGAGCCCGGGAGAAGTCGCACTGGCAAGTCCTGGGCTGCAGAGGCTCTGGGGTATCTCACACGAGGCCAGACACCTGCTCTGAGCCACACTGCAGCCCCAAAGGTGTTACTTGCTTGAAGGAACAGATGGCGACTCTGAGAAATGATGACGTGCGGAAGCTCAGGATCTCTCTGCACTGTTTTTCCCGCATCCCGGTGGAAGCAGCAATGCTCGCCCGGATCCGGCAAGTGGAGCTTTTGTATCAGCCTGCAGTCTCTGCGGCTGGGCTGAAATTAATTACTGCAGTGATAAGACAGCAGTGGTTCCGTGAGAACAGCTCGGACCTGCGTCTCTGCTCTCACAGTGATTTTCATGCCATGTTTGCTTGAGTAGAAGCGCGGTCTGTCTCACAGGCTGCTCTGCAAAGCCGCTGCATTTGAGGGGCAGTCCAGCTGGGAGCCCCCGATGCACGTGCTCCTCCTCATCCCGGCCGCACCTGCGGAGGCCCCAACATGCGCTGTGTGGCGTGGGAACTGGCGGTGCTCACACATGCTGCACATACTCCCCAGGGCCACGCACACCCCGAGAGCAAGTGGGCAACCGCACATACCACACCAGAGCCTCTGTCCCAGGCACGAGGCAAGCAAGGTAGGAAGGCAGGTCCCCAGTCCGCCCGTTCCCCACCACCCCCCGAGCTGAGCACACTGCCTGCATATACCATGGTGGGCTGGTCTCAGTTCACACCCCAAGTTCCTGCCGGGTCTGCACACCACAGCCCAGGGCACAAAACTGCCGCACTTAGAGGACCAGAGAGGACCAGGGCTGCACCATCTCCGGGAGGCCAACCTGTCTCCACGCCCTCGTCAGGCATCAGAGTGGCGGTTTTATTCCAAACGGGCTCAACTAAAAATATCCCCTTTCTGTGTGTTTTGACTCCACGCCCAGGAACACGAATGTGTTTCCGTAGAGAGCAGGAGACGTGAGCCCAAAACATCTTGGAGTGATTTGGACGCCTTCCTCCCAGGACAGTCTCTCCTGGTGTAACATGATGGGTTTCTTCTGGATCTAAAACATCGATTTGGCCACAACCTCAGTAGAGTGTTTGGTCTTCCAAACCATAAAGATCAGAGACTACAGGCTGTTGTTTCTTCAATGTTTCAAAGCATAACATTCACGCCGAGTCTTGCTGTAAGGCAATCTGGGAAACGTAATGGCCCTAAGAGGTTTTATGCAGCGTGGCAAATCACTCCAACCCAGGGCGAGCGGAGGTCATTCAGCGCCACCTGGTCATACCTCTCACCAGGACGGCGACCGGGCTGTGGGGCCTCATGGCCAAAGGATGGTGACCAGCATCCACTCGGCCAGTTGGGTGGTTAATGCCAGGACGACTGGGCCCAAGCACCGGTTTGGCTTGAAAACAGAGTGACTTTTTCTTCCTCTCCTCGTTTCCACACTCTGAACGAGACCCTTCCGTAAAAGGGGCAGTGACACACGCTCGCTCCTCCCAGGGGAAGGATTGAGAGCTCGCCGGCTCCTGGGCGTGCTGGACCGCCCCGGACGTAAGCCCTGGCTTCACACTCCACGAAGAGGAACTGAAATGGAACCAAGGCTTTCTCAGGCGGGACCCTGGGCCACTTTTCTGCCTTTCAGTTGAAGTCAGTTGATGAAATTTCACCTGGTGGATTTCGCATTCTGACTTGGATTCTCTATGTGAGAGGCTAAAGCAGTACAATGCCCAGCAAAGCTTGACTCTCCCTGGGAAGGGACAGGATCATGAACACCTGCCACCCCAAGACAGTAGAACCAAGTCTCCTACCTGCAGGGGCAGGAAAAAGAGATGCAGCTCAGCCCAGCACAGACCAGCACAGCCCAGCTCAGCCCAGCTCAGCCCAGCTCAGCCCAGCACAGACCAGCTCAGCCCAGCACAGACCAGCACAGCCCAGCACAGACCAGCATAGCCCAGCTCAGCCCAGCTCAGCCCAGTCCAGCCCAGCTCAGCCCAGCAGAGCCCAGAACAGCCCAGTCCAGCCCAGCTCAGCCCAGCTCAGCCCAGGTCAGCCCAGGTCAGCCCAGTCCAGCCCAGCTCAGCCCAGTTCAGCCCAGAACAGCCCAGCTCAGCCCAGCTCAGCACAGCACAGCCCAGCTCAGCCCAGCACAGCCCAGCTCAGCTCAGCCCAGCTCAGCTCAGTTCAGCACAGCACAGCCTGGCTCAGCCCGGCTCAGCATGGCTCAACACGGCCCAGCACAGCCCAGTCCAGCCCAGCTCAGCCCAGCTCGGCCCAGCCCAGCACAGCCCAGCCCAGCACAGCCCAGCCCAGCACAGCCCGGCCCAGCCCAGCCCAGCACAGCCCAGCTTAGCACAGCCCAGCTCAGCCCAGAACAGCACAGCTCAGCTCACCCCAGCCCAGCCCAGCCCAGCACAGCCCAGCACAGCCTAGTTCAGTGCAGTACAGCCCAGCACAGCCCAGCCTAGCTCAGCCCAGCTCAGCCCATCACAGCCCAGAACAGCTCAGCCCAGCTTGGCACATCCCAGCTCAGCCCAGCCCAGCTCAGCCCAGCACAGCACAGCCCAGCCGAGCTCAGCTGTGGCCTCAGCCCTGTATTCTTGGTATCCAGGTCCCTGCCAAGCACCACCTATCATACCCCAGGATATCCCACTGCCCCTGAAAGGGAGGGCTTCTCCAAGGCCACCTCATGCCGGGGACCAGCCAGCCCCTTCACCTAACTCTTCCAGGCAGAGAAAATACCCCAAACAGAAGCCCTGCCCACCATCTGAGGACCAGACTTTATGCCCTCCCGCAGCTGTTGAAATTCTCAGAATCAATTCCCTCCTCTCCAAGACCCTAAAAACCTGAAGCAGGCCCTGGGGGCATCGGCAGCTCCCCTTTCCCACACCCAACAGGGAAGCTTCAAGGGCCTTCGAGCCCGGCTTCCTTGGCCACCTCCGGAGTCCCCTGGGAGCAGTGGCTCAGGCCTGGCCCCGAGTCAGCACGCCTCGCCTGGGAACTCCAGCAGGCTGAGAGTCCTGTGGAATTCCTCACCCCACACTTGGGATTCTGCCAGGAAATGAGGTTCCATGAAGCCAGCCTCACCCACGGCAGGGCAGGGTGGTGGCAGGGGCCGGTAGTGTTTTCATTGGAAGGAAATTTAGCTCCTTGAACCCCCTGCCAATAAAAAAAAAAGATGAGATGTGCCTGTGTGAGATCTCACACTGTCCAAGCATTTAAAATCTAGATGTATTCCCAGAACCCTGTTGATAGCATGTTTCACCATGAAACTCCCCACGAAAGCACATTGGAGAATTCCATATTTTAAAAATCATAATAGAAGGGCCTATGTAATCCTTCTTACCTTAGAAATACAGACATTTGGCTGGATGGAAGAATCTGGGGATGCGCTAAGCTGCTCCCCACCGCAGGCATTGCAGAGGGGACCCCATCCCGTGGCATAAAGAACAGAGCCAGGGCTGGCGACCCCCAGACTCAGCATCGAGCAGCCTGCACTGTGCCCCTCTCCTCCCCTGTGGGATTCCAGGGTGCACACAAACCCCGCATACAGAGGGGACCCCCCAGGGCCAAGCCCCGGGACTGTCACCTGCGGCCCAGGAACCGTGGCTGGGCGGGTTCTGGCATTCATGCCACAAGGCTGCTTCTAAAGCCAGACCCCCAGGCCAGCGGCTCCATCTGGGTGGAGAGAGCCTGCCGGGTGAGGTCCACTCTCGGGGGACAGAGGACAGACCCAGACCCAGGCTGGTGCTGGGGGCTGACATAGGTCGGGGGGCTGCATTCCAGAGAAGAGATCATGAGGGTTCCCACAGAACAGCCAGGCACCCCAGGCCTATGGCCTCTGCATGTCCAGCCCTGGACACAGGACAGCCCCAGCCTCAGGGAGGGCCCAGGCCCAAGCACGGCAGCCAAGAGTCCCCAGCACCCTCGTCCTGCCCTGTGTACCCACCTTCCTGGGCACCTGGCCCCTCCACCATTCTCAAAGCTGACAGCACAGCGTCTTCCAATCCCTCTGACCTCTGTTTCCGCTGTCCCATCTCCTCCTCTGCCCGCTCTGACCCCCTGCCTCCTCCTATGAGGAGGACCCCGTGATCACATCGGGCCCACCCGGACAAGCCAGGATAACACCCATCCCAGATCCTTAACTTCATCCCATCTGCGAAGTCCTTTTTGCCGTGTGAGGTGACACATTAACAGGGGTCCAGGGGGTCCCCCAGGGGTCGTTCTCCTGCTGACAGCACTGCTCTTGGCCCCAGCTTGGGGCCTGGGCTGCCTTCAGGAAAGCCTGAAACAACAGTGCCCCCATAGCCAATCAAGTGGGGAGCGACTAGAGCTCCAGCCCCCATGGAGGATGTGTTTCCTTCTGTCTTTTGGGAGGTGTCTGCAAAGGCCTCTCAGACAGGGGACATGGCAGTCAGGTCATGGAAACATCGTGGTGTGTGGAGACTCAGGGGCGGGAGGTGGGCAGAAAGAGAAAAGTGTGACCCATAAGCCCCAAGAGGGGACGTGGGGACACCCGCGGCCACTCAGGGAACAGGCAGATGTTTGACCGCTCAGGATGGGGCCTGCCTGCTGAGGGTGGAGGGCAGTGAAGGTGGGCTGGGGGCTGGCCCTCCTAAAATGTCCTAGAGGGCGAAGCTCCCTCCCCTGCCTCATTGGGTCCCAGTGCTCTCCACTGCATGCGTGTGACCGCCGCACCCCCAGAAGAGAGAAGACAGAGAGGTGGAGGGGCCATGCCCCAGGATGACGCTGACCCCAGGGGAGAACCTGAGCCTCCGGGCCCATCCCTGGGTGGGAAGCCTGGCCTGTTCTCTGCATCTGGCCCCAAGTCTTGGCCCTGGGTGCCTGCTCACAAAGCCGCCCGAAGCCAGCTGGTGGGAGGCTTGGGGGAGGGGCCGCCATCGTGGGACATCCCTTGTTCGTTCCTGCGTGGTGGCTTCCGTCCGTCTCATCCTCCTGTGTGGCACGGCCAACCCCAGCCCTGGACCCACAGTCATGAGCGTGGAGTGGCCTTGCACAGGACTTCATCCTGGAGCCTTTGTCAGCAGCCTCCAAATCTGCCCAGACCATCGGAGTCAGAGGCGGCGCCTGCAGCCTGGGGCAGTCGCTGAAGGTCCTGGGGGTCTTGGGCAAAGCAGGACCTGGATGATGAGACAGCTGGCCCACGCCTGCTCCTTCTGTGGCACCCTGGCCCCAAGAGCTGCCATTCCATTGCTCAAAGACTTGGGGACCCAGCGTTGCCTTGCCCGAGACTGTTAACAGAGCCCAGGTGGGATTTGGTCCCGGGAGAGTAGAACCAACCCTGCCCTGAAGCCCCTTGAGCATTCTGGAGCATTCTGGAGTCTGGAACTCGTCTGGAAAGCTGCTCACGTTCCAGGTAAACTCCTGCACGCCCCGGCCTCGGGAATCCGGAGAAAAGCGCCCCTCGAAGATTCCCTGGCTCTGGGGCCCCTGTGCACACCCGGGGAGGAGAACTCAGAGCCGCGGCCAGGCAGCGAACCCCACTAGGAGGCACCCCAGGCCCCTGGGCTTCCTGGGGAAGGGGGAAGGGAGTGGAGGGGCCCAGGGTGGGGGCAAGGGCTCAAAGCAGGGGCGGGTGAGAATCACAGCAGCCCACGAAAAGCCAGGCGCACGCATTCGCGGCCGCACAAGTTCACAATCGCCAAAAGGTGAAGGTGTCACAGATGCCTCTGGGTGGACAAATGGCTCCATAGATGTGGTGAACGCATGCAGGGGGTCATGGTCAGCCAGGAGAAGGACAGCGGCACCCACACACGAGCATATGCGGGCTGACCAAGAGCGTGAGGAGGAGGGAGAGAAGTTGGGCATAGGCTGCCCCACGCATGGTGACATGTATCTGAAATGTGCAGACCGAGGGGTCCTGAGAGATGGAGCACGGACCATAGGTGACCAGGGCCTGGGCAGGGCTGGGGGAGGCTCACACGGTCCCTAGAGACAGACCGTGGGCCAGAGGTGACCAGGGCCTGGGCAGGGTTGGGGGAGGCTTACAAGGTCCCTAGAGACAGACTGTGGGTTAGAGGTAACCAGGGCCCGGCAGGGCTGGGGGAGGCTCACGGGGTCCCTAGAGACAGACCGTGGGCTAGAGGTGACCAGGGCTCGGCAGGGCTGGGAGAGCCTCGCCCTCATGGTTTTTTAAGGGTATGGGGTTCCTTTTGGAGATGATGAAAATGTTCTCATACTGTTTGTGGTCGTGGTTGCGCCTTTATGTGCATTTACTGAAAACCATCGGATTGTGCACTTCAGATGGGTGAATTGTATGGTATGTGGATTACAGGTCCATAAAGGTGTTTTTGATGACAGTGGTGACCCAGTCGCTTTCGGGCTGAGCCCTGAGGGGTGCAGCTGAGCCCAGGCCTCTCCAGGGCTGCAGGTTCAGGGATGGAATCCACCCCGGGCTCTGGCTCCTGAGTCTCCCATGCGGTTCCAGACTCTTTATTTTCCATACACATTCACGGCTAGCGGTGCCAGAAAAAATACCACGTGCCCAGTTATCTCTGAATTTCACATCAGTGATTAAACTGTTAGTGAAACTACGTCCTCAGTGTTTCATGGGCTGTGCCTCAACCCAAACATCATTGACCCGACCCATGTGGCCCATCGCTGATTTGAACAAAACCTCGTTGATTCAGATTGTTGATCTGAATTCAGATTGAACTGCACTTCCTGAATTTTTAGTTGCTCAACCTGGCCACCCTGCCTGGACCCCCACGGTGGGGCCACATACTCAGATCCCCAGTCCCAGTCTCAGTGCTTGTAGGGCCCCAGGGAAGGCGGACCCCAAGGGACACACGGGGACGGAGCTGGGCTGGCAGCGGTGCCCAGGACAGAGTGGGCGGCCGCGCTGGCAGCCACTCACCACCAGGGGGCTCGGCGCCACGACTTCCTGGGCGCCCAGCTCTGCCCCAGAGCCCAGACAGACGGACGGGGCGGCCAACCTTCTGCAAAGATGGACGGATGGATTGAAAGAGGCAATTGCCCTCCTGCACAGCTGGATGGACGGACAGGGGAGCCCAACTCGGCCCCAGAGCCCAGATGGATGGACAAAGGCAGCTGCCCTCCTGCAGAGCTGGATAGACAGATGGACAGAGGCAGCCACCCTCCTGCAGAGCTGGATGGACAGATGGACAGAGGCAGCCGCCCTCCTGCAGAGCTGGATGGACAGATGGACAGAGGCAGCCACCCTCCTGCAGAGCTGGATGGACAGATGGACGGAGGCAGCCGCCCTCCTGCAGAGCTGGATGGACAGATGGACGGAGGCAGCCGCCCTCCTGGAGAGCTGGATGGACAGATGGACGGAGGCAGCCGCCCTCCTGCAGAGCTGGATGGACAGATGGACGGAGGCAGCCGCCCTCCTGCAGAGCTGGATGGACAGATGGACGGAGGCAGCCGCCCTCCTGCAGAGCTGGATGGACAGATGGACACAGGCAGCCGCCCTCCTGCAGAGCTGGATGGACAGATGGACACAGGCAGCCGCCCTCCTGCAGAGCTGGATGGACAGATGGACACAGGCAGCCGCCCTCCTGCAGAGCTGGATGGACAGACGGACACAGGCAGCCGCCCTCCTGCAGAGCTGGATGGACAGATGGACAGAGGCAGCCGCCCTCCTGCAGAGCTGGATGGACAGATGGACACAGGCAGCCGCCCTCCTGCAGAGCTGGCTCTGCCCATGCCTCCCCCCGAGATGCTGCAGCTGGGAGCTCCACATGTGCAAGGAGCGGGGGACACCGGTCACTCAGCTGCGAGGGGAGAGGGGATGTGGGTCACTCAGCTGTGAAGGGAGAGGGGATGCGGGTCCCCGCATCCACGGGAAAGGCAGGGGTGGGGGAGTGCGGCTCAGGGCAGAGGTGGGGAACAGGCAAGGGTCTCTCGGAGGTGGGGGGCTTGGGGGGGCTGCCATGAGTGAGACAGCTTCCCCTGCGTGGAGCTGAATAAGGGGCGAGCAGCGGGGCGGCAGTGGGGGCTGGAGCTGCAGGTTTCCGTTGCCGGAGCCTGCAGAGCAGCCAGATGCAACTACCAAAGTCCCGAGCCCAGGCCGAGACGACCAGCCACACTCAGGGGTGGCAGCATGTCTCGGGTCTGCTCCAGGAGCCTTAGGGGAGGTCAGAGAGGCCAGCGGGGCCCGGTGGAGTGAGAGTTGGGGGCCTGGGGGCCATTTGACAAAAATAGGGACCTCAGGGACCTTAGGGCTCTGGAGCCAGCAGCCCAGGTTCAAATCTCCACTGCCTCATTTCCTGGCTGTGTGACCTGGGCAAGCGGCTTGACGTCTCTGTGCCTGCCTCCCATGCAGGCCTGTTAGTTCAGGTGTGTGGAGCACTGGGAGCGGGGCCTGGCGGGGACACAGGACACTGGGGCAAAGGCATCCTTGTCCCTCACTGTCCTGTCTCATGTGAGGACCCCAGGCTCTGAGGCAGGAGCCTGAGTAAACAAACGGGGCCTGGGGGACCCCTGAGCCCTGCCACATGGGCGCTCCACGATATTAGGGCTTGGCTGGAGATGACTGGACTGGGGGAGCTGCCGCTGGAAGCCCCATGAGCCTGACAGGACCTCAGCCAGTGGGCTCTGGGAGCTCAGGGTCCTCCTCCCCAGGTCCTGAGCACGGTTCCCCACGGGTGGGCATGGGGCTGGGCACAGCCTCGCCACTGAACACAGCCTCTCGGAAGAGCCCAGGCTGGGTGGGCAGGGGTCCTGTGCCCCCCAGCGGCTCTCCCTGCCCCCATCTGCAGTGAGCGGAGGGGAGAGGTGCTGCTCCCGCGCCCCCCACCCACAGGGAAGCCCCCACCGCAGCTGCTGGGCTGAGCCCGGCCATAACGTGGCCTTCACTGTGGGTTCCCCTCCCTGACTTTTGATATTTTGAAGCCCACTTTTATATTTTAATGCATGTTTTTATGGAAATATTTATGGTGCACATGTAGCACGTAAAACACCGTTGTAAAGCTGTTTCTCCCCAGTGCTGCTGAAATAAATGATGTTGTTACTGTTCTGATTTCGCACGGCTCGCAGGGGTCCAGCTGGCCGTAATGAGAATGGTCTGGGCCTGGTGCCGCCGCCGTCCCGAGGGCTTTGGCCTCCGTCTGCGCACGGGACTTCACGGTGCTGTAGAAAGGCCTCACAACAGCAGCCTCCCTGCCTGAGGGAGGGTCAGGCCTGTGGTCAAGGGTGCTGGGGAGGGACCTCCAGGGACAGGACGGGCCGCTGCAAAGACCTCCCTCCCGGACACCCAGGGGACTTTTTAAAGAAAGCCACTTGGAGGAGAGAACTCTGTCTGGGCTTGACTCAGTTTCCCCAGCTGTGAACTGACAACTCCTTACTCTGCCTGTTCCCGCCTGGCCTCCAGGGGACAGGGCACACACGTGATCATCCCGGCAGGACACTCCCTGCCCTGTCCGCCCGGCCTGGATGGATCCCCACTCTGGCTGACCCAGGAGCCTGACTCCTGCTGTCCAAGGACGCTCCTGAACCATCCTCGGTCACAAACAAAGACTCAAAAACCAAACTCACTTTGTCATCACCTACCTGGTGGCTTCAAAGGGGCAGAACTCGGGGCTGGCCACCAAAGTGGCAGAGTTTAAAAATTAATAAGCCAGCATCAGAAAGCCCTCTCCTGACCGGGCCCTGGTCCACTGCCTCTCATCCCAGGGCCGTGAGGCAGTGAATAATTGAGCAGCTCCTGTGTGAAAGCTCCGAGGAGGTGAGCTCAGGAACCCGTGTTAAAAGCAGCCCTGGATTTCCATGGTTCCGGGCAATGAAGCAGAGGAGACGGTGCAGGGAAACAGGCACCAGGTGACCCCGGAGACAGCAAGGGCTGTCCCTGGCCACGGGCCTGCCCAGCTGCAGGGAAGCCGGCTCTCCCGCTGGTTCTGCCTCTCTGAGGCTGCCCCGCCTGCGTGATGGGGGGACCATTGGGGTCTCACGCAGGCACTGTGACAATCAAGCAAGATGAAGAAGACAGCATTCGCGCAGAAATAGCCTGTTGGGCGGTGGAGACGATGCTCCTCTCAGCAGCACAGAGGTCTACAGAGGTTCCCCCCGAGGGGGGATAACACGGCCAGGAGCTCTCAGTTCCTGTTTCTGGCTGGGCCAGGGAAGCCCTCTCCTCATCCCTCTTTTCCACTTATCACTAGCAACATAGACCAAAAACCATGGCCTCAGGCTTCTAAAAGCCTGAAACAAAACAAAACAGAACAGCAGCAACAAAATAAGGCAGGTTGGACAACTTGGAGGCCTTGGAAAAGACCATGTCCTTCTTAAGCCTTTCTAGAAAGTTACTAGAAAACCCCTGCAGAGGACCTGGCACAGGCCTCATTAATTCCAGAAAATGGCTTCTGTTTGCCAAGGACTTGCGCACGGGTGTGCTCACTGCCCTTAACAGCACGTGGAGGCCGGTGGGGTGGGGGCCGCGTGACACCCACTTTCAGATGAGAAAAGGAGATCAGAGGCTCGTGACTCCCCAGGGCCACCAGCGGGGAAGGCATGAGAGCACAGCGCAGGCCTCGCCATCAACCGGCTCAGCTCACGCTCCCCCTTCTCGCCCCCCGCCTGCCCCCAAATGTCACAGAGGACAAGGTCCTCAGAACAGAAACATGTTCCGTCCGCCTGCCTTGGAGAGCAAAGAGATCACCAGATGCCAGGAATAGGGAGAGCCAAACGCAAGGAGACCATATCTCCACACTTTACGAAAATAACAAAGGTGCCGAAACGCATGGCGAGTTCTAAAAATTGTTTCCCCACATCTCATAAAATCTCATGACTTCTCTCCCTGGACTCTGAGATCCAGGTTTCCAAGAGTGGAAAGAGATAGAAAAGATGCGTTAAGACCCCTCCCACCACCGCTGACATGAGGCTGGGGGCTGGAGGAAGGGGTCCCAGGTTCAGGGCACTCTCCTGCCTGCCGGCTCGGCTCTCCGGGAAGCCCCTCAGGCCAGCTAAAGGTCCCTGGGTAGTCACTTTGTCCTGCTTGGCCCAGGCTCCCCACCCTTCAGAGGACCCCAGGCTGCTTTTGGTTCATTGTTGTAGATTGAATTGTAACCCCAAAAAGATACGTTGAGGTCCTAACTCTGAGGACCTGTGAACGGGCCTTATTCAGAAATAGGATCTTTGCAGATGTCGTCACGTTAACATGAGGTTGTGACACACAGGGAGAAGACAGCTGTGCGACAGGATGCAGAGCGTGGGGCCCTGTGGCCGGGAGTCAAGGAAAGCCAGAGCCTGCAGAAGCTGGAAGGGGCAAGGAGGACCCTCCCAGAGCACCCGTGGACACTGGATTTCAAACCTCATCCTCCAGACTGGGGGAGAAGGAATCCCCATGACTCTCAGCCGCCTGGTTCATGGAACTTTGTTCCGGCACCCGTGTATGAATGCCTTGCCCTGAAGACGCACAGTAGCGCTAAATAAACAATGGGCGTCCAGGTGCTCCTGAAATGAGCAGTGATGGAACAGAGAGGCAGGACAGGAGCGTGGTTGGGGCTTTTAAAATCTTCAGACAGTAAATAAGCAGCCGACAGTAAGGCAGAGGGCACCTGGGCTGCCCTGCCGGGACCCTGCACCCCTGCCCGCCTCGCCACGATGCTTCAGGGTGGTTTGCCCACACGTCCGCTCACACGCAGCCTCGTGGAGCCGCCACGTTAAATATGCATGGCCTCTGCCTTCCCTGTCTCCATGCCCTGTCTCCAGCTGCGCACCTTCGCCTTATTTATTTATTTCAGGGGTTAAATATGTGTGTTCCTTTTGTTCCCAGCAAATGCATCTCCCACATGTTTGCATGTTTTAAATATTCACGCAGGTACGAGAACCACGACACACGACGTCGATTTATTATTTAGGGTACTTTTTCTCTGATAAAACAGAAGCACCTCCATTTGAAGAGGAATTTTACGTTTTATTTCCATTAAAGCCTCTCATTAAAGTTTAAAACCTGCTTTGTCCCTGTACCTAAGGATTGATATTTCCGTCTGTCAGGAAACCCATGGTGCTTGTCGACATGACCGGCGGGGGGAAACGCCAGGCGGGAGGGAAATGCCAGCCTGTCAGCCGGTGTGATGGGGCTGAGGGAACGCGAGGCTGGCCTGCCGAGGTCAGGACCCGCCTGGGGACGAGGCCTCTGAGCTTGGGTTCTGGGGCAGCCGGATCAGAGCCCAGAGGAGGAGGCACCACAAAATCCCCACGGCGACTCAGAAGAGCTCTGACGGTGGTAGTGGAGCAGACACAGGCCCAGGGGCCCCCACAAGCTGCCCCGCCTCGGCCCCACGTTCCAGCACCTGAGCAAAAGCACAGACAAAGACATATGTGAGCATGTGCAGACACGGGTGCCTGAGGACACAGCCATGTGTACATGCAGAAGCAGGCACACAGGCATGCTGGGGTGGCCCCTGGTCACAGGCCATGCTCACGTGTGTGCACACAGCTACAATTTCTCACACCTGTGCACACACTGTGGCTGGCACAGCTGGGAGTGCCCTTTGCCAGCTAGAACCCCGGATGCCGGCCATTGAGAATCCCGGTCCCAGGACACAGAATGTGTCTGAAGGCTGGAGGGGCCTTGGGCCCTGGGTCCTGGGAGAGGTCATCAGGAGTGTGTGTACATGTACGTCATGTGTGGGTACACATGTAGGTGGGTGTATGGACATACATCTGCGTGGGTGTGTCCATGTGCATATGTGTCCATGTGTATTTTCATGTGCAAACACATGCATGTGTACATGTGGATATGTGCACACATGGGCACCGGCTGTACATGTGCACATGTGGGCAAACATGTGGGTGTGCACATGATTGTGTTAATGTATGTGCTGTGTGCAGATGTGCATGTATGTTTGTGTGTGCATAGTGTATGTGTGCATGTGTACATATGCATGTGTGTAGACTGCAAGTATGAGTGCATGTGTGTGCATGTGTATGTGTGTGCAGTGTGTGCATTGTGCACATATGTTCATTGTTTTATGTACACACGTGTGTACATGAGTGCTGTGTGTGTTGTGTTTGTGTATATGTGTAGGTGTGCTGTACAAGTATGTGTGAATTTGTGTGTGTGCATGTGTGGCATGTGTGCATTGTATGTTGTGTGTGCATGTGTGTACAGTGCAAGCATGGGTGTGTGCATGTGTGCACATGTGTGTATGTCTGTGCTTTGTGAGTGCATTCATGTGTGCATGTATTGCTGTGTGGGTGTATACGTGTGCTGTGCGCTGTGCAGGTGTGTATGTGCATGTGTGGACGTGTGTGTGTGTGTGCGCCGTGGGAGTGTGTATATGTTCATGTGTGGACATGTGTGCATGTGTGTGTTGTGAGTGTGTGCATATGCATACATTTATGCATGTGTGTGCATGTGTGTGCATGTATGTGCTGCATGGGCTTGTACATGTATGTGTGTGGTGTGCAGCATGTATATGTGCATGTGTGTACATGTGTGCATGTGTGTGCTCTGCAAGAGTGTATGTCTGCGTGTGTGTACATGTGTGCATGCGTGCTGTGGGAGTGTGTATGTGTGCATGTGTGGACACGTGTGTGTGTTGTAGGAGTGTGTATGTGTGCACGTGTGGACACGTGCACTGGCCTAGCCTTCTGCAGCTTTTGTCCCTCAGGAATTGTCAGCATGGTGGGAGGGGGTGGCCCCACACCGGAAGGTTTCCAGAGTTGCGGAGAGCTTCAGGCAGTGGCAGCCCAAGCTCGGGTTGTCCTACAGGCCCCTCAGGCCAGAGGGTTTGGGGCCAAGTAAATTTCATGTACCTGGCGTGGGAGGTGATCACCTTCCGGCACCCTGGCACAGTTCCTGCACTGTCAAGCCAGGAACTCGAAAAGGCTCTGTCCTCCCCCACTGCCCCTCCTTGGACTCTTAAGACAGACTCAGCAGAAATGCACAGGGTGGGGTTTATGTCCTGCCCTCAGGGTTCAAGTTGGCAATTCAGGCGTTTGGGCAACAAAGTCAATCTAAGTGGGGACAAATTTATCTCATGTTTGAGCCACGGCTTCAGCCCTATGGACATCCATCCCTTCGTGGATCTGCCGCGGGGCAGACTCCCACACCCTCACCCACCCCTGCAGGGCTCAGGGGCTGGCCATTCCCTCCCCCCGGAGCTAAGCCAGCCATGGGTCCTTCCTGGTGGGGATAAGGACCTGGGGCCTGTGCCTGGATCTTTCTCAGGAGGCCTTTCTGGAGAAACAGCTTTCTGCCTCCCTCTAGAGCTCTCTGGAAGCTCCTGCAAGCCAGGCCACTGTGTACAAAGGGCTGGGGCAGGCAAATGCATGTGCAGGATCCAACGCCCCTGGGTCCATGTAGCTTCTGCCAACAACATCGGGAGTCACTGGCCCAGCTTCCCCCATCCTGCTCTGAGTCTGGCCCAGCCTCCCTCATCCTGCTCTGAGCCTGGCCCCCCATCACCATCATCGTCACTGTCGTTTGCACAAATCCACATAGAAAGGAGTCAGAATCCCCTGCTGTCCAGCCAGCGGGGCCCCTCAGGGAGAGACCCTGTGACACAGGAATGGACACAGGAAGTTTCCCAGGTAGGCCCAACAGGTGGAGGTCCTGGGACCAGGAGCAGGACAGGGGGCTCAGCAGGCCCTGAAGGAAAAGGGCCCCAATGCTCCCGGAGCAGACAGCAAGCCCGGCCCTCCATGGAAGATGCTCCCCGGGGAGAGCACATGCAGGGCTCCAGGACAGCCTGCACCTCCCCCGCCAGCTTGCCCAGGAAAGCCCTGCCAGGGGCAGATGGAGACGCCTTGGGCACAGAAAGGCTAAATCACCGTCCATTATCAGAGATCGGGGCGTGGGCACTGGGAGCCCACCTGGCCAGGGGTCCCTTTCTGCCCCATCTGGTGCACAGTGGCCAGTAACACCTGTGTCCTCTGGCCTCATCCAGTGGGATCCTGTGTAGGTGGCAGTGAGGAGGGAAGCACACCCATTCCCTGGTGGGGGTGGCCAAGCTCCACTGGAAGACCCAGCTCTGCTGATGGCTACCCAGACCCCCTCGCCTTCTACCCATCCTCACCCCCAAGGCCAGGGGGCTACCAAGTCCTCCCTGCCTTCAGGTTTGCCAGCAGCCCTGCATTAAATGTCCCCTAGAATCACTGACTCCACGGGTCCCCTCTGGGCCCCCTGGGACCTTGCAGCTCCAGCACCCATGTTCCTGAGGGTGGAGTCTGCCAAGCACCTTTCTGAGCAGTGCAGGGATCCCAGGAGGCTGGAAGGTTGGTCCCTGAGAGCTGGTCCTAAAACCAGGGGCTGGGGGCTGGCAGACATCACTAATCAAAGGCAGCACTGCTTTCTTTGATGGGCAACGTGGTGCCTGCCCCAGGGCAATTGGTCAGGTCCTATGAAGGGTGGGCAAGACCTCGAGGACTGAGCTGGGCACACGACCACATGTGCCGCTGAGTGCCCTGGGCAAGGTGCTGTCTCCTCTGGGGTGAGAGTTCATGCCTCCAGGGGTGGTGGGAGGAAGGCGGTGGTGTCCCCTTGGTGCGGGTGCTGATGTCGCTGGACCAAGACATGGTGGGGACACAGGAGATGCCAGCCCAGGTCTGGGGTTTGATGGAGCAGTTTAGTGATGTCTGCCTGGACACGAGCAGGGTGGCAACAGCACAAGCGCCACCCTGAACGGGACATTGCCGAGGGTCATTTTTTCTGCGTTGTGTCCCTGCTGGGCTGTGACCACACTCAGGCCGCCCCCCTGTGGAGACCTCAGCACAGGCAGCACTCGGGAGAAGCGTGCAGAGCAGACACACAAGGCAGCCTGGGAACCACATGCGGTGGGGTGGCCTCGCCCTCCTCTTCCCAGGTGGGTTCAACCATGAGGAGATCCAGCAGGGAAGCAGAGTGACGGGGGAACAGGGATGGCGATCCCCGTCTGAGCCCCTGAATGAATGGGACGAAGCTGGCACCAGGAGGGCAGGGCCAGCGTGGCTTCACCCGGGGCAGGCAGGAGGCTGAACAAGTCACAACAGGCCGGGGTGGGTTCTGAGGCCTGGGCTGGGGCCACTGGGATGCAGTGACCCAAGCAGGGATGCTAATGCTGATGCTGAGGCAGTGGGCACTTCCTCCCATCCCCAGCAGCCATGTCGGATGCTGGCACCAGCATCTTCCTGACTGAGCTCGCTGAGAGCAAGAACCTTCCAGAAGCGTGACCTCTAATGACAGTCTCTCGCACAATCTTTCTTACAGAAGGACTTGGTGATGGTGACAGGGATCCGAAGGGGAAGTTGGCCAGCCCCGCTCGCTAGGCCCTCTATGAGTCAGGCCTGGCTCCCTGCCCTGGGGACCCCTTCCCTCCCCTCCCCAGCCTGAAGGGGAAGCACAGCATTCAGACTCAAACACCCGGGAAGATCAACCTGCGGGGAGGCTCTGGCTGCTGGGGATGGGGGTTATAGTCCGCTAATGACCCAGGAATCCGGTCCTGAGCCAAGCTGGGCTGCGGTGCAGCTTCTGGGATGGTCCCCTAGGGAGGGCTGCAGGTGGTTGCATAGGCCCCCAACAACCCTGGGAAAAAGCAGCTGGTGGGGCCACATCAGTCGCATTAGAAAAGAGTCCTGGATGGATGGGTGCAGTGACTCACACCTGCCGTCCCAGCACTTTGGGAGGCCAAGGCGGGAGGATTGTCTGAGCCCTGGCGTTTGAGACTGCAATGGCCCATGATTGCACCACTGCACTCCAGCCTGGGTGGCAGAAAGAAACCCTTTCTCTAAAATTAATTAATTAATTAAACTAAGAGAGCTTCCTCCACTTGGGGTGTACCAGCTGCCTCTCGGAAGAGCTGCCCGGAGCAGCTGGACTCCCCAGGATCACCATCCTTAAAGCTGAGGCCTACTCTGTCTGGGTTCTGCCTGCCTCGCCCAAGAGCCACCTGACCTCCCACCCAATGAGGTGGGAGGGAGCTCCACCTCCCACGCCCCTGGGTCATGGATCCCCTGACACTTCTCCGGGAGCAGGCCAGGTAAGGGCTGCTCTCCACATCCTGCAGAGAAAATGGGAAATAGGTGACTTCCTGCAGCCAGGAGAGGAGGCCTGAGAGGCATGCAAAGCCTGTGCCCCCACACAGGCTCTCAGTCCCCATACGTGTGCACCCACAAGGTCACTCACACTCACACATACATGCACACAGCCACGTGCTTACACACACACAGTCACGGGCACCCTACATACACCCACACACTCCAAAACACACACGCATCCTGCGCGCACACACACACACACACACCTGTGCTCGTGTGCCCACCAGCCCGCCCCACCCTCCCCCTTCCTCCTCTCAGACCCTGAGCTCCCCCGCAGCCCCCAAGCCTGGAAACAGGCAAGTCCAGGCTCAGCATTGATCGCAGCAGCAGCCGTGCCTCTGGGCTCTGAGACAGCCTCTAAATGCCGCAGGCCCTCGGAGTCCCTCGGGCAGCCTCCTGACAGTGGGTGAGAAACGCCGGCGCGGGATATATTGAACGGCGCTGGTGGATGGGATGGTGGCGGCCGCTCCTCCCGCGCTGAATTATCTCTGGCAGAAATAAAAATCAGCTGAGCGCCGGGTTTCGATAGGCCACAATCTGTTAGCAGAAAATTGGACTGTCACCAGCATGCCATGTTCATTTTGGCTGACTAAAGAGATATTAATCTACTGTCACGGTAACAGCTCTGCCAGCACAGTTAACGGGCCAGCAGAGACAGGGCTGCCTCTCGGGGACAGCAGCGCCGCGGCGGCCGCGGTGCAGGGACTCAGCGCGGGATCTGGGGCCACGCGCGCGCCTGGGTAGGGGCCACCGTCCACTCTGGGCCACGTCAGGTCCCACTGGGACAGTGGACCGCCTATCTGTGTTGGCCTTGAAGATGGGAGACGAATCGCCATCATCCCACGCCTCCAGCGTCCTGGCGCCCAGACCCCCGTGCAAGTGTCTCCAAGGGGCAACGCCCAGACCTCTGGATGACACCTCGGCCCAGGAGCTCACCTGCCTCTCATCTGTGCACAGAGAAAGACTCAGGAACCTCGCGGGCAGCACCCTCTGCACCTCCCATCTACACTGGCCACAGGGAGCAAGGGGGACCCAGGACACACCAGGGTGGCTCAGCAAGAGTGGCTTGGCGGGCCTGGCCCTGGGGGCTCAGAACTGCCATGGGGACCCTGGCCCACTGCACCCCACCACCCCTCAGGCCTCCAGACAAGATGCTTGGAGACCCACGTCAGAGGCTCCAGGTAGGCACGGCCCCTGCAGCTGCCAAATACTGCCACTGCCTAGAACACTGACCCCCAGGTGGGTGGGCGCCAGAGTACCCCAGGTCCAGAACTCTCAGGAGGAGACAGCGATGTGGCCTACTGAATACGTCACCGACTCAACTCACCGAGAGAGTGCCCCTTGGGCCAGGGTCCCTGGGACCCAGGGAGGACACCCCCACCCCAAGGGTTTTCTGAGGCCCCTTGAAGGATTAACGGGGCCCAACACAGGGCTTGGGTAGCCTGGGGGCTGTCCATCCCTGACCTGGGCTGATGCTCCTGCACCCCTGTTTCCTAGTGAGGGGCACAGCCTTGCTCCCCGGACAATGGTCGCCCCTGCTGAGCCGCGGCTCACAAAGCCTGCATGGATCAATGGGCCGCATCTCATGGCTTCTCCTCCCTGCGGAAGCCACCTGAGGCCAAGCCGGGCAGGTGCATCGAGCCAAGCTATGCTCTGCTCCCGGAGGCCCCTGAGCCTCCCCATGACCCTCATCCTCCCACTCAGCTAGCTGGTTGGGGGCAGGCAGTGGAGGCCACTCAGCTGAAGGGGCAGGGCCTGACACACGCAGGAGAGGCAGGGCTCAGGGCCAGAGCTGTGTCCTGGACACGGCCAGCCCTTGGGGCAGAGCTGGTGGAGCCAGGAAGGTGTCATGGGCAGTTTCTTGGCCTCTGCCTTGTGCCACTTGCTGAGGTCCCAACACAGGGAGGCCGGGTGATGGACGTCACAAACCCCCAGTGTGCCCCATCCTGCTGTAGCCCTGGGGAGGTCCCTGCACTCACGTGCCTCCTGCACTCACAGGCACCCTGAACTCATGGGCCCCCTTCACTCATGGGCCTCCTGCACTCACGGGCCCCCTGCACTCACAGGTCCCCCGCACTCAAGGCCCCCTCGCACTCACGGGCCCCCCACACTCACGGGACCCCTGCACTCACGGGCCCCCTGCACTCACAGGCCTCCTGCACTCACGAGTCCCCCGCACTCATGGGCCCCCGCACTCATGGGCCCCCCACACTCACGGGCCCCCCACACTCATGGGCCCCCTGCACTCACGGACCTCCTGCACTCACAGGCTCTGTCCTCCAAAGCCTCTCCAAGGGTGTTGCCCGCAGACCAAACCATTGACCCCGACCCCATGCTTGCACCGTATGGGACTCTTCCAGTTGCAGTTGCAGAACACAGCTCAGAGCAGCTCACACAGAAAAGTCACCGCACAGCCAAACGGGACATCCAGGGATACAGCTGGCTTCCGGCTCCGCAGGATCCAGGGCCCGGACCATGGGTGGGCACGGTCTCACTCGCCACATTTTGAGTGAGCATGGCTGGGCGGCAAAGCACCCAGGACTTCTTAATAACTTGAAAGAGCAGCAGCATCACCTCTCACAAGGAAGGTGAGGAACACCCCAGGTGGACTCTGATGGGCCAAGTTCAAGCTGTGTGACCACCTTCCGCCCCTCACTGAGGTCTGGGAGGCTGGGCTGGACCTGAGTGCGTGCCCACTCTTGGAGGTGGGGTTCTGGTCAAGCCCCACTTGACCCTTTGGGCAAAGGATGGGGGTGATTTGCTGCCAGAGACATTGACAACAAAAAGCTGACTCCTGGTGCCATGCGCAGGCTTAGATCCTGGGCAGGGCTGCCCAGCCCCTGGGCGCCTGGATGCCACACACCCTTGACGCTGCCATGTCCCCAGGCATCAGCCTGCCCCCGTGGGACCCCCAGCTTAATGGAGATGCAGGCCATAAAGAAGTGAGTATGTGAGTAAACAAACAAGTATCAAGTCACAGGGGTCCGCATATCCTAGCCAGTGTCACACCCGGCTCTATGGAGCTCAAAGGGCGTGATCAGGAAACTCCTCTCTGAGCTTCCCCTTGGAAGCCAGAGCTGGGTGGGTGAGTAGAGCCCCACCTGCCCCAGGTTCTCTGACCTGGAAAATCCCCAAGCTCAACCTAACTCCACGACCTGAGCCTTGACTTCCAGGGGCCGGAGCATATGGCACGCCAAGGTCCCCTGACAGTGGCAAAACCCTCTTCTGGACAAAGCCAGGATCCGGCAGGGCCCAGGCTCGGAGGCCCCAGTTGGCGCCAGGACTTGCTAAGACGGATTTTCAGGCCAGAACCACGTGCTGGTCTGTGAGCCGGGCCCCAGGTAGGCGCACATGGGCCCTGGTGGTACAGCTGGACTTTGCTCTGCCTGGTTGATGCCCACTCCTAGGCCAGGGTCCAGGCAGGAGACACCCAGGGCAACCACGAACAGCAGAAGCAACCTCAGGGCCACGTGGCAGCCTCACTGTGCGGAGCATGGAGCCACACGTGGTGTAGGCACAGTACAGAGGCGTGGCCTAAGGTCAGAGGTGTCCCCAAGCTACAAGGCTCATGGGGGAAGGGGGCACTGTCTGACCCAGACCTGCTGGAGCCAGCACTGGTTTTCTGAGCTGCGCACTTGCTCTGCCTGGATGTGCTCACACACGGCCCTTCTCTAGGTCAGACAGTCCAGGAACAGCACAGGGCAAGTGACGGGATCCAGGACATAGGCTGTGCCGGCCAGCGTCTCTCCCAAACGCCCGGGGATACTGTGCTGGGTGCAGCGGGCGATCGTGGCAGTGAGGTCCCCTCTGCTTGGCTTGGCCCAGGACTTCCGTCGGGTCTCCCAGGCACTGCTTCCTGCAGCTTCTCAGAGCACATCGCACAGACTCTCTGGCCTGGCCCGCTGCTGACCCCAGGGTGGGACACAGCAGGGCGGGGAGGGAGCTGGGGGCAGGAATATTGCTGTGGGGGTCCTGCAGACTGAAGCCCAAGGTCACGGTG
This sequence comes from Homo sapiens, assembly GCF_000001405.40. Taxonomy (NCBI): domain Eukaryota; kingdom Metazoa; phylum Chordata; class Mammalia; order Primates; family Hominidae; genus Homo; species Homo sapiens. The sequence goes on along the minus strand of NC_000001.11, from coordinate 2,908,094 downwards.
GCAGCAGAGCTGGTTCTTCCCCAAGCCTCTCTCCTGGGCTTGTGGATACCGTCTCCTCCCGGTGTCCCCACAGGGCCATCGCCCTGTGTGTCTGGGTCTGAATCTCCTCTCCTTAGAAGGCACCAGTGACACTGGACGAGGGCCCACCCTAACCTCACTCACCAGAGGGCTCACCCTAACCTCGCTCACCGGAGGGCCCACCCTAACCTCGCTCACCGGAGGGCCCACCCTAACCTCGCTCACCAGAGGGCCCACCCTAACCTCGCTCACCAGAGGGCCCACCCTAAACTCACTCACCACTTTAAAGGCCCTGTCTCCAAACAGAGTTACAGTCTGAGGTCCAGGGATCAGGACTTTAACACAGGAATTTGCAGCCAACACTTTCTTCTCCTCAAACCTCCATCTCCCCTCTGAGCATCTGGCATTTAATCACGGGTGAGGCCCCTCATGTGGTCCCAGGTGAGTGGAGAGCCGGGACAGTGAGGGCCCAGCCTGTAACTGACAGGTGCCCACTCCAAGCCGAGCCCATGACCGCGCTCATAGGAGTTGGGGGAGTTTGACTCTAATTCCTCTGCCACTTCATCATCTATGCAGAGCGTCGCAGCGCATGGGCAGCATGAAATATTCAAAAGAGTTCTATTATTGAATTAACTATTTATCGATTTATAATTTAAAAGATGTATGCCCAGCTGTTAACAAAGATTCCAAACCAACTTTTGCTTCCCAGAACCGCCAAGCGCCACCAGCCCCCAGGGACGTCTCTCTGCCGGCTCTCACCCTGGCGCAGAGTGCAGAGGCGCTCGGGGTGACCTGGGGAGCACAGGCACACTGCAGCCCCTGCCACTTACTGATGCCAACCCACAGGGGTCCGCAGCGCCCCCGGCCCCATCCCACCGGCTTCCAGCTCTCCTATGCTGGCTCCACCTGGAGCAAGGAGGTCTCTGTCCATCTCCCTCAGTTCAGGGCAGGTGCAGAGCCGAGGTCTGAGCCAAGCTGACCACAAGGGCAGCGTCTCAAGCCGCGCTGTGACTGTGAGCTGGGCACAGCTTCTCCTTCAGGGCTCACTGTCCCCGAGGAGGTGGGCTTTTTTTTTCCACTAGACTTTATTATTTAGAGCAGTTTTAGGCTCACTGCAAAATTGTGTGGAAGGCACTGAGTCCCCATGTGAGGACAGCCACCCCCATCAGCCACACCCGCCCCCCAGCATGGTGCACTTGCCACCGTGGCTGACCCCGCATTTACACCGCCTTACCCCGCGCCCAGAGTCACCGCCGGGCTCGCTCTCTACCCTGCATTCCGTGGGTGTGGACAGGCGTGTGATGGCGTGGATCCACCACTGCGGGGTCCTGCGGAGGAGCCCACGCCCTGGAGATCTCCCTGCTCCACCTGTGCCTTCCTCCCTCCCTCCCCTGAGTCCCTGGCACCCTCTCATCTTTTGGCTGCCTCCAGAGTTCCACCTTCTCCAGAATGCCCTTGAGCTGGAATCTCACGGTGAGCGGCGTTTTCAGACTGGCTCCTTTCACTGAGGAATATGCATTTTAGTTTCGAGGCAGGTCTTTTTACTGTGTCCATTTTACAGACCGGCAGGAAAAGCAGCTCAGCGAAGGTCACACACCAGGGCCCTGGTGCGACAGGAACGGAAACCCTGCTCCTGATCCCCCTGCTGTCCAGAGGCCCCTGAGGGATGCTGGCGGGAACTGCACACAGGCGGCCCTGGGGGACTGGGGACAAGGCCTGGCTGGACACAGCTCTGTCCCCGAGCAGCTGGGACTGGAGGCTGCAGCTCTCACAGCTGAGGTCTGACCCCTGATTCCATCTTGGCCGCGCATCAAAGCTCGAGTAGCAGTTAGCAAAGCTGCCGCGGGAGAGGCCGTCTGAGCGCCCCAGAGCCCCACCCTCGCTCCCTGAAGCAGCGGAACGCGGTCAGGATTGCTCTGAGCTGAAGGCACGCGCGATAAATAATCACTGTTTTAAGACTCTCATGTCGAGTCCCTAATGGCATTATGAGGGCATGGGGATTAAGCCCAGGAAGATAATTACCAGAATATCAGACTCCAAACCGTAATCACATCTATTAAAAATGACACGCGAGGAAAATCCCTTGAATTACAGTGCGAGGGGGCTGTCGCCCAGGAGAGCTCCTCTGCAGAGATAAACATCCCCGCACGGCTGGGCTCCTCCCTCCCTGCAGCCAGGTAAGCCTCTCAGGGACAGGAGAGTTTGCCCCAAGTGCAGATGGCAGACAGCGTCTGAATCGGGCACTCCCATCCCTGCTGTGGGTTCAGGGCCACGGCTTTTCAGAGGCAGGACTGTCCTCATCCTCCAGCACCATGGCTCCCAGGAGGGTGGGGGTGCCCGGCGCCAGGCAGGTGGCACTGCCCTGCCCCGCCCCATTGAGGGTCCTCTGTGGGCACTGGGAGCAGCCTCCTCCAGACCTTGCCAGTGAGCTGCCATCGGGAGGAAAGGGCACTGGCCCTGGCAGGTCAGCTGGGCCCTGGGTACGTCTACAAACCCCCCGTGAGGGGCCACAGCCCTGGAGGGGAAGCAGCAGAAGGGCCTGGTGCAGAGGTGCAGGCGGGTCAGAGGAGCTGGTGGGGGACCGGATTCTCAAAGCCCCAGCCACAGCATTCCTTATGATGTCCTGACCGCTGGGCCTGGGGGGCTGGAGCACAGAGGGTCCCCGGTGGCCACAGGGGAGGGCCACCCTCCGTGAGGAGCTGGGCCTTCCTGGGAGGCGTCAGCCCAGCCCTCCTGCACCTGAGTGGGTAGGGAGGTGAGGGGTAAACCCAACCCTCCAACACTGCTGATCTGTGAAGGTGAAGCTGCAGGGAGAAACCCTGAGGTCAGCGCCCCAGGGACGCGGGGACAGGTGCAGCCGGAGGCCCACGGGTCCGAGGCACCGAGGAGCAGGCCTGGCACTCACTAGCTTCCACAGCCCTGCCACCCACCTGCCCGCCCACCCACCCTTGGTGTGGAGCTTACGGGTGCCTGGCCAGTGGGTGAGCAGCACGGTGGGCTACAGCCCTGGCTGGCACCAAACCCCAAGTGGACACTCCTGGCCGGCCGGGCAGGGCAGGGCGGGGCGGGGCTGCCCTGTTTCCCACCCTCATGGGCTGCCCTGAATATTCATGCCCAGCCAGGGCTGTGGCTGACTTGTCAGAACACCAGACCCTCCCAGGAGCACTCGGGGCCCTTGCCTGTCATGGGGTCCTCAACATCGGCCATCAGAGTGGGAGACGGGCATTCCCATCTCCCGTTGTGCAGGTGGGAAAGCCAGGCCCCAGCCCACCTCCTGACCTGACGAACGAAGAACGGAAGGAACGAGGAAGGATGGGAGGGAGGGAAGGAGGATGGGATGGGCGGAGGATGCTGGGAGTTCTGTTAACAGAGCCCAGACAAGGATCCCCCGTCTTGGTCCCCACGGCCCTGATCAGGGATAATGGTTTGGAAACAAGCTGGCCCAGCATGGAGACTGCTGCCCCTCTGTGTGGCGTTTCCACCCGTGAACAAGCAAAAGAGCTTCCCCATGTACCTGCAGGTGTAACTGACCTCATCCTCGCAGCACCTAGAAGTCCCGAGTGTGCGTCTCTGCCCTGGGAGCTCAGCCCTCCCTCCCCAGGGCATCCCTTCCGCTACTGATCAGGAGCACTGAGGCACTGCGGGCGCCAAGGCCAGGCGGCCGGGTGTCGGGTGAGCAGGGCCTCGGCATCTGTGCCCACCCCTCTCTCTGGACAGCGTGGACAGGAGGCGGGGGCGAGGCCATCTCCTCTGCCTCCCTGGGTCTACACAGTATCCTCCCGGTGCCCCTGCCTCTGTCTGCATCTCCACCCTGCAGCCCCTCCCTGAGCCTCTGGACCGGGACAACCTCACCTCCACCACCCTCCCAGCCCTGAGTGGAGGCTGCTTCCTGCATTCACCCTCCAAGGCCCAGGCAGCCGTTCCGGGTTGGGGTTGGGCTCCCTCGGTGGAAGCACCCAAGGTGGTTTCCAGTCCCGGGCTGGATGCTGGCTGATACTTGTCCTGGGAGCAGTCCCCGGAAGCAGCCATTGCAGCGGGAATTCCGGGACGGTGGGGCTGCCGTTGCCCTGAAAGCAGCACTGTGCTTTCTACCAAGGAAAAACCGGACGCTGGCTGTCGGAGCTGTGCAGTGACATCGCAGTCAACGGAACTGTCACTGTGCGGGATCGTGATTGAGTTTCTTTTGAAGTAAGTGCCTTGGGGACCCCGTGGGGGCTGCACTTGACCAAGACTGTATTTTGCAATGGCAGCTGCAGAGAACGGGGCGAGCCGACTTCCTCTGCCCTGAGAACTTGCAGGGAGCTGTGACTCGTTCCTGCTACAGTCATAGCAGAGACCTGAGGTGGTGGCCCTGAAATAATCTCATTTCGTTTAGCCTCAGGGATGACTTCACTGAAAACGAACCCTGGATGTAATTGAGCCGACAACGGAAGCGCGGAGTGGAGGCCCCTCATATGTGTCGAGGCTCTTCGGGGGACATCGGGCGTCCTTCCCGAAGGTCCAGGGCCTTGGACCTTGGGGCAGGGACACAGGAATGGAAGTCTTGACCTCCTGGGCCTCTCTGCGGCTCGCTTGCCAGAGGAGAGTCCTCTGCCTGGGTCTGGGAAACCAGGCTTCGCTCCTGGGAGACCCTGCAACAGCCTGGTCCGGGCGCTTGCTCTGCCGCGTGGAGGGCCTCCTGCCCTTCTTAAGATCCAGACGCACCACCCGCTTCCTCGGCGCCCATGAGGAGTCAGCGCGTGCTCTAGGGACAGGGGACGTCTAGCCCAGGAGAAGGTGGCTTGGAGGCCAAAAGCCATGTTAGGCTTTGTGGCAAATATCTTGGGCAAATCATGTGAGAGGTGATGTCTGGGGTCTCATACCAGGGATCGGATGCAAGGCTGATCTAGGCTAAGTGCCTGCTAGTGGTTCACCTACCAGAGACGGTGGACTTGCGGTGTCGGCTGAAGGAGCTGGGGCGCTCACCAAGTCTGGCTGGTCAGTGACAGGCCCCGACTCACAGTGACTAAGAGTCCCGTTTATTGTGACGCCAGAACGTCCCTAACCCAACAGAGAAGAGGCCACCGGAGGCCCAGGGAGGGGCCAATGGGGCTCACTTACCGTGGACATCTCACTCCACACTGCACCCACGTCCACACTGCACCCAGGAGAGGCCCCACTGCACACGGCACCCAGGAGAGGGCCCACTCCACACCGCACCCAGGAGAGGGCCCACTCCACACTGCACCCAGGAGAGGGCCCACTCCACACCGCACCCAGGAGAGGGCCCACTCCACACTGCACCCAGGAGAGGGCCCACTCCACACCGCACCCAGGAGAGGGCCCACTCCACACTGCACCCACGACAGGGCCCCACTCCACACTGCACCCACGAGAGGGCCCGACTCCCCACTGCACCCACGAGAGGGCCCACTCCACACTGCACCCAGGAGAGGACCCCACTCCACACTGCACCCAGGAGAGGGCCCCATTCCACACCGCACCCACGACAGGGCCCCACTCCACACCACACCCAGGAGAGGGCCCACTCCACACTGCACCCATGAGAGGGCCCAACTCCCCACTGCACCCACGAGAGGGCCCACTCCACACTGCACCCATGAGAGGACCCCATTCCACACCGCACCCAGGAGAGGGCCCACTCCACACTGCACCCAGGAGAGGGCCCCATTCCACACTGCACCCACGAGAGGGCCCGACTCCGCACTTCACCCAGGAGAGGGCCCGACTCCGCACTGCACCCAGGAGAGGGCCCAAGCACGCCTTTCCCTGGGCTCAGAGAGTGAATCCGTCTGTGACAGAGGCCTGGCCTCTCACAAACTCCACTGAGGCTGTGCTCCGGAGGCTGGGACAAGGCAGAGAGAGGCCTCCTTGGATTCATTTCCCGGGGATGCGGAGACAAATCACCACAGACCAGGGGGCTTAAAACAACACACATTTACTCTCTCACACTCACGAAAGCAGGAAGCCAAAGTCAGCCTCACTGGGTGGAAATCAGGATGCTCCCTCTGGAAGCTCCAGTACGGAATCCTTCCCGGCCTCTCCCAGCTTCCGGGGGCACCAACATTCCTGGGTTTGTGGATGCCTCGCTCCGGTCTTCAAGACCAGCATCTTCCAATCACCACCCCGTCCCACATGGGTCTCCTCAGGGTGTGGCCACGTCTCCTCTGCGACTCTCTGATGAGGACACTTGTGATGGAATTTAGAGCCCTCCAGGGTCGTCCAGATATCCCCCCATCTCAGGATCCTGCACATTATCACCCCTGCGTGGACCTCACAGTATCAGGTAACTATCAGGGCTCCAGGGCTTAGGAGGGTTATCTTGGCGAGGGGCGAGGTGGAGGCATTTGCAGCTGACCGCACTCACTAGGGTGGGCCCCTGGGCCTAGTGAGAATGACAGGTTAGGGAGTGGCAGTGGCCAGGTGGGGTTTCACTGCTGCTGGCCAGTTGAGGACAAGAGCTGTCATGGGCGGTGGGGACGGAGTGATCATTGGGAGGTTTAGCTCGACATGCGCTTTAGTTGTGGCTGATTGATCAGGGTCTCTGGGATCCATCAGATGGAAGGCCTAGTGAAGTGGAGATCGACCTACAGGGCAGGTCTCCTCCGTGTCTGCTCACCAGAAGCTTCACTTGTGGCGTCACCACAAGGAGTCTCAGCGGCTTCCTCAGCTTCTGCACCAGCCAGGCTGCTCTTCCCAGGGTCCTGGAGCCCTCAGGAAGGTCCCCTACACACTCACAACGAGGAACTTGGATGCTTCCCCTGCACCAGCCCCAACCAGGTCTGCAGCAGGCTGTGCTCGACAGCAGGGATCCAGCCGGGCCATCTGAGAGCAGGCTCTGTGCCGATCTGCTTCCTGGGGACCCAGAGCCCCGTGCGGCCTGCAGTCCAGAGGACAGCAACACCTGTGGCCACGTCCACTTCCACGTGAGCTCTGTGGCCTGAGTCACGTCCACAGTCCCGGAATGCATGATTGGACTGGACATAGCTGGCCACTGGGAGAATCCCCACGTTGGCCCCAAACCCACAGAATGACACCTGTTGGGGTGGGGAGAGACAGCAGATGCCCCTGGAGCTTCTCTCACCCAGGAGAGGAAAGCCAGAGCAGCACCCTGTGACAAGGCTGAGGCTGGGCCCAGAGCAGCAGGCACAGGGATTCCTGGCACGGTGGCCTGTGCAGGAAGGAGGCAGACGGATCTCACAAAGTGACCCTGGACGAGCATTGCACAATCTCAACACTTTAGACTTTGGGGCCAGATGACCCTTTGTGGTGGGGCCAACCTGGTCTTCACAAGGTGTTGGCAGCTTCTCTGGCCTTCCCCTACTGGAAGCCTGTGGCATCCCCTGAAGGTGACAACCATAAATGTCTCTGGGCGCTGCCCAATGTCCACCCACCCCCCACCCCGAGCTGAGAACCACTGCTGGGGATTATTCTCGACTTCACACAGGGGACCCAGTCACTGACGCTTTTCCAACCATGGAATCTCCACTGAGGGAGGGGGTCCCCTGGGAGAAGGCACAGGACTGGCCACTGGGAACATGGCTTCCTGGGATCCTGGAGCAGGAGCTTGCACAGGGTTCACCTGCACAGCTCAGCCCGGAGCCCGCTTTACCCTCCTCATCACCCCTCCCATGCCCTCTGCAGGGATCTTGCTCACCTGGAGGTCCCAGGGCCATGGCACTTGTGTCCCTGCTGATGACATCAGTTGGTCTGGATGGTCAGTTGGTCCTGATGGTCAGAAAGCAGCAAGCATCTTGTCTGACTTCATAGAAGACACATGCGCCGGAGACCAGGCAATAAACCCTTGACACTTAGGGACCCAACACGCAGCTGAGGGTCCTGCCGCCATGGCCTGACGTCACCGTGCCATCTGCTGCCTGAGCCTAGAAAGAGAAACAGCCTCTGGGGGCCTCCTCAGATCTAGGACCCTGAGCTGCTTTGCCAGCCTCTGCGATGTCAGAGGTCTTCATGGCAGATATACCTGCTGTGTGGAACCTTGGAGAAGCTACAGGGGGAAGAACGGGGTACAGACACCCAGGGCTGAGAGCAGTGCTCTCCCCGAGGCCCCGTGCTGTCTTTCTGAGAAGAGCCCAGACCCAATGGCTGACCACAAGACAACCGTGGCTGTCCAACCTGAGCACTCCTCACCGGCCAGGCACTGTATGAGCCAGGAGGCCATAAGGATGAGCCTGGTGGCAGCAACCCACGGTCCCAAGGGATGGCCCATGAGGGCTGAGAGAGGCAGAAGCAAGAGGAGTGGCGAGGCGGCTGGCACTGCCCCACAACCCCCTTCACACACACCTCCTCCTCATCCTGCACAGTGGTGAGGCGGCTGGCACTGCCCCACACCCCCTTCACATACACCCCCTCCTCATCCCCCACAATACAGCTTCGCCCACCTTGGACCAAAGACAAAAACTCAGGCTTGGTTCACATACTGGTCCTGACTGTTTTCTGTTGATGGAAGTCGGCTGTGGCAGAATCACGGCTCTAACCCAGAGTCCTGAGAAGGGAGCGGGAGGGAAGCAATGGAGGAGGCGAAGCTCCCGGCCATGGTCTGTTTTGTTGTCCACTTTGTCCGGACGGAGAAACAGGCAGAGGCGGAGATACACATCTCCCAGCTCGGGAGACAAGTTGATGGCCCCGGCATGATTGGGGCCTGGAAAGAAGGGGACTGGAGGCCAGTAGACAGGGAGGTGGAGGGCAGGGTGTGCAGACGGCCCTCTGGGAGGGCACGGGGATGGCAGACGTGAGGGCACCAAGGCCGTCCGCTGCAGGGGATGCTGTAGGAATCCAGGCAGAGCCGCACTCTGGGGAGGGCCCTTGTCCTCTCTCTGGGGTCTGCTACCCCATGCTTGCTCAGGGGTCCCACCCAAAGTGGCCAGGATGGCAGGGATGGGGTTTGTCATGGGTTGAGTTGTGACCCCAAAAGGATATGTTCATGTCCCAACTCCCAGTACCTGTGAACGGGACCTTATTTGGAAATAGGGTAGTTTTGCTTGTTTGTTTGTTTGTTTGTTTGTTTGTTTGTTTTGCAGGGGGGAACGGAGTCTTGCTCTGTCGCCCAGGCTGGAGTGCAATGATGCAATCTCAGCTCACTGCAACGTCTGCCTCCTGGGTTCAAGGGATTCTCCTGCCTCAGCCTCCTGGGTAGCTGGGATTACAGGCACCCACCACCACACCCGGCTAATTTTTGTATTTTTAGTAGAGATGGGGTTTCATCTTGTTGGCCAGGCTGGTCTCAAACTCTTGACTTCAAATGATCCACACATTTTAGCCTCCCAAAGTGTTAGGATTACAGGTGTGAGCCATGGCACCAGGCCTGGAAATAGAGTCTTTGCAGATCTAATCAAGTTAAGCTGAGGTTCTTGGGGTGGTTTCTAAGTCAGTGCGACTGGGAAAATGCTGCATGGAGACAGACACATGGGCAGAGTGTCCTGTGATGACAGAGGCAGATGTGGGGTGACGCAGCTACAGGCTGAGGGAACCAGTGAGGAGCCACCGGGGACTGGGAGGGTCTTTGGAGGGAGATGGCCCTGCCCCTACCTTGATTTTGGACCTCTGGCTTCCAGACTAGAGACATTCCTGCAGTCAGTTCTAAGCCACCTGGTTTGTGGTGCTTTGTGGTGGCAGCCCATACTCTAGAGACCACACATGGCTCAGCAACATGGTCTCTCCTGGACAAGATGAACCTGGCGACCAGTAGAGTTGTGGGACCTGCATACCCCATGTGCCCAAGCAGAAACCACCACTGGGGCCCCCGGCAGCAGCTTTTCCTGGGACTTTGTGCCACTCACTCACGGGTGCCTGGCAGATGACCTTGGGCCCCTGACATCACAGGGGCACCATGGAGGGGACTTCAGGGAGTCCTCTCTGGGTTGGACTTGCCTCCCTGCTCCAACGGCTCCACCCTGTGCACCTGCCTCTTGCCTCTCTTGCCAAGGCAGCACTCAGCTCCGTACTGTTTCTGGCCATGGAAGTCAACTCAAAGAGCCTCTCGGCGATGGCTCACAGGCACCCTTGCCAATCTTTGGTCCACTGCATTCCCCACCCCACTGCTGGCCTAGTGAAGACCTAGTTATGGTGCCCGTTGGACAAGCACTCCCTGAAAGTCTGGGTTTCTATCTTCAGGTGTAATTTATGTTTTAAACAAGCCACTGTGCCATTCTGCAGCCAACATACCCAGGTCCCAACATACCGAGGTCCCAACATACCCGGGTCCCAACATGGGTTGGATGCAGAAGGGGCTCCTGTCACTCACACCTGCCGACCCACTCCTGGAACACTGACTTCCTGTCCCTAGGACTTTGGACTGTGCTGGTTTAGATGTCTTGGTCTTCGGCAGAACGCTTCCACTGGTGACACAACAGCAGGTCCGCAGAGCTGGAAGTCAGTGTGGACACTGGGCTGCTGGGATCTGCCTGCTCCAAATCCACAGGTAAACCACAAGCTCCTGTGCCAGCCAGGGTGACGAAGCCCCTGCTGAGGGGGACCTGGGGATGTTGCCATGGAGGAGCATGAGCAGCAGCCCAGGGCATCTCCGGGCACCTCTGAGTATTGCCGTGTGACGATTAATAGGCTGCAGCCACCAAAACCACAGAAGTAAAGGAACAAGCAGGGCCACTGAGGACTCAGCCCCTTTGGTGACAGTAACTCAGGTTCCCCCACCAGGGAACAAACCTTGACCAGCTGAGAGGCTGAGAGAGGGCAAACGAAACAGCGAATGAGGGTAAAAGAAAGATGTTCCCATGAATATGGACGGCAGCACATGACCAGCTGCAGAAACCAAGACCACAGAGAAACGTGTATGTGCGTCCATATGCAGGTGTGTGTGTACATATATGCACGCATGTGTAATATGTGTACATGTGCATGAGTGCATGTGTGTGTGCATGTGTGTGCGCACGTGTAATGTGTGTACGTGTGCATGTGCAATGTGCATACATGTGTGCATGTGTGTATGTGTGCATGTATGTCCGTGTGTGCATGTGTATGCATGTGTACTGTATGTACATGTGTGCATGTGTGTGTGCATTGTGCATGTGTGTGCATGTGTAATGTGTGTACGTGTGTGCATGTGTACATGTGTGCATATGTGTGTACATGTGTGCATGTGTAATGTGTGCACACGTGTGCATAAGTGCATGTGTGTTTGCATGTGTGCATGGGTGTGCATGGGCAATGTGTGTACATGTTTGTGTGTGTGCATGTGTACATGTGTGCATGTATGCACGTGTGTAATGTGTACATGTGTGCATGTGTGAGCATGTGTAATGTGTGTGCATGTGTGCATGTGTGCATGTGTATGCGTGTGCATGTATGAGCATGTGTAATGTGTGTGCATGTGTGCATGTTTATGTGTGTGCATGTATGTACTTGTGTGCATGTGTAATGTGTGTACATGTGCACGAGCGCACGTGTTTGCATGTATGTGTGTGCATGTATAATGTGTGTACATGTGTGCATGTGTAATGTATGTAGGTGTGTGCGTGTATGTACGTGTGTGCATGAGTAATGTGTGTGCATGTGTGTGCGTGTGCAATGTGTGTGCATGTGTGCGTGTGTAATGTGTTTACGTGTGTGCATGTGTGTGTGCAAGTGTGTGTGCCAATTCCCTTCTTCCTCCCCTTCTCTCTCCCAGTATTATTTCATAAATGGACAGTTAACAGTGGTCAGCTTGACAATGTATTGTATGTGCTACAGACCAGCCAGATGATCTCACACTGACCTAGAAGAGGAGCTCACCCTGCCCAAGACGCATCCCACACCTGTGACTGGGCAGTGGCTCTCATGGCTGTGGGGCTTCTCCTCCTTTTACAGGAGGGTGGCGGGTGTTTCTTTTCACAACAGGCCATCCAGCCTTGTCCAGCAGCAGCATCCCCGGGCCACCACCGTCACTGTCTGGAAACTGCCATGCATGTAACAGGCATGCACTAATGCAGGCTCCCCGAAGGGTGACTGTGCCCAGCATTTTCCTGGGGCCCCTCAGCTCCCAGCCTGCCCTGCCACACTTTGAGATGCGGGCAAGGACCCAACAGATTCTTTCTCCCTTGCCCGCTCCCTTGCCTCACCAGAACCCTGGTGAGGTTCTGCTCACCGGGGCCCTGGGCCAGCTGGGAAGCAAGCGCTGAGGAGGACTTGGCCTAGCGGCCCCTGCCAGCTCTTCCCCAAGCAGTGGACTCAGTCCTGGCGGCTGCAGGTGGTTCTGGCCTCTAGCCTCTCTGGGGACCCCATTGAGCCAGCCCCATTGTGCCCTCTCTAGCAGCACCCCAGCTCTGAAGGGGGACCCCTGCTCTGTGGGGCTCTCCTCTGAGTGTCTGGAACCTACGGCTCCAGCCTGCTCCCAGCTTCCCTCACTCACCAGCCCTGGGCTACCCTCAGGTACCCTCGTGCCCTGCGGGCAGCCGCAGCTCCTGAACCCAATGCCCTCATCAAGTCCCCTCTGTGGAAACACTTAGTGTGACCAGTGCTCCTGCTGGACCCTGGCCGGGTCAGAGTTCCGGGGACTCAAGAGGCCACATAGACAGCAGCTCTGCTGGGCACCGACAGGCCGAGGCAAGTGCCTGCCAGAAGCAGCCAGATTTCCCCACACATTGCGGTCAGGAGCCAAAATGATGCCTGCAGAGGCAGAACTGTCTGTCACTAAGCAGGACACAGCAGTGACCCCATGCCAGCCACGGCCCCAGCCCCTCGCCCCCACCACGTCAGCTCACTCAGCCTGTGGGGGACCCATGTGGGCTGAACTGTGTCCCATGAAATTCATAAGTTGCAGTTCTCAGCCCAGGACCTCGGAGTGTGACCTGACTTGGGAATAAATGTTCATTTGACGGAACAATGGCGGTGAGGCCACACTGGAGTGGGGGGCCCCTCATCCACCATGAGGGGTGTCCTTACACAAAGGGAGAGCGTGGACACAGATACACAGGCAGAGAGATGCCCGGTGAAGCCGGAGCCAGAGACTGGGCAGCACTCCCAGGAGCCGAGGAGCAGCGCGGAGTGTACCACACAGCCGCGGGCGGCAGAGGCCTGGGATGGATTTGCCCTCTGAGCCTCTGGAAGGAACCAGCCCTGCTCTTGCCTTGATCTCGGACCTCCAGCCTCCACAGCTGTGAGGGAATAAACATCTGTGGTTCAAGCCCCCGCACCCGTGGTACTTGGTGGCGGTGGCCCCAGGACGTCCTCGCCACATCCGTGCCAGGCTGAGCACAACCCAGGAAGGCTGGCGGCACCGCCACACTCTGCGGTTTTCAGTCTGTCTGCAAGTTGCCAGGTGTGGCCCCAGCGTTCCCCGCCAGGTGTACCCTCACAGCCGGTGCACATGTGCCCCAGGAAGGAGGTCAGGGTGGGGAGGCAGGGTGGGGAGGTCAGGGTGGGGAGGACAGAGAAGGAAGATTTGCCACCCCATCTGACCAAGGTTAGGTCCCGAGAGCCAGCGCCTCGAGGCAGCCGGCACACGCGCAAGGGAAGCAGCCCTGTGAGGACGGCGCCCACATCACTCAGCTAGCACTCACTCAGAGGAGACGCCCTCCGGAGGGTGGCACACTCAGACTGGGGCCCTCCCCACCAGGCAAAGCAGCAGAGACGCCTCCAGCCAAGCGAGGACCCTTGGCCTGGGGAGGCCTGAGCCCCCTCTAGAAAAAAAGGTCCCTTCCACTGAGGCCGCATCTCCTGAAAACAACCCTGGGGCCCCGGGGTCCCGAGATACAGTGATTTGTCCCGTTGCTACCTGGTTACCCTGAACAAGTTTTTAACCTCCTCACACCTGAAAGGGACAGACATTGGCAAACCCAGGGGTTGTACTATTGATAAGGGTCTCATTGAGACAAGAGAGGTTGTCCCTGTGTGGCACCGGAGGTGAGCCAAGGCCCAGGCAAGCTCATGGTGGAGCAGCCGCTGGGGCTGGATTTGCAGACCCTGCCAGGGGCAGGCTAGGCTGTGACCGAGGGGTGACCATCTGGTGGCTAGGAGCTGTCCCTTTCCATGGCCAGCACAGGGCCGAGACCCAGGGCTTGCGGGGGCTGGAGTCTGCTGCTGGGCTGCAGACCACTGATTGCTGGGGAGAGTAGCACGAAGGGGTCCTCGCTGCCTAGGGTGGGAAAGTCAGAGTCGGGCAGGTCCCAGCCACCCAGCCCAGGCCTTGCCACAGCGACTTCATCATGGAGACCCCCGCTACAGCGAGCCTCCTTGCAACAGGGCCGGCCTGGGTCAGGGGAGGGGGTCTCTGAGTGGTGGACAGTGTGGAGAGAAAGCTGTTAAGGTCACAGGCTGACACCCAGGCCACCTCCAGACCAGAAGAGTGAACGACCGCTGAGCCCACGAGGTCCCCAGGCGCATGGGGGTGCACGTGTGTACATGCAGGTGCATCGTGTGCAAACGTGTGCACATGTGCAGGCAGGTGCGTGCATGTGTGCACATGTGTATCATATATGTTGTGTGCACATGCATGTGTGGGTTTGCGCTTGTGTGTCCATGAGTCATGTCTGTGCATCTGTGTGTGGGTGTACCTGTGCCCATGTGTGGATGTGGCGTGCGTACATATGTGCATGCCTGCTGGGGTGTGTGCTATGTGTGTTTTGTATGCATCTGTGCATGTGTGTATATCTGCCTGTGTACACTGCCAAGTGCTGTGTGTGTCACATGTCACGTGCATGCATATGTAGGTACTTGTCTGTGTGTCTGTGAGCTGTAACTCTCAGATGAGAAAGGAGAGGTTCTCCTGCTCTCTCCTGCATGAAACTGGCCCCTCACCCACTGCCCCACAGGAGACTGCTCCCCCAAGGACAGGCCTGGGGTTCCCTGACAGGGTGGGGACCCTAACCCTCCAGGTCCCTAGGCAAACTTCACTGTCTCCAGGCGTCCAGGCCCTGGAGCAGAGTGGGGTGGGGTGGAGTGGGCAGGGTAGGGTGGAGTGGGCGGGATGGGGTGGGCTGCGTCCTCTCCCCTCTCCTCTGCCCCTCAGCCAGGGGAGACCTGCTGATGGCCAGAGCCTGCACATCCAGGCGGAGCAGATGACACCCCCCAGATGAGAACTGATGAGGGCCAGGCAGCAAAGCTGCTGGACAGGGAGGCCATCACTCTGCACAGGAACTTCCTGAGTGACCACGGGCAAGGCCAGCCCCCCCCGTGCCTCAGTTTCCCCTCTTTAACAGAAGCGTGGGCTGGACTGTTCCAGCCCTTCCAGAGTGAAGATCTATGTCTCTTGTGTGTCCCTGTGGCCAAAATTCATCAGAGGCCAGCAGGACAGAGGAGCAGTTCCCAGGCGAGGGGACTCTGAGGGCGGGACTCCTGCAGCCTTTGTGTGGCCAGATGCAGATGTGGACATGTCCACCTCCGGCCAAGCCCCTATTCCTTGAGCCTGGGGTCTGCATGGGACAGGGCCCTGCTGCCCGCCTGCCCGGAGGGGTCCCCTCCCCACCCGCTCCTGGAGCGGTGCCGTCTCTCCACTTTCTTGGGCTGTAGCTCTCGGCCTAATTATCCGTAACCTTCTGTTTGAAGACCGCTGTCCTTGCCTGATAAAAACCAGTAACTCTGAAAGCAAACTGGGTCTTAATTTTCCTTGACAGCCCTGCTTGAAGCGTGCGGGCTGAGCTGGGGTTTAATGAAATGCACATTCGTATTCCAAACAAATTAAGTACAATTAAGGACTCTGAGTTATGGGTATCTATCACTCCGTGATGTTTTTGTAAAAATTACCCCATCAAGATCAAAGTCGGAGGATCCCTGCCTTAATTGCTTCATTAGGGCGCTGTGCACCAGGCTTCGTGAGCGCCGGCCCTGGTGTCTCTCTGGGAATTACTCAAACGACGGCCCTCACAATAATTGCTTCCATATTTCTCTCCCGGAGACGTTCTGGGCTCCATGGATCAAATGCAATGGCTTCAGGAACCCAGCTTGGCTCAGGTCCCCTCGGCAACGGCCGAGGCGTTTTCATGGCGCCTGCGCTGAGGCCCCACTGGGCTGGCTGGTGGGTGGGCTGCCCCCTGCCCCACCCATGCTTGGCCTCTGAGCCAGGGCAGCTGGTGGCCCAGAGAGGGGGAGCCTGGGCCAGCTCACAGGTCCACCAGACAAGCGACCCCCGCCAGGCCCGCGCTCCGTTGGCTTGACAGCCATCCCGGGGCCCTCTGACTGCCCAGCCTTTCCCTCCTCACTTCTTGCTTTAAGCTGTGCAGTGGGGTGAGGCATCCCCACCCAAAGTGGCAGAGGCAGGGGCAGAGGCCCTGGCTGGCTCCAGTTCTGAGCCCCCGAGGCCGCTGTGCCAGGTGCGGAGCCTCCCAGCCCCCAGGGCTGTGCCAGCCCTGGCCCCATACCACCAGACCCTCCCCTGGAACCCACTTCCCAGCCCTGGAGCAGAAAGGAAATGCAGCTGCTGCCCCCTGACCCTTCCGGGAAGGGGTGCAGAGCTGCAGCCGCCAGGGGATCTCATCCCGGGCCCAGCTTCTCTCATCCCTGAGTGGATGCAGAGTGGCCAGAACGGAGCCGCAGGGATCCAAGCAGCACCGCCGGATGAAACAGAGGGTGCAGGCACCAGCGAACCCGGAGCCACAGGAGCCGCTTCCTCGGGCTGAGTATGCCCCGTGCAGGATCTAGAACATCCCAAACAGGAGTCCTTGTTGATCTGAAGCTCACGTTTAACTGGGTGCCTGCACTTTACTTGGCTTAATCTGGCCACTCCAGTGGGAGAAGAGGGAGAACTCGCTCTCACGGAGGGTCACCCTCTCCATAGATGCCCCGGGGCATGAGGGCACCGACACCCAGCCCCGGGGACCCTGCCTCCCGTCTGGCCCCAGGGCCGGGCCCGTGAGCCTCCTCAGGCACTCTCTGCCTCAACAGCCCTCCCTCCTGCGGCTTCCTCTTTGTGGAGGGGGTGGGGGGAATACCTTGGGACCCATGTGGAGGCCGCTTAGGGCAGGGAAGTGCCCCATGGGTGTTGAATAATGTCCCCAAAAGATGTGCTGGAGTCCTAACCCTCAGGACCTGGGGATGCGGCCTTACTTGGAAGCTGGGTCATTGCAGACATAATTGCTTCAGATGAAGTTGTATTGGAGTAGGGTGGGCCCTACTGGTGTGACTGGTGTCCTTATAAGAAGAAAACAGAGGCACAGAGACCCCCACAGAGGGAAGACAGCCCAGTGATGCTGGAGGAAGTGGTGGGAGTGAGGCGGCCACAGCCAAGAACTGCCTGAAGCTACCAGGGCCTGGAAGAGGCAGGAGGATCCTCTCCCAGAGCCTTCAGAGGGAGCCTGGACCTGAACACCTGGACTTTAGGCTTCCAGCCCCCAGACCACGAGAGAATCAATGTGTATTGTTTTAAGCCGCAACAACCCATCAGTGTGTGTTATTCTAAGCCACAATAAATCAGTGTGTGTTATTTTAAGCCACAATGATTGTCTTTGTTGCAGCATCAACGGGAAACTTATCCACACCCCTGGGAGGATGAGGCTCAGCAGGGGGTGACAGGTGCGATCCTCAGCCTCAAGGCTCCAGGAGGGAGACAGGAGAGTGAGGGTGGGCGGGGCCATCTGCTCGGTCTGTGTCCTCCAGGATGGGCAGTCCCATCGGGTCTTTACTGGTGACGATACATTTCAGATGCCAGGCAGCAGCCTCACCATAGCCATCCTCTGCCCCGGCCCCCCGTGGGACCCACAGGCAGGAAGCCAGGACCCCAGACCCGGGCCCTGACCCATCGTGTGTCAGACAGCTCTCTGCCAGGGCAGTCGGTGTGCCCAGGTCCTGACTTCCAAATGGGGACATCACAGGCACCCTCTGGCTGGTACAACTGTGGGAAGCACTCCCCAGTGTGAGGGGTCACTGTGCCCAGAGCCACGTGTGCTGGCCAGAGGGTGGAGGCAGAAAAAAGAGAGGATGGGGCTTAGGAACTCCCTGGAGTGGAGCGGGTCTGCAGAACAGGGGCCGGTGCCCTTCCATCCCCTGCCATGAGCTCCCCATCCCCCAGGCCCAGGTGCCTCCCATCCCCTCACACACAGGGTCTCCCGACCCTCCTCTACCCTCTCCACCTCCCCCGACCTCCCTTCACCTTCCTCTACCACCTTCCACCTCCCTCCACCACCCTCCACCTCCCCGCCACCTCGTTCCACCACCCTTCACCTCCCCCCACCTCCCCCCACCTCCCCCCACCTCCCTCCACCTCATCCCACCTCCCCCCACCTCCCCCCACCTCCCTCCACCCCAGAACTGCCTCACCCAGAAATGCTCCTGCCTGGAACTGTGCTGCAGGGTTAGGCACCTACCTCTGAAATCTCCAGGCCATTCTCTGTCTGCTGCTTGGTCACCCCCACCAAGCATGGGTCACAGGCCTCAGCTCCCCACAGCTCGGCCCCCACCCTTGGCTTCGGGCCCCCGACTTCCCCACCTCCCTCAGCCCCCGGCCACCCCTTCCTGGTCCTCCCGTCAGTTCTGATGTCCTTGGCCTCTTCCAGCGGGGCCCCCAGAGCCCAGACACAGAGCCTCCTCTGTCCCCACCTGGAGCCCCACCCAGGCTGGCTCCAAAGCCCACCACGGACTCGTGATCCCCAGAGTCCTCAGCCAGCCTGTCCCCCTGAGCCCCAGCGGCCTACCTGGCCTCGGCACTCAGGGTATCCGCTGAACCAGCAACGTCCACACTCAGCCAGGGTTGACCCCAACAGTCCTCAGGGCAGGGACAGGGACAGAAGGGGCCCCAGCACCTGAATCAAGGCCCCAAGCCGCCGTCCCCCACCCATGTAGATGAAGCTCATGCTGTGTCCTCGGGGCCCTGGGAGCCTGGGGGTGGCTCTTCTGTGTCCATCCCCATGGCCACTTCCAGTCCTGCCCCCACCCTGTGACCACGCTCCCCACTCACACAGCACTGGCGGCTGCCTCCCAGATCCTGGCAGAGTTTCCCAAAGCTTGATGTCTGGGGGTGCTCCTGGGAGTGGCAGGCACATGCCAAGGTGACCCCAAGTCACCCCCCGTGTGACCACCTGCCCTGAGATTTGCATCCGACCAGCAGCGTATGATACAGGTGGCAGGCGAGTCACTCCCTTGCTCACATGTTATGAAGACACGTCTCCGACGGCTGGAGTGGTACAGTCTCCTGCTGCCCGGAGGAAGCAAGCTGCCCAACAGAGACACCTCCAGGGCAGAGGACGGTGGGGGCCCCTAGGAGCCAAGAGTGGCTCCGGATTGACTGCCCCGAGAACATGGGACCTCAGTCCCATAACCACAAGGAAATATTTCTGCCCGCTGCTGGGATGAGCCTGGAAGTGGGTCCCTCCCTCGTGGAGCCCTCAGATGAGAACACAGCCAGTTCCGGGCCAGGGAACCTGTGAGGTGATGAGTGGGTGTCTGCCATCTGCTTCTGCTGTGTGGTGTGTAGTGGTGCCATACGCAGCATAGATCACCAATATGCCATGCCTCAGGATGCAAGGACCAGGCAGGGGGCCGGCTTTGTGGTGAAACCATGATTCAGCAAAACTAAACAGGTTTCCTTCCCCTGCCCTGACACAGGCACGCGCCCTCTCACCTCCCAGGGGGCCAGAGCAGCCACCTCTGCTCACCCGACCTGCTCTTTTCACGGGCCCAGCCCAGCACCACTGGCCAAGCAGCCCTGGAGGGTGAAGGCCCCCGTGCATGATGCCTAGGCAGCCACGCCCGCGCACACCAGGCCCTTCCCACTCCCCAGCCGGGCTGTGTGGCCCCACCCCTGCTTCTTTGCCCCCCACCCCCACCCCCGTCCCTCCTGAGAGACTCTCATCCTCCTTCTCCCTCCTCAGGTTCTCCCTAAATGTCGCCTGGTCTCCGGAGCCTTCTCTGGTCTGCCCAAAAGACGGGGGACCCTCTGCCCTGGGCCCTGCGACTCCTTCACACACAGAAGGGCCCTCAGCTCCCCTCACTGTGGGGCACATGACAGCCCAGAACACAGGCACCTGGTGCCAGACCACAGACTGAGCGTGTAGCGCGCTCAATACATGCCTGCCGGTGCGTGCACACGTGGGATGGGGCCAACGGTGGTGGAGGGCACCTTCTCCCCCTCCATTGGCCGTTCCATGCCCAGCATCTCCACGTCTGTCACCCAGCACTGGGCTGGCTGGTCCGGAGCACAGACAATGAGGACAAGCTGTCCACCAGCTTCCTGAGACCTCAGTGAGAGCTGGGCCTCAGCCAGCCCTACAGCCCAAGGGAGCAGGCAGAGCTCTCCTGAAGGGTGAGTCCCCCTCCCTAGGGGCACACAGGGGGCTAGGGTCACCACCGACCTCCAGGGGCTACAGAAGCAAGCTCCAAAGAGAGGCCAGCCCTGCTCCCCTCCCACACAGAGTGCCCTGCCCTTGGCATTGCCCTCTCCAAGCAGGGACTGGAGCAGTGGGTTAGGGGAGGGGCTGCCCACAGGCTTTCTCTGGCCCAGAGCTGCACCCACAGGGGCGCACATTTACGGGGCACCTAGTGTGGCCCTGAGCATGGCGTGGGCATTCGTGGGAGTGTGTGATCGTGGTTCACCCGGGTTCAGGGCTGAGGGGTGAGGGGCTCCTGAGTGAGGGGTGCACTGGCCGGGTATGAGGGTGGAGAATGGGTCTCTTCTGGGAAATAGCCTAAAGTGGGATGAGTCAGAGCTGGAAATTCTGTACCAAGAGCCCTCTTCTTCCCCACCCCCACCTCCCCACCCATTCCTCACCCTCTCCTTCCCCGACCCCCATCCTCAGCCCACAGCACAGAAGGTCCCACACCAGCGTCACATGAGCCAGGAAAGTCATGTCTGGCTGGCAGCAGAGGTGCTGGGTGGGGTCCGCAGGGCCAGCCACAGGGGAATGGGGCACAGAGTGGCTCCCAGGAGGATCTTCGGGAAGATGCTGGGCAGGGCCCGGAGGCGTCCGGTGCTGCCTCAGGTCCTGGGCCTGGGAGTGGAGCCATCCTCGTAGCTGTGGACACGGACAATGGGGAGGGGACCAGCTGGGTCAGTGTTGGCCACACTGAAAATGAGTCCCTGTGGTGGCAATAATTGTGTCAGGAAAAGCCAAGGTCTCGGGAAGCCCTGGTCAGAGACACGTCCTGCCCACAAACAAAGATGTATATTGAAACGGTGGCTCTGCCGGGGTGCTGGGAGGCCGAGAGGCTGGGAGGTCAGGGCACTGGGAGGCTGGGAGGCTGGGAGGCCAGGGTGCTGGCAGGATGGGGCACTGGGAGGCTGGGAGGCTGGGAGGCTAGGGCGCTAGGAGGCTGGGAGGCTGGGGCGCTGGGAGGCTGGGAGGCCGGGGAGCTGGAAGGCTGGGAGACTGGGGTGCTGGGAGGCCAGGGCGCTGGGAGGCTTGGAGGCTGGGGCGCTGGGAGGCTGGGAGTGGGGGAGCCTAACCCCAGGAGTCCAGGCCGGGCCCAGCCCACCCCTGAGATGGCCACAGAGGTTATCTCTACCGAGATGCCCAAATGCCCCTACCCAGGCAGCTCCCTCCCACCCCTGGCTCACAGACACAGCAGCCCTCACCCTCAGCTCCTCAGAAGGGCGGGGGCTGTGGGTGATGCTCTGGCAGGAGGCAGATCCCTGCGTGTTGAAATGCACATCCCTCCCCATGCCCACAAAGACGCCCCGGCATGGCCAGCAGAAGCCATAAAAATGCAAAGACCTCAGTGAGTGTTTGCAAAGTTCACCTGCCCACCGTCTCCAAGCGGGCGTCTGGAATAATGAGATCAAAGGCCACTGGGGCAGGGGTAGGGGAGGCAGGTCGTTACCATGGTTATTTATTAGTTTGTTCTTTCACCCCCTGCTTGGTTCAGCCAAGATTTAAAAGAGTGGTTACTCTTCGTGCGTGTGTATCAATAATGGATTGACAGAGCACTCTACCAGCAGCCACCGCTGGCGCACTTGACCCCGCAGCCTCCATCCAAGCCAAATGCATGGCTCCTGTCCCTGGAGCCCTGTCCCCAGCCTGGTACTGCAGTGCTCAGCTCAGAAGGGGGTGGAGGGAGAAGGCTGCCAGGCCTCCTAGGCCCAGTTAACGTCCTCCCCGCGTTCACACGCCATCCTCAGCATCCTGGTGTGAACGGAGAACAGGCCAGTGCTCCACCGTTGCCATCAGACGGATTCCCATTCCTTACGCACTTTCTGTTACAAACCAGGAGACCCCCTCCCACTGTGTGGAGCGTTGAATAGAGTCCCCCAGATTCAGGCCCATCCAAACCTCAGAATGAGGCCATGTTGGGGACTGTAATTAGTTAAGGAATTCGAGATGAAATCGGCCTGGATTTAGGGTGGGCTCTAATCCAATGACTGGCATCCCTGTAAGAGGGGGGAGGACACATAGACACACACACACGAGGACAGACACATGGGGAGAAGGCCGCATGAAGGAGGCAGGGCTGGGAGCAATTCAGCCACAAGCCAAAGACCACCTGGGACTACCAGGCACTGGAAGGGGCCAGGAGGATCCTCTCCCGGAGGCTTCGTGGGGAGCGTGGTCCTGCCAACACCTCGATTTCCGAATCGCACCCTCTGGAACCAGGAGAGGATGGATATGTGTCGTTTTGAGCCACCAAAGTTGTGGTCCTTTGTCCCTGTGTGGGCGGAAAGCTGCCAACAGGTTGGTCGGGACGCAGCTCCAGGTCCCCTGTGCAGCCACACGGCAGACTTGGCTCTGCCTCTTCCCTGGGACTTCCCTCCAACATCAGCGCCCTCTCCGAACCCCTTCCCAACGCAGGCCTCGTGGCAAACCCTGCCCGCAGCTACAGAGAAGTCAGCAAGACCCACGAAAACATTTTCACCAAAGCCATCTGCCCAGTGCAGAAAAGCGTGGGTCCACTCCCTCCTGTTTCTTGGGCCCAGGGCTTGCTCCTCAGAAAACAGGGGCACTCCCTCCCTCACTAAACACCTGCTTGCTGCTGCGCCTCCCGGGAGGTCCCCATGTGAAGGCGGCCTGGCCCGAATGGGGGTGTCGGGGCTCTGGTGACCACTGCAGGCGGGCGTGTTGATTCTGTCCTGGAGATACAGGAAGAGGCGGATGGGGAAAGGATGCGGTCAGCGTCCGAGACAGGGAGATACATGGAGCCATCCATTTCCAACCTGGGCAAAGAGCATTCCGGAGGGAGGAGGACATTGTCTTTTCGAGAACTCACGTCCCATCTACCAGCTGAACGCGCAGCAGACAGGCGTGGTGGGATTTCGCTGGACAGGCCAGCTAGGTGGCGAGAAAGGGACCCAAACGTCAGCTTCCACAGCAACGCTGCTTCCTGGGAGCCTGGCCCAGGGCTCAGGGAGTCAGGCTACCATCCATGAAGGCCAAGGGCCTGACGGTTTTTCTTTTTCCTGCAGGTGAACATGAAGCCATGAGGGCGAGCGCCCTCCCTGAGCCTGTGACTCCTTCCCTTTGTCCTTTCCCTCCACCAGGGACATTGATTGCAAGTGAAAAGCCACGAATCTAAGCTTGACCGCTATTTGTTTTCCATAATGGTATCTTCTCAACCTTGAAACTACTTTCTGTTTTGAAAATTATCCGGCATCTGAAAAAAGCCGCATTTGAGGACGCGTGCCGGCCAGGGTCCCCGAGACTGGGAACCAGGAGCAAATACATGAGTTCTGGGTCTGCCGGTGCAGCCGGCGGGGAAGAAGACAGGGGTTCCTCCCGGGCGCTCACGCACCAGCCCCCTCTCAAAAGCCCACAGCTCCGGCTGCCCCCACACCAAGGGCTGGGTCCCAAGCTTCGCTGCTCTACCAGGAAGCCAAAGCCAGCAGGCGCTGACTTCTGGACTCAGAGATGGACTCACACCCATGGACAGACACAGACCTGGAACCACATGGGAGGGATGGGGCTGGGGAGAGATTAGGAGGGGCTTGAGGTCAACATGAGGTTCAACATGAATTACCCAGGGTGGGTGTCCACGGTGGGTACCCGAGGGCCAACGCAGGCACGTGTGGGACACACAGGCATGCACACGGGCACTCATGTATGACGGTCACACACAAGCACAGGCACACGCACATGCACGCGTGTACAGGGCTCCCAGGGCACACACACACTCAGGGACACACGTGTGTGCCCACACACACACGCACACACCATCCCAGCACTAAGGCCTGGACAGGGCCTAGCAAGCGCTCTCCCCGCTATGGGCCGGAAAGTGGATGAAAATGCTTGCAGAGGGGCCAGCATCGGCCGGGCCCAGCCCAGCCCTGCGGCTGAGGCTAAAAGGGGCTGCTGAGCTTCACCTGGGCACAAGCTGGGCCCTGCAGGTCAGCAGCCCCCTCTGTACCATGAGCCTGCTGCTCCCAGTATTGGTCCTCCCCCTGCCACAGGCCCTGCTCACAAGGCTGGCCGTGAGGAGCCCCACCTTGCCCCTCAAGCAGGGGGCTCCACCATCTGGGCCGGCCTGGCCCCTGCCCAGGAGGGCCCCTCAGAGGCTCTGCAGATGGGTGAGGCCCTGACAACAGCCCAGGGGGCAGGACACGCTGGCCTCACCCAGCCCCAATCCCCAGCCCGCAAGCTCGGCGCTCTGTGCTGTGCCCCCAGCCCAGGTGTTGGGAGACAGGCTCTAGCCAGGTGCATCATGCATGGAAACGCACAGAAGGCTCCACGACGGCCCAGCACGGCCGCTCCCACCAGGGCCAGGGACACTGGAAATGGGGGACGGGCCTGGGGTGCAGCTGTGTGCCGCCCAAGCAGCCAGGGCAGGGTCCCAGCAGGGCCAGGCAGCCTCAGCCCCACAGGCGGCTCGTCATGTCCGCCTGGCCAAGCACAGGCTGGCGGCCCATTTGCTATTTTGAGGCGATGGGCGCAGCGGCTGAGCCACTCAATGCTACCAGGAGCCGGGTGGGGGGAGGAGGGCAGAACCTTCAGAACTAATGTCAATTTTCTGCATCAAATATTTTGATAATTAAACAAAGCTGATCAAGAGAGGCAAGCAGCACGGCTCCGGAGCTCCGGAAGCAGAGCCCATTAAATAGAGGGGCCAGAAAGTGCCCGAGGCGGCAGCCTCAGATTAATGACTCGGCGGTAATAGATTTTCCCAAGCTCTGCCGCACGGGGCAGCGGGGGCAGGACGCGCTCGGAGCCGGCGCCCGGAGACGCCGTTAAAGGAGCAGGGATGGTAAATCAAGGTGCACACGTGGACAGTGGGGCCGGCCTCAGGCTGAGACCCACCCACCCGTGTGTGACCCCAGGTGACTGCTCCTGGGGTGATGAGGAGCTAAGGTCCAGGTGCTCCGGACGCCCCTCAGACCAGCAGGAGGTGCGCTTCCAGCACAAGGGGCGGCGTGGAGAGGCGGAGGGGACAGTCCCGCCCTCTGACCTTGTCCTTCGGCTGCAATGATGCACATCTAGGTCCTGGGGCGAGGACCCGTGCCCCTGAGGGTGCCCTCTGTGCTGCCCAGAGAAGGAGGGTCAGGCTGATGGGGCTGGCCGAATTTATGCCCCAGACCTCGCCCACCTGACACCCGCTCACATCCCCACGGCTGTGAAGTATGGAAACCAGATGAAGGAAGCCTGTTCCAACCCAGCAGAGGCCTCATAGGATCACACTGCAGGGATGGGTTAGATTTGGGATGTTTTCCAGGGCCAGGGGCATTGTAGGGTAATGAAACCCAGGGCTCCTGACCGGCCCTGTCCTACCCCCGTGCCTGCAGCTGACCTGGGGAGGGTGGGGCTGCATGTTTGGGGAAGGCACCCACCGGACCCTGGTGCTATGGAGAAGCTGGACCATGCAGGAGGAGGCCCTGACCCCTGGGGGGTAGAGGAGGCCAGTGGGCTCCACCAAGCCCCTCACAGATTCTTGGGGCCCCTCTGTGAGATGCAAGTGTGGGAACTACCCATCATGTGGTCCTCCGAGAAGCAGCACGGCCGTCCCTCTAGAGAGCTGGCCTGGGTCCAGAGTGGCCATCCCTTGAGAGAGTTGGCCTGGGTCCAGGACCTCCTGTGTGTGGGTTCCCTGGGCTCCCCCAGCCTTCGAGGTCTGGGGCGCGCAGGGAGTGAGGGTACAGGCACCATTCTTTCTGGCTTTCATTCAACAAATGCATACTGGGGGCTGTGGTGGGCCAGGCTCAGGAAGACAGCTATGGCCTAGGCAGGTGAAGCTCCCAGAGGGGCCGAGGGGCCATCCCTGTCTACACAGCGACGGTTGTGCAGCCAGCAGTCCTCCAAGAGGGGCTAGCCCATCCCCAGGTGCGGGATCACGGCCTGTGTGCTACCTGCTGGTCTACACCACCGTGACGGCAAAAAAGCCTGGGGGGTGCTCTCCAAGCCGCGCTGACTGAGGCCACCCAGGACCAGCAGCAATGCAGTCGCCTCCTGATGCCTCCTCCCTGCAGGGCCTGCACGCAGCTCTGGGGTACAGAGGCCTCCTGGAGCTCACAGAGGGGAGTGAGCTGCGAGTGCTTCACCCATGCCCAGTCCTGGGGTCTGCAGCTCCGTGCCGGGGAGGACTCCATGCTCTCTCGGCCACCCTCCCTTCTCATGGCCAGAGGGCCCCGGCAGTGGGACTGGCCGGAGGGCGCCTGGGACACCTGGAGCTCTCGGCTGCCCTGTGGGTCCTTTCCCACCTACCTCATGCCCCAGTGTGGAAGGGGAGGCGCCTGTATGTCCTTCCAAGGCAACGAAGGGTAACACAGGGCTGAGTCCTGGGTCGGCTTGGCTCCGGATCCCCACTCCCTGCCCTGGCCCCAGAGCCCATGGAGGCAGGCTGGGCCCAGGGTCCTCCTTCAGTCCCAGCAGCCCCGCCGGCTGCAGCCCCCAAACCCTGTGCCTGCCCCCACCCCTCTAGACAGGCATACAGGCGCCACTACCCCACCCAGGTTCTTGAAACTAAAATCACCCCATCTCTTCTGTTTTACATCGTTAGAAAGCGGAACCTTTCCATAACTGCCTGGTCACCCTCTGCATACAATTTTTTCTCCGTATGGACATAGATTGTTCTAATTAGAATCATGTATCCTGACTATGCTCCAGTTTTTAACCCGCACACGCTGGCCGGAGCCTGGACAGGCAGGAGTTTGGGTTCAGGACCAGAGATGCCGGCAGGGAGGGCTCGGCGGTGCTGGCTGCGTGTGCCAGGGTCTCCCTGTGCTTGTAGAGTGTGTGTGCACAAGCACGTGCTCACGTGTGTGCTTGCGGTGTACATGTGTGCACATGTGTATGCTTGCCAGGTGTGTGTCCATGCATGAGTGTGTGTGTATGCTCACACGTGTGTGCACCCTGCCCAGCACCACACACTCAGGAGACCATGTTTCGGGAGCCCAAGTGGGATAGAGAGAAGGTCTCACAGCCCCTGAGGCAGCAGCCTCCCCCACAGTCATTTGTGCACTTGGCAAACACTTGTCTGGCACCTGCCATGTCCCAGGTACCCATCCCGGCCCCCACTGGGTTCCCACTGTAGTGTCTCGTCAGCAGGGCAGGGGCGTGGTCACTAACAGGTGCCCTGGGGTGAACGTCCAGCTCGAGGGGCAAGATCCAAGCTCATGGACCAGAGCCCTCACCCTCTGTGAGCCCCACTCTCCAGCACTCCCTGCCTCAGCCTCAGAGCCACAGCAAGGCGCAAGGCCACTCTCACCCTCACACCTTTGCAGAGGCCGTTCCCTCTGCCCAGCTGCCCTTCCCTGCCTCACCCACCAGCAAAAACCACCCTGTTCTCCCTGGACCTGTGGAGGCCGCAGCTACAGGTGGAGCCCCCGCCCCTAGACACCCAGCCTTCTGTTCCTGCTGCCCTGGGGGCCTCACCATAGCCCCCACTTGGTGGGTGCTGCCACCCCTCACTCACCCAGCAGGTATTCAGAGCCAACCCCGTGCTGCCGCAGCAGGTCCTTCCACTCAGGTTGGGGCCTGGGCCCCAGAGCACCTGCCGGGCCGCACCGCCCCACCGCCCCCTCCCTGAGCCTCCACTCCTCATCTGCCCAGGTGGCAGGAAACGCCTGCAGGGAGGGGGTCCTGGCTGTGAAGCAGGGGCTGCCTGCCCCTAGGCCACAACGGGTTATCCCACCCCCAAGTCCTACAGGGGGTGCAGACGGCAGAGTGAAGTCCCTGGAAGCCCCCCCGGGCACAGCAGCATCTCAGCCCCGGGCAGCCCAGCTCAGCCCCATCCTCAGAGCAGATGGTGCCACTCCGGGTTTGATTCTCCAGGAAGTAAATCCGTGCAGCCCCATGCCAGTGTTGCTGGGATTTGTGTGAGGCAAGAAGCCTAGAAACCTCCTTGTGAGGACTGTGGGTTAGGGACCCATTGCAGCACCCACGTGGCGCGGCCGACACGGTGCACACACCCGGGCTAGTGTCCGCCATCCCCAGCTGAGCAGGAGACAAAAGAGCCACCCAGGGATCTTCCCACAGGTGGGCCTCCCCCCAGCATGCCGGGATTCAGGGCCCCTCCCGGCCCTCGGTGAGTGACCAGGACCCTCGCGTGTCTGCTTCTCCATCCAGGTGGTCCTGAGCCGAACGTTCAGGAACCCGGGGCTCATGGCGACCCAACCCTGAGGGCCCTAGGGCTCTGAATGAACTGTGGCTGATGACGTCCAGGCAGGGGCTCGGGGGCAGCTGAGCAAGAAGGGGTCAGGGAAACGGCCCGGAGAGGACTGCGGGAGGGCCAGGCTCCCAGCCAGAGCCCCAACCCAGTGGGGGCCAGTCAGGACACCTGTGGCCAAAAATCATTTGCACCAGAGGAACGAGGAAGGGGGCGTCCTGGATAAAGGGCCAGGATCTCGGCGAGCCTCCCGCCTTGGCTTAGGCCTTGGCCACCAGGAACTCAGGGACCCAGCTGTCCCCTGAGCTAGGCGCCCACGTCCCCAGCTGAGCCACATCTTGTCCCTGAGTCCAGGCTGCCTCCTGGAGACCCTGTGCCCCAGCCAGCCCACGCCTGGGTGCCCCTGGGCCCACCAAGGAGTGGCCCCGGCTGCACCGGGGGGCCTGACTCACAGCACTCCCCTGCACACTCGTGAGGGTCCCTGCTGCGGCCCAGAATCCAGCTCAAGGTCAGAAGCGGCCCCCGGTCTGCCCCTCGGGGACCTGCATGCAGGGGCCACATTGTAGTGTCAGGATCAGGCCCACCAGGTCCAGCAGGACCCATAAATCACACGTGTGCCCAGTGCCCGCTCGGTCACTGTAACTACACGGTGGCTCGGGCGGCCCCATTTTTCTATTGGCTGTGACAGCTCAGATAAATCTGTCCAAGCCAAGCCACTATGGGCAGCAGGGCATAGCGAGGACGGGGCAGCCAATCCAGGTGTGTGCTGTCTGGAAGCCCCATGACCGGGGGACGGTGGGGAGGCCGTGACCTTGTGGTCACCCTCGCTGAAGAGGCCCAGGGGCTGCCAGAGGTGGGAAGTGAGGCGGCTTCCTCCCTGTCCCCTTGGGGGCTGAAGGACCCGGCCGTGGCACAGAAACGCTGCTGCCCTTCCAGCCTCGGTGGCCATGCTTGTGTGCGAGGGGCCAGAGGGACTTGGGGCCCCTGACAGTGGCACCCAACCCCTGGGATCCTGCCCAGCACCGCCCTGTGCTTCCCAGCCTTGCACCCGCCCCTTCTGGCTGTGTGGCCCTGGGCCAGCCCCTCACCCTCTTTAGACCTCCCTTTTCTCACCTGCAGACTGGGGACACGGCTCCCACTCCAGTGCAGTCAGGACCAAGCCGGGGGCTGCTGAGAGCTGTCGCACACACAGGAGACTTTGGCTGTCCTTATGAGCACCCTGCCATGCCAGGGGACCAGTCATGAGCTCAGTAAATCCCTCTACAGGGGCACTGACATGACAGAAACCAGCCCCAGGACGGCTGCCCCGAAAGGACCTCACCCCGCCTCCCCACTCTGCGTGCCTCCGCTCCACTACCAGGGTCCTCTCTGTCCGCTCGGCCCACCTCCTTTCCTGGACAGCCCACCCCTCACTGGTCTCCTGAGACCCATCCGTTGGCCACCCCTGGCCCACCCCCACAACAGCCAGCAGCCAGGGCCAGCCTGCCCTGCCCAGAGAAGGTGGGTGACGCAGATGGGCCCGGCTGCCAGGAGCTGTCCCCAGACATTAGATGACCAGTGCTGGCTCTGTCTGTGTCTCTGAGACTCCCCCAAGCTCAGGTCTCTGCACCCCACCAAGGGTTGTTGAGTGACGAGGGCAAAGATGGTGGCAGCCAACCCTCCTGGGGAGCCACACACCCTGTTCCCTGCCAGCCCTGGAGGTGGGAGCTCTCCGTGAACCCCATTCCTGCCCAGGCAGTGCCCAGCCCAGAGGTCTCGAGGCCCAGTGGGTCTACATGGTCACGTGCCTCCCTCTGTCTCACGACAGGCCACAGAACCTGCAATGAGGCCTGGGGATTTGCAGATTCCCGTGGAATTGCGGCAGAGCCGGCCCCAGGCCCAGTTCCCAGCTAGCTCAGCAGGCACCCACCACCCATCCTCCTGAGCTCTGTTCACGCCGCGTAACCTGTGGTTCTGTCCTCAGAACCTGGCCCCTGGCTTTGCCTGGTCACCATCAGCATGGCACCTCCTTCACCCGTGTCCCGGGATGCTATCCTCTCATGTCCACTCCGCCTCTGTCCTCCTGACGGTCCCCAACGCCGCCTGCTCCAGGCCACTCCGCCTCTGTCCTCCTGACGGTCCCCAACGCCGCCTGCCCCAGGTCACTCTGCCTCTGTGCCTGGGCCTGGTCAGCCTGACCATCTTCTCAACACCATCTCTGGTACCAGCTCGGGAAACCCCTGGGGTCACACCAGCCCCCAGCTTCTCGGAGGATGGAGGAAGGGGCTCCACGGCTGAGGAACGGGTACTGCTCACACCGGACAGGGTGCGTCTGCGGTGTGTCCAGGTGGAGGAACGCCAGGAGGACTCTGGTCAGCTTACCAAAGGCATGTCCACAGAGCGGAAGGGAGTCACTTACCAAAAATACTGCAGGAATAGGGCAGCATTGACTGAACCCCACTCCAAGGAGGCTCCCGACTCAAAGCACAGAACAGTTCAAACGCCCATGCGGGTGGGGACTGGTCACCTTCCACGCTCCCGGAGCTCCTCCTGTTCCCAGCAGGCCAGGAACCAGGCACAGAGTGGGCAGCAGAGGCTCGTGCCAGCCGGTGGAGCGGCGCCCGGCCCACAGCTGTAGAAATGTGTCTACAACCCCGGGAAGGGCCCCAGGCCCCTGGACCAAGTGCTGGTCACCGACAGGCCCATCCGCACAACCCACACACGAGGCCGTGGCCAGAGACAAAGCATGTGGCCCACTTCAGCCCAGCACCCCTGGGACGGCCCCTCCACTGAGTCACCACGTGGCAGGGTCATGTGAGGCACCTTTGAAACCCCGGAACCCTCCTTGAAAGACGAGCCCAGGGGTGGCTGACGGAGTTAAAGGTCCTGAACTGGGAACCCAGCTCTGTTCAAAAGCCAAGGTCAAGGGAGAGAGGACTCTGAGGAGAGGGATGCCAAGGAGCCCCTGAGCACAGCCAGGTCCATGCCTTCTCCTGTGGCTTTGGGGACCCCTGCCCTGGGACCAGCAACCGTGGCCTGGTCAGCCCCTGCAGTTCTCCCCTCCCACTCTGATGGGGAGCCTCCGTTTCAGGGCCGGTGAGCAGCCAGGCCAGTGAGCCTTAAGCCCTTCCTCCAGCAAGGAAAGTGTCGCCTCTCCACTGGCAGCAGCTGGCACAGGGTGGATGGGACAGGCGGTGGGCACCTGGTTCCCTCCCTCATCCCCTGGGAGTGACATGCCAGCGGCCCGGGCCCCCAACCCTTCCATCAGCCAAGAGACAGAGGCCGCATCCCTTCCATCTGCGCCGGATCCCCGTCCACTCTCGACACCCACCCCCCATCCTTGATAGATAATGGTTTAATAAGTGATCTGTTTTTTATTTAAAGGGTCGGCAGTAAAACCCAGATCGCATTTCTCACTCGGTGGGTTAAAAAACCGCTTACGCTCATTTCTGCAATGTAAAGCGACACTATATCAAATCAAACATTTCCAGATGTGGCCAGCTTGCGCGGAGGTGCGGGCGGCCGCCGGCAGGCCAGCGAGCGGGAAAGGCAGGCCAGGCGCTGGAAAGCAGGCCAGAGACACCACCTACTGGCCGGCCAGGCGGCACCGGGCCCAACTCCCTCTGCGGATGCAGCAGATTCCTGCGGGGTGCGAGGGTCTGAGGACCCTTCCCATGAGCGGGGCCCGGAGCAGGGCAGGGGCCAGGGCACCCTCGGCTTCCAGGCCAGGCTAGCCACTCAGCCCAGGCCTCTGTGGCCACGTTCTGTCTCCCAGCGGCCACCCCTGCCCACGGCAGCTGGAAGAGTGCCTGGAGAGCCCCGGGGAGAGAGGAGTCCAGCACAGAGCACTGATACAGTGTCCAGGACCCACTGGGAGGCCCAGAAAGCGGGGAAGACCTAAGAGAGGCTGATGGGGCTCCTGAGCTTCCTTGGCCCCTCCTCAGCTGAGCACGCTAACCTGGGGCCCGGCCCCACACCGGGAAACGGGAGTGGGTTTGTGACATCATCCTATGGATGGGACCCCAGGCCTCAAGGAGCCCCTCGTCCTCCAGACCACAGGACCAAGAGCACCCCAGGCCAGGCCACCAGGCGGCTCCATTCAAACAGAAAGAGGAAGCAGGGTCTTGGGTCCTGCAAAAGCCCCCAAAAGCTGCAGCTACGAGACAGATGCCAACCCATAACCCACACGGCTGCACAGAGGTGACAAGCACTGGTGTGAGGGAACCTGCCGGAACACCTTGGGGCGGAGAGTTCTAGAAAGCCCATCCTCCAGGGGCTCCTGGACCCACCCAGGCCGTCTCTAGGGGTGGGGAGCCCTGGAAACACATTCGCTGGCAATCGCCCTAAAACGCATTCCCGGGATTCCCCCCACAGTATGTGGTTTGCCCTTGGAATTAAAACCAAGGCCAACTTTCGATTTAGCGATAGAGTTGTAAACTCTCGAGGTGTATGGAGGCCTGACCGACCCCAGAGAGGAGCCCGGCTCTATCAACAGAGGCTCTTGGAAGCAAATTTGGGATTTGGTCCAAAGCCTGTGGAGTCACCTTTTGTGAGATCTGCCATGCGTCTGTGTGGGTCACGGGTGGGGCTGGGTGACAGGAGCCCCGTGAGCCCCACCCTGCCCCTCCTTCTAGAGGGTCTTCACCCCAGACACAGCACCACAGAGCCCAGCGCCTGCCCCACTTTCTGCGCCATGATGTGGGGCGGAGGGAGGGAAACCGAGGATGGACAGGAGCCAGCTGGCCCGGGAGGTGCCGTCCTGCCTGGGTGGCCCAGCCAGGGACGATCTGGCAGAGCCAGCCGGACGCACCCTCCCCCAGGCTTCCTGCAAGGCCAGCCCTTCCCCTCCACCCTGCAAACAGGAGTGATAGAGAGTCCTCGGGGGTCTCTGAAGTGCCAGAACTCCCCCTTCCCCCTCTCTCTAATGTTGTGTCTGCAGGACGCAGACGTCGGCCAGCTGATGCCTGCAGCCCACTGGCCACTCCAAGCCCAGCTGGCAGAGCTGAAACCATGACGTCACCCAACAGAGAACTAAGTGCCCCGGGCCTCTCTCTGCCCCACCCAGCACCCACATGGCTCACATGCACACCCACAGGGGCCGTGTCCTGTAGACTCTGACCTGGGGGCTGACCATCCTCCCCTAGACCCCTCTGAATTTTGCCCACCAGGGTAGAGAAGGGTCCGCCTGCCTTACGTTGGGGTTTTATATTTCCCAGTGAAAGGAAATTACACCTGAGACGGTAGGAGGGAAATGCTAGACTGCTCTTGAGTGAAATACCGCCTCTTCCAAGAAGTCCTCCTGGCTTAACAGCCCTTCAACCCTGGCCCCTCCTTCCTACTCCAAGATATTCTGGGACAGGACCTGTGTTTTTCCCTTTTATTTTCTTCAGGACCTCACCGCCGTCACTCCCAGCCCTCCCTAGTTCCTGGCACAGACTATGCTTCTGCCAGAGGGTGTGGGGCAAAGGCTGACCAGCAGGTGGGTTGTTCTCCATACAAAAGCACTGGTTGCATTTTTAATAATAGCATTGGGTGAAACGTGCCGCTGCCTCTGTCGCATGAGGAAGGCTTCGTTTAACGAGCATCGGGTGCCCCCTTTCCACACAGACCCCCAATCCTGCATCACCCCAGCTCAGAGCCATGGTTGCCCCCCAACCAAGCCACTCAGGGAGGCCAGGTAATGCTGGGATGGGCCCCTGCCTGCCCTGGCTGGCCGCTCCTGACTCTGAGACTTAAGCAAACCCATGCGCTGAAGCCACCTTGCTGTTCACATTTTGTGTTTTCACCAGGCCTCCTTCTGCCCCACGGCTACCCCTGCCCAACCTTCCGGCACCGCCTCCAGCTAGACTTTCCAGAGGCAGGCTGGACAGACAGCAGTGCCTCCCAACACCTCTGCGTCCTTGTCTGAGACCATAGGATGAGGAGAGAGAACCCATGTCCAGCAGCCACTACAGGATTAAACAGGGAGAGGCAGGTGCGGGGCCACTGCGGGCACCCCAGGGGAGCAATTCCTGTCACCGTCACCATCATCACCATTGTTGCCATCATTGCCATCGTCGTGGTTTTGCCCAGTAGCTGCCCGTGAGCCATCACAGTCTCACCTCTCTCCCCAGTGGCTGCCTGTCCCAGGCCTGGGCGGAGGCTGGGGGGACCTGAGGAGTGGCCGTCTCTGTCTTCCAGGCCCGGACAGCCTCAGAGGGCAAGTGGAAGGGGTCGACTCACCCAGGGGAGAATTCGGAAACCCCCCGGGATCCATCCAGGGACTCAGAGAGGAGGAGGGTCTGGTGGAGCCGCAGGGTCTTCAGGAGGGCTTCCTTGAGGGGGCAGAACTGGAAGAGAGAGCAGAGATTAAACCTACGCCAACAATCGCCCTAGGACAGAGGAACCTTAAAGCATCGCCTCAGGGCACCTCCAGGAGACAGAGAGAGAGAGACTCCAACCCCAGGACAGCAGCACAGCCCTCAGAGGAATCCAGGCCCAGGGAGTTGGGGAGGAGGAAGGGTCTCCTGAGCCGATATCCAGGACAGAGCCACAGCCTGGAAGCCACATTCCTTAGTTTCACTTCATCTTGTAAATAACGCTGCAGTTTAGGGCTCCACATTTTTTAGGCAAAAAGAAAGAAAGAGAAGAAAGAAAGAGAAGAAAAGAAAAGAAAGAAAAAGAAAGAGAGAGAGAGAAAAAAAGAAAGAAAGAAAGAAAGAAAGAGAAAGAAAGAAAGAAAGAAAGAAAGAAAGAAAGAAAGAAAGAAAGAAAGAAAGAAAGAAAGAAAGAAAGAGAAAGAAAGAAAGAAAGAAAGGGAAAAGAAAAATCTGGCCAGGCGCAGTGGCTCACGCCTGTAATCCCAGCACTTTGGGAGGCCAAGGTGGGTGCATCACCTGAGGTCAGGAGTTCAAGACCAGCTTGACCAACATGGTGAAACCCCATCTCTACTAAAAATACAAAAAATTAGCTGGGCGTGGTGGTGCATGCCTGTAATCCCAGGTACTCGTGAGGCCGAGGCAGGAGAATAACTTCAACTCAGAAGGCGATGGTTGCAGTAATCCAAGATTGCACCACTGCACTCCAGCCTGGGTGACAGAGCAAAACTACATCAAAAAAAAAAAAATCCTCAGGTTGGCAGGCTGGGGAGAGCTTGCAGCTGTAATAAATGGAGCTTATACTAATAGGGCATGGGCGGGTAACAGGTGCCTTTTCCTAGGCTCTGAGGAGCACTTGGAAAAGCAGAGGGTCAGCCCCAGTGCCTGGGGGCCAGGGGACACAGGAGCCCTCCTACAGCAAACACTCAGACAGGCCAGGTTTCACACCCTCCACACGCTGTCACCCCTGGCTGAAGGTGGACATTTGGCTCATGCTGCCCCTCCCGCACCCCTGCCAGAGGGATAAGCTGCAATTAAGAAAGTGGGAAGCAGTGGCTGGGCACCCCTCAACTCAGAGAGAGAGAGGCTGGGGACAGTCATGCCCTGGCCTAAGGGAAGCCATGCTGGGGGCCCAGGTCCTGGTCCCTGACTTGGAGCTCAGGGGCAGGGATGAGTCTCGGAGGTGTCTGGGCAGTGCCAGCTTCACCTGAGGCCTCACGGGGAGGACCCACCAGAAAATGCTCTGCCGTAACCCCATTTCTGCCTGGCTCCCCGGTCCTCATCCCCAGAAGGCCCCTGGGACATGCAGAGAAGAAAGGGGGGCTCCTACCCAGCTGCCTAGGCCAGTCCTCCCAGGCCCCTCCAAGCCACACAGAGAAGCCCTGGAGAGTGACCAAACCAAGGGACTCCCTCCGGAAAAGCATGTTCAGGACAGGAGGCTTCTGAGAGGTGCTGCAGAGGCCCAGCCCTGACCAGCCAAGCTGCCCGGCTGGTGCCCAAAGCCCTTGGGGACTTTGTCAGGGATGAGTCACAAAGTGGTAAATTGAGGGCTCTTTCTCATATCAGCTCACCCCCCAGGTCCCTTCACCACCCCTTAGAAGGAATGTTCTAGTAGCCCCTTCCAGCTTTGGAGTGTTTAGTTTAGTGAGAGGAAAATATGAAGAGGCTGTGAGAGGTGGGAAGCGAAGACTGCAAAAGACGAAGTGTGCTCCAAAACTCTTCCCGGCCTGACCTCAGCCTGAGCTTTCCTCTGTGTGGGGAGGAAG
Organism: Homo sapiens; assembly: GCF_000001405.40. NCBI lineage: Eukaryota > Metazoa > Chordata > Mammalia > Primates > Hominidae > Homo > Homo sapiens. The sequence continues at coordinate 2,871,577 of NC_000001.11, read as the reverse complement.
TACAGCCAGAGGAGCTGGGCAATCCAAGGCTGCACCATGAGGTGGAAGGATAGCTGGGCCATCCAAGCCTGCACCATGAGGCGGAAGGATAACTGGGCAGTCCAAGGCTGCACCATGAGGCAGAAGGATAGCTTGGCTATCCAAGGCTGCACCACGAGGCAGAAGGATAGCTGGGCTGTCCAAGGCTGCACCATGAGGCAGAGGGATAGCTGGGTCATCCAAGGCTGCACCACGAGATGGAAGAATAGTTGGGCTGGGGCTGGGCCAGTGCCCTGGGATGAAACTCAATCTGAATTTGCCCTTCCTGTCTCAGTTCACCTCCCCACTAGGCCATGGAGGGGATTCCAGCCCAGGGCCAGGTGCCTGCCTTTGAGCCCAGCCCTGACGTTGTTGGCTAGCAGGGTGACCCTGGCCCAGCCACCTAGCTTCGTGAAGGCTCAGTTTCCTTGTCTAGCTTCCACTTCACAAACTTCATTCTCACCAAGTCCTTGCCCCAGGAATTTGGCTCAGGGCACAGTAATCCATCACTAGGGGAGGCTGCTGGACTCGATTTTGTTAGAGCTCTCTGAGGCTTACCGCCTTGGGGCCCCTGTTGGGGTCTCCAGGCAGACCCTGGCAGTGGGGCCATTTGACCCCTCAAGATTCTGCAACCCATGATGTCTAGAACAGCCTCAGAAGGCCAGAATGCCTGGGCCCCCAGGGAGTCTAGGGAGGCCCTGTCTCCAGGCAGGCTGCTAAGACAGGCTCTGGCCAGCAGGACGTCCACACCCTCAGGGTGGGCTGACCTACTGCCATTGGATGCCAGCTGGGTTCAGGGCTCTGGGCCTTCTGGGCAGGGCTGGGTCATGGAGGTGGTGATGATACCAGGTGGTGACAGGCCGGCTCCTCTCACTCACCCTAGCCGGACACACACCCCAGGGAGCCTGTCTACTTCCAGGCAAGGGGCTGTCCTCTCCTCCACATGCCCCACCTTGCCTGGTCAAGGGAGAGCCCAGCTCCCCTCCCACCCTGTGTAACTCCCCCGTCCGTCTCCATCCTCGTGACTGGTGGCCTGGAACTCTCAGCACCCACAGCTCTCAGGGGAGAATGTGACATGTGAAATCATCCAGTGACCACGCAGGGCCAGGTGCCTTGACCAGGAATGATGGTGGGGTGGGGGGTCAAACTCAGCCATGGGGATCAGGGCAGGCTTCCTGGAGGAAGAGGCATTTAAGTGGAGGCAAAAGAGTGGGGAGGTAGGGAAGAGGACAGTCAGCATCTGGAAGACCCAAATACCCAGGGAGGGCTGGCCCCGGGGGCTGCACTGGGTGGAGATGCCAGGAGTTGAGCCAGGCCCTGCTGCCTCCCAGCAAGTGAGGGCAGGAGCCTGGCTTCCCCTTCTACGGGGGCCACAGCGAGGATGTCCCAGGAGGGGACAGAGCTGGAGCCTGGTGCACAGTGGATGCACAAAGGGTATTTGTTGAAATGAAGCAGCAAACGCTCCTCAACAGAGAGCCTGAGGCTTCGCACACTCTAAGGAAGGCTTAGGATCCCCGTCTGCCCAGTCCTGTTCCCAAGGCCCTTCATCCTCCTCTTCCCTCTGGGGTCTGCACACTGGCAGGGCAGGGGCCAGCTCTCCTCCCGGTGCCGGGCACACAGCAGGCACAAGGGAGGGACCCCAGCTGCCCCTCATGGGCCAGGGCTGGATACAAAACTTGGGAGCGAGGAGAAGACCCCACACCCGCCACAGCTCCTTGGAGCCCCCACCTGACAGAGGACCCTCGCCTGGTGCAAGGGCCTTGGGGCGGGGGTCGCAGGCTGCCTGCTCCTGCAGGGAGAGCTGGACAGTTCTGAACCGACACCGATGAGGGGAGGCTCGTGGCAGGTGAGGTCCCGGCTGGTAGCTCCCTCCTGGGTCCCCTGAGCAGTGAAGATAACACTGCGTCCTTGGGGCCTGTGGGGAGCCCTGGGAACTTGGGACGCTGCGGGGAGTCACCCCCGCTCCCAGGAAAGTGAGCCGATTTAGGCCAGAGGGAGGCCGGGGCTCCAGGGCACATGTGGACCCACATCCCCCCAGGTGTGAGCTCTTCAGCTCCTGCCCGTGCCAGGCCAGGCTCTGGGAGCTGGGGACCAGCCGTGGCCAAGCCCAGCCCTCGGGGAGCTGACCACCTTGGAGTGGGTCAGAGGGTGACTTTGTCCTGAGAAGAGGGCTCGGGGGTCTGGGCCCCTTCCCTTCCCCTCAGTGCTCCCACTCTGGCCTCATGGCCTCACCGGGCCTGTTGGAATAGCCCACACACACCCCACTCCATCCTGCTCTCTGGGGGCCTTGTCCCAGCTCTGTGACATCACCTCTTCCTTCACAGCCTTCAGTGGCTCCCTTGGGCTCAGGACAAGAGCCCCACTCCTCCACCTGCAGCCGGGCACCCCAGGGAGCAGCCCCTGCAGCCTGTTCTCTCCCTGCCCAGAGACCCCCACCCTCTGAGCTCACCGACGCCCTCTGTCCACACACAGAGTCCCCCACCTCGACGGCCCCCAAAAGCCAGTGTTTCTCAACTTCCTGCCTTCCTGCACCTCAAACCCCTGCCTGGGTCGCCCCCCTTCCTCAACCACTGGAGAGAAGCCGCAGCCCCTGACTGTAAAACCCCCCGCCCCGCCTTCACACTGCCTCCACCCCTGGCTGACAAGAGGAAGGCCACCGAGGTGGGTGACAGAAGTGCCAGCCCCCATCTGACCCCAGGAGTCAGGTGGCTTCGTGGACAGCTCCAGGGACTGTGACTGCCCGGCCCATCTTGTGCACAAAGACTCAGAGGAAGAGGCCAGCAGCAACGGACTCTCTGCCCGTGGGCACAGCCACGCCCTCCTGCCTCCTGTGGGGTGGACGCCCTCAACTTTCCGCCCCACAGGGCGATGCTGCTCCCCCATGGGGGCCGGAACCTGCTCCTGGAGTGTCAGGGCAGCCTGGGTGGAGGTCCAGCTGGCAGGGCCGGCCCATGGAGGGACGCTGGGTGGGGCCTTTGCCGACGGCAGCCCTGCACGCCAGCCATGCTCGGCAAAATATTTGTAGCATTTGCTGTGTTTAAAAAACCCTGAGGTATTAGAGAGCACTAATCTTTAAAAAGGTTAATTTATTCATAGAGATTTTGACAGAGACGTATGGCCCAGCAAGGCCATGGCCCGTCCCGGGAGGGAGCGTGCAGGAGAAGAGCTGGCACTGCAGACGGGCGACAGCATCCCCCCGGGCCGGCCCACCCTCCCACTGACCCCTGGTGCCTGCCTGCCTGGCCCAGCCTGGCTCCACCTCCCCTCCCCTCGCCGCCCCTGCCCCACATCAGGGAATGGCTCGCTCACGTTCTTGCAGGGGAAGAGGCAAAGGCCCCTGAACCCTTGGCCTCCGTACGATGCCCAGGCAGGCAGCAGCCATAGGTGGCCCTGGGGCTGCAGGCCGGGATGGTGGAGGCCACTGGCCCTCCTTCTTGGGATCTGAGAGGCACTGAGGCGCTCTCACCTCCAAATCAGCCCCCAGGGCCGGGGGCCACAAGCCCTAGCTTGGGGTGAGCACTGCCCCCTTGAGGCACCCAGGGTGTGAGAAAGAGGAGGCTGCCTTCCCCCTGGCCAGGAGGCTGGGGCTTAGGGGAGTGAGGGGCTGGAGGGAGGCCAGGGGACCCCACGGGCAGGCTGGGCCCCTTCCCCCTGCAGGTGACCAACCGCTGCAGAGCAGCCACCCTGTCAGGCCACGGATCCAGGGCAGAGGGGAGCAGCAACTCTAGAGTTTGTCTGTTGTTAACACTTCAGGGAAAAGAAAACGTCCTGGAGGCACTTTGGATGGTGTAGAAATCTAATTTACAATTGCCCGTAACCCCAGCATCCTGAACAGGATGATGATGACATCACTGATGCGCTTCCTCCCTGCCGGGCTTGGAGGGCACTGGGAGAGCTGGGCTGGTCCATGTTCCCCCGGCTCTGTGAGCACCAGGTCCTCGTGGCCTCACCTCCCACAAGCCTCGGAGCTCTGGTCACTCCAGCCACCCATGCTCAGGATTAGCTCCACCCCAGAGCCTTTGTACAGGCTCCTCTCTGCCCAGGACTCCTGCCCAGACCTCCTGTGGAGGCTCAGCCTCAGCATTCCAACCTCAGCACCAATTCACCTCCTCCAGGAAGCCCTTCCTAACTGCCCACGGAACACCCTTCATCTGGGCCCCTGTATTTCAGTTTTGCTTTCTCCAACCTCCTCTCAAAGGTATTTGTCCACTTGTCTTTTGCGAGTTTGTGGTTAGCCTGGCCGGGCAGCTCCCACGCAGCTGGGGCAGGGGCTTTCCTTGGTGGCCGCACCCTCGGACCAGGACTGGCACCAGCACAGAGCCCACTCTCAGAGGTGTTTGTCAAACGCTGAGCCAACACCCAGTCCGCGCAGCAGCATGGCCTCTGGGTGGCCCCTGGAGTCCTGCTTGATGCCCGAGCCCTGGACACAGCAGGCTCAGCAAGCGTTTCCCTCAGGTGGGCACACAGCCATTCCTGCTTCTTCTCTGTCAGGATTAATAGCCAAAACCATCTCTGTGTGCGTGGTCTCTGCCTCTGTCGAGTTGTTCCTAGGACAGAAGGCACGGCCTTCTCTTGGCTGGCTTGTGGATTCTTTCGCTGGGCCAGGGTGTTCTCTGCCTCCAGCAGCCCCAGCCCTGTCCCTGGGGTAACTTGTCCAGCCTGCCTGGCCCATGCCCTGAGCCTGGGCAGCACGATCCTGGGAGCAGCCGGGCCTTCCTGATGCCGGCTGGGTGAGTGACTCCAGGTCCAGGTCTTTCCTTTCTGCAAAGTGGGTCAATGGTTCTGTCCGGGCCGAGCGTGAGGGAACCTGAGTAGACGGCATGTGCCGCCCTGGGGTCAAAGTGGCCCTCCTTGCTTCCTTGCTGGGCTGGCGCCAGCAGCTCCTCCCCCTGCCCAGGTGAGGCCAGAATCCTCGTGCAGGTGCAAGGCCCCCTCCGGCCATTCACCCTGAGGCCTCACCCAGCCTGTGGGCACGTACTGCACACCCCAACTCCACACCCTGAGTCCCGAAGGCTCCGGGTGCCGCCCAGCTGTCCTCAAGCCCAGCCTGCCCCCGGGCGACCCCGTTCGGAAACGTCTTTGCCATCCTTGAAAGGCAGGGCAGCAGCCGAGGGCTATGAGGGACAGATGCGCTGTCCTGGGCCACGGTAAACAGGCGGTGAGGGGTGGGGATTGGGTTACGCTGGTGAAATATCGTAAAATAAATAGAGAGACGGTTGGTGTACTTCAGGTAAATTAGCCTGATTCAAGCTGTCAGCTTGAGGGAGTCTAAATAAACACAGCTTGCCGCCTCTTCCCAGCGTAGGAAGGGGCGAGGACCCTGGCCGGGCAGGGCTGCTGAGCTAATCCGTCAACCTTCAGGCAGGCAGCCTTGGCCAAGCAGATGGGGGGTGCTCCAAGCCCCCCCATGGAGGGGCCCCCACTCGGCCAGAACCATCCCCTGGCATGTGGCTGGTGTCCCTGAGCCACTGTCTTCCCTCTGCACAGGGCCGCAAGCCCATCTCTCTGGGTGCCAGGCTGCAGGATGGGAACGGGTGTGAGTGAGTGCTGGGTATTGGGGCCCCTGCAGGTCAGGGAGTGTGTCCAGCCAGCACGCAGGGCCCTTCCATGTCACCGCGTGGTGGGATAGGGTGCGGACGCTCAGAGGCTGCCCAGCTGGGGCGGGGGTCTCAGGAGGTGCTTCACCTTCCAGGACCCAAGTATCCTATGCAGTGAGATGCAGGTCCCTCAGAGCACGTGGGCCTGAAACCAGTTGATCCCAGAGCCTCTGGCACACCCTGGCTTGCAGGGAACCCTGGGTTCCACCAGAGGCTGCCCCGTGGCTGGCGCGGTGATCACTGTTTCAGAGCCAGCCCCATCCTGCACAGCACCAGACGGCCGGACTGAGGCCCCGGCAGGAAGGGACAGGATGAGGCCTCTGGATAGTCGCCCACCTCACCTCTCAGGCCCCTGGGCAGCCAGATTCCCAGGAGTTCGCCTTTCTGCAGTAGCTGCCTCTCTAGGCCAGCCTCGTCCAGGGTCTCAGACCCAGAGCTGCCAGGAGAACCCCAGCACCTAGGCCAATGCCCTGAGTGAGGTCTCAGAACCTCCATCTCTACGGCATCCTCCCCTCCCTCCTTTCAACTCTCTGTCTCTGTCTCTGGGTCTCTCTCATCCTTGCTCATCCTCAGAGCACAGTTGCACCTCCACCTCCCTTGCTTGGAAAGTGCAACCAGTGCAGGGCAGGCACAGCTGGCTTGAAGGCTTGGCTGGCACTGGCCCTGGGTCCTGGACCGTCACCTGTCCTTGAGGCCTCGGCTCTCTCACGGCTGGGGCTGGGCTGTGAGAAATCCTCCTGCGGAGGCTTCTGTGGACACAGCTGCCCACCAGCGCTGGTCAGAGGCGAGTCCACGGTCCCCGTTCTTCCTGGTCCTCAGTCAGGGACCCCTCAACCCTGCCAGGCCAGAGCCTCTCAGAGGGGAGCTGCAAGACCCCCACCTGTGTGACAGTGTGGACCCAGGAGCACCTTGCCCTCTGAACACAAGCTCCAGGGGGGTCTGAGCCACATGATGCCCCCGCACATTATCCTGGGAGCTGGATCCGGCTCTGCCTCCGGGAGCCCTAGCAGAGGTGCAGGCAGAGGAGGCTTTGTGGGGGTCTCTTGGCCCATGGAGCCCACCGGCCTGGCTCGGGTATGTTACTCCAGCTTCCCAGGAGGTCCACGCTTCTCCCCCCGGTGTCCTCCCCACAGTCTCATGGGGCTCTGAGTCTCGAGGGGAGCGGCCATCAGAGAGGGCGCACGGAGGGTCTGTCCTGCCAAGCACTGGCACCTCCCCAGGGAGCCCTAAGACAAGGCGTGACTGGGCGCACGTCAGCCCCGACGCCAGCTCCGCCCTCCAGGATGCCCCATCAGAGCCCCTGCTGGTGCCCCCACCCCAGCTGCCTGGGGAGCCCCGCACAACAGCAGCCGTCTCTGAAAAGTGGTTGGAGCGGTTCACAGGCCGGGTGGGTGCTGGGTCTTCCCCACGCCACACTCTCTGGCTTTTTTAAACAGTGCTGCTGGCCAGGGATACCAACTGCTCTGAGAGCTGGTGGCTCCCCCCAGGGTGAGGGGCAATGGAGGAGGCTGCCAGCCACGCTGTAGCCCCCAATCCCCCCCACCACCCGCTCGCTGCCGGAGGCGATGTCACCCGGGGCTAATGCCAATCCCAAAAAGACCATCAGTTCCTGAGGACAGGAGCTCGGAATTCCAGTCCCTCCTGGCCAGGCATTTCCTGGGGAGGGATTTTCAGATGCCCCTGATGGAAACGGCCTTGACCTGGTGCACTGGGAAGCCATGGACAGGGGCTCCCCCAGGGCTCCTCTGGCGCTTGCCGGGAGCCCGCTGACTCTAATGATATTTGAAAGTGCAGAGTGGCCCCTTGGCCCTGCTCTGGCCAGCCCAGCTCACCTCACACGCACCCCCACCACCCCTCCTGAGGTCCCCTGAGCCGGCACATGGGGCCAGGGAAGGCCAGCAGGACTGGGGGGTGGGGTGGCGAGGGGGGGCAGCACGGGAGGTGCTTGGGGAGGGCGGGAGGAAGCGGTTTGATCTCCGGGATGGAAGTTTGTTGATATACATTTCCTTTCTTAGAGAAGCCGCCATCCGTCTTAATTCGGAGAAGCAGAGGCTGGAGTCAGCCGCCCCCAGAGCCGGCCCTGCCCGGAGGGAGTTGGGGGTGGGGGGTCAGGAAGAGACCCCAGGGGCTTCGCCCACCTGAGTAGAGCCCAACTAAGCTGTCGAGGGGCCGTCCCACTGGCACCAGGACACCACGGGGTGGCCCCGGACCTGCAGCTCCTAATACTTGTGCCCTTCAAAGTCAGCATTTCCTTCTCAGACCCCCACATGGACTGGGGCTTCTGGATGCAGCCGGCATGTGGTGTGGCCTTCTTCGATCCCACCCAGCCTGAGGGTACCCCGCATCTGCAGCTGGGCCTGGCTTCCCCAGGGACCCCTCCCCCAAGGCTAAGGGACTGAAGGAAGCAGGGTCCTCGCTCAGGAATGCCTCACGGCACCTCCTCATGGGATGTGGGATTTGGGGTGAATGTGGCCTGGCTGAGGCCTCGGCTCGCCCCCTTGGCCGCCAGTGCCCCTACGGTGGCCAGCACCCACCATAGCCACCACCCCCCCGTGGCCAGCACTCCCCATGGCCAGGACCCCACATGGCCAGGACCCCTCATGGCCAGCAGCCCTCTAGTGCCCAGCACCCTCCCATGGCCAGCACCCCCTATGGCCACCACCCCCCGTGGCCACCACCCGTCCGTGGCTAGCACTCCCCATGGCCAGGACCCCCCATGGCCAGCAGCCCCTATGACCAGCACCCCCCATGGCCAGCACCCCCCATGGCCAGCAGCCCCAGATCAGATGCACTCTGTCCTCTCCTGGTTCTCCCTGGAGCAGGCGACTGAGGCCCCTCGGGGCGGGGTTTCTGGCCTCTCCGCTGCTTTCAAGCCTTCATTTCCCAGCAATACTGAGGGCCACGGAGAAGCTGGGAGGTTGGAGTTGCCCCAGGGACAGACCCCCCAGCTCGCCCAGGTGTGGCGTATCTGGGCTGGGCTCCCGATGACGGGGAGGTGCCCTCTCCTGGTTGGAAGCCAGCATCTCGGACTCCCCTTAAATCTCTCGGTGTCTGGGGGTGGGTGAGTGGTCACTGGGGGTCCCTGGAAGAGGTTGGCTGAGTGTTTCCAGCTGCCAGGGGTCAGCTTGCTGTTCCCCCAGGGAAGTGCTGAGGGCTTTACCTCCAGAGACTTCTGGGACCCAGCGGCCCCTTTATTGGTGACCCCCTCTTGTGACCCAAAAAGGTTCAGTGGACCCGAGTCTGACATAAAACCACCCCCAAGAGCCTTGGTCTCCCCATCTGCTGGGAAGTACCTTGTGGGGCCGTGGATGGAGGCCGATCCCTATCACCCTATCCAGGAAGCGCGGCAGGTGTGAGGAGGCGGGGGCGCCGTCCGGCAACAGCTCCCACCACGGGCAATTAGTTAACGTCAGCGCCCTCGGAGCTGTCCAGCCAGATGGGGAATCAAGTATTTATGGCGGCTATCGCTAACAAATTGATCACGACCTGAGTGCCCTTCTGCAAGTTTGCAGCTCAGAGCCTGACGGTTCGTTCAGCCCCCAGTGAGCAGAATCTCTGAAACCCTGATCAGCCTCCCTTGGATGCTCACACTAAATTTAACAGATGACACAGGCTTCCGGTCCAGCTCACTCAGATGCAGTGCTGTGACCCTCCCATGTGCCAGTGCTCACCGGGCTCTGGGACCCGAGGAGTCACTCAGACGCCTCCAGGTGTGTGAATCCAGAGGGGGACTCTCGCTTCCACCTCATAAAGAAATCAGCGCCACCGCCCTTCAGAGACTGGGCTGCGTTCAGTCGAGTCACTGCCAGCCTCAGAGGGCAAACGGAGTCCATATGCACTGGCGACCGTAGCCCGGGAGCAGGTCTGTCTGCAGGCTGGGTTATCCCACCCTCCGGCCCAGTGCCCAGATGCCAGAGGCATCCTGGCTCCACGCTCCAGGTCCGGGCACCTCCTGAGCAAGGAGCTCCTCCTGGGGGCCGCAGGCGGGAGGCTCAGTTCCCCTTCCTGGATCTGAGGTTTTAATTGGAAAAAAACTGTCCTCCAAGGAGCAAGGAAGGGTCTGGTTTGGCACGGGTGGGTTTTCATTGGGGCCACCCTCTCTGCCACCCTCCCCAGCTCCAACAGGCTTTTCGCAGGGAGAGTGGTACGTGGCAGGTCTGAGGACAGGGCCCGCCTGCAGGGCAGAGATGCTGGTCTCTGGTTGACCAGGTGAGCTGCTCCCTTGCAGAGGCTGTGCCAAGGGCTCTGGAATGGCCCAGGGCCAGGTGAACAGGCTCTCCATGACCCCACCAAAGCAGGAGGCTTCTCTGACCCCAGAGGCTCCCTTCTGCCAGCTCCCTTGAGGGACGGGGCAGTTCCTAACTTGGCCCGGCTCTGGCGGTGCTGACTTTAGGAAAAAGCCAGATGTGTTTGGCCCAAGGAGGGCCCCCCAGAGACAGAACCCACAGCAAGTGACCGTTTCTGCCCTGAGAAGGAGCCTGCTGGGGCCTGGGCGCGGCTCCCAGAAGAGTGGGGCGTTCTCAATGCCCAAGGCATGTCTGTGAGTGCAAGGCTGGGACCACACAGGCCGGTCTTTCAGGAAACCCCTCCAAAGAGACTGTGCCTGGGACTGAAGGGCTTCCCTGGTGAGTGCTCCCCGCCCCCCACGCCCTGTGTCCCTCCTGGTTTGCTCTCCTCAGAGAGTCCTGCCCCAGGTGTGGGTTCTCATTGCAGCTCCTGGGCCTCCCACCAGCCCCCCACGCCCCGCTGACCACTCCTCAATGCAACCACAGAGTCGGCCCCACCAAGGCAGGGAGGAGGCTTCTCTGACCCCAGAGACTCCCTTCTGCCAGCTGCCTGGGGAGACGGGGCCCTGGCTCAGCCTCTGAATCCACCTGTTCCCAAGTGTCCTGGAGGGGAGGGAAACAGCCCGGGCGACAAGCATGGCGGCCCCCAGGTCTTCAGGCCAGAGGGAAGCAGCACAGAGGCAAAGGGAAGCCAGGTTTGCTGACGGCCCAGGGATGGGGCAAGACCTTGGCTGTCGGCGGTGTCCCCAGCACGGGGAAAGCCCCGGTGACGTGTTGCTGCGTTTGGTTTTGCTTAATTTTTAGAAGATCAGTGAGGAAGAAGCAAAACCCTCAGGATACACTCTTTGGCCACCGACAATGGGAGGGTGGTGGCCTCTCCCGGGATGTCACCGGGAGGAGGCTCGCCCACCACGGATGATCGCACTCCGGGGTGTCCACATGGATGCTGAGCCAGGCGCCCGGCCTTGGTGGGGCTCACCAGGAACAAATGGTTGCCGATGGCAAGAGCCCTTCAGCCACCTCCTCCCGACTGTCCCGGCCTGACCGCCAGGAAGAGGAATTCCGGGAGAGCGCCAACCAGGCGGTTTTAGCAGAGGGTATCCTGCCAGCCCTGCGGGGTCCCCTGAAGCTTGCAGACCTCTCTGTGTGTGGCATGGTCTCCCCTTTGGCCCCCGGCTAGGGCTGGGGCAGAGACCGGGGAGCAGTCAGGTGCCTTTTTGGAGGTCCAAAGACCCCCATCTCTAGTATGTGGGTGAGGGTCAAAGAGGCGTGGACACCACTTCTTAGGGGCCTTCCTGGGCCAGATGGTGTGGACGGCAGAAATCAGCCTTGTGGAGGCCCCAGTAGCAGAGGTGGCAAAAGCCTTCACTCCATTCACACTGAGCTGGTTATCGTGATGCGGAGCATGAGAAAGTTTTGTCACCCTTCCTCAGGGCCCTGATACACGGGACCCAGTGCTCTGCCAACGCCTGACCCCTGAGCCCTGGCAACCCCGTAGTGTCTCGGGGCAAGTGCAGCTGTCATTCCACCTTATGGATGAAGAGACAGAGGCTGAGACCTCCAGCGGCTGTCCAACGTCACCCAGGAGCAGGGGCTGAGCCAGGACCCTGCATGGGGCCCCCGACTCTGGCCCATCCTGTTTGCCGAGTCTAGGCCATTCCTGACTCCAGGGGGCACCAACCATGACTCTAGAGGTGGCTGGAGTCCACAGGCAGCTGCCCCACCACAGAGAACTTCCAGGTCACAGGTCTTTACAGTCAAGGTTTAAATGGGAAAAAAACTGTCCTCCAAGCCTTGAGGCCAGAGCCCAGGGGTCAGAAATGGCTTCAATGACCCCAGGCAGGCAGCCTGTCTCAGGACTCCCTGAGCTGTCCCGTCTGTGACGTGGGTGGGAACAGCACCCACCTGAGGATGCAGCCACAGTGAGTGGGCCTGGCTAAGGTGGAGTCGGCCAGGGGTCACCCCTGGAGTGACTGGGGGCGGTGGTGGGGGCTAAGGTGCACTTCCACGGGGGAGTACCTGCACCTGTGGGTTCAACAAGAAACATCTGTGCCTTCTTCCTCCTACCCCTCCTTCCTTCTTTCCTACCTCTGTCCTCCCTCCCTCCTTCCTTCCTCTTCCTCCCTCCTTCCTCCCTCCTTCCTTCCTCTTCCTCCCTCCTTCCTCCCTCCTTCCTTCCTCTTCCTCCCTCTTTCCTCCCTCCTTCCTCCCTCTTGTCTTCCTCCTTCCCCCTCCTTCTTTCTCCTTCCTTCTTTTTTCCTCCTTTTTTCCTTCCTTCCTCCTCCCTTTCTCCTTCCTTCCTCCTTCCTTCCTTTCCTCCCTTTCTTTCCTCTTTTCTTCCTTCCTCTTTCCTTCTTCCTTTCTTCCTTCCTTCCTCCTTCCTCCTTCCTTCCTCCCTGCTTCCTTCCTTCTTGCCTCCCTTCCTTTCTTCCTCTCCTTCCTTCCTTCCTTCCTCCTTTCCTCCCTCCTTCCCCTCCCTCCCTTCCTTCCTCCATTTACTTTATGGCGCATGAACAGGTGGGTATTTTTTCATCCCTGGAGCTATAACCCAATGCTGCGCCTTTTTGTGGATCACCTTCTTCCAGCTGTGGCCATCAGGAGCTCCTCCAGGTCAGCTCCTGCATTCCTTGGCCATCTATGCCCCATCGCTTTGTTTCTCAAACTCTTCCTCATTTCCTGGCACCACAAGGTGCCACAGGCTCATCTTGAATTTTCCCTGTCCTGTCCTAGAACCCATCCCTTCTCTGCAGATCTCCGGCCCCTTCACTGGGGACGGTGTTAGAAATGGGATCTGGGTGCAGGGCGTGTGCATGGCCACTGGGGCGTCCCCGCTGGGCCTCTCAGCAGATACAGCGACGTAAAACATGGGTGCATATCAACCGGGGTGTGCATACGTATGTACACTACCCTGTGTACTGACAGGTCAGCATGCGTGTGTATACAAATATACCAATATCTGTATGCGTGGGCTGGTATAACATATATGTGTGCACAGGTTACATGTGTGTACGTGTCTGTGCATACCTGTGCACATGTGTGTAGGTACATGTACCTGCGCACACAGCCATGTGTATACCAACCCTTGCAGGCACACATATCCATAGTTGGCAGGGTGATTTTTAACAGGGGTATGGGAGAGACTTGTTCATGCCCTGAGAGAGTTGGGGACAAAAGCACAGATTTGGGTGCTAAGGGGGGCGAGACTCTTGGGGTCAGGGAGCCAGTGGGGACGCTGCAGGTGGGGGTTTAAACTGAACCCTCAGGGATGGATTGGGTGAGAGAGGCCAGTGTGATGGGAGATTCTGCGGGGCAGGCCAGCCAGGACTGGGAGCAAACCCCTGTTGTGGAACTAGAGGGGTGGGGGTCCGGGTGGTGGGGAGCCACACCAGGCACAGGCACAGCCTGTGTCCTCCTAGGCACTTCCTGATGGTTGATGTGGAAACTGGTGAATTCCAGAGAGCGCCCGGAGCAGAGGGTGTGCAGTGTGCCCTGGCGGCATCTCCACCCGTGGGCACAGGGTGTGAGCAAAGGGAGCCTGGATGGGGGCAGGAGGACTGTCTTCGGGAGGAGGCCAGGGTCCTGGAGAAGCCACCAGCCTGGGTTTGTCGGATGTGTTTCTCGTGTCTAGCCTGGGGTTGTGGGGTTTTGGAAAAAATCCTAAAAAAGGGGCTGTGGGGACTCTCTATACTAGCCCTTTATTGCTTCTCTGTTCATCCAAAATTCTTCCAAAATAAACATTTATGTTAAAAATCACTTTAATGCAGTCAGCGCTCAAAATCTAGATACTCACTGGGGTCCCACCGGCTCCCGAGGCACTCGCTTGCATCTCAGAGCACCCACGGTGTGCAGGGCACTGGGTGCTCTCGGGAACCACGGCCCAGACATGCATGAGGTCGGGACCTCAGGGACTGAGGCAGCCCCCGGTTCACAGAGGACACCAGGCTCCCGGCTACTTGCCCAGCGAGCAGCCCCAGTGGACACCGGGACAGTGAGGGCCTCCCGTCCTTACCACAACCAAGCCAGCCCCACGATGTCACCAAGACGGCATCCCCTGCCCCTGATACAAAGGGGCCCTTGGCTGTGGGTGGGTCCCTGAAAAGCAGAGGCTCCACCTGAGCACAGGGTGAGGGTTGCAGTGACCACCAGGGGCCCAGCACTGAGCTCAGCCCTGGACCCCAGGCAAGGAGGTGTCCCTTGGTAGGAAGCACGGCGTGAAGAGAAATGATCGGCCCCATTTCCAGTGAACCCCACTAACGACTGTTCAGCACGTCCGTGACTTTACCAACAAAACTCGGCCTATGAATCCCCAATGAGCCTGGATCCTTGATTAATGCTAATGGTTTTTCTCACCAGCTGTGAAAATGCATTTTCCATAATTTAGCTGTCATTACAATGGGAAGGATTGATAAAACACACACACACACAACCTCGTGCTTGGAGGGCCTGGAGGGAAGCAGCGGAGGAGGCCGGGAGGCAGCTGGTTCTGCCTGTGAGACGCAGGCACAGGTGCTCAGCCACACCCGGGCACTGGCCTCTGGCTCCCAGATCAGGACACAGTGCTGCCCCCCGACCTCATGCATGGAGTCCACTGCAGCACACAGACCTCCCCGGGGCTCTGAGCTTGGGCCTGGGTGCAGGACAAGACAGTGGCCCATGAGCGGGGACCAGCCCTCCCGCCTGTCTCAGGTACAGGAGCAACAGCATCCACTGGGCAGCTCCAGGCTCCACCTCCACGTCACAGATGAGGAATTCGAGGCCCAAGGATCCGGCAGCTCCTGCAGCATCGGCCGCAGCTGGGGAGCTAAGCAGGAGGTCAGGCTGGCGTGTCAGGCTCCACGCACCTCTCTGTGCCCCTGCCTCCCCTGGAGTGGGCTAGGGATCTCACTCCCTGACCTCCCACGGAAATGGAAAGAGAAGAAGGGAGGTTCTGAGACGGAGGGGCCCCCGACCCCTAGCCCGGTCTCGGTCGAAGGAAGAAAAGAAGGAGAGAAGGGGAGGCGGAGGGAGGGAGGGACTGGCCTCTGCGTGAGGCCTCTGACTGAGGACTGTGGCCCAGCCAGTCCCCATCCCCAGCCCTTAGCCCTGGTGTTTAAGCTACTTCTGACCTCCAAGGGGTGCCAGCCACCGGCCCGACCCAGAAATTCAGAAGCGACTGCCCGCTCATGGAAACATCCAACTTGCAGGCATTTGTCTTCACAGTTTTTGCTTAAGAAAACTATTCTCAAAGTTACAGAGGCCAGAGTCCAGGAAGGAAGGAAGGAGGGAGGAAAGACATAGGCTTGGCCCCAGGAGGGAGTGGGGGCACACCCAGACCTGCAATTTGAAAGCCCCTTTGAAGATCCCAGCAAAGCCTCCCGAGGTCACGGCTGCGCACGACCGGCCAAGGCTGCAGAAATCTCAGCACTGCAGTCGGTCCCACCATGGCCTGTGGCCAAGAATGGGAACCCAAGTGGCCGGGCCAGTGTCTGGCGGGGCTGCCCCCACCCTGCCCAGCTCTCCCCTGACCTGCAGGCACAGCCGGGGCAGGGCCCCCCTCCAAAGTGGTTTCAAGCACAAATGAGTATCTGAAAAGTGCACGGGGCGCGGGTGAGCAGGGGAAGACGAAGCAAAGCCAGCGTCGAATCAATTAGCCGAGTCTTGCGAACGCGGGCACGCTCTGCCTTCCATTAGTGGGTCCTGCCGGCCCCTGCTGCAGGCCCGGAGCCTGCGCCGCGGAAACGTTCTCCTTCTTGTTTTAATCTTTCGCCGAGCCGGCCTTTCGCCTCCAGCCCGTCTAATTGAAACTAATCTTCGCGGGCAAGGCCTGTCTCTCCTCCTAATCCTCCTCCGAGGAAGTTCACATGGTCCCAATTACAGCCACACCGGCCCTTTCATTCCCGCCCTCGCCTCCCTCTGCCAGCCTCGGTTTTTGAAAGTCTGCATTATTAACTCCATGCTTGCGAGTTCCTGCCTGTCACGGGGCCGCGAGATGCTATCGCGGGCTGCCCAGGGATAAGGTTACCACGAAGGCATTTTGTGGATTACATTTCGCACAAGGCGACAGAGGGCAAGATAGCGCAGAACCCGTGCGCTCCCTGAGTGGAGGGGGAGGCGGAGGAGGGCTGGCCCGGGGCCGGGCTCCCCTGCTTGCAACCTGCAGGGCAGAGAGTTGAGGAGGATTCTGGAAGCTTCCTGGAGGGGCAGAGAAGAACAGTTGGGGAGCGGGGCAGCCCCACAGAGCGCAGCACCCGCTGCCGAGCCCGCCTGGCTCCCCCAGCCCCCCATGGGAGCCTGCGAAGAGGGAGACAGGGTCCCTGGAGCTGGGCTCAGTGTTACAACAAGCCGAACGGAAATCCTACATTTCCAGGCTGTCGAGAACGTCAAGTTTCCGTGCTCCGGGCTGGAATCCCGCTGCCGCCAATGTGGGCACGCTGGTGACCGAGGTTGATCAGACCTCAGATGGCATCCGGGGATGTCTCTGATTAAACTTTTTAAAAAGAGAAACTGCGATAATTATCACTGAATGAAAGCAGTTGCTTAAAGACAATTCCCCACCTCTGGGGTGACAGAAGAGAAACAACGCGGTGGGCCTCTGACAGGGCCCTCCGGGAGGGGGAGCCAGGGCACGCAGAGACAAGCCCCCCAGTCCCCCCGCACTGACCAGCTCCCCACCCCAGATGCCAGACTCCGAGCAATTTCAAAGGTGGTGAAACTTGGCCACAGTAAGGACAGGAGGCCCTCACTGTCCCCGTGTCCACCGGGGCTGCTCACTAGGCATGTGGCTGGAAGCCTGGTGTCCTCTGTGAACCGGGAGCTGCCTCAGTCCCTGGGGTCCCGACCTCATGCATACCTGGGCCTTGGTTCCCGAGAGCACCCAGTGCCCTGCACACCGTGGGTGCTCCCAGAGGCAAGGGAGTGCCTGGGGAGCCGTCGGGAGCCCCTGAGTGTTTAGACTGGTGTCTGCCGTCTGCCCATCACCTTGCAGGGCCTGGAGCAAGGCTCCGCCATTTCTTGACCCTGACCTGTGGCTTGCAGACTGAGTTGGAGACTTAGAGCTAGAGGTGCATAAATCCCCATCCACCTCCATCCTACCTGTGCACGCTGGCCGGCACCCCCGCTTTTTTCAGAAGAGCCCACAGAGCAGAAAGAACTACTCACAAGAAACTCCACCCAACCGAGACTGCGTGGAGTGGGACGCCCCCATGCTCCCCTAGATGCCCCTCACACCTCCGTCCACCAGAGCAGGGCACAGAGCTCTGGCTTCCAGGCCAAGCTGTGAAACCGTGGGCAGGGCTGCCCCTGTGACTAGGAGGACACCCAGGCTGAGGTGACGGCGCATTAGGACGCTGCCCCTCCTCCTCACTCCGCGTCCCCTGGCACCCGCTGGGCTGCCCAGCTGGGCCCTGGACCCTTAAGCTGGCTTCACCGTTCTTTCCCCTCCTATAGCATCTCCTTCATGGAGGCCCATGGGGCTTACATCAACACAGCTCCAAGCCTGGCTTTATCTTCTGTATCACGGAGCTGTAACTCCCACCTGGGCCAGGTGAGGACGAGATAAGGGAACATCCCGTGGCCCTGGCCAGCCTGGGCCTGGGGCAGGACGTGCACCTTGCACCCCTCTGAAGGCTCTCCCCTCCCCGTCACCTGCCAGACCATCTACCATCTTCCAGCTTTCTAGTCTCTGCTGCATGCCTGCCTCCCCTAGGCAGTGTCTGGGGGCCCCTGGCAGGAGGCGGTGCTGGTCTCAGGTCCCAGGAGTCAGCCTCATGCATGTGAGTCTCAGCTCCGGACGGGAGTGAGCCTCTGACACAGGACCAGATGCCCTACACAGGCTATGTCTGCAGCACCCAGGCTCATGGCACGGAGCTGGACACAGCAAACACCAGCCACCGCCTCAACTCAGACTCCTTCCTGGCTGGGCGGGGCAGGCAGGGGAGGCCAAGTGAAGATGAGCAGGAGGCCACAGAGATCGTGGTCAAAGGCAGAAAAGAAAAGAAAATCACAGCTGCTCTACAGTGTATACGTGTTGCACACAATAATGATACATGATTTTTATTTGCCAGCTGAGAAGTTTAAAAAATTTTTTTTTACTTGCTCTGTCACCCAGTCTGGAGTGCGGTGGTTTGATTTTGGCTCACTGCAGCCTTGAACTCCCAGGCTCAAGCAATCCTCCCACCACAGCTACCTGAGTAGCTGAGACAAGTGTGCACCACCACACTCAGCTAATTTTTGTAGAGATGGGGTCTCATTGCATTGCCAGGCTGGTCTCAAACTCCTGGGCTCAAGCAATCCTTCCACCTCAGCCTCCCAAAGTGCTGGGATTACAGGCGTGAGCCATCATGCCTGAACCTAAACAAAATTTTAAAGCAGAAGAAAAGGAACATGAACGTGAAACCTTCAGGATGGCTAAAATGAAAACAATTGACAATGCCAAGTGCTGCAAGGTTGTGGAACAACTGGAACTCAGTGTCCCACGGCACAGCCATTTCAGAAAATCATTTCGCAGTTCCCTTGAGGTTAAACCTACACTTATACCATAGGACCCAACCATTCCACTCCTGGGTATTTACCCAAGAAATGAAAGCATGTGTCCACCCAACAACCTGTAGGTGAATGTTCAAAGCGATGGTATTCATTGTAGCCCCACACTGGAAATCACGCAAAACTACACCAAAAGGCTAATAAATAAATGGCCTGTGGTTCACCATACAATAGATACACGCAACGGACACAATGTGGAGGTGTCTACAGTGGATAAGATGTGTGGGTGTCCGCCACGGACACGATGTGGAGGTGTATCCAGTGGATAAGATGTGTGGGTGTCCGCCATGGACACGATGTGGAGGTGTATCCAGTGGATAAGATGTGTGGGTGTCCGCCATGGACACGATGTGGAGGTGTATCCAGTGGATAAGATGTGTGGGTGTCCGCCATGGATACGATGTGGAGGTGTATCCAGTGGATAAGATGTGTGGGTGTCCGCCATGGACACAATGTGGAGGTGTATCCAGTGGATAAGATGTGTGGGTGTCCGCCATGGACACGATGTGGAGGTGTATACAGTGGATAAGATGTGTGGGTGTCCGCCATGGACACGATGTGGAGGTGTATACAGTGGATAAGATGTGTGGGTGTCCGCCATGGATACGATGTGGAGGTGTATACAGTGGATAAGATGTGTGGGTGTCCACCATGGATACGATGTGGAGGTGTATCCAGTGGATAAGATGTGTGGGTGTCCGCCATGGACACGATGTGGAGATGTATACAGTGGATAAGATGTGTGGGTGTCAGCCATGGACATGATGTGGAGGTGTATACAGTGGATAAGATGTGTGGGTGTCCACCATGGACACGATGTGGAGGTGTATACAGTGGATAAGATGTGTGGGTGTCCACCATGGATACGATGTGGAGGTGTATCCAGTGGATAAGATGTGTGGGTGTCCGCCTTGGACACGATGTGGAGGTGTATACAGTGGATAAGATGTGTGGGTGTCCGCCATGGATACGATGTGGAGGTGTATACAGTGGATAAGGTGTGTGGGTGTCCGCCATGGACACGATGTGGAGGTGTATACAGTGGATAAGATGTGTGGGTGTCCACCATGGATACAATGTGGAGGTGTATACAGTGGATGAGATGTGTGGGTGTCCGCCATGGACACGATGTGGAGGTGTATACAGTGGATGAGATGTGTGGGTGTCCGCCATGGACACGATGTGGAGGTGTATACAGTGGAGAAAACGTATGGGTACCTGCAATGGACACCATGTGTAGCTCCCCATAGAGTGCATGGGACTTGTGGGTGCCTGCAATGGAAACAACCTGTGGATACATGTCATGGATAGCCTGTCTGGGTCCTTGCAGTGGATGGATACATACAAAGACCATTTCCCCAGCAGTAAAAAAGCAGAACTATTGATCCATGCAGCAGGATGATTACATCACAAAATAATTATGCTGAGAGAAAGAAGCCAGACCAAAAAGCGGGCATGCTTGTACTCCACTTTGGTAAAACTCTAGAAGAATCTAAACTAATCCACAGTGACCGGAATCCGATCTTGGGTTGCCTGGGGTGGAGGGTAAGGGGGATTGTGTGGCAAGTGTGGGAGAAAACTTTCTGGGGACATGGCAATGCGCTCTAACTTGATGGAGTGGCAGTTACATGGATGTACACATTTGTCAACATTTATCCAACTTTACCTGGGTGCCTTTTCTAATTGTGGTGAAATATACACATAGCGTAAAACTTAACCATCTTCATGATTTTTCAGTTAGACGTCCGCAGCACTGGGCGCATTCAGCTTGGTGTGCAGCCGTCACCACCATCTACCCCAGAACGCTTCTTCTTCCCAACCTGAACCTCTGCACCCATTAAACACTCACTCCCTGCTCCCCCTCCCCCAGCCCCAGGCACCCACCCTTCCCTTCCCATCTCTTTGGATTTGACAGCTCTAGGGACCTCCTGTAAGTGGAATTCCACGGAATTTGTCCTTTCGTGACCGGCTGACTTCACTGAGCAGAATGTCCTCGAGGTGCATCCATGTCATAGCCTGTGTCAGCATTTTATTCCCTTTTACACTGAATAACATTCCCGTGTTTGGATACACAGCAGCCCCCAATCCTGGAGGATAGGTGCCAAGACCCCCAGTGGGTGCTCGACACCATAGGCAGTACCACATCGTCTCTATACTGTTTTTTCTCATACACACCGATGATTAAGTTTAATTCACAGGTCAGGCACAGGAAGAGGTTAACACTAACTAACAATAAAGACAACTATAACCATTTACTGTAATAGAAAGTTACGTGATTGTGGTCTCTCCTCCCTCCCCTGCCTCTCTCTTTCTCTCTCCTGAATATCCTGCCGCTCTGCGAGGTGCTCCCCCTCCTGCTTCCCGCGCTGATGTGCTGAGTTGCAGTGAGGCGCAGGACGCAGGCACTGGGACGCAGCTAGGCCACCATGGAGCTTATGCAGCCTGGAATCTGCATAACTGTCCTCAACTGGGAGTCAACGGCTGGGCGTCACTCTCTCAGGGGTGCCTTGCTGAGGCCTCTCTACAGGCTCCGTGCTTTCCAGGGCCACATGATGCCATCCCAGAACACGCTTCCGCTCCTGTCCTCCACGCACACATGGAACGCTTTTCCGTCTTCTCTAAGCACTTGCCATGCTCTGCGGCCACAACTGCTGCTGTTTGAGATGCAACAACAAAACTAGCAGAAATTTCTGTCTCCTTCTTGAGAGTTTGAGAAAAGACTTGTTCTTACTGCAGATCTCAGCAAGCTCGGCGTACAGTTTCTGTTCTATCCTTATTAAATCGAGAACGTTCACCTTTGCACTTCAAGGAAGCACTTCACGGCCTCTCTTTCGCATAACTGAGTTGTCGGCATCGAGACTTGTGCTTTGGGGCCATTTAAGTCAAATAAGGGTGATTTGAAAGCAAGCACTGTGATACCATGGCCGTCGATCGGATCACCAAGGTGGCTACTAAGTGGCTCACGGGCAGCAGTGTAGACAGCACAGATTCACCTGCAGGGCGGGACAGAGGGATGGCGGGAGATTTCATCACACTGCACAGAATGGTGCATAATTTAAAGCTCGTGAGTTGTTTATTTCTGAAAGTTTCCATTTGATATTTTTGGGCCTCAATTGAGCGGGCGTGACTGAAACTGTGGCGCGAAGCCACAGATAAGGGGGTGACTGCACCAGGCGCTATCGATCCATTTGTCTGCTGACGGACATTCGGTTTGCCCTCACCTTTTGACGGACATTTGGTTTGCTCTCACCTTTCGGCTACTGGGGATTATGCTGCTATGTGTGCACTGGGGTGTGGGTCTGTGAAGTCTCTGCTTCAGTTCTTTGGGGATGTTCCTGGGAGTGGAATGGCTGGGTCATGTGGAGATTCTGTTTAATTCTCTGGGAAATGCCACGTTGTTTCCCCAGCAGCCGCTCAATTCCACACTTCCACCCAGGGCACAGGGTTCCATTCCACACTCCCACCCAGGGCACAGGGCTCAATTCCACACTCCCGCCCAGGGCACAGGGTTCCATTCCACACTCCCACCCGGGGCACAGGGCTCAATTCCACACTCGCACCCAGGGCATAGGGCTCAATTCCACACTCCCGCCCAGGGCACAGGGTTCCATTCCACACTCCCACCCAGGCACAGGGTTCAATTCCACACTCGCACCCGGGGCACAGGGCTCAATTCCACACTCCCGCCCAGGACACAGGGTTCCATTCCACACTCCCGCCCAGGCACAGGGTTCAATTCCACACTCCCACCCAGGACACAGGGCTCCATTCCACACTCCCACCCAGGCACAGGGTTCCATTCCACACTCCCACCCAGGACACAGGGCTCCATTCCACACTCCCACCCAGGGCACAGGGTTCCATTCCACACTCCCACCCAGGGCACAGGGTTCCATTCCACACTCCCGCCCAGGCACAGGGTTCCATTCCACACTCCCGCCCAGGGCACGGGGCTCAATTCCACACTCCCGCCCAGGGCACAGGGTTCCATTCCACACTCCCGCCCAGGGCACAGGGTTCCATTCCACACTCCCACCCAGGGCACAGGGTTCAATTCCACACTCCCACCCAGGACACAGGGCTCAATTCCACACTCCCGCCCAGGACACGGCTCAATTCCACACTCCCGCCCAGGACACAGGGTTCCATTCCACACTCCCACCCAGGACACAGGGCTCAATTCCACACTCCCGCCCAGGACACAGGGTTCCATTTCACACTCCCACCCAGGGCACAGGGCTCAGTTCCACACTCCCACCCAGGGCACAGAGCTCAATTCCACACTCCCGCCCAGGCACAGGGTTCAATTCCACACTCCCACCCAAGGCACGGGGCTCAACTCCTCACTCCCACCCAGGGCACAGGGCTCCAGTTTCTCCACATCCTCATCCACACTCATGTTTTCCTGGTTTGCTTTTTTTAAATAACAGCCATTCTACTAAAATGCATCCCGATGGGTGCATTTGATGATATGTAAAGCATGCCTCAAGAAAGTTATCTAAAATTTTTAATTAAACAACGTGAAACCCTTGGCTTCTGTCCCTACCCAAAGTGAGGGGACCTAACCCTCTGGGTGCTGGCCTCCACACTGGCAGCTCACATAATCAGCTCTCAGCAGCCTATGCCTGTGACGGGGACCTTGTCCTCAGAGAAGCCAAGAACCCAGAGCTGCCCCTCCCAGGTCCTCTCCCCATCCCTGGTCACTGGCCCCAGGGAGACCCCCTCTCTGGGTACCTCCTGGGCAGTGTTCAAGCAAAGCCTCTGAATGGGCCTTTCTCAGGTGACTGCACAGGGTGAGGACAGCAAGTCACCCATCCCTACCTGGGTCCTCATCCCTGCTGGAGCAGCTCAGCTCTGCAGAGAGGGGAGGGCTGGCTGTGTGGGTGGAGGCAGCTGCGTGGGTGATGGTTGTGTGGGTAGAGATGGTTGTGTGAGTGGAGGCGGCTGCGCGGATGAAGGCGGCTGCGTGGGTGGAGATTGTTGCGTGGGTGGAGGCGGCTGCGTGGGTGGAGATGGCTGCGTGGGTGGAGATCCCCCTGCAGCCTGAGGCTCGAGGCAGAGGTGGCAGCAGGATGGCATCCTGGCCCCGTGGCAGCACCTGGCAGACCTCGGCCTCATCCCCGTGTGGCAGACAAGGACTCACTGCTCCTGTCTCCTGATGAGAATGCCAAGCCTCACCCTGGGCTGCCCCAGGCAGAGGGGTTCGTTTCCCCACCCCTGGGACATTGCCTGGCCGCCTCAGAGGCTGCCCCAAGCCCTTTACTGGCTATAGGGGTGAAGAAAGAGACCATGGAGCCCGCAGCCACAGAAGAAGACGGGAGATAAGGAAGTGAACAGGCAAAGCCGTGCCCTTGCACTTGTCTAGAAGGAAATGGGCCGAATGTGGCAGGAGAATCACTGGGAAGAGCTTCCTCAAAGGCGTGGGGGGACGAAAAGCAGCTCCGCGGTGGCAGCATGAGGCCAACGCCCGAAGGACAGGAAGGCACTGGCCAGGCACAGGCCCTCCTTCCCTCTGCAGTGCCGGGGACAGGAGCGGACCCGTGCGGAACATGCCCAGAGACAAGCAGACAAGCAGACAATGTGGCCCTCCAGCCACACCCCGTGTGCTGAGCTTAAAGAGAACAGCACGGGGTGACCAGCTGACACACTCTACCCAGCACCAAGGGAGTTTCCAGGATCCAGGACCTTCCGTTGTAAAACCAGGACAGTCCTGAGCAGACTGGGATGAGTTGGTCACACTAGGGTTTCTCCAGTTTGAAAAGGGCCACTGGGTGCACAGAAAGAAAAGTGAATTCTGCCAAGATGGCTCAAGCCCCCACCAGTCCCCCTGGGAGGGGGAGGCCAAGCAGGGCTGCTGGCCTTGGGGGAGGCGGGAGCAGGGCACACATTACTGGTTTGTGTCCAAGACTGGTGCACCTGGCTGGGGGGATGAGCCGGGCCCCCACGTGGTCTCTGTCTTGTCACTTTATTGCCATTAAATTGCACATTCCCTTTCATGCCATAGTCCTCAGAGACGGTGGGTGCATCTGGTGTCCTGCATGGTAGCTTTGGGTATTCAGACACAAAAAGGACCTAGAATTATGGAGAAACCACTCACGGACATTCACTGAGGCTCACCATGGGTTGAGATCCTGCACTGCAAAGCGCCTTGTAGAGATTTCTTTCCCACAACAGCCCAAAGGTGGGGATTATCGCCTTTCCCATTGCAGAGTTGAGAAAACTGAGATGGAAGTCAGCTAAGCCATCCGGTTAGTCCGAGGTGGAGCCGCGATTTGAACTGAGGCCCCCAGGACCCCGTGTCATTCCCACAGTGTGAGCCATCGGGCTCGGGAGATAGGGGCCAAAGAACTCCTAAGCCCCTCTTTGGTTTTAGGAGGTTCTCAAGGGGTTTCTCCATGCTCTGTTGCAGAATCGACATGAACTTTTAAAATATGGCCTTGATTTGTTAACTTATTTATTCTTCTTCTTCTTTTTTTTTTTCTGAGACAGAGTCTTGCTCTTTTGCCCAGGCTGGAGTGCAGTGGTGTGATCTCGGCTCACTGCAACCTCCGCCTTCCAGATTCAAGCAATTGTCCTGCCTCAGACTCCTGAGTAGCTGGGATTCCAGGCAGGCACCACCATGCCCGGCTAATTTTTGAATTTTTAGTAGAGACAGGGTTTCACCATGTTGGCCAGGCTGGTCTCGAACTCCTGACTTCAAGTGATCCACCCACTTGGGCCTCCCAAAGTGCTGAGATTACAGGCGTGAGCCACCGCGCCCGACCTAACTTATTTCTTAAACAGTTAAATCAGTTGCACAGGGAAAAGATCAACTCTCAGTGGTTGGTCCATTTGCACCACAGTTCAATTTTGTAAAGAAATAAGCGTGTTTCAATTCAGTATTTAAAAAATTTTAATTGTATTATACATGATGATGCCCTTTACCTTCCACTATATTAGAGTAGATTATATACGACCAATCCTCCTGCAAACACAACTGAAAACTCTAGGATGGACACACAAAACCACAGCAGCAGCAAAGCAGCCGGGACACGAGACCAGCCGACATCCTGGAGAAAAGGGAAGTGCAGGGAAGAAAGTCTGAGAACGGATTCCGTGGTTGGCGTGACAAGGGCCTGTGGGCTGACAATCCAAGCCAACAGCAGCAGAGAGCATCCTGGTAGCATCACCCCCAAGCTCACGGCACTGTGTTCAGAGCCTGCCAAGCAAGCAGTGCCCTGCTAAACACCACAGGCTTTCTGCCCCGATGACTCCAACTCCACCCAGGAGCAAGAGCAGCCTGTAGAGAGGCCAGGCCTCAGAGGAGCCAAACCCAGTGGAATCAGCTCAGTTCTTAGTTGGACAATGGAGATCCGGCCCCGTTGCAGCCACCTGCTGGGAACCAAAGAAAGTCTCCTCTGGGGAGATAAACAACCCAGAGCGCTACAGTGTTTTCTGAACAATGTGGAGAATTTTCTTTTTACATTATAGGTACAGTGAGCTGAGTGCTGGCCCCAAAAAAGATACATCCACATCATAACCCCTAGAACCTGTGAATGTGACCTTATTTGGAAAAAAGGGTCTTTGCAGGTGTGATCAAGTCAAGGATCTTGGGAGAAGGAGCTTATCCTGGGTTCTCTAAAGGCAGTCCCATGTACGCTCTGTAAGAAACAAAGAGACTGGGCTGAGAAGCACAGAGGGAGACAGGCACACAGAGAAGAGGGGAAGGAAATGTGGCACAGAAGCAGGGACGGAAGGGATGCAGTCACTTCATCCACGAAGGAATTCCTGAAGCCACAGCAGCTGGAAGATGCAAGGGAGGGTTCCCCCAGAGGCACTGGAGGGAGTGCAGCCCTGCCCATACCTTGACTGGGGGCTTCTGGTCTCCACAACTGAGACATTAAGATCCTGTGTTTTGTTTTGTTTTGTTTTGTTTTGTTTTGTTTTTTTGAGATGGAGTCTCTCTCTGTCACCCAGGCTGGAGTGCAGTAATGCAATCTCAGCTCACTGCAAGCTCTACCTCCCAGGTTCACGCCATTGTCCTGCCTCAGCCTCTCTGAGTAGCTGAGACTACAGGCACCCGCCACCATGCCTGGCTAATTTTTTCTAGTTTTAGTAGAGACGGGGTTTCACCGTGGTCTCGATCTCCTGACCTCATGATCTGCCCGCCTCGGCCTCCCAAAGTGCTGGGATTACAAGCATGAGCCACCACACCCGGCCAAGATCCTGGTGTTTCAAACCACTCTGTGGTCATTTGTTATGGCAGCCATGGGAAACTAATACACCAGGTAAGCCAAGAGAGGAACAGCAAAGCAGACGATAGAAGCAGACCCACAGGTGATCCCGCTATTGGAGTTACAGAGACAGGCTTAACAAAAGTGCACTTAAGAAAGTAGAGAATTTCACCAGACAATTGAAATCTGTGAAAAAATAATACATAGAAATTCTAGGACTGAAAAATCCCTCCAAAGGAACAATAATATGACAAGGGACTTCACAACAGAAATGACAGAAGCCAGAAGGTAATGGTATGTCATAAAGTGCTGGGGAAAAATATGCTAAAAACAACAACTGCCAACTTAGAATTCTAATGCAAGGGAGAATAACTTCAAAAATAAAGGCCAACAGTTCCTTTAAAGGTTAAATATAGCCCAACATATGACCCAGCCATTCCTCTCTTAGTTATGTACCCAAGAGAAAGAAAAACACATATCTACACCAAACTTTGTATTAAAAATGTTCATAGCAGCATCATACACAAAAGCCAAAAAGAGGATACAATTCAAGGGACCACCAACTGTTGAGTGATAAAGTCAGGTCTACCCATACAGTGGAATATTATTAAGCCATTAAAAAGCACAGATTCATGCTAGCACATGGATGACCCTCAACAGCATTATCCCCAGCGATAGAAGCCAGACACAAAAGAACACATATGACAGGATTCCATTGATATAAAATGTCCAAAAAATCAAATATAGAGAGACATAGAGCAGATCCATGGCTGGCTAGGGCTAGGGGAGGAAATGAAGAGTGATTTTTTTTTTTTTGAGACAGTTTTGCTTTTGTTGCCCAGGCTGGAGTGCAGTGGCATGATCTCAGCTCACTGCAACCTCTGCCTTCCGGTTTCAAGAAATTCTCCTGCCTCAGCCTCCAGAGTAGCTGGGATTACAGGCAGGCTTATTTATTTTTAGGGTGTGGAAACCTAAAATTAGATTGTGGAGACAGTCATACAACTCTGTAAATATACTAAAATTCATTGACTTGTACACATAAAACATGAATGTTATGGCATGTCAATTATATCTCAATAAAGCTGGTTTAAAGAAAAGAGAAGGAAAAAAAAATTTTGCAGACAAATAAAAACTGAGAGAACTGAGGTAGCAGCAACACACATGCACACACAAATACACACACATAAATATTAAAGAGAATTCTCCTGCAGAACAAAATGATCCCAGGCTACAGAAAGGAAATTTAGGAGAAAATTAAGTGCACAGAAATAGTAACTGGGTAGGTAAATATCAATGACTCTCAACTAAACAACAATAATGATGTCTTATAGGGTTTTAAATATACATAGAATTCGTGTATACACAGCAGTCACACAACAGGTAGCAGCAGAAAATGGAGTTAAAATATTGCAAGCGGCCAGGCGCGGTGGCTCACGCCTGTAATCCCAGCACTTTGGGAGGCCAAGGAGGGCAGATCACGAGGTCAGGAGATGGAGACCATCCTGGCTAACACAGTGAAACCCCGTCTCTACTAAAAATGCAAAAGATTAGCCAGGTGTGGTGGCAGGTGCCTGTAGTCCCAGCTACTCGGGAGGCTGAGGCAGGAGAATGGCACGAACCTGGGAGGCAGAGCTTGCAGTGAGCCGAGATCGCGCCACTGCACTCCAACTTGGGGCGACAGAGCAAGACTCCGTCTCAAAAATATATATATATATATTGCAAGCATGCCTACTTTCTATTTGAAAAGATTTGGATTCCCTAACCTGAGAGTTTTCCTGTAATGCAACCCACTGGGCGTGCAGTTATCATCCAACCTTCTTCCCATCACCCTGTGGGAACCAGAGCTCAGGGAAACTTCCCAGAAATTCTGATAGTCTAGCTACTGCTATTTCTATGTGTAATAAATTGTCCATTTCTGACCCAGGGAAAAATTAATTACTTAATTAAAATAAAATATTCTAAAGTACTTGCCTTGTCTTGGAAGTGACAGGAGTATGCAATCATGGTAGAGTGTAATAAATCAAGGATGTGTTTTTAATCTTTTTTAGGGAAAAGACTAAAAGAAGAATAACATATAGGATATTTAACAAGTTAACAGGACAAGAGATAAAACAAGGGAAAACAGGAAAAAAGTGGATCAAAAAACAGACGAACCCAATAGAAAACCAGATAGTCGGATGGTAGATTTAAACCCCAAATATTTGTCATTATATTAAATGTGAAAGTACTAAATATTCCAATTAAAAGATAAAGATTGTCAGATTATATTTTTGAAAACCACTTACATCCTGCTTGTGACACACTTTAATTAGAAAGACATACAAAAATCAAAATAAAAGGATGGGAAAATCAGCGCCTTGTAAACAATAACCGAAAGGAAGCTGATGGTATGCTGACAGGCAGGGCGGACCTCCAGGCAAGAAGCCGTGCTTGAGATCACTGAGACAGTGCATACCGGTTAAAATGATACAGGTTAAATGATACAGGTTAAAACGGTCAATCCGTCAGGAAACATAGCATTAAAATTCATATGCACTCAATAATATAAGTTCAAAACATAAAGGGAAGGAATTGAGAAGGGAGAAATGATACAGGTTAAACGATACAGGTTAAAACGGTCAATCCATCAGGAAACATAAATTAAAACTCATATGCACTCAATAATATAAGTTCAAAACATAAAGGGAAGGAATTGAGAAGGGAGAAATGGACAGAATTATCATCATAATGAAAAAATTTTCACCTACCTCAGCCTGTAACTGATAGAACAGACAGCAGGTGAGTGAGGATATATTAACAGACAGTTTGAAAACATGATTTTAAATATGACCTGATGTATGGATTGTCTTAGTCCCTTTGGGCTGCAGTAACAAAGGGCCCTAGATTGGATGGCTTATACATAGCAGAAATCTGTTTCTCACCCTTCTGGAGACAAACTCTGAGATGAGGATGCTAGCATCGTTGGGTTCTGGTGAGAGCCCTCTTCGGGGTTGCAGACGGCTGACCTCCCTTGTATCCTCACGGGGTAGAAAGAGGTCAAGCCAGCTCTCTGGGGTTCCTTTTATAAGGCATTTATTTCATTCTCGGGGGCTCCACCGTCATGACCTCATCAACTCCTAAGTCTCCACCTCCTAACCTTGTCATCTTAGGAGTTAGGATTTCAGCATCTGAATTCAAGCAGACATAAACACGCAGTTCATTGTACGGATACACAGCACTCTCCCCCAAAACTGCAGGAGACACACTCTTTTCAAGTACCTAAGGAATAGTAACCAAAATTTATCATATTTGGGGACAGAAATCAGGCTTTGACAAACGTCAAAGGCAGGGCCAGGACTAGGGTGAGTCCAGTGAGTTCCCCTAGGCCCAAAATATAAAGGGATGCTCACTCCCAGATTCACGCAGGCAGAGGAGTGGGAGGGAACACAGGAGAACTCAATTAGAAAAGGATGAGAAGAAAGCAGGGAAAATTCACGATAATAAAACAAACGATCCGAAAACAAGAGAAGGGAGCTTCCTTACTCCGATCAAAAGCACCTGCAAAAAGCCTGGAGAATATATTCTACCTAATGGTGAAATCATGGAAGGTTTCCCACAAGATTAGAGATGAGACAAAGATGGCAGCTCCCCTGTGTAGTTTAAGTCACACATGCTGAGGTCCTCACCAGTGTGATCACACCAAGAAAAGGAAATAAGAGGCATTTGATTGGAAAGGAAGAAATAAAACTTTTATTATAGGTGGACAACATGATTTTATATGTAAAATATCTTAAGGACGCTACAGATAAACCATCAGACTGATGAAGTAAACTCAGTGTGGTCACCGGATACACGGTCAATATATAAAAATCAATGACATTTGTCTAGGCTGGTGTTGTGGTCACCCCACTGCAAGAAACAAGATAGACATCACTCCCCCACGTTCCTAAAATTTGGTTTGGATGTCAATACTGATGATGCCTTGCACACACGCACACACACTCACACTCACACACACACTCAGTCACACACACACTAGCTCACACACACTCACAGTGATACACTCACACACACTCACACTCACACACTCACACACTCACACACTCTCACACACACACTCACACACACTCTCACACATTCACACACCCCAAGAGGGTATGCAAGGCTTACTAGTCACGCAATGAGGCTTTCTGGGGAGAGCGGGGCTGATGCCCAAGTTTGTCTGAAAGTGGCTTGAGGCGGCTGGGAGAGGAGGTGGACTCAGCCTTCCCAGAGGTCCCAGAGGTCCCAGAGGTCGGGGATGGGCTGGGGTGAAGGTTCCCACAGGCAGGCCAGGGGCCCCAGGCTTTGAACTTCCTGCCAGCACCGCCAGAGGGGGACCCAGGCCTTCTCATCGGCTCACAGGAAGGTGGGACAGAAGAGGGAGGGGAGGGTGAGGCTTCAAGACCTTCTGCAGGAAAACCGCAAAACTGGAGTCAGAACCTTTACTGTTGCCGCGGATTGTGCTAATTGTGTTTAGAAAAGAAAATAACCAAGAAGTAAAATGATACTGAGGCAGGAGAATAGGGTCTGGAGTCTAAGGCTGATTCGCCCTGACTTCCTAGAACTGAATCAAAAGGAAAACCTCACCTCTTCCCACCAAAGTAACAAAATGATCAGAGGCGACTCCCTTAGCAATGTCCCCACCACCTCCACTGCGTTGCAGATGAAAAACGGAAAGTACCTCTGATTGGTCACCTCCAGCAACCAATCAGACTGGTCACGGCCTTACTCTTCATTTGCACAGCGGTGTAACTTTGTAACTTCATTTCAGCCTCTGATTGGTCCCAATCACTCAGACTGGTCGTGGGCCACTCCATTTACATAGATTGTAACCAAGTAACCAATGAGAAACCTCTAGAGGCTGTTGAAACCCCAGAACATTCTTAAGCAGTGCTCTTGAGCTATTGGCTCGAGCCCACTCTCACTCTGGGGAATGTACTTTTGTTTCCATAAGTCTGTGCTTTCCTTGCTTGATTCTCTTGTCACTTTGTTCGTGCATTTTGTCCAACTCTTTGTGCAAAAAGCCAAGAACCCGAACGACCTGTAGCAAGACCTTCAGCCAGTAACAGTATCATTTACAATGACACAAAGAATCAAATACCTGAGAATGCATCTAAAATGTGCAAAACTTCTCTCACAGAAAACTACAAAACATCATTTTACAAAAGTAATGGAGGCCCCAAGTGGAGGAACCAGCTCGTTCATGAATCAAAGGTGGACAGATGTCAATCATCTCCACATTAACACAGTGATTCCATGCAACGCTAGTTTTAAAACGCCAGCAGGTTTTTATTGGTGAAAGGAAGCCACACTTTTAAAGTGTACAGGAAATGAAAAGGTTGGGACTGGGCTGGGCACGGTGGCTCATGCCTGTAATCCCAGCACTTTGGAAGGCCAAGGTGGGTGGATCACTTGAGGTCAGGAGTTTGAAACCAGCCTGGCCAATATGGTGAAACCCTGTCTCTACTAAAAATGCAAAAATTAGCCAGGTGTGGTGGCGGACACCTGTAATCCCAGCTACTAGGGAGGCTGAGGCAGGAGAATCACTTGAACCCAGGCAGCGGAGGTTGCAGTGAGCCGAGATTGCACCACTGCATGCCAGCCTGGGCAACAGAGCGAGACTCCATTTTAATTAAATAAAAAAGAAGGAAAGAAAAGACCAGGAGAACCAGACAGTCTACAGGAGAAGAGCAACACAGGAGGACCTACCCCACTAGAGGCCAGGGTCTAAGATGAAGCTACAATAATTAAGCCAGTGTAGTATCAGTGCACAAACAGACCCACAATAAATGGCGACCTGGTGTAGAACGAAGCTGGGGGCAGGATGGTCTTTTCAAAAAATGGTGCTAAGTCACTTGGGTATCCGTCTGGAAGAAATAAGCCTCGGTCCCTATATCGCACCATTTCTAAATATCAGTTCCTGGGATGCTATAGATTCTAAACATCAAAGATAAAGCAGTAAAACATCTAGAAGATAACACAGGCGAAATGTTGTATGACTTTGGGATAGGCAAAGATTTCTTAAGTCCAGACCTTATGGCACTATTAAGAAAGTAAAAAGGCAAACTATAGACTGTGGCAAAATACTTGTAACAAGTGTATTTGGTAAAAAACTCACTTCCTAGATATATACCAGACTTTTACAAATCAGTAAGAACAAGAACAAAAGGCAACCCATAATCAAAAAAAGGGTTAAAAAAAAAACTCCGACAGGCATTTTGCAAAAGTTATCTTATAAGCATTTGATTAAAAAGTGCTAAATGTCGGCCAGATGCAGTGGTCCACGCCTGTAATTCCAGCAGCACTTTGGGAGGCTAAGGCAGGCAGATAACAAGGTCAGGAGTTCGAGACCAGCCTGGCCAATAAGGTGAACCCCATCTCTACTAAAAATACAAAAATTAACCGGGTGTGATAGCACACACCTGTAGTCCCAGCTACTCAGGAGGCTGAGGCAGGAGAATCACTTGAACCCAGGAGGCAGAGGTTGCAGTGAGCCGACATCGTGCCACTGCACTCCAGCCTGGGCGACAGAGCGAGACTCCATCTCAAAAAAAAAAAAAAAAAAAAAAAAAAACTGCGAAGTGTCAATCCTCATCAGGGAAAGCACATTAAAACCACGAGCCACCCATACACACTTATGAGAGACGCTACAATGACAGACTGACATAAGCAAAGGTTGGTGGGGAGACAGAGCAACTGGAACTCCAGCACCCCACGTGCAGGGAGAGAAAGTGGCGTGACTCTGGAACACTGGGTATCCATACTTCCTACAGCTGAATCTACACATAACTTATGGCCCAGCAATTCTGCACCTAGCCAAGTACTCTGTGGGAATGTGCACGCATGTTCACCAAAAGACATACCGCAGTGTTCACGGCAGCATGGTTAGCAATATTGCCGAGGTCGGCATGACCCACTGACAATAGGACAGGCAAATAGACTGCAGCATCGTCACAACACGGGATGCTATGTATCGAAGGTGACAAGTCACAGCTCTGCCTGTCACGGAGTCATTGCAGCAACGTAATGTTGAGGGAAAGAAGCCAGACACACAGGAGGGCACATGGCATGATTCTATTTATGTAAAATTCAGAGAGGGGCAAAACCAAGCTATGGCCCTGGCGGTCAAGGTGGCAGT
Organism: Homo sapiens; assembly: GCF_000001405.40. Lineage (NCBI taxonomy): Eukaryota > Metazoa > Chordata > Mammalia > Primates > Hominidae > Homo > Homo sapiens. Next base: position 2,837,784 of record NC_000001.11, on the reverse strand, counting down.
AGGTTTGGGAGGAGAGCCAAGTGTGCCAGGAGTGGACATGGCTGCCCTGTTTCCTGGTCCACAGGGTGATTTCTCAAGGGTGTTCAGCCACAGTGGGGCAGTTTTCCGCACTCACTGATGCTTCCATTAAAACAGAGCTCCCCATCCCCCAGACCACAGTATGGGTCCATGGCCTGTTAGGAACCGGGCCGTGCAGCAGGAGGTGAGCAGCGTGTGAGTGAGCAAAGCTTCATCTGTGTTTCCAGCCACTGCCCAACACTCACATCGCCACCAGGGCCCCACCTCCCGTCAGATCAGCCGTGGCATTGTGGCATTCGATTCTCACAGGAGCCAGGACCCTATTGTGAACCGTGCATGCGAGGGATGTAGGTTGTGCACTCCTCATGAGAATCTAAAGCCTGATGCTCTATCACTGTCTCCCCTTACCCACAGACGGGACCATCTAGTTGCAGGAAAACAAGCTCAGGGCTCCCACTGATTCTACATGACAGTGAGTTGTAGAATTATTTCATTAGATATTACAATGTAATCATCATAGAAATAAAGTCCAAATAAATGCAATGCCCTTGAATCATCCCCAAACCATCCCCCACCCTCCAGATCCATAGAAAAATTGTCTTCCGCAAAACCCGTCCTGGGTGCCAAAAAGGTTGAGAACCACTGAATTAAAAGGTTCACTAACAAGGGCGGAAGAGAATGCTGTTTTATTTCTGACAGGATCAGCTGCAGGTTATTCAATGTCCTCAACAAATCCCTCAAGTCAGGCACAGCCGTTATGGAAATCAGATTTTTTAACATGACCAAAGTCAGAAAAAAATACTCGTGCCTCATCCCCTCACATCACACAGATTGCACGGGGTACCCCATCTGGAGAAGAGCTGAATATTCCATCTTTTGGAGCAGCAGGCCTCAAAGATAAATACTCTTGACTACAGCAAGGCCTTGTGTCGCTTTTCCAGACATGGCTTCCCCTCTGCAGTGGGCTGGGAGGGGCTGTGCTGGCCTCTTGTCTCTGTGAATCAATCCCTGTGTTCGCTGCATTCCGGGCCCTCCTGCTCTGGGCCCTCCTGGCGGCACAGTGGTCCTCCCCAAAAGAGGTCAAGCCAATGAAATGTCCTTGCTTCTATCACCAGTTTCGGGAGACAATGGGACAAATGGTTTTGAAGCACTCCCAAGTCACCCAGGGCCAGACACTAATTCACATCTGCCCCGTAGTGGATTCTAAGTACAGACTCGACCTCCCGGCCGAGGCAGGTGCCATCGATCCTCCAACTCACGCAGACTCGGTGCTGGGCGCCTCTGCGCTGTCCTCGGCTGTTACCTTTGTGGTCTGTTCTAGGACCTTCTCAGTAGCCACGCAGCGTGAATGCCCATTCTGTGCAATTCTGAGTGGAATCACTTCTCTACCTTTCGCAGCAAAATTCTTCCACTTAAACCTAAAAAGCATTTTGCAGTTGTTCTAGGGGAAGAAAATGATTTTATCTGGAGGTTCCTGAGCTTTAAAAAAAAAAAAAAAAAAAAGAGATGCAAAAGCTTCAAGGGCCCCCTGCCTATATTTGACAAAGTTTCCTAGCAGATAATGCCCCGGGGGTCAGGGAGATGGATCTCGGCCCCCGCAGGCCTCACAGCCGCTGTGCAGCCCTTCAGAAGAAAACAGTTATTATTTGCATAATGGGATTTCTGCAGAAATCATAATTAATCTTAAATTTCACATTAGTGAATATATCTGAACCAAATTGCTCCAGCACTTTTTCTTCTGAAACCACCACGCTGCCTGAAGACCACTTGAAAGTGGCTGGAGCCCCCCAGGGGTCCATGACTGCCCTTCAGGAGACCCTGTCTGAGGCAGAGAGAGAGGGGGCGAGGCTGCAGGGTGCTAGGGGAGGGGCGCGGCTGGCAGTGGTGGGGAAGGGCACAGGAGGGGCAGCCTGGCCGAGGGGGTTTTAGGGACTATATGGATTTTATTAGCAGGGTATAGGGTAGCAGAACTGGGGGGCCGAGTGGCCGCTGTGTGGGAGGGGGAGCTGCCCAGCCAGGTGTGGGACCACCACTGAGCCACTCTTGTTTGGACAATGACTTGGAAATTACCCCTGCTCGACGCTTGAAACCTTAAGGTGAGATTTAAAGGGACTGGGGGCATTGAGACCATTCTCAGTGGGGGCCACTTGATGTTTTTCCAGATGACCTCCTGGGTTCAGGGGGCCTCCGGCTTGAGTGTCTAATGACTCCCAGGGGCTGGCCCCCCACTCCTCCATTGTACAGTCCCTGCCCCAGCCCCACCAACCAGGCAAGTGTCCCAGGACCTGGCCTGGAAACCTGGGTCCAAACCCACTATCGTGGCTGTCAGAACCCGGGATCCCCGGGGCCTTGTGCCCCAGCCACACAGCTGGCTCAGCCAGAGAAGGCCAAGTTTCTAGAAGGCACTAGATGGTGGACTGCAGTGGGGGCAGGCGGCACTGGCTGCCGGGGCGAGGTCGGCCCTGGTTCGGGGCGAGGGCAGTGCACAGAGCCCCCTTTCTCCTCTCTGCCCACCCCATGGAACAGTGGAGACATGTCCAAGTTCTCCAAGGAGGTCTGCCTGTACCAGCTCCGGATCCCTGCGTGGCCGCACCTCCCGGCAAAGCCTCTTTGTCCACGGCTTCCTGGCAGGGCCCCTACTGCAGACTCCTGTTCTGTAAACACCTCACAGCCTCCGACCCCCGACTCCCTCTGGCTCCCACCTCCCCCTCCCACTCTCTGTACCCACAAACTTCCCCTGGGCACCCACTGTTCTGGGCACGCTGGCGTTTGGGGGAAGCACGCACAGGCCCGGCCCAGGGCCTGCCCAGGAAAAGCTGAGGCAAGGATGGCAATAACCGTCCTCCTAGCTCGAAGCGATGGCTGGGAAGTGGCCCGGCCCCTCCATGCCTGGTGTCCTTATCTCTAAGCGGGGAGGAAAGGTGTCCCCCTCAGAGGCTGTTTGGTGGAGCAGCGGAGATGCCACTGGGGTGAGGCATTTTTCCTGATATTTTCCCTGGGGCCGGGGAGGCATTCTCAGGGGCAGCCCAGAGCAGTGCGGTCAGCCCCCCAGAGCCCTGGGCCACACAGGACAGCGCTCAGGCCACTTCAACAGCGAAATCAGCAACAAGAAACGCACAAAGCAAGAAACACGTACTAAATCGACCTCGAGAAAGAGGCTTGCTTGGCACTGGGTACACGTCCGGGTGACCTCAGGGCACTGGGAGTATGTATTTGGAGACCACCCATAGCTTTCATCACATAGACAAATTGGTAAATGTGGAATCCGTGAATGAGGATCAACTGTACTAAAAACAAATCACTGAATTGTACGCTTTGAAAGGGTGATTGGTGACTTACACCTGGAATGCGACATACGACACGACGCAGCCCTGCCCCGAGAGCCGGGAAACAACCCAACACACCTGCAGTGGGAACGGAGACTCCTGGGGGCCCCACGGCACCGCTGCTCACCCCAGCACCTCCCAGATCCTGGGGCAGGAGCCACTGCTTCTCCATCAAACCCGCCCTCTGACCACTCCACAGCACAGTCCCCTTCGGGCGGCACACACAGGGAGGGCAGGAAGAGCAGGACAGGCACACCGAGGCAGAGCCCGAGGCTGGTTCCAGGGAATAGGTAGCATGGACACGGGGCTAGGGGAGGCGGTGAGGGGCTGGGAGGCAGGAAGACCTGGCAGAGGGAGCCCCCTGAGCACAGTCAGAGGGAGACATGGGGTGGAGTTGCATGGGATGAGGAGAAGCCCCGATGCCCGGGATGGCCCTAGTTTGCACTCACTGTCCCAGCCAACGAACAGCTTCCCCCACTCTCAAAAGCACCCCAGTCTCGGCAAACGATTCTCTGGCAATCCTGCAAAAGGGCAGCATGCATGGCTACAGCACAGTGCCGGGGTGCACGGTGGAGGGGAATAGGGCTCTCCCTCTTTCCGGGGGGGTCTTTAGCTGAAGGGGCTTCAGCCAAAACATGGACCCTGTTTCCTTCCCCACTGGAGGCAGAGGGGCCATACCTGGTCCCCCGGAGGCAGCAGCACCCTGCCTGCCATCTGAGAGACACCTGTGTTGCTTGTCTGACATCCGCTGTGAAGAGTCAGGGGAGCCTCGGTGCTGCCTGGGGAGGATGGCACAGGAAGCCCCAGTGGGGCAGCTTCCCGCCTTCGACTCTGCCCCCACCCTCTGCATCGCAGCACTCCCAGCACCTGGCCAGGATGGGAAAACATTGCAGACAGTCACCAGGGACCATCCTCTGCACGCGCTCCCTCCCGGCCTCGAGTGACTCTATTAGAGAGAGTATGTTTTATTAATATCAGATATTAAAGTTTAATACTGTGATTGCAGGGGAAAAATGGGACTTCACCTTCAAGGAGTATTAGCGGATTCCAAAGAGAGTCTGTGAGCGGGAGGCACATTTGTCACAGCTTTGCAGGATGGGCGCCCCCATCCATCACACCCTTGGTGAGCTCTCCACGCTGCTGGCGGTGGCCACGGGGTGAGTGTCGCGACCCCGTCTGGTGCTCCCACCGGGTCAGCTCCCACCCCAGGGGTCTGGGGCCACCAGGAGAGGAAGTGTAGGTGAGGCAGGGGCACCAAGACCCCAGAGAGGGGGCTACAGACTCTGCATCCTGCACCTCTGGGTATATGGCTGGGACAGAGGCCGACCCCCTTCACTGGCCCCTGATTTTATGCAGGGAGCTCTGTGGGGCCCCCTGGGGCCTTGCCTGAGCCCCCAGCCTGGAGCGTACATCCGTGGCCCCCAGTTCACCCTTGTGAGCCCCTCGGACCGTTCTCACCCCTGCATGCCTGCAATGGACAAGGGCCACCCTCTCCGCTCAGAAGCCCGGGACCAGCAGGGTGGGGCGGGTGAGGAGCCATGGTGGAGCCTCCAGAAAGGGGGCGGGGCTCACTGCAGGTTCCTGCCTTGCACTCCTTAGAACTCCTGAGCCTGGCAGTTGGGGTGGGAGCCCCAGACCCAGGCTGGAGGCCCAGCAGCGGCTCAGACCCAGCCCTTAGGCTCCTCCCCCATTCACACCATAGATACCTCCAGCCGCCCCACATGCAAATGCACAGGCCACGTCCGCCTCCGCTGGCTGCTCTCACTCCTCCCACTGGCTGCACTGGGCCTGGCTTCTCCTGAACTTTGGGCCTCCCCCCATACACCTTTCTTCTGCACCCCGTGCTGATCCATGCATGTTTATGGGGGCGATGAAATCAATGAACACATTTGGGAAGGTGCCGTTGGTAACAAAAAGAACTGGTGATCAGGCCGTCAGGCCCTGGGGGGACTGCACCCACACCCATCAGCTCATGATGGAGCCCTAGTCCTTCAGTGTGGCTGTAACAGAATACCACAGGCTGCGTAATTTACAAAGAACCGAAATGTCTTTCTAACCATTCTGGAGGCTGGGAAGTCCAAGACCGAGGTTTGGTGTCTGGTGAGGGCTGCATCCTTCAGAGGGGGACATGCTCATGCCAGGGTGGGCGAGCTCACCAAATGCTGTGGACTCCCAGTCGTGAGAGGAGGAGCCCTAATGGCCCAATCACCTCTTAAAGGCCCCTCTTAATGCCACCACATTGGCCATTGAGTTTCAACACCTGATGTTAGAGGGGACACAATCAAACCACAGCAGATGGCGAGAGCTGGGCTGGCTAAGAAAGGACTCAGTCGGCAGATGGGGAATTCCTGCCTCTCGCATCCACCCTCCCATCCCTCTGCATGTGGCAGACATCACTAATCAATCGCCACACTCACTGCTGCTCAGCCCAGACCCAGCTGGACCCTCTCCAGCACTGGCCAGGCAGCCATGCCAGTTGGTGAAAGTGGGTGTCCCAGAGGGAGTCCAGCCAGATGCCTGCCTTTTACATGGGACACAGAGGATGAGGCGGGGGGGAGGGCAAGCGGGAGTTCCTCAGTTTCCCCTCAGAAAGGAAACAAGACTGGCAGCTCTCACGTGGTGGTACTCAGGCACCCACCCCTGGGTCTCAGAGTCCAGTGCAGCACTGGGTACACAGCAGGTGCTCCCTACGTGCCTGTGGGTGGCCACGCCCAGCCCTGAGTGCAGAGCCTTCCTGAAGCTGATGCTTCCTGCGAGGCAGGCCCCACGGCCTCAGGAAGACCTCAAAGGCCACACTCATGCATTCCACTCTTCCCAGCCCCTCGGGTTCTAGGTCCAGGGAGAACACGGAAGAGTGGCTGCTCCTGAGGCCCCTCCAGTGCCTCCCCAGAGGTTTAGACCACCTCAGGGGACAGGAGCAGCTCCATCCTCAGGATTCTGGGGCCTGGTGGGTGCAGGCTGGAGAGGAAGAGCAAGCTGGGAGCAGAATCCTCATGGGCCCAGCCCTTGAAGGCTCCACAGATGGGAAACATTATCTGCAGCCACCGGGCCCTTCCTGGGAAGAACTAAGTGTAAAGAGTAGCAGAGGCCATGAGGGGAACAGACCTTCTGGCAAAGCAGCCCCGTGAGGGGGGTGGGTGCGACCTCACCCAGAGGTGACCCCTCGGCATGGACAGGTAGAGACCACACAGGAGGCCTCCAGCCCACTGCTAGCCTGGGACCTGCTCCCAGCCCCTCCTTGCAGAGCTGAGGAGACCCTGAGAGGCCAGGACCCAAGGGCAGAAGCCCGGGCAGGGTGGCAGAGCTCAGGGGCTGAGAGGGCTGGGGAGGTGCACCTGGCACCAGGCTCTGAGGAATCTGGAGGGCACAGTGCCCAGGAGCTGCCACGCCGAGAAAGGCACCCATGGATGGCAGTGAGGCAGCGCCTGGCAGGAGAGACTTTGGTTGGCGCCATGATGATGGCTGTGGTCTTGGTAGCTTGGTAGTGGGAGCACAGGTGGGACCTGGCCTCACGGCGCTGGCACCTTCCCCCTCGCCGGGGCTCCGGGAGATGAAGCAGCAGCAGGCGGCGGGGGCGGGGGCGGGGCAGGGAGCCTCGCTTCTCAGGGAGACTTTGTGCATTCTGAATTTCGTATTTTGTGTTCTTTAAAAATAATCATTCAATTACAAATCAATATCCTCACACTTGTCTGACCACATATATCTGCCACCCCAGAAATGCTGTTTGCCCCCAGAACTGAGTGAGAGGGGAGGGCATTTGCGTCACTGAGGTGCTGGGAGCTTCTCTCTATGTCAGAGGATTGTATCCAACGCACAAGGAAGTAACCAGAATTTCCCGGTTACCTGCACCGTGGCCGGAGGTGGACATTTAAATTTAAATAAATTAAGATAAGTGCTTTAAAATTCCATTCCCGAGTCACACTAACTACGTCTCAAGTGCTCAGTAGACTCACGTGGCCCATGGACATAGGACGTCTCCACACAGGCAGCTCCGAGGATGGCCCCGGCACCCACAGCCAACCCCTCCGTTTCCCCGGGCTCTGCAGAGCACACAGTGGGAGCTCAGCGAACACTCGAAGGACAGGATGGATCCTCAGGCGGAGACTCAGTGCTTGGCCGTCTTCATAGCACTGACTCTGCCCCTGGCTTCCTGGAAGGAGGAGGCATTAACTGGAAGGAGGAGGGTGAGGGACTTTGGCACCCCCATGCCTGGGGCACCCCCAGAGCTCAGCTTGGCTCAGTGGAGTTTCGAGGGGGTGGGGCTGGTCAGGGAGGGCTTCCAGGAAGAAGTAGAGCCTCGGGCAGCGGGGAGGGCAGTTACTTGATGAGTGAGCAGGGAAGACCGTGGAGGGAGGCACCTGGCCAGACATAGCAGCGTGGACCTTGGAGGTGGGAGCCCTCCAGGGGGACCAGGAAGACGCTGGCCAGAGTGCACAGAGGCCCAGGACATGGACTCACACGGCTGTCCTGATGGCCACATCCCAGGCCATCATCCTGTCCATGACTCTGATGAAAGGAAACTCTTTCTGGAGGGAGGTCCCGGGCACCAGGAAGGAGGAGGATACCCCAGGCAGCCTGGGCCTGGGCAGAGAGGAGCACCGCAGAGCCTGGTGGTCTTGAGGTCACTTCCTCCACCCTCAGAGACCCCGGGAGGGATCCCCACCACCGGAGCCTCCCCTTGTCTCCCCTGAGCCTGGTGCCCGTTACCTAAAGCTTAAAGGAGCAAATAATGCGCCTAAACAGAGTCCTCTCCTTGTGTTGTGTTTTTTATTTAATTTTCCAAAGAACACACTCTTTTATCATCCAAAACCGTGAAAGTAAATTAAGAAGAAATGGGTTTCTTTCAATTAGGCTCCGCGTTGCTTTGAGTAACTGCCTATAATTCTATTTAATGAAAAAATAAAATCATTATTCCACTCTCCCCTGCCCTGTCACAGACCCACAGACGGGCTCCATTAGCGTGCACCGTAGATTTATTTAATTAGAAAAATATTTTGTTTTCTCTGATTCTTTGGGAACAGAAAAGGGAAGGGGGAAAAAAAAAACCTCCAGGCACAAAATTAATCAAATCTGTTACCTGGTAGTCAATGGTTTCTACACTCAGGCATCTCTCAATCCCTACGGTCCTTCCCACCCTTGGATTTCGACCCAAACTCAATCGCACACCACCAACGGGCCACCACCTCACCTCCCTGGCTGTGTCAGGCAAACTCAGATGCCAAGACCCTCGCTGCCGGGTGGGGGGACCCCCGCGGCAGGCAGATGGAGGATGGGGGCCAAATTCTTCCTTCACCACAAAGCATCAGTCCCCCGGGCTCTGCATGATGGGCAGGAAGCTGGAGCCCTGGACACACACGTGCTGTTTGTTAAGCAGAGCCCAGGACCGTGCCCACCTCACTCCCAAACCCGGGACAGGACCCCCACACTGAGGCCTCAGCTGCTTCCCAGGGCTCGGGAGTGGCAGAGAGTGTGTCAGAGAGAGGTGAGCTCGCTTTACAAAAGAGCCTCTCTCCCACCCTCCAGGGACAAAGCTAAGATTTGGGAGTGAGGCCCTGAGGACCCCTCGTGTGACCTCCAGTGGCCCTGCCGTGAGCTTAGGGTCCTCCGACCATCCAGCAGGAGCGTGCCACCTGCGACGTATCTGCCATGGGGATAGATGGACTCAGCGTGGACTCCAGGCCCATTCTGTGTACTTGGGGCCACCCTGTGCCCTTTTCTGTGAGCATTGAGCCTCCAGTCCCTGGTCTTCCCAGAAGTCAAAACACAGACTCCACTGGGAAGCCTGTTCACAGCCCTGAGGCCCCGTGAGGTCCCACTGTTTGGGGGCATTGGGTGGCAGCAGGATGGAGCCCAAGTCCAGGCCTAGGGGATGCCAGGGGATCCTGGCTCAGACTGAAGAGAGAACGTCCTGGGGCATGGCTTCGTTCAGCTCCAGGGCAGCGGATCCCCACACCAGGCCACAGCAGGCACTCCAGGAACACTGGCTGAATAAATCACCCACTGTTGGAAGCAAGCCCCCCAAAATCTGGCCATAAACTGGCCTCAAGACTGGCCATAAACAAAATCTCTGCAGCACTGTGACATGTTCATAATGGCCCTAATGCCCAAGCTGGAAGGTTGTGGGTTGACGGGAATGAGGACAAGGAACACCTGGCCTGCCCGGGGCGGAAAACCGCTTAAAGGCATTCTTAAGCCATAAACAATAGCATGAGCGATTTATGCCTTAAGGACATGTTCCTGCTGCAGTTTACTAGCCCAACCTATTCCTTCAATTTGGCCCATCCCTTCGTTTCCCATAAGGGATACTTTTAGTTAATTTTATATCTATAGAAACAATGCTATGCCTGGTTGGCTGTTAATAAATATGTGGGTAAATCTCTGTTGGGGCTGTCAGCTCTGAAGGCTGTGAGACCCCTGATTTCCCACTTCACACCTCTGTATTTCTGTGTGTGTGTCTTTAATTCCTCTAGTGCCACTGGGTTAGGGTCTCCCCCGATCGAGCTGGTCTCAGCAACCCACGAGCAGGGAGGCCTCAGGCCGGAGCCTGGAGCTCCCCTCACACCTCCCTCCTCCCTCCCGCTTCCTGTCACGCCTTCTTTCTCTTCTTCTTCCTCTCCCTTCCTGCCCCTTCCTTCCTTCCTTCTCTTCTCCCCTCTCTCTCCTTCTCTCCTTCCATCTTTCCCTTCTCCCATCCTCCCTTCTTCCTCTTCCTTTCTTCTTTCTCTCTGGACCCTGCAGGACCCTGTCAGTGGAAAAAGCCCACAGTTACAAGCAGAAACTCATGTTCTCTGAGGACCTTTGAGGTGAGGAAAGAAGGAACCCCTAGAAGAGCCACAAGCAGGTTTCCCAGACTGTGTGTCGTGGGACAGGACATCTGTGAGGTTGTCCTAACAAGAGCTCCCAGCCAGCTGAGCTTGGGGTGGGAACGGGGAACCCTGCAGATAGAGTTGCCAGAGAAACTAGGCTGTCCACTTGCTCTGGAATCCCAGATCAACACCAGGTCATTTCTTAGTACAAGTATGCCCCCAAATCGTGCATGGGATATACTTACACTCAGAAGGACTTGCTGATCTGACATTCAAATGTCACTGGGCATCCTGTATCTCTGTTTGCTCTATCTGGCCATCCCTGGGGTAGACCTTGGTCTCCTGGGAGGCCCCCAACGATGCCCCTTGCCCTCTAGAGGCTCTGAGAAGCACTCGGTGCACCCCTTCCTCCCAGAGCCGATGGTTTCTACTGCAGCTGACGCCTTCACCCTCCCACACAGAGGTAGGGCCTGCCACCATCCTACCCAGCCGGTGAGTGTGGGAGCTCCAGATCAGGGTGCTTTTCCTTCTTGGGGGATCTCAACTCGGCAAGATGGGAGCCCTGGGGCTGGCCTTCCAGTAGCCCCAACGTGTCCTCACCCAGGCCTGGCCCTGGGCCTCTCCCACCTGGCACTGTGCATGGCCCAGGGGTTGGTGGGTGCAGGTCCCCAGCAGACGAATGTACCACAGAGGGAGGTCACGTGACTCGGCCGAGCTGCAGCCAGACACCCAGACCTTGTTGTCCCAAAGCCAATCCCAGCCAGATGGGAGCTGGCACAAAGACAAGATGGCACGGCAGTGCCTACCTGGGCCAGGCTATGGCCTCTGAAACAGCCACTGTCTCCCTCTTGCTTTCTGGTTTTTCCAGCAGAATCTCACCGTTGGAAGTCGGCTCCTCAGCTTAGGTGGACGTGGACCCCACCCTGGTCCACCCCACACACCTCCTGGACGAGGGAGATGGCCCAGGGGACAGGGATCTCCGGACTGACCTGGGAGCTGGGCTTCCCTCAAGCCCCTCAGGAGGGCCAGGCCTGGAGACAGCAGGACCCCCACGTGAGGACACGGTGCATGGGAACCAGAGAGCCCTGTCCCAGCTGCTCCCAGCAGGCGCGATCCAGAACACTCTCTATGGCCAGAGCTTGGCCAGCACCTGGTTGAGTTAATGCCACCACCAGCGTCCTGACCACAGGCGCCTTCCTCAAACGCCCCTGAGGGGCTCGGAACCAGCACAGGGTGGAGTCCTCGCTCCACTCCACCAGGTCTTGTGTGAAATCCTCAAACTCAGCTCGGTGGCGCAGACCTGCCCGCCGTTCTCTGCCTACACTTGGCAGCCCCTGTTGGCACAGGCATGAGAACATTCTCCACCTGGGGCCCAGGGCTGCGGGGGGTGACCTGACTGAGGAAAACTGGCCCCTAAGAAGCAGCGTTTTAGAAAACCTGACCACAGCCAAGCTGTCTCTGCTCTCGGCCTGGCAGTGTGGGAAACTGCAGGTTTTTCTTGCTGCACCTCAACAAACATCCCCCCATGCCCTGCCCGGCTTCTGCCCACCAGTGGGGGAGCCACAGAAGAGGGGGTTCCTCTGAAAGCTGAACCCCCCCCCCATTAGGGCTGAACTCTGGCCCTGCGTTGAAAAGGTGACTTAGGTGAAATGACGTCATAAGGGTGGGCCCTAATCCAGGTGTCCTTACAGGAGGAGGTGAGGACAGATGCATGGAGGGACGCCCCTGTGAGGACACAGAGAAGGCGGCATCTACCAGCCACAGAGAGGCCCCTGGAGGAGCAAGCCCTGCGGCGCCCTGACCCTGGACTCCCAGCCTGCAGGGCCGTGGGAACAGTGCTGTGTAAGCGTCCAGGCTGTGGTGCTTTGCTGTGGAAGTCCCTGCAAACCGACCCCACTCCACTGCTGCTTTCTGGCTTGAAACAAACAGAAATGTTTGCAAGCTCCCTCTCCAGATCAACAGTCAGGGGCTATTGTGCTGAGTGTGGAGGGCGTCCTGAGGCAGAGCCCCCGAGGGTGGCACCAGCTGCAGGGAGGGGTCCTACCGCAGCCCAGCTGGGGATCTTCTCCAGCATTTACCTCGAGTTGGTGTGGACCGGAGCCTGCTGCCAGGCTGGGTTCCCTCGCGGCCATGTAAGTTGGCCCCTTTCTCCCTCCATCTAGGGAAGACACTACATTTTACCTTTTCTTACCAATGGTGACCCTAGTCCCAGCCTTCTCTAGGAGCCTGACTTTGACCTCACCTCCAGCAGCCCATTCTGCCCTGGAAAGCAAGCCCTCACCCCCACAGAGCTTAAGCCCCTGCCTGCAGAACAGGGGACCTAAATTGAAGCAGGGGACCACACAGGTGACCCCCAGTCAGAGACACCCATGGACCCCAGAGGCTCTCCATCCCCAGGGAAGGTGCCACCAGGCATGCCCTCACCTGGCCCTGGCCCTGGGGAGCTGCAGACAGAGAGACCAAGCTGCCTGGTGGGAGACAAAGCACCCTCCATCAGCCAGGCAAAGTCTCCCCCCATCAGCCCAGAGGGGCAAAGTCCCCCCTCCCCATCAGACCAGAGGGACAAAGTCCCCCCACCCATCAGCCCAGAGGGGCAGGCTGTGACCCTTTCCCAGGTCCTGGGGACAGAGTCTTCTCCCCACCTCCTTCCTGGACCCCCTGTACTGGCTGACCCCTTAGTGCCACCCCCCCAAACACACACACACACACACACACACACACACACACACACACACACACACACTCACCGAGATGCTCTTTTGGCAGAATAAGCCCCAGGTGACCTCAGAACACCTGGACATGGGGCAGAGGGAGGAGAGGCAGCCAGGATTCGCCCCCCAGGCATCAGCTCCAGGGCAGCCCCAAACCAAGGTGGTATCAATGGGATAGCTGTCCCCACCCAAATCTCGTGTGGAAATGAAATCCCCAGTGCTGGAGGTGGGGCCGGCGGGAGGTGCTTGGGTCCTGGGGGCAGAGCCCTCCAGGTTTGGTGCTGTCTTAGCGACAGATCTGGTTGTTTAAAGTGTGTGTGGCAGCTCCCCTTCTCTCTCTTGCTCCTGCTCCCACCACATAAGGCACCTACTTCCCCGTCGTCTTCCACCGTGATTGGAAGCCTTCTGAGGCCTCCCCAGACGCAGATGCCACCGTGCTTCCCACACAGCCTCCAGAACCGTGAGCTTTTCTTGTAAGTTACACAGACATGGGCATTTCTCTACAGCAGTACGAGAACAGCCTAATGCACACGCCTCGCCCAGCAGCGGCTCCTGGGCATTTGCTTCCCCTGGGGCTGGGATGTGCCACCTACATTGAACTTCCTCATTAGAACAGAAGACGAAAACCCCGAAATATCCAAAGAAGGAAGGCAGTCAGCTGCAATCCCAACACCCAGAGACGGCCCGGTGAGCTCTCAGAGCACATGCTTCTGGGTTGCTCTGCCGTGTTCTCAGGTGGACATGACAGGACTGTCCACCCCATCTGTGGTCAGCTGAATGACAGTCCCCACAGATGCCCACGTCTCAGTCCCCGGAACCTTACCTGGCGCATTCGTCAGGGCTCTCTGAGGAAGCAAAACCAGCAGGCTGTGTGTCGGGGGGAAAGGGGATCAGGAAGGCCAATGGAGCCCACCATCTGCCATCTGCAGCCTCGAGACCCCGCAGGAGCCCCTGGTTTCCTTAAAGCTGAAGGCAGAGTGAATTCCTTCTTATCTGGGGAGGGGCACCTCTTTAGTTCTCTGCAAGCCTTCCCCTGGTTGCGTGAGGCCACCCGCATGACAGAGGGCAGCCTTCTTTACCCTGTCTACCTGTTCAAATGTCAATCTCACCCAGAAACAGCCTCACAGACAGACACAGCCAGAGTCACACTGACCAAGTGTCTGGGAACCCCACAGCCCCGTCAAGTTAACCCATAAAAGTAACCATCACGCCTGGCAAAGGGGACTGTGCAGAGGGGGTTAAATTGAGGTTCTTGAGATGAGGAAATTATCCAGGATTATCCAGGTGGGGCCAGTGTGATCACTGGGCTCTCCTAAGAGGGAGGCAGGAGGGTCAGAGCGGGAGGACATGCGGGTGTAGAAGCAGAGATCAGAGAGAGGGACTGGAAGGAGCTGTGCTGCCAGCTTTGAGAACGGAGGAGGAACCACAAGCCAATGAGCATGGGCATCTCTAGAAGTGAAAAGGCAAGGAAGAGATTCTCGCCTCGAGCCCCCAGGAGGAACCCGCCCTGCCACACTTTCATTGTAGGACTCTGACTTCCAGAATTCTACAATAAGGAATGTGTGGTTCTAAGCCTTAAGTTTATTTCAATTTTTATAGCAGCCAAAGGAAAAAACACATCATTCATGTTGTTAGTAGAATAAAATTCCATTTGATGTCTGTGCAATAGTTTCTCGGCTGTTCCTCCAGTTTTGAAGACTTGGTTGTTTCCAGTTCCGGCATCGTAAATAACACTGCGATGGACATCTTTGTTCTCAGAGGCCCCCGGCATTTTCCATTGCTTTTAAGGCAGGTGCCCTATGGGTTTCCAGAAGCCCAGCCCTAGCCCCACCCTGTCCACTGCAGCGGGGGACTGGTGAGGAAGGGGGTTGGGGGCCAGTGCTCATTTGCGACCCTTTCAGGGTGACCTCGTCAGCTTGAAGGACAGCTTGCCTCAGTCCTGGCCTAACGTGGGGATGGGGCTGCGCTCTCATTTCCCCCAGGCCTGAGACAAACTCTCTTTCAGGAGTGGTCCTCGTCCGGCACCAAGGTCCCCGAACCCCTGAGAACTCGCCACTTGCAAGGGCCCTCCTGTCTGGAGAGCACAACCTGCTCACGGCACAGCTGCCACGCACCCCCTTCCTGTCCTGCAACCACCTCCCAGCCTCTGTCCACTCTAGACCCCAGACAGGAGAATGGGCTGCACCCACCATGTTGTGTGGGTCTCGTGAGCAGGAGGCCAGCCCCTCCCCCAGACATGTTTCAATGCTTGTCCAGTGGAGCAGAGACCCCTGTGAGGACAGGTGGAGGGGAAGATCCAGTCAGAAGGAGCTGGTGGAAACTTCTGCAGGAGTAACAGCAGGACCCCTCTGCCCTCTGCGGCCCAACCATGGTTGGAAGCTGGATGGGGGCTGCACTTGGACTCCAGACCACAACCCCTGTGGCCGCAGGCCCTGCCGCCCAAGCACCTCCTGCCCACCTGCCCTGTTTCCTCACGCCCTGGAGAAGCCCTGGGTGGCCGTGCTTTCGAGCACCCCCCAAGCCCAAGCCCGGTATGTGGGCCGTGAGGATGCTCAGTGCAGGCCCAGCTCCAAGGGCACCGGCCAGGGTCCCCACTGCACCCTTCCCACCCCAGGTCCAGGTCTGAGGCCCCTCCCCTGCCCTGCGCAGTGGTCTTCCTGCGGCCTGAGCCCCTCCCCAGCCTCCCCTTGACTCGCACCTGGAGGGGGGCTCCGGCGTGGACAGCCCAGCTGTGCGTGGTGCGTGGCCGCCCTCTGCTGGTGTCCACGAGCAGTGACCGCGGGAGGAGGTGGAGCAGCCACCCGCCCCGCCCCAGTGCACACTCTGGGCCCTCCAGGGCGCCTGCCAAGAGGGGCAGGGCCAGGACTCAGGAGCAGTCGCCGTGAACTCTGGAGGGATCCCCAGTCCCTCCCTCCACAGCCTCGGCCGAGGCATCGCTAGCCTCGTTGCATTGAGGAGAAAACTGAGGCACAGCCGAGAGACAGCCATCTGGAGGTGGAGCTGCTCGGCCCCCACGTGCCCACCTTGAGTGAAAGCACCTCTCTCCAGAGGGGACATCTCACCCTGGACAGAGGGAGCCACATGAGCATCAGTGCCCTCCCCACCCCCTTGCCCAGATGGAGAAACTGAGGCCTGGAGCCCCAGGCCCCATGTCCTGGCCGGCCCCTATCAAGAGCTCATCCTCCCACAGGGCAGTGATCCGGGGGCTGCCTCAGGCAGGGACGCTCTGGAGGGAGGCCCAGAAGGGGGTGTCTGGTGCAGGGGAAGTAGAGGGCTGAGCAGGGCCTCAGCTGGTGGGGCTGGGACCGCCCTTAGACCCCATAAGACCTCTTCCCCAAAGCAGCTCCCAGGTGGGCTGGGGATTTCAGTGGGTCTGTCTGCAAGGGAGGTGAGTGCGAGGACCGGCTGCAGCCGTGCCCGGAACAGGCCGGCCGGCTTCAGGGGTCTCCCTTTTGCGCGTTGCTGGGCCATCCCCTAGAAACTGGTTCCCCCCAGGCCCATCCACCCATGAACCCTTCCCTGGGTGCTGCATCTGAGCACACGCGGCTGCAGGGCTCTGCAGAGTCAGGCGGAACTGCAGGCAAGGCCTGACTCCACCAGTGTCCAGCAGCCACCCCCAAGCTCACAGACTCTTTTTCCCAGCCCACTGTTCCCCAGAAGCCACAGAGGCCTGGCACTGGCCCTGGGACCCTCCTTGGCCCCCTGAGACCTGGCTGTGCTGTTCTCTAGAGCTGAATGCCAAGCCTGGCTCGGAGGTTCTGACTTCTGTGTCCCACCCTGGTGCCGCCCCCAGCCATAGCCCCTTCAAGATGCCAGGGTTCAGCAGGCAGCCGGCAAAACTTGCCAGCCGATGTAGCTGAGCGGCTCCTGGCTCCAGAGACAGGGGCCTGTTGGTCTTGGTGGGAAAAACATCAGGGTCAACTATTTATCTGTCCTGACGGCAACAGCTGGGCCATTTCTGTCCCCTGAACCATCACTCCTGGAACATCCATGCAGCTGGACGCTGGCCAGAACACGGGCAGGACTCAGACCCAAGGCTGTGCTCACCTCCACCCCTCACCAGAGACCTGGCTGCTAAGAATGCGGGGCCACTACCGCACAGTCCTCCTGGTCCAGCACTTTGGCCCCCTGCCTCCAGATCCCCAATGCCCTGGACCCCCCATCTGCTGGCTCTCTGGCCTCCAGCCCCTCAGTCTCTTATCCCCCAAGACACTGACCCTGGCCCCCTGGCCCCCTGGCCCCCTGGTCCCCTGAACCCCTGGCCTCCAGCCCCTCAGCCCGTGGTACCCCAAGACCCTGACCCTGGACCCCCGACCCCTGGACCCCTGGCCCCCTGGCCTGGGACCCACATGCACAGTGGTAGGAGCATGGAGGGCGCTGGGCCAGGCCCACACTGCACACCTAGGACTCCTAGGGCAGCCTCTGTGAGTGACTCTTTGGGCCTCTCCGCTGACTTGGGGTCACTGCCATGGGGAGAAACCGAGGCCCCTGAAGTGAAGGCAGGTCCTGGAGCCAGTGCAGGTCAAGGATCATGAGGGCTGAGCAGTAATTGGGGCTGAGCAGTAATTGGGGCTGAGCGGCAATTCGGCCTGAGCGGTAATTCGGGCTGAGCGGTAATTCGGCCTGAGCGGTAATTCGGGCTGAGCGGTAATTCGGCCTGAGCGGTAATTCGGGCTGAGCGGCAATTCGGGCTGAGCAGTTGCAGATGGTTTTCTCGCTTCACTCACTCACTCTCGTCCTCCTGGGAGGGAGATCTTGATGCCTCCACTTTCAAACATGGAGAATCGGTCACGGGGCAGCAAAGGGACGGGGAAGTAGTGGAGTCAGTCGTGGACGCAGATGCGCTGACTCCAGAGCCCCATAGGCACACGCTTGGGCGCTGCACCCAGGGAAGAGATGTGGTTGGGCGGGGCAGGGGAGCTGAGTCCCAAGGTCAGGACATGGCAAGGTCAGACTCAGGAGGAGGGAAAGAGCTGCTCCTTCTGGAACAGAAAGGAAGAGGCCGCATCTATCCTGGGGTTCACAGGGCATCCCCAGAAAAGACAGCTGTGTGGCAGAGCCAGACAAGGGTGCCCACCAGGTGTGCTGGTGTGTATGACGGCAGGTGTAGGGGTGTGCATGCAGGTGTGTGTGTGCAGACGTATGTGTGTGTGCATGTGTGTGCCAGCAGGTGTGGCTGTTCATGTGTGTTCATATAGGTGTGTGTGTGTGTGCAGGTGCGTGGGGGTGTGCATGTGTGTGCATACAGGTGTGTGTGCAGGTGTGTGTGTACATGTGCGTGCAGTGTGGCTGTTCATGTGTGTGCAGGTGTGTGGTGTGTGCATTCATGTGTGTGCACACAGGTGTGTGGGTGTGCAGGCGTGTGTGCAGTTGTGTGGGGGTGTGCATGTGGGTGCATACAGGTGTGTGTGCAGGTGTGTTGGGTGTTCATGTGCATGCAGGTGGGTTTGTGCAGGTAAGTGTGTGCACCTGTGTGGGGTGTGCAAATGTGTGCATACAAGTGTGTGTAGCTTCCAGGTGTGTGCATACAGGGTGTGCAGATGTGTGTGGGTGTGCATGTGTCCATGCAGGTGTGTGTGCGCCAGTGTGATGTGTGCATGTAGGTGTGTGTGTTCAGGTGTGTGTAGGGAGAGGGGCTGCAATGATTGGATCACTGAACATAGGCACTGGTCACATGACCCTGCACAAATTCTTGGACTTCTCTGTGCCTCCGTCTCCTCCATTTTAAAATGAGAATAGGGCAGACCGAGGTCTTGTAGGCGTGAAGCTTTTCAATTTGGGAGCCCACTTTAAGAGAAAGGATATAAAATTACGCACAGTGCCTGGAAGAGGCCCATGCAAATGAGGACCCTGAAATTAGCTTTCCAATAAATCTGTCCAAATGGGGAAATACAGCCACCCTTGGAGGGTGCCTTGAGATCAGAGACACGGCAGGATAGGACTGTGGGAGCACCTGCCTAGGAATGGCGCTGTCCAGGTGTCAGGTTTCACTAATGGCCTGGGGTACACACATGCGCACACATGCGCACTCACATGGATGGCATGCACCTGAGGCACGTATGCACATGTATAGGCACACACGCATATGTTCATAAGTACATGTGTGCATTGCACTTTTGCACACATTCACATGGCCATATACACGCCTATGTATCTGCACTCACACCTGGGCACATGCACAGATGCACCTCTATGCGCAGGCACACACGCACAGACTCATGAGCATGGCATATACACACATGTATGCATGCAGGCACACTCACATGCAGACACAGGCACACAGACATGCACATATGCACACATGCAGAGAGGGCTGTTGTGTTTCTGGTGCCTTAAGAAAGCTTGGGGCTTCCTGGAGAGGAGAACATGAAGGGAGTACTTGAATCCAGAGCCCAGGGAAGGCCCAAGACCCAGGGGGAGGAGAGGGCCAGCATGGCAGTGTCTACTTGCCCCTGCAGCCCCTGCAGGGCAGGCAGCAGGGAGAGCCTGGGGTGCACCTGGTTCCCATAGTGGTTGGTTGTGAGTGGTGCCCACCAAGACCTGAAGCAGTGGGGCCCCCAGCTGACACTCCTGGCCCAGTGAGAGCAGGGGTAGGAAGAGTGTGGGCCTCACCCTGGGGCCCCCAGCCAGCCCTGAGCCCTGGAGGGCCTGGAGGCTTCTACAACACTGTGGGGATGGGGAGCCGAGAAAAGATGGACAATGAACCTCTCACCAGCCAAGGAAGGACAAAGAGGTGCGTGTGTTTGAGCTGGAGAAAAAAAAAAAAAAACACTAAGATGATTCAGCACACACCAGTATCATGGAGTCAAGGTCAAGACCAGCCAGATGGCCAGGCCTCCGTGGGAAAGTCAAGACCAGCCAGATAGTCCAGCCAGACGGCGAGGCCTCCATGGGCTCTGTGGGCCTTGTCCTGGTGCTATAGGGAAGCATGGGAAGGGCTTGGCAGGGGAGCAGCACCCTCAGAACAGGGGCTCCTGCTGACCAGCAGACTAAACAGAGGCCGCAGCCCACTTCCAAGGACTCCTGTGTCCCGGCGTCCCACGATACCATGCCACCTGTAAGAACCAAGGTCCTAGAGCGTTTACTGGTATACTGCCGTGACTTCAGAATTTTTAAGAAATCAAAATCCAATCCTTTATATCATGAGGCCAGGATCAATAATTCAATTGCTCAATTTATTCAAAAAGACAAACCCATGCAGAGCCTAGAAGCCTAGCGGGTTCCCATCCACAGGAGCCATGACAAGCACCCACGGAGCAGCAGTGATTCCAGCTTCAGTCCAAAGGCCTTCTCCCAAAACAGTGAAATGTGTGCCTGATGGTAGAGGGATTGATATGTCATAAACGCTTCGGAACCTCCGTGCAGATGGAAGAAGCCTCAGGACGAAGACAACAGGAGACTCTCTCTAAACAGTGGTAGCTTGCTGTCAAGAGGAAAAGAGCAGGACCTTAAAGAAGATTTAATTTTCCTGTTCAGAAAAAAGAAAGTGCAGCTTGCTAGCAGCATTCATTTAATTTTACATCAATACGCTCTTTGAGGCTGAAACAAATCTGACTGATTTTCAACATGGAAATAAAATATAAAAACTGTTCTTGGAGTTATTTCTAAACAGAACTGACATCAGAATCGTCTGAATTATCAGAATCGTCTATTTCGGAAAAATCGGATTCATCAAACGAATCTTCGGCCAACAAGTGTTTGAGAACAATGTCACCATCACGCACAGGAATGGCATGGTTTTTTGCAGCGATCGAAAGTTACTATATTTGTAAATGGAAATACCATGACTAAAAACAAAATAATAGAATGATGGCTTTTGTTTCCAAAGTCGATATTCCAGAGCGATGGGAAAATAATAATAAAAGTGAGATATTTTGTGGCAAAGCTATCTCAGTAAATGCCGCAGCCGTGGGCACTGCTGGTGAGTATTCTCAGGGCAAATGGGAAAAGGGTTAAAAGAATGTCTCAGAGTCCAAGGAGCAGCGGCACCGTGCAGCGGCTGACTCTCCATCCTTCCCGTCGTGGCATCGTTGGCAAGGTAAGGTGGCTACTTTTCCCACAGGAGATGCAGACTGACCCCACCTGCTTTGAATCCGGGCCGACCACTGGGATACGTGAATGTGGCAGCAGACAAGTTCACAGTGGCCCTGGGGCTTCCTCAATCCATCTCTTCCCCACCCCCAAAAAAACCTGCTTCTGCCGTCGGGACAAGCTCAAGCTAGTTGTTGGAGGATGAGAGGCCACACAGAGGAGACTTGAGGCGCCTCAGCCCACAGCCCGCCCAGCCCTCAACCATGGAAAACGCTAGCCTGGACCTGGAGGATCACCCTACCCCATCCTCTGCTGACCAAAAACACAAGAACAATGATTGATATGGATTGTTCCAAGCCACTGACTGTTGGGGTGATTTGTTAAGCAGTGATCAACGACCCATATCTACCACCAAGGCTGGCGGGCAGGGGCATTATCATGGCTCACTGCAGCCTTGACCTCCTCTCGGGCTCAAGCAATCCTCCATATTAGCCTACTGATTAGCTGGGACTACAAGTGCTTGCCACCACTCCCAAATAATTTTTATATTTTTTGTAAAGACAAGGTTTCTCCATATTGCCCAGGCTGGTCTTGAACTCCTGAGCTCAAGCAATCTGCCCGCCTCGACCTCCCACAGTGCTGGGATTACAGGTATGAGCCACCACATCCAGCCTCTCCAGCTTTTCTTTTATTACATGATGTTTGATTTTTTATAACATACTTTGCTTTAATTCATTTATCTGCTAAAACCTTCTTTTAAAATAATAGTAAACGTTTGATGTCTATAGTTTTATAAACATATATTTTGCTTGATGTTGTAATACACTTAAGAACTTTTACATCTCAAACATAGTAAATGTTTAGTTTGATTTTTTAAATGAGATTCAAATACTTTAAAAATAATATGCTTTTTCAATATCATGAGAATAAACAGCAGAAGAACAGAACCATGTTCGGCTCTACAGCCACCGCTGCCAAAGCCTGGGCAACACTCAAGAATGCGAACAAATCCCAGGTCGGCACTGCCTGATCCAGACCCTGGGGTCCTCGTCCTCCTGCCCAGCATGGGGTGCTGGCTGTGCTGAGGCTGCGGCCAGGACTACAGGGACGGAGTTGTGTGATTAGGTGCGTTCCCAGAAGACCTCTGGGTACAGGCTGCAGCTCCAGACGGGAGGGCCAGGGAGAGGCCAGCCTCGCCCTTCAGGCCAGGGAGCCAGGAAGCAACCTGGCCCCAGGTGGAGACGCCTGCCTCCTTCCGCCGGGGTCCTCGCCCAGCCTGGCCCTCCTGCTCCCTGCCCCCAAGCCCCGGCTGCCACCCCACAGGGGTCTTAAAAAGTTAAAAACCCAGTTCTTCCTGAGCTCCTGAGTTGCAAACAGAAATCTTACTATTCTTTTTTTTAGTTTTAAAATTACAATCATCATTTGCAGGCTAGGTGCAGTGGCTCACGCCTGTGATCCCAGCACTTTGGGAGGCCAAGGCAGGCGGATTGCTTGAGCCCAGGAGTTTGAGATCAGCCTGGGCAACATGGTGAAACCCCATCTCCACAAAAAAGACAAGAATTAGCCAGGTGTGGTGGTGTGTGCCTGTGGTCTCAGCTACTTGGGAGGCTGAGGTGGGAGGATCACTTGAGCACAGGAGGCAGATTGCAGGGAGCCGAGATCGCACCACTTGGCACATCACCCTGGGCGACAGAGTTAAGACCCTATCCCAAAAAATAAAAAATTATTAAATTAAATCATTTTTAATGGGGGAATAGCTAAATTCCTTTAAACATTTTAGATCCTGGATGGAGCTGGATGGAACCGAATATCTTAATTCTAAAAAGATTTCCAGAAAATCATACCGACCAGAGGACATCCAGCCCAGCTTAACACAGACGACGACCACTCAAGGTGAGACGCAGCCCTTGGCCCCAGCTTCCCATGGGCAGGGAGCCAGCCGAGCCCCTCAGAGGCGTTCCCCAAGGCTCTGCAGATGCGGCCCAGGAAGATGCAGGAAAAGAAGGACAGCCCAGTGTCTGGGGCCCCTCCCAGGGCGAAGAACCGGCATTCCTACCGCAGCCCAGGCTGACGCTGCAGCCAGTCCCGGGGCATTTTAGAGTCCCCAGGGACCGGTAACTGCTGTGGGTCCCCTGATTCCCCTTCTAGTTGGGCGCATTTACCGAGACAAGCCTGTCCCCGGCTCGGTGCTGTGTGGGGCCCAGCAGGGCTGGTCACTCGTCTTAGTGCCCAAGGCTCCAGGTTAAGAGGAGCCACGTGAGCCACGATGGTCATCACCAGATGCTGGGTGCCGTGCTCGAAGCCAGGACCGGCTGAGGCTTTCGGGGGTTGCATGTTTTGCATGCATCAGTGAAGGAGACATTTGTGACCCACTACTGGGGCAGGTGGTTTCACTTTCCCACCATTATGTCCAGAATTGGTAGGTTCTTGGTCTCACTAACCTCAAGAATGAAGCCGTGGACCCTCGTGGTGAGTGTTACAATTCTTAAAGATGGTGTGTCCGGAGTTTATTCCTCGGGTGTGTTCACAGTTTTTCTTCTGATGGGTTCGTGGTCTCGCTGGCTTCAGGAGTCAAGCTGCATAGCTTGGCGGTGAGTGTTGCAGCTCTTAAGTCGGCGGATCTGGAGTTGTTCGTTTCTCCCATCCGGAGTTGTTCATTCCTCCTGGTGGGCTCGGGCTCTCACTGGCCTCAGCAGTGAACCCGCAGACCTTCGTGGTGAGCGTTACAGCTCACAAAGGCAGTGCGGACCCAAACAGTGACCAGCAACAAGATTTATTGCAAACAGCAAAAGAACAAAGCTTCTACCGCATGGAAGACGACCCCAGCGGGTTGCCCCTGCTAGCTCGTGCAGCCTGCTTTTATTCCCTTATCTGACCCCACCCACATCCTGCTGATTGGTCCATTTTACAGAGAGCTGATTGGTCCGTTTTGACAGGGTGCTGATTGGTGCATTTACAAACCTTGAGCTAGACACAGAGTGCTGATTGGTGCATTTACAATCTTCCAGCTAGATATAAAAGTTCTCCAAGTCCCCACGAGATTAGCTAGACACAGAGCACTGTTTGGTGCATTTACAAACATTTAGCTAGACACAGAGTGCTGATTGGTGTATTTACAATCCTCTAGCTAGATGTAAAAGTTCTCCAACTCCCCACCCGACTCAGGAGCCCAGCTGGCTTCACCTAGTGGATCCCCCTCTGGGCCCGGGAGGGCAGCCCACCAGTCCTGCACCACACCCACACCCCTCAGCCCTTGGGCGGTCGATGGGACTGGGCGCCTCGGAGCAGAGGGCGGCACCTGTCAGGGAGGCTGGGCCCCACGGGAGCCCACAGTGGGAGGGGGGCTCAGGCATGGCAGGCTGCAGGTCCCAAGCCCTGCCCCATGGGGAGGCGGCTGAGGCCTGGTGAGAATTCAAGCATGGCGGAGGTGGGCCGGCAGTGCTGGGGTACCTGGTGTACCCTCCTCCGCAGCTGCTGGCCCAGGTGCTAAGCCCCTCACTGCCCGGGGCTGGCAGCGCCGGCCGGCCACTCCAAGTGTGGGGCCCACCGAGCCTGCACCCACCCGGAGCTCACGCTGGCGCGTGAGCACCACGTGCAGCCCCGGTTCCTGCCTGTGCCTCTCCCTCCACACCTCCCTGCAAGAGGGAGCCGGCTCTGGCCTCGGCCAGCCCAGAGAGGGGCTCCCACAGTGCAGCAGCAGGCTGAAGGGCTCGTCAAGCATGGCCAGAGTGGCCGCCGAGGCCGAGGAGGCGCCAAGAGTGAGCGAGGACTGCCAGCATGCTGTCACCTCTCACCATCCCCAGTTCTCCTGTCACCTCCCTGGAGGAGGGTGTGTTCCTGGTGCCACTGGCTTTGTGCCTGGCCACGTGACACATCTTGACTCATAGAACGTGGGCACAGGTGAGGTGCGGCCCTGTCAGATCCACGGAAAATGCACTTGCAGGGGTTGGCCGAACCCCTCTTGCTCCTTCCCCTTTCTGTTAGTTTCCTATCAAAGCTGCAACAAAAACAACAGAAATTTACTACCGTTCTGGAGGTCAGATGCCTCCAATGGGTCCCACTGGGCTAAAATCAAGGTGTGAGCAGGGCTGCCTTCCTCCTAGGGGCTCCACAGAAGAATCCATTTCACACCTTCTCAGCTTCTAGAGGCTGTGGCATCCCTGACTCATGGCCCCTTCCTCCACCATCGCAGTTGGCAGCACAGCTGACCCTAGCCTCCACCTTCACTGTCACGCTGCTCTTTGGCTCCGACCCTCCTGCCACCCCTTGTGAATATTCAGGTGCCAGGGCCCTCTCCATCTCAACATCTCTACTCACCCTGCAAAGCCCCTTGAGCCACAGGAGGTCACATGTCCACAGCTTCCAGGGACAAGGGTGTGGACATTTTGGAGGAGCCATGATGCTGCCTCCCACACCTCCGTTCGAACATTATCACAGCCCAGACAGATTCTCCTGCAGCCTGGGGCCTGGAATGCAAAGGCCACTGGGGCCAAATCAGCTGCACGGAGCTGAGCCAGCAGAGCCGCAGGCAGCAGCCGCCCTGTGAGCAGCTGGGAACCACTGAGAAGTGGAGATGTTTGTCATAGCAGCAGCAGCTGGCAGATACTTGCTATCCACACACCCTGGGCACACATGGGCACCAAGGCTGGGGGCGACAGGTGGGTTTTCTTTTCTTTGTAGAGATGGAGGCTCCCTATGTTGCCCAGGCTGGCCTCCTCAAGCTATCCTCCTGCCTCGGCCTCCCAAAGTGCTGAGATTACAGGTGTGAGCCACTGTGCCTGGCCATTATTTTTAAATATCTTTAAACTATTTTTAAATAATCAAAAAAGCCATTTTTGTTTTGTTTTTTTTTTCCAACTGAAACCTAAAGTATTTTTCTCACTTCACTTCCTAGAACTTTACACTGTGGGATTCTCTCCTGACAGCCAAGAAGGGGGTTTTCCCTTCTACCATGAAGAACTTCCCCGGAGGTCTCCCCACATCTAATAATTAGGAAGATAACGTGGTCATCAACAATAAAAGCTGCCCAGGCAGGCGCCTGCACAAGCCTCAGATCAGAAGGTCATTCAGGCACAGCAAATGGGCCGGCCCTCCCCATGGATGACAGCTTCTTCAGTGCCTCAGAGCCAGTCAAGCCCCCAGGCCCAGAAGACAATCGCAGGAGACCGTAGCTCCTCCCTGTCCCCAAGGCGCTGCCGGCCGGGCTGCCTTCAGCAGCCACACAGCCAAACCTGTCTCCTCTCAGTTCCTATTTCAGCCTGAGCCTGAAACTGCCACCACACAGCCCCCTCTGTGGATGGCCCCCCACACACCTCACACCCCACTACAGACCTCACACCCCACTATGGCTTCAGCCCCTGGGGATCCCCTGTGCCGCTCTCAGGGGGCTCCTCCTCTCTCTTCCCTGGCTCAGACACAGGCCTTAGAGCTGGAGCCGGCCATGTGCTAGCTGCTGGGGCTGGCCTGGAGGCCCCTGTGACAAGGACCTTAATCCCCCAGGAGGGCCAGTGACGCTCAGCCAGAGCTGCCCCCATGGCTGTTTCCCCACTGGCCTGTGACCCCTGGGGCCCACTGCCACCCTGCCTGCCTGGAACCAACAAACCAGGTCATTGTGCCCTGCAGGGCCCACTGGGCTGGGTGCTGGGGAGGCAGGGAGAATGCAGCTCTTGTCCCCGAGGAATTCCTGGCCCATTGGGCCATTCAAGGCCACATCCTCACAGGACAGGGGTCACTCTGCCCTGCAGTAGGAGAGGGTGAAATGTTCAACGGAGAGAAGAAGACTGAGGTGCTACAGATTCGGAGCTAGGGCCTGGGCAGTCCGGGAGGGCTGCCTGGAGGTGGCTGCCCAGAGGTGGCAGCCTGGTATCCTGACCCGGGCCCCAGGGAATCCCATGAGTGGGAGGAAAGAGGGAGCTGAGGGTCCAGATGTCTGGACAGCATCCCTGAGTCCCCGTGATTTCCTCACAGGGAGAGGCTTGCTCTGCCTCCTCCCAGAGCGTGAGCCAGGCCCTTATGTCCAGTCGAGCCCCACGGGGTTGCTGGGAGGAACAGGAAGGGCCTGTGCGGTGCTGAGTCCAGGGCCCAAGACCAAGGAAGTGGTCAGCAAATGTGCTCTGTGCTAAACGTACTGCTGTGCAGCCACTGTCTCCCCCAGGGTCTCCCACCACAATGGCACCTCCAGGAATTGTGCAGACCCCATCCAGTCCCCAGCAGTCCCTGGTGTGAGGGAACAAGGGGCAGGTCCCCAGGCCCTGCACAGGGGCACAGGGAGAGGGTGACCCTGGTGCTGGGGAGGGTGGCTCTGACATTCACACCTAGCAATGCCTGTAGCTCGTCCCAGGCTGAGAGGCCTTTGGGGGCCCCAGTCCCGCCGCTGTCCTCACCACAAGAAGGCTGGCTGAGCTAGCAGGGGCACCGAGAATGATGGAGAGGAGTGCGGCATCCCCAGGAGGACTGTTCCCCAGTCCGGGCGATGGGGACGGCTAGCTGGCAGGAGGGAGTTCAGCTGAGCTCGGGGAACCGACAACCCTCAGTCGTGTGCACAGCAGGGGCTGGACACGTGGTCCTCGCCTGGAGGGTGCTGATGAAGTTACGGTAGCAGCGTTCAGTCCAGGAGCACGTGTACCCCCCCCCCCCCCCGCAGCCAGTCTCAGGCCTGGGACTGCATGGGCACGGCTAGGGGAGGGCGGGGGCTGCAGGCTGCCGGACCGAGGGGCACATGGAGCAGGGGCCAGGGCTCAGGAGGGCTCAGGGGGTCCTGGGAGGGCCAAATGTCTAAGCAGAGTCCAGGGAACCAGGAAGAAGGTTCTAGAAAAGGAAACTGACCAGGCAGAGGCTGGTGCCAGGAAGGAGGCAGTACGTCCCGTAATGCCGTGCTGTGGCCTGCTGGGCCCACTGTGACCAAGGAGCAGTGGGAGGTGAGGGTGGTGGAACCCAGGCCATAGGTTCAGCTGGGGCCACGGCCTCGCCAGGGAGTCCACGCGCTTCTCAGAGCGAGTTCTCCACTTGCTGCTCTGGACTCCCAGGAGGCTCTCGCTCAGGCAGATCCAGGCCGGATCCAAGGAATCGGACTCGCCTGCCATGGGGCCGGGCAGATACATCACTCGAGGCATCCCAGGGTGAGGCCCTAGGCCCAAGAGGGCGAGAACCACCCCACCCTACCTGCTGGCGGAGCCTTGGGCCAGGCCCACACATGACCGTGCTCAGCAGGCCCACACCTCCTTCCCATGTGGCACTTCCCAGGCCAAGGCCACAGGTCCCTTGAGGCGCAGGGCAGGTGGCTTTGCCCCATGTCCCCTCCCTTCTCTGGGTTTGTGTCCTCACCCTTGATAAGGCCACCTCCCCCTGTGCCAGGAGTGGCCTGTGCCAGTTGCTGGTGCTTGCCCACCCCCAGAGCCATCGGGCATGTTTCTGCTTCCCCATAGGAGACCTGAGGGCAGGGATGGCGGCCGTCTCAGCCGAGGCTGCACTGCCACTCCCCGGGTTGCCCCAGGATGGGAAGGCACGAGCAGCCGGCCACAGGCACCTGAGTCCAGGCTAAGCGGGCCAGGGCCAGCCCGGGAGACCCGAGCAGGACATGGTCAGCGGCCGAGCTGGGGGCTGTTTGCTGCTGCTGGTTCTAGTGCAGGGAGGGCGGGCACAGCCCCGTGTCCCCCAACTCTGCTGCGAGGCATGTGTCCCACGCCCGGGGATGCTGCCAGGTCCTTTCCCAGGAGGACCAGCCCCCCTCAATAAGTGGGTGCAGGGAACTAAGGGAAGAGCTGCAGCTCCCATGATGACGCGGACACGGCCTCTGCCACCAATCTCGCCTTTCCTGTGTGGGTGGCGACACGCGGCGCCGGCTGCCACCTGCACAGAGCCATGGAGCCAGGCCCACGGCAGCCCCACCCACCCCAACCACACCTGCGAGGCCGGCAGCCCCAGCTCCTCCACAGCCCCAGACCTTCCACCGTGCGTCCCCACCGAGCTCCTCCTGTCTCCGTGGCCCAGTGAGGCCAGGGCACCATGAGGCTGCCTGGCAGGGTCCTCACCGCCCCCCTTCCCACCAGCACCAGGGCCCTGTGGCCCTCAGGCCAGTGAGTGACCCAGCTCCAAAATCCCACCCTAAGGGTCTGCTTTCCGAGACCACCTTGACCTGGGCTCCCCAGAAAGCACAGCCTAATGGGGGTGGGGGGGGCCTTGGGGCCGTTATCCTAACAGGAAGAACAGTCCCCCGAGCAGTGGTACTGATGGGACAGGGAAGCCATAGGAGGTGGCCCCGAGGAAGACAAGTCCCCAGGTGTCCCCCGCACCTGGCCCGGGGGACCCCATGCAGCAACCTGCGCCCGGGGCCTCTCTTGTGCAGCAGAAAAGGAGAGGCGCTCACACTCCCCACTCCTCCAGGCCCCCGGGTGTTGACTGCCCTGCAGGCTCTGGGCATGGCCCTGTGGCTGCGTCCTCAGGAACCCGGGCAGGAGGCAAGAGTCAGCCCTGCTGTGTTGGGTGGTGCCTGTCCAAAATCACTCAGAGCCCACATCAAACAAAGAGAAGGCCAGCAAGGCCCAGAGGGTCTGAAATGGAGCGTGGTGGGTGTGTGAGGCGGCAGGTAGCCGGCCAGGTATCTGGTTTGAGGATGCCAACATCGGACGGTGCGGGCGCAGGGCTGGCCTGTGTGTCTGCATGCTGTCCACGGCTGCTTTTGTGCTGCCACGGTTGAGTGGAATGTAAACTTTGCGATTGGAACCCTTTCCAAAAAACATTTTCAGCCCCCACTCTGGAGCGATTCATGGCCAGACGTGCCCCCCTCCACAGTGCTGGGAAGCCTGCTGCACGTCGGGCTGATCTAGGCACTGGGGAGCGGGGGATCAACGGGACATGTCCTGCCCCCGCAAGCCGGCACTCTTGCCAGGGAGACAGACAGGAACACGCCGACACTAGGCAAGAGCCTGAGCAAAAATACCATGGGAAAGGAGGACGGGATGGAGGCTGAATGGCGCAGTCAGGGTGGACGCCAGCGTGCACAGGGCTCTTTGTGATGAAAAGGCCCTGGAGCAGGACCTGCCCGGCGTGTCCAGGGGCAGCAGCGAGGCTGCGGCGTCAGGGCCCGGGACTCACCAGCTGCTGGGACTGCAGGCCTGGGGCAGGTTCCCATCTCTCTGTGCCTGGGCTTCCTGCTTGCTGAAACAGGGTGATGGTTCTCACCCCCACAGGGCTGTTCTGCAGGTGGGGGAGGGTGGGGCACACATGTCTGGTTGGTTAAATGGTGTCTCTTGGAAGGAGCAAAGCCCGGGGTTGGCCGAGAGGCTCAGGGTGCAGGAGAGGGGCCAGGCACAAAAGCAGAGGACCTGGACTTTGGGATGGGAAAGTCCGGGTGGGCTGCTGAGCGCTGTTCTCAGCTCAGCCTCACCTGGGCCCTGCTTCAGCCTGCGGGGTCCATCTGTGGCAAGAATCCGGCTAAGGCAGTTTGGAGCCAATCCCCGCCCTGGATATGGGATCACTCCACCTTGAGCAAGAATCAATGAAGTGGGTTTGCAAGAATCTCTCTGCCCTGGTGTCCCCGCTTTGTGATCTCCCATCCACCAAGCCCCTACCCTGCTCCTGGGCTGTGAACCCCCACTTGTCCTGGCATCCGGGGTCGAACCCTGTCTCTCTCTCTTACGCAACAGTCTTGAATGAAGTCTTCCTTACCAAGGGTCAGGATAATTTCCCTTTACCAGGGCCCCCACTTTCCTGGTCTCATCCAGCCCAAGCCGCGTGGAGAGGGAAGCCCAAGCCCCACCATTCAGGGGCAGCCTGAGGCCACCAGCCATCACCTGCTAACAGCACCCAGAGACCACCGAGGCCACTGCACTGAGGCCACCCCACCCCCACCCCGCAGGAGGGGCGGCCTCGCCTGACTTCATTAATCTCACACTGGTTCACGTGTCAAAGTGCACGCGATCTCTTGTAAAAATGATCTGGCTGCTAATTAGGCTGTTTATAACTTGTTTCCCTGGTCGCTAATGATAATTAACATGCAAATTAGCTCAGGGAGGGGAGGCTCTGGGGCCCCCGGTTCATTACCACGTTAATTACTGTTTGCATACTTAAGTATCACAGATATAAATGGCGGCATTTAGTGTAATGGGCAAGACGATAATTATACCAATGGCATTTTGAAAAGTCATTTCGCTGTGTTATTTTTCTGCGTGATTAATGATTCTGGGTTGCCTGGTTAATAAACTTCGTTAGTTCAAACCGATACAGGCTGTGTACACAACCCGGCGCCCAGCTCCCGCACCACGTTCATCATTCTCTCCCCAGTGCCTGTTGGTTGGGAAGTTTCGGGGAAAGGAAAAGACAAAGGGGGAGGTGGAGCAGCACCGGGCCGAGGAGCTTCTCCAAATTCTCGGTTTGACAGGAGCAGAACCCTGCCCTGCCCAGCTAAGTCCGGGGAGACCTGTGGCTCATGGCTGACCTCCTCCGGGGGAAGCTGGGCTCTCCCTTGCCCAGTGTAGCACAGAGGTCGGAGAAGACATCTCCGCACGTCCTCCCTCCCTCTTTCCTTCCTTCACACCTTCCTTTGCTTCTCTTCTACCTGCCAGGTCCTGTTGAGGGGGTGGCAGGCTTACCCTGCCCTGCTCACCTACACGCCAAGGCAGAAACGCCACCAATGCAGACAAAAGTGCGTGTCAGTGTTGGGTGGCGAAGGGGTGTGGGCAGGGAGGAGCAGCAGTGGGGCTGCGTGAGATGGGGAAGTCGGCCAAGGTCTGTTGAAGGAAGAAGGATTGAGCCCAGACCTGCCGGCTATGGGGGCAACAGCGGGCAGTGCAAAGGCCCTGGGGCAAGAACAGACTGTGGGGAACAGGGTGGGGTCCAGCCCAGGAAGGGGCCGGCGTGGCTGGGCTGAGTGGCCAGGCACTGGGAGATGAGGGTGCAGATCCCGAGGGTGGGAGCGGACGGGACCGCGGTGGGCAGCCTCGCAGCAGTGGGAGATAAGAAGCCATCACGCCCAGGATATGCCTCGGCGGGAAAGCTGGGGACCTGCAGATGGGCCAGGTGTGGGTGTGAGGACAGACGAGGTCTTGGAGGGGCCGCTGGCTTGTGGCCCCTTCCTTGCCCTGGCCCGTCCCCTGGGGCTGGGTGGTCAGATTCCCTGCAGGCCAGGCAGGACGCTTCGGGGTTGAGTATCCCCTGCAGGCCTCAGAAACCGGCCACACGGGGCTCGGCAAAGCTCCTCCCCACCTGGAATGCTAGCCCCCAAGAGCCTCCTCCCCCAGCGTCCCCCAAAGGCAATGAGAAGTCCACGGCTGAACTGTGGGTCCAAGGGAACCGCGGAGCCTCCGTGGTGCCAGAACACGAATATGGAAAATCTGCTCCTCCCTAAACAGGCATCTGACCCTCAGCCTCACCCACAGTAGCCCCCAGAATGCAAAGGGGCCCTCCGAAACCACCCCTGCAACTGAGATCGCAACACAGCGGGAGCAGCTGGCGGGTGGGGGCCGGGAGGGGTGGGGGCTCCTCCCCCCACTGCATTATTGATCAAGGATGGAACAGGAGCCCGGGGAACAAGAGGAGCTCGGGGGCGGGGGTGGGCCCTGCCCTGCCTGCAGGCTGCCAGGCCTGCGAGAAGTTTAGCTCGGGGAGGGAGGGCGTGGAGTGGAGAGGCCTCCCGACCCCAGGCTCCACTAGGGAGGGCTGTGCGCTTCTCTGCCTGGCTGTCCACCTGCAGGTCCTGCCTGTGTGGCTCAGGGTCAAGAGGCGAAAATTTCATCTGGTGATGGCCGGGCCCCCTGGCCCCACCCTGGTCCTGTGAAGCTGCCCAGGTCTCCTGGATGATACCCCAGGTAAACCCCGGGGCCCAAGGGGCTCCCCTGAGCTGAGGGGCTCTAAGTCTTGGGGGAGTGTCCTAAGCTTTGGCAGCTGGGGCTCTGAGGGGCTCACATACCCTGGGAGGGCACTCTGGGGCACATGGGATGGAGGCGCCCCTTGGGTGGGGTGGACACCGAGGCCAGAGAAGTGGCCAGAGCTGCACCTGTTCCCGGGTCAGGAGGGCGGGGAAGCACCCCCGAGATAGCCCAGGGCTACCCTTTTTGGGGTTTGGGGCGCAGCCTCGAGCTGTTGCTAAGGCTTCCCCTCTCTAACTGGGGCTGGCTTAGCCCAAAGTAATCTGCTTCCCCAGGTGAGCGCCTGCGGGGGGAAGAGGGGCAGGCAGGTGGGGAGGCTGTGGCCCTGGGGAAGCTGCACGGAGGCAACATCACTGCCAAAGGCAGTGCAGGCCTGGGCCCCAGGCCTAGGCTGTGGGGATCCCTCCCTTTGTGCTGTGATGGTAGGGGACAAGGACACGTGCCCGCCACCCCCAAGGTCACCAAGGGCCCCAAATTGTTGCCACGCTGGCAGCCCCCAGTGGCAGGAGGGTGCAGACCTCCCTTCCAGCTGGGGAGGAACAGCCTCGGGGCTGCTGGTGCTGGTGGGGCCTCGGCGGAGCCTGCAGGCAGGTGCTTGGCAGCAGCAGTTCACGGCCAGACCCCGCCTCCCAGTTGCATGCCTGACCTTTGAGGGCACTCAGGTGTCTGGAGGGCAGGGGGTTCCACTGACTAGGGTGAATGAAGCGCACCTGTTTGTATAAAGACAACACGTGTGCTGGATTCCTCCTGCCCGTCCCTCTCGAGGAGCCTCTGAAGAGGCCCTGGGAAAGGTTCCAAAAGATTCCCTTGCCCAATAGGCACACCCGTGTCCACTCTTGGGGAGCAGAAAAGGAGCTCCAAACAGGCTGGAGAGCCTGGTCCTGGGGCGGGCGCCTCGCTGCTCTGTGCCACCTGCAGAAAGGGCAGAGTGAGCCCCGCCTGCAGCCATGCCTGCCCCAGCAGCCCATGCACGGCCCTGTGAGCCATGAGCACATGAGGTCAGCCTCAAGGCCATCCCCGGCTCCCACCAAGTCAACTGTTTTCACTGCTGGCTTCAAGAACATTCTGGTGACAGGGCTCAGAGCTCTTCCCAGAGGGTGGCGTCTTTATCCCAGGCCTTCGGTGTGACTGGGACGGGTCCTGCCAGCTGCGGACTCTCCTAAGGGCATCTCTGGTGGGGACCATGTGCTCCTGCTCGGCCCCGGCGTGGGAACCAGGCCCTTTCATTTCTGCAAGTCTGAGTGCAAGGAGTGAGGGGGTCGTTGCTGGGTGCTGACTCGGAGTCCTGCCCCTCCCTCCACCCAGCCAGGTCCGACCACATAAACGGGGGCAGCCAAGCAGGCTCAGAGCAGGAGGAGCGGCTCCCAGGGCGTCGGAAGCAGCTCCTGGGCTCTTCGCAGGGGTCTGTAAGGACAAGTAGTTGTTGTGGGTCCAGTCAGGGCTGAATGCTTCCATCACCCTCAAACCCTGTTTCCCCCTGAAGCGTCAGATGAGCCAGCTCCCTACGCTGTCAGTGCGCTAATGGTCTTGAATGGGAAAGTGTGCAGAGGGCAAATGAGCAGTATCCCCCGCCCCCCGCTAGCCTCAAGTTGGAAATGTTGGAAATCCTTTTGACTCATAAACTAAAGCAGCACAAACCCGAACACGAGACCCTGAGACTACCAGGCACCGGCCTCGGCCTCCCTGTCCGGCTCAGCCGCCCACTTTTGTCTGTGGCAGAATCAGAGACGAGAGTGCGGATTGGGAGGTGGCGTGGAGGCGGCCCTGGGATTACCTGCATCCAGGTGTGCTGCTCTCAGGCAGGGGCTGTGATCATAGCTCGGGACCCTCCGAGACTTCCAGGCTCATCTGGCCAGTGCCTGTGGGCCCCGGGCAGGGCACTGTGCACAGGGCAGAGACGCAGGGGGCCCATCGGCACTGCTGTGATGGCAACTGTCGCGCAGACCTGCCACCTCTGTGCCCCGGGCTCTTCTACAGCCCTGGTGACAGCCCCACTCCATTACAGCTCTCGCCTAATTAGGGCAATTAAAATGAAAGTAATCAACACCGAGTAATGGGCAATCTCTTAATAAACTGCCCCCACTGCATTACCCGCACAGGCCTTGGGCCCTGGTGAATGTCATGGAGCTGAAGAACTGGGCCAGGCAGCCCCAGCCCTGCTGACCCCCCTGCCCTGCACCCTCAGACTGACCCTGACTGCTCTGCCCACGCTGCAGGGGCTCCACACCCTCCCCAAAGGGCCTGCGGGGCATGTCTCAGGAGACCCAGACATCGAGGGGATCAGGGATGCCACCCCCCACTCCCAAGATCTCCTCCCCCAAAGGGCACCCCCAACCCTGCTTCCCTGAGCCCCACAGAGGAGCCAGCATTGGCCTGGTGTCCGGGCACCTTGGCATCCTGAATTGGGAGGGACCTCTCTCAGGGACGCACCACCCCCATTCCCCCCACTCATGCCTGCCCTCCAGGGCAGCTGCCGGTGGTGGGGTCTCAGCTTCAGGGACCTGAGCCTGCCTCCAGCCACCCCACTCAGTCTTTCTGCTCCTGCGGCATGGGCTGACGGTGGCCACGGGCTGAAGGTGATGTTTCCTAAAATAGTCCCTATGCTGCCACCCCTTCCTCAGCAACAATCAGGGTCCCTGGGCAGTAGGCTCAGGTCATGGCTCCCAGAGCTGCCTCTGGGCCTCAACCCTGTGATGGGGGAGGGGTGTGCCCTCGGCTAATGTGCCCTGCCCTCCCCAGGGCACAGCTGGCTCAGCTGGTGCAGGCAGGACAGGGCTGCCTAAGCCTCTCAGAGGGAGGACGGCCAAGGGAAATGGGCTGGCTGTGCACGGAAGGTCCAGTCCCAGCTGCCGGCACAGGGAACAGCCTGTGGGGAGGTGCCCCAGGACCGGGTGACAGGGCCCTGCCAGAAGAGGAGTGAGGCTGGGCGGTGAGGGGCCCGCATAGCAGCCCAGGCGGAGTTCTGGGGGACAAACCCAGAGCCTGAGTGCACTGGGTGGGCAGGCGGCCCCCACCTGCCTCCAGGAAGCGCCCTCCTCATCTATGTGGAGAGGAGGCTGGGGGCACCCTGGCAGAGCAGGCAGGGTGGAGGCTGGCCCCGGCTATGGGGGGCTGTACCCCACAGGCCCCTTCTCCCCCAACACCCCCATGAACTCAGGGTTCTCTGCTCTGAGGCAGCCCATTGGAGCCTGGCTGGGGCAGTGTGGGTGGGACCTCGGCCTGGTAGCCTCTGGCCACAGCGGGGCGCTGCAGGACAGCCAGGAGACCCAAGGGTGTTGACACTCTCCCGGGAAACCGCAGGCTGTGCCTTCCCCAACCCACACGGGGCGGTCATAGGAGCCCCACCCAGGCCTGGGCCCTCCAGCCAGCCACATCCCTCTGTCCCCCACCACCCACGAGGGAATCTGGGTCCCCAGGGCACAGCCGGCTCAGCCTCCAAGCTGCAGACGAGTGTGAGTGTGTCTGTGTGTGTCTGAGAGCGGATGCTGGGGGCTGCCTGTTTGATGAGGGAAGAAAGGGCTGTGCGGAGCTAGTTCGTCAGGTCAAGTAGCTTGGGGACAGGGAATAGGGGAGTACCAGGGGCTGTCCCTGGAACCTCAACCTCAAAACTGAACCCCCCCACCCATGGGCTGGGGTGGCTCCCCCGACCCAAGGGCCTGGCAGGTGCTCTCGGCGCCCCCCTCGAATGGCCCAGGTGTGAGAGGGTGGGCAGGGGTGTGGTCCTGCGTCCCACTGAGAGGGCTGCCTGGACTGACGGGGGGTGTGCCTTCCTGAGGGGCTCAGGGTTGGGAGGGGCAGAGGGTGGGTCCGGGGTTCCTATTGCTGGGCCCTGACACCTCGGGCCACCGTAACCCTCCCGACATGGACACTCAGGGGTCAGATGTTCTTAGAGGGAACTGAGCTGGGGGAGGCCACTGTCCCATTCTGCAAGGCACGAAACTGAGGCCCCAGAGGTGAACAGTGGGCTGGAAGTTGGCCTGGGACACCTGGTAGGCCCCACCCCACCAGCCCAGGATCCCCCCAGTTTTCACCCAGTGGGGTCTGCACTGACCGTGGGGTCAATGGGAAGGGGTGGAGGTGGCTTGAGGCTGGGCACGGGTGGCCACAGGGCAGGAGAACTGGCCGCCCTCTGTGGACTCACCATGCTCCCCCACCCCCAGGTACTCTGAGGACCAGACATGGGCCCGTCGGGGTCCCAGACATGATGTCAGCCCAGGAGCTCGTGGCCTGCCTCTGCCGGGAGGGGGAGCAGCATCTGGCGCTGGGGGAGCTGCCCCTGGCCACCGCCTTCTACCTGGCTGCATTCAGCTGCCACGCCCCCTCAGCCCTGCAGAGTGTGCGCACTGCCCTGGCCCAGGCTCGGGGGGCGGCGGTGGTGGCCACCCTGGAGTCCTGGTGCCGCGGGGACAGCCAGATCCCCGCCATCCACTGGGACGGCATGGCAGTGGTCTCCCTGACAGGGTCGCTGGCCTCTGCCTTCCTCGGCGCCCTCTGCCCGGACCACCCCGCCGCCATCCTGCACCTGCTGGCAGGTCTGCTGGCCCGCGGGCGTCACGAAGAAGTGGTGCAACGCTGCAGCGCCCTGCTGGACTCTCATGCACAGCAAGTCCTGGAGCTGCGGCTGACCCGCGCCCTCGCCTGGGTCCTGTCCGGGGTGCAGGCAGCGGATGGTGTGGCCGCCTATCTCCAGGCCTTCGCCTCCAGCGCCGACCGGACGGTAGCTTTCATTCGCACCCACCAGCGGCCCCACCTCCCCGCGCTGCTCAGTGCCCTCCAGGACTACCTCTCGGGGCACCCGGAGGCTGGGCACAGTGCCGGCCAGCAGGAGACCGGTGGCCAGCGACTCCTGGCGGCTCTGGACCCCAGGGGCACCCGGAGTGACACCCTGTCACCTGAAGCTCTGCTCCACAGCGGCAGGTTTGAGGACTGCCTGGCAGCATGCAGCCGGGCCCTCGAGGCCCATCCCACCGGCAGCGAACCCCAAGGTAGGAGGACGGCATGGCCCCTGCAGAGCCAGGGTGAAAGCTGCCCCCGCCACTCCCTCCCCACATGGTTATGTCCTGCCATGATGGGGTGAGGCTGTGCTGGGGCTGGGGTGCCTCAGTGACAAGAAAGTCAGGCCCTGCCCCTTTGGAGCACCCAAAGACACAAACAAAATGCATGCTTTAAGAAATGGGATGGGCAAGGTACTGCTCCAGCCGGTGATCAGGGAAAGCTTCTCAGGAGAGGAATCATTTAGGCTGAGAGTGAGGGTTCCAGGCAGCAGAAGCAAATGTGCCAAGTCCTTAGGGGAGCAAGAGCTTGGGCTCCCCCTGCCACTGAGGGGGCCAGGGCGACTGTCGGAGGGAAGGGGAAAACGAATGGGAGACTGAAGATGGCAGCTGTGGGGCTAGATCCTCCTGGCCTCCCAAGGCCCTTGGATGTTACCCTCAGTCTGTGAGGCTGAGCTGTGGAGTGAGGTACTCTGAGCTGCATTTTTTTTTTTGAGATGGAGTTTCATTCTTGTTGCCCAGGCTGGAGTGCAATGGGGCGATCTCGGCTCACCGCAACCTCCACCCACTGGGTTCAAGAGATTCTCTTGCTTCAGCCTCCCGAGTAACTGGGATTACAGGCACCCACCATCATGCCTGGCTAATTTTTGTATTTTTAGTAGAGATGGAGTTTCATCATGTTGGCCAGGCTGGTCTCAAATTCCTAACCTCAAGTGATCCACCTGCCTCAGCCTCCCAAAGTGCTGGGATTACAGGAGTGAACCACCGCGCCCGGCGCCTGATCTGCATTTTTAAACTTTCCTCTGGCTGCCATGTGCAAAATGTGCCAGAGGAACCAGAGTAAGGACAAGACCTGCTGGGAGGCTGGGAGGCTGGGGGGCCGGGAGGCTAGGAGGCTGGGAGGCTGGGAGGCCGGGAGGCCGGGAGGCTGAGAGGCTGGAAGTCTGGGAGGCTAGGGGGCTGGGAGGCTTGGAGGCTGAGAGGCTGGGAGGCTGGGAGGCTAGGGGGCTGGGAGGCTTGGAGGCTGAGAGGCTGGGAGGCTGGGAGGCTTGGAGGCTGAGAGGCTGGGAGGCTGGCAGGCTTGGAGGCTGAGAGGCTGGGAGGCTGGGGGGCTGCGAGGCTTGGAGGCTGAGAGGCTGGGAGGCTGGGGGGCTGGGAGGCTTGGAGGCTGAGAGGCTGGGAGGCTTGGAGGCTGAGAGGCTGGGAGGCTGGTGGGCTGGGAGGCTTGAAGGCTGAGAGGCTGGGAGGCTGGGGGGCTGGGAGGCTTGGAGGCTGAGAGGCTGGGAGGCTGGGAGGCTGGGGGGCTGAGGGGCTGAGAGGCTGAGAGGCTGGGACGCTGGGGGGCTGGGGAGCTGAGGGGCTGAGAGGCTGGGAGGCTGGGAGCCTGGGAGGCTGGGTGGCTGGGGAGCTGAGGGGCTAAGAGGCTGAGAGGCTGGGAGGCTGGGGGGCTGGGGAGCTGAGGGGCTGGGAGGCTGGGAGGCTGGGGAGCTGAGGGGCTAAGAGGCTGAGAGGTTGGGAGGTTTGGAGGCTGAGAGGCTGGGGAGCTAAGGGGCTAAGAGGCTGAGAGGCTGGGAGGCTGGGGGGCTGGGGAGCTGAGGGGATGAGAGGCTGAGAGGCTGGGAGGCTAGGAGGCTGGGGAGCTGAGGGGCTGAGAGGCTGGGAGGCTGGGAGGCTGGGGGGCTGGGGAGCTAAGGGGCTAAGAGGCTGAGAGGCTGGGAGGCTGGGGGGCTGGGGAGCTGAGGGGCTGAGAGGCTAGGAGGCTGGGAGGCTGGGGGGCCGGGGAGCTGAGGGGCTGAGAGGCTGGGAGGCTGGGAGGCTGGGGGGCTGGGGAGCTGAGGGGCTGAGAGGCTGGGAGGCTGGGGGTACTGGGGAGCTGAGGGGCTAAGAGGCTGAGAGGCTGGGAGGCTGGGGGGCTGGGGAGCTGAGGGGCTCAGAGGCTTGGAGGCTGGGGAGCTGAGGGGCTAAGAGGCTGAGAGGCTGGGAGGCTGGGAGGCTGAGAGACTGGGAGGCTTGGATGCTGGGCAGCTGAGAGACTGGGAGGCTGGGACAATGGTTCAGGAGAGAGTTGATGGAATTCAGATCAGGGAGAAAGGGTTGCAGAGAAACCACATGTCTGAGAGTTAGAAGTGACGAGATTGTGGGTAGATTTAATGGTGGAGAGACAGGCACAGAGAAGGAGGGTCAGGAACGTTTTCTGAGTTCATGATGAGCAACTGAACTGTGGAGGGAAGCGCGGATGGGAAAAGGGGTGTCAGAGGTTTAGACGCCCCCAGTTTGAGACACTGCTCCTGCCCGGTCCCTTCACTGCCTCTTCCTTCTGGAGGAGCACCCAGGGCCACAGCCCAGCCTACTGCCAGCA
The DNA here is from genome assembly GCF_000001405.40 of Homo sapiens. Lineage (NCBI taxonomy): Eukaryota > Metazoa > Chordata > Mammalia > Primates > Hominidae > Homo > Homo sapiens. The sequence goes on along the minus strand of NC_000001.11, from coordinate 2,797,678 downwards.
CTCTGCCACCCTCGGATCCCTGAGTGCCTGAGACGAGGCTGCGTCTCCACCCCAAAGGCTGCTGTGTGGATTCAGTAAACATGCACAGCAAACCCTTAGAATAATGTCACCTACTGAGTGCTTTACACACAGTCCTTTGAGCCCATCAAGCCTCATGTCATTAGGCAGCCAGACAGGTGAGCCCTGAGGTGAGAGGAGCTCAGTTTGAAAAAGGGGGGTTTAGGGTCAGTGCAAATGAGAGGTTGAAAGTCAAGGCTCCCGACAGAGGCAGGAAGTGGGGCCACGAGGCATCCTGGAGCAGACAGGACCTCCCTGGCGTGAGTGTCCTGCAAGGCACTGCGGCTCCCTGCCCTTTCCTCGTGCCCCAGCCCCCATCCCAGGCCAGCAGACATCTGGAGGTGAGGATGGCAGTATTAGCTGCCGTTTACTGAACAGCTAGTGGGTGGGCCCCATTTGATGGGTTTGATGTGCATAATCATGGAATCTGCAGAGCAGCCACCATCCCCATGAGACACGGGGCTGCCAAGGGCATACGGAGTGCAGGCAGCTAGGACCTGGCCCCTGGGGTGCTCCTAACCGCCCTCCATACTGTGCTTCTGGGGAGGAGCAGCCCAGGAGGACAGGAAGAAGGAAGAAAATTCGGAGCCCGTGGGGTGACGGATCAGGGCCAGAAGAGAAGGGGGTTTGCAAGATAAAGACAGGTAGGCAGCCCTGAGAGTGGCCACAATGTCCGTAAGGAGAGGACAAGGAGTGTGCGTTGGGCGTGTGGTGCCGAGGTTCTTGGTGACCCCAACGAGAGGGTGGGGCAGGAACCAGTTAGAGAGAGCTGCAAAGTGAGCAGGAAAATTTGTTTCTGGAAATATGCTCAAATATGTTGAGCATTACCAGAAAATGATCAACAAAGTCACACCGAATCGTGAGCTTCTGAGGAAGGAGGGGACCCCGGGTGCCCAGAGCACAGGCACTCAGGGGCTGGTGAGGACCATGCCCACAGCAAGGGGGCTCCAGGAGGGAGGGGGCCTTCCACTTTAATGATCACGCAGGGGCAGGGCATGACTTAAGGGTGTGGGTGGGGGTCACACTAAAGCTCTCTGCAGAAATCCAGAACCCCCCAAGTGTTGCAGGCTTGGGGAATGTGAGGGAAGACCCAGCTCCTCCAGGAAGGCCACCGGAAGCTCGTCTGTGTCTGCCGTGGCTCTGGTGTGTACAGGGAACACCTGCCCTAAGAATTGTGCATCCATTAGACCCAAGTCACTTCGGTCAAGGGACTCCCCACATCGCCAGCACCAGCACAAGCATGGCTTACGATGAGAAGAGAAGAAATGAATTTTCCTATAACAGACTTTTTACAGATGCAGTTTCCTGCAACAAATGACCTTCCATCTGGAGGTTACTTTCCAAAGTCCTTGGAAACATTGCACAAACCAGTCGCTCCATTTGTGCTGCTGTGACAGAATGCCACGGGCTGGGTGATCCATAATGAGTAGAAATGAATGAGCTCCAGTTCTGGACGCTGGAAGCCCAAAACCAAGGCCCCAACAGGCTTGGGGATTCGGATTCCAAGATGGCGCCTTGAATGCTGCATCCTCACTTGGCACAAGACAGAAGAGCAAAGAGGCGAAAGGGGCTGAACTTGCATTAATCCCACCCACAAGAGCAGAGCCCTCATGGCCTAATCATCTTCAAAGATCTGACCTGTCAATACCATTACAATGGCAGTTAAGTTTCAGCATGAGTTTTGGAGGGAACAAACATTCAAACTGTAGCAAAACCCTTCTATAATCTGGGAACTTTCTTTGCCCTCTTTAGTAAGTAGACATGCAGCGATACACGATGTATGAGGACAAGATACAGAATAAATACCACTTTCCCTCAAGGTAGCTGCTAAGTAAGCATCCAGGTACCATGGCTCCCTACGTGTTTGTCTTACCAAAGGACTGGGATGACCACTTCCAATTTGTTTAAGGTTCTTCATTAAGAGCGCTAGGAAAGGTGACAAAGCATAGCTGTGATTCCTGCTTTCCTCCCAGCAAGATGCAGGGTCTGTTCTCCGTACAGAATCTGGCATGGCCTTGTGCCTTGCTGGGACCAGTAGAATATGGTAGAAGTGATGGCTTGTGCTTCAGGAGCCCAAGCCTCAGAGGCCCCACGGCTTCCACCTTCACCTTGGAATTCTCCCAGGGCCATGTAAGGAAGCTGGAATCATGACCAGTGAGAGAACACACAGACAGAGGCTCAGCTGACAGCCATCACCAAGGCCCCGGACACATGAGTGAGGCCACCTTAGAGTCTCTTGTCCGGTAAAGCCACTGGATGGCTGCAGCCACCTGAGTGACCCCTGGTAAGACCAACAGAAGAACTGTCCAGCTTAGGCCAGCCCAAACTGAGGAATAATTATGGGCAAATATAAATGGTTGGATTTTCCTTTTTGAGACAGGGTCTTGCTCTGTCTCCCAGGCTGGAGTGCAGTTGTGTGATCATGGCTCACTGCACTCAATCTCCCAGGCTCAAGCAGTCCTCCTGCCTCAGCCTCCCAAGTAGCTGGGACTATAGGTACACACCATCACAACTGGCTAATTTTTTTTTTTTTTTGTAGAGATGGGGTCTCACCACGTTGCCCAGGCTTGATTGTTGTTTTAAGCCACTAAGTTTTACAGTGGATGGTTATGCAGGAATAGTTAGCTGAAATAACTGCTGACCAGGTCAAAACATCAGTTTTGATGCATTTTAGCCAACATTTCGTCAAATATTATAATATAGAACTTAAAATTTTATGTTTCCAGAATTATATAATTCACTACATTAATAATTAATGGAATAAAGAACATATTATCATTGCAGTAGATTCAGAAAAACTGTTTTATAATATTTCACATTCCCAGAATTTTAACAATCAAGAAACAGAAGAAAACTTACTTAATTGAAAAAGATAATATCTATCCCAAACCCACCATAAATATCATACTCAATGGTGACAATTCAGAAGCCTTCCATTTAAAATCAATTACGAGGAGGCTGTGCACTCTCCCAGTTACTCATCATTGTGCTAGAGATCCTAGCCAATGCAATAAGGTAAGAAAACAAGACAGAACATGTAAGACCAGAAAGGAAGTCACAAAGTTATAATTATTCCAGGCAATATGATTAGCTATGTATATAGAAATTCCAAAAGAAGCAACAAAAAGGTATTAGACATTGTAGCAAAATTTAACAAAATATGCAAAACATTATTTATATTTATAAATACCAGCAACAAATAGATGCCCTGTGTCCCATTTACCACAGGGACAGAAAATGATTAAGTTCTAAGAGTCACATGACTTTATGGAAAAAGTATAAAACTTTATTGAAAGATAATAAAGAATACCTATAGCCATGCCTCAGTGGCTCATGCCTGTAATCCCAGCACTTTTGGAGGCTGAAACAGGAGGAACCCTTGAGCTCAGAAGTCTGACACCAGCCTGGGCAACATAGTGGGAACTGGTCTCTACAAAAAATTTTTAAAATACAAAAAAACTTATCCAGGCACGTGGTGCATACCTGTGATCCCAGCTACTTACCAGACTGACATGGGAGGATCTCTTAAGCTTGGGAGATGAAGGCTGCAGTGAGCTGTAATCACACCACTGCATGCCAGCCTGGGCAACAGCAAACATTGTATCAGAAAAGAAAGAATATCTATATAAATGGAGAGATATTCACTGTCCACAGAAGAAGAAGGAGGGCGAGGAGGGGAAGGGAGAGGTAGGGGAGTGGGGAGGTGGGATGGGGGAGAAGAGGAGAAGGAGAAGCAGAAGATGGAGAAGGAAGAGGTGGCAGTAGAAGGATTTGCTCTACCAGTTAATATGAAGCTATACTAATCAATACGGAAGTTTATTGACTTCAGGAATAGATAGAAAGACCAATAAAATGAATTAGAGAGCTCAGAAGTGGACCCACGTCGATCTAAAACTTAACAGGTGACAGATGAGTGTTGCAAATCTATAGAGAAAGAAAAGGAGCATTATTCAATGGAGGGTACTGATTTCCTACCTCTCACCTTGCAAAAAAGCGAATCCCAGGTGGAAATTGCTGCATTTTACAGTTTCTAAAAGAAAATATCTGAGAATGTCATTAAGATTTCTATGTACAGGTGGGCTTCTTAAGATACAAAACAGGGAATCAATAAAGAAAAATTTAATACATCTGATTAAACTAAAATTTAAAACTTCTATTTTGCCCATAACTATAGAAAATAAAGACGATCCACAAAAGGAGAAAAATGCTTGCAAAATATACAATGAGCAGATAAATTAGTATGCAGAGTATTTGAAGAACTCCTACATATCAATAAGAAAAAAAATTCAATACAAGACTTGGCAAAAGCATTCCCCAAAAGAGGAAACACAGATGGCTAATAAAACATGTGAACAATATTCAGCATCATAGTAATGAGACAAATGCAAAATTAAAACAATGAGAGACCATTTTCCACCCACCAGATTGGGGAAAAAAATTAATAAGTAAACCTCACTAGTCATCAGGAAAATAGAAATTAAAACAATAATGTGATAGCATTTACATTCCTCTCAGCCAGTCAAAAATTGTCTATCTAACAATAGAAGATCTGGCTTCAAGTTGGCTTCAAGTCACTGTGGAATAGCTTGCCTACATGTCCCACAGATAACGATTATAAAAGCTGGACAAAATATAAAAAGTGACTATTTGAAGGCATGGATTCGTAACCACATGCAGGCAGAAACTAGTAGCTGACCCTTGAACAATGGTGTTGTGTGAGGTGAGATGTGCACCCCGCAGCTCTTCACCTGAGGGGGCTCCTCAATCTATGAGTCATTGTTCAGCAGATGCTGGCGTTCTCCTGGCTTGAGGTAGCACAGGACAGTTCAGGGCTGAGAAAAATGGATGGAAAGTTAGATGAAGAATCTTGAAAAGGAGGGAGCCACAGAGGGGGTGCAGCACCAAATCTGTGTATTAAATCTACTTAAATCTCCAGCCTACAGAACTGCACATACAGAGGTAAAGACTAGCTGGGCTGAAAGAACAGGCACTGGAAGCTGCAAAAGCTAAATGGAGACTTCAGCTCTGTCCACCAAAAAGCAATAGAATTTGGAGTTTAAACCCAGCCAATTTCACTGCTACTAAAACAAAACTCAGCTCTCTTCAGAGGAATGTAACTGAACCCAGAGTCTCCACAAAGTGTCCATCATGCCTGGTGTGTGGGAAGAAACTACTATTCATGCAAAGAGACAGGAAAATAAAATATGAGCTACAGTAAGGAGAAAAAGAAATCCCTAAAAACTGACTTCAGGAAAATGTGGACCTAACGATTGAACTGATGTGGAATCTTCATAGATAAATGGAAATCATATAAAGGAACCAGGCTAGGCATGGTTCCTTATAAAAAGGAGTACCAGTACTTTGGGAGGCTGAGGCGGGAGGATCACCTGGGCCCAGAAGTTCAAGACCACCCTGGGTGACAAAGTGAGACTCCAACTCCAAAAAACATCCAAAAGTGAGCTGGGTATGGTGGTGCATGCCTGTAGTCCCAACTACACAGGAGGCTGAGCCCAGGAGGTCAAGGTTACAGTGAGCCGTATTTACACCACTGCACTCCAGCCTGGGTGATGGAGCAAGACCCTGTCTTTAAAAAAAAAAAAAAAAAAAAAAAAAAAGCATATGGCAAGTCTAGAGTTGAACAGTGCAATAATTGAAATGAAAATATTAGCGACAGTAGAAGGGTCGGTGAACTTGAAGACAGAATAGAAATTACTCGATACGAAGAACAGAAGAAAAATGAACAGAGGCTGGGTGACCTGGGGACAATATCAAAGTCTCGTGTGTGTAACTGGAATCTCGGAAAGAGAGGAGAGATCACCCTTTCACGTGGGAACATAAATAACAGCGCCCCATCACCCTCAGGTCCCAAGGGTTCTCCCCTGGCTGCAGCTCCCTCGGATCCATGAGCCACTGCAAAAATCAGGGGTAATGTTGTGTTCAAGGGTCAGTAGCTGGCAGGAAAGGCTCAAAGTGTCTTTTACTTTGGCCACCAGAACTAGACAGAGTGACCTTGTGGCTGCTTGCATGGCTAGTCTCAGGGCACGAGACACCTTCTGTGCTGGACTCGGCGCTTACCGCAACAGCAGCAGGGCAGTGACCGCAGCGGCTTTGCTTCTGTGCCCTGCGTGGTATTTTGCCCTCTCCAGAATCCTGTTTGAATGCAGCAGATTGTTGCTGTTGTTGCTATTGAATGGGGTTATAAGGAAAAGCTGTTTGAAAATTCTGAAGGAGTCAGTGCAAAAAGCACTGAAGCAGAGGTTCAGAGGTCTGGGATGGACCCTCAGAACGTCCCTCCCCTGCAGCACCTTCGTAACCTGTGAAAATAAGGGCCATGACCTGAAGCCCGCCCAGCACGGAGTATCCCCGCCTCTCCCAGTGGCCTGTGCACCCTGCCTGGGGCCCTTTTTGGGATGGGGCAGCTACACTTCCCTTACCAGTCAGAAAGCCCCATTCACGTTTGCTCAGACACACTGGGGTGGGGGGCAGGTGCGCGGGGAGGGTGCTGGGGGAGTGGGGGTGGGGATGCTGCCCCTGACCTCACTGACTCACACGATGCACCAGGCCCCTTCCAGGCACTGGATGTAGGTAGATCCGTTTAATCCTCACCCCCTGCGAGCGTGGATCATTATAACCCATTATAGTGCAGACCAGGGAACAGACGCAGGAGACTCCGTAAATGCCCAGGTCCACCCTCAGTAAGCAGCAGGGCATGCCCCTCCAGTCCTAGACCTGAGAGAAGAGCTCTGCTACAGAGAGGGAAGGGCTGGGTCCCCACTTGGCCCAAAGAAGGCAAGAAACAAAGGCGCCCAGGAATAAATGGCCACTGCAAAGGTCATAGAGTTGGAGCTTCAGCTCTGCCCTGGGAGTGGAGGGGCACTGATTCCCAGAGGAGGAAACTCAATCCTAAAACCCATTATTTAAATGTCAGGCAAGGGAAAGGCGTTGTAACTGAATTTGGTTTGCACTGAGCGGTGGGAGTGACTCTGAACCCACCCTGAGAGCACAGTGTCGCTGGCAGGCCGGGCGGCTGCCCCCTCGCCGCTTGCCCAGCACGGTTCTCAACCTGCCCCGTCGCTCATGGGCGTCGGGCCTCCTGCCAGCTGGTGTCCTGGCGGTGCCATACCCAGGGCCACCTGGAGACTGGAGGGAGATGCCTCGGGCAGGAGGACTCACAGTCTCCTGAGTCCAAGCCCTGGACCTGGTGGGGACTTGCAGGTGGCACCCCCGGGGAGTCGGCCCCCCAGGCAGAACCCACGCCTCTGTTTCTCTCCGCAGGTGAGCGCCGAGCCGCCCTGCTGGTCACCCGCGCGGCCTCGGCCTTCTTCCTGGACGGCCGGGCCCAGGACGTGTTTTGGAACCTGCAGGAGGCCTTCCGCGAGAGCCCCTCTGGGGCGCGGAGGCAGTTCCAGGCCGTGTTCTCTGTCCAGGACCAGGAGCGCGTCCGGGCTCAGGCGCAGGAGGCCGCGGACGTGGGCTTCGCCCGCTTCCAGGAAGCCGTGCGGAACCACCCTGAGCTCCGCGAGGATGCGGGCCGCGAGCTGCTGGCCCCGGTAACCCGCGCGCTCCGCGTCCTGCTTCGCCTGGCGCCTGCCGGGGCGCGACCCGCGCTGGGAGCCCGCCTCGCCGAGTGCCTGCTGCTGGCAGGGGACGCGGCGGGCGCCCGGGCCATGTGCGAGCGCCTGCTGCGGCCCGCACGCCCTGAGGACCCTGCGGGGGACCGTGCAGGGGACCGCGCACCTCTCCTGGCTCTGCGCGGCTTCTGCGCGCTGCACGCCGGGGACTCGCGGCGCGCCATGGAGGACTTCCAGACGGTAGTGGAGCAGGGGGCGCCGCACCCGGGGGGCTGTGTGCGCGCGCTGTGCGGCCGGGGACTGCTGCGGGTGCTGGCGGGCAGCGCGTTCCTGGGCACGCTGGACTATGTCACCGCCTGCAGGCTGCGGCCCGAGGAGGCGCTGCTGGCCGCCAAGGCCTACGTGCCCTGGAACCAGCGGGGGCTGCTGCTGGTGGTGCTGCGGGAGGAGGCCCGTGGGATGCTGCAGCGATCTCCACGCGCCGGGCCGTCCAGAGCGCAGGGCCGGAGGGAGGCCGCAGAGACGGGCGGCCCCACCACGCAGGAGGGGTGAGGACCCGCCCGGGCACGCTGGGGCCGCTGCTTCCTGCGGGTCTCCTTCGAGGTAGCGACGGATGTGTTTCCTCCTATTTTACAAAGGAATGAACGGAGGCAGTGGCTGGTGACTTCCCAAAGCACCCGAGGCAGGTCTAGCTCCGCTGCTTCCATCGACCGGGCCGCAGTCCGGAAATGGAAATCCGCGGCTCACATTTCCTTCCAGGCCTTTCGTTTGGTGCATGTAAAATAGCTCACCAAACCGAGTCTGTGCTGGACATGCTGTTCATATGCTAATTTTCTTACTCAATAGGTCATGACGATTCCCTTTGTGGCTAAATGTGTTTCCGGCAGCACCGCCCCGACCTGCGCCCCTGCCACTACTCCTTCCAGCAGTCCTGGGGTTGGTTTGTTTTGTTTTGTTTTGTTTTTTGTTCTTTGAGATGGAGTCTTACTCTGCCGCCCAGGCTGGAGTGCAATGGCGCAATCTTGGCTTGCTGCAACCTCCGCCTCCTGGGTTCAGGCCATTCTTCTGCCTCAGCGTCCCAAGTAGCTGGGATCACCACGCCCAGCTAATCTTTATATTTTTAGTGGCATGGGGTTTCACCATGGTGGCCAGGCTGGTCTCGAACTCCTGACCTCAAGTGATCCTCCCACCCGGGCCTCCCAAAGTGCTGGGATTCCAGGTGAGCCACCGCGCCTGGCCTTTGTTCTTAGCTGTAATCCCTCGTGGGTAATGTCCTGTCTCCAGGATGTTCTCTCCATGAGACGGAGACAGGCATGCAGTTCCCGGGTCAGGAAGCGCCGCCACTTGTAGGATCCTTGACTTCAGGAGCTGCCCTCCTCCCACCACAATCTGGCCACCGCCCATCCCCCACTCACCCTTGATGCTCATTTTGCAAATTATTTGCCAGCCCAAAGCCCAGTGGGTGAATCCCTAGCTGCTTTGACTTCCCTCGTGTAATTGCTGGGAGGTGGCAGGAAGGGGTTTCAGCAAAGTTAAAAGCACTGAGTCCGGGGGGTGGGGGCGGTTCTTGGAGGGGCATCATTGATGTCAGCGTCCACCCCAAGGCACACACACAACACACACACGCACAACACATACATAACACACACACAACACACCAGACACACACCATACACACCACACATACAACACACACACCACACACAACACACATGTACATAACACACATACAACACACAACATGTACATAACACACACACAACACACAACATGTACATAACGCACACAAAACACACAGAGTTCCTCTGCCTTCTGGGTGTTTAATTTGCGTGGCTTTGATTTGCTGCTGGTAAGAAACTTTCATTATGTGATGGCATTTATATTTGTTCTCTGGAAATTGTCAAATTTGAGGATCTGGCCCCATTTCCCAGTGAGCACTCAGTAACATTCCCACATGGGCACAGGAACATGCCAGGTGCAGCCATGTGTTTTCTTGTTCTGCCTATAGGCACACCCCTGAGCCCAGCAAGGCCAAATTGTTCGTCTGTGTTTTTGCAGAAAAGGAAACTGAGGCAGGGTCCACACAGGGTCAGCCCTGCCTCTGCCTGTCTATACCGCCACAATCCCACCTCCCACAGGGTAGGAGAAGGGCAAGGGAGAGCGTGAGGGCCGCATGCTAGGAAGGGCACCTTTGGCTTCTGGGGATGGTGTGGCGTGAGGGTCCCTCCGGAGGGAGCTGCCCAGGCCAGGTACATGGAGACGGGATTTCCCCACTGCCCAATCACCTGGGCAGGTGGAGGGGTTGTCAAAAGGGGCATGCCCCCCTGAGCTGATCTCCACACAGGGTCGCCTGCGGCGTGCACCAGCTGGCCACACTGCTGATGGAGCTGGATTCAGAGGACGAGGCCTCTCGCCTCCTGGCGGCTGATGCCCTGTACCGCCTGGGCCGCCTGGAGGAGACCCACAAGGCCCTGCTGGTGGCCCTATCCCGGAGGCCCCAGGCAGCCCCTGTGCTGGCACGACTGGCCCTGCTGCAGCTGAGGAGGGGCTTCTTCTATGACGCCAACCAGGTGAGGAGGCCTGGGGGGTGACAGAGGGCAGGTGGAAATGGGCCCAGCTGGGAAGAGGGCACAGGCCTCCCGTGGCCCTGGCGCTGGACCCCACAGTCTGGGCTTTGGACCAGGCGACTGCATTCAGCCCCAGCTCTGCACCTGCTGCAGGCCCTCACCTACCTGACCCTCAGTCTCCTTATCTGGGTCCTGGTCCCATGGGTTGTCATGGAAATCGGCTGGGGCAGGTCCCCGGGGCCGGCAGTTTCCCTGCATGCGTAGCTGCTTTGTCGTACTTGCTTCCACTGTGGTTACGAAGCATAAGGGCCAGGAACCGACTGCAGGCCGAGCTTCTCTCCAAGTCTCTCACATAAACCAGGCTTGGATGCAACCCTGCCTTGGGGTGGGTAGCAGAGGGGACCTTCCCTCCTGCCTCCAAGACCCCCTGCTCCCAGGAAAGGCAGACCCTTACCTGCCTCAGGTGCTATCCCGGGTTCCTGTTTGAACTGGGGTCTAAAGGTTACACTCTGGTGGGATTCAGGCCTTGGGGCCTGGGGTGAGGGCCTTCTCGCGTCTTCCTCCCCCTGGGGCCCGGTTTGGGTCCTGATCTCCTTGCCCTGCCCAGGTTCGGATGCCCTGAACCTGCATCCTCTTGCTCAGCTTGGGGAACCCGTGTGCCCACCAGCAGCCAGCAGGGGGCAGCATTGGGCCTCCTTCGGATGGAGTCGCGGAGAGGGGACGTTGTGGGGTGGAGGTCTCCCCTCGCCCAGCGACCTGGTCCTACTTGGCCGTGCTGGGCTTTTGCTCCGCGTCGTCTGAAGGACTCCCTGGCGCCTGTTGACCCTTCATGACCTAAAAGCCCCTTCCTCTGCTTCTCATTTGGACCTTGCTCCAGTGGGCCCACTGGGGCGGAGTCTCCACCTCCATGGGATGGAGAAGTCCTAGGCTCGGGAACCCTGAGAGTCCCAGCCCACCAATGCCATCAGCAGACAGATGCGGCTCAGACTGCAGCCCAGAGCGGGCTCACGACTCCCCTCCCTACCTACTCCTCTGCACCAAGGTGGGGACACACAGTCCCTGGCCGCTGTGGGACCCCCACCTATGGGGAGACAAAACGCCCCCAAAGGCTCAAATGGCCACATCGCAACACACGGCCAACCTCCTAGTGCTCAGACAGGCAGAAGCTCCCAGGCTCATGGACACACAGCCAGGGGCTGGTGGAGGCAGCGAGGCAGTAGGGGAGGATCGGGGTGATGGCACAGGGCGGACCCTGGCACAGAGAGGGTGGGGTGAGGAATTGCCAGGGGCGTTGGAACTGGGTGAGCCGTGGGGCAGCAAGGGTGGGACTGGGAGCGTTGGCACCAGGTGGACCCTGGGGCAGTGAGGGTGGGGTGGGGGATGGCCAGGGGCGTCAGTACAGGGTGGGCTCCAGGGCATCGGTCCCAAGGGCATGGGCAGTGACTGTGGCACCCTTGCAGTTGGTGAAGAAGCTGGTCCAGTCTGGTGACACCGCCTGCCTCCAGCCCACCCTGGACGTCTTCTGCCACGAGGACCGGCAGCTGCTTCAAGGCCACTGCCACGCCAGGGCCCTGGCCATCCTGCGGGCACGGCCAGGCGGGGCCGACGGCAGGGTTCACACCAAGGAGGCCATCGCCTACCTGTCTCTGGCCATCTTTGCCGCAGGTAGGAGCTGCCCACCTGCCCCCAGGGCCCAGTCTTGTGCCAGGCACAGGGGACATGGGGAGTCTCTGCCATGCTGGTTGGTGGGGACACGCATGCTCCCCAGGTGCAGGGGCCTCAGGAACACCCACGGGTTGGACAGGGCAAGGGCCACTCGCTGAGGGCATTTCACCTTCAAGGTGGGTGCACCAAGGCCTGAGACCAGGCTCTGAGACCTGGGGCCTGAGCTGGGACCTGAGCTGTGCCCTGCCTGGTGCCTGAGCTGCCGTCCCAGCACCCCCAGTCCTGAGGGGAGAAGGGCCCCTTTCCTAGCTAATGACAAGGAGGCGAGGTCCCTGCTCCCCTCAGCCCTTCCTAGAAATAGTGACAGGCTCCTCCTATGCACGCCTGGCCTCCCCACCCTGGGACACCCAGCACGGGGGTGCTGCCTGCTTCCTGGAGTCAGTGCTGTTTCTGGGGTTGGGGGGCCAGGTGTCTGGAGGGAAGGCGATGTTTCCCAGGACTCGCAGGGATCTCCTGGGGTACAGGGAGTGTGAGAGCCTGGACCTAGATCAGGCTGCCACGTGGAACCCGGCCATGCACTTAGTAAGCACCCCTCATCCTCCTCTCCCAAGCCTGGACCTAGATCAGGCTGCCACGTGGAACCTGGCCATGCACTTAGTGAGCACCCCTCACCCTCCTCTCCCAAAGGGGGATGGCAGCGTTGCCCATGTCGGGTGGAAGTGGGGATTCAGAGGGCTCATTTTGGGACAGTACCTGGCACAGAGAGCATGCCCTGCACACGTCGGCAGGAAGGCATGCAGCCCAGAGCGGCCCAGAGCGGCCCAGAGCAGCCCAGAGCGGCCCAGAGTGGCCCAGAGCAGCCTGGCATGTTGTCCCATGTCCGTCACAGAACAACACCCAGAAGGGGCACAGTAATGACAGCCTCTTTGGCGAGGGGTTGTGGGCAAAAGATTACCTAGGTGCCGAGGCAAGAGACTGAAGGCACAAACTGTTTCAGTATAATAAAGAAAATAGAATAAGAATAGTCATGATACAAATTAGATATAGAGATAATGAACAATTATTAATCATTATTAATCATTAGCTTTTAATATTACTTTTTGTTGCATTACTAACATAATCTAGTAATAACCAGTGGGTGTAGGGTCAGGTGCTGAAGGGACATTGTGAGAAGTGAATAGAAGGCAAGAGGTGAGCCCTCTGTCACACCCGCATAAGGGCTGCTTGAGGGCCCCTTGGTCAAGTGGTAACACCAGTGTCTGGGAAGGCACCCATTACTGAGCAGACCGGGAAAGGGAGTCTCCTTTACTTGGAGGAGTCAGGGAACACTCTGCTCCACCAGCTTCTTATGGAAGGCTGGATATCATCCAGGCCTGCCCACAGTCATCCAGAGGTCTAAACCCCTCCCTGTGGTGCTTCAATGGTCACGTTCCTTGTCCACTTTCATGTTCCTCCCATACTCCTGGTTCCTCTTTGAAGTTTGTAGTAGATAGCGGTAGAAGGAATAGTGAAAGTCTTAAAGGCTTTGATCTTATAAGTTCATAGAAGAAAACGCTGACGTATGCCACCTTCTATCTCTGCTTCAGCTGCCCAAGAGGGAAGGGCCCACTGTCCTTTGATCACGTGACTTGCTTCACCTTGTCAATCACTTAGAAGATTCACCCTCCTTACCCTGCCCCCCTCGTCTTGTATGCAGTAAATATCAGTGCGCTCAGCCGTTCGGGGCCACTACCGGTCTCCGCGTCTTGATGGTAGTGCTACCCTGATCCCCCTGCCCTCGCCTGGCCTCAGAGGCAGCTGCAGTGCCCCCTCCTCACGGCAGCCCCCCAGCTGTCCCCAGTCCTGGCTGAGCTCCTCTTGCCCTGCAGCCAATGCCCCCAAGTCCACCCTGTCTCTGTCTGTCTTGGTGCCCAGTGGCCTGTGAGCTCCCCAAGGTAGGCCCTGAAGCTCATGCACCCTCTGCCCTCCCCGGGCTGGGCAGGATAGATGCTGGGGAAGGGACCCAGCATAGGCTCATCCTGACCCCATGCCGTCTTCCTGCAGGAAGCCAGGCAAGTGAGTCCCTCCTTGCCCGAGCCCGCTGCTATGGGTTCCTGGGCCAGAAGAAGACGGCCATGTTCGACTTCAACACAGTGCTGCGGGCTGAGCCGGGGAACGTGCAGGCACTGTGTGGACGGGCGTTGGTGCACCTGGCCCTAGACCAGCTGCAGGTGCCGCCCCACTCCTGACCTGGGCCTGGGCAAGCACGGGTGGGGGACCCAGGGAGCTGCCTTCCTCCACCCCAAGGAGAGAGGGAGCCGGGTAGGCCATCCTGAGCAGTGAGATGCCCATCAAAACCCATGTTCCCATCCCCACCTGTACAGCGGCTCATGGGAGCCGGGTCCCCACAAACCCAGTTTCTGGGAGTCCTGCCCTTTCATCCTCCCAGCCTCAGTCTGTGTGGATAGATGTGCGAGCCTTCAGAGGTACTAGGGGTCCTCCCCAGCTTAGATAATGCTCAGTGCATGCAGGGGTCCCTCTGGGGTTGTTGGCCAGGAGATGTTCCCTCAGCTGCATTGGTGAGGCTGCCTGGCCCCCGGTGTTGAGAGGGGTTTAGAGGACATGCACAGAGGGAGTAAGTGCTGGCCTCGGCCAGCCATGTCTGCCACAGACAGGTGCAGGGATGCAGCCCCCGGACCCTGATCTGAGCTTCATTTACCTGCTCTTTAAGTTCGGTATCTATGCATTTAAGACTTTCTTCTGCAGGAACTGCTCCAATTTAAAATAAAAGTTGGGAGAGGGGCAATGGCAAGAAGACAGATCCCAATCAGCTGGGGGAGGCCTGTGTGCTGGAAGATGGTTTCTGTTCTGTTTGTTTATGAGCATTCCTTGCTTGCAACTGCACTGCATTCTATGTGGTCTGACTCTGAGGGACTCACACTGGACCTGTGTGCTCAGCCCAGGCCTGCTGCCCTGAGCACTGTCCCTGGAGCCCAGAAGAGTTGGGTCCAGCTAAGCAACCGCAGCCGAATCACTTCACCTCCCCAGGCCTCAGTTTCCTCCTCTGTAAAAGGAGGAGGGAGCTAAACAACCAATGGATCACAGAAGAAATCACACTTCGAGAAGTTAGACAATGCTTAGAGACAAGTGAAAATGAAAACAACACACCCCAAATTATGAGACACAGGGAAAGCAATCCTGAGGGGGAAATGTATAGCTGTAAATGCTTCCATTAAAAAACAAGAAAGATCTCAAATCAACAATCTAACTTTACAACTTAAGAAACTAGAAAAAGAACACATGAACAGAAAGAGAAAGAAAGAGAGAGAGAAAAAGATTACAGCAGAGATCAATAAAACATAGGATAGAGAAGAAATAGAGAAAATCAATGAAAACAAAAGTTTGTCCTTGAAAAGACAAAATTTGACAAACCTTTTGCCAGGTGGACTAAGAAAGAGAAAATTCAAATCATGACAATCAGAAATGAAAATCAGGTTATTACCAATTCTACAGAAATAAAAATAATTATAAGATAGTAATAGGAACAATTGTAAACCAACAAATCAGTTAATCTAGGTGAAATGGACAAATCCCTAGAAACACAAAACCTACCAAGACTAAATCATGAAGAAATAGAAGATCTGAATAGACCTATAACTAGTAAAAAGATTGAGTCAGTAATCAAAAATCTCCCAACAAAGAAAAGGCCAGGACCTGATGGCTTCACTGGTGAATTCTACCAAATATTTAAAGAACTAACACGAATCCTCAAACTTTTCCAAAAAATCAAAGAGGAAGGAACACTTCCTCAGACTCATTCTATGAGGCCAGCATTACCCTGATACCATAGCCAAAGACACTACAAGAAAACTACAGACCATTATCCCGTATGAATATTGAGGCAAAAATCCTCAACAAAATACTAACAAAACAAATTCAGCAATTTGTTAAAATGATGACACACGTGACCAAGTGAGATTTATTGCTAGAATGCAAGGATGGTTCAACATACAAATGTCAATTTATGTGATGTACCACATTAACAGAATGAAAGGGAAAAAATGATCATCTCAACTGATGCAGAAAAGCATTTGACAAAATTCAGCACCCTTTTATGATAAGAATACTCAACAAACTAGGAATAGAAGGAAACTGCCTCAATATAAAATCCATATATGAAAAACCCACAGCAAACATCATACTCAATGATGAAAAAGAAAAGTTTTTCCTCTAAGATCAGGAACAAGGCAAGGATGATTGCTTTTGCACTTCTACTCAACATTGCACTGGAAGTTATAGCCAGAATAACTAGGCAAGAAAAAAATTACCAAGCATCCAAATTTGAAAGAAGTAAAATTATCTCTGTTCACAGATCTTATATGTAGAAATCCCTAAAGATTCCACACACAAAAAAAAATTGTTAGAACTAATAAATGAATTCAGCAAAGTAGCAGGATACGAAGGCAACACAAAAATCAGTTGCATTTTTATACATTAATAATGAACAATCTAAAAAGGGAATTAAGAAAATACAGTCACCCCTTGGTATACACATGGGATTGGTTCCAGGACAACCCTCAGATACTGAAATCCCCACATACTGAAGTCCTACAGTCAGCCCTGTGGAACCCCCAACCCCTAGATATGAAAAGTTGGCCCTCTGTGTACGAGGGTTGCACATCCCAAGAACTGATCTGCATTTGGCTGTGGATTCGGAACCCACCAATATGAAAGGCTGGCTGTATTTATTGAAAAAAATTCACATATAAGGGGACCCACATAATTTTAACCTGTGTTCAAGAGTCAACTGTAATTCCATCTACAATAGAATTAAAAAGAATAAAATACTTAGGAATTAACCAAAGAGGTGAAAGATTTGTACAATGAAAACTATAAAACATTGCTGAAATAAATTAAATAAGACATAAACAAATGGAAACACATTCCATGTTCATGTATTAGAAGACTTCATGTTGGTAAGACGTCAGTATTACCCAAAGTGATCTACAGATTCAATGCAATCTCTGTCAAAATCTCAATAATGTTTTTTACAGAAGTAGAAAAGCTAAATTCTGAAATTCCTGTGGAATCTCAGGGGACCCCAAACAGCCAAAACAACCCTGAAAAAGAACCAGCAAGCTGGAGGACTCACACTTCCTGATTTCAAAACTTACTACAAAGCTACAGTGATCAAAATAGTGTGGTATGGCACAAAAACAGACACAGAGACCAATGAAACAGAATAGAGAGTCCAGAAATGAACCCTCCCATAGATGGTCAAATGATTTGACCAAGACCATTCAATGGGGAAGGGACAGTCTTTTCAACAAATGTTGCAGGGAAAACTATGCAAAAGAATGAAGTTGGACTCTTTCCTAACACTACATACAAAAATTAATTCAAAATGGATCAAAGACCTAAAACTATAAAATTCTTAGAAGTAAGCACAGGGGAGAAGCTTCACGACACTGGATTTGACAATGACTTCTGGGCTACAACAACAAAGGCACAGGCAGCAAAAGAAAAAATAAAGTTGGATTTCATGAAAATTAAATTTTTTGTGCACCAAAGGACACTATTATAATAGAGTAAAAAGGCAACTGACAGGATGGAAGAAAACCACAATATTTGCAAGTCACATATCTGATAAGGAATTATTACCCAGAATACACAGAGAAGTCCTAAAACTCAACAACAACAAAGCCAAAAACCCAATTCAATTTTTGGAGCTGAAGTCTCGCTCTGTCACCCAGGCTGGAGTGCAGTGGCGGGATCTCAGCTCACTGCAACTTCCGCTTCCGGGGTTCAAGCGATTCTCCTGCCTCAGCCTCCCGAGTAGCTGGGATTACAGGTGGGCGACCCCACGCCTGGCTAATTTTTTGTATTTTTATAGAGACGAGGTTTCACTGTGTCATTCAAAAAAAATGAGCAAAGGACTTAAACAGACATTTCTCAAAAAAAGATATACAAATGGACAATAAGCACATGAAAAGATGCTGGACATCACCAATCATCAGGGAAGCACAAATCAAAACAACGAGATATGCCTCACACCTGTCAGGATGGCTACTATGAAGTTTTTAAAAAGAAAATAACAAGCACTGGTGAGGATGTGAAGAAACTGGAACCTTCTGCACTATTGGTGGGAAGGTAAAATGGTGCAGCAGCTAAGGAAAACAGGATGGCCATTTCCCAAAAAGCTAAAAATAGAACTACCAGCTGGGTGTGGTGGCTCACGCCTGTAATCCCAGCACTTTGAGAGGCCAAGGAGGGTGGATCACGAGGTCAGGAGATCAAGACCATCCTGGCTAACACGGTGAAATCTGGTCTCTACTAAAAATACAAAAAGTTAGCCAGGCGTGGTGGCACGCGCCTGTAATCCCAGCTACTCGGGAGGCTGAGGCAGGAGAATCGCTTGAACCCGGGAGGTGGGAGTTGCAGTGAGCTGAGATCCTGCCACTGCACTCCAGCCTGGGCGACAGAGCGAGACTCCAGCTCCAAAAAAAAGAAAAAAAAAATAGAACTACCATATGATCAAGCAATTCCACATCTGGGTCTACATCCAAAATAAATGGAAGTAGGGTCTTTTAGAGACATTTGTACACCATATTCATAGATAGCATCATTGTTCACAAGAGCTTGGAGGTGGAAGGCACCCAGGTGTCCACCGATGGATGGGTGGATAAGCCAAACATGATCCATCCATACAATGGGGAATTATTCAACATTAAAAAGGAAGGGATTCCTGGTACACACTACAACATGGATGAACCTCAAGGACATTGTGCTCAGCAAAATAAGCAGCCACCACAAAAGGACAAACACTGTGTGATTTCCCTTATATGAAGTCCCTAGAGTCATCGAATCACAGAGACAGAAAGCAGAATGGTGGGTGCCTGGGGTTGGGGGCAGAGAGTGCCTGGGGAACGGAGAGTTAGTATTTAACGGGGACAGAGTTTCAGTTTGGGAAGATGAGCTAGTTCTGGAAAGGGATGGTGGTGACGGCCACACAACATGATGAATGTATTTAATGCCACCACACCGTACACATAAAGATAATTAATTAAGATGGTAAATTTTACGTTATGTATATTTAACCACAATAAAAACAAATTGGAAAAAGAAGAGGGTGGGTGCTGCCCCTCCTGGGGATCAGAGGAGGCACCCTGGGGATATGCCCAGGTGTTGCCTGGCCCCTCCCCTGCCTGTCTCCCCCCACAGAGCTCCCATCAACCTCGGGTGAATGCAGGAGGGGCAGGAGAGGAGATGTGGCTGAACAGTGGTTCCTCCAGCCCATAAACAGCTAAGACAAAAGGGACATCCCCTGTGATCTGCTGGCCACCCTCTTGGGTACTAGCCTGAGCTGTCTACTCAACAGGATGCACGGCAGGGATGGGAGGGGTCCACTCCCAGGCCCATGACAAGAGGCTGTCACAAGGGAGACCTGCCCTGAGGCAGCCACAGCCCCGGGGCCCTGCACTTTCTCTGTGGGGGCTGCCAGAGATGAGGGCACTTCCCAGCCAAGAGCAGTGTTGAAATTGGCTGTCTGCCCTGATGCTTCGCTGGGTAAAAGCACAGCACAGAGGCAATGTGCCTGCCAGGGCTTCTGATTTTCTTAAGGGCTGGAGTTCTAGGAAGAAAGGAAAAGCAATCCTGGAGGCCAGGAGGACGACAGCCTCCAGAGGCCATGCTTGCTGCTGCAGGGCAGGCTGCTGGACCAGGGCACCAAGTTTCCCCCAAGTTTCCCACTGGCAGGCCTGACTTCTGTGCCAGCCTGGGCCCCAGGGAGGGAGACATGCATTTGGGGCTGGGAGCCAGCTCTCTGCCTGCCCTTTCCTGCACTGGACAGACTTTCCTGCACTGGACAGACATCTGTGGCTGCCAGGGACATGCCCATTTAACAGCTGGATGTGGCCACAAGGGATCCTTGGAAACTGCCTACAGGTGCCGGAACCTCCTCCAAGGGGTACCACAGGATCCTGTCCCCTCCTCCCGCTGTGTCCAGGGCCGCAGGACCAGAGGCAGGGAAAGTCAGCCAGGACGTTGGAGGGCTAGCATGTGGGAGTGACGGTAGGAGCAGCAGGCCCTCGCCCCGTCATGCCTGTGAATTTGTGCATCCAGGATATGGGCTGATGCTGCGCCCCCCCCCCCATGCCCTCTGCCTCTTCACCCTGAGAGGAGGCATGGCACAGGCTCAAGGCTGTGAGCTCTGACTCAGCGCTGGGGCTCAGCAGCAGGCCCCTCCTCCTGGCCAACAACCCTGTCCTGTCTCTCAGCCTTGGTTTCACCACAGGTAACATGCAGGGGTGCTTCTTCCAGGCGGTCATATGCTCACCTGGTGGAAAAGGACAGCACATATTCCAGGAATTCAGACACTAACCGGGGGGCAGGACTTGTCCATGCTGTCAGATGCTCCCCTGGAGGTGTGGAGTGCTGTTCCAGGCTGTCAGATGCTCCCCTGGAGGTGTGGGGTGTTGCTCCAGGCTGTCAGATGCTCCCCCTGGAGGTGTGGGGTGCTGTTCCAGGATGTCAGATGCTCCCCTGGAGGTGTGGGGTGCTGCTCCAGGTTGTCAGATGCTCACTGGGGGTGTGGGGTGCTGTTCCAGGATGTCAGATGCTCCCCTGGAGGTGTGGGGTGCTGCTCCAGGCTGTCAGATGCTCACCTGGGGGTGTGGGTGCTGTTCCAGGCTGTCAGATGCTCACCTGGGGGTGTGGGGTGCTGTTCCAGGCTGTCAGGTGCTCACCTGGGGGCGTGGGGTGCTGTTCCAGGATGTCAGATGCTCACCTGGGGGTGTGGGTGCTGCTCCAGACTGTCAGATGCTCCCCTGGGGGTGTAGGGTGCTGCTCCAGGCTGTCAGATGCTCACCTGGGGGTGTGGGTGCTGTTCCAGGCTGTCAGATGCTCACCTGGGGGTGTGGGGTGCTGTTCCAGGCTGTCAGATGCTCACCTGGGTGCGTGGGTGCTGTTCCACGCTGTCATATGCTCATCTGCCAGTAGGGGTGCTGTTTTATGCTGCCAGATGCCCACCTCGGGGTGAGGGTGCTGTTCTAGGTTGTCAGATGCTCCCCTGGGGGTGAGAGTGCTGTTCCGTGCTTTCAGATCCTTACTTGGAGAACTGGGGTTCTGTTCCAGGCTATCAGATGTTCACCTGGAAGCAGTGGGGGGGTTTCCAGGCTGTCAGATGCTCACCTGTGCATGGAGGGTACTTTCCCGGGCTGTCAAATGCTCACCTGGGGGCAGTGGTCTTGTTCCATGCTGTCAGATTTTTGCCTGGGGTGTGGGGTGCTGTTTCAGGCTGTCATATTCTCACCTGAAGGTGGAGGGTGCTGTTCCAGGCTGTCAGATGCTCACCTGAAGGGGGTTGTTTTTCCAGGCTGCCAGATGCTCACCTGGGGGCAGTGGTCTTGTTCCATGCTGTTGGAATCTTACCTGGGGATGTGAGCTGCTGTTCCAGGCTGTCGGATGCTCACCTGAAGGGGGTTGTTTTACCAGGCTGCCAGATGCTCACCTGGGGGCAGTGGTCTTGTTCCATGCTGTTGGAATCTTACCTGGGGATGTGAGCTGCTGTTCCAGGCTGTCGGATGCTCACCTGCATGTGGGTTACCATTCCAGGCTTTCAGCTGCTCACCTGGCTGTGTGGAGTGCCTATCCAGGCTATCAGATGCTCACCTGCAGTTGTGGGGTGCTGTTCCAGGCTGTCAGACACTCACCTGAGGGCGGGGAGCTTTTTCCCACTTATCAAATTCTTATTTGAAGTTGTGGGGTTCTGTTCCAGGCTGTCAGATGCTCACCTGGGGGTGGAGGGTGTTGTTCCGGGCTGTCATATGCTCACCTTGTGGTGGGCATGGTTTTCCACGCGTCCCCAGGTGAGCATCTGATAACCCGGAACACCACCCTTAACCCCCATGTGAACATCCAAAAACCTACAATGGCACCTTCCATCCCCAGGTGAGGATCTGGCAGCCTGGACTGGCACTCCCAACCTCAGGTGAGCATCCTCACCCAGGGGTGGGCACTGCTGCTCCAGGCTGTCAGATGCTCACCTGAAGATTCGAGTGTTGATCCAGGCTTTCAGATTCTTACCTAAGTGTGCAGGTGCCGCTCTAGGCTGTCAGACACTTACCTGGGGATGTGGGTTGCCGTTCCTGGCTGGCAAATGATCACCTGGGGTTGTGGGGTGCTGTTTTATCCTGTCAGATGCTCACCTGAGGGGATGTGCTGTTCCACGCAGTCACATCACCTGTGAGTGGGGGTGCTGTCCCATGCCATCGGATGCCCACCTTGGGGTGTGTGGTGCAGGTTCTGGTTGTCAGATGCTCATCTGGTGGTGGAGGGTGCTGTTTCAGGCTGTCAGATGCACACCTGGGGGTGTGGGTACTGCTCCAGGCTGTCAGATGCTCACCTGGGAGTGTGGGTGCTGTTCCAGGCTGTCAGATGCTCAACTGGGGGTGCAGGGTGCTGCTTTATTCTGTCATATTCTCACCTGGAAGAGCGGGGTTCTGTTCCAGGTAGTCAGATCCTCACCTGGGGTTGGAGAATTCTGTTCCAGGCTGTCGGATGCTCACCTGGATGTGAGGATGTCATTCCATACAGTCAGATGCTCGCCTGGGGGTGTGGATGCTGTTCCAGACTGTCAGATGCTCACCTGGGGTTGCAGGGTGCTGTTTTATGCGTCAGATTCTCACCTGGAAGAGTGGGGTTCTGTTCCAGGCTGTCAGATCCTCACCTGTGGTTGGAGAATTCTGTTCCAGGCTGTCGGATGCTCACCTGGAGGTGAGGATGCCATTCCATGCGGTCAGATGCTCACCTGGGGGTGTGGATGCTGTTCCAGGCTGTCAGATGCTCACCTGGGGGTGCAGGGTGCTGTTTTATGGTGTCAGATTCTCACCTGGAAGAGTGGGGTTCTGTTCCAGGTTGTCAGATCCTCACCTGGGGTTGGAGAATTATGTTCCAGGCTGTCGGATGCTCACCTGGAGGTGAGGATGCCATTCCATGCGGTCAGATGCTCACCTGGGGGTGTGGGTGCTGCTCCAGGCTGTCGGATGCTCACCTGGAAGTGAGGATGACATTCCATGCGGTCAGATGCTCCCCTGGGGGTGTGGGTGCTGCTCCAGGCTGTCAGATGCTCACCTGGGGGTGTGGGTGCTGCTCCAGGCTGTCAGATGCTCGCCTGGGGGTGTGGGTGCCGTTCCAGGCTGTCAGATGCTCACCTGGAGGTGAGGATGCCATTCAATGTGGTCAGATGCTCACCTGGGGGAGTGGATGCTGTTCCAGGCTGTCAGATGCTCACCTGGGGGTGTGGGTGCTACTCCAGGCTGTCAGATACTCACCTGGGAGTGTGGGTGCTGCTCCAGGCTGTCAGATGCTCACCTGGGGGTGTGGGCGCTGCTCCAGGCTGTAAGATGCTCACCTGGGGGTGTGGGCGCTGCTCCAGGCTGTCAGATGCTCACCTGGGGGTGTGGGTGTTGCTCCAGGCTGTCAGATTCTCGCCAGCGGGTGTGGGTGCTGTTCCAGGCTGTCATATGCTCATCTGCCAGTAGGGGTGCTGTTTTATGCTGCCAGATGCCCACCTCGGGGTGAGGGTGCTGTTCTAGGTTGTCAGATGCTCCCCTGGGGGTGAGAGTGCTGTTCCTTGCTTTCAGATGCTTACTGGGAGGCCTGGGGTTCTGTTCCAGGCTATCAGATGTTCACCTGGAAGCAGTGGGGGGGTTTCCAGGCTGTCAGATGCTCACGTGTGGGTAGAGGGTGCTTTCCCAGGCTGTCAAATGCTCACCTGGGGGCAGTAGTCTTGTTCCATGCTGTCAGATTTTTGCCTGGGTGCGGGGTGCTGTTTCAGGCTGTCATATTCTCACCTGAAGGTGGAGGGTGCTGTTTCAGGCTGTCAGATGCTCACCTGCGGGTGCAGGGTGCTGTTTTATGCTGTCAGATTCTCACCTGGAAGAGTGGGGTTCTGTTCCAGGTTGTCAGATCCTCACCTGGGGCTTGAGAATTCTGTTCCAGGCTGTCCGATGCTCACCTGGAGGTGAGGATGACATTGCATGTGGTCACATGCTCACCTGGGGGTGTGGGTGCTGCTTCAGGCTGTCAGATGGTCACCTGGGGCTGTAGATGCTGTTCCAGGTTGCCAGATGCTCACCTGGGGGTGTGGGTGCTGCCCCAGGCTGTCAGATCTCACCTGGGGGTATGGGTGCAGCTCCAGGATGTCAGCTACTCAACTGGGGGTGTGGGTGCTGCTCCAGGCTGTCAGATGCTAACCTGGGATTGTGGGCGCCTGCTCCAGGCTGTCAGATGCCCACCTGGGGGTGTGGGCGCTGCTCCACGCTGTCAGATGCTCACCTGGGGGTGTGGGCGCTGCTCCAGGCTGTCAGATGCTCACCTCGGTGTGTGGGCGCTGCTCCAGGCTGTCAGATGCTCACCTGGGGGTGTGGGTGCTGCTCCAGGCAGTCAGATGCTCACCTGGGGGTGTGGGTGCTGCTCCAGGCTGCCAGATGCTCACCTGGGGGTGTGGACGCTGCTCCGGGCTGTCAGATGCTCACCTGGGGCTGTGGGCGCCGCCCCAGGCTGTCAGATGCTCACCTGGGGGTGTGGGTGCTGCTCCAGGCTGTCAGATGCTCGCCCGGGGGTGTGGGCGCTGCTCCAGGCTGTCACATGCTCACCTGGGGGTGTGGGCGCTGCTCCAGGCTGTCAGATGCTCGCCTGGGGTTGTGTGTGCTGCTCCAGGCTGTCAGATGCTCGCCTGGGGGTGTGGGTGCTGCTCCAGGCTGTCAGAGGCTCACCTGGGGGTGTGCGTGCTGCTCCAGGCTGTCAGATGCTCGCCTGGGGGTGTGGGTGCTGCTCCAGGCTGTCAGATGCTCGCCTGGGGGTGTGCATGCTGCTCCAGGCTGTCAGATGCTCGCCTGGGGGTATGGGTGCTGTTCCAGGCTGTCGAATGCTCACCTGGGGGTGTGGGGTTCTGCTCCAGGCTGTCAGATGCTCATCTAGGGGTGTGGGGTGCTGTTCCAGGCTGTCAGATGCTCACCTGGGGGCGTGGGGTGCTGTTCCAGGATGTCAGATGCTCACCTGGGGGTGTGGAGTGCTGTTCCAGACTGTCAGATGCTCCCCTGGGGGTGTGGGGTGCTGCTCCAGGCTGTCAGATGCTCACCTGTGGGTGTGGAGTTCTGTTCCAAGCTGTCAGATGCTCACCTGGGGGTGTGGGGTGCTGTTCCACGATGTCCGATGCTCGCCTGGGGGTGTGGGTGCTGCTCCAGGCTGTCGGATGCTCACCTGGGGGTGTGGGTGCTGCTGCAGGCTGTGAGATGCTCACCTGGGGGTGTGGGTGCTGTTCCAGGCTGTCATATGCTCATCTGCCAGTAGGGGTGCTGTTTTATGCTGCCAGATGCCCACCTCGGGGTGAAGGTGCTGTTCTAGGTTGTCAGACGCTCCCCTGGGGGTGAGAGTGCTGTTCCGTGCTTTCAGATGCTTACTTGGAGGCCTGGGGTTCTGTTCCAGGCTATCAGATGTTCACCTGGAAGCAGTGGGGGTGTTTCCAGGCTGTCAGATGCTCACGTGTGGGTGGAGGGTGCTTTCCCAAGTTGTCAAATGCTCACCTGGGAGCAGTGGTCTTGTTCCATGCTGTCAGATTTTTGCCTGGGGTGTGGGGTGCTGTTTCAGGCTGTCATATTCTCACCTGAAGGTGGAGGGTGCTGTTTCAGGCTGTCAGATGCTCACCTGGGGGTGCAGGGTGCTGTTTTATGCTGTCAGATTCTCACTTGGAAGAGTGGGGTTCTGTTCCAGGTTGTCAGATCCTCACCTGGGGTTTGAGAATTCTGTTCCAGGCTGTCGGATGCTCACCTGGAGGTGAGGATGACATTCCATGTGGTCACATGCTCACCTGGGGGTGTGGGTGCTGCTTCAGGCTGTCAGATGGTCACCTGGGGCTGTAGATGCTGTTCCAGGTTGCCAGATGCTCACCTGGGGGTGTGGGTGCTGCCCCAGGCTGTCAGATGCTCACCTCAGTGTGTGGGCGCTGCTCCAGGCTGTCAGATGCTCACCTGGGGGTGTGGGTGCTGCTCCAGGCTGCCAGATGCTCACCTGGGGGTGTGGACGCTGCTCCGGGCTGTCAGATGCTCACCTGGGGCTGTGGGCACTGCCCCAGGCTGTCAGATGCTCACCTGGGGGTGTGGGTGCTGCTCCAGGCTGTCAGATGCTCGCCCGGGGGTGTGGGCACTGCTCCAGGCTGTCACCTGCTCACTTGGGGGTGTGGGCGCTGCTCCAGGCTGTCAGATGCTCGCCTGGGGTTGTGTGTGCTGCTCCAGGCTGTCAGATGCTCGCCTGGGGGTGTGCGTGCTACTCCAGGCTGTCAGATGCTCGCCTGGGGGTGTGGATGCTGTTCCAGACTGTCAGATGCTCACCTGGGGTTGCAGGGTGCTGTTTTATGTGTCAGATTCTCACCTGGAAGAGTGGGGTTCTGTTCCAGGCTGTCAGATCCTCACCTGTGGTTGGAGAATTCTGTTCCAGGCTGTCAGATGCTCACCTGGAGGTGAGGATGCCATTCCATGCGGTCAGATGCTCACCTGGGGGTGTGGATGCTGTTCCAGGCTGTCAGATGCTCACCTGGGGGTGCAGGGTGCTGTTTTATGGTGTCAGATTCTCACCTGGAAGAGTGGGGTTCTGTTCCAGGTTGTCAGATCCTCACCTGGGGTTGGAGAATTATGTTCCAGGCTGTCGGATGCTCACCTGGAGGTGAGGATGCCATTCCATGCGGTCAGATGCTCACCTGGGGGTGTGGGTGCTGCTCCAGGCTGTCGGATGCTCACCTGGAAGTGAGGATGACATTCCATGCGGTCAGATGCTCCCCTGGGGGTGTGGGTGCTGCTCCAGGCTGTCAGATGCTCACCTGGGGGTGTGGGTGCTGCTCCAGGCTGTCAGATGCTCGCCTGGGGGTGTGGGTGCGGTTCCAGGCTGTCAGATGCTCACCTGGAGGTGAGGATGCCATTCAATGTGGTCAGATGCTCACCTGGGGGAGTGGATGCTGTTCCAGGCTGTCAGATGCTCACCTGGGGGTGTGGGTGCTACTCCAGGCTGTCAGATACTCACCTGGGAGTGTGGGTGCTGCTCCAGGCTGTCAGATGCTCACCTGGGGGTGTGGGCGCTGCTCCAGGCTGTAAGATGCTCACCTGGGGGTGTGGGCGCTGCTCCAGGCTGTCAGATGCTCACCTGGGGGTGTGGGTGTTGCTCCAGGCTGTCAGATTCTCGCCAGCGGGTGTGGGTGCTGTTCCAGGCTGTCATATGCTCATCTGCCAGTAGGGGTGCTGTTTTATGCTGCCAGATGCCCACCTCGGGGTGAGGGTGCTGTTCTAGGTTGTCAGATGCTCCCCTGGGGGTGAGAGTGCTGTTCCTTGCTTTCAGATGCTTACTGGGAGGCCTGGGGTTCTGTTCCAGGCTATCAGATGTTCACCTGGAAGCAGTGGGGGGGGTTTCCAGGCTGTCAGATGCTCACGTGTGGGTAGAGGGTGCTTTCCCAGGCTGTCAAATGCTCACCTGGGGGCAGTAGTCTTGTTCCATGCTGTCAGATTTTTGCCTGGGTGCGGGGTGCTGTTTCAGGCTGTCATATTCTCACCTGAAGGTGGAGGGTGCTGTTTCAGGCTGTCAGATGCTCACCTGGGGGTGCAGGGTGCTGTTTTATGCTGTCAGATTCTCACCTGGAAGAGTGGGGTTCTGTTCCAGGTTGTCAGATCCTCACCTGGGGCTTGAGAATTCTGTTCCAGGCTGTCCGATGCTCACCTGGAGGTGAGGATGACATTCCATGTGGTCACATGCTCACCTGGGGGTGTGGGTGCTGCTTCAGGCTGTCAGATGGTCACCTGGGGCTGTAGATGCTGTTCCAGGTTGCCAGATGCTCACCTGGGGGTGTGGGTGCTGCCCCAGGCTGTCAGATCTCACCTGGGGGTATGGGTGCAGCTCCAGGATGTCAGCTACTCAACTGGGGGTGTGGGTGCTGCTCCAGGCTGTCAGATGCTAACCTGGGATTGTGGGCGCCTGCTCCAGGCTGTCAGATGCCCACCTGGGGGTGTGGGCGCTGCTCCACGCTGTCAGATGCTCACCTGGGGGTGTGGGCGCTGCTCCAGGCTGTCAGATGCTCACCTGGGGGTGTGGGTGCTGCTCCAGACTGTCAGATGCTCCCCTGGGGGTGTAGGGTGCT
Organism: Homo sapiens; assembly: GCF_000001405.40. NCBI lineage: Eukaryota > Metazoa > Chordata > Mammalia > Primates > Hominidae > Homo > Homo sapiens. Next base: position 2,769,659 of record NC_000001.11, on the reverse strand, counting down.
GCTCCAGGCTGTCAGATGCTCACCTGGGGGTGTGGGTGCTGTTCCAGGCTGTCAGATGCTCCCCCTGGAGGTGTGGGGTGCTGTTCCAGGATGTCAGATGCTCCCCTGGAGGTGTGGGGTGCTGCTCCAGGTTGTCAGATGCTCACTGGGGGTGTGGGGTGCTGTTCCAGGATGTCAGATGCTCCCCTGGAGGTGTGGGGTGCTGCTCCAGGCTGTCAGATGCTCACCTGGGGGTGTGGGTGCTGTTCCAGGCTGTCAGATGCTCACCTGGGGGTGTGGGGTGCTGTTCCAGGCTGTCAGGTGCTCACCTGGGGGCGTGGGGTGCTGTTCCAGGATGTCAGATGCTCACCTGGGGGTGTGGGTGCTGCTCCAGACTGTCAGATGCTCCCCTGGGGGTGTAGGGTGCTGCTCCAGGCTGTCAGATGCTCACCTGGGGGTGTGGGTGCTGTTCCAGGCTGTCAGATGCTCACCTGGGGGTGTGGGGTGCTGTTCCAGGCTGTCAGATGCTCACCTGGGTGCGTGGGTGCTGTTCCACGCTGTCATATGCTCATCTGCCAGTAGGGGTGCTGTTTTATGCTGCCAGATGCCCACCTCGGGGTGAGGGTGCTGTTCTAGGTTGTCAGATGCTCCCCTGGGGGTGAGAGTGCTGTTCCGTGCTTTCAGATCCTTACTTGGAGAACTGGGGTTCTGTTCCAGGCTATCAGATGTTCACCTGGAAGCAGTGGGGGGGTTTCCAGGCTGTCAGATGCTCACCTGTGCATGGAGGGTACTTTCCCGGGCTGTCAAATGCTCACCTGGGGGCAGTGGTCTTGTTCCATGCTGTCAGATTTTTGCCTGGGGTGTGGGGTGCTGTTTCAGGCTGTCATATTCTCACCTGAAGGTGGAGGGTGCTGTTCCAGGCTGTCAGATGCTCACCTGAAGGGGGTTGTTTTTCCAGGCTGCCAGATGCTCACCTGGGGGCAGTGGTCTTGTTCCATGCTGTTGGAATCTTACCTGGGGATGTGAGCTGCTGTTCCAGGCTGTCGGATGCTCACCTGCATGTGGGGTACCATTCCAGGCTTTCAGCTGCTCACCTGGCTGTGTGGAGTGCCTATCCAGGCTATCAGATGCTCACCTGCAGTTGTGGGGTGCTGTTCCAGGCTGTCAGACACTCACCTGAGGGCGGGGAGCTTTTCCCCACTTATCAAATTCTTATTTGAAGTTGTGGGGTTCTGTTCCAGGCTGTCAGATGCTCACCTGGGGGTGGAGGGTGTTGTTCCGGGCTGTCATATGCTCACCTTGTGGTGGGCATGGTTTTCCACGCGTCCCCAGGTGAGCATCTGATAACCCGGAACACCACCCTTCACCCCCATGCGAACATCCAAAAACCTACAATGGCACCTTCCATCCCCAGGTGAGGATCTGGCAGCCTGGAATGGCACTCCCAACCTCAGGTGAGCATCCTCACCCAGGGGTGGGCACTGCTGCTCCAGGCTGTCAGATGCTCACCTGAAGGTTCGAGTGTTGATCCAGGCTTTCAGATTCTTACCTAAGTGTGCAGGTGCCGCTCTAGGCTGTCAGACACTTACCTGGGGATGTGGGTTGCCGTTCCTGGCTGGCAAATGATCACCTGGGGTTGTGGGGTGCTGTTTTATGCTGTCAGATGCTCACCTGAGGGGACGTGCTGTTCCACGCAGTCACATCACCTGTGAGTGGGGGTGCTGTTCCATGCCATCGGATGCCCACCTTGGGGTGTGTGGTGCAGGTTCTGGTTGTCAGATGCTCATCTGGTGGTGGAGGGTGCTGTTTCAGGCTGTCAGATGCACACCTGGGGGTGTGGGTGCTGCTCCAGGCTGTCAGATGCTCACCTGGGAGTGTGGGTGCTGCCCCAGGCTGTCAGATGCTCAACTGGGGGTGCAGGGTGCTGCTTTATTCTGTCATATTCTCACCTGGAAGAGCGGGGTTCTGTTCCAGGTAGTCAGATCCTCACCTGGGGTTGGAGAATTCTGTTCCACGCTGTCGGATGCTCACCTGGATGTGAGGATGTCATTCCATACAGTCAGATGCTCGCCTGGGGGTGTGGATGCTGTTCCAGACTGTCAGATGCTCACCTGGGGTTGCAGGGTGCTGTTTTATGCGTCAGATTCTCACCTGGAAGAGTGGGGTTCTGTTCCAGGCTGTCAGATCCTCACCTGTGGTTGGAGAATTCTGTTCCAGGCTGTCGGATGCTCACCTGGAGGTGAGGATGCCATTCCATGCGGTCAGATGCTCACCTGGGGGTGTGGGTGCTGCTCCAGGCTGTCGGATGCTCACCTGGAAGTGAGGATGACATTCCATGCGGTCAGATGCTCCCCTGGGGGTGTGGGTGCTGCTCCAGGCTGTCAGATGCTCACCTGGGGGTGTGGGTGCTGCTCCAGGCTGTCAGATGCTCGCCTGGGGGTGTGGGTGCGGTTCCAGGCTGTCAGATGCTCACCTGGAGGTGAGGATGCCATTCAATGTGGTCAGATGCTCACCTGGGGGAGTGGATGCTGTTCCAGGCTGTCAGATGCTCACCTGGGGGTGTGGGTGCTACTCCAGGCTGTCAGATACTCACCTGGGAGTGTGGGTGCTGCTCCAGGCTGTCAGATGCTCACCTGGGGGTGTGGGCGCTGCTCCAGGCTGTAAGATGCTCACCTGGGGGTGTGGGCGCTGCTCCAGGCTGTCAGATGCTCACCTGGGGGTGTGGGTGTTGCTCCAGGCTGTCAGATTCTCGCCAGCGGGTGTGGGTGCTGTTCCAGGCTGTCATATGCTCATCTGCCAGTAGGGGTGCTGTTTTATGCTGCCAGATGCCCACCTCGGGGTGAGGGTGCTGTTCTAGGTTGTCAGATGCTCCCCTGGGGGTGAGAGTGCTGTTCCTTGCTTTCAGATGCTTACTGGGAGGCCTGGGGTTCTGTTCCAGGCTATCAGATGTTCACCTGGAAGCAGTGGGGGTGTTTCCAGGCTGTCAGATGCTCACGTGTGGGTAGAGGGTGCTTTCCCAGGCTGTCAAATGCTCACCTGGGGGCAGTAGTCTTGTTCCATGCTGTCAGATTTTTGCCTGGGTGCGGGGTGCTGTTTCAGGCTGTCATATTCTCACCTGAAGGTGGAGGGTGCTGTTTCAGGCTGTCAGATGCTCACCTGGGGGTGCAGGGTGCTGTTTTATGCTGTCAGATTCTCACCTGGAAGAGTGGGGTTCTGTTCCAGGTTGTCAGATCCTCACCTGGGGCTTGAGAATTCTGTTCCAGGCTGTCCGATGCTCACCTGGAGGTGAGGATGACATTCCATGTGGTCACATGCTCACCTGGGGGTGTGGGTGCTGCTTCAGGCTGTCAGATGGTCACCTGGGGCTGTAGATGCTGTTCCAGGTTGCCAGATGCTCACCTGGGGGTGTGGGTGCTGCCCCAGGCTGTCAGATCTCACCTGGGGGTATGGGTGCAGCTCCAGGATGTCAGCTACTCAACTGGGGGTGTGGGTGCTGCTCCAGGCTGTCAGATGCTAACCTGGGATTGTGGGCGCCTGCTCCAGGCTGTCAGATGCCCACCTGGGGGTGTGGGCGCTGCTCCACGCTGTCAGATGCTCACCTGGGGGTGTGGGCGCTGCTCCAGGCTGTCAGATGCTCACCTCGGTGTGTGGGCGCTGCTCCAGGCTGTCAGATGCTCACCTGGGGGTGTGGGTGCTGCTCCAGGCAGTCAGATGCTCACCTGGGGGTGTGGGTGCTGCTCCAGGCTGCCAGATGCTCACCTGGGGGTGTGGACGCTGCTCCGGGCTGTCAGATGCTCACCTGGGGCTGTGGGCGCCGCCCCAGGCTGTCAGATGCTCACCTGGGGGTGTGGGTGCTGCTCCAGGCTGTCAGATGCTCGCCCGGGGGTGTGGGCGCTGCTCCAGGCTGTCACATGCTCACCTGGGGGTGTGGGCGCTGCTCCAGGCTGTCAGATGCTCGCCTGGGGGTGTGCATGCTGCTCCAGGCTGTCAGATGCTCGCCTGGGGGTATGGGTGCTGTTCCAGGCTGTCGAATGCTCACCTGGGGGTGTGGGGTTCTGCTCCAGGCTGTCAGATGCTCATCTAGGGGTGTGGGGTGCTGTTCCAGGCTGTCAGATGCTCACCTGGGGGCGTGGGGTGCTGTTCCAGGATGTCAGATGCTCACCTGGGGGTGTGGAGTGCTGTTCCAGACTGTCAGATGCTCCCCTGGGGGTGTGGGGTGCTGCTCCAGGCTGTCAGATGCTCACCTGTGGGTGTGGAGTTCTGTTCCAAGCTGTCAGATGCTCACCTGGGGGTGTGGGGTGCTGTTCCACGATGTCCGATGCTCGCCTGGGGGTGTGGGTGCTGCTCCAGGCTGTCGGATGCTCACCTGGGGGTGTGGGTGCTGCTGCAGGCTGTGAGATGCTCACCTGGGGGTGTGGGTGCTGTTCCAGGCTGTCATATGCTCATCTGCCAGTAGGGGTGCTGTTTTATGCTGCCAGATGCCCACCTCGGGGTGAAGGTGCTGTTCTAGGTTGTCAGACGCTCCCCTGGGGGTGAGAGTGCTGTTCCGTGCTTTCAGATGCTTACTTGGAGGCCTGGGGTTCTGTTCCAGGCTATCAGATGTTCACCTGGAAGCAGTGGGGGTGTTTCCAGGCTGTCAGATGCTCACGTGTGGGTGGAGGGTGCTTTCCCAAGTTGTCAAATGCTCACCTGGGAGCAGTGGTCTTGTTCCATGCTGTCAGATTTTTGCCTGGGGTGTGGGGTGCTGTTTCAGGCTGTCATATTCTCACCTGAAGGTGGAGGGTGCTGTTTCAGGCTGTCAGATGCTCACCTGGGGGTGCAGGGTGCTGTTTTATGCTGTCAGATTCTCACTTGGAAGAGTGGGGTTCTGTTCCAGGTTGTCAGATCCTCACCTGGGGTTTGAGAATTCTGTTCCAGGCTGTCGGATGCTCACCTGGAGGTGAGGATGACATTCCATGTGGTCACATGCTCACCTGGGGGTGTGGGTGCTGCTTCAGGCTGTCAGATGGTCACCTGGGGCTGTAGATGCTGTTCCAGGTTGCCAGATGCTCACCTGGGGGTGTGGGTGCTGCCCCAGGCTGTCAGATGCTCACCTCAGTGTGTGGGCGCTGCTCCAGGCTGTCAGATGCTCACCTGGGGGTGTGGGTGCTGCTCCAGGCTGCCAGATGCTCACCTGGGGGTGTGGACGCTGCTCCAGGCTGTCAGATGCTCACCTGGGGCTGTGGGCACTGCCCCAGGCTGTCAGATGCTCACCTGGGGGTGTGGGTGCTGCTCCAGGCTGTCAGATGCTCGCCCGGGGGTGTGGGCACTGCTCCAGGCTGTCACCTGCTCACTTGGGGGTGTGGGCGCTGCTCCAGGCTGTCAGATGCTCGCCTGGGGTTGTGTGTGCTGCTCCAGGCTGTCAGATGCTCGCCTGGGGGTGTGCGTGCTGCTCCAGGCTGTCAGATGCTCGCCTGGGTGTGTGGATGCTGTTCCAGACTGTCAGATGCTCACCTGGGGTTGCAGGGTGCTGTTTTATGCGTCAGATTCTCACCTGGAAGAGTGGGGTTCTGTTCCAGGCTGTCAGATCCTCACCTGTGGTTGGAGAATTCTGTTCCAGGCTGTCGGATGCTCACCTGGAGGTGAGGATGCCATTCCATGCGGTCAGATGCTCACCTGGGGGTGTGGATGCTGTTCCAGGCTGTCAGATGCTCACCTGGGGGTGCAGGGTGCTGTTTTATGGTGTCAGATTCTCACCTGGAAGAGTGGGGTTCTGTTCCAGGTTGTCAGATCCTCACCTGGGGTTGGAGAATTATGTTCCAGGCTGTCGGATGCTCACCTGGAGGTGAGGATGCCATTCCATGCGGTCAGATGCTCACCTGGGGGTGTGGGTGCTGCTCCAGGCTGTCGGATGCTCACCTGGAAGTGAGGATGACATTCCATGCGGTCAGATGCTCCCCTGGGGGTGTGGGTGCTGCTCCAGGCTGTCAGATGCTCACCTGGGGGTGTGGGTGCTGCTCCAGGCTGTCAGATGCTCGCCTGGGGGTGTGGGTGCGGTTCCAGGCTGTCAGATGCTCACCTGGAGGTGAGGATGCCATTCAATGTGGTCAGATGCTCACCTGGGGGAGTGGATGCTGTTCCAGGCTGTCAGATGCTCACCTGGGGGTGTGGGTGCTACTCCAGGCTGTCAGATACTCACCTGGGAGTGTGGGTGCTGCTCCAGGCTGTCAGATGCTCACCTGGGGGTGTGGGCGCTGCTCCAGGCTGTAAGATGCTCACCTGGGGGTGTGGGCGCTGCTCCAGGCTGTCAGATGCTCACCTGGGGGTGTGGGTGTTGCTCCAGGCTGTCAGATTCTCGCCAGCGGGTGTGGGTGCTGTTCCAGGCTGTCATATGCTCATCTGCCAGTAGGGGTGCTGTTTTATGCTGCCAGATGCCCACCTCGGGGTGAGGGTGCTGTTCTAGGTTGTCAGATGCTCCCCTGGGGGTGAGAGTGCTGTTCCTTGCTTTCAGATGCTTACTGGGAGGCCTGGGGTTCTGTTCCAGGCTATCAGATGTTCACCTGGAAGCAGTGGGGGTGTTTCCAGGCTGTCAGATGCTCACGTGTGGGTAGAGGGTGCTTTCCCAGGCTGTCAAATGCTCACCTGGGGGCAGTAGTCTTGTTCCATGCTGTCAGATTTTTGCCTGGGTGCGGGGTGCTGTTTCAGGCTGTCATATTCTCACCTGAAGGTGGAGGGTGCTGTTTCAGGCTGTCAGATGCTCACCTGGGGGTGCAGGGTGCTGTTTTATGCTGTCAGATTCTCACCTGGAAGAGTGGGGTTCTGTTCCAGGTTGTCAGATCCTCACCTGGGGCTTGAGAATTCTGTTCCAGGCTGTCCGATGCTCACCTGGAGGTGAGGATGACATTCCATGTGGTCACATGCTCACCTGGGGGTGTGGGTGCTGCTTCAGGCTGTCAGATGGTCACCTGGGGCTGTAGATGCTGTTCCAGGTTGCCAGATGCTCACCTGGGGGTGTGGGTGCTGCCCCAGGCTGTCAGATCTCACCTGGGGGTATGGGTGCAGCTCCAGGATGTCAGCTACTCAACTGGGGGTGTGGGTGCTGCTCCAGGCTGTCAGATGCTAACCTGGGATTGTGGGCGCCTGCTCCAGGCTGTCAGATGCCCACCTGGGGGTGTGGGCGCTGCTCCACGCTGTCAGATGCTCACCTGGGGGTGTGGGCGCTGCTCCAGGCTGTCAGATGCTCACCTCGGTGTGTGGGCGCTGCTCCAGGCTGTCAGATGCTCACCTGGGGGTGTGGGTGCTGCTCCAGGCAGTCAGATGCTCACCTGGGGGTGTGGGTGCTGCTCCAGGCTGCCAGATGCTCACCTGGGGGTGTGGACGCTGCTCCGGGCTGTCAGATGCTCACCTGGGGCTGTGGGCGCCGCCCCAGGCTGTCAGATGCTCACCTGGGGGTGTGGGTGCTGCTCCAGGCTGTCAGATGCTCGCCCGGGGGTGTGGGCGCTGCTCCAGGCTGTCACATGCTCACCTGGGGGTGTGGGCGCTGCTCCAGGCTGTCAGATGCTCGCCTGGGGTTGTGTGTGCTGCTCCAGGCTGTCAGATGCTCGCCTGGGGTTGTGTGTGCTGCTCCAGGCTGTCAGATGCTCGCCCGGGGGTGTGGGCGCTGCTCCAGGCTGTCACATGCTCACCTGGGGGTGTGGGCGCTGCTCCAGGCTGTCAGATGCTCGCCTAAGGTTGTGTGTGCTGCTCCAGGCTGTCAGATGCTCGCCTGGGGGTGTGGGTGCTGTTCCAGGCTGTCATATGCTCATCTGCCAGTAGGGGTGCTGTTTTATGCTGCCAGATGCCCACCTCGGGGTGAAGGTGCTGTTCTAGGTTGTCAGACGCTCCCCTGGGGTCGAGAGTGCTGTTCCGTGCTTTCAGATGCTTACTTGGAGGCCTGGGGTTCTGTTCCAGGCTATCAGATGTTCATCTGGAAGCAGTGGGGTGTTTCCAGGCTGTCAGATGCTCACGTGTGGGTGGAGGGTGCTTTCCCAGGTTGTCAAATGCTCACCTGGGAGCAGTGGTCTTGTTCCATGCTGTCAGATTTTTGCCTGGGTTGTGGGGTGCTGTTTCAGGCTGTCATATTCTCACCTGAAGGTGAAGGGTGCTGTTTCAGGCTGTCAGATGCTCACCTGGGGGTGCAGGGTGCTGTTTTAATGTTGTCAGATTCTCACCTGGAAGAGTGGGGTTCTGTTCCAGGTTGTCAGATCCTCACCTGGGGTTTGAGAATTCTGTTCCAGGCTGTCGGATGCTCACCTGGGGGTGTAGGTGCTGCTCCAGGCTGTCGGATGCTCGCCTAGGGGTGTGGGTGCTGCTCCAGGCTGTCAGATACTCACCTGGGGTTGTGGGTGCTGCTCCAGGCTGTCGGATGCTCACCTGCGGGAGTGGGTGCTGCCCCAGACTGTCGGATGCTCACCTGGGGGTGTGGGTGCTGCTCCAGGCTATCGCATCCTCGCCTGGGCGTGTGGGTGCTGCTCCAGGCTGTCAGATGCTCACCCTGGGGGGGTCGGCGCTGCTCCAGGCTGTCGGATGCTCACCTGGGGGAGTATGTGATGCTCCAGGATGTCCGATGCTCACCTGGGGTGAGGATGCTGCTCCACGCTCTCGGATGCTCACCTGGGACTGTGGGTGCTGCTCCAGGTGGTCATATGCTCACCTCTGGGTGTGAGCGCTGCTCCAGGCTATCAGATGCTCACCTGGGGGTGTGGACGCTGCTCCAGGCTGTCAGATGCTCACCTTGGGGTGTGAGCATTTCTCCAGGCTGTCAGATGCTTACCTGGGTGTGTGGGAGCTGCTCCAGGCTGTCAGATGCTCAACTGCGGGTATGGGTGCTGCTCCAGGCTGTCAGATGCTCATCTAGGGGTGTGGGCGCTGCTCCAGGCTGTCGGATGCTCACCTGGGGGAGTATGTGATGCTCGAGGATGTCCGATGCTCACCTGGGGTGTGGGTGCTGCTCCAGGCTGTCGGATGCTCAAATGGGGGTGTGGGTGCTGCTCCAGGCTGTCAGATGCTCACCTGGAGGTGTGGGCGCTGCTCCAGGCTGTCAGATGCTCACCTTGGGGTTTGGGCGCTTCACCAGGCTGTCAGATGCTGACCTGGGTGTGTGGGTGCTGCTCCAGGCTGTCAGATGCTCACCTGGGGGTGTGGGTGCTGCTCCAGGCTGTCAGATGCTCACCTGCGGATGTGGGTGGTGTTCCAGGCTGTCAGATTCTCGCCTGGGTGTGTGGATGCTGCTCCAGGCTGTCAGATGCTCGCCTGTGGGTGCGGGGTGATGTTCCAGGCTGTCAGATACTCACCTTGGGGTGTGGGGTGCTGTTCCAGGCTGTCAGATGCTCACCTGCGGGTGTGCGGTGCTGTTCCAGGCTGTCAGATGCTCGCCTGGAGTTGTGGCTGCTGCTCCATGCGGTCAGATGCTCGCCTGGGGTTGTGGGTGCTGCTCCATGACTTCAGATGCTCGCCTTGGGGTATGGGTGCTGCTCCGGGCGGTCAGATGCTCACCTGGGGGTGTGGGTGCTGCTCCAGGTTGTCAGATGCTCACCTTGGGCTGTGGGTGCTGCTCCACACTATCAGATGCTAACCTGGGGGTGTGGGCACTGCTCCAGGCTGTCAGATGCTCACTTGGGTGTGTGGGCGCTGCTCCGGACTCTCCGATGCTCACCTGTGGTTGTGGGTGCTTCTCCAGACCATCAGATGCTCACCTGGTGGTGTGGGTGCCTTTCCAGGCTGTCAGATGCTCACCTGGGGGTGCAGGGTGATGTTCCAGGCTGTCAGATGCTCACCTGAGGGTGCAGGATACTACTCCAGGCTGTCAGATGCTCACCTGGGGGTGTGGGTGCTGCTCCAGGATGTCAGATGCTCGCCTGGGAGTGTGGGTACTGTTGCAGGCTGTGAGATGCTCACCTGTGGGTGTGGGGTGCTGCTCCACGATGTCGGATGTTCACCTCGGGGTGTGGGTCCTGCTCCAGGCTGTCGGATGCAAGCCTGGGGTTGTTGGTGCTGCTCCAGGCTGTCGAATGCTCACCTGGGGGTGTGGGTGCTGTTCCAGGCTGGCGGATGCTCGCCTGGCGGTGTGGGTGCTGTTCCAGGCTGTCCGATGCTCGTCTGGGAGTGTGGGTGCTGTTCCAGGCTGTCAGATGCTCATCTGGGGGTGTGGGTGCTGCTCCAGGCTGCCCGATGCTCACCTGGGGGTGTGGGGTGCTGCTCCAGGCTGTCAGATGCTCGCCTGGGAGTGTGGGTGCTGATCCAGGCTGTCACATGCCCACCTGGGGGTGTGGGTGCTGCTCCAGGCTGTCGGATACTCACCTGGGTGTGTGGGGTGCTGCTCCAGGCTGTCCGATGCTCGCCTGTGGGTGTGGGTGCTGTTCCAGGACGTCAGATGCTCGCCTGGGGGTGTGGGTGCTGTTCCAGGCTGTCACGTGCGCACCGGGGGTGCAGGGTGCTGTTTCAGGCTGTCAGATGCTTACCTGGGGGTGTGGGTGCTGTTACATGCTGTCAGATGCTCGCCTGGGGGTGTGGGTGCTGTTCTAGGCTGTCAGAGGCTCACCTGAGCGTGTGGGTGCTGTTCCAGTCTGTCAGATGCTCACCTGGGGGTGTGGGTTCTGCTCCAGGCTGTCGGATGTTCACCTGGGGGTGTGGGTGCTGTTCCAGGCTGTCAGATGCTCAACTGGCGGTGTGCGTGCTGCTCCAGCCCGTCAGAGGCTAACCTGGAGGTGTGGGTGCTGTTCCAGGATATAAGATGCTCACCTGGGGGTGTGGGTGATGTTCCAGGCGGTCAGCTGCTCACCTGGGGGTGTGGGTGCTGTTCCAGGTTGTCAGATGCTCACCTGTTGGTGTGGGTGCTGCTTCAGGCTGTCAGATGCTCACCTGGAGTGTGGGTGCTGCTCCAGGCTGTCTGATCCTCACCCGGGGGTGCAGGGTGCTGTTCCAGGCTGTCAGATGCTCGCCTGGGGGTGTGGTTGCTCTTCCAGGCTGTCAGATGCTCACCTGGGGGTGTGGGTGCTGCTCCAGGCTGTCGGATGCTCACCTGGAGGTGAGGATGCCATTCCATGCGGTCAGATGCTCACCTGGGGGTATGGGTGCTGCTCCAGGCTGTCGGATGCTCACCTGGGGTTGTGGGAGCTGTTTCAGGATGTCGGATGCTCACCTGGGGGTGTGGGTGCGGTTCCAGGCCATCAGATGCTCGCCTGGGTGTGTGGGTGCTCTTCCAGGCTGTCATGTGCGCACCTGGGGGTGCAGGGAGCTGTTCCAGGCTGTCAGATGCTCATCTGGGCGTATGGGTGCTGTTCCAGGCTGTCAGATGCTCTCCTTGGGGTGCAGGGTGCTGTTCCACGCTGTCAGATGCTCATCTGGGCGTATGGGTGCTGTTCCAGGTTGTCAGATGCTCGCCTGGGGGTGTGTGTGCTGTTCCAGGGTGTCAGATGCTCGCCTGGGGGTGTGTGTGCTGTTCCAGGGTGTCAGTTGCTCACCTGGGGGTGCAGGGTGCTGTTCCAGGCTGTCAGATGCTCACCTGGGGATGTGGGTGCTGCTCCAGGATGTCAGATGCTCACCTGGGTGTGTGGGTGCTGTTCCACGCTGTCACGTGCGCACCTGGGGGTGCAGGGTGCTGTTCCAGGCTGTCAGATGCTCACCTGGGGGTGTGGGTGCTGTTACATGCTGTCAGATGCTCGCCTGGGGGTGTGGGTGCTGTTCCAGGCGGTCAGATCCTCACCTGGGGGTGTGCGCGCTGTTCCAGGCTGTCAGATGCTCTCCTGGGGGTGCAGGGTGCTGTTCCAGGCTGTCAGAGGCTCACCTGTGGTTGTGGGTGCTGCTCCAGACCATCAGATGCGCACCTGGGGGTGTGGGTGCTGCTCCAGGCTGTCGGATGCTCGCCGGAAGGTGTGGGTGCTGCTCCGTGGGTTCAGATGCTCGCCTGTGGGTGTGGGTACTGTTACAGGCTGTCAGATGCTCACCTGTGGGTGTGGGGTGCTGCTCCACGATGTCGGATGTTCACCTAGGGGTGTGGGTCCTGCTCCAGGCTGTCGGATGCTCACCTGGGGGTGTGGGTGCTGTTCCAGGCTGGCGGATGCTCGCCTGGCGATGTGGGTGCTGCTCCAGGCTGTCCTATGCTCGTCTGGGAGTGTGGGTGCTGTTCCAGGCTGTCAGATGCTCACCTGGGGGTGTGGGTGCTGATCCAGGCTGTCCGATGCTCACCTGGGGGTGTGGGGTGCTGCTCCAGGCTGTCAGATGCTCGCCTGGGAGTGTGGGTGCAGATCCAGGCTGTCACATGCTCACCTGGGGGTGTGGGTGCTGCTCCAGGCTGTCGGATGCTCCCCTGGGGGTGTAGGGTGCTGCTCCAGGCTGTCCGATCCTCGCCTGGGGGTGTGGGTGCTGTTCCAGGCTGTCACTTGCACACCTGGGGGTGCAGGGTGCTGTTCCAGGCTGTCAGATGCTTACCTGGGGGTGTGGGTGCTGTTACATGCAGTCAGATGCTCTCCTGGGGGTGTGGGTGTTGTTCCAGGCTGTCACGTGCACACCTGGGGGTGCAGGGTGCTGTTCCAGGCTGTCAGATGCTTACCTGGGGGTGTGGGTGCTGTTACATGCAGTCAGATGCTCGCCTGGGGGTGTGGGTCCTGTTCCAGGCTGTCAGATGCTCACCTGGGGGTGCGCGTGCTGTTCCAGGCTGTCAGAGGCTCACCTGGGCGTGTGGGTGCTGTTCCAGTCTGTCAGATGCTCACCTGGGGGTGTGGGTTCTGTTCCAGGCTGTCAGATGCTCAACTGTGGGTGTGGGTACTGCTCCAGACCATCAGATGCTCACCTGGAGGTGTGGGTGCCGACCCAGGCTGTCAGATGCTCGCCTCGGGGTGTGGGTTCTGCTCCAGGCTGTCGGATGTTCACCTGGGGGTGTGGATGCTGTTCCAGGCTGTCAGATGCTCAACTGGGGGTGTGCGTGCTGCTCCAGCCTGTCAGATGCTCACCTAGGGGTGTGGGTGCTGTTCCAGGATTTCAGCTGCTCACCTGGGGGTGTGGGTGCTGTTCCAGGCTGTCAGATGCTCACCTGGGGGTGTGGGTGCTGTTCCAGGCTGTCAGATGCTCACCTGTTGGTGTGGGTGCTGCTTCAGGCTGTCAGATGCTCACCTGGAGTGTGGGTGCTGCTCCAGGCTGTCTGATCCTCACCCTGGGGTGCAGGATGCTGTTCCAGGCTGTCAGATACTCGCCTGGGGGTGTGGTTGCTCTTCCAGGCTGTCAGATGCTCACCTGGGGGTGTGGGTGCTACTCCAGGCTGTCGGATGCTCACCTGGAGGTGAGGATGCCATTCCATGCGATCAGATGCTCACCTGGGGGTATGGGTGCTGCTCCAGGCTGTCGGATGCTCACCTGGGGGTGTGGGAGCTGTTTCAGGATGTCGGATGCTCACCTGGGCGTCTGGGTGCAGTTCCAGGCCATCAGATGCTCGCCTGGGTGTGTGGGTGCTGTTGCAGGCTGTCAGGTGCGCACCTGGGGGTGCAGGGACCTATTCCAGGCTGTCAGATGCTCATCTGGGCGTATGGGTGCTGTTCCATGCTGTCAGATGCTCTCCTGGGGGTGCAGGGTGCTGTTCCACGCTGTCAGATGCTCATCTTGGCGTATGGGTGCTGTTCCAGGTTGTCAGATGCTCGCCTGGGGGTGTGTGTGCTGTTTCAGGGTGTCAGATGCTCACCTGGGTTGCAGGGTGCTGTTCCAGGCTGTCAGATCCTCACCTGGGGGTGCAGGGTGCTGCTCCAGGCTGTCAGATGCTCACCTGGGGGTGTGGGTGCTGCTCAAGGATGTCAGGTGCTCGCGTGAGTGTGTGGGTGATGTTCCAGGCTGTCGGATGCTCACCTGTGGTTGTGGGTGCTGCTCCAGACCATCAGATGCTCACCTGGGGGTGTGGGTGCCGTTCCAGGCTGTCAGATGCTCGCCTGGGTGTGTGGGTGCTGCTCCAGGCTGTCGGATGCTCACCTGTGGGTTTGGGGTGCTGCTCCACGATGTCAGATGCTCACCTGTGGTTGTGGGTGCTGCTCCAGACCATCAGATGCGCACCTGGGTGTGTGGGTGCTGCTCCAGGCTGTCGGATGCTCGCCGGGAGGTGTGGGTGCTGCTCCGTGGTTTCAGATGCTCGCCTGTGGGTGTGGGTACTGTTCCAGGCTGTCAGATGCTCACCTGTGGGTGTGGGGTGCTACTCCACGATGTCGGATGTTCACCTGGGGGTGTGGGTCCTGCTCCAGGCTGTCGGATGCACGCCTGGGGTTGTGGGTGCTGCTCCAGGCTGTCGAATGCTCACCTGGGGGTGTGGGTGCTTTTCCAGGCTGGCGGATGCTCGCCTGGCAGTGTGGGTGCTGCTCCAGGCTGTCCGATGCTCGTCTGGGAGTGTGGGTGCTGTTCCAGGCTGTCAGATGCTCATCAGGGGGTGTGGGTGCTGCTCCAGGCTGTCCGATGCTCACCTGGGGGTGTGAGGTGCTGCTCCAGGCTGTCAGATGCTCGCCTGGGGGTGTGGGTGCTGATCCAGGCTGTCACATGCTCACCTGGGGGTGTGGGTGCCGTTCCAGGCCGTCAGATGCTCGCCTGGGGGTGTGTGTGCTGTTCCAGGCTGTCACGTGCGCACCTGGGGGTGCAGGGTGCTGTTCCAGGCTGTCAGATGCTCACTTGGGTGTGTGGGTGCTGTTACGTGCTGTGAGATGCTCGCCTGGGGGTGTGGGTGCTGTTCCAGGCGGTCAGATGCTCACCTGGGTGTGTGCGTGCTGTTCCAGGCTGTCAGATGCTCCCCTGGGGGTGCAGGGTGCTGTTCGAGGCTGTCACAGGCTCAGCTGGGCATGTGGGTGCTGTTCCAGTCTGTCAGATGCTCACCTGGGGGTGTGGTTTCTGTTCCAGGCTGTCAGATGCTCACCTGTGGGTGTGGGTGCTGCTCCAGACCATCACATGCGCACCTGGGGGTGTGGGTGCTGCTCCAGGCTGTCGGATGCTCGCCTGGAGGTGTGGGTGCTGCTCCTTGCGTTCAGATGCTCGCCTGGGGGTGTGGGTGCTCCTCCACGCTGTCAGATGCTCACCTGGGGGTGTGGGCACTGCTCCAGGCTGTCAGATGCTCGCCTGGGGGTGTGGGCGCTGCTCCAGACTCTCCGATGTTCACCTGTGGTTATGCGTGCTGCTCCAGACCATCAGATGCTCACCTGGGGGTGTGGGTGCCGTTCCAGGCTGTCAGATGCTCGCCTGGGGGTGTGGGTGCTTCTCCAGGCTGTCGGATGCTCACTTGGGGGTGCAGGGTGCTGTTCCAGGCTGTCAGATGCTCACCTGGGGGTGTGGGTGCTGATACATGCAGTCAGATGCTCGCCTGTGGGTGTGGGTGCTGTTCCCGGCTGTCACATGCTCACCTGGGGGTGTGCGTGCTGTTCCAGGCTGTCAGAGGCTCACCTGGGCATGGGGGTGCAGTTGCAGTCTGTCAGATGCTCACCTGGGGGTGTGGGTTCTGTTCCAGGCTGTCAGATGCTCACCTGTGGGTGTGGGTTCTGCTCCAGACCATCAGATGCGCACCTGGGGGTGTGGGTGCGGACCCAGGCTGTCAGATGCTCGCCTGGGGGTGTGGGTTCTGCTCCAGGCTGTCAGATGCTCACCTGAGGGTGTGGGTGCTGCTCCAGGCTGTCGGATGCTCGCCTGGGGGTGTGGGTGCTGCTCTGTGCGTACAGATACTCGCCTGGGAGTGTGGGTGCTGCTCCAGGTTGTCAGATGCTCACCTTGGTCTGTGGGTGCTGCTCCATGGTGTCAGATGCTCACCTGGGGGTGTGGGCACTGCTCCAGGCTGTCAGATGCTCGCCCTGCAGTGTGGGCGCTGCTCCAGACTCTCCGATGCTCACCTGTGGTTGTGGGTGATGCTCCAGACCATCAGATGCTCACCTAGGGGTGTGGGTGCCGTTCCAGGCTGTCAGATGCTCGCTTGTGGGTGTGTGTGCTGCTCCAGGCTGTGGGATGCTCACCTGGGGGTGCAGGGTGCTGTTCCAGGCTCTCAGATGCTCACCTGGGGTGTGGGTGCTGCTCCAGGCTGTCAGAAGCTCACCTGTGGGTGTGGGGTGCTGCTCCACGATGTCAGATGCTCACCTGGGGGTGTGGGTGCTGTTCCAGGCAGTCAGATGCTCACATGGGGGTGTGGGTGCTGTTGCAGGCCGTCCGATGCTCGCCTGGGGGTGTGGGTGCTGATCCAAGCTGTCACGTGCACACCTGGGGGTGCAGGCTGCTGTTCCAGGCTGTCAGATGCTCACCTGTGGGTGTGGGTGCTGTTACATGCTGTCAGATGCTCGCCTGGGGGTGTGGGTGCTGTTCTAGGCTGTCAGATGCTCGTCTGGGGGTGTGGGTGATGCTCCAGGCTGTCGGATGCTCACCTGGGTGTGCAGGGTGCTGTTCCAGGCTGTCAGATGCTCACCTGGGGTGTGGGTGCTGCTCCAGGCTGTCAGATGCTCACCTGTGGGTGTGGGGTGCTGCTGCACGATGTCAGATGCTCACCTGGGGGTGTGGGTGCTGTTCCAGGCCGTCAGATGCTCACCTGGGGTTTTTGGTGCTGTTCCAGGCTGTCGGATGCTCGCCTGGGGGTGTGGTTGCCGTTCCAGGCTGTCAGATGCTCACCTGGGGGTGTGGGTGCTGCTCCAGGCTGTCGGATGCTCACCTGGAGGTGAGGATGCCATTCCATGCGGTCAGATGCTCACCTGGGGGTATGGGTGTTGCTCCAGGCTATCGGATGCTCACCTGGGGTTGTGGGAGCTGTTTCAGGATGTCGGATGCTCACCTGGGGGTGTGGGTGCCGTTCCAGGCCATCAGATGCTCGCCTGGGTGTGTGGGTGCTGTTCCAGTCTGTCAGGTGCGCACCTGGGGATGCAGGGAGCTGTTCCAGGCTGTCACATGCTTATCTGGGCGTATGGGTGCTGTTCCACGCTGTCAGATGCTGTCCTGGGGGTGCAGGGTGCTGTTCCATGCTGTCAGATGCTCATCTGGGCGTATGGGTGCTGTTGCAGGTTGTCAGATGCTCGCCTGGGGGTGTGTGTGCAGTTCCAGGGTGTCAGATGCTCGCCTGGGGGTGTTTGTCCTGTTCCAGGTTGTCAGATTCTCACCTGGGGGTGCAAGGTGCTGTTCCAGGCTGTCAGATGCTCACCTGGGGATGTGGGTGCTGCTCCAGGCTGTCAGATGCTCACCTGGCTGTGTGGGTGCTGTTCCAGGCTGTCACGTGCGCACCTGGGGGTGCAGGGTGCTGTTCCAGGCTGTCAGATGCTCACCTGGGTGTGTGGGTGCTGTTACATGCTCTCAGATGCTCGCCTGGGGGTGTGGGTGCTGTTCCAGGCGGTCAGATGCTCACCTGGGGGTGTGCGTGCTGTTCCAGGCTGTCAGATGCTCCCCTGGGGGTGCAAGGTGCTGTTCCAGGCTGTCAGAGGCTCAGCTGGGCATTTGGGAGCTGTTCCAGTCTGTCAGATGCTCACCTGGGGGTGTGGGTTCTGTTCCAGGCTGTCAGATGCTCACCTGTTGGTGTGGGTGCTGCTCCAGACCATCACATGCGCACCTGGGGGCGTGGGTGTTGCTCCAGGCTGTCCGATGCTCGCCTGAAGGTGTGGGTGCTGCTCCGTGCGTTCAGATGTTCGCCTGGGGGTGTCGGTGCTGCTCCACGCTGTCAGATGCTCAGCTGGGTGTGTGGGCACTGCTCCAGGCTGTCAAATGCTCGCCTGGGGGTGTGGGCGCTGCTCCAGACTCTCCGATGTTCACCTGTGGTTATGCGTGCTGCTCCAGACCATCAGATGCTCACCTGGGGGTGTGGGTGCTGCTCCAGGCTGTCGGATGCTCACTTGGGGGTGCAGGGTGCTGTTCCAGGCTGTCAGATTCTCACCTGGGGATGTGGCTGCTGCTCCAGGCTGTCAGATGCTCACCTGTGGGTGTGGGGTGCTGCTCTACGATGTCAGATGCTCACCTGGGGGTGTGGGTGCTGCTCCAGGCTGTCGGATGCTCGCTTGGGGTTGTGGGTGCTGATCCAGGCTGTCCAATGCTCAACTGGGGGTGTGGGTGCTGTTCCAGGCCGTCAGATGCTCGCCTGGGGGTGTGGGTGCTGTTGCAGGCTGTCACGTGCGCACCTGGGGGTGTGCGTGCTGTTGCAGGCTGTCAGATGCTCACCTGGGGGTGCAGGGTGCTGTTCAAGGCTGTCAGAGGCTCACCTGGGCATGGGGGTGCAGTTCCAGTCTGTCAGATGCTCACCTGGGGGTCTGGGCTCTGTTCCAGGCTGTCAGATGCCCACCTGTGTGTGTGGGTGCTGCTCCAGACCATCAGATGCGCACCTGGGGGTGTGGGTGCCGACCCAGGCTGTCAGATGCTCGCCTGGGGGTGTTTGTTCTGCTCCACGGTGTCGGATGCTCACCTGGGTGTGTGGGTGCTGTTCCAGGCTGTCGGATGCTCACTGGGGGTGTGCCTGCTGCTCCAGGCTGTCAGATGCTCACCTGAGGGTGTGGGTGCTGCTCCAGGCTGTCGGATGCTCGCCTGGGGATGTGCGTGCTGCTCCAGGGTGTCAGATGCTCCCCTGGGGGTACAGGGTGCTGTTCCAGGCTGTCAGAGGCTCAGCTGGGCATGTGGGAGGTGTTCCAGTCTGTCAGATGCTCACCTGGGGGTGTGGGTTCTGTTCCAGGCTGTCAGATGCTCACCTGTCGGTGTGGGTGCTGCTCCAGACCATCACATGCGCACCTGGGGGTGTGGGTGCTGCTCCAGGCTGTCCGATGCTCGCCTGAAGGTGTGGGTGCTGCTCCGTGCGTTCAGATGCTCGCCTGGGGGTTTGGGTGCTGCTCCACGCTGTCAGATGCTCACCTGGGTGTGTGGGTACTGCTCCAGGCTGTCAGATGCTCGCCTGGGGGTGTGGGCGCTGCTCCAGACTCTCCGATGTTCACCTGTGTTTATGCGTGCTGCTCCAGACCATCAGATGCTCACCTGGGGGTGTGGGTGCTGCTCCAGGCTGTCGGATGCTCACTTGGGGGTGCAGGGTGCTGTTCCAGGCTGTCAGATGCTCACCTGGGGGTGTGGGTGCTGCTCCAGGCTGTCAGATGCTCACCTGTGGGTGTGGGGTGCTGCTCCACGATGTCAGATGCTCACCTGGGGGTGTGGGTGCTGCCCCAGGCTGTCGGATGCTCGCTTGGGGATGTGGGTGCTGATCCAGGCTGTCCAATGCTCAACTGGGGGTGTGGGTGCTGTTCCAGGCCGTCAGATACTCGCCTGGGTGTGTGGGTGCTGTTACAGGCTGTCACGTGCGCACCTGGGGGTGTGCGTGCTGTTCCAGGCTGTCAGATGCTCACCTCGGGGTGCAGGGTGCTGTTCAAGGCTGTCAGAGGCTCACCTGGGCATGGGGGTGCAGTTCCAGTCTGTCAGATGCTCACCTGGGGGTCTGGGCTCTTTTCCAGGCTGTCAGATGCCCACCTGTGGGTGTGGGTGCTGCTCCAGACCATCAGATGCGCACCTGGGGGTGTGGGTGCCGACCCAGGCTGTCAGATGCTCGCCTGGGGGTGTTTGTTCTGCTCCACGCTGTCGGATGCTCACCTGGGTGTGTGGGTGCTGTTCCAGGCTGTCAGATGCTCACTGGGGGTGTGCCTGCTGCTCCAGGCTGTCAGATGCTCACCTGAGGGTGTGGGTGCTGCTCCAGGCTGTCGGATGCTCGCCTGGGGATGTGGGTGCTGCTCCAGGGTGTCCAATGCTCACCTGGCGGTGTGTGTGCTGTTCCAGGCCGTCAGATGCTCGCCTGGGGTTGTGGGTGCCGACCCAGGCTGTCAGATGCTCGCCTGGGGGTGTGGGTTCTGCTCCAGGCTGTCGGATGTTCACCTGGGGGTGTGGGTGCTGTTCCAGGCTGTCAGATGCTCACCTGGGGGTGTGGGTGCTGATACATGCTGTCAGATGCTCGCCTGGGGGTGTGGGAGCTGTTCCAGTCTGTCAGATGCTCACCTGGGGTTGTGCGTGCTGTTCCAGACTGTCAGATGCTCACCTGGGTGTGCAGGTTGCTGCTCCAGGCTGTCGGATGCTCACCTCTGGGTGTGGGGGCTGCTCCAGACCATCACATGCACACCTGGGGGTGTGGGTGCTGCTCCAGGCTGTCGGATGCTCGCCTGGGGGTGTGGGTGCTGCTATTTGCGTTCAGATGCTTGCCTGGGAATCTGGGTGCTGCTCCAGGCTGTCCAATGCTCACCTGGGGATGTGGGTGCTGTTCCAGGCCGTCAGATGCTCACCTGGGGGTGTCGGTGCTGTTCCAGGCTGTCACGTGCGCACCTGGGGGTGCAGGGTGCTGTTCCAGGCTGTCAGGGTCTCACCTGGGCATGTGGGTGCTGTTCCAGTCTGTCAGATGCTCACCTGTGGGTGTGGGTTCTGTTCCAGACTCTCCGATGCTCACCTGTGGTTTTGGGTGCTGCTCCAGACCATCAGATGCTCACATGGGGGTGTGGGTGCTGCTCCAGGTTGTCAGATGCTCGCCTGCAGGTGTGGGTGCTGCTCCAGGCTGTCGCATGCTCACCTGGGTGTGCAGTTTGCTGTTCCAGGCTGTCAGATGCTCACCTGGGGGTGTGGGTGCTGCTCCAGGCTGTCGGATGCTCGCCTGGGGTTGTGGGTGCTGCTCCAGGCTGTCGGATTCTCACCTGGGGGTGTGGGTGCTGTTCCAGGCTGTCAGATGCTCACCTGGGCGTGTGGGTGCTGTTCCAGGCCGTCAGATGCTCACCTGGGGAAGCAGGGTGCTGTTCCAGTCTGTCAGATACTCCCCTGGCGGTGTGGGTTCTGTTCCAGGCTGTCAGATGCTCACCTGAAGGTGTGGGTGCTGCTCCAAAGCATCAGATGCTCACCTGGGTTTGTGGGTGCCGACCGAGGCTGTCAGATGCTCGCCTGTGGGTGTGGGTTCCGCTCCAGGCTGCCGGATGCTCTCCTAGGGGTGTGGGTGCTGTTCCAGTCTGTCAGATGCTCACCTGGAGGTGTGGGTTCTGTTCCAGGCTGTCAGATGCTCACCTGGGGGTGTGGGTGCTGCTCCAGGCTGTCAGATGCTCACCTGGAGGTGTGGGTTCTGTTCCAGGCTGTCAGATGCTCACCTGGGGGTGTGGGTGCTGCTCCAGGCTGTCAGATGCTCGCATGGTGGTGTGGTTGCTGTTCCAGGCTGTCAGATGCTCACCTGAGGGTGTGGGTGCTGCTCCAGGCTATCGGATGCTCACCCGGGGATGTGGGGTGCTCTTCCAGGCTGTCAGATTCTCACCTGGGGGTGTGGGTGCTGTTCCAGCCTCTCAGATGCTCACCTGGGGTTGTCAGTGTTGCTCCAGGATGTCAGATGCTCCCCTGGGGGTGTGGGTGCTGCTCCATGCGGTCAGATGCTCCCCTGGGGGTGTGGGTGCTGCTCCGGGCTGTCAGATTCTCATCTGTGCGTGCGGGTGATGCTGCGGGCTTTCAGATGCTCACCTGTGGTTGTGGGTGCTGTTCCAGGCTGTCAGATGCTCGCCTGGGGTTCTGGGTTCTGCTCCGTTGGTTCAGATGCTCGCCTGGGGGTGTGGGTGCTGCTCCATGAGTTCAGATGCTCGCCTGGGGGTATGGGTGCTGCTCTGGGAGGTCAAATGCTCACCTGGAGGTGTGGGTGCTGCTCCAGGCTGTCGGATGCTCACCTGGGTGTGCAGGGTGCTGTTCCAGGCTGTCAGATCCTCACCTGGGGTGTGGGTGCTGCTCCAGGCTGTCAGATGCTCACCTATGGGTGTGGGGTGCTGCTCCACGATGTCAGATGCTCACCTTGGGGTGTGGGTGCTGTTCCAGGCAGTCAGATACTCACCTGGGGGTGTGGGTGCTGTTCCAGGCCGTCAGATGCTCGCCTGGCGGTGTGGGTGCTGTTCCAGGCTATCACATGCGCACCTGGGGGTGCAGGCTGCTGTTCCAGGCTGTCAGATGCTCACCTGGGGGTGTGGGTGCTGTTACATGCTGTCAGATGCTCGCCTGGGGGTGCGGGGTGCTGTTCCAAGCTGTCAGATGCTCACCTGGGGGTTTGCGTGCTGTTCCAGGCTGTCAGATGCTCACCTGGGGGTGCAGGGTGCTGTTCCAGGCTGTCAGAGGCTCACCTGGGCATGTGGGTGCTGTTCCAGTCTGTCAGATGCTCACCTGAGGGTGGGGTTTCTGTTCCAGGCTGTCAGATGCTCACCTGTGGGTGTGGGTGCTGCTCCAGACCATCACATGCGCACCTGGGGGTGTGGCTGCTGCTCCAGGCTGTCGGATGCTCGCCTTGGGGTGTGGGTGCTGCTCCGTGAGTTCAGATGCTCGCCTGGGGGTATGGGTGCTGCTCCAGGTTGTCAGATGCTCACCTTGGGCTATGGGTTCTGAACCATGCTGTCAGATGCTCACCTGGGGCTCTGGGCACTGCTCCAGGCTGTCAGATGCTCGCCTGGGGGTGTGGGCGCTGCTCCAGACTCTCCGATGCTCACCTGGAGGTGAGGATGCCATTCCATGCGGTCAGATGCTCACCTGGGGGTATGGGTGCTGCTCCAGGCTGTCGGATGCTCACCAGGGGGTGTGGGAGCTGTTTCAGGATGTGGGATGCTCACCTGGGGGTGTGGGAGCTGTTTCAGGATGTCGGATGCTCACCTCGGTCTGTGGGTGCGTTTCCAGGCCGTCAGATGCTCGCCTGGGTGTGTGGGTGCTGTTCCAGGCTGTCATGTGCGCACCTGAGGGTGCAGGGAGCTGTTCCAGGCTGTCAGATGCTCATCTGGGCGTATGGGTGCTGTTCCAGGCTGTCAGATGCTCTCCTGGGGGTGCAGGGTGCTGTTCCACGCTGTCAGATGCTCATCTGGGCGTATGGGTGCTGTTCCAGGTTGTCAGATGCTCGCCTGGGGGTGTGTGTGCAGTTCCAGGGTGTCAGATGCTCGCCTGGGGGTGTGTGTGCTGTTCCAGGGTGTCCGATGCTCACCTGGGGGTGCAGGGTGCTGTTCCAGGCTGTCAGATGCTCACCTGGGGATGTGGGTGCTGCTCCAGGCTGTCAGATGCTCACCTGGGTGTGTGGGTGCTGTTCCACGCTGTCACGTGCGCACCTGGGGGTGCAGGGTGCTGTTCCAGGCTGTCAGATGCTCACCTGGGGGTATGGGTGCTGTTACATGCTGTCAGATGCTCGCCTGGGGATGTGGGTGCTGTTCCAGGCGGTCAGATCCTCACCTGGGGGTGTGCCCGCTGTTCCAGGCTGTCAGATGCTCTCCTGGGGGTGCAGGGTGCTGTTCCAGGCTGTCAGAGGCTCACCTGTGGTTGTGGGTGCTGCTCCAGACCATCAGATGCGCACCTGGGGGTGTGGGTGCTGCTCCAGGCTGTCGGATGCTCGCCGGAAGGTGTGGGTGCTGCTCCGTGGGTTCAGGTGCTCGCCTGTGGGTGTGGGTACTGTACAGGCT